>NC_000013.11:108978417-111703855 GCF_000001405.40 Homo sapiens | reverse complement strand
ACCCAGGCGGCGGCTCTGATAACCAGGCTCCTCCTCTGCAGCAGGCAGAGGACATCAGTGACTGCCAGCAGAGCTCGCTCGCTAATAGGCACAGAGCCTTGCTACTCAAAGTGTGGGCCACGAACTAGCAGCTCAACATCTCCCAGGAGCTTGCTGGAAACACAGAATGTCACGCCCCTCCAAGCCCCTTGAATCAGAATCTGCATTCTACCCAGGTGCCTGGGGACTTGCACACACACTCAGGCTTGAGCGGCAGTGACCTACGGAATATTGACTCCAGATTACAGCTAAATATGGACAACTTATCATCAGAGGCTCTCTACTAACTCCAGATCATAGCTGTACAAAAGTCTAGATGCATGTGTACATGTTGTGTTATGTGTGCACATGTGTGCATGCGTGTGACATGTTCATTCAAAATGTTTGCATTTATTTGCATGCTGAGCACACCCAGGCCACTGCACTAGCACTGGGCGACTCAGCCATGGCTCTCGCCCCCGCACCAGTGCAGCTTTGTGCAACCTTTCTTATACAGATGCGCGTGTGTAACTGACGAGAGCCAGAGCTTCTGTGATTATAGGGCATCTCCCACCCTCAATCCTCGTACCCGATGAATGTTAAGCAATAAGGAAACAGCCAAACACCACAGAGAAAACCGTATTTTAAACAAGAAACAGACATCTTGGCAGTCCCACTTTGCCTGTCTGCTTAGAAAGCCAAGGCCAGGAGGCAAGCGATGGCCAGTGAGTCTGTTTCCCAAACCCTTGCCCTGCTCTCCCACCTGGGCTGCGCTCGGCGCTGTCCCCATTCGGAACTTCCCACCGCCCCACACTCACCCAGTCTCTCCCAAAAGGCCAGTTCAAATCCCACATCCTCTAAGAAACTTCCCCAGTTGGTCAAATAGCTACATTTGGAAGCCAAAATTCAAGGTACGAGCTAACAAATTTAACTAGGTTGATATGTTTATACACAAGATCCCTCAAACAGAAACACCATTCCCGTTTTAAATTGAGACCCGATGGCCTGGTTAATACAGTCCTGCCTGACACTTAATTGTCTTCGGTGACTCCAAACATTTTCGCTGCACTTTTTGCAGTGGAAACCCACGCCCCTGGGTCTCTCACTTTTCAGGACCTCTGCTTTCTTCAGGGTCAGTGGCAATTGAAAATTAAAAGTTTAAAGGAACAGAACAATCAGAAAGATCCTTTTCAAAATGCTTGCCAGAACCTCAAACTAGGCAAGCAGCACCCTCATCTCTAGGGAGGAAGGCTCCTCAAAAATGGATCGCCAAGGAGGCCTGGAGGAGCTGCAGCTGGAAACGCGGGGCAGGAAGTGCCACCGGGGAAGAGCCAGGTTTGGGTAATGAGGACGAAGGGGCTGACCATGAGATGCTCTGTTACCACTGGAGTTAGAACAGCGGCAGCCCTGGAGGTGCCACCTTCACCCCTCCCACGTCCTCCTCATGCTGTCATGGAGGCTGTGCAGGTACAGCCAGTGATGGCTGGGATGGGGACACCCGAGGTGCAGTGGGAAAGAGAGACAGTGCTAGAACCTCCTAGCCAGCTTCCTTAAGACAGGGCACAGACTCGTTAGTGTATCTTGAGTTCCTAGTGTCCCCTGGTGGACAGGTGTGGGCAGCATACACCAATGATCTTAAAGAGTTTAACTAAAAAAAACTCCAAAACAGGTCAACTTGACATTTCCTGACTCCTTCAGGGTTCGGTCATGAGGTGGCCAAGCAGCCCCATTAAGCTGTTGTTATGTGCTGGGCTGATTCCAGCTAGACCAACTGCTGTGACATGTCCAAGCCACGCCTCCGTGGCTTGGACAATGGTGATTCACGCAAGGTATACGGTGATTCATTCTCCACCCTGTCAAAGTGGACCTTCGGCCATTGCTGGGGTCACTGTGCCTCAGGTAGAGGGAGCATGCAGACATTTAGAGGCACGGGGTGTAGTTTAATATCAATGTCTGCAGACATCGATGTCTGGGTGGGCCTGCTGGGAGCTGGGTAATAAATGGAGTCCCACCCCATCTGGCCCCACAGACCTGGATGATGGCTGTCTTCTCAGTTCCTAGCTGTACACCTGGAGTGGAAATGTTCTGTGAGATTGGAATGGCCCATGGGGTAAGAGCCCTCAGCATGAAGAGATTCAGATAGAAGCCTCAAAGTTGTCCCCTTGCCAAATGGATGAGCAAGCCACAGATGAATTCCAGAAGAGCCTAAAGGGTGCATGGGCCATCCTGCCACATCTCCAAGTAGCTCACCAGGAAGCCTGGAGCAATAACCAACCCAACAGTGCATGCCTGGGTGCTGCCTGCGCCTGCCCTGGCATCTGTGCTGGAAGGGTCCCGTGGCGTCGGGGATGTGGGACCAGCGTTGACCTGAAAAGCACGTGGGTTCCCATCTCTCACAGGAAGTAGGACCAGAAACAGTGACACCGATGGGAGATGTGGGATGCCTTTGTGGTCTCGCTGCAGGGGTGTGTGAACCCCCTGCCTTCCGTCCTCAGGGACCCCCATGTCCCAGCTCTCCACAGAGCATCCCCTTGGCCCCCTGTGCTGGTGGGTCAAGGTCATCAGACTTCAAGGGCCAGACATGAGAGGCGTGCTAGATGCAAGCTCTCCAAGGGCGGGAGGTCAGCCCCAGAAGGGTCAGGGGCCACCACATTAGTGCAGCTACGCTGGGATGGCCTCCAAAACAAAGACGAAGTCATCATCCTCCACCTCCACCTCCTCTAGTGGAACCACAGGGGTCGTCTTTGGGCCATAGAGGCCTCATGCTGCAGCCTCTGGAATGTGGTTTCAACATATACCCAGTGACAGCACAAGCTCCCAGCTGTGGTTGGGACCCAGAGAAGGACAAGGGCATGCAGGGGGCCTGGGGTTGGTATAAGTGGCCCTCTCCTTGCCCTCTGGCCTGGAAGACACTGCAGACCTAAAGGAACACCTGGTGGGAAAATGTCATGTTGAGTTTTCAGCCAGCCAGAGGGAGGCTCCCCCTAGGCCTTGAGGGTCCCACAGCAAGGCCATGCTGGCCGCTACTTTAAAGAACCACGTGCCACTTGCAAAAGGCCTGGGACATGCTGCAGGGCCTCGGCAGAGACTGAGCACTTGTCAGCAGACAACGAGTGACAGCGTCATCAGAACGGCATGAGTTGGGGACAGGCAGGGGCATGGGGTCCAGACACTCTAGCAGGACGTTCATGCGTGGACATGGGACAGGAGCGTGTGAGCGGCTAGGCAGGTGGTCCTAACCCCAAGACAGCCCCACAGTGGCACTAATGCCTCTCCCTCAGCCTACCCTAGGGGGAGGGTCCCTCAGTTGATGGTGTAGGACCGAGGGTGACCCCACTGTAGGGTGCCCCTGCCCCAGGTTTCCTCATAGGGCTGGCGAGGACCTCAGTCTTCCCAGCCTGCCGTTCAACAGCCCCTGTGCCCAGTTCTGCCCTCCTCTCTCCCATGCAGAGGAGAATCCCCAACAAACTTCCTACATCTCAATATGTGTCTCAGAATCTGTATTCCTGGAACCCAGCCCTGGCAAGCCATTTAAAGAAAAGGTCCCAAAATATCACCCTTAGGAGAAAAAAAAGAGTCCGTACATCCAGAGTTAGTCAGTTTGCCTGGTACACAAAGGCCCTTTTGGCCGGTCCAGGCTTCTTTCTGAAACAGCTATTTGTAAAGCCATATAAGCCGAGGGCTGTCCAGCTGGATCCGTGCTCAGTTCAGGAGGAGGGTGTGACGGAAGGAGAACGCGTGTGGTAGTGAATCCCACATGCACCACTCACAGCCTGTCCAGCCCTGGGCACTTACTAAAACTCTGCGTCTAGAAAATCCTCTGCAAAGTGCAGCAGGTGGTAAAGGGGAAAGGAGATGGCACACGCGGAAGCCCAGGCGGAAGAAGACGTTCGTACAAACCAGCCCCTCCCTTTCAAGGTAGTCACGTGATCACGTCCTAAAAGTGGGAAGGAGGCCAGAGGAGAGATGCATATTTGACGTATTTCAGTTGTCATTTAGCTCTGCGCACCAGCTGTGAGACATTGAAGCCAGCTCAGCCTCCATCTTAGTAGTTACCACCAAAAAGGATCAAAGTCAACAGAAATTCCGCTTCATAGATTATCTTTAGAAGCCCCGAGTCATTACAAGGAGAATCCACAGGGCCTTCTTCTTCATCATATGCATCAGAACAAGGCATTTTCCAGAAGACGCTCCAAGATAGAAGGGGGATGATGTCACATGAAAACACCAGCAACCATGTGTCATGTGTGACGATTCCCTGGCCGTGACCATCATCCCCAGCTGCCCATGGGGAGCTGCCTTCTGCAGCCGGGAACCCACCTGTTGGGCAGAAAGAATCCTGACGTGGCTTTTCCTTCATCCCCAACATGTGACAACCTCAACCAACCACCAACAAAGGCAATTTCAAGGCCTCAGCTAAGGCTTGGAAATCAATTATGCCGTCATCTCTGATCAGGTGGCAGGTACAGAACAGGGAAGGAAGGTGGAAAACAGGCAACTGGCCTCGCCCAGGCCGGGAAAAGTGAACGGGAATTAGATTTCAATCAACAGCTGGATTACAGTGCCACATCTCTGACAAGATCACACAAAGCAGATGGATCCTCTCGGCGCACCTTAATTGTGGGAAAGGTTTCCCTGCCGAGATCCGTGGAAGGTGGATGACAGGAAGGGGTCAGAAGGAGGCACAGGAACTGGAAGAAGCCCACCAGGAGAGCCTGCCTCCTAAACACAGCCCCGGGAAAGGCATACGTAGAGTGATTTAAAACGACCGAGGCTCCAAATTCCTCAGGACAATTTTTCTGATTTTGAAAACATTTAATGATTTAAGCTTCTTATAATTTTAAGTTATGAAAAATGTATAGAAAGCCTAAAAAGAAAATAACATGGAGGCTAGTTTTAGACATTTGAAAATAGAAAGTGATGTTCTTATTCATAAGATGTGGTTGATCAAGACGACCAAAGTCACGAGGATGAAGCCACAATTTCTGATGGTATTGACTTGCAGCCTCAGGGCAAAATGCAGCCCCCTCTTGGGTTCCAAAACACCCCTTTTCCTGCTATCACTTGTCGGGGCCAGGACAGGGAAGGCTGCTGTGCTGGGCTAGACTGTATTCCCTTGAAATTCATGTGTTGAAGTCCTAAGCCACAATACCTAAGAATGCCACTGTATTTGGAGATCGGGTCATTACTGAGGCGATGAAGGTAAAATGATGTCATTGGGGTGGACCTTGATCCAGTTCTGAGAGGCGGGCGTCCTAACGGGAGGAGATTAGGACACAGACACACAGTGGGAGACCATATGTGGACACAGAGAAGACAGCCGTCTGTAGGCACTGGGGGTCCTGCATTTGGGGCCCTGCATTGGGGGATATGCGTTGGGGTTCTGCATTGGGGGTTCTGCACTGGGGTCCCACATTTGGGGCCCTGCACTAGGGTCCTACATTGGGGTTCTGCATTGGGGTCCTGCATTTGGGGTCCTGCATTTGGGTTCCGCATTGGGGTCCCACATTTGGGATTCTGCACTGTGGGTTCTGCATTTGGGTCTTACATTGGGCGTTCTGCACTGGGGGTTCTGCATTTGGGTCTCTGCACAGGGGATCCTGCATTGGGGGTCCTGCATTGGGGGTTCTGCACTGGGAGCACCATCAACACCACAGCCTCCCTGGTCACCTCCGCACCCTCCCAAGAAGAAGCAGCAGCACAGTACTAAGAATGTGCGCCCTGGACCAAGACAAACGTGGGCTTCGCATTCAGGTCTGAGGCATATCAGGGTTCATCTCTGAGCAAGTCACTAATGTTCCCAAGTCAGGGCCTTGAAGGCATAAAGTTTTTAAACATGCACGTGAAGCATTTAGCATAGTGCCTGGCAACTCAGCAATTGCAACGTTTTAAGAAAAAGTGGACGGCATCCTGAAATAGAAAAAGGACATTTACATCAGAAAGAAGGAAAGTAGAAAAGTGTGAATTTTAGTTAATAACAAAGTATCAACAATGGTCCCTTAGTTAAGTCAAATGTATCATCCTAATGTAAGAGCTTAACAGCTTGGAAATGGTGTGGATTACACAGGAACTGACTGTAGCATCTTGGCAACTTCTCTGCAAATCTCCATGGACTTTTGAAGTGTAATGCATCCTCTCCGGGTTGGCCCTGAGTTCCATGCCATCTCTGTTTCTCTTACCCCTGTGCTCTGGCCCAGCAGGGACTTGGTACATCTCAGCTTTACATCTCCATCACCTAAAAGAGTTCTGGGCACACAGAAGGCCCTGTTGGTTGAAGAGATATGTGTTTACAACTAATTTCTCAGCCAGAAACAACGCCAGTCCTGTAGTTTATACACATCAGCCTCCCCATCTCACAGCCAGCCAGGAGGGAGACCTTGGAGCTGGGAGGTCGGCTGGCCAGGCTCTGGAGGCAGGGAGAGGAAGGGAGGCAGGGAGAGGAAGGGAGGCAGAGAGAGGAAGGGAGGCAGAGAGGCCTTCTGCAGGACTGGGCGGTAACAGATTTGGCTTTGGAGGGAGGGAGAGGAAGGGAGGCAGAGAGGCCTTCTGCAGTGCTGGGAGGTGGCGGATTTGGCTCTGTGGAGGAAGGGAGAGGAAGGGAGGCAGAGAGGCCTTCTGCAGGGCTGGGAGGTTGCAGGGAGGCAGAGAGGCCTTCTGCAGGGCTGGGAGGTGGCGGATTTGGCTCCGGACACCTGCCTTCCAGCCAGGCCCCTCAGTAACTACATGGCCTGGAACAAATCCGTGCATCTCAGCTAGACTTGATCCCTTCAGCAGCGGAGACCATGAGTTCCCCTGAGACTCACTTGAGGGTACTTTCATGGGGCTTTTAGTCTAGTGCAGTTTCACGGGACTTTTAGTCTGCAGTGGTTTTCCTTGTTTGAATCTGAGATGCCTGGGGGGCTTGATAAAAACGAGGTGCCCAGGTTCTTGCCAGACATCAGGAATCAGAATCTCCAGGCAGGTACCTGGGCACCGCTATTTGGAGCAAGTTCCACAGCTGATTCAGATGCAAACGCCCCCAGCCGAGACGGAGCTGTGGAGAGAGCCTTGGCGTACCCGCTCTACAACACGGGCCTGTAGACACCCCTGGCCAGAAACAGCCTTCCTTGACTAGCGGGTCCCAAACGTTAGTGTGCAGCAGCATCACCGGAGAGTTTGTGGAAATGCAGGTTCCTCAGCACCACCTCCAAGGCTCTGACTTAGCCAGTCTGAGGCAGGGGTCAGGCGTCTGCATTATGAGATGTTTCCAGGGAACCCTGACGTAGGTGGCCCATGGGCAACACTGTCAGAAAATGAGCTTGGTGGAGATTCCGGGAAAGCAGGGACATAAGCCAGGCCTGGCATGCCGCAACTCTCCGATGCACGCACACACACAGGAAGGAATGGGTGAAGCGCAAATGGATGAAATCCTTGAGGAAGTAAACCTAGTTTACTCTCCCCAAAGCACAAAGCTCCGGCCATTCCCTTCCCTGTAAAATCACATGAAGGGTGACATGTGTACGAAGGTTTGCCTCTGTCGTCATTCATTATTTATGCAGCTGCAAATATTCACAGGATTGCTCACACTCCTTTCTGCAAATCGTCTTGTAATGACACTCGCTGCACAGATGGGAAGACTGAGGCCCCATGGGTGTGTCTGGGGCTTTGACAAGGACCACGGTCAGCAGCGGAGAGAGAACACAGCTCCAACAGCCCCTAAGTGCCCAGGA
Source organism: Homo sapiens (assembly GCF_000001405.40). NCBI lineage: Eukaryota > Metazoa > Chordata > Mammalia > Primates > Hominidae > Homo > Homo sapiens. Next base: position 111,696,128 of record NC_000013.11, on the reverse strand, counting down.
CTCTGACCTCCCAACACCTTGTGGCCCCCTGAAAATCTCTGTCTTTGCTTCCAATGCTACCTGCCCTCCGATGCCCAGGCTGGAGGCACAGCCCTGCAGGCATGGCTGGCTACCCTGTTTTGTTCTGTTTTCTGCAACACATTGCCCGGCAGGAGGTGTGAGACGAGGGGGGACCCCGTTTCCTCCCAACAGAAGCAGTAGCTTCTGTTTTGTGTTCTGGGCCTGTAGCCACAAAGGAGGGAGAGGGCCTGGGGCTGGGCGGGCATTGCCCTGTGTTCTCCCAGGACCACTGGCAGCCGTGTGGGCACCAGCAGTGGGGCAGGATGGCAGGAGGCCCTCTTCTCCTTTGGGGGTCCCTGTGGTAGAGAAGAGTCTGTGACGTCCAGAGGTAGGTTTGCTGCCTGGATAATGGGGCTCCCCTCTCCTCCTGGCTTCCTGCCTTCGTTATTGGGAGAGAAAGGGAAAACCAAAACTCCCTGGGACTCTGCCCTAACCTCTGTTCTTCTAGAATGTTCTTCCATCCACTGGGGCTGATTTCTGCCTTCTGCTGTTAGTCCATTTTGTGTTGCTGTAAAGGAATACCCAAGGCTGGGTACTGGATAATTAAAAGAGGTTTATTTGGCTTACGGTTCTGCAGGCCGTATAAGAAGCATGGCACCAGCATCTGCTTCTGGGGAGGCCTCAGGAAGGTTTCGCCCATGGCAGACAAGGAAAAGGAGCCGGTGCCCCACATGAGAGCGAGAGAGCTATGGAGAGGTACCAGGCTCTTTCAAACCCCCAGCACTTATGTGAACTATCAAAGCGAGGACTCACTCATTACCACAGAAGGACACCAAGCCCACAGAGGGACTTGCTCCGTGACCCCAACACCTCCCACTGGGCCCATCCAGCACTGAGGCGACATCACAACATGGGATTTGAAGGGGGCAAACATCCCCGACCATATCACTCTGTTCTACTTTCTCCTCTCCACGGTGTGAGGGGTGGGGACGGGTGACAGAGAGCGGAGAGAGTGGAGGGAGAGCGGCCACCAGTCTGCGACTGAGGTGTTCTGAGGAGACAGAGAGCAGAGAGAGGAGAGGGAGGGCGGCCACCATTCTGTGACTAAGGTGTTCTGAGCGGACAGTGGAGAGAGGAGAGGGACGGAGGCCACCACTCTGTGACTGAGGTGTTCTGGGGAGACAGTGGAGAGAGGAGAGGGAGGGCGGCCACCATTCTGCGACTGAGGTGTTCTGGGGAGACAGCGGAGAGAGAGAGGGAGGGCGGCCACCATTCTGTGACTAAGGTGTTCTGAGGAGACAGCGGAGAGAGGAGAGGGAGGGCGGCCACCATTCTGTGACTGAGGTGTTCTGAGGAGACAGCGGAGAGAGGAGAGGGAGGGCGGCCACCATTCTGTGACTGAGGTGTTCTGGGGAGACACTGCCTATTAACATTCCTTAACATTCTCCTGTTACTCCTGTATTATTTTGGTTCTTGAAGGCAGCCCCTATAAAGATAAAGGTGTGGTCTAGGATTTTGTGGAGTTCTTTGAGCAGTTCCAGCTGAGCCTTGGGCAGCACAGGTTTGAAGGGCCCACTTGTACTGGATTTTCTCCCCTCTTTGCCGCCCCAAGACAGTGCAGGGACCCCGCTGTGCCTCTTCCTCCTCAGCCCACTCCATGTGGAGATGGCAGGATGGAGGCCTGCAGGATGACCCGCTTCCACTTAATGAATAGTATATGTATTTTCCCTTCCTTAAGATTTTTTAAATAACACTTTTCCCCTCTGGCTTACTTTGTTGTAAGAATATGATATGTAATACATACAACATAATAAATATATGGTGACCAACTGTCTACATTACTGATAAGCCTTCCAGTCAGCAGTAGGCTATTAGTCAAGTTTTGGGGGAGTCAAAAGTTATGTGTGGATTTTTGACCCTTGTTCAAGGGTCAGCGGTGCTCAGTGACATTCTCTTGATGTTTAGAAACTGCTCAAGCTGCTTCTGCAGGCATTAGTGCCCCTAGAAGTGGAGTTTCTGTGGGACCATGGCAGACACTCAGGTGTCCAGGACTGGTTTGGTGCAGGGGGGATCCCCAGGCAGGCTGGCAGTCAGGCATTGCCAGGGGTCCCAGTGACAGTGGCTGGGAGAGGACCTGAGGACTCTAGGGCTTCTGGGAAAGCCGCATCCTCCGGGGAACAGCAGAGGACACGGTGGTCTAGCTGGTCTCCTCCTTAGGCCTCCCCCAGACCCCAGGCTGACTGCTGACGGAGCAGCCGCCCTTCCACCGGGACCACCTAGGGAATTTAGAGAGAGGCAGGGGGTGGATAGCATCTCCGGCCGAGGCTGCAGCCTGCAGCTCCTCCCACAGCCCCTCTCCTGTGCAACTGTGGCAGGTTTCTGGCATAGGCAGTGAACTAGAACTAGAGAGGTTGTGAAAGGGCCTCTGTGAGTGCCTGTGCTCTGCAAGGACAGACCCAAACGTCTCCACAGCTTGGCATACTCCAGGAGAACATGGTGTTTGCAGCTGGCAGGTAAACCTGGCCAGTGTTCATGCTGGTTAGGGCAGCGACTGGCCCTGCACAGCCAGACAGGGGTGATGTGAAGTGTGGAAGGAACCTTACCCAATTATTTAGATGTGTAAGTGTTGGAATGTTATTTCCTCTTTGATGAAAAATGTGAAATTTTTACCCTGTCACAGAACAAAGGGAACTGTGACTTCTGTTTCACCATTTGCATAGCTGATTTCGTGTACTTTTGACAGTTCTATCACGCTTCCGACAGTGACGATGTCCCCGCTAAGGGAAGGTGAGGGGGGAATTCCCTTGCTAATCCACACGAGCTCATCCCTTCATGCAGCCTAAAGAATGAGGTTGGAAGAACGTTTGGCCTTTGGTTTGGAAAATAGCTCCATAAATCTCTAATAAGACAATTTTTTAAGATAAAACAAAAACATCCTCATAAGTCATCTGCTTCACAATGTAAAACATTCAGGGTTGGGTTCCCTCAGAGAACATTCTAGCATCGGCCCAGGGGTCCCAGGGAATGCTGCTGAAAGGCGACTGTGCTGAGCCACACGGCAGCACCTGACGTCCCTCTGGGGGCAGGTGTTTGTGGCCAGGTGTTGCGTTATCCTGGGGACATCATGACACGCAGGGCATGGTCCCTGTTCTCACCAAGCTTGCCATCTATAGGAGAGCCAGACCACGTATGGCATCCAAGCACAGTCACACTCGGTAAAGTTCCGGGGAATCAGAGACAGGCAAGGGTGGAGGGAATCCGGAGGTCTCCTCTTTGGTCCCCACACCCTGGGGGGTCAGCCAGAGCTCCCCTCGAGGCCGCCCCTCCAGCATTCTGCCCTTTGTTTACCTACAGCCTTTCTGTTCATCGCTCACCAGCTCTGGGCCCACCCTACTAATGAACTGAGTGCTGAGACTGGGAGGCACACCGTGACCCCAGGCATTGCCCTCTGGGTCCAAGACTTCCCACACCCCCGTGGCTCCTGTAAGGGTGTGTCCAGGCCAGGCACAGCCAGCCAGCGTCTAAATCAAAAAGAGTGAACAACAGGGCAGGAGGCAGAAGAACGAAAGAGTCATACATCGTTTCTCCCAGGCCCCTTGCATTTTATACAATTCTGAGCAGCGTGTAAAAATCTACAGCCAAAACTAAAGGACAGGCTTTCTTGAAAGAGGAAAGGATGAAGAGTGTTCCAACATCAGGCTGCAGACTTATGCCACCTCTGTCTCCAGTGGGCAGCCTGGCAGCTCAGGGCAGCATCTCCAGCAGTCAGGCTCTAAAATGAGTCATTTCAAGTTTCATCTCCTTTAGAAACAAGAAGACAATAAAGAGATGTGACCACTATTACAGAAGTCTGTCCCTTCAGGAGAAAGTTCAACATGCTACCGCACACATTTCTGCCTCTCAGTGCAGACTGCCTTCTGCAAGCTGTGGTTTTCAGTTTCATGAGATTCACACAGGTTTGTCACGGTCTAAGATCAAACCAACCATCAAAATTCTCTAAACAGCTTTCCTTGCCAAAATTTTGATGTGAGCCAAAAGCCAGCAGCTTGCTGCCTTATGCTGTTTGAGAAATGTCTGCATGTGGCTGTCCAAACAGAATCAGCTCGTGCCCAGGCAGTCACATGCGCAGGCAGATGCCGTCCCCTCAGCGGCTTGAGTCTCCATTTCCCAGAGAGATGCTGTAGTAGGCCAACGTGCCCATTCATAGATGCTCTAGATGGTGACGGGCCGCTGGAGACAGGAGAGGATTTCATTTGTGCAGCCCATAACTTGCAGCCCAAATTTAATCAAATGCACAAGGACAGTGCCCCTTGAACAGGAGCACAGAGGGTCATTCTGGTAAAATGATCACACCATTAGATTGTAAAATGAGGTCCTTCAAAGCACTGTCATGGGCATTTTATTGCCTCAAGAGTAAAAATACGGTACTTTCTGGAGAAAAATTATAGCTGCCATTCCCAGGTTTTCTGTGGTAATTAACCCGGGTGCTGAGGTGACAGAGGGTTCCCTAATAACTCTATTGGTTCAGAAGGCGACATTTCCCCCATCTCTCCTGACAGTATCATCGGGATGTTGTCAATGCAAACAATACCGTTATCTAGCTTCTTTTTAAGTCACCTGATTAACTGGAGAAAATAGAAACAGAGAGAAAAGAGTGTGTCCTTGCACAGAGGTGGTAATGTCACCGAAAGGCCACAGGAATGTCCCGCCTTTGCCGGCAGCCTCGGGTCTCCCCCAGGCCACTTGGACCCTCCTCAGCCTGCAGGTGGCTGGCTCCCTGCTCAGCTCAGTCTCTGCCTGGCCACCGCCCAGGGACCCTTCCAGGCCTGGGACAGAAGCCACCTCCCCTAGGAAGCCCTGGCCAAGCTGTCCCAGGGGAAGGGCTGGGTCTCAGCTCACTGTTCACACAGCGCTGTGAGCTCAGGATCACACCCAGAAGTTGCCCAGGGAAAATCCCAGTGAAGCAACGGAAGGCAGGCAAGAGACCCTGGGATAGGTGTTTCTTCTGCCCACATCCAGCCTGCACTCCACGGCGGAAATGAGGGCATCTCACTGGAGCCGGGACCAGATCCTCTTACCTCAAGCAGGGCCTCTGGAGTATTTTTCTTAAAAAATGAATTCTGGACGACCACAAGGGTTAAAGTGCAGAGCATAGTAAATGCTTGTTAATGAAACAGTTGATGATAATGGTGATGATGCCTGATGTTCCTTCTGGGGCTCTGCGTGCCCGAGTTTGTGCTAAACGCTTCACCTGGACACCACTCAAGGCTTCAGCATGGCCTCCTTGGGGACCTAAGGGGGAAAGGGAATGCCAGACTCCAAGTTGGAAGTCTGGGAAAAATTTGAATTTTAAATCCTAAGGATTTTTTTTTCTCATAAAATATAGGGGAGGACATTATGTTTGTACATGTGTTTGCATGTAGGAGTGTGTATGTGTGTGTGTAAGCACATGTGTTTCTGTTTGTATGTGTGTGTGTGTGCATGTGTGTTTGTATTTATATGCATTTAACAGTGTGTGTGAGCGTATGTTTCTGTGTGTGTGCATGTGTGTATGTGTGTGTATGTGTGTGTGCATTTGTGTGTGTGAGTATATGTGTTTCTGTGTGTGTGCATGTGTGTATATGTGTGTGAGCATGTGTGTGTGTGAGTATATGTGTTTCTGTGTGTGTGCATGTGTTTGTATGTCTATGCATGTAGAACTATATTTGTGTGTAAGTGTATGTGTTTGTGTGTGTGTGTGTGTGTATGCACAAGTGTTTGTGTGGGGGCACACGCATGTAAGTATGTGCGCTATTTCTTTTGTTTCCCTGGCCTTCTGCTGCCTCAGTGTTGGAGAGGCAAGGCTAGAAGACTGCTTTTGGGAGAGTCAGGTATGCCTGCCTCTGGGCTAGCCTGTGGGGGATGGGTTCTGAGCCCCTGCAGGTGCTGCTGTAGATGACCAGGCCTTGGGCGGTAGCTTTATGTAGGACCCACTTGTTCCCCAAAGTCTCCAAGCAGGGCACTGCCAGTCCAGCACATAAAACATCCCAGTGTGGCCCCAGACAATCAATACCATCTGGTCCCCTCCCTTATCCCCAGGGGCAGGCTTGAGCTGGGGGTGTACAAGGTTTGAAAAGCAAACTGTTCTTCTGAACCCTCTGGGCTCATTATTCAATAGAACAGTGGTAACATAATGCATTTTCATTTACTTAGCCTTAAATATATGTAAATTAAAGGGTTTTCTTTTATTAAAAATAACACTGAAACTTACCACTGATGTGTTTTTGTTATTCTAAAAAGAAGCAGTACTAGAGGAAGGAGGCTCTAATGACATTTCACATTCAGATTTGTGTCTTGCTGAAGAAAGAGGGGCCTCCCGCCCCAGGGCTGAGCGCCCGCATAAAGCCCTGCCCAACAGCGCTGCCATCGGTGACTTTCATCCGAATGCATTCTCATTGTCTTAAGTTGTGATGGAGGCAACGGCGGGAATGGTGCACCATGGTTGGAAGCCTAATTGTAGCCAAGAAAGAAAAATAAATTGTTACTCTCCCCTAGGGGTCGTGGATTATTGGAGAAGCCGTGTTCAGTGTGGGGGAGGGGGGTGGTGCCCGAACTTCATTGCTTCAGGATCGCAGCAGCCTCCCCAGTGTCTTCTGGAAGAAAGGAGTGGATTCTAAGGGGAGCCCAGCGCCCCGTTCCGGAGACTCACAAAGCCCCTCTGCCAGCCTCCCTCGCCGAGTCTTTCCAATTCATCCCACACTCCTCCACCCGGCAATTCTTGCCCATACTCCCTCTGCGAACGTCTTGGCATCCAGGCCCCTTCGCCCACCCACCAAGGCCCTCCAAACCTGAGCCCACACCATTTCTTAGGAAACTCCTGCTCCCTTTCAGTAAGACTCCTTCATTCTAGGCACCTGAGACCAGGCTGAGCACTCTGGATTTGTGTGCTGAGGCTGCTGTGAGGAACTACTGCAAACTGGGTGGCTTAAAGTAGCAAATATTTAGAATCCCATAGTTCTGGAAGCCAGAGTCTGAAGTCAAGGTGCTGGCAGAGCCAGGCTGTCTCCAGAGCCTCACAGCTCCATAGTCCATGATATTTTCTGGCTTGCAGCTAAAAAACCCCCATTCTGCCTCCGTCATCACGTGCTGTCTTCCTTCCATGCATCTCTCCCGCCTCCTTATAAGGACACCAAGATCCAGCACTGTACGGAGGCTTCTCAGATAAATTCACTTTCTGTGGGCCCCCTCTTTCTGAATTGCGCTAACTCTTGCAGCTCTCACTCCTGTAAGGTTCAGGAATAAGTCTTGTGAGGCCCACCGCCAATGAATAACCCCTACACTGTTGCTGAGTTTCTTAGAAGAGACTGTCACATCTTCAGTTAGATCACAGCTCTTCAGAGATCATAGCTCTACATAGATCATAGGTCTTCATGGATCATAGCTCTACATAGACCATAGCCCTTCATGGATCATAGCTCTGCATAGACCATAGCCCTTCATGGATCATAGCTCTGCACAGACCATAGCCCTTCATGGATCATAGCTCTACATAGATCATAGGTCTTCATGGATCATAGCTCTACATAGACCATAGCCCTTCATGGATCATAGCTCTACATAGACCATAGTCCTTCATGGATCAGAGTTCTACATAGATCATAGGTCTTCAGAGATCATAGCTCTACATAGACCATAGCCCTTCATGGATCATAGTTCTACATAGATCATAGCCCTTCATGGATGATAGCCCTTCATGGATCACGGCTCTTCAGAGGTCATAGCTCTACATACATCATAGGTCTTCATAGATCACAGCTCTTCAGAGGTCACAGCTCTTCATGCATCATAGCTCTTCAGAGATCATAGCTCTTCATGTATCACGGCTCCTCATGGATCATAGTTCTTCATAGATCATAGTTCTTCAGAGATCATGGCTTTTCATAGGTCATAACTCTGTATAGACCATAGCTCTTCACGGATCATGGCTCTTCATGGATCACAGCTCGTCATAGATCACAGTTCTTCAGAGATCATGGCTTTTCATAGGTCATAACTCTATATAGACCATAGCTCTTCATGGATCATGGCTCTTCATGGATCACAGCTCTTCATAGATCACAGTTCTTCAGAGATCATGGCTTTTCATAGGTCATAACTCTACATAGATCATAGCTCTTCATGGATCTTGGCTCTTCAGAGATCATAGCTCTTCATGGATCATGGCTCTTCAGAGGTCATAGCTCTACATAGATCATAGGTCTTCATGGATCATGGCTCTTCAAGGATCATAGCTCTACATAGATCATAGCTCTTCATAGATCATAGTTCTTCAGAGATCATGGCTCTTCATAGGTCATAACTCTACATAGATCATAGCTCTTCATGGATCACGGCTCTTCAGAGATCATAGCTCTTCATGGATCATACCTCTTCATGGATCATAGCTCTTTAGATATCGTAGCTTTTCATGGGTGATAACTCTTCATAAATCCTGGCTCTTCATGGATGATAGCTATTCATAGATCATGCCTCTTCATGGATCATAGCTCTTTATGGATCATGGCTCTTCATGGATCATGGCTCTTCATGGATCATACCTCTATGTGTCTTACTTTTCTGTCTTCACTCTGGCATCATGCAAAGGTCCACAGTAATCAGCAGAAATTTAGAGGGACGAGGGGGTTCCTATATTTTAGTGCCATCCCAATGAGAGACTGTAGGACAAACTCAGGATGTTGCCTCTTGAGTTCAAGATAATCTCAGATGATCAAAAATCATCTCCAACCCCCCACATCATCTTGCCAATGAAGCAGCAAGCTCTGTGTATATGATGGGCCCAGAGGTGTCTGCATCCTTGGACCTTCACGGCTCTTGGTGCCTGCCTCTTGTCAGGGAGGGTGTCCGAGGAGACAAGAGCAGAGAGCAGTGTCATTCCCACCTACAGGGCTCTCTAGCACCTCAGAGGCATTGCAGCCACCTCTCCCTGGCCTTGAGCTCAGTGACAGGGGTGGCCACCGGGCGGCCTTCTTGACAGGTTGGTGGGTGAGAGGTCACTGCCCCACAACACTATAGCTACTGTCAGGTCCTGCCGTGACTTTCCAACCATAAAGCCACTCAACATCCACAGCTGCGACTCTTCCATTCCAGAACTGGCTGCAGATCCCGCTCAGACCCCAAGACACTGTGCTATTTCTTTCAGGATTGCATGTTTCTGGAGTCACTGATTCAGGGATGACCTTGGGGTCAGTTGTCTCGGGAATGCGTACATCTCTGCCACAGCCTTATATGCCTTGAGTTCTGGCTTGGCCGAAGAGAACCGCAAAGAGATTCCGCAGTGGTTATGTTGCCTCTGACAGTGGAGAGAGGCACTGCACTGTAAGCTGCGCCCTCTGGGGTCTTTTCCCAAGCAGAGTACCCTATAGGGAGCTGAGGCGGCTGAACAAAGAGGAACAGGCCTGATCCTGAGGTCCAGGGAGACCCCAAGAGACCCCATGCACTTATTCTGTCCTCTCCCACACACCAACTGTGGAAAGGCCGATTTTTTTTTTTTTTTTTGACGGAGTCTCGCTTTGTCACCTAGGCTGGCGTGCAGTGGCATGATCTCGGCTCACTGCAAGCACTACCTCCGGGGTTCACGCCATTCTCCTGCCTCAGCCTCCCGAGTAGCTGAGACTACAGGCACTTGCTACCATGCTCAAAAAGACCGATTTTCATGCCTTAAGCAATACATTGAAGATCAGGGCTGGACCATACAACCAGGTTGAGAACCAGCGTGGGCCTAAGCAGGTTCCTACCCCATAGGATCAAGATGGTGAGGTGAGCAGTTCTGGCACTTCCTGAAACACCTGCCCTGTGCGTTCCAGCCCTGGTTCCTAATCTGTGGGAAGTGCCGACAGGGAAACACCCCAGCTCCGGTAAGAAGTGTGGCTCCGTGGAGCCGGGCAGCCCGGGCAAACAGCACTCCAGCTGGCTCCTTCCTACCGACTCCTCTCCATGCCTCGATTTGTTTTGTGTGCTAGAGACTATCTCACAATGAGATTTGGAAGATAAAGAATGATGGATAAAAATGAGAAAGGTAGCTAGGGACACATCCAGCATCTGCCCGCCCCACCAACGATGCTCCATGCGCGGGCCTCACCCTAATCTTTGATTCGCCATATGCTTTATAAGAATTGGATTCCTAGGTTATTTGGTATAATGTGTATGTATGTCTCTCAGTGGTGAGAACTGAAGGGAACGGCGTGGGCTCTAATGCCTCCGCTCACACCTGTGGTCCCGGCGGGTGAGTCCACTCCAGGAACAAATCTCCAAGCGCTCCCTTCCCAGGTAGAGCCTGTGCCTGTGCCGCTCGCTGCTGCTCCAACTCCAGCCCCCAGCCAGTCCATCCTAGATCTGCCGCTGCTGAGCCGGGACCCTCTCTCCTGCCATGTTTCTTCCAACCTGAGGGAAAAAAAGGTGGCAGCTGCCGGACAGGCTGGTGGGAGTGCAGGTGGAGGTCTGGAGGAGGGAGAGGCCGGCACTGAGAGGAAGCAGAGGGACGAGGTGACAGAGAGGGCATTTGGGGCAGGAGACAGGGTCAGAGCCGGAGGAGACAGCCAGCAGAGACTGTGAGCAGGGCAGGCCATGCATGGACAGGGCGACAGTGGGCAAAGCAACAGCCCAACGTCACCATCGCCATGTGCAAGCATCTCGGGTGCCTCCACCCTTTCTGACTCTGCCCTTCGTGGAGCCCGTGTGAGAGCTCTTCAGCTCCAGATGAATGGCCATCAGCACGAGGACGAGAAGTGCACCTGCTGTGAAGGTGGTGCTTGGACACCGGGCACGACGCCCAGGTCCCTCCCCCAGGACCAACACCCTCAGGCCCTGCTCAGGGAGGGCCAGTGCGGGGGCTGCCTTCATTCCAGGTTGAGCGGTGACCTCCCAACTTCCATGTCCACCTGCAGCCTCAGGATGGGACCTTGGAAACAGGGTCTTTGCAGATGTGACCAGCTCAGTCAGGAGAAGGTCACAGAGGAGTGGGGCAGGAGGAGGCCGTGTAAGGGCACAGATGCAGTGAGAGGACTGCGGGGAAAAAGGCAGAGCCTGGAGCGAGCAGCTCCCAGAAAAGGAACACCAGAGATGTCAGGAGGACAAGGAGGGGATCCCCCAGGGACGCCAGAGAGCCCCTATCCCTGCCCACACTTTGATCTCAGATTCTAGGCCCCCAGAACCATGAAGGAATAAATAAATTTCTGCTGTTTCAGGCCACCTGGTTTGCAGTATTTTGTGACAGCAGCCCCCAGACATGAATACATCCTCCGAAGGTTACCTCTCTCCCTGCTGGCCCTTCCGTGGCCTCATTCTGAGGCATCCCTGGGGGGCCTTCCCACCGCCAGAGCTCCCCAGACTACCCATCACACCCACACTGCAGCGAACCTCCATCTCAGAACCCAAAACAGATCACAGTAACTGGGGGTGGCAGGACGAAGGAGGGCTTTCTTCACTTTATAAGAAGTTATATTACTGTGACTTTGCTGTGTCTGTGATCAAGACGTCCCAGAAGAGCTTTCGTCCTTTCTTTGACTGACACAGGCACGCACACAGGCCCAAATGCACAAGCACATGTGCACGCACAGACCAGCCCGGTGCCATCACTGTCATGGTCACAGGTTGGTCAGTGAAGGGATGACGCCCGGGCAGGTGCTGGCTTTTTAGATAAAATTCTTGATGCTGCCGGAGTCTTCAAACTCCTTCTCTGCTCTACCAAACTGCTAAACTGGTAGCAAAGTTGGGTGACTGGTGCCGCCTAGCCTATTGTTTCCCTGGCCACTTTGTAGTGGAATTGTCAGCACATCCGAAGATGGAAGGGTTTGATTCTCGACGACTGGGCGCTCCTTCCAAGCACAGGTGAGGGTGGCCTCCCTGCAGGATGATGGCTGCTGGCCATGCTGGCTGGGCCCCACCAGGCATGGCTGCCACGCTGCCTGGGCCACTGCAATCAAGCAGACTGGTTGTTGAGCCACAGTGGATGGGAACATTTTTAATGATTTAGTGAGATCTACAGCAGCCAAACATTATCTCTTAAGAAGGTCCCTACCCAGAGCTGAGAGCAAGATTGAAGTTATCCCCCAGGCAGAAGGAGTTGTTATCAAGCTTCAGTCACCAGAGAACAGCACGACAGTGACCAGGGGACACAGCCTCACTGTCACCAGAGAACAGCACGACGGTGACCAGGGGCCACAGCCTCACTGTCACCAGAGAACAGCACGACGGTGACCAGGGGCCACAGCCTCACTGTCACCAGAGAACAGCACGACGGTGACCAGGGGACACAGCCTCACTGTCACCAGAGAACAGCACGATGGTGACCAGGGGACACAGCCTGTCACCAGAGAACAGCACGATGGTGACCAGGGGACACAGCCTGTCACCAGAGAACAGCACGACGGTGACCAGCGGACACAGCCTCGCTGTCACCAGAGAACAGTACGACGGTGACCAGGGGACACAGCCTATCACCAGAGAACAGCACGACGGTGACCAGGGGACACAGCCTCACTGTCACCAGAGAACAGCACGATGGTGACCAGGGGACACAGCCTCACTGTCACCAGAGAACAGGACGACGGTGACCAGGGGCCACAGCCTCACTGTGGATCGGTCCTGGGGGGCCTGTGGCTTCCCAGGCTGATTTTCCACACGTGTTGACCTCCAACGGATAAAAGCACGACCCCAGAACGCGTTTCTGGATTTTGTTTGTGACTCAGTTGATTCCAAGCAGAACCTTCCAGTGGATGGACACAGACTGTCACCCGGCCCGCTGGGGAGAGCCACACACTCACCGGAAACCCACGGCCAACAAGCCGCGTGGAAAGCTTTCTCATCCAAGTGTCAGAAATTTCTAGAATCCATTAATAAGTGTGGTATTAGGAGGATTCTGCCCAGACTAGGATGCGGAAAACTGTTAAGGGGGAAGCCAGAAGAGGAAAAAGCCGCAAAGCCTGAGGTAAAGTCATTAAGCGGCAGCTGAGAGGCCCTGGAGCAGAGAATGCCACTGACTTTTGTGGCTGAGCAGAACCTGGTCCTGTGGAAAGAACAAGGTCTGAAGCACAGCCCAGCTGAAGGTGTTTGGCCCCAACAGATCCGAGAAGGAGATGATTTTGTTCTACAAATTACTTTCTTTTTTTGTTGGTGAGACGGAGTCGCGCTCTGTCACCCAGGCTGGAGTGCAATGGTGCAATCTTGGCTTACTGCAACCTCTGCCTCCCAGGTTCAAGTGATTCTCCTGCCTCAGCCTCCCAAGCAGCTGGGATTACAGGTGCCCACCATCATGCCTAACTAAGTTTTGTATTTTTATAGAGATAGGGTTTCGCCATATTGGTCAGGCTGGTCTAGAACTCCTGACCTCAGGTGATCCACCTGCCTTGGCCTAACAAAGTGCTGGGATTACAGGTGTAAGCCACTGTTCCCGGCCTACAAATTATCTTCTAGACCCCCAGAGACAAGGAATGACCAGATGACTGAACACCTCTATGGCCATATTTTTTCTGGACACCTAAGGTCTCAAGTTTGACACGTTACCAGACCTGAGAAATGGACAACACCCATCAGTCCAAGCCTTTTAAGAAGTTGAAGCAACTCTCCTGTCAATTCCCGTGTTGCCAAAAGATGGCCAGTTGACCAAAACTAGTAAAATATCATAGCAAAACCCAGATCTATAACTCTTTGTAATCCTTCACGGAGACCCAGGAGACCTGTGAAAGGACCGTTTACTCCTTTCTTGAAACAGCATCTTTTGGGATTGCAGGGCCTCGAATCCTTCTCTTAAGGATCCTACCACAAAACAAACAGCCATTTTTCCTTTAGAACATCTTATTAAGGCAGAGAGGAGAAAAACAACCAAATTTGAAAGTCAATCAATTCTATCGCCAAAGATAGAGTCTTATGATGTGAAGAGAGAACACTGTTTAATTATCATAAACTACAAACTTCTGTTGTCCCACAAACTGCCTTAATTCAGCCACATTTGCGCTCGGTCAGCATCCTCAGCATCCCCTCCAAGTTTGGGCTTGGGAATGAGAAGGAACACAGAGCAGAGAAAGCAAACATCTAGAACCAGACGTTGGTCACCAGGCAAGAAACGTTTCTACAGGGGACGGCCCTTGGTTCCTGTTAGGGCGCAAGGGACCTGAGTGTACCCGATGTCCCTACATGGTTCGGCATGGCTGCCTGCGCACTGTCGGTGTGTGCCCAGCCTCGCCACTCTTTTTTAAGCAAGAGAAATGCACTCATGACAAGATTCTCGAGGAAGCGTTCTAACCCTGTGCAGAGTAACGCTGTGCAGTGTGGGAGTGTTCAGGCCTCCTGAGCGCCCTGATCCCGGCAGGCTCTCTCAGGTACCTGTGAGCATTTGCTTGTGTGCCTTTCAACCTGGCTTGTTTGGTAAAATTTCCAAAAAGGCACCCATGGACAGGACAGCAGGCCAGGCTGCAGGGCAGCGTCAGGGATGAGGGTGAGGAAACATGAACCTGGGCTCCCACGGTCCCAGGGGCTCCAGAAACCCTCCTCTGCCCTGGGTAGCCGGCTGCTTTCTTCCACACAGCAACCGAGCTCCCACCTGTGTTGCTTCAGAAGGGGCCTGCTGGCTGTCACTTCCACATTCCCGTGGGGAGCCCACGTGCTCTGCACGGACATCCCATCAGAAGCAGAGACTTCCCATGCCTTTTTTGTGAATCAGTTGTTTGGCTGAAGGAGGAAAAACCCCATCAATATGAAAAACCTTCTCCCTTCGCACTTAAAATTGCTGCATGTTGCTTTGAGGGTTCAAAGGGCCGTACTTTGCCACATTTGGGCTCCATGGCAGAGCACACGAGGCACGTAGCAATGGGCCGCAGTTGCACGGTGAAGCCGCGGCCCGCATCCCAGCCCCGGCCACTTCTCAGCATGTTGAGGAGGTGCAGGGCAGCCCTGCTCACACAAACACGGCCACGTGACGCGAACACGCCACCCCGATGAAGTTCAAGTTAGAACCGAACCCCCCCCCAACCCAGTGTTGTCCTGACTTCAACACTCTGCCCCTCCTGTGGCCCAAATGCCCTCCGGGGCCACTGGGCAGGGGCTGGCCAGCCCACCCGCCTCAGGGAGCATGGAGCCCAGCCAGGATCCTGCCTGCCACATGGAACAGGCTGCCGAGTCACCAAAGAGAACGGGTCCGAGTAGGAGGATCCCACGAGCAGTTTGGCAAGCCCTTTGCCGGCCTTACGTGTGTGCCTCATTCCCAGCGTAACACATAAATCCCACCTCTGGGAAGATGTCTAGGGCCCCACAGTACAGGACGTGGCACTGTTGGGGTGTGGCAGAGTGATAACACCCGGCTGACTACACGGGAATACAATGTGAGTGTTGCGGTGTGTGCAGACAAGGGGTCGTGACATGGCACTTCAGGAGGGCAGTGCATCCCCTGGTAAACTGAGGCACAGGAAGCTGCTGCCTGTGGTGTAGTCTGGCAGCACCGTGAGCGCCTGGCCCTCTGTTTACTTGTCTGCACCTGAGTGTGGCTGCCCGGTGAGCCCTGCCACCGTCCCCCGAAAGAAAGGACTCTATCCAACAGACAGGCTCATGCCCTGGGAAAATAACCAATCTGCACCGAGTCAAAGGCTGGACGGCAGCTTCCCGCCCTGCTGTTCTCCCCTGTGCTGCCCGCCGTGGACGGGGCAGGGATGCTGCTTCTGCTTATGATTATTGTTTTGAACCTGCCACTGAATCGTTCTGAGTTTTCACCCAGCGGCAAATGTCCCTCCTTCAGAGACAGTGTTCAGCTGAGGCCGCTGAGAAAGGGAGGGTGTTGTTTTTGTGAATGACTCATTAGCACCTCTAGTGACTGGCAAGGCCTTCTTGGAGCAAAGGAGACTCACAGGAGAGAAATCGCCCCTGTGTCCTTTTCAGGGAAGGGGAAGAAAGGAAACAAGTTGCAACGACAAACGCGGGTTCCTTTTCCCTGCAGTCCCGCTGGAGGGGACATGAAGCCCCACACCTGTCTCGGTTTGTAAATTGAAAATATATTGGTCCTATTGCTGCTGATTTTCTCTTTTCTTTTTCTTCTTTTCTTTTTTTTTTTTTTTTTTTTTTTTTGAATGGGTGGGAATCATTCCACTTTGCCATGAGGAATGCTGAAGAAATGAATAATTAAAAATGAAAAAAGAAAGTCTTTTCAAGGCTGTTTACTTGGGTGACACAAATGTTTCTTTCTCCTCGTAGGGCCCACCCACAGAAAGGAGCCGAACAATGCCGCACTGGGCTTTGCCGGCCAGGCCTCGAGAGCCCAACGTCGCAGAGCCCTGCTGGGCCCTTTCAGCTGACGCCGCGCCTGACGGGCCAGCCCAGACGCCGGCCTGCCCGCTGCTAATTACGAGGGCATTGTTGCTTGAGTGCTTTCTGTGTTTACATAGTTGGACAAGTCTCCCTTAATTGTCCAAAAAAAAAAAAAAAAAGGAAAAAGAAAAAGAAAATTACTAATATTTCAGAAAAAGGGCAGGCTGATCGGGGAGAAAGGATTTACCCTTCACATGTATCAATATTGAGCACAAAACCCAGAGCTCTTCTTTGATAGCCCCCTCGGCCTTGGGCGAACTTGGACAGACTCCTCCACGAACTTCCAGAGCAGGTGCCCAAAGGCTTTTGCGATCTGCAGACACGCAGATGAGTGTCAGTAGCTTGCGGCTCTGGTTACAGAGGGTTTAAGTTATCCTAGCAAGTAAATAACCAAAGTTACATCATTTTAATCAACATTCATCATTTTAATTGCCTGAATCTCCACCAGAACAAAGTAACGCTATAGTTTTATGGTATTTGATTAATGAGGGCAGGAAAATTGAAGTTTTTGCAATAAAACTAAAAAAAAAAAAATCAACAGACTTTTATCGTTTTTTCCCTTGTGATTTTAATTTAATGGCTCGTGTTTTCATTACTGCAGAGGCTGTGCACTTCGGCGTGCAATTATGTCCCATCTGTGAAGCTCTGTGTTACTGTGTTATTACAGTTTATTCCAGCAGCTTTTCAATCACTTTTGAGTTGGGCTTTACAAGTATTCTTGCAGCAGGTGGGCTTCCTGGCACGGGCCCAGGAACACACAAAGCGCAAAGCTGGAGTCTAATGGCAGCATATGCATGTGGCACGGAGCAGCAGCCTTCCCCCATATGCTGCGGGCAGCCCTTGAGCCTGCCAGTCACTCTTCTTACTGACTACAGTCTCTAAGTAGTTTTCTGCCAGGGAAAAATATACCAAGGCAGCAAATTTCTCCAGTGCACCATCCTTATTACTGAGACAACCCTGTCATTAGCAGGAGCACAATGAACGTGAACCAGGGATGCATACCAATTAGGCTCCACGGAGCACTTTCGCTTCTTATCTCCATGGAGACGCGCCCCCCGGCTGCAGTGGACAGGCAGGAATGTCCCCCCACCCATATGCCACCTAGTTAACACTGCACACTTTCATGTGAACCCAAATCCGCTCCAGCCCTCTCCGCTGCGGAGAGAAAGGAAAGAAAACAACGGAAGTCTCCGTCCATGGGGAGGCAGAGCCTTTCGAATTCCGGGTCTCGTGCAGCCACAGCTCCCAGCCACAGACGGGAGTCGCTGCATTATCACCCGTACGGCGTCTAAATCTAGAAATAATACCCACCGCCCCCTTCAATCTAGCGGGGAGAGTTTAAACAATCTAAAAGAAATTGCCTTATCCCGTTCAGAAAAAAATGGAAACCCAATATTTGTTTTTAAATCGACAACGTGTCTCGCTTCCGAGAGCCTAGGACAACTCCATCCGCCGCTCCAGAGCCCTTCTCCCTGGTACTTTCTGCCCGTACCCCCGCCCCCCTGTACAGAATGCACCTAAGGAAACAAAGACTCGGTGTGTGTGGAAAGGATCTCCCCGCTGGCATTCTGTGAACTTTGCAAAGACCTGCTAACGAAGTCTTTTGTTTTCTTTGAGTGTGTGTGTGCATGTGTTGAGAGAGGGAGAGAGGGAGATGGTTTTTATTTCAGTGGCCCAGTATGTAGGCAACTGAGACATTCTGACTTCCAGAGTTTCACATTGTGGGTTGGGGTTCTCATTTTAATTTACAGTGTTAACTACCAGCAAGAGATACACCACGGCTTTATTTTCCTCTAAATTCCAGCAGCAAGTTGACAACAGGGCAACCCCTTGCATGCTGATGTCAGCCCTTCCTGAGCATGTCACCCCCTCCTGGGCCGGCTGCGTCCCCATCTTTGTGAACCAGCAGCCCCTTAGCAACCCTCTTCTGAACCTTCATCGTCTTCCTACCAAGGATGATGCAGGCTCTGTCTCTTACTTTCTTCATGCAGGGGTATTTTTTCCAATATTGGCTCTAAACCGTCACTCACCTTGCAAGAGAAAGAAATTCTCTCAAGCTGATGGTAGCAAACCACTGCGGCCAAAATGAGGGGTAACCGGCCCTTGCACTCCCAAAACTGCTGTGGCCACAGCCTCTTTCTGTTGTGTATGTGTGCCGGGGCTTTTGAGGAAGCACAAGTTCTGCGGTGAGCCGGTGCAGACTTAGCTTCCCACCGAGCCACAGCCTGAGCTCGACAGGAACCTAAGTCAGTCCCATTGAAGGCACAAATAAGTGTTGTTTGAAAAACACACACACACACACACACACACACACACACACACACACAAAATATAAGATGCTGTGAAATAAAGTCACATAATTAGTGATGGTGAAGCAGGAAGATGAAAGGTACAGGGGGCTGGGAAACCTGACTTCTGAGCACAAAATCAACTGATGTAGGACGAGTGATTTCCCCAGGTACCGTCACTTATAGAACATTTATTTTTTATTATAAGAGCAATTCTAGATATACATGAAATTCACTGGATTCTGATGGGAATAATTTCCTCCTGCCTAATGCGTCCCTATGGAAATCACACAACTCTTTGATTTGTGTTTTTAAGTTCAAGTCATCAAGGGAAAAGAAAACTTCTTTAGTAAAGACAGAGTAATCCTCAGCCCACCTCAAGCACAGCCGAGAAGGCGGAGGGAGGCCAAGTCACAGGAGGTTTAATTCGGTGCTCAGGGCTTGGCCTTCCTCCCAAAATACAACGGGGTCCAGATGAAATAAGAGATGGCACTTGAACGATTCAGCAACTTCACCTCCCAGCCACGTTGGAGACATCCTGTGCAACATGTGAATAACTACCAAGACCCTGCATTCCCTGACCCAAATGCTACAGTCCAGAGTTAGAACCACAGCCCAAGAGAATGAAAGGAATTTGTATTTATACTTATTTATGCTTTGTTCTTTCCCAGAGAAGATCTGGAAAGCCTGCTGTGGCCCTACCTGGCACATCAGGCTCTACAGAGAGCGGCTGTTTTCTTCATTCCTTGAAGAAGGTCGGCTAATCTCCCCCACCCCGACATTTACAGGTTCCGATGCAGCTGGGGAGATGTGAGCTCCTCAGACTAAAATCCAGCGTCCTGTGCTCCACCCACCCCAAGAAAGGCAGGGGCTTCTCGTCAGGGGGCTGCCCAGAGGGTCCGACGCCTCCTATTCCAGTCACGATGCTCGATGACCCTCTCTTATTTTCGTTCTCACACTCTCTAGGCAGCAGGCAGTGACACAGCCACACACTAGGCAATGAGGGGTCAGCCATGCCAAAGCCCACCAGGCCTCTCTGTCTGTCCACTTACCGCAAAGCAGTGCCCAACTGCTGGTTGGGCTATGCTGAACTTCTTAAGGCAAAACCTGCGCCCACAGAGCCACTGTTTCCTTCTTCCTCTCAGACCTGGGTTGCCCTTCAGCCGTGTTCAGCCTGGCCAGGGGTTGAAGGTGCCACCCGGCCAGACTGATGGGATCTCTGTTGGGTTGGGCAGACAGTCACGAATGGGCACCCCCCGCCTGCTGGCTGAGTGTCCAGGCTAGTGAGTCACTGTCCGTTCTGATCTATTGAGTGGCCTGCTAGAGTTTGGCCACCCAAATCTCATGTTGGAACGTAATCCTCAATGTTGGAGTTGGGCCTGGTGGGAGGTGATGGGGTCATGGGGGACGGATCCTGGGGCCATCCTCTTGGTGATGAGTGAGCTCTTGCTCTGAGTTTACATGAGATCTGGTCATTTAAAGTGTGTGGCACCTCCCTCCCTCTCTCTCTTGCTCTCTTTCTCTCTCGTTCCTGCTCTCACTGTGATGTGCCTGCTCTCCCTCCACCTTCCACCATGACTGGAAGCTTCCCGAGGCCTTCTCAGAAGCTGAGCAGATGCCAGCACCATGCTTATACAGCCTGCAGAACCATGAGCCAATTAAACGTCTTTTCTTTGTAAACAACCCAGTCTCCAGTATTTATTTAAAGCAATGCAAGAACAGCATAGTTCACAGCCATTGCAGGGCCAGCACCTCTGCTCTTAGTCAGAGCCTATACTGAAGAATTTTTACAGACGTCTCAGCCCACCCTCTCTGGGGCCATGCTTTTTCTTCGTGGGTGCTGTTACAGGTTGAACTGTGTCCCTACAAAAGATATGCTGAGGCTCTCTCCCCTAGAACTTCACAATGTGACTTTTTTGGAAGTAAGGTCATTGCAGATGTAATTAGACAAGAGGAGGTCATCCAGGAGTCGGGTAGACCCTAATCCAACAGGGCTGGTATCCTCATAAGGAGAGCGGGTTGGACACAGAGAGGAGACACGCAGGAAGAAGGCATGAGGATGGAGACAGAGATCGGACTGAAGCATCTACAAGCCATGGGGGCACTGGGGCTATGGGGCCACCAGATAGTGGAAGAGATGGGAAAGCATCTCTCCCCAGGGGCTTCCGAGGGAGCAGGGCCCTTTGGATGCCCTAATTCCAGACTTCCGGCTTCCAGGACTGTGAGAGGGTTCATCTCCGTGGTTTGGAGCCACCCTGTTTGTGGCACTTTGTTACAGTAACCCTATGGAACCAACGCGGGTGCCCTTTAGACAGTGACTCCCCAGGTTCATAGAATAAGGGAAGAAACAGGACATTTCAATGAAAAAGCAGTTAGTTTAGGTTCCCAGGGGTATAGAGAATGTTCGAGGGCTCAGGAGCCACATGGCCTGCATTCTACTCAGTCCTCACAAAGGGCGGCAGAGTGTGTCCGTAACTACAAGGACTCTGGATCCAGTTGGTCTCAGTCCAAATCTCAGCCCTGCCAGGTGGTGGATATGCTGCCTTGGAGAAGTTACTTAACCTCTCTGAAACTCAGGTTTTTCATCTGGGAACCGAAGACAAAAGCAGCCTCTGAGTCATAAATTTATATCAGGCAGAGTAAGCCAACCCATGTAAAAAATCATGTCTAGTATATAGTGTATAGTTAATGCCTGGGGACTCATGTATAGTAAGATTTATAGGAATAAATGCTATCTTTTTTCTCTTTACAAAAGCTATATTTAATTTTGTGTCATCACTGCCCAAAGTCATTTTCCAATTCCAAGTCAGTCGTACATCCAACACAGGTTTCTTTTCACATACAAAATAAAACCACAGACTTGTCTGAAGTGGGCAAGAAAACTCTGCTTTCTAGAACTGATGTGCAACCAAGGCTGTTCTTGGCTGCCCTGTGGGACAGCTCCTGACTGTCCCCACTGAGCTCCTGGCCCCCAAGTCTGTGTCACTCTTTCCATCAGCAGCACCCTACCCCAGGGTATATGATGGGCCTTCTTTTTGTTAATGTTCTCATATTTATTTTCTATCTCCTCAAATAAATATGAATAATAAGTACCTTAAAAATAGGGATTGCATGTAATAATTCCTCATATCTCTAGCCCTCATACATTATTTTCAACATGAAACGAGCTTAAAATATTAAATAAGATAAAAAGCAAAATAACAGATGAAAGTCAGGTGGTTATGGTGACCGCGTGTGTTTACGCAGCACTTTAGAGCCCATAGGACACCCTCCGTATGCTGTCCTGTCTGGTCCAGCCTCAGGGGCTGCAGCGCTTTTTTTTTTTTTCTTCTTGCAAATGAAGACATGAGGCCATTATTATTATTAGCATCTTCATATGCAGATGAAGGACATGGAGCATAAAGATGTTTAGGAGCTTATTCAAGGTCCACAGCTAGTGAGGACCACACCCCCAAGCAGGTCGACCCAGAATCTATGCTGTTAACTGCAAAGCTATCGTTCCCTCTTCATGGTGTGGGGAAGATTACCATAGGTAACACGTGCCCATCACTCACAATGGTCCCTTCTCTTCAGGACTCAGTAGATGCCAGCTCTAAGTAGGGTGATCACATAAAAGCTCCCTCTCATGTTTGGAAATGAACAATGGCACACGTATCAATTACATCACAACAACAGGTGAAAAAGCAGGGCCCTCTCAGGCAACCTGACTCACACAGTCTCCTCAGTGGTAATGATGGTCCCGGATTATCAGCTCCCAGGGAGAAGAGCACATCTTGCCACAGGCACTTTGTGTGGAGACTCATGAATATTTAGGACCAGGGTGTTTTCCTCCGGAGGCCGGATCTGGGGCAGCAGAGGGGAGAGTGAGGCTGCATCCAGGACTCTGAGGCAGGCAGGGTACCGGTCGCACCGAGACCCCGGTATAAGCAAGGTTTTAAAATCCCCCAGTGGGAAATCTAATAAAGTAACCTGGATTATTTTGAATCCACCCACTTATCAGTATGCCCTTCCATGTGGGAGACTCAGATGAGCATCATTAAACCTCTGCTTCTATAAAATCCACACACTATTCATGTCATACATATGGTCAAAATACAAGTGAGATGTGGGTACGTATGTTGCAAATTATGCTTATGGCTTTTAATAGTTATATGATTGCAATATGTTGGAATAAGCCTTAAATATGCAATATGTTGGAATAATCCGAAAATCTTAATTATGGTGGAAGCCACTGGGTGGGTGCGTCTGAGTGGGGTGGGAAGGACGCACCTCAGATTCAGAGAATCCCAAGGTCAAGGGGCAGCTGTGATGCCCACCCACTTGGGCAAATTGCTTTTCATCCTCAGTATCCTCAGGTGTAAACCTGGGGCCCACGCAGCCTCCCTGTTCAATATTTAAAAAAATAGAAAAGTAAAATGAAGATCCCGTTTGTCCTTTCTCACTTTTGCAGGATGATTGGGAAAATCAAATAAAATAATGCAAATATAGTTGCTCAATTATTCAACATTTATTGCACACCTCCTGTGTATCACACCTGCATGAAGCACTTGGCTTGCAGACAGGGAGAAGGACAAATAAACTGACAGCTATCCTGCAATGTGCCGAGCGCGCAGGTGAACCTGGCCCTTGGGCTAGCATGGACAGGCACTCCCTAATTTACCCATCCTCATGGAAACTGTTCTAGAGCTCTGTGTTTTAGCCAGCAAGCCCAGGTCTGTGCTCAAAATGAACAATACTAATGTCAAAATTTATAGCAAGATATTAACATGATAAAGCCAATTTTTACACTGTCTTATAGGTGTTAAAATAGGTACTAGTGAACAACTGATTTTATCTTTGTCCCATTTGCGGAAATTTCTAACCTGGATAATCTTTAAAGTCTATAGAAATAGACCTGGTCATTTTTTTCCATTTGGAATCATCGATTTATTTCACTTAAGTTATCAAAGTGCAAATCATAGCTCCCGGTTTCTTCCAGTCTCGGCTCCTTTTGAGCTGATGTCGCACAGATGAAATTTCAGCTCCTGCCCCTTGTAATTATGCAAGCTGAGGCCTTGAAAGCTGTGACTGCATCAGAACACTTTTCTAACCGACTCTGTTTAGTCCACACCAGGCTGGGAGAGTAAACAAATGCAGTATGTGAAAGGGTAGCTTTGCGTAGGTACTGTCCAGTTTGAAATTGCAAAAGATTGATTTTTCCATGAAAACCCCTGGATGTGTATCTGCCCTTGTCCTGACCTCTGAGCTGCCTGCCCCTCCCTTTTTGAAGCCCTCTCCTCGCCCACATTCTGTGACCTCACCTCACCCAGGAAAGCCCCGCACCTCCTATCCCCCAACTGCCCTTGGGTAATAGGGCCCACTCTTGGGTGTGGCAAGGACAGGCAGGACATCCACCAAATCCATGCCTCTTCCCCACACAGGATACTACTGCACCCTAACCCCCTTGCAGCTGGGCTGGGACCTGTGACTGGGTTTTGACCCAAATGTTCCTGAACAATTCTCAAGACTTTGATGATGTTTGGCTGGAAGGCATCTAAGGAGGAGGCCAGAAGAAATGCAGCACCATGAGACAGAAGATACTGGCAGACCCTGGCCTGCGCCTGGTAAGGTTGCAGGAAGCCTGTGAGGTGCAGGGGCGGCCGGCTCGGGCCAGCATCAGCGAGGCTGCCGTGGCTTCAGTACTAGCTGAGTGCCACTGGCCCAGCTCTGTGCTCTCAGCCCCCGCCTCTCTCCGGAGCTTCCACCTGCAGATCCACCACTGGACGTCTCCACGTCTTAAGACAAACTCCCCTCCTCCTGCCAAACCCCCATCTGCTCCTCTGCCTCTGGGGACGCTTCCATCCACAGCACTAAGGATGGGTGATGACTCCCCAACCTCCCTGTGCCTGCCATCACCTGCACCCCAAAGTCCTCCTCCCCACTCCTGGGTGTCTCTCTGCTCCAGGTCTACACCACCTGAACCCCTGGCCTGGCCATTGGAAGAGC
Organism: Homo sapiens; assembly: GCF_000001405.40. NCBI lineage: Eukaryota > Metazoa > Chordata > Mammalia > Primates > Hominidae > Homo > Homo sapiens. The sequence continues at coordinate 111,671,526 of NC_000013.11, read as the reverse complement.
CTCTGTGACCTGCCCTGGCCCCGGGCCTTCTTCCAGACCCACTTTCCCCTGAACGTAAAGGAACACACATTTGATTCGGATGCCATCCTGCTAACGCCGCCACCCCCCTACCCCCGCCCCGCAACAGCACTTTTCCATGGGATTCCAGGACCAGTTGGGCTGAGGCCTCTGGACGTCCCTGCCAGCCTCGCCTCTCCCAGCCGCCCTCCTTCCCACCGCAGACCGCCACTGCCCTGCCTCTGCTGCCCCATCCCACAGGCAATCCTGCCTCCTGCCAGCTCTTGGCCTGGGCTCTGGGCTGCCTCACGCCCTGCCCTGCCGTCCTTTCACAGTCCGGCCTCGCCTATCACCTTCCTGTCTCCCCTGCCCTGTGGGGATGGCTCCCGCGCTCCCCGTCACATGTGCAGCCACATGTGTAAGACGGAAGAGAGAGGGAGGGAGGAAGGAAAGATGGAAAGGAAGGAGGAAGGGAGGGGAAAAGGGAGGAGGGGACAGGGGACGGGCAGACGTAGTATTTCCAGTTCATCCCTCAAACCAACATCTTACCCCTTTTATATAATTGTACCCCTTGATCTGGCCTTGCCAGCATAGGCGGGACCCCCGCTGAATCCAGTCCGAGCTGTAGGGAGCTGGTACTGTGCAGAGCATCTGCGGGCCCCCGGGCCTGTCCCCAGCTTCGCCGCCACCCCCTCCACACAGACCCCAGGGGCAGAGCCTTGCTACATGGAATGTGGGGACCCTGTGGGCCCCCGGGCCTGTCCCCAGCTTTGCGGCCGCCCCCTCCGCACTGACCCCTGCGGCAGAGCCTTGCTGCGTGGAGTGTCACACGCGCCACTGCATGGATGCCCTTTGAGAGTCTGCAGGGAATGCTGGCGGGAGTCATCCTGTGGTGAGCCGTGGTCCACATCTGGATCCATCTCATCTTGTAAAATGGATTTTTTAAAGGTATTAAACCTTCCTTCACCTCAAACACAGTCTTTCTGATGGGGCTGCAATGGTGATAAGTTCTTATGGGCAGACGCGAAGGAGAGGAAGGCCTGGGCGGTGCAGCTGTGGGAAGCAGGCCGCTCTTCCTACAGCCTTGCCACACCATGACCTGCCAGCGAGCAGGGAGCGTCCAGACCGTGTCCCTCCCCTCCTCCCTTCCCTGCTGGGTGTCGCACCAGATAGACAAGGGCAGATGTGAACAGATACAATCTGCCTCAAGCCAGAGGCCGGCACCCCGCTGGCTCCCGATGGGTCCTCAGTTATTCATTGCTTGGTTGAAAGTGAGTTTAAGAAAGCAGCTGAGCCAGGCGCTCCTCATACAGCAAGGTCTGATGGTGATGGCTAGAGGGCCGCGGCCTCCGGAGCTGACAAGGAACCTTGGAGCTGCCTGCTGTCACCCAGGGGTCCCTGCTGTGTGCTCGCCTGTGTCTCTCTCCATCGGGGACATTGCTGGGGCCACACAGCAGGTGCTTTCAGAAAACGCCCCCCAGGCCTGTGGAAAGTCGCTGCCCATGCCACCCTGAAGTGCCTCGCACTAAAAGAACATTTGAAGACGCCCAGGTTCACCCACAATTCCACCATAGCCATGGCGGGGGGCGGGGGTGTGTGTCTCGAGCCCGTGGTGACAGACTCAGACTGACCCTCTCCCCTGAAGCCCACGGTGTCACTGAAAGCATCTTTTAAAGACTCACATTTTACTTAAAAAGACTAACGTTTTTAAAGAACAACTAACCCTAACCCTAACTCTACCTCTAACCGTAACCCTAACTGGATGAGTATGATTCTAAGATGTGAGAAACAAACCAGAAAAAGCATTTCCTTGCTCCTTAGAAAGTATTTTCCGAGCGTTAAGCTTAAATTATTATAAACATCTTAGCGCCTGCGCCAGCACCCTTCAGCCTAGAGGAAAGTCCCGAGGGGGCAGGGGGCAGGGGGCAGGGGGCAGGGGGCAGGGGGCAGGGGGCAGGGGGCAGGGGGCAGGGGGCAGGGGGCAGGCGGCCGGAGGAAACAGCGGTCCTTGTGAGCGCCTGGAAACCGCCCCACACACTGTGAGCCCACATCAGACCTTGCGAAGGTCACTGGGCCTTCTGGAGCCTCGCCAGGCCTCAGAGCAGCTCCGAAATGCTCAGGGAGGAAGGGGACTATTTCTTCTGAAGACATTGCGGGTGCAACTGTGACCCCGTTGGTAATCGGCTCCACCTCCAGCATTTTCCTGGAGCTGACGCTCCAGAGGAGGCTCAGTCCCACTCATCCCGCACGTCTCAGATCCCCATTCAATTTCTATCCTGCATGGGAGTTAAAAAAGAAAGACGCTGATTGGGCCTAGGAAAATAGAGGTAATTTTCTGTAATTTGGTTTTATGTAACCAAATGTATACACTTAAAATATGCTCACATTAATATCCACAGGTGGAAACAAACAGAAGTGATCTTGTTAACCACAGGGCGGCAACCAGCCCCGGAATGGTTACGTGGGAGCCTGTGCAGCGTCCAGGCAGGGCCACACGCAGACCTTTCCAGATGAGGGTGGGAAGCAGCTGCGTCTTATCTGTGGAGGAAATCCCAGGGTCCCTTCCCAGTTCTCCGGGGATGAGCGTCTTCACTGTGGGGACTTCCGCTGGCTCGTATTAGACGCCTCCCTCGCCCCTCTATAGTTGGAGCCGGGGGTCCCGTTCACAATCTCCCTGAGCCAATGGCCCCTTTGCATGAAAGAGGCTGTCAGTCCCCTCAAATTCGCCCAAATAGCCACAAGGTCACCGCATTCGGTGTGCAGGGGCGGGCCTGGGCTGGAGCCCGCGGGTGTGGCCTGTGAGGCTGGGGGAGCCGCGGGCCCTGCGGGGGTCTCCGCGCCTGCACGGTGAGAGCTGAGGCACCCGCTCACAGGAAGCACAAAATCTGATGGGAAATAGCGTCCGCAGGCGCTTTACCCCTCAGCGGATGCTCGGTCAAGGGTCTGGGTGAATCTCATCGGCGAGGTGGCGTGCCCTTCCACGGAGAACCGGCCAGAGACGCCCGCCACCGAGGCCACCACCGCACCCCTCGGCCTTTGTCCTGCGCTCACGGTGCAGGCTGACCTTTGCCCTCAGCCCAGGTGGCCCAGTCCCCAGCTCCCAGGCTGATTTTCAGTTCCAGGTTAACGACAGGGATTGTCTGCAATTCAGACTTTTAGACACCAAGGGACTTCCCAGCCCCTGTTCTCTCCCGCAAAGCTCAGCCCCTCAGAGGGAGCCTCTGAGTTCCCTGTAGATGCCACGAGTGATTGCAGCAGGGAGTGGACCTCGGCCAACGTGGAACCACCACTGCGGTCCCAAGACGCGTGTGTTTTCGGTGGACTATGTCATAAGATTATCTCATCTTCATATTTTTTTGCAACGAGGAACGCACAGGATGTAATATGGTGAGTGTCAGTCAAATACCAGAAAAGGAAGAGGCAGTACTGTCAAGATTTTTCAACATTTAGATTCGGGAAAACTTGTGGCACTCTTGGCTAATAAGGAAGCATCTGGTTATCAACCAATAGATCCAAAATGCCGCTGAGGGAGACACCAGCCGGCTCTGCATGGCCTCAGAGGCAGCGCATGCACTGGCAGCCAACTCACATTCGGGCCCTTTTACTTCTTACTGACAATGAATCGAGATGTAGAAATGAACGTAAGATCCTATGAAAGAAAATATAAAAGATGTGGAAAATATAAAATAGAAATTATTTTAACCTGAGGTGGAACTAAGGCCTCAAGTTCCAGCAAGACTCACAGGTGAGTGGTGAGGTCACAGCATCTCAACACGCGGCCGAGGCTCCTCGCAAGGGCGGCGAATCTTAGCAGATTTTATATTTATACTTTTCTTTCAAAAGTAAGATGAAGGTTTATTTTAAATGTATATCTTTTCAGAATTTGCTGGTAAAATGCTAACAGATTTTCCCATGAGGGAGAGGATAGCTTTTTCCATCTATAATATGCTAATATTCAGAGATTCAGAGGCAGCCCTTGCCACTGGCTTAGTGGTACATGCAGTTTTCATACATTGTTATATTATGAATGTTTATTGTTGTAGGAGATTTTCCATGTTTTCCATAAAATGAAATAAGCAACATTTAAAAAACTATATATGCATAGATACATATATATTTTTTGCTCCCCTGTGAACACCCAGGTGAGACAATATATTTTATAAATAGTAAAATTCTGAATATAAATTTTATTAAGTAGCTATAATAGTGTGCTCACCAAGATTCCTTATTTAATTATTTTACAAGGTAGAGTGACAGAAAATGTCTCTTTTCTTCACTAATACAGGTAAACGATCCTTGGTTGCCAATGAGCAGTTTTTAAGTAGCAAGCTCTATTTCTCGGCAAGGCTAACGAAAAAGCGTGCTGATGTACACACACTTTCTTTGTCACCCTGTAATAAAATTTTGAAGTTGCCCAAACTACCACTTTATGTTTATTCTAACATGCTAAAATTAGGAGACAGTGAAATGTCAGACTATGCAAATTAAGATGAGGACCAAGAAATGTCCTGTACAATTCCAAATCCCAGAATGTGAAAAGGTAGTGAGGTTTCCTGAAATGGTTCTTCTGTGGTTCTTCTCTTTGTTATAATCTCCAAGGACATCTTGATTAATAATAAAAATATTTTTATTCGCAACTATTTTTCCCTGCCAGGTCAGTTTTGTCCTGCAGCTCAGTTATTTACAACACACATGGACACACACGCACATGTACACACACACACACACGCACATGCACACGCACACACATGCACATGCACACGTACACACATGCACACACGGACATGTGCACACACATGTACACATGCACACACACGTACACATGCATGCACATGCACACGCACATGCAAACACATGCACACACGTACATACACACATGCACACACGTACGTGCAAACACATGCACACACGTACATGCACACAAACACATGCACACACGTACATGCACATGTACATATGCACACCCAATGCACACACATGCACATACACGCACATCCACACACGCACATGCACACACCTGCACACATGCACATGCACACACACGCAGGCATATGCCTCTCCTCTCCTGCTGAACCATCGCCTCCATACAGAATGCACGCTTGCATTTACTGGGAGTGAGGGGCCTCTGGGTGGGGAGACCTCGGGCACTGGCTCTGCAGCTGCTCCTGGGACGCTTTGGAGGCCAGAGCACATGGTCAGGTGGCAACCCTCGCTAACTGGCCCCTCCCAGCCATCATTCTTATTCCAGGAATGACTTTCTGATGCACATAAAGTGGATCAACGAGGAGTTTCACCCTCTTAGAACAAATTCTATAAACCAAAATAGAGATGACACTTTTACATAATTTCCTTTTAATGGAAAAAGGAGGGTTTTGCTGGGACCCAGAACACTGTAGGCAGCAGCAAGTGCAGCCGCATCGCTGTTTTGTTTAAACCACCTTAAGCCCCAAGTTCAGGCTTTAGCCTGCTGTGCAGGACCCAGCTCTGCGAGCACCTGGGACCCCCTCCTCTACGAAGGACAAAGCGGGGCCACCATCTGGGCATGCAGCAGCCGCCCTGTGCCTGTAAAGGTGTGCATGTCCCCCAGGAACTACTCAGACTCAGAATTAAAGGTCAACTATGGTGTCAGACGTGGGGGTGGGGGCCCCAGCTAGATCTGCATGAACTCTCAGGCCCGGCCGCCCCCGCCACCTGCCGGCTCACCTTTAGGCTGGGGCATCAGACACAGAAACCAGTGATCCCACGCGTGTGTGGGAAGAAGGAAAAGGCCTGTTTCACTTTTTAGCTCCTGACAGGTTTGCTACCTTTCAGGTGAGCACTTGCATCAAGCAAAGTGACAACAGAAGGGTGGCCCAAGGCAGAGAGGGTGACACTCAGCATGGCCCAGCCCCTTCCCGCATGTCTGCAGAGGGGCCCAGCCCCTTCACCCAGGTCCGCAGAGGGACCCAGCCCCTTCCCCAGCCCCGCAGAGGGGCCCAGCCCTGGCAGCACCAAGCTCGGCATTATGCAGGACGGCAGCCCTTCTAGGATGGCAGAGGGAAGCGTGCGGATTAATCAACTTGATATTACCCGTCCTGATTAAACAATGAGGCGTCCTGGGGTTCTGCTTCCGTCCCAGCGAGTGCTCATCATAACTAATGTGCAAACCCCAGCGCAGCTCCCTCGGGAGCAAACTACCTTTTAATTTTTTCCTCTAAAGATTAATTCCATTGTTATGGAACCTGTTATAAGAACTATAAACTAATCATTAGTCATTTTCAAACAATCTGACCTTTTCTGCCACGAATCGTGGAGTCTTTTCTCAAGAAGTCTTTTTGGGTTCTGGGAATTTGCATCATGCAAGATCAGAAAGAGGGGTTGGAAAATAAACAGTAACGTGTGTGCTGTGAAACTTTGCAAAGAGGGGAAAATCCTGTGATGGCCTCTTTTTGTTGTGCATGACTTTTTGTGTTTTCACAGCTAAGGATGATGCTTCCACCCCAGCCCAGCACCACCTGGGCAGGAGAAGGAGCTGCTCCAGGCTAAGCGCACCCACGAGCCAGGTGCCCTACACATGGGCACACCAGTGTGTGTGAAAATCCTGGCTGCTGTGGCAAAGCACCACACACTGGGAGGTAAGCAACAGAAAGTTATTCTCTTCGTTTTGGAGCCTGGAGCCCAAACTCAAGGTGCCAGCTGGGCCATGCTATCCCCAGGGCTCTAGGGAAGGGTCTGCCCAGGCCTCTCTCCTGGCAGAGAGTGGCTCCTGGGTGTGGAGCCGCATGACTCCAGTCCTGACACTGTGCAGGTTCACAATCTCTTCTCTGTGTCCAAACTCCCTCTTTTTATAAGGACACCTGTCATATTGGGTTAGGGGCCACTGCACCCCAAGACAACATTGTCTCAACTAGGCACATATTTCCAGTTAAGGTCACACCTTGAAACACTGGGGGTAGGACTTCACTGTATGAGTTGAGGGTGCATTTTCAACCCACAGAAGTAGGATTAGCAGAGAAGATGATTAAAGTCCAGAGAGGCCAGTCACATCCGCCAGGCCCTAGAGCCGCCAGTGCTGGAGTCCACCTCTGACACGGGCTGGGCTCACCTGCAAGATTAGACCCTGTCCAAAACCCTCAACATCTCTAAATGCTAAACATTGTCTTGGAGATGGTCCAGAAAACATAAATGTCTGCAGCCTCCGTCTCCTCCACACTGTGGGCTCCGTCACGCAGCACTGGGGTGGGAGTGAGCTGGGTTCAGATGGAGTAGTGCTCAGCAGCAGGACAGGCACCCCCGCCATGGGCCGCAGTGCAAACAGGAGGAGGCTGAGTCCGTGAGTGCTGCCAAGGCCTTTCTGCTTTCAACCAAACATAGCTCTTCTTTTTCTGGAACCATCACATCTTACAGGACATCATACATCTGGAGGATTGAAACTGTGTGTGTACATGTGCTTTATTTAACACCCACGCTCCCTCCCCAGAAGATTATAGACGGCCCCAGAGCTTAAGATTCTCCTGCAGTCCCACATGTAGTGAAACCTAGACAACAAGACCAAGCAATGCCCTAACCCGGTGAAAATTCCCAGCAGTCAGGGTTAGGTCTTTAGTAACCAACGCTCCCGCTACTGAGAAAACAAAAGCAAGAAATTCAGTCTCAAAGCTGATTGGTGCTTTTGAAAATTATTAAGCTAAAAAACGCCTTCCACTCCCGTAGATGAAAGAGATTAAAATTCTATTAAGAACAACAGTTTATAGGCCGCTGGCCAGTTAGACACGCAGGCACACACACAGAGACACGGGCCTTTACCTCTGGCTCAGGGGAACTTTGCAATGGAGCCCCGAGCCTGGCGGGGGGCGCTCTGTGCTTCGGTCTCAACTCCCGCTCCACCCACGTTTCTCTGGACCTCACACAGGGGTCTGTGTGCTCTGCCCCTGAGCACCCAGGCATCCTTCTCTTCTGCCTCTGTGCTGTTCCCTTTCTTCTGGTCGGCCCCAGTGACACCCATTAGCAAACATGTTTTCAGCATTGAAGACAAAGACTCATATTCTTTACTCATATACTAAAAACACTAGGAGACTGGGACCAAAAGTGTGAACAGACAATTCCAAGGAGAAGAGGAGGAGGAGGAGGAAGAAGGCGAGGAAGAAGGACGAGGGGAAGGGGAAGAGGAGGAGGAAGAAGCAAAGGAAGAAGGAGAAGAGGAAGAAGGTGAGGAAGAAGGAGGAGGGGAAGGGGAATGGGAAGGGGAACAGGAAGAGGAAGAAGGCCAAACAGTGGGTAGCCCCAGACCCTGGCAGCACATCACGTGAGTACACAGGTGGTGAATTTTCTCCCATCACATTGGCAAAATATTCTTGGCAAGCACTTGGGAAGACAGACATGATAAGATCCTACTGAAGGGGCTAAGACAGTGCATTTGAGGAAGCCAACTTAATACTATGCTGGAAAAAAACCTTAAAGTACGCAATCTCACTGCTGTAATGACTCTGAGAGTTTATCCAACAGAGATAACTGAGAACGTGAAAAATGGTTAGTACCAGGGTATTCATCACAGTCCAATTATACCAGCAAAACGTGAAAACCCTGAAGACCCAAAAATGAGGAGATGTGTAAGTAATTGTTATGTAGCTTCCTAAAAAGCAATTTTTATGCAAAAAAGTAAAAAATTGCTGTTATAAAAAAGATAGTTATGGCATTTAGAATATTTTCAGTGTTGTGTAACTGCCACTTCTATCAAATTCCAAAACATATTCATCACCCTAAAAGAAAACCCTGCACCCATTAAGCAATCACTCCCCATCCCCACACCCACCCCTGCTTCTGGCACGCACTCATCTGCCTTCTGTTTTCTGGCTTGCCTATTCTGGAGTATCCTATGAGGGGAATCGTACAGCATTGGTCCTTCGGGGTCTGGCTTCCTCTGTGTAGCACAATGTCTTCAAGGCCCATCCATGTTGTGGCATGGATCAGAATGTCATTCATTTTTCATGGCTGAGTAATATTCTATTGCAGGGGCATAGCATACTTTGTCTATACCACATACCGCAAGGGCCCATGGGCTGTTTCCCCTTCTGGCTCTTGTCAGTAATGCCGCTATGAACACAGGTTTGCATGTATTCTGCATATGTGCTTGAGGCCTCAGTTTTGGTTATTTTGTGTATATCCCTAGGAGTGCAATTGCTGGGTCATGTAAGTCTATGTTTAGCTTTCTGAGAAACATAGTGTGTTTCTTATGTCACAGATCACTATTAAACAAAACCATCGAGTAAGATGCCCTTTTATCTGCTGGGACCATTCCTCTCAATTTCAAGCTGCTCTCCTGATGGAAAGGCAGCTTCCTTGCCTGTATCTCATTGCTTCCTATGAAGGTTTAGATAAAAGTGCTGACATCCTGTTGAAGTTTGCTCTTTAAGAATCTCCCTGACCCTGAGGCTCACTCATAGCAGATATGGAAATGGGACCCGGGTGGGGCAGGGGAGGCACGTCAGGCACCTGTCACTTCCCACTGGAGCTCCAGCTCCCCTCTCTCAACTCTCAACTTCAGGAGGATTCTTCCTCCTCCACTAAGGGGGCTTATCTCCAAGATGCACCTGTGGGAGGCAGGAGACGGGCAGTGGGCATGAGTGGGAGGTGTGGGGTGGGCATCTGCAGCATCCAGGCCCCAATGTTGTAGGAGCCGGGTGCCAGCTCCTGAAACCACTCGGGGAAACTCTAAGGGTGGCCTCACCCCCACCCCCGCGGGGTGCTTCCAGCGCAGAGCCATGTGGCCTACGAGTGCCCTGACATGGGGACACCCTGCCACCAGCTCTAGGCCACATAGAGTTACTCTTCAGACACTGCTAATTGCAGCAAATTGGCTTTGGAGAGGGTTAGTGCAGTAATTATCTCTGAGTCTAAAGTGCACAAACCTCTGACCCACTCTTAGCAATTCCATCTTCCATGCACACGGGCACAAAGATAGTCATGGCAGCCTCCCATGGAGGCAGCAGTGCTATAGACAAGGGACACAGTGGAATCCACTCACAGCATAACTGTGTAATGGATGCAATAGAGACATGATAAATATGAGGTAGCCCCGAGCGGAGCCACCTCTGCGCGAGGTGGTGAGAGGATTCCACCGATGCCACCCTCAGCAGACGGCCCCCATTAGGGATGTGGGGAACTCAGGGTGGGCTGGCCTCCTCCGTATGCTGCCTCACACCAGCCCTGACCTTTCCGTATCTGCCCTGGCCAGGGGCACAGGCAAAAGGAGTCAGGCTGCAGGAATACAGTGTACTGGGTGCAAGTGCCGAGATGCGTGGGGATGCACGCTGCCCTCCGAGGCCAAGGCAGCAGGAGCAGGTGTCAGGGCTGCCCAGGAGTCTGGGGGCAGTGGCTACTCAGACATCGTAGGAAAACCCAGAAAGCACAGGCCAGTGCCAAGCAGGTGCGGGAGTGCCAGGTGCCCCAGACTCACCTCGGCCATGCATAAAGCAAGGTCATGTGCTCGCATGCCGGTGAGAAGCTATCTCCAAGAGATCTTATTCCACAAGGTGCAGAACAGCGTGTGAGATTTATCTTTAAAATTCCTACATAGACACAGACATAGAGAACTGAATATATGCATCATATATGTCCAACATCACATGTATAACATAGGTACACACAAGTCTAGATTGGCAGATACACATGCTTGCAGATGTGCAGGTCATCATTGGAAAGAGATGGGGAGACAGTAGTCATAGTCAGCTTAGGGGACAAACCTACTCTTCATGCTATGCTGTTTTTGTACTGGTTTAATTTTTTTAACTACAAGCATGTACTTCTCTTTTCCAACTTTCTTTTAATTACCAAAAATAAAATAAAATAGAATGTACACTCACAAGGAAGATAAGATGTATTACTTGTTCTTTCCACCAAATGCCACATGACTTATTAATTGATGTGGCATTTTAAAGCATGCCTGTCTTCTTCAAAGGCCTCTCTGCTCAAATCAGATGCATCAATAAGACGTTATCTCATGGTAGAGGATTCACAATGCGAGAGTCCTCACCACTGGCAGCCAAAGAAATGGAAGCTTGGGGTGGTTCTGAGGCTCCACCAAAGTTGACAGGGAGTCCCAGCCTGCCCTGGCCGCATGCCCTGGGCCAGTTACCTCTGACTGACTCTGATTATGGCAGGATATTTGTGGGCATCGCTAGTCAGGGGCATTGAACAGAGAGAGAGAGCTCTGCTGTTTCCCTTTTAAAAAAAAAACCCACATAATCGCTCCCTCATTTTCACCACAAATTGCTTCATAAATTCTTCTAATTGCTTTTTAGGGCAAAATGTTGCCCTAGATTATATGGACTGTCTCATCAGGGCCAGCTACTTGTACAAGCAGAAAAAATCAGACTGAACCTTAGTAAGAGCTCTCTGCAGATTTTTTTTAAAGAAATTAAATGCTGTTTTCTGCTCTATTAAAAATCCAACTTCCCTGTGTTGATCTCCACTTCAATTGGCTGCGTGCCCCTGTCCTGCCGTGACCTCATCAGGAGGATTCTAGACAGCTCGATGATCAGATCCTTAACACAGAAAAACCAACAGGGTCATACGTTTGACAGGGACTGGGTGGGACGTCAGAAGAGCCCTTTGCTGGCACGAAGACCGACCCCTTTCTGTGGAGCACACCCCTCCACTTGCATGGAGGAAATGAGAGATGGTATGCCAGGGAGAAGAGGAAAACTAGCTTCTCCACCGACATGGCACCTGCCTCAGGCCAACAGCTCTGCCCTTTATCCTAAAGTAAGCCACATCTCCTCTTAGGTAGGCTGTCTGCCAGCCAAGTTTCTTTCTTTGAGTCTGGACTCCCGTTGAGCCCACTAGGCTTCCTTCTATCCCTGCTCTTCATTGGCCACCAATCCCTGGAGTTACCAAGGCCAATCCTTGCAGCAGGTGGAAATCCCCGTTGCCATTGAGTGTGATAGTTACGCATACAGATGACACCATCAGACAGGCCTGATTTCCACCTGCTTTCCAATCTGTGTAATGTTTAGCAAGACAGTGACCCTCTCTGAGGCTCAGCTCCTTCATCGGTTCAGCGGAGATGCTCAGGACACTTCCCTCAGATCGTTAGGGAATGAGCGAAGAGGCGGATGCAAACGCCCACTCAGCACAGATTCCAGCCCTCAGCAAATGCCTAACAAACAGCAGCCCCAACCACCATCTGTGAGCCAGTCTCTGCTGACTTTGAATGTCACATACCTAGCATGTTTCTGCCAGTTATTGGTAGTGTTATCAATAAACATCAGAATTAGAACCTAAGCTTCTTTTCCTTGAAATTAATTCACATTAATTGAAAGTGTGAGCTAGAAGTGAAACTCTCATGGGCAATGGACATTTCAGGTGCTTTCAATTCTGGCTTTTCTGCTGGATGTACTTCTTCCTAATAGTGAGAAACGCAGAGGGAAGACATGAGAAGGAGATGGAATTCGCATGCCCCGGTAGTATTTATTTTAGGTCACTGGCGCCCCTCAGTAATGAAGGTCATGGAAGAGCCCAAATGTCAATAAGAAGGTCTTCAGGTGGCAGATTCCTGCTTCGGTTCCAGCCCCCTCCTTGCTGGAGTCAGACATCAGGAAAAGAGATACAGTCCTCAACTGGAGTGTTGACAAAGCCGGTTGGCATCCCAGTGGAGATTAGGTTGCTGATCTTGTAAGGATCAGCTACTTACTCCAGGATGTTTACACTGGCATTGATGTAGTGACATACTGATCTAATTACATGTCAATAAACCAAAGTCCTGATTCACTGAGGAGACCACAGAGGATTAGAGGGCTCCATTGGCAATTCTTAAAGAACAAGGACTCAACCTTCAGACTCAATTACAGCAAAGTTAGCCAACTGTAAAGCCGTGGCTTGGAGGGAGAGAGAGAGAGGGAGAGAGGTCAAGCTCCATTTCATAACCTCCCTTGGACCTGCCTTTCTTGTTGTTGTTGCTGTCAAGCTTTCTGTTTTTCTGAAGCTTGTTTTCACCCAGCTATTGGCTCTTGTTACATAATCTATATAACTGATAGATTCCAGAGACTTAGTGCAGAGCAGGAGAAAAACAATGCTCATCCGATTGCAAATCAGCACCGGCCTGCCCACACTTCCCCTGCCTGCCTCCTGCACCACGCACTGGAAACGCAGCTGCCTGCACAAAGGAAGCTGGATTCCCGGGAGACCTTAACAAAGAGGTATCAGAAGAGAGAGGCGGAATGCATTCAGCCTTCCCGGGCCTGCTGCCTGGGCCCTGTGGCCGCCGTGCCTGGAGCAAGCAGGGATCCTCAATCTTTGCTGAAATGCATCATGTTTGGGGAGAACGATTTGAAATGGGGACTGGTTTGGTTGGCCTGCTGTGCCTGGGTCTTTAATGTCAAACAGTCAACAATTGTGCAGTTTTATTTATTAATCAGAGTTTTGCTTTGTTGCATTTTGAAGTTCCCCACACTGTGGGTTGAGAGCAGATTGGAAATATTTCAGAAGTGCAGTTCCATGTCCCTAACAGAACTTAGCAGATCATATAGATGAGAGAAAGCAAGGGAAGTGCCAGGCATAACCTCTAGTGCAGGCGTCAGCAAACTTCTTCTCTGAAAAAAGAAGTAATAAATAGTTTTGGCTTCTCAGGCCACACAGTCTCCATTGTGGCTACTCAGTGCTGCCAGTGCAGCTCAAAAGCAGCCCCAGATATGCAAATGCTTGGGTGTGGGGTTGTTCCAGTCAAACTTTATTTAGGAACATTGAAATTTGAATTTTATATAAATTTCATGTGTCATGAGATACCATGCTTCTTGTAATTTGTTTTCCAACCACTTAAAAATGGAGAGACCATTCTGAGATCACCAGCCGTACAAAGCCAGGTGTGGGCTACCATGAGTTGGCCCCTGCTCTGATGGTTAGCAGGGCTTTGACAAACTGGAACTTCCTGGTTCTAAGGTAAGGATGCTATGCCGATGACCTGAAAGTGGTACCTGTGCTTAGAAAAAAGCTAGATGTGGGTTTTCTACTCCCCAAAACTCACCTAGCCTAATCTTTTCATGGTTGATGGAAATTGGAGCACACATCTTACAGGATGTCTGGCTTCCTGCTGGACATCATGAGACGATCTTTTCTAGTCCTCAAAGAGGCTGCTAACAAGTCCATGCAACTAGGGCAGACAGTAAAAGCAGAAATGAGAGTAAAGAGGTTGCTAGTCTTTTGTGAAGGTCTGGTTGCTGGCATAAACTCCCAGTGTCTTTCGGCAATCAGCTTTCTGCTGCATGTTTGCATTCCAGGAGCCAGGAGACTCTCCAGGCATTTTGGACAGACCACGCCTCATCTCTGATGATGCCCTCAGGCTTCACAGGTGCGCTCTCATGGACATAGCAAGGCTGAGGCGTGACTGCTGGGCAGAGGTGAAACTATGAGGAAGGAGGAGGCTCAGAGGAGACACTTCAAGACAAAAAGAAGTCTTTCTTGGTGCTGCTGAGGGACAGAGGTGAGAGGAAGAGGTAAAGTGGTGATGGTGAAGTTTCTGGAGCATCCTTCCTGGGCACGGAGTGAGGCTGCAGGTTCTACTCCTGGGCAGCCGCGGTGGCTGCCAGTGGTGATGGCGAAGTTTCTGGAGCACGCTTCGTGGGCACGGAGTGAGGTTGCAGGTTCTACTCCCGGGCAGCTGCAGTGGCTGCCAGTGGTGATGGTGAAGTCTCTGGAGCACCCTTCGTGGGCATGGGGTGAGGCTGCGGGTTCTACTCCTGGGCGGCCGCAGTGGCTGCCAGTGGTGATGGTGACGTTTCTGGAGCCCCCTTCCTGGGCACGGGGTGAGGCTGCAGGTTCTACTCCTGGGCGGCCACGGTGGCTGCCAGTGGTGATGGTGACGTTTCTGGAGCGCCCTTCGTGGGCACGGGGTAAGGCTGCAGGTTCTACTCCTGGGTGGCCGCAGTGGCTGCCAGTGGTGATGGTGACGTTTCTGGAGACCCCTTCGTGGGCACAGGGTGAGGCTGCAGAGGTTCTACTCCTGGGCGGCCGCAGTGGCTGCCAGTGGTGATGGTGAGATTTCTGGAGCGCCCTTCAAGGGCACGGGGTGAGGCTGCAGGTTCTACTGGGTGGCCGCTGCACCCTTGAGTTGCTTCCTCATTGGATGAGAGGCATGGTCTTCCATAGTTTTCTTCAAACTGTTGATGCAGGTCAGTGCTTTGCAACTGAAAGGTCAAGTTTGTGCTGATATACCACCTCCCTGTTTCATTTTCAAGGTCTTTTACTGTCAGCAAGAAGGAATTATAAAAGTACCTGTAGCAGAGTGCTTCAGACAAGCAGAAAGTGCACACACACACCAATCCCAAAATTTCATCAGGTCACTTTCACTGGCTGAAAAATCGTTCCTGCTCACATTTGATATTTGTATAGAAAACATAGAAGACTTAGAACAATTCTCTTGACTCCCAACCCTACAAAAGAGAGAGCGATCACAAGAGCTCCGAGCTGGGAATAAAACCTGCACAAGCTCAGCTCTGCATCGCCCCTCAGTTGGGGCTGAGCTCCCTCCTGGGAGCCTCCCGAGCACATCTCAGGAAGGTGCGGGACTGAACAGCTTCTGGGGAGAACACTGGGAATAGGAGAAGATACTGGGGACTGGGGCTTAGGACAGAAAATACTCAATCAAGGACACTGAGTTAGTTAATTTATATTTTTTAAGTATAGGAAAAATGTTTAGGAGCACAAATGATTATGAAAGTTTTAAACTGCGATAAGAATCACCGTCATCATAACCTGCTGGTAGCCACAGCATCACCTTGTCTTGTCTCTAATAAACTTGCTCCTCGGTCTCCTACGCTATCCTCTTTCTGTTACCCTCAGGGGATACTGAACCCCCTTCCTGCAGTGGAGCTGCTCACTTTTATGTAAACCAGGCCACAGCAAATTAGGCTCTCAGGCCAACTCTGGCCCACTGCCTGTTTTGTAAATAAAGTTTTATTGGTGCACAGCTATGACCATTCATTTATATATGCCTGCAGCTCCTTTGGGGCTACATAAATAGGGTTAAGAAGCTGTTAAGAGAGATTATGAGACAAGTAAAGCTCAAAAGCATGACTACCTAGCTCTGTACAGAAAACATTTGCCACCTCTGATGCAGACCATATTCTGTGCAATGGCAAGGCCAGTGGGCAGGCGGGACAGATCCGGCTGTGAATTCTGCCCCTGTCCCTTAGCAGCTGTGCGACGCTGGAAACTCCATTCTTTGAGACGTGGTTTCCTCACCGTAAAGTCTGGACCATAATATCCACCTCATGGGCTTGTTGGGGAGGCTGTGAGACTCCATATGTGAGGTACTCAGCATGGTGCCTGGTATTTAATATGTTCTCAGTAAAGGGAAGCTATGACAAAGCAGCTGTGATTTCAGCCCCGCTGCCTGTTCTGGCTCTAATGCCCTTCCTCCATCTTCACTCCCCATCTCTCCTCTCCAATCCACCTTTCCTACATCTTGCTGCTTTTCATGTCCTGGTCCTCTGAGGTTTTTGTTCTCCTTTTCTCCTCCTTTGTGTTACCCCTCTCCCCCTTTGCCTTAACCATGAGGCTCATTCACGTCTCTGAAGACCCTCATTATTCCCACCAGCATCTACACACTGGGGATCCAGTACCCTATTTTTTCTGGGGAGCTGTTCCCTGCTTCTCATGCTTCCCAGTAACAGCCGCCATCATCAGAAAATGATAAATCTAGAGGAACCGAAATCCAGACCTAGGGCTCTGTCCTGCCCCTTGAGAGGTCCTCTTCTTGCTCACGGCTGAGGGCAGCAGCCTGCACAACCCGCACCAGTCTCATCAGAAGCTGGCCCCATTGCATCAGCTCAGCACCTGGCTGCCACGCTCAGGTGTGACTGCCGACATCGCATCAGCAGCCTGCAAAGCATGGGGTCATTGGCTATCGACCCAATTCCACATATTGAGAAATGAGAGCCCTCCAGAGTTAAGTGACTCAAGGAAGCAAAGTGAAAGCATGATCACAAATATCCAGTCAAGTGGATTTGCAGGCACTCTGTCTTTTTTGGAAACTCTGGCAACCCTGCCACAGGTCTGTGTGTGGAAGAATGTAGGTGTTTCAGCATTAATACAGGGGCTGATGTACAACAGTAGATTAGAGGGGAGAGAGATGGAATGAACTAGGTGCTCCAAGGGCCCATGCCACCTGCTGCAAGTCCACACAAGAATTTTCATAATTACCCAAGGGCAGGGATGGTGCTGCTAAGCTGCACCCATCTTTGATGAGCCCCCAGTTTACCTGAGGAGACACACACACAAGCAAAGAGAAGACACAGCTTCCTCATCCCGTGCTGTCTTAGTCCAGAAGGGAGTGCAACTCCCTTTTGGGGCAAGATTATTGTTTCTGATTTAAATCCATCACCCGACTGGAGAGAAAGGGACTGAATTCATCTTCGAGTCTCTGAAGTCTTATAATTGCCTAATATTTGACTCCCTGATTGCAGTATTTATCTTCTAAAGACCTGGGTAAACAGACACAGGTGAAACTGAACCGCCATGCACCACTTTCTTATCTCCGTCCTGTAAGAAACGCTATGAAAGGGTTCCACTGAATTTAACGGAGGTGTTATGTAGCTGATAAATGTTTGTTGATCTCTTTACCCAGAGGTGGCCGTGTTCTAGGAGTGGATTAGTGGCCTCCGCGAATCAATGGTGGGTTATCTTCATTTGCTAGATTTCTAAACGCTTGGGGGTTCTGGAAGATGAAAGGTGCCTTGGAGGGGATGTGTACAGGATTTCAAAACCCAGAGTCAGAAATATGTTAATGGACAGGATGTTTAATAAACTACAAAATGCTTTTGCTTTTTCCCCATAGTCATAGGAACAGAGAAGGGTGTAATTCTTAAATACCCATGCTGTGCTGAGGTCTGAAGTGCACGCTTTACATGTATTTATACACATGATTTCATTTAATCCTCATAATCCAGGTGAGGTGGCATTATCCCATTTCACAGATATGGAGCCTAAAGCTTTAAGAGATTAAATCACAGGTTACACCGTCTCAGGCTACACAGCCAGGAAGCGGTGAAGTCAGAGGGCTCCCACACGACTTATTTAATACTGTTTGCCATCGAACATGTGGCTTCTGAAGATATCAACATCTTCAGTAAAACTCGTTTCACCTCCTGCCACATGTTGAACAGTGCTTCCTAAAACCGAAGCCATTTCGCCAGATGAACTTTCTAACTGAGCGATTTGTATATTAACATAATAGATCTTCTGATATTTATGTCTTTAATTACTTTTAGTTTGCAAGAGGCATTGAGCCCCTGAATTATTTTGAAATTCCTATGTTCTACTGGAATTCTCATCATCTCCTACACTATAATTGTTGCATGCTTGTAAAGGAGCTGAAGTTAATCAGGAAGGATTGGGGCCAACATTGCTCTCTGGAACATAGATATAGAGTCATGGTTTAATCTCATCCCTGTCATTTGGGACCCTGGGAGAGAACAGGGAGGGGAAACCCAGGCAGAGCTGGGAAGACGATAGACTTTGTGAGTGCTGTGCACATGGCTACAATGAGCACCTCCATCTTCCTGGATACACAGGGAACAGCAATGCCTGCAGCAGGTGCCGTTTCAGGGTCCCCGCCCAGCAGACCCAGTTCTACCCAGGCCATATCAACATCTGTCCCTCAATAGCTTCACCTGTCAGATGGGAAAATAAAATCATCATGGGATACCATAAAGGTGCCATTGCACAGTAAGGTCCTTCACCTGCCAGGCATGTGGCCACAGCTCCCAAGAGTTGACCAGCTCGTGACATGAAATACCTAGAATGTTCATTACAGCCCTCGAGGTAGGCATTTTTTACATCCATTTTGCAAATAAAGAATGTCAAGCGCAAAGACACCAAGTGAGCAGACCAAACCAAACAGTGGGTAAGTGCTGGCTCCAGACATGTTCAGAAAGCCATTGCCAATATTCAATATGTTCTGTGGGAAGTGGAATCTTTTATGTTGTTTGCGCCATGAATACACCTGCAAACAAATGGTCACCGTCACTTAATGAGCACATACTATGTGCTGGGGTTGTCTGCATCCTCTCCAGTCCATGTGAAGTTGACACTGTTGTCCACATTTTAAAACCTAGGTAACAGACTCAAGGAGCTAAAATAGATCCCCCAGAGTACAACAGCTAGAAGCAGTAGAACTGGGGCCGAACCCCAAGGCCAGGTGGCTGAGAAGGCCATCATCTTAAACTACTAATTTTTTTTTTGTTTCTTTTGTTTTTGTTTTTGTTTTTTTGGGGATGGAATCTTGCTCTGTCACCCAGGCTGGAGTGCAGTGGCACGATCTCAGCTCACTGCAACCTCTGCTCCTGGGTTCAAGTGATTCTCCTGCTTCAGCCTCCCCAATAGCTGGGATTACAGGTGTGTGCCACCACCACGCCTGGCTAATTTTTGTGCATATATATATATATATTTTAGTAGAGACGGGGTTTCACCATGTGGCCAGGCTGGTCTTGAACTCCTGATCTCAAGCAATGCACCTGTCTTGGCCTCCCACAGTAGTGAGATTACAGGTGTGATCCACCACACCCAGCCATTAAAACTATTAATGTTAACCCCGTAAAAAGAGAGTCTAGAGTCAGCCAGCAGGTAGAACAAATGCTTAGAGCCGTGACACCACCAAAGATGGTGGTGGCCCCTTTTCCCATAGTCTTCAGTGTTGGATCTGTATTTCAGCCTCAGGTGTAACATGACCACAGGCTGCTCTGAGCCCCCAGCTCCAGCACATTCTTCCAGGTGAGGGGCTGTTAGGGCAGCATCCCGCAAGAGGCCTCAAGACCGGCCACTAGGGAAGTCATCTCCTTCCAGCTGCCCTAGAAAAGCTTGAGTATTAAGAAATTATATAAAAAATCATCATTAATTATGCTAATGCTGCCTATGATGTTTAAGGGTGCTTATTGCTATGGAAAATCTCAAGTCATGTTTCCACTGAGGGGAGGAACTGGGCACCTGCTTTCTTCATCTCCAGAAAAATTGCAAAAGCAGATATTTCGCTTTGATAAGCTAATTTAAATAGAAAATAGCTGTGTGTGTACTAAAGCATGAGTTATTTTTGAATAGACCTTTAAATTGAAAACTACAAGTACAAAGCCATAAATCTAATTATTTCCTCCCTTCAGCCCCGTAGTTTAACACAGGAAGCGCTAACACGCAAACAATACAAAACATCAATGGAAATGACATCTAATGGGGATAGAGAATATATCAAATAAAGAAATGCCATTTAATAGGCTAATATCACACATTAAGCTTGAAAAACAGAAACCTGATCTGAAGTCTGGGCTGAACACATCCATTTGTCTAATTCTTTTGCTTTAAAAATTAAGCATTATTTAAATGTCTCTTAAGGCTGCAATTGCTCATCCCATAAGAAATAAAAAGATCAGCAGCATTTCACAGATTCTGAAGGTAAAATAAATAGCAGTCCAAAGAGAAATCATCGATAAAATCTGAATTTGCTCTTACACAGAGGCTGCTTTCAGGGACACGTGATCTGCTTTAGGATGTGAGTGATTAATGCCATATCCTTCTCCCTTAACATTAAAAACACCGAGATGAGGGCATTTTATTTACTGACAATAATGCACTTCTAAATAATGGGAGGCTTTCTTGTCAGATTATTCCATATGGTGAAGCCAGCAGTGCCCGCTTTTGCCTTTGGCTCTGCAGGGTGGGTGAGGCACCCTATCAGGATCTGGACAGTCTCTTGCTCCTACAAACAGCAAGCCAAGCCAGGCCACAAGTGGCCCCTGACTCTACGTTCTCCTGTGTGTGCACCCCACACCTCCACAATAACCACCCAACTTCACCATCATGGCCAATCAAACGAGGTTCTGTGGGGTATCTGTTTCTCATGAAAAATGTAAAATACATTTGGAACATTTGCAAGGTATATTTGATAAAGACAAATTATCTTACCATGGGTCTTGATGACATAATTTGTATCTCTCTCCGAGCTAAATAAAAAAACATATTTTTGAAATAATGCACACAAAAGCCCTTTATAAATGTTACCTGGTGGCAAGTATGTTTCTAGATCCCAGAGGGAAAGGAATTGTCAAGTGCCACATACCAGTAGCCAGCGTACCAGGTACAGAGAGTATCCTCGTAGCCTTCTATTTCCCACAGATGTTTTTAAGCAGCCTTAGAAAGGAGACATTACGCTCCAGAAGCATTACACTTTCTAACTCGGGCTCCCTTGACTGACATTGCTATAGGTCATGGGGGATCTTGAGATTCATTTGCTGCCATAACGTGGATGGTTTAAAACTTTACTTCACACAAACAGGGACGTTGCCGGGAATCGATTTTTAGCTTCCATTAGTTACTGGGGCAGATGCTTGCTTTGTGTAACAAACTCAAGCAAAGAAATCAACTTTGGAAACACTTCTAAATATAATAGAGGGAGGAAAAAAGAGAGAGAGTGGAAACTAGGTTAAAACCACAAGTATTTCTATCCTGTAAGGGTTCAAGATTTTTAAAAGAGTAAGAGAAATAAGAAACGATGGAGTTTATCCAAATAATATCAAAAATGTCTTAAGAATATAATATATAAGGAGAAAGGTGAACTTCTGCATCAATGCTGCATTCAATAAATGGACTGTTTTGTAAGTGAGGAATGTCAGGATCATGGCAGCACTGGTCCACGTCATCTACATTTCTCATTCCTTCACCCCGCCACAAACCTGTGCTTCTTACTGAAGAAGCTCTCATAGAGTCTGCCTCTGGCATTTCAAAGATGAAAACATGTGTAGTATTATACCTTTTAAAGAACTGAATTTGTAATTTTAAAACTCTAGAAAAAGAAATATCCATGCCCAGATGGTTTCACTGAAGGATCTTACAAAGATTTAAAGGAGAATTAAAACCAATTTTACACAATCTTCTCCAGAAAATAGAACAGGAAGGAACAACTCATTTTATGAGGCCAGTAGTACTGTGATAACCAAATCAGCCAAACATAAGACTACAAACCAATGTTTCTAATGAACTTGGATATCATATATATATATATATATATATATATATATATATATATATACACACACACACACACATGTATTTATATATATGCCAACCAAATCCAGAATTGCACAAAAATAATAATACACCATGGCCAAGTGGGATTTATTTTAAGTATGCAAAGTATTTTTCGATATCAATATCCAAAAATAAATCAGTGTCATCCACCACATCAACAGGCTACAGAAAAATCACATGCTCATACTAATTGATGCAGAAAAAGGACTTGATAAAATCTAATACCTACTTATGATAAGAATTCTGAGCAAACAATGGATACAGTGGAACTTCATAAACTGTGTAGACAGTACCTACAAAAAAATCCGCAGCTAATCATGCTTAATGGTAAAAGACTGAATGCTTTCTTTTTGAGTTTAGCAAAAGGCAAAAATGTCGGCTTTCACTGCTCTTATTCAGCCTAGTAGTAGAAGTTCTAGTCAGGACAATAAGGCAAGAAAGGAAAATGAAAGGCATATAGATTGAAAGGAAAAAAGAAAACGGTCTATATTTGCAGATGACTTTCCGTATAGAAAATTCCAGGAATCTGCAAAAACTCTTAGAACTAATAAATGAGTTCAACATGGTTTTAGGATATAATACAAAAATCAGTTGCATTTTTATAAACTAACAATAAACAAGTGGAAACCAAAAGCAGAAATTTAATACCATTTATAATTGCTCCAAAGGAAGAAAGATGTACAGAATACGTATGAAGAAATGAATTTTAAAAGACCTAAATAATTGGAGAGACATACTACGTTTACGGATTAGAAGACTTAACATAGTGAAAATGTCAAATATTTCCAAGTGGATGTATAGGTTTAATATAATTGCTATTTAAATCCTAGCACTTTTTTTCGTAAACATAGATGAGCCTATTCTAAAATATATATATATATGAAAATAGGAATGTCCTAGAATAGCCAAAAGAATTTTGAAAAAGAAGAATAAAGTAGAAGGAAAGAGTCTACCAGATTTGGAGACACACCATATCCATAGTAATCAAGTGTGGTGTTGGCAGAGGGGCAGACACATGGATCAGTGGAACAGGGCAAAGAATCCAGATATAGACACACACAAATACACCCAACAGATTTTTGATAAAAGTGTAGAAGCAACTTAATGAAGGAGGGACAGCCTTTTCAACAAATGGTGCTGGAACCATTGGACATTCATAGGTACAAAAAATGGACCTTGATCCAAACTTCACATCTTACACACAAATTAACTCAAAATAGATCACAGGCTTAAGGTAAAATATAAAACTCTAAAACTTTTAGGAAAAAATAATTACAAGAGAAAATCTTCAGGACTTAGGTAGGGCTGGTCAAAGAATGCTTAGACTTGATACCAAAAGCAAGGAAAAAATTGAAAAATTAGAACTCATCAACTTTTTTTTAAATGTCAAGAGGATGAGAAAAGACCAAGATAAAATATTTGCAAATGATATACCTGGCAAAGAGCTTGCATTAAAATATAGAAAGAAATCTCAAAATTCAATATAATGAGCAAATGGGCAAAAGACATGAATAGATATTTCACCAGGAGGACATTCAAATAAGTACATGAATAGAAGTTCAACATTATCAGCTATTAGGAAAACGAAAATTAAAACCACAATCACTGTATATTTATCACAGTACTGAAAACAAAAATAATAATACCAAAGGTTGGTGAGGATGAGGTAAAACTGGGTCACTTATACATTAATGGCAGGAATGTAAAATGGTACAGCTACTCTGGAAAATAGTTGGATAGTTTCTTTAAAAACTGAAATCAACTTCCCATATAACCCAGCAACTGTGCTTCTAGGCGTGTATTCCAAAGAAACTTAGGTACATACAAAACCTAGACATGAATGGCCGTAGCAGCTTTATACAAGAGAAGCCCAAACTGAAAACAATCCAAGCACCTTCCAGTGGGTGAATGGTCACCAACATGTATCCACAGCATAGATTACTACTTAGCAATGCAAAGGAACAAATCATTCATACATACAAAAACTGGGTGAACCTCAAGAAGATTGTGTGACATGGTTCAACCTCAAAAAGCACATACTGTGTGATATGGGGTGATTCATCTGCCGGGGATGGTGCCATAAAATAGCTTGATTGAGGCTCACGTGAGGCAATGGCATAGAATTGTGTTCACACCAGAAATGTGTCGTGCACAACTGGTGAAATTGAAATGAGGCCTTGAAGGGTGCCCTTGTCAGTGTCCTGGTTTCGATATTGTCCTACGGGCATGCAAAAGCCTCCACTGAGGAAGGCAGGGTTTGGGCATCTGCCGCCTCCGTGTACATGTCTTTGCAACTTCCTGTGAATTTATCCTTATTTCAGAATAGAATGAAAAATTACTTTAAGGCAACTTAATTACAGTACAGAACAAAGAGAAGGAAAAGGAAAAAGAGGAAGAGGAGGAGGAGAAAGGGAAGAGGAGGGGGAGGTGGACAGAGGTGGAAAGGGGTGGGGGAGGGGAGGAGAGGCAGGGGAGGATGAAGGAGAGGAGGAGTGTGCTTGAGTGTACAACTCAGAAGTGTAAAACTGAGAAAGACCCAAAGAACAGAGCCAACTGAGGCCGTTTTTTCCAAGGAGATACTGACAACTTGTCACTGGTGAGTGAATGCTCAAGTCTGAATTGGTCTTACATGTGTCATTTATAGGAGAGAGGAATCCATTCCATTTTACTTTACTACTTCCCCAAAGGCTACCAGCTTAGAACAGGGTGCGGAATAGGGCAGCGTCAGGGAAGAAGGGAAGGAGAGGCACCAGGAGGCCACCGCCCTAGGCAGGTCCTCTGGAAGGCCGTGGCTGCCATGATGCATCTGTCCTGAGTCCTAACAATTGACCGCCTGGGATGCAGACTCTATCCCTCCCCGTCACACAGTTCTCCTGCCTCAGTTTCCTCATCTGGGAGGTGCGGATGGTAAAGACTCCACATGCTGATGCGTGTTAACGGTGTGGGTTTCACAGAGCAGGGTGTAAGCCTTATCATTATAGTTAAGGACGTGTGCTGATGCAAGGGAACAAGAAATCAGAAAGTAGGGGGCCCTGGGTTCAAGTCCCAGCTCTGCCACGGCTGGGAGAAATGACACAGTGACCGTAACAGAGTGGGCCCCTGACAGAGACGCTGGCACAGTGGAAGGAACGCCTGCCATCAGCCCCGTGGGCATCATCTCACTTAAGTCTCGGTCTTGTTCTGCGAGGGAGATTCTGATCCCGCCCCCACTTGGCAGAAACCGGATCCTGAGCAGTGATGTGATGGGTCAGCTCAGCCTGGTGGAGTGAGGATGTGAACAGCCAGCTCACCTGCAGTCAAGGAGGTTCCAAAGGCCAGGCATTGGCGGGGTCCCACCAGCACACCCCAACCAGCCTTCTCTCACTGGACCACAACAGAGGCTCCACAGGCCTCTCTGTGGCCCCGCGCCCCGCCGGCCCCAGCCACAGGGCCAGCCTCTGCTGGGGGGGTTCAGGCTTTTTTCTCCCAGCTGCCGGGCAGCGTCCACCGTTTGTGTCCTCTTCAGCCCTTTCCACTTCACCTATTGCAGCCTCACCTATGGCTGTGAGCAGTCATGCTAACCGGAGGGGCCTGTGACCTGCGAAGGGGCTGGGTGGGGATCCCACGGGGCGTCCATGCCACAGGGATGACAGTGCTGCGTGAAAGCACCACCAAAGGCAGTTGTTCCCACCTCTCCCCCACCCCGCCTCCTGGCCTCTCCCACTGCTCCTCCATCAATTAGGATGTGCACGGTCACCCATCAGCCCCCTGCTCAGCCTGCAGGATTCATCCCACGTCCGAGAGTCACCACAAATGTGAGGGGTGCCCCCCAATCCCACTAGTCCTGTGCTCTTTCTAGAATATAAGCCACCCCTCTCGTGTCCCAGGTTGGAGTGAAATCACCTATACACATGGGACCCACTGCCTGCTTTCCAGAGACCTCGATTTCATGTTCCTGGGGCTGGGCTGGAGCCACTGTGAGAACCACAAGCCTACTGAAGTGACCCCACCCTGCCATGCCCAGCCTGGTCCTGGAACCCTGGCAGCCCTGGCTCTGTACCTCTCTCCCAGGGTGAGTGTCTGGTGAGGGCACCGTGTGCCTGAGGCCACCAGGCTCGCCCGGCTGAGAGCCAGGGCAGCCTCTATGCTGCAGGGCCCGACGCCACACCGGAGCGGCTGGCTCCCCACAAGGCCTGAGCCCACAGCCAGCCCTGTCACAGACACACGGGAGACGCTGCTGGCAGAAAGGAAAGAGCACGGCTTCCCACACTTACACTCATGTCCCGCAGGGCCCAGGAACCCACCTGCCACCACGTTCAGCTCCTCAACGTTTCTCCAGAGATCTGCGTGAGGCACACCTGAGTGGGGCATGAGAGAGGTAATTATCCTTGAAGTGAGGAGGATGGGAAGGGCAGCGAGAGAAGTGGGTGACACAGCGCTGGCCCCAGTAGGGGACGACGGCCGGCCCCTGCCAGGCGCACTCGAGGTGCTGCCTCCGTGAGTGTCAAAGACACCCTGTGCTGGGCCCAGTTCCCTGGGGCGTGGATGGAGATGAGAAACAGGCCCAAAGAGGGAACCCGGCACATCAAGGATGCCAGCCAGCCTGGGGCCGCCCCTCCCGGTGCACACTTGGGAGCTAAGGGGCTCCTTTCCCCCCCTGGCGCTGCCCCAGGCAGGAGAGAGAGGCACCCGCACAGAAAAGCAGTGCACACAGCGCTTTGAAGGCCAGCCCCGGCCATGGGGGGCTGAAATGCACAATGATGATGAGAAGAAACAGGTGGGGGACGCAAATGGATAAGCACCCACCCCCCATAGCCCAGCCCCTCCTCAGGCAGTCCAGGATTTCACTACCAAAGTTTCATTGCAACATACAAAGGGAGAGGGTAGTCCAAGGCCCTGGCAGCAGGCTGGCTACAAAGTGAGGGTCAGAAAGTGTGAGCCCAGTTCATCCTCTCCCCCGATTCATCTCCGTGTGATCAGTTCTCTGGAGTGACGGAACGGAAGTGCATCTTTCCTCCCACGTCGAGGAATTCTGTTTACATGGTTTTTATCCTCAGTCGTCTGTGCTTACAATAGTATACCTTTCTTATGGTTCAATATTTACCAAAGAACTGCAAAATTAAAAGCAATCCTATGGCTGCAGAAGACAACATAATTATAAGGGTCAACTTGATAAGACATATAATCTTCAGAAACCTGCAGGTTTGCCTAATAAAATATTTATATCAGTCACGGTTGGACACCCAGAGAGAGCAACGTAAATGAGTCCTCAACCTCAACTTTCCAGCGCGTGCAGAAATGTCACATGCATGCCATATGCATGGGGAAATGCCTGCTTAACAAGAAGGGTCCTTGTTTTCTTGTAGTCTGTTGACACTAGATATTGCTAAGGAATAACGACTGCTCTATCAGGCAATTCAATTGAAATTGAATTCAGTTTCTTTCATAAATTTGAAAGAAGCTAATATTTTTTAGTTATATTTCATTAAAAAGAAGCAAACTGAAGACACCTGCCTCCTCCCCTTTCCGGGGTTCCTTGGCCTGAGTTCCATTCAGGAGAATTAAACAAGGTTTATTTGGCACTGTAGTTTTTATTCTCATATATTTTAATATTCTTTAATATGGCATCAATGTTTCCTTTTGAATGTAGTTATAATCAAACATTTGGAAATAATAAAATCATATTAACAAATAAAAAGGGATCATTTTATTGTTTCTCCCTGTTGAGTTTAAAATGTGAATTTCCGTCAGCCACTTATTGCAGGTCTTTCTGGCTCTGAGGTGTTTTTATGCAGATTGTCTCTGCCTGCACAGGACTTAGCACTCAGAGAGGGTGAGCTCCTTGGAAATCACCCACTGGACACTTGGCATTCCAGGATGGAGACAACCACGGTGTTGGAAGTTGAGGAACTTACTGGGGGGTACCCCACAAGCTTCAGAGCCCAAGGGGTCTCAAGTCCCAGCTCATCCTCCTGAGAGCCGTGGGGCCTGGAACCAACTCTTTCACCTCAGCACCTCGCTTCCTCTTCCTATCAAACGGGGCTCATCTAACAGCTTAGGAACCTATTGCAAGCGCTAGAAGTTCTTATTCTACAGTAGAGATGTAAAGAGATGGCCGCTCTCTGAGTAAAAAACGTTCCTATGAGTAGTACCGTGTCTATAATGCTAATATCAGACGAGGGAGAAAACCGGGTGTTTTGTTCTCTCAGACCTAAAGATAAATTTGCAACAAACAAGACAACTCTCTCCCCATCCAAAAATTAAATAAAATAGAGTCAACCACAAGAATTTTTAGAAACAAATACATTAGACGTTTTCTTCAGCTGATGATTTTATTTCATTTATGTTATTCGTCATCTTCTGGAGGCCACTTGGGCATTGGGGGGCTGGTTGTAAAGGTATCATTAACTTAGATTTGTGAAAATATGGAAACGTTTCCATATGTGGAACTCATAAGAAGCTAACTAAAAATGAAGCTTTAAGAAAGAAGTAGCAATAAATATTTTTTCTCTAAACATAAGGGATGAGAAAAATACACATGCTTTTTCAATTCCTGGACACAATCTGGCCTGTTCTGCCGCCTGGTGCCTCTTCTTCCCAGGCTGCCCCTGGTCTATGCAGTCAGCACAGTGAGGATGTAGGAGCCTGGCCCCCAGACCCCATGTGTCTCACCACCACCGTGCCGAATGCCCCACTTCACAGATCTGTAAAAGTGGAGGCAGAAAGGGAAAACACAGGGCTCACGCACGTGTGCACACCTGGATTAGAAAAAGAAATATTACTTGGTCTGTTTAAATATTTTGCTTTGAGTTTAAATGAAACAATTGATTCAAAGGAAGGTAGGAACGGTGTGCCCCTGTGGCCTGGGCCCAGGGCTCTGTGTGCGGGCATCTCCCAGCTGGGCTTTGACAATTACTTGAGAAGTGGCCAAAATAGACATTAATGGTCATTCTTGGATGGGAGCAGGTTGTGAGCGATTTCCCACTCATGCATGGCGGTCCTGCCAGCAGAGATGCTGGGGACATGGTGTTCCAAGGCTGCCCTGGAAGGTCGTCTCCCAGAGCTGCGTCCTTGGCCTCTTTTCCCAGCTCCACCTGAGGAAAGGGCTGGCCCAGAGAAGACGGGAGAAATCTGGGCAACGATCCAGAGCGTTCCCTATGAGCAGAATTTACAGAGTAAAGCCCAAAGCAAAGCATTCACTTCTCCCCTCAGTTGCCATGGCCCCAGGGAGCGGGTCACAGTGCCACATGGCCTAGAGGGAGGGAGCCAGGCTCCTGGGTCAGCCAGCATCAGCCATGAAGTCAGGATGAAAACCAGCCCTGGAAGGCCTGCTGCAAACCACATCCAACCCTGCCTCAGAGCGGGCACCAAGACACGAGATGCTGGACAGCGGTGGGGTTCAGTGGAAGGCTAACCTTGCGCTTGGTTTTTAAAGGTTAATTTATTTATTTTTTAGAGACAAGGTCTTGCTCTGTCACCCAGTCTGGAGTGCAGTGGTACAATCATAGCTAGCTGCAGCGTCCAACTCCTGGGCCTCAAACGATCCTCCTGCCCCAGCCTCCCTAGTGTTTTCTTTTAAAAACAGTTCTTAACCCCCAGAATTGTTCACTGTCTTCCCAAGAAGCTGCCCTGGAGGTGAGCAGCTGGCCAGGCTTTCTGATTGCTTCATCACATCATCTGTTTAATGAGAGTCCAGGTAGATGCAGACAGGGGTCCCAAATCTTCCCCCACACTGATGTTTTTTTCTCAGCCTGAGAAACTGCCAACAGAGAGAAAAGGGTTTTGCATTCTGTGCATGACCAGTCGTGTTTATTAAGAGTTACTAGGAGGGGCTACAGCAATTAGCAGGATACGCGCTGAGGATTCTGTGCGACCCCTCTACTCATGAGAACAGGGCTTTGCCCTTCCCCAAAGCCAGAATTAGGCCCACAAATCTGCCAGCAGCACCTCCAGCAGGCCCCATCTATGCGACATGGTGGTCCTCACAGCCGGGACACTCTTACTTACAGCAGGCACATTGCGGGCAACCTCCCTGACCTTCTTAAGTCCTGGTGGCAATGTCAAAAGGGAGAAGGACAGAGGCATTGAGGAGAGCCTTGGTACCCAAGACAGGAGGGGAGAAACAAATATTGGCAAACACTGTTAAGAGGAGAAAGCACCTGCGACAATTCGTGCTCTGAAAGCCTGAAGTCCACGAGGCGTTCACTCCATTTCTATGTGCAGAAGACATTCCCATTCTGCTCCCATCACTGAAGTGATACACATGACAGGATAAAGTCACTTTTAAGCTGAAAATTTGGTAATGTGATCTCTAAAGTAATTCTGAAGCATCTTAGAGTGAATGAATTTACAATTATAAAAATTACTTTTGTAATGCTGGCTGAGCTTGGAGATATGATCAGATGATCATATTGCTAAAATAAAACATGTTAAATTTAACATTATGGCAATTCTGTCATTTCATTCAAGACACCATAAATTGCCACAGCATTCTGGGTGAGCCATTAGCTCACTCTTTTTACTTATGTTCCTTCTTTCTTCTCTTTTTAATCCCAAAGAAATGGCTGTAATGAGTTGCTAATAAAATGACAAATAGGAACAATCTGATTTCATTCAAAGATTGCACATTCAGACAAGACTGACTCTCATTCTGAGAAGGGCTAAAGAAGGCAGCCCTGAGCAGGTAGTACCCTCATCCGTCCCTCTCGTCCAGCTGGGTCTGGTGGGGGTAGACAGACAAAAGGCAAAGGGCCGTCATGGCTGGTGAACACGCTGGGCTCAAGGCCACGGGGAATGTGGCCGTCATTTTCCAGGCTGGGCTCTGCAGCAAAGCCTCTAGTGCAACCCTGGGAGCCACTTTGATTGATCCATGCGGTTTCCATTCCTGATCACCGTCAAGGTCTCCGGAGGTGCTGAGAACTCCAAGCACCCTTGACTGCACTGAAAGGCACTGCTGCACATCATTTGAAACAAACAAGTGCCCACATACCTCACATTTAAACTGATTTTTACTTTAAAGCTTTGGAAGGACTTTATAATTGTTCTTTTGAGAGACAGCATGGGACGGTGCTGAAGTGCCGTGTGGAAAGCCCAGCTCCGCCTTTCCAAGCTGTAGGATCTGGAAAAAAGTTACTTAAAATCTCTCTGCCTCGTCTATAGGATGGAAATAGCAATAGCACTCATCCCATGGGTGATTATGACCAGGAAGTAAATTAACGTAATAGGGACTTGGAGGGAGCCGAGCGCCTCCCAGGCGCTGCTGCGTGCTCCTCTGCACTGCCATTTGGCAGCCGCGAACTCACGTGACTTGCAGCTGGCGAGGCTGCCTTGGCACTCTCTCTGCACACTCAGGGGTGCTTGATGAGTAAGGAAAGCTGACTTATAAGCCATTTCCAAAGGCGGTGCAATTGCGATGGAAACTCAGTGTAACCTTCGCAAACTTGACCTGATATTGTTTTAAAAACATTTAATTAGAAAGTTTAGGGGCCAGGCACAGTAGTTCATGCCTGAAATCCCAGCACTTTGGGTGGTTGAGTCAGGAGGATCACTTGAGCCCAGGAGTTCGAGACCACCCTGGGCAACATAACAAGACTCCATCTCTATGGAAAAATAAAAAATGAATTAGCCAGTGTGGTGGGCACGTGCTGGTGGTCCCAGCTACTTGGGGGACTGAGGCGGGAGGATCACTTAAGCTTAGGGGTTCAAGGCTGTGAGCGTGAATGCACCACTGCACTCCAGCCTGGGCAACAGAGCAAGACCCTGTCTCAGAAAAAAATAAATTTTAAATTAAAAAAAAGTATGAATTACAGTTTTGTAGTTTTCTCATCCTCAATTCTGAAAAAATCTCACATATCTTTATGGATTGATAAAGAGCCTACGGCCCCCCCAAGTCCTTGGCCTAAGGCTTCTGCACTGATCACCTGCTGAGCCGAGCAATGCTAGCTACAATTCAGGCGTGTGGGAGGTGCAGGTTGGTGGGATGCCACAGGCCTGGGCTCTGAGGGCCGGGACATCACCTGTGACTGTCACCTCTGTCACTAAACATCCCCTCTGCGCATTGCACTCTTTCCATGTCCCTGCTTCCCAAGCCCTCCCTCGAGGCCGGAAGCTAGGTCAGTGGCCCCCCCGCCCAAACTACCACATGCAGGAGGGGTTTCTTCCTCTTGCATCGTGGGCAGGAGGGGCCCTGTAGTTCATGCCACCCCCGTGGCTCAGTCTTTGTTGAACTGTCCAGGCTTTGGAATTCCATTGTTTTGAGCTCAGGGCTTTCCTGGGTGGCTGTGGCTTCTTGATGCTGACTGCATCTCTATCAGGTTTTCTTCTAAACATAATCGATCACTCCACATATATTATCTCTTCTAATCAGATATAAAACTCTTCAAAAAACTAAAAATTGGAGGCCGGGTATGCTGGCTCATGCCTGTAATCCCAGCACTTTGGGAGGCTGAGATGGGTGGATCACCTGAGGTCAGGAGTTCGAGACCAGCCTGGCCAACATAGTGAAACCATGTCTCTACTGAAAATACAAAAATTAGCCAGGCGTGGTGGCGCTTGCCAGTAGTCCCAGCTACTGAGGAGGCTGAGGCAGGAGAATCACTTGAACCTGGGAGGCAGAGGCTGCAGTGAGCCAAGATCATGCCACTGCACCCCAGCCTGGGTGACAGAGTGAGACTCTGTCTCAAATAAATAAATTAAATAAATAAATAAATGTTATTTATATTTATGAAATAGCTTATCAAATATAGTCTACATCTAACACTTAATATATAATTTTTAATATATAACCCATACTTATTAATACTTAATATACAATACTTAACATAAATCATAACATATATATAACATGAAATATAAATCCTTCTATAAAAAGTCCTCTCCTAAAAAAAACCTCTGTCATAATCAATATTGCCTGCCAGTTTAATTATGAGACATTAAATGTCACTTTCCCTCCTGTTGGCCATAAATGCTATTTGCAGTGGTCAAAAAGGTATTTAGTACCATGTGGCTTGGGATGGTCCAGTGATAAGCAATTGCTGGGAAGAAGTGGTGAGCTGAATTAATTGGTGGCTGACATTCTGACACTGATAGACACCCATTACCTTATAATGGACACTAATGCACAAAAAAGCACCAAAGCAAATTGGCCCTTCAGCTCCCACTGGCAGCAGAGTATATTAAATGCAAGTCAATGAGAGTCTAACAGAAATGCCAATGGCTTTGCTATTAGCCCTTTATATCAATGTCCATCCGACAGGTATCCAAACTCACCTTTGGTAGTACACCACAGGCTTGCTTTCCCCATGGTGGCTAATCACCATGTAGCCCCCTACCCACCCAAAACCCACCCTCCTGAGAAGTTGCACGTCAGTATCAATGACTTCCCCTCCCCACCCAAAACCTGCCCTCCTGAGAAGTTGCACATCAGTATCAATGATTTCCCCCTCCCCACCCAAAACCCTCCCTCCTGAGAAGTTGCACATCAGTATCAATGACTTCCCCCTCCCCACCCAAAACCCGCCCTCCTGAGAAGTTGCATGTCAGTATCAATGACTTCCCCCTCCCCACCCAAACCCCCTCCTCCTGAGAAGTTGCATGTCAGTATCAATGACTTCCTATCCAGTGTCGCCATCCTCACCCAAGTAGGGAACAATTTCAAGGTTCCCTAGAGCCAGGAAGCATTTACAGCACGAAGAGATTTCTCAGCTCACCCCTGAAGAGTGATTTCTCATGACTTGGTCCATTCACTGAATGGAACTCTCACGCATTAGCCTCCTTCCCCTGAGATATCTGAGTTCTCAAAGCACAACAGTATCCTTTATTCCTTCCGCGTTTTCAAAGGTGGAAACGTGTGTCTGCGTGTGTGAGTGTGCACCCATCCCTGAACCCAAGACGCATGGTAGACTCCTGTGACCTCTTCCTGTGAACAGACCGAGAAGCTCTGATGCAGAAGCAGGTCAGAATCAACAAGGCCTTCCCTTGCAGAGAACGGCCCAACACGGAAATACAGCAGAACATCACTGAGCATCGTAGCGCTACCACGGGTGTTTTTATGAGATGGTTAAGGTAGGAGGCATATCACATACATGCATCTCTCTGCCTCTCTATCTGTCATCTATCTATCTATCTATCTATCTATCTATTTATCTATCTATCTATTTATCTATCTGTAATTACAAAATATTCAGAAGTTTGCCTTCTTTAATCTTTCAGGAGCCCTACTATTTATGGTCACTTTGCATTCTCAAAGGCAAGGTCATAGACCTGGGAGACAGAACAAAGAAAAGGAAAGCCCAGACTGTTGGCCGTTAGTGGGAGGATGAGCGGGGAAGCTCAGCATGTTTACCACCAGGAATCCCAAGCATCCTCTGGACTGCAGGCAGCAGGAGCTTTCCTTCCTGGGGTGTTGATGCCATGGCATGGCGGTGGCAGCCAGGGGAGACAGCAGAGGTTGCCTCAGTTGTCCTCCAGAACAAGGTCAGTCCTGCATCTGACAATACTGTGTAAGGCGCCATAAATACCGCCGTCCACTAAAGCACAGTGTTGGCAGATGCTGTGTGGGGCAACACTGAGCAAATGGGCCATCACGGGAATCTTCAGCTGTCTGTGCGTGTGTGTGCACGTATGTATGTGTGCACATACGTGTATGTGTGCATGTGTGTGAGGGTGCACGTGTGTGTGCACAATGCAAAGAGAGATGAAGAGAGAAAGAAGCAGGGATGGGGCGGATGAGGGGAGGGGCATTGAGATGAGGACTCCATTGTGGAAAAGTTAAGGGAACTGTTGACGTCGATGCCATTCATTGGGATCAATAAAATAAAGACAGAAAGTGGGGGCAAGGCATTCGGCTTTGTAGTAGCATACCAGTTACCGCCGTTTACCAGAGCTGCTTACCGTTGATGGCTAATGACCATGTGCAGAATGACTGTTGTGCATGTCACTAATATGTGGTGGATTAAGTTTTCTTTGATTACAGCACACACTCGGATCCTGGATGCCTGGTCCTTGGTTGTCATGTAGCTGGTGTCGCCATCCACTCAGCTCCAAGGCATTAAATAAGGTTTTTGCAAGGCTCAGGGCTGGGAGTGGAGTCGCATCAATGACATGGCCTCCAACGCAGGAATCGCAAGACAAGTGACATGCAGGACTCAGAAAGAAGCTGCTCCTCAGGGACCTGTCTATGCAGGACTCAGGAAGAAGCTGCTCCTTTGGGACCTGGCTGTGCTGGGAAGAAGCCGCTCCTCTGGGACCTGGCTGTGCTGGACTCTCAATGGGGTGTCTGAGTTTAAATCGATGTTTAGAGAATGAAGCAGGTTAGGGAAGATGGACATGCTGTGACACTCTGCTGCCCAAACAGACTCTGGCAGACAAGAGTGTGGGCCCCACGCCTGCCACTGCTCATTCACTCAGTGGGGTAAAAAATTTAACCTCTGTGCATCTCACTTCCCCCATTTTTAAAAATATGAATATTATTTGCCTGGGAGGGTTTTTCTGAGGATTTTATAAGATACTGACTTAGAGAAACTGACACAGTTTCCGGAATCTCCCAGGTGCCTATTAAAAATATGTATAATATCTTTACTTATCATATACTTTATATCACAGTATATTTTATATGTTACATATCACATGTATTCAAAATTCTTCTCAAAACAGAGAAAGAAAATATGCTATGCTAGGACATTTTGAAGGGATTAGGGTGCTGATCAGGCAGAGTGGCTTATTTATGTGAATGGTTTCTTATGGAGAAGGTTTATTTGTCTACACAAATCTCAAATTAGAGGGGTCCCCATTCGGCCATGACCTCTCTTACAGTCGTCCTGAGCAAGGGGTGTCACCTCTTCAGGACACCAGTTACTCACAAAATGAAGGCATTGCATGTATTGTTCCTAAAGTTCTGGCCAGCCCTGCAATTCCAGAATGGCTGAAACGGGATCTTGGTTAACCAGGAGGAAGACCGTGTTGGCTGTGATGACGCTCTGCATGAACGCACAGCCATGGCTGCTTGCAGGGTCTCTAGCCTTGTGCTGCCTGGGATCCTGGGTTCGCATGCGGTCTCCACCTTCTGGGTGCAGCTGCTGTCGCTCAGCTCTTTTCCTAAGTGAGCTTGGGCGGCTCCTGCGATTGGTTCTCTTGCACCAAATCTGCTCGTACCAGTTGCTTCTTCATTTGTTTTTTGTTTTTGTTTTTTCTTTTTAATTCGCTAAGGAATGGAAAAGAGAAGGACAAATCTGTAGGTTCTTTCAGTAGCTGAAAGGCGTCGCGGTGAATGTCTCATGGCTGAATTTCTCATAGCGGGGCATCTTTGACTAAATTCATCATCCTTCCGAGGATTTTAGGGCAGATTTGAACTTGAGTGTTTTACTTTTAACTCATCCAGGGGTAGATAGGAAATTGTGCTGGATTAAACAGAGGTTAGAAAACCAAATGAAATGAGTTAAACAGCTAGAGATGCGGGAGGTTTGTCCTGGACGGGCCATTTGTCTGAAAGCAGCTCTGACCGATCCCCAAGTCAGTGCCGCACACCTCCCACACTGAGAGACGTCGCCTCGTAGAAACTTTTCACTCCTGTGTCTTACCTCCCTTTTCAGTGACCACCCTTGACTTGCATAAAATAACACACATGTTTTATGTGTGCCTAACAATTACACAGTTCACCTCAGCCTGTTTGTTCTATCTGTAGCCTGGGTTTCAAAGCACATAAAGATCACAAATTGTTTTGTTTCAAGTACTTTATACGGTGCCCACAGAGGAACCACAGGCAATAAACGCTTTCAATAATAATGGAATTATCTTAGTGCTCAAGGTATTACCCCAGTTCTTCAGGCCCCTGAGTGCGTGTGACTTCTGCAGGCCCCCTGTAGTCAATCCATTCACGATACCATCGTACCCCGCATGGCCCAAAGTCATCTCTCTTTGTTATGCATATTATGGATCCTCAAAACTATACAGAGAGTTTAAATATTAATTTGCCTTTCTGTATATTCTAATTTCAGAACACCAAGGAAAAACTCGGCGATTGGTGATTGCTATCACATTATTTAAATATAGCATGTATTTACTTGATAATACACAGTCATTTTTCTGTTGTATATGAAATAAATACACTCCCAATCCATAATGCACTATGATATTTATCTGAGTGATATAAACATTCCTTTGAACAATAATGCTTTGTGTAACCTCCCATGACAGTTTGTCTATTAAAAAGGAAATTAAATATACAAAGGTATGGGAAAAATCACTATAAGGCAATAATGAACTAGTAAATTCAAGAAGAAAAATGAAATAAGACTGATTTGAAGCCTAAACTTCCGTTGCTGTTTCTCATGATTCATCACTTATCACCAGAAATTCGGCTGGAGGGCCCTCGCACCCATGAACGCACAGATCCCGGTGATTATGTGCCGGACGCTGGGCCGGAAGAAGCCACAGTAACTGCGGCTGGACTCACTGATCAGTGAAGAGCTGAGGTCTGTACTTCTGTGGGATGCATCTGCTCTAATTTCTCCAAGTTCCCGATTATTTACTTAGAAATGCTCCCAAATTAATTTTCAATTCACAACCCAGTTCCTGATTTGATATCATTCAGCCAAGGGTCTGATGATTGTATTTTCTCAAACAGTAAAAATCCTCTGGATTCCAGAGTATCACCCAATCTCCACCAGCCTTTTTCTTATTTAAACTGCACAAATCTGTGTAAAAGGGAAGTATTTGGTGTGGATATTCAAATGTATGCTTAGTGATATACGCTTACTTTAAAACTAGCCAAGTGCAGATACTCAAACATTGGAAAACTTTTTAAGTATTTTTGGAGGACAATTGGGGAATGCCACCTTTACGTGTCAATGATAACTATGAGTATGAGCAACAGTTATACACGATACCTGTTGTTTTTCTTTTACTGCCCAATTATTTCTGGCAGCAAATCTGCCTAAAATTGTCACTTAATTGAAATCAAGCATGTATGGCCACAATGACTTATGATTTCTTTTAAAAGGAAAAAACATTTTAAGTTGGGGTGGAAATCTTATCTCCTCAAACAAAGTATAATTTGGCTTTCTACGAGCAATAACAAAAAGCTAGACCCAACTACAAAAAGTCATACCCTCCACAGAACTAGAATTGCCCCTCCCCGCAGTAAGCCAAGCTCTGTTCCTGAGGCTCGGCAGCTGTGGGTGCACTGGGCTCCTACTTGGGTCAGCGATGTGTTTAGCTGAAGGCATGAAAAGACAGTACAGTGCATATTGTGTTGCAGCTATAAAGTAAAAGTCATCCTTGTAAAAGCCTTCCTGGTAACGCCTTTAAAATCAGCAGTCAGAAAACCATTAGAGTGATTACCAGTGCCCAGGAGGCCTGGAGCCACTCTGGGAGCAGCCGGGGCTGCTCCTGAGGTGGGGCTGAGCCGCCCTCCAGGGCCAGAGCAGCCGAGACAGGAGGGCAGGTTTGCTCAGCTTCGCTAGGTGCTTGCTGCGAGTGAGGAATCCTGTTTTCTGCATAGAGGGAGGAGGTGCTCTTTCCTCAGTGCCCTTCAGATCCGGTTCCTCCCTACAGCCCAGGAGGGAGTGGCTTCCCTCTGACTTGGAGTTAGGAACTCGAAGCCCAGGGCATCAAAGCTCTGCAGAAAGCTCTGGAAGTTGAGAACTTGGAAGTCTGGCCTTTTGGCCCCCAAAGCCTGTATCCTCTCTATTCCCCCTTCAGCCTCTCATGTTATTATTACCATTAACACTGGAAACCAAAAATGAAATATGAAGGCCCCCCAACCATCAGAATGGACTTCCTCCTCAACAAGGGCTCTTTAAAAATTTAACCCGAGAGACTGGTTCAGGCCATGACGGGCAGTGAGGGTTAGACATGCCTCACTCTACCTCTCTGCCATTAACATCAACGCAGACTTTCGGTCTGATAAGAAACATTATACAACCGATTCCCTCTGAAGTCTGCTACCTGAAGGCCTCCTTTGCAAATAAGAACTTGGGTCTCCACCGTCCTTTATCTTCACCCAGACATTCCTTTCTCTTGATGCCAGGTCTTTAAATAAACCCAGTCAATTGTCAATGAGAAAACGTTGAAATTTACCTATAAGCTGGAAGCCCCCGCTTGGAGTTATCCCGCCTTTCTGGACGAAATCAATGTATTTGATTTTTCGTAAATGTGTTTGGTTGAAGTCTTATGTCTCCCTAAAATACATAAAACCAAGCCGCACCCCAACCACCTGGGACATATGTTCTCAGGATCCCCTGAGGGCTGGGTCATGGCCATGGTCATACATATTTGGCTCAGAATAAATCTCCTTAAACATTTCAGAGTTTGGCTCTTTTCATCAATAACAACCACTATTGATAAACTTACCCAGGATCTGACTCTTGTGGTACACATTTTACATTCTAGAAGCAGTGTTTTCAATAAAGCCAGGAAAATGAGAATTTTACTCCAAATAAAGTAAAGAGTTCTGCGTATTTGCTTGTTTGCTTATTGTTGTTTTTTTCTATAGCGATAGACACTGGATAACAGAAATTAAATTCACAACTCTTGATCATACTGTATAAAAGGACTAAAGAAAAAAGAAATTACACCACATGTGAAAGTTGACCCCATATGACAATAGAGAGGGGAAACATTTGAAGTTTGCCTCCTGATAAGTTCTTGTCCTTCCTGCCTTTTTTCCCTTTACCTCCTCTTTTGAAGCCTGAGACTTCATTGGGCCTGCAGGGGCCCCATGCTTATGCTGTCCCAGGCTAGACAGCCCATGCCCCAGGTCTCTGCAGCTGTCCCAGGCTAGACCAGCCCATGCCCCGGGTCTCTGCAGCTGTTCCAGGCTAGACCAGCCCATGCCCCGGGTCTCTGCAGCTGTTCCAGGCTAGACCAGCCCATGCCCCGGGTCTCTGCAGCTGTCCCAGGCTAGACCAGCCCATGCCCCGGGTCTCTGCAGCTGTCCCAGGCTAGACCAGCCCATGCCCGAGGTCTCTGCAGCTGTCCCAGGCTAGACCAGCCCATGCCCGAGGTCTCTGCAGCTGTCCCAGGCTAGACCAGCCCATGTCCCAGGTCTCTGCAGCTGTCCCAGGCTAGACCAGCCCATGCCCCAGGTCTCTGCAGCTGTCCCAGGCTAGACCAGCCCATGCCCCAGGTCTCTGCAGCTGTCCCAGGCTAGACCAGCCCATGTCCCAGGTCTCTGCAGCTGTCCCAGGCTAGACCAGCCCACACCTGAGGTCTCTGCATCCTCCTGTCCCTTGGGGTGTGGGCCTGCCCCGGGCTCTTGCCTCACAGCCTGCGACTGACTTCCCAGTTTGGCAAATAAATATCTGCCAAGGCATTAATGGGCAAAAAATGGCTTCATTTTTTCTAGACTCATTCCTGAATGTCTAGAATTAAAGAAAAAGGGAATGTCACTGAAGGTGGCTGGAGACCAGCTCTCATGCTTGACTCAGTGCTTGCCAACTCACTTCCAGGTGACACTGGCCAGGCTAACCCAATTTCCACAGCTGGTGATGGTTTTAAAATGGGACCATGCAAATATATGCTTGCATTCCTCCCTCCAACCTCCCAAGTGTAAGTGTTTAACCTTGTAATCTAACCCATGGGCCCAAATAGGACCTTCATCAGAAGCAGAGTGTCACAAAAAACCTGGGCTTCCGTTTCTTTATTTAGATGGATGAGAAAGCTCTAGTTTCATGTCCTTAACTCCTAGGATTTTCATCTTGGTGGGAAAATCAACTAGGATTCCAAGTTCATAATTTGTTCCTGTAGGGGAGCCCTGGGAAGCAGAGAAACTGGCAAGGCAGGGGTGATGGCACACGATACCCTTACGAGGTAGGTGCTGGAGCATGTCCTGATCCCGTGCTTCAGAGGGCAAGGAGAGCCAGGCGGCCCACAGGCCCACGCGCTCAGCGCCACCTCCGTGATGTTTGGGTAAATGCAGGAAGGTCACCGAAGGCTGCTGCCCTCGTTAACCAAGCAAGAGCATTTGACAGAGCTGTGGAGGTGCTCTGATTCAGAGCCGTGATGAAGAAGGCAGACATAAGTGAAGTTTTAAAATAAAACATTACATTGCCAGTGTTTCCAGCCTGTCAGAAGGGAAGTTGCTTCCCCATAACTGCAAGTCAACACGGAGCGGCACAACATAAGTGTCTCTGCACTTTCCCCATTTCACGCGAGGTCAGCCTGATGGCTGAGTGTGCTTAAGTCAACACCGCAGGCCGTTTCATAGGACAGGTGCTCTGAACGTATAGGCAAGGCCATCCCTATTATTTCAATTAACAACATAAGCTACAAAAACACAGGCGGGTGAATTAATTTAGAGCTTCCATTTAGTGCTGCTTGTGAGGACATCGTTGGGCCCTTGGTTGTCGTGGCAACTTAAGCAACTCCAGCCGGCAGAAGCAGGCGGCTGCTGCTCGCGTCCCCCGCACACACACGGTTCAGATAGTACATTAGCAAAGAATACGATGTCCATGTAAATGTTGAGATATTTTCGTTGCCATAGAGATAAGAAGAATGGCAAAAATACAGGAGTGCTTGACATACTCCAAGGCAGACTTTTAATTAAAAAAAAATCTCCCCTGACAATGCCAAGATGGCTGAAGGCACCAGGAGCTTCTGGGCTCATGGAGGACTGGCAAGGCCCCCACCCAAATGCCATGGACAGGGCCCGAGAATTCTGCTGAGTGGCCCAGGAGGAAGTACAGGGGCACCGGGAGGTGTGGGGCCACAATGATCTTCTTTCCACGGAGCACAGAAAAAGAAAGGAGCAGAGACAGTGGAGCCCACGTGCCAAGGAGGCCTCGGCATGGAC
This sequence comes from Homo sapiens, assembly GCF_000001405.40. Classification (NCBI taxonomy): domain Eukaryota; kingdom Metazoa; phylum Chordata; class Mammalia; order Primates; family Hominidae; genus Homo; species Homo sapiens. The sequence continues at coordinate 111,629,714 of NC_000013.11, read as the reverse complement.
AGGTCTCATCTGTCCCAGCCCAGAGCTCGGAGCCTGCACGAGGACGACCTTGCACGTGCCCCCAGTCAATGTGCTTCCTCCTCGGCCTCCCTGTCCTTGGAGCAGGCTGCATGGCTTCGTTGTGGGGGTAGCGTGTGGGTCGATGTGAAGCGTGTGCTCCATCAAAGCAGGGGGCAGTGGGCAAGGAAGGAGCGTTTGCACGTCTTGTTGTCAAAGTTGGGGTTGGCTCTTCTCAAAACTTGCCATTCCAAAGCATTATGGGAGGGAGGGACTTTACTTTTCTCTAAAATTAAGATTTCACTTTTTTAAAAAATGGTAGAAATTTCCATGAGCTTCCACCAAAGGAACCTGCTATAAGTATTTCCCACAGAGGCTACAGCCAAGGCCCAAGGACTGACAGTGGCCACGTCCAGGAAGGTCCCTGAACAGGCTGTGCATAAGGAGAGGCCAGAGTGGTGAGGGTACCTGGCAGAGGCTGGCCTGCGGGCTCAGCAGCGGCACCAGCGACCTCCCCTGCCTCCTGGGCACCCTCCAGCCTTGACTGCCAGCTGTTTGTCCTCATCTGAGCGATCGCTGAGAGTCAGAGTTCCCCACGCCGTCCTATCCCACCCTGCCCACTTTCCTGTGTGCCCTTAGCCGTTTTCTCATCGGCAGCTCCCATCTCCTGCAATTCCCGCACATCTCTCCCAGCCCTGAACCCACTCTGTGCTCTCCGCTGATGGCTAACTGGCTTCTCCACCCTGACGACCCATCCCAAACCTCACGTGTCAGAGGGCAGTTCATTATCTTCCCTTCCTCTCTTTCATCTCCCTAAATGCAGCAATCTGAGACTGGAACCTCAGGTTTTCCAAGCTCCTCCATCTTCCACACCATGGGCTCCGGACTCACTGAGTCCCCAAAAACCAGGGCCCAGTGACCAAAGGGATGCCTCTCCCCAAGTCAGGGTGGACACTTTTCAAAGCCACATCAGTCAGACACCCGTTTCCATGGCTTTGAGCTTTGAGCGGGGCATGCAAGATGGAAACACCAGCAGTGAGGAAGGGGTGGGAGCCTCTCCATTCCCCAGCAGCACACGGAGTGTTCACCTTTCCTTCTGAGTCGCTGCAGAGCTGCCCTGACTGCTGCCTTTTTCAGAACCCGCTTCTTGATTCTCCCATTTAATTCAGTCCAAATAAAAATCCTTTTCTGCTTAAATAGCTGGATTCGTCTTCTGTTATCCGCAATATCAGAACCCTAACTGCTGAAATGAGCCGGACTTGGTTTCTGTTATTTGTGATGTTAGAACCCTACCCAATACAGACCACTGATGGTAGAAATGTTTCAGGAGAAATTTGATGGGATGGAAAAAAGGATGAGACAGAATCTTCCTAAACTATGTCAGACAATCATTCTAAGCTTGAGCTCGCCAGTATCCTTCAAGGTGGAGTTTCCCTGCAGAAGACATTTGTGGATGACCCCTCTGGACTGGAAGGTTGGATTGAGACTTACTCACTGGGTACCCCACATTCACAGAGTGAGGTCAATCACAAACAACTCTGGCCGCTGCAGACACACCTGGGCCCCTCTGCTTCTCGTCCTGTCCTAAGAGCACACTCTGTTCCAAGCTACCTGCTGAGAGAGTGACTTCCAGGGAAGGAATTCCTTGTGGTCAGTGTCCACTCACAGCTTCCAATCTATTCCTTTTGAAAACAGGAATTTCTCATGCGAAACCCAACCTCTTTCCCAAAGTATGCAGCTGTGTGGAGGGGAGCCACTCCTAAAGTGTGTCGGGGGAGCTACTGATCACAGGGGAGAAGCCCAGGGGTCCGGGGTCTTCATGCCGTCACAGGGGCTGGCCATGCAGGTATGGCCCTGCCTCAGTCCTGCCGTCACAGGGGCTGGCCACCCATGCATATCCCTCTATTGCCCGCCATTGCAGTGTCTGTTGGGACCTTTCTATGAGCAGCCGTGCCAGTGCCCAGCACTGCAAAGACATAAGATCCAGTCATAAACCTCAGCGATCATACAGGCGGGGGGGTGGTGACCCGAGAGACACTGTCAACCGTCCTGGGACAGGAGCACAGCGACAGCATCCTGCCACGGGAACGGGAGAAGATAAGCTGCTTGCAGCTCAAGTGGCAGAGAAGGCTGGAAGCATCTCAAAGTGTAGGTTTCAAAAGATGAAGAGAACATTCCTGGGATAGGGCTGGGGCGGGAGGCAAGGGGGTGTAAGGGGTCCTGTGATCCAAGCTGTGAACCGGGGCGCGCCAATGCCCCACTCGGCAAAGCAGACCAATTTGGAGCAAAAGTTTTTGGGAGAAGTCAGAGACAGGGCTGTTGCCGTGTGCTGCAGGCAGATGGTGAAGGATGAAGGCTGGACCACTGTTAGCACCTCTCCAGTTTTCATGACACTTTTTCTCTGGTGACCAAAGAGAAGCATGTCGGAAGGTGGTTGTCGGCATCAAGCAAGGCGTCATAGCAAAGACCCACCCCCAGGCCTGGTGCCCACAGAGACTTGACATTCCCAACAACTGCCAGTTCCCTGGGTGGCATCTCTCCACTCCACCCCATGTCCCCTGCTTTTATGCTCCTGGCCTCTCTCCTGAAGGGGCCACACAGCCATCTCCTACAGATCTTGGCATTCAGGGACAACTTGAGTGTGAGCTGCTCATCTTTGAAAATCTAAGCCTCATGGTGTTGCTCACACATGTCCCTCCTCTGACAAGATAAAGTACGCAGCCCTGCAAAGCCACCCAGGAATGCCAAATCCAGAGCTGAGGACAGTCCTGAAGCCAACTGCAGCTGCCAACCCTGCTCTCACTGTCCCAGGGTTTCTGAGATGATGGCTGAGAATAACGGGGAGGGAGCCTGGCCCTGCACGTCCGGGAGGGGTGGCTGCCCGCCAGAAAGCTGCGAGGTCAGGGGTGGGAGTCCCCTCTTCCCCTCCTGCCTTTGCGGTGGCTCCATTCCTCCCCACGCTGTTCCAGGCATAATTGGATGATGACAGGAGTGCCAGGCTCAAGTGTGTGGTCAATGTGGGTGAGGAGTGCTGGAGCTATCTGCTTGAGAGAAGAGGAGAGCGAGGTGCCCTCACCTCCCCATGAGGTTTGGGCTCTGCCAAGTCCTTTGGCCGGGAAAGAGAACTCAGTGTCCCGGTGGGAATAATTGCACGGCTGAGCTTATGCCAAGTCAAATCTGAGCCTTTCACAAGCCTGAGCTGCCATGCACTGTGTCCAGCAAAGCCCGGTGGGGTCGCAAGGCTCTCCTGGAAGCACTCCCTCCTGCCAGGGCCCAGGTGGGAGGGAATCTGAGCAGCCTCCCAAAGCGGGGGCAGACATGAGTCACCCAGGAGATGGGGTCCTGGAGGCTCCCCGAGTTAGATCAAGCTCGCTCGTCTTCACTTTTGGAAGGGGCTGCGTAGACAAGAAAGCTTGAACTGGAGCTAGGGAAGGGCTAAGAAGGGAGTGCATGCTGCCAGTGTGGGAGCTGTGGATGCAGTGATGCTTCCAAAGGGCCAAATTCTACCCTAACGAAGACAACCAGCACTGCACAGAAGTTCAGGCAAGTGGTCCACTCCCCAACACGCTAGCGATCACAAGGAAAGAAGACACAGGCTCAAACTCACCCCGTCCTCTTCCTTCCCCAGAATCCACCAGAGGCTCTAGGCACGGGAGGCGTTTCAAATTTCTTCCCCGCCACCACTTCCTGCTGGATACCTCTTGGGCCATGGCCCACCTCATACTGCTATTCTGAGAATTAAATAGTGTGTGTAACATAATTAGAGCTTAGTAATAGCTAAATAAATATTAATAAGAAAAACGAGACCATGTATTAGAGTTCTCCCAAGAAACACAACCAATAGACCTGTATCTGCTCTCTATAGAGCTACATCTTTGTTTGTCTACCTCAAGGTTTATGTTAAGGAATTGGCTCACCGTGACTATGAGTGCTGGCAAGTCCACAGTCTGCAGGGCAGGGGGCAGGCTGGGGACCCAGGGAAGAGCCGATGCTGCAGCTCAGCGTCTGTCTGCAGGCCGAGCTCCTTCTCGGGGAGTTCTCAGTCTTTTGCTCTTAAGGCCTTTAACAGATTGGATGAGACCCCCCACATTCCAGAAAGCCATCTGCTTTACCCAAAGTCCACTGATTTGAGGTTAATCTCCTCTAAAAACACCTTCACAGCAACATCCAAACTGATATCTGATCCAATATCTGGACACTGGGGCTTGGCCAAGTTGACACACAGAATTAACAACACAGATCAGCCCAGGTGTCTCCTCCTTTCTGACCACCACCTCTCCTGTCTCTAGAGTGCTTTGCCCTAGACCTCGGGATCCCAGGTTTGGAGCCACGTGGACTCATGGAACACCTTCCATGTGGACCTGCTCTGTATTCATCTCAGAGAGGACTTGGACCACCAAAGCATGTTCTGAACATTTGGGGGTCTGAGAAGCTCCTTGAGGAATCAGGTACTAGCTTTGGATTTTTGCCCCAGAAAATTTACATATGCATAAAATTGCATGACATTTCAGGGTTCCCACGGCCTGACCTCCTAAGTTTGTCTACATGTTGAATTTCAGAATCCTACATCTAAAAGTACTGCAATTGCCTCAGCTTCAGCGGAAACTGTTCAGAAGGGAATGGGCTTTGTTAGGATCTGGAGATGTTTCCACCCCCAGAAATGACGAGGGACAGGGAAGGAGTGCTGTTTGCGGGGCTGTGGAGATCGAGAGGCACCATTGGAGGCATAGACCATGTTCTGTCTCAGCTCGACCCGCCAGAGCCTCGCCAGGTAGGCCCCACCAGGTAGGCCACCACTAGAAAGGAGGCCACTGGCCCAGGTAAGAACAACCAGATGCCACAGATGCCGCCCAGCTGGGACCTGTGCGCCTCAGGGCCCACGTCCTCCCTGCCCCTTCCTGCATCCAGGTTGAGGGCTGAGACGGTGGCCCTGGTTCTATGGGGCAACCTTGTTCCCACACTCAGAAAGTATCCCCTGCCTGTGGGTCTGTGAGCAGGCAGTAAATACTGTTAGGAAAACAACAGAATATTCCATGAAAACTGCTTTGATTTATTATTAACACAAGTGTTTCAATGGTGAACTCCACTTCAGAGAGTGTCTGTCTCACCCCTTCTTACTCACTTCACGTCTCAGTGTTCTGTCTTTGCAATGACAATTATTCATCGCGGTTGGTTTTCCTGAACTCTTCACTATTGAAACCAGACTTTTGCAAGCCATCTCTCAGCTCTTGGGAGTCAAATTTTAGAGCCCCCAGAGTGAACTTCTGGGCCAACGGCATTTCTCTCACGGACGCGTGTGTGCCGTAAGCCTCACGGGACCAGAGCACCACTAAGAGAGGAGGCTGCAGACCAACGCTGGTCTGAAGCCTTCAAAGCAATGAGGGACCCGGTGGGGAGAGCAGGGGCGCAGAGCAGACGGGAACTTACCGAGGAGGGGCTTTGCAGGGAAATAGGAGGGGTCTGCAGAGAGGATGGTGCAGACGATGCTCTCAGGGAGGCCAAGCTAGGATGAACTAAGGCGTTTCCAAAGCAGCACAAACACAGAGACTTCTTAGTATAACAGAGTCCACCTGACTTCAACCAGGAAAGGGATTGCAACAGTGTTTGGGGATAACAGCGCACTCGGATCCGGACCCCGTGGACTGGATTTGAGGATAACAGCGCACTCGGATCTGGACCCTGTGGACTGGATTTGAGGATAACAGTGCACTTGGATCCGGACCCCGTGGACTGGTGTCCCTGAGAACGTTTACTAAAATTCCTCACAGGGGAAAGCTGGAGTGGCCTCCTGTCCTTGCACACGGAGAGAAATGGTGGTAGGGAGAAGCAGCAGTGCAGGGCACGGATTGGATCAGGACATACTCAGTGGACACCTGCTATGGGTCAAGTCAAGGATCACCCCCGCCTCCATCGGACTACACAACCCGTGACAGCCTCGCTCCCATTCATATTTCCTGGGCTTCTTAGGAGAAGCTCGTGAAGGGGGTGGACGTTATCACCCCTCTACTAAAAACAGGGAAACTGGGAATGAGAAAGATGATCCCGGGCCACATGGCTGTAAAGTGTCAGAGCCAGAACAGACCCTGGCTCTGCCTAGGGTGGGCCGGTGCTCCTGCTGCTGCTGCTCAGAGGCAAGCCTTGGGGTCGTGCTGATATAAAATATCTCCCTGCTGCCCTTGGAGCTGGCCACAGGGCAGAGCCAGTATAGGGTGCGAGAGTCACAGGCTCTCAGGGTTGCTGACTCATTCCTCCAACAAATGTAACAGGAGTCGTTTCAAATACCGCAGGGGAATGCGCTAGCGTGGCGCCTTCTAACGTGCGCTCAACAGTCAGAGCTGTTCAGGGCAACGTTCCCTGCTGGAAAGCGTTGCTGGGCGGTTGTACCTTGACTCAGCTGTGCCGGTGGCTGGGGGCAGCAGAGGTGGCACTGCGGAGGCGAGGCGGCTTCTGCGGGCAGGAACAAACTCATCGTAACTTAGGGAACACGGAGTCTCTGCAACCGTTTTCTGAGCATTGTTTTAAATCAATGGCTTAATTAGACCCCAGTGGCGTTTTCTTCTCCATGAATCGAAATGGCCTTGGCGTTAATACACATCAACATGTTTTCTCAATGATGCCCAAAAAGTCAAGACAGCAACAAATGTTTCGCAGGGAAGAAAAGGAACTTGTGTGGCTCCCGAGGCCCTGCGAGCTCAGCTGTAGTGCAGGGCCAGGAACTGCGTTGGTTTCCTTTTTTTTTTTTTTTTTTTTTTTTTTGAGACGGTGTCTCGCTCTGTCGCCCAGGCTGGAGTGCAGTGGCGCAATCTCGGTTCACTGCAAGCTCCACCTCCCGGGTTCATGCCATTCTCCTGCCTCAGCCTCCCGAGTAGCTGGGACTACAGGCGCCCGCCACCGCGCCTGGCTAATTTTCTGTATTTTTAGTAGAGACGGGGTTTCACCGTGTTAGCCAGGATGGTCTCGATCTCCTGACCTCGTGATCCGCCCATCTCGGCCTCCCAAAGTGCTGGGATTACAGGCTTGAGCCACCGCGCCCGGCCTGTGTTGGTTTCTTGTAAGACACGTTGCATGATGTGTGAATTTAAGGAGGATGGAGGTCAAGTGTTTAAAATTTCAGTCCCAGGTGGAAGCAAGCAAAACATGCCAGGAATTCAGCAGCTTGGCTGTGGCCTGAGAACAGGTGAAGGCTGGGCTGCAGAACCGGGAGAACCTGGGAGGCACAGCGGCCTCCTCTCGCCGGTGCTCCTCACTGAGCCAAACTGGTGCGAGGCCCACACTGGTGAGGGGTGGATGGCAGCGCCCGGGCAGCACCCAGGAGGCCGGGCCCCAAGGGACCGTTTCTGTCTGATTGACAGGGACCTTCTGGGCAGCAGCACCTGATGCCTGGGCTACCGAGTGGGGATCGAGGCCCATGTGGCTTGGGGCAGAGGCTCCCAGTCCGCATTCGCCCCGCAGGTCCCAGGGGCTGGGACCACCTCAGGAGCCATATGAGACATGCCAGGGGCTTCTGCCTGAGCTTCCAGCAAGGGCCATGGCCGCGAATGAGGAAGAATGGAAGGCGCCCTGGCCGGGAGGGAGGCCACCTTGGGAGCCCCCAGAGCCGCCTGCATATGCGGGCTGGGTGCTGTCCCCTGTGCGGCCCCAAGACCCAGTTTCCTGATGGATGAGGCGCCGGACCTCAGAGGGCAACGTGGACAGTCGGATGCGGCCTAGGGACGAGGGGGACACGTGGGGCTGATGGAGACATGGGCAGAGGGCACCAGAGGGAGAGCTGGGACTGTGTGCTCCACACACCACAGAGAGATGCACACACACCACACGCACACCACGGACACACACACACCACAGACATACACCACACACACCACATAGACGCGCACACACCACACACACACCACACAGACACACACCCCACACACACACACACCACGAATAAACACACACCACACACACACCACGGACACACACACCACACACCATACATACACCACACACACACCACACAGATACACGCACCACACACACACACCACAGACACCAAAGACACACCACACATACCAGACACACACACACCACACACACAACAGACACACCACACACACACAGACACACACACCACACCAATACACACACCACAGACACACACCACACACACACGCCCGCCCACACCCCATGTACATATACCACACACACACACCACAGAGACACACACCACACAGACACACACACACCACACATACCACAGACACCTACCACACACACAAGCCCCACACACACGCCCCACACCCCACATACATATACCATACAGACACACACCACACAGACACTCACCACACAGACACACACACTACAGGCACCCACCACACACACCACACACACACCACAGACACACACCCCCACACCACAGACACACGCACCACACGCATACCACACACACACCACACACACAGACACCCACATACTACAGACACCCACCACACACACCAGACATACCACACAAACCACAGACACACACCATACACATCACAAACCATATGCACACACGCACACCACACACACACAACACACACTACACACACCAGACACAAAAACACACCACAGATACACATACCACAGACACACGCACACACCACACACCAGACACACACCACACACACCACAGACACATGCCCACACACATCACACACACATCAGATACACATATCACAGACAGATGCACACACACAGCCTCCCCTAGACACACCTCCAACCTCCCACAAGAGACACATATGCCCCACAAACACGTAAACACACACTCACCATACACCTACAGACACACACACCTCAGACACACACACACATCCTGGTTCCCCACTGGCACGCACAGATGTCCTCTCACACATTCACACAGGTATGGGTGTCCCCATGAGCTCACACTGGGCCAGTGTCAAAGCTCCTCCGTGGGCTGACCTGCAGCCAGGCATTCCCACAGCCCCCCAGGAGAGGGCCCTGCCGCCGGGGCCCTTCACAGCCCCACGGAGGACAGGGATGCAGGCAGAAGCCAGCCTGGCCATTCCAGACGTTGGTCTCACCATGTTCTAACCCACCACATTATTAGACGCCATGACACGTGATATGCCACCTCCACAGACACACACCACATCACTCTGCCACTTCATGGAAGTTAGAGCTCTCGCCTTTCTGAGCCGTCTGCCTCCTCCCGTGATAAGTCAGTTTTCTGTGATCAGAGAGTGTGCACATTCTTGCCTCTATGTGAAATCCCACAGCCAGTGAAAAAACCACCATATCTCCCATTAAGTGTGGGGCTAACATTTCCTTTCTGCTGCATTCAAAATACACCCACGGCTTCCATCATGATGTCCTTTCTGTTTGTTCATCCTGGTGTAAAGAATTGCTTCTCCAGGCCTGGTGCTTGTCAGTACCCATCAGTATCAGTAGTCCATCAGCAGCATCCCCCTGCAGGAGAACCTCCCTTCAGATTGGAATCCTGCAGTTGGTTCAACGTGCACCACGCTAAGCCCACCACCAGCTCCCAGAGGGCTCTCATTTAATATGTCTCTGCAGGGACACCTTGCAACACAGGAGAAAGGGAATAATCATCTAAGATTCAGTGGAAAACTGTACCCTTGGAAATTATCTACTAAAGGAGGTGAAAAGCACTTTTAGAGAGTTTTACTTGACACTTCTCAACAGGAAAGAGCGTCATAGGGAAAGCAACAGGAGCAGGGTTAAAATATGCACTGAAGGCAGCAAAAAGCAGAGTGGACCGGGTAGAAAATGGAATCAATGCTGCTGGGGAGAGACAGAAGACTTTCTCCCAGAGAGCCAAGGGAAGGTCGAAGCAAGTGCAGTTGAAAATGATAACACGGAAAATGAAAATCAAACCGCTAAACATTATCATCAGAATGTTAGTTCTCCAAATTAATCCAATCCAATCCACATCCAAATCCCAAAGGAAATTTTACAGACTTTGACTAGCTAATTTCAAGATTCATCTAGGAAAGAAAATCTACAGGAAAAACCAATAATTAGCAGTGTAAAATATCAAAGAATATTTGATAACTGTAGTGCTCAAAACATTGTGGTGTTGGCTCAGAAACATAAAAATTCAATAAATGGAACAAGAGGAAGAGCCTAGAAGTAGGAAATGCATGTATGCATCTTGGTGTATACGGTAGAGGTGACATTTTTATATCAAGGAAAAATTTGTCAATTCAACAAGTGGTTTTGAACTACTCCTTTCAAAAATATTAAATATTCTACACAAAAATAAATTTCAGATGTGATAAACACAAAATACTATAAAAGTACTAAAAGATATCACAGAACACTTTTTAAAAAATTAACCCTTTGCCCATTTAGAAAAATAAAGTGCAGCTCACTGCTGGCGCTCATTTACTTTTACATAAACACGCTCTTTGAGGCTGAAGCAAATCTGACTGATTTTCAAGGTAAAAGTAAAATATAAAAACTGTTCTTGGAGTTATTTCTAAACAGAGCTAACATCAGAATCGTCTGAATCATCAGAATTGTCAGTTTCGGAAAAATCAGACTCATCAAATGAATCTTCGGCCAACAACTGTTTGAGAATGATGTTCGTATCACATGTGAGAATGCCACGTTTTCTAGGATTTGACATTTTCAGCGATTTTGTAAATGGAAAGTATCGTTACTAAAAACAGAATGCTATAAATAGAATGTCTTTTGTTTCCAAAGTTGATATATTACAGTGATGCAAAAATAACAAAAGCGAGGTATTTCATGACAAAGTTATCTCGGGGTAAACACTGCAGCCGCAAGTGCCACTGCTGCGTCCTCTCCAAGCAAACGGAAAAGGGGTAATCATGAAATGGGGATAAAAAAGGCCTTCTGTGTCTCTAGACAAAAAGGCAGAGCGGGTTGAGGACAAGCAGCCCAGGACACAGCCCCTTGGCCTTTGAGGAAACAGCAGAAGCAGGAAAGCTCCTCTCACCTCTCTCCACCCTGCTCCGCTGAAGCTGGTCCTGAGACCCTCGTGGGAGAGGTGTGCTCCCTATGCCCAGAGGAAAGGAACATTTTTATCTCTAAAGACAAGGACACAGAGAAGATTCAGAACACACAGGCCCTGCTAAGCCTCCCTGTTCCCTGGTTTATTACTGCTAGGCTATCCACCTCATTGTCCAATCATACGTCCCCATTTCTAAAGGTTCCTGTGGCATGTTAAACTGACATTAAATAGATATGTCTGCTCTTCTCCTGTTAATCTGCCTTTTGTTACAGGGGCCTCAGCCATGAACCTAGCAATGGGTAAGGAAAATTAAATTTTTCCTCCCCTACGACTCTCATCAATGTCTATGTAATGATGTCAAAGGCAAAATGAGAGACAAATGGAAGACTAGGAAAAAATAACTTCAACATAACAGAAATAACTTCAAAATAACAGAGAACGGTTCACTCTCGAGACATAAAGATCATGTTATTATATACACTCTATAATCCAGTAGAAAAATGGGAAAAATTTGTAAGTAGAGAATTAAAAGGAAAAGGAAGATTAATATGTCATCAATGTGAACGTCTGTCCAATCTCACTAATAATCCATGAAATACATTATTTTCCCCATAAGTTCAGTAAGACATTTTTCAATGATAACACTCAATGTTTCTGTGCATATGGTGAAGGGCTATGTTCTGTGGGAATGAAGTGAATGGCAAACAGACATTGTGAGGGTCCCACGTATCCATACGTACACACTCTACAACAGTCTCTCTACCTCAGGAATGATGCGGCCTATCAGGGCCTTCCAATAATTACACGTACAAATTAGCAATTAACATTGGTTACCCCTCTAGTCAGAGGTCTCACAATTTCATGGTTTTTTTAATGCTATATATTCATGAAGCACCAGAGGAAAAAAAGCCAAATCTCAAATCAAAATTTTCCTCTTCCAGGAAGACTTTCCTGGTTCACTCTTTGTGCTGTACCTTCTCTCTCCAACTGCTACTCCTGCTGGATTTTCTCCATTTCTATGGCATGAGATGAACCTTGGTTGTTCTTTTTATCTGTGTAAGATTTTTCAGTCCCTTGACCCTTGTCTAGATTCTCTGAGAGCAGGGCTAGTGCTGACTGGCTTGTAATGCTGTGCTGACCACATGCACATTTTGTATATGCCTTGCAGATAAAAACAGAAATGACTTTTATGTATCCTTAGACTTTGATCAGCTTTCAGATAAACTTAGGAGGGCACTTTCTTTCTCTACCAGTTAGATTAAAGACATCACTCTAGGGAGTAAACACGGGAACGCCAAGTGGAAGAATCTTGTGAAGCTGGAAGAAAGAAGGATGTTTAAGTCCTAGAAACCAGACTCCTCCGCTTAGCAGCAGGTGCCCTCCAGCAAATTACACCCCCTGAACCTCACTTTTGTTATCCATAAAATGGAAACAGGACAACCTTTCTCCCTGAGCTAGGACTGGAAAACGTGACAGTCACACAATGCCTGACACAGTACCTGGCCCATAGTATATGCTCAATTAATATGAATTCCCTCCTAGTATACACTCAATTAATGTGAATTCCCTCCTAGTATACATTCAAAGGCCAGGGACAAAAGGGCCTCATTGTCTTTTCAAACTCCTGTCACTCTTTGTTCAACATAAATTTGTATGTACATTAATACAGAGGCAGGGGCCAGGGGCAGAAAATGGAGATCAGGGGAAAAAAACCAAAAAACCTTTGCAAAATGATTTGAATTTTATTCCTACAGTTTTTGCTTTGACCACAAATGTTTCCACATAAAGATATATAACAAATTCTCTTGTGAAACAAAAGATTTAGAAAAATAGAACATAAAACCTGGAAATGTAAACAACTTTTACATGCTCGGAAACTTCCTCAGGGTACAACTTCTCACTTTTCTTGAAAAGATGTATAAATAGAAACATCACTCCTGAATTAATTATTCTTTCCAGGGAAGAAATTGGCTGGTTTTCAAGATTGGTCTTTCCCAGTGATTCACCAGATGATGTGTAATTGTACTATACGATTTGATGGCTTTTTTTTTTTAACATATCAAAACATGTAACATTGTAAAGTTAACTATCTTTGTTTCCTGTGATTAAGCCAAGAAGTAGTGATTGCAGATGAAGCTCAGGATAGGAAGGAGGTCGGTTCGGGAGAGATCGGCCACCGACTGCGTTCCCTGCATTAAGTTATGGACATCGAGATGATAAATGCTTCTCGGCTGTTGTTTTAGTGCCTTCCTTTGGTAAACCCCATTTGATTGGCATGAACAGTATTAGGTAAAACAGACTGAAGCTGCAGTGCCAATATTTTCGTGACTATTTTGCAATCGGCGTTAATCAATGAGATGGGACTGTAATTGCTGCAATTTCCCATGTCTCTTCCTGGCTCCAGAATCACAGATATAATAGCGCTCCTAAGAGTTTCTGACAATCTGCTATTCACAAATGCTGTATTAAATATACCACATGAAACTGTATCCCAGCACTCCATCTTTTTTTCAAACCCCTCCTGGAATGCTGAAGTCCTGGGGTGGCAGGGCCCCAGGAGGAAGCCGTCTCTCCACAGTCCTCCCCAAGCTCCCCGGTGGAACGTCTCCTTGAAAGCCATGTTGGGATTTTGGCCTCATGGCCTCATCACATTTCATGAATTCAACTTCGTTTTGGAAATTTTTCAATCACTTTGGTGACATTGACAATTTTCCATTTCATTATAATGCTACAAAATTCAAGCACCTGCTTTGCTTTTCAAAATGTAAATCTACTGAAAAATCAGAGAAAAAGCAGGTGTTCTACCTTAATTGACAGAATTGAATCTCCTATCAGAAAACAAGCCTCCAAATCAAAACAGAGACTCCAAAGTACCCGCCGAGGCTGGGGGAATGTGGCTCAAGCCCGTCGCTGAAGTCAGTTTGGGGCACCATAGAGATGCCTTCCCGGATGGGTTTTAAGCCTAAGGAACAACAGGGTGTTAGATCAGAAATGAAACAGAAGCGACTCCTCCACACCTAAAAGAAGAATTCAGTGAAACATGGACACCAGTGACTCACAGGCTGCCCCTTCAGGGTATTTGCGTCTGAGATGCGGGGCTGTCAGTGGCCTTCAAGCACACTGAGCTTGGAATCAGGTGCAGAAATTCTATTCCATGGAGAAAAATGCTTCCTGGAAAACTTAATTGTGCTTTTAAGTTTTTTCACCCCTTAAATTCACAGAAGACTCTGTACGACTTTAAGAACATTTTTCCCATCCTAATTCCCTGGCAATCTCCTCTTGCAAATGTCAGTGTTATTCAGCCTGATTAACTCCAGCAATTTCATCTTTCAGTGATGTTCTGCTCTCAAACTGCCAAACAAAGATTCTTCTATTTCATTATTCAAAATATTAAGTGAAGCTCAAAAGCCACAATGATAGACTTTGGGGTAAAGAAATATTGCTCTGTCTGTCAAAAAAGCTGCAAGTTATTTCATTACATAAAATAGTACTTAGGGCATCTAAACCATCAATTCTCAAAGAACAGAAAGGGTATGGCTAAATCAAATCCCAATCATCCATTTTCATCAAATGCATGCTTCATCACCCATCAACCATTTTACCAGAACTTAAAAAAATAATGTAATTAACTACTCTAATTTTATTTCTCCAGCTGCTGTTCTTATTTGGGTAAAGTTGCTAACGAATAAACTTGGTGAAAATACTGACAAGTCAGAAAGGAATGGAAATCGATGTGCAATTCACAACTGTATAATTTCTACCTGAATAATTTAAAGTGTAACTTTTTCCCACACAAAGCATTTGTATTCCTAGCCTTGTCAGAGCAGAATATTGTCATGTTTGTTAAGGACAAGTAAGGAGTCAGAAAATGCTGCAACATGGCTGGTACCACGCAGGAGCTGAACTCAGAGTTTATTCACCCTGAGCTGGTAAATATTTAACTTCTGTGTTTCAGTTTCAACTGGGAGAAAAAGGTGATATCATACTCACCTTGACAGTTTATGGTAAATATCAGGACGTCGCCCAAGGGATGTACATTATGTGTTGGGGACTCAGGAAGGACACATCCCCGCTTCCTACCCAAACCATAGCTGTGACAAATGTATATGTATTGAAAATTGTCCCTACCAAAAATGGGCTTTGCAAGTGTCAATTTAAAATTAAGGTCAGTAAACCTAAACCTATATATGCCAACATCCCAAATTCCATAATAACAGCTGCTGACGCTCTGTCTACAAGAGGCAGTGGCAGGGCACCTCCAGGGTGTCACCATGCCCTGGGCTTACCCCCTTTAGAAACAGGAAATCACCACCCCTCATCTGACAAGCAGAACTACCAAGAGACTTTGAGGCTGGACCCCTAATAAAGAAATCATTTGTCAATGCTTATGTAATTTGCACCAAGCAGATTGTGTAATTTCCAGTCCTACAGTATCTCATCCCGGTGCCGTTGACAACACCTGATCGACGGTCCTTGCAAAGCTGGCACGTGCCCTAGGGGGCATTTAAAAATGAGCTGGTCTGCTTTGGACTGTCCCAACAGCTGGGCTCACTCTGGCACTTGGCCATAGGGACCCAGGATATTAAATGTCCCTCAGTGTCTGCAGAGTCACATGAGCAAGACCTGCCCTTATTCTTGCGTGACTTCCAAATAGTCTATGAGACGTTCATGTAAGTGCAGATCTAGGCAGAATTCTTAATTTCAATGTGCACCAAATTTTTCATAAAATCAAACTACCAGGAGAGGTAAGGGGAAATTGCATTTGGCTTTGATCGAAACCGACAGTGGATTGCTTACCGTCTCAGGAAAATCAGCAGCAATTCTGTGTGGTGTTTGGGTCCACAGGGAGGTGCACCTCCATGGGTCCCCTAGATCCTCACAGGGAACTGACTCAAAGCCTGGTGTTGCACTGACCTCTCATTCCAACCACACCTTCTGCAGAGCCACGCCAAGCATTTATATGGGAAAATACATATTATTCTGTGCTAAATTACCTTCCTTTTATTTCTCTTTTATAATAGAGTTAGGGCATTATGTTGCTGTTGTTGTTGTTTTGAAATTCTATGTGCAGGTTTATTATTTAAATTTATTTTTAATTGAAAAATAAAAATTGTATGTATTTATCATGTACAACATGCAGTTTTGAAGTACATATAGATTGTGGAATGGCTAAATTGAGCTAATTAGCATGTGCATGCCCTCACATACTCGTCTTTTTTATGATAAAAACGGCATAGATAAAATCTATTCTCTTAGCAATTTTCAAGAAAACAATATGTTGTTATTTACTACGCAATAGACCTCTTAAGCTTGTTCTTTCTTTTTAACTGAAATTTTGTATTCTTTGATCAACCTCTCCCCATGCCTCCCCTCACAATAACCCATATAATAACACACATAGGTCAATGCTATGATCATCCCCATTTTACAAATGTGAAAAGGGAGACGCAGTTAAGCTTTGGTTCCCAGAAATGCAGCTTCATCTGGGACTGGGGAAGGTTCAGTTTTGGCCATGCAGGAAAAGCAGGGCTTAGCACAGTGACGGCCCCCACGTGGGCTAAGGCAGTGGTGCCACGGAGCCACGCGTTGCTCACTGTGTGTCCTGTGGCTGGTGGTACAGCCGCTCTCTGGCTTTAGTTTTCCCACCTATAAATAGGAATGGAGACAGCTACGCAGCAAACATAAACTGAGTAGAGCAAGCCGCACACAGGCGCCGCCACCCTGTGCTTTTCTCTATTGACTGAGCTAAGCCTCACAAGCACCCTGGGAGGTAGGCAGTATGAAGTTCCTGATTTTACAAATATGGAAACTGAGAGGGAGAGAAGTAAATGAGTCCATGGGGTAGCTGTGCAGATGACCTTGTAAAACGCATGAAGCAGTGCTTAGTGCAGGGCTGGCTCGCCCATTACAATGCATCTTATCCTAGCTTTGACGGCATCACTGCCTCCCGTTCTGAGCCCTGGCTTACCCTGTTCCACACAGGCCGGACGTATCACTTCATTTTCAAAACTGAATTTTTCACCTGGGATTTTGGAATTGCCTTGTTTACCTCTCAGGGCAGGGTAAGGATCCACTCACTGAAAGCCCACAGCAATGTGCCTGGCACCCGCCAGAAACTCGATGAGCTGGAATCACAGTGACTGCTGTAGCTTCCATGGCCGTGCTCGTCTTGGAGCAGGTGCTAACCCCCAGCATTGGCCAAGCAGAAATATGCAAACCCCACGGCTTGCTTTCCAGCCTTCAAGACAGCCCGGGGAGGAAAGAGGCCAGCACTCTGCATTCTGATGTTGGCTAAAACAAGCCTCGATTTTCAACGATACCCATTGTTTACTAAGTGCCTCCTATGTGCAGTGTCAGGAGAGGCTTGGAAAACAAATGACATTATTAATATTTGTCTTTATGCAAAAAAATCACTATTAGAAAAAACAGCAGCATAGACTGAACATGTTTTGACTTGAGAATGTGAGGGCACACCGGGCAAGTTCATCACGTTTCTTTTCTTGCTATGATTTACTATGAGCCCTAATTTACGTCATCGTTCAGAGAGAATCCCTATTTTACACAATCATATGAGTGCCCCTGCTCCCATGGCCCTGCTAAAAAACCCATCCAGGCACACCCCAGCAAGGATGAACAACTGCACGTTAACTCTGCTGTGGAAGGACTGTTGCTGTTTTCTATTGGAACTAAAAAGAGGAAGGTGCAGAAACAGTGTCCTGTGAATTCCGTCCAGAATTCACTTTGCTTCCTTGAGGGCGATGATGATTCAATCCATGGATTAAAGACGGCTAGGCTGCTTTTGAGAATCATTTTTAGCTCATTCTGTATATCATTGTATTTCCCAGTCTGGCACCGTGAACCATAAATAATCCTATCATTTATTAATTACATTTTCTAACCTAGTCAAGAAGAACCCTGCAGTGTGGAGCAGAGAATCATGAACGAATGGTTCGTTGAAAAGCAACTCTTATTGCCAAGTAGTTGTAAATTAGGATGTGATAATTACCCACTTTAACCTTTTTAAACAGGTTCCTCTAAAAAGCTCCAAGATGGATGTTTTATTATAGCAACTTTGACCTCCAACACACAACAACACAATTAGTTTTGCACCCTGACAAAGGGATGCTTTGATTAAAATCTGGTATACCACATTATTATAAGGTATTATCTGCATAGGTATTGAATGTGGGTGGATACACACGCACACATTATACATACACAATATTCACATATTACGTCCCACATCTATTTGAAGTATAGATCTAGCTAAGTCAAAAATAATGAATAAGTGAGGACTGTAATTACATGAAAAGCAGCCAGCTCCATCATCATAAACCATTATGAGCGGTGCTCCTGTGGAGTGTGCTGTCCCCTGCATCCTAACCCCACTGAACACCTCAGCTAATGTCACACAAAATGCAGAGACATTGCAAGGCAATGGGATCTGCTCAGCCCATGCATCACAACCAGGACCCAACACTGCCTTCCAGAGGCCCAGAGGCCCATGGTCCAGTGTAGACAGGACCACAGACACAGCCCTCCGGAAGCCCAAAGTCCCATCATCCAGTGTAGACAGGATTGAAGTCACAGCCTTCCAGAGGCCCAGAGTCCCAACATCCAGTGTAGACAGGACTGCAGTCACCGCCTTCCGGAGGCCCAGAGTCCCATCGTCCAGTGTAGACAGGACCACAGTCCTGAGACCCCATGGCACTCAATCTCGATGCTTTTGTGAATCCTCCCTCTGCCTTCGCCAGGTTGCCTGGTCCTTGACAAGGTGTTATGCTCACTTCCAAGCCCAGGGCAGGAGAGCTAGAGCCTCCATGCCTTCAGCAGCCTTGGTTCCCCAACCATACTCCCCGCACCACACTCTGCCTCAGCATCTGCCTACATCGTGCTTAAAAAACCCTCCCCCAAGGCCTACTATTTATTTTATGAAACAATGAAACCAAAGCAGAACATGCTAAAGCCCTGTGGAATAGGAGTGAGAGGGAATCAGAGTCTATGGAGGGCCCCAGGAGGAGAGGCTTCCAGGGAAGGAGGACTGAGATGAGAACCCATGGGAGCTGAGGGCCACCCTGAGCTCTTCCAGGAGCAGTACCTGGCTTCAGGGTAGGTCCCGCTCAGCCAGCCCCAGAGCCACTTGAGACCTCCGGTCTGCTCTGCTCTTACTAAGAGGGGATGACTGGGTGTGTTTTGTTTTGTTTGTTTGTTTTTAGGAAGTCAAAGGGGGGCTTGAGTTTCATAGCTGGGTCAATTTGCGATGGAATAAAGGCTGAATGATAGGTGTATTCACCTGTTTTCACATTGCTATGAAGAACTACCTGAGACTGGGCAATTTATAATGAAAAGAGGTTTAATTGACTCACAGTTCCACAGCCTGTACAGGAAGTATGACTGAGAGGCCTCAGGAAATTTACAATCATGGTAGAAGGTGAAGGGGAAGCAGCTGCATCTTACATGGCCAGAGCAGGAGGAAGAGAGCAAAGGGGGAGGTGCCACACACTTGTAAACAAGCAGATCTCCGGAGAACTCACTCACTAGTACAGGAGAACCTGCACTAGTCCCGCACAGGAGAACCTGCACTAGTCCCGCACAGGAGAACCTGCACTAGTCCTGTACAGGCTGATACAGTCTACTATCACAAGAATAGCAAGGAGGAAATCTGCCCTCATGAGCCAGTCAGCTCCCACCAAGCCCCTCCTCCAACATTGGGGATTACAATTCCAGTTGAGATTTGGGTGAGGACGCTGAGCCAAACCATATCAATAGGGAAAAAAATCCAAAAACTGAACAAATGTAGTAGGAGCATGAGTTGAAAACCAGACATGATACAAGAAAGTAAGCACCCAGGGGAGCCCCAGCTTTCACTGGGCACAGAGGGCAGCAGGCTGAGAAAAATCGCACCTAGCTCTCTGGGGGCTTGAAAGAGGTACTATCACCCTAACATAGGAAAGTGCCCTCCTGACACCTCACCCACGAACAAACCTGGGTCAGGAGAAACCGAGGCTGGCCCTTGCATGCGAACGCTGGGGCTGAGGCAGCTGGAGTCCCGCAAGTGCAGGAAGAGCACACGCACACAGGGCCAACCGAGGCACCCCCCAGACTTCGCTGTTCGGGAAAGCAACTTGGTAAAGTGTTAGGAGCCTTGAACGTGCTCATATCTCCTGTCACAGCAGCTTCACTTCTGAAGATCCACTCTTAGAAAATAATCCTTGATTCAAAGAGGTTCGCTGTAAGATGATTATAGTACCACAAACCACGTTAAGCGACTGAGTGCCCAGTCATAAAGCTGGGATAAGGGAATTCCACTGCAACGACATCCAGAAAGTTCTCCAGTCACTGAAACATGGTTGACCGAGAGCTTTAGTGACATGGGAAGACGTCTCCTGGAATGCGCTCATTCCATAACGCTCTAAGAAGAAACCAGGACACCAAAGTGAGGATCTCAGCACTGCAGAGTGACAATCACAGAAAGAGAAACAGACCTTTACTCTAGCTGTATGCTGCAGCTGTGTCCGCCATCACTGAGGAGTGCTCCTGCCAAGCTATACTTCATTTGTAACATAACCAGAATTACATTTAATATAAGAAAATAAGTTTTATTTTAAAAAGGGATCATGTACGTTTACAAGTGAAAGACCCAGAATCAGCCGTTGTATACATTTTTACCCTTCATCTTTTGAAGTTAGCAAAGGGCACAGTTGTTAGGCATATTTATTAACGGGACCATTCACAAGACTTCTAGCAGCAACATCTATGCAGATAATACCTTATAATAATGTGATATGCCAGATTTTAATCAAAGCATTGCCTTGTGAGGGTGCAAAACTAATTGTGTTGTTGTGTGTTGGAGGCCAAAGTTGCTGTAATAAAACATGTGTGGTGGCACAGCTATGAGGCGCACCGAGCTGACTGCTCTGCAGTCTCTATATGACTGTGGGTGTGCTTCTATGCATGTTTGTGTATATGCATACTTCCGTATGTTTATCTCTGCTAATGTTTATCTCTGTATATATACATTGTATATATATGTTAATATATGTATGTGTATATGTTTATGTGCGTGCATTCCAGATTCTTCCCTCAGCTTCCAGCTACATAATTTCAGAAACTAAGCTTTCCATCTAAATTTGTGATTTCATTGCCTGGGTAATTGATATGGTTTGGATTTGTGTCGCCACTCAAATCTCATCTCGAATTATAATCCCAATGTTAGAGGAGGGACCTGGTGAGAGGTGATTGGATCATGGACGTAGGTTTCCTCTTCCTGTTCTGGTGATAGTGAGTTCTCACGAGATCTGGTTGTTTCACAGTGTGTAGCACTTCCCCCTTCACTCTCTTCCTCCTGCTCTGGCCATGTGGAATATGCACCTGCCTCCCCTTTGCCTTCTGCCATGATTGTAAGTTTTCTGAGGCCTCCCCAGCCATGCTTCCTGTTCATCTATGGAACTATGAGTCAATTAAACCTCTTTTCTTTAAAAATTACCCAGTTTCAGGTAGTTCTTTACAACAATATGAGAACAGACTAGTAGAGTAATGGTATTTACTACTGAATGAATGGGAATTTAAAAAAACACAAAAAGTTAAAACCTAAATAGTTGAGCTAGTCCTGTACAGGTTGATACAGTCTACTCGATGTTTTCAATTTTGAAATAATTTTTATACCTACCACTTAAAAATGCATTACTGAGGATTTGGAATTTTATTCTGTTGATATTTTGATATGATGGTCAAATTAACTAACATGTAAGGAATTCTTCGTCTCCATGTCTAGAAGCAGGGCACTGAAGGGAATGCCTTCTGGTGTAAAAATCCACTGGAACTTTGATTAAACTTTTTTCAATATTATTACTTTTGACCTAATTGAAGCATAGAATCTCCCGTCTAAAGGAACATTTTGAGAAAGTTTAAAAACAACAAAATAGAAGAATTTGCAATGGAATAAATGTATTTTTAGCCTAAACAGCAGTTGACATTTCAGACAACACTATTATATCATCAGTAGCTTTCTTCTTTACCCATCGGGGCGTCTGTAATTATGTCATAATTCATATTTAATTGTTTCATCTGAAGACTGTTATCTCATTTCTTCATGATTGTCTTATTCTGGCTGTTTATATTTTTTCCTATTCACAATGTCATAATTTTCAGACTAAAATATTGAGCGTAGAAAATATAGTTTTGTTATAGTTGATATATGTATATGATTTAATTTTTAACTTTTTAAGAAAATCAAAATATAATAAAAAAATGTCTTGTGTCTTAACTATAGATTCCATCTGAATGCTTTAAAATGTCATCTTGCAGTGGGTATGTATAGCTATAGTTCCTTGTATAACAAATATTAAACACTTTTTTACAGGGTATGCTGTCAACTACTATTATAAATATTTCCAAATAAAAGAATAGAAGAAATTAAAAGACAGTCTACAGAAACTATAGTTTCTTGTGCACACCGAAGAACTAAAACCCAACATTTCCCCTGAGAAGTCAAAGCTCAATTGAAATAGCCTTCTTCTTTGGTAAGTAGTCATTTCAAAATTGTAACATGAATAGTTTTATACAATCATTTTGTGAAATGCAGAAGGACCATTAGCCCACAGTTTGGCCTTTGTTTAGACCTAACACTGGAGGAAAGTGAGTTTCAGTGAGGGAGAGAATTGCTGCCTTCTTGGTGAGAAAGTTTGATGAAGAGGGAGTGTCTCTTTTCGGGTTCTGGAACAGCGGCTGAGGCTGAGGTCATGGGATTGATCCATGCAAATCCATTTCTACATTCGGAAAACAACTTGAAATGATTCTTATTGATAAGTGAGTGCCAGTTCTCATTGAAAGAAGAGGGTTACCGAGGCTTCGTTCTAGTAAATGTTTCTGCAATGGGGGACAGAGGGTCAAGAGAGCCCTATGGGACAGTGTGTGACAATTTCCAGGGTGCAAATACTTCCAGAGTGGTTGATTTCAAGCCAGCATTGTGACATTCTTAAATGCCAAGGAGAGGAAAGGAGAGGGAAGGGGAGGGCAGGGAAGGGGAGGGGAGGGGAGGGGAGGAGTGCAAGAGCATGCCGTTATGCATGCAGCAGAGGTGCCACATAACACATCTAATCACCCCAGGAGCATGAACAGCAGTAAGGTGTAGCACACACACTAGCATAAGTTTTAAGAATGTGTTGCCTTTGTTTTTCATATCAGTTAAGTGTGCATTTAGAAAATTTTAATAATAACTGTGTACAACGAGGGGCTCATAAAAGTCCTGGAAACCCAGCAGTCAGTTCTCACGAGCTTTTGGAGCCCCCCAGCACTGCCATTTGGTGCCTCTCACCCTTAAACATGCCTGGCAGTCAAAAGGCACCAGGAATTTGAGGAAACATTGCTAGTAAGAAAGAGACCAAAACAAACAAACAAACAAAAAGAATAAACAGCAGAAAGAAACCTAGGCAGAGATCAGAAAAAATTTAAGCAAATTTTAAAATAATGAAACATTAATAATGTCAGAGAAAAGAGAAGATGCTGCACCTTGGTAACAAGAATACCCAAAAGTTACATTAAAAAAAAAAAATGGGCAAGGACTTCATGACTAAAACACCAAAAGCAATGGCAACAAAAGTCAAAACTGACAAATGAGATCTAATTAAACTAAAGAGCTTCTGCACAGCAAAAGAAACTACCATCAGAGTGAACAGGCAACCCACAGAATGGGAAAAAATGTTTGCAATCTACTCATCCGACAAAGGGCTAATATCCAGAATCTACAAAGAAGTCAAACAAATTTACAAGAAAAAAACAACCTCATCAAAAAGTGGGCAAAGGATATGAACAGACACTTCTCAAAAGAAGACATTTATGCAGCCAACAGACACATGAAAAAATGCTCATCATCACTGGCCATCAGAGAAATGCAAATCAAAACCACAATGAGACACCATCTCACAGCAGTTAGAATGGCGATCATTAAAAAGTCAGGAAACAACAGGTGCTGGAGAGGATGTGGAGAAATAGGAACACTTTTACACTGTTGGTGGGACTGTAAACTAGTTCAACCATTGTGGAAGACAGTGTGGCGATTCCTCAAGGATCTAGAACTAGAAATACCATTTGACCCAGCCATCCCATTAGTGGGTATATACCCAAAGGATTATAAATCATGCTGCTGTAAAGACACGTATGTTCTTTATATGAACACGTATGTTCATTGTGGCACTATTCACAATAGCAAAGACCTGGAACCATCCCAAATGTCCATCAATGATAGACTGAATTAAGAAAATGTGGCACATATACACCAAAGAATACTATGCAGCCATAAAAAAGGATGAGTTCATGTCCTTTGTAGGGACATGGATGAAGCTGGAAACCATCATTCTCAGCAAACTATTGCAAGGACAGAAATCCAAACACTGCATGTTCGCACTCATAGGTGGGAATTGAACAACGAGAACACTTGGACACAGGATGGGAACATCACACACTGGGGCCTGTCGTGGGGTGGCGGGAGTGGGGAGGGAAAGCATTAGGAGATATACCTAATGTAAATGACGAGTTAACGGGTGCAGCACACCAACATGGCACATGTATACATATGTAACAAACTTGCACGTTGTGCACATGTACCCTAGAACTTAAAGTATAATTTTAAAAAAAGGAAAAAAATGAGTTCTTAGAAATAAGATAACTGAAATTAAAAATATATGACTGAAATTAAAATTTTAATAGAAAAATTATTATCCTATTATACAGAAATTAGAGCAAAAGTCAACAAGATGCAAAACAGAGATAAAATTTTAAACATTAAATGATCTATACAAGAGAGATACTATTTGATTAGTACAAGTTTCAGAGAGAAGGAATAAAGAAAATGTCGATGAGGAATTTATAGAAGAATTCAGGAAAATTTTCCAGACTGAAGAATGTGAGTGCCTAGGCTGCAAAGGTTCACCCACATATAAATAATAGAAATAAGAAAGACCAGAGTTTTACAGCTTCTAGGTACTGAGAGCAAAAGAAAACCCTTTTCAAAAGCTTCCAAGGGAAGTGGGGAGAGGAAGAGTCCATCACAAAGGACCAGGAGTCACAATGGCGTGACATCGCCCCACCCTGGAGCCTCAACAATGAGGACCACACCTTCAAAACCTGAGGGGAACTATTCCAGATTTAACTGTCTATCCCCAACCAAACCCCCCAATTCAGCATGAAAGTAGGAAGTAAGATCATGATTTAAATTGCCATTTTCCACACACGCCTTCTTCAGAAAGTTAGTGAAGTCTCTAATTCACCAAAAGGCAGGCAAAACTATGAGTGGGCGAGACGGGGTCTGCTTGGTTTTATCTAAAAGTTATCAGACACGCTTCCAGTGACAACTACAGCCTCAGTCCCATTGCCCGAACAAAGGTAGATCAAGGAAATGAGGTCGAGGGCATGGAGTGGCTCAGCCATCCCAGGATGCTCCAGGAAGGGGCGTCCGCAGTGACAGGGCCGGTCCAGAAGAGGCAGCATCAGTCCAGGAGGACGCGGTGGCATCGCCGAGAAGGGATGAGAGGGCGAGTTGATCTAATATTTTGTATTTAAATTCCAAGAATTTAAGGATGAATTCGTAAAAAATATGCAGGAACTTAAGCAAATTGAATGAAACAATTATTAACTCCAGGGAAAACAAAAAGTTGTATAAGGAAAAACCTCAATCATTGGCTGTTACATGACCTGGCATAAATGGTAGGTAGAAGTAAAGACTATACATAATATAAAGACAGTGTTATCAATGTGACAAGTCACCAACAATCCACACGGTGTGGCCCAGGGTCATAGCTTCATCTAAAAGTTATCAGAGACACCTCAATGACACCTGCAGCCTCGGACCAGTCACCCTAACAAAGGTCTTTACCGTCAGGCACTGCTGCCCTCTTTAAAGGATCTGTTATTAGCCTTTTTGCCCAAGTCACACAGAGTTATGAACCTCAATCTAAAGGAGTTAGTTTGTTTTGGTGACACACAAGCTACTGTGACAGTCCTTTGAGGGGATTTTTGAAAAGGGCAGAGGAATTTGAGAGCTCCTCAGATGCCGCCAGGAATTCTTCTCTGTGAAACCCATGTTCCTGATGTTCAAATTAGCACCCATCTGGAATGTCACATCCGCCTCTGCTTAGACGAGGAATAGTGAAACCTATAGTCATGATAAAGATCATTCTTGCTTTTCCTTGTGTAGAAAAGAAGGAATGCTACCAGCTGAACTCCCACACAAAGCCATGTGCCAGGGCCAACAGGTGATACTTCAACAGCATCCAAAGAAGGTTGTAAAATTAGCAACCCTACAAATGAAATGTTGACTTCAGGGACCTAATGTTTTAGCTGGGGAAATAAATCCCCATGAAGCTAGCTTTCCAAAACAAGATTTTAAAAGGCCCACAAAATTACCACACCCCTCTCTGAACAGATTCCCAGGGAGCCCCAGCCCCTCAACAACCTCCCCTCCATTGTGACATTTCCGTTGTGAGGCTGTGTCGCCGCTGCGCGTCATCACGTGTCGATGGAGGCATCGCAATGCAACAGCCAAGTATCGGATCCGGCCTTCTTCAGCTCTCTGTTGTCTCCATCAGCTCCCCTGGGGGCACTGTGACATTTCCGCTGTGAGACTGTGTCGCCGCTGCGCGTCATCACGTGTCGATGGAGGCATCGCAATGCAACAGCCAAGTATGGGGTCTGGCCTTCTTTGGCTCTCCGTTGTCTCCGTCACCTCCCCTGTGGGTGCATGGGATGGGCTGTGAAGGGCTGTCTCAGTGTGCGGCAGGGAGTCAGGGCATCCAAAGGTCCAAGGGGACTTACTGAGTGACCTTGACCAAGGCCATGGAGCCCACTGCCTTGGGTTTTTCACTTGCCTGGGCAGGTAGACACACTCGGGAGGAGGTAGCAAAAATGATTCCTGAGCTTAAGTCAGCTATTACAAGGCTGTGTCTGGTTCTCCAGCTCTAGAGATGCCCAATGCACAAGACTCCCGATGGAAAGAGAATGCCGATGGAGTTGGGCTGCCAGGCCTTTTCTCCTAGGTTGCAGCACTGGTGGAGAGGAGAGGCATCTGGAGGAGGGGAGCCATGTCAAGCGCGTATGAGCACACACCTTCTCTCTCGGGTCCTGGGTTCCTTTTTGAGCCGTGGATGAGAAAATGAGAGGCGTAAACAGGACTGATTTCAAACGTTCTGCCTAACTATCATGGCAAAGAGAAGGAAGTCATCCCCTAGAGTGATGAACTAGCTTCTTCAGAACTTTCTTGGAATGAGAAGAAAATTTAATTAATCCAGGGTTATTAAATGGATTATTACTAATTATATTATTAAAATAGAAGAGTCAGTCTTTATTGCAATTTTTTCCTGGGAGACAGGTGCAGCGTCTTCCAGTGAAGAAGATGTGGCAGCCGCAGGGGCACAGGCGTCTCTGTACCTGCAGGACTTGGCTCTGTAGCCAGCAGTCACAGCTCTGGCAGAGCAAATGTGGTGTCCGAGGCCACAGAGGTCCCAGTCAACATTTGTCATGGTTGGCAAGACTCACAAAAGAAGAAATCTGAGTAGATGATGTGTGGTTATAGGAACGATTCGGGGAGCCACCGTTAATGATTGAGACCACTGACTTTTAAATTACATTTAACTGTAGTTTAAATTTATGTGACCCCAGCACAACATGATTTTGCTCTGGAGACAGTGTTGAGGCCAGAAATTAATTCTCCCTAGTGGACTGTCAAAGTGAGTATATAAAAGATAGAGTAAGTCAGTCAGCCCAACAGTGAATGCTGCTTTACTCAACCTGTTGCATTATTTTTCATTACCGTTATATATTATCTGATCTCTGCAAGCACCGAACATAGATGTAACTTCAGAAATAATTCATTTATCAAATATATTCAAAATAATAGAACAGTCATTGTTTTCAAATAGTATACTAATAGTAGTTCATTGAAATGATCAACATTTGAACCACCTTCAAATTAAAAGAGCCTTTGCAGACGTCTCCAAGAGTGTCTGTAATAAAAGAGAGGCAGGGCTTTTCCCAGGGAGGAAGATGAAAGCTCAGACTAATGAGGAGTCTTTGTTTGTCTCCCCATGATGAGTTTCATTTTTATGGTGACAAAAGGGAAAGCCTGCCTGTGATACCAGGATAAACAACCTGTAAATACAACAGTCCATTTGCTTTCACGGTTTCCAGATTTCTTTCCCAAAACGCGTGTGGCTGAGATGATGTGACTTAATGCTGTTGGCAATTTCAGAGCAAAAAGAAAAGTTTCCACGTGAGGCAGGTGTTGCCGCACAGTCTTGTGGGCAGGACGGGAGCATGTCTCTCCCCAGCATCTCAGCACCTGCTGTACGCAGAGATTGTGACTTTCTGATGAGATGTGCACTCACCTGCACTGGTACATCTAGACTTATTGCACTGAAAAGTCTAGAGTTTCTTTTAAACTATCAGCAAAGAGTTAAACATGGAAATCCAGGAGGAGCCCTTTACAGAAAGACATCAGCCTGAATGCCATGGCCTGATAACTTATAAATCATTAACTTAATGCTAAAGGTGTGAAGTTATTAATGCCTTATTAAAAGATGACTCTGTTTTCACTGGCCATGAACTCTTTTTTACTTTTATTTTTTTGAGATTGTCTCACTCTATCACCCCCAGGCTGGAGTGGGGTGGTGCGATCTCGGCTCACTGCAACCTCTGCCCCCAGGGTTCAAGTGGTTCTCCTGCCTCAGCCTCTTGAGTAGCTGAGATTACAGGTGTGTGTCACCTCGCCCGGCTAATTTCTGTATTTTTAGTAGGGATGGGGTTTCACCATGTTGCCCAGGCTAGTCTCAAACCCCTGCCTCGGCCTCCAAAAGTGCTGGGATTACAGGCGTGAGCCACCACTCCTGGCCTGCCATGAATAGTTAAGGCTATCCCCAAACATATTAATCACACTGCCACAAATCTAGAATGTTCCAGGCGTGGTTTCTGCCAAATGAACTTCCTCTTTTTCAATCTGCCTGCTGACCAATGAATGCATCAGGTCATCAGTCATTCAAGCCCCCCTGTACTTTGTGTAAGCAGAGTGCGTTTCCGGGGGCCATGCCACCCATAATTTCTTATGCCAGTGTCCTCATCCTCAATTCGCATTTCTAAGGTGTTTCCCACACAGGGAAGGGTCCTTTCCTGATCCTCCCAGGCTTCCTCCGGGCGACTTTCAAATGCATCCCACCTAAGGAGGATCAGCAGCACCCCACCTGCTGACTGGGGCCACGGAAGCACAAGATGTGGGAGACATGAGGGAGGCAGGGCCTCCTTGCCACTGCTGTTATCCTCTCTCTTCCTCACTCTCTCTCTGCCTCTCTCTCTCTCCCCCTCCCCCAGCCCCTTGTCTTTACCTCCTGCATCCAGCCGCATGAAGCCCTGCTCCTGCGTCTTGGTCAGTGGCTGCAATGGCTTCCAGGCCTGTGTTCCCGGCTCTGGACACTTCCCCTGAGCCCCTCCCCATGTGCCACCATCACTGGAGCAATTTTCCTGGAAAT
Organism: Homo sapiens; assembly: GCF_000001405.40. Lineage (NCBI taxonomy): Eukaryota > Metazoa > Chordata > Mammalia > Primates > Hominidae > Homo > Homo sapiens. The sequence goes on along the minus strand of NC_000013.11, from coordinate 111,600,221 downwards.
AGGATTCGGATGCCTGAAAGTCGACTGCAGGTCCTCCTGGCTCTTCCAGCCGACCCCTGCTGGGCTTCCTCCCACCCACTCCACTTTGCCACAGAGTCACCCTCCACCCCACTGGCCCTGCCCATCACTCACACAGCTCCCTGTTTCTTCCCCACCACAGAACTTACTTGTGTTCCTGGACACACCACGTTCACTCCCGACCCCCGGGAGGTTGTCTCTCCACTAGGAAGTCCATTCCACACCCGCCAGGAACAGACCCAGCCTGCCACCCCCGAGCCCTCCCAAGGCCACGCCTGCCCCTTCTCCCTCACACCACTGTAGTCGTGCTGTGACCTTGGGGCTCCTTCTGACCTCTAAGCTTGTCCTTTCTGTCACTGGCTGCACACCATGCCATGTCCCTTATGGATGTACAGAGTCATGGGACACCGCCCCCGCTGGGTGGCCAAGTCCACGCCAGGAACGCAGATGGGCTCTGCTAATGTGGGCAGCAAGAAGGGACCAGCAGAGGCTGATACTGAGCCTGGATCTGTTCTGCGAGTGTCCATCTGAGCGTGCATGGAAGGAAAGCATTCATGCTAGGAATGGATTCCCAAAGGGACCACTTTCTCACCTTTCCGGCTGGTTTGAAATGTTTTGAATATTTTGAAAGATGCTTGTAGGCCACACCTTGCTGACTGGCAACAAATGTGTGGTGTCCTCGGCGAAGATCGATGATTCAAAAGCAGCTGTCGTGACATGGCACTGCTCCCCACCAACACACCGATTAAATAAACATAATTCCTTACCATCTATTTCATTATGTTATTAGGAGGGACTTGGATGGAGCCCTGAGTGTTTGGCTGTCTTTTAACTTGGATGGAGGCCTCACAGCCTGAATTTTGACCAAGCCATGGGCACACTTTCCTTGCAAAATAAGTAATACTTAAGTCCAGTTAACATGCTACACACTAAATACGCGGTGAGATATCGGGGCCCTGTGTGTTCTACATAAGAAGGGCCAGCCCTGGATTGCTTTTGGAGCTGTGCCCACGCCTTCACATTCATTATTCATTTGATATCACAACATTCGTTTTCCATGTAAAGAACAGAGGTCCAGAGAAGGTAGTGCCCCTGCAGGCTCACACAGCTGTGGAGAGCAAAGCTGGAGGTCCCCCGCCTTCTGCTCACAGACTCACGCCCTCTCCACCATCCCATAGCCCCTACACAATATCAAGCCCCACTGCAGGAAATGCAGCTTTTTCTAGTCCACGGTTGACCGAGCCACTCCTGTTTCCAAGCCCTTCTGCCCACCCTGTTCTAGGAAGCGCCTCCTACACAATGCCCAGACAGGAAATTGCCAGGCAGAGATGCTTCAGCTTCAGAGCTCCAGGTTGGAGGGAGGGAAACTCAGCCACAGGCAGCCATGAGCACGTGAATGACAAAGTCACCAGCTCACCCACCTGGTCCGTCTGAGTGTCAACTGAGCTGGGCAGGTAAGCATTTAGAAAATGCACCCTTAGGCAAAAATCCACAGGTGTACTTATTAAGAGGATGTCCTCAGACCAAGAAAACAGTATCAACCTCACCCAGTCTGCATGTCCTTTGCCACCAGGGACAAGAAGAAATGAAATACCTGACCTTAGGGGCTTCATCATCCCATGCCAAAAGCACTCAAGTGGGGAGAAAACCCATCAGCACTGGTTGTGACAAGATGTGAGTGTCCGGGCCCTCCTGCCAAGGGAAGCGGGCCAACTGGGACCCGGGGTGGGTCCAGGTCCATGCTGTGCTCAGCCTGCTGCTGACCCATCACAGCCTCTTTGATGGGGTGAGCCCCCCAGGTGCACGGTTAACGTGGAATATTGATCCCATCCATTTGCATGTATCTGGCAGCAGTGAATGGGTAAATTGACAACTCTGTTATTTGACTCCGGGAAGAATGTAACAGGAGCATCTTCAGGAGCACATCAGAAATATTTGAAGCCAACATGCCTGCCCCTGAGAACAGGGCCATATGTCAGGATATTTTCAGGGTATATGAAGTTTGGAGCTGCTGCTTGTAAGTGCATTGACCCCTTCTCACCATTAAACACTAACGGGGACCAGGCTTTTGTCAACAATAACTCTAGGAGGGACTGGAGAGCAAGAGCAGGAGAGAAAGGAAAAAGAATGGAGACCACACGTGTGGAAGAAAGAGCGAAGAGGAAAACAGAAGGGAGAGGAGGGCGGGAGCTCAGGGTTGTCGGTGACAGGAAAGGAAACGCGCCACCCTCCCTGCAGGAAGCCACCCTGGTGCCTGGAGGAATCTGGAGAGCCAGCCCAGAATGTGGAGGGTGCAGGGCCTCAGGGGCACGCAGCTGACACCTCCCGCAGGGTCACGTCAGGGGCTACTCGGAGGACGGCGTTTGGGGTGATGGCAGCATCACTACCTCCTGCACCAGGAACTGTTCCCAGTGGCCTCATGTTACCAGACAACTGCTCGAGGCCCAGCTTCACGCCATGGGGGCATCACTGACACCTGCTCCGTCAGCCTACATCCACAGTCACTGGTGACTGCAATCAAAATTAATCATAAAACCCTTAAAATGGCTGAATCTCATTCCTCCCAGGCTGGATGAGAGTGAACAGGGGACGGGGGCCAGCACCAGGGCCAGTCCACCTCCTGGAAATCACTAATTGACAAGGAGCCGGGTGCCCCTTGACAGACCTCTGTGAAGCAAAAGCTTCTATTCCCAGATTCAATGCAAACCAAGCCTGAGGCCAAGGATTCTGGACAGGCAGTGGAGCATGTGGCCAGGGCGGTTTATTCTGGGGGCCGGCGGAGGGCCAGCCTGCTCCGCCTTCATTCTGGGTTCATGCGGCCATTCCCCCTCGGTTCCGGGAGCATCCACAGATTGCATATCAGTGACATCGCCACAAATGTAATGAGCAGAGGAAATTGATGGCAGCTCAAGTAAATTACAGTTTAAAAGACAAGGGAGGTCCCCAGAGACGGCCAACAAAGGGGAACTCAGCTGACCAGGCCCAGGTAAAATTGAATTGGAAATGTTCCCTGCCTGATTAGCATGACAACAGTTCCAGTGTTTAAAGAAAAAAAAAAAAGTCATTCTCTTTAAATGAAAAGGAGGGGGCAGAAGCCCATCTTCCCACAAACACAGTTATCTTTAATAATGTCCAGTCTAAGGTAGGTCAGAACTGCGCTATAAACAACATTCTGCAGAGAATGGGCTCTTAAATAATCCCCTCTCAATCCACATATTTTCCCTTTTTATTTGGACAGGAACTGACCTCTTTATATATGTGTGCAGACACAAACAGATACACACACATGCACATATAAAATTTTCACTTTAGGGAGGACTGAAGGTGAGCTTGGCCTGTAGCTACTAAGAATTGAATTCTCTTTCCATTTCTTGCTTCCACAGGGAGCCTGGGGTCTCCCTCCCATCAGTGTGGGTCATGCTTTCCCTTCACAGACATATTTCTTCCAGTTTGGTGTGATGGAAACAGCTCTGGTTGTAAATATTAGCTGGGAGTAGGTTTAGCTGGAAGTAACAGCAGCAAAACCCTGAGGGACAAGTGACTTCAACCCAACAAGAGCTTATTTCTCCTCCCAGGAAGGAGCGCAGAGCAGGAGGGCCAGGGAGGTCCTGGGGCATCAGAGACCAGGCTGCTCCCTCAAGGGATGCCTCACGACCTGTAATGGCATCTGTCATGCTGGTGCTCCCAATGGCTGGTAGGCACAGCTGAGGGATGAAGAAGAGCACATTTCATGCCTTTCCAGAGCTGTTCAGGTTTGATCTTATGAGCTAGAAAGTAGGCACGTGGTCGACAGCCACTGCTGCAGAGGCTGGGAAATGCAACCTTTATCGTGGACAGCTCAGCTTGAATTTGGGGTTCTGTGACCCAGGGAGACAGGGAAGTGGACATGGTGGCCCTGCCAGCACACTCTCCTGCAGTGTGAGAACTAGAGAACATTCTCTCATGCTCACCGAGTGACACGTTCCACCAAAGCGTCTTCATACGAAAAGGGGAAGACCGTCTGCATGGTCCTGAAGCGTTCCCCAGAACCCCTTTCTCAACCGGTGTCCACCCGACCACAGCCACATCCACGGCACTCATCCACAGATTCTCCCCCACCACGGAGCTCCACACCCTCTCCTGCCCTACATCCCTGTGCAAGCCCTGTTTCTTCCACCTTAGAGATGGCCCCTCGCTGCCATCGTCCTCCACACGCTGCCACCACAGCCTGGCTCCTGCTTCCTAAAGGTTCATCACCACTGCTCCCCACAGGCAGGCCAGAGGGTGGCCCTGACCTGGGTTTCTATGACACTTCGTCTCCCGCTTGTTTAGTCAATAGTTATGGTCCTGTGACATGCACTCAGCTCCACCTGGGTGCTAATAAATAAACCTGTGTGATGCCAGTGCAGAAAGCAGGTCATGCGGCAGGCCTGGAGCTGAAACCCGCAGGAAGGCCTGCAAGGGTGGCCCTGCGCTGGCATCTGGGAACCTGGGTTTTGGAAGGGTTTCCACCATTCTCTGCTAAGAGGGGCTCTTTGTGCAAACAGTGTGGTTGATGTGGAATACCTGCTTTCCTTCTGGGAGTCTGGAATCTTGGGGTGTGCTGAGCAGACGGTGCCTGTGTGACAAGCCCCCAATAAAAACCCTGGACATGCAGCCTCTAAGGAGCTCCCCTGGTAGAAGACACTTCATATCACACTCACTTCAATGCTGTCACGCCCCCCCCAGTGCTGTCACGGTGCAGTGCTGTCACAGTCCAGTGCTGTCACTCACTGCAGGAAAACCCTTCACATGCTGTCAACCCCCTCCAGTGCTGTCACACCCCCTCCAGTGCTGTCACACCTCCTCCAGTGCTGTCACTCACTCCAGTGCTGTCACACCCCCTCCAGTGTTGTCACACCCCTCCAGTGCTGTCACACCCCCTCCAGTGTTGTCACACTCACTCCAGTGCTGTCACACCCCCTCCAGTGCTGTCACACTCACTCCAGTGCTGTCACACCCCCTCCAGTGCTGTCACACTCACTGCAGGGGAAACAAAGCACATCCCTGTGACTACACTAGGAGGGGGGCCTGGAAGCCTGTGCCTGTCTCCCCCACACACCTTCCCTCTTTGCTGAGTGTGCCCTGCATCCTTTTGCTGTAAAAAGCCACAGTCGTGAGTGCGATGGAACCCTGGGTTCTCTGAGTCCTCCTGGAGAATCATAGAACCTGGGGTGGCCTGAGGGACTCCCGACAGTCCCTATCCTCAGAGAATTCACAGGGGAGAGTGTAGGGTGACAGACGCCACAACACAGTGACCTAAGTGTGAGTCGTGAGCTCAGTGTTGTTGGAAGGTGAGATGGAGACTCGCTGGGGATAGCGAGTTTGCAGGTTGGGACGGGGTGGTCTGGAGGGTGGATGGGATGGAGGGGAGACTTAGGCCAGAGGAGCAGCAGGCCCAAATGTACCGTGTTCAAACACAAGGTGCATGGGAGCCAAGCCTGATGGAGGCCTGCAAACATTTAGAGTATCTAGAGGGTAGGGCACATGAGAGCCGTGGCAGGATGAAGGAGATGGTAAGCGGGGCAGTCCTGCCGCCCCTCCCTCACCAAGCTGAGGCACCCAGGTTGCACACAGGGTTCAGATGGTGGCACCAGGCATTGTACTCCAACGTGGGTGGGCAGGGGGGCGCACATGGTGGGAAGGACCACCAGCCCCTGGCCTGTCCCCAAGTTCCTCCCATCTCTAGCTCCTCCTCACCCATCTTAACCCCTTCTAGGAGATGGCTCTGCTTTACGGCTGTAGCCTTCCTCACTGAATATAAACGTAAAAAGTGGATTCTGTTCTTTCTGTTGAGTGTCATCAATGTGAGTGGTCCAGGACACTCAGTCAGAGACCACGGACTAGCTCTCAGATTTCACTTGATCTTAGCCAAAAGGCCGAGAAGCGATAGGCTCTCAGATTTCAAATGGAAGCTCAGGTCACTCGTTAGTAGTCAAATAAAACTACTCTCACCAGAAACGTAAAGAGCTTTTACTTCTCTAATTATTTATATCAATTCTTTGTTTCAAAGGCTAGTGAATTTTGGCTTGCCTTCAAATGCCTCACTAATAGTAAAAGAAAGTTGCATGAAAAAATGCTCATGATCACTGGTCACCAGAGAAATGCAAATCAAAACCACAATGAGATACCATCTCACACCAGAAAGAATGGCTATCATTAAAAAGCCAGGAAACAACAGGTGCTGGAGAGGATGTAGAGAAATAGGAACACTTTTACACTGTTGGTGGGAGTATAAACTAGTTCAACCATTGTGGAAGACAGTGTGGTGATTCCTCAAGGATCTAGAACTAGAAATATCATTTGACCCAGCGATCCCTTTACTGGGTATTACCCAAAGGATTATAAATCATGCTACTATAAAGACACATGCACACGTATGTTTATTGTGGCACTATTCACAATAGCAGAAACTTGGAACCAACCCAAATGTCCATCAATGATATACTAGATTAAGAAAATGTGGCACATATACACCATGGAATACTATGCAGCCACGAAAAAGGATGAGTTCATGTCCTTTGCAGGGATATGGATGCAGCTGGAAACCATCATTCTGAGCAAACTATCACAAGGACAAAAAACCAAACACCGCATGTTCTCACTCATAGGTGGGAGTTGAAAAATGAGAACACTTGGACACAGGAAGGGGAACATCACACACTGGGGCCTGTCATGGGGTGGGTGGCTGGGGGAGGGATAGCACTAGGAGAAATACCTAACGTAAATGACGAGTTAATGGGTGCAGCACACCAACATGGCATATGTATACCTATGTAACAACCTGCACATTGTGCACATGTACCCTAGAACTTAAAGTATAATAAAAAAAATTTAAAAAAAAGAAAGTTGCTTTGAGGCACACTCAATTCTGAGCCTGCCTCAGTAGCCCCCATGATCTGATCTTGAACACAGATGTTTAAAAATGTGTCCTTGTGTCAGACACCAGTTCCCAGCACACAGCAACCAACGACTCTGAGAGCAAATCCTTGCTTCTGCCTTAGGGCACACTGGTCCTGGGCTTAGCCATCCCCACATGTTAACCATCTAATCCGCACAGGAGCCCGATCTGACGGATGACTCATCGGCTCCTTATTGAAAACACTGAGGATCAGAGATGCTAAGTCGGCTCCTTGAGGTCACACATCTTAAAAGTCACAGGGCTAAAATGGTAGCCCACATTATTTTAGCTCCTGAGCCTGTAGCCACTGTAGCATTATAAATTTTTAATAAATATTCAAAGACTCCAAAAATGAATGAGTCCCCAAATATCTTTAAACACGTATTTTACTCTAAAAGTAATTAAGATTATTTTTGTTTTCAGTTATATTTAAAACTTAGTTTTGATTACAATATATAACTTGCTGCAATGAGGTAACAGAACCAACAACTTGAAACTCTATTTTTGCTGTCTCTATTTTGCTATTTTTGCTATCTTCACACATTCTACAGTTTGCCAGTTGTAACTTTATTCCTGTTTAACAGTTCAAAGTTCCACTTTGACCTTTTTGTATCTAAAGAGTCAAAATAGACTCTTTAAAAATCTAATCTGAAGTTTTTCCATCTAAAATAGATTCAAAAGATTGATTTTTTCTATCTAGAGTCAAAATAGAGAAAAAAGAAAGGAACTATAGCTGAAGGCCAGTTGGTTTCATTTCATGACACAATCAATTAACGAGAACCCATGATCTGGAACAGTGTTTCTGGATCACTGGCACACACAGGTCACCCTCTAGAGCAGCACTGTCCGCTAAAACTTTGTGGTGGTGACAATGTCCACACCTGCTCTATCCAATATGGCAGCTCCCAGTCCCCACTCTGGATCACTGCTACACACAGGTCACCCTCTAGAGCAGCACTGTCCACTAAAAGCTTCTGTGATGGTGACAATGTCCACACCCGCTCTATCCAATATGGCGGCTCCCAGTCCCCACTCTGGATCACTGCTACACACAGGTCACCCTCTAGAGCAGCACTGTCCACTAAAAGCTTCTGTGATGGTGACAATGTCCACACCCGCTCTATCCAATATGGCGGCTCCAGTCCCCACTCTGGATCACTGCTACACACAGGTCACCCTCTAGAGCAGCACTGTCCACTAAAAGCTTCTGTGATGGTGACAATGTCCACACCCGCTCTATCCAATATGGCGGCTCCCAGTCCCCACTCTGGATCACTGCTACACACAGGTCACCCTCTAGAGCAGCACTGTCCACTAAAAGCTTCTGTGATGGTGACAATGTCCACACCCGCTCTATCCAATATGGCGGCTCCCAGTCCCCACTCTGGATCACTGCTACACACAGGTCACCCTCTAGAGCAGCACTGTCCACTAAAAGCTTCTGTGATGGTGACAATGTCCACACCCGCTCTATCCAATATGGCAGCTCCCAGTCCCCACTCTGGATCACTGCTACACACAGGTCACCTTCTAGAGCAGCACTGTCCACTAAAAGCTTCTGTGATGGTGACAATGTCCATACCCGCTCTATCCAATATGGCAGCTCCCAGTCCCCACCGTGGATCACTGGCACACACATGTCACCCTCTAGAGCGGCACTGTCCACTAAAAGCTTCTGTGATGGTGATAATGTCCATACACGCTCTATCCAATGTGGTGGCTCCCAGTCCCCACGTGGCATTTTGAGCACTTAAAATGTGGCTAACAAGAATTAGGAACTAAAATTTTAATTAATTTAAATTAACAGCCACAGGCAATGAGGTGCTAGCATATTGGATACTACAGCTCTGCAGGAATAATCCAGATTAAAAGATTTGTATGAGTAAATACTGATTTGCAATAACATCTTTACCCAACCACATGGCTGCAATTGTCTATGTCCTTAAAACTGAATCTTAAATGATAGATATAACCAATGCTTGTGAACATTGATTTATCCTTCTGCTTAACAATGGGCCCTTGTTCCCGTCGTGAGGCAGTCCCAACCCATCAGCAGGGCAAGTGTGGAGTTGGAGACGATGAAAGGGTGGGAAATGAAGAAAAATCGAGAACTGAGAAGTCAGCAAAAAAGCAAAAATAGAAAAATAACGAAGAAATAAAAGAACAAGAGGGAAAGTGAAACAAAAGGAAAGAGGAGATGGTCGGTGGTGTTGCCAACTGCCCCAGCAGTTGCCAGGCTGAACCGCGCGGCAAGGGCGGAGCAGCCAGGTGCTGATCCTGGGCGGGCTCTTCGTCAGCCGCTGGGGAGGGAGGACGAACAAGAGACAGACAGCCCAAGGGCACACAGCCTCGGAACTGCAGATGTGCAAGCCATTATCAAAATGCCATGCAGTGAGGGTCCTGTCTTTGGAGCAGAGAGACAGGGCAAGGAGCTGAGCACACGGACAGAGGTCAATTGAAGGCCTCGGAAGTGTAGTCAGAGATGTGGAGTGAACACTTGCCTTTCAGCCTGAATCTCTCACAGAGCACAAATGTGATTTTCTCAGTTGGCTGTCCTCACTGTCCTTTCAAAGGTCACACACCCAAACATCACCTCCCTGGAACTGCACCTGGAACTTGCTTCCACCACCTACCCATCCACTCCACCACCTACCCGTCCACTCCACCTGTCCGTCCACTCCACCACCTGTCCGTCCTCTCCAACATCTATCCGTCCTCTCCAACAGTTGTCTGTCCACTCCATCACCTGTCCGTCTACTCCACCACCTGTCCATCCACTCCACCACCTGTCCGTCCACTCCACCACCTGTCCATCCACTCCACCACCTGTCCATCCACTCCACCGCCTATCCATTCACTCCACTGTCTATTCATCCACTCCACTACCTATCTGTCCCTCCATCGCCTATCTATCCCTCTATTACTGTTCATCCGTCCACTCCACTGCCTGATCGTCTCTCCATAACCTATTTGTCTGCTTTGTAGCCCATTCTTCTGCTCTGTCACCTATCCATTCATCCACTCCATCAACTGTCCATCCATCCACTCCATTGCCTATCCATCCACTCCATCACCTATCCATCCACTCCATCACATATCCATCCCTCCATCGCCTATCCATCCATCCAGTCCATCATCTATCATTCCACATCATTCGCTCCATTGCTTACCCAACCATTCCGTTGCCTACCCATCCCTCCATCGCCATTCATCTGCTCTGTCATCTATCCATCCATCCCTTTTGTCACCTATCCATCCATCTACTCCATTGCTTATTCATTGGCTCTTAACCCTTTACAGCTATCCAAATTGTACATTTAACATTTTCTACAAGGAATCCTTTACATATGCATTTAATGGTGACTAAAAATATCATTCAACTTGGCACATTAATAAATTCACAGACCTAAAGAGTTGTCAGACCATGTGTCCTGTGAGATGTTTCAGGAGAAGTTTTGAGCTGTGTTTGCTATCTCCTCTGTTTCAGGCTTAGTCTCACCAATTGCCCCAGAACCAGCTCCCCTCCTGACAGTCACATTCTCCATACATGAGGTACAGTGATGTGCCTGCCCTGCGCTCAGGGACAGGTGTACCTGCCAGCCTCTGCAGGGTATTGGCTAGAGTCAGCATCTGGGTGTCCAGTGCTGCCCAAAGTTGTCATGTCCAGCTGAATACACAAGACCTTCTGACCTCACTCAGGGTCCAGGCAGCCCACTTGCTGCTGGTTTCCAGCTGCTCCCATTTCTCAGGCACTGGGCTTCACTTCACTGGAGCTGTGCTCCCAGCTGACCTGATCCTGAAGGTCAGCTTTGGTCACTCTGCACCTGCTGGTGCTGGGTGTCTACCACAGGCTGTGCTCCTAGGCCTGGCGGGGTCTTCCTAGGTCAGTCTGTCCCCACACTCGCTCACTGTGGCGGGGGTATGACTGTCCTTCAAGGCTCAAAGCTTCTCTGGTCTGCATTCTCCAGTACTTAGGTTAACTGATCTACACTAAACCAAAATAGATGGCAGAATACAAGATCTGGCAACTTTTTTTCAGGTTTGTGAATTTATCCACATGCAAAGTTGCACGACGTTTTCTCTATCTTAAATGCATATGCAATGGATTCTTTACAGAAAATACTAAATGGTGTAAATTAAGATAGCTGTAAATAAACTAGGATGCACCAATGACCGTCCTTTACAGCCAATCAGTTTCTGATTTAATGTCTTCTATTGAACACTGTTCTTTCCTCTTCGTCTGTCCTGCGAAGCTCATCACTTTGCACCTGTATTATTGCCACTGGCCTTTTGCTTCACCCTCGCCAGACCCACCCCAGACATCCTGTCCCCTCTCTGCCATTGTTAACTCGTCCTTCTGAAATTTTTATTGCGGTTTTGGTGGGGAGAGTTTATAGCACTGTGGCTGGCAGTAGCTCTCAGGGCCCCAGACTGATGGTCGACACCTGGTACTTGGCTAAGATGCTTGGAGTAAATTACTCAAACTGCTTTAGGCCTTGGTGTGCTTATCCGGCAATGAGATCAGGAGTTCTCCATAAGAGGACTAAACTCCACGAAGAACACAGCACCCGGTGCAAGGTGAGACTATGAGGACACCTCCCTCCCTACAGAGCTGCATGGTCAAACTCTCACCTCTCAGGCTCGCTCACTTCCACTAGGCCCAGAACAAAACATGGTGCGTGGAAAGCACAGGCATCGGCTGTGAGCGTTTGTATTTGAGCTGGAGTACCACCTGCAGCATGGCAGAAGTCAAGCCTTCCTCAGCCAACAGGTTCTACTCTGATTCAGCAGATGTCACAGACTTAACCACCCAAAGGCACATTCCCTCCCAGATACGCTGAGATGTCCGGAACTCCTCATCCATGCCACAGACCTGCGTCTCCTCCCGGCTGTGAGGTGTGGCTTATTCCATAGAGTGGCGACGGGGCCAGTCCACATACCTTCTCTTCTCTTGCACTCACAAAAGTTCAGGAACATGACATCAACCAGGTGATCACAGGGTACAGCCAGACACACAAATATAACTAGCACCAGTCAGTGCTCTGGGCTGAATGGTGTCCCGCAAATTCACAGGTTGAAGCCTTAACCCCCAGTACCTCAGATTGCCCTTATCTGGAAATAAGGTCATTGTGATGTAATTAAGGTACGATGTGGTCATTCTCACATAGGGTGTGGGTCCTAGTCCAATATGGCTGGACACAGAGAAGAGGCCCTGGGGAGTGACTGTGTGAGGACTGCAGTGGTGCTGCCCAGCCAGGGAACCCCAGAAGCCTTAGAGACATGGGGATAGATCCTCCCTGGTGCCCTCAGAGAGACCATGACCCTGCCAGCACCTTGATCTCAGGCTTCTGGCTTCCAAAACTGTAAGAGGACACGTTTCTGTTGTTCTAACCAACCCAGTATGCAGTACTTTGTTATGGCAGCAGTAGGACATGAAAGCAGCCAAGAGCCTTAAGGCTATCTATGGTCTGCCATCTACATAGGATCTGTCCTGTGGAATAAAGTACGGAGCTTTACCTCTGATCGTTTTATTCCCATCTGGTTTCTGTCTGAATCACAGCCTGACCTACCTTTGCATCTTCCAGGGTGATTAGCCCAGGAATGGTCAAGTGAGAGTTGTTCATAAATATTTGTAGTTTTTTTTTAAGCAGGATGCTTTATCCAAATAATTTATCATAAATCTCTTTTAAGAGCAAGTTCCCTGGGACATTTGGAAACATGATTTGATGTCCAAGCATCCGTGAATAGCAATTCTCCATGAAGCTGTGTTCGCTGCACCCACTCTGCGGGAGGAGGAAGCAGCTGGGTGCCGCCCCGTCCCACGGGCTTTTAGGAGGGGTGCATGCGGACGCCAGCGGCAGTGGTGCGTTGAGCCAGCTGTTGTTGCCGCCGGCAGATTGTGGCATATCACTGCCATAATTAATCCCGTATTTTTGTAGCTGAAGCCACAATACTCATTTCAGGATAGAGTGAGAGCAAGGCGAGCCTATCTGTACCTGTAAATGAATGATATCATTATTTTGGGAAATGAAAGTTTAAGCTCTGTGAAACACACAATCCCATGGCGATCTCAGCAGAGGAACTTGTGCGCACAGGTGTTCAACGTGATAAGGTGCGTTGCCATTTATCTGTGTACTTGCAGACAAATATTAACATAGTCATGAATTAAGCTTTTAATCCCTTTTATTATAAATTGAATATCTTTATTTTAACAAACATCAACAATGCACGATTGTCCTCCACGCTATTCATTGCTATTCCCCGCAGCATGCCAGTACACGATACGCCGAAATACACGTGTTTCCAGAATGGCCGGCACCTGCCTGAGTGTTCCGTAGCATGATTCATTCTTTCTTCCCCTTCTGAACAAAGACGCTCTCTCACAAAGACACTGTTCATACAGGGAAAGAGGACCGCGGCTCTGTGTTGTGTCCTGGAAGTCTGGGAACATGTTTCATGTTAGAGACATTTGTCACAGACCGAGTTTTTACTTCTTTGAAACTTGAAAGGAATTTGATTCAGGTGCTGGGGTGAGAATGGCAAACCTAGGCTTGGTGAGCGGGTGCCCAGCCAGGGCTTCTGTTTGGGGGCAAAGTCTGGTTCTCGTCCCCATTTGCTGGAGCTTCCTGGGCCAAGTTCTACAGCGGCATGGCGGGGTCATATGGAGATCAGAGGCAGAAGGAGGGACAGACAGGCCTCCCCAAGGCCCCTTAGTCACAGGGACCAGGTCACTACAACCGGCATCCCCAGGGCATCGGCGTGTGCAAGTGACCGGCTGGAGCCTGCAAAGTGCAAACGTGCACGAGAGAAACTCCGACTTCAAGGAGGGACGCGAGCGCGGAGGGAGAGGACGGGACCCGAATGGTTTCGGCGGAGCGCAAGGCGAGCGCAGAGGGAGAGGATGAGAACCGAATGGTTCCGGCGCAGTGCAGGGCACGAGGAAGAACGTAATGCAGGCGTGAGGGATCAGGATGGGAGAAGCCAACCCTGATGTCAGGGATGCAAGCAGGTCTTAGGTCTAGAAAACAGTGTCTTGAGGCCAGTGAACATGCCAACACGTCAACAGGAAAGGAGGCGCCCACAGCATGTTTGTCCCAGAAGGGACTTTGTGGAACTGATCTTTACATTTCAATTTATTTATTTATTTATTTATTTATTGAGACAGAGTCTTGCTCTTGTCGCCCAGGCTGGAGTGCAATGGCGCGATCTCAGTTCACAGCAACCTCCACCTCCCAGGTTCAAGTGATTCTCCTTCCTCAGCCTCCCAAGTAGCTGGGATTACAGGTGTGCACCACCACACCTGGCTAATTTTTGTATTTTTAGTAGATATGTAGTTTCACCATGTTGGCCAGGCTGGTATTGAACTCCTGATCTCAGGTGATCTGCCTGCCTCGGCTTCCTAAAGTGCTGGGATTACAGGCATGAGCCACCGCATGCGGCCTACATTTGAATTTTTAACCTGATGTTTCAGAGAGGACAGGCGGATATACTCTTCCCTCTCCCCCACACACAGCCCCTGAGGTGACGCGGAAGGGAAGTCCCTGGGCACAGCACCTGTCAGCCTCTCACCTCGCTTTACAGTTGCTTTACTGCCATGTCCATGATGACACAGGGCGAGGAAGTGGATGGCTCGTGATGGAGCCAACCTTCCCAGAAAACAGCACAGCACCTGCAAGCACCAGCCGACTGTGTAAAGAAGGTGTAGGTGGGCGCAACAGCTCATGCCTGTGATCCCAGCACTTTGGGAGGCTGAGGCAGGAGGATCGCTGGAGCCCAGGAGTTCAAGACCAGGTTGGGCAACATAACCAGACCCCTTATCTATAAAAAGTACAAAAATTAGCCAGCTGTGGTGGTTCCAGCTACTCGGAGGTGGTCCCAGCTACTTGGAGTCTGAGGTGGGAGGATCACTTACATCCAGGAGATAGAGGCTGAAGTGAGCCATAATCATGCCACTGGACTCCAGCCTGGGTGACAGAGCAAGACCCTGTCTCAATAAACAGATGATGTTTGCCAGCAAAGCCTCGAGCACTTTCAGATGATGTTGCTTTTGAAGGGCGGTGGCTGCTCAGAAGGCACACTAGTTGTTCAAGTGGTTCTATTCCTCATGGCCCTGGTGAGGCTTGGATTTATAAATGATATGTCGGGCTTTGCCGTTTTAAAGGGCCTTTATTAAAACGTGTGAGATGTGTACGTGCTGTACACGGTGAGTATGGAGAGGAAGATAGATTTCCTGTCATTATTCCAGCCACGGGCCTGAGGCACAGCGCTGTGAAATGATGCTCCAGAATGGGAGACATTGGAAAGGAGAATAAGAAGAGCGACCACCCGATATAGCAGCTCCAGCCTGAAGTTCCCTTCTTCTATTTTAAACACTTTTTCCTTCTCTGCGCTCGAAAGAATGTTATTCCTCCAGTTAATATGATTCATCAGAAGCTTCATGTTTGCCAGATGAAACGGAAAGGATGTTTCTCCAACAATGTTACCTAGAGATCTAGTTTAATCTATAAAAAGACAAATGCTGAAAATAAATTCTGATGGCATGAATAAGGTGTAGCTAAAGAGGGACGTGGAGGATGCCATGAGCATGCAGTTTGTTTAAAAGCTTATATCTTGTTTAAACAATTCAGAGTAATTTTCATTATCCCCAAAAGCCTTCTGATTGTTTTATTCCTTCAAATGCTACCTATTTAAATAATTTTTCTTGCTTTACATATGGCGCGACATTATTAGCTCCAAAAAGTGTTTGTGTGACGTCTCGCATGCAATCCTCCAGGCTCGGCAATCTGCTGAGAGGCTAACATTGTCATAACAACGTCTTTCTCCTACAACACATCAGCGCTCCAGGCAGCGTGCTAGGGAAAACAAATCCCACCAAGGCAAACACAGCCCCAGGCTCCAGAAGAGGTGCGCGCAGCCCGCCAGTGTCTGGCTCTATCGCGGGACTGGGGCGGTGGCAGCGGGGTGGAATCACGGGCTGACGTCTCCCATAAACGTCCCACCCACAGGCCCTGGACAGTGACAAATGGCCCTCAGGGTGGGGCGGGTGCTGGAGAAAGCCATGGGGTGTTGTCACGGGGTTCACATTACTCACTGCAGGAAAGGGCGGTGGTTCTAAACAGGACTACCAAGAAATAAAAGAATGTCGATCTTGCTCAGAGTAGTGATTTTATTGTCACTTCATGTGTGGGGTTTGAAAAGCTCAGCACTGGGAAGGCCCTTATTTTGAGCGCTCTGCTGAACTGGGAGAGGACAGAGCAGCGGGGCCTTGAACGTGCTCTCCACCTGAGCCACGTGGCCTTGGGCCCAAGCAGCTTCTCTGTGCAAAGGTCACCCCTGCCCCATTCTATAAAAAACAGAATTCTGTGTTAAATGCACGCCTCACACTTTACTAATAGGTTCTGTCTTGAAACTAACCCACAAACAGAGCAAGCCTTTACATTATAAATCTTAATGTACAACCTGGTGCTTTTTCATTAATTACTTATGATGGAGCACACATTTGCTCTTGCCTCGATTTTGTCCTTGGGTTCATGATGACAAAATCACGCTTAGTTCTTCCCCTACACTCAGATCTGCATTGGTGCGAAAAATTCAGGCATCAAGACTGTTTCCTGCATTGCTGCCTCAACTCTCTAACTGTGTGGAATGCAAACGTTATTTTATTTATTTACTTGGGTTGACTCTGGTACTTCAAGTTAAAAAAAAAATCATATCCTCTTTCTATTTTCTCTCCTGCTCTGCTACTAAAGTAATTTCTCAAAGTTGTCAGATGCTTCTTCTTAGAAAATTCCTGTTTTTCCCAGTTCTATGGACCAAACACTGAAGGAAAACAGAAGAGTCTTTGAGGCCAGTGGTCCGTGTAACTCCTCGATAGTTCCATAACTCTAAGCTTCCCCTCTTCCAGTGATAAAGAATTTATCACAATTGTTCTCTTTGTGTAATAACTCACCTCTCATACAAATCTTAAAGCTACAAAAATCTCACCATGTACCTAAAACTGTTTATCTCCTGAGATCTGTCTCTCCTTCAGAACCCACCCTCCTGCGACACCCAGAACACTTCCAGGAAGGACAGGGGTGTGGTATAAGGCGTGGAATCTCCTGCTTCTCTTCATAGAACCGAGTAAACATTTTACAAAGAAACAAAAGCCACAAAGAAAACATCATCAACATGACGGCACCAAGAACGCATCTCACGTATTGAGAAATGTTGGTCAAACAATGAAACTGGTGAATCTGAGTGAAAATTCAGAAATCAGGCTCACCTGCCGACCTTTCCAGGAGAGCCATTTGCTGAAGCAGATGGTAAAGAAATCTTGGGCAATCCCCTGATCCCTGACTCTGTAAGCACTAAGATCCCAGATGCAGAAGAACAGAGGAAGGCGTGTCAGTCCCCACCCCAGGGAAAGCACAGCAGCTGGGGGGCCTGGGCTACACCAGGGGTCTCTTGAGTTGTGCACAGTGAGAGAAGTGACATTGTCACAGTGATGCAGGACAAACGGCAGATATCAGGGTATCTTGCTAAAGGAGATGTGCCCCCAACTTTGAGAACTCATCCCAGCACTGATGGTTGAGCAACTAGGGAAGCACCCCAGATGCCAGGCTTCTGCCCCCTCTACACTCCTGGGACACAGGACGTGCGTCAGGGACTGGAACTCCATGGAGGGGCTGCAGAAAGGATGAGATGGGGCCTCCGAGGACAGGAATGGGGCCACAGAGAATCACCCACTTCAACACTGGGGCCAACAGCAATCTTGGACCTCTCCAATTCAAAGGTAAGAGAAGGACAAAAAGATTATTGTGAACATATGCAAAAATTTTACTGCCCAAAAAAACAAAGATTATAGCATGCAAAAGAGACGATGCACGTACCACGAAATACCATTCACTCCACAAACCAAATTTCATAAAACAGCTTTATACTCAAGGGAACTAGGAAAATAATGAATTTTTAAGACAAGAGATATCATGTGAGATGATATGCAGAGAAAATGAGGAGAAAAGCAAGCTGAAATGCTAAAGCAAGCTTGTCCAACCCATGGCCCACTGGCCACATGCAGCCCAGGATGGCTTTAAATGTGGCCCAACACAGATGCATAGACTTTCTTAAAACAAGATGGGATTGTTTTGTGATTTTTTTCTTTTTCTTTTTTCTTTGCTCATCAGCTATTGTTAGTGTATTTTATGTGTGGCCCTAGGCAATTCTTCTTCCAGTGTGGCTCAGAGAAGCCAAAAGATTGGACACCACTGTGCTGAAGGAAGAAATTAGAGAGCTAGATATGCTCAGTAGCCTACGATAGGAACCACAGAGAGCAGAACAGGGGTTGCCGAAAGCCGCATCTCTGGTGGTGACACCAGCCCAAGGCAGACACACGGCAAATACAGAGGAAAGGCGAAGAGAAAAACCAGTTCGAGGAAAGGTGAGGCATACGGGGAAAGACAGAGGAATGCCACAACCACATAGTTTTCACAAAAAAGGATCCAAAAATGAAAGGAAAACTGGCCAGGTGCAGTGGCTCACGCCTGTAATCCCTACACTTTGGGAGGCCAAAGCAGGTGGATCACCTGAGGTCAGGAGTTTGAGACCAGCCCAGCCAACATGGTGAAACCCCGTCTCTACTAAAAACATACAAAAAAATTAGCTGGGTGTGGTGGTGCGCGCCTGTAATCCCAGCTACTTGGGAGGCTGAGGAAGGAGAATTGCTTAAACCTGGGAGGAAGAGGTTGCAGTGAGCCAAGATTGTATCACTGCGCTCCAGCCTGGGTGACAGAGCAAGACTCTCTCTCAAAAAAAAAAAAAAAAAAAGAAAGAAAGAAAGAAAAAGGAAAAGAAAAGAAAAGAAAACTACTCAGTTATTTGTAGAAACTAATAAACTAAGTAAGACCTGCAATTTCCAATAATGTTCCCTGCACCAGAGAAAAATATGTTTTTAATCAACACAATTTGTATCAAGTGGATCTACAGGCAGAATTAGACACCTTACAAAAGAAAACAAATGCACCTCATGCATGTTAAAGAGAAGAGGCTGACACACAGGAGTATTTCTCATCCCCACGTCTTGCCAAAATGAGGACAACACAAGCAAGCAAACCAGTCACGACCACCACAAACCCCACATGGGCAGGAGCAGTGGGTGAAGCATGACTGCTTGCAGAGTCCGGAAGCCCCAGGCCAGACGCACACAAACGGTAGGTACACAAGGCAGCTCGTGTTCTGTGTGGAGCTGTGCTGGCCATGGTAGGGGCCATTAACCATATATGCCCATTGAAAGTGAAGTTTCGATTAATTAACATTAAATAAAACTTAAAATATAGTTCCTAAGCTGCATCAGCCCCAGACTGTGGAGCGGCCCCCACGTTGGGGGTGCAGACAGGCCAGCTGTCCCCTGCAAATTGTTCTATGGACAGATCAGCCAGGGGGTGGGCAGATGCCCCTCACTGCCCCACTCCCTCCCTGCAAGTCTGCACACTCCCCTTTTCCACCACCCTCACCTCTGGGCTTTATCCTCCAAATGGGAGCAGAATGGAATTTCAGACATTATTTCCAGGGACAACTTCCAAAAAGAAAGGTAAAGGAGGGAAGTGTCCTGATTGCACCCTGTTTAGAAACGTAGACTCTTTCTCTGGCAAATCCTGCTTGTGTTCTTGGGCCTGAATTTGGTCCCATAAATATTCCTAAAGCAATCAGTGGCAAGAAAATAGGATTATTACTAATGGCTTGGGTGCTAGAAGGTAATGGGTCAGTACCTTCAAAATCATGATAAAAATTTATCTCTATTCTATACCTTATTAATAAATGATTAATCAAAGTAGAGACAGACAAAGATATTTAAGACTCATGAGCATTCAGGAAATTTACTTCCCATGCCTTCTTTCTGAGGAAGCCACTGCAGGATGCGCTCCCACAAAACAAGAGAGCAAAGCTCCAAAGGAAATAACGTGGGGTCGCAGAAGCTTCATTATCTCAAGCAAAATGTAAGATCCAAAAGTGGTTTAATTCTCAAACTCTTAATGCCTGAGTAAAATTGTAACTTTTCTCTGCCTGGGTGTACAGCATAGTTCCTTAAACAGCCAATATCCTGAATAGTCTGAGGCCGTCCATGTGCCCTTCCACCAGGGCAGTTCTAGGGCTGCTCAGGCCACAGCTCCTTTCAGCAACTCCCCCTCCGTCCTTCAGGGTCACTGCAATGGGGACATTTTTTCATTCAAAGGGGCTAGCAGAGCACTTTGCACATTGTTGGTCTTAACTTTTTTTTAATTCAAGTAACAAGAATAGGTGTTACTTTTCTGATGAAAAAAATAACTTTCAAGTCAAAGCAGTGTCGAGTTATATATCCCCAAAAATGGAAAGCAGGGACCCCAATAGATACTTGTCTGCCCACGTTCACAGCAGCATTATTCTCAACAGCCAAGAGACAGAAACAATCCATGTTCATCACAGATGAATGGATGGACAAAACGTGGCGTGTACATACCTTAGAATAAACACTCAGTCTTAAAAAGGGAATGAAATTCTGATTCACGCTACAGTGTGGATGAACTTTGAGGGCATTATGCTATGTGAAGTAAGCCAGTCACAAAAGGACAGATACAGTACGATCCCACTCATATGAGGTCCCTCGAGTTGCCCCATTCATGGAGACAGAAGGTAGAATGGGGGCTGCCAGGGGCTGGGGGCCAGGGAAGGGAATGAATGTTTAATGGGTGCAGAGCTTCAGTCTGAGATAGTGAAAAGTTCTGGAGATCGATGGAAGTGATGGTTGGACAATGTAAATATACTTAATGCCACTGAACTGTATGCTTAAAAATGGTTAAAGTGGTTAATTTTATTTTGTGTATATTTACCACAGTAAAAATCACTAAAAAAAAAAAAAAAAAAATCAGAGCAATGAGTCTGCTCTGACAGTAGTTTCAAATGTAGCCTTAAGAAGTCACTTAACTTCTTTGGGCCCCAGATAGCAAAAAGCTAGTTTGAGACAAGCCTATTTGTATTATATATGTTAAAGCAGCAGAACCAATTTTGTGTGTGGGTGTGTGTGTGTGTGTGTGGGTGCGTGAAATCTGATGCACACACCCTAAAACACTAGGCTGCTGTTGCTATGACCGGCTGCGGCAGTTCCGTGTGGACCACGAGGCCAGGTCAGAGCTTCTCTGATCACATCAGCCCCCCGACACACCCAGGAGATTCACTGAATACAGTTTAAAAGCCACGGAAAAGTGTTATCAGTTCAGACTCCTTCACTTCCAAATATTTATGACTTCATCATTTATTCCATGCTAAGAATGAAAAACATCTAATAAAGAACCTACTCATGGCTGGGCGTGGTGGCTCATGCCTGTAATGCCAACACTTTGGAAGGCCGAGGTGGGCAGATCACCTGAGGTCAGGAGTTCAAGACCAGACTGGCCAACAGGATGAAACCCTGTCTCTACTAAAAATACCAAATATTAGCTGGGTGTGGTGGTGGACACCTGTAATCCCAACTACTCGGGAGGCTGAGGCAGGAGAATCGCTTGAATCCGGGAGGCGGAGGTTGCAGTGAGCCGAGATCACATCATTTCACTCATACCTGGACGACAAGAGCGAAACTCCATCTCGAAACGAAACAAAACCAAACCAAAAACAAACCGAAAAAAAAGAAACTACTCATGAATAGACAGCAACACCCAAGGACAGCACTCTGGCACCTCATGCTACCCACAGCACCTACCAAGAAGATAATTAATCAACCCTGTCCTCGCCTGTTTAATGTCTGGCTGCCCAGGGAAAATGCATGCACCACAGTATCGGATCTCGCCTGCACCTGTCTTTCCAGCACAGCATAGCCCTTAGCTCTGCCCCCAGGCACATGGTGGAACCACACTTCCTGACTCCCTTGTGTGCGGGGGACACATGTATAATTCAAGCCAACGGACTGCGAGTGAAAATAACCCCCGTCAACTCCAGCCCACAGCACTGAACTGCTGCTGGAGGGAGGTCTTCCAGAACTCCCATTCTCTCATTCCACAACCAGCAATTTCCAGACAGTGTGTTGTGGGGTACGGGTGGAGGACAGGGCCCAGCCGAAACTCGGGGTCTGCATTGTGTGTGTGAGCGATGACTGCTGTGTCAGGCCGCTGAGACCGGGGCTGCGGTGGCCTCACCTAGCTGAGCTTTCCCTGACCACTCTGTCCCCAGTGCCTGGGACACAGCGTGCACCCTGATGTGTGCCCAGTGAATGAATGGATATATATGAGTATGTTGTAATAACATGAAGTCTAGAATGGGGCTATCCTATCCAAACATACCTGATGAGCTAATTATTACCATCTGGATGATGTGCAGCACCCATTAGCAATTCAAGAGTCTATACTCCTGAGAGTCCAGCTATTGTGATCTCACCCATCCCTAGGACCGACCACCACGGGTGAGAGCCACCTGACTGACATCCTTGCCTTTGTCAAAAGCCTAGGTAGGGAGAGATCTGAAACCAGGGGCCCTCAGAGAGAAGCAGTAGGGTAGGTGATAGCAGGAGTGAAGGCCCGATTCGCATGAGACTGGGAGCCTCCCTACACACATGCTCTTATTAAACTGGGTCTTCCCTAAGTCAGGTCTGTTACTATTTAGTTTCAGCATCCACACCAGTGGAGGGGGATGGGGAGCAGCTGCCATGAGCAGAGTCCACAGTGTAAGGACACAGCCCAGCAGCTTCCAGAGATCATTTTCCTCTCTATTTAAAGTGTCTGTTCCACTCCACTCTGCTGACTCCAGAGGTCGGCAGCCAAATGTGGTCGAGACTACATGAAAGTATTTTATGCCACATGTGTGCCGGGGCAGCATCTACTAAAATGCAGATAACAGCCCTGAGATCATGGGCGCAGGCTGATCCCTGAAGCATTCCCTGATGGAGCAGAATTAATTAAAAATCACAGGCTAAATAAACCACCCCGGGAAGATTATCTCCCTTCATAATTGAATTGTGAACTCTGACGCTGGCAAGTTCAACTGTCTTAAATTAATGAACCCTGTCTGGTGGGATCACGGGCCCTTTTTAAAAGGGAAATAAGTCCCCTCCTCAATGGTGAGCTTCATGCTCCTACTCATATTATTTGCTGTGTTTCACCATTTGCTTTTTTACGATTAAAAGTCTGTACCTCCCAGGATAATATTCTCCATGAAAAGTGTGCAAGAGCGTAGGTACAACTCTAGATGGCTGTTATATTCCTGATCATTCTGAGAACTCAGATTGGAATAAAACATAGATATGTGGGCCTGATGCAGTGGCTCACATCTGTAATCACAACACTTCGGGAGGCTGAGGGAGGCGGATCACTTGAGCCCAGAAGTTTGAGACCAACCCAGGCAATATGGCAAGACCCATCTCTACAAAAAAAATACAAAAAAAAAAAAAAGCCGGGCATGGTGGCATGGACCTGTAGTCTCAGCTATTCAGGAGGCCAAGGTGGGAGGATTGCTTGAGCCTGGGAGGTCGAGGCTGCAGTGAGCCATGATCGTGCCACTGCATTCCAGCCTGGGTGACAGTGTGAGCCCCCATCTCAAAAAAAACAAAAACAGAAAAAAAACTCAAAACATATTTACAGTCTTTATTGGTTTATCCACAATTTTTGCATATGTGGCAATAATTCAGTGTGGGCTAAGTTATATGTATTCAATGTTAAAACACTAGTCGTGATTGCATTCAAAATCTGCTCCTGGATACACATCGAGCGGCAACATGGCAGCGCCATTCTTTTGCTGAATCACATGATAATTTCTACGGGGTGAACACAGGAACATTTTTAACGTCGTACACTTTCGGATGCCCAGCCCATGTGTGTTCTCCTCATTCTGTCTGCTAGAGACTGGTAGGGCAAGTATTTCCTATTGCAGATAATTTGGTTACCTTGTCACAAACAAGGACTTGATTTATTCAAAAATTGAGTATGACATTATTGATAGCTCATCAGCATGATGCAGTTGGCTTAGAATTAATGATCTCCTACAGCAAGTTAACTCATTCTGTCGTCATTTGTCTCAGAAGCTCCACAAGACATAGCATTTTTCGAAGCTGCTATACAAGAAATTTACCTTCCTTTTTCTCCTAATGGCTGAGGTGAGCACTTGTTTTAAAAGTTGCTGGGTTTTTATTTTCCCCTCAAGCTCCAATAATTGCAGCCATGCTGAACTGCACTAGAATTTCAAAGCCTTCATCAATGGCTGGTCAGCAATAGAACCCAGTGCAAACAGAGACATGCCCCACAGCCTCCATTAGGACCTGAGTGTGCCTCCCTAACGCTCAGCCGAAGCCCTAATCTCCAGTGTGATTTGAAGATGGGGCCTTTGGGAGGTAATTATGGTTGGATGAGGTCATGCTGCTGGAGCCCTCATGACAGGATTAGTGCTTCTACAAGCAGAGACATCAAAGAGCTCTCTCTCTCCTCCCCCTACCCCCATATGAGGACACAGTGAAAAGGTGGCCATCTGCAGTCCTGAAGCAGGGTCGTCACCAGAACCTGGCATGCTGGGACTCAGGCTTCCAGAACGGTGAGAAGTCAGTTTCCGGTGTTCAAGCCCCATCTCCAGTGTTCTTCAATGGCAGCTCAAGCTAAGGCCACGTTTACAGGCAGCTCCCACTGCCCCACTATCCCAGGTCCCCGTTTTGATCTGGGGACCAGAGAGAAGATGGGAACTGGAGTAGAAGAGGTATTGCAGCAGTAACAGGGTGCCAACCGCATGGTGTTGCTGAGGAACGGGGCCTCACGGTTGGCAGAGCTTCCCAGCAGCTCTGGGCTCTTTCGCCGAGTAGTCCATGCGGTAGCCAGCAGTGAGCCTGGGGTGGGAGCCTGTCCCACCCCTTCTTGGGGGTCCTGTTTGAAGCGCTTCTTGACTTGAGCCTCTGTGGTCATGATGGGGGACCATGTGGCTAGAAACTCAGACCCCAGACCCCAGGCCTTGGACTCTGCCTATGGTTGGGGTCCTGTAATTCTGGTCTACAGGGGCTGAGCCACACTCGTCTCTATATTCTGGGCTCCTTCCTTACGGATGATTGTTAAGTCACATTAGAAAGTAATTTTTCTATCTCATCCACCATCTGCTGTGCATTTTTAGGTAATACCATCTCAGATAGCATCTTTGCTAGTGCACAAGTGGGTTTGTATTTATATTTACATATTTATCACATACTGATGCTCATATCATGCCTATGTATGTGTGTATATAAAGATGCATGTATGTCTACATCCACATGCATATAACTTATCAGTGTAATGGGCTATGGAGCCAGGTTCAACTCACCTATTCCAGATCTTCATCACTTCCCAAGGATGATCGTAAACCATGTCTAGTTGTGACATTCTATATTGATATAATCCAATTATAATCAGTTATCTCCTCAGTTTACTTCTAAAGATGCTTTTATCGTTTCTTGGAGAAGCAGTTATTGAGTCCCTACATGTAGGAAATACTGTGCTACACTATGGGGGATTAAAGGAAGACCCAGATATGGAGTGGGACGCACATCACGGAGAAACGGGTCAACAAACAGGCACTCACTGTCACATGCGGTCAAATCCCATCATCCAAAAGTAAAAGCAGACTGGAAGTTCAATTTATTCCTCGTATGAAGACTGAAGAGCAAATTCTCCTGTGGGTCCTCATAAAAAGAGGGTGGCCAGGATGCCAAGAGTCATCCTCACAGTGGTGATGAGGACAGCTTTCAAGAGCTGTTCCTCGTGGTGCCCTTTAACACGGGGGCACTGCTAAACCTACAACACTGCAATGAAGGCTACACGAAAGGGTTTCCAAAATAATTTTCCACGTTTCTGGTCTGGTTGAGGGCCAGATGTACACGTCCTTCAACAAGCTTTGTGATTTGTTTCAGCAACGTGTTGGTAAGCATCAGGCAGCAGCATTTTCGGGCAGTGGGTTGAGAGTTCCCACTGCCCGAACAGAGCCTGCCAGGAAGCAACTTCAGGTTGCTATGAGGGGAGAGCCAGTCTTAAAACTTGAGAAAGTTACATTTGTCTTATCTGAGTTCCTTTTTCAGGCAACCAAGCATCAGACCTCCCAGGTAGTATCAAGGAGCTGAAACTCCCCAGACCATCTCATCTGGACAATGAGATGCCAGACCCCTCACCATTATGATCGCCTAAGGAAACACCTACTTCCTGTCGACCACTCCTCTTCCTTACCCCTCCCTAATTCCTCTTTGGTTACATTTCTTTCCTGCTATATAAACCCCTAGTCAGTCAGGGAGATGGATTTGAGACTGAGCTCCCGTCTCCTCAGCTGCAGCACCCGATGAAAGCCTTCTTCCCTGGCAGGGCTCATTGTCTCCGTCATCGGCTTTCTGTGCAATGAGCAGCAGGGCCTAGACCGAACCCCTGGTGTTCCCATATCATTTCCTTAACAAGAGTGTCTTCCCAGCATGCAGGGCAGAGTGAGGCCCACCAGCCCAGGAGACCACCCAGATCAGGGCACTTTGCTCCTTTACCACTCCAAGCACCTAACGAGGGCTGCCAGATTCGAAAGATAATTTTCAGGATGCCTGGCTCTGTGTGAATGTCAGATTTAAGTACGTCCTGTGGGGACACAACTGCTAAAATGTCCTTTGTTGTTTATCCAATCTCAAGTTTATCAGTGTTTCCTGTACGTTTGCGGGCAGCCCCACATCTAATGTCTGACTGTACACCACAAGCACCACTTTTAAGAGCCCAGTTACTGCCCGTGTCTGTCACATGAGCCTCCTGCTGAGGCCACTTTCCCCAGCAATGACAGGGCCAAGAAATAAGCCACCCACAAGGCTTACTTCAAAAGGAAAAAAAAATAGGGGCTTCAGGCTATGTTCACATTAAACCTACAACTGTGCCATCAGCAAATTAAAATCAATTGAAATCAATTTAGCCGGGATACAGTCTCCCTCCCCGGCTGGGGCTCATCTGCGGCACTAACAGCTCGCAGCGATGAAACAGGTGCTTGTAAATTAATTAGCCTACTGAAACACACCTTAAAATGAATTTCCCAGAACTCCCTGGCAGGGAGCCATCCCGGCCCCACGAGCTGATCAGCGTCTGTAAATATTGAGATTTGATAAAGTACGGCTGCTCTGGCAGCAGATGGCTGGGGACGGTCTGTTGACACGGCTGCGATTACTTGTGTATGAAGACTTCACTCCGCAGGCCTCCTCTGGGAGCTGGGGAGGACCCGAGCCCCTCTGCAGCCATTTGCCTCCTAATTGAAAATCCTTATTCCCAGATGGAGCCGAACGCGCTTCTGCCGGCACTGCGCGCCGAGCCGCTTGACTGTTGATACACGGGTAATTGCTTTCAGTAATGCAGGTTAAATGTGACATTTAGTGCTTAATAAAAATTATCAAGGCCAAAGCCGTTTATCATTCTTACACTTTGGGCTGTCACTTCTAAGGGGATTCTCAATTCATTTGAATTATTGAGAATGAGTCGGGTGACTTCACTGCAAAGCCACTGCAGCCACAACTTAACTTGAAGATTTCTTCCTTTCTTTTTTTTTTCTTTTTTTTGTACTTTTACAAGATTTGTTGTTAACAAAAAAGGATTCCAAATTAACCTATGGAGTGCTGCAACCCTCTTCCTTTGTGTTCAGTGGGCTGGTAAGACAGAATCAGTGCCACCAGGTCCACAGAGTGTTCAAAGCAGATGTGAGGCTCTGCTCCTTCTGTGCGGGGTGTGGAGTCACCCCTACAAACAGCATGAAGAAGTGAACCCAGGGAGAAAGAGACGGTGGGTTGGTGTCAGTTGATATCAACCACACACATTTTAAATAGAGAAGAAATTGTCATTTAGATCAAGGGCTTGAGGTTCCTCACTGTAATTCTTTTGTGCCAACAATGAAAGCAAGTTGATAACTGGCCTTTAAGAGAAGCCACTTTCTAGATAAAAAGGGGCCCCAGAAAAGAGCACCTGAGCCCTTATGAGCTTTCCCGGCAGAGCTTCCAGAACATACCAGTGATCCCGATGGGCCACAAAAGTGGCAGAGCTCTGGGCTGCTTTGGAGGAGCAGGAATCCTGGGGGAAGCAGCTACACTGGGACTCGTGGCTGCCAGGCCAACTTGAGTGTCCAGTCCCCCTCCAGCTCCTTCCTGATATACGCCACAGCGTTGAAGTCGAGTAGACCTAGTTTGGCCCCAGTACATTTGTTCTACCCCTTGAGGCCCCAGGAAGGGATGTGGCAGAAGGCAAAGGCCAGGAGTCTCTGAGACAGGTTTGAAAATCAGGGCTAAGCCACACAAGGCATTCAGCAATGCATAACTACAATTGTCTAGTTTTTCAAGCAGTACTTTTCAGCTTAGATGTTTTTAGGTGGTGCATGTTTACTAGGGAAAACTTGAAACATTTCAAAAAGTACAAAGAAGAAAATGAACTTACTGAGAATCTCGTCATCTGTGTAGACTTTGCCGTGCCTGCCTTCTGCACCCCCTCTGGGCAGGTAGATAGTTGGAGGGTTGAGGTGGATGTCCATTTGGAACGTAGCGTAACTCATTTAGTCACCGCCAGTTTCACAGTTGTTGTTTTTGTTTTTGCTTGAATTTGTTGTACACGTCTTTTCATGCCTTGCTATAGTCTAAACAATAATTTTTAATGGCTAAACAATATATGGTGCTTTGTGCATTTGTTCTAATTTACGTGTTTTAAAGTGAACAGTTAGGCTGTATTTATTTATTTATTTTAGATGGAGCCTCCCTCTGTCGCCCAGGCTAGAGTGCAGTGGCACAATATGGATCTCCTGACCTCGTAATCCACCCGCCTCAGCCTCCCAAAGTGCTGGGATTACAGGTGTGAGCCACCACGCACTGCCAGCTGTTTTTCATTTTTAACCATTATAAATAACGCTGACTGTATCGCTTTATAAATTTGTGCATATTCTTGCTTCTCTTTTTACAGTGTATTTTCTTCTTACAACATAAGACAAGAAATTGCTACATCCAAAGGGAACAAATATTTACATTTTGTAAGACACTTAAAGCCAAATTTCACTCCAAAATATTCAAACCAGCCATGATTCCTGTTGCTAATGTGGCATTGTACCCATTTCCTCTGCCTCCCCAGCACTGGCAATGGTCAGATTTTTTTCCTTGACAATTTAGTGGATAATAAATGGCATCTCATTTTAGTCAGTGATTAACTACTAGAGAGGCTGAGTGTCCTGGATTTACTAGCAATCTCTATTTCTGCTTTTCTGCATTGTTTCTGTATTGGGTCATACATGCCATAGCTGACATCTCTGTTGCAAATGTTTTTGCCTAGTTTGTCATTTTAGGTTAATTTGTATCTACCTTGAGAAGACACAGAAATATTTCTTTGTTGTTGTTGTTGTCGAATCTGCCAAACCTGCTTTATGTTTACTCCTTTTTTATTAATAAAAGCCTCCACACCCCAATATTATATAAATAGCCATCTGTATTTTTTCTCACTGTATAATTTTTTTAACATTTATTCTTTCAATCTGTCATAGTTTATATATATATATATAGTAAATGAAAGTTCATGACCTAACTTTCGTATATATATATATGGAGTTAGGTCATGAACTTTCATTTACCTTATATTTAACCAACTATACCTGCATTCTATATTGAATAATTCTCTTCCTCGATGATTGAAATATTGCATTTGTCATATGGTAACTATACATTTGGGTCCACTTGGGGATTTTCTTTTATGGCCTTTTGCTATGTCCATCTGCTGTCTTAGTTATTATAGCTTATAGTATGTTTGCATATCTGCTGTTGTAAATATTTAATGGGTTTTTATATGTTTCTTTTTTATTATCAATGTATTACATATAAAATTTAGAATTATTTTATCATGTTCCAAGAAAAGCCCCATTGCTATTTTGATAGGAATTGGCTTACACCTCCTATAAATTGCTTGAGAGAGGTGGGATCTTTACAGTATTGAACTTTCCCCACAGAGGCAGGGCGTGTCCTTCCAACCATTCACATCTTTTTTCTTTCTCCTTACAGTAGAGTTTCATTATTTTCTTTAGTTGGATCCTATGCAGCTCTTGTCACATTAATTTTTAGGTAAACGTTTGCAGCTGTAGCTCTGAGAGGAAGACTTTCCCGATTATGATTTCTAACTACCATTGCTGTATAATAACATGATCCATCTTTGAACATTCATTTTGTGACTAGCCACCTCTACTCTGTGATTATTCTAACAGCTTTTCAGTTGACTCTCTTGGGTTTTCTAGGTAGGCAATCTCAATCTGAAAATAACGATGTTTCCTCCTCTCTTCTCAAATGTTTGCTGCTTTCCTTTTTCTGTCCTGTTTCCTCAGCTGGAACCTCCAGGACAAAACCCCCAGGATCGTGGTGTAGCAGGCTCCCAGGCAAGTTACCCACAGAAAGGGGGCATTTCTAGGATTTCAACCATAAAATGTTGCTGGCTGGGCTTTAAAATGACATAACTTTTCATGTTGATGGATTATTCTTCTATTCCAAGTGTATTAGGAGGCGTTTGTCTTGCCTTGTCAAACATTCCATTTTCTTTACTTGGCTACATTTTATTTATTTTAAAAAATCTGCTCTAGTTTCATGATCTTCCAGAAATGTTCCCTGTCCCAGTCCTGAGCCTCTCTTTTCCCAGCACAGTCTATGCACCCTCCAAAGATTCTGCTCATCACACTGGGCAGCAGCTTGTTTCCAAAGAGGGCTCCAAGGTACATGCCTCCTGCTATGACCCCTCCCACATTGAATCTGGGCTGGACCTGTGAGTCCTGGGAACCAGAGGAACCTGGCAGAATGACACGGGACCAAGTTCAGGCCTCACCACTGAGAGGTCTTGTGCCTTCTCCCACCTTCTTAAGATGCTACTTTCAGAAGTTCTGAACCACCACATACACAGTCGGATCTTCTACTGGAAGGACCACAAAGAGTGACCACTGAGGCTCCCTCATGCCAGCATCCAAGTCCAGCCTGCAGATAAATCCAGCACTAGGCACCTTATGATTGCAGCCACATGAGATACTCTGAGCAAGACCTGCGGAAGAACCGCCCACTGAGCCCAGTCAACCTGCAGAACCCTGAGAGGTTCACCGCACAGCAAGAGATAACCAAAACCTTTTGTAATTTGTAGATTAATTCCTCTGTCCCTTCAAGTAAGCTGAAAAGTCCTTGGGGACCTGAGCCAATTTTGTGTGGGACTAGCACAGGCAATGTGCTGACCAAGGTTTTGCAGGAAATCATGAGAGTGCCAACCCTACAGCAGACACTGTGCTATCTGCCTGTCATGTGACAGAGAAGGCAGAACCTGGGCCCACCTGCATCTCATGGGTGCATGTCGAACACACCTGTGGGAAACTGATGACACAGCTGAGACGGAGATGTAATAGAAGGGGCTCTGAAAACATGGGTGGGGGTTAACTCTCCTTTACGAGTCAGGGAGGATCCTGGAGGAGCTGACATTAGGACTGGAACTTTCGAGGTGGACAGAAGAGGACAGCCTCAGAGACTGTCCCTGTGCCTGCACCAGGAGGAACAGGCAGGCTCTGTCTCAGAAAGGGTGTGGTTCTGGGTCAGGGTAGGGCTGGGGCCGGGGCTGCAGTGGCTGAAAAGACTCCTGGATGATTCTAATTTATCCACAGTGTTGAAAAGCACCCCGTGGAGAAAGGGCCCAGAAACGTTGACTGTGGTCACATATTAAAGGGCCTTTTTGCCAACCTGCGAGTGTTATTTTTCACACTGGCCTCCAGGAACCAGGGGAAAAGTTGAAACAAGCTGGCAACAGGGTTCAATGTATCAAAAGATACTCCAAGGGCAGCGTGGGGGTGACAAAGTCCAGTGTGTTGAAAGATACTGAGGGCAGCATGCGGGTGACAAGGTCCAGTGTGTTGAAAGATACTCTGAGGACAGCATGGGGGGTGACAAGGTCCAATGTGTTGAAAGATACTCCAAGGACAGCGTGGGGGTGACAAGGTCCAGTGTGTTGAAAGATACTCCGAGGGCAGCGTGGGGGGTGACAAGGTCCAGTGTGTATTGAAAGATACACCAAGGACAGTGTGGGGGGTGACAAGGTCCAGTGTGTATTGAAAGATACTCCAAGGACAGCATGGGTGGTGACAAGGTCCAATGTGTTGAAAGATACTCCGAGGACAGCGTGGGGGGTGACAAGGTACAGTGTGTGTTGAAAGATACTCCGAGGACAGTGTGGGGGCGACAAGGTCCAGTGTGTTGAAAGATACTCTGAGGACAGCATGGGGGGTGACAAGGTCCAGTGTGTATTGAAAGATACTCTGAGGACAGCGTGGGGGTGACAAGGTCCAGTGTGTGTTGAAAGATACTCTGAGGGCAGCGTGGCAGTGACAAGGTCCAGTGTGTATTGAAAGATACTCCGAGGGCAGCGTGGGGGCGACAAGGTCCAGTGTGTGTTGAAAGACACTCCGAGGGCAGCGTGGGGGGCAACAGAGCGTCTTGGAGGTATGCCGAAGCGCATTTGGTTGTGACAATGATTCAAGCAGAAGCCAGGGAAGCCCCAAGCCGGAGTTGCTGAACGGAAGAGCAGGGGCAGGTGCGACTCATACATCCAGTGGGGACCCAGGAGGCGTGGTGAGCCTTGTGCGAGGCAGAGAGGGGAGGTGGTGTGTGGGGTCCGCTTTCTGCCCTCTTCCTCCACTAACTTCCTCTCTCTCCTTCCTCTCTCAGTCTTTTCTTCACCATTTTGTTCCTTTCTCTCACCAAGGCTGAGGGAATGGGCCCAGAAAAGTTGAATATGGATAGAACTGAGCCCAAATTTGATAAAAGCAGATGACGGTTCTATGGCACATCTGTGGAGACACCAGAGCTCCTTGTGGAGAGACACAGACACAAACCGAGCTCAGCCCATGTGGAGCTATTTACCTAGGACCATGCTGAAGTATGAGTTCATCTCACAATTTATCTAAGTAAAGCCAAGGCCAGAGCTGACATGAGTCTTCAGACTCATCAGGGATCCAGTGAGCCATCGACAACCACTCCTTCCATCCAAGGCTGTGACGTCTTCCTCCAGGCTACACAGTTTATGCAATTTACCCAATATATAAACCTGGGAATCAGCTGCTGTACTTGGCTCCCAAGATGGTCGTAAGGGTCAAGTGAACTCATGAATGATTTTCCAAATGTGAGGAAATCCTCCACCACCTACAAATAGAGGAGTGATCGCCGGCTGGCCCCGCCCCTGGTTGATGATGGTATGAGACATCTTTCCATTATCAGAGGCACCCAGGAATACTGTGATCTGTGCAAAGGTGTTTGGCTCAGAGAACACACAGTACAGTTGTAGGGGATAGGTTGTGCAGAGACGTAGCCGTCACCCATCGTGGGGAGTTGGCCAGCCCATGGGAGAGAAGTCAGTGAGGACAAGAGGTGAAGCGGGCAGAGGTGAGAAAGGGGACATTTAAACCGGCCTGAAAGCAGCAGTAGCACCAGAATACGGGGAGATGGTAGAGCAGCATTCTATGTGGAGGGAACGCCGGTGCGCCCTGGACACGGACAAGCGACTGCAGCTGCTGAGCGGCCACCCGGTCCTCAGAGGCATCTCCCCCCTCCAACGACAGCCTTTGGGGTCCCAGGGGGAATGCCCACTCCGGAGGACCCAGGGCCCCAGGACTTTGGAGGCCCTGTGTCTGGGGCTTGCATGGTGACCCAGTGGCTCTGTCTCTTTGAACCCATGGGGAGAGTTGTCAGATTCAGAATTTTGAGTAATAAGTGATATTTATCAGAAAGTGATATGAAGCTGGGAAGTGTGTGGAGAAAAGGAAGTTGAACAGTGGCAGATGACCTTTCAGCCATGATCTTCCTGGAACCTGTTGCAGGAGGGTCCCAGGCCCTTTCTGCTCTCCAGGCCCGGATCAGAGAAGAGGTGGTCATGGAATTCTACAATGTCAGAGTGGGGGGCCCATGAACGACCAGCATTGTGAGCTGATGTTAGTAAGCTGTGGGTACAGCCGCTGAAATACTGAAATACTCCCCTGTGCTTTGGTCAATAGCTACAGCTTGATCCCTGGGCACCCTCCATTCCAACAAGCCCTGCAGGAAAGTTGAGCACAGGCCAGCAAGAGGCCTTGTGGACATGCCCTGTGTAATGGCTGCCATTTATTTGGCCTGGTTGGTGTTTGTGTTGTACCAGCTGTTAAATATTTTGAATCTCACCCCTGAAAACAGCCCTATGTTCAAGGGGTCCGAGGGAGCGGCCTACAAAACACTTAAACTTTTAGAGATCCACCATAGGGTCTGCGATGATCAGCATCCAGGGAATTTTCCCGGCCTGGCTGTAAGGAGGTACCTGGACCCTGCTGGTGGGTGTATTGGCAGACATGGGGCTGGAGGAAGAAGCAAAGGACAAACAATTCTAATTGACTTTGAGAATCCACTTTGACGTTTGATCTCACTGAAAGGAATTCAAAGTATTCTTTCTACCTCGTTGCAATGCCTCCTCCAAACCACATACATCCACTACAATCCACAGCAGAGTAAGGGGACCGCAGAGGCACACATGCAGGTGACAGGATCCTTCCCTGTCCTAGGACTCCATCCAACCCTGACCAGGGCATCCTAGGACACACCGGCCTCTTCTCTTCCACACGGGACCCTTGGCCTTCCAGGGAAGACCACTGACAGACATGTTGACGACAGGCGACAGGTGAATATTCTGAATGCTGCTGAGACTCAGTTTCCAGCTTGGGCTGGGAGGGAGTTTGCTGGTGAGGGCTTCTCTGCTGGCAATGAACCAAGTGCTGCCCAGCATCTGCCCCTGTCAGCCACGTTTCCTTTCTGCCCAGCCGGGCGGGCCAGTCGCTTGATTAAAGGTCTGTTGGGGCCAGGCACGGTGGCTCACACCTGTAATCCCAGCACTGTGGGAGGCCGAGGTGGGTGGATCACTTGAGGTCAGGAGTTCGAGACCACTCTGGCCAACATGGTGAAACCTCATCTCTACAAAAAATTACAAAAATTAGCTGGGTGTGGTGGTCCACACCTGTAATCCCAGCGACTTGGGAGGCTGAAGCATGAGAATCGCTTGAATCCAGGAGGCAGAGGTTGCAGTGAGCTGAGGTCGCACCACTGCACTCCAGACTGGGCATCAGAGTAAGACTCCATCTCAAAAAAAAAAAAAATCTGTTGGGGTGACTCACAGCTTTTCCTGTAAACCTTACCAGACGCTGCTGGGGACTTTGAATGCTCTGGGGCCATCCCGCCCCCATTTATGGTGGCCGTTAACCTTTTTGAGAATCTGATAAAGGTTAGATCCTTGCCTCACCAAAATAAAAAGTCTATAAGGACACGGCTATTTTGCATGTAGCTTTTAGGCTGTTTGGAGAATTTCTGGAAATGATGCTTCCCAAGAGCCTCTGCTATTGGAGCATTTGACGTGACTGATGACAAGGTCTCCAGGCCCCAGTGGCAAGGGGCCTGCCTGCCGTTGGGGGCTCTGAGCCACTTTCCCTGTGCCCATTGTCTCCTTGGCCAGACAGTGGCTCCCACCAGGGAAGAGGCTGTCTCTTCTTTCTGACCTGCGTTTGTGCCTAATACAGCGTTACTCTGCCCTGTTCAGCGTGGGACATCGTTGTAATTTGTGACTGCTTTTGCCATAGATAGAAACAACTATGGCAGCAAAGCAAAGCATTCTCACTGAGCGGCACCAAACACAGCTCCGAGCTGACAATGGCTTCTAAAGACTTCCTTTTTGACTTCTTGTCTCAGATTTGATGTCTGCATTGCCCCTAAATGATAAAGCAAATACAATGAGAGACTGCTTGCAGGATACTCTCTTTTCAACAATGTTTCCCCTCTCTTCCTGCCACCCTTTCTGTAAGAATACTGTATATCAGCAACCCTCTGGGGAAAGTAACTTTGAAAAATTGTATAGTGGATGCTAAATGACTTAATGGATAATAAAATGGCTTGTGCTTCTGAGACTGCTATTTAAAGACCAACTTGACATTTTATGTAAAATGAACACTAGTTTTTATATAATCATGGGACCTCGCCCAGCTTTCTGCCAAATTTGCTATTTATGGAGGTTGCACGTCTTCAAAGCAAGTTAGATGCCACTTCTAAAACTCGTTAAGAAGACTCAGGAGGACAAGGGATCTCTTTCGACACCCCAACTCGTAGGTTAAGAAAGAGAAAATTTCAAACCTCAAAAGGTAACAAAACTTTAAGATGAAATTGTAGAAGAGAATCCCTGTGTGTTTTCATGCGTTGCAAAGCGAGGCTGGAACTTTAAGTTGAGGGAACACGTGGGAATTCACCTGCATCCCCCGGCACAGTCCTGGGTGCCAGCCTGAGCTCCACTGTGGACACCTCCCAGACAGGCACCATCATGTCCCCAGCACCACCTCCTACCCAGCTCACGTATCTGTCCTTTTCTTGCTGTGGTCCCCAATTCCAGAAGCCTGACCCTGGTAACCTTGACCACAGGTGAAGTCAGGGTTTCTCAATCTCAGCACTATTGTCATTTACAACCAGATAGTTCTTTATTGTTGGGGGCTGTGGGTGCACATCAGGGTGCTTCGTGACATCCCTGGACTCCACCAACCAGATGCCACTAGCACTTCCAACCTGACAACAATGTCTCCAGGAGTTGTAAATCTCTCTTGAGGATCAAATATCGCACCCCGAGTGAGATCCACTAGATTAAGTAATTGGTAGAGCCAGATTCAACACAGGCAGTCTATCTCAGGCCCATTTTCTTAACCACGTATATTAAGTGCTAAAGAAATTCGAAGTTAGTGAAATAAGGGAGGGAGGATGGGAGGGAAGGAAACAAGAGGTGAGGGGAGGGAGGGAAACAGCAGGTGAGGGGAGAGAGGGAAACAGGAGGTGAGGGGAGGGAGGGAAACAGGAGGTGAGGGGAGGGAGAGAAACAGGAGGGGAGGGGAGGGAAGGAAACAGGAGGTGAGGGGAGGGAGGGAAAGAGGAGGTGAGAGGAGGGACGGAAAAAGGAGGTGAGGGGAGGGAAGGAAAGAGGAGGGGAGGGGAGGGAAGGAAAGAGGAGGTGAGAGGAGGGACGGAAAAAGGAGGTGAGGGGAGGGAAGGAAAGAGGAGGGGAGGGGAGGGAAGGAAAGAGGAGGTGAGAGGAGGGACGGAAAGAGGAGGTGAGGGGAGGGAAGGAAAGACGAGGTGAGAGGAGGGAGGGGAAAAGGAGAGAATGCACATGATCAGATCACACAGAGATATGCAAGCCGTGTTGAGCCACCTCTAGCTTTTTCTGGGGTCAACAGAGAACCTCTAGAGAGGTTTCCAGGAAGAAAGGAATGTGTTGGGATGGTCTGCAAGCTCATCCATCCACCAGCATGTGAACAGTAAGAGACAGCCAGGCTGCTGGAGCCTGAGTGAAGACTGGCGCCTGCACCCTCCTCCCCCAGGGCTGCAGCCATGGCCCCTGCAGCTGCTTTCACCCCCTTCTCCTAACTTCTCCACAGCAACTGGGCATCTTTCCAAACAGCAGATGGGATGATCTGTGTCCTCCTATATAAAACTTCACAATTATATATCCACTATTGTTTAAAAAAAAAATGCCATACACTGCGTGGCTTAAAACAACAGAGGCCTACTCGCTCACAGTCCTGGAGATCCAAAGTTCAAAGTCAAGGACTCGGCAGAGCCACTCTTCTTCTGAAGACTCTAGCGAAGGTCCTTCCTGCCTCTTCCAGATTCTGGTGTCCCCCACGATCTTTGGGTGCCCTTGGCTTGTAGACATGTCGCTGCAAACACTGCCTCTGCCGTCACTTGGCTGTCTTCCTTGTGTGTCTGCATCTGAACTTCCCTCTTTTTTCTTGAGGACCATGGGCAGAGGGGACGAGGACCTGGGCTACTCCAGGATGACTCTATGTTCATTTGTCGACGTCCACAAAGTTTTGTAAAACTGTGATTGCGTGTGTGCAGGTGTGCATGTGTGTGCTGAGTGCGAATTTAAAACTCACTTCTGGCTGGGCGTGGTAGCTCACGCCTGTAATCCCAGCACTTTGGGAGGCCAAGGCAGGTGGATCGCCTGAGGTCAGAGTTTGAGACCAGTCTGGCCAACATGGCAAAACCCCATCTTTACTAAAAATACAAAAATTAGCCGGGCGTGGTGGTGGGAGACTGTAATCTCAGCTACTTGGGAGGCTGAGGCAGGAGAATCGCTTGAACCCGGGAGGCGGAGGTTGCAGTGAGCTGAGATCAAGCCACTTCACAGCAGCCTGGGTGACAGAGTGAGACACCATCTCAAAAAAAAAAAAAAAAAAAAAAAAAAAAAAAAAAAAAAAACTCACTTCTCCCTGGGGTTCGGTCACAAAGCGTTCTAGTTGGATGGGCATTGAGGTATGTTTATCCCATGACAAGGAAGTCTTCAGCCTCTCCTACCAGCTGATAGGAACCTGAGATAGGATTTAGAGCTCCAGCATTCTTGTACCCTGGGAGCTAGTCCTGGGTGACTACATGCTGCTCTGTGAAGGCTGAGCTAGGGGAGTCAACAATTATCCATGGAGCACGTGCCCAGCATTGTGGGAAATGCCAAGGTAAGAACTTGGTTCCCAACGTGATCACGTGGTTA
This sequence comes from Homo sapiens, assembly GCF_000001405.40. Classification (NCBI taxonomy): domain Eukaryota; kingdom Metazoa; phylum Chordata; class Mammalia; order Primates; family Hominidae; genus Homo; species Homo sapiens. The sequence continues at coordinate 111,561,758 of NC_000013.11, read as the reverse complement.
GGAAAACTAAGTCAATTCCATTAAAGCAATCAGAGAAGAAGTAAGAGCTCTGTCGACAGCAGAAGCTCCAGGGGCAGGGAGAGAAGTGCTTAGACAGTCACGGGATCACCCTGCAGGAGAGACTGGGCTGGAGCAGGCTGGGGAGGTGAGTGAGGCTTGGGTGAGCCCTTCCCACCCCCGGTGCTGCTGGACTGGGAGGGGCGTGCATGCAAGGCTGTGGTCCTCAGTATTGCTTGGTCTTTTGTTCCCAGCTTTGGGCCACACAGCGGTGGCCATAAAAGTATAATGAGTGAATAAATGAAAACACACACAAAGGAGATAAAACTCAGGAAAAGGATCTAGGTTTGCAGAAGCCAGATAGAAGGGGCAGAGAGAAACAGCAGAGGCACTGAACCATGCCGACAGCAGCGTGTGGGGCCTTGGTGCAGGTGGAGGACAGGCCAGTGATGATGCAGAGGAGACAAAGGCCAGGCTGAAGCTGAGGATCTGCAAACCACCCCGCGTGTGGGTGATGGCCTCGTAGGGCATCAGGAAGCAGGCCTGAATGACACTCGGCCGACTCAGTGCTCCCGCCTCCTCCAGCCTTCTTAAAAACCACCAGTCTGAAGGCATTCTGCATTTCTAAATATGGACATCTGTAAACTGCTCCCCGAGCCATCTCATGGTGGGAAGCTCAGAAGGAACACTCCCAGGAGAAGATGGAGCTGGGAACCCACATTCAGAATTGGCCAAGCCAAGAGTTATTGCCAACATGACCCTAAAAATAAATAAAGGGGTGTTGCCCAATGTGGATGTTAATACATATTACATGAGAAAGGGGGTTCTGTGGACCGTGAATTTGAAAGTCACTAGGCTTCACAGAGCCAGTAGATCCTCACGACGGAACTTCCTGGAATCATGTGACTGGGCAGGAGAAAGGCCGGCTGTGCACCACTGAACAGATCCACTTGTCCTTGAAACCCTTTTCTATAGAACTCTAATTAACTGAACAAGTATGTTCCTCAGAATGAAGTCTTGAAAATGCTGATATCAAGAAACCACAAAAAAACCTTTGAAATTGAATTAGGTTCATCAGGAATGAGAATGACTGGGAACAAGTATTTTTGCCTTATTGTCCAGATTTTCCCAAGATGAGGTTAAATCTACAAATTATTTTACTACTAAAACATAAAAACAAAAGTCAACCAGAAAAACATCCCCCATGTCCCTTTCTTCCAGATTTTCTAATTCTTCTGAACAAATAATTTTTGCATTTCCCGCAGAGGAGATGTTTCTCTCTGGTCACAGAACCATAGCAAAGTTGGTAACAGCATCCGAGGCACTTCTCTTTCAGGAGAAAGGAGAAAAGAAAGGAAGATTGGCTTCTAGGGCCCTGACAGTGTGGACCCCACAATAAACTAGTGACAGGGGTGGAATACGAAATTTGTGACTATTTGGGCCAGACTCTGTCACGTAGGTGCTGAGGGCAGGACTGTGTCCTTGACAGAGAGGTGGCACTTTTCTTCTTGCCACACGGCTCCCCACAGCTACAGCTGCTCCCTGCAAGCACTGCTGTTGACATTCGCGTTTAGGGGATGCTTTCAAAGGGAGACTGCCAAAAATATCCCATTGCAGCTGCCCTCTGCAGGAAGGAGGGACAGGAATCCCGTGGGAAAGTGTGGGGAGCAGTGGACAAGCCTCCAGGACCTCCTCCAGGGTCCTGGTGCTATCTCAGATCAGCTGTGTCTGCCTCAGCAAAGTCAAGTTGCCAGCCCTCAAATTTCCTCCCAGAGGAAACAGAAGTGCTAAATCTGCCCCACACCCCTGTGCGGCTCGGGTTAGAGGAGGTGGTGAGGCCGCGTGTGTAAGAGCCGTCTGAACACTGCTTAGCACTCTAGGAGTGAAAGTCAGCCGCCCACATTAACCCACCGTGGTGATGGGGCAGTGCAGGAACGCGGGGCCTGACCGCCCGGGGACCCCCACGGTGCAGGAACGCAGGGCCCGACCGCCCAGGGACCCCCACGGTGCAGGAACGCAGGGCTCGACTGCCCGGGGACCCCCACGGTGCAGGAACATGGGGCCTGACTGCCCTGGGAACCCCAAGGTGGAGGAAGAAGGCTGGGAACCAGACAGCCTGGGTTCAAACTCTGGCTCTCCCATCCTTTGTCTCGTGGGGCCTCTGTTTTCTCATCTGTAAAATGGGATTATGATGATGAAACGACTGGATATGTATAAAGTACTTAGAAAACTGCAGGGACACAGCGAACGCCTGAGAGATACGAAGTCAGATGTTTTACACAGTTATACCTCACATGCACTTGGCAGTTTCGTTTTGAGATTAAATGACTTATTTAAATCTTTAAACTTATATTTAAATTTTAAGAAAATCTAAATTATTTGGGTTAAATCTTTACTTTGATGTAACTTCAAACTTACAGAAAAAAAAAAATTCAAGAATTACATGAAAAAGTCTTGTATCCCCTCAGACCCAGATTTGCAAATTCTCCTTCACTGTGGCCACGTGTGCTTATGCCCTCCCTCCTTTCCCCTCTCTACATTTCCATCCTCTTTGCAGCCCCTGGAGCCTGGGCCACATACACCCATGCCTTGTGCGCTTCTGACTTCTAAGTAGTACCTATTTCCTAAGGGCAAGAATATTCTCTTACAAATCCGTCACATCCACAGACAAGTTTCCATATTAAAGCCCTCCACATGCACTTTTAAACCTAATAGTCCGGAATAAAGTGTGTGAGGGAACAAAAAGCAGCGTGGGAGACTGAGAAGAACCTAAAACTTAGGTGGGACAACGTGTGCCCTCTCTTGTTCCGGGTCCCTAACTGGCTGGGCGACCTTCACCGAGTCCCTCGGGCCTCTATCTGCCTATCCACACAGTGAGCAAATCAGATGGCTCCGCAGGTGCCGCCGTCGCTAAACACAGCTGCTGGCCTCTGCAGCGATCGTGGCGGTACTTTTTTGACAATCCAGCATTTTTTAAAGCCCAAGGGATTGCTTTTGCCCTGCGGAGAGTTACTTTGCTGACACTGTCTGTTCCTAATGTCCCGTGCTCCCAGTGTTCCAGATCCAGTATCAGCAGACCCCACAGAGAGCCTACCCTCCTGTGATCTGAGCAAGGGAGTCGCCGCTGATCGATAATCCATTTGCTACTGAGTCACACATGTGGGGCTTTAGAAACCAAACTCAACCAGGACCCGGACATGGTTAAAAGGCCCCATACGCCTGCTGATGTCTGGGAGCAAATTCACCCCACCGCTCGCACCATGCTGTGGCCTCACACCTCACCTTGGCCAGCGGGGCAGAAATCTGGAAAATACGCACACGTTCTCCCTGCCCTGTCTCGCTTTCCTTCTCCCTCGAGCCTCTGGTTTTTACCCTGTGGATTCCTCGCACAATGTATCGCCAAATCCCTCTCCCTCTCCCGGCTCTCCCACCATTCTGGAAAACTCCAGCATCCCCACAATGTTCCCACGGCAGCCCCCACTCACCCTCCCAGGAGAAAAGGATAGGTCTGAACAGGCTCCTGCTGGAAGGGGCCTCCACTGCCACCAGCTTCCCCAAGACGTCTACACTGAGGAAGGCTGATGCGCCAGCCTTCCTCCAGCAGGGTCAACCCACCTCTGGATCTGCTCCCACCACTCCCAGCACACTGAGGCCTCACACCTCCCTCAGACAGCACTTACCCCTGGGGACCCCAGGCCTGGGCACAGCCTGACCCTCTTCAGCCTCACTTTCCCCACACCCTCAGCTCTGCCTGAAGAGCCTGGCTGAGCCCTCAAAATCTAGAACCCAGGAGCCTGCATGCACAGGCAGTTCCTGACTTCCCCACAGACCGATCCTTTCTCCTGGGCTTCTGAACACTTTTTTGGTGCCTCTCCTGAAGCTCTCACCTGCTGGCCATACTGTGCAACCTAGGCTGGCAGCTTGCAGGGAAGAATGACTGGATTCCCTTCTGTGTGCTGGGTGCTGCGGGTGGGTGCAGGGACACAGAGGCCCTCTGTATCATTTGCTGCTCCTGAGGAGTGGCCCAGAGAGAAACCACCCAGCACCTCAGGCATGGACAGATGCCACCCTTAAACCAATGTGCCCAGATCTCCCATCTTCTGTTCCTCATCTGTAATCACCTCTGTCCTAGGAAAAGGAGGGGAATGAGCCACAGTTTCTTCTCTGTTGGGATGATAGAAGGAAGTGATAGGAATTGAATCATCCAGCGGCAGAGCGGCGGGCCGCACATTCTCCTCTCTCCCCTGGCTTCACGCTCCTACGCGCGAGTTTCCATCCCATTTTCCTGTTTTATTTACAGTGCCATTTTCTCTCCATCACCACTCAAACATGAAAATGCAGACTTTGGAGGCTAAAGCGAGCACGATTTACTGACAACTGGAATTCACAGAACCAAAACAGCCCACTGTCTCGGTAATTACAGGAGATATATTATAAAGACCTTATACGCTTTGAAAAAAAAGTGAATCAAAAGAAGCATTTTTAAGTTAAAAATATCCACCGCTACATGTAAGAGTAAAATCAAAAGCAATTTTATAATGAATCAGACAGCATACATTTTTGCTACTTTATTGTGAAGTGGCACTTAAAATACTGATTTAGGTCATAAACTAAATACTTGCTTATGTATTGCTTAGAACAGACAAAATTTGAATGATAGGGTCAATGAGAACAGACACTTCAAACCATAAATAAAACCAAGAGGAAAATGATAGACGCACATTATATAACAGCGTATGCAACTACAGTTGTGTGTTGTTTAACAACAAGGAAAGGATCTGAGAAACACGTCTTTAGGTGATACCGTCACCATGCGAGCATCACAGAATGACTTACAGAAGCCTCAATAGCACAGCCTACGACTCCTGAGCTGTGAACCTCTGCATCGCACGACTGTATTGAATTCTGTAGGCAACTGTGACACAAGGGTGTTTGTGTATCCGAACAGAGAAAAGCTAACACATTGCATGATGGCCCTATGGTGGCTCTGGCATCACTAGGCAATAGGAATTTTTCAGCTCAATTTTCATCTTATGGGACCACCGTGGCACAGACGTTCCATCGTTGACTGCAACGGCGTTCCGCGGCCCATGACTACCACGCAGACATAAGGGGAAGGTGGTACAACTGTTATGTGATGCAACAATATACAACATAATATTAAATTTAGTTCGGGCCAGGCACTGTGACTCACACCTGTAATCCCAGCACTATGGGAGGCCGAGGGGGTGGATCACTTGAGGTCAGGAGTTCAAGACCAGCCTGGCCAACATGGTGAAATCCCATGTCCATTAAAAATACAAAAACTAGCTGGGTGTGGTGGCGCGCAGCCATAGTCTCAGCTATTTGGGAGGCTGAGGCAGGAGAATTGCTTGAACCCAGGAGGCAGGAGTTGCAGTGAGCCAAGACTGTGCCACTGCACTCCAGCCTGGGTGACAGAGTGAGACTCTGTCTCAGAAAAAAAAAAGAAAAAAAAAGAAAAAAAATTAGTTCATGCAGATATTGGAATGAGACAGTGAAAGTAAAAGGTGCACGGAAGCGTTGAGCACCGTGATGAGGAAGCCCTAAAAATGAGTCAAGGCCCAGGAGTGCTGTCCTGCCAGCCCAGAGTGCTGGAGACTGTGGGCTCTGGACAGAGGTGGGCAAAGCGTGCGCTGTCAGGACAGGGATGGGAACCGCCCAGTACATACTCCACGGCACATCCCATCAGTGGATCTCAGCCCCGTCAGATCGAATGCTCCTTCTTATAGCATAATTTTTATCATCTCCTCTGCTATCTTGAAAAAAATAATAAAATCTACCCATAGACATAATCTTAAAAATTCAACATAATGCCATAACAGAATTTAAAGGAAGATAATTGTCATAGAAATAATATGGATTTCAATGCATTTCCACATGTAAATTCCTGGAAGTAGCCACACCCGAAGGCACAACATGGTCGCTGAATGCTGCACTGATGCTTCAATTGCCATGAGGACGACAGTCCTGAGGGTGGGGGCCGGACGTGCCCTGCAGCAGCTCAGTGAGGTGGCTTTCTGAAACAAACGGTGACCAGCTCTAGGTAAAGTGCCAGCGAAGAACAGCTTTCCCTCATTTTAAGCACGTGTGCACTTCTGGGAATTTTAATGTATGTTAAAGCTATGCAAAAATGCTCTGGAAAACGCTATGGAAAAGGCAGTTAGTCCTAGGCTGAGGCTCCTGGCAACAGGGTTTTCACCTCTGTGAAGGAGCAGGGAAACTGCAGGTGCCGGACACACTGCCTCGTTGTAGGGGACAGCCCAGGTAGGATGTCTAGGACCTCCAGGAACTCTGCCAACAGTGCCCCCAAAGGCCTAAAGTGCTCCCCAGGGGCAGTGCCCTCTGCTGAGACAGGGTGCTGTGGGGTTACTGCCCTTTGGTCCTGGTGGGAAAGCTGGAGTTGAAAAAGGCAAACTGGAGGGATGATTCTCAAATGAAGAGAGCGGAGACACAGGAGGCAACCATAAGAAGGGGGCTGAGCCCAGGCAGGAGAGGTGCTCCCTCGCGGCTCACAGCCTGGCAGCCGCCGCACCCCCTGAAGACAGTAAGTCCCTCTGCCCTGACAGGCACTCAGGCCACCTCCACTAGAGCCCTGGCTGCATCTGCAACGCGTCATCAAGAGCCTGCCACCTGCACATGCCCCCTGCAAAGCCCCCTGACACAGTGTGGCTGCCAGGGAGGACTCCACGGGCCACCACCCGCCACCTCCTCATCCCACCCAGCCTCCCTGGGCACTAGGCCTGGCCCATCCTGGCTTCACAGGCATTGGTGCCATCTACACTGCTGAGTCCCAGCTTGAGTGATATTTTAATGTGATTCAGATGATTCGTGTTACCTATTTGTTCCTCAAATACTTGAGTATCCACCCAAGGGGGCTGAGTTAGCTGGGTCATCCCAGCTCTACTATAACCTGGGCCTATTTTCTGAAAATAAAAAGTGTCGGGCTCCTTCCTGCAGTGATTTGCATAGTGTAGGGACCAAGGGAAAACCTCCCCTCTGCCCTCTGGAGGTTTGCAGAAAAATCAACTCACGAAGGCGTATTAATGGGAGAAAAAGGCACATGAGGGTGTGAACGTGTGTGGGGAGGACCGCAGCGCCACTGCCTCAAGCCCCCAGTGATGTGCAGAAGCTTAGGGGCCATCTTTGGTTATGACAGAATGGGGGCCCAGAACACAGCCGAACACAGAGATGGCAGGAAATCAGGTTACGGAGGCCAGACAGGAGGGAGGAGAGGAGGCCAGACAGGAGGGAGGAGAGGAGGCCAGATGGGAGGGAGGAGAGGAGGCCTGGCTGGCCATGGTGCCTCTCTATGTAGGAGAAGCCTCAGAGGCACAGTGCTGGGCGACAGTGGACGGCAAATGTCTCAGATCCTTAAAGGTGTCAGATTCCATTTACCTTCCCTCTACCAGACACAGGAGGCCTGGATGCATCCACCAGGATTCTCTGCAGAAGCAAATCTTCCCACAAAACACAGCTTTGCAGGGCTGGCTCTCTAAATAGCTGCCTCAGAATATGTCAAAGAAGGCTGGGCGCAGTGGCTCATGCCTGTAATCCCAGCTCTTTGGAAGGTCGAGGTGGGCAGATCACTGAAAGTTGGGAATTCAAGACCAGCCTGGCCAATGTGGTGAAACCCTGTTTGTACTAAAAATACAAAAAAAAATTAGCCAGACTTGGTGGTGCATGTCTGTAATCCCAGCTATATGGGAGGCTGAGGCAGGAGAATTGTTTGAACCCAGGAGGTGGAAGTTGCAGTGAGCCGACATCATGCCAGTGCCCTCTAGCCTGGGCAACAGAGCAAGGCTCTGTCTCAAAAAGAAAAAAAAAAAACCAAATATGTCAAAGAAATACATTTTACAGTAAAATATTTCTATTTCCTTCCATTGCAAATGTGGGCAGTGTATTCACCCAGCCCAGAGAGCACACATTTCATCGTGGAGGGTCAGAGAAGAATGAGCAGGCATCTCTTCCTCGGGGTATTTAAGGACAAAAGTGACAGCTCACACCGTGGGCTCCAAAACATGCAAACAATTTCTCAGGGATCGCTAATGAAGACAGTCAAAACGTGTAGAAAAATACATATTTCCGCAAACCATCAAAGTGCGTTGTCCTTCAAGGTGAAATATTGACCGCCTTGGTCAGCACTTACTTTTCAGATCAATATGTCTGATGGGTGTTCTCAACAGAAGTCAATAATGCTTTATTACTCAAGATCTCATTCCACTGGCTGAGAGCTTGGCTGCAGCAAATCACTGACAAGCACCTTGGCCAACAGCAGAAGAACACAGCCTGGCCGCGTGGGGGCCATCAGCGAGCGCTTCAGGAGGTTAGAGGCCCGGCCAGTTGGCCGGGCAGCTCATCAGGACACAACTTAGGAATCATTAGTGCTGCTCCAGAAAGGGGAGTGGGTGCTGGAGAGCAGGAGAGCAGGTGAGCAGGTGAAAGGGGAATGGAGTTGGAAACAACAGAAAATGTATCAGAGCTGGTAATGGAGAAAACTGTGGCTGCAAAGCCTCAAAGGCCATCCACTCCCTCCCTCTCACATTCATCCAGTAAACATTGCTGAGGTCCGGTCATGTGGAGATGCAGAGCCCAGTGCTGAGGATATAGAGATAGGTTTGCTGTGGGGTACAGTGTGATGAGGGCCTCTGTGTTACAGGGCAAGGCACAGGCACTCCCACAGCCCAGGCAAGCCTCAGGGATCGGGGCATCCTCTTGGCAGGCAGAGGTGTGGGCAGCTCAGGGCTGTGTTCCAGGGCCACACCAGGATGGTGGTCCAGACAGAAGAGGTGCAATGGACCAGCTATGAGAAAGCACCAGTGCATCTAGGAATCCAGAGTAATTTGGCCCACCTGGAGCAGAGGGGACATGGCCAAGAGTTTTAAGACATGAAGCAGAAAACAGAGAAAGAGACTAGATCAATAATGTCTTTATGCAACAGTAAGATATGTGGCCATTGTCCTGAAGAGGAAGAAAGAGGTATGACTTTAAGGGAGAGTGGTGAGTGATAATTACATTTTTGAAAGCCCACTGGGATAGCACTGCCGAGGCTGGACTTGGAAGGGACAGGAATACAGGGAGGTAGGGCAGGAGGCTGGACGCAGCCACAAACCCGTCAGGAAAGGAGGAGTCAGGAGGCAGAGAGGAGAAACAGCTGAATGACATTTCTCTTACAGAAACAGATGAATGGAAAAGAGTTCCTCATAGTGAAAAAAAGACTGGAAGGAAACAGGATGCGGACAATAAGCAGTGCGATGTTCACCTGCTTCGTTATGTTACATTATGTAACTGCTCAACAATAAACATGCTACATTTATAATGTGGGAAACTAGTGCAGATGAATGGAAAAGAGTTCCTCATAGTGAAAAAAAAGACTGGAAGGAAACAGGATGCAGACAATAAGCACGGGATGTTCACCAGCTTCGTTATAATGTTACATTATGTAACTGCTCAACAATAAACATGCTACATTTATAATGGGGGAAACTAGTGCATGATAACATAATTTTTTTTAATTTCCATATATATGTAGATAGTATAATTGACAAGAGTTGGCAATGAATGTTTTGGTAGGTTAGTGCAAGGGAAGAGACATTGTTTAAGATCCCTTCTAGAGCCTGGCTGCAGTAGAAATGCCACCTAGTGCAACTGGGAATAGAAGAGGCAGAGTTTTGCAGTAGAAAGTTATGAACTTGCCTCGAATTGATTTGGGGGTCATGGTAAGTCACTAACTCACTATGTACAACATCACGTAAACAGAAACATGAGTCTGAAATCCAGGAATAAGATCTGGAATGAAGATTCAAATAAAGTGTGTTCAGTGAAAAGAGAAGTTCAATTTGCTGGGTTTTTAGTTGGTGATTTTGGTTTGTTTTTTACTTAATAAATTGATTTACTTATTGGTAAAAATAAAATGTCACTACATTAACATCTTCACATCAAAAATTGCCTCTCCTCATTTCCTGTACCTCTTCTGGAAACACAGGTGAGCCAAAGGCCAGGCAAAGCTCAGTAGATGAAGAGATGAATGGGGGCAGGGTGATGGGAAAAGCAACCTGTCCCAGCTGGCACAGGTGTGCCCTGGGTTCTGAGAAGGTGAGGGGGGTCACCACCCCTGGTGTGCACATTTGGCAGCATGGCCAAATGAACCCAGGACAGGAACATTCGGTGGATGAGTTTCAACATCACGCTACAGAAAGGATGCCAAGTAACATGCCCTGTCACATACCACTGCTCAGCAAAGCCCCACTGCCCTCTAATTAAATTGGCTTCTGTATGAAGCCTGCAGAGGCCCAAGCAGAGGTAGCTGAGAACACTGCAGCCCAAAGCAAGGGCTGGTTTGCAGGAATGATGTCACAGATCAGCAGAGCCTGCAGAACATGCCTCAAGGGCTCCTTAGAAACCAGCATCACAGCCTGGAGGCATGGGGGCTGAGAAGGCTTCACCCTGAGATGCGTGGAGACATGATCGCCAAAGAGCAACGTGTCTCTTTCCTTTGGGATATCTTTCTTGTTGAGATTAAGGCAGGAGATGCCATTTGCTTATGTTATTATTCACACCACTTTTCATCAGAACTGAGCTCCAGGTCTGCTTATAAAATGTTGCTGCTGCTTTTTAATGTTTAAGTCCAGATTGCTAAATAGAATATACTACAGAAACTCCTTAGCTTTCTGGTATTACATAATGCATTAAGAAAGACACTGGGGAAGTATTGAGAATGCTCATTCAATAACTTTGAAGACAAAACAGGGTTCTCATATCAGAATTCTACAAGCACTGTGTTTAATAGGTACAGCCGGAAGTGAGAGGAAGTATGCATCATAGAGTGTAAAGCAGGCTTCAGCTGTAACATGCAAGCGAACCCCAAGGAGCTTGTGAAAATGCAGATTCTGATGCAGGAGGCGCTGGGTGCAACCTGAGTGTCCGCATTTCTAACAACCTCCCAGGTGAGGTTGATGCTGCTGGATCAAGGAACAGCTTTGCAAGGATAAAAATACATTCTCTTTGCCCAAATTAACACCCATGTTATCCTTTAAGATGCAGAAGACCTTTCCTAACCTACCTCCTACTCCACACAGGCTGGAGAAGTAGCCCCCCCACCACCCAACCCCACCTTTCACTGGGATTCTGTGTACCTGTATCAGTGTAATTCCCACATGACGTTACATTGCCAATTTATATGCTCCCATCCCACTAAGCGAAGAGAATCCTGAACATAGGAACTGAGTTTTTTTAATCTATGAATCATCAGTGACAATGGCTGGTACCTAGTGAATGTTTAATAAATGTTTGTTGGAAAGATAAATAGATAGATGGATAAATGGATGAGTAGGTGGGTGGGTGGGTTGATGAATAGATGAATGGATGGATGAAAATATGAGTGGATGGATGGATGGATGGACAGATGAATGGAAATATGGATGAATGGATAGATGAATGGAAAAATGGATGGATGGGTGGAAATGATGGATGGATAGATGGATGGATTGATGGATGGACAGATGAGTAGAAGGATGGATGGATGGATGGACAGATGGATGGAAATATGGATAAATGGACAAATGGATGGAAATGATGGATGGATGGATGGATGGATGGATGGATGAATAGAAAGATGGATGGATAGATGGATGGATGGAAATATGAATGGATGGGTGGGTGGGTAGATGGATGGATGGATGGAAATATGGATGGATGGATGAGTGGATGGACAGATAAGTAGATAGATAAATGGGTGAAGTTCAAAGCATGGTCTTAGCTTTGCTACTAATTACTTATAAACTGTGAGCCAGTTTCTTAATCTTAATTTCTTTTATAAAATTAAGGGACATGACGGTTTCAAAAGGCTTTTCCAATTTGAAAGTTGTAGCATTAACAACTAAAATTGATTGAAGGCATACTTGGTGGCACTCTGCTGGGTACTTGGGTGGATTATCTCAGTTCATCTTTACAAAAACATATGAGACAGGTGCTATTATTGACTACATTTCACAGAGGAAGGAACTGAGCCTGAGAGAGATTAGGTGACTTGCTTGTGTTCACTTAGTGAATGATTAAGCCAGGACTCACCCCAGCTCACGGTAGCCTGGCACTGAGCCTTATCACCAGAACAGTGGGCAGCCCCTTAAAACAAACAGACCAAAGCAACCAAGAGAAAGTCTAGCCACACTGATAAAGCCTGGCTTTTCCAGGATGAATTGCAGCAGATTGTGAGCTGCTAAGGTAAATGGTTTCCCTGCTGAAACGGTGAGCCATCTCTTTAGCTACATTGAATGCTCTCCAGGGCCATGTGTGCAATTCTGTGCATAATTCTCAGTGACTGTCTCCACAGGGTGATCCTGGCTCCCCAGCCTTGCTGCCCCACTAGGAGTAGGCTGTGATACGAGAGCAAGGAGGGGAAGGGGTCTCAGAGGAGGGGTTTCTATGGAGCAATCAAGAGCTTTCCAGGTACGGGGCAAAGGAGAAGAAGAGAAGAAGTGGGAAGTTACTCAGAGTGTAGAAGCTCTCAGAAAAGTCTGGAAAGTGATGGGCAGTTGCTCCTTGATATTTAGGGAGTAAACGAGGGAAATGCCAGCTTCTTAGAGAAACCTGCACATCCAGCAACCTGCGTAGCTAGGATAGTCCTGGAAGAGCCGAAACAGAGCACCCAGGCGCCTGCATCCCAGAGAATGTCCAGGGCTCACGGGGGGCCCTCTGAAGGCGCCAAGGGGGCCCATGATCCCTGCCATGGGGCACAGAAGTGTGAGAGAGCTCTGGGCTGGGAAAGGATGGAGTCGCGGGGAGGGGGCGTGAAGAACCCGGAGACCAGAGACCCAGGCCAGGGCCACAGTGACTTTCATGGGCTCTAGGCACTCTCTGCCTTTATGGGGCTCTGCCTCAGTAACTATTGAAAGTCCTATTTCATGACTATGTTGGTATGAAGATAAATATATTAATATTAAATATTAAAATAGTTTATTTGACCTAAAGTTTTTTTTTTCCTGGTTTTAAAAGAAAGGCATCTCCAAGGGCTCCTGAAAGTACTGTGGTCATTAGTTGAGCCTGTCTGCCTGCCGGGAAGTCAGCCCCAGCTGCAGCTTCAGGAGCCAACCCAGAAGCCAGCCAGGAACAGGGGCCCAGCGCCCGCAGCAGACGCCAAGGCTGGGTGCTCCATGGCCGGGGGCTCACTCAGGAGACATCAGGACCCACAGGAGCAAGCGCAGCCAGCGATGGCGTGGGAAATACGCGCCTCCCGTGGGCTCAGCCACAACCCGGGAGGGCGGCAGGGAGCAGCGGCCCGCCAGCGATGCACGCCGAATTCCCGCAGTGTTGCCTGAACGAGACTGCGAGGCAGAAGAGACTGCCTTGCTGCGAACAGATGCAGAAACTGCTGTCCCACCTCTCTCACTGCTGGCCTTCAGCGGGAGTGGGGTTCCCAGGGCAAGCCCCCTGGCCGGCAGCGAGTTTGACGTCCACACCCACTGCGTGCCCCATTACATTTCGGCTTTAACAAGTGGTTTCATCCATTTTCTTCTCGAAATACATCTCTCCGGGAACAATATATGAGGACATTTTCCGTTTTATCCATCCCTGACCTCACCTGACCCTCGGGCCCAGCAACCCGGGCTCCACAAGCCGGGCAGGGGATCTCTCCGGCACCCTCACGTCTGAGAATCGACTCCGGACCACACTCCCCCCGGCTCCCCGTCTGTCGGAGTCGCCCTGGGTCCCGCGCAGTCGCCTGCTGTCCGGTTTAATAGACCGGGGGGGGCCTGACAGTCCCACAGGCGCCCAGGCGATTCCGGTGCCGCCGGTCCCCGGACCCCGGTCTGAGGAGCGAGGCTCCGTGGAGTCCTCCCCTGACGTGTGCAAGGAAGCCGGAGTCTCCAACGCATTGCGGAGCTAAGGAACCCTGGAAGCTTGCTCAGAACAGAAGGCGCAGGGTCCCTCCTTCATCCCCAGCACCTCCGCCCATCCCCGAGGACAGGGCCCTGTCGCCTTCTCCTGCGCCGAAGAAAACCACAGGTCCCAGGAGGCGGTCATTCCTCTATCACGGCCTCAAGAAAAAGTTCGCTTTTGTTCACACTTGGAGCTTTGCGTTGCTGCCGCTCAAGGACTGAAGTCCCCAGCATGGCTCTCTCCAAACCTCCGCCGCTCATTGCCAACGATATTATAAGATTTTACTGTGTCAGAGATGTGTTGGGGTTTAGAAAAATGGGAGCTGGGGAGCCCTGGATCCTGCGTACTAAGAGGGGTGTCTGTGGGGAGCCGTGTGGGCCCACACCCCACCACCTGGGGAGGGGTCTGGCCAATCATGGGATGGCCAACTCCCCACCTTCAGCCGGTTCCTGTGGGTGAACTCCTATCCATCCGGCCACCCACAAGACAAGCTCCTAGAGTGAGACACCTTCTCCACCTCTAGATAGGGAAGTAGAGGTGTGTGAAATGATCGACAGGGGATTTGTACACATGCTGTAAAGGGCTGCTGTGTGATAAACCACCCTACAATTTGGTGGCTTAAAACAACAGCAATGTCCTTTGCTGATGACCTTATCGTTTGGGCAGGAGTGGCGGAAATGACATATCTGGACTCTGTGTGGTGTTAGCTGCGACGACTCAGGTGGAGGCTGGAGGGGTCCCCCTAAAGTCTCTTAACCGCATGGCTGGCAAGGTGGTACAGGCTGCAGGCCACGGGCCTCAGGGGTTCCCCACGTGGCCCCCACATCCACACTTCCTGTGGGCTTCCTCCAAGCATCCCCAAAAAGCAACATGAAAACATAGACCATGCTACGGCGAATTCTAGGAAATCCAGAGCATTACAGTAGCCCCCTTGTCCACAATTGCACTTTCCACGGTTTCAGTGACCTGCGGTCAATCTTGGTCCAAAAATATTAAGTGGAAAGTTCTAGAAACAAATCAATTTTAAGTTTTAAGTTGTGGTCAGTTCTGAGCAGTGTTATGAAATCTGGGCTGTGCCTCTGTATCCTGAGACACAAATCATCCCTTAGTCCAGTGTAACCAGACTCTGCGCTGTCTCGCCTGTCACTCTATAGGAAAAACACAGCACACGTAGGGGTCAGGTACTATGTGATTTCAGGCATCTGCTGGGGGTCTTGGGATGTATCCCCATGGATAAGGTGGGGGCTACTCTAGGTCCACCACGCTCAGTGGTCCTAGGAAGTTGCAAAGGCCCACCCTGGATGGAGGGAGGGGCCATGGACCTCACCACCTGCTCTGCGTGCAGCATCCGTGGAAGCAAACGCTTAATGGCTTCATCCAAAAGGTCAATGTCAGACTGGAAACCACAGATATCACCTCTCCTTCCCCTATATGCAATCATTCTCATTTACAACCTTCCAAAACAGGCCCTCCACTCCAGGCTAGCCAGTTTCCCAGCCCTGCCTCAGCTTCCCCATCCATCCCCCATGGCACTGGGTTCTTTCCTCCTCCCGGGAAGCCTGCGGCACTCGGTGGACACAATTCAAACAGCAAAGCCCTGGCAGCTCAGCTCCCTCCAGTCCCTGCCTTTCTGTTCCCTGGGGACAAATGGCCTCTGGACAACATTAGCAAATAGTCCTTTAAATCCTCTAAGGGTCTTTCTCCTCTCCCAACTGGAGCTGAGGGTCCTTCACGGTGTTTACCACAGCTTCACCCAAAGGAAGTCAGGCATACAGAAAGTGCTCAGTTAACAGTCACAGAAAGGAAGCCAGGCCTACAGAAAGTGCTCAGTTAACACTCACGGAAAGGAAGCCAGACATACAGAAAGTGCTCAGTTAACACTCACGGAAAGGAAGCCAGACATACAGAAAGCACTCAGTTAACAGTCACGGAAAGGAAGCCAGGCCTACAGAAAGTGCTCAGTTAACACTCACGGAAAGGAAGCCAGGCCTACAGAAAGTGCTCAGTTAACACTCACGGAAAGGAAGCCAGGCATACAGAAAATGCTCAGTTAACACTCACGGAAAGGAAGCCAGACATACAGAAAGTGCTCAGTTAACAGTCACGGAAAGGAAGCCAGGCCTACAGAAAGTGCTCAGTTAACAGTCACGGAAAGGAAGCCAGGCCTACAGAAAGTGCTCAGTTAACAGTCACGGAAAGGAAGCCAGGCCTACAGAAAGTGCTCAGTTAACACTCACGGAAAGGAAGCCAGGCATACAGAAAGTGCTCAGTTAACACTCATGGAAAGGAAGCCAGACATACAGAAAGTGCTCAGTTAACAGTCACGGAAAGGAAGCCAGGCATACAGAAAGTGCTCAGTTAACACTCACAGAAAGGAAGCGAGGCCTACAGAAAGTGCTCAGTTAACACTCACAGAAAGGAAGCCAGGCATACAGAAAGTGATCAGTTAACATTCACGGGTATCACTTGGATTCTGCATGGAAAGCTTTATAAACAAGTGGTTTGTTAATTTGAGGGATGAGACTTGAGGATGGAAGACGATTGTAAAAAGCAACCTGAAAATCTAACCCCAACGTCAGCCCTATTTTATGGCTCTTTTTAAATCCTCTCCCTGTTTATGAATCTTTTAGTTGATGCTGCTTGAAAAACTGTGTTTTTAAGATTATCTCCTGATGCTACATTATCAGAGAGGCACTTTTATGTGGCTAGAATATTGATCTTACTATACAGCATTTGACCACTCAATACTTTTTGTATTTATAGAAAAATGTTATCAACAAGGGGATGGTGCTGGTATGGAACCCGTTTTAGCAGGATTAATGTCAACGTCCCCAGAGAGAATGTGACTGTGTTTAGAAATATTTATAATGGAGATAGTTATTTTTTACTAGGATGTTTCTATAGACGATTATAAGTTTGAAGTGATTATAGTCCTAATTTTCTTATTGTACTCCATTTCTTCCCATTTGAACCATTTTGGAACAGAGAATGAAGTGGCAATATGGCCCAGGATCTTGTATTGTATTGAAAATTGTGTTTGTTATCAAGTTGGGATTTTCTTACATGAGCCATGCATCCATCGGTGCTGATGAGGAATGTGGTGATTGGTGTCTACAGTTGAGCCATGCGTTCATTGCTGCTGATTGGAAATGTGGTGTGTGGTGTCTGCAGATGAGCCATGCGTCCGTCAGTGCTGATTGAGAAATGTGGTGTGTGGTGTCTACAGTTGAGCCATGCGTCTGTCGGTGCTGATAGGGAATGTAGTACTTGGTGTCTACAGTTGAGCCATGCGTCCGTTGGTGCTGATGGGGAATGTGGTGTGTGGTGTGTATAGTTGAGCCATGCGTCCGTTGGTGCTGATGGGGAATGTGGTGTGTGGTGTCTACAGTTGAGCCATGCGTCCGTCGGTGCTGATAGGGAATATGGTGTGTGGTGTCTACATATGAGCCATGCATCTGTCGGTGCTGATCGGGAATGTGGTGTGTGGTGTCTACAGATGAGCCATGCGTCCGTCAGTGCTGATAGGGAATATGGTGTGTGGTGTCTACATGAGCCATGCATCGTCGGTGCTGATTGGGAATGTGGCGTTTGGTGTCTACTCCTGCCTATGGCCAGCACTTCTACTATTTCATTTGACGATAAAAAGTGTAGAAAGCTGTGGCAAGGATGTAAAATAAGTTCTACAGTAAGAGCTGAAGTTCATTTGATGATTTAAAGAGCAACTAACAACAGTGGAAGAATTAAACAAGCATATTCTAAGACCTTACAATTTTTCTTGTACTTTTTGATAACCAGAGAAATGCATTTGTGCATGTGCCCACAGAAATACACACAAAGCTATTCACCGTAGCACTGTTGAATGGAGCAATTCAGTGTAAGATACCTATATATTCATCAGGAAGACCAGGGGTATGTAAGTTGTTGCACATTCATAAGCTAGAATACTATGCAACAGTGAAAAATGAATGAGCGATGAAACATCGTGAATAAGTCTTTAAAACATAAAGTTGAGACACCCCCACCAATAAACACAAAAATATGTAGACAACAGGCTGGTATTTACATAACATTTCCCAGCTCTGACTGATATGTAGTGTGTAGTATGAATTTGTATATATGTACATGCATGTATGTGTGTGCCTGTCTTTGTGTATGCAAATGCATGTCTGTGCACATGTGTTGTGTGTGTATATACTAATATTTACTAATATGTAGCAAATTTATGCTACATATTAGTCTTCAAAACAACCAACGCAGCACAGCACTCACCTCTGGGAGGGAGGGTGGGCGTGGCGAGAGGGGTCTGTTGCGGCTTCCCTGTTAAGCTCTGTGATGGGGACAGGGGTATTTGTAACACGATGTCTTCTTTTTTGTATATCTGCCCAAAATATTTCATCATGAAATTCTACATGTGTTATTTACCAGAAGAAGACTTAATTCTGATCCACGTTCCAGAGAAAAAAGAGCAGTTGTTTTTCATGAATCTAGCACTTTCTGTTGCTCAAACTCACATCTCTCCCCTGACTGAAGCCCTCCCCAGCCCCACGCTTTCGGAGGAACTTCCCTGATGTTCCAAGCACGTGACTTCCGCCACCCCTCCCCAGAAGGCCTGCGTCTGCCCTGAGCCTGCCCCTTGTCTATCCCACTGCTCGGAGGCAGGAGCAGCTCACATGGCACCTATGTGGGCACCACATCTCAACAAGCTCCATTTGGCCACTGGTGAGCAGGCAGCAGTTAGCTACCTTTAGACTAGCAAGTCTGCAGACAGTGTTCTTCCAAATGGGCAATGTCACAGAGCAGAGGTCACACCGCTGGCCGGGCAGAAGGCCTCTGCAGATAGGCCTGGAGCAGACGGGGCTGGCCATCCCCATGCTGAGCTGGCCTTGCACCTTAACCTCATGCAGGCCACTCAGCCTTGCCAGGACATTCTACCTGCCAAGATGATGACAGCACTTGGCAACAAACTGTCTCAGCATGTAAGAGTACATCGCCAGGGCAGGGGGCTTCCCTGCACGGTGGACTCCAAACAATGATTCACATGCCAATGTAACCCAGACATGGATTCCTCTTTGTTATTCCTTCATCCATACACACACACACACACACACACACACACACGTGTACCCATACATGCACGTGCATATAAACATACACACACATGTACACAGAAACGAATGCACACATACACACATGCATACATGTAGATTCCACTCTCAAACCAAATCTACCCTCTCAATATATCACTAAAAATCTCATAAACATAACAGGATGAGTTCATTTTGAACAGTGAGTACTAATTCTCCAGATTATGTCACACTTCATTTAATCTTGCTCATTTCTTATGATTAATACTGGTTTGCTCCTTCAAAAAAACTTAGTCAACAGGGAACTAGGAAAGAGGACTGACCTTCCTAAATCTCTTATAGAAGCAAAGCAGAGAAAAAGACCATTTTCTGAGGTTAGGGTCTTTCTAATTCAAGAGAACGATACAGTGTCATGAGCCAGAAACAGCGGCCAGCAGATGTCACGTCCTGTTTTCCACCAGGACAGATGACACAGGCCTTGTCAGATGAAGCAACAGTCAGACAGAGAATCCTGAAGCTTCTGCCAGGAACCTTGAAGGAAACTGAGTAAATGTCTTTTACCAACACTCCGCAGCATGGAGAAACCACACATGAGAAAACATTTGATTACAGAGCAACTCCATTTCCACGGGGTTTATAATCAAACTCTGAGACTAAGGGCTGACGAGTTAGGGAAGAAACAACCAGCACCCTGACGAAGCGCTCCATCTTCATGTTAGAACCCCCTGAGAGTTTGCAAAGTGCAGACTGCCTGGCCCCCTGTGGTTTTGCTTCGGCCCTAAGTTCCCTTCGTGGTTCCAACGAACTCTGCTAGAAACAGCTCGGGCTCCGGGGCACTGTGGCAAGAGCTAGAACAAGCCCTGTTCATCCTTAGTGAGGACAGCCAGCATCAGTGTCACGTGGGAGCTCGTTAGAAATGCAGGGTCCCAGGCCCCACCCCAACCCCTAGATCAGTATCTGCATTTCAACAAGATGTGCAGGGAATTGCAATGTGCATTAAAGCTTAGAAGCAGACTGGCTTCTCCAGAGACCCATCCTGCGGATGCAGGTGTCAGTAATGTGAGTCTCGACTTTGAGCCACAAGTTAGAGATTACGGCCAGAGAAAGACTTAGTGCGTAGCCAGCAGAGGATGGCTTTTGCCTGAAGAGATTCGAGGAAGCTGCTTCACAGCCGAAGAAGCCTGGGCTGGGGCGAGTCTGTGCTGCCACTCAGCTGCCTTGGGTTCAGGCAAGAAGCTGAATCCCGCAGGGTGTTCCGGGATGCCATTGCAGCCTGACCAGAAGGGGCTTTGATGGTGTAGCCCTGTTTGTTTCCTCTGAATATCTTTTTCTTTTCCTTTCCAGTTTAGCCAGCTCTTCACTGAGTGCTGATCACACCCCCGCAGGGTCTGTGCAGTCCTTCGGTTTAATAATCTTTGAGTACATTATTTTACATCTGTTCTTGCTCTATAAAAGAAACAGACTTTTCATTCCACTGTCCACTTCGTGCCTGTTAAAAATTCAGGGACACAATTCCATTTCAGTGGAATGCACCAGGACACCCAATCTTTTATTAATGCAAATTGTGTTCATTTTTGGCTAGTGAGGCAATTAAATTTTCCACGGCAATTAAGAAGTCACCAGCACTGAACCTCCTTCCACATCCAGGTGTGGACTGGCCAGCAGGTGAAGACACTGAGAAAAGAGAGGATTCCACACAAACCCCGTGGCCTCAGAGCTCTCCCACCCGGGGTTCTTGCCAGGGACAGACTGGCCAAAAGACTTGATGCAAGTGTTCAAAATGTTCGTCTTTCAGTATTCCATTCATTTTAATTAAATAGTCATCAAAATTATAATTAAAGTTTCTAAAGGAGTTAAGCCTGTAGCCCCCTCCCTGTCCAGTAGGGTTTAGGCAAATGTCTGTTTTTCACGGCACCAATCTCTGTTGCTCTTCCTTACATTGCTTTCCCTCCAGTTTCTAAATTACCTATTCTTCATCCCAATAACGACCAAGAAAGGGTTGCTTCTCCAGCTCCTTTCCCCACCCCTCCCCAAGGGCAGCCCCGGCCTGGTCCCACTGCCCATCATTTGGAGCATCTGCCCTGCCTCGCCCCTGACTCCATCGGACGAAGTCCTGCGCCCTCCGTGCCCCGCCACTCCCCACCCAGCTCAAAGGTCCTGCAGTGGATGCATTTCATCCCCGGCCCCATGCCCCCCACTCCATTTGTGTTGGTTAGCATTTTTACTTTAAAGATTATATGTAATTAATAAACAACTGTGAGTCTCTCCACTGTCACAAAGAATGGTGTACCTTGAATACAGACGCTCCTTCAGGGGCTCAAGTCAATGCATACCCAGGGAAGGAAGGTGGCTGGGCCCCGTTGCCACCACTGCCTGCTGCCGCCCTGTACAGAAGACTCCCGCAAAGGCAGCTGGGCAGGTGGACAGAGCCAGAGAGGGAGGGAACCTCTCCTGGGCACAAGCATCGGAGGAGAGGAAGGAGAGCCTCCAGGCACCATGCTCAGGCCCAGGACCCAGTAGCCATAGAGGAGCACTGTCCAGAGCCCTGGGAAAAAGGAGCCCGGAACTTGGGGAGGGGGGACGGGGCAAAAGAAGCAGAGAGAGGAGCAAATGGGAGGCTTGCAGCAGCTCCGACCCCGAACAAAGCCATAGAGCATGGGCCCTGGGAGACAAGACGCAGTGAGGGAGAGTGCTCCCCCTGCAGCTGTGAGGGCAGCGGTGCCCTGGGGGTGCTGGGGACAGGAGTGGTGCCCATGAATGGCCGCTGGGATGGTGAGGGTAGAGGGGACAGAGAGGAGCATCCAGGGAGCCGGGGTCCCGAATCTAGCAGTTTGGTTGGGACACTATTGGTGAGAGACGCGGGTACCAAGGACGGGGGCCCCTGCCAGGCCTGACTTCACTCAATCCTCATCTTCTCTCCATCTCCAGCCTTGTTTGTGGAACGGGAATGATAGCAGCAGCCCCAAGGACACATCCATGCTCAGCAAACCCCAGCAGGGCCCCTGAATCTCAGAGGCAGGAATCGCAGCCACCCACCGGGGAGAGAAACTACAGGTGCGTGCCCGGCACTGCAGGTGCCAACAGGAATCATCTTTCCTCAACACCTTGCCAGTCTGACCAACTGAAAGAAGGGAAAGAACTGAAGAATCACATAAGGAGGTTAAACATTTCCCACAAAGGGGAAGAGCAGTGGGCCTGGTAGACTCTATGACTGAACTGGGGCTTGTCCTACTCAGGTGCCATGGGCCTCCTGGGTAGATCATTGCGGGGCGGTGCATCCCGCACGAGGGGGTGTGAGCAGCGTCCCGGCCTCCACCCTCTGATACCAGGCACACCCCCTCCGGTGACAAATGGAAATGTCACCATGGGACATTTCCCAAGGCCGCAGGGGGTGGCCCGAGTTGTGCACCCCTGAATAAGGCATGTTTGTATGGTTCCTGGTGCCTCAAGCACAACTGCGGGGCCCCACGCCTGCTTTACTGGTGGAAATGGTGTGGCCGCTTGGGAAAATGGTTAGGTATTTTCATATTTTCTTATAAAGTTAAATGTGCAATCCTACTCCTAGAGAAATGAAAACTTATGTTCATCAAAAAGCTACATACCAATGTTTAGAACAGCTTGATTTGTGAAAGCAAAAGTTGGAAATAATCCAGATGTCCTACAACGGGTAAATGAGTAAACAATTTACTTGGCATGACATTTCCACACCGAGAAACCCTCCCCAGCATCAGAAGGAATCACCTGTCCATAGACACAGCTACCTGGTGGCCCTCACAGACACCGTGCTGAGGCGGAGAAGCCTCTCAAAGGTGGCCGGAGGTTTCAAGTCATCTGACATCGCAAAGACTCTAATGACGGAAAACAGACCAGGTTCCCGGTGAGGGCTGATGTGGTAGGGTAACAACCTACCCTCGGACACACCACGTTTCAGCACTGAAAGTCCCCCATCCACACGAAACCCCTCAGTCCCAGGAAACCCAGGCCGGTGGGTGGCCACAGGTATGACGACAGGGAGCTTGAAGGTGAAGGCATATTCTATATTCTGATTACGGCAGTGGTTATACAAATCTACACGTGTAGAAATTCGTAAAGCTGCAGACCAAAAGGAAAAAATAGCTAACTTTACTACATGATAATTTTCAAGACAAAAGAAAGCAAATGCGCCTATAGAATCGCTTTCAGGGGCGGGAATGCAGCGCAGGGCTCCAGACCTTCCCAGTCTCCCAAGGGGCTGGGGTAGCATGGGAAGAGAGGGTAGAAACGGTTCACTTTGTAAGTAGCAGCCTGCATTTGAGTCCGAGTTGCTCTTCTCAGGTGTAATCCACACAAACGGACCCTCACTCCTCCTTCATTCCTACCAACCTGTGGAAGAGCGAGTAAGTCCCTGGATTAACACAAGCCCTGAATCAAAATCATTCCAGCTAATCCCCATTCTGACACCCGACTCTCCACCTGCAACCTTGCCCGTCCTGTTGGCGCTGTTTCTGCTGTAGTCCTCACGAACACCCCCGGAGGCGGGTACCATCAATCTCCAAGTCTTTTTTTAATTAGAGAACAGAGGCAGAGAGGCCACACCTGAGGCTGAGGCTCAGTCCTTTCTTGGCAGCTCACCTGAGCGCAGGTTTGTGGGCCCTGGGAGCTTCTGAGGCTTGGGACCTCCAGCCTCAGGCCATCAATCTTGTTGCTCTTCAGCTACTGATTTTGGAGTGGGACCGGGCTTCCTGGCCCCCAGACACTTTCTTCTCCAGCCTGGAAGAGGAGCCTCTGCCCACACGACCAGGTGTCAGAGATGCTGTGCCAGGCAGTGAACACTCGCCAAGGAAGACCCAGGCATGAGACTCAGCACCAAGAAGAGTGGGAAGGGCTGCGGGAATCTCCCACACCCTTTGGAATCCAGCCTGGAACCAGGTCTTGGTGTGGAGGGCCTGGTAGCACGCAGCCAAGACAGTGAGGAATAAGGGAGAGAGGCAGGCAGGCCGTAGCCCTGGCCTGGCTGAGCAGAGACTGAGCAATTCAGCAGGAGGCGCGAGGACATCTAGCACCAGCCTGGATCCCTTGGTGAACCTTTGTCTATTAATGGGTCACTTGGTTCCCTTCCAGTGAAAGCGTCATCCCCTGCGTGTTTGCAGAGGCTCTGGGGCTCAGAAGCAGCTCTTCAGTCGCCTGCATGGTCCCCATGTGCCCTCATCTCTCCCATCCCCCCATGCTGGGCATGGAGGCAGCGAGAGGAAGACACCTCCAGCGCCTGGAGATGCTGTGCACAAAGATGCAACGCTCAGGGCAGTGATGTGGTCCCTGTGAGGGGCCTGGACTGAAACCCACCCCGGACAAGAGGTCAGACGCTGCAATTCCCTACCCCGTCCCCCACCAAAATCTGCCCTAAGCCTTCCAGACCCTGCCTCTGCAAAGCAGTTACTGCTGCCACAGGTCATGGCTGGCAGGGGATGGAAAGTGCAGGCCAAAGAGAGAGGAACTTGGAGTCAGGACCCTGAGATGCAGGCCGCTCTGGCCCTGACCTTGTCCACGGCAGCCTCAGCGCAGAAACAAGGAGACACCTTCCGTCACCACGGAGCAAGCCCTTCACCATGTTTTCAAAAACCTGCCATCCTCAGGATGGAGAAGGAGGAGGATGACCGAGGCAGGAAGGAGTTCAAGGGCAGGAGGTGCTGAGGGGCTCAGAGGGAAGGGAGGGAGAACCTGGCAGCGCCCCGAGCTCAGGTCCGGGCCCTGCTGGAGCCTCCGTGGAGCATTTGACAGATGAGTCACGGAAGCCCCCAAGGCTCTGCTTCCTGCGTTTTGAAAGGGAAATAATATGAGTGGGAATAAGATCAAATGAGATAAAACATATGATTATTTTAATAACCTATTGCTATGCCCCACTTGAGCACATTTTAAGTTTCAATTCTGGGGCTAGAACAGCTTCCAAACGGGTTGTACTGCAGATGGTGGGTGACCTCAGTGGATCTGAGGAACCAGTCCCCAAACTGTTCCTTGTCAAAGCAACGACCTTCCGTAAAGACCCTGCAGTGGCATCAAAACACCCACTTGGCTTGACTGGGAATTCAAGCCTGTCCCCACAAACGTGTACCCAACACAGAGTTCTCAACGTCCTCCTGGAAGGGGAGGGTTGACATGCTGTTTCCCCTGGTAGATATTCCATCCTGTGTATAACCGACATTTCTTCTGATGAGAAAAGATCCATCTACCCTAGTTTCAGTTTGGAAACACAAACTGTGATTAAACCGAGAAAATTCATTTCACAGTTTTATTCATCGCCGCCAGTCCCTCCTTCCTAATGATTGTTGGGCTGAGCAAAAGAGACGCCACTTCCCTCTAAAGGTAGCAAATCTAACAGCATATATAAAGCCAACTATGCAAATACGACCACACTATAATTGCTGTGAGAACCGGAACACTGAATTTTATGACTTTTGTGCATTTAACTTTCCTCCCATCATGTTGCATTAACGAAGGGCGTCTTTTTTTTTTTGCATTGAATTTATACCTAATGTGATTCCATTCTGCAGTCTTTACAGATGCAGATGAGGCAGCTATAGCGTTCCTGATGCAAAAACTGTTTTCGCTAAATCATATCAAAATGTTTCATGGATCACACCAAAAAGTGTTGAAATATGGAAATTGGTCTTTTTCAAAAACTGTCCTTAAAATCCAAATGGTATGTTTTGAATTTCTTTTCTCTACACCACACCCTTCCCAGTATTTGTGGAAAATTGGAGAAAATAAGTAATATATTAATTCCATGCTGCCAGGAACAGGAGAGAACGGTCAGACTGAAGCTTATTTTAACTCCCCTCTAAATAAAGGAGGTTTGTTCAGAGCTCGGGCGTTACCCTGGCACACGAAGCAGCAAAAGTTAACATTTAGACAGTCAGAAATGTTTTCTTACCTCACTTCTAAATAAGGGAACAACTAAATAATAATCTTTCTCAATTAGTGACACAAGATTTATATTTTTATACGCAAAAGAAGGCTGTGTACCTCTGTCTTAATGTGCTGTGTATGCACATATATTCAGCGGGATCAAACAAAACTGAAAACTGAAAATTAAAGCACTGTGAAGCTCTACAGGGCACAGTAGCTTCATGCTGCAGTGAGATGCACTCTTTGGCTACCCTGGCAGGCAAAAAAGCGTGAGAAATACTGTCTGTTTTGTATAATCGTTTCCCCGGTTCTTTAAGTAGACTGAAAACCACAACAAAATCTGCTGTGTGGAGAAAATTAACTGTTTGGGGTCTTATGCAAAGAATAATTAAAATGAATGTGAGTACAATTACGTAGATTAATGTAATTAGAAGGAGGTACAGTAGCCAGATATCAAAGACGCATTCTAAGAACCTCCAGGAGAATCAAGGTGGAGTGGAGAACAATACTCTTGAGAAGGCTGGGTGGTCTTCTCAGCAATTAATGGAGCTGAGTCAAAGAGAAGACCTTGAAAAGCTGCAGGAAGAGTGGATAAAGAAGGTGGGCGGGGAGGGGGGTGGTTTATAAAAAAAAAAAAAGACACTACAACAAAAGCAAGACTTCCTGCAGTTGACAGCATTCTTTCGGATGGGAGTGCACATCAGCCTGCAGCTATTTATTTTTCTTCCCGAGATGAAGAAAACGTGCAAATTAAATTAAATGATGCTAACGTACTGGCTACAACGATTATGGGTAGCTCTGCACATTCAGCCAAAATGGCGTTAATATGTCCCAGGACGGGTGAAAACGCGCCCAGGTTCGTCCTCTCCTGAAGGCGGCTGGCTGGGGCTCTGCGAAAAGTGCGCATAGGAGGGGAAGAGAGAGACGAACAAGGAACAGGCAGGGCTCAGCATCCTCCATCCGGGTGATGGGTAATTATTTTCTTAAGTAGAGAATATTAAGCAGCCGTTGGCTTTTCTATGCAATCGCACACCCTACCAGGACCTGGACACATCAGGCTGTCTCAGGGTGCTGGGTGAGCGCTCTCCTTATGCAGCGGCCGCTGCAAGCGGTTGGTTTCCTTTGCTTTGGCTTTAACTGGGGCAGGAGGGAGTCAGTGAGTAGAGCAGACTTGGAAACTACTTAATAATGCTGCTCCAGCGGTATACTTCCCAGTTCAATCACTTCACCCTGGTAGAACACCATACCTGGATTTCTCATCAACGTTAAGTGTGTTTTTTAATATATATAATGGTATTTGAATGACATTTATTTAATAGATTCAAATCATACACTGGGTATCTCTGTTACTGAATTGATTCTCCTTAACATCACTGAACACGTCACGGTCTGTCCCAGCATAATGCCAGGTGGGAAGTTTACACAAAACCACGCTTACTGGATCTATGCCTGGCTCTCAGGAATGAAGGAAAATCCCTACAGAATCGCTGGAAATTTTCCTCTACCCAGCACCACGACCGTAACATTTATTATTATCCCCATTTATTGCTTTCAATCTTTCATTAATAATTTAATGTTTAGAAAAAAACAAGCTCTTCAAAGCAGAAAAAAATCCATTCCAAGCTAAATAAACTTTTTTTTTGTCAGAGTTAAATGTCTTTGCATTTTGAAATGCCAGTTCCGTCACGAAGTCTTCATTAAAACCACTGATTTAGAGAGAAGGAAGTTTTGCTGTGAGCAAACCTCTCTGGGCTGCATCTGTTTGCACAGAGTTGAGAATTCCCTCCTAATGACCAAGTGTATGTGTACACAGTATCATATTTTGAACCTAATCTTGTTTTGGTCTCACACAAGCAGTAGATGTGTTTATTTATATGGATTTAATCAATAACAAGGGCTGCTCTCTACACAGCTCAAATACATCGCTTGAAAGCAAACTGTTATTATGGCATTTCTGAAGTTAGAGCTTCCAGCCCAGACTCTAGCAGAGTCCTTGTCATTCAGAAAGTGCCCTTTTGACTTAATTATCAACCCTTTGCTTGTTGAGTGGAATTATTATCTGAGGCACAGATACAAAATTATTTTTCCTCTGCCAACAGAACATGCAGCAATCCAAGTTAGAAGTGCACATGTACCCTAGAACTTAAAGTCTTAAAAAAAAAAAAAAAGAAAGAAAGAAATTGCATTTCATCACATTTGAGGCCTGAAGGCGGCTGTGGCAATTGCAGATGAGCTCACAGGTGAAGGGGGACGGTCTCCCGTGTTCCTGGGCCTGACTTCAGGAGTGGATTCACATTTCTGCAGGGCAGAGCCCCAGAGGCAAGTGAGTTTTCTTGGTATAAAGGAACCAAGGTTCAGAGGAACTTCACGGACCTGGGCTGTTGATGCCATGGGATTGACTCGCCTTCCTGTAGCCTTCCCTGGATGCCCATCTTCCAATGCTCATATCTTTTTGCACACGGTCTCCCACTTAAGAGGGTGAAGTCTCTGCCCCATTGACCCCGCACCATCTGACCTTTGATCTAGACAGCTTGCTCCAAATTCAGTTCTGAATGACTCCTGTTCTCTCAGGCACAATCTACATAATCCACTGTCAAAAACTGTCAAACAAATGCTTGATTTCATACACCCCATTTCAGCAGCCTGATCAAAACACCGAAAGAGAAGCAAGGAAGGGAGAAAGAAATCTCATCTAGGCTGGAGAGAATGTGGCCCCATAATGAAAAGCCACTGCAAGGAAGGACCCTGTGGGAAGGTAAAAATCCTATGTTTTTGTGAGTGTGCAGATGCCAAGTGCTGAATATGATCTCCACGAAATTCATGACATAAATTATAGCAAATGGGAGCATCTTGCATTTTCTTTTGCCTCCTGGACATGTAGACCCAGATTCTGACAGCTGCCTCAGAGAACAGTGGGGAAAAGTTTGCTAAGTGTTTTGAGAAAGTGTGCAGTTGCTTCTTCTTTGCAGACTTTGGGAGAACGAAGCAGAGTGAGGAGGAAGGGGATGTGTGACAAGTTCCTTTCATATTAGACTATTTTGTTTATACTGTTTTGAAAATAATTTAGACTTTGACTCATAGTAGAAGCATTATAACCTCCAGGATGAATAAATGAATATGACAATTTCTTCTTACATATAACCTGATTTTAAACTATTCTGATCTTTATAAATTTGACTATTTGATGATAAAACACACAACAGCATATTCAATATGCTAATATTCTATATAATTCAGTTTCTTATCATAGCAAAACTTTAAAAACTAAACAACAAATATATTTTCCTTGAGCCCAGATTAATTTAAATAAGTTCTGTTTTCATATTCCATTTTCAAAATTACACAGGAAAAGTTTTTTCCTGCATTTTTTATTTCTAATGACTGAATGGTTAAAAATTTATTTATGTTATTAGATTCAAAGATCATACCTTCTCTTGAAGGTAATGTGCTATTCTGCCTGATTATAATAAACGCCAATGTTTCTACAACGGCAACAGTTCACTGCTGCATTAGCATATTTGGGCTGAGGTATTGTTTTACTATGACCTGTATAATAAGTGTCACATTAGCAACACAACAAATCAAACGTTTGTTAATTTCCCTCGCTTTCCCACACAGCTGGTGGTGTTATCATGTCACCAGATTTTAATTAATATGGTAAGTAACACTTGCAAGACAACAGCCTGATTTTTTTCCCCTCTGTGTGCGTGAGGGTCCAAGTGCCTCCTCTGTGCACGTGTGTGCGTGTGCATGGCTGTACGCGTGTGTGCTGAAGAGAGAAAAGGGGGAGGAAAATATATTCGCAAGGGCTTTTCACAGCAAAGTACAGATACTAAAAACACACACAGACCCATGCGATCCTATTTCCAAATAAAACTTTCTTTACACCATTTTCTTTTGCTCTTCCAGATCAAAGCCTGCAATGCTGTACAATAAACATTTTTTAAAACATTACATAAAATGCACACATTTTATACTTGGGCTGGTTGTGTGTGTTTAAGGTTTTAGCATTTAAGAGAGAGATGCGATACTCTGTCTCCCGAGAGGCTTAATTTTAATTTCTGGCCTTCATGTGAATAGTAACTAACACATTTCTGACTTAGACACACAGACCATTTTAAGTATTTTTCTTGTGCTACGGTCTGATCAGCAATATTCTAGGGTAAGTCAAAAGTGCCATCTATTTGCAAAAGCTAGAAATGCAACTAAGTCCAAAGTGGAAAATCTCTCAACCCGTCCCAGCTGCCACGGCCTCCAGTTGCTGATGACAGACCCATAACGTGGCTCAGCCAGACAGACTGGAAGAAGAACGATAGCACTAAAATACACAACATGAAATCACAGTCCAGTAATTGTTACATTGTCAATAAAATATTTTGCAATGCCTGCACCCAGATTTTATTTAAAACTGTTTCAATGCATTTTTTTTAGCAAAACCTAAGATGGTGTCTAAATTCAAATAACCAGCATCTTGTAAAATATTGCCTGAGAATGAATGTATTTTAACTTTAGATTTTAAAAAATTCATTTAATAAATGACACAGTAGAAACGAAGTCTGTAACAACAGTAGAAACCCTTAAACCATCTCTGGAAAGAAAATTTCAATAAGAAAAATGGTGCAAAATTAGAACTCTCTGTAATGCTTTCTGACTTTAAATATTCTAAAGAGAAAGGAAACCTCTTTCTTCTGGAAATAGAAAGCAGAGATCCTTTTAAAAAGATGAAATTCTTCCCAATCTCCTTATTGTTATTTAACATATTTCCTTCTGTTGCAAAATACAAGACTTCCTCCCACGAGTCCCAGCTTCAATATTCCACCTACACGAAGGGGCCGCAGCAGTAGAATGCCTCTGATAGACCGAAGCATGGCCCAGTCCCTGGGCAGAGGGAAGCAGGGTGGCAACATGCACACACCCGCAGGTCTGTGGAGAGGCCAGGCCACCAAATCCAACACTAACTGTGAAGCAATGTGAGCTCCACCCTCTGTCCTAAAGCTGCTTCACAAAAACCTTGGGTTGCATAGAAGCAGACTTTACCGCCTTCAGCTCACAGTGTAAAAACAAGCTCCAACTGTATGTCTGCCTGTAGACAGCTGGTGGTGGTGCTGAAGGGAAACCTGGGCGCATGGCACCTCTTCAGAGCCTTCTTCTCTCCAGGTGTGTATGGGCAGACTGTACCCATCCACTACATGGAGGGCGTGGAGGAAAACCGCGCCAACGGGCTGATCTGTCAGACACAGTTCCAGGATAATTCCCTCAACAAATGAAGCACCTGAGCGTCTCCTGCCCGGTCAGGGCCAGGATCTGGAGACCACCCCACCACACACAGATGGAGGAATCTTCCTTCTGTGTCATTTACCTGCTTTGATGGCAGCCTTTGAGGGATGTCTGGGGTCCCCTTGGTGAGCAAAGCTGGTAGAGCCAGCCAGCAGGACAGCAGCCTGAAGCCCCACCCCCGGGAATTGTGGTCCTGAGCTCTGACTGCAAAGGCCCGCGGGGAGCACCTCAGCCAAGGAAGAGTCACCTAGACTGCCAACACCAGGCACGGGGCAAAGACTCCAGAGGACTCAACGGGAAATTATTCCACTGCCCAGCCGGGGCCATTCTGTTATACAGCAAAGCCCTGCCTCCTGGCTTAGCAGAAACAGGGCCTTTCTGCCTCCACTCCCACCCCCGGTGAGGCAGCAGCTTTAGTGCTGGGCATGAGCGGGTAGGAACTTCCAGCAGACTGGGAGATGTTCATCTTCCCCTAAGAGAATCGGCAGCCCAAGAATGTTGCCAAGGGATCCTCAAAAGAACTGGGACTTAAATCACCTTTGTAAGTAGGAGACACGTGCCCAAGAAGCCAAGGGACCTTGCGTGGCCGTGAGCGTGACAAGAAAGAGGCTAGAGGTCAAGACACCTCCAGCCCGTCTCAGAAGGCTGCACGCAGGCAGCCCTGGCTGTGAAGGAAAGCAGCTGTGAGCTGAGAAACCAAGCTTCCAAATTAAAAAACAAGAAAATATGCATTTCATGCTGACCAAATAGGGGCAGAAGAGACCTGTTATGGATGAAGAACTGATGAGCTGAGTGGCTGAGAGAGGCAAAGAGGGGAGGCTACGTGGATACGGCACAGGCGGCCGCAGGGCCAGGCCAGCAGAAGCCCAGCTCTAGAAAGGAAACAGGGAGGGAGGAGGAGGGGGAGGGGGGAGGAGCAGGGACGGAAGGAGAGAGCACGCGTCTAATCCACAGAGCCGAGAATTGCCAGAATCCAGTCAAAGTGGCAAACAGATGATAGAAAGATAAATAAACCTGTTCATCTTCCAAAAAACAATTTGGAATCAGTAAAGCATCCTACTCACTCGCCGTCAACGCCTAAAATCACAGGCACACACATGCACACACATTCCCTCTGGAGTAATACTGAACCCCAGCAACTCAGGCCTGGCGGGGGTTAGGGTCAATGCAGTGACCACTAAGCATTGGTGTTCTGTGCTATTGCTCTGCCCCATGGAGGGCAGCCCCAAGAGCTCATGGGAGACCCCCTGTGCTTCCCCAGAATGGAGCAGCAGAAACCAAGCCTGTCTTCAGGAACATGGGACAGCAGAACCATAATATTTTTAATTACATGTAAGACTTTGCCAGTATAAGACACACCATTACCTTGCATACCAGTAAGAAAGAAACATGTGGTCGGTTATCACTGTAAGTTGTGATGGATGGTGAAATGCATCTTATTCTAAAATTATTAAATGTAAAAACTGTCTATCTTAGCATAAATGAAGAATATTAGTTAACAAATATTTAGAAATCAAGTAGAAGTGAGATGCGATTGCCCCAGTCAGCTGTGTTACTAAGATTGGAGAAAATTCAAAGAAAAGTTAAAACACCCCTGTGATATCCTACCAATTAACTTTCGGTGGCTTTAGAAGGTAATTCCAAAAAATAAAATTTAATTTTAAAAATCTCCCATTCCATGAAGCTAATTTCAAGTTTCATCCCAAGTTTTGCACTTATGCTCACGTTGGCCTCCTGAGAGGCCAGGCAGACAGCAGGTGTCAGTAGGTCATGAGTTGTCCAGAAGCCAGTTGGACAGCAGCCATCAGTAGGTCATGAGCTGTCCAGAGGCCAGGTGGACAGCAGGCATCAGTAGGTCATGGGCTGTCCAGAGGCCAGGGGGACAGCAGGCATCAGTGGATAATGGGCTGTCCAGAGGCCAGGTGGACAGCAGGCATCAGTAGTAGATAATGAGCTGTCCAGGGCCAGGTGGACAGCAGACATCAGTAGGTCCTGGACTGTCCAGAGGCCAGGTAGACAGCAGACATCAGTACATCATGGGCTGTCCAGGCGCCAGTTGGACAGCAGGCATCAGTAGGTCCTGGGCTGTCCAGAGGCCAGGTGGACAGCGGGCATCAGTAGGTCAAGAGCTGCTCAGAGGCTAGAAGGACAGGCATCAATAGGTCATAGGCTGTCCAGAAGCCCACTGGACAGCAGGCCTCAGTAGGTGATAAGCTGTCCAGAGGCTAGGTGGACAGCAGGCCTCAGTAGGTCATGAACTATTCAGAGGCCAGATGGACGTAGACTCAGTAGGTGACAGGCTGTCAACACTGGTTGCTGCCACCACCACTCTGCCCCCACATCATGTATGGGAACAGGAACAAACAGGGGGAGGGGGAAAGGCAGGTAGTAACACATACAACAAAGCCCACGCCCCAGGTTTGAGACTCCATTGCAGTTTTCCAGCAACCAAGAACACGAGAAGGGAGGAAAAGAGAGGTAGACCCTGAAACCCTTTCCACGGAATACAAGGAAATGCACCTCCATGTGGTGGCAGGGGCACAGATGCAGCTCTGGGGGATGATCGCCTGTTTGGAAGACAGCCTGCAGACTGCACCATGCAGTACTGAGAGGGCCGATGAATCGCGTGAGACAGTAAATGACGCAGGAAAATTGTGTTCTTAGGGTTTTTTTTGTTTTTGTTTTTTTGTTAAATTCCTGCAAAATTGTATGTGTAATGCAACAATCATCTGCTATAAATAGAGTCTTTGTCATCTGTTAGCTGAGCCATTTGGGTGTTGCAAAAATCAAAAAGGAATTGATTTTGATGTTCTGACATGCAAGCGAAGGGGAGCGCATCCTGCTGATGAACCAAACACAGGCTCCAGGGCTGGTGTGCAGATCAATCTCGTACCTACGTCAGGTGTCTGTGGCAATACTGAGGAGAAAAAGCCACACATCCCTGGAATGCATGGCCTTTGCTGTATGATGCCTTCTCCGAGGAGCATTACTATTCTTACCTTCCGTTGAGAGTTACGTTTTTCCTAATCCCCCTGACCCTGAGCACTATTTATAAAATGTACAATCAACAAGCAAAGAGAGAGGAAGGAGGAGGAAGAGAAAGGGAGAGGCAGAGAGCACAGATTCTCACATTTAACCCCAAACACCATTCAAGCAGGAGTAGTGGATAATAATCAGCAAGGAAGCCCAGCAGCCTCCTGTTAAGCATTCTTGTTCTCATTAGCAGGGCTGGCATTCTTCATTACCCAAACCATTCAGTTCAGCTCAGGAGCACCAGAAAGAAGAACTTTCACCATTTCCATTATGCAACTTGCCTCTGCTAATTTTAGTGATTACACTGGGTCTGGACATATCATTAATCTCATTTCTTGTGCCTAGTTTATTTCAAACAAACAGGAGGTGTATTATTCTCCCTGGGAGGCTCAGGAAGTGCCCGCCTTCCTCACGCTTCCTCACAGCCACACTACCAGGACAGTCTTTGGAAGAGAGATGTCAGCCCTGCCCATGAGCCAACAAGCCCGTCGGTCGGCTCCACGTGAGGGCAGAGCCGGTTTCTGTCCAGGCCCACTGCTGACACCCTGCATCTACACTGCTGGCTTAATTTTGCTCCCATCATCTGGGGAGTTATATTTTATATAGACACACTCATAAATTCCCACTCATTTTTGGAAAAATGCCCCCAAATAGTATAGAAATATATATAGAAGTCTGGGTAAAAATCAGTTCCCAAAGTGATTTGCAAAGTAAAAATGGCTCATTAAAGTTGCTGGAAATAACACTACTTTTTGTGATTAGACCAGAGGGAACAGGCATCATGCACACAGCTTCTCAGCTCACACTGAATTCCTGGAGGGGCTTTTGGAACAGTGTGAAGAAGGGCTCTCTAAATCCATTCTCCAGTGATTGGCCTCAGAGAAGAAGCAAGGGACAGACACATTCAAAGTGTTCTAGGAACAGGGGAGAATGTTCTAGTGAGACACACAGAGCCTCCAGCTAGCCTTCAGCATCACGCAAGAGCACAGACATGTATGTTCCTGCCTAGGAAGAAGTGCAGGTGTGCATCTGCCTGCAGGTACTGTCCAGCCACTGCCACATCTGCTGTGTCAGTATCTGGCACCTCCACTCACATCAGGCTCTGTGAGATCGGACATGGTTGTGAATGGAAGGTGCGTGGTCAGAAGCCCATGAGTGACCTTGGGTAAGTCACACTCAGCCTCAGGTTTTTCATCTGTGAAATGGAGAGAGTACAACCTTTATACACCTGTGAGAATTGTGTGAAACAATGCTCATAAAAATGCAAAAGTCAGATAGAGGCTCATTCAGGGTCTCAAAGAAGGCCTCTGAGAACCTGTTATGTTTGAATTGCATACAGGAAGAGAATTATATTAGTGAGATACTGAGAACATCTCTGTGGGATGCTGTCTCCTTTCCATTCATTTTCAGTCATCCACTCCTCCACCCACCCATTCATCCAACCATCCAATCATCCATTCATTTGTCCATCCATCCATCCATCTGCCCATCCATCTGATCATCCATCTGATATCCATCCATTCATCCATCCATCAGATCATCCATACATCCCTCTATCTGATCATTCATCCATTCATCTTACCATCCATCCATCTATCCATCCATTAATCAATCTTATCATTCATCCATCCTTCTATCTGATCATCCATCCATCCATCTGACCATCCATCCATTCATCCATCCATCTGATTATTCGTCCATTTGGTCCACCAATTCATCTGATCATCCATCCATCTATCCATCTGATCATCCATCCATCTGATCATGCATCCATCCATTCATTCATCTAATCATCCATCCATGCATCTGATCATTCATCCATCTGATCATCCATACATTTGGTCACCCATTCATCCATTCAACCATCCATCTGATTATCCATCCATCTGATCATTTGTTCATTCATTCATCTGAGCATCCATCCATCTATCCAACTGATCATCCACCCATCATTCTATCTGGTCATCCACCCATCTGACCATCCATCCATTCATCCATCTATTTAATCATCCATCCATCCATCCATTCATCTAAGCATCCATCCATGCATCTGATCATTCTTCCATCTGATCATCCATCTGGTCACTCATCCATCCATCCATCTGATCATCCATCCATCTATCAGATCATCCATCCATTCATCTGACCATCCATCCATTCATCTGACCATCCGTCCATTCATTCATCCATCTGATTATCCATCCATCCATCCATCGATCTGACCATCTATCCATTAAGCCATCTGATCATCCATCCATCTATCTATCCATCCTTCTATCTGATCATCCATCCATTCATCTAATCATCCATACATGCATCTGATCATCCATCCTTCTGGTCACCCATCCATCCACCCATCTGATTATCCATCCATCTGATCATCCATTCATTCATTAATCTAATCACCCATCCATCTTTCTATCTGATCATCCATCCATCCATCCATCTATCCATCTATTCATCTAATCATTCATCCATGCATCTGGTCATTCATCCAACTGATCATCCAGCCATCCTGTCACCCGTCCATCCAGCCATTCATCTGATTATCCATGCCTCTGATCATCCATTCATTCATTCATCCGATCATCTATCCATCTGATCATCCATTCGTTCACCCAATCATCCATTCATTCATCCGATCATCCATGCATTCATCCAGCAAACATTTACTGAGCTACTCCCTAGTTCCAGGCTCTGTGGGAAATACTGGGACACAACAGTGAGCAAAGTAGACAGCATCCTTATATTCCTGGAATTTTCTCTCCAGGGGGAGGGCCATAAAATAATCAAATTTGAATCAGTAAGTGCAGAATGACACCTGTGGTGTGTGCACTGAAGGAAAGGAACGGGGCAAAATGAAAACAAAGTGATGGCTTGGCCAGGCCTTTTCCAGGGAAGTCTGAGAAGTGTTCTCAGAGATAGAGGCCAGAGCTGAGAGGGGCTGGGAGGATGGCATGGCTGGATAAAGGAGTGAGAGGGAACACTCAATAAGTGGAAAGGAACCCCATGAAGGCTGCAGTGTTAGTTTTCTGTGGCTGTTGTGACAAAGTATCACCAGCTGGGCAGCTCAAAACCACAGAGATGGATTCTCTTATATTTCCGGAGGCTGAGAATCTGAGATCAAGGCCTTGGCAGCCTTGGGTCCTTCTGAGGGCTCTAGGGGAAGATTCTCCCTGGCTTCTCTCCCAGCATCTGGTGATGCAGTGCTTGGTGCTCCTCAGCCTGTATCACTTGGATGCATCGCTCCAACCTCTACTTCGTCGTCACATGGCATCTTCTCTGTGTGTCTCTGTGCCCAAACTTCCCGCCTGATGTGTGGACCCCAGACGCTGTATATAAGTCCACCCTAATCCAGTATGATCTCATTTTAACTTGACTACTTCTATGAAGATCTTATTTCCAAATAAAGTCACATACATAGGTTCTAGGGCTTAGGACTTCAACATATCTTTTTAGGGGACACAGTCCCCTAAATGGTCCTACAATAGCTGAAGAGTGAAGGCGAAGTAGCCACAGATGAAGCTAGGGGAGGAGGCAGGACATGCTAGGCCTGGCAGGCCTGGGAAGGGACCTGGGAAGAGAAGACGGAAGGGTGATAACATCTGGAAGGTAGGAAATGCGTTGGCAGTTCTTGTGGTGCTGACGGTGGCTTCTCAAATTCACTGCTGCAAGGATTTCTTGAGGACCTGTATCTGCAGGCCTATGCCCCACACTGAGATGTATGGTTAGCAAAGCTGACAACAGCCCCAAAGTAACTTAGGAAGTTGTGGGGAGAGATGCTGCTTCTGTGGATCAGGCAATGATCCTGGGAGGGGAGAAGGATGCTCAGGAGGTGAAGACAGCAGCATGCATTGGGTCCAGGATGAGGGGGAGCCATGTCCAGTCCAGGCTTCAAGGCACTGGCCTGCCCACCAGACAACTGGGGTGTTCATGCCATATTCTGTCCTCCCTGCAGCCAGCCCCACCAAAGACCCTCTAGGATGTGCTGGCATTCTAATAGTTTCTTATAAGACTGACTTTTTACATCATTGCACAATGTGTCTGTAAAATAATATCTATTCTTACTCATGTGTAGGGCATCTCCCCAACTGGATTCCCACACACAGATACATCTCTTCTCCTGTGCATGAAGCCTGCTGACTTTCTTCATTTGAGCAAATACAGCCTAGTCTTAACCACCCATGGCAATACCCTACATAGATAACATATCTACCCTATGTAGACAACATTAAACTACATTTTCACCTATACATATGCCACCTGTTGATTTTTCCAAGGGGCATTTATGTTTCCAAAAGGATCACATTTTACACTAAATAGACAAATCCTTTAGAATGGCAGAGCCAGGCATAACACACAGCAGTCGTTTGCGCATGGTGCAGCAGCCGGACAGCACCTAAACCATGCCACCGACAGGGCTGACACTACCTTCTGTAATATTTCTCATCATCATTCTCTAAGTGCTTTTAAGACACTTCTTATGACCCACTTTTTACAAGAAAATCTTAATTTAAGCTCAGGCTCTGCCTCCTATTGGCTAGATGTGCACTCAGGCAAGTCACTGAGCTTTACTCAATTTCCATCCCCAGGCTCCCAAAGCCAAGGAGATCAAAGGGAAAATGCCTTTGAACAGTACCTGGTTTTCTTTATTTTGCCATCCCAGCTTTTCTGTTTTCTCATTTGCCCTGAGCCTGTCTGTGCTGACAGCTTGCTGCTAGCAACATGCCTGCCTCTCAAAGTGCTCTCCCGCCTTCTCTAATGAGAGATGTCCAACCTCAAGAGGGCTGAGAAATCAGATAAGTGGCCTCCTCTGTTATGCATGAGGGAGAGGAAAGTAGCATACATGAAACTTGGAGGGCTCCCCAGGTACAAAGTAAACACATTTTAGGATTTTGTCACCTTAATTTAAATGAACGTTTTTGCTTATTTTGCTCTGGGATGGTGTTCTAGATGGTACAGGTTGTTGGCTAAGTGATCTCTAGGTAAAGGAGTCGTGAACTAAGTATCGACCCCAATTCTACACCTGTATCTACATCTTTCCATGGCCTCACTGCGAGCAAAGGCCACTGGGTCCTTCCTGTGATGTTATGCTCGGAGTGCTCCCTGCTTCAGCTACAGAAGGAGGTGAAGGAGAATGTGTTGGCTCCAGGTCTCAGGAAGCCTCTCCTGCCAACAGGAGGATCTTGTGCCTCTACCCAGCCTCAAGAAGAGCCAGTGGGCCAGGGAGGATGGGAGATGTGGCCCAGGCAACCACAGATCCACTCTGAGAGGCAGAGTTGCTCAGCCAGGCCCAACACACAGCAGCCAGGCCACAGCCAAGCTGCAGATCCGTGAGAGCAAGGGGATGCCATGTACACCACTGGATTTGCTGTGGTTTGTTCTGTAGCATGATCGCGGGAATAGCTCACCAGGATAAAAGATGACACTGTATTCTTAAAGCACAGATCTGTTCACTTAATTACTCTGAGATGCACATCTTCTAGACTATAATCCAAAAGGCTCTGTCCATCCTACCCCACTGGCCACACTGAGGCCCACGAACACTGCATCCTGGGTATGTTGCATCCAACACACTAACAACTCGGTGCCGATGCCCCTGAGCCAGAGATCAGCCATTTCTGGCCTAAGCCATCCTCCTCAGCTCAACTATGCTCTTCCCACCTGGGTCCAGCCTCAAGCACGGGGTAGGTGCTCACTGATATTTGCTCAGTGAAAACCTCCAATGCCTCCTCCCAGTTCCCAGTGCCGACCACGGCTCTGTCCCCTCCCTTGTCCCACACGCAAGGCCATTAAAGCCACAGGCATTTCGGAAGGCCTCTGCTTGTTGTCCCCAGTTCCTCCTAATAATTCTTTCTACCGGGTACCACATCAGACAGAACTAAGCACATTTGCCGCTTCAGGAAATTCCAGTGTCAGTTTTTCACGGTAGCCCCCTCTCACTCCCTCCAACTCCGGGAGCTGTAACCTTCCCACCCGGGACATTCCTGTCCGGCTTTCTGCTGACCTGGGTCTTTCTCCTCCTCCAGTTTCCTCCCTGACCATCCCTTCGAAGGACATCTTTCTGGGACTCTTCCTAGATGCCCAGATCTCCAGAGCCCCAAGCAAGTTCATGAGGAGGATTTGTCTTTTAGCAACCGCCCCGTATCTGCCCCTCCCTACAAACACCCAGGAGATTACCTACCTGGGAACAGGCATGTGTCTCTTTGGCCCTGGCACCCACCACTCAGAAGCGCTGGGCATGACTGTACGGGTTGTTCAAGGTACCAGAGTATCCACCAAGGGGGAGGGAGGGGCTGAGATCCTGCCAGAGATGTGTCTGCCAAGCCACCCCACAGGGCACGCAGGGGCCTAGCCTGCTCCAATCCCCACCGCGGGCGCTCTGTGGCCGGTTCTGTCCTGTCCCATCTATGCCCAGCCCCAGCACGGGGTCTAATTCACCGTGGTCCTCAACAATGATGCATTGGGAAGGTTTCATTCTGCATACCTGGCTGGGGTCAGTACACACTCCTCACCAGCTTCCCCCAGGTGTGACTGTAAGGGCCCACCCCTGCCGAGACCCCCACACACCTCCCCTCTTTGACACGCCCTGATCTGTTGCCAGAACCGCTCACTTGCCTGGTGAAGAAAAGAAAGCAGGGAGGAGCTAGCTCCTGCTAGTGAGTATCTTGCCCGCCCCCACCCCCCGAGATCTAAGCCCCTCTAAAAGCGGAGCTACCTCCAGTGCCTTGTAACCTCCACTTTACTGCGTTCAGGAGGACAGTGCGAGCTGCTCCCGGCGTCCTGGACACCATTCAGTAAGCTCAGAAGTGGACCTGCAGGCACAGAGGTGGACGGGGAAGGCCAAGCTGGGCAGGGTCTGAAGCTGAAGAAGACCTGTGTGTGAGTGGGACACACCCCTCCACCCTCTGGGTGAATCTGAGCCTCAGTTTCCTCATTTGCACATTACCATCTGAATGCCAATCCTGCATGAGTTTAAGAAAAAAGCAACAGGAATGTGCATTTGGGTGGGGAACCTCATGCACTGCATGGTAACATCTCGCCACGGCTGTGACTGGGGGTGGCTGTCAGCCCTCTTGGCTCTGGGTGGTGCTCATCCACGTAGGTGGCTTGGGAACAAATCCCACATACGCCGTGTCTTGTTCTCCTGGTCCCCTACTGACCCTGACTTCCTTTTGGTGATGGGAGGCTGGGAATTTATGAGCAAACCTTGACCAGACTAGAAGTTGCAAGGTTGCTTGGCTAAGGCCAGAGCCTCTTGCTGTCAGAATTCAGAGGGGAGCTCTCGAAGTGGGGTATGCACGTGAGCCACCTGGGCCATTCATTAGAAAGGTCAATGCTGGGCCTCCTCAGACCTACTCTCTCTGCATCTGCCAGGGCTACAAATGGATTCCATGTAATGAACCGTCAAAACCCTGCAGTCACTGAAGGAGAGCAAAGGAGACCCTGGCCCTGGAGTAAAATGCCCCTAGCTCTGGACAGAAGCCAGGAGACACGGGTGGGAAACTGGCCGGCAGACGTTCCTCCATCCTGAAACGTTCAGTACTCGTCTAAGTGAAACACGAGAGGTCATCATTTGCTCACAGTGGACACGCCGCCAGCTCTGAGCTGGGCAGGGTGAGGGGCAACACGCGGTTGACTGTGCGGCTGATGCACATGGGTGACACGCAGAGGCGTGCTGGATGCCACGCCGAGGCTGCAACGCACCAAGTCCATCTTCATTAAACCGCTTTGGAAAAGTTTTTATTCAGACTCCTCCAAATCTTCATTTACAGTGTCATATCTCCTCTGATCTCCCTAATTACATATGGTATTTCATGCAAGGCCTCTGGAGCGGGCTTCACCCCACTTCTTTAAGCCACTACTCTCCTTATCTGGCTGTTCCCACCCCAGGAACGGCTCCAGAGGAGGCCCTCGTCTGGGCCATGGCTGCTCCTCCATTTTGCAGAGAGGCCAGTGCAGCCACATGCACCCCATCATAGCTGCCACAGAACAGCTGTGGGAGGAGCTTTTCAAAGAGCCCCAGCCGATTCAATGCAAGAAACTGTTCTAAGCAGACTGACCGGAGCGTGTCGACCACCAACTCCTGGAAGCGAGGGGGAGCTCACAGAGCAGCCTGTGTCCCGGGCTGCCACAGGAAGGAACAGGGCCACGATCCAATGGCCCTGCAAGACGCCTCAGGGAGCACAGGATGCTGTCCCCATACCAAGCTCCAGGAAAGCACCACCCTTGCCACCTCAGCCTCCTGCCCCTCCTCCCCATTCCCACCTGGAGTCAGCAGCCACTGCTTCACCAGATGCAGGAGGAGAAGCCAGAAGGTGAGTCCAGAGGCTGCCGGGGGTCTAAGGACCACGATGCCCAGACCCAGAACCTCCGTGCTGCAGAGGGACAGAAAGGCCTGGCAGGGACCCAAGACCATGACCCCGTCAGGGACCCCGGGGACTTCCAGCAGGTAGTGGCCCTGGGGCCTGTTCTCCAAACGGCTTTGCAGGCAGATGTGGGTCCTCACAGTGACACCATGTGCTTCTGATACTTAAAAAACCTCAGTTGTTCAACTGCCCTACACTGGACTAAACTTTTAATAAAGAAACTTAAAATCCATTGGATTTGTTTTTAAATCTTATTAACTATGAGACATACCTGACATTATGGTTGAAGGTGGTAACTGGATAAAACATATAAAATCTTTTAAAAGTAATTCAAATTAATAGTCTTATATAGTGTCACAAAAGAAGGAGTCTGCCAGCTGTAAGCAGAAACTGAATATGAGTGTCACCTGGGGACCCTATGCACACACAGTCACTCAGCACAAAGGGAAAATGTGTCGTGAAAAAGTATGGTATTACCACGGACGGGACAACGGGTTCTCATTGATGGTGATGCTGTACTTTTTCACTGTACCTTTTCAATGTGGAGATACACCA
This sequence comes from Homo sapiens, assembly GCF_000001405.40. Classification (NCBI taxonomy): domain Eukaryota; kingdom Metazoa; phylum Chordata; class Mammalia; order Primates; family Hominidae; genus Homo; species Homo sapiens. The sequence goes on along the minus strand of NC_000013.11, from coordinate 111,518,665 downwards.
ACACTGCCCACGTGTTACAGCTGCCTGCCATGCTCAGTGCAGCCACGTGCTGCACAGGTGTGTAGCCCAGGAGCAACAGGCTCCACCACACGGCCTAGGTTTGTAAGTGCACCCTGCGAAGGTCACACAACAACAAAATCACCTGACCGCGCATTTCTCAGAACGCATCCCTGTCATTAAGCCACGTGTGACTGTTGACACATTCGTGTATCATTACCTCAGCCTCCAAATCCATCACCACACTCCCAAGTCACTGGGGTCATCCGCTTGAGGCCACCCTGGTCGAGATGGCCCTAGCAAGTCTGCGTCTCACCCCGCGTCCAGTACCACAGGGAGCAGGAAGCCGGGGGGCCCAGGTGAGGATGCTGGGGGGGCAGGTGAGGGAGCTGGAGGGGGAAGGTGAGGGAGCCGGGGGGGCAGGTGAGGGAGCCGGGGGGGCAGGTGAGGGAGCCGGGGGGGCAGGTGAGGGAGCCGGGGGGGGCAGGTGAGGGAGCCGGGGGGGCAGGTGAGGGAGCCGGGGGGGCAGGTGAGGGAGCCGGGGGGGCAGGTGAGGGAGCCGGGGGGGCAGGTGAGGGAGCCGGGGGGGGGCAGGTGAGGGAGCCAGGGGGGCTGGTGAGGGAGCCGGGGGGGGGCAGGTGAGGGAGCCGGGGGGGCCAGGTGAGGAAGCCGGGGGGGCTGGTGAGGAATCCGGGGGGGCAGGTGAGGAAGCCGGGGGGGCAGGTGAGGGAGCCGGGGGGGGCAGGTGAGGGAGCCGGTGGGGCAGGTGAGGGAGCCGGGGGGTGGGGCCAGGTGAGGAAGCTGGCAAAGGCCCACGTGGGTGGTAAGCAGGGCTGTGGGCAGGCCCAGTAGGCCTCCTCATGCAGTCCTGGACAGAGAACCATGAGGGGTTTTATGTGTGAATGACAACTGTGCGGGCCCTGCATGTTATATGTGTGACAACCTCACGATTCTGGCAGTGTTGGAATCCTCAGCGCACACAGGAGTAGTCAGGGATGGGAGAGGGTAAGTCACTAAGCCAAGACCCCAGCAGGGAGGGAACGCTGAGGGTCACCCCCAGGTGTTGGAGACCGCAGCCCTCCCTTTCTGCTGTTATTCCATGTGGTTTGCATCAGCACAACAGGCTGCTGAGTGTGAGCTGGCAGAGCTGTTGGTCTCAGCCTGGCATGCTGGGGTGTCCCCTCCACAGGCAGGGTGACAGTGCCCACCACCCACTCCTCGTCCTCCATGGCCAAATGAGGAGCCCCAAGAGACCTTCCTCACTGGGAAAAAGAGGCCATGGCCAGGCACAGAGGGCAGGGCGGAGGCACCCGCCTCCCTCTCCTTGTCACAGCAAGGTCGCAGGAGTGGCTGGCGAGTCCAGCGAACGGGTGGAGGACACGAGGCCTGAGCTGCCTGGGTGCTTTCCCCCGGGTAAGAGGGACTAAGGTCCACAGGATGCCTCGCCCCATGCCCCACAGCCAGCCACGGTTAACCGGGAAGCTCGGCTCATCTCCAACAGCAGACTGAGGCCAGACGCCAGCGAAATGAAAGCACAAAAGCCTTTGCCTTTTTTGCCTCATTCCTGTTGCTCCCCAGGAAAGAAGCTGGAGCTGCTTTTTCTCCCAACTCACAGAGCTCAGCTGCACTAGACCCGGGGAGGGGCCAGCAAGTGGGAGAGAAGACTGAAGTGTCCACACAGATCCTATGCAGCCGTGAGAAGGAACGAAACCAGGTCCTTTGCAGCAACACGGGTGCAGCTGGAGGCGGCCGTGATCCTATACCGACTCACACAGGAAGAGAAAACCAAAGACCTCATGGTGTCACTGCAGTGCCAGCTGAACACTGGGCACTCACGGACACAAAGATGGCACCAGCAGAAACTGGGGACTACTAGACAGGGGAGGGAGGGAAGGAGGCGGCAAGGGCTGAAATATGAACTGTTGGGGACTATGTTCACACCTCGGTGACGGGATCAGTCATACCCCAAACCTCAATCTCACACAATATACCCAAGCCTGCACATGTACCCCTGATACTTAAGAAAAAATCCCAAGTGTTCAACTGGACTATGCTGGACTAAACTTTTAATAATGGAAAGTCACTTAAAACCCATGAGATCTGTTTTTAAATGTTATTAGGAGACACACCTGGTAGAATGTGGCAATTGGAAAAAACATATACAATCTTTTAAAAGTAATTCAAATCAATAGTCTTAAATAGTGGCACAAAAGAATGATTGTACCAGTTGTAAACAGCTACTGAATATGAGCATCACTGAAAGTGCCGGATTTTGTGGTTTTGTTGTTCCAAAATATAATCTATACATTTCCTTCAAGAAAAGCAGAAAAACAGAGAAAACAAAATATTGACTTCCTGTTAAAAGTTATCCCTAGAAACAACGGCATTATATTATACCTGTTTACATGTGTGTGGAAAAATAGAGATGCTTCTCTTAAGCAGGAGAAAATGACAGAGATGGGAAAATATCCTTTCTTTCAGTAAGAAATGTCTGAAAACTGCCATTTCCTGCCTTTGTGAGTTCCGCCTGGGCTGTTAACACTAGAAATTGAACTGCATACTTGAGTCCGGGAGGCTCTTCACAGCATCCCTTAGTGGAGGCAAGCAGTTCTCTAGTCCCAGGTTTAGGAGGCATTTTTACATTCTTCCACTCACCGTGAACAACTTCCTCTCCAAACTCACGCAGAAGTGGGCATCCGCGTGAAAAGAGCAGGTGTGGAGGCTGGCCGGCCTGGGGCCCATACCGTTGCTAAGTTGTTGATCACGGAATGGCTTATGGGCCAAGCTGTGCAGGGGTGCAGAACCAAACCTCACTCCCCACATCAGAGCAGGGACTGAATCCAGGGCTCCCGCTGCACGTAGGACAATGGCCACATGGGAGACGCTTTCGAGGGACAGCCGGGCCAGCAGCAGGTCTGTCTTCCCAGCGTGGAGGGTGAGTCCAGCACAGCAGCACCCAGAGGGTCCCGCAGGATCCCAGCCCAGTGCCCGGGGAGAGGAGGGCTGTCAGCTGTGGCGGGGAGGTCCACAGTCCAGTTTCCCGAAAGCAAAGGAGTCCCTCAGGCTGGGAAGTTTCGCATGACTGCTCCTTCTCCTATTACCTCATGCTAGCCCTCCCCACTCTAAGACCCTCACGCCAGGACCCTCCACCCTCAGACCCTCTCACCAGGACCCTCCACCCTCAGACCCTCACACCAGGACCCTCCACCCTCAGACCCTCACACCAGGACCCTCCACCCTCAGACCCTCACACCAGGACCCTCCTCCCTCAGACTCTCATACCAGGACCCTCCTCCCTCAGACTCTCACACCGGGACCCTCCTCCCTCAGACCCTCATGCCAGGACCCTCCTCCCTCAGACTCTCACACCAGGTCCTTTCCACCTTCAGATCCTCACCTCAGGACACTGCATCTACACAGGACGGCACCCAGCCCCATGTGACACATACAGACATGCTCCCCAGACTCAGGGAATGATCCAGAGGTGACCAAGACGGGCACAAGGAAGGGCAAACAGTCCTGCCTCGGGAGGAGAGGCATGCATGGAATTAGAGGAGGGGAGGGCTCCAGAGAGGAGTGGCTGTATTTCTGGGAGTGTGAAGATCCTCCACTGAGTCTCCTCGCCACTCCTCTCTGGAGCCCTCCCATCCTCTAATCCCATGCGCGCCCCTCCTCGTGCCCATCTTGGTCGTTTCTAGACTGTGGTTCACACGAAGCGCCCGCGTGCTGCACCTGTGCTGGTGCCTGGCTCTGGGGAGCAGGTCTGTGTGCGCCACACGGGGCCCAGCGTCATCCTATGCACACACAGGGTCCTGAGGGGCAGGAGTCGGTGAAGCTTCCCCACTGGGGCATCTTAGGCCAAATCCCCAGCCACGGACTGCTCTTGGCTTTCTATGCCTCCCACGGCTGGTAGGAGAGTGGGAGGGTCCCAGCGGGAGGGAGGGAGGCGCCTGCTTCTTGACCTCTGGTTTCCTCCTCCATCTTCAAAGCCAGTGACGCTGCGCCTTGCAGACTCTTTTCTTCCATTTCACATCTTTCTGACCAAAGCCGGCGAAGGGTCTGCGCTGTTAAGACCCCCCCCACACACCATCCCGGATTATCTCCCGCCTCACAGCGTGGGCTCTTAATCATACCTGCAACGTTTCTGTGCCATGGCAGGTGATACGGCCGTAGGTTCTGGGAATCAGGGCATGGACATGTCAGGGTCAGGGCTCTGCTGACCACGCGGAGCAAGTAAAACATACACAGCTCGTTGCCACGGCTAAAACTCCCCCCATTCAGCAGCCAGCTGCAGCCGAGACCCGGGTGGTGCATGGGCTTTGTCCCTGGACACCCTGTGAAGTGGGAGAGCTGAGGACTCCAGGGTGAGCCGGAGTTCCCTTCCCCAGTTGGGAGGGAAGACTGTCCCAAGGAAAAGGATGCTCTGAGTGGAGAGGAGGTGGCTCCGGGGGCCTCGATTTTCAGGACGCGCCGGCAGCAGGGCTCATGCCAGCGCAAGAGATAAGGGGTGGGCAGGCACTTGGACTCGAACTGGGGCTGCCGTTGCAGCAGACACAGAAGAGCAAACCCAGGGCAAGAACAGGACTGAGCACCTGGCAGGCTTGGCAAGGACAGGCCAGCGGCGCTGCCTTGCACACCTGTGGGCCTCCAGCAGCAGGACTCAGCCGCCCTGCCTAGGGAGGATGTGGACTGCAGCCCAGTATACTCCCGGGTCCCCACCTCAGCCCTCCGACCCGAACCTGCCTTGTGAAGACACCAGGTGACTCGCGTGCACAGCCCAGTTTAAAACACCCCCTTGCAGGTCACCATGAGCCTAAAGGTCAGGTGCTCAGGAAGGAACAAAGGTGTCAGAGGACCCAGAAGGAGAAGCCAAGACCAGCAAGTGGGATAGAGTAGTTCCCCGTATGACAAGGCCCAGGTGCCTCTAGGGGTGCAGGAGACAATCCTGTCTCATTATTGATATTTTCTGATTATTATCTATGTAATAGATAATATGTATTATAAATATAATAGCTATTATCTATATTATCATATTATAGAGAATAATTAGAAAATAATAACTGCTGTCTGTAGCTATCATGGGACATGTAACAAGGCACAGTGGTTCCCACCTGTAATCCCAACACTTTGGGAGGCTGAGTCAGGAGGATTCCCAGAGCCCAGGAGTTCGAGACCAGCCTGGGCAATGTGGCAAGACCCCATCTCTTAAACAACAACAACAAGAAAACAAGATGTAAAAAAATCAAAATTTTATCTGAGTTACCCAAATGTAACATAGAAATCCCAGAGCTAGAAAGTGCAGTGCTTGCAGCTGCACCCCTGGCCTGGCCAGGAGAGTACAGCGCGGTTTCAGTAGTGAGAGCTGTTCCAAGTCCCTTCTGCCCTCAGAGGCAAGAGGTGGGGATGGCAGCTCCTTCCCCTCTACCCTGCTTGGGGGCTCCTATAAGACCGGGAGCCAGAAAGGCCTTCCCCACACTTGGGAGGCGCAGGACACAGTGCTGCCCTGGAGCCTGAGACTACGGGAGTCGGCTGTACAGCGGAGGCAGGTGAGGGCAGCCTTTCCACAGAGTCTGTGGGCTGCTGACATGGGTGTGCCCCTGGCTGGTCGAAGACCGGGTGGAGGGAGTGCCAGCGTGGGGTCACCTCAGCCGTGTCCAATGGGCTACTAGAGGACAGAGACCTTATGAGCAATGTGCAGACAAGTACGATAGGCTTGGACTGCGGACGCAACATCTCCCGAGAGAGAAATGCATATTCCCAGGTCCGGGGGACTTGGAGATTGGGACGTGCAGTGGTGGGGCCCGGAAGGGTCATGAACATGCCCCATGGGAGCAAGCGTCAGCCCTACCCACTGCCGGACCCAGGAGGGAGGAGCCCCTGGCTGGGGGAAGCCACCTTGGCCCTGAATCCCACCCCTCCTCCTCCTGGGACCCAGGATTCCTGGACAGCAGCCAGGAGGGCCAGGAGGAGAGCGTGGCAGCCTCTGGTGGGCGTCCCAGCTATCGGCTGGGCAGGGGGAGGGCAACGTTTAGTGAATATGCTCAACCGACGTGTGCTAATTACAAAACTGAGGGCGACATTCTGACTGCGTGAGAGTCAGAGTCCCAGGAACGCAGGAGTTTCCATCCTGGGCCAGCGAGAGAGCTTGGCCCTGTATAGGTTTTACAGGGGCAGCAGGAGAGTAAGGTAACTGATGAACCAGGTGCTGTTGGCACACCCAGGCGGGCCCTGTCTGCGAGACAGGCTGGCTGCACACCACCTCTGCCAACAGCACAGCCACCCTAGAATGGGCGAAGACGTGCCCGCTTTATAACGAGGGCCAGAGAGGGTGAGAAACGGCCCCGGGTCACGGAGCTGGAGGGGAGGCTGTGTGGATCCCATCCCCTGGGGCTGACTCAGCCTGGTGCTCAGAGAGGCTCAGCGATTAAGTCACTGGGTTCCCAGGCCCTTTTTGTCCAGGGCCTCACATCTGCTCAGATCTCGAAAGGAGCTGGGAGAGGATCAGGGTAGAGAAGGGGACCCTCAGGCTACAGCAGCAGGAACAGGGTGCATGGCCGCACAGGGGGGCTTGAGAAAAGAAGCTCTCCACCCAACCAAGGCGGACGGCGCTGCCCGGGCTCGGGAGACCATAACCGGAGTAGCCTGGTTCCAGGGCAGCTAGAGTCGAGTCAGGGCTGAGAGGGCGGCTCCTGCTGGAATGCCCTGGGCGGGGGGCGGCTGAGGATGGAGCTCACAGGCTGGGCAGGTTGGCGGCCAGGGCAGGCAGCGGAGGCAGGCATGTGCGGGTGAGTGCGAGGGCCAGAGTGCGCACACATATGTGAGAGTGTGCACATACGCGTGGGGAAGAACCAGGCTTGCCTCTCCCCGTCAGGGATCAGGGTGAGATGGGACTGAGGGGCAGGGCTCAGAAGAGGAGCCTGTGTCCCTGGTGGACCTAGCAAACCATGGGGGAGTGAGGACATGATTTCTGCAGAAGCACACACACCCTCACACGCACACACACACCCTCATACCACAGACACACAGACACACTCATACACCCACTCTACACTGATACCACACACACACTCACACACACTCATACCACTCACATACACACACTCCACACACTCATACCCCACACACACTCACACAAACACCACACATTCATACCACACACACACATACACACTCACATACACACATCACACACACTTATACACACACTCATATCACATGCATTCACATTCACACACCACATGCACATACACATACATTCACATGGTCACACCACACACACATTCACATCCACACACACACAACACACACATACATACACTGCATATGTCACACACACACCACACACACATTTTGTTAGTCTGGACACCTGTTAGCATTGACAGGGGTGGTTTGCGTTAATTTACATTCCAGGGATGATTTTAAGGACGGGATGAAAGCTAGGATTTTCTCCCAAAGTTGCAGAGACTCACACAGGCTCACGTGCAGTTGCAGGAGGCGCATGTGTGTTAGAGTTTCATTGCACGAATGCTTGTAACTACCAACTCCACGATCAGGGGCTATGACCACAGGGGCTTGGCTCTTGCTCGTGGGTCTAGGGCCACCTGCATTGCTCCGGGATGCATTAGGCGGGGTTCCAGGCTGAGGACAGGGTGGGGCAGGCTCCATGCCTCCTCACTCTGGACCCAGCAGCTGCCTGCGGCGTGTTCTTCCCAAGGAGCATGGGAAAGCAGCAGTCCAGGCCAGAAGAAACAAGCACATTCAACTCATTTCTCGCATTATGGCACTCCCACTCCACCAGCCAGAGCTAGTCCCAGGATCAAGCCCAAATCCAGCCATCTAGATACCGGTGGACTCCTCCTGGAATGCTGGAAGACAGGGCAAGTTCCGTGGCAGAGGGAGGGCATGGGAAGCAGGAACAAGCCAGTCTACCACCATGGACAACATGCCTGGTGCCCTCCCACGGGTCCCTGGGGTCCCTGGAGCCCAGATCTGGGCCTCTCTCTCCTTGGACAGGAGCGCAAGCCAGCACTTCAGAGGCCATTGCCTGCGTCTTCCTTAATTTTCACAGCACAACGTATGCTGTCACCAGGTGAGGGGTTCCTCAGACCTGTGGCAGATCACAGCTGAGGTCTTGCTCCCAGGAGTGTCTGGCACACCCAGTAGAGGCTCAACAAATCCTTGATTGGGTGAACGGATGAACAGAGAAAAGAACTCTAACATCACCATGCCATGTCTTCTTCCAAGCACGCACGAAGGGCTAGATTCAGTGTGATTCAAATGCCTCTTGGCTAATATGACATAAAACCCTCTGAGGGCCTCCCAGATCCACAGCAGATATGTCACTAAAAATTCCACCCGAAGTCTGACTGTAGCAACTACTTTGGCTTCTAAGCAGCAAATTTTTTAAATGCTCTCTGAATATAATTATTTTCCTCTGACATCACCCAGCATCCCTCCACACAGCACACACCCCTTAGTTTTCATTCGCCTTACAGAGTCACCCAGCTCCTGGGTTTTCCTCCCCGCTGAGATGAACAATGAGCGGGGCTTTTTTCTTTATTATTTCAAATGTTTTTCACAAGCTTGATTTAAAAAGGGAAAATTCCCCACCATATTTTCGGTCTGATTATCAGATGATGATGGACAATAGATTGATAAGAGTCACTCAAGGAGATACAGGCTCTTGTGTATAACAGCTACTCCAATTATCAGGCACTACTAAACTATTATTGATCCTGTTCACATTGGGTGATAACTGAGCATTTTCCACTTCTTTAAAGTGCTGTTAACTAGAAACTCCCATCATTGACAAAGCGGCAGACTTTTCCCTCAACATAGCTCAATACTGTAAATAGCACCCACTGAAAGTGCAGAGTGCTTTAATCCCATTGAAACAAACAACTGCCCAGCACAAACACACAGACATTCTAGTTGAGAGACAGGACTAGCTGGATTTCCTAGGCCAACTAAGAATTCCTAAGCCTAGCTGGGGAAGGTGACTGCACCCACCTTTAAACAGGGGCTTGTAACTCAGCTCACTAACATACCAATTAGGCTAAAAGCAGGAGGTAAAGAAATAGTCAAATCATCTGTCGCCTGAGAGCACAGGGGGAGGGACAATGATCAGGATATAAACCCAGGCATTCAAGCCGGATCGGGCAGCATCCTTTGGGTCCCTTCCCGTTGTACGGGAGCTCTGTTTCCACTCTACTAAATCTTGCAACTGCTCACTCTTCTGGTCTGTGTTTGTTCTGGCTCAAGTTGAGCTTTCACTTGCCGTCTACCACTGCTGATCGCCGCCGTCACAGGCCCGCCTCTAACTTCCATCCCTCTGGATCCAGCAGAGTGTCCACTGAGCTTCTGACCCAGCTAGACTTTGCCGCTCCGGATCGGCTAGAGGCTCGCCATTGTTCCTGCATGGCTAAGTGCCCGGATTCGTCCTAATCGAGCTGAACACCTGTCACTGGGTTCCACGGTTCTCTTCCATGACCCACGGCTTCTGATAGAGCTATAACACTACTGCATGGCCCAACGTTCCATTCCTTGGAGTCTGTGAGGCCAAGAACCCCAGGTCAGAGAACAAAAGGCTTGCCGCCATCTTGGGAGCGGCCCGCCGCCATCTTGGGAGCTCTAAGAACAAAGACCCACCGGTAACATAATCTTTAAATGGCTTATTGCAAAACCAGTGCCCAAGGATGTCATGTAATATGTCACCTTAGCGACCACAGATAGACACACTGAAGGAAGGCGCAACTCACTCCATTTGCTTTCAGTGGTTTAAAGATAGAGATGTGGGTGGGAGGGAGTAGCCAGAGGGATGGTCGTCAACTGTCAATGGCGGGTTTCTTACCTTTCGCAATGTCTGGCCAGCTTCGGGGCAGCAGATGCTGTTTTTGTATGAGATTTTGGTAGGAGGTGGGACTCGACTCTGTAGGCAGGACTCAGACACCGGACCCAACTGAAGACTAGATAAAACAGGGAAGGTGTGGAAGCAGTTTTCCATCAGACACGCCCCCAGTGCACCTGTCAGTTTACTGTTGCCACTGGGCGTTACCCCCCGCTTTCCGCGGCAGACTCAATGAACCAGAAGTTACTACCTTTTCCTAGAAATTTCTGCATAAACTGCCACTTAATCTGCATGTAATTAAAAGTAGGTATAAATATGACAACAAAACCACCTTAAGCAGCAACTCTCAGCCTATGGGGTAGCCCAGCTCCGCGGGGGCCGTCACAGAGCTGTAACACCTCCAGAGCCGTGGCACTGTGGCTTCAGAAAAGGTGTTCTCTTCTACCACTGGCTCACCCTTGCATTCTTTCCTGGGCAAAGCAAAGCCCCCCCCGCCCCACCTCCCGGCTAAGCCCTGCTGTGAGGCTCACCCGCCCTGCATCCGGGTCACAGTATTTGCAGGAGGACGGGGGCCTCCGGGCAAGTGCTGGTCACATAAATATTTCTGTTAGTCTGGGTCAAAAAGCCATGATCCCAAAAGATGCTGATGTGTGGCTGATGTGGTTCTCTCCTGGGATCTGGTTTGGCTGGTGACGAATAGATGTTATTCTCTTGATGGACCAAGCTTTTGTTGTGGGTCGGGGCAAACCAAGAACATAAAATGAGCAAAATTGACAAATAAGGAATTCAGCCCCCGAAGGTGCAGTGAATCTCTTGATACCATCAGTAGTTAACCAGAGACCTGAGCACCGAGGCTGGGGGGCAGGTCAAATGACTGGGGAAGTCAATGAAAAGTGGTTTCCGTTATTTATTTTGCCATATTTTTTCCCATTGTGAATAATGTCACCTTGTATTGTATGAAAATAAAAGCACAGAATTTCCTCAAACAAAGGCTGCTGGTGGTCTTTCCAGGAGGAGGGATCCACGCTGTGGAGCCTATGCCCACATTCACTCACCCAGCCACCAGCACCCCCATTCACTCACCCAGCCACCAGCACCCCCGTTCACTCACCCAGCCACCAGCACCCCCGTTCACTCACCCAGCCACCAGCACCCCCGTTCACTCACCCAGCCACCAGCACCCCCGTTCACTCACCCAGCCACCAGCACCCCCGTTCACTCACCCAGCCACCAGCACCCCCGTTCACTCACCCAGCCACCAGCACCCCCGTTCACTCACCCAGCCACCAGCACCCCCGTTCACTCACCCAGCCACCAGCATGGGGTTGTTCATGGTTTCAGCATCTGCAGAAAGGGGCTGTGCTCAGGGAGATGAGGAGCCCCACAGTCCATCCCAAACAAAGGCCTAGGACATTAGGCTCAGAAGGGAAGTGAGGGTGAGGGTGGAGGCTGAGGCTGGAGGGATGAGGTGAAACTGGCAGTTAAAATGGGTTTACAGATGGGTTGTCCCTAAGCCACCCATGCTGCCTGATTTTCTTGCCATGAATCCAGCCAACACATATTTATTTGTTGGGGTCACAAAAGTTCAGGCCTCATTTTTGTCTCTTAAGTGTCTTGCAGTTGAGCAGGGAAGCTGACTAAGTATAGCAGCTATGGCAGCGCAAAAAGTAAGAGATTCTGGGACCGAGGTACAGGATGTGATAGAAACTTGGACAAAGCGCACACGCGCAGTGCAGGCTGTCCCTGGGGGGACATTCGCATGGAGGCTTGGGTGAAGGGCACACATGCAGCCTGGGCTGTCCCTAGGGGGACACTTGCTTGAAGGCTTGGAAGGGCAAGCAGAGGCCGTCAGGTTAGTGGGGGTGCTGCTGGCACCTGATGGCAGGGCAGCACCTGTGAAGGGTTGGAGAAGAGGCAGATGGTGCCCTCAGGGGCCCACTGGGCACTCAGACATCCATCCACTCTCGCTCACAGCAGTGATGCTCACAGCTGCCCAGAGAAGGATACAACGCAACCATCCGTGGAGGAGGGGATGGGCAAAACATGCTCCATCCACACACTGGAGTCCTCCTCAGCCCCAAAGAGGAAGGGAGACAGGCAATATATGCTCCATCCACACACTGGAGTGGCGGAGACCGAGTTGAGAAGGTCACAGAGCTCCTTCCTTGTGTTTGAAATGAGCGTTACTTGCCAAAGGTAGGTGGGACGGGGAGCAACATGGCCACATTTGTGTTTTCACCGAGTGGCTCTGACTCCTGGTGGAGGACTTGCTGCAGCGGCCCAGCCTCCCAGGTGCTGTCAGAGATGGGGATCCCCCGAATTGTGCAGTGGAGTCCTTGAGGAGGGCAATGGTGCAGGGATGGAGGGGTCACCCAGATTCCAAATACAAATACAACACTCTCATCAAGAGCTGCCTATGTGCCGGGCACTGCATCCTCCCCGGACAGCATGTGTGCCCTAGAGACAGATGAGGACAAGGGTTCAGTGCAGGTCACAGCTGCATGTGCTCATGGAGGCAGCACCAGCAGCCACCTACACCCCCAGGCAGCAGATGCCCTGAGGCCTTCAGCTCTCCAGATGCAAAGGCAGGAGGGGATCCGCCTTCCAGGGCCACAGCTCCACGCCCTGAGCTCAGAGACTACAGAGGCATGGTTTATTTCTGATTGCGTATTTTGTTTTCATTGACCTCTGTAATATATATATATATATATATTTTTTTTTTTCCCTGAGACAGAGTCTCGCTCTGTTGCCCAGGCTGGAGTGCAGTGGCACGATCTCCACTCACTGCAACCTCCACCTCCTGGGTTCAAGCGATTCTCTTGCCTCAGCCTGCTGAGTGGCAGTGATTACAGGAGCATGCCACCATACCTGGCTAATTTTTGGATTTTTTTAGTAGAGACAGGGTTTTGCCATGTTGGCCAGGCTGGTCTCGAACTCCTGGCCTCAAGTGACCTGCCTGCTTTGGCCTCCCAAAGTTCTGGGATTTTTTTCAATATTTTTCAAAGTAATCTGAGAGCCTGTAGGACAATGATGCATTCTAGTTCACCATAGTCTTCAATAGTTTCTGTTGGCATTCATCAAGAATAAAAACCTAGGAGAGGCAATGATCTGATGTTTTAATCCCAACGTTCTATAGGGGAGGGGAACAAGACAGGAAGATGAGCTGACGAGAAGCTCCCTAGGGGCGTGCAGTGCTGGGAGGCCACGACATCGGTGTGCATGTCCTCAGCGTTCTCAATGATCCTCTTCGCCGCAAAGGCAAAGAAGAAACGGGACAGCCTCCCCACCACTGCCCAAACACAGAAGGCTTCATGGGTGTATGCGTGGACTTTGCAAGGTGCCAGGAGAGCCACACCCAAAGATAAAAGAGTCCGACTTCTGACGTCTCCCAGATGTAGGGACCCTCGAGAAGAACAAATGCGGCTCAAAGAAAAGCGTGTGGTGTCTGTGGATGTGAGGAAGGGGGCAGCACGGATTTGGAGCTGGACAGCTCGGGATCCAGCGCCTCCCTGTGGTCTTCCACCTGCAGGACCATGGATGAGCTCTCAGCTTCTATGAGCTTTGCTTTCTGTTTCTGAAAAGCGGAGCTATTGGTGGTGCTTCTCCCTCGGGATTGTTGGAGGAGATCACTTAACCTAACATGTATGTCTAATATTATCAATAACTCGTGACTGTTTCAAATGCCCAAGAGGTGTTTATCCTCTCAAATTCTTTTTTTTTCTCTTTTTTTTTTTTTTTTTTTTTTTGAGACATTGTCTTGCTCTGTCACCCAGGCTGGAGTGCAGTGGCGCTATCTTGGCTCACTGCAACCTCCAACTCCCAGGTTCAAGCAGTTCTCCTGTCTCAGCCTCCGGAGTAGCTGGGATTACAGGCGCCCACCACCACGCCCGGCTAATTTTTGTATTTTTAGTAGAGATGAGGTTTCACCATGTTGGCCAGGATGGTCTCGAACTCCTGATCTCGTGATCTGCCCACCCCGGCCTCCCAAAGTGCTAGGATTACAGGTATGAGCCACCGCACCCAGCCTATCCTCTTAAATTCTAACATAAAGGAAATCTTTTTTGGCATTATCACTCATTTTCATTCATAATCAAGATTGCCATTTGGGACTTCAGAGCGTGGAACTTAAGTTCTCTGGTATTTCAAAGCCAAAACTCAAGGCAGCTCCAGAAGGTGGAACCCACAGATGCAGCAGCACCACGGCTGAACTCCTAACACAGAAGAACAACTCGGGCAGGTGTTGGCATGAGGCTGTACCTCATTCTCACATTTCTCATATTCCAGGTGCTCTTGGCAAGTCAGGGCCTCAGCAGGTTTGTCAATTGGCAGAGGAAGTAAGAGACGCCACGCCTCAAGGTTCTCTTACTTCTCCTACCAGAACCCGTGGAGTACGTGTTCTGGCAGGAGGGTGTGCCAGTGCTTTGGTCTATCTGCATGCTAAGATGCATTGAGTATTTTGGTGCAAGCACACCTACTATTAAAAAGCAAATTGGTGAATGGTGATAATTTTTGAATTTTAGCATTTTCTGGAAAAACTATACACCTCCTGCACTTCTAAACATATTGAACTCTTGGGGATTAATTGAAGTGAAATTTAAAGAAAGTACATCTCACTATAAAGGAGTTTGTGCCCGTGGGAGTGTGGAGCTGAGTGGGCGCAGGAAGAGAAGTGACTAATGGAGCTTAAAAATGACTGATCTGTATCTGTGCCTACTCGGATGGAAATAGGTGCAGTGTTGCTAAGCGCACCCTCCCGTGGGGCGGTGGAGGGCAAACAAAAGCTGCAAGCTCGGGAAAGAGACAAGCCTTCTCCAGCAAAGCCACAGAGTTTCTTTGCTGGCCAGAGGGAGGGGCTGCAAAGGAAATAGGTTCTAAGAATGGGGGGTTTTGGAATGACTTTGATAGACCCATCTCAGAGCTGGAAGTCAAAAACAGGCCCTGCTGCTCTATGGCTCTTCAGTGAGGCTGAAGTTGCTGTCCTCCTTGAACTTCTGTTCCCTCCCTCCCTAACAACACTGGGAAATCAGGGAGCAGTTTCCCCAGAGTCGAGTCTCCCAGCCTAATGAATCTCCATGCCTGTTCACCTTTACAGTCTGAAAATTGCCTGAAGACCAGTTCCCTCTGAGGCAGGGCCAGCCCACATGTTCTGAGGATGTCTCATGCACTCGCCAATTATGTAGGGAGAGCCAGGCAAGGCTACCACGCTCTCCTCCATCATCTATGGCCAGAAGCCATAGCCCACACTTCCACAAGTGACGTGGCATAGACAGACGTGGAGGCAGTGCAGAAGAGTCGCTCCTGATGACCCCAGCCAAGTGGCCCAGGCACTCAAATCATCCTACTTTATGCATAAACTGCTGGGAGCACCTCTGAGTGCCCTTCCACCTTGGCTTGCGCACACTCCATCCCCAAAGGCTCCCATGGTGGCCTCACCAGCCTTCATCCATCCAAGGGCCTTCCTCAGCCTCCCTGCCTCCCTGCGCCCACTCATCAAGCTCGGCTCCCACACCTCCCACTGAGCTTTCTCTGCTCAGAGTCATGGAGTGCTGGAATGAGAAGGGAAATCAGAGGCATTCAGTCATGCTCCAATCTTATAATCCCTTAGGGAGATGCTGCGGACACCCTGTGCTCCATGCTGTTCAGAGAGCTCCACACGGGACAGCACATGGGACCCTCGTGACACCCAAGGGGAGGGCACTAGTGTGGGCCTCATTCAGTCAAAGAGGAAACAAGGCTGTGAGAGGTTAAGGAGGGAGACTTAGCTGAGGCTGTGGGTCCAGGACACGGAAAAGATGGGATTCCAGCCAGAGTCACTTCCACAATCCATGCTTTTAACCCCAGGACAACTCCCTCCCCAAACCAGATGCAGGTTCCAAGACCACCACTCCCCACCCTGCCTGAGTCAGGCCTCCCACAGCATCCAGCTCCATCTCTTCAGCAAACTCTGGCTTCCATGATGGTACATCCCCTTGCAGTTCACTGCGTGGCATCACTATTTTATCTTACATTGTTAAGCATGTTATTGCTACATAACTGACATTGTAGACCTCATCTCCCTATCATTATTAGAAATCACCTGGAGGGCAAGGAAAGAGAAAATGCCATGTATTCCCATAATTTTGGTGACCCTGGCTCTAACCCAAACTGTACCAGGAACAGATGATCCAACAGAGGATGCTCACACCGTTTCTGAATACAAGAACCAGTCTTGGAGGTGTAACATGAATGTACAATATTGATTAAGGGAACATTCCAAAGGTTTAGGAGCAGGAGCATCCTCTTTATGGAAGTATTCCAGACACAAAAAGGAAACAGTATAGACAGACTCAGAACATCACCATTTCGTAACCCCTAATGAATCTAGGCATTGGGAAGAAATGAATGCAATACACAGAGACAGTCAGATAGTATGCACCCAGCGCCAGAAAAATACCTCACCACTTACAAACCCGTCCTGCCAAAAGTTATGACCTAACTGATCAGGCTTTCAGGGTTTCTCAACCTTGGCACCACTGACATTTTGGGTTAATAATTCTTTGTGGGGGGAGGGGGGGCAGTTCCAAGATGGCCAAATAGGAACAGCTCCAGTCTACAGCTCCCAGCGTGAGCAATGCAGAAGATGGGTGATTTCTGCATTTCCAGCTGAGGTACCGGGTTCATCTCACTGGGGCTTGTCAGACAGTGGGTGCAGGACAGTGAGTGCAGTGCACTGAGTGTGAGCCGAAGCAGGGTGAGGCATCCCCTCACCGGGGAAGCACAAGGGGTCAGGGAATTCCCTTTCCTAGCCAAGCGAAGCTGTGACAGACAGTACCTGGAAAATCAGGACACTCTCACCCTAATACTACACTTTTCCAAGGGTCTTAGCAAACGGCACACCAGGAGATTATATCCTGCGCCTGGCTCAGAGGGTCCCATGCCCACAGAGCCTCGCTCATTGCTAGCACAGCAGTCTGAGATCAAACTGCAAGGTGGCAGCGAGGCTGGGGGAGGGGCACCCGCCATTGCTGAGGCTTGGGTAGGTAAACAAAGTGGCCAGGAAGCTCGAACTGGGTGGAGCCCACCACAGCTCAAGGAGGCCTGCCTGCCTCTGTAGACTCCACCTGTGGGGACAGGGCATAGCCGAACAAAAGGCAGCAGAAACCTCTGCAGATTTAAATATCCCTGTCTGATAGCTTTGAAGAGAGTAGTGGTTCTCCTAGCATGGAGTTTGAGATCTCAGAACGGACAGACTGCCTCCTCAAGTCGATCCCTGACCCCTGAGTAGCCTAACTGGGAGGCACCCCCCAATAGGGGCAGACTGACACCTCACATGGCCGGGTACCCCTCTGAGACAAAACTTCCAGAGGAAGGATCGGGCAGCAATATTTGCTGTTCAGCAATATTCGCTGTTCTGCAGCCTCTGCTGCTGATACCTAGGCAAACAGGGTCTGGAGTGGACCTCCAGCAAACTCCAACAGACCTGCAGCTGAGGGTCCTGACTGTTAGAAGGAAAACTAACAAACAGAAAGGACATCCACACCAAAACCCCATCTGTATGTCACCATCAACAAAGACCAAAGGTAGATAAAACCACAAAGATGGGGAAAAAACAGAGCAGAAAAGGTGAAAATTCTAAAAATCAGGGTGCTTCTCCCCCTCCAAAGGAACACAGCTCCTCAGCAGCAATGGAACAAAGCTGGACAGAGAATGACTTTGACGAGTTGAGAGAAGAAGTCTTCAGAAGATCAAATTTCTCCAAGCTAAAGGAGGAAGTTCGAACCCATCACAAAGAAGCCAAAAACTGTGAAAAAAGATTAGACAAATGGCTAACTAGAATAACCAGTGTGGAGAAGTCCTTAAATGACCTGATGAAGCTGAAAACCATGGCATGAGAACTACGTGATGAATGCACAAGCTTCAGTAGCCGATTCGATCAACTGAAGGAAAGGGTATCAGTGATTGAAGATCAAATGAATGAAATGAAGTGAGAAGAGAAGCTTAGAGAAAAAGGAGTAAAAAGAAATGAACAAAGCCTCCAAGAAATATGGGAATATGTGAAAAGACCAAATCTATGTCTGATTGGTGTACCTGAAAGTGACGGGGAGAATGGAACCAAGTTGGAAAACACTCTGCAGGATATTATCCAGGAGAACTTCCCCAACCTAGCAAGGCAGGCCAACATTCAAATTCAGGAAATACACAGAACACCGCAAAGATACTCCTCAAGAAGAGCAACTCCAAGACACGTAATTGTCAGATTCACCAAAGTTGAAATGAAGGAAAAAATGTTAAGGGCGGCCAGAGAGAAAGCTCAGGTTACCCACAAAGGGAAGCCCATCAGACTAACAGCGGATCTCTCGGCAGAAACTCTACAAGCCAGAAGAGAGTGGGGGCCAATATTCAACATTCTTAAAGAAAAGAACTTTCAACCCAGAATTTCATATCCAGCCAAACTAAGCTTCATAAGTGAAGGAGAAATAAAACCCTTTACAGACAAGCAAATGCTGAGAGATTTTGTCACCACCAGGCCTGCCCTACAAGAGCTCCTGAAGGAAGCACTACACATGGAAAGGAACAACTGGTACCAGCCACTGCAAAAACATGCCAAATTGTAAAGACTTTCGATGCTAGGAAGAAACTGCATCAACAAACGAGCAAAATAACCAGCTAACATCATAATGACAGGATCAAATTCACACATAACAATGTTAACCTTAAATGTAAATGGGTTAAATGCTCCAATTAAAAGACACAGACTGGCAAATTGGATAAAGAGTCAAGACCCATCAGTGTGCTGTATTCAGGAAACCCATCTCATGTGCAGACACACACATGGGCTCAAAATAAAGGGCTGGAGAAAGATCTACCATGCAAATGGAAAACAAACAAAGGCAAGGGTTGCAATCCTAGTCTCTGATAAAACAGACTTTAAACCAACAAAGATCAAAAGAGACAAAGAAGGCCGTTACATAATGGTAAAGGTATCAATTCAACAAGAAGAGCTAACTATCCTAAATATATATGCACCCAATACAGGAGCACCCAGATTCATAAAGCAAGTCCTTAGAGACCTACAAAGAGACTTAGACTCCCACACAATAATAATGGGAGACTTTAACACCCCACTGTCAACATTAGACAGATCAACGAGACAGAAAGTTAAAGAGGATATCCAGGAATTGAACTCAGCTCTGCACCAAGAGGACCTAATAGACATCTACAGAACTCTCCACCCCAAATCAACAGACTATACATTCTTCTCAGCACATCACACTTATTCCAAAATTGACCACATAGTTGGAAGTAAAGCACTCCTCAGCAAATGTAAAAGAACAGAAATTATAACAAACTGTCTCTCAGACCACAGTGCAATCAAACTAGAACTCAGGATTAAGAAACTCACTCAAAACAGCTCAACTACATGGAAACTGAACAACCTGCTCCTGAATAACTACTAGGTACATAACAAAATGAAGGCAGAAATAAAGATGTTCTTTGAAACCAATGAGAACAAAGACACAACATACCAGAATCTCTGGGACACATTTAAAGCAGTGTCTAGAGGGAAATTTATAGCACTAAATGCCCACAAGAGAAAGCAGGAAAGATCTAAAATTGTCACCCTAATATCACAATTAAAAGAACTAGAGAAGCAAGAGCAAACACATTCAAAAGCTAGCAGAAGGCAAGAAATAACTAAGATCAGAGCAGAACTGAAGGAGATAGAGACACAAAAAACCCTTCAAAAAATCAATGAATCCAGGAGCTGGTTTTTTGAAAAGATCAACAAAATTGATAGACTGCTAGCAAGACTAATAAAGAAGAAAAGAGAGAAGAATCAAATAGACACAACAAAAAATGATAAAGGGGATATCACCACCGATCCCACAGAAATACAAACTACCATCAGAGAATACTCTAAACACCTCTATGCAAATAAACTAGAAAATCTAGAAGAAATGGATAAATTCCTCGACACATACACCCTCCCAAGACTAAACCAGGAAGAAGTTGAATCTCTAAATAGACCAATAACAGGCTCTGAAATTGAGGCAATAATTAATAGCTTACCAACCAAGAAAAGTCCAGGACCAGATGGATTCACAGCCGAATTCTAGAGAGGTACAAGGAGGGGCTGCTACCATTCCTCCTGAACCTATTCCAATCAATAGAAAAAGAGGGAATCCTCCCTAACTCATTTTATGAGGCCAGGATCATCCTGATACCAAAACCTGGCAGAGACACAACAAAAAAAAGAGAATTTTAGACCAATATCCCTGATGAACATCGATGCAAAATTCCTCAATAAAATACTGGAAAACCGAATCCAGCAGCATATCAAAAAGCTTATCCACCATGATCAAGTGGGCTTCATCCCTGGGATGCAAGGCTGGTTCAACATACGCAAATCAATAAATGTAATCCAGCATATAAACAGAACTAAAGACAAAAACCACATGATTATCTCAATAGATGCAGAAAAGGCCTTTGACAAAATCCAACAGCCCTTCATGCTAAAAATTATCAATAAATTAGGTATTGATGGGACATATCTCAAAATAATAAGAGCTGTTTATGACAAACCCACAGCCAATATCACACTGAATGGGCAAAAACTGGAAGCATTCCCTTTGAAGCATTCCCTTTGAAAACTGGCACAAGACAGGGATGCCCTCTCTCACCACTCCTATTCAGCATAGTGTTGGAAGTTCTGGCCAGGGCAATCAGGAAGGAGAAAGAAATAAAGGGTATTCAATTAGGAAAAGGAAAAGAGGAAGTCAAATTGTCCCTGTTTGCAGATGACATGATTGTATATCTAGAAAACCCCATTGTCTCAGCCCCAAATCTCCTTAAGCTGATAAGCAACTTCAGCAAAGTCTCAGGATACAAAATCGATGTGCAAAAATCACAAGCATTCTTATGCACCAATAGCAGACAAACAGAGAGCCAAATCATGAGTGAACGCCCATTCACAATTGCTTCAAAGAGAATAAAATAACTAGGAATCCAACTTACAAGGGATGGGAAGGACCTCTTCAAGGAGAACTACAAACCACTGCTCAACGAAATAAAAGAGGACACAAACAAATGGAAGAACATTCCATGCTCATGGATAGGAAGAATCAATATCATGAAAATAGCCATACTGCCCAAGGTAATTTATAGATTCAATGCCATCCTCATCAAGCTACCAATGACTTTCTTCACAGAATTGGAAAAAACTACTTTAAAGTTCATATGGAACCAAAAAAGAGCCCGCATTGCCAAGTCAATCCTAAGCCAAAAGAACAAAGCTGGAGGCATCACGCTACCTGACTTCAAACTATACTACAAGGCTACAGTAACCAAAACAGCACGGTACTGGTACCAAAACAGAGATATAGACCAATGGAACAGAACAGAGCCCTCAGAAATAATACCACACATCTACAACTATCTGATCTTTGACAAACCTGACAAAAACAAGCAATGGGGAAAGGATTCACTACTTAATAAATGGTGCTGGGAAAACTGGCTAGCCATATATAGAAAGCTGAAACTGGATCCCTTCCTTACACCTTATACAAAAATTAATTCAAGATGGATTAAACACTTAAATGTTAGACCTAAAACCATAAAAACCCTAGAAGAAAACCTAGGCAATACCATTCAGGACATAGGCATGGGCAAGGACTTCATGTCTAAAACACCAAAAGCAATGGCAACAAAAGCCAAAATTGACAAATGGGATCTAATTAAACTAAAGAGCTTCTGCACAGCAAAAGAAACTACCATCAGAGTGAACAGGCAACATACAGAATGGGAAAAAATGTTTGCAATCTACTCATCTGACAAAGGGCTAATATCCAGAATCTACAAAGAACTCAAACAAATTTACAAGAAAAAAACAACCCCATCAAAAAGTGGGCAAAGGATATGAACAGACACTTCTCAAAAGAAGACATTTATGCAGCCAAAAGACACATAAAAAAATGCTCATCATCACTGGCCATCAGAGAAATGCAAATCAAAACCACAATGAGACACCATCTCACAGCAGTTAGAATGGTGATCATTAAAAAGTCAGGAAACAGCAGGTGCTGGAGAGGATATGGAGAAATAGGAACACTTTTACACTGTTGGTGGGACTGTAAACTAGTTCAACCATTGTGGAAGACAGTGTGGTGATTCCTCAAGGATCTAGAACTAGAAATACCATTTGACTCAGCCATCCCATTACTGGGTATATACCCAAAGATTATAAATCATGCTGCTATAAAGACACATGCACACGTATGTTCATTGTGGCACTATTCACAATAGCAAAGACTTGGAACCATCCCAAATGTCCATCAATGATAGACTGAATTCAGAAAATGTGGCACATATACACCATGGAATACTATGCAGCCATAAAAAAGGATGAGTTCATGTCCTTTGTAGGGACATGGATGAAGCTGGAAACCATCATTCTCAGCAAACTATCACAAGGACAAAAAACCAAACACCGCATGTTCTCACTCACAGGTGGGAAATGAACAATGAGAACACTTGGACACAGGAAGGGGAACATCAGACACCGGGGCCTGTTGTGGGGTGGGGGAGGGGGGAAGGATAGCATTAAGAGATATACCTAATGTAAATGACAAGTTAACGGGTGCAGCACACCAACATGGCACATGTATACATATGTAACAAACCTGCACACTGTGCACATGTACCCTAGAACTTAAAGTGTAATAAAAAATAAAAAATAAAAATAATTCTTTGTAGTGGGGGCTCTCCTGCACATTGTATGGTGTGGAGTAGCATCCCTGCCCTCTACCCACCAGACTAACCCATTGTGACAACTGAAAATATCTCCAGACATTGCCAAGCATCCCCTGAACAGTGGTTACCTTCCTCATTGAGAATCTTGGCATCCAACTACCAATCTTGAGGAAATACAGGGGATAGAAGAACAAGTTAGACACAACACAGAGATGCAATCAATAAAATCCGAACTGTGGGAAACTATGCAACAAACAACTTGATTTCTCCAATCCAACACACGAATTGCAAAGGGAAGAAACCAAGATGGTGGAGGAATTCTACAGATAAAAAGACATGTAAGAGACAGCCATTTATTGCAGTCTACAGATCTTATGTGGATCTTGATTCAAAGAAAAACTGTTGATCGTCTGAAGCTGTTGGAAATTTGGACATTGGATATTTGATGATATTAAGGGGAAAATGATAGTTTTTAGGTGTTAAAATGTCATTGTTATTATATTTAAAATTGTCTTTGTCTTTTAGAGATGCATGCTGAAATATTTACAGATTAAACGATCTGACATCTTGGGTTTGTTTTAAAAATATAAGATGAGGTGAGCTGGGAGGGTTATGGATGAATCAAGATTGGCCACAAATGGCTAATGACTGCACGTGGGTGATGGGCATGTACAGGTTCATTACACTCAGGTCCTCTTTTATATACATTTAAATTTTTCTGTAAGAAAATTTTTTTAAAAAAATTAGGAGGGTTTTAACAATAAGAACTGTCATGGGAAATCTGCTCTGAGGGGCACTCAGACTTGGTGCCAACACCCACATGTGCCGTGGACGATGAATGTTTAACAGATGGAAAGCCTGGAGTTGCCCATTTATGGACTTCTGTTAGACACTCAAGAATGATTGCTATAACCCATCCAGGCATGGACCTCCCAAGAGAAAAACCAGCGACGTACATGAGCAGACTGCACGGATATATGTTAGAACAACATCAGAAGGCTCTCAACTCGGGATCCACTGGGCATTGTTCTGCTACTATGCAAGGCAGCCCTGAAAAGAAAGAGAAGGAGAGGCCAGAAGACCACAAGGCATAGTATCTTGAGAGGAAACAAGACCTGGGGATTTTCCCCGCCAAGTGCCTCCTCACCCTGCGGGTAAGCGCCTCTGTTACGTGCCCACAGCCCCTTGCCACAGTGACCTCTTCACCGTCTCTCTGCCTCATGGGACCGTGGTGCTCCCTGAGAGCAGAAGCTGTGGCGGGCATGTGCAGCACTTTACCTCCAGAGCCTAGCCCAGAGCAGGTGCTCAGCAAGCATTGTGAATGTGTGGGCGAGAGAAGCCAGGCACAGGAGCTCTGGGCTGGTGACGCAGCGTGAACCCAGGTATAGCACACACTCCACCAACACCTTCTGGCTTCGAGAAGAGAGCTGACCCAACGTAGGTGCTCCAGCCAAAGTTTGAAATGCTTAACTATTATTCATGTTTATTTCTTCAGGAGCATTACATTGGGCCTAGGCACTTATATTCCATTTATATCTTGCTATAGTTTACACTTCAGAGTATAATGATGCCTTATAAAGTTCAGCCAATGCAGATTTTTATTGGAAATTTCTTAGAAGAAAGCATTTCTTAACAAAGGCTTCCTCTCTCTTCCGTCCTTTGGAGTTGAGTTCTCTGTCCTCCATCCCTCCATGCCCTGCCATCCACTGGCGGCACCCGGCACATTTAGATGCAGAAACAGGGAGGAGCTGACCAACTCCAGCAACGTCTAACCAAATCCAGTCTTTGAACAAGGCCCTAGCTGGGTGTGGTGGCTCATGCCTGTAATCCCAGCACTTTGGGAGGCCAAGGTGGGCAGATCACCTGAGGTCAGGAGTTTGAGACCAGCCTAGCCAACATGATGAAACCTCATCTCTACTAAAAATACTAAAATTAGCTGGCCGTGGTGGCATATGCCTGTAGTCCCAGCTATTCTGGAGGCTGAGGCAGGAGAATCACTTGACACCAGGAGGCAGAGGTTGCAGTGAGCCGAGATCATGCCACTGCACTCCAGCCTGGGTGACAGAGCGAGATTCCATCTCAAACAACAACAGGAAAAAAAAAAAAAAAAAAAAAAGGCCCATAAGCAGTCATGCTCTGTCTCTCACTTCCAGGGGCAAATCCTAGTATGGAGATGGCCCTGAGTTAGGGGACTAGAAACCTAATGTGAGTTTTGGTTGGACCACTAACCATCTCTTGACTTCAGGTTTTTCTGGCCCCATAGATTCATCAGGAGAAAGGAAGGGCTGAGAAGATCACCGTGGCCCTTCCCAATGTTCAAGCTCCATGATTCTAAGTTTGCCCGGACCCCACTGATACCGTAACACAGGTTGGGCACTGGGCCCTGAACATAACGAAGCAGCTTCAGCCTCCATCCCACGCTGGGATACACAATGGGACTATTTGTCTTTTTGGCAATGTGCCATTATCCAGGGCTCCCTTTGAGGAGCAAGCTTGGAAAGCACATTTTCAGGGGGGTCTGCGAACCTGGAGTTGCTGGTGGTCAAGAAAAACTGCATGTGCAGCTATCAGGTTGTGTATCACCAAGGGCAGGAAGAGACTCTGAATTTGAGTGTAGATGACAATGATGTAACCCCACCAGTTTGCCCATTGGAAATAGCAAATAAAGCAGGTTGAACGGCATTGGAAACTCAACACGCAACGGCCTTGGCATTCATGAGAGACTGTGTTTGTGACGACCCCAGCACAGCACTGAAAAGGGAGTGAATTGTTGGACAAAGAGCATCTTGACACCCTTTGCCTCTCAATACAGCCTCAGGAAAGCTGCATCCCACAATTATGTGCTTCATTCATTAGTACCACATCACTGACGACACCATGAAAGAAATGACAAATTAGCAATTTCGCGGCAACAGCATAATACTATCGTTTGTATCACAAAGTCAGCAAAATCCAGCCTCTAATAACTCAGCTCACCATTCTAACCCAAGACTGGCCATCAATATGGTTTTATGTGCCTTGTACTAATCACTAAAGTCAGATAATATGCAAGGTTAATGGCTGCAGACAGTCTGAGGAAATATCTAGGATCTGATAAGACCACCCCTCCTGATTGCAGTTTCTGCATATATATCCCAACCAAGAATCAACGAAGGAAAGAAATCAATGCTTAAGGCAGCCGTAATACATCTCCCGGCACAACATATAAATGGGCCCTTCATTTGCCCATTCACATTTCAGTTAATAAATAGTTCAGACACGGCCACCCTGATGCCACAGGAGTGTGGCCATTGTGCGCCTGTCACCCTCCAGAGATTTATGCTGCACAGGACAAGGGACCCGGCCCGGCCTTTCCAATCACCTTGCTGGTCTCTTAAAGGAGACAGAAACAGTGTCGCAGAGTTACGATGAGGACTTTAAAATCTCCCTATATATCAAGGCCTCGAAACTAGGAGCTGCACTTGCGTCTTCTTCTGCAGCTCTTTTCTTGAACTCTGACTAGACAAAGCCCAGCCAGGGGCCCCTTTGTCCTGGTATCGACTATGGGGGTAAATGCAGAGCCTCAGAATAACTGCATGAACTCACACATTTCCTCCGCCACTGACTCGGAGATGCACAATGGCTTCCCCAGCAAGACCTGGAGAAACTTCTGTCGTTTCCAACATTTCACGATGGTTTTAACGTTCCCCATCATCCTTCAGATGCTCCGGGAAGACTTGCTAGCAAGAAAGCATTGGTTAATTTTGGCTTGTTCACCTTGAGAAAGGGAGCACCCATTTGCAAATATAGCTTGTTCGGTGCGATGCACATATGCCAAGTCATCCCTAAATGACAGATTCAAGCCTTGGCAATGTGTTTCTCCTCAAATTTAAGTATGCATTCCTGTGTCCCAATATAATTACTACAATTTACCTTCCCAAACCAAAATAAAGCATGCTGGCAACGTGTTTAATTTGTAGCTAAACTACTAATGCAAATGTGGAGTTGGCAGCTTGGCCGTGGTAGCATTTGGGGAAGTTTATCTCACCCATGACAGTGGGAAAGACACTCTCCGAGGACCGTGAGTTTTGACAGTCCCTCCAGCAAATGAAAAATCATCTCCACACAGCTGCCACTGTGAGGTTTATGCTTATCTCTGGTGAGTCCACTCCGGCACTTGAAGCCGTGCTTTTGCAAGCAAGATGTGAGCAGCTTATTTTCCCGAAGCCCAGAGCTATCGCAGCCCTGTGACTCCAGGAGTGATGACTATGTCCACTCTCTAGGTTTTATATGACATAGAAACTTTGGCAAAAGGGGCCAGGTGCGGTGGCTCACACCTGTAATCCTAGCATTTTGGAAGGCCGAAGCGGGCTAATCACTTGAGGTCAGGAGTTCGAAACCAGCCTGGCCAACATGGTGAAACTCCATCTCTACTAAAAATATAAAAGAAAAGTAGCCAGGCATGGTGGTAGGCTCCTGTAATCCCAACCATTCAGGAGGCTGACGCAGGAGAATCGCTTGAACCCAGGAGGCAGAGGTTGCAGTGAACCGAGATCGTGCCATTGCACTTCAGCCTGGGCAACAAGAGTGAAACTCCATCACAAAAAAAAAAAAAAAAAGAGAGAGAAAGAAAGACAGAGAGAGAGAGATGGGGAGAGAGATGGGGAGAGGGAGAAAGGGAGGGAGGGAAACTTTGGCAAAACGCACCCTTCGGCTGAAAACATGAGAGAAGCAAAAAGAATAAATGAATGAGTCATTCACAAGGCCCGACTCTCCTGCTGGAGTAGAGTAATGTGCACCTGCTCATAGCTCTCAAGCCCAGAGCCCGGGGTGTCTGCTGTGTGCCGGATGCCGGGCTAAGCTGGGGCCTTCTGCCGTCAGCTTCTGAGGCACTCCCAGCCCCAAGCTGGATGGAGCAGGTATCTCGGCAGGACGTGACCCACATTCCAGCTCCTTCCCAGGGGACAGAGAAGGGAGAAATGAATGCAGCTGGTGTGAGGGAAGGGAGAGGGCAGTGAGGAAGGCTTTCCCAGAGAAACCAGGGATATACTCAGGAAGGGGGCCCAGAGGGAAAAGTTGCTTCGCAGCACCGTGCCATGAGCAAGCCAGGAAGTCACACCACAGACTGGAGAAAGCTGGTTCTAATAAACACTGCCTGAACCCAGATCCACAGAATGGAGCCAGCCTTACACCTTAGTCCACAGCCTAGCGTGTCTTTAGGATGACACCTGTCAGGTGTGTTCACAGTCCCTGTTTAATAGAGTGACCGCTGCCATCATGACACTCGGCAGGGACAGTCCTGTTTTCTCGCCGTGCATGTGAGTGAACTGCTCAGCAGGCCATGGTGTACCTGCAAGTCAGGTAAGCGCTGAAAACCCACTTGCTGGCCAAGGTGCTTTTTGATTCCTAGAAAGAGGAGACTTACCAGGTGTGTCCTTGAGAGAACAAGAGAAAAAAAGGAAATTTTATTTTCTCTTTTGTTATAGACTTATAGGATTCTTTATTTATATGTAATTTTATGAGGACTCCCTGTCAAAATTCCACCAGGAGAATTTCAGGGCACCCCTTGCCATACCTGCTGGGACATTGCAAATCTCTGATCTGCCTCAGGCTCACCTGGCTGGTTCCCTCAGTTACACGTCTATGTGCGGCCTGCTCTTATCCGGATAAAAGAGTTCTCCATTCCCACCCTCCCAAATGCTCAGACTTTACTTTCTAGAAAGTAGTTTTATTGAGATAGCATTGACATCTAAAAACCGTATATATTTAAGATGTACAACCTGATGTTTTGATGCACCTATCCATATGAAATGACACTACATTCCAGCTAATTAACATGTCTATCACCTCTGTGTAGTTATCCTGTTTGTGTCCACGCTGAGAAGATTTAAGATCTTTTTTTTTTTTTTTTTTGAGATGAAGTCTCACTCTGTCACCCAGGCTGGAGTGCAGGGGAGGAATCTTGGCTCACTGCAACTTCTGCCTCCTGGGTTCTAGCGATTCTCCCGCCTCAGCCTCTCAAGGAGCTGGGATTACAGGCACCCACTACCACACCCAGCCAAATTTTTGTATTTTTAGTAGAGATGGGGTTTCATAATGTTGGCCAGGCTGGTCTTGAACTCCTGGCCTCAAGTTATCCTCCCACCTTGGCCTCCCAAAGTGCTGGGATTAAGAGCTATCCTTTTAGCAAATTTCAAGTGTACACTACAAATTTCTTAAGGTTTGCTCTCACTGGCCCACACAATGCAATAATTCTGCTCAGACCACATCATCGATTCCATTCAATCTTTGCCCCCTCCAAAAAAAAAAAGGAAAATTGAGTTTCCCAATGGAGCTTGAGCAGTAATTCCAACCTAAGAAGACATCACCAATATCTATCTACAGGTGGCCCTTTGTAGCTGGAAGCAAGCCTCACGGAACATTCTTTCTCAGATTAACAATAAAAAGGCCCTTCTGTACAGGAGGCACACAGGTTTTCCCCAGCGGGGAGCAGCCCTGGTATTTCACTTTCTTCCTGTTGTGACTGATGCCTTGAGCACCCCCGGTTGCTCAGCCCTAACTGTTGCACGTGGCCAACTTCCAGGACCTTCTCCACTTCCAGGACCTTCTCTGGTGAGGCGTGGCCTATGAGCGGGGGGCTGGCGGTGAGGCCCATGCTCACCCTCGGCAGCCCCTTGGGCAGGTGCTTGCTGCCTGGAGGCTGCACTGAGCCCTCCTCCTCCTCCTCTCCCCTGGCCTCCTTGCTCTTTCACAGCTCACCTAGGGCAGATGCAAGAAACAGAGGGTCTCCAATGCCACACTTGTGCTGCACAAAGTTTGTCCTGGCTGCCAGCTGATACCAGCCACACACATTTCACAGAAGGGATGTTTTGGCTGCCCCAGTAACTCAGAAATGCCAGAAAGAGCAGCAAGTGCAGCCATGGGCAGTCGTCTCCTCCTTTCTCCTGACACTTAGTGAAGGGACAGAGACATGTCTGCTTCTTCTCTTCCCTCATGGCCTGTATGGCAGGAGAAATGCACCCAGAGTCCTTTTGTCCTTTAAACCAAGTCACCCATGGCCCACCGTGAGTCTCTTTCCAGGCCAGCTGCTTGGTGAGGGCCCAGGTGCCCCTGGGGCAGCTGAGGACTAGCCGGGTTAGGGGAGGGCTGAGCACAGGACAAACACCCCCCATGCTATAGGAAAAGAAGCTCGGGGCTCTGGCCCACACCTGGTAGCAGCTGGCTGTCAACAGAAACTCGTGAGCTCTGGGAGGTCCACCAAAGCCCAGCCCTGGAGTTGACCTCAGCATATCCAGGGAGGGTTTCCCCCCACAGGTTATGCAGAGAGAGCGAGAACCACTTCACATGCAGAGTGAGGAAAGGGGCCGCTGCGGGCCAGGCGGGAGGCTTCCTGAGTCCCCACCCTGCCCTCGTGTGCAGAGGAAGCTGTATTTCTGCATCCTTATCACATCTTTGCACAGGAATGGTTAGAAAGCTAGAGCAATGGCCACTGAGCTTCAGCGTGCATTCGAACACCTGGGAAGCGTGTTAGAACATGGAGAGCTGTGCCCAGCCCACCTGCTGATGCTGCTGCCTGGGGACCTCACTTGCAGACCAGTGCCCTCAAGAAGCGGCTGTGTTTCCTTCCATGCAAAGATGTGAAGGGACACAAATGCACAGCCCAGGAGAGAAAGCCGGAGGAGCTGAGGGGTTTTACTCTGAAGAAGACTTGAAATGGACAGGGTAGCTGCCTTCAAATGCCTGAAGACGTGCTGTTATCGAGTCAGGATCCAGTGTTTCTGAGCTGGGGCCAAGATCAACAGTCAGGGGACTACAGGGCGATGGAGCCCTGCTTCATCTAAGAAACCATTCACTTATAGATTTCACCATTGAAAGATGGCGGGAGCTCTCAGGAGGTGGAGGGAATGGACCATCACAGAGGTGCTAACAGGAAGAAGAACCTCAGCAAGGGGCTGGCAGCAGGAGAGTCTGAGTCCAGTGGCCTTTAAGGCTCAGTTCAACCTGAGGTCCCTGGAGTTTCTAAAATGTGTCTCTGCTCTTTCGTTCCTGCACCATTTTCTAAAGCATGTTGGCACGTCAAGTTCCTCCGTCAACCTCAAGTAAGGGTCAGCTCCAGTGCCTCCAGGTTCCTGAGTGGGTGTGGGAGCAGCCACCCAGAGGGGCGAGTCCCTCCAGACCCAGGCACATCCCTGAAGCTAGTCCTGGTTTTCAATGCATGGCATTTGAGTTTCTAAATAATAGGTTCAGAAGCAGTGATGAATCACTCCCGCTATGGGAAGGCATTGCCGGTATTAACTCTAACGTGTCTTTAATTGGTGTCGTTCCTGAAAAAGAGAGATTTTTTTTCAGCATGCCTCAGCAATAAGAAAGCTTTCAAGAAACATCCCAAATTTTCATACCTCAACCCCTTTCAGCTCTAATTTGTGTTAATTCAATTAAGGGCATGTAATTTGGCTGTCACCAAAATTAAATATAAAGAAAAATGTATATTAATGCAAAGGTTGAAGAGTTAGGCACACACAATCCAAGAAGTTTTTAAAAAGTTCTATTTCCTCCTATAGCAAGAACTTAGTAGGAAAGAGAGGGAGAGAAGAAAGGAAAAGGAAAAAGCAGTGAGAAAACCCTACACAGCCCTTGCTTACAAGTTGCTTTATTGTACAAGAAGATGGAAAATCAGACATGCTACAAAATTTAAACAGGCAAATTGCAGTCAGAACCGGTTGTCTCTAACTTCCTAATTTATACATGTAATTCCTATTCTGTGTATTTACAACACCGCCATGCTCTTGTATGATGAGCCTTCTCATTAAGCACCACAACATATTCCAAAAGCAGACCCAGGGATGACTGGGCTTTGCTCTTGCCGAGCACAGGCTCATGCAGGACCAAAACAGGGACTGCCACAAACATCGCCACAAGGACGCCATCCTAGGCTCTTACAGGATGTGCTTCTAGTTAAAAGAGATGTAGTAAAAGGCGAGGCTCACATAGCACAGCTCCTGGAGATGTCACTTCTAGTAAAGTGGCCTTCTGAAAATGCAAGGCGCCTCTGAGTTTCACCCAAGCAGTTGTGGGGGTCCTGGTCCCCCAGTTCAGGCCCAGTGGGGTGGATGCAGCAATGGGATGTGAATCCCCTCAGGGAGGGTGCATGCGGTGGTTTCCAGGGTTACCTTCCTGAGTTCACTTCGTTAGTTCACAGTGGATCCCCAACACCAAGAGTCGTGCCTGGGTCACAGCAGGAGCTCTGTAAACTCCAACTGCTAACTGTAGTTTTTATTTATAAAAATAAGTTTAACTTTTACTTTACTCCCACGAGAATTCCCTGAAAGCCAGCAGTGCTCTCTCTTACTGATGAGGAAACTGAGCTTTAGGAAGTGGCCGAGCTGAAGGCACTTGCCCCACAGGGATCTGACAGAGACAGGGCATGAGCTGTTGTGAGTGGTGTGTTAGGAAACCGGGTTTCCTAGCAGAAGCGGGCTGGGAGCTGGACTGGGAGGAGGGACGGTGCTGGGGGCAGGAGGAAGCCAGGCCAGATGCTCAGGGCTCACAGAGCCCAGCTGTGGGCAGTAGCTTCTGGAGGCCAAGACTGACACGGGTCTCCCTGGGAGGCCTCAAAGTTTGACTTGGCCCTGGCGAAGCAAGCCAGGCACGGGCCTGGGCAGAGGCACAGCGGAGACGTTGTTCTCAGTGACCTTGCAGAAAAGGCTGGACAGAAGCAGGGTGACTGTGAGGAGAGCTCTTCAGCAACTCCTGAAAAAGGCACTTGGGGCTGGGATAAGGCAAGTCATACCCCAGAAACACACAAACATACACTTCTATAATTAGCAAAACTTGGTGGCAGATCAACTAAGATCAGGGGCCACTCTCTGCACTAACAGGACTCATCCTGTAAACTCAAGTCGCCCACTGTAAACCTGGAGTGTCCTTGGTACCCAAGCCCAACCTTGAAGGGGTGCAGAGGGAGCGTCTCAGGGTGGGTGTCCCCTTATGCTGTCTGCTTCCAGCATGGACCCCCAGACACCCCATGCCGGGTGATCATATGGCCGTCTTGTGTCCTCTGAGATGCCCTCATGGTCCGTGATAAGCCGCCCATCCCGCACTTGACTCCCCCAGCGAATGCCGGCAGGCTCCGCTCAGTCTCCATCCAGGCTGTGTTTAGCTCCCCACGCCTGTCCCTTGCCACTCGCCAAAGGCAGCAGGACACTTTAATTTGGAGCCCACCTGGATGACTTTAAAACATGACTCTCGAGAATGCTGTCTCTTCCCTATCTTTTGGGCATAGGAATGTGGAAAGAATGAAAATTAAATTCAAAAATCCATTTTCCTATGATAGTACATTTACTAATTTCAACACGAAGCAGTCAGGCAGTGAGAAGTCGAGCACTCTACACTCATTATCTCCCCCACACTGCGAGGGGTGCCTATTAAGCCATCATTTCAAATAGTTTAACTTGTGATCGGAATGCCACGAGCCACGAGGATGAATTCTGTTTCCATGAAAGCCTCCGTTTCCTAACTCTAGTGTTCACTCATTCTTAAACTTCTTGCATTGTATATATGTATTTTTGGATTCTGAAAATAACTACTACCTCTTGGTAGAATGTCCATGGGGCTTGAGGAGAAGTTGACATTGAAATAAATATCCAACCTGCTAAAAACCTGAACTTTGAAATCAGATAAATCAGGAGATAAGGATTCATTACATAAAAAGAATTATTACTGGTTCCTTTGTAAATAACAAATTCCCAATGCTAACTTATTTACAAAAAGAAATAACCTTTAACACAATCCAACCACACGGTAGGTCTTCAAAAATATTTAAAGAGCAAATTCAGAGACACTGAGATGGGACAGTGGGCTTGCGGACATCTTGTTGCGTGGTGTCTTTGCCAGGACATTGTTACCCACAAACATAACACACGTGCCTGCTCCTGCACATGCTCCCCGGCGAGGTCAGCCCCTGCCTTCTTCTTTGTCAGCGGGATTTGTATTCTGAAGTGGAAGCCCCATGAACATGCCACCATCTCTGTCCCCACCAGACCCCAACACAGAAAATAAATGCCTACTGGCAATACACATGCTCCATCCCCCCAACACTGGGATCTTTGAAACATCAGGTTTTCTCCCCCAAGATTTCAATTAACATGCTTACCTATCACTTATCAGCTGACCATGTAAATAGCCCGCAGCCTAGTAACAAGGCAGGTGGTAAACTGATGGGGTAATAGTTCAGGGAAAAATACCCCATTAGCCCTGTCGGACTGCTCATGGCAAGCAGCCCCTTTCACCCTGCGGCCGTGAATAGCTCTCCAGCCAGCCGGGTACTGCCTGCTTGGGAACAGTTGGATGCCTCCCCTGAGACAAAGCCCTTCTCAGGCCCGCAGACTGCCCCCAGCCAGGGCCAGGCAGAGCAGTTTCAAAGTAACAACTATGGAAGCAGAGACATGCTGCGGGGGGTGAGGGGGGGCAGAAAGACCACCAAAGCAACGCCCTGGGGAGCCGGGTGAGCAGATCTCAGGTCTGCTTGCTCATGGGAAGGTGGCCACAAGCAGGAAGAGCAGGAGCTTCTGCTGAGCTGCTGGAGACAAGGAATATGTGTCCGCAGCGCAGCTGCCGCCTGTGTGTCCATTTCCGCACAGCAGGTGTCACATGAAGCTCATGCATTTGGCAAACGTCTCCTGGGTGCGCTCCATACTCCAGGCACCAGCTCCTGAGCACCAGGAGTCAGAGGGCAGCCTCTGATCACCACTGCTCCTGGTCTCATGTCTGGACAAAACACAGAGTATCTCCCAAACAATTCCTTTGCCCAGACCTGGGCAGCCATCGTGCACAAGGCCTCTTAGGCCGGGCGCAGGCCCTGCGGGCCTCCTACTCTCAGCAGCTGAACAAGGACCACTGCAGTCAGGTGCTAGCCAGCCCTCCCCGACCGACAGCCTCAACAAGACACTGCCCGTCCTCCTCTACCCCCGCCCCAAGCTTGTTCACTTCCTACCTCCAGATTTCCCAGCAGAAGTAATCCCTTCCTTCTTTCAACCCTTCTAGCTTCAAATATCTATAGACGTGTGACCTTTGCAACTTGATCCTAAGCTCCCAGAGCAGGAGGTGGGTTTGTGGCTTCTCTGTGCCTCACACAGAAGCGTTCATGGGAAATGTGTCTAATGGTCCACATGTCCATGGGGTCGGGGGCTGAATATTTAATTATCCCGGACTCCGTGGATCATGAATGCCCGTGAAGTCATTGAGCCTTTAGCAGTTGGGTTGGGCTTTGCACTGGGTAGGGCTGCACAGTCTAACAGGATGACCACTTGACCCACATGGCCAGGAGCACATGTGTGTGGCCAGGCCACGTGTGCAATATACTTATATAGAGAAAAGAAAACATAAAATAACTCAGGAGTTTCTTCATCGGTGACATATGGCCTGCAGGTGGCCCAGTGCTGTGACATTCTTCATGTGGAGACCTACTATGTGCTGGGCACATTGCATGCAACATAACAAAGCTTCCTGAAGAGACGCAGAAAGCCAAGAGCTGAGCAAGTCCTATGCACACCTGGGACCTGCTCCCGGATACCACACCCCAAGCCTTCCCCAGGCCAGCGCCCCAAGCCTTTCCCGGGCCACTCCTGTCAGGGCTCAGAGAGGAAGCAGGACCCCAGCAGCTGTGCCGAGAGCAGAGCAGGGCCTCCCATTAGTCTCCCGGGGCTGCTGTCACAAAGGCCACAGGCCAGGTGGCTCGCAGCAACAGACGTGTGTTCCCTCCCAGTTCTGGACAAAGAAGGCCAACATCCAGGTGGGCTGGCTTCTTCTGGGGTGCAAGGGAGACTCTGGTCCCTTCCTCTCACCAGCTCCAGGGGCCCCACGTGCTCCTCATCTTCCCTGCACTTCTGTGGACACAATCCACCTCCTAATGCTCCCTGAGTAACAGACCTGTGGGTGTCTCCAGCCCCCTTTCATCCTCTCCGTAGCAGTCACCAAAACCCACCTTTCTTCAGCTCCTTCACCCACTACTCTGGGCTTCCCCCCTGGAAGCTTCTCCTGAAAATAAAGTCCCAAAGCAACGCACTCCTGCTGAGTCACACCCCCCTGCACCGAGCGAGGTGCATAGCGGCTGAGCCTGGCCCCGGGAGCTGCAGACTCACACCTGCTCAGCCAGCTCCTTGCCCCAAGGTCCGCACACAGCCCCCGACCCAACTCTCATGATGGTGGGGGCATGTGTCCCTCCCCTCTTACAGGCTTAGAGAAGGTCTGTGATGGGTGCGAACTTGTGCAGCCTGGCCCAGGGTTCCAGGATGGTGTCTCCATAGGGAAAGGCCAATGTGCCAGGGAGCAGCATGGTGGATGAAGGCCATGCTGGATGATAGCAACCTCTGCGTCATCATGCTCGCCTTTGTTTAGGAAGTCTACTCTCCACTTCTGGCCTTCAATGTGCATTGAATGGTTACCATCTTTTCCCTAACAAGGACATAAGGGTTCAGGTGCTACCCATCTGAAATGACCTCCTCACTCCCCTGTTACATATCAGGCAGTAATAACCCAAGGGTCTGAGTCTAGATCCTAAATCTTATGATTTCCTAGTGCCAATCCATTACTAATTAATTGCTAAGATTTATTGCCCAATTTCAGGGGGATCTTAGTAGGCACAGCTCTTGGAGTATCTTATTTAATTCTCCTACAACACCCTGCCATGGGTAACAGGAAGGTGAGTCTGTGGCAAGTCATGACATTTGGATGTGGCTCCTCATGGGCACGGTTCTGGGGAACCCAAGCTGAGAGCTGGCCTCCAGCACCAGCGTCACCACCCCGCCCTGGCCGAGGTAGGAGTCACTGTTGCAACCTAAGAGCCAGTGATGTGCTGCCAGCCCCAGTGCCACAGGAAACACAAAGCATTACAGATTTCTGATTGTTTAAAATCTTGTACATTTTCTGTAACATTTGATTGACACAAAAAGAATGACTAACGTGGCCAGGCACGGTGGCTCACATCTGCAATCCCAGCACTTTGGGAGGCTGAGGCGGGTGGATCACTTGAGGTCAGGAGTTCAAGACCAGCCCGGCCAACATGGTGAAACCCCATCTTTACTAAAAATATAAAAATTAGCCGGGCATGGTGGCAGGCACCTGTAATGTCAGCTACTTGGGAGGCTGAGGCAGGAGAACTGCTTGAACCCGGGAGGCAAAAGGTTGCAGTCAGCCAAGATCGCACCACTGCACTCCAGCCTGGGCAACAAGAGCGAAACTCTTCTCAGAAAAAAAAAAAAAAAAATTACTAACTGCCTAACTGCAGGAGATTTTAGAAAGCGTATTTCAAGTTTTTAGAAATGAAGTCCCAGTTTATAATAAGCATTTTACAGAACTCAAATTTCCACACAGCTAAACAAAAGGAAAAATGCAAAATAGTTTCTCATGGAAGCACTCAAGTCGTGCTGATCTGGGCACAGAAAGTCAAGGTTTGAAATATGCAAAGATTTAATTATGACATGAGGTAACTGACATCCTGGGAGAGGTCCTTTGGAAAGTTTCTCTCTTCAGCTGTAATTGCTTTGGGCTGGTATAAAATGGCTGCCCTGGAAAGTGTTCATAAAATAGAACCCATAGCTACTCACTCCCACCGAGACAGATTCTAATTTGTTTCCAAGCCTGCACCTGAAACTCCGTGCAGACACAGCTTCAAAAGCAACCTGAGAACGTTGCTACCAACAGTCACCATCTCTATTTCCAGACACCACTCGGGGATGCTGAAGCGTAATCCTAAATGATGATGTGACTTCATATTTTAATAACTGGCCATCATGTTTACTCTGGTTCCTCCTGGGGTTTCAGCACCAGCAATGTCCCCAGTGGGTGTTTGCTCAGCTGGGAAGGGCCTCCAGATCTGCCTTACAATGAGCCAAGCCGGCCCTCTCCTGCGACCGTGTTTACAGACTCTATCACTCATCCCCACCTAGCTGGCCAGCGCCCACCCTCACCACATGCGCATGTTCCCCGGCAGCTGGGCAACGGGGGCCGTCTGTGAGTGAAGCCAGCTCCTTTCACACCCACTTAGACACACTCCTAGAAAATGGGCCCAACGTGAACAGCTGTGCTTGGCTGGGGCTGTTGTAGGTAATCACGTTCTTCATGTACTTTCTTCACTCACAGTCCCTGTGAACCTCATCCCAGGAGAGCCCCCCCAGAAGACTTTCCTACATCCACTTCCTGCCGTCTGGGCTTCTCTCCCTGGCGGTCCCATTCTAATCCAAAGGTACTTTCAGAGAATGCTTTCTCCTCCTGGTTGAGTCTCATAAACCAGGCTGCAAAAGGCCGAGGAAGGAATGGGGAGCCAGAAGAAGGAGGGGGCAAAATACCAGAAAGGTGCCCACAGGATGGGAGAAGGATGCTGTGCTGCCGGACAGGGCAGCAGGATGGACACCGCCCGGAATGGCCACCACCGTCATCGTCTTCACTTCTGACGACAAGCACCAACTGCCCCTGCTGACATGTTATTACATCATTTTGTGCAAATCCTCTAAAAGTGATGCATCTGAGTAATCTCTTTACCAAACACAAGTCAGTCCCCTCCTTTTCTCATGGTGCAGGCTCTGCCCACACTAGCCTGTTGGTTTGGAAGGAGAAGAGCAGAGGTGCTCCTGCCCTTCGAAAGGAGTTGGGGGGCCTCCTAGGAGGCTTCTCAGATGTCAGCCCCTGCGATGAGGTTTTGCTGCTGTTTCACAGACAGGGGTCTGGTCTCCTGATGGGAGCACCGGACCTCAGAAGCTCCAAACTGGGCACGTGTGGCTCACCCTGCCCACCCAGGGTACCCCTAGCATCTCCCTGAGCCTCATGTGCTACCGCGTGTGCAGGGTAAGGGACACACATGGGGACATGGGGACACGGCGCCCTGGCCTGCAGGTCTGTAGCCACCCTTCCTAGTTCCCGTCTCCACCAGGCTTCTCCGCACCATGAGCAATTTCTTCAAATGCCAGCAGATTCTCCCTTCAGCTAGACACAATTCCCCTCTAACCCCGTCACTTATGTTTTGATTGAAGTCGTGTTTCTAGTTGCTGGAAGCTCTGCCTGGTTCTTCTTCAAAGCTTCCCGTACCTTCTTCCCAGTGGTTTTCATGGACCTCTGTTTCAGTTTCCTCTTGGGAAGATTTGGGTCTTGTTGCCTCTCTCTGGGCTCTGTTACGTGACGATCCTGCATCCTCCTCCTATTTGACGCACCTGACAAGAGTTCCCCTCAGCGCTGAAAATGGGCAATCTCTGCGTCAGGACATGGAAGACTTGGCAGAACATTTTAGAAGCCACTGGTTTACCCAGCACTTCTGGAATTTCTCAGAAATGAAGAGAACCGGCACGCCAGCTTCCTCAGCAAATTCTGGGTGAGTTGGTTCCTCTTGGGCTTCACATCTGGGGAGGATGAGCTCCTCTTCAGCAGGATTCGATCTGCGGGAAACCTGTGAGGTGCGGCCTCCAGGCATGTCTAGGGCCTGCGTCTGCAGGGCCTCAGAGGGGGATGCCCCGTCCTGGGACGGCCTGGGTGACTTCTCTTCGGGGGGTCCGCAGGCTGTGCTGGCAGCACGGTCCAGCCAGGGCAGGAGCGGAGCTGGGGCTGGAATCCAAACGCCACCATCCTCTCCTGCGGTCCAGCCTCCTGGCCACCAAGCACCAGTGCAGAGATGATTTCTAGAATGTGCTTTTACCAAGAATGGAACTTTTAGCAAGGACCCTGGCTTTATGGTGGGGGGGAAGTGACATTGCTTTCAATATTCCACTTGTTTATTTGGGGAGGACCAAAACACAGGTCTCTGGGTGACTGAGACCATGAGACCCACAATGCCGCCTGCCCCACCCTGGCTGCCAAAATACCACTTATTTATAGACCACTCCGATTTTCATTTTCTTCTTCGTCTCAGAGCCCTTGGAGATTTTTCCTACTTTCTTGCGAATTGAACTACCCATTTAAAATGTCTGCTGCATTTTGTGCAATATTTCTCCTTGTTTAGTAAGGGGTTTGGGGCTCTCTAATACATCACATGGTCAAATACAGAGGTTCCCAGCTACACAGTTGCTAAAATCCTTTCACATTCCCAAGTCTAGGGTTCCTCACATTTCTCCTCCAACAGCTTAGCTGGAATATAACTCACATACCATTAATTCTCTCATTAAAAGTGTACAATTTAATGGTTTTTAAATATATTCACAGGTACGTGCAACCTTCACCACAGTGCATTTTCGAACATTTCCATCACCACAAAGAGGAATTCTGTGCCTTCAGCTGTCACCCTCTAGCCCCCTTCTGCCCTTGCCCTCAGGTTCAAAGCCATCACTAATCTGTCTTATAGATTTTTGTCCCTATGGATTTTTCCATTCTGGATTTTTTTTTTTTTTTTTTTTGAGACAGAGTCTTGCTCGTCACACAGGCTACAGTGCAGTGGCACAATCTCGGCTCACTGCAACCTCCACCTCCCGGGTTCAAGTGATTCTCCTGCCTCAACCTTCTGAGTAGCTGGGATTTACAGGCACACACCACCATGCCCGGCTAATTTTTATATTTTTAGTAGAGACAAGGTTTCGCCATGTTGGCCAGCCTGGTCTCAAACTCCTGACCTGAAGTGATCTGCCTGCCTCAGCCTCCTAAGGTGTTGGGATTACAGGCATGAGCCACCATGCCCGGCCTGGAAATTCTATAGAAACAGAATCATATACTAGGTAGTGATTTGTGACTCACATCTTTCACTTACTATATAACGTTTTCAAGCTTCCTCCATGCAGCCTGTACCAGCACTTTATTCCTTTTTGAGGCCAAATAGCGTTCCACCACGTGGATACAGCACAGTTGTCTACCCATCCTCAGGGGGCGGACACTCAGGTTGTTCTCGTCTTTCGGCAACTGAGTGATGTGGCTGTGAACATTTATGCACGCGTTGATGTGTGGACGTGCATTTTTATTTCTCTTGAGTTTCCATTTCACATGTGCCTAGGGACGGACTTGCTGGTCCTATGGTAACTCCATGTTGAATCATTTGAAGAACGGCCACTTAGTTCTATGTGATTTTAGTCTATTTCCATTTACTTTTTATAAAAAACAAAAAAACCTGTATGTAGAATTTGCTAAATTTTTCTCATTGTACACCATTATCCCTGCCTTTAAAAAATACTGACAAGTATATCACTACTGTAAAAAAAAATACGCACATAGAAAAAAGTCTTAAAAGATGGCCCACAAAAGCAGTTATCACCAGGAAAAATGAATTTTTATTTTTGTGTTTTACCTCATATGTGTAGTCTAAATTTTTAATAATGAAAATAAATAACATTTGTCGTAAGGAAATAAATTAAGAATGGAGAAGATAACTTTCCAGAAAATGACAGGCAAGTGAGGTTTTGTTTTGTTTCAGGTTTTGTTTTTTTAATCAGAATCTAAAATAAATCCTTCTGCAAGACAATTCGAATGGTGCACACAGAGCCTCCCTCTCTGAAATGGAAGTGGTCTCAGTTAGTTGGGAATTGCAACCCAGCCTGAGGCCTAAGAGACATACACACTCCCATGGAACCAAAAATGGGCAATCTCTATGTCAGGAAATAGAATACGAGAGAAATTTCTAGAAGCAGCTGGTTTTTCCAACACTTCCTGAACTCTTCAAAGATGAAGACAGCTAGCACATCAGCTTCCTGGTGAATCGTGCTCTGAAATGTCAGTCAGTCTTCCTGCCCTTTGGCTCACCCTGGCAGGTGGATGTCCAGCTTCTCCCATGGCCCCTTTCTAGGGAATGTGGTCCCATTGGCCAGGTGTGTCAGGTGCTTGAGCCCAGAGCCTGGCTGTCACCCCACCCCAGCCACCCCAGGAGAAACCTGTGAACCTCAAGCCCAGACCCCAGCAAGTCTCTCACAGTCAGGGCTGGAAAAAAAGATCCTATGTATGAGTCCATGCTCACACTGCTGTAAAGAAACACCTGAGACTGGGTCACTGAAAAGAGGTTCAGTTGGCTCTTGGTTCCACAGGGCGTACAGGAGGCATGGTTGGGGAGGCCTCAAGAAACTTTCAATCATGGCGGGAGGCGAAGGGGAAGCTGGCAGGTCCTACGTGGCCGGAGCAAGAGGAATAGAGTGAAGGGGGAGGTGCGGTACACTTTTAAACAACCAGATCTCCTGAGAACTCACTCACTATCACCAGAACAGCAAGGGTGAAATCTGGCCCCAGGATCCCATCACCTCCCACCAGGTCCTGCCCCCAACACCGGAATCACAGCTCTGAGATTTGGGAGGGGACACGGAGCCAAACCACATGACCCAGGAGCAGGAGTCCCAGACTCAACAACCCCGGAAGGGAAGATTGCTTCTTATCTTAGAGGAATGCCCCACCACCACCACCGAACGGAAGAAAAGAAAGCATCCATCTGGGTTTTAATGTAACTTTAGGAAAAAATAGCAGAGGTACAACGATTTTCTTTCCCCCAAAATAACAAAAAAACAAAAAACACTCTGAAAATCTGAAATAGTAAAGCAAGAGGCAGGAGGAACGAGCATTGGAATTTTTTTGGTGTGGTTATATTATCCCTAAAATAACCCTCCAGTTCCAGGACTATTTCAGGGTTTGACTTGGCCTTCGAATTAGGCAGTTAGTTTTCTTATTTCAGGGAGATGAGTCAGGGTGTCACTAAGCCTCCCTTCTTTGTGAAGCTAATCTGATGCCTGGGAGAGGCCTCCTAGGTGAGCAGGCCCCTGGCACCAGGAAGCGGCCATGCTCCTGGAATTCCTGTCCATAGCCCTGGCTGCTGGGCCACCATGCCCAGGCCTGCCAGCAGCATCCGTGCCTTCTCACGCTCTGCAAAGGTGAATGCCACCTGATAGCCACTGGGCCAGGTGCGGGGGCCTCAGGAAAGGCCTTGGCAGTCCCACCTTCTCTCT
The DNA here is from genome assembly GCF_000001405.40 of Homo sapiens. Classification (NCBI taxonomy): domain Eukaryota; kingdom Metazoa; phylum Chordata; class Mammalia; order Primates; family Hominidae; genus Homo; species Homo sapiens. The sequence continues at coordinate 111,476,224 of NC_000013.11, read as the reverse complement.
GTGTCCACATTCCGTGAAGCCTTGGTTCAAGGCTCTCCACTTCCTGGCGAATCTGCTCTTTATTCATGTAAAGATACCCCAGTCAGTTCATGTTCACACAAGCAGATTCATCTGTCCACTAAGACAGGGGCCCACCAAACCCCCAGCCAGCTCATCATCACCCAAGCAATTCATCTGTCCACTAAGACAAGGGCCCTCCAAGCCCGTGGGAGGCCTACAGGGCTGGCTCGGCCCTTTCTTAGCTCCTGTCCCTCCTCACTCTTCTGCAGAGCTCACCATGACTTCTTGCTCTTACAGCTCAGATAGTATCTGTTTAAACTTCAAAATATTGATGGCAGAGGCATTACTGCTGCCATTCTAGAGATACAGGAGCAAGATGGACGATCAGGACACTTCCCAGGGTGATCCAGGAATCACGAGTGTGGCTGGGACTTAAGTGCAGCTCTACCTAAAGCCTGCACATCCAGTCACCTCGCCGCCCTCCCAGCCCCCAGCAGGACAGCTAGGCCCACCCTGGGCCACTCTCAGCCCAGAGCTTCTGGAATCAGTATCAACCCAGTAAATAAGATGACAACACGTTAATGGAATCAGTGCCACCCACACGCTTCTGCTGGAACAAGTGGAAAAGAGGCGTGAAACTGTTTCATGAGCAATAAATACAATCCAGAGATGGTCCCTATTTCTAAGGTAAAGTGGCAAAGCATGGGAATTATAGGGATTGCACCCGGGGCCCTCTGCTACCTCCGTCAGCACCATCCCTCCCCTGTCTCCTGGGGTCCTCTCCAGCCTATGGAGAGTCACCCCGACAGCATCCCTGGTGTGGACGCGATGTGGCTCTGCAGTTATATTAACAAATGTTGGCTGGGAGTGGTGGCTCACACCTGTAATCCCAGCACTTTGAGATGCTGAGGCGGGCGGATCACAAGGTCAGGAGTTCGAGACCAGCCTGACCAACATGGTGAAACCCTGTCTCTATTAAAAATACAAAAATTAGCTGGGCGTGGTGGCGCACGTCTGAGTAGCCTCCAGCTACTCAGGAGGCTGAGGCAGGAAAATCACTTGAACCCGGGAGGCGGAGGTTGCAGTGAGCTGAGATCGCACCACTGTACTCCAGCCTGTGCAACAGAGCGAGACTCCGTGTCAAAAAAATAAATTAAAATAAATAAAAATGTCATCGCCCTCAGGCAGAACCACGCTGAACAAAGCCCTGTAAAGCCTCCCCTGTTCCTGCAACAAATCCTGCACAGATGGAGCCCGAGGTGTTGCCGGAAGCAGAGGAACCTGAGTGCTGAGACCCCAGCGTGGGGCCCCTCCCCGGTCCCTCAGCAGCAGCTCCGCGTCCCACGCCTGCACTGCAGTGGCCTCCTGCACAAGCGAGGGTGCCAGCAGAGTTGGGATTGCAAGGCAGGCAAGTTGGGGGAGCTTTCAGAGTCAGGCCTCCCCAAGGAGCCTGGGGACCAGAGCTGCCCATATCAGCACACAGGACCACAGCCTTCTCCGGCACCTCAGCCAAGCCTCAAATCCTAGACAGGACTCCCTTCTCTGGATCCACCTGCCCAGCAGCACATTTATTTTAAGAGGGATTTTACTGACATCTGGTGGCAAGACAAGAAACCTCACTCTTTAGAAATACCAGATCCAGGGATTTAATCAGCCTCCATCAGAGACCATGAGCTCTAGAATAAAAAGGAAGCCAAGAGAAGAAATGCAGGGTTCCAGGACACTCACAGCTCCCGCCTCCCTAACAGGCACCAAGAAAGTGGGTGAAGCCGGAACTCGCTTGTATCCCCTGGCACCTGCGTCCCAGTCCGGCAGCAACGTCGCTTCCATCCACAACAACGAACACCTTTAGAAAACTCCCCAGCTTGGGACAGTGACTCCCTGGAGCCTTGTTCCCGAGCACTCGGGGTTTCCTGACCCCTCACTGGGGCTGCAGCTTCCCTCTGGCGGAGGGGGACCTCGACACTCCCCGAATTGGCCCCTGTCCCATAGCAGGAGGTCTCCTACCAGCCCCACATCAAAGTTGCAGGGAACAAGCACAGGTGACCTTGTGGTCCAAGCGTGAATGGATAGAGCCTTGTTTCACCCCACGACAACATTAAGGTGCAAACACTGGTGTGATTATAAGACATTTTCATGCACCCGTAGCTTATCAATGAAACACTTTAAAAACATGACCAGGCCTCAGTACCAAGTGCAAATCTACACTCACTAATCAGAACCTCCCCCTAAAAAAGACTAGGTCTTGTCTGGACAAAAGGGTAAAAAGTTGGACTTCTAGGCCGGGCGTGGTGGCTCACGCCTGTAATCCCAGTACTTTGGGAGGCCAAGGCAGATGGATCACTTGAGGTCAGAAGTTTAAGACGAGCTTGGCCGACATTGTGAAACCCCATCTCTACTAAAAGTACAAAAAAAATTAGCCAGGCATGGTGGTGGGTGCCCCTAATCCCAGCTACTCTGGAGGCCGAGGCAGGAAAATCAATTACTTGAACCTGGGAGGTGGAGGTTGCCGTGAGCCGAGACTGCACCACCGCCCTCCAACCTGGGCAACAGAGCAAGACTCTGCCTCAAAAAAAAAAAAAAAAAAAAAAAGTTGGACTTCCAGTCCAAAGTGAAGGACTTACTTTTCATTGACAAATGGGACAATACAAAGAGTATGCAGTCTGAACACAGCCATTCACACCCACTTAGACACACTCCTAGAAAATGGGCCCAATGTGAACAGCTGTGCTTGGCTGGGGCTGTTGTAGGTAATCACGTTCTTCATGTACTTTCTACATGTGTACTTTTTCCAGGTTGGCACAGCCCCCTGGCCTCCGCTTCATGCCTGCCTGGCCCCGTCTCATTGCAGCAGGCAGAAGTCCTGGTGGAAAGCCCCTGCTCTCAGTCCCTGCCCTGCCCGCACACGGCCTGCAGTGGGCTCAGCACTGGAAGCTCCTTTGGGTTCCCAAAGTGACTGGAAGCCCTGCAGCAGTGAGTCCTGCCTGATTCTCCCCACGTCCCTCAGGTCTGCCCAGTCTGCAGACAAAGGGCAGTTTGACCTGTTCCACGTCTGCCGCTGCCCATCCAGTGACTGTGCAGGGCTGTGCCAAGTCTGCACCCCCACGTGCACAGCACGTACACAGACATCGGCACCTGCACTCTTGGGGGCAGGAAAGGCATCTCCATGCAAACTGCTCATGGGAAAACACCTGCCTGTCCCCAGCCCTGCTTCCTGACCAGATGCTGATCCAGATGAGCCAGGCCTCCTTCCTGCCCACCCCAAGACTCACCCCCAACCCTGGACCTTCCCTACCCAACAGTCTCTTCCCAGAATGCCATGGGCCACCTTTCAGGAGCTCATTCTCTGCAGGGAGGATCGCTAGAAAATAAATGCATCGTCACAGGTCTCCTGGATGAGCCTTAGACCAGGGTCTGCATCCCAGCTCCTGCGAGACCTAATGTTGGAGTGGGACAGTGGGAACCCACAAAGCCAACAGCCCTAGGAATGCCTCCCTTCCCATTCCCGACAGCGAGACACACAGGAGCAGATGGAAGATTGTTTGCCAACCTCCTTGCAAAGTGTAGCAGGTACAAGTATCAGAGCCGCAGTACCTGAAATCGGTGGGATGCCTTGATTTTCTTTCTCCGTAACTGAAAAGTCACATATTCCACTGACCCGCATTTGCACAAATAGCACGAAACTTCATCTCACCCATCAAAGGTCACTTGGTCCTCTCCAGACTTCAAGGTGGTCGCTGGAACGCATCTCCTTCTCCCAGGAGGCTATCCAGGCTTCAGAATCTTCCACGTTGTCCTTCCAGTTGTCTACAGCCAGTCCTGAGCTGGCCTGGGTCTTCCACTGGCGTTTGCCCCGGGATGCCCCTCACCCTTGCTGACAGCCCTCACCCCATCCCCGCCTGAGGCCGGTGGTCCGTGCCTATGCCCCTTAGCCCATCTCAGAATCCTTGGTTCTCTGTGGCCCATGCGGCTCTTCCACAACCCCCTTGGGGCTCCAGAATCCTGTGTGTCAAGGCAGGTCAGCAGCTGCCCTGGGGCCTTCTTTGGTCACCATCCTTCACTGCCCCTCCAGGGCTGGGCCACTGTAGGCTTCTCGGTGAGGCTGCACCCACCCCAGGAGACCGGACCCTTCTCTGCAGCCCTGAGCCCTTACCCAGGGCCTCCATGGGCTTACTACACCTGGGCTCGGGCCAATCCCCTCCTGTCACCTTTCTCCTTCCAGGCCCTCTTTGATCTTTGGTGCAGCCAGAGAGTCACCAAGGATTCCCTAAGCTGTAGTCAGGGTGTGATTCTGTCCTGGACCCTCATTCTCTGACCTTCCGCAGGCAAAGCCACGTCCGTAGAATTCTTTCCAAATCTTTTCTCTCTCAAACTCTGGCTTTTGAAAATCAGATGTTTTTAGATATCAGTCTTTAGATACTGCCTGTGCAATAGCATTTAATGACCACAGTTTAAAATTTAACAGTGAACAGTGATCTCTTTGCTGTGAGCTAGACTCACCTGAGAATCACGTAGACTGGGATGAGGAAATGGAGGCACCCTGAGAGCAAATCGCAAAGAAGTGCCTGTGCTCAGGGGCCCACGAGGGCTCTGCCGCTGCACTTGCATGGTCCCGAGGGTAAACGCCTCTAACCTGTGCGCACCACGCACCTCCCTCACCTTATGCTGTGCCAGCCGTGCCCCTAGGGCCAAATGCCTGTGACTGGAGGAATGGAGTCTCCAGGGAGCAAAGCAAGAATGACTGGGGTGTGGGGCACGCCAGGTGGCATCTGAGGAGCAGACTCTGCTGCCAGAGGCTTCCAGCACCCCAGGGACATCGTACCCATGTAGAGACAGGGTCTGGAACATGCAGAGATGCATAGATACGTAGACATGGATCTGACACGCATGTGGATCTATAGATGCAGAGACAGGCCAGGACCTGGTCCGTGTACACGCGGTATTGATTCATGTGCGCCCCACACTCCCCTCTGAACTCCTCACTGTGATTTGGGGTGAGGGGGAGGGAAGTGATTGGCCAGTGCACCCTAGCAGGCACATGCGTCCTCTGCTCCAGTCAGCACAGATACTGGGGCGGGGGGGGGCTTCACCCACTTCTGGACAAACCATGGCATCCAACACTGACTGATGTCCGCACCAGGCTTCTCTGGGTAGACTGGAAGCGTTGCGGTTTGGGGACAGTGAGGGAGGTGATGACAAGCTTCTGCCATCATTCTCAGGGGACACCTCATCTGAGCCACAGAACCCAGAAAATGACTGCAGGGATTCACCTTTCAATCCCCCCAGGGATGGTGCATTACAAGCACCATGACAGGTGCTCAGGAGAGAGGCAGATTCTGGCCCCATGTGGATGGAGTGGGCGCTTAGGGCCCCTGTTGGGAACACCTGTTTGGGCGCCTTCTGGAAGCCTAGGAGTGACCCAGGAAGAAATCCCACCTACTTCATCCCGAAGGAAGTGCCACGAACGGGGACTTTCACAGACCCCATGGGTATTGAGAGATCACATTTGCAGATCCAAACCTCCAGTTCTGTAAAATTTAGTAGAGTTTTTGTTTCAGCAATTTTTTTTGCCATAGAAACCATAAAAATTCAAAAGTCATTTTTCAAATATTTCAGATGACAGAGTTCACATACTCTTAAGAGAAGTATATTTATTATTTTATATGTGACCTTCGATGAAAGGACAAGAAAACTTGCTTTGGAGTGAGTGAAGGGTGGGGGATTAGCCGCATGTGTGAGGAGATATGTATATTTTCTCACCAAAGATGTGAAATTAAACTTCTCCTAAACTGTAAAAAGGGACTGAAGAAAAGGCAGGAGAGTCAAATCTGGGTGTTCCAGCTGGAGTCAAACAGGTGGACGGACACAGGCTCTTGGCCAGGAGCCATGGTTCAAGGCTCACGGTGCGGGGTTGTGTTCAATCCACCAGGCCCTGTCCTGACCTTGGGCAAGTTGCTTCCCCTCTCTGAGTCCTGCTTCCCTGACTGTAAAAATGAGATCAGCCCCCATTGCTCCACTGTTGCTTGTCTCAAGCACTGAGACGGACAGGCAGTCTGTGCTTTGCACGGGGGCCAGCACGAGTGGGCCTTAAATAAACGGACACTACGCCGCCGGCAGCACGCTATGATGGGCAGGAAGCGTGCTGGCTGCAAGGGCAGAGGCTGTGACGGGCAGGAAGCATGCTGGCTGCAAGGGTGGAGGCAACGTCTCCATGGATTCCCAAACGTCACCGAAGCAGGCCCAAGTCGCAGGCGACACCCCTCAGTGTTCCACGTGGCTTCACCAACCCCCTGGAGCAGGAATCCCACCATTCGGGTGGCATAGAATGAAGGCAGCCAACCTGTTCCAGCCCCAATCTGCTCACAACTGGCCCTGCTACTGTCTTCCCCACTTAAAGGAGGGAGAAACTGAGGCTCAAATGGCAGAACTGGAATCAGAATAAGAAGCCAGTTCTAGTCTCCTGGTGGGGATGCCTGCCATAACCAGGTGTGGGCCAGTGGTCAGGACGAGCCTGGAAGGAGGTGTCCTGGTTTCTGGCTCCTTCAAGAGGTGAGCATCAGAAGAGCCGGGCCCTGGACCTCACTGGACCTCTGACTGGCCATGCAGCTGTGGGAAGTGGCCCTTGCTCTGAGCATCGGTGCCCTCCTTAACAGCAGCAGCCCTGGCTCAGAGGCAGCTGGGATCCCCAAAAGACCAAGCTCTGGGATCCCCTCCTAATCTCTTACCTCTAAAGAAACCATAAACCGGCTAGGCACAGTGGTTCACGCCTGTAATCCCAGCACTTTGGGAGGCTGAAGCAGGTGGATCACGAGGTCAGGAGTTCAAGACCAGCCTAACCAATATGGTAAAACCCTGTCTCTACTTAAAAAAAAAAAAAAAAAATACAAACATTAGCCAGGCATGGTGGCGTGTGCCTGTAATCCTAGCTACTCAGGAGGCTGAGGCAGGAGAATCACTTGTATGCTCATTTCAGGCAATATAGTGGGAGGAGTCACACCAGCAGTGGGTGGAAGATGGATTTGCACCCAGGCAGCCTGGCTTCAAAGTCCTCAGGGAAGATAAGGTTTCTATCCATAGGACATCAACTCAGAAAGTTGGGAGCTTTGATTTAACACACTGCCACACACTAGGGGTGGACAGCAGCCCTAGCTGGACTTTCCGCCCACCCAGCCATCAGAGCCTTAGCCAATGGGCTTGCTGGATGATGGGGTCAAGGACAGATAGCAGACTAAACGAATGGGCAATCATCGAGGCCTTCACTGCTCTTCCTCCTCCTCAAAAGCCCTTCCCAAGAGACGTCATCTTTAATAGTGCACAAACACGCTATTTAATTTTTAAAAGAGAGAAAAAAGTAAAGCCTCTCAAAATGGAAAATAGACATACACATAGAACAGTGGGAGGCCCGGCCAGCCCGTTAGAAAGCACGAGTGCATCTCGCAGGCACTGTGGTCACTCACCTTCACCTGCACCTCGCAGCCCACGCCAGCCACGGGATGGCCAGCACCTCAGTGCTTCATTAAATGATTAAGAGCTTTACACGCAAATGCACCTCTGGAGTAGGGACGCTGCCGGATCTGTGCACACTGCAAACACAATAAGCCTGAAGCAGATAACAGCCAGGAACACCATAACGGAGCACAATTGGTGGTATCTGAACTGGAACTTCCAAGAAGAGCAGAAAGTGGCTCAGCATGCCCATGGGTTTGGACCGGCCCACAGCCGGGCCGGTGAGGGTCCTGGGAACATGAGTCCCCCTTCTGGCCGGCAGCACCAAGCTCTGGGTCTCTGAGCACCTGGGCCAAGAGGTGATGTGGAGGCTGATCCTGTGGCTATGGCGGGATCCCCACAGCACCCCAGGGGGAGCCGAGGAGGACCTGGGCACAGAGTAGCTGTCTCAGCCACACACAGGCCACAGAGAAAAGGCCACAGGGTCCCAGGAGCCAGAGACCCTGTCTGTGCTCCCAAGCATGGCTCCTCATCATGTCTGCCACTGCATGCCCACCACACAGGCCCACTGAACCCCCTTGACTCCTCTCCCACCTCAACTCTTCCAATGTCTTACCTGCTTCCTTCCTTCCCATGCCACCCCTGGTCCAGACGTTGGTCCCAGCCACCGCCCATCACTTCCTACTACGCGTCCTCCTGACCCCTGTGGGGCCTACCACTCACTTGTTCATCATCCACACTGCAGGCAAAGCAATGCCTACAACATAGACCATGTCCCATCTCTCTCGCGCTCGCGCGCTCTCTCTCTCTTTCACACACACACACACACACACACACACACACACATTGCTCATCAATTGTGTCCCTTCGGTCATAGGATCAAGTCTAGACCCCATCACTTGGTCCACAGCCTGGTCTTTGTGTCTCTCCAGCCTCACACCAGGCCACTGCCCTCTCTCTTTCCTGCAGCCACCTAGGACACCTGCTGGGAAAGGTCTGACCTGCCCCAGCCCTCATGGGGGCCACTGTCCTTAGCATAGGATGTCCCCGTCCCACAGCCAGCCTCATGCCCGCCCTTAACCAGCACTCACAGAGCAAACCATGGAGCTCCTGTCAGGCACTGGCTGGACCCTCCCTCCCCCAGCAATGTCCCCTGAACGGCTCTGCAGTGGTTCTCCTGTTGGGACATCTCACATTCTAGCTCCTGTTCAGCATCCCAGGGCAGGCGCCCGCTCACCCCACTTACAACACACATTCCAGCCACATCCCTGGAGGAGAAAGACAGTATTATCACTCAGTAAGTGTTTACTGCATGAAAGGAGGAAGGAGGAAAGGATCATACTTCAAGCAAGTCCCTTTCCTCTTGAGAGGGCACTGATACTGTTCCTGACCACATCGGGTCCAGTCTGAGCTAGAAAGGACATACAGCATGACACTCCCCATGTGAGAAAAGAGAAGCACACGTGTGTTTATGTGCATGCATGTGTGTTGCCCATCAGTATCCACATCTAGATCTGCATCTACACTCAAATCTTCATTCAGACATGTTGGAAGGATTTTGAACAAGTCAGAAGGATTAGTTAGCCCTGGGGAAGGAGTACATATGAGGAATCAGGTTGGGGAAAGACTTTTAGTTCTCATGTTTCATTACTTGCAACTATTCTGTGTTTTAAAAGTGTGATGTTTAACTGGAAGTCCTTGCCAGAGAAATCAGGCAAGAGAAAAAAATAAAAGGCATCCAAATAGGAAAAGAAAAGTCAAACTAACTCTCTTTGCTGATGATGAGATTCTATGCCTAGTAAACTCTAAAGATGCTGCCGAAGGCTCCTGGAACTAATAAACAACTTCAGTGAAGTTTCAGGATACAAAATCAATGTATAAAAGTCAGCAGCATTTCTGTACACCAGTAACATTCAAGCTGAGAGCCAAATCAAGAATGCAATCCCATTTACAATAGCCACACACAAAAATACAATGCCTAGGAATACATCTAATCAAGGAGGTGAAAGATCTCTACAAGGAGAAACACAAAACACTGCTAAAAGCAATTATAGATGACACAAGCAAATGAAAAAAATTCCCATGCTCATGGACCAAAAGAATCAATGTCATTAATATGGCTATACTGCCCAGTGCAATCTGCAGATTCAATGCTTCCTATCAAGCTACAAATCTCATTTTTCAAAGAATTAGGAAAAATTATTCTAAAATTTATATGGAACCAAAAGAAGCCTGAACAGCTAAAGCAAATCTAAGCAAAAAGATCAAAGCTGGAAACATCACATTATCACAAACTATGCTATAAGGCTACAGTAAACAAAACAGCATGGTACTGGTACAAAAACAGATATATCGACCAATAGAACAGAACAGAGAACCCTGAAATAAAGCTGCACACCTACAGCCATATCATCTTTGACAAAGTCAACAAAAATAAGCAATGAAAAAAGGGAACCCCATTCAATAAATGGTGCCAGGCTAGCTGGCTAGCCATATGCAGAAGAATGAAACTGAATCTCTACCTTTTACCATATACAAAAATTGACTCAAGATGAATTAAAGATTTAAATGTAAGACCTCAAACCATAAGAATCCTAGAGGAAAACCTAGGAAACACCATTCTGGATGTCAACCTTGGGAAAGAATTTATGACTAAGTCCTCAAAAGCAACTGCAACAAAAACAAAAATTGTTAAGTGGGACCTAATTAAACTAGAAAGCTTCTGCACAGCAAAAGAAACTATCAACAGAGTAAATAGACAACCTACAGAATGGAAGAAAATATTCACAAACTATGCATCCAACAAAGCTCTAATATCTATAATCTATAAGGAACTTAAACAATTGAACAAGCAAAAAACAAGTAACTGCATTAAAAAGTGGGGAAAGGACATGAACAGACACTTCCTAAAAGATGACATATGAGGTAGGTGGACTACTTGACGTCAGGAGTTCGAGGTAAGCCTGGCCAATGTAGTGAAACCCTGTCTCTACTAAAATACAAAAGAAAATTGGCCAGGCATGGTGGCAGGTGCCTGTAATCCCAGCTACTTGGGAGACTGAGGCAGGAGAATCACTTGAGCCTGGGAGGCAGAGGTTGCCTTGAGCCAAGATCGTGCCACTGCACTCCAGCCTGGGTGACAGAGCAAGACTCCATCTCAAAAAAAAAAAAAAAAAAAAAAAAAAAAAAGACATACGTGCAGCCAACAAACATATGAAAAAATGCTCAACATCATATCACTAATCATTAGAGAAATGCAAATCAAAACCACAATGAGATACCATCTCACTCCAGTCAGAATGGCTATCATTAAAAAGTAAAAAAAATAAAAATAAAAAATAAACAGGCGCTAGAGAGGCTGCGGAGAAAGGGAATGCTTATACATTGTTGATGGGAATGTAAATTAGTTCAGCCACTGTGGAAAGCCGTTTGGAGGTTTCTCAAAGAACTTAAAACAGAATGACCATTCAACCCAGCAATTCCATTCCTGGGTATATATCCAAAAGAAAATAAATCGTTCTACCAAAAAGACATATGCACATGTGTATTCACTGCAGCCCTATTAACAGTAGCAAAGATATGGAATCAACTTCAGTGCCCATCAACAGTAGACTGAATAAAGAAAATGTGGCACATATACACCATGGAATACTGTGCAGCCATAAGAAAAGAATGAAATCATGTCCTTTGCAGCAATATAAATGCAGCTGGGGGCCATCATCCTAAGAGGAGAACAGGAACAGAAAGCCAAATGCCACATGTTCTCACTTGTAATAGGGAGCTGAATCATGGGCATTCATGGTCATAAAGATGGCAACAGTAGATACTGGGGACCACTAAATGGGGGAGGAAAGGTCTGGAACACTAGTTATTGTGTGCTCTGCCTAGTGCTTGGGTGACAGGTGACAGGATCGTCTCGTGAACCTCAGTAACACACAACGTACCCAGGTAACAAACCTGTACAGCTGCCTCCTGAATCTAAAACAAAAGCTAAAGTTATTAAAAATAAGTAAATAAAGAAAAACATGCTTTTACAGGGACAAGATAATCTAGATAAAACTTCTCTCATTTGAGCGTATATATTCATACATTAAAGCCTGGTTAAAATACACACACACACCACATACACCATTCACCATTACCGGGTCTTGAATGCTAGGAAAATCTAGAGGTAGCAGAGATAAGATAACGAATAAATTCAGTAAAAATCATTAAAACCACAGTTTTTACAAGTCGACTGGACAGGTGAATATTTTGCCTGCACACCAGCAGCTAAATTATTCTATTTTACCAATCAGAGAAAAATGCGGCCACATTTCAGACAACAGTAAATCTGCCAGAATTACTTTCAAGTTCCTTCCTTCCTAAAAACTTTTATCTAAAATCTAATCTTTTGTGATAATTTTACTGGTAAAGTCTCTACAAGGTTTTAAGTTGTAATAAACTAAAAAATGTGAGATTAAAAAGTAGGAATTATAACTCTTAAAATGTCCATGACATTTAGTGTCAAATATGACACAAGCAAAACAGTTTTATTGAGCATGATGGTGGGACGCAGAATATTCCTAAGACCACGTATCCAGCCTCTGTCTAGAAAGTCGGTGCTGCGCTGGGCTGGAGGAGAGACTCAGCTGGGTCTTTGGCAAGGCGGCATGCAGTTCCGGAGGGGCCCATGTACGTCCTTAGACATGGGACAGTTTTGAAATAAAGTGAATAACCTGATCAGTCCTGCTCTGTCCCTAGATCATTTTACAGAGTAAGTTACAAATTTGAATAAATATACATATAAGCATATAACTAAATAAATTTATAATTCTAAATAAAGTGTAAGGCTTTAAGTTAGGAAAGCAAATAAATGTTTGGGGTGAAATTCACCTGGGTGCAGAATAGAAATAGAGGGAGAAATTCAAAGAGAGGCAGACAGAAATGAAACTCTGGGAGGGGAATATTCCAAAAGGCTTGAGGGGTCTGACAAAGAGCAGCCCCCTGCATAAGACACGCCAAAAAGTTGGCGAGCTGGAGGAGGGCAGAGAGCTGCCGGCTACGAAAGAGACTCCACATGCAAAAACTTCTCAAGGCTCTTCCACTGGGAGGACATGGGTGCAAAGTGCAGCCAGTGTGGAAGAAAATGACATACAGCCGTGTCCATCCAGCCATCCTTAACTACAAGGGTTCAGCCTCACTCATTTAAATTTCTATCCACGTCAATTCAGTTTTGGTAAACAAAAGGCTAAAAGCATCACCTTACTGATACACTGGGAAGCAATGAAGAAGGAAAAATTCGAGACTCTGTAACAATTAGTTTTCTTTGTTTGTTTGTTTGCTTTTTTTTCTTAAATTGAGATGGAGTCTCGCTCTGTTGCCCAAGCTGGAGTGCAGTGGCACGATCTTGGCTCACTGCAACCTCCACCGCCTGGGTTCAAGTGATTCTCCTGCCTCAGCCTCCCAAGTAGCTGGGATTACAGGTACCCGCCACCATGCCTGGCTAATTCTTTTTGTATTTTAGTAGAGACGGGGTTTCAGCTTGTTGGCCCGGCTGGTCTTGAACTCCTAACCTATTCACCCGCCTTGGCCTCCCAAAATGCTGGGATAACAGGCATGAGCCACTACGCCTGGACTATAATAATTAGCTTAGCTTGCACATTCGGAAAACACAGAAGAAAGCAGAATTTAATCATTTTATTCCACATTCTTCAAAATGACAGCAAGTAAATAGACTGTATTGCAGAGCCTGGGCCATGTAGCATAAGTGGCCTTAGCTCTTTCAGGGCTTCAAGGCTGTAATGGGCTCATAAAGGACTGAATCCAGACAGTTCCCAAAGGTGGCATCAGTCTAGGAAAGTCAGGAGAAAATGTCACATGAAAGAAAGATGCAGGCTGCTTCCTCTGGCCAAGCAGGCACTCTTTTGAAGGGACCCCATCCTGGAAGGGGTCCTCCCGCCAGGTGAGGAAGCCCCTTATAAATAAATAGCTATTTATTTGGCCTCAGCCTCAGTAGCTCCCAGGAGCACACAGCAATGCTCAAAGATGCCCTGCAATGCTCTGGTGAAGCCATTTGTTCCGACGATGGCTGCGTTTCTCCCAGAACGCTGCGGCTTCTCTCAGTTTGAGTTGTGCTGCTGTCCTTCTACCTGGAGTTTGATTCAAAGTGTAGACACAACACAGGCTCAACCAGAACTTTTCTAAACTAGATTTCACAGACTCCAAATTCTCGAAGATGCCGCATTGTGCTGACCTGACTGACATCTCTAGGCTGGCAGAGAAGACGGGGGTGTGGAAAGGCAAGGAACAAACCCCGGAGCGAACCCCTCAGACAAGAGGCAGAAAGCAGCCTGTCCTCCGTCCACACCTGGAGTCTGTATCCTGCTCCAAACAGAGAGTGCGCCCCTCCCATCAGTGTCCAGCCCATGCCACTGGCTCCGAGGTGCTTGGGACAGAACTTTGATACCCACTTTCTAGGTGGGAAAACTGAGCCCAGGTTTGTGAACTGCAATTGATATCAGAGGCAATTTTAGTGTGCAAGGCAAGCGGGCCTCCCCATTCCATCCCAGTCCAATGTGGGCCTTTTAAAAACGCTGGTGAAAGCCACATATACAATTGACCACCTTCACCAGGTGTAGGGTCACAGTCCCCTTGTGCTAACCCCTTCTTACTGGGCGGCAGTCCTCCAGCACTGACCGGAAGAGGTGGGGCCGGCCTGCCCTCCCCCTCCTCCCCCCACCCTCCCCTACCGGCTGTTGTGCAGGGCCTGGTGGGGAGCGAGTCCCCAGCCTCTGTGCCCTGACTCACTGGGGCACCGGCGCAGAACCTCTGTTCTGCAGCTCCTTGGGAATGCACCTGCTTCACCACTCAGGACACACCTGCAGCCTTGGGGAGCTCCTTTATCTGAGAGGAAGCCCTTTCCAGGGCAGGGTTTCCTCTAAAGAGCCCACGCTTGGCCCAGAGGAAACAGCCTGTGTCTTTCTTTGATGTGACATTTTCCCCTGGCTTTTCTCCTCTGGGTGTCACTACCTTCTCTGACAATGATGTGATGCATGCTTGACGCTTCCTCTCCTCCACTATTGCTCAAGGTCCACAGTTTACCAGTCCCAGGCGAGTGTGCAGGAGGACCAAGTCCAGGTTCTGAGCACCCAGGAACAGCGCTCACCCACCCAGGCTTACCCAGGCACAGTGCTCAACCCCACAGACACAGTGCTCGCCCACACATAGTCCTCGCCCAGGCACAGTGCTTGCCCAGGCACAGTACTCACCCAGACATAGTGCTTGCCCGCCCAGGCACAGTGCTCACCCAGGCACAGCGCTCACTCAGGCACAACACACACCCAGGCACAGTGCTCACTCAGGCACAGTACTCACCCAGACATAGTGCTTGCCCGCCCAGGCACAGTGCTCACCCAGGCACAGAGCTCACCCAGGCACAATACACACCCAGGCACAGTGCTCACTCAGGCACAGCACTCACCCAGGCACAGTACTCACCCAGACATAGTGCTTGCCCGCCCAGGCACAGTACTCACCCAGGCACAGCGCTCACCAAGGCACAGCACTCACCCAGGCACAGCGCTCACCCAGGCACAGTACTCACCTAGGCACAGTGCTCACCCATGTAGGTACAGTGTTCACCCGCCCAGGCACAGTGCTTGCCTGCCCAGGCACAGTGCTCACCCAGGCACAGTACTTGCCCAGGCACAGTGCTTGCCTCCCCAGGCACAGTGCTCACCCACCTAGGCAGTGCTCGCCAGGCCCGTGCCAGGCTCCACAATGCCACTCAGCACTGTGTTCTTCAGAACTGATTCCACGACCACGTGCCCCATCAATTGCCAGTGCCTTCTTGGCATTGCCTTCCTCAAAGGTGTTTGTGTGTTCCTTTTTAAAAAAGCGAGGAGCTACCTGGAGAGACCTGCCTGGTGAGCCTGAAAGCACACATTCTTAGAAGGATGACAATAACTCATCCTAGCTCTTCATCTCTGCCGTGGTGAAGGGCGTGAGACAAACGCAGCACCGGCTTCGTGGCTCGGTGAGTCGGCCACAGCAGCCCACAGGGACGTTCCAGCATCTCCTCACTAGATGGCGACGACCTCACAAGTTCCTAATCCATTGAGCCAGCACCTGTCCCAAGGCCAGCAACTGCTTCCAGCAGTTTCTTTAGGAAAAATATCCTGAGCAGTGCCTTGCCTTGTGGCTGAAACCATCCCTGCACCGGTCCTCACAGGAGAGGCCGAAGCTTGAGCCTGAGCTGGGGCATGCTGACCAGAGGGGCCTCACCCTGCCTGGCCCTGAGCTGCGGTTCACAATCCTGCATTATCTGCCAAGCAGAGGGAAAGGCACAACTGCAAACCACCTTCACTTGCAGCGAAGAAAAGCAAATCTGCTGCAGGCAGGAGCCCCCAGATCCCTCGCCGGGACCCACTCCACCCTGAGCAGCACGGACCTCAGGAGGCAACCAGGCCCCGAGACAAGGCCTTACAGCAACACCAGTCCAGTGTGGCCAGCAACCAGGTCTCCTCCCTAATACGGAACCCCATCTCATAAGTCAGCTTTATCATGTCTCTCATATCCCTCCTCCTTGCCCCTTTCCCCTTCTCTCTTCACTCTGTCTTCCCGCTTTCTTCCTTCTTCCCCACTCTCTCTTCTCCCTCTCTCCTCCTCTCTCCTGCTCTTCCTCTCCTTCTCCCTCTTTCCCCTTCTCCCCCTCTCTCCCTCCTCCTCTTTCCCTCTTCCTCCCCCCTCTCCCTGTCTCTCTCCCTCCCCTTTTCCTTCTTTCTCTGTCTCCTCCTCTCCACTCCTCTCCTTCTTCCCCTCTTCTTTCCCTCTTCCCCTCTTCTCTCTCTCCCTCTTTTCCTCTCCTTCTCCCTCTCCTCCTCTCCTTCTTCCTGTCTCTCTCCTTCCCCCTTTCCTTCTCTCTCCCTCCTTCTCTCTTCCCCTCTCCCCGCTCTCTCCTGCTCTTCCTCTCTTCTCCTTCCCCCTCCCTTCTCTCTCTTCGTCTCCTTCTCCTCTCCCTTCTTCTCTTCCCCTCTCCCCCACTCCCTGCCGCTCTTTTCCTTTCTCTCTCTCCCCTTCTCTCTTCCCCTCTCCCGCTCTCTCTCCCTCTTCCCCCTCCCCCTCTCCTTCTCTCTCTCCCCTTCTCTTTCTCTTTCTCCCTCCTCCTCCCCTCTCTCTCTCACACACACCCCTCCTCCACTCCTCCTTTCCCTCTAAAGCTTTCATGAGTTATTTCACAAGGAACACAAGTTCAAAACAGAAAACATGCTCTTCCCTTTCTCTTGTTCCCTATAACGTTTTTGTCAATCACTTCTTATATGAACCTAAGCTTTCTTACCCGTGAAATTTGAAAATCTTGTTTTTTTGCACCACATATGTGCACAGGATGTGTAAATCTGGACTATAAAATATAAATAACTTTTACAGTTGGTTGATAACTTTCAGTATCAGGTAAATAACATGAATCCCAGGTGGTCATGCCTCCAAAAGTTCCCTGCATCTGCAGCCTCAGGCTGGCTGCGGCCCTGGCATTTCCACCTGTGTCCTTCCTAGTTCCTACTGGATCCCCGAAATCCCACTCCTCCCATTCGGGACCCTCATGGGATTCACTGGCCATTCTGGGTCTTCACAGGGGAAACTGAGAAAGGGGCCACAGCCTAAATCGAGTCTGTTCATTACAGCTTTATCCACAGAAGCAAAACACACCCACACTCCCAGGAAGGAGGCGGCAAAGGACAGCTGCCAACAGCGGAACAAGGAGGCTGGCCCAGCGCAGTGTCACCCATGAACCGATGGGGCCAACAGGTGCCTTGCCCCTCCTGGGAGGAGCGCCCACATCCTGTGCAGACTTTCCATCCAGACATCCCCCTGTGGCCCAGTCAACGCAGGGAGGGTCTTCGCTGTGCAGACCCCAGCAAGGCAGACACACGGCCTCCGTGGAGCCGGCTTCCCGTTCTCTGTGCACCTGGTACAGCCGGGTTTCCCTACGCACCAGGTACTGCAAGTCGCCTAGAGGCAGCTCTGCCTGTGCCAATGGGGAGTCAAGAACTAGCGAGGGAGACTAAAGGGTGCCTAACCGCCCCCAACCCTGAGGTTCTGAGATTTCATAGGTTCTCAATGCTGGGTGCTAAGAAGACAGGCACCAAAAAAGACCCTCCACGTTTAAAGGCCATTAGGATCCTGGATCCCAGGTACCAGAGTCAAATGCAGGAGCCAGAAAATCCCCGCTGACTGTGTCTTACACAGACCCCAGGCCCTACACTAAACAGGAACGCTTAGAAAGAGATGCCGGCAACCTGTAGTCCTGAAAGTGTCCCAGGTGACCAGCACCACCGGCCCCTCAGAGCAGCCTGGGCAAAGGCAGGCACTGGGGCCAGGCCTGGAACGTGGGGCAGGAGCCTTCCTCGTGGGAAGGTTGGGTGGGGTGGGACAAGCTCAGGACTGGCTGCTTTCAGTCCTAGTTACTGAGTGATTTCAGTGGGCTCTGGGGAATTGGGGCTGCCCCTAAGTGTCTGGTACCTGTCCTGGAGTGACCGTGGCAGGGGGACAGTGGCCACTGCAGTGTGAGCCATGTGAGTGCCCAGAGGAGGAGATGGTGGGGCGTGGGCTCCAGACTGTGGGTTTGCATGCGATAGGCACGTGCATAGGTGAGGTGATCACTATCAAGGAATTGGCCGACCCTGCAATGGGCCGTCCTTCCAGGCTCAGCAAAGTCAAAGACTCAGAAATAGAGAAAAGAGAAAGACCCGGTTACTGCACCCCAGGCCACACAGCTGGGGAGCAGCAGAGCTTGGGGAGCAGCGGAGCTAGGGCTGCCCGTGCTGTGGGCCCGTGCCTCCGACCCCCAGCGCCCCGCCTCCATCAGGAGATAGCCAGCCCTGGTGCTGCTCCCCTGCATTCTGAGCCATGAGCACCAAAGGACCCCTGAAGGTCACCAATGCCCCATGGACCTTGTCTTGAGAAGTGCCAAAAACATGCAACGGAGGAAAATTCAAAAGCTCCCACTGTGAGTATTTAGATAAGGAATGGCGGTCACTACAGCAGCCAGGGAGTTCCCTGAGAAAGAACAGCATAGCACCCTACCTCCCCGCACACGCTGCATGGAGGCTTTACAATGCCAGACAATCGGGAAAGGGCGGTGAGTGAAGGCACTATTTAGAAGTCGTTAACCCAAGAGACAAGAGTGTAATTAGAATCAGTTTCCATGAATATTAGGAGGGTACACTCAGAGTTAAATTGCTGTCTTCAGTACACATACATAATCCCAAAAACACTAATTCAGGGTCTCTGCAAGTGGTGTAGATGCTGCAAAGAAAAGAATGAGAGGAAGTCTAACAAAAATGTTATGGAATAAGCTCTCCATCTCTCCACTTTCCCTGGAGTTAAGAGCTTCCTGGGAACTCACACAACTGTAGATTTAACTCCATGTATCAGTGGAGAATTGTCCTGATACCGACTTTGACTGATAGCATCTATCTCTGATAAAGGGTGCACTTCAAGGTACAGTCAGCAGTTACACAGAGACAGAGGCAAGAGCCCTTTCTGCCCCATGAAACCAGGGTCACTGGGGGTAGACAAGCGGGACATCAACTGTTGCTTAAATTGTTGACTTTTCATTTGTGAGCTCAGGGGACAATATCCTCTCGTTTATCATTTGGTGGAATCCACGATGCATTTGTAAGTTGCATGCAGTCATTTGCTGCATCCCAGCGCCAGGCTGGTGGAAATGGGGGAATGGCAGCACGTGCCAGACACCCCAGGCCAGCGTCCGGGATGAAGCCTGCTCTCAGGGAGCATGGCTCCCTCCTGTGGGTCCCCCTCACCATATGGCAAAAGCTTCCTGGGCGGCTTCTTCCACACTCGCTGGAGGTTCTGCAAGGGAGGCTTTGCCCACATTGCGGTCACCATTGAAAGAAGGCCTCCAGGCACAAGTCTCATCAAAGGCTTCCATACACAAAGGTCTCCATTTTGCATCCTGTATTCCCCTCTTGAGAGGAAATCAAATTATTTCACCGTTTCTTGCATGTAGGTTCAAAGACTGGTGCCTGACATTCCAGAGCCTCCCTTGGTGCAACTCAGCTTCAGGCACGTGGTACCTCTTGGCACCAAAAATGAAGGAAGCCTCCACAGAAATGGGTGGAAGTGGAGATGTCGCAACACACTTAGGCACGACACTGCTGAGACAGGCACACAGTGACAGCGATAAAGGGAAAGACACCAACATAAAAGAGTGTATATGGCAGTGGCTCACCCAGAGCCCACCAGGAAGGAGGCGGCAAAGAACAGAACTGCCAACAGCCGAACAAGGAGGTGTCGGCCGTGCTGGGTCGTTTCTGTAACTCATTTAACAGCCTTTGCTACGCGTCAGAAACACCTCGGAGGGCCCTCAATAAATGCTTCCTGGATGAAGATGGCCTCCATGCAAAAGCTCAATCATGCAACTACATTTTTAAAACCCAGATGCATTTCAAAAAAATGAAATTTCAACACTGAACTACATGTGCTTCTGGTAATCATGTCTTGTTCCAAATACTGTGAAAGCATTGAAAAGTTTCAGCCTCAAACAAATAGTATTGAATGACCTTTGAGGATCAAAACATGAGTGCCTTTCTGCTCCACCATAATCTGTACAGGAGAAACTACAAGTTTCTGTACTGGATGTACAGTAATCTAAATATTTTGATGGGGTGGGGAAGGAAAGTGAAAGAAAAGTACCCTTTATTGAGTGCACCTGATACATCAGGCCCTGCTCTAGATGCATTAAATACATTGTCTCACTAAGGTTCTGCCTGAGGCATTTCTCTAGCGTTTTTTGGGGGAAATGGAAGAATATATTTTTATTGAAATATAATTGGCATACAATAAATGGCATTTACTTAAATTGTGTGATTTGAGGTTTGACATAAACATATGCCTACGAAACCATCACCACAATCAAGATAGCGAACACGTCCATCAGCCCAAGCTTCCTCATGCTCCTTCATCATCCTTCCCTCTCTCCCTCCCATAGGCCCCTGCCCTACTTTGTCACTGTAGATTAGTTTACATTTTCTAGAATTTTATATAAATGAAAGAATAAAGGATGCATCCTTTTGCCTGACTTTTGCTCAGCATGATTATTCTGAAATTCATCCATGTTGTTGTAAGTATCAATATTTATTCCTTTACATTCCTAAGTAGTATTCTATTGTACATGTATTAGTCTGCTTTGTGTTGCTATAAAGGAATACCTGAGGCTGGGTAATTTATAAAGAAAACAGGTGTAATTGGTTCACAGTACTGCAGGCTGCACAAGCTTGGCACCAGCATCTTCCCGGCTTCTTGAGGAAGTCTTAGGAAGCTTCCAATCATGGCAGAAGGCAAAGAGGGAACAGGTGTGTCACATGGCAAAAGAAGGAGCATGAGAGACGGGGGAGGAGGTGACAGACTCCTTTTAACAGCCAGCTCTCCTGTGAACTAATAGAGTGAGAACTCACTCATTACCATGGGAAGGGCATCAAGCCACTCATAAGTGATCCACAACCATGACCCGAACACTTCCCAGTAGGACCCACCTCCAACATTGAAGATTACATTTCAACATGAGGGGTGCTTGAATTGTTTCACTTTGGGCTATTACAAATACTGAGCATTTGGCTGGGTGTGGTTGCCCACATCTGTAATCCCAGCACTTTGGGAGACCAAGGTGGGTAGATCACCTGAGGACAGGAGTTCAAGACCAGCCTGGTCAACATGGTGAAACCCCCACCTCTACTAAAAATATAAAAATTAACCAGGCGTGGTGGTGGGCACCTGTAATCTCAGCTACTCAGGAGGCTGAGGCAGGAGAATTGCTTGAACCCAGGGGGTAGAAGTTGCAGTGAGCAGAGATCATGCCATTGCACTCCAGCCTGGGTGACAAGAGTGAAACTCCATCACAAAAAAAGAAAAAAAATGCTAAGCATCCATGTACAAGTCTTTGTTTGGACATACAAGGTTTTTTTTGTTGTTGTTGTTTTGTTTTTGAGTAAATACCCATAGGTGGAATGGCAACCTTATGGTAGGTGTATGTCTAACCACTTAGGAAACCACCAGCTCCTCATCTGCATATCTTCTTTAAGAGTCCCTTTGATAGTCTAAATACATGTTCTTTATTAGACACATGGTTTTCTCCTAGTCTGTGCCCTGACTTTTCATTCTCCAAAAAACATCTTTTGAAAAACTGATGATCTTAATTTTTATGAAGCCTAATTTGTCAATTATTTTCTTTTATAATTGTGTTTTTTATAATATGCCTGAGAAATCTTACCTAATCCAAGGTCATAAAGATTTTATCTTGTGTTTACTTCTTGAAGTTTTATAGTTTTAGGTTTTACATTTATAAGTGCAATCTATTTTGAGTTCACCTTTGCTTGTGGTGTGAGGTATGAATTAAAGTTCCCTTTTGTAAATGGATACCCAATTTTTCTGGAATGATTTATTGAAAAGACTATTCTTTCTCTACTCCATTGCCTTTGTATCTTTATCAAAAATCAATTATCCATATATGTGTGATTCTATGTATGTGCTCTCTACTCTCTTCCTTTAATTGTCTGTCTCTCTCTGTACACCAAAATCACATTGTTTTGATCTCCGTAACTTTATAATAAATCATAAAATAGAAAGTGTAAGTCTTTCAAACTTGTTTCTCTTTCTCAAAATTGTTTTGGCTACTTTAGGTCCTTGGCAGTTCCGTATAATTTTCATAAGCATCTCATCAATTTATACCAAAAAAGCCTGCTAGAATTTTAATTGGTATCATGTTGAATCTTCAGATAAATGTGGGGAGAACTGACATCTTAAGACTATTAAATCTTCTGATCCATGAACATGGTATATCTCTACATTTATTTAGAGCTTCTTTAATTTCTCTCAGCAATATTTTATAGTTTGCAGTGAACTTTCTACATATTTTTGTTGGATGTATTTCTAAATAGTTTATATTATTTGCTACTTTCATAAATAGTAGTTTTTGTTTCTATATGTTAGCTTCTAGTACCTAGAAATTTGATATATTTTTACATATTGACCTTATATCTTGCAACCTTGCTAAACTCACTGATTAGTTCCAGTAGCTGTTTTTGAGAATCCCACTGGACTCTGAAAGAAGCCAGACTAAAAGGACCACATACTATATTATTCCACTTTATAAAGCTCTAGAAAATATAAACTAATCTAGAGTATTTGATGGGACAAGGGAATGAGAGAGGAGGTTACAAAATGAAATAAGAAAACTTTTAAGAGTGAGAAATTCGTTTGTTCTTTTCATTGTGTTGATGGTTTCTCATTTCTATACATTTATCAAAACTTATCAAATTATACCCTTTAAAGATGAACAGTTTATTGTGTGTCAATTAAGCCTCAAAAAAGCTGTCTTTTAAAAAAATACTTTTGACAAGTTAGAACTAAACATCTTTTCTGATATTATTGGTCCTAAATAATTTATATCAAAGGTCATAGATTGCAGATCTGATCTTATTATAAATCATGTCACTTCTATTCCACAAAGAGACTTCACTGTGGCTTTTCCACAACTGTAAATGGGTTCACCAAATGTAGCAGCATGTTCCTGGAGAGTTATTCCCAGATAGAGAGTTGGTCTGAAATGGCATCTTCTAATAGAAACACCAGCCTGTCATTTACATCCAGAGAAAACACTCATGCACATTAATTTCTATTCCATGCCTGGATAGAAAACAGCAGAGAAACTCTATATTCCGAGTTTGTTTTTCTTTTTAATGTAAAGTTAAGGACATTACTTTCTTCATTGTAGGAATCTTAAAAAATGTTAGAGTGAATGTTGACATTGGAATAAGGTTTAAAAGGATGGAGAATGGGGAGGTGTATTAGTCTGATCTTGAATTGCTATAAAGAACTATCTGAGACTGCATAATTTATGATACAAAGAAATTTAATTGACTCACAGTTCCACAAACTGTACAGGAAGCATGACTAGGAAGCCTCGGGAAACTTAACTATCATGGCGGAAGGCGAAGGGGAAGTGAGCATTCTTCACAAGATGCAGCAGGAGAGAGAGAGAAGGGAGAGGTGCTGCACACTTTCAAACAACCAGATCTCCTGAGAACTTCATCACAAGAACAGCAAGGGGGAAATCCACCCCCCAATCTAATCACCCCCTAACAGGTCCCTCCATCCACACTGGAAATTACAATTCAACATGAGATTCGAGTGGGGACACAAAGCCAAACCATATCAGGAGGGAACTGTACTGGGATCCAGCCATGTGTCGGTGGCTGCCAGCTGGGGTGTGGGGCTTCACCCCGTCTTACCCCTGAGGAAGCAGCCACACACTGTGAGAGCCTCTTGCACTCACACTCTGTTAGGCAGCAGTGCCCATTGTAGGACCAAGTCTGAAAGTATCACCTGTACCCTCCTCCTACCTGCTTGTCCTGACATAGAAATGGCTTTAATGAAAGGCCTTAGAAGGAGTCTGGCACAGCGTGTGGATCCGTGAACGCAAGCTTGCATGTGTTCCCAGGCGCAGTGCTTTCTTCCTCGGCCTCCCAGCTCCCTATGGTGTATGGCACAACACACTTCCCTAAAAATTATCTGCTAGTTCTGTGTGGTGTACAAGGCCTATGTTCAATCAATATTTGACTGCCAATTTTATCTAACACACTGTGGGAGATGCCAGCTAAGAGAAGATCCCTTTTCTTTTGGAATTTATAAGTAGGAGGTTGGAAATCAGAGAACAGGCTCTGGGACAATGAAAGGGAAGAGAGAAATCACTGAAATATTTTGTGTGCAATAATTATAACAATACCACTTTAGGGAGCATTTGGTATCCTCTAGGAACGATGCTAAGCACTTGACATATCTGTTTTTCTATCCCGACGTGGTTTGAAAAAATAATCGCACAGTATCAGCATTAGACCTTAGAAGCCAGCTTATGCAACCTCCCATCAAAAGCAAGATTCTATCCTCTTTATAGGACACTTGGCAGTAGGTTGTCCAGCCTCTGATGAGGCATCTCCAGCAGTCACGTATGGAATAGTGAGACATGACCTGTGAAATCTGACCACAGTCTTCATGCTGAGAGAGAGGGCAGTGGCAGCAGTTATTAGATCACGGAACTCGTAACAGTGTCCCAAAAAGCGAAGTGGACAAAACGGGAGGAAGTAGGCAGCTGTGGTGCCACGCGTGGACGGCACTTGCTTTACCTATCACCTCATTCTGTTGCTCCCTTGCAGAGCCTTAAGTTCCCAAACCTAGTGCAGTGCCTGGTACACGGCTGCTCAGGAAAGATTCACTCACTGAATCAGTGAAACCCGGGCAGTGCCATTTGGAGGAGGGCGCATCGGAGGAGGGTCGGAGATGAAAGATTGCTTCTCTCGATGTTGTCCTAAGACATGTCCCCAGGAAAAACCAGTCCCAAATTCTTCAAGGTCAGAGCCCTATCATTTTTTGGCCACTGCACAAGGCAACTAATGTCAGATATTGATCTTTGGAAAACTACTGCACATTAAAAAAAATCAAAGATGGAGTAACAGATTGGCAACATGGCTAATGGACTGCTGAATGCCCGATTGTTGCTGAGACATAAAACATTCTGGAAATGAAGCACAGAGAACAAAGCCCGAGTGTGTGGCGTTGGGTTTTGTGCCAGAAAACACAGAATCCAAGTGACTTCTGGGTCTATTGCTGGCTGGCTGCTGACGGAGACCTTTGTTGTTTCTCATGCAACAATAGGAAGGGTTCTTTCTGTTTGCATACGGGTTAGTTAGCGTCTGGGATGCAGGTGGAATGTACAAAAGGAGCTTGCTGGCTTCTGTCTTTTCTAGACAAATGACCGGGATATTACCCATGCCTGTTAAGTAGACACACAGAGAAATTAAATTAGTTCTTCTGGGCCATGGAGAGCCATCCCATCTCTTTCAAATCCAATTCACAGATTAACACAGAATAAAAAGGCTGAGTAGGTTTGTGACGATAGTCACACCTTCACAAAGAGTCTCCCACACTCAACTGTTCACCTCCAGCCAATTCTGAGTAAACACTTGGCAACGGTGTCCAGTACAGCCACACAACAGGGTCTCTCTTGCCATCTCCATATCTCACTTCCGAGTAATCATAAAAATTACAAAGGGGCCATTTTTGAGCATTTGCTATCAGTTACTGTGTGGTGTGTGTGTGTGTGCATGTGTGTGTGTGTGAGAGAGAGAGAGAGAGAGAGAGAAAGAACTTAATTGGAGATTTTGAAACACAGTTTTTTCTTTGTAGAAAAGTTACAAGAATAAAATGTTTCAGGAATGGAGAAATTCTGTACAGACAGTGAAGGCTTGAGGCACAAAGACAAATTTTCCTTTTTAGCCACCCTGAACTGAGATGTTTCTGCATGGTTGAGTTCATTCATTATTAAATCCATCTCTTCTGAGGCCTCTCCCACTCACATGTTAATGTCATTTTCTCATTTGACAGACGATAGAACAGATATATGTCTATAATAAATTGTCCAGAATGATGCAAATATTCCATAAATATCCAGGTTTTTGTCCGGCCAGGATCCACCAAAGATTCCCAACTATTTCCTTCTTAAAGGGCCAGACACCAAATGCAAGCCTCAAACTGGGCCACAGAGCAAGAATGCCTTCCAGTGTCCTTGGCCTATGACAACGTTCAGCATTTGCACTAGCTGTAGCCAGGGTGGAGTCCCGAGAAGTCACATCTCACAATAGCCCATCAAACCCAACTGGCCAGGAACATCTGCTATGTGCAGGAATATGGAACAGACAAGATGAGAAGGATGTCCCTGGACTCATGGAATTAATTAGCTGGGAGATCAAGAAAGCATGATCATTTCAGTAATAGGAGAGACATATGCTGTGACATGGGATGTGCGTGCTTCGCTGGGAGCAGCGTGAAAGTTGGGACAGTTAAAGTTGGGAGATGGGAGAAGAGTGAAAGTTGCTGTGGAATAGAGAGGGGAGGGCCTTCCTGTCAGTGCGGGGAGGGGGCCAAGGATACACGTAGGAGGAACCTGGAACACCCTGAGCTGGGAGGAAGGAGGAGGCTGACAGCACTGAGGCTGGTGTCAGCATACCGAGGGGGGCACACCTGCACTTGCCCTGTGGCAGGAATGTAGGAAGCCATGCCAGGGCAACAGGAGCCACTCATGTCTGATGAGCAAGGGAGGGACCAGATGTTCCAAGAACAAGGGACTCTTCCTGATGGACAGGAGCACACCCAATAATTATCAAAGAGTAACCACCTGGGTGGAGGACAAAAGACACCCCTCACACCAGTCCCTGCCACCTGTGGGTCAGCCTCATGAATCACCATCACTCAGAGTTTCTTAAGTGACAGTTAAACCCAAGATACCATGCTAAGCATTAGAAGGATTTTTTAAAAAGTATAAAGGCCTTACTTCATTGTTCTCAGAGAACTTACTACTCAACTGGGGAGAGTACAGTGGAAACAACCATCATGCCACAACCCAGAGACAATGCAGCCCTTGTAATGCATTCTGCGCTGGCAACTGCAGAACACGTCACAGGGCCAGGAGGGCCGGGGAGTCTCCCGTGCACTACTCCTCCTGTGCCTAAGGCCTGGAGGAGCAGGTAGCGCCTGGTGGGTGGACCTCAGGTGCCTTCTGAGGCTGCGCAGGGGAAGGGAGGGAGTGGGAAGGAGGCCTCTTCAAGCCATTGGAACAGCCACAGGTCACTCCAGCCCCAGCCAGCAGAGCACCACCCAAGTGCGAGAGGCTGTGGTAGTGCCAGGCGTTCCGGGTGACCACACCCACCTGGAAAGCCTCATCATGGCCCTGTTGCCATCATTAATTTGGAGGCTGGTGTCAATCCTTCCACAGTTAGAATTTCTCACGAGGCGATACAAGGTTTGGTTTCAGAGATATAAACTGGAATAGGATCAGATATGAACAACGATCAGAGACTTCCCCATAATCTCAAACAGCAGAGACAAGGTCAGGCTGTGGGGCTGGCACCCACCTGGCCCCCAGCCACGCCCTCTCTGTAAATCGAGCTGCTTCTCCTTCTCTCCCCTCTGGCTGTGGCAGAATCCCACATGGGGAGGTCGAGCCACATGTGGCCAAGAGTGTGAGCTGGGGCATCAGGGCTCCTGGTCTCCATGGGACCTGTTGCACACCACATCATTCCCTCTGGGCCTCAGTTTCCCCATCAGGCAAATGGGGTTGTCAGTTCTGCTCTGAGCCAAAGAGACCATGCGGCCACACTTCGGTCCCCTGGACATCAAGACACCACATCCCACCCGTTCCCTGAAAGTCAGGCTTCCTGCCCACATCACACAAAACCCTGAGCAGTCAAGACAGATGTGTGATCCCAGGATGCTGGTGGCAGTGTCTGCTGTCCTCTGGGAGACCTATCTTCACCTGACTAGATGAGGCCCACATTATGGAAGGCAATCCCCTTTACTCTAAGTCAATAGATTTAAATGTTAATCTCATCTAAAAAATACCATCTCAGCCACACCTAGGCTGGTGTGTGACCAGATACCTGGATGCTGTGACCACGCCCAGCAGACACTGAATTATCTGCCATGTCCATCGATCTCACCAGCCCTCTGCTGTCTAGGGCACCATCCTTCCAGCCTTGGCCCTTGACACACCCCTTCTTCTCACATCAATGCCCCAGCCACGCTGCAATTCCTCCATTCGTCTTCGTGCTGATGCCTTCCCTTGTCTTTGAGCCTCTGCACATGCTTTTCCCTCTGCCTGGACACTGCCCTTCTGCTGAGCTATTCTCCAGATTCCCCTTAAACACCACTCCTTCAGTGAGGCGTCCTCCTCCCCGTGCCCCTGGACGACTTTCAGTCTCCTTGCCACAGGCCCTCATAAGCCTCTATAACCTCCCATGGTCACGCACAATGCAGTGATTCTTATCTGTATTATTACCTCTCTTCCCCACTCAACTCCACACTCTGCAGGCAAAAACCACATCCTTTCCAATGACTGCTGTATCCGCAAGTTGAGCACAGAGGTGAGATGTAAACATTTATTGCACTTATCAATTGTCCCAAACTAAAGATTGAAAGAGACTTCTGGAATTCAGGATGCCTATATTGTTACCTAACTTCTCCAGCTCAGGCAGTTTTCTGGAAAGGGAGATGCAAGAGTTACCCCTGGAAGTGGTTCCTCTTCAGGTCTCTGACCCCAGTAAATCAGGCTGGCTACATGGGAGGCACACATTTTCTTTTGCTTCTGTGGTTTAGAGACTAAAATCAGGCAGCAGCCTTCTTAGTCTGCATCTTCCAGGATTTTATCATATCTCAGTCCTCTAGAGCAGGTTGCTCAACCTCAGCACCGTCAACATTCAGGACCAGAGAGTTCTTGGTTGGTTTTGTGTATCTTAGCAGCATCACTGGCTATACGTCAATAACACACCCCCCAAGCCCTGACACATACACACAGTGTGACAATCAAAACTGTCTCTAGATATTGCTAGGAATCCCCTGGGCAATTCTAGCAATTGCCCCTAATTGAAAACCTAGATTTCTAGATTTTTAAGATTTTGCCACTCTGGTGATAAGAACAGAGAAGAAACAGAAAAGTAGACCAAGGAAGAGAACACATCCCCCAACACATGAAGCAACAGGAGTAAGCCAAGTACTCTGATCATCTCTTCTCCAGGGTGCCACCTTGGTGGTCCAAGAGTGAGGAGAGAGCAGGAAGGATTCCTCCAAGCTGCATCCTCCAAATAGACCCAGAAAGAAAGACTAGACAAAATGGGGAGAAAATAATCCAAGATATAATACAAGAAAACATCTCATAACCACAGAATATTCTGCCAACAAGTGCCAGCAGAATGAGAAAGAAATCTCAGAATATCAAAGATAAAGAAAAGGTCCTAAAAACTTTCAGGAAAAATTAACAGAATTTCTACAATTTCCTGCTGGTGCCACTTTCTTATCTCAGTTGCTGTAAAGGCTTTAAGTAAAGGCTTAAAGATATACTTCCAAGCATACAAATACAAAGAAACTTGACTTAGGATGTACTGTTTTAATAGAACAAAAACAAGAATGTATTCCAGAAAAACAAAGGAGTAAATCAATGACACAAATTCCGGTTATGCTCATTTGTTTAAATCATCCACCCTCTCCCTTCCAAGAATCTTCTTGCATTGTTACGCTGGGTTTTTGGGGGGAGGTAGGGGATGATATATGTAACACCAAATCAAAGGAAAACAGAAAAGGACAAGAGATATAAAGGTTAGGAATGGGAATATAAATTTTTAAAGAATTTAAAGAAAGTATTGGAGAAGCTGATGGATAGAAGAAAGTAGATAAGAGAGAAAATAAGGTTTTTTAGAATATTTGTCATAATCTCCACAGCCCCAGTGTGGTGTTTGAGATGGATATGTAAAAAATGTGGTTATTTTTAAATTGACTCCTCTTTGGTGGGATATCTTCTTGTGACCTAAAGCTTTTGAGACTAGACCACTTGCATGTTTTAATAGGACTACAACAACAATAATCTCAGTTTCAAACCACAGATTACATCATCAAAGGCTAAGAAATATGATGGATAAGCCAGTGAAGAAGGGCATCTGACATAGATGAAATCAAAAACCTTTCATTCTTTTAACCAGAAAAATGTAGTTTACAGGAGGAGGTTTAGAAAACATTAGAGGTAAAAATAACTGCAGAAATATACATGCTAAAATAGTGAAAATGAAATGATCAACAGATTAAAAGAGTAACAGAAGGCATAAAAGAATCCATAAAACAAGACAGGAATTAAAAATGTTCCATATTTTTCTACTCCTAGAATAGTTTTTACGGTATCAAATTGAACGGTTTTTGAAATAGGATCTCTTCTCAGCAAGCTCTCCAGGTGACTAACACGCTCCCTGAAGCCACTCTTCCATCCAATGCAATACTACTTGAAACTGAAATAAGAAGTGTCCATTCTAGATAGTGAAAATTATATCACTATTTGCAGATAGTAACATAATTGTATGCTTAAAACAGTCACCAAAATCAACAATAACTGCCAACTAGCACAACAAAACTATTTTAATAAGGAATCAATGAAGTAAATGAAGTACCCAGATTCAAAATAAACATACCAAAATTAATTAGGCAGTACCCAAGACCACTTTGCCTCATATTTTTGATTGTCCACTGTTCTCATATTCTCTTATTTACCTCTTTTCAATCTCCTAATCAGCCGTACAAGATTATGATTATGATAACACCACCACCTACCACTTATCAAGTACATACTATGTTCCAGGACCTGAGTGAGGTGATTTATATCATTTATCACATAGAATCATAACAACTCTCCATAAGGCATTCTCTTCAGTGTGTAGATTAGAGTACTAATGTGTGCAAGGCTAAATGTGTCACACAACATTGCACTTATAGTGAATGGAAAACCTGGATTTTCAGTCCATGCTTCCCTGGATACAAAGTCTGTACCTGCCACCGCCATAACTGTACAGCCTCTCCTACGTAGATGGTATTAGTGAGAGCTGGGGGCTTCAGTCCAGCCTTCTCACTCTTAGAGTCATAATTTTGTTGGCAGGGGGTGTATTTGTGAGAAGGCACAATCTTAAAAAAGTGATGGCATCTAGACAAAAAGACTGAGCCCCAGCACCCCACAGCAGACCTGTGAATCTGGCACACAGATCTGTGAAGCTCAGTCCCATTTGTGGTGATGTCTTCCCTCCAAGAATAGACTTTTCCAGCACCTGGGCTACAGTTTCAAAAGATTAAAATGCACATGCTGCCTCAGTGATCTCCAATTCAATGGCTTTCTGACGACAATCAGCAGTATTTACTTGGAATATTTTTCCAGTCATTTTATTTTTGTCCTCATCCAGCTGACATTCTATTTTTCACACATTTTTATTTAGTTTCTTTCACGTTTTGTGTTGTTTTCGGGTTCTCGTTTTTGTTCTAGCTTTTGTACTCACTTTAGCGAGCGAGAGATGCTCAGCCCTTTGCTCCTTTTAGCACCAGTCCTCTGTCCTCCCACGGGGCTTGAAGAGTCAGCTCAGTGTCCACCGTCACCACCAACTGTGCAAATGACAGCAAAGGGCTGCCAGGGTCTAGGGCTGGTCCTCTGTGTGCCATGGCAGGGGCTGATGTGGAGGGGAGAGCTCACGGGCACAGGGAGAAGGCATGGGGACAGGAAGTCCAATGGGCAGTGCTTGGCAACCAGGGCCTTCACTTTTCTCTACATTTAATAAAGGGAAGCAATGAGTAGGGAAAAGATGAACAGAAAAGCCTCTAAATTCCCTCCAGCAGGTCACCTCCACAGACAGCTGAGCATTTTCATAGCTGCTTTTGAAACACTGACACTAACAAAGCTATATCCATCCCCACCCACCAAAAAAAGGGTACATTTATATTCTTAAAAAGGGACTGTACACATGAAAAGATGCTCAACATCACTAATCATTATGGAAATGCAATAAAAAACACAATGAGATACCACCTCATACCCACTGGGATAACTATTATAAAAAAAAAAGAAAAAGAAAAAAATAGCAAGTGTTGGTGAGGATATGGAGAAATGGGAACCCTTGTGCACTGCTGGTGGAAATGTAAAGTAGTGCAGCTGCTATGGAAAACAGTTTAGTGGTTTCTCAAAAGATTAAAAAAGGGAACGACCACAGGATCCAACAATTCTGCTTCTGGGTGTGTGTTCAAAAGAAGAGAAAGCAGAGGCTTGAACAGATGTCTGTATGCTCAAATTCACGGCAGCATTTTTTGCAATAGCCAAAAGGCAGAAGCAACCCAGGTATTCATCAACAGATGACAATGTAAACAAAATGTGGTATGTACATATAATGGAATATAATTCAGCCTTAAAAAGAAATGAAATTGACACGTGCTACAACATGGACAAACCTTGAAGACATTATGCTGAGTGAAAGAAGTTAGACACAAAAGAACAAATATTATGTGATTCCCCTTGTATTAGCTCCCTAGAGTAGTCAAATTTCTGGAGACAGAACATAGAATGGTAGGTGCAGGGATTGGGGGAAAGAGTTTCCATTTAGGATATGAAGAGTTCTGGAGCTGGGTGTTGCCGATGGTTGAGCAGCAATGTGAGTGTGCTTAATGCCACGGAACTGTACACTCAAAAATGTTTAAAATGGCAAATTTTTATGTTATATCTATTTTACCACAATTTAAAAACTTAAAATTTATAAAGGGGGCATTAATTTATTCTGGTGGCCTCCAAACACAAATTCCATGCAGACAGCATCACTAGGTATTAGAGTCATGCAGGCAAGTGAAGAGACCGGGAGAGGCAGAGCTTAACCTGAGTGAGGCCTTGTGAGGTCACTCTGAAGTGAGTTGGGCTACAGGGATGCAAGAAAAGGCACTAGAGGCAAAAGACATGAAGATGGAGGGTGTGAAGGTGAATGAGGCAAGCCATTGTGTGTCCAGGCCCGCCTCCTGCCACCTCCAACAGAACTGACCTCTCAGACTATGTGAAACCATCATAACCAAGCTGGGATGTGGGAGGAAAACATGAGCATGGTGCACACACACACACACACACACACACACACACACTCAGGCACAGCCTTACAAGTTCATGTGGTCAGCAACGTCCTACTTTGAGTTGTCTGTGTCACAAGTGAGATCAAAAAGCAGGCTGACCTGCACTAGGGATTTCATCCTAAGATGGTGCTTTGTGGATGTAGAGTTCAGCGGAAACTTCAAAAATAGCCTTGCCTTTCACCCACCTTAATCATATCTACCTCCCATCTTGTCCCCCCAGTCCAGAGCTTTCACTAATTCCAAATAAAGAGAGTGGAGGATAAAAGGAAAGAGGCTCACTGGCATTCAAACTGCCAACATCACCATGACCTACTCAGTGTCACATGCAGGGCCAGGTCATCTAAAAATTAAGAGTCACTTTACACTGGAGAAACCTGGCAGACACCACCTTAATCAATTTACCAAGCTAACATCACCAATATTGGAACAAATCGATATTTTGTGCCTCCTGATAGGGCGCACTGAGAAGAACACAACATCACTTCTTTGATGTTCTGCAATCTGCAAAATAACTGGCCTGACCTCTTCAAAATTATCAAGAAAGGCCAAAAAAAAAATGTGAAGCATTATTCCAAATCTAGGAGATGATTCTGGACTAGAAAAAGAATGCCTACAGAGGACATGATTGTAACAACAGACAAAATTTGGACACAAACTTAAAAGGAATTGAATTAAAGCTAAATGCATTGATTTTGGTGATGATATCATCACCATAATGTGTAAGACACAGAGAGGAGCCCCATGTGAAGGCAGACACACAGGAAGGTGGCCATGTGAAGATAGAGGCAGAGATGGAGCAATGTGTCTACAAACCAACAGATGCCCAGGACAGCCAGCTGTCACCAGATGCCAGGGACAAGGTCTGGAACAGACTCTTGCCCAGAGCCTCCAGGAGGAACCAACTCAGCTGACACCTTGGTCCCAAACTTTCAGCTCCAGGCTGAGATGATAAATTTCTGTTGTTTAAGCCATCTTGTTTGCAGGTCTTTGCTGTTGTGGCTGCCCCAGGACACCAGTACTCACCCCATGCTCAATTCCACTGGTGTGCATAGCTTCCCCAATCCCTGAAATCTTACAGGATGCCACTACCACACTGAGCCACGTGACTTGGCTCAAACTATCAAGCATATTTTCCTGAACCTCATTCAAGATGAGATCTTGAGAACTTGGGAGCTGAAAAGTAAGACCCACATATGGAACAATTTTCATATTCCTTCCTTTAGTTGACAGATGCCTACTACACACATGGCAGGCACTGTGTAGTTGCTTAGGATGGACACGTCTGAAAGCAAGGGAGATGAAAGCCCTGCCCGTGTAGAGATTAGAGTCTAGTGTCAGGAACAGGTGTGTAATAAACACTATCAGTAAATAAATTACACAGTCTGCTAGAAGGCAATAAAGGCTCCAGGGAAAATTCAGCAAGGTAAGGACTAAGGGAGAGTGAAGGTTGAACACTGGTATCACTTTTTTTTTTTTTTTTTTGAGACAGAGTCTTGCTCTGTAGCCCAGGCTGGAGTGCAGTGGCGCAATCTCAGCTCACTGCAACCTCCGCCTCCCGGGTTCAAGTGATTCTCCTGCCTCAGCCTCCTGAGTAGCTGGGATCATAGGCATGTGCCACCATGCCTAGCTAATTTTTGTATTTTCAATAGAGACAGGTTTTCACCATGTTGGCCAGGCTGGCTGGCAAACTCCTGACCTCAGGTAATCCACCCACTTTGGCCTCCCAAAGTGCTGGGATTACAGGCGTGAGCCACCCACCACACCCAGTCTACTTTTAAGGAGAGTGGTTGAGGTGCCTCCTTGAGAAGGCAATGTTTGAGCAAAGACTTGGAAGAGGTGAGGGGCACGTGTGTGGATGTGCCAGGAGGAGGTGAGGGGCACGTGTGTGGACGTACCGGGAGGAGGTGAGGGGCATGTGTGTGGATGTGCTGGGAGGAGGTGAGGGAGAAAGTGAGGGGTACACATGTGGATGTACCAGGAGGAGGTGAGGGGCATGTGTGTGGATGTTCCGGGAGGAGTTGAGGGGGCATGTGTGTGGATGTCTGCAGAAGGATGCTTTCAGCAAAGCAGGCAGCCAGGGCAAAGGCCCCAGAGTAGGGGCATTCCTGGAAGGTCTGGGGAGCTGCAGAGAGACCAGAGGCTGGAGATGAGAGAGCCTGGAGAAAGTAGTAGATGAGGGCAAAGAGGTGGGCTAGGCAGAGTGAAAACACATGGAGTCTTGTTGGCCACGGTAAGGGCTTTGGGCTTTGCTCTCAATGACATGGGGTGGAGGCATTGGCAAGTTTTGAGCAGGGCAGAGCCCGGAGTGACATTTTAAATGGATCTCCCTAGCTTCAGTGTTACTAAGAGGCTATAGGAGGAAGAGGCAAGGAAGAAGACACAGAGACCAGCTAGCAGGCTGGTCATTTAGGCAAGAGAGGGTGTGGTTAGGGGCTTAGAGCAGGGTGGCGGGGATGGAGAGGTGGGAAGGGGTGGGTTCTGAGTATATTCTGAAGGTAGAACCAACAAGACCTTTGGATGGAGTAAAGTGGGGTCTGCTGAAAGGTTTGGTCTGAGCAACTGAAAGGATGCAGTGACCTTCAGCACAGGCAGGGGGAGCTGCAGGGGGAGCTGCAGGGGAAGCTGCAGGGGGAGCTGCAGGGGGAGCTGCAGGGGGAGCTGCAGGGGGAGCTGCAGGGGAAGCTGCAGGGGGAGCTGCAGGGGAAGCTGCAGGGGGAGCTGCAGGGGAAGCTGCAGGGGGAGCTGCAGGGGAAGCTGCAGGGGGAGCTGCAGGGGAAGCTGCAGGGGGAGCTGCAGGGGAAGCTGCAGGGGGCAGGTTTGGAAAGGAAAGCAAGGATCTCTGCTTTGGACAAGAAGAGCTGAGATGTCCGTGAACATCCAAACGGAGCTGAGCAGTCAAGGTTTCTTTCGCTTACGCTACGCGGGCTGTGGAATTTCTCTGCACTTCTGGTCCGGGGGCTCCACAGTTGCAGAAACTGCCTCCCTGCTTCCATGCATTGAGATGCTTCCCAGCATATCCATGTTCTCCAAGGGCAACTGGTAGTGTGCAGGCGTCAGTGGGATGGGGCTATGAAGGCCGTTCCCTTCCTCCTCACCCCTTGGGCCACCTGAATCCCTGCCACCTCCCTGCCCTCTGCACCCAAGAGGCACCCACATCTCTCAAAAGGGTCTTGCCAGCCTTGGAAGTGTCCCACCCCTGCTGTGGGGTTCCAAAGAAAAGAGGAAGGGAGGAAGGGAAACACCATCCACCTCCCTCTGACCCCTCCCCAACAAAAAGCTCCACCAGTGTCTCCATTATGCCGCAGGAAGGTCTGTGAATGCCTAATTCACCCCTCTCTACAGAGGCTGGAAGAAAAGCGGGAAACAGCATGGGGCACCCAGCCGACTGCACGTATCACATAGCACTTTCTTCCAGGGTGCCCAGGGCATTGGGCTGATGAGCCTCGACAGCGTGCAGGGAGAGCTGGGCTCCTCATACTCAGGAAAACAGCAGGAGAAGGAACAAGAGGCTCAAAAAGCCCAGTCCTCACACAAACCAACCACTGTGCCACACACAGAAATTGTGCCCAAGAAAATGTCATTTTCATAACATAAGCCCTAGCTAAGACATGCGTCCCTCCCAGTGACCTATTGCTAAGTGCCAAAACTTCAAAAACACAGAATTGTAGAATCTCTAAGCACAGGAAAAGAATCAGACATCCAGCAATGTGCCTTTCCCCAGGTGGGAAGTAGATTGAATATTGGAAGAAACAGGAAAATGTATTTCTGTGTAGAGGGAACTGTTCTGGAGAAAACTTGTCATCAACAGGGGAAGTGCAATTTAGAGAAATATGAATCCATGGAGAATGTGTTTATAATTGGCGACTCATACAGGCTCATTATGCTAATCCAAGAGTTAGGGGGAGGCCAGGATTGCCTGTAATGACTTCTAATTGGGTTAATTGGAGGCCGTAGGCTCCTTTCCCTCAGAGAAGGACTGCACCAGAGTCATGTTACATAAGCCACATTCAGGTGGGGGGATGTTTATGGGGGGAGAGGAGGATGGGCCCCCACTCCTGACTCCAGCCAGCCATCCCAGACCTCCTGAGTCTGCAGCTCAGCCCAGAGCAGAGGACCACAGAGGAGGCTATGACTTGGCCAGGCAGCAGCTCACGGAGCCCCAAACAATGAGGCCTGGATTAGCAGGGCTGCGAGTGGAAGAGCTGGTAGAAACAGGACCCTGTGCAGGCCCCTGCCCCAACCCAGGTCCCGAATGCAAGAAACACTTAAGTCTGCCAGTGAGCGCAGTCCTTCTCCAGAAACCACCTCTTGTATAACCAGCTTTACTAAAATCACTGGTTCAACTGACTGAGACATGCGGGTCTCCCAGACACACCGTTACAAGTGGTCAAGCCAGCCATTCACACGGGCTGCCACAGCCACAGCCCGGGCTAGTGCTGGACCTGGGCAGGGACTCTGCTACCTGCTCGCATACCCAGCTGATGTCATCCCTGCAACAGCCCTCTAGAAGTTTCCACAGTTATTACCATTTGAAAGAAGAGGGAGTGAGGTGGGCCTAAGTCACGGACTGGGTCAGTGCCCAGCCAAGGTGGGGAACCCACGTGGGTGACCTCAGGGCCATGCTCCTGGCTGCTCAGCCTCCTCCTGCCCACGAGGCCAAGCGCTCTAGCCACCTTGCCTTCCGACGTATTGACCCAGGTACTCTTCAAAGAGCTGCCTGGCCCCAAGCCCCTCCCCTATCAGGGCAGGACGGTGGTGGGCTGCCTGGTGCCCTCGAGAGCTGTCCCCAGAGGGGCGATGGCTGCAGCAGTGACAGCAGTGAGATTGCTAAAAGCCGGACACCGGGGAGCCCCTGGGAGCATCAGCCCTTAAAGGGAAGGAGCCCGTGAAAAGTCGGAGGAGGCTGGGAGCCCAACAGGCACAGGCCTCAGCCGCGAAATCACCAGAGTGGAGGAATAAATGACTGGTGCAAAGGAAACCAGTTCTCTGGCCTGAGTGCGTGTCAGAACCCCCGGAGGCCTGTGAACACCCTCCCAGGATTCTGACTCCCGGGGGTGTCTGCTGTCTATGGCAGCGCACCGATTGCCCCAAAGCCTAGAAACTGAAACCACCACTGACCCCGAGCATCTGTGGGTCTAAATTCAGGAGCGGCTTTGCCTGGTGGGTCGGGGGCAGGTTCCACGAGGCTGCCGTGGAGCTCGGCCAGAATCTTGCGCCCCAGTCTCAGCTGCCATGCCCTCGGCCGCCATGCCCTCAGCTCAGCTGTCACGGGGCTTCCCCAGTTCCTTATGTGAGCCTCTTCCCAGGGCACCCACAAGGTACCGGCCACTGTCCCCACAGTGAAGAATCCAGAAGATAAAGAGCCAAGACAGAGCCTGTGCTGGAAGCAGGGCCTTTTCCCGATCCCAGGGGTGACGCCTTCTCATGGTATGGATTTTCTGAGTCCCACAGACTGGCCTTGATAGATGAGGGGGGTCTCCCCAGGGCGGAAGCAGGAGGCGGCAGTCCCTGGGCCGATGTGGGACCTGTCCTCCCATGTCCACACAGCTCCAGGGGAGGCAGGCAAGGCTGGCCTGGGACCACACTTTGGGAACTTGTGGACCTCTCTTCCCTGGGGGTGTGGGAAGTTGACCGAAGGCCGAGGCCTCCTGTGCGCTGGTTCCAAGCAGAGACTTGAAGTGAACCCAGCAGCCTGGGGGTCAGGGGTAGCAACCAGAGCCTCCGGCTGGATGGTCCCGGCAGGTGGGGTCCCTGGTGCCCTGGGAGCTCCATCTGGGCTGGGAAGTGTCCGGGACACCCCTGCGGCAGCTGTGGCTCCCCCATCCTGCAAATGGCGAGCTCAGTTCCAGCTGGGACGTAAAGGGGCCCCAGCTGAGGGACAGTATCTTGGTGTCAGCACTTGCTACTTCACTGGCCTTCAGAATGCTGCTCAGTCTCTGGGCAATGGAGTCTCCCCATCTGTGAAATGGGGATAACGAGATGACCTGGAGGGAATTCCACAGGAGTGGGTGGGTACAAAGAGCCTCTGTAGGTGCTCAGTATTTAAGGACACGTTTGTCATCCTCAGAAGCTCCCAGGCTTGTAGG
Source organism: Homo sapiens (assembly GCF_000001405.40). Classification (NCBI taxonomy): domain Eukaryota; kingdom Metazoa; phylum Chordata; class Mammalia; order Primates; family Hominidae; genus Homo; species Homo sapiens. The sequence goes on along the minus strand of NC_000013.11, from coordinate 111,437,177 downwards.
AGAATCACAAGTTAGTTAAACATCCTATAGCCAGGCCTGGAGGGGAGGGGCTGGGCCTCCTACCCCATGCACAGGGCAGAAGGAGAAGAAGACCTTTCAGAGGAGGTAAAGGGGCCTGTGCTCCGAGGCGTCTGGGCAGCTCCACGTCCTGCATAAAGTGTATGTGTGCGCTCAGTCATGGGAGGGCAGGGAGAGGGAGAGAGAAGCAACTAGGTAGGTTGAGGTCAGGCTCTGAAATGACTTAGTCTTCTGAAAGGAAATGTTTTTATATAGGGAAGGGAGGTGTCCAGCTTCCTGCTTCAAGTAGTGCCTCTAGAAGAGAGGACATCCGTGCACCAGACCAGAGACAGTGAGGACTCGCATTGACACCACAGCACCAAAGAGGAAGAGGAAGGATCCAGAAGGCAGAGGATGCTACAGAAGAGCTTTCCTTCCTCACTAGCGCGCTGAGCATGAGGCCAGCCCCTGTCCCTCTCAGTATGGAGCAGCCTCCCCAGCACAGGAGGCTTAGGCTGCTCTGTCTCGGTGCACGGGTCAGGGCTCTGGACTCAGGAATCACAAAGCTTGCTCAAGATCTCACAGGTTGCAAGCGGCTCAGATTCACCCTGCACCCTCGGAGTCCACACCGAGACATCAGCTGGAGGGCGATGCCCTGGACTGGAGGTGGGGGAGCGAGGCAGTGAGGAGCAGGGGTGCCAAGTGGGATGGGCAGGAGTGCGCAGGGGCATCCAGCCACGTTCTCCAGTGAACCAATGCACCAAGGAAATGAACACCCGTTTGGACACACTTAGTGTAGACTGCTTAAATTTTAGAACCTTCAGCAGAATACACCCAATAGGTAGTAGGAATCAAGGTCTAAACTCTGGTCTCTGTGCCAAACATCTGGAGGGAGTGAGGGTTCAGACTATAGGGGAAGGTGTGGGGAGGTGAAGCAAGAAATTCAGAGGGTCCAGCTGGACCTGAGTGGGGAGCATTTCAACTTTGCTGTATATCAGCCCCAGAGGCCAAGGAGTCCCTGAATAACCTTGGCTTTGCATTCGTTTCCATTAATAATGTATATCCTTATGTTGTGTTAGTACGTAAGTGATCTTTTCCCTAATCAAATCCCAGATTTTCAAGGACTATTAATGGGAACAAGGAAAATTGTTATCTTTAAAATAGAACTTTCAGAATATTAGGAATACATTAAATAAAAAGACTTTGGTATTTAGTGATTATAATATCCCCTCTCAAATCCCAGAAAAGACAAAATGAAGACTTCCAAATGACTAGAGAGCAAAGCAGGACAGAAGTGGCATCACAGCTCCACCCCCTTGAGCAGAAACCATCACCTAAGCCAGTATCTCCATGCTGGACGGCCAGTTACCTTGTGTGGACTCAGGAAAGAGCCTGAGTTTGGAATCTGAAGCAGCATCAACTCTTCGGTATTTAAGGAAAAGGGAGAACTCTGACCTGTTCACTCCATGCCACTAATACTAAAAGATGTTTCATAAAAATTGTGGCCAGGAGCCTCCGCACTGCTCCATCCACAGCCTCTGTGCAGACCTCCCCGATCCCCATGGTGTTTCCATTTCAAAAGTTCACTCCTTTAACTCTTCAGTCAGTTCATTTCTTCCACCATGGCCTCCCAGTCACTGTCCTCAGGGATCTGTTTTAAATTTTTCTGCCCTCTTTGGTGGCAGAGTCACTCCTGGCTCTTCCCTTAATCTCCTCACACTCAACCAATCACCAAATCCCATTAATTTGGTTTCTAAGTATTTCTAAATTCTGATCACTTCACTCCACCCCAATTGTTTTCCCCATGTAAGACCGCTGATCTGTCCCACCTGTTCTTACAGTAGCCTTTTCACCTATCTTCTGCCTTCGGCCTCCTGGCTCTGTTCCCAACTTCCCCTCTCACATCTACCCACCCATCCATCTATTCACCTATCCATTCATCCATCCATCCACACACACACTCACCCATCCATCCACACATCCACTCACCCACCCACCCACCACCCATCCATTCATCTACACAGCCACCCACTCACCCACCCACACATCCACTTATCCACCCATGCATTCCTACATCCACCCACCTACCCACTCACTCATGCATTCATCCACCCATCCATCTATCCACTCATCAATCCATCCATCCATATATACATTCACCCACCCATCCATCTATCCACTCATCAATGCATCCATCTATACACACATCCACCTACCACTCATCCATCCATCCATACATACATCTACCCACTCATCCATCCACCCATCTATCCATCCATCCATTTATCCACATCTCCATCCGTTTCACCCACCCACTTACCCATTCATCCACATATCCACCCACCCATCCATCCATTCATCCATACACCTACCCACTCATTCGTCCATCTACGCATTCACCCATTCATCCATCCATCTACCTATCCATCCATCCACACATCCTCATACCACCCATCTATCCACCCATTCATCTGCCCATCCATCCACCCACACATCCACCATTTATCCATCCATCCACACACTCATCCTTCTGCCCACTCACACACCCATCCATTCATCCACCAATCTAGTAGCCACACCATAGCCATTGTGCTCCATCTAGTGGGAAGGCATGTAGGTTTTCCTGCAATGGCTTACTTTTCAAGCAATAGACAAGGTCCTTCATGGTCTGATACTTGCTTACTTACTGTCCTTATCTCATGTCCTGCTCTCCTTCCACCCTTTTCCCTCCAATCTCCACACAAGGAACTCATCCCATTCTCGAGCAGGTCATGCTTCAAGTTCCTCACTCCATCTAGGTCTTAGCACAACCTGTTATGAGATACTGTCTCATAGAACAGAGTCAACCACCAAGCCCTTTCAGCCTTCAGGTCTTAGCTTAGTTGTGACTTCCTTCAGAAGGATTCCCAAAACACCCCCACACCCCAAATCTGAGAGGATAACAAGAATCTACCTCAGAGGAGTTTTGTGGGCACTAAGTGAAATTATGCATGTAAAACATGGAGCATAACACCGAGTACATAAATGTTTAAAACCTGCCAGCTCTCATGATCATCCTGAGTCCCCTCCATGAAACCAATACCCCCTTAACAAAGCCTTTCCCCACCCTACAGATGGTCATCCACAGCCTGTGTACCTGACCTGCCATGGGTTTTCCCTGTAGATGCTGTTTTTAATTTGTGTTCTTCCCCACTTCTTTCCACTTACCTAAGCCCTTCAAGAACAAAGGCTGGCACAATTCCTCCCTGGAACACAGGCACTCATGAATGTGATGGATATCCATGTGCATATTATCATTGCCATCTTAAAGATGAGGAAAATGAACCTTGGAAAAGTTAAGGAACTCACATCCTAACTTACCTTCTTAGTAAGTGATTAAACAACATTTGCTCACTGACAAATTCCAGTGCAAAAAGAAGTACATCTTATGGGTAAAAGTCTGCCAAAATAAGAAATAATAAAGGGGTATTACTGGCCCAAGGAACATATGTGAAAATTTCAGAACCATGAAAAGACAAGGTGATGTGGGGGCTTGAAAAGTTTGTATGGCTGGGGTGAAGGATATATGGGCTGGGGCAGAGGGAGGTAAGACCAGGAGTAGGATGGGGTCCACTTGAAAGGGACACTGTCCACCAGTATAAGGCAGAATAAAGGGTTCTGACATTTATTGTATACACAACTAGTAGCCAGTAGAGAAATGTAGGGCCATGAAGAAAGTAGACTGGAGGGAGGAGGGTTGTGGGGAGACCCCTGGCCTAGAGTGGGTTACCATGGCGAAGGCATAGGGAAAGTCTGGTGCAAGGTCAGACTTAGAGTCACACAAAGGACTTGGGAACATGGGGTGAAGGGGAAGTTGAAGGAATCCAGGAGGATGGTGATGCCATCAGGTGGGAAGACACAGAACAGCTTATCAGAGACATCAATATCAGGGTAAGGTGGAAGAGAGATGACAAGTCCATCTTGGAGCATATTGAGTTTGAGGTGCCAGTGAAACATTTAATTGGAGATTTATAGTAGGTTTTCAGGGATCTGGCCCTCAGGAAACATGTCTAGGCTTGACATACAGTCTTGGGGGTCAAAAGTGTGCGGAAAATACCTGGAAAATGGATGAAAAGTTTGAAGAGTTTGCAGAGCAGGAAGAAGAAAAGAACATGATCCAAATGCTACATGGGAGGTGGAGCTTTTGTGGGAAACATAAGCAGCATAAAGAGATGGTCAGAAAAGAGGGAGGGAGGGGCTGGGCGCGGTGGCTCACACCTGTAATCCCAACACTCTGGGAGGCTGAGGAGAGCAGATCACGAGGTGAGGAGATCAAGACCATCCTGGCTAACAGTGAAAACTTGTCTCTACTAAAAATACAAAAAATTAGCCAAGTGTGGTAGCACACGCCTGTAGTCCCAGCTACTCAGGAGGTTGAGGCAGGAGAATCGCTTGAACCTGGGAGGTGGAGGTTGCAGTGAGCTGAGATCGCACCACTGCACTCCAGCCTGGGTGACAGAGTGAGATGCCATCTCCAAAAAAAAAAAAAAAAAAAAAAGGTTGGGGGAGGGAGGAAGAAAAGCAGGAAGAAAATTTAAGGTCAGATGGAGGATGTCCTTGAATGTAAACTAAGGAAGTTGGATCACTTTTAAGTGAACTACCTAAACCTTATTTCTGTGATTCTATACGTCTAAACTCTGTTTCTCCTAAGAATCAGTAGTGTTCTAGAGTAAATGCCTACACAAAACACCTTTGACAACACAGCTGTGGTGTTAAGGCACACATTTGTGGAGCATACCACATATGCAATGATGGGAGTTTAATAAATGTGTCTCCACTTGTTTTTTTTTTACTAACTTTAGAAGCTTCTGATTGTGATGCAAGTCACCATCCAAAGAGAAGAGAGCGTGGGACTGATCAAAGCAGTTCCTTCTATACCAGATGCTCTTCTACATAAAATGTCCTTGTCTGCTTACTGCCATTCAGGGCACACTCTAAAGAGAACACCTGCACGGACGTCTGGACGCTTCCAAAGCACAGCCCACGTGCACAACTCGACCTTGTTGCAGTGCAGTGTGTGGTGCTTGCTGATGTGTGAATGATCTCTTTCCTGAAACTTCCTTTGGCTCTATTTACACCCACCCAAGAAAGACCCTTGGCCCTCTACCCTGTGCTGAAGATGCCCTCCAAGGCTTTTGGTCTTCCTTCTTGCCTTCCTTTTAAGATCTTTTCATATTCTTCCTGCTGGTTCTGTTTGCTTCTTTTTATGCATTTTACTGTGATGTCTGGAAAACCTTATTTTCATTCCTAACTTCACATCTTTCTTCAAGACCCACTTCAAATTGAGCACTTTCAATGGTTTATTTTAGTCATTAATGGGGCCAAAAATTGCTAACTCATTGAAAACATCATTTCCATCTGCAGTAGAATTTTCATGGGGGGCCAATCTCATGGCCAATCCCCAATCATGGGGGGCCAAACATGACTCCAGAAAGAGATTGCCTAAAGGCTTACAGACATATTTCGGATTCAAACTGTAGCAAATTTTCCATGAAAAACCAACAAAATGACAACAATGGGCTCAAGTTTAGTGGTGGTGGTAATTATAAACTATTTAAAATACCTTAATCATAAAAACAAATCACAGAACAACTTCTCCTCTAGTGGAGGCAGTCTATTCAGGTGAGGCCCTCCGTGAAGGGAGGGAATGGATGTTTTAGAGTCTATTTAAAGTAGCTGATTTCCTAGCAGCTGTCATTAGGTGACACTCTTCTGTGTTCAATTCTGTTATGTAACCTCTTTCCGTCATGCTAGGGAGTCATTAAGTTCTCATCCAGCAGAGCCTTGTTGAACATCTGCTGTGTGCCAGGTAGTAATCTAGGTGGGAAAAGATAATTAAAAGACAGAGACATTCTCTCAAGTTGCTAACAGCCTACTAGGAAATAGTTAATGTAAACAAGTAATTAAAGTCTGGTTGGATGCATGACGTAACAGAGGTGGGTGTCAAAAAGCAGTCAAATGCTTTGAGAGAGGACAGAGAAGGACACCATCAGTAGCTGCTTGAGAGCTTGGCTTGGCCTGCAGGTGGTCGTGTCGGGCAACGGGCATTCACCAGGCTGAAAAGGGGAGGGGAGGGGTGACCTGAACAGAACCAGAGAGGAAGGAGGCGGAAGAGGCACGCTGTGCTGGGCAGCTATGAGCAGTTCAGGGTGGACAAAACAGTGGGTACGCTGGAAAGAGACACACAACAAGGCTATGGAGCCCAGCGCAGGCCTCGCTGTCAACCCAAGCAACCTGCCTTGTTCCATCTGGGGAGACACGAAGAGCTTTCAACAGAGGGGCAAAGCAAGCAGAGACCTGCATTCCACAGAGGCCACCCAAGGCAGAGGGAGGTTGTCGGGGGCGGGATGAGTGCAGCACACCCGGTCCAGAGAGACTGATTAGGGGACCAGTGGAATGGCCACAGCTAGAGAAGAAAAAAAAATAAAACAGCAGCTGTGGGAAGAGAAAAGATGTGAAAAGTACTAAGAAGATGGAGGGATTATAGGATGAAGCCAATCTTGAATTTACACGTATTTTTTAAGGAAACAAATCAGCAAAAGCCACCAGGTTTATTACACACATGTCCATAAGGAGTCCTGAGGCTGCCTAACCATGGAGGCAACAGGTAGCAGAGGAGGAAGAAACAAACCTCCTGGGGCCAAGGATGCTGAGTTAATCATCACACAGTTGATCAGTAAAACCTGCCTCTGATGACAAACACAAGTTTAAATTTAAATTAACTCTATTTTCTACAACAAACACTTTATGAAAAATAGATTTCTAACACACACATTTACTGCTCAAAGTTACCCTTCAACAAATCTTGGAAATAGTAAAACAAGACTTTCAATAAGTGCAGAAAAGGGCTTTGCTTCTCTTCATAAACAGATGTAGACACTCAACTTCATGATTATAAGATACAAAATGCATAGAGTTTTAACCTGAATTGTTAAGACAATTCAAGTTAACAATTCAGCTGCTACGTAGCACTCACCAGCATCTAACAAGACACAAGGACTATCCCAAGATTTGCACTCGTAACACTCACCAGCATCTAACAAGACACAAGGACTATCCCAAGATTTGCACTCGTAACACTCACCAGCATCTAACAAGACACAAGGACTATCCCAAGATTTGCACTCGTAACACTCACCAGCATCTAACAAGACACAAGGACTATCCCAAGATTTGCACTCGTAACACTCACCAGCATCTAACAAGACACAAGGACTATCCCAAGATTTGCATTCGTAACACTCACCAGCATCTAACAAGACACAAGGACTATCCCAAGATTTGCACTCGGGGCACAACAGCTTTCCACTGTTGCAATGACCTCCGTCAGACTTCATGCAGAATTACCATTTCTAGCCAGAGCTGAATTAACGCTTCCAGGACTTTGAATATCACGTGCCTCATAACATATGAAGTTTGAACACGAGGAAAGAGTCTAGAATGAGCCCAGGGTCCTAGCTTGGGCACCTGGGTACACCATTAGCTGAGCTAGTTCATGGAAGAGGAACATCAGGCTGGGAAGGGAGCAATACCTAATTCAAGTTGCTGCTTGTGGACATTCAAGTGGAGAAGGCACTCCTCTGGAGTGGAGCAGCTCTATGGATGGAGCCACTGGGAAGAGCCAGGGGCAGCAGCCAGAGGGCAGGGGCAGCCCTGGAGTGGGCGGAGCCACCGAGGGGTCGGGGAATGGAGAGCAGCACGGGTGTGGGAACTGGGAAGGCACCGTCAGAGAGCAGATTCGAGGGCATTGAAGACGCGCTGCACTCCCAGCTTCATTAGCCAGAATGTCTTTTTCTAAGGTCAAGGTCCAGGTTTTTCAGAACTGTACACTCTTAGCTCCGATTGCTGGCTGCCTATGACCTGGGGCCACAAGCTTGTCGGATAATGTCCTATGCCACAATGTCCCATCAGCTCCCCCAGTGGCCAAATCTGGAACAATGTAGGCATCAAAATGAAAGATAATTCTACTGGATTACATATAACCCATTGAATAAAATGAGAATGAAAAAGACTGGGCCGGGCACAGTGGCTCATACCTGTAATCCTAGCACTTCGGGAGGCCACTTGAGGTCAGGAGTTCAAGACCATCCTGGCCAACATGGTGAAACCCCATCTCTACTAAAAATAAAAAAAATTAGCTGGGCAAGGTGGTGGGCACCTGTAACCCCAAGTACTCAGGAGGCTGAGGCAGGAGAATTGCTTGAACCCAGGCGGCTGGGGTTGCAGTGACTTGAGATCATGCCACTGCACTCCAGCCTGGGCGACAGAGTGAAACTCCAGCTCAAAAAAAAAAAAAAAAAAAAAGACTATATAGATGTAAATAAATAATAAATAAATGAGGGAGAAGAGAAAGGTCTCCCTTATAAAAGAATGCCTATGTCTGTCTCTATATTATATGTTATATTTTATGTTGTTATATCTTATATATCAATAATACTTATTATAATATCTAATAATATAGAAGAAATGATGAAGCTAGGGAACCACCAGTAGATGCTAAAATGAGGAATAGGATATTTCCATAGTCTCAGTGTATGTCCCCATAAATTACTAATTAGAATAAAATTTTCAAACAAATAAACATAACAGACACTACACTAATCACAGGATCAAAGCTGATGTCACCAATGCTGGAGCTACCAATGTCAGGTGGCCCCTGAAGTGCAGCCCAGAAGGAATGCAGTGTGGCTTCAGTGACAGGCCCACCCCAGGTGCATGGCTCGAATCCCATCATACACAACACCAGACAAATCCAAATTAAGGAGCAGTCTGCGGAAGGATGGGCCTGTCTTCTTCAAAAACTTCAAGATTAAGAAAGACCCAGAAAAAGCTGAAGAACTGTCCCAGATTGAAGATAATTAAAGAGCCATGACAACTAAGTGCTATGTGGATTCCTGGATTTAATTCTGGACAGGAAAAAAAAAAAAAAAAACCTAGGGCTGATGTTATTGAGTCGGTTGATTACATTAGCAATTCCACAACCCTAGCTGATGTCAGAATCACCTGGAGGCATGTAGAGGGAAGGCTGTCGGACACCATCACCAAGGCTTCCATCCACAAGGGGTTTCCATGGCCCACAAGGTCCCAAGAGATGCTGCCACAGATCTGGGGACCTCACTTTGAGAACCACTGGCTTAGAAAACATAACTGAGCCAAATGTTAACATTCCCAATTTTGATAGTTAAGTTGCATAAATGTATAAGAATATTTTGATCTTAGCAAATGCACACTTAAAGGGGCTTGACTTAATCTCGGATGGCTTGAAAAGTGTGTGTGTGTGTGTATACAGATAGATAGGCAAATGGTGTAAAAGGTCAATAATAATTGAACCTAGCTAAAGGACATATGGAAATGTATTAGGCTGTTCTTGCTGTTTATTAGCTTTTCCTTAAAATTGAAACGCTATCAAAATTGAAAGTTACTAAAAATATTGAAATAAAATATGACCCCTTTCCTGCAGTTCTTACAAATGGTGAAAGGTCCTTGTTCTCTGGGACTCCACCCATATGGATGCTAGCGCCTGCAAAGGGGTGCTAGGACTTGGTTTTGTGGATCTCCCACTTCAGAGAAAGTGCTCTTTGATACTGAGAGCTTCAGTGAATCTATGAGCCCTTTCATTTGCAAGCAAAATGGAGCGTGTGTGTACCTTTCTCCTGGGAATGGGTCCTTAACTTTTGAACCACTGGGGAAAAAATAAGCATCACTGCACTACAGAAAATACTGTGAACTCCGAACAAAACTTAAGCTTTCCCTGCCGTCTTCAGTAGGTTCAGGGAGCCCCAGGCAGGAAGGCTGCTGCGAGCTTCATACCCCTGGGCACTCACTGCAGTCACCCTTCCTGGCTGGTGGGTCCCGAGCCTGCTGGTCGTTAAATATTTAGAACATCATCCGGTATGTAGGCTGCCAAATGTATGCCCAAGGAAAAGAACAAAGGAACCTTTTTCCATACACAGAAGTCCAAATAGCTAAGCAAAGACTTTGTTAGCTTCAAGTGCACAACACAGACCAGATGTGAGGCAGCTCGACCTGAATGGAGGCTGGTAGGGTCCCAGGATAGAAAAGACAGTGATTCCTAAAGTCCTCCCTTTGAGGCGAGGCCATTCCTGAACCACACAGGAAAGGATAAAACCTGCTGTTACCACCTCTGCTTCCATCCAGACCTGGGTTCTGCAATTACCTGGGGAAAGGAAGGACATCAGACCAGTCTGAAGGACTCAGTACCTTCAATACCAGCTCAATACAATATAAAAGTGCTTGCAAAACACAGCATTTCTACAATGATTAAAGAATTACCCATCACAATAGCTGCCTTTTCTGATCCAGAAACTCTGGAGCCAGGCAGGGAGAGGGGCCGAGAGGGGCTCTGTCCTCCCTCCTGAGGGCCACGGTTACACAGCTTGGCCATTTTCCACAGTTGGAGCAGACACTTGGAGAAACAGGTTCTTCGTCTACACAGGTTTCCACTTTATCCCCCTCCAAAAAATAACTGTGTAACTCTATTCATTACCAGCCCTATTCTTTTGTTGGCAATAAATGAGGAGAAATCCTGCTAATTAAATATGGGAAAACAACCTGGTCCCCATTTCCTGTGGTGGATTCCACCACCTTGTCTCTGCTACTGAAGTCACAGAGGCAGTGAGGAGGCTGAGATGGACCTTTTAGGAAACAGGGAGGGAGATCGGTAGCAGGAACAGTGGCGTGTCAAAATCTGGTATCAACGCTGGATGGAAATCCGAGGCTACAGAGCCTCGGCTGGAAGATCCAAACAATTCTCTCGTGGTGTCACTGAACGTCACGGGAGAGGTGTGTGCCAGAAGCCCGAGCGTCTTACTGTACCTGGGGAAGCATGAGGGCTGCTCAGGATGCTCACCTCCCTTCAGGGAGAAAGCCCTCTGGGCCCAAGACCTGGACCTGACACCATGACTTCCTGATGAGGGGACGGTGGGCAGGTTGCGGGATCTGCCTCAGCCACTCTTTCACAAGGTGGAGGTGGCCGCAGTGGTTCCTTCCCAGTCAGCGGCGCTGGTTAAATGAGACAGTGTGTGGCAAAATGCCAGGTGCATGTTAAACACGCCATCAAGTTCAGCTATTTTTTTTAACTGGGAAAGCCTGACCACCTATCTCTGACTTCAGTCTCCTTCCACAGCCACGCGGGCAGAGCATCCCACAGCCGCCAGAGGCCTGTCCACCCCCGAGCACCCACAACACTCTACTTTCCTTGGTCAAAAGTCTGAAAACCTCTCAAGCGAGCTTTCATTTGGGATAAAAGAGTCCTTTTTCAAATGCTCTACCAGCAAGTGGAGGCCAGAAGCCCTGCAGGAGAGGCCAAGAGTGAGAGACGGGAGAGGGTCACTTTAGAGAAGGAGGCACTTCTGGGTGGGTCAGTGCTCGTCTTGGGGCAGAAAGTGCCAGGGAGGGGCCAGTTCCCAGAGAGCAGGACCCAACCAGGGCTGCAGAACTTGCAGGAGGGGCCCTGGCAGAAAATGCCTGCCCACCTGGGCACTGCGGACACCATGCCTCAGGGTCCTTGGAATCAGATGAAGGAGCTCCAGGGATCAGGAGAAGCAAGGACACAAAGGATGGGAAGCACCCCCGGCAAACAGCCCTGCCTCGCTCCCCTCTGCGCCAGACCGGCAGCTCCCGTGTCCAGCCTGAGCCCGCCGCACCTCCTCATATGAGCCACACTTTCCTGGGAGAGCTGGGACAAGCCAGCTGAGTCCACAGCTCACCCCAACCACAGACCATTCACCAGGGACCAGTTGTAGAAATCCACACTGTCTAAAACAGCAGCCACCAGCCAACCATGGCAAATTAGATTTAAATACATCAAAATTAAGTAAAATTTAAAATATAGTTCATTAGACACATAAGCCACATGGTAAGTGCTCAGCGGCCACACGTGGCCAGCGGCTGTAGTAGTGGACAGCCCACAGAAGAACATTTCCACCACCACAGAAACTTCCGTCAGATGGCACTTCCATAAAATTACAGAAACAAGACGTGACACGATGCCCAGCTGGAGGGACAGGGCAACTGCTGGAAGGAGAAGGTGACTCGCGTGGTGTCAGGAGGGACAGCAGCTGTGTAAATGCTTCTTCGTCTTCCAACTCTTCTCCCCTCAGGATTTAATTACTTTTGTTTGTTTTTTTGAGACATGGTCTCGCTCTGTCGCCCAGGCTGGAGTGCAGTGGCGCGATCTCGGCTCACTGCAAGCTCCGCCTCCCGGGTTCACGCCATTCTCCTGCCTCAGCCTCCCGAGTAGCTGGGACTACAGGCACCCACCACGAGGCCCTGCTAATTTTTGTATTTTTAGTAGAGATGGGGTTTCACTGTGTTAGCCAGGATGAGCTCAATCTCATGACCTTGTGATCCGCCTGCCTCGATCTCCCAAAGTGCTGGGATTACAGGCGTGAGCCACCGCGCCTGGCCTTAATTAGATTTTTATGTGTACGTTTTTTTCTGGAGGGTCAGAAAAATAATAGGGCATACGGGAATCTTTTGAGGGGCTGTCTTTGGCCAGACATTCCCACATACAGTGGCTTCTCATTACTCACAGCAGGTATATTTGAGGAAGTTAACACAAATGATGAATTAGTGAATCCTGAACCACCGCTACTCAGGAGACACGGGGCTAGGTTCCCGCGAGCCTCCAGTCACATTTTTGTCAATGGACCAAGGCATAGCCTCGTTTTGTGCGTGGTCCTGTTGAAAGGCACCTGATTTAAGAGGCACTGACTCTGGGCCGGCAGCATCGTCACTCACACCTGAGTGAAGCTCAGCTCACGCGTGTGTTCTCGCGAGAGGGCCTCCCCTCCCCTTGCGCTTAGGACATCAGATAGCGTGTCAGCACTGTGCGTGGCCTGTTTTAAACACAAGACGCGCGACCATGAAAAGGATACTTCTTCACAGCCTGAGCCCTGAAGCAAGAAGGCCGTGTGGCCTTGTTCAATCTCAGCTGGGAACATGTGTAGGAAAAACACACACACGTCTGGCGACTCAATTCTTTTCTCCCCTCTGTGCACGTCCTCAAAAGCTCTGCAAGTACTGACTTTGGAATTATAAATAAATTTTAGTGAGCAGGCAAATTTGCAAGTGCAGATTCCACCAGCGGTAAGGATCGACCATTTACTATCCACCCCTCCTAAAACGCAGTGCCTGGAAGGAGCCAACTCTAAGCCCTGGGCTCCTGGAATCCACACTCATGCTATTTCCACCAACCACACCTGCTCCAGAGAGGGCTCTTGCGTTTCAAAGCACTTTTCTTGGATCCTCCAAGCAAACTATGAAATATGCAAAGCAGATGTTGTTATTCAAATTTTTTAAATGAAAAAACCAAAATCCATATCTTTCCCCAGATACAGAGTGGCAGAGCTGAGGAAATAACTCAGATGTTATCTTCACTCTACCCAGATTCTTCCTTTCAAAATACGCCAGGGCCACGATGATTCATCCGTGCATTCAACAAGACTTCCGAGCCCCTGTGCCCAGCAGCGAGAGTCTCACCTGAGACAGACCTTGTCCCTCCCCTCGCTCCATGTCATAACTCTCTGAGTCATGGGGAAATCAGCGAGTGAGCAGGAAATTACAATTCACGGTGAAGAGTTCTGCATGAAAAGGCGCTAGGAGGACACAGGGACCTCAGATCTGACTGCCAAAATCATCATTGGAAAACATCAGACAGAGCGGGAGGGCTCTCCTGAACTCAACCATGTTGTACGGAATGTCTGGAAATGCCTGACACCCGTCAGCCATTGGGAGGGACAGGCGTGGGAGGGGAAGCCCTGTGGTGGTGTGATCCTGTGGTCATCGCAGCAATGGGATGAGACGCGGAGCCCTGCTCACCCTGAGACAGTGCAGAAGCTAAAATCTCTACCAGGTTTTAGGATCCCTTCATTCTCACAACCACAAGGTCCTGGTGTATGTATGCATTCCTTGTGAAAGGAGTAAGATGAAAAGTGAAAAGTGAGGCAAAGACACCTGCCCTCCCCCCTGCCCTCCGGAGCCTGGCGACAGGGACATTGGCTCTCTTCACAGCCAGCCTGGAGGCCTTTGGGTCGTTTCCATCCCTGTGGCCAGTCTGCAACATGATTTTTAATACTGCATTTATTTAACCACATTTTAATGTTGTAGGAAAAAATTCTGTTTGGGGACATTTTGCTCAGATTACTTTGTTTCTGTCGCTCAAGAATTTCATGGTCACTCCATCCATGGAAAATCCAGAATTTTCCTCAATGCCTCAATTGTACATTTCTTCTCAATGCCTCAATTTTACATTTCTCTTGCTGACATGAACCCAAAAAAGTATGCATCACATTACTGAAGAGGGATATGCATCCCTCGAAAAGCCTCGTGATGACAGAGCCTTGGGTACATCAGGCTCAAAGGTCTGGCGGCTCAGCCATGGTACGAAATGGTTATTTCTAGAGTGAACACCCAGTTATGGCTATAGCCCCTCTCTCTCTCTCTGACATCCACCTCCTCTATTGGAAATCTCTGGTCTCGTGTGTCCCGAATCTTTACCGCGTTTCCCCTTAGACAGCCCCAAGCAAGAATGCAAACAGGGAAGCATTTATCAAGCGCCTCCTGAGGCGGGCACTGTGCCAACCTAACACGGGCAGATGGCAACGTCGTCCCTCCCAAACGCCTCACTGCTGCCCGAGTGCCAGCTTCTGCATTTGAAGGGAATTCCTGCCACCCTCTCAAGCCTGTTGCTCACGGTGGCATTTTCAGAACTTGTCACTAGTGGCAACTTCTGATCATTTCATTCAATGAAGGGTCATTGTTGCAAACCTGGTGAGTTGCAAAGATTCACGCAACCACCGAGTCAGGCTCAGAGGGTCCATGATGACTTCATCCTGCCCTTTCCCTTTTGCAGGGATGTCACTCTGGGTGAGTGAACGCACACCTCCCGGCCTTGGTTTCTTTGTCTGTATGATAAAGAAATCAAGTTGGCTTCCTAGGGCCTGCGTGAAGGTTACACGAAGTAGGAATGTACAACAGAGGACACCAGCTGCTATCTGAGGCTGTTCGGGAGAGTGGGGCCTGTGGATACAAGGCACTTTGGTGCTACTGAGCATTGGAGGGTTCTCCTGCCGGGTCCATGTGCTCCAGGTCTGGGACAAAGCAAGAGAGACCCCCAGGGTCACAGGACAGACATTCACACGGCCAAGAGCCCACGAGCAGAGTCTCAAGGGGGGATGGGCCAGGACACTGAATCTAGGTCTGAGGAGCAGAGGCCCATGCTGGCCCCAAGTGCCAGGCCATCATGCAGGGCACGTTCCTGGTGCACGGGAGAGATGCAGCGTATCTTAATTGGGTTGGCTTAGCTAAAGCAAGCTCTTGGAAGACCTTCACTGCCTGCAGGGCACACATCACACCCGGCCTGTGCTCTGTGCTGATTCCCACATAGCTGGCTCTATCACCAGCTCACTCCTACGCCCCCAGTCCTGGAAGCTACCGATATTTGAAATATCAGGAAAGTATGTTTGCCTAGAAGATATATGACAAAACTTAATCCATCTCTTGAAAACAGGCCTTTGATGCATACAAGAGAGAGGAACCCAAATGCACAGCCCTCCAAGGCAGGTCCCACCCGTGGAACCACACCCACCTCACCCCTGCTCCTGCCAGGCAGCCCTGACCCCTCCATGCACTTACTCCAGGGTAAGCCCCTCCCACGCATGGCACCCTGGAAGGGCCTGAGAAGCCACGCACCGCTTTCCCAAGACTGCACCTCAACCCCCTTCCTGCTGGAGCAGCCCTGGCCTGAGCACGAGGACGACAGGTCCCCGGTCCCCCGTCACATCCCCTGCACCCTTCGCCCCAGCTTCTCACAGCCCTTTCCCTGACAGGTTCCCGTCGTAGTTCATCCCTGAACTGCATACCCATTAAAGAAGGCCAAGGCCAAGCAGAATGTCCCAAAATAAAAGAGGAAATGGCCAGAACTGGGTCCCCACCACCCGATCGGATTCTTCCCTTCCTTCTACCGATGTAGCTTCAGCCCCCAGGCCAGGGGCCAGCTGTCCTTTCAAAGTCTTTAATGGAAAGTTCCCACTATCAAAAAAAAAAAAAAAAGGCACACACCAGGGCCAAGGGAACACCCAGTACAAGTGCAGAGAATCGAGGGGGTGTTTTCATCAGCACTCCCAGGGGAGGGAGCCACCAGCCACCCCAGCACCCCATGTGGCCACTGCTGCCCCCCACCCAGCGCCCCTCTCGGCCTGAGCCCTCCCTACACAGCTGATCTCCTGAGAAGAGAGAGCTAGGCAGGGCTCCCTCAGTCCCTTCAGACATTGCAGAGTTCCAGCTTCCAAAGCTGAGTTGTGACTATAAATTGGACATTTTATACACATCCCAGCAAATCTCATGAGTGGACCGTGGGTTCAAGGAAGCATTCGGGCCACAGTTGGTGGTGGCGGTGGTGTTCTCTAGCCTTCAGCGCAGTGGCCACACAAGGGGAGCAGCCATGCTCAGGGGAGGGAGGCCCAGGCCCGGGAAGAAGGCAGCCTGCCTTCTTTCTAGGGGACTTCAGGGCATGGGGACTGAGCACCTGAGAAGTTCACAGCCCCTTTGACCACAGTACAAGTAAAGCATGGGACGTGGCATCGCTCACTCACCCCAGCCATGCTGGCTCCATGCTCTGTGACACGAATACACGAATGCACAGTACACGGAGGACAGAGGGGCGAGCACCTCTGCTCACATTCTCCTGAGGACTAGAAATTTAAATGGAGCTGACTGTGAGTAGGCAAAGCCTGTGTCCAGCCTCTCGACTCAGGGCGGCACAGGGTCCCGCAGTACAGGATCCCATGGCGGAGGTTGCCCAGAGGCACAGGGAGGTTCCAGACACAGCCAGGCTGGTCCTGCTCCAGCTCCTTTCCTGTGCCCCTCCCCTACTTTTATGTCCACAACTTCCCCATACACAAAGGTGGTTCTTCCTACAAAGACCCAGCGACGTGCTCGCTCCTTCAGAGCCCTAAAGGCTGCGGACGCTGGCACCTGTGTGCTGCTCTGGAGGAATGAGGTGCTCAGGGTGGGGCTGCCCCTCTTAGCACAAAGGTTCAGGGACACTTTTCCTCTGGCTCAGGAGGCATCCTGCTCATACAGGTAAAGCTCCAAATCATTCCAGAGATCACCAACAGTTGTCTGGGTGGTGTGTATTATTTTTCTGCTTGTCTAGTCTTAAATTGACTAGAATGAACTTTTATTACTTTTATAAAGAAAAATAAAGTTCGGAAATTAAGTGATGACCCGGTGAATTTTATATGGGTAGCAAGTTTTAACGGTAATTTCAAAACATGTAAAAACCATAAGGTCCCATCTCACTTTAAAAAAATAAAAAGCCTACCTCAGTGAGACTGCACTGCCCTTCCTCTTGTCCCTCAGGTGGTAATTCTATCATTTTTTCATACCACATGGCTAATTCTATTTGAACACATTTGGCCACATCAGCGAATACCCTACACAGAGAGAAGACCGTCAACGTTGTGTTTGAGAAGATCCTAGGGGTCTTTTAGGACCACCGCAGCTCCAGGGGCTGCCGGTGACCAGGGCCCGGTCCTCAGGCTGCAGGATCTCTGTGGCCCAATTCAAGTTTGCAGACACCTTCCCTGGGCCTCTCTTGGCATCTCTTCTGCTCCCACCACAGCAGCAGAAACGAGTGAGCGGGGCCCTTCTCTCTCTTGTTGGACTGACATTAGAGACAAGTTCTAGGACGCCCGAAGTCTGTTCTGTTGGAATTCGTCTTTGCAATCACCTGTTTTGAAGGGATGGCTGTTACTAAACCCCTGCTGGGCCGTCTGGGCTTGTCCTTCCCCAGGCTGGGATGCTGTCATCTGTCACCAGCCCCACCCCAGGTTGATTTGGGCCAATGGCAGAAGCTTGTACAAAATTAGAGTATTTCAGAAAAGAGAGCTCGGTCACATGTTCATCAAGCCAGGCTGTGGGCTAGCAGTGTCTACATGCCCTACTAAGCCCACGGTTTCAGGAGGGCCACCTCGGACACCCAGGCCTCCCCATCGTGGTTGGCTCTCCTGCCCTGCCCACCTCTCTACAGATGCTTCTGTTCCCTTAGCCTCTCACTCCTCCCTTCTGAATATGCCATGGTTTTCCTGTCGGGACCCGGTCTAATAAATGCACATAGAGTCTAGAACAGTGATTCCCAAACTGTGTAAAAGAATGAACATGCATGGATTGGGAGTGTCTGCAAATTCTCCTGCATGCAGGGGCTTAACAAGGTTTCAAGACCGCCACCCAGGAGCATGTCTTCTCCACAGCTCGGGGTCAATGTAAGGACTCTTCTGAATGGGTTCCTTCCTGTTCGGGGAACTTTTAAAGTTTTTTAAATATTTAATTATAAAAATTTACAGAAGAGTCCACATAGACAATCTGGATGGCAGGACATGTTCAAACAGGAGACTCAGCCTTCTCCATCCCCTCCCATTGCCCTCTTCAGCATTCAAGATGCCTGAGTCTCCCCCGTGAAGATGAGCCCCCAGGATCCGGCCAGCTCCCGGAGCCACCACGTACAGTCTTGCCCCGAATCAACAAAGGACACCATGTTCTTGTCTTGGGTACTGGTCATAAAGCACTCATTTGCTTTATTCTGCAGAAGCCGTTGTTTAGAGCATCTTCGGGGCTCCTCAGGAACAGAGCCCCAGAGCTCCTTTGAGGGAAGTTCCCAGGCTCATGAGTAGGCAGCGGCATCTGCCCAGACCAGACAAGCTTGGTGAAGCTTGAGTGCTGCATTTCTGGTGGGAGATGGAAAGAACACAGATCCCGGGACCCCCATCCTGGGAGGGTTTGGTACTGGGGTGAATGAAGTCAGCAGCACTGAAGGGCACTCACCTGAAAACAAGACGAGGCCCAGGCACGGGCTTCCCCGGAACCCTGGAGCGTGTGTGGAAGCTGAGATGAGAGGGCTTTCACAAACCAATGGGAAGCATAGTGATTCTGAGAAAACTTTTGGTTTTGCATTTATTGCTAGAGCCTGAATATAGTTGATCTCTTTTCAAGGGGAAAATGAAGATCTCAACTAAATTGCCTTCTTTTTGTAAAGTCTGTTTGTGCCCAGGATAAAAGAGAATATTTTATCCCTTTCAAAATCGAGCACTTTGTGTCTTTCTGAGCATCAGGTGTTCAGTGCAATGATTGTGCGGCTGATCGCCTCGAGATTCTGTTTGTTTCACACCTGTTTTAAAGCGTTGACCATTATAAATCTAAATGTTACCTCCACGGTTCCCTTCTACCTACATATCTCAGGGAAATGGATCCTGGGGGATAGATTTTCCCACAATAATCAATTCAGATATTCTTTCCCTCTCAGAAATTCTCAAATTAAAGAATCCTTTTATTGTTGAAGAGTCACGCAGATTGATTACCATCTTCCACCAAATCCAAGCTATGAAAATGGAAAGAAACATCCTGATTTAAAGATATTGACATGGAGAAAAGCACATGCTAGAATTCATGAGATACAGTGTGACAAGAGCTAACACTTACTGAGAGCTTATCCCGAGCTGTCATTCCAAGCCTGAGCTGTACCAGCCCCATGAGCTAGACCTGACCATCTCCCCAGCTTCACCTGAGAAGGTGAAGGCTTGGAGAGATGTGGGAACTTGCTCAAGGTGGTCTAGCCAGGTGCCTGTCCAGACAGCTGGACTCCGGAGTCTCACGCTCCCCATTTTTCTCCAATCATTTTCTCCCACCACCAACTGACCAGGTGTCCGCTCTTTCTGGGCAGCATTATGCTTACATTTCAGCATCCAGTTCAGGCTCCACAATGTCCAATTATTTGTGAACTTAAACACATGCCATTTATAATACTAATAACCTTTCATAAGAGAAGTCCTTGCCGTGAGATGAGAAAATAAACCATCATATTAAGACCACATTGCCCAACAGAGATGCAGTCCACACATTCTATAACCTCAGCCATTTTCTGGAGAAGTGCCCAATCCGGGAAGCCAGATGACTCTGACCTTAGACCAGGGCAAAGAGACACCTGTACTGAATGCCACACCTCAGAGCTTCCCTCTCTCACCCTCCCCGGGACACGGCATCCCTCAGGGATCCTGACCCAGGAGAAACACCCACTCAGATTGGGCCCCCCCATGACATACCATGGGTGCCAGGACCTCGGAATTCCCCAGACACCCACAAGGCCCCTTCCTGAGCCTGCAGGGAACTTCTCCCAGACATGTCTTCCCAAAGAAGATGTAAGAGGCTCTCTGTGGGGCGTGTGGATGGAGCTGAGATGCACAGGGCAGGAAGGGGGCAGCTCACCATGGCACTGAAGCTGGTTGGCCTGAATCCACCCAGCTCCTGTGCAGATGCCCTAGAAGGTGAGGATTCTGCGTTTAAATTAGACTTTTAGGTTCACGAACGTGAAGGCACATTCATGCAGGTAGGAGACAGACCCTGCTTGTGCAACCTGATTTATAACTGAAATGCTTAGACATGAAACATAAGAGCTACTCTTGCACTCGTGCTCTGGACGACACAAACATCAGGGAGGAGAAGCCAACTCTTCCTGTTTTGGAGTTTGGTGGTTTGCTTGCTGGAAGCCTGCTTTTATGGAGTTCAGTGGCTTGCTGGCTGGAAGCCTGCTTTCATGGATGACGGTACCACAAAAGACAGAATGTGAGGATTTAGATAGGCCCGGGGGTCAGCACTTTGATTTTGGCTGAAGGAAATAAGGCCTAGAGTCAGGATTGGAAATGACGGGTGGTTTCATATAATTAACAAAATCCAAAAGAAGGGAAACGCCTATGTTTATATGCAAAGGTAAGAAGCCACTTCTAAAGAATTAAAATGACCAGGGTAAGACACAGTCACCCTGCCAGACACCGCACACTGCACTAGACTTTTGCTGAATGCTCGGTGTTGCTGAGTGTGGCGCTGTGTGGATTTTCTTGGTTAATTCCTTTCCCTTTAAGTGTATGATTTCACAATCTTTGCTGCAAACCTAAAAATGATGGCAAAAATGTCTATAGCAGAACTCAATTACAGCCATTTCAGTAAAACCAGTTAGATAGGTGATTTGTGTTATAAAATGTATCGCTATTATATACTTTCTTTAAAATTAAAGATAGCTGCAGTATAAGGTGATATTGATACAATAAAAATTAACTCTCATTAATTAACCATTGTCTCCAGAAATAAGTACAATTGTAAGTCCTTAAACATCAATTCTGCACAGTCATGGTATAGGAAATAAATGTGTTCTTCATGTTGAAAATACATACCAGATATTTCTAGAATGATTAACAAATTCTCTACTGAACACTTTCTCCAAAGGGCCAGGAACTTTGATATAACAATTGTTTCCTAAAACACTTTAACTTTTCAAAAAGAAAAGAAATGATATTTTAAGAATGTATTTAATACTTTGCAGAAAGGACTGGAGCCTTTTTTTTTTTTTTTTTTTCGTTTTTGAGATAACACATCCTTGGTATATGGCATCCTTAATAATATACATAAGGCAAAACTAAAACTGATGTAAAATATATAATTAGATATTTTCAGGTTTTTCTGTCAGCAACGTGTATTTTTCAGAAATCGCCGGAGGAAGCTTCAGCCGTAGGTTTCTGAATCATGTGCTCAGGAGAGCACAGGGAGAATGAGATTGGCAAACCTTCTGTGTCGGCAGTATACAAGAAGCACTCATCTGTAAATAAGCTCCTAATTCTCAATAGCACAAGGAAAAAAAGGAAATCTTCCAAGTAGTGACAGGCTTTGTACCAGATCTTTGAACTTTGGAGGTGCAATTTGCATAGAGCAGTAAAAAAGCACTTAACCCACGCCCCCAAAGTTTCAGAAAGGAGAAGGTCGAGTAGAGCAGGATTAAAAGAGAAAAAAGAAATGGACGTGCTGTGGTGCAATTTTTGACAGATAATTATCGCCATAATGTCCTTTGAAATTGTTGACATTAGCTGCAACATGAAAATGCACCTGCTGATTTGGTCCCAGATTTCCCTAATATTTTTCTAATGACCAAAACTCGTCACTTTTAATCTACATTCTTATTCCCTTACAAATAAAATATATGTATTCAAACACCTCTATTCCATATGTGTAGACTTTCTTATCTTGTAGATAATCTAGTCCAGCCAAGATAAATACAAATTATTTGATGATTAAGGATTAAAAGGCTTAAATGAAGTTAATGGGAAAATAGAGGATCAGTAACAATAATGAAAAGACTTTGACTTTATTTACATTCACCTTAACGTAAGTTCATTGTATTTGCCTCTAATTTAAAAGATCAGCTTCCCCATATTAGGAAATGTTAGCCGGAGGAGAAAAGTCACAGGGAACAAATCGGTGCTGCACTGTGGATCTTATTCCCCATTTCTCTGTCTCCCTCCTCCACCTTGATAGCTAGTCCTACAGTTTAAGAAAGAAATCATCAGAGCCAGGTGAGTCCGTGGCCCTCATACCCATCAGGAACACCCACTGACCTAGCTGAGTCTTTTTCCAGACCAGAACAGCACTGGCGCTGTCCCAGTGTGTCCGAGGAGACGTGAGCAGCCAGCCACGGTCAGAGGGGGCAGGTGGTCACACTCCCATGGGTCACCTCCTCATGGGGTCTCCTTACAGAACCAAAGAAACTGCCACCACCCACCATGGTCATGACAGCAGGTGGCCCCAGGGCACAAGATGGGAGCCTGGAGGTGGGTGGTAGATGTTTGACCCTTGTGGGTCTTCAGACTGGATGCGGACAACCTGCCGTCCGGGTACAGCAAGCCTCGGCCAGACACCAGGCAAGGGCAGATGAGTGGGCTGGGGGGCACTCACCTGGAAAAGTTCCAGATCACCAGTGATCCCCCCCACCCCCAAGTCCCTGCCTCATCTACCCCTATCCTGTCCCTGGGCCCCCTTGTTCCCACACATATGCCCCACATTGGTCCCCGGGGAGATCAAGCCTTTCAAAAAGAAAGGAGCAGCTCTTTCCCCAACAAGAGGGACTTGTGGCTGGCACATGGGCTGCTGGGGCCCTGAGTCAGGAGGAAGAAGTCTTTCCTCAGGGTCAGCCCTAGGCTTTAGCCGGAGTAAGGGCAGAGTGGGCTCGGGGCACGAGCAGGGGATAGGAGGGGACCTTGGCATCCAGTGGAGCTGGGAAGAGGGCCTGGGTGAAGAGCTGCACGCACAACGACGTCCCGGCCCTCTGTCTGCTGAGGTCCCCTGTCCCCGATGTGTCGGCACTCAGTCCTGGCTCCCCTCTGAAGGCCTGCTCTGGCCATATGCCCACCACACACCCAGATGCCACCTGGCTCAGCTCTGGGGCTGTGCAGTGCCCAGTGGTGTGTGTGAGCCACCGTCTGTAACCAGCCCTCCCCATGGAACTGTTCCTCTGCCGAGAGTAGGGCTACCCCGAGCAGTGCAGGGAAAACATGTGCTTGGCCGTGGAAAACAGGGGACAGTCAGCATAAGTGGCTTTTATCTCTTCAAATAACCGGAGAGAACATCAGACTCAAGACCAGAGTCCAACAGGCCAAAGCCGTCCTTTCCGACACCTGCCCACTGAGTGGGCTTCCCCTTTCGGGGCCAGATGCCCAGACCCACCCGACAGAACCCCTCCTTCCCTCCCCTCTCCTCTCTGCACACTTCTGCAGCAAGGTTTGCACAGCTCAGAATCAGCAGCCTGCACACCCTCAGGCAAAAAAAAGCCAAGTTATCACCCGTTAAAACATGTACTGTTAAGGGAAGAACTTTGCATCAACACTACCAAAGAGTTAAAATGAAGGAAATTATCATTTTCAGGCTGAACTGTGCTGTGACATATGATCCACGATTTGCATCCAGACGAAATCTATTTATCATTTCTTCCACAGTAAAAATGCTCCAGGAGCGTTCCTCCACAGTTTCCTTTACCTTGAGTTGAAGGGTAATTCTTTGACAATTAGCAATCTTTTCTTTCACATTGATTCAGCGATTCAACTTCAGCATAAGAATAAAGCCCCCATGAGCTGCAGCTCTGTCAGCAGGAGAAAGTCAGAAGGAACCTGTCACTTGCAGGGGGTTTTTGACAAAGTGTACAATGGGAGCCAAAAGAATCCTGGGTTTTTTCCCCCCAAATAAATATGAAATAGATTTAAAAATCAGAATGTATTAAGGTGCTCATGATATTGAAAAGCACAGAACACTTACTGAGGCAGAGTAAAATATATACAATTAGAATCCTCATTTTGAAAGACTTCAATGAAGTAATATTTGCTAGAGCTGAAACGCATGGAGGCATTTCAGGAAGGCATAAAAACATGCACTTGCATCAACTAATTGGATAATGACATATGTTACCACAACTGTCAACTTCTACTGCGCCTTTAAAAAGTTCCTTTTGTTAAGCATGTAATTTCATTCTTAAAACACCAAAACAACACACAAATACCTGATAGCCGGCATTAACCCTGGCACACATCCCTGACATAGCTGTGTGCACGCAAGCACTCCTGCGCTTCTGTCCGTTTCCATTTTGCTCTCATTTCCATGAGGGCAGGCTCACCATGCACTGATTCAGCTTCTCCGGACACTGTCAAAGTTTAGTCGTTTAAAATTGCACATCGTGGTACTCATTTCAATTTCTCCATTCTTGAGTTCTGGACCAAGTGCAGAGTTTGTAGAGCCCTTAGGCTAAGCCAGGAAGATACCCACTATCCGTTAGGAGCCTCACAGGAAAGGTAACCCGGAGAGAAGCCACCAGGGACACGGAAAGCACCGCTGTCCCCCCTGACAATCGCAGTCCAGCCAGACTGACGCTTCCCTTCCTGCTGCTGTCATTGCCCACCTCATTCTGGACACTTCTCTGCTTTCAAAGGTGTGTTTTCTTTTCTTTCTTTCTATTTTTGTCCACTGAACTGTGTCTAGAGCCAAGCAAATGGAACTTAAAACAGCAACCAAAAATCATTCCCAAAAGAGCAAGTAGAGTATTCCATGAGGAGCCTCATCTCATGTTTACAATCTCAGTAGACATGCTAAGCTGAATCATTCCTACAGCACTGTGTTGCATGGTAACAACAAATGACCTCATGGAAAAGTCCCCTTTTATCTGACTGGCCCGGACCCCGGCCCAGGGCTGTGGATCTGGGAAGACGGAGGCTATTTCCACATGCCGACATAAAGATGGGGATGGCACACGTTTTTGCAATCACCAGAACACAACTTTTCACCAACTTGAGATAGAGAACAAAAGTCTCTGTTGCCCAAGGAGCAGCGTCCAGTGAGCTGTCTGCAGGCAGCAGTTCCAGCCCCCCCCCCCCGGATGCCAGCAGCCTCCTGCAACTGCACAGCCAACTTCCAAGCTAAGTTCAGCAAACACAGATTTCACCAGAAGAAGCCATCGTTCCGCCTCCAGGCCACACTATGCCCGGCGCCGGCAGGTACCACTGGGTCTCCAAGGACCCCAGACATGGCCATGAGGGCCAGGACAGCTCCTGTGACCAGCAGACATGACCACAAGGCTCCCTCGAAAGGTCCCGCGCGGCCGAGAGGCACAGCGGCCGTCAGATCCACCTGGGAGCCAGGTGGAAGCCGCCGCAGTCCAGACGCCGCTTCCCTCCACGCACCCACGCACCGTGTCCTGCTCTCTCCCTCTCCACCCTGCCCCCCACCCCCACAGACTTAGCAGAAAATCCACAGCAAGTTGTCCCCCCAACACTTTACCTGGTCCCAGCTGAGCCCGCGACGCCGCCTGCTCACCTCCCGAGCGCCGCGTCCCGTCGCCTGCTGGTGCCAGGCTGTGGAGCTGGCGGGTCCCGGAGAAACGAGCCTGCTCCTGTGAGCACCGTGCAGCCGCGGCAGCCTTCGCAGGGATGAGCACAGCTTGAGCCCGTCCACAATTAACCGAATATTGTATAGCGGCAACAAATCAACAACGAAACCGGCGCGCAAATAAAGCCGGCTGCCGTTTCCGAGGGACGCAGAAGGGCAGAGCCACCGAGTGCTTCATTTCTTCTTCAAGATCATTCCAGCCAGCTCCTTCTGCTATTTTTACTGTACCATAATGCACTAGGTCTGGCTTTTACCCTATTGAAAGAACATGAATATATTATTATCCACACAAAAGAGCAGGTTATTGTTTATGAATTACCAGCCTTCCCAGCAACAAAGGCTATTTTCATAAGAAAACTCAATTTCATTTTAGCTCCAATTTGATTACCAGCTGAAGAAAAGAAGCTCTGCTCCTAACCCTCAAAGGATTTTTATTCATACCATTGAATGGGCTTTATTGCTTCCTTTTCAAAACTGACGTAGAAAGCTTTTAGAGTAAAACATTGACAAAAAATTATTGCGCTGCTATTTTGTGCAATAACAGAGCTGAAGAGGGGCAATGATTTCTCAGTCATCCTTCACTGTACTCCA
This sequence comes from Homo sapiens, assembly GCF_000001405.40. Taxonomy (NCBI): domain Eukaryota; kingdom Metazoa; phylum Chordata; class Mammalia; order Primates; family Hominidae; genus Homo; species Homo sapiens. The sequence goes on along the minus strand of NC_000013.11, from coordinate 111,410,780 downwards.
GAATAGCGGAGGCTGGAATTAATGACAGACCAGGGAGAGGAGGCACGCTAAGGTCTCACAATGCACGTCAAATCTAAATGATCACTATACATTGAAAGGCCCCCAAAAAAGCCCACAGCTGATTGATTCATGGCTTTCACAAGAAAGACAGGCTTGAAGAGTTTATTGCACCACAATTTACTCGGAATTATCATAAAAATGAATGTAGAGGCTGAATGTCACCCCGGCACGCTCCAAAACCACACGCCCAGGGACAAAGTTCACCCAGGAGCCGCCGCTGCACACCCCACGCTGCGCGCCAAGAGCTGTCAGGGTGGTCGTCGTTGGACTTGACTCGGGCTCTGTGGAGAATCTTTACCCCACGCCAGAATAGGTTTTCATCTTCACAATTTTAAAGTGGAAAAAAAGTCTGTACCAGCAAACAATAGCCCAGGGGCCCGGAGGCGGATGTGCCTGCCCCGCACCTGCGCGGTGCGGCGGAGGGCCCTGGTGGGCTTGTGCCCCTCCGCCTGTTTGTTCTCATTCCCCAAAGAAGTGAGAAGTTTGCGAGGACTGGAGTGCTCACAAGAGTGGTTTAGGGGTACATGTTTAAATGATACAGGTAGTTCTTGTTTAAATGACTTTCTCCACATGCACGGCACTTTTCCTTTCATTAAAATTTGAGCAATAATGGCTAAGCTAGTGGGGTTGCCAAAGAAACCTGCACTTGCGGTTATGCAAATAGAGCCTGCAGTGTAATAACTTGGTGTCCTCAAGGCCCCCAGCCAACAGCCTGTTCACGTAGAAGCCTCAGGTGAGATCCAATGACTTTGGCCAACCAGCACTGAAAGGTGCCTTAAAACCTGTCATCAGCCTGGGGACCCTTCTCCTCTCCTGCCTTACTCATCCAGCACAGTCAGGATTTATAAGCGAAGAATTTGTGATCTTCAATGTTTTGTTTGGTAAGGAGTGCTCGTATTTTAAAACATGCCAGAGAAAAGGTAAAACTCCCCCCGTTGGCCATTGCATTTTCAAAAGACTTGTTGAATTCAAACAGCATCAATGTTTTCTCAGTTCTCTGTCAGAGTCAAGCAATCTGTCACCTCTCTCTCTCTCTCTCAGACAGGTTCTCAAGCACAGAAATTATACTGGCTGTCTTCCGGGGAGGAGCTGGGTTGATATAGGAGCCACGCGTCCTTCCCAGGTGATCGCACACACCAGGAGAGGCTGGCCCGGCTCAACCCTGCCGCCTCGAACTCATCCCCAACCACCCGCCCCATGGGGCTCCACCTGAAATCTGGGGCTTCTCACAGGAGATCCTCTGGGGTCTCGGGGTTGCCACATGTGCCTTGAAGGTTCTCAGAATCATTGCTCTAAACTGAATGACTTAAAGGCACCTGAACATGACTGTTTGGTAGAACACAGGAAGATGTCAGCTGTGCTAAATCCTTTTCCATGGCTCCCCTCGTCCTGGCCCCAGAGTGGCTACAATCTCGTAACCACTAGCACTGTATTTCCACAATGTCAAGGCTGATCATTTACAAAAGCAAACTTCCATCAAGAATTCATGTGCTTACAGATATCTCAGTGCTTGGCATTGGGCTGACAACAAAAGACAAGTAACCCATGCATATTTTGCCTTTCTTAGGGCTTCGGTTTCTGCACACGCAGCCTGTTCATTAACAATATACAGTCAGTTCTAAAGTGAAACGTTGATGGTGGTGACGTTCTAAAGCTACTGTGAATACTGAATTTGCAAGTACTGAGCCTTTGCTCCCAGAGAAATACATCTGGTCACAACAGTTTTGTCAATCAATTCATACATGACCTTGTTTAATGTTTGTTTCTATTTAATAACACATTATTCAATATGGATTGTGGAGTCATTAACATTGAACTCACAGCCAGCAGCATGCCTGAGTGGCTTCTTGAACACACATGTTATCTCCATGAGGCACAGCACAACCTTCTTGCACTTAGGAACCCTAGACAGCCCTTCAGTCCTGTTCTCGTGGGTCATCTTACATAGTGAAATCACCAGCAAAAGCACAGAAATTTGAAAAACATGGCACTCGAGAGACTGCAAAAAGGACACTGTCCACAGGATGAGAGGAAGTCTCAGTATCTCCTTGCTTGCTATCATCTGGGGATACGCACGTCTGGTGACACTTTTTTTTTTTTTTGAGACAGAGTCTCACTCTGTCACCCAGGCTGGAGTGTAGTGGCGCGATCTCGACTCACTATAACTTCCACCTCCCAGGTTCGCGCGATTCTCCTGCCTCAGCCTCCCTAGTAGCTGGGACAACAGGCGTGCACCACCATGCCTGGCTAATTTTTGTATTTTTTTGGTAGAGACGGGTTTCATCATGTCGGCCAGGCTAATCTCAAACTCCTGACCTCAAGTGATCCACCGGCCTCAGCCTCCCAAAGTGCTGGGATGACAGGCGTGAACCACCACGCCTGGCCCAGTGACACATGTTTTACCGTTTTACCATTCTAAGCATGCCTGCAAACGACCGCAAAATCTCCAAGATTATTCATTTTGGGGGGGTTACAAATTCTAGCAAGTAGCAAAGCTGCTGTGGACTGAACTGCATCTTCCCCAAACTCATATGTTGAAGTCCTAAACCCAGCGTGACCGGATTCGGAGATGGGGTCTTGGGAGGTAACTGGGGTTAGATAAGGTCATGAGGGTGGGGTCCTGATCAATAGGTCTGTGGCCCTGTAAGACAAGGAAAAGAGAGAGGGCTCTTTCTCCCTCTCTCCACCACGTGAGGACATGGTGAGGACATCTGTGAGCCAGGAGGAGGCCCTCGCCAGGAACGAAACAGCTGGCACCCTGACCTTGGACTTCCAGCCTCCGCCACAGTGAGAAATAAATGTCAGCTGTTTAAGCCACCCAGTCTGCAGTACTGTGTTGTAACAACCCAAGCTGATGAAGATAAAAGCTAGAAGCGGAACATCCATGAGGCACGCTCTATGACCAGCCAACACTCGTTGAGCACCTCCTGTTTACCAACTGGTGTCTGCATGAGCCGGACCAGAGCTGACTGGAGAGTCCCAGAGTGTGGGGGGGACTCAAAGAGTGAGACCGGAGGAGCGCCCTGGAAGACGCTGGGCCCGCGTTTCGAGGAGTGGTGACATTCGAGGCTACAGAATGAAGCGACAGCCAGAGGGAGAGAAGGGCAGCTCCTCGGCAGGGGCACAGGGCCGGGCCCAGCCTGAGCCCATCTGGGGGAGCTGGGAGATGAGGCTGCAGCCTGTGTGACCACCTGGTGGCGGGACCTTTTCTCCAAATGTGGGTCTCGCACCCCTACCAGCACAGTCACCTGGCGGATGATGAGAAATAGAAGCTTCCGGGCCTGTCCTGCGTGGTCAGCTTGGCATCCCTGTTGTGGGGCCCTGGCAACCTGCTTTTCTGATTTGCCACCCAGTGACACCTACAAAGTGTAGGTGCTCTCAACCCTTAAGAGCCCTAAATCTGAGGGGCAAAATCATGTACAAAATAGATGCACACTCCCCAGTCAGTGATTTTATGTTCAAAATAAATACAAAGGGCGCACTGACCATGGAAGGGCATTTATCCTCCCAGCTGTGGCACTGTCCAGAAAGCCAAAAAGGATATCAAAATCAGACTGGGTGTTCCTGTCAGACACACCTGCAATTTGCTCATGGGACAACCCAGCCTTTTTGTCAAACTGTGAACCCCTCAAAGGCAGGTGCACCTTTATTCAAGTGGACACCTGCCACATCAGTAGCTGCTCAATAAAATACCACTGTGCAATGGCTTAGACTAGATATACTGGCTAGAGAACTCGGAAAGAGGAAATCCTGAGTGTCATATTATACTCTGACTGCAGCTGAATGCCAAGAAGCAAGGCAATTACGGAAAACCATGGATTCAAATACTATAGGAGTTTGTTTACTTAAAGGAAAAAAGGAAAAGATCTTTGGAATTGTGAACCCTCACTCACATTTCCAAACAATGTAGAGCTTCTTTCCACCACAGTGAATTGGTTCTCTTCCTGCCGCCTCATCCATAAGCACATAAACTCCCTTTCAACCAAAGACTTCCCTGGCTTCCAGAATTTGGAAGCAAAGAAATAAAACCACTGTGCCAACAAGAAAATACCTTATCCTGTAGGCAGCTTCCTTATCCCATCAGCAGAACTATATAATTTGAGTTCCAGAAAGTTACATCTGATCTTCCAGAGTTTCAGGATATCCTGCCAATCTTTGTCCTGTAGGGAGAGTTGAGACCTCTGAAAATCAGAGCTTTGCAACAGATTATAACCAAGGAGGCCAAGGAAATGAAATAACCATGTGATCACAAGCAACCAAAGTTCCCCCTGATCCATCCTGAGTGGCCGCATCCCCCCTTGCTGACAAGCAGTGACATGCGTGAGTGCCTTGATCAGAATATGACATAACAAACGTCACTGTTTCCTCAGAGCCTCTAGCTAGCTTGGGAAGATACTTTCTATAAGTCTGATGGTATTATAGGAGACGTTCAAGATTCACTAGACATTTCAAGAAGCAGGTGAAACTGTCATTCACTTCTCAAGAAGAAAATCTAAAAATTACGCTAGGATTAAATCCGACTCCATTTTTTTATTCATTGTCCAGCTTTTATCTTATTCTACTTCATGCTTCAAAATTATAGCCTAGACATGTTAAATCAGTGCTTGCATTGTGTACTCACCCCTTCGTTCCCCCCTTTCCAATTCTCAAAAGATGGAGAATCTGGCCCTACCTTTGTAGTAGTCGGCTCATAGCTTGTGACAGTGAATGCACATTCAGAATTAGAATCAGGGTTGGTATCAGCTACTTTACCCTCTATTCCTGCATATGTAACAGTAAGAAAGTGAGCCAGGTTCAACCCAGAGTTAGGAAGTTTCTATTTTAAATCCTTCCGTATTAACGAGAATTTTCTGAATTTGGTCCAGCAACATTGCTCCCGTGATAGGCATCTTAGGCTCCAAAGTCATAGGCGGTCCCCGGGGATGGGCATGGCCGTCCCATGCCTTATCAGAGAGTGCAAAGCCCAGCCACACCCACCTGCACCCAGAGGGAGAACTGGGCCCCCAAATGCACCGGACCTGTCCTCACTCAACCTTCCCCCCAGGAAATACTTCCACACATCTAGAAAATGCTCCCTAATTCTGGAGAAGGAAATGTGCGTTCACCCCCCAACCTCTGCTCACACCCTACAGCCTTCCTGCTTCCAGTCAGAGGCGACCTGCTGCCTCCAGGGAGGCTTCTGGGAAGTGTATTTTACTATGAAGAGCACACGCGGCTGTGGGGCTGGGAGAGCGGCATGAACAAGCTTGGAGCGTCAGATGTTCACCCAGTGTGTCCTGGCCTCCTCTCTCTGACACCACCTGGGTGTCCAATGGTTCAGCTCAATCCTGACACTGGCTACCTGGGGTCAGCACGGACCTCACAGGCTAAGGGGCTCATCCCACAAGGCTGCCCCTGTTCAGATGCCAGCCACAAGCTCCTGGCTCCCAGACCACCCGTACTTCTGTCAGCTATACACTCTGGGGTTCCCACACTCCCTCTTTAGGTTTTGTCATTGCTAGAATGACTTACGGAACTTGAAAAATGCCGCATGAGTGGTCTAAGGGGCTGGTGAATCCGGCAGCCCTGGCACCCTGCAGTGGGCTGTGTTCCTGTCACCTGAGGCCTTGTGAGATGGGCAGCTTACCCAGAACTCAGCGGTCACCTCGGTGCCTTGGAGGGATTTCCCTGCAAAGCACGTGGAGCTTTTGGGAGGCGGGCGCGTTAAGTGACAGGTTTATTTTGAAGAATACAAATACGTGGCCAGATAAGAGATGCGTAGGCCAGCAAGGTTTGGGGCTGCAGGAGTGGAGGGTGGCACGGAGCTTCCACGCCTCTCCAGACACTGCCCTCCCACCACTGACACTCTCACCAGCCAGGAGCTCTCCAGCCCTGTCTTTCCAGGGTTTCCATGCAGAGTTTCATCCCAAAGGCATGACTGACGGGGCTCAACCCCAGTGCTTCTTCCCTCCCTGGAGGTCGGAGGTTGAGGCCACAAGTTCTCACCCCTGTGGCTGGTTTTTGGGGGGAGATGAGGTCACTGGATGTCAGAGGGTGAGACTGAAAGTTCTCACCCTGTGGCTGGTGGGGAGAGGAGGACACACATCACCTCATTAGCACAGACCCAACATCAAAGGGGTTCCTCAGGAATAAGAAAAGGCCAGGCACAGTGGCTCATGCCCATAATCCCAGCACTTTGGGAGGCCAAGGTGGGCGGATCACTTGAGGTCAGGAGTTCAAGGCCAGCCTAGGCAACATGGTAAAACCCTGTTTCTATTAAAAATATTAAAAAATTAGCTGGGAGTGGTGGCGGTTGCCTGTAGTCCCAGCTACTTGGGAGGCTGAGGTGGGAGAATCGTTTGAACCGAGGAGGCGGAGGTTGCAGTGAGCTGAGATCGTGCCACTGCACTCCAGCCTGGGCAACAGAGCGAGACTCCGTCTTGAAAATATAGAAAAGGAAGAAGGAAAGGCACTACCTCCTACCACTCAGGGAATTCCAAGTGTTTTAGGAGTTCTTTGCCAGGAGACAGGAGCAAGGACTAGGTATGTGTTTTTATCACGCACCACCCCCACCCCCCACCGCAAGGTGGCGTTGGAGCCCCTTGGTGTCCCCAGGTGAGCCGTCGATGTGCGACCCTCTTGGCATTTCAGCAAGGCCTGCCTAGGCTTGGGGTTTTTCCTAAGGTCGAGGACATAAGGAAACAGCTCAAGTGGAGGAGTCAGTCCACATGCCAAGGGGCCTCTTGCTGCCATGGGTCCTCAGCTCTTCCTGCCCCCGGGGCTGGTCACCTGTATCCATCCTGCACCTCCCCCCCTTGGCTCACACTTGGTTCCTGAAGACAGGGAATGGGGACGTGAGACCCAGTCAAGCCCCTCCAAACACATGTGTCGGCCAACACTCGCTCATCTCGTCACCACCCTTGTCCAAGGGGCTGCTCAGGAGGAATGGCGCTGGCGGCCCTCAGGACAGCGAGACTGGCCAGCACCGGGGGGGCCCTCTCTGTCACCCACATCCTCAGCACTCAGGGCATCTTAACTCAGTAAATCCAACAACTCCATGAGGCCAGCGCCATTATCACCCCCACTTCATTGAAAGGACTTAGGTACAGAGGGGTTACGTCATGTGGCTAAAAAGTGTGGGATTCACAACACACCAACCCCATAACCCACTCGGCTTCAGACTCTGGCTTGGAAGCGGCTCCCTGATGCTGGTTCTCCTGCGGCCCATGTGACCGCAGAGGGGAGGACCCCGGCTCCCCCAGCCTGGTCACCGGAGCTCCGGCACACACCTGCATTCAGCAGCAGCATCTCCCAGATGCTCCAAGTGCTTTGCAGGGAACTCCCTCCAAGGCAACAAGATGACTGCTGAGTTTGGGGTAAGCTGCCCATCTCTCAAGGCCTCTGGTGATAGAAACACAGAGCCTGCTCCAGGGTACGAGGGCTGCTGGACTCACCAGTCATGCAGGGGCCACGGCCCCAGAACACATTCCTTCCTCATCCACACACTTGCCAACCAATGAAAATCCATTTCCAACATCCCTAGTCTGCCTAACACACCACCAGGACAAGTCACGTAGGGGTGCAGGGGCCTTGGAGAACTCCTCACGGCTGCCTTAGCCATGTGGATGCTGAGTTAGGTCCCTGGAGTCTCTGATTAGAGCACGTGAGACACTGACCCACAATCCCTGGGGCATGGACTGAGCCTGACTCCGCAGAGTGGCAGAAGTGGAGATAAAAGGAAACACATCATGCTGGGCATCACTGCCTGCTTCCTAAGCAACCATGCCCCAGTCCCTGAGAACAGGCGACTTTGGTTCCGTTCCCCACTCCTGTGATATGCAGCGCCCCACCCAGGGGGTTAGCGAGCTCCACACCAGCTCTGGGGAAAATGGGTTGGCCCATCCCATATGAGGCCAGGATTGTTGGTTTGGGAACACGAAAGGGGCCCTGGGTTTGCTAAGGGGGCTGGAGCAGGTGTGCTCTGGCTACTGGGGGCACACATCAAGAAGGGAGTGTGAGGAGAACCAGTGCAGGCCGAGGCGGATGCCAGCACAGGCATAGCAATGCCGCCGCAGGGGAGACCGGAGACCTCACAGAGCCACTCCCTGGGCACGCTCCATCTGGACTCGGAGTTCAGGCCCGTCATACGTTCACGCCCGTTTTAATCATGCAGACCTGAGCCCCAGCTGAAGCCCTATATTTTTCTGAGCTGAGGGGCACTGAGAGAGGAGCTCTCGGCCTCTCACACTTTTGCCACCATCTTCCCTGGTGTACACCAACAAAGTCCCACGAAGATCCGGGGCCAGCATCTTCCCTGGCGTGTGCACACAGAATCCTCCCAGGATCCGGGACCAGCTTCTTCCCTGGCGTGGGCACACAGAGTCTCCCCAGGATCCGGGACCAGCTTCTTCCCTGGCGTGGGCACACAGAGTCTCCCCAGGATCCGGGACCAGCGTCTTCCCTGGCGTGTGCACACAGAGTCTCCCCAGGATCCGGGACCAGCGTCTTCCCTGGCGTGTGCACACAGAGTCTTCCCAGGATCCGGGACCAGCGTCTTCCCTGGCGTGTGCACACAGAGTCTTCCTAGGATCCGGGGCCAGCGTCTTCCCTGGCGTGTGCACACAGAGTCTTCCCAGGATCCGGGGCCAGCGTCTTCCCTGGCGTGTGCACAGAGTCTCCCCAGGATCCAGGGCCTCCCTCAGCCTACACCTCTATCCAGCCTGGACATAGCTCAGGCAGCCAATGATGCCTGAAGGAAGGTGTTCTATAGAGCATGTCGGGAGGGCCACTTCCAGGTGGGAGAGCGCTGCTCTAGGTGGTCAGCGGGCCTGCTGGGGTGGACACACAGGTCGGGGGAGGAGCTCTGGCCACATCCAGGAGGAAAACGGGCAGTTGCTGGAGACGGAAACGAGGTTGTTACGTCAGGGAGAACCCAGGGAGCAGTCTGAGGTGAGCTAAGATCAGGTTGAGATGTTCCAAAGAAGTCCACAGGCCTCATGAAGTGAACACAGAAGTGCCTTTGATAAGTGACCTCTGGTTTGTGCGTTAGGATAGAGTCTGCTTTGACCATTTAACCAGCCTGGTCTGGTCAGTGCTTCCTAGTGCGAGCTGGAGAAGAGCAGAGGCATTGGTGCAGAGGGAGCTGGCCTCGAACCTGGGCTCTGTGGCTAATGCAGCCTTTAGGACATCTCTGAGGCTAGGAACCCTCAACAGTGAAATTACCTACCGTGGGCTTTGCACACAGCAAACGTGGAATGGATTCCAGATCTGTTATTTAATGGCTTTCTGTTTTTCTCATCTATTTCAACTAGAGTACTTTGGGTGTGGGTTCTGCTCATGCCAGGTCCTGCCCCGTGGGGGAGGCAGTCACAGGCGTGGGGTTTGCAACTGTCAGTGGAGCTTCCCAGGTCTGCAGGACTGCAGGTGTGCTGGCACGACCTCAGTCACACGCATCTGCTCTCACATGCCACACTGTAGTTTCAGAATCTCCTTATAGCTGAATGTATGTCAATTCAGAAATGATCAGTGAATATATCAGAAAAACCTCTGGTATTTTCTTTTTACTAAAAAAAGGTTAAGATAGAAAAAATCTAAATAAGATATCTGAAGACGGTGAAAAGAAACAGTGAAACAGAAGAGATGAGGATTTGGAAACAGAGAGAGGCGAAGGAAAATAAAATCCAGATAGAAGGAAATCCTGGCATGAGGCAGAGAGGGAGAGCAGGGATGGTGTGAGAGCCAAGGGTGGGCGTGGTGAGAGAGGTGAGGCGGTGAACACGTGCAGTGATCACTTAACACAAGTAGTACGTGTCCATTCCCCCAAGCACAGGATGCAGCTGCCACCACAAAAACACCTTTTATCTTACAGAGAGAAAATGTTACCCAAAATATTGGAATATTACCCTGAAAGTCAAAATCACCCTTGAAAGCTGGGCTTGCAGTAAGAAGAACCATGAATGAATGATTCCCTGGTATAGAAATGGCTGAAATAATGTGTCGATGCTGTGTCTATCTTCATCACACACACAGCTTAGAAAAAAAGGACTAGAATTGCTTCTGTGTCCAAATCAAAGCAAGGAAATAAATACTCTGGAGGTTTCTAAACGTTCTAAATGGGAGGCAACGCTTTCTGTGAGAGTTGAATGGCAGAAGCACAAAGTCCCTTCACAATGTGGAGAAAGAGGTACTGTCAGCAGGAGGAATACACTGGTAGAGAGAGAGGAGGGAGGAGGGAGGAGGGAAAGGCGAGGGAAAGGTTGGTAAAGGGGCGGTGGTGAGTGATGGCCTGGGATGGATGTGCACCGTGGGTGTCTGGAGCATGAGGGCGGAAAGACTCCGTCTGCAGAGCGCCCTGAGCCAGGCGGAGCAGACACCACAGAGTCCCAGTAAACGCCGCTCCCAGATCACTTGGACAAGACTGTGGTCGTCGCAACCGGATCCCAGGGCAACTGAAAAATTACACAAATTTCACCTACTGATTCACTCCATCTTGTGACCTTATCCACCAGTGGAGGCAAAAACAGTCCACAGGCCCAGCCTGTTCAGAGTTGGGCCTCATCTGTTCCACGGGAGCTAAGCCACGATGCCCTGAGGCCAGCGCTTCATCTTCCAAGCTGTCCCCACTTTAGCAGCCAGGAACCCAAGGCTCATTCCTGCAATTCACCCGGGTGCTTCCAGCTTAGAGCTCCACACCAGGTTGGGCACAGAAGCTCCCCCACAGGAGCCCTGTGCTCACCCCTGGTCCAGTTCTGCAGACAGAGGCTCAGAATAGGCTGCCTGGGCCTGTCCTCCACACCAGTCCCGCTCCCAGATCAGGTTTGAGCCTGGGATGCTCCACTAGCCTAGGAGGGAATTTCAGATGGAGCCAAGCACCCCTGGCATTCCCAGCCAGTAAGATTCAGACCCATGCAGCAGGGTAGCTTAGGGCTGGATTTTGGAGACGGCTGAGACAAATCCTGAGCTGTGCAACCATGGGAAGTTTCGGAACCGTCCAGTTCCTTAAGGTTCTCACTGGAAAACGGGGTGACTGCTGCATCTGTCTCGGGGTTGTGGTAGGTACTGTGCCTGCACAGAGGAAGCAGGGGATGGGAGCTGGTCGCCAGCAGGGCTCACTCCACTTCCCGCCTGACCCACTCCTCCTGAGCACATACGCACTCGAGGGGACACAGGGCCCTGCTGCGCTCAGCTCCAGGCTTCTGCTCCTCTCTCCTCCTCTCTCTCGAGTCTCGTCTTTGCATTCATTAGGGCCCATCCTGCCCTGTTCCGTCTCTCCCGAGGACAGTAGTTGACAGGTCTGCCCACCCAGATTCCAGACACCCCACTCCACTTTTGATTCTGCCAGAGAGATGAGCTGAATGCATCCTCACTTCTTTATGTCCCAAATTTTCCATCTGTGAGGGAAAGAGACATCATTCCTGCCAAGTACCTGTCCTCCCAGAGATGGGGCCAGGATGAAGCATGTTCACGGAACAGCCTGACATTGGGGAAGGAGAGGAACCACACAATTGTTGTTTTCATGTACGATGGGTTCGGGCTCTTTGTTTTTTAACAGGATGGATGTCACCTGCAGAAACAATGAAATGGCAGCCTTTTCACACTCGTCCCGTCCTGTAGGAGTACCCAGCCTGATCTAGCCTCTCTCCTCCAGAACCTCCCATGGTCTAGGTTCGGTTCCAGCTTGGCCACAAGAAGATACCCATGAAGCTGAGATGGTTGGAAGTGCCTGTCTTGCTTCCAGTGACCAGCCCTGTCATCTGCACACACATCCACACACTGTAGAGGGCACACGCATCCACACGCTGTAGAGAGCACGCGCACCCACACGCTGTAGAGGGCGCGCGCTGTCCACACGCTGTAGAGACAAGAGCCCTGTGTTGCAACATGTCTCACACAGAAGAGGCTGCCCTGAACATTCTGAAATTCCAAAACCACCAATCTCTTCTGTTACAAATTCAGTGCAAATCATATTGCCGTTTCTATTCGCACATCCAAGAGGGAGGACATGTGGGACTCCGGAGCTGGGAAAGCAGGCTGGGCCACATCCTAAACATCTGGCATCACTTTCTCTGAAGTAGGAATTTCATTCATTCATCTACCACCTATTCTGGGGTTGATGAAGAACCATTTAAACACTACCAATCTTTTTCTTCCTATTGGCTGACCTGTTTGACCAGTTGCTGCCCTAAACTCCTCTCCCTGAAGTCCTCTCTCAGACATTACCCACCTCTTGTGCTTTCAGACTGAACCCAATCAGGAAAAATGGGACGCCATGGTGCACGTTACAAGAACACATTTTTGTTACTTGGAGGAACAGATCCAGCCCAGGTTGGGGGAAGCCCCGCTTGTCCCCTCAGACTTTGGTGGAGCATGCAATGGTGCCACTTGGTAAATGGCTGTTGTCACACTGAAGAGTTAATCTGATATGCATTAAAAAAGCAGGCAGGAGGCCAGGCACAGTGGCTCACACCTGTAATCCTAGCACTTGGGGAAACCAAGGTGGGTGGTTCACTTGAGGCCAGGAGTTCAAGACCAGCCTGGCCAATGTGGTGAAACCTGTCTCTACTAAAAATACAAGAATTAGCTGGGCATGGTGGCACATGCCTGTAGTCCCAGCTACTCGGGAGGCTGAAACACAAGAATCCTTTAACCGGGAAGGTGGGGGTTGTGGTGAGCCAAGATAGTGCCATTGCACTCCAGCCTGGGAAACAGAGTGAGACTCCTTCTCAAAAAAAAAAAAAAAAAAAAAAAGGTAGGCATGCTACACTTACCCACTGGGCGTGTCTAGACCATGGGACCTCTGCTTCTGAGGGTGAGGCCCTCTGGCTTGAAGGGGCAGGAGTGAGCAGGAGCTCTGTGATCGCAGTGATTTTAGAAATCATTTTGAAAGGAGCTGGTTTGGCGCGTGCGGATAACAATGGAAGGGTTTGTTCCCCGCACGCTGTTCTCAGTCTGGGCCTGAGCAGCCCCTCGTTCGAGGTGAGGTGAGGCTCACCCTCCCACAGAGTCCTGCCCGGGGTCTCCGGATGCTCCCTGCCCAGACTCTAATTACAGAATGGAGATGGCTTCACTCAAACAAGTGCCTGCCAGTGACAGCACCTGACAAAGGCAGCATGGAACCCTTGGGAGGAAATTAAATAACCCATATGAGAAAGGGAGAGAGAGAAAGGAGAAGCAGGGGCTGAGGAGCGGGAGGTGGGGATGGGAAGCGTGTGTCCCTCTGTTACAGCTTCTGAAGTTCATTCCTTCTGGGCACCTGAATGCAGGGCTCATGTGAGACTGTGAGAAGGGTCCCGACTGTGTGAACAGCAAATCAGGACCGCTCCCACCGCAGGACGCTCCGCACGCAGCTCCTTCGTGCTCCTTCACGGAGCCCCATCGCCCCTCGTTTCTCTGTTCAGCACATGGCAATGTGCGGGTCAAGGCGGGAAATAACTCTGTCCATGGACTAAGAACTCAAGGTCTGTTTTGTTCTAACCCGTAAACCTCCCCACAGGAATACAGTGATGTTTACTAACAGAGTTCATGGCGTATTCAAGTATCTGAATTTTGGTCTTCGTGCTGAGTCAGAAGCCTTGGGTTTTATGTGACCTCTGGCTTGGTTTTCTTATCTGCAAATTTGAAATTTAGGCTTTTGTTTTTCACTTAGGGGATGAAAAAGGGAACAAACCATCATTCTTGAGCCCAACCAGCTAAGAGTTTAGAAGTGTGAAAATTTGTATCTAGGGCATTATTTTTCATATGGAATATGAGTATATATAAATTAAGCGAACAGTGGGGCGCTTCTCTGCCAGAACAGGGTGGGCAGGGTTGCCCCTCCATCTCTCAGTCTCTGGGGTCTCTAAAAACCCTTAGCGTTCCTAGGAGCACAGTGTGCAAACCCCTCTGTGGAAAAGGGTTCATCTTCCAGCAGGCCCACAGATATTCCCAGGTGCCTCTCACTGGCCAGGTGGATCCTTCCCAGACCTCACAGCCCAGGGATTCATCCACTCGGTGGTGCCTCAGTGTTGAGTGAAGGACAGTGGTTCCCACGTGCAAGACGGGGCCCTGCGCGAGACACCTAGGGCAGCCGTAACAGCACTGCAAGACAGAAGTTGAAAACAAAAGCAACTGGAAGCCTGCAGTCAGAGTGTCAGGACCTTAAAACCGCGCCCCTCAGCCCCTTCCAGTCCCCACCTGCTCTGGACCTCAGTCCTTAGCTTTGGGCTGCAGTGCCCACCCCGCCTCCGCCCCCACAGGGCTCCTCCCTGTGGTCTTCCTCTGCGTCTCTTCCTATGACGCCAGTTTGACTGGATCAGGGCCCATCCCACTGTGACCTCACCTTAGCTAATTACACCTGCAACAATGTGATTTTCAAATAAGGTCACACTCTAAAGTACTGGGGGTTGGGACTTCCACATACTTCTTAACCCACAAAGGTGTCAATGCCAAAGACAAGGAGGGGGACTGAGTAGGCAGAGAGGTGTCTGAATGCACCCTGCCCGGCCCTGAGCCCATGGTCCCAAGAGCCCCTCCTCCCTCGGTGCATGCTGGGGGAAGAGGAGTCAGATGCAAGGGACAGAGCCCAGCCCAGTGGCCACAGCTCAGGCCAGCAAGGCACTTGGCAGCTAGGACAGCTCACCCCAGCAGATGCATGGCCTCAGAACTGCCAGGAGGGGGTCCATCACCCCTGAAAGCCTCACTAATGCCCTGATGCCCATAGGCCTCTGGGAGTATGGCCCTCCTTCAGCAGCCATAACCCTGTGTGACTCCACCCATGTCCTCAGAAAATGCTACCATCCTCTCACCACCCTAGGGAACACAGCAGGGCCTGCGCTTCAATCAATACTCAGGGAACTTTCCATCTAGTCGGGGAAATGAGATGGTACATAGACACTGAGAAGGATGCCAGGAGGACAGAGGAGAGGGTGGGCAAACTCCCTCAGCACCAAGCTGCAGGAAAGCCACAGGGTAGGCTTAGTGGAGGAACGGCCTCAAGGCCGGCACAGACAGCACAGGTGAGGGCTCTGGGGCTTAGCTGTGACCCTAGGCAGGGTCTTGGAGAGCTCTTCATGCCCCATCACATCCGCACAGTGACGCCTGAGTCCTGCCAGTGGGCAGAGCAAGCAAGGCTTTATCATGGCTGTGTTAGTCTGTTTTCATGCTGCTGATAAAGACATACCCGAGACTGGGCAACTTACAAAAGAAAGAGGTTTATTGGACTTACAGTTCCATATGGCTGGGGAGGCCTCACAATCATGGTAGAAGGTGAAAGGCACATCTCACATGGTGGCAGACAGGAGAGAGCTTGTGCAGGGAAACTCCCGTTTTTAAAACCATCACGAGATCTCATGAGACTCATTCTCTATCACAAGAACAGCGCAGGAAATACCCGGCCCCATAATTCAATTACCTCCCATCGGGTTCCTCCCAACACATGGGAACTGTGGGGGGTTACAATTCAAGATGATATTTGGGTGGGGACACAGCCAAACCATATCAATGGCCAAGAAGCATTTTTATGGCCAGTGACATATCACAGTGGGTTCAAACTTTACCTGAGAATCCAAACCCCAACCTTCAAGATGAATCACTCAGCATGTTATTGTTAGTCTAGAGCCAGACCTGGAACCCAACACTATTTAGTGATAGCAGTCACTTGCCCTCTCTTCCTAAGTCCCCCATGACACAATGGGATTTTCCTTGAGTTGTGTTTTCGAACAGGAATCTACTCCCAGTTCAAGAAAGTCAAGATTCAGACCAAAAGGAAGGTCTTCTCCTCCAACCGTATGAGTGACTCTGACTTTTTAAAAATGGTCTTTATTTTTTTAGAGCATTTAGGAAAATTGATCAGAAGTTTCAGAGAGTTCCCATATTCCCTGCCCCCAATTCCCGCAGCCTCCCCCAAGATCAACACCCCCAGCAGAGTGGCCCATTGGCTGCAACGGAGGAGCCCTGCATGGTCCACAGTCCCCAAATGGGGGCACACACTTGGTGCTGGGCACTCCGTGGGTTTGGACGAATGCCGGCGACTTGTCCCCAGCATTGTCGTATCACACAGTGTGGTTTCACTGCCCAGGAAGTCCTCTGTGCTCTGCCTATTCACCCTCCTCCCCAGTCCCCAAGCCTGCAAACCACTGGTCCTTCTACTGTCTCCACAGGTGCCTTTTCCAGAACAACAAACAGCTGGAATCATATACTCTGTGGCCTTTCAGACCAGCTTCTCTCACTTGGAATATGCAGGAAAGCTCCTGCACATCTTTTCGTGGCTTGAGAGCTCGTTTCTGTTCAGTGCTAGGAAGCATTCTGCTGTCGGGTTAGGGAGCGACAGTTCATTCACCCACCCACTGACAGACATTGTGGTGGCTCCAGGTTTCAGCCACACGAATAAAACCGCTGTGAACATCCCTGGGCAGGGGTCTGTGAGGACCGTTCCCAACCCCTTGGATAAATCCCAAGGAGCCCAGTTGCTGGATCATGCAGGAAGAACAGGTTTCATTTCAGTGTTTTTTCCTGTTTTGTTTGCTCTGTTTCAGCCAGCACCATCTTTAGATTATGTGTTGTGGTTTTTGAGATGGAGTCTCTCTATAGCCCTGGCTGGAGTGCAGTGGCATGATCTCAGCTCACTGCAACCTCCACCTCCTGGGCTCAAGCAATTCTCCTGCCTTAGCCTCCCAAGTAGCTGGGATTACAGGCACGTGCCACCACGCCCAGCTAATGTTTCTATTTTTAGTAGAGATGAGGTTTCACCATGTTGGCCAGGATGGTCTCAATCTCCTGACCTCATGATCCACCTGCCTCGGCCTCCCAAAGCGCTGGGATTACAGGCGTGAGCCACTGAGCCTGGCCTTTGTTGTAGTTTTTAAATGAGCATGGGCAGGAGTGGAAGCTGGAGGGACCTTATGAGTCCTTTCCAATGGATGGCAGAGACCTTGGAGAGCTGTATTAAGGAGTCGCTCCATCATTGGCACATCTGTTTCCAATGATGCTGATAAATCCCGACGCTCTTGCAGTGTCTGAGATGTGTGTCACTCTGCGGTGCTAACACTGGACACAGGGAACTTTCAAAGAGTCAATCCAGGGGGAAGTGACTGGAGGGGCTGGGTGTGTGTCCCTGTAGGCCTCTCCTGATCTCAGTGGCCTGAGTGCAGCTCCCAGCAACACACAGGCTCCAGAGACCAGCACCCAGCCATTCCTTCTCCCCAGGACACAGCATTTGGCTGGCTATGAAGGACTCAGGGGCCTGCAGTTGGAAGATAATGCAATCAGAAGACATTTGGCCGTTTCAGGAAGACAAGTCCCTGCATTCATGACAGGCCCAAAGAAGGTGTGAACTCAGGCAAGGACCTCCCAAATAGTAGCAGATGGTCAGTGCACAGGCATCCTCAGTGAGGGAAGCAGACAGCCCGCGGGCCTTTGCAGACAGCTAGTACACAGACATCCTCAGTTATCAAAGCAGACGGCCTACAGGCCTTCATAGATGGCCAGTGCAGAGACATCCTCAGTGAAGGAAGCAGACGGCCTGCAGACCTTCCCTGTCCCAGGGCAGAGCAGACACCAGAAAGTCAAGTCTGTAGTTCATAAGGAGAGAGGGAAAAAACAAATGCCAAAGCTAGGAAGGAGAAAGAACCAATAGGCGGTCAGAGAGATGACAAGTGCTAATCCCACAGAAACAAAGCCGAAGAAGCCCGCGTGATCAGTCTCAAAATGGCCAGCAGGATTCTCTTGCATTTTTCTCGAGTGTTGTTGAAGTTTCCTCAACGTGGTCTGTATCTGCAGCATGGAACAGTGAATTTGCTCTCCCAAAAACACGCATAGGGTTATAAACAGAGAAGTTCTACATAGCAGAAGGCCACAATCATCTCAGGCCCTGGTCAGGCATAGCTGGCGCGTCTTCACTCACCCTATTTCCCTCTCTCGTCCCCTCCAGTAGCCAAACCCTGACCCCTTCCTCAGAGCCAGGATGTCTGAACCCCCCTTTCCCTCCTTGGCCTCTCACTCTCCCTCTGAACCACCAGGAAGGGATCTGGGATAAACATTCATCAAATACTGCATGTTGCAAACACTTTCCATATGTCGCAAGAAATCTACACGCAACATATTAGGTTGGTCATTTCAGAAAGATAAGCCCCTGCGTTCGTGACAGGCCCCAGGAAGGCATGAACTCAGGCAAGAACTTTTGCCATTAATTTTAAAGGCAAAAACCGCAATTACTTTTGCACCGACCAAATATCATCATGTTTCACACTTGTGAAAACAGCATGGAAAATCTTTCCTAAGAACGAGCCTTATTTGTTCACCATTTACATGTTTCATAGTATATCTGGGGGCCAGTTCCAGATCTTCTTCACTTCATTAAATTCCATGGTGTCCAGGGCAGGACGGAAGAATGAATAAATTCTCAGCAAACCCTTTTTTTTTTTTTTTTTCTGAGATGGAGTTTTGCTCTTGTTGCCCAGGCTGGAGTGCAATGGCATGATCTCGGCATACTGCAACCTCCGCCTCCCGGGTTCAAACAATTCTCCTGCCTCAGCCTCCCGAGTAGCTGGGATTACAGGTGCCCGCCACCACACCTGACTGATTTTTGTATTTTTAGTAGAAAGCGGTTTCACCATGTTGGCCAGGCTGGTCTCGAACTCCTGACCTCAGGTGATCCACCTGCCTCGGCCTCCCAAAGTGCTGGGATTACAGGCGTGAGCCACTGCGCCTGGCCTCAGCAAACCCTTTTTGTTGACTGGTATATAGAGCTTTGGTGTTTGTCCTCAAAGGATCAATGGACTGAGGCCACATGGTAGGATATCAATATATAAGCAATTATTAGAAGAAGAGAAATAGGATAGTGGCCCTTTATCCATGGCTTCACTTTCCACAGTTTCCCAAGGTCTGAAAATATTAAATGGAAAATTCCAGAAATAAACAATTCATAAGTTTTCAATTGTGCACCATTCCGAGCAGTATGATAAAATCTCAGCTGCCCACTCCACCCTGCCCCAGACGTGAACCCTCTCTTTGTCCAGCTGCCGACTCCCCTTAAGCCCCTGCTGGTCACCTAGGGGCCCTCTCAGTTATCAGCTCAACAGTCACAGGGGTGCAGTGCTCGTGTTCAAGGAACTCTCGTTTGACTTCATCATGGCCCCAAAGCACAAGGGCAGTGAGGCTGGCGATGTGGATACACCTAAGAGAAACCTTAAGGTGCTCCTTTAAGTGAAAGCAAAAGTTCTCGGCTTCAGAAAGAAATAGTACGCTGAGGTTGCTAAGATCTCCAGTGTGAATGAATCTTCTTTTTGTAAAATTGAGACTATACTGTTATAATTGTTCAATTTTACTAGTTGTTGTCAATCTCTTACTGTGCCTGATTTATAAATTAAACTTTATCCCAGGTGTGGATGGATAGGAAAAACATAGTGTACATGGGGCTCAGTACTATCTGTGGTTTCGGGCATCCTCTGGGGGTCTTGGAACGTACCCCCTGAGGATAGAGGGATGACTGTATTGAATTAATAGAAAACCTTTTGGCCAGTCACACCGACTGTGTGCATATGTGTCACTTAAGGAGACTAGGTGATGGCAAGGTGAGAAACAAAAATCTTGGTGGCTTAAAATAAAGCTCTTTCTCTCGTATTCTATGCCCACAGCCGACCGGCCCGTCCTGCTGACCCCAGCCCCAGGTGAATGGAGCAGCTAGAGCCTGGATGGTGCTGGTCACTGCAGCAGGAAGCCACTTTCTCTGATGGCCGCCTCCCAGGCACCAGTGCCCCAGCCTGGAAACTGCCACATTCCACCACAACATGGTCTTGAAACACAAGTTCATTTCAGAGCGAGCGCGCAAGATGCTGGGATACAATCAGCATCACAGGAGCACTGCGTCCTGGAGGACAGTGTGCGGTGACAGAGGCACCCATCTCTCAGCACAGAGCAGGCCTGTGCAACACAGCCATTGCAGATACAGCTCCAGGCTCAGCGGCTGCCCTCCCTGTCCCACCCCGTTTCAGATGACCCAACCCTCACACCTCCTCAGGCAGAGCCAATTCGCTGTCATATCTTGCATTTCTTCTCCACTTAGCCTGTGTCAAGCAGCCTGCCCTTGTGCTAGGTCCCTGCCAATGCTACGTGTGACATGTGAGCTGCACCAAGCCCCCCTTTTCCCAAGCCATGGCCTCGCCACCTGACTGCCCAGTACAGTGAATTTTGAACTGACTACACTCGCATCTTTCTTACCCACCACATGGCCGGAACTTTCCATGTGGCCCACTCCTGAGAGGTCCAGGGAGCTCAGTGTCTAGCCTGAAAAGAGGGGCGTGCTAGATGTTGAGAATGGCCCCAACGCCAGCCCCATCTGCAGCACAGACTCCTGGGGCAAGCCTCCCAGCCCCTCGCACTGGTCTCCTGCCCACATCAGATGGAGGAGACGCAACCCCACCTGAAGGGACCAGCCAGAAACTGCTCCAAAGTCAAAGTGAGGATCCACACGGCACCAACGGGTGATTGTCTCTGGGGGTGCAGGGCTCAGAAGGGGGGTGTCAAGACATCCTCGGCCCAGGTGGACGGTGGGTTTGTGGGTGTTCATCACATGACTGAAACGATTAACAAGCAGGTGACTGAGCATGGGCCATGTGCACCCTCATGTCGACAGTGCCTAAAGCACAGAGCACGATCTCTTCAGTTCTGACAGAGAAAGGTAAGGGTAGGAGCGGCAGGGGAGCAGAAGGGCTACGGGGCAGGTACCCCCAGACTTTCTCTCTGCAGTCCTCCTGCCTCTTCCAGGGGCCACTCCCGTAGATAAACTTTTCTGTCTTAGTTTCTACACATTCGCCTGTTCCCTGCTACCTGGAGTGTCACCCGCAGGCCTCTGTGCTCCACGCACTTCCTCAGCACTGGCTCCCAGAGCCTTTGCACCCAGCAACTTCAAGCTCCAGCCAGAGTCTCTCAGCCACAGCCTTGGCCTCCACCCGGGAATGGTCTCCAGTCTGCAGCGAGCCAGGCACAGCTTCCTGACGGGCCTAGACTGAGAAATGTGTGCCATCTGTTCATGTTCGTGTGTGTGTGCATGTGAGTACACAGTTGCATGTGTATGTTGTGTGTGCATGTGTGCATATTGTGCAGGCAAGTACACACATGTACATGTGCATGGGACTGTCTTCATGTGCATGCATGTACATGTGTGTGTTGTGTGTACGTGTGTGTTGTGTATACACGTGTGTGCATGTGTGATCATGTCCCCAAACACCTGGGCTCACACACGGCTGCCTGCCTCTCTCCTTCTACTTCCCTGCTGCCAAGTAGGACAGCCAGCTCCATTCTCTCTCATGAGGCTGTCGCCCTATCAAGCAGCAGCTCTGACTTCAGTGCTGCCTGCATTTCCTCCTCGCTGGTGCCCGCCCACCACCTCCTGTGCGGACGGGCGCTGGGTGCTGATCTCCCTGCATGAGGGCTTCCTGCACCATCTCCTTCTGGTCTGGATGGCGCCGCTCCAGGTCTTGGACCATAACTCCAGCCCAGGGCACGGGAGCTGGGTGGGAGACACCCCCACCAGAGGACACGGCCCCACGTGTGGTTACTTTGGCGTTGCTTGGTTCTCTCATTCGGAAAAACTGCTCTTGACGGCAGAGTCAAGCAGAAAGGGCAGGACTCACTGGGGACCAGTGAACACCTGATGGATGCTCTGCTCCCTGCCCTCTGGGCACCTACCACCCCCTGCGTCCTTCCCCTGGCATCCTGCTGCTCCCAGGGCCAGGCAAGGGGCAGAGCCTGGACCTCTACAGTGAATGCCAGCCCTTCACAGCTACTCACACTGCTCCCCCACACATGCCCACTCACACATGCACACACTCAGGCACAGACACGCGGACTTTTACACACACATTTAATGTGCACTTACGTGCACACACACGTGCACACTATTGCATGCAGTGACACATATATGCCCACTCACACATACATTTACACACTCAAATACAAACCCACATACACTCTCTCACACACCCGTTCTCACATACTGAATAGTAAAAATAAAAGTTTCATGACGGAAAGGCTGGTCTTCCGAAGGAGAGAAAGGACATGGTGCCTCTTAGTCTGGGCTATCAGGACAATGAGGAGAGGGAGGAGGGAAGCGAGGAGGGGCAGCCGTCCTGTGACGTCTGTTTAAGCAGGATCCAGCCCCTAAGCGAGCGCTATCGTGGCTGAAAGAGGAGTGAGGAGTGGTACTTTAGAGTCAGTGTCCCTTCCATTTCTGCATAAAGAGCGAGGCAGGCCCAGGACTGGACACAGGGCTGGACCGAGGCCCAGCAGAGGGACACGACAGCACCAATCAGGTGGTCACAAGTAGTGACGTGCCCACAGCCTTTCATCCGGCTAGGAAGGAAAACTGAAGGCAGCCACCTAACCTTGGCATCAACATTGTGCCCCATGACTAAGCGAGCAGCTCTTTATCCTACGATCAGTGCAACGTTGTTGAGGCTGTAGGCCAAGGGGGTGAGCAGAGAGATGCTTCCATGAGCGGCTCCACACTGCCGAGAAAGGCCTCCGTGAGCAGCTCTGCACTGCCGAGAGAGGCCTCCAATCACTCACCCTCTGGAGACTGGAGTCAGCCAGGAGGTTATTTCAATAATCCGGTAAGTGATGGAGCCGCTGGGGCAGGTGCCCAGAGCAGAGGTGGAGAAACAGGTGGGCTCAGAGTTGTCTGGGGGTCATCTCCTTCCTGCCCCATTGCAAACCCGGACTAAGGGGAGTCAGATACACACATGGGAGAGCACAGATGAGGACACCTTATCTGCTGTGACACAGGGTCAGGATGCTATGGATGCTGAGTGCCACCTCGCAGTGCTGCCTCATCCAGTTGACCAAAGTCCACTGTTCATGATGAGTGCTTTGTAACAGCCTCTTTATACCATCCTGAAAATAGTTACAGACTCCATGATCTTCCTACATCTGTTATTTCAAGCAATATGTAATATTGCAACTATAATAAGCAAAAGTCATTTCTATTAAGGTAATGTCCTCAATATGCAAACGCACAGGCGTTCTAAGGACATGCTGATGTCGTGGTGGATCTGTATGAGTCACCTGAGCAGGGAGCGTGCACACACAGCTGCCAAGCTGAGCCACAGGCACTGAGGCTCTGCCACGACGCACAGCCCCAGCAACTTCCAAACAGCACAAAGTGCAGCGTCTCCTCAGTTTCCATCGCAGCTGCATCTTAGAAAACAAGAGTGTGCATTGAAGCAGGGCAACTGCACTGCGTGTGCACGTGTGCATCTGTGGATGGAAAACTGGGTGAGGGCTCAGCCCAGCCGATCCCAGCAGTTTCTCACCTGCGTGGATGCCCAGCAGTATACTAAAGGGCGAGTGGGATGCTGACCAGCTCTGTGCTCTGGCACTGTCCCACGTATGAGCAGAGAGAGGTGTGGCATCCCTAAACCCTTGCTAAGTGTATCTCTGCCTACTCCCAATCACAGGACACTGGGAAATGCCCCTTCCTGTCAGAGCTACTCACGTGGCCCTAGCAGGCATGTCATCGACATGCGAGGACAGAGACGCCCCAAGAATCAAGGTGCTTTCGCAGGGGTACACAGCTGCTCAGTGGCTGCTCTGAGGCCAGAACCAAGATCTACCTCCCCTCCCAGGACCGGCCGCACCACCATCACTGTGGACACCCTGGGAGGGAGGGGCTCCTTCGCTGCAGGAGAAAATTGTTAAGTGCTCAGATATGTCGCCCTTGACCACGGTCCTGGAAATGCCAAGATTCAGGTGGATTGCACACAACAGATTTGAGTCTCAAGATATTTTTAAAATATATCATCTCATTGTTGCAAAAATAAAACACATTTGTTGCAAAAGCAATGAGAAAATGCAAATATACAGAAAAGAACAATTGTCCAGAGACAAGTATTGTCAACATTTTGATGTGTTTTCTTTTAATGAGACACATACATACACACATTGGGATGGTGGAATTTTATGTGTCAATTTGGCTAAGCCCTGATGCCAACATGTTTGGTCAAACATCAGTCTAGATGTTGTTCTGAAGGTAATTTTAGGTGAAATTAATCTTTGACCACTGGGCTTCAAGTGAAACAGGTGCCTCTTCCTAAGGCGGGCGGGCCTCATCCAGTCAGTTGAAGGCCTAAGGAGAAAGACACTGACTTCCCTGAGGAAGTAGGAATTTGCCTCCAGACCATCTTCAGGCTCAGGACTATCGCATTCATTTTTCCCTGGGTTTCCAGCCTGCCGGCCCACCATGCAAATTTCAGACCTGCCAGCTTCCACAATCATGTAAGCAAATTCCTTAAAATCAATCAATCTCTCTCTCTACACGCACACACACACACCCTATTGGCTCTGTTTCTCTGGAGAACCCTAATACATACACTATATATATATATATATATATATATACACGCACACATATAAATATATATATACACACTATATATTACACACTATATATATACACTATATATATACACACTATATACACACTATATATGTACACTATATATATACACACTATATATGTACACTATATATATACACACTATATATGTACACTATATATATACACTATATATATACACTATATATATACATACACACCATATATACACTCTATATATCCACTATATATAGTGTATGTATATATACACATACATATGTGTATATATACATATGTATGTACATATATATACATATACATACACACACATTTGTAATAAAAATAGAATCTTACTGAATCTTACTGAAGCATGCTTTATTCATTTGAGAATATGAAGATAGTAATTTGCTCATAAAATATTCTTCTCCCTGTTCCTTCATTTCCAATAGCTACATAGAATTCCATGGTGTGGATAAGCTAGGGTTATTTTAGCCAAGGATTTGCTGAATTGTCAGATGAACATGCTTTCTTATTCTCCTATGTTTCCTACAAACTTCCTTTCAAAGGTGACAAACAGAAAATGATCCAGGGGCCTTGGAGGCCCCCAGGCCCAGTGTGACTCTGCTTCTACTGAAGTTGCCCTCCTCCCTCTGTTGAGGAGCTAGAAGGGTCCCAGCCCCTGGCCTTCCCTGGCTGGGGTTTGCAGGATGTAGAGGAGTCTGAGGAGACCAGGGCCCCAGCTCCCCTTCATGGAGAGCCTGGGGCCTGCTCCCGTACGGGGCTGTGGGTTAGTGGGTGTGTGCACGCAACCACGGTCTACACCTGGGCTGCTCCCTAACTGATAATGTAATTATCAGGAGAGTCATATTGCTGCACACACAGCATTTTCAACCATTTATCACAATGTTGATCTTTATTTTAAATATAAATCAGGCAATCATTTATGTCTTTTATGTTCTTTGTATTTATTCAAGAATATTTAACTGTAGACAAAAGGTGACTTATTCATTATTCATCCTGAACAAGGCAAGTATGGCGATTTGAAAAGGCTGACATTTGAGCTTTTTGCCAACACTAGCAAAATTATATCCTTCCCATTGTAAATCAATGAAGTAGAATCATTGTGCACAAAGGAATTAAATTGCCTTGTCACTTTAATAAGGCCACCTTATATACAACCTTCAACCATCGCCATTGTGCAGAGACACAGCAGCTCCTCACCCCGCTCTGCTCAGCCCTCAGTGGCTTTCCAATTAAATCAGCATCCTCCGAATCTTTCACGCCACTCTTCCTCTTTCTTGAGAGAGAGTGTCAGAATGTCATACGCATAACTTGCTATCAGCGGCATGCACACATCGGAGGGAATTAGCAACCCCAGCCTCAGCCTCAGCTGTGCTTCTGGCATCTTTTAAACTTGTGCATCAGGTCTTCCTCTGCCAGTACCCTTCCCCCAACATCCTGCCACACCACTTCCTCGCCCTGCTTCACGGGTATGTACATACACACACACACAGATACACACACACACATGCAGATACACATATATGCACACAAACATGCACAGATACACAAAGATACACACATGCACACTCACATGCACACACACATGCTCACACATGTAGATACATGCAGGTATACACACATGCACAGACACACATACGCACATGCTGATACGTGCAGATATACACACATGCAAGATGCAGAGATGCACACAGACACATGCTCACACATGCAGATACACAGATACACATGCACAGACACACACATGCTCACACATGCAGATACAGAGATACACATGCACACACATGCACACATGCAGATACACACATGTACACACATATGCACGCTTATACATATGCTCACACATGCAGATACACATGCACACATGCATGCTCACATAAGCAGATACCTACACATGCAGATACACACACATGCAGAAGCACACACATGCACAAATAAACTCACACCTTGAGAGATAATACTATTAATTTTGTTTTCATTTAGAAATGTTCAAATTTTCCAGGCAGGAATCATTTTCGTAACAACAAATGAGAAACTCTCAGATGTCAACATCTCAGGCAGACAGTTGAAAGGAAGAAGGTGTGCTGGGAAGCGAGGCAAGGTGTGGCTAGACAGCAGCAGAAAGCGCCTCCTGCTTAGAGCAGGGGAAGCATCCTCCATCTCTACTCCCTACACATTAATCGCACTAGAGAGGAAAGACGCAAACTGCAAGGACAAATGGAAAGGAGAGGGGGCTGGCAGCCGGCGGGAGGTATGGACGCACCCCTGGATGATGAGGACAGACAGGTACCAGCCACTGACGCAGACAGAGCTCCAGGAAATGGGTGCCTCCAGATGAGAGGAGCCCTGAGAAGCCAGCAGAGACACCCAGGGCCACGGAGCAGCTCAGGAACCAGGGGCACCTGTGTCTCTTGAGGCAAGACGTGAGGGGTGTGGAGGACACGGAGTCGTCGAATTCCAATGAGACACCATTTAGAGCCCCAAGTCCCTTCTCCCAGCCCCACAGCCAGGAAATGGAGCCCCTCTGCTCTAGCAGAAGCGGGCAGGTCAGTCTCTGAGTGGGAGGCATCCATAATCGTGGCATTAAGCAAAGCGGAACAGCCACAGGTGAAGAAGATGTGGTGCCACCTGGACATAGACTGAGGCCCGTATCCCTGGGAGCCCAGCGTCTGGGCCACCTGCTGCCTGGCCTGTGCCACCATCAGCAGTAGGAGGGCCGTCCGATGCCCACAAGGAAAGACAAGAGAGGTTAGGGGTCTTCTGACAAAATAGTGAAGTCCCTACACAATCACCCGCCAGCCAGCAAACCTCACCCACAGAAACCAAGCATCAGACATGGACTCAATATCAGAAATCCCAGGCATTTGGTAAAAGTTCCTCCTATAACAAACCGAGAAGGAAAGGCTGAAAATCGAGAATGAACTCAGAGCGAGTACGTGTCATCAAGGTGACCGGGAAGACTTTTCTGAAAGGGATAACTAACAATACCAAAGAGATGAGAGGTTGATTCTATGAAACGGGGAGAGGATTCCATAAAAGAAATATCACTCAGGAAACAAAAAAGACAACATGAGAAAAATACTTTTTAACTTAATTGGGGAATAGAGATGGAGAAAACAACCCAGATAATAGAAAACAAAACAAAGAAAAGGAAGGCAGAGATGGAAAGAAACAATTTAAGGATTAGTCTAGGAATTTTATTATCTATTTTCAATAGAAATGTCATGCAAAACAAAAGAGCTGAGAACCAGCTGGTGAGGTGGCCTCATCCCAGTGCAGTGGCCCAAGTCCCCTCCAGCCCACGGCCTCCCCGTCTCCAGCCCAAGGGACCTAGTGCATGAGCAGCAGCTTCCACACACAAGAGTCTCCTATGGGGGCAGTGGGAGGACCCAGAGGAGTTTTCTCCAAGAAGGGGAATTTCACTTTGTGACCAGACACAAAAGGACCTGCCCTGGTAACCCAGTAGGCAAGGAAAGAGCTGGATTCATCCCCAGGGGTGCGTGGCCCTGAGCCCAAACTCTGTCTCCCATCACAGCCCTGGAACATCCTCCATCATCTCTGCAGGGCTCCCACAACCACCACAGCCCTGAAACAGCCCCCACCATCTCCATAACCCCACCCTGTCTCTATCATCACAGCCTGAAACAACCCCATCATCTCCACAGACCCCACCCCCCGCCATCACAACCCTGAAACAGGCCCCACCATCTCCACAGACCCCACCTTTCTCCATCACAGCCCTGAAACAGCCCCTCAGCATCTCCACAACCCCACCCCACCTCCATCACCACAGCCCTGGAACAGGCCCCACCATCTCCACAACCCGACCCCCACCCATCACCACAGCCCTGGAATATCTTCCATCATCTCCACAACCCCATCCCCCCATTGCCACACCCCTGGAACATCCTCCATCATCTCTGCAGACCCCACCCCCACAACCACCACAGCCCTGGAACAGGCCCCAACATCTCTATAGAGCCAAGTCCTCAGTCACTGCAGCCCTGAAACAGCCCCCCAACCATCTCTACAGACCACACCCCCCACTCCATCAGCACAGCCCTGGAACAACCCTCTACCATCTCTACAGACCCCACCCCCAAGTCACCACAGCCCTGGAACAGCCACTCCCTCCACCATCTCTCTAGTGCCCATCCCCCCATCACCACAGCCCTAAAACAACCCCCCATCATCTCTATAGACCCCACCCCCAAGCCACCATGGCCCTGGAACAGCCCCCTCTACCATCTCTACAGAGCAGAGCCCAGCCCCGAATCACCACAGCCCTGGAACAGCCCCACCATCCCCATAGAGCCCACACCCCCATCACCACAGCCCTGGAACAGGCCCCCACCGTCTCTGCAACCCCACCCCACCCCCAGTCACCACAGCCCTGGAATAGCCCCCACCATCTCTATAGAGCCAAGTCCTCAGTCACCACAGGCCTGGAACAGCCCCCCACCATCCCTATAGACCCCACCCCCCAGTCAGCACAGCCCTGGAACAGCCACTCCCTCCACCATCTCTGCAGACCCCACCCCTGAGTCACCACAGCCCTGGAACAGCCACTCCCTCCACCATCTCTGCAGACCCCACCCCCAGTCACCACAGCCCTGGAACAGCCACTCCCTCCACCATCTCTGCAGACCCCACCCCGCAGTCACCACAGCCCTGGAACAGCCACTCCTTCCACCATCTCTGCAGAGCTCTCCCTGCCCCAGCTTCTACTGTAGAGTTTGCATCTGCATCAGAACACACATCCTTGACTTCAGAATGACTATCTCACCATCTGAAAGGGGCAGGAGGCCCTGGGAGCTCCCTCACTCACCAGTGCCCTCCCTTATTCCTTCAACTAATAAATGTGCATTGAGTTGACGCCTACTGTGTCCAGAGGTGCAGAGCACAGCCAGACTCCTGGGACCAGCTGCCTCCACACACACCTTCATCTGCATCAGTGCTGCTCTGCTGGTCACTTTACAGGGATTTTACATCTGTAATCATACTCCAGTAAGGAGACACAGCAGAACAGATGAGGAGAAAGTGGAGAAAGTGTCTGCAGACAGTCAGAGACCCTCACAGACTTTCTTCCTAAGGACCCCAGTGCTCTCAGTCATTAAGCAGACATCCCTGGGACTGCTCACCCACCACATCAGTGCATCCAACATAACCTTCCAGTTTGGAAAAACAACCAATGACCCGAAAGACCGTTAAAATCTCTCCACTAATTTCTTTTGCCAAGAGATGCTGGAGGGGAAAAAATAAGATGAATAAAATATGATCAAAAGAATCTACAATCAACTTCCATGGCAACTAAATTCACTTACGTATGTTGTATTAAAGTTCCTTTTTTGAAAAGTTATTTGAATCTTCCAATAAGGGTTATTTATTAAATTCATATCTAAGTGGATAAAAGGAAAGTAATAAATTATTTTAAAAAGCAAAAAACTAAAAATTTCGAGAATCAAAGGATGATATGACTTTCCAGGTTAATAGCTTTAACAAATTGGTTACCCTGACCTATGCAAAAAAAAAAAAAAAAAAACAAGAACAAAACAAAACAAAAAAATGACACCAAGTTCCTCCACTGTGAAGCCTGGGAACAACATGTCTACATTTCTGTCCAACTTGGAGACCGAGAACAAGCAGCAAATAAAGCGCCATGCCAGGAGCCTGAACCAGGGCAGCTTCACAAGGAGCCTTCAGGGAGAGGGGCCAGTGGGAGATGGCCGAGGACAGCCGAGGGCAGCCGTGCCAGGATGCAGACTGACCTGAACAGAAGGTCCCAGTGCATGCCCAGAAATCCAGTGAGCAGAGAAAGGGAAGTGCTGAGAGGGACTGGAGGCTGTGACACCCCAGAAGTGGTGAGCACATCCCATGCCCAGATGGTGGTTTCTAACACCATCCTCTAGTCAGGAAGCTCCTTAGAGAAATGGCTGATTCCAGGGAAGGCAGGGAAATTACAGGATGTATATATATATGGTACCTTTCAGAGCCAGAAAGCAAGGAAGTGCTCAAGCAAACAAGATGAAGCTGTGTCAGAAGGACCCAGAAGCAACCTGAGGGTAGTCATGAGGGCTAAAACTGAAGCAATGTGAGGAACAACAGAATAAATGATGATAGCACTGGATTATTACCCCTAAAATAAAACAAACATGCACGAGTCCATACTGACATAAATGACTGAGTTTATAAATAAATGTGGAAGAAGAGACAAATCTTCCTTATGGAAAAATTCTCATTAATGCATGTAGAAAGAACAAGGGAAATAGAAAATCACCACTAACACACCAGAGGAGTAATTGCTACAATAAAGATGCGTTGATAAGTGCTAAAATTAATGTGCAAAACTTAAAGCAGAATATTTACATGACTTCAAAATATCTCCCCTAAAATGTGATAATTACCATCATGTTTTTAATGTGAGTCCCACAGATCCTCAGATACCCACTTCCAGGACGTGGGGCTTACTTTCCCTCCACCTGAGTGTGGGCTGGACCTACTTACTCACTATGAAGAAGTATGAATAAGATAATGATCAAAGAGTGCAAATGAAAAAACAGTTAATTTAACAATGAGGGAATCTGGCAAACACCACCTTAACTGAGTGATTAAAATAAATATTAGCAGTAATAAGTCATATTGATATCATGTGCATCCAATATGATTTGATGAGAAGGATACATCATCTCTGCAGTATTCTTACCCAGAATCCACAACTTTGGCCTAATCATGAGAAACGTTAAGCAAAGTCAGATTGAGGATGTTCTACAAAATATTAGACCATGATTCTTCAAAAGTGCCAAGGTCATGAAAGGCAAAGGGCAACCAAGAAACTGCCATAGACTGGGGAGGCTAAAGAGACCTAACAAATACTTGTAGTATCCTGGACTGGATCCTAGAACAGAAAAATGGTATTAGTGGAAAAACTGGGGTAAGCCTAACAAAGTCCATAGTTTAGTAGGCAGTCTTGTAGCAAAGTTAACTTCTTAGTTTTGATAAATATTCCATGTTTAAGATGTCATCATTAGAGAAATCTAAGTGAAAGTACATATGAGAACACTTTGTACTGTCTTTTTATCTCTTCTAAAGATCTAAAATTATTTTAAAATCAAAAGTCCTAAAAAGAAAGTGGCATGAAAATGTGTGGGACTGGAGGTAGCAGTCTTAGCAGGCACCATGTTTGGGGAGAGTGAGGCATCACTTGTAGACTTTTGGTGAAGGAAAAGGAGGAAGCAAGTGGTGCAAATTAAAAATCCTACAGGAAAGGCTGGGTATGGTGACTCACGCCTGTAACTACAGCACTCCAGGAGGCCAAGGTGGGCAGATCACCTGAGGTCGGGAGTTTGAGACCAGCCTGGCCCAACATGGCGAGACCCCATTTCTACTAAAAATATGAAAATTAGCCAGGCATGGTGGCATGTGCCTGTGATCCCAGCTACTCAGGAGGCTGAGGCAGGAGAATCACTTGGGCCCGGGAGGCAGAGGTTGCAGTGAGCTGAGATTGTGCCAGTGCACTCTGGCCTGGGCAACAGAGCAAGACTCTGTCTCAAAAAAACAAATCCTGCAAGAAAGAAAAAGGACTCACACCCCACAAAGGCACCATCTGTAAGAGTGTGTTCTTGAACTGAACCAAACTCCTCACTACTGCCCACATAGCATCACTCATTGTTGCTAGTCTAGAAAAATAGAAGACATTTCAAAATGAACAGAAAGTAGAAGGCACTTCAGCTGGTGAAAATTCTCCACCCAAAAGAAAATATGGAGCAGTGGAGAACTGTAACACTCCAAACCAAATTAAATATTATTAAACAATTATAGATTTTAAAAAAAACTTTACATCAAAAATTCAACAGCTAAAAACAAAACATGGCTTTTTAAAAAATACTGAAATATATAAAATGAGAATTTGCTAAATTTAAGAAAAACGGAATAAAAGGAAATAAAATTAAACTATTGAGTGGTCAGGAGAAAAATGTATGCAACTGAATATATAAAAGTAATATTGAGGATACAATATAAAGAAGAGAATTAAAATAAGAAAGATTTTTAAAGGATCAAATAAAACAGTACATAAAGAAGATAGACAAAGAAGATCTAACATGCATATAATTGGAATTCAAAAAACAGTACAACAATGAAAAATAACTTTTATAACTAGATTTCAATAAAATGATAATTCAAGACAATTCAGAATCTGTGGGATAGAACTAAACTACCAATCAGGGGAAATTTTACAGCTTTAAATAATCATACAAATATATTTAAAAACAAAAATAAAGGAATTAAGTTCTCAACTTAAAAGAACTAGAAAAATAACAATAAACCAAAAGAAAGCAGGAGAAAATAAATAAGGATGAAAACAGAAAAATCCCATGACAGAAAATTTTTTTTAAAAAGTAGAACCATTACATAATTCAAAATGCTATTTCTTTCCAAAGAAATGAACAAATGACTCTCCTATACTAGGCCTAATGAAGAAAGTTAAAAAAAAAAAAAAATAACAACCAGGGAGGTTCACTGGGTGTGGTGGCTCATGCCTGTAATCCCAGCACTTTGGGAGGCCAAGGCAGGCAGATCACCAGAGGTCAGGGGTTCAAGACCAGCCTGGACCATATGGTGAAACCCCATCTCTACTAAAAATACAACAATTAGCCAGGTGTGGTGGCACACCCCTCTAATCCCAGCTACTTGGGAGGCTGAGGCACGAGGATCACTTGAACCTTGGAGGCAGAGATTGCAGTGAGCTGAGATCATGCCGTTGCACTCTAGCCTGGGCAACAGAATGAGACTCTGTCTTGAAAAAAATAAAAAAGAAATAACCAGGGGAAAATAGCCATGAAAAAACAACATAAAAAACTCATAAGAACATGTTGTACAACTCTATGCAAATTAAAAATTTAGATAAAATAAATGACTTCTTAAGAAAATATGATTTGCTAAAATTGATCCAAATAAATATAGAAAGCTTAAACAGTCCTACTTCCACAGACAGAATACAGAAAGTTATCGAAGAATTGTCCCATAAAAAAGGACAAGACCTGGATGGTTTCACAGAGGGTCTACTAAGAAAATACAAGATAATCTCAGTATCACATAATTTGTCCCAGAATATAGAAAGAAGAAAACTTCCAAATTTTTTAAAAACAAATATAACATTAATCTCTAAGCCAATAGAGATAGCCCCAGAAAGACAACTATGGCTTAATATTTCTTATAAATACCAATGCCAAAAAATTCTAAATAAAATGATAGCAAAAAGAATAGAAAAACATGCTTAAAAATAGTACATTATGTCCAAGTAAAACTTATTCTAGGAATGTGAGGGTAGATCTATATTAGAAAATCCAAATAATTTGCCCTATTAATAGTAGACATAAGGAAAAAGTGCATAATTTTATTCATACTAAGAAGATACACACACATCAATAGATATATGAATACACATATGTATATAGATATATATGTATGTGTATATAAACATGTGTATATATGAGTGTGTCTATACACATGTATGTATCCACATGTCTTTATGTACACCCACGTGTATATGTACATATAAATGTATGTATGTGTAGATGTATAAAATCAACCTTAAAGTCATCATCTTTCTTAATAGGGAAACAAAGCATTTCCTACTAACGTCAGAAATAAAACAAGGACACACACTATCTGCATTATTATTTAACACTGTATTAGAAATATAATGTGTATAATTAGAGAAGAAAAAACATTGAAAGAATAAACATTTGGAAAATAAACATAATTTATAGATGATGTAATAATACACTTGGAAACCCAAAAGATTTAATAATGAAAATAAAAGAATTCAAAATTAGCAGATTATACAATGAAAATCAATATCATTTACCAAACAAAATCATGTGTGTGCACATAAATAATATACAATGGAAGAGAAACTATTACAACAAATGCAGTGAAAAAGATAAAGTACTTACAAATTAATTTAACAAGAAATATGCAAAACCAATATGAAAACAATTTTAAACCACTTCTAAGAAACATAGAAAAGACTTGAACAAATGACAAAAAAAAATCCCTTGTTCTTGGATAATTCCATCTTATAAAAACATCAGCCCTCCTAGAGATAATACATAAACTTATCAAAATTGAAATAAAATTCCCAACAAGTTTTTATCCTGGACTGAGTCAAATTGAATCTAAAGTTTAAATGAAAAATTAGACATACTAGAAAAGCTAGAAAAACTCTACAAGAAGAACAATGGCAGGGGGATTACCCTCTGAAATTGTAAAGTATTCTAAAAGCCTTACTAGTTAAAACTGTGCTGTTGACAGATGAGCAAACTGACCAATGGTGCAGAGTTAAGGGTCCAGGAACAGATGGAAGTATTTATAGAAATACAGTCTATGATAAAGGTGACATTTCAAATTCTGGAGAACAGATAGACTTAATAAAATATGTTAACTGGATAACCATTTGAAAAAATGTAGAAAGGGATCCATACCTCCTACCACATATCTGAATAAACACCAAATGGATCAGTGTTCTAAATGGAAAAAGTTCTAGAAGAAAACACAAGAGTTTTTTTATATATAATCTGGAGATGAAGGATGTGAAGAAAGCCTTTTAAACTAATAATTCATAAGCAATAAAAGCAACAACTGGATTAATTTGACTATAAATTCTTTTGGCTTCTGAAAAACACCATAAACAAAGTCAAATAACAAGAGATAAAATGATAGAAAATACATACAATATCTCTCAGAGTTAAAGGAATAATCTCCCTAATACATAAAATGCTGTTAAAAGTAGGAAAAAAAGATCAAAAATCTACAGAAAAATGGACAGATCACAAAAATGGTTCACAGAAAACAATATACACAAAGCCCTAATGGTATGAAAAGATGCTCAACTTCACATATAAATACAGATTAAAACTACTCTGGGACTCCATATCACACACATCATGTTGGCAGAAATTCAAAGGCTTGACCACACACCCTGTTGGCAAACCTTCTAGGGAAAGTGTACGCTTTTATAACTCACTGGTGGGAATGTGAAATGATTCAACATCTATGGAGGGGAATCTGGCAATAGCCAAGAAAACCATGCATTTACCCTTTGACCCAGAAATCCCACCTCTAGGAATTAGCCCTGAAAAAGACATTTTCACAAAGATATGTCCAAGGTTATTCATTGCAGCATTATTTGTAACAGCAAAATATAGAACTGCCCAAGTGCTCTTTGAAAAGCGACCAGTTATATACATGATAGTACAGCTGCATGGAGTATCATGCAGCTGTAAAAATGAATACATCTATATATTGATATACAATGATTTCCAGGATATATTTTAAGTTAAAAAGCAAAATACAAAAGATTATATGTAGTATTCTACCTTTTGCATACACAAGGAGGTTAAATGAGAAATATACATATAGTGTCTTATGTTAAAAAACCATTGCTTATGCATAAGCATGCCTAATACATATATACATACACACTCATACAGGAGGATGCACCAGAAACAAAAAAAGTGTTATTATCCTAGGGGCTGGTGAGAGATAAATGAAAGTGTTGTGGATGAGAGTAAGAATTATCTGACTATGCTTTTTTTCATATAGTGTCTTTTGAGCATATAGAAACTTAACATATTCAAAAATGTCAAATATATTGATAAAAGGCATACCCTAAAATTGAAAACAGACAAATGAACTTAATGCCATATCAAACTGATACCACAACCACACAGAAAGGAGAATCAATGCAAGTAAATTTGGACCTAGTTCTCTGGCTGTACACACCTGGTGTGATATACTCTAAAGACAAAAATTATGACAAAGAAATCTTGAATTTTTCTTAACACTCTGTTGGTGGAGGTGTCAGCGTAGTAATTCCGAGATAATTCTGTACATGTCATGGCAGAAAGCCAACAGGTAAATATATTACATCTGGGGAAACCAAGATTCTCACCATAATAGAAGTGAAATATCAATGTGGAATAAGGAGGAGCTGTTGTGTTTGGCTCGGTTTGGAGAAGTTAGTAAGAATATAAAACTTCTGCTCTGTTCATTCCTAGGACCAGGAGCAATGACACCCCAGAAGTAATGAACACACCAGTACCCAGGGTTTTGTTCACAAATACCACTCTCCACTGAAAGTAACCAAGACTACTTAGAAAATCAGCTCTTCCAGGTCTTAAGCAGGGAAAGGCCAAAGTGAGCCTGGACCAGGTTTTGTGTTGGGAAGCAGGGAAGCACTCGAGGACTAACAGGGCACAACAGAGGTCAGAGCCTGACTGCAGAGGCTCTCACTAGCCACACGTGAAACAACTCCATCATCAAAAAGAACAATGAGGGCCGTGGATTATAATACACCAGATTAAAAGAATATGTGAGTCTATAATTGTTTAAAAAAACAGGGAACGGGGGAGAGGGACAGTTATTCATTACAGGAAAAGGCCAGTTAATAAATGCGGGAGGAAGGATAGAATTAGAACACCATTCTGCATCTATAATTAAGCAAAATCACCAGGTAAAAAGTTATTGGAGAACAGGATATTCACACAATCACAGTCACATTGGCAGCCACCTTAACCAAATGATCAAATTTAACAAGGGTCACATGTTCCTAATGCAATTAAACAGGAAGTGTATCACATCACCGATGGAGAGGTCTTGCTGAAATTTGTGACCTGAGCTAATCACGAGGAAATAACCAGACAAACCAGAGTGAGGGCGTGCTGCAGGAGAGCGCACCTGCACTCCAGAATGTTGACTGGGGTCTTAAAATGAAAGTAGAGGGAGTGGGCACACTCTGGATTAAAGGCAATTAGGGAGACATTGGAAACAAATGTAACCCGCGAGCCTTAACTGTTCCTGTTCCCCCAACAACAGGTGGGTTTGACCACAGGGTGGGCGATGGTCTAATGACCACAACCCAGAGGGATTTTACTACTTGCAACAACTAAGGAGAGCACTCGGGTAGTTCCGAAAGCAGTTCCTCCCCCAAAAAAGTGAAATAGGGGCTTTTATTGGGCTGGTGCGCTGCGTCATGGCATGTGGCTGGGAGTCAAGGCAGCGCAGCACAGGTTCCGATCTTGCTTCTACGCCACATGCATAGGAAATGGTGAATGAGCTCCTCCCTGGGTGGGGATTTGAGGATGGTAATGAGGAGGGTTCACCCAAGTTCACCTCCCCCCGGGGCCTGAGCTTCTTCCTGGAAGCTTCTGAAACAGTAGGAACTCAAGGTGCAACAGGTACAAGTAGGTAATCAAAAATCCAAGGGCCCTGGGTTACATCCCGAGATTTTAAAAATACATAAAGACACCGTGGGGACATGGGATGTACTAGTCCATTCTTGCACTGCTATGAAGAACCACTGGAGGCCGGGTAATTTATAAAGAAAAGAGGTTTAATTGACTCACAGTTCTGCAGGCTGTACAGGAAGCATTGCTGGGAGGCCTCAGAAAACTCAGTCGTGGTGGGAGGTGAAAGGGGAAGCAGGTGCGTTCTACGTGGCTGTAGGAGGAGGAAGAGCGTGAAGGGGGAGGTGCCGCACACTTTTAAATAACCACACTCTCGCGAGCACTCACCACTATCACGAGAACAGGGCCAAGAGGAAACCCACCGCCATAATCCAATCACCGCCCACTGGGCCCCACCTCTAACACTGGGGATCACAATTTGACATCAGATTTGGGGGGCGACACAGACCCAAACCATATCATGGGGTGTGTACGATTTATTGAGGAGACAATAGAACTGTAGTTAAACAGGAGGCTCTCTTTGTTCCTGGAGACACAGGTGGGGGTCCTTGCAAATGATTCAAGAAGTGTGTGTGTGTGTGTGTGTGTGTGTGTGTGTGTGTGTAAAACAGAAACAGACAGAGAGAGAGACAGATATAGAGGCACAGGGTCAGAGAAACAGCGAGACAGCACGTGCGGACACTGTGGTTAGCGATGCAGATGGGAAGATGGGAAAGGAATTATGAGAATTGGTGGATATGGGGCGTCCATCTTCATCTTTCATGGAATTAACTCCATGCATAACATACAAAGCTGATAAACCAAGAACGCCGCAGGCACAGTGCTGGGTTCCAACCCCACTTCTGTCTCTCACTCCCTGTTTTGGGGCCGCCTACATCTCTTCCCAGGACCTCTGCTTCCTCATGGGGTGAACAATAATACCTTCCTCACTGGGCAGAGAGAAGTAAGAGTTGAAACATGTAAAGCCCCCCCCCACAGGAGAGCCTGGCAGAGTGCGTGCTGGAGAAATAGCTATTCAGTAGATCCAAGGGGCTATTAAGGAGATTGTTTAGAAGTTAGGAGGAAAATACCCAAACACGTGGCGGTGGCCACTTCGGGGAGCAGGAGGTGTGGAGGGAGGGCTGCTGCTTTTCATTGTGAACTACATGGATTACTTGCTCATTACACTGTGCTCATGGGTGACCTCGAGTGAGTAATTTTTAAGAAAGCAGCAGCGCAGGATCAGAAGGTGGAACGTCTGGTGCCATCTGGACAAAAGTTAGTGGTGAGATTCAGGGGCCTCTGTGCTTCTGTCTCCTCCCCTGGAAGATGAAAGAGGTGAGAGAGTTGCCGTTTATTTCTGGGAAATAAAACCCCACCAGCAATGGAATATTCTATCAAAACCCTGAGGTTTCATGAGAAACAACAAAAATGTTCATTGGCCTGAGCCTGCCTGGGTGCAGCGCTTCCAATGCCGGGGGCAGCTGTCTCATCCACCCGGCCCACGGCTGCCCTGCTCTAAGGGTCAGCCTGAGGTCTGAGCAGGGCAGGCACCCTCAATCTCAACCCACACTCAGAACAGGGCAGCAGCAAAATGGAACCCAGAGCCAACAAGCCTTGCCCTGTAAGCACAAGAACTAAACTGAGTGTGGCTTTTAGATTTGCACACACACACACACACACACACACACTACACAGTGCAGCATTAGAGCACATTCCACTCTCAATCTTTAGTCCTGTTTTGAGAGTTTCCTGAAATTACGCAACCAAAGCCAAGCACTCGGAAGCACAGTGCGTGGTGACAATGCTCCAGCACTGCTCACGCTGCTGGTTTAGCTGGAACATGTTAATACCGAATGACCTTTTTCTGAAGGGTATTTTAAGGAGACGCAGTAATTTTCTGTAATATGGTTACCATAGTGATTGGCCCTTTAAAAAGGCTGGGGGAGAAATGATGTACATCTGTAATCAACAGCCACTGCAACTACAAATGGTTTGATAAAGCAACATTTGGGGATTAATTTGAAGCAGAATAGATAAGCGGGTTTTTAAAAAATCAACCAAAAAAAAAAAAAAAGAAGAAGAAGAAAAGAAGAGAACTCCACGGAGCCGCATAAGCAGGGCCCTGGTAACGGGTGCAGAGCTCCTGCTCGGAGGAGGGAGGCGGGGAAGACAGGGCCACCAGGAAGGGCTTGTTTCCATGCTGGGCCTCGGCTTCCCCAGAGGTGTGGAAACAAAGGTGGCCCAGATGGAGGTGGCCTTACAGCCGCCTCCTCCCCAAAAAAACAAGGAAAAATCCCCTCCCGGACCCTGACCCCCTTGCTTGGCCGGAGCCAGCGTCTCAAATTTGGGGATAAAGGAGGCACCACTGACAGGAACCAGGGCTCCCTGCAGGGACGGAGAACCCCAGGGCTGGGAAGGACGTGGGATGTTGCGTGGTGTCACAAAGCAGGAACATCCTCGGAGAATGATGGCGACGTGCCCGAGAGACTCGGGAACCAGCCTGCACGGCTTCTCCTGGCCGAACACGAGAGACTTTAAGCATCAAAATGAAGAATGATGGTAACCTCGTGTATGCACCGTCTCAAAGCCCAACACACAAAACACTAACTGAGCAGGAATTGTGCCACGAATAAGCCTGGCAGATGCCACCTTGATCAAACAGGAAAGTGACTGTCACCAGCCACAGGGCTGCTCAGAGGGACAGGCAGCCAGGAGACATCACCCTCTCCAGTTCCTCATCCCAGAGGAGTGGAGCCTGAGTCTATACCAAGGAAACACCAGACAAACCCACACAGGGGACATTGCACTAAGTCACTGGCCTGCAATCCTCAGAGTGACCTTCCCATGAAGGGAGGTGTAAGGAATGTTCCCAGCTGAGGAAGCCTGGTGGTCCCGGAGTCCTGTCAGTGTGCACTTCTCACCAGGCCTTTTCTGAGGGTCCTGGAGTTGCATTAGGGTGAACGTCTCACCCGGGTTCTTTCTGAGGGTCCTGGAGCCGCCTCGGAGTGCACTTCTTACCCAGGCCCTGTGGACACATGGGCATCCTTGGTTGAACTGGAAACATGGGGTCTGTCTTTAACTTGAATGGGGTCAATCTTAGTCTGCTTTCTGTTGCTTATAAAATAATGCTCAAAACTGGATAATTTCTAAGGAAAAGAATTTTTTTTTTTTGACGGAGTTTCACCCTGTCGCCCAGGCTGGAGTGCAATGGCGTAATCTCAGCTCACTGCAACCTCTGCCTCCCAGGTTCAAGTGGTTCTCCTGCCTCAGCCTCCCGAGTAGCTGGGATTACAGGCGTGTGCCACCACACCCAGCTAATTTTTTGTATCTTTAGTAGAGACAGGGTTTCACCATGTTGGCCAGGCTGGTCTCAAACTCCTGACCTCATGATCCACCCACCTCGGCCTCCCAAAGTGCTGGGATTACAGGCGTGAACCACTGTACCCTGCCAGAAGCTTATTTCTTAAGGAGGCTGAGAATTCCAAGGACAAGGGTCAAGTCTGGTGAGGGCCTTCTTGCTGGTAGGGACTCTCTGGGGAGTCCTGAGACCATGCCGGGCATCATCTAACGAGGGGGCTGGGTGTGCTGGCTCTGGTGTCTCTCTCTCTCTTCTTACAGGACTACCAGGCCCATTCCTGTGATAACCCATTAATCTATGAATGGATTAATCCATTCAGGGAGGCTATAATCCAGTCACCCCTTAGAGCCCCCACCTCTCAATATTACCACATTGCAGACTAAGCTTACAACATGTGAAATTTGAGGAGCCTGTTCAAATCACAGCAGGGGCTAAGGATTAGATGGTAATACATATCAATGCTAATTTCCTGATTGATATGATTTGGCTCTGTCCCCACCCAAATCTAATCTTGAATTGCACTCCCATAATTCCCACGTGTTGTGGGAGGGACCCGGTGGGAGATAATTTGAATCATGGCGGTGGTTTCCCCCCATACTGTTCTCGTGGTAGTGAATAAGTCCCACAAGATCTGATGGTTTATCAGCAGTTTCCGTGTTTGCATCTTTTTCATTTTTCTCTTGCCACCACCGTGTAAGAAGTGCCTTTCACCTCCTGCCATGATTCTGAGGCCTCCCCAGTCATGTGGAACTGTAAGTCCAATTAAACCTCTTTTTCTTCCCAGTCTCGGGTATGTCTTTATCAGCAGTGTGAAAATGGATTCATACACTGATATTGATAGTGGGGTTGTGGTTATATGAGAGAATGTCCTGCTTTATTGGAAATACGCTAGAATATTTGGGAAAAGGGCATTATGTCAGCAGCTTATTCTGAAATGGTTCAGTGGGGAAAAACTTTTGTAGCTGAAGGCACTGACTTTTTGGATGAGACTTCCTAAGATTGCCCACTTTATCACTATCCCAAGCGTTACATGGAACACCATCCCAAGTATAGTCTTTGTCTTCCTTTAGAAGTTCATTTTAGAGTCAGGACCCAAACTTATCAAAACTTGCGATGTTTCTATAAGTTTGAAAGTGGTTCAAGAAATAGATTTAAGAGAGGAAGACAGGTGCTCAAATGAACCACCCAACTTTGGAATGGTCAGTAAAGAAAGAGCCTTTCTTTATTACAGTGTTTCTAATTCTGATCCCTTCTGTACAAATAAGACACTGGTCTTCTATCTCCTATCGGCTGAGGACATGGCTTTGGCAAAGCAAAGACAAGGTGTTTAGGTGAGAAAATTGATAACAAAAGGGCTGAGTCCTCCCCGTCCCCCTACCCCACACACTTGGTACTGAGAGCTAGTTACCAAAAAACAGAAGTCAGCCCCTCGTTGCCATCTGTAAGATAGATTCATAGCCCGGGTTTGGACACCAGCATCCAAGCCTTCCTCAAGAAGGCAGGCCTTCTCAATCCAGAGGACCTGGAGAGGTGGAGAGAGGTGAGCACATCTGCTGGGTGACTGGCAGAGAGCAGCAAGGTGAGTTAGCCTCTGTGCACTGCACTCAGGGAGAAAAGCCAGCATCGACAGTCCTTGAAATGAATCACCATATACTGGGCAGAGCTTCTTGAGTGTTTAAATGAGCAGTTCTGAAATCTCCCATCCAAAAAATGGGTTGCTTCAGCTGCAGCGGACACACCTTGACTTAATTCCTATATTTCTACCCAAAAATCTTCATTGCCCAAAACCAAACTTAACTTTGAGGAACATGGAAGTAAGTGGCCGGTAGGTAACATCTCTCTCTCTTTTTTTTTTTTTTTTTTTTTTACTTTAAAAACACTTTATTACTTTTGAGATACCAACATTTTTATCTAAGGAAGTTAAAAGATTTATTTTTAAATACTTCATTGTTTTGAAACACAAAAACTTTCCTCTTGAGAAACCTGAACAGTAGAGATGGATTGTACTAATTGATATACAGTTATGGCTGAATAATTTTTTTAGGCTAATTATTATTCACAATCTGCACATTTCATCACATTCTTTTTTTATTATTATTATACTTTAAGTTTTAGGGTACATGTGCACCATGTGCAGGCCAGCTACATATGTATACATGAAAAAATGCTCACCATCGCTGGCCATCAGAGAAATGCAAATCAAAACCACAATGAGGTAACATCTCTTATAGGCTCTCTCACCAAAACTTCTGCCTCCACATCTAAGCACCTGTCCAAATGCTTAGCACAGTCAGATGCCTTTGGAGGAGAAAGTAGTTCATACCCACGGGTGCTGGCTAGCCCTCCACTCAGGCCATGTATTGGTTCCCTTCAGTCCACACCAGTCAGGCTCACAAACTTCACAGCAGAGCTCAGCCCCCTGGGTTGCACCTCTGATGTGATGCAATGTCGAACAAAGAGCCATACCCATGGGAAGAACATTTCTGGTTGTTTTTGCATGAATTGAAGTCATGCCTCTTGGGTAAAAGTCCACAGAGCAAGTTATACCTTGAAAGCAAGACAGGAAAACATGAGTCTGTCAAGATGAATTTGTTTGATGCCACTAATCACTGTATAAGGACCCTACATTTTCTTCTTTTCTTTGACTACCAGGAACCTCAGTGTTAGGTGGAGCCTTTGACTGGCCCCTCCACCCCCACACCAAGGTCACTGTCCTCTAACCTTTCAAGCGGCTCCTGTTCTGTTATCACACACTGGCGTGGACCGGCTGGGCCACCATGGTGGAGTTCTGGTCCATCCCTTTCATTCTTGGGTTGCTGGCACCTACTTTATAACTTACATTTCTATTTTGTCGAAGTGTATTATAATTATTTGTGCTCTTGTACCTCAAATGCCTGACAATGGTAGGCATAAACAAGTATAAAAAGTTTGGAAAATACATAAGAAAATTAATATTTCCGGCAATCCTCCCACCCAAGGATAAACATGGACAAGAGTTTTGTGTGTTATCTCCCTGTGTTTTCATTCCCTGCATTTATTTTGTGTAAATGCAACAAAGGTGAAACATTTATATAGTCCTGCATCCACCCCGCTTTTTACTTGAGGTATTATAAGCAGTTTCCCATTAAACTTTTTGAAAGTATGATTTGCAATAGCTGGCAGGCATTTCATTGTATGGCTGTAACAAATATTATTTTTCTACTGTGGATGCTGTTGAACATTATGGCCGCGTCTAGATTTTTGCCATTGGAAATAGCGCTTCAAGGAACATCCTTGCACGCACACCTGATTCTGCTTCTGTTTTGGGCCTTATGAA
The DNA here is from genome assembly GCF_000001405.40 of Homo sapiens. Classification (NCBI taxonomy): domain Eukaryota; kingdom Metazoa; phylum Chordata; class Mammalia; order Primates; family Hominidae; genus Homo; species Homo sapiens. Next base: position 111,366,471 of record NC_000013.11, on the reverse strand, counting down.
CGTGTCCCAAGGATAGAGTTCGTCTTCCTTTAAAAGCTCACTGTACAATCAGGACGCAAAGGCCAGGGTTCCTTCATTACAAGGACAGGAGAGGCTCTTAACTTGAAGCTTCATTAAGTTACAAACAATTACCTGGTATTATTACATAAGCATGATCTCGTTAGATTGCCCAGATACATCAGGAGTCTGATGGTAACTCCCAATGGCTCCTTACAGAAAATGGTGAACCTGTTAACCTGTAGCTGCTGAAACTGGCTCGGTGCTCCCTGGCAATTTCCACACGCCTCTCTTCCTCCCCTGCTGTCTGGTTCCTATTCATCCTCTTCCCTGAGTTCCAAGTCATTTTGGCCCTCTTGCCAGTCTCCACTGGAAACAGTCTAGAGGCAAATGCAGAGTGGTTTTTTTCCCACTAGGTTTATAAGTTTCCAAGTTCAAATTTCAAATAGAATAGTCCCATAAAAGAAGCCTCAATATACTCTAGACATAATCACGGTCGGTGAACCCCAGGGAGGGAAGAAGGCGTCCAGGAAAAGGGAAGCCAGCTGGACGCACTGAAATTCACACCTAGGGGAAGAGGCTAGGACTGCCCGTGACCACCATACCTGGCCATGGAGGTCTGGGCATCCTCCGGGTGTAGCTCAGCACATCAGAGCGAGAAAGCAAGGAACTGACCATGAGCAGATTGGGCGGTCAGAAATTGGGGTGGACCATGCTCTGCTCTTTCACGTGCTTTGGTTGCAAAGGAAGTGAGAAGGAGAGGGCACTCCCTTGAGAAGTTAGGGAGAAATAAGGCTTTGGGTTGTCATGGCCAGGGCACTTGCATTAGGTACCTAGTGTTGTGTACTCACCCACCACGAGATGTAGTCACTGACAACGACAACGTTTATTCTGTTCACAAACCTGCAGTCTGGGCAGGGCTTGGTGCGGACCCCTCATATCTGCAACCTCACTGGGCAGGGTCATCTGGAGCCCCACACTCACATGCCTGCCCTGGGCTGGGAAGGCACAATAGCTGCGGGAATCAGCTGGGCTCCTCCAACATCCCCCAGCCTCCCCAGAGTCTTGACATAAGGCCTTTGCAACAGGGAGGCAGCCCCCACCCCCCATGTTGGCTTAGAGCTCTTGGAAGAGAGCCAGGGGAAGAGGCAGCCTCTCCTGTGACCTAGCCTCAGAAGACGCGCAGCATGGCTTCCAGAGAATCCTGTCACCACATAAGCCCAAAGGCTCACCTGCCTCCAGGAGGAGAGCAAATACATGTCGCCTCTTGCTAGGGGAGTGAGAAGGTTCTGGAAGAGATGCAAACCAGAAACATGGCTGTGAAAACATCTGGAAAACAATCTGCTACAGAGGTGTGTTTCACAGTTTATTGAGAGAATTCTTAGAACATCCACAGCACCTGTTTTAAGTGCATAATTAATAGTTTTTCATAAATTCACAGAGTTGGGCAGCCACACCACCATTTTATTCTAGAACATTGTTGTCACTTCAAAATAAATTCCATAGGCTGGGCTCGGTGGCTCATACCTGTAATCCCAGCACTTTGGGAGGCCAAGGCAGGTGGATCACCTGAGGTCAGGAGTTCGAGACCAGCCTGGCCAACATGGTGAAACCCCGTCTCTACTAAAAATACAAAAATTAACCGGCATGGTGGTGAGCACCTGTAACTTCAGCTACTCCGGCAGCTGAGGCAGGAGAATGGCTTGAACCTGGGAGGCGGAGTTTGCAGTGAGCCAAGATCGTACCTCTGTACTCCAGCCTGGGTAACAGAGTGAGACTCTGCCAAAAAAAAAAAAAAATATGTATATATATATATATATATATATATATATATATATATATATATATATATATATATTCCATACCCATTAGTACTCATTCTCACTCTGTCCATTCACTTATTTCTTAAAAAAAAAAAGTCTACTTAGATCCTTTGTCAATTTTTAAATTTGGTTATATGTCCTTTTACTTTTGAGTTGTAAGATTTCTTTATGTATTCTAGATACAAGTCTTTTATCAGAAATGTGATTTGCAAATATTTTCTGCCATTCTGTGAGTTTTCTTTCCACTTTCTTGATGATATAATTTGCAGCATAAAAGTTTTTCATTTTGGTGAAGTCCAGCGTATTATTTTTTTCTTTGTCATTTGTGACTTTTGTGCTGTATCTAAGAAGAAACCGTCATCTGACGCAACCTCATGAAGTGTCATTCCCATGTTTTCTTGAAGGGTTGTTTAGTGTTAACACCTGCATCCAGGTCTATGGTCCATTCTGGGTGAGTTTTGGGGACAGTGTGTTGAAGTCCACTGCTTTCTTTTGCATATGTGCCTCCAGCATTCCCAGTTCTCGTTGTTGAAAAGATTCTTCTCTCCTCATCTTATTGTCTTTCTACCTCAGAGTTTTAGGAGAAGGGAGACTCAAGCATGTTTGGAAAGAGATTTAAGGAACACGAGAGAAGATTATTCATAGAGCAACGAACTGCAGCAGGAAAGAAGACTAGATTGAAGACCAGGCTCCCCTCTAACGTGTGCAGGATCCAAGACAGCTGGGCTGCCCTTCCCGGCCCATCCCTGACTCCATACTGCACTAGGAGAAGCCACGTGTGCAGGTGTGTGGATACCCAGCCTGCATGACCAGCCTTCCCATAGCTGCCCATCAGCCTGAGGACTGCACATGCCCAGGAGAACAGCCCAGGGAAGAAACCCCCACAGACCAGCACAAGCTTGGGGCCACTTGTGCAGGGAACTCTGGGGCAGGTACCTGGAGCCTGGGCTGGAGGCAGGGTGTGGGCTCACAAGCCTGTCTGCCAAGCATCGTAGCTTCCGTGTCTCATGGAGACGATCGTGGCCAGAGGGCCAGAGAGGAGCTCTTTTGAGTCCAAAGCACAGGGCAGTCGAGTAAATACTGGAGGCTTTCTTAGCCAAGTGGTCCCTGTCACAGTTACTTAGCTCTGCAGCTGACCTGTGAAAGAAGCCATGGAAGTACACGGACGGGGGTGTCTGTGTTCCCATAAAACGTCGTCTACAAAAGTAGGCGGTGGGCCAAATTTGGCAAGCACCATCTATGCACAGCGTGGAGGTGTGGGCCCCGGTTGCCTGCATCCTCAGTGCTGCCCGTGGACTTGACCAGAGAAGCTGGGAGGGAAACCTGTCCTCCTCCTCATAGGGGGAAAGGCATGAGACGAAGGGCAGGTACAGGGAAGTCCTGACGTGGGGGACAGAGGCTCAAGGGAACCAATCACCGTGCTGACCTCAGGAACAAGATGAGTTCCCCTCCTGGGACCTTCACTCTTAACTTCTGGGGATGGCAACATAACTCAGTCCACCACCTGACACGGAATCACCCAGAGCTTCCACACTTTGCAGCCCTGAATGGAAGATGCAAGGAAGGCACCTTGTCCCGCGGGAGAGAGGAATTCAGCTAACTTGGGCACGTGGCTGCTGACAACCAGAATCACTCGGATTATGTCCTGTGGCTGGAGGGTAATTTTTAGGAATGCCAACACAGAGTTTTCTCCCGTTCTTCTTGTCTTCCCCCCCACCTCCCTTGTCTTCAGTCATTCTTTACATCGTTCTATTTCTTGTCCACTTTGCTGGAGGATTTTCACCTTACTCATGGATCCCAGGGGATGAGGGTGGCAGGTTCCACCTCAGTTCAGCCACATCCCATCTGTGTGACTCTGGTGACATTACTTAGCCCCTCTGAACTTGTGTTTCCTTGTTTGTAAAAATGGGTACGATCATACTTCAAGGTATTATTTTGTGGATGGAATTAAATTAAACCACAAGGGTCAAGTTAGAGGCTACACAATCAGACACAGTTGCCCACATATGTTTAAGTAGTGACATCCTTGATCACAGCAGTGGGGTCAGACTTAATCGTGCCCTCAGGAAGTTTCTGCAGTAAAGGAAGCCTGTCTTCACCTTAAACTCAAACAGGCAGCTGGTTCTGGTTCTCGACCTTGTCATAACCAATAACCTCAACTTCCCCATAATTTCCATTGCACATGCCCTCTGCCCTTCAGCCCCAGCCACTCACAGCTCCTCTCCGTAGGACCTACCTCCTCCCAGGTTCCTCGCCCATGCTGTGGCCTCCTCTCCTCTGCACCCAGGTTATTTTCATGTTCCTTTTATTAGAATGTCCTGACATGCACCCCTCACCCCCACCCCACCTCCCAGCATCACACTCGACTGGCTAACCTACGGCCCAGGTTCAACCAAGCTCCCCACCTGGCCATACCTGCACCCATGCAGCAGCACTGGGCAACAGAATATGCAGCTTCCGAGATCAGTTGCATTTTAAATTCACAGCCACGTCCCCATGGGCACCTAGGGCTCTACTCTCCTAGATCTGAGCGGGCAAGCACCTGAGGACACTGCTAGTATAGAGCATTGACTGAGTCCGTCAGGGGAGGCACAGGTCACTGCACCTCTCACAAGCTCCCAAGGCCACACCTGGCACTCTGAGCTCCTGGAGGGAGGTCCTGGAGGGAGGTCCCACATGGGCTCCTCTCCTCAAACCTTCCATGCCACTGCCTCAGCTTCCTGCTGTGGCGATAGCAAGTCACAAACTTAATGGCAAAACCACAGCACAGAGGGGTACCTTACAGTTCTGCAGTCCCAAGTCCAACCCAGGGCCCACAGTGCTAAAATCACGGTGCCTGCGGGGCTGTATGTCCTTCCGGGCACTCTAGGGCATAATTCATTCTGTGCCGTTTTCAGCATCTAGAGCTTCATTCGCTGCTTTCGGCCCTTTCCCTGTCTCCAAAGCCACCATCGCTGCATTCCTCTACATTTCCTCCACAGTCACGTCCCTCTGAGTGCCGCCAGAAGGGGCTCTCCACTTTTAAGGGCCCATGTGATTAGGTTGGTGCCACCTGGAGGATCCAAGATAATCTCTCCATTAAGACCCTGTCCCTCAGTCACAGCTGTAAGGTGACTGACATGTTCACCGGTCCTGGGGACTCGGATGCAGATGTCTTTGGGGGCCTTTATTCTGTTGTAACAGCCTCTTTCCCATCCTCTCTTCCAATGGATGACCTTGGCTCACCTGCAGGATTTTGGCAATCTCGCCCTCACCTGCACACTTGGGTGTGCCCTGTGCATCACGCACATCTTACCAAGTCCCAGGCACGTAGCCAGCACTGCATGGATGCTGGTTCACTTTTTCATCCAAAAGGGCGGACTGGGTGCTGCTTGCACACAGCATGAAGTAGGCTGTTTTCCACGGGCCAGACAAAAGGCTGCGCCCCCACCTCCCAGCTGTGGCCATATGGCCTTGCCCACTCCCTTCTACAATGCCACCAACGTCCCATGGCCAGGAGAATCTTCACCAAGCAGCACTTGGAGCCACCATTCCCCTCCCACCCCGGTCCCATACTTGGTCCACTTGTCCAGGTCGTTCTTTCTATTTAGATATATCTGTCAACCCAAAGATATAAATCGTGCTTTGTCCACTTCCCACCCACTATCTGGAGGAAAAAAGCCCCCGTGTGATGTGGAAGACGGACCCTCCCCAGCAGAGGGACCCCAGCTCCTGGTGGCCTTTATTCTAAGCACCCATATTTAACGTCTCAAATCACTCTATGAAAGCAAAAGATCAAGAATCATTTCTAAAAATCTATTTGCTTGAAACCTAGAAACAAGAAAAAAAGAAAACACTTGAAATTGTCATGGGAGGGAAGGCAGAGTTTTGAGCCCCCAAAAATGTTCTGACTTTACTGTTCCTCGTGAGACTCAAAGCAAACTCGTGGGTGGGTTCAGGAGGGTGTGGCGCCCACGGGCAACATCAGTCCCTGTGGACCCTTGGAAGGGGGAAGGGGCTGCGCTGCCTCAGGGCGGAGTCAAACACGCTGGGTCCAAATTAAGGCTTATCAGCAAGTTCATTATCTAAAAATAAATCAGCTTTTCTTTGCTTCATCAAAAGATCAGATTATAGTGTACGCCGCCTCACTTTCAGAAGAAAATGTTTTTATTCTTTCACAAGTGAGGACAATGAAAATTATTACATAATCTGTCAGGTACTGTATAGCCCCATTGTGAAAGGGTATTTTTCCCCTGCAATGAGGGGTATGGAGTAGTTTCTGCCATTGTAAAAGCACAACAGGCTTCAGCAAGGAAGAACAAAAACAAGTCAGAAATGCAGTCTGTAAAAGAGAAAACATTTGCTGCCAGTGTGTGTTTCAGACGGGATGCTCTTGGCCAGAGCACAGGCTTCCTTCAGGAGCAGAGCAGCCTGGCTCCCCCAACACAAGAACCTCGTCCTCCCCCACCTCGGCATGACCTTGGCCAAGACACTTACTTCTTCTGTGAATTTACAAACCAGAGGTGATTACACCTGGGCCTGTCCCCTCACAGCATGGTGAGGGCCGCGAAGAAAGTGGATTCGATTCTCCCCATTGTGGACACCAGAGCTGGTCTTCACAAGAGCCTGTAACTCTCTCTCCCACCCCAGCTAGCAGGTGAGGCCAGGCAGCAAAAACCCCTCCATGGGAGGGGGCTGCAAACTGTGCCTGTGGGAACAGTGCGTATGAGACTGCCCTCACTTCAGAGAGAGGCCATGAATTTGGGGTTCCCAGACTAGATTGTAAGTCATTAGAGTGACTTACAGAACTCAGAGAAGCACCTCATTTACAGTCACACTTTTACTCTAACAAATGCATGAAGGCTGGAACTAACCCACGAAGAGACACACAGGGTGAGGTCTGGGAAGGTCCCAAATGTGAAGCTTCTGTGTCCTCAGAGTGTGTCACCCCACAGGGCACGTCACCCCGCAACACATCAGTGTGTGTTGCCAACCGGGAAAGCACCCCTGAGTCTCTGTGTCCAGAGTTCGTAGTGAGGCTGCATTACAGAGGCATGGCTGGGGGAGCACTGCCCATGTGGTTGAACTCGAGCTCCAGCCCTGTGCCCTCCTCAGAGGTCAGAGTTTGGACTGACAGACGTCCAATCCCCAGCCCTCTAACGGTCTTTCTGGCCTGGCTTGTTCCCATCCTGAGTCATTAGCATAGCCATTGGGGGCCCACCACGAGTCACCTCATTAGCAGAAACCACCAGGACCTACCACGAATAACAAACACATTCCTGCCACTGGGGAAGTTCCAAGGCCTTAGAGGTTCTCTCCCAGGAACTGGGGACAAAGGCCAGATCTCTCTTTGGGCTGAGACCAAATTTCTTGTTACACAGGGTGCAAAGCAGAAGCGTCTGTTGTCCCACAGGACAGGCTGGACTCCAAATGCTGTACAGTTAGGAGAGGATGGGAAGGAAATGCCACCTCCCACCATGTAAACCAGTGGCCATTTGGATCATGGGAGCAGGCACAACTTATTTTTCTGTTCTTTTCTGAATTTTTCACATTTTCTTTTTTTTTTAATATGTGAAAGATTCATTTTATTATTTAATCGGTGCATAATTTCAAGGGCATTGATGGACAAAGATGCTCTTTCAGGACAGCCAAGAAGTATCAAGTTAGGCCAGTAGTTGCCCTGAGCATGCTTGTTTAAGAAAGGAGATCTGACAGGAGCAAGGGTCATTTTCAACTTGTTTTTTTTTAATTAATTTATTTATTATTATTATTATACTTTTAAGTATTAGGGTACATGTGCACAACGTGCAGGTTTGTTACATATGTATACATGTGCCATGCTGGTGTGCTGCACCCATTAACTCGTCATCTAGCATTAGGTTTATCTCCTAAAGCTATCCCTCCCCTCTCCCTCCACCCCACAACAGTCCCCAGAGTGTGATGTTCCCCTTCCTGTGTCCATGTGTTCCCATTGTTCAATTCCCATCTATGAGTGAGAACATGCGGTGTTTGGTTTTTTGTCCTTGCGATAGTTTACTGAGAATGATGATTTCCAATTTCATCCGTGTCCCTACAAACGACATGAACTCATCATTTTTTATAGCATAGAGGATTTTTTAGAAGGAGATAAACACTTAAGGAGCCGCACAGTCTCATAAGCTGACATCTGTGGCTCAGTTTTGATTGGCTGATCCACCTTCCCAACAAAGCAAGAGTTTAAGTTGTCTTTTCTACAAAAGTGGGGGCAATAAGGACAGAGACGTGCTCCTCCAAAAGGGGGTCTGAGTCAGCCCAGTGACTGTCCTGCGAGGTCCACGGTCACCCGCTGCACACACTGCTGGGTTCTTACAAAGACCCCCTATTCCCCACCACACACACACACACAACACACAGCACACAACATACATGCACACACACACACAGGATACATGCATGCATGACACACAGAACACACACCACACACCACACACACTATGCACACAACCCAACACACCCACACAATACCACAAGCACATACAACATGCATAAAGTACACACAACATGCACAACACAAAGAACACATATGCATATCACTCATGCAACACACAACATACAACATACACAGAACACACAACACTTACAACAAGCACGGAACACATAGACACAACACACAAAACAATACAACACATAGAGCACATGTGCAACACACACCACACACACTCATCCACCGGGACTTTCCTGCACCCACAAGTATAATAGATATTCCAATTCACTAAGAAGCAAAACTGAGGAAAGCCAGTTGAACGCCGAGCTCCGGCTCCTCTAGAGAGGACTGTGAGAGTTGCTGGGTGGCAGGGAGAGGACCAGGTTTGTGGGACCAAAAACTTTACAATATGGGAGCCCTCTCTGAGAAGCAGAATACAAAATTATGAGTACAAAATGTCTAGGGCCACTCTCAAATCTAACAAAGAACCCTGGTGCTTAAGCTTCCTTAGGGAACCTCCCTCTGGATAAAAGTCCGAGACGATTGCTTGAGCCCAGGAGTGGAAGGCTGAGGTGCCTGGAATGACAGAGCAAGGCCCCGTCTCCAAAAGCAAGAAGAAGGAGAAGGAGAAGGAGAAGGAGAAGGAGAAGATCAAGCTTCACATATTGCCAGTAGATGACCATCGGAATTATTGCTTTATCTTCCCCAAACCATATCTCATCCACACCTTTATTACAGTATTTATCAGGTTTTAATTATGAATCTCTTGTTTACTTTTCTGCCTTCTTCCCTAGGTTATGAGTTCAAAAAGGGTAAGAACTTTGTCTTAATTTTATCCAGTCCCCATTGCATTATCAATTCACTCCATTCCACCTCCTACTGCCAATATGAATATAAACTTGTTCAAATTTACATAGCCATAGTAATAATCTAAGTTAATTAGAAAATTAAATGTTTTTAAAATCATGGAAAATATTTCAAAGCAGACATTGCTTTCTTCCTGTATCAAGGAACATCTTTCCTACTGAGCTTATTCTGGCCACACATTATTTTGTAATCATTCTTTCTAGCTTGTGTGATGTGTGATATTGCTTTATGGATTTGGGGTTTGCAAGGCCAATGATGCAATTCAATCTTGACACCTCTAGAGCTTCTGGCGTTTGTGTTACGAAAAGGGCATATTAAGGTCCTGGAGGTGAGCTGTAAGAGCTCACATCACACTCTAGGATCAAATCAATCTTGTTTTCATTCCTTGCATCAGAGAAAGCTGAGGGGGCTAGGCGACATTTTGCACAAGCCTCCTGCTCTTCTGTCGAATGAATAAAGTGGCTTACTGGCCACTCCATCCTTCAAATAGCTGAACTCTCTCTTGGCTTTGAGTAAGCACCAATCAAAGCAAGGTGGGAAATGAAACACTGCAAGACATTTCCAACCTTTGGGAGGAATTGCTGTCCTTCCTAATCCTACAGGTGATCTAACATGACCCTCAGGGCTACTGTTGATGTTCCACCATCCAGAATCAAATGCCAGCATGACCAGTGGACCTGGACACCTAGGAAGTCAACCTTCAGAGCCACACTGCTGCCCAGGAAATGTTATCCAGCCAACTTTTGCTCTCATTCTAAAAATTTACAAAACTCTTCATCATCCCACTCCCCAAACACTCAGAAATTTGGTCACATACGGTATTTTGTGGCTATAGTTTCCTTCTCCAACCATCGGATACCTCTTGGAGCACAATGAGGTTCTAGCTCTTTGTCTCCACTCCCCCAGTCTTCTGGGATGACAAGTTGAAGCGGCTGCTGTCCTCTCTACCCACCTTTCCAGTCGCCCACAAGGAAGTCTGCATGTTTCCTTGTTAGTGATTCTTTTATCCTTATTACATAAATTTCCATGTTGCAAACTTCTATATCAAAGTGTGTCCACCCAAATAAAATGGCTTTGCAAAATCTCTTGTCTCCATCTTTATTGATACTTTTTTCATACGTGGTGTCGTTTTACAGACTAGTTTTTTTGGATAAGCAACTACGGTTTTGCCATCATTTTGCAGATATTAGTTTGCAAAGTTAATGCTTCATTAGTAAACTACCTAAAGCAATTTGTTTCAGAAAAAAGAAAAAAGAAAAGTCCACTTATTCTGAAATATTTGGAAATAATTTTGGAAGCTGGGAAAGATAAACCACCTGAGTTGGGCTTAGAATGAATCTGAATCAAGCCATAGGGGAAGGGTGGATCAACAAGTTGGGGGAACTTCCGTATCATGAACCCACAATTCACAGCCCAAGAAAGAAAAAAGAAAGAGCAGCCAACCTTCAGCACACCCTGCAGAGGTTGATATTTTCATCACAAATTTAGTGAAAGCAGAGGCAAGGTAAGGACATACATGTCCATTGTTACATAGGTGATATGGAAGAAACTAAAGAGGACTTGAAAAAAGGGATATGCAAGATTTTTCTATCGTTGGGCATGAAGATATCATCTGTGTTAATGAGCCTGCGGGAGAGAAAAGGCCATAGGACAAAGGAACTTTTACACAGGAGGTCCTCAGTCTTTGATATAAGAGTCTTTTTAAATTCTTCTCCTTTTATCCGTCTCATCAATATGAAAAGATAGCGCAAATATAATTGGCACAATAGTCATAGGCATAAACGTGGAAAGGCTTTCCTTTTTTCTTTTTGCAAAATTGGATCATACTGAAAAGAAAACACAAAAGAAAAGATGCAGGATAACTAAGAAACCTTAAACTATTGAAGAAAGCCCAGTGTCTTGTTAAAGATTTTCATTGTTGATTAAAAGAAATTCGAGGGTTGCGTGGGCAGGGCGAAAATCAGAACTCCACTCCAGAAAGCATGGAAACATGGAATAGCTACCAAGTGCGTTTATGTAACTTATTGGAATTATGGTGCTGGTCTGTATTTTATCATAGTACAATTATTCTCCTCAAACCAGCATCTCTCAGACTGCACAGTAACTAGAACTTTTGTTTATGCTCAAGAGGAACATCACACTCACAGTTGCAATATCTACACACCAGGCTTGTGCTCGCTGACTTTTTGGAGTAGGATGGGCATTTCATTGGCTCTGTTTTACATCAGAAAGCCTTTTTTTTTTTTTTTTTAACACTTTTTAACTTTTTATTTTGCAGCAACCTTAGTTCACAGGAAGTTTCACACGTGGTGCAGCAGGGTCTTCCCAACAGTGACAGCTCCCGTGACTGCAGCTCGTACTGAAGCCAAGAGACTGCCTGTCGTGTGTGCTGAGTTCCGTACTGTTCATCACCCATGCAGATTCCACAACCTCTCCAAGATCAAGACACAGACCCTCCGTCACCATGGGCACCTCCCTGTGCCACCCTTCAGAGATGCCCCACCCATTTCACCCCCAGTACTCCTCACCCTGCAACCACTGATTTTTCCCCTCTCCACAATTTTGTCATTTCGAGAATCTTACCTTATGTATGTGACTTGAAATTGGTTTTCTCATTCGGTTTGATGACTTTGAGATCTGTCCAAACTATCGCATGCATAGATAGCTTTTTCCTTTTTATTGCTCGGTGGTGTTTCTTGGCATGGATGTACCACACATTATTTCACTATTCGCTATTGTAGGGCTGTGTTTCCAAGTTTTGGCTATTACTAATACGAAGAAAGTTGACACGAGCATTTATGTGCATGTTTTTGTGCAAACATAAGTTTTCATTTCCATGCAATACATGTCGGGGGTACAATTGTTAATTATATAATAACTGTATGTTTAAAATTTTAAGAAATTGCCAAACTGTTTTTCCAGAGCAGCTGTACCTGTGTGAGGGAAGTGTAGAAATCTTACCTCCTTTTTGTATCCTCATTCTCCCCGCATTTATAATACAATGGTGTTAATGATTTTCTTCAACCACATTATAACAGTTACTTTTTTTTTTTTTTAAGAGATGAGGTTTCACCGTGTTGCCCAGGCTGGTCTCAAATGCCTGGACTCAAGCAATCTGCCCAACGTGGCCTCCCAAAGTGCTGGAATTATAGGCATGAGCTACCGCACCCAGGCTGCATATGTTGAATTGTCCCCGCATCCTTGGGATGAAGCCTGCTTGATCATGGTGAATGCTCTTTTTAATGTGTTGTTGAATTTGTTTTGCTAGTATTGTGTTGTGAATTTTTGCATCTTTGTTCAACAGTGATCCTGGCCTGTAGTTTTCTTCTTTTGTTGTGTTCTTGTCTGGTTTTGCTATCAGGGAAATGCTGACCTAGTATAATGAGTTAAAAGTATTCCTTCCTTCTCAATTTTTTGGAAGAGTTTGAAAAAAATTGACATTAGTTCTTCTTTAAATGTTTAGTAGAATTCAGGCCAGGCATGATGGCTCATGCCTGTAATCCCAGCACCTTGGGAGAACAAGGTGGGCAGATCACTTGAGCCCAGGAGTTTGAGACCAGCCTGAGCAACATGACGAAACCCCATCTGTACTAAAAACACAAAAAATTAGCCAGGCATGGTGCCATTTGCCTGTAGTCCCAGCTACCCAGGCGGCTAAGGTGTGAGGATCAGCTGAGCCCAGGAGGCTGAGGCTGCAGTGAGCTGTGGTTGCTCCACTGCACTCCAGTCTGGGTGACAGAGTAAGACCCTGTTTTTAAAAAAAAGAACATCAGCAGTGAAGCCTTCAGGTCCTGGGCTTTTCTCTGATGGGAGACTTTTTATAACTGTATCAATCTCATTACTCATTATTAGTATATCAAGGCTTTCTATTTCTTTACGACTCCATCTTATTAGGCTCTATGTATTCAGTCATTTATCTATTTCTTATAAATATTTCAATTTGTTGGCTTATAGTTGTCCATAACAGTCCTTTGTATCTCTGTGGTATCTGTTTTAATGTCTCATTTTTCATCTTTATTTTAATCTTCTCTCTTTCATCTTAGTCTAGCCAAGGTTTATCAATTTTATCTTTTAAAATAAAACTCATCATTTTCTTGATCTTTTATATTTTTAAAAATTCTCCATTTTATTTCTGATCTGATCTTTATTATTTCTTTTCTTCTACTAATTTTGGATTTAGTTTGTTCTTGCTTTCTAATTTCTTAAGATGTAACATTAGGTTGTTTACTTGAGATCTTTCCACTTTTTTGAAGTAGATGTTTACAGCTATTAACTTCCTGCTTAGAATGCTATATCTCATAGGTTTGGGTATGTTGTATTTCCATTTTCATTTGTCTCAAAGAATTTTTAAATTTTCTTTTAAAGTTCTTCATTGACCCATTTGTTATTCAGTAGTGTGTCATTTAATTTCCATGTATTTGTAGAGTTTCCAATATTCTTTCTGGTATTGATTTCTAGTGTTATTCCATTGTGGTCAGAAAAAATACTTGACATCATTTTGATTTTTTAATTTGTTAAGACTTGTTTTGTGACCTAATATATGGTCTATCCTGGAAAATATTCTATGTGCTGTTGAAAAGAATATGTATTCTGTAGCTGTTGAATGGAATACTCCATAGATGTCTGTTATGTCCATTTGGTCTAGAGTGCAGTTTAACTCTAATGTTTCTTCATTGATTTTCTATCTGAATAACCTGTCCATTGTGGAAAGTGGGGTGTTGAAGTCCCCTACTATTATTATATTGCAGCTGATCTCTTCCTTTAAGTCTATTAATAGTTGCTTGTATGTTTGGGTGCTCTAGTGTTGGGTACATATATATTTACAATTGATATGTCCTCTTGCTGTGTTGACCCCTATATCATTATATAATGGCCTTGTCTTTTTTTACTGTTCTTGATTTAAAGTCTATTTTATCTGATATAAGTAGAGCCACTCCTACCCTTTTTTGATTTCCGTTTGAATTTCTTCTGTCCCTTTACTTTCAGTCTATGTCTATCTTTATAGTTGACGTGAGTTTCCTGTAGGCAGCATATAGTTGGGTTTCTTTTTTTTTTATTCAGTCACTCTATGTCTTTTAATTGGAGAATTTAATCTGTTTACATTCTAGGTTATTATTGGTAGGTAAGGATTTATTACTTCCATTTTGTTATTTGTCTTCTGATTGCTTTTTAAAGCCTTTCTCCTTTTTTTTTTTTTTTCTCTTACCATCTTCCTTTGTGGTTATTTTCTGTAGTAATATGTTGTGATTCTGTGCTATTTATTTTTAGTGTATCTATTATAGGTTTTTGCTTTGTGGTTACTATGAGGCTTACAAAAACCATCTTATAGTTACAACAAGTTATTTCAAACTGATAATTGTGATTGCAAAGAAAAGAAAAGAAACAAAAACAAACTCTACAATTTAACACCATTCCCCTCCCACATTTTAATTTTATAATGTCTCCATTTATATCTTTTTATATTGCCAATCTATTAACCCATTATTGTAGTTATGTTTGTCTTTAATAGTTTTGTCTTTTAGTCTTTATACTAAAGATATAAGTGATTTACACACTACAATGACAGTATTAGAGTATTCTGAATTTGCCTGTATACTCACTTTACCATTGAGTTTTTTTCCTCGTTATGCTCTTTCAGATTGCCAACATCTATTTCTGACATAAATACTCAGTAAACTAGGAATAGAAACATTCTTACCCTGATAAAGAGCAACTAATAGTTTACTTAATGATTAAAGACTGAATGATTTTCCACTAACATCAAGAACAAGGCAAAATGCCCACTCTCACTATTTTATTCAATACTTTACTGGAAGGTCCAGCCAGTACATTAAGGCATAAACAAGAAATAAGAGACACCCATATTGGTGTCTTTATGTAGATAACATGAATCTGTATTTATTCAGATGACATGATTGTCTCTGTAGAAAATTCAACAAAATCTACAAGAAAAAGCTACTAGAACTAATAAGTGAGCTTAGCAAAGTTGTGAGTTCAAAATCACTACACAAAAATCAATTTTTATACATTAGCAATAAACAATCAGAAAAATTTAAAAACAATACAATTTATAATAGCATCAAAATATAAAATGTATGTACAAATAAATGTTCAAGATATATACACTGAAAGCTATAAAACATTGCTGAGACAAGTTAAAGAGGATCTAAATAAATGGGCTATGTTGTATTCATAGATTGGAAGACTTGGTATTGTTGAGATGCCATTTCTCCCCAAATCAATGCACAATGCAATCAATTAAATGCAAACTGAATCAAAATCTCAGCAGGCTTTTTGTCAAGACAGACAAACTGATTCTAAATGTCATATGAAAATGCAAAAACCTTGAGTAGCCAAAAGCCCTTTGAAAAACATTCACAAAGACTTATACTACCTGACTTTGAGATTTATCACGAAGCTACAGTAATAAGAGAATGCAAGACGGCATCATCAAGATAGAGACAAAATAATGAAACCTAATAGCGTCCAGAAATAAACCCACATATATATGGTCAAGTGATTTCCAACACAGGTGCAGAAGGAATTCAGTGAAGAAAGAATGGACTTCTCAATAGTGTCAGAACAACTGGATATCCACATCCAAAATTTGTATTTCAATCCACACCTTGTAGCTGATGGACAAATTAACTCAAGATGAATCATAGACCTAAATATAAAATGCAAAACTATAAAATATCTAGAATTAAACAAAGCACAACATCTTTATGACCTTGGATTCAGAAAAGTCCTCTTAGACTATGAGAGAGTGAGAGACAGAAAATCATGATCTATAAAATGAAAAATGAGTATATTGGATTTCATCCAAATTTTGAACATCTCTTTGGAAAACACTGTTAAGAGAATGAAAACACAAGGTACATACTGAGAAAAAAAATACTTGCAAGTCGTTTGCCTGAAAAAAATGACTTGTACTTAAATATGTACAGAATTCTCAAAACTCAATAATAAGAAAACAGCTCAATAAAAAATAGGCAAAAGATTTTAATAGACACTTTACTAATACAAACAAACAAGCGGCCGGGCATGGTGGCTCACGCCTGTAATCCCAGCAATTTGGGAGGCCGAGGTGGGTGGATCACGAGGTCAGAAGATTGAGACCATCCTGGCTAACACAGTGAAACCCCATCTCTACTAAAAATACAAAAAATTATCTGGGTGTGGTGGCGGGTGCCTGTAGTGGCAGCTACTCAGAAGGCTGAGGCAGAAGAATGGCATGAACCCGGGAGGCAGAGCTTGCAGTGAGCCGAGACAGTGCCACTGCACTCCATACTGGGCAAAAGAGCGAGACTCCATCTCAAAAAATAAAAAAGCAAACAAACTATATCCACATAATAAGTTCGATATATCCACATAATAAGTTTGATATCATTAGTAATTAGGGAACTTCAAATTAAAATCACAATGTGATGATAGCGCACACCCGTTAAAATAATTAACATTAAAAAGACTGACCAGACCAAATCTCAGCAAGGATGTGGAGCAACTGGAACTCTCAGCTGCTGGTAGGAATTGCAAATGGAAAACAGGTTGTCAGTTTCTTCAAAAGTTAAATATACGACCGGGCGTGGTGGCTCATGCCTGTAATCCCAGCACTTTGGGAAGCTGAGGTGGGTGGATCACGAGGTCAGGAGATCAAGACCATCCTGGCCAACATGGTGAAACCACGTCTCTACCAAAAATACAAAAATTAGCTGGGCATGGTGGTGCACACCTGTAGTCCCAGCTACTTGGGAGGCTAAGGCAGGAGAATTGCTTGAAACCGGGAGGAGGAGGTTGCAGTGAGCTGAGATCACACCACTGCACTCCAGCCTGGTGACAGAGTGAGACTCCATCTCAAATAAAATAAAATAAAATAAAAATACATCTACCATGTGGACCAGCCATTTCACTAAGTATTTACCCAAAACAAATGAAAGCATATGTCCACACAAAACTTGTATGTGAATATTCATGGAAGATTTATCTGTAATAAGCAAAAACTGGAAATAATCTAAATGTCAATCACCAAGTGACTGAATAAACAAATGTGGTATATGCATGAAGGAATACTACTCAGCAGTAAAAAGCAATGCACCATTGATAAACACATCAACATGGCTGAATGTCAAAATACCTATGCTAAGTGAAAGAAATCAGACAAAAAAGAATACATACTGTATGATTCAATTTATAGAAAATAAAAACTAATCTCTGGTGTCAATGAGCAGATCCATGGTTGCTGGGCACGACAGGAAGGGTGAAGAAGGGCGGGTGTGAGAGATCACAAAGGAGCCTGACTCAACTTTTGAGTGATGGATGTGTTCATTAACTTGATTGTAGTGATGATTTCATGGGTGTATTCATACGCCAAAACTTACAGAATTGTACACTTTAGATATGTGCGCTTTGGTATAGGCCCATAATACCTCAATAAAGTTGTTAAGAAGAAAAAGTGGTATCCTATCCCAAAGAGACTTCAAATATTAGTGCCTCCACTAAAGACCTGGTGCCTGGGTGATTGATACAGTTTGGATTTGTGTCCCCACCCAAATCTCATGTCAAATTGGAGGAGGGTCCTGGTGGGAGGTGACTGGATTATGGGGGCAGATTTCCCCCTTGCTGTTCTTGTGACAGTGAGTTCTCATGAGATCTGATGGTTTAAAAGTGTGTGGCATTTCCCTCTTCTCTCTCTCAGTCTCTTTTTCTCTCTCTCTCTCTCCTGCCACCATGTAAAGAAGGTCTTTGCTTCCCCTTCCCCTTCCTCCATGATTGTAAGTTTCCTGAGGCCTCCCAGTCATGCATCCCATTAAGCCTGTGGAACTATGAGTCAATTAAATCCTTTTCTTCATAAATTACCCAGTCTCAGGTAGTTCTTTATAGCAGTGTGAAAATGGACGAATATAGTGATGATTCCTGCCACACTCTTCACCTAACTCACCTGTTTAGCAAGTACAACAGCCACATGGGCCTTGGAGAGCAACAGTAAATCGCGCAGATTTAGTGAGGTGTTGATGACAGTGGCAGGTGCAATTACACATTTACCTTTACTAGAATAAATCAGCTGGTATGCAACCAGTTTGCAGCTGTCAACTTGAAAAATATTTTATTCCAGTGCATCCATAAAGAAAAATAAGAAACTGCCTTCATGTAGCAGCAACGGCAATGTGCCTTTGATGAGTTGCTTCGTTGCCAAGGCCCAGGTACACCTGTTGTTCTGGCAGAATTATCAGTAGCACTTCCTTTCACTTTCAAAATCCAGGTTTGGATTGTAAATTATACAATCACCTTATTCAGGACAAGGCCAAGTCTTTTGCATTGTCCTGCATTGTCCTGGAGGCCTAAGACCTCGAGAATAGTCTGAATCATACTGAGAAACTGTAGGGACCCATCTGGCAAGTTCTAATAGGAGAATCATTGCACAAATCTCTGAAGATTTGAGTTAGGTTATCCCCTCTTCTGTTGGCAAATCTCCTTTCCAAAAGCAGCTCTGGGCTTGCTATTAGGGTCCGGTAGAAACCAGTTCTTGCAAGTGTAGGTTCGTGGGTGGACCTGCACACTACCCCAGCACTGCAGCAAGTAGGCAGATCCTGTGCTGTGGCCTCACACGAAACCCAGTAATGAAAGGAGACCCTCCCAGTGAGCAAACTGTGTGGCATGATCCACCATCCACTTTCTATGGAATAAGACACGCCCTGGGGTGCTGATTCACATCAACTTGTGGGCAGTGGCTCATGGGTTGACCAGCTGGCCATGGGCTTGAAGAGAATAAGACTGGGAAATTAGTGTCAAGGGGGTTGTATTAGGCTGTTCTTGCACCGCTACAAAGAACTCCTGAGACTGGTAACATAAGGAAAAGAAGTTCAGTTGGTTCACGGTTCTGCAGGCTGCAAAGGGATGGTACCAGCATCTGCTCAGCTTCCTGAGGTGAGGCCTCAGGAAGCTTCCAATCATGGCAGAAAGAGAAGCGGGAGCGGAGCAGGCACATCACATGATGAAAGCAGAAGCAGGAGGGAGGGTGTTGGGGGAGGTGCCTCAGACTTTTAAACGACCAGATTTCTTGTGAGCTCAGAGAGAGAGCTCACTTGTCACCAAGAGGATGGCTCAAGCTGCTCATGAGGGATCTGCCGCCATGATCCACCCACCACCCAGCAGGTCCCACAACTCCAACGCTGGGTATCACATTTCAACATGAGATTTGGGTGAGGACAAGGATCCAAACTCTATCAGGGGTCAAAGTGAGAAACACGTGTGTGAACTTCTCAGAACCTATGTCCACCACAAGATGTCCACTGCCGGCAGGCATTTAATAATTATATGGACAATCTGATATCCCGTGAATGTCAACTAGCCCTTCCTCGGCTACCCTGAGGCTTGCTGGAAGGGCTCATGCACAGAGCGGCTGCAGCAGCAGGGATAAAGGCTGTGCATGGGCTCAATGGCCCGACCTTCCTCTGACCAGGGCTGATCAGTCGACTGCCTACCTTTCCCAACAACAGAGACCAATGTGGCACCACTTTTCAGGGTAGGCAGATACCACCCGTTAGCAGGTTGAGTACATTGGGCCCTTCCATCATGAAAGGAACAACACTGAATCTTCGCAGCCATAGACAATATCCCAGGTGTGTATTTGCCTTCCCTGCTCACAGTACTTCTGCTGACACCAGCGAAGTCACCTCTAACCAAGAGACACATTTTATGGCTATGGCAGCCTATCTGGTGACCGCAACAAACCATGCCTGCTTGTTTGTGTCTTTGGGTTGTCCTCTCCCAAACTGACTCTGAGCTTGGCCACGACTAGCTGTGCCCGTGGCTGCCGGCCAGGGGTTCTGTGAGAAGCCACTGCCTGGGAAGCGCTTCCTTGGCAGCTCTGTCTGGCCTTCGCCTCGCTCAGCAGGGCACCAACTGCGCGAGGGCAGAGGCCCCGGCCTGTGCAGGGTTGTCACACATCCGGGCCATGGCTGGCTGTCCCTGATGGGGCCACGTGCCCACCGGCCTCACTTGTACTTAGGAGTTCTGGCCCTTCTCCTGGGGGGCCCTGGCCGGAGCAGTCCCCAGGGCCCGGTCCTCTTCCCAGCTACACACTGAACTGCTTCCCTTCCTTCATTCCCTACCCCACTGCCCTTAGCAAGGCCAGTCCCCAAACCACACATGGGGAAGCCCTTCCCCCGACCCACACCCTAGTGAGTCACAGGGGCTTCCCAAACCGGAGGCCCCAGGTGACCCCTAACGTCTCTGACGAGCATCCAGTCCACCAATAACCTGGCACTTTTTTCAGGCTGGATCTTGATTGTTTTCAGGGAAGGGGGCAGGGTTGAGGGCTTCAGCAAAGGGGCCCACAAAGGTGGACGTGTTCCACCAGTAACTTGCTCTCTAGTGACTGAGGAGTCACCAAAGGAGCCACAGGCAGCAAAGACCCAGCTGCCCAGAAAGCGTGGCTGCCGGGAGGCCGCTCTGTGTGCCGCTTCCTCCTGAGGATGAAAGCTAAGAAGTAGGCGTGCCTCCGGCCAAACCTGGCTTTTAGTGTTATTTTGTGGGGTCATCCATTCTGCCTCACCTCTGCAAGGGATGGTCCGGGCCACGCTGGAAACATCGTGCAAAGAGACTCTGCCAGTTAGGGCCGCTGAGCCCCATCTGCACAGCTCTAGGTTCTTGCCAAAACCCATTCCCAGTCATTGGCCAAGGCTTTATTTGAAGACAGTCTAAGGAGTGCTCAGATCCCAGGTGACTGACCTCCAAAACACATTTTTTTCTTTTTTTTTTTCTTTCTTTCTCTCTTTTTTTTTTTTTTTTTTTTCTGATGGACTCTCGCCCAGGCTGGAGTGAAGTGGCATGATCTCAGCTCACTGCAACCTCTGCCCCCCAGGTTCAAGCAATTCACCTGCCTCAGCTTCTTGTGTAGCTGGGATTACAGGCACGTGCCACCATGCCCAGCTAATTTTTGTATTTTTAGTAGAGACGGGGTTTGCCATGTTGGCCAGGCTGGTCCCGAACTCCTGACCTCAGGTGATCCACCCGCCTCAGCCTCCCAAAGTGCTAGGATCACAGGCGCGAGCCACCACGCCTGGCCCCAAAACACATTTCTAACATCTCTAGCCTGGGGGTTTACCGACTACAGCTTGTAGGCAGCGTCCAGCCCGTCACTGGCTTCCATAAGAAAGTCTTTTTGGAGCAAGGCCACGTCCTTCCTGGAGGCATCGTCGGTGTCTGCCTTCACGCTACAGCCGCAGAGCCAAGCAGCGGAGGGACCTTACGGAACTGAAAGCCTGAAATACCAGCTCTCTGGCTCTTTACAAAAAGTGTGCTGACACCTGATCTACACCAATACAAGAGCCCGACTGGCCTAAGGCCAGCCAGTCAGTGCCCGTGAGCAGAAAGAGGCTAACAGCAGGCCCATAACCTCCCCCTGCAGGAAGCCCTAGAGCAGTGCAGACGCTGGGCCAAGCCCATGAGCAGCTGACAAGGTTTACCAGCCAGAAAGCAGACGAGGGGCTTCCAGGGGCTCACGCAAACTGATTTCTCATCTAAATAATCCTTGGAGCAGGATGCGTCTGGTCTATCTGGATTGTTTATTATCCTTTCTTAAAGCTGCAATGCATGGACATAAGGGCCACAGTTCCTGGGTAGAATGCATATTTTTGAGGTGAGAAAACGGAGCCTCCAAGATCCGTGGGCTGCCCTGGGCCGGCCTGCGCGTGCCTGTGAGCATCTGTCGGCCACTCTGGGACTGAGCGCACTGCCTTGCATGAGGGGCTCTCAGGCAGCTACGGCCTATGCTTTGGGGCCTCTCAGATCCAGATCCAGACGCTGCTCCTCCCTCGCAGCACGGCTGAGTCCTAGCAAAGCCAAATGCCAGAGTCTTGAACCGCCTGTGTCTGTGTGGCAGCCCACTCTTGGTGAAAGTGCAGCCTGCCTTCTGAAAAGAAGACCTCGAGGACACCACCTTGAGCCCATGCTGTGAGCCCCCATAGTGTTAATATTAGTGACAAGCAGTGCCATTAAAAACTGAAAGTTCAGGTTCCCACTCTCCTACCCCACAGGCTTTCTCTCTCCTAAGATAAAAATATAGCAATGAATAAGCAACATCGGACGAGAAGCAATTTTCAAAATACCTTTATTTTTTTCTCTTTGGGTGGTCATTCCATCACACTGTTAACAGTGCACCTGCTGTACCATTTCATTTGGATAATTCTGACAATCTCCACTTCTTCATGCGTCTCAGTCAGTCCTCAGTTTCTTCGGCTTCTGTTATTGTCCCTGTTACTAGATTTTTAGAAAAGAAGAATTGTTTTTTCAAATGGAATATTCAGCAGTCCCGAAAAGATTTCATCAGGATCTTTGAACCCATCTACATGGTGTCTGATTGGCAATGATTGATTCAAAAGCCAGTTTTGGGGATGGCCGTATCCTCCTATGTTTCTCATTGCATTCTAGGGGACAGTAAAACACTCTTCCTCCCACATCATCTCTCTACACAGGAGGCTCCCTTAACCAGGCAAACATCTGTCCTGCAGGAAAGCCTCATTTGCACAGACGCAGCCTCAGTTAGGGGCCAGGCATTCCAGATCTGAAATCAAGTGTGGGTTGCCCTCTTACCCTGCCTCCTGATTTTCCTGATGGTCCCTGTAAAGCCAAGTCTATTTGGTAACAATGGGTAAGGCCAGGCCGTTTGTATCCTGTACAAACATCTCTGAAGATAAGGATTACCATTTGAGATGTTTCTTTCTCTAACCTGGCAAGGTGCTGATCTAGGAAAAGCAACCGGCAACCTCCAAGGGCCCCCAAAGCAGGTAAACCAACATATGAGAAACTTTCCTTCCTGGAAACCGAAGCAGGCATAGAGTGATCGTCCACCTCTCCAACCACGACCACCACGTGGCCAGGGCACCACAAAGAGTACCCACAGCAGCCCTGCAGCCTCCCCGCACATCCACGACCACCAGGCGGCCAGGGCACCACAGAGAATACCCACAGCAGCCTGGCAGCCTCCCTGCACAACCAAGACCACCACGTGGCCAGGGTGCCACAGAGAGTACCCATGGCAGCCCTGCAGCCTCCCCACAGGAAGTCACCTGATCAAATGTGCAGTTTCTGCAGGACTCTTGCCCCCTCCCCAGGAGCTTCCCACACTAACAATGAGGGCCCCGCCAGAGGGTGAAATGACAGGGAGGCAAAAGGGGATGGGAAGGGGGAGGACAAGACTCACAGAAGGAAACTCACACTGACAGCCACATCCACCCTGCAAACCTGAACCTCCAATGTTGGGTACATTACAATTTTGAACAAACTGCAACACTGATCACTGAGGTTGAAGGGCCTGTGTAGATGTTGAGCCCCTTCCCAGGGAAGGTCTCCCGAGGGAACAGAGCCACGCCCTTGACCTTAGGCTGAGGATCATTCCAGAAGCTTCTCACCATCATCCTTATCCTCGTCACTCTTCATCGAGGGCCCAGCACTTGGAGGCCCAGGACTCGCAGGCTTCAGCCCTAACTTGCTGCTGGATGAGGCCAACTCCGCCTTTTCGCTGGACTTCTGTGGCAGCGCGACATCCACAGGGATGGCCTTTTCTTTCCTGCTCTCCTGAATGACTCTGATGGGAAGAGGGTTTTATCACAGTCAGGGAAGTTACAGATGGAAAACTCTCCAGTTCCTCCCTCCCACCCACCAGGACATCCCTCTGAAAACACAGGTTCCTGATCATGCATACTTATTTTTTAAGGTAAATGCTTTGATGTAATAGTTCTCATTTTCGTTTCTTTCTCTCTCTCTTTTTTTTTTTTTTTTTTTTGAGACAGTTTTGATCTGTCATCCAGGCTGGAGTGCAATGGCACAAACACGGCTCACTGCAGCCTCCAACTCCCGGGCTCAAGTAATCCTCCCACCTCAGCCTCCCAAAGTGCTGGGAGATTACAAGTATGAGCCACCACATCCAGCCTCATTTTAGTTTCTTGTGCAGGCTCCAAACAGATGGCTGTATGAGGCAGCTAGACTCCCAAAGACAGCTCCGGGCAGGGGGAAGGTGTGTGTTGCACTGCAGGCTACTGCCGGCTCATCTTCATGATTAACACACATAAGACAGCATACAGCACCACTCATGGTAGGAAAATGGCTTTACTCATTCCTGGACAAAGAGACTCAAATAATCTCAGGGGCTTGTATGCACACAGAGTGGGCTCATGGTGAAGGTGGTGGCCGGGGAGTGAGATGCTGGATTCCAGCCCTGCCCTGGGAATAGCCACCTGCTTCCTTGGCCCCCCGGGTCTGCATTTCCTCACCATTAAAATGAGAGGGAGTGGACTCATCTCTGAGACACCTCCAAACCCTGACACCCTGCAATGAGGACGCAGGCCACAGGCCAAGAGATGCAGGCAGCCTTGGGTTCAGGGACTCTGAGACAACTGGGAGCCTGAGTTAGAGCCTCACTGCCCCATCCATCAGCCTCGGGACCCCCTCGATGCTGCGTCAATCATCCCAGTCCGGGGACAGTAAGTTCACTTACATCGTCAGTGGCTTCAAGGGCTGAAAAGGCTGAGCAGAGCTCTTAAGAGTCTTAGGTGCTCACTAAACACGGGTTATGATGTTCATCAACAAGCACAGGTGCTCACTAAACACGGGTTATGATTTTCATCAACAAGCACAGGTGCTCACTAAACACGGGTTATGATTTTCATCAACAAGCACAGGTGCTCACTAAACACGGGTTATGATTTTCATCAACAAGCACAGGTGCTCACTAAACACGGGTTATGATTTTCATCAACAAGCACAGGTGCTCACTAAACACGGGTTATGATTTTCATCAACAAGCACAGGTGCTCACTAAACACGGGTTATGATTTTCATCAACAAGCACAGGTGCTCACTAAACACGGGTTATGATTTTCATCAACAAGCACAGGTGCTCACTAAACACGGGTTATGATTTTCATCAACAAGCACAGGTGCTCACTAAACACGGGTTATGATTTTCATCAACAAGCACAGGTGCTCACTAAACATGGGTTATGATGTTCATCAACAAGCACAGGTGCTCACTAAACACGGGTTATGATGTTCATCAACAAGCACAGGTGCTCACTAAACACGGGTTATGATGTTCATCAACAAGCACAGGTGCTCACTAAACACGGGTTATGATGTTCATCAACAAGCACAGGTGCTCACTAAACACGGGTTATGATTTTCATCAACAAGCACAGGTGCTCACTAAACACGGGTTATGATTTTCATCAACAAGCACAGGTGCTCACTAAACAGGGGTTATGATTTTCATCAACAAGCACAGGTGCTCACTAAACACGGGTTATGATTTTCATCAACAAGCACAGGTGCTCACTAAACACGGGTTATTATTTTCATCAACAAGCACAGGTGCTCACTAAACACGGGTTATGATTTTCATCAACAAGCACAGGTGCTCACTAAACACGGGTTATGATTTTCATCAACAAGCACAGATGCTCACTAAACACGGGTTATGATTTTCATCAACAAGCACAGGTGCTCACTAAACACGGGTTATGATTTTCATCAACAAGCACAGGTGCTCACTAAACACGGGTTATGATTTTCATCAACAAGCACAGGTGCTCACTAAACACGGGTTATGATTTTCATCAACAAGCACAGGTGCTCACTAAACACGGGTTATGATGTTCATCAACAAGCACAGGTGCTCACTAAACACGGGTTATGATGTTCATCAACAAGCACAGGTGCTCACTAAACACGGGTTATGATTTTCATCAACAAGCACAGGTGCTCACTAAACACGGGTTATGATGTTCATCAACAAGCACAGGTGCTCACTAAACACGGGTTATGATGTTCATCAACAAGCACAGGTGCTCACTAAACACGGGTTATGATTTTCATCAACAAGCACAGGTGCTCACTAAACACGGGTTATGATGTTCATCAACAAGCACAGGTGCTCACTAAACACGGGTTATGATTTTCATCAACAAGCACAGGTGCTCACTAAACACGGGTTATGATTTTCATCAACAAGCACAGGTGCTCACTAAACACGGGTTATGATTTTCATCAACAAGCACAGGTGCTCACTAAACACGGGTTATGATTTTCATCAACAAGCACAGGTGCTCACTAAACATGGGTTATGATTTTCATCAACAAGCACAGGTGCTCACTAAACATGGGTTATGATTTTCATCAACAAGCACAGGTGCTCACTAAACATGGGTTATGATTTTCATCAACAAGCACTCTGGAGAAAATCAGTGGGGCCCTCCGTGAGCCTGGCCAGTTCCCTTTCCCAGGCTCACGGAGAGCTGTTCTCAGTCACCCCAGCAGCACCAAGCCCGAAGGAGCCCAGGCAGGCAGGAAGCTGCGGCCAGGAGAGGTGAGTCCCCTCCTCCCCACCCTCCCAGTAAAGAACAAAGGGACCGACCTGTAGATGATGGTGATGACGAAGGCCCCAGCGATGATCACAATCAAGGCAGAGAACACGTGGATGTAAACTGAAAAATGGTGGGATTTGAAGTCATTTCGATCCAGGTAAATAGAAAAGGAAGAAGATGAAGAAAAGGCAACCCTCCCAGAGTCGGGTGCGGGCCCTCCCGGCGCGGCTGCCCATGGTCAGCACTCCTCACCCACCCTCCCCAGCGTCTCCTGGAGACTCAGCTCTGTGGACATCTCCAAAGGCCCCCGCAGGCAGGCGAGGGCTCCCTGTGAAAGGCAGCTCCAGGTGGTAGTCAGTGCCACCCAGAGGACACCTTGTGACCACCCTGACCCCCGGGAGTGCATGGAGAGACGGCACTGGGTCCTGACCCCCGGGAGTGCATGGAAAGATGGCGCTGGCTCATGACCCCCGGGGGTGCATTGAGAGACGGCGCTGGCTCCTGACCCACGGGGTTGTGCTGAGAGATGGCGCTGGCTCCTGACCCTCGGGAGTGTGTGGAGGATAGATGGTGCTGGCTCCTGACCCCTGGGGGTGCGTGGAGAGATGGCGCTGGCCCCTCTGTTCCTGCTGTGCTCCCCAGCTCCCTGGAAATGGCTCCTCAATGCCCAGGTCAATTCCTCCCCTAAACTGAATACAAGGAAAACACTTATTGGATCATAGACAAATCCTTGACTGGGCTTCCTTGTATTAAAAGGGGTTCCTGCAATCCCCAAGTTTCCCGTGCCTTCTCCAACCCAGCCTCAGCAAAAGTCAAGCCTCCCCAGGTGGCCACGAGGGGCAGCCCCGCCACCCTGGGTTTCCCTGCGTGAGTGCACTCCCAGCCTCTCCAAGACGGGGGTAACTGGGAGGAGGAACTGCTCAGCCCCCTCCTGAGCCTCTTTCTGAGAGACTGCCCACTGCTCAGCAGGCAGGGCCCTGTCTGTGCAAGAGGCCTGAGGGGCGCAGCACCGCCCAGCACCGAGGGCTGATATCTGGATCTCCGTCGGCTCATTGGTTCAGGACTTGGACCCCTCAAGTCCTAACATTTGTACACGAGCATCATTCCTCTCAGAGTCCTTGGTCAAATAATATCCTCATCTACTGTTTGTTCTTCTATGTTCCTTCCGTCAGGTTGATGTAAGGAATTTTTTAATGAATGCAAGTAAAGTTCTTAAGTGGTTGGCTAATCACATATACAGAGTAATTCTTATTGTTGTTATTATTATCAATATTAGTCTCTTCTCTAATTGCTTTCTTACTCTCTCAAAGAAACTGGCTGACTTGCAAATATCAAGTGCAGGTGACACGATTTGCTTCAATTCCCATACCTCCCCTCCTGCTAAACTGCTTCCAAGTCGTGAAGCAGTAACAACACCATCAGATGTAATTTCCCTGGATGGTGTGTCAGTTTGCCAGGGATGCTGTAAGAAAGTACCATGCACTGGGGGGCTTAAAACAATAGAAATTGATCATCTCATGGTTCTGGAGGCCAGAAGTCCAAGAACAAACTGTCAGCAGGGCCGTGTTCTTTTCAAAGGCTCCCGGGAAGGGTCCTCCCTGGCTTCCTCCTAGCATCACAGCAGTCTCTGCCCCTATTGTCACGTGGCTGTCTTTCCTCTGTCTCTGTGTCTCTTCTCTTTTTACAAGGACACCAGCCATTTTGGATGGAGGGCTCACTCTACTCCACTATGATCTCATCTTACCTAATTACACCTGCAAAGACCCTTTTTTCTAAATTAGGTCACATTCACAGGTACCAGGGATCTAAACTTCAACATATGCATTGGGTGTACACAATTCAACCCACCCCAGAAGCAAGGCCGCAGGTGCAGAGAAAGTGGCCTCCTGGGCACATGAGCCAGCTTCCGAAGGGATCCGCACTCCCTGGACTCATCACAGGGCCACCAGCAATGGATGAGGTGCCCAGGATTCTTTCCATGGGGACTGAAGTCAGAAAACTGAGAGGGGATTGAAGCCAGCTTGTGAGGGTAACCCACATCCTCGATTTTCCTCATACCGAGGTGACCTCAGTAAGGAATGGTGAAGTACCCAATGGGCGCTCGATAAGAGTTCCTCACAGAGAGGCTGGAGGAAGGGAGCGAGGCTTGGGGTTGCAAGCTGTCAGATAACAGGAATGTGCATGTACCGAGGAGCACACTGGGAAACTGCTTGTCAAACATTCTTCCAATCAGCTGCCTTATTTCTTTAAGTGAGGACTGTCCCGTGGAAACTTGCTTACCTGAGGAGGGGAAACAGTGGGGCAGACTCACCTCCAAATATCCGGGGCTACCATAACCAGCTTCCAGGATGGCCTCCCGATTCTCACCTCCTGGTATTTACACCCTAGATAGATGTTCCCACACTGAACAACGCTGATCCCTGGAGCCAAAGGAGATGCCAGAGTCTAACCCCCGAGACCAGGTAAAAAAGACATTGCAGCTTCTGCCCTGATCTCTCTTGGGCCAGTTGCTCTGGGAAAGACTGCAGCCCTCATGCGAGGAGAAGAGGCCTCCTATAACATCTGGTACCAACTTCCCAGCAAAGTGAGTCATCTTCCTATAACATCTGGTATCAACTTCCCAGCAAAGTGAATCATCTGGGACGCCAAGATTTCAGGTGACTGCAGCCTCACTTGGCATCTTGACCACAATCTCATGAGACAGCCAAACCCAACCCACCCAGCAAAGCCTCTAAGTTGCTTTAAGCCACTAAGTTTTGGGGTAATTTGTCACACAGCAATAGAGGATGGATCTGAGAGGTAGCCTAGAGCTTGCCCAGAGAATCTGCACTTAAATGCTGTTCAACAAACAGAATCGATCGAATTGAAATGCACAAATAAAGTGAAAGGGTGAATTAAGAGCGTTCATGAGGCAAGAAGGTAACCCTGAAATTCTTGAACTCCAGGAAATGTTTTATTCCTTAGTATGAATTTGTGTCTTGGCTCATGGAATAAATTCAAAATTATGTGAGTGAAGTCCTGTTAAAGAGACACACATATTAGTCAGCGTCTTAGTATTTCACCGTCAGTACATCTCCCGTATCTTCCTACGTGCTCACGTTCTTTGTCGTTGATGCCAAGCTCCTAAAGATGGAGACTCAACCTCAATGATGCGCTCCGTACAGTGTCTGTCTAGCAACACTATTTATTACAGACCATATCTTTGGCTTATCATAAACCACAAAGTCTGGTTTATCTTTCAGAACAGCAGCAATTGAAGAAAGGATTATTTTCTTTAAGAAACGTCTTGGTAAATGTTCCCAAAATATAGTTAAACAAAAGTTTTGAAATCATCTCAGCAAGTCCCATGAAGAAACTGAAGTCAGATACTTGGAAGAAATGACATGTTAAATAACATACCCTAAATCAAGACTGAAGAATGAAGGCAAGTCTTTCTCTTTGAATTCCCAATTCTTTCTGAAAGATCTAATGCTAATTCCCAATTCATATTCTTAATAATACAGATTATGCCATAACACAATGTGCACTTCAAACCAGCCAATTTAAGAAGTTGGTGAAAGGTTTTCATAACATGGAATTATGTGCACAAAGAGCTCATAATACCCTGTCACTGAATACTACAACTTGCACAGCACAAAGGTTCATTCGTCGTTTTGAATGAGAAAGATGTCAAAGAAATGAAAAGTAATGTGAGGGCACAGTGAGAGCCCCAAGGCAGGGCCCACTGCCCAGGCTCTTCCTACAGGCCCGAAAGAAACCAGGAGTCAAGAAAAGCACAGTCACACAACCCAGCTGTTAAAGTTAGAATGATGGAAAGAACTTAATGGTTGCTTCCATGCAAAAATGATATACCCCCTTGCAAAACAGTGAGCCCTCTCCAAGTCAAAAACTTTCTTGAGAGCTTGTGTTCTCTTCTGGGTTCCTTATAACACCAGTCATGAAGCTGCTATAGGGATTAAGGCTCACTTTTAAAATGGATGACAGGCATGCGGCGATTGTTCTAACTTAAGCCATGTTCGACATACATGCCAACACTTACAAACAGGCCAGCACCTGCACGGTACAGATAAAAAGGTGCTCAGGGGATGGGAGAGGTGGCAAAAGCAGCGGCAGTAGCAGCTTGGACGTGAGTTCCCTTCCTCGCTGTGATCTTCCTGGAGTGATGCATTTACACCACTTTACACGGTTGGATCTCTGCTTCATTGGGATGTGAGGAAATTGGGATCACTAATCATTATATGGAGAAGATTGAAAGAATAAACTTAAATACCTTTTGGATGCTAACGATTGCCACTTTCAGGAGCCTTACATGGTACACTTCTCAGAAAAACTAAGTGGTATAAGTGCCTTGGAAACTGGAGTTCTGTAAGAAGTCCAACTCTATGATGGAAATGAACTGAGCACGACTGTGAGCATCTGCTGCTCTCTGCATGTGCAACGTGAGCAGCAAACCTCAATTTCACACAACAAAAACAAGATGATGACAAGTGCCAATGCAGCAAACCATGGCCAAGTCAGCACCCACTGCCATGAGCTTGGCTTCAGGAGTACTGCCACATGCCTCAGAGGACGAGCTGCTGGAATGAAGCCATATGAGAGGCCGTTCAACACTGGAAGGCCTGGAACCCAAAAAGATCTCTCAAGTAAGATTCTGGCTAAAGGGCATGGGTTTTACGATGAGACAGGTGAGTCAGGTGAAGGATAATGGACTCCTTCGGGAAAAAGCACTACATCTTGTAACTCTCACTAACTGATTATGTACAACCGGACTAGGGCTTCAGTAAAGCCCATAATTAACTTTCAGGGTGATACCAGCAAAAACAGCAGAGCGAGAACCCCCCTGCCAATTTCTTCCTCCATAAAAACAATGAGAACACTGGCAAAAATCACCAGAGGAAAGTTTTTCAGAAGTCTGGAAATTAACCAAAAGCTTGCAGAAATCTGTTTGTTTGAGGCAAACAGCTGAATCTCAGTAAAAGAGCAAGCTTGGACCTTTTATCTAGCCCTGTTCCCATCTCTCCTGCCCACCCTCCAGCTCCATGGTAGCTTGAAAATCAACAGCCTGTAATCATGGTAAAGCCAGCAGCCTGGCAGCCACTGCAGCGGGCAGAACAGGGTGGGACCTCCTTCAAAGCCCCATCGTCGGAGAGTTGTCATTATTTGATCTGTCTGGTGCTTCCTTGGAATATCAGCTTTATTTGATCTGAGCTCATTCGGTGAGAACAGCTTTTTCCCCAGGCATTTGTTATAAATAATCAGAAGCAACTGAAAATTGTTTTACTGGCTAAAGTGTTGGTTAGCAGTTGAGGGAAAACAAGAGGCTAACTAACAAGCTTAGCATGAAAATCTGGGAAATGAGATGTGCATAGAGAGCTCTGAAATGCTCTGTCACATTCCTGGGAATCTAGAGGGCCATGGACATGTCCAGTGCTGTGGGCTTTGCAAGGAAAGACCTATGGTGGCCCTGGGACCTCACTTCTGGCTGACTTAAGGATCTGCATAAGCAGGAAGTGAAAGCTAAGGCAGAGCTAGAAATATTCTGACTTTGTTGAAGGTGTGCCTCAGCACGCACACAGAACCCCTATGCAAAGTCTGAGAGGCTTGTGTTTCCAGGCATCTAAGGAATTTTTGTCTAGTAGCTACCCAAGAAGACTTTTTAGTGGTCACACACCACAAAGAATAAAGACTTTACTGAGTTAGTTCAGGAAAGTCATCAAACAACCACAACAACAAACAGCAGCAACAATAAAACCTGGGGAGGTGAAAGAACCCGATTCTCAGAGGTGCTATATTATCTTACCTAAAATGTCCAATTTTCAAGAAAGAAAAATGTCAAACATACAAAGAAATGAGAAAGTATGGCCATATACATAAAAAATGCCATTAATAGAAATCATCACTGAGGAAGCACAGACATTGGACTTACTTGACAAAGACTTTAAATCAACCATTTTAAGCATATTCAAAGAACTAGAAGAAATCATGTCTAAGGAACTAAATAAAAGTAAAAGGAAAATATTTTATTGATATGATTTGGCTCTGTGACCCACTCAAATCTCATCTCGAATTGTAATTCTCACATGTCAAGCGAGGGACCTGGTGGGAGGTGGTTGGCTCATGGGGGCAGTTTACTCCATGATAGTCTCATGATACTGAGTTCTCACAAGATCCGATGGTTTAAAAGTGTTTGGCAGTTCCCTTCCCACAACCTTGCTGCCACGTAAGACATGTCTTGCTTCACCTTTGCCTTCTGGCATGATTGTAAGTTTCCTGAGGCCTCCCTAGCCATGCAGAACTGTGAGTCAATTAAACCTCTTTCCTTTATAAATTACCCGGTCTTAGGTAGTTCTTTATAGCAGTGTAAAAAATGACTAATACATTCATCAAATAGAAGATATCAATAGAAATATAGACATTATTAAGACCAAAAAGAAATTCTGAAGTTGAGAGTACAATAACAGAAATGAAAATTCACTGGAGATGCTCAACAGCAGATTTGAGCAGGCAAAACAATCAGTAAACTTGAAGATAGGTCAATGAGGTTATCCAGTTTAAGTAACAGAAGGGAAGAAAATATAACCAAGAAAAATTAATACAGCCTTAGAGGTCTGTGGGATACCATAAAGTCTATCAAATACACATAATGAAAGTCCAGAGGGAGAGGAGAAAGATAACAGAAAGAATATTTGAAGAAATAATGGTAAAAACTTCCTAAGTTTGGTTAACATTAATCTATACATCCAAGAAGCTCAGTGAACTCTGAGTAGGATAAACTCAGAGAGATCCACACCCAGACACCTGGCAAACTGCAAAAGACAAAGAGAGAATCTTGAAAGCAGCATAAGAGAAGTGACACATTATATACAAAGGAGCCTTAAGATTTACAGCAGTTTCTCATCAGAAACCATGCAGGCCAGAAGGCAATGAGATAAAACATTCAAAGGGCTGTCAGGAAGACTATCAACCAGCAATTTTATATACAGCAACTCTATGCTTCAAAATTGAAGGGTAAATTAAGACATTCCAGATAAACAAAGTCAGGATATTCATCTCTGGCAAAGCTTCTTTATACGAAATACCAAAGGGAGTCTCTTAGGATGAAATGAAAGAAAAGTAGACAGTAAGTCAAATCCACATGAAGTAATAAAGAGCACCATTAAGGTGCTCAATAGATGCAGAAAAAGAATTTGAAAAAAAAATCCAACACCCTTTCATGATAAAAACACTCAACAAAGCAGGAAGAGAAGGGAGCTTTCTCAACTCGTGTGTTTCCAAGTTGTATCTTGCATTTACTATTAATAGATACATGGCATCTAGTAAAACCCACAGTTACCACTGTATTTAATGGTGAAACACTGAAAGTTTCTTCTTAAGATCAGGAACAAGACAAAGCTTCTGCTCTTCCTAGTTCTATTCATCATTGTACTGGAGGTTTTAGTCAGAAACTAGGCAAGAAAATGAACTAAAAGGCATTCAGATTAGGAAAAAAGAAGTAAAACTATATTTTCAGATGCCATGATCTTGTATGCAAAAAATCCTAAGGAATCAACTAGAAAACTAATAGAATGAGCAAGTTCAACAAGGTTGCCAGATACAAGATCAGCATACAAAAATCAATTATATTTCTATATGCTGGCAATAGACAATCTGAAAATGAACAAAACAATTCCATTTATAGTAACATTAAAAACAGTAAAATACTTTGGAATAAATTTAATTTAAAAAGCTCAAGATCAGTACACTGAAAACTATAAAATATTGAAAAAAATTAAAGACCGAAATAAATAGAAAGACTACCCCTGTTCATGGACCAGAACACTTAATATTGTGTTAAGATGGCAATACTTCCCAAATTATATACAGATTCAACACAACCCCAATCAAATTGCCAAAGGACCTCTTTTCTGCAGAAATTGACAAGCTAAATTTGATCTGGAAATGCAAGGGACCCATAACAGCCAAAATAATCTTGAAAAAGAAGAACAAAGTTGAAGCACTCACACATTCTGATTTCAAAATTTACTGCAAAGCTACAGTAATCAAAACTGTGGCACCGGCTAAGGATAGACATATAGATGAACAGAATAGAATTGAGAATCTAGAAATAAACTCTCATTTTTATGGGCAACTGATTCTCAACAAGGGTGTCAACTTAATCAGGGAAAAAGAATCTTCTCAACAAATGATGCTGGGACAACTGAATATCCATATGCAAAATAATGAAGTTGGAAACCTTCCTTGCACCAGATACAAAAGTTAACTCAAAAAGGATAAAAAGACCAAAATGTAAGAGTTATAAGTATAAAACTCTTAGAAGATATTACAGGTATAAATATTTGCAACCTTGGATTAGGCAATGGTTTCTTAGATGTGACACCAAAGCACAAGCAACAAAAGGAAAAATGGATAAAATGGACTTCATAAAAATTAAAAATATTTGTGCTTCAAAGGACACTATCAAGAAAAAGAAAAGACATGTAAGAGAATAATAGAAAGTATTTGCAAGTCACATTTCTAATAAGAGTTTAATATCTAGAATATATAAAGAACCCATACAACTCCATAATAAAAAGACAATTAACCCAATTTAAAACTGGGCAAAGGACTTGAATAGACTTTTCTTCCAGAGAAGATATCCAAATAGCCAAAAAAAAAAAAAAAAAAAATGCAACAATGGTGAACATCATTATTCATTAGAATAATATGAATCAAAACCACAATGAGATACAACTTCACACCCATTACAATGGCTGTAAACAAAAGGACCACAACAAGTGTTGGCAAGAATGTGGAGAAATTGGAACTCGCATACGCTGCTGATTGGACTGGAAAATGATCTAGCCACCTTGCAAAACAGTTGGGAAGTTCCCTAAAAATTTAAGCATAGAGTTAACATATGATCCAGCAATTCCACCCCTAGGAATATACCCAAGAGAATAAAAAACATGTTTGCACAAAAACCTATATACAAATGTTCTGAGCAGCATCATTTATAATAGCCAAAAAGTGGAAACAACCCACATGTCTATAAACCGATAGATGGGTCAACAAAATGCGGCATACCTATACAGTGGACAATGACTCCGCAATAAACAGAAAGGAAGTACTGATAGCTACTACAACACGAACGAACCTTGAGAACTACGTGAGTGAAAGAACCACAAATCATGTGGTTCCATTTATATGAAATGTCCATAATACGGAAGTCCATAGACAGATGAGTGGCTGCCAGGGGCCAGAGAGAGGGAAGGATAGGACACGACTGCTAATGGGCGTGAGGGTTCTTTCTGGAGTGGTACAAATGTTCTGGAGTTAGTGGTGATGACTGTACAACTGTGAATATACTAAAAGCCACTGAATTGTATACTTTAAAAGGTGAATTTTATGGTATAGTATCTTGGTAAAAATAATAGCTGAAGCAATTTCCAACCGATTTTATCTGTAGTCAGAGGAAGGCGTGAGATCCTGGGAATCCCAGAGGCTCCTGGAAGTGGAGGCTGGGACAGCGAGGGGTCTGGTCCCGAGTCTCTAAAGCCAGGATCTGCAGGAGCCGTCGTCATCAGAAAACCTTCCCAACTATCAGTGGTATCCATTGTGACCTCTCATTTGTCTCTGAGGAGCGAAAATTCATCTTCTTTTGATGAGGTGCCAAATCCTCACCACGAAGCAGGACAGACACCCTCTCTGGAGCAAGCCAGAATCCCATCAGCACTTTCTTTCTTGACTGATTTTGTGCCCAGAATATCCCTTTCATCTCAGAGGAGCTGGCTTAAGGCTTTACGTCTGTAGGACTGGGCAGTCCCCACGTAATCAAACAGTGTAGCCTGAAAATGAGTTTTAAAACTTTTTTTTTCCTTTTTCTCTTCTTCCCCTAGTCTCACGATGCAGAAAGCTTACTGCAAAAAACTTTTGTTCTCCTTAGTCTTAAAATATAGCCTTGAAATGTACTTTCTTTGCAACACCATGGTCTCCCTTTCTCACCACGCGCCCCCTAGCCCCATGCACATTTATCTAACTGTGTGCTGGTATTTAATTATGGGCTTACTTACAAGTTCTAGGGGCTCATCTTGAGATAGACCAAGCATAGAGAACCAGCTGCAAAATGCCAGAGATCACCTGAAGGCGGTGAGTCTACAACCAGCCATCAAGATGATGACACCTCCCGCTCCAGGTGGGCTGTGGCTTGCGACAGCCACTGGAACGAGACCCTCAGACCTTGTAGAAGCACCCCTCCCATGTGCCTCCCATTCTGAGTGCCTCTTTTTAAGCCCCTCTTCCCAGCCTAAAGTTGGAAGCGCAAGTCAGCCACTTCCCCACTGCTAGCTTTGGAAATAAAGTCACTTTCCCTTCATTTGTTACAGGCTTTGCAAGCGGTGAGCAGCCAAGCTTGTGCTAGGTTCCACCAGCAGGTCACTACTTGGAAATTTCCATCAGTCACTCATTCCCATCAGTCACTAACGTTTCCCGACTTTCTAAGCCCTACTAGATACAGGGAACGAAGAGGACCTGGTGCCTGGTCTCTGAAGGCTCAGTCTAGCGGGAAATGCAGGAGAAAGAAGTAAAAGGAAGAAGAAGTGGCCCTGAGCTGCACAAAGCCAGGGGCCTTTACTCACTTTGGGGTGGTGGGGGTGGAGAAAAGAGTGGCTTAGGACAGGGAGGGTTTGGAACTCATCTCCAAGGAAGCCTAGAGCTGTGAGAGCTCATCAGCCACGTCCATCATCTCCACCGGTAAGGGCTGCACTGTTCCCTCCCGAGGGCGTGCTGTGCAGGCTGCTCCCCTCCGTGCTGCTGTCCACCCCTCCCCACGCAGCACAAAGAGCCCCTTTACCCTCATTTCCAAAAGGGGCCTCCACAGGACAAGGAAACACATGAAGCTTCACGTGGACCTTGATGAGGGTTTGGAAATGAGAAGACCTCAGCGGCGCAGGCCAGTGCACTCACAGGCGAGAATATGCTGAGGAGGTGGGAGCCCAACGCCCTTCACGCGCAGGCCATCCTGGTTTCTTAACCTTCTCCCACCTCCCTTCGAACACATTTTACAACTAGCCATGGTCCTCTGAAGGGCGCGCCTCCCTCCGGAAGCCTTCACGGGGATGGGGAGTGGCAACGCCTCCGGCGCCCTTACCCACCCACTGGTTGCCTGTTGTCCTCACTTCACCCCGTGCTGCTTGAGGGGCTTCCAGCAGATCCTCACGTCTGGTCTGGCTTCTAGTCTGACGTTGAAGCAGCCCACGGAATCCCCAGTCAGGGCCAAGCTCACAGAGCCCCTGGTGGACAAGGTCCGCTCCACCCTGATGGGCTCACCCCACACCCGGCCACTGGCCCGGGCCCTGCCGGCGCCCCATGTTTCTGCAGCACTATTTCCCCAAATCCAGCCTCTGCAACCACCCAGAATGGCCAAATTCCTCCATGAAGGGGGCCTCCATTTGTCCCCGTCCATGCCCTGCTCAGCCCATCTGGGAATGGAACCCCTATGGTGGCTTACGTCACATTCACAGGCCCTCCAGCCCAAACCCCACTCCAAGTCTACTGTCCCCACTAAGACGGAGCAGAAGAGTTGGCCAGAGAACAATACAAAGGTGTTTCCAGCAAACAGAGACCCCGAGGAAGGGAGACAGGCAGGGCAGTGGTCGGCATGGTCACCAGCTACCTCGGCTTCCGCCACGGGGTGGCCGGGGCGTCTACTCACTGGGAACCGCTTTCTTGTAGCAGACGCCTTCGTAGAAGCAGCACCCGAGCTCCTGGCATCGGTCCCTGGAGACGTTGTAGTCACAAATGTCATACAGAGGAACGTCACACACTGCAAAAGCACAGACATACACAAGTGTCACCCCCGAAAACAAAGCCACTCTGCTCTCCGCTAAAGAACCTGGGAACCGGTGTGGGGAGCAGCTGTGGGTTTGTGTTGTGGTTTTGTTATTTTCTCAATTACGCATCCTGCAAATCTTTATTTGAAACTAAGATCCAGAATGAATTAAATTTCTGAGCAAAATAATGTCAAGTTAATTACACAGAATAATGCAGGGGCCTCTAACGATTAGGAGATAATACATTTCCGCGCAGCAGCGCCAGGCACGGCGCACGACAGAGCCCACAGAAGCGCGGGGCTCACACAATGGCTGCTTGGGAGTTCGGGAGGGAACGTGTAATTATTTCACACTTAAGCATACAGGAGTTAGAATTAGCAGCATGGCCTGAGGATTATTTCAGAATTTTAAAACTTGAATCAAAAGGACAGAAAGTTTAATGCCAGTTTTGACCCAAAGGGAGAAAAAGGGAAGACAATGAGTGTGCGGCGCGCCGTGGGAGGTAAAGGAAGCAGGGCGGGGAGAGCTCCTGGCAGACGACCCTTTCCAGAGGAGTTCAGCAGCCTCACACATGTTCAGCCCCGAGGGATGTGGCTGCCTTGATCGGCCATGGGCCACCGAGGGACTGGGCTGGATGATGAAGGGGGTTCCTGCAGGTGAGGGCCCAGGGTGCCCGCAGAGACCTTTGCTGGGTGGACTGCAGTCCCACAAAGCCAGGCTCCATGCCCCAGGCCAAGGCTGCACCCAAGCCACTGGGGGTCTTCCCTGGCCCCTCTGTAAGTTGTTCCACTGGGACAGGGGCCGGGAGGGGAGCTGCCCGGCCTTCTTGACCCTTGAGGAGCCCCATTTGTGTTCCTTAGGGTTGATTTAGTCTTTCAGGTTCCCCTTCTCAAGACACCCCCATTCCAGGTTTGCAAATGCTGCGGCTGCAGCCCTCATCCTCTGTCAGAAGCATCATGGACACGGGAGCCCTGCCGAGGCGATGCCGCACCTGCCAAGGCAGAGTGCACAGGGCAGGCTGAAGTCACCGGCTGCTGCCACCCTCTCCTCCCTCAGTTGCATGGGGTGGCTGTGTGTGATTTGAGCTGACCTACCATGTAGGGAGAGGTCGGGGGAGGCCGGAAGAGGCCCCATAGCAGCAGGCAGGTACTGCACAGCCAGGCTCAGAGGGGCCTGGGGTGGGTGACTGGTCTCGGGCTGTGGCTGGCCAGATGGTCCCCCACGTTCTATGCAGCAGCCCATGTGTCTACAGTGGGTGACTAGGAGGGCTTTGCTCCCAGGGCATCCAGGCACCACGGCCTTTTTCCTGGAGTGCAATTCCAGGGTGGACACAGCGCCAGAACTTCACAAACACTACCCACAGAGTCCGCCACTGCCTCCACTTTCTGACGCAGGTGATGACAGCAGCTGCACAGCAAACACCCGCCAGCGCCAGGATCGCACTGCCCGCAGTCTCCTCCACCCCACCAGACACCCGCCAGCGCCAGGCTCACGTTGCCCGCAGTCTCCACCCCACCAGACAGGCTCGCACTGCCCGTGGTCTCCTCCACCCCACCAGACAGGCTCGCACTGCCCGCAGTCTCTTCCACCCGACCAGACACCCGCCAGCACCAGGCTCGCGTTGCCCGCAGTCTCCACCCCACCAGACAGCCTCGCGCTGCCCGTGGTCTCCTCCACCCCACCAGACAGGCTCGCACTGCCCGCAGTCTCTTCCACCCCACCAGACACCCACCAGCGCCAGGCTCACGCTGCCCACCGTCTCCTCCACCCCACCAGACAGCCTCACGCTGCCCGCGGTCTCCTCCACCCCACCAGACACCCACCAGCCCCAGGCTCGCGTTGCCCGCAGTCTCCACCCCACCAGACAGGCTCACACTGCCCGCAGTCTCTTCCACCCCACCAGACACCCACCAGCGCCAGGCTCGCGTTGCCCGCAGTCTCCACCCCACCAGACAGGCTCACACTGCCCGCAGTCTCCTCCACCCCAGCAGACACCAGCCAGCACCCAGCTCGTGATGCCCGAACGCTCTTCCACCCCATCTGGGAAGATCCAGACGAAACCCAAGATCCCACCAGCTTGGACGCAGCGGAGCCGGGATCCACAGAGACCTCTGGCTTCAGGGTCCTGCTGTCTCCACAGTGCCAGGCGCCCTCCCCACCGTCCCCAGACACGGGAGGAGAAGCCCCAGCAGCACAGAGGCATCTGCTCACAGAGCCAGGAGAACAAAGGTTTCTGAAGACTTGCTCCAGGTGACAGCGGATGTTTAATTTCAGCAAACAGACTGGGCAGGAAATATGCCACTGAACGAAGCATTATTTTTATTCATAAAGTGATTTGTTCTCTTCAATATCACTACACAAACGTTCATACATTCTTTCTCATTTTAAAAGTTCAGTCCCCATCGCATCTGACCGCCCAGCCGTCGAATCCCGGCAGTCCTCCCGCGCCTCCTCCGGTGTCCCATTTTCCCTCCACACCCACCGTTATTTTCCTGCACGCACCTCCACAATGTCGCCATGCATTTTAAAAATCCAGTAGACCCTGAAAAGTCTCTCACGCATTTCCATTCCTAGCCCGGCCCTCCACCCTCCTCCACAACCCCTAACAGGCTTTGAGGTTGGAGTAAGCTGAGGCTTTCTGGGCAGGCACCAGGTCACAGCTGCCAAGGGGGCCGAGGTGGGCTTCCCACATGGTGGGGGATCGGCAGGGCTGATGCAGCTCCCTGCTCCCTCTAGAAACATCACTGGCAGCTCGCCCACTGCACAGGTACTGGACTCCCGGCCACTGGCACCAGCAGTGGTATCTCCAGTAGGCCCTCCACACCCCCCACACCACAGCCAGGACGGCTGGAGCGCAGGGCTCACTGCCTGGCTCTCTCCCTGTGCTCTCCCAGAGTCATGACAGCGTGGCTGGGAAGAGGGAGAGGAGCCATCGGCTGGGCCAGGCTAGGGGAACGGGGAGGCGCTGCCTCAGGATGGCGGGGCAACCACGTTCTTCCTGATCTACTGAAACGAGACTGGGGTTAAACCAATCAATCTAAAATGAGCCGAGTGCTTCCTGGGAGAAGCCACCCTGGCTGAGGGGTGCCAGGTGAGATGGGGGCCCGTGGAGTGAGGTTTCAAAGCTCATCCCATGAATCTGTCCCGTCACCCCGTCTGCGTGGATAGCAAGCCCAGGGAAGCCACCGCTCCCCAGGGACAGTGGGGCTGCCATTCATTCCCTCGCTCATCCCACTTCCCGCCAGCCACCTCCTGAGGCTTCTAACACGCCCACGCCAGCACGGTGGTAAACGTTCCGTTATTTTTCTCCAAGGCCATGGAAAGTCTCTTCACTCTGCATTTTGCTGCTTCTGCAGCAGGAGAGGAAAGGTTCAGGAGGGGCATGGTGCCTAGAGAGGTGCAGATCTGAGGCCAGGGCTTTCCGACCCAGGCAGTGAGGCATCATCGTTTTAAACGTGGCTGATGATCCAGGTGGGGAGGCGTCACCATTTTAAGTGTGGCTGACGATTCCCTGGCGTTTCTCCTTCCTGTGCTCCATCCACCTCCCTTGCCCTCTCTCTGTGAAACGCACACTTGCAGGAATTCTTCCTAGGGGAGGAGTCAAGCCCAGAGACTCTCTCAGGGCAGCGCCGGGTCCTCAGTGTGACTCCCCATCCAAGTCCCTCTGCCACCTCGTTTCCCGATGAAGCAGTCAATTAGCAGGGGACAGACCATGGTCGCCTCCTGGAGAAGCAGCTGGCAGACTCAGCAGCCATGACCTCACAGCACCGTGGAGGCTTCCAGCACTTCTGAGGCTCAGCTTCCCTGCTGGGAGCTGCTCCCCTAGAAAGGCAGGCATCAGGCTGGCCTCCAGGGGACACCTCCAAGCCACACTGCCCGGCGGCCCACTAGAATGTCCCAGCTGAGGGTTCCTGGCAGCGTGGCCACGGACAGCAAGACCCAACCACAGACAGGTTTCCAAAGATGGTCCAGGCGGGAAGAGAAGACAAGATTCTGAGTACAGTGGTGACAGGAAATGTGTGGGAACTCCAGAGACGTGCCTGCGGTCACGATTGCCACCAGCACCCCCAGGACCTTCAGCGGGCCCAGACTGCACACCCCTTTCTGTCTGTGAGCTGTGACACCACCTGGAATCCGGCTGAATGTGTCTTCACAGCAGATGTCATAAACAACATAAAAATCTCTGAACCTGGAGACCCATTTTCTTGACACTGAGCTTGAAGCTGCATGTCAAGTTATCTTTGGACAGAAGACACCAGTTCTCCCGGAGTTTGAGCATCAGAACACGGAAGGAGAGGTGAGAAGGAGGAGGAGGAGGAAGCTGGGCAGGGATCACAGCAGGTTCAGGGAGCTGGCATGGTGTGTGCAGAGGCTCGTGTGTGTGGCCTTCCTGCCTGGAGCGCGTGTGAACCACGGATGGGGATCTGGGGCGTGCAGGGCCACGGATCCCTGTGTGTGCAGAGGCTCATGTGTGTGGCCTTCCTGCCTGGAGCACGTGTGAACCACGGATGGGGATCTGGGGTGTGCAGGACCACAGATCCCGGGGATTCGGACACAGAGAGTCCAAATATGTCCACAGACCCCCGAGCCTGTGGAGAAGAAGCAGTGGCTTCGAGTCCCCACTCTTTCATACAAGCCACTCAGAGAAGAACTCACACCGGTGTGGAAAGTGTGTCACAGTTTAAAAGCACTTTTGCAGAAACTATTTTATTTAGGGAGAGAATTGACATTAATCTTTAGGCAGCAGCTGACAGGCAGCAGCCGAGGCTGTATCCCCGCAGTAAGGCAGAGCCTCCAGCCAGGGCTGAGTGGCCCCACACACGCCTCTTCCCCAGGGGCCACCTGTCATCCTCCCATCCTCATTTCCGCTCTTTCACCCCCAGGTCACCCGCCATCCAGGGCCATGTGAACATGGTGCCCTGGGAGCCAGCCTCAGGCCATCACCTGCTAGGGGGCTGTCTGGAGGCCCAGCTGCCTCCTGTCCCGGATGAGTGAGTGTGGACATGGGGAAGCCCAGCAGGGCTGCGTGGAAG
Organism: Homo sapiens; assembly: GCF_000001405.40. Classification (NCBI taxonomy): domain Eukaryota; kingdom Metazoa; phylum Chordata; class Mammalia; order Primates; family Hominidae; genus Homo; species Homo sapiens. The sequence goes on along the minus strand of NC_000013.11, from coordinate 111,323,142 downwards.
GGGAGGCGTGCAGGGCTCTGCACCCACATGGGAAGAGGCTGCAGAGTGGGTGGGCTTGGAGGCCAGAGTCTGCACTGCACCCGGCCACAGAGTCTCTTCCACATCTGCAAAGTTGCGCAGAGAAGGACAGGAGGAATTCCTCTAGGCTGCTTCTTGGGTTCAGACCCAGGGGTGGGTGGCAGAGAGGGCCTGAGCTGCAGGGCCAGGGCCAGCCACTGTGGCTAAAGGTTCCAGCTCCCCACCTGCCCGCTGAGGCCACCGGTGGTGCTGACACCTGAGCCAACTCCAAGCCAGGAAGACCCTGACCTTGTCATTTCACAGCCTCCCTACACCCCTAAAGGAATAGAAACAGTTGCAAAACAGCCACGCCACAGTGTGCAAAGAATGATAAAGACAATGCTGACGCCCCTGCATGCGTTCTTCAGTTCACGAGGACAGGCTGTGTGGGGAGCACACAGGAGTGTCGCCTGCAGACACCAGGAGCTGGGTCCTGGGCATGGCCATGGCAAGGTGAGATGACTCCAGCCCAGGGTCAGCTTGGGCAGTGCCTTGGGTGACCTGGCACACCTGAGATGACCCCCACCAGTCCCATGCACCCTGAGAAGTGGCACCAGCCTCCAGCAGCCCCTGACAGCCCCTCACAGACGGGGTGGCCAGGCCCAGCAGCAGCAGCTTGTACACACAACAGCTGCACTGCTTACAGCCCTGAAGCAGAAACCAGGAGGGTGGCCCCCAAGGGCCTGGAAGAGGGAGCGCTTTCTCCCCCGTGCTTGCCCTGGCTACAGGCCATCTTGCCAGAATATGAGAGGGGCCACCCCAGCCGTCCACAAGAGCGGCCCGTTCCCTCGGGGCCCCAGGCGCAGGCCTCCCACTCCACCCTGGGTGCATCTGGATAGGGAACTGCAAAGACCCCTCTTGTGGACACCCCTCTTCCTGTCCAAAGAGATAGCTGCCCCCCTGGTGTGACAAAGTCTGGTGGCCTGGTGGCCTTGGAAGGCCTCGCAGTCTGGCAGATGCCACACATTCCTGGCACCTGGGCCGCCCTGTCCCGCTGCGAGAGCTGCAGGGCCAGGTGCTGCTGTGGGCAGGTGCTCAGTGGCTGCCAGCATCTTGGCCAGCCTGAGAGGTGCTCCCTAGCCTACCTTCCCAACAAAGGTAACAACCCAAAACAATCTAATTTGTTTTCTTTTTCTTCCATTTTCTTGGTTTGTTTGTTTTTGAGGCGGAGTCTCGCTTTGTCGCCCAGGCTGGAGTGGAGTGGCACAATCTCAGCTCACTGCAATCTCTGCCTCCCGGGTTCAAGTGATTCTCCTGCCTCAGCCTTCCAAGTAGCTGGGATTACAGGCAACCCGCCACCACGCTCGGCTAATTTTTGTATTTTTAGTAGAGATGGGGTTTCGCCATGTTGGCCAGGCTGGTCTGGAACTCCTGACCTCAGGTGGCCCACCTGCCTTGGCTTCTCAAAGTGCTGGGATTACAGGCCACCACGCCCATCCGATTTTCTTGGGTTTTTTTTTGTTTTTGTTGTTGTTGTTTTATAAAAGCATTGCATGAACACAAGATCCATTGAGAAAAAAACATTCAAGTAGCAGGTAAACCTGAGCCATGGAAGGTGGCATCTCCTGCCTCCCGGGGGAGGTGCAAACTTCCAGAATCTTCCTTTTCCTGACCATAAGTCACTGTCATCCCCCATCTATGCACATTAACGGCACCTGTGGGAGAAGCCACATCCCACACCGGTGGTTCCTTCCAGTCCCAGTGGTGAGTGTCTGCCTCCGGGTCAGTTGCCCGGGTGGGGAAAGGGAAGGTGGAACTTCTTCATTGCTGATAAATATTTTTCCTTAATTAAAAAAGTCACTCCTGCAATAAAAGTTATGAAGTAGTTGAAGTGGATCTTCAGCGCCTCATGGACAAAATGCCTTTGACCTGTTAAAGCCCTGGAAATAGTTAAATGTATTTCTTCATCTAGAAAACCTCAGGTTCGGGTGTATTTTGTAATAAAATTTTCAAAAATGAAGTCTTCACAGCGTTTTCCCAGGTTATTTCCTGAACACACATTTTGCTGCCTTGCCCTCCTAGCCAGGTCTGGGACCAGGACCCCCTGTCCGCGCCAGGGGCTCAAACAGCTCCTCCCTGTGCCCCCCCCCAACTGCTCCCCCACCCCACCCGCCCCCCTGGCGCCTTCCCTCCATACCTGTGAATTGCTTCAGGAGGTGCCGCGGAGAGTTCTTCACTTCCAGCACGTATTCCATTGCTGCAGCTGACAGATGAAGGGGCCGAGCACACCTGGAAAACAGGAGAGGTCAGCACGGGCGGGGCCCTGGGGACGTCGTTTGGGGAGCGGGCGGCTCACACCAGGAGGGGGCGTTCATCGACTCACCTGCGCCTCACATCCCAGGCGGGTCCCCTCAGCCACCTGTGCCTCTCAGTCCCACTCCACGTGGAAAACACCTTTTAGGTAAAACAACAAACTGGCCACCCCTCTGTCTGCCGCTCACTATGGACTGTGGGACCAGGCTGGGCACACACCACCCCGCCCGCTGTGACATCACACAGCCTCATGAGGTCACGTGGGCGTCACACAGGACTTCGGAGCCGTGTGCGTGTCCACCTTGACACTGGCTGCATTGAGGACGAAGGCCACTCAGATGAACAGATGTAGGGAGGGAGTTCCAGGGGCAAGACGCTGCTGGGGACACCATGGGCTGAGTCCCACCTTCCCTGCAGGATACCCCCGCCCCTTGCCCACCAAGCCTGTGGGCACAGGTGCTTGAGTCCTGTCCCTCCCTTCCTTTGTGTCCCGGTCCTTCCTGGGACACCCCTCTCTGCCAGCCAGCACTGGGTGCAGCAGAGAACAAAACCAAATCCCTTCCCTCCTGGGGAGAGGACAGAGTGACGTAGCTGCCTCGGACCAGGCCCGGGCCGTGGGGAGAAGGCAAACTCAGGGCGTGGGCCAGGCTGGATCAGGGCAGGGGTTGCCCCTTGCCACAGGGTGGGCAGGCGGCCTCCAGGGAGGAAGGTGTGTCTGGGGCTGACGAGGGAGCATGCAGAGGTCCTGGGGGGAGGCTGGTGTGGCGACTTGAGAGACACAAGGAGCCGAGATGCCGCAGGAGGGCAGGGCATGAAACCACATGGGTCATGGTGAGGATGGTGGCCTTTATTCTGAGCAAAGTAGGGAGTTACTAGCAGATTTTGTGCGAGAAATGGAATCATTTTCACAGCATCACTCTGCTGTGCTGGAAACGGCTGTCGGGAGGTTTGTGAGCAGGAAGGACGGGATACTCATGAGGAAGAAGGCAGGCAACTGCCGGAGGGGGCTGCTACTTTTCATGGTTTGAGTTGAAGGAGTGGGCCTTGCATAATGGTGCGCACCTGTAATCCCAGAATCTTGGTAGGGCAAGGCGGGAGGATCGCTTGAGACTGGGAGGTCAAGGTTGCGGTGAGCTGTGATTGCACCACTGCACCCCAGCCAGGGCAACAGAGGGAGACACTGTGTCAATCAACTAATCAATTAATAAGAGTGGCGGACGGCTTGGATGTGGAGAGCAAGAGAAGAAAAAGTCAATGGTGAGCCGAGGACGCTGCTGGGGGGCTGGAGGCTGGTGCTGTGGGCATCAGGTGGACAGAGGAGGCATCTAGGGGACACGCCCAGGAAGCATACACATACACGCAATTTGGGTTGATGTGTCTGAATTTTTCATGTTGCAGAAGGTTCACCTGCTATGTAGCACGTGTCAGAGCTTCATTCCTTCTCACGACTGAATAATATCCCACTGCAGGGACATGCCACATTTCGCTTAGTCATTCGTCTGTGGATGGGCACTGGGTTGGGCCAACATTTTGGCTTTTATGAATAATGCTGTTGGGAACACTCAATGTAAGTTTCTGTGTGGACGTAGATTTTCACTTATCCTTGGTATATCCCTAGGAGTGGAATTGCCGGGTCACACGCTGGGAAGAACCCAATGTTTGTGTCCTCCCAAAATGCACAAGTCAAAATCCCAACCCTCAAGATGATGGGATTAGGAGGCGAGGCCTTGGAAGGTGAGGAGGTCGTGAGGGTGAAGCCTCACGAATGGGAATCGTGCCCCCATTAAAGAGGCCTCAGAGAGCTCCCTCGCCTCTTCTTCCACATGAGGACCCAGTGAGAAGGCGCCGGATATGAGCCAGGAAGGGGACTTCGGAGGACAGCAAATCTGCCACACCTCCATCTAGAACTTCCAGCCCCCAGAAGTGTGAGCAAAAAGTGTCCGCTGTTTATAAGCCACCCAGGCTGTGGCATTTTTGTTACAGTCCAGATGGGCTATGACATACAGGAATTCTGTTTCACCCTCTGAGGACCTGCCAGGCTATTTTACAAAGTGGCTGCACCATTTCACGTTCCCACCAGCATTGCGTGCAGGCTCCCAGGCAGAGACACTGCTTCTCTCTCCTGGGAACTGTCACCTACAGCAGGCACCAACCTGGGCAGCAGTCGGCTGGAGAACCACGTCATCAATGAGCTTCCGGGGAAGGAGTGGAGACAGATGAGCCTGCAGTGTGGTCATTGCCAGGACTGAGCCAGCACCGGGAAGCTGCGGGAGCCACTGGCTGGGGGCGGCAGGGACTGCCCCAGACTCACAGGGAGAGGGGTGTTCACCAAGGGCTTCTAGGGAGAGGCCACGCCGTGGAAGAGTGAAACCCAGCAGGCCACAGGACGGAGCAGCCAGCATGGACTCAGCTCTGTCTATATGGGTCCTGAGTCCCGTTCCCACGTGATAACCAGTGACTACACTGACAGACACAATTTTAGCTAAGAGCAAGATGTTTGCAGGGGTAGACTGTGCAGTCTTCCCATGGGAATGTGTGGAGCTGCCGTGGGGTTCTTTGGAAATAGGACAAGTGCCACGGGGACCCGTTACCTCTGAGGACCCCTAACTATGAAGCTATTAACCCTGTAACGGACTTGGCTAACAACTTGAGCAAAGCACTCAGACCTGACTCCCAGCAGAGCAGCTCAGCCAGGCTGAGAGCAGGGGATTCGGGGGGCTCCTAGACAGGGGTGTGAGTCCAGTTTCCCCATCACCACAGGCTGAACTGTGTTTCCTCAAAAAAGAGATGTTGAAGTCCTAACCCCTAGGACCTAAGGATGAGGGCTTATTTGGAAATAGGGTCTTTGCCGATGTAATCGAGCTGAGGTTGTAAGCGTGGCCCTGTCCAATAGGACCGGTGTCCTATTAAGATGAGAAGAGAGAGACACCGGGAGGGTGTCAAGTGCAGGCGCAGAGGCCCGGGGAGGGGACGGACGGCTGTGCAGCAACAGAGGTGAAGAAGGAGCAAGGCGCCTGCGAGCCCCGGAACACGGAGGACTGCCAGCAGCCCTGGGGTGGGAGGGGCAGGAGGGCCCTCCCCAGAACCCTCGGCCCACGTCCTGACTTCAGATTGTGGCCGCAGAGCCAGCGAGAAGAAAGCTCTGCTGTTGGCGCCATGTCGGTGCTGCTGTGTGAAAGCAGCCGCAGGAAGCAAACACGCCCGTGTTGATGACTTCGCTGGGACAATAAACCGAGCAAAGATACTTCCAAATCTTCAACACCTGTCCAGTATTCCCATTAGAAAGCAACCCCAAATAAAACAACACGAAGGCCGGAGGAGCACGCCAGGTCTGTCACACTGTAGACTGGAGGTGGGCCTGGGGACACACCAGAGCCTGTGGCCCCCACCCTGAGCACCAGGGCACCAGAGGGCAACGCCATCTCAGGCCTGGCTTTCCTGCATTCCCTACATGCTGCTGCCAACCACACAAGACAGCTGATTCCATTTACACCCAAATCCTTCGCCACAGCATGGGGTGACAGCAGGCCACCAACTTCACAGGCAGACCCTCACCCCTACGGCCTCAGAGTGGACGGCTCCCGGGATGATTCCTCACTCCGTGAAGCTGTTGGCGGAGAATGTTACACGGCAGCATCACCACCCACAGGCCTCCTCCCAGCTACTAGATGCCAGCCACCTTTCTTTACGAATAAAATACGTTAATTAAATATTGCATCTAAATAAGTGATCTGGGTTGGCTCTGTGTCCCCACCCAAATCTCATCTCGAATTGTAATCCCCACATGTCAAGAGAGGGACGTGGTGGGGGGTGATTGGACCGTGGGGGTGGTTTCCCCCAGGCTGTTCTCATGATAGTGAGTTCTCATGATACAGCTGATGGTTTTAAAGTGTGGCACTTCCTTACCTTCTCACCACCTTGTGAAGGTGCCTTGCCTCCCCTTCCCCTTCTGCCATGATTGTAAGTTTCCTGAGGCCTCCTCAGCCATGTGGAACCGTGAGTCAATTAAACCTCTTTCCTTTGTAAATTACCCAGTCTCAGGTAGTATCTTTATAGCAGTGTGAAACAGACTCATACAGTAAGAAAGAAATTAAAACAGCATCAATTTCAGCCCAGCCAGAGCCCAGACAATGTGCATCCGGTATTTGGAAAAGGGAAAAGCGAGGGTCCTTGAAGGATTCTGTGTGTGCGGCAGCACTGGTTTCACTCTGTTCTCAGCCACTGTGGACAGCACTTTTTGACACCCGGGCCCAGCGTTACACTCCCTGGCCCTTGCCCTTTGGTCATGGAATTCCAGCAATGTCTGGAAAACATTGGAAATAACTGGCACTTTCTAACTCAGAAGTGCCAGGAAATGCCACCGTCTTGCAGCAACGGCACAGCCCACAGTGCACAGAACTCCTTCCAGGAAGCATCTGAGGAGCTGCGCATGGGACAGCCTCAGGGCAGACAGCGGGGGCTCCACGAGGCAGCAGAGGGTGGTGTGGGTGGCGGGAGGCGTGTGCATGCCCCACACCTTCCTCAGGTTGTAGGATGTCATCCCTAATTTCCTTTATTCATCCAACAGATACTTACTGAGCCTGCACTGTTACTTCCTGTCTTCCTTGACAGATGGCTGGCATCAGGTTCTTCTTCCAGGAGAACTCACCTGTAAAATTGAGCAAATGTATGAGGCTGGTGTTATTGGTTATGTCTGCCCCCAACAAAAATATGCTGGAACTTTGACCCCTATACCTCAGCATGGCCTTGTCTAGAAAGAGGGTCTTGCAGATGTGCTGCATTAAGGTGAGGTCAGATGGCGGACCCCTAATCCCATGTGACTGGTGTCCTTATGAAGGGGGCGATTTGGGCCAGCCTCACAGAGTGCAGAGGGCTGAGGCGTCTACAGGCCAAGGAACCTCAAAGACGGCAGCGAACCAAGGAGCTGGAGGAGAGGCCTGGGCGGATTCTCCTGCACAGCCTCGGAGGGAGCCATCCCTGCTGACACCCTGAGCTTGGGCCCTGGGCTCCAGGCCAGGAGACGACACATTTCTGCAGTTTAGGCCATGCAGTCTGCGGGGCTTTGCTGGGGCCACCCAGGGAAGGAGCATGGTTCTTGCTTCTAGGCACTGAAGAGAAGACAGCACAGCCGAGGACTCTGAGGGGTGGAAACACAGTGGAGCCCAGCTCTCCACTGGGGGTGCTTCCCTGCGGGGTGTCCAAAAGCGGGGCTAGTGAAGCACGGGGGCCCTGCAGGACTCAGCAGGGCGGGGCCAGGGAGGAGGGGCTGGGGGAGGCCGCAGGCGGGTGCACTGGAGGGCCCAAGCCTGCCTCCCTGGCCAGGTGCTGCTGGGACATGCCCAGAGGGCACACTCAGAGAGCTGGAGGAAGAGGTGCATGTGCTCCCAGCCCACCCACAGAGCCCTAGCAGAGTGGAGGCCATGCTGTGTAGGGAGCAGCAGCTCCAGCCAAGCCTCAGCCCAGTCTCCAGCTCAATCTTGCAGGCAAAGAGCAAAACCCACCAAAACTCAGAATTAAAACAATCCCCCCTCTGCCCCCAGCAAAAATTGAGTGCCGACATCTGTGCCCCACACTGACAGGGAGCAGACATCACAGATTTTGTCCAGACATGTTATTTAACAAACAAAACTCCAATAACTGCCCTCTGGAATCCAGAGTTGATGTGAAGTGTCCAGTATTCAACAAAACTCATGAGACACACCAGGGAACAAGAGTAACCCCTTTTCATTCTTAGGGGCAAATACAGGATACTTGGCATGTATGTGGGGCCCTCTCTAACCACAAGGACGTGACAACTCAGGCAGACTCAGACGTTCTGATGATGCAGTGTCATCAACACGCAGACACCACATATCCTAATACGAACTCTTTCTTGATGAACTTTTGGGAAAATTAATGTCTGCAAGTTAAATCTCCCTGCTTTTGCAAGCCGAGGCCCAAAGAAATAAAATTAAATTCAAATCTGAGTTTGGGCCAGGCGCGGTGTCTCACACCTGTAATTTCAGCACTTTGGGAGGCCGAGGCAGGTGGATCACCTGAGGTCAGGAGTTCAAGACCAGCCTGGCCAACATGGTGAAACCCCGCCTCTACTAAAAATACAAAAATTAGCCAGGCCTGGTGGCGAGTGCCTGTAGTCCCAGCTACTCAGGAGGTTGAGGCAAGAGAATTGCTTGAACCCGGGAGGCGGAGGTTGCAGTGAGCCGAGATCACACCATTGCACTCCAGCCTGGAGTGCAGAGCAAGACTCCATCTCAAAAAACAACCAAAAAACCAAATCTGAGATTGTTCTCCCCATTTCTTGTTCTGCTGTCTCAGCCAGAGGGGCCCCAGTGTCCTCTCCACCCTTCCATGGATGCGTGTGGCTCCTCTGGGGCCCCAGTGTCCTCTCCACCCTTCCATGGACGCGTGTGGCTCCTCTGGGGCCCCAGTGTCCTCTCCACCCTTCCACGGATGCGTGTGGCTCCTCTGGGGCCATGGATGCTCCAGGAGGCTCTCATGTACACAGTTTCAGAGCCCAGCACTCTCTCCAAATCCATAAACAAAAGCAACGCTCTTGCGCCTTGACAGCCTCATTCCCAGAATCAAAGTTCCCATGAGTCAGCACTCACGGTGGCTGAGGCCCTGAGCAGGTCAGTGCCATGGAGGGGCAAAGCGAGCCCTTGCCTGGGAGCTGACACTCCTCCCAGAGGGACTTCCCATCAGGAGGTCCATTTCGACCCCTGCCTTGATCATATCTGGACAACCCACTTCTGTCAACGTGTTCCTCACTCAGAGAACGGCACCGGAGATGCGCCCGCCTTCTTGAAAAGCTTAAAGGATCCTAACTGTGGCAGCCCTTTGGGGTGGGAGGTCCCCCCGTGACACAGGGAAGGCCCATGAGCCCCGAGTCTGCCATGTTCCCTTACCTCTCCAAGTCAGAAAACTCCATCCCAAGGGCATTTTCCACCTGGTCAAAACAGGCCTGGTGTTTAGGGGAATCACATTCTTTTCTTTACACTTTTGCCACCTAAGCTTGCATCCCTATATGCTATGGTTCAACTTTTTTTAACACTTTACATAAACTGAATAATTTAGTGTATTTCTACACCTGGCCTCTTTCATTTAATGTTACGTTCAGAGCATCACCCACGTTGAGGAGCAGAGCTTTGGTTTGACATGTGCATTTTCACCACTTATCCATTCAAACTATCTGGGTCATTTCTGTGGGGCATACTCCTAGGAGTGACACTACATGGTATGGTGGGCAGAATTCAAAGACGCCACAGGATTCCTGCCCCCGGTGTCTGCCCCCGACCCTGTGAGGTCCAGGCAGGATCAGGATGGTCACCCCCAGGATCTGTGAACAGGACACGGTCACCCCTGGGATCCATGACTAGGACAGGGTTGCCCTCAAGACCAGTGAGTAGGATGGGGTTGTCCCCAGGATCTGTGAATAGGGCAGGGTCACCCTTGGGGTTCGTGAATAGGATGGGGTTGCCCCTGGGATCCGTAACTAGGACTGAGTCACCCCTGGGACGCGTGACTAGGATGTGGTTGCCCCCGGGGTCCATGACTAGGACAGGGTCACCCCGGGATCTGTGAATAGGATGGGGTCACCCCCAAGACCAGTGAATAGGATGCGGTCACCACCAGGATTCGTGACTAGGACGCAGTCACCCCTGGGATCTGTGAATAGGGCGGGGTCACCCCCAGGATCAGGCTGCATCGTAAGGCAAAGTCGGTGTGATCCTGGCTCCTGTGATTATGGCATGAAATTCGGAGCTCTGTCCTGGCTGAAGTCAGAGATTCTCCTGCTGGGTTTGGAATGTGTGAGGGGCCAGGGGGCAGGAACCAGAGAGAATGACTAGCAGCCAAGGAGCAAAAGCAACCTCTGGCCAATGGGCAGCAAGAAAATGGGCCTCCATCCCTCCACCACAAGGAGCGAATGCTGCCAGCCACCTGTGTGAGTGCCTGGAAAAGGCCCCGAGCTCAGAGAACCTGGTCCCTCTGAGACCTTAATGTCAGCCTGGGAGGACCCAAGCAGGACCTGCAGCTCTGCCATGCCTGGACTCTTGACCCACAGAGACAGAGACACACTCGGGATGCTAGGTGAGGCACGCAGTCGGTCACAGCAGCAGCACTAGCAAACGAATGCATGTGGGAGCGGAGTATCTGCGGCAGATGATGCCCGGCTCTTTTCTAAAGTGCTTATACCAAGTCACTCTGCAACCAACAGCATCCACACCTTCGAAAATACTTGACAGTATTCATCATTTTAGTGGTATTTTAATAGTGTAATTTTTACCTTTAACTTGCATTTCACCAATTATAAATGAGATCAAAGACCTTTTATGTTGACCGGCCATTTTATATTCTTTGTGAAATGTCTTTCAAATCTTTTACCTTGTCTCAATTGTCTTTTTCTTATTGATTTGCTACATAGGCTGGGTGTGGCCCTTGGTGTGCGGTGCTCTTACTCAGCCACTGAGAAGATGGCACGGCTGCATCTTCTCTGTGGTTTAAGCAGTTTATCATTGGTTACATTCATTTTAGTCAAAGTTATTAATCTTTTTTTGTGATCGGAGCTTTGTGTGTCCTGTTAAAAAGTCTTTCCTAACTCTCAGGTCATGAAGATGTTCTCCTACATTATTTTCTAAAGGGTTCTCGCTTCCCCTGCACATTTTTGTTTTTGAGACAGGGTCTGGCTCTGTTGCCCAGGCTGGAGTGCAGTGGTGCGATCTCAGCGCACTGCAACCTCTGCCCCTAGGGCTCAAGCAATCCTCTCACCTCAGCCTCCCAAGCAGCTGAGGCCACAGGCACGCATGACCATGCCTGGCATTTTTTGCATGTATTTTTAGTAGAGATGGGGTCTTTAACCCAAGCTCAAGCGATCCGCCTGCCTCAGCTTCCTGAAGTGTTGGGATTACAGGCATGAGCCACCACGCTCGGCCTCGCCTGCACATTTACATTTAACATCCACCTAAGATTAATGGGCACAGTGTGAGGGAGGAGTCAAGGTTCACATTCACCCCCGTGGAAAAACTGCTGGCTAAAAGGAACTACTGACTGAAAACGTTGTCCTTTCCCCACTGCTCTGCCGCAAGACCCCTGGTGTAATCTCCAGCGGTCCCTCCCTGGGCACCACCCCTGGGTTGGCTGCCTAAACCTCGTCATCCTGCACGGCATGTCTTCCCGCCTTGCTCTGCGTTTGCACGAGGCTCTCAGCTGTTCTTGGCACTTTGCACTTCTACATAAATTGTTTTTCAAGATCCAGAAAAGCGGTAAAAAACTCACAGGAATTGAATGGCTGGCACGGAGTCCACCAAGCAATTAATTGAACTGATGCCTTTCCATGAAGTCCTCTAACCATCAACACGGAGGACTGACGCCTTTCCATGCAGTCATCTAACCATCAACGCGGAGAACTGACGCCTTTCCATGCAGTCTTCTAACCATCAACATGGAGGACTGACATCTTTCCATGCAGTCCTCTAACCATCAACGTGGAGAACTGATGCCTTTCCATGCAATCCTCTAACCATCAACACGGAGGACTCATGCCTTTCCATGCAGTCCTTTAACCATCAACACAGAAAAATGATGCCTTTCCATGCAGTCCTTTAACCATCAACACGGAGAACTGACACCTTTCCATGCAGTCCTCTAACCATCAACACGGAGGGGAACTGATGCCTTTCCACGCAGTCCTCTAACCATCAACACGGAGGAGAACTGATGCCTTTCCATGCAGTCCTCTAACCATCAACATGGAGGAGAACTGATGTCTTTCCATGCAGTCCTCTAACCATCAACACGGAGGAGAACTGATGTCTTTCCATGCAGTCCTCTAACCATCAACACAGAGAACTGATGCCTTTCCACACAGTCCTCTAACCATCAACACGGAGGAAAACTGACGCCTTTCCATGCAGTCCACTAACCATCAACACGGAGAACTGACGCCTTTCCATGCAGTCCTCCAACCATCAACATGGAGGACTGACGCCTTTCCATGCAGTTCTCTAACTATCAAGATGGAGGACTGACGCCTTTCCACGCAGTCCTCTAACCATCAACACAGAGGAGGACTGATGCCTTTCCATGCAGTCTTCCATCAACACGGAGAACTGACGCCTTCCCATGCAGTCCTCTCACCATCAACATGGAGGACTGACACCTTTCCATGCAGTCTTCCAACCATCAACACAGAGGAGAACTGATGCCTTTCTACACAGTCCTCTAACCATAAACACAGAGGAGAACTGACGCCTTTCCATGGAGTCCTCTAACCATCAACACGGAGGACTGACACCTTTCCATGCAGTCCTCTAACCATTAACATGGAGAACTGACGCCTTTCCATGCAGTCCTCTAACCATTAACACGGAGAACTGACGCCTTTCCATGCAGTCTTCCAACCATCAACACAGAGGAGAACTGACACCTTTCCATGCAGTCCTCTAACCATCAACACAGAGAACTGATGCCTTTCTACACTCTAACCATAAACACAGAGGAGAACTGATGCCTTTCCATGCAGTCCTCCAACCATCAACACGGAGAACTGACACCTTTCCATGCAGTCCTCTAACCATCCACACGGAGAACTGATGTCTTTCCATGCAGTCCTTTAACCATCAACACGGAGAACTGACACCTTTCCATGCAGTCCTCTAACCATCAACACGGAGAACTGATGCCTTTCCATGCAGTCCTTTAACCATCAACACAGAGAACTAATGCCTTTCCATGCAGTCCTCCAACCATCAACATGGAGAACTGAGGCCTTTCCACGCAGTCCTTTAACCATCAACACGGAGAACTGACGCCTTTCCATGCAGTCCTCCAACAATCAACAAGGAGAACTGATGCCTTTCCATGCAGTCCTTTAACCATCAACACATCGCTCTGTTAATTTAGACCTTCCCTAAATTCTTTCAACAGTGTTTTGTAGTTTTCTACATGAAGGTCTTACATATTTTTCATTTTATTCCTATTTGACATCTTTGCTACTGAAAAGATTTTTATATTTTCCATTTGTTCCTGATTTAGAGAAAATTGCTACATCTTGTATCTGGCAGCATTATTAATTCTATTTAATTGCGGATACTTTTGTATTTTCTACATAAACAACAGTATAGTTGGGAAGTCGTGGCAATTGTAGTTGTTTCTTTACAACCTCTGTTCCCCTCCCCCTTTTCCTTGCCTTGCTCCACCAGCATGCCTGGGGAATAGCCGGTGAGCGTTACTAGCCTTCTTATATGTATATTGATAGGTTTTTTGGTAACTGTTCTCAATCAGACTGAAGAAATTCCCTTTTATTCCTGGTCTGCAATTGGTTTCATCTCCACAAATGGATACTGAACTGTAACTAAATGTATTAATATAATCATATGATCATAGCATTTTTCTCCTGGGACTGCACAGCCATTTTCCTTCATTCTAGAACAGACCAGCAGTCACAGGGCCTGGAATGTTCATAAATCTCAGAGAGCAATCATCACTCATTATCCTACTTCTATACAAGCTTGACATTTTCCATAAGAAACAAACACAACAGACATAGCGGCCAAGAGAAGGGTCTGGCTTTCAGGAAGGCAGGAGAAGAGACACAGGCTCCCAGGCCTGCAAGGAAGCCATGGGGCTGGGGGCTCGGGCGAATTCTTCCACCGAAACAAGACAGAGCAGCGGGACAGATGGTGACAGGTTTTTAAGTGTGGTGAGAGGTGGAGGCAGTTCCCTCGCAGCAGGTTGCACCTTTTTGTAAGCAGTCCAACATCCTCTGAGGGCCAAGGAGGAGGAAGTGGGGTTGCACTTGTGAGACCCCATGTAGCCACTGTGGAGAGCTGGAGACAGGACTGACCCCCAATGCCATAGTTCATCTCAACTCCCCCGATTCTCAAAGCACTTTAACAGCTGTAAAACCTGAACATGTTTTAGAATGGATGACCCTCTCCAATTACGACAGGCAGCAACTGCTCTTAGTGATATGGCAAAGAAGGTGTGGCCTCCAGAATAACTAGGATGTGGCAGTGCTGGGGGTGCCGGGCTTATTCCTGCACACAGGCTGGTCACACGCCCTTCTCCTTTGGCTGCCCAGACACTAAGTAACCATCATGCACAGAAATGCAGAAGACCTCAACTGAGCAGCCCACCTAAATGGGCATCAGTACATTGTTACTACAGGCACTAACAGCACTGGGGTGCGTCAAAAAGGCAGACTCCTGGATCCCACCCTCAGAAATCAGCTCCTTAGGTGGGGGGTGGGGGTGGGGGGCACAGGAACTGACATTTTCTAAAAGCACCCAGGAGTTAGCAGGAAGGCCCTGCCCACTTGCCACGTTTTAGAGCAGCGTGGAGTGGAAGGGGCCAGGTTAGGCAGGAAGTCATGACCCTAGACAAGGGCGAGTTTGATATGCCTTAGAAAGATGAGCAAGGAGCCTGGCACAGGAAAGAACCACCCACCCCAATCTTCCCCACTTTCAAAGCCATGCTCGTGTGGGGGCAGCGGCTTCCAAGGGAAGGCGTCAGCAATGGAGAGCATGTTTCGGAGTCAACGGCTTCCATGAAAAAGCATCACAATGAAGAGCATGTTTCGGAGTCAATGGCTTCCATGGGAAAGCATTGCAATGAAGAGCATGTTTCAGAGTCAACGGCTTCCATGAGAAGGCATCACAATGAAGAGCATGTTTCGGAGTCAACGGCTTCCATGAGAAAGCATCACAATGAAGAGCATGTTTTGGAGTCAATGGCTTCCATGAGAAAGCATCACAATGAAGAGCATGTTTCGGAGTCAACAGCTTCCATGGGAAAGCATCGCAATGAAGAGCATGTTTCAGAGTCAACGGCTTCCATGAGAAGGTATCACAATGAAGAGCATGTTTCGGAGTCAACGGCTTCCATGAGAAAGCATCACAATGAAGAGCATGTTTCGGAGTCAACGGCTTCCATGGGAAAGCATCACAATGAAGAGCATGTTTCGGAGTCAACGGCTTCCATGGGAAAGCATCACAATGAAGAGCATGTTTCGGAGTCAACGGCTTCCATGGGAAAGCATCGCAATGAAGAGCATGTTTCGGAATCAATGGCTTCCATGGGAAAGCATCACAATGAAGAGCATGTTTCGGAATCAATGGCTTCCATGGGAAAGCATCACAATGAAGAGCATGTTTCAGAGTCAACGGCTTCCATGGGAAAGCATCACAATGAAGAGCATGTTTTGGAATCAATGGCTTCCATGGGAAAGCATCACAATGAAGAGCATGTTTTGGAATCAATGGCTTCCATGGGAAAGCATCACAATGAAGACCATGTTTTGGAATCAATGGCTTCCATGGGAAAGCATCACAATGAAGAGCATGTTTCAGAGTCCACTGCTTCCATGGGAAAGCATCACAATGAAGAGCATGTTTCAGAGTCAACAGCTTCCATGGGAAAGCATCACAATGAAGAGCATGTTTTGGAATCAATGGCTTCCGTGGGAAAGCATCACAATGAAGAGCATGTTTTGGAATCAATGGCTTCCATGGGAAAGCATCACAACGAAGAGCATGTTTCGGAGTCAACGGCTTCCATGGGAAAGCATCACAACGAAGAGCATGCTTCCCATGCCATCATGGCCCCATTCCTTCTTTGAGAAACTAGAACTGTACAATTGCCAAGGCTGTCATTTCCAAAACACCTTGTAAAAATATGGCAAATTCTATCAAAGTTAAAAATGCACAAACGTTTCCAGAAGTTAATCATTTAGCTGTATGTGCACAGTTGCACAGCTGTATACATAAGGATATTCAGTAGAGCATTTCTGCAATAGCGACTGCCCCCTCCCAAATATCCACTCATAGGTGACAAACTGCAGGGCACTCAATCAGGGGAATATTTATGCAGTGGTCAAAAATGATGAATGGTTCAAACTACATATACCCATATGGAAAGATAAGGTTCAAAGAGGCAACTTAGGAAAGAATATACTTAATGCAATCTCACTTGCTGGGAAAAAAGTTAAAACACAGACACCACACACTGGCATTTGCTCAGAAGAATGAACAGAAGAACCTAAACGCAGAACAGGAGCTACTTCTGGGGAACAGGGTCAGGGCGCTGGGAGGCAGAATACATGCTTTTTACTTTGTATCCTGGTATACTGTTTCTATTTTCCGTATCAACAGGTATTATTTTAACAATTAAAAACTCTGGTACATGCTAGTTTTTAATTAGGAAAATAATACCTGCTTATGGGAAAAATATAAATAGTTCTGCAAGAAAATGAAGTATACATGGCCCAGTATACCTTTAAAAAGTGTACAGTTAAAAAACGGTATACATGGCTCAGGTACATCCTAGTTTTTAATTACTGGTGAGGTATCAAGTACAAATGCCTACCTACTCCACCAGTAAGATGAACAATTCACATTAGGTGTCTTATGCATCGCACGTTCTTGTCACAATGCAAATCAACAGAAATGGGTTTTTGAACGCCTACTTGTTTTAACCTGAAATGACTAAAGTCCTTGAAAGTGTAGATCCTGACTTCTTTTGAGCTCCTACAATAAGCCAGTGGGCTGGGCACTGCGTGTGGCTACCTGACCTCTGGCTGGCTGAAATGACATGCAGCGGAGCTGTAGACACACCTGAGCCAGGTACACGGACCATGGACAGGAGACCCCGCTTGGTCCTCCCGGCCACCCTTCCGGAAGACACCCTCGTTTGCACCACCGCCACACAGGGACACACACGAGCAATTTCCTTTTGTCTTATGACAGCTCCTAAAAGGGACCCCACAGATATCTTCAAGAAAGTTTCGCTTACTTGATCCCACAAAACGGTGTCCTGAGCGCCTTCCAGAATGCAGGTCATTCCTCCAGGCATGGGTGAGGACCTGGGGGCTGTGCCTACCAGCGTGACCTGTTACTTCAGCTTTTGTTCCTAAGACTTCCAGTGTTCTTTCCTTGTCTTTTAAAAAAAAATCTTCAAATTTTCTCAAACTCTAGACTTTAAAGGAAACATGTTATCTTCAGTATCAAAGACAGACAGAATTTTCAAATCTAAAACAGCCCAAAGAAACTGTAAAGCTAACAAGCACACAGAAAACACATCAAAGAAGACGAAGCGACACATTCTGTGACATAAGAAAAATAATCAGTTTAATAATTACAACAGTGTAGCATCAACATTGTAGTAGTCAACACTAGGACATTGTCTGTGACATTTAAATTAGGAGTTTCTCCACACTTGTCAACAGGCGCCCTGGGTGTCCCAGAGAAGTGAAGAAATGATTGGCATTAAGGAGTCCACACAACCAGGGCAGGCATTCAAGGTCCCAGACGCCCAGCGCATGTGGACAAGCACAGACGCCACTGAGTGTGAAGGAACGAGCTTCTGATGCTACATTCCAACATCGCTGAAAACTGAAAGTGCTTCACATCTACAGGATAAGAAATGGCTTCATCTCCTCATCCATACAAGGTGAGAGCAAAGGAGTAACCCTCGGGCAAATCGTGGCCCCTTTAAACGTTTATATCAAGTTCCCACCCCCTTGGGAGGTCACACGGTGAAACAGACACAGTTATATACAACAGGGCAGGTTTTTAAAAAGAGTTGCTCTCAGACGCATTTTTCCTGCTCCCTAAAAAGCCGAGGAAGATACTGGATCCACAGAAAGAAAAGGCAATGCCGTAACATGAGGCCCTCATGGCCGCACCGTCCAGGGGAAGGGCTGTTAAAAACACAAGTATTCTTGTGAAATACTTCGATCTGAGCATTAAGGCAGGTCTGCAGGAGATCCGTCCTGGGGACTCGGACAGCAACGCTACCGGCTCCGAGAGGACAGTTAATGTCGCCTCCCGGCAGAGGGGCGGAGAGATCAGACAAGAGTTGTTCCTGAGTTAAAACCTGCTACAACAGCAAACTCCAATAAACTCAAGTTGAATGGTTTCCCACTGCAATGTCTTACGCATCACCAAAAAATAACTTGTAAAACTCAAGCTTACCAAAAAAGAAAGTGTTGATCTTTGCTTGTGCCCGCATGAGTGAATGATCTGCTAAGTTGAGGAAGCTGGCAATTCTAGTGAAAAGTCCAGGTGAGGCCAGGTTCTGCAGCATGGGGCAGGTCCACGCTGAGCCCAGGCAGACAACGTGACCAGTCACGGAAGGAAGCCAAAGGGGCTTGCTGGGCACCAGAGACTGTAATTAGCAAGGGCAAGGAAGAACCGTAAACAGCAACACAACACTCTCCCAAGGTGCCCAGCTCAAAGGCATCAGTACACAAAGGATTCAGGTGCAGTTAAAGGGCAATTTGGCCAATAGACAGAAAATCAGAGAGTCAAATCTGATGCGCAATGAGTTGTTCTGAGACCAGTAATCCACGGTGCTGCAATTTGGGTTTTTAAAGATAGAACACTTGTTCTACGGAAAAGTGTATCTCACTTTAAAACCAACCTTTTCACAGGAAAGGAAACCAAAAGCAAAGTCCCTGTGGTCACCCTTATTTATTGCTGAAGCAGAACGAAAACCTGCTCCACGGGCCGGGCTTCCTGCCCAGGACCGCACAGGCTTTCCAGAGCCAGCCTGGGCCCAGCGAGCCGCGGTGAGGACAGGCTTCGTCTCCTCTGCACTGGAACACAGTGGGGGAAACGTTCCCTGCTTATGCCTATGTTACTTAGTGGAACCTAAGGTGTATATTGCTTTATTCTTGCTGAAGGAGGGGATTTTACTTTCGGTGAGCACTGAAGCCTGCTGGCTACGGCCAATGGTGGAGGAGACCTCGGGATGAGGCTGGCCTGATGACAAAACTCCACCCATCAGTATCAGCCTGCAGCATGGCCTCCATCTGTTTTCATCAGCTGCAGTGACTTATAATAAATAATACATTCTATTTACAGGTTCTAGTAAGATCTCTCTTTGAGGGAAGACAAAACAGTGTATTTTGTTGTTACTGAACTAGCCTATACAGAACCGTCTGTGTCCTCCCAAAACGCAGCAAACTCATCTGAGAATCACAGTACTCAGACAGCGGACAAGAGCAAACACCTCTAGGTGGATGCGGCAGTGCCGTATGGGCCTTCCTTGAGGTCAAGACTGAGTCTGTCAGCCAGCAAGTTGCCCTCAGAAACCCGCAGGTCTGGGACTGTAATGCTGCTTTAAGAGAAGACTTCTGAATGGGACTGAAGTGTATCTCTGCAGGTATAAATAAGGTTATTTAGAAATACCGACATGGGGGGTGCTGCCACAGCACGGTGGAGGCCCTGGTGCTGCGGAACGAACCAGGCATCCACCAGGCTTCTGCTTCCGGTGGATGCGGGCATGGGACTTCTTATTCACGTAGCTGGAAAGGACATTCTAGCATGGGGATTAGCCCGGACAGAACCACCACAGGTATGCATTCAAAATGGGATATTTACAAGAAACATGTATATATAATATTTATATATTCAATTCAAAGTCTGGAAAAACAAGACTTTTAGTCAGTCACTGAACTTATTGCAGAATGAGGTAACTGAGATGTTCACAGAGTGGATTGATGTAGCTCAGGTCCTCAGAGTCAATCCCTCCTGTCTGGATTCATCAGTCATGGTTTGATCGTCTCCATTCGCAGAATAAGCTCCAGCTTTTCTATATACAGAGAGCAAGGTGGCGCCCCACCCAGCCCTGCCCTGTGGTCCTGAGTGCACCCCGACTTGGGTCAGGGGTGCCCAGCTTCACCTCAGAACTGGTCTTCAACAGAAAGAACTGAGGACATCCCTTATAGATTGGTCTCATCCCAGGCAGGATCATTCATGTTCTTCAGGACTTTCCTCACCAGCTTCTCCAGGTCTTTGCGGGCTCTCTGTTCTTCCTCTAGAGATTTCTTCATCTTTTTGTTGTCCTGTAAATTAAGCAGACCACAGGGTGTTCACTATCTTTGGCATCGCGTAGGGCTTCCTTTCCCCAAATGTGTATCCTTGAGGAGCTAAGGCCTCGATTCATGAAATCCCACGTGAGCTGCCTATGGGCTCTGAGGTCGTGGGGATCCACGAAGGTCAAACACCTGGACAGGGTGGCAGCGGTGCTCCTGACTGTGCTGCTGTTCCCGGGATGGAAATGGTCCTAATGGCTCTTATTAAGTCCATGAATGAATCTCTATAGAACATACCGTAAGAAAATAGCTGGAAACTGCGGACGAGACAGCTCCTATCCAGCCTTTTTGTCCATTTATAACCACCTTCCAGAGTTACAGAAAGGACTGGAAGTAACAGCCACTGACAGGTGCAGGAGCAAGTGGGCGAGCACCTGCTCTGTGCAGCTGAACCCAGGCATGTCTCGGACGTAGGAGGCATGCACAAACAGATGCCTGCTGCCGGTAGGGGCAAAGCGTGAACATGGAAGCCTGCCAGCCAGGCAAAGGTGTACCTGGAAGACCTGCGGACACTGCTTAGAATGACAGCACATGTCCAGTTCCACACAGCAACCTGCTCTCAGCTCTCTATCCCAGACCACAACTCTTCTCAGGCTGTTCCTCGGCCAAAAGAACACCCCAACCTTCCCTCACCTAGCTGGGCAGAGGACCAAAGCCGCTCGTACTCACATTCCGTGCAATGAACACCCCAACCTTCCCTCGCCTAGCTGGGCAGAGGACCAAAGCTGCTCATACTCACATTCCGTGCAATACCCAGAACACCCTTGGTTAGTCGCCACTTCTGGCTCGCTAACCTGGCTTCGGGAGCCAAGGACCATGCAGTGGCAGAGGCTAATCTCAGGGGCGCCTCGCAGGATTTGTCACCAGACAGAACTTTCGATATTTTAAATTATTCTTCCAACAGAATTTGCGATGTTTTATGACATCAAAATCAGTATTGTTAAGAAAAAAAAAAGAGTTTAAACAAGTCACTTTAGAGACAACCAATTATTTTATCTGCTGGACTTCTCAAAGACATGACCTCCTTTTAGTTTTTTGCTTATGGACAATCAGCTTTTTATTTTTATTTGAGACGGAGTCTTGCTCTGTGGCTCAGACTGGAGTGCAGTGGCACAATCTCGGCTCACAGCAACCTCCGCCTCCTAGGTTCAAGCAATTCTCCTGCCTCAGCCTCCCAAGTAGCTGGGTTACAGGCACCTGCCGCTATGCCCAGCTAATTTTCGTATTTTCAGTAGAGATGGGTTTTTGCCATGTTGGTGAGGTTGGTCTTGAACTCCTGACCTCAGGTGATCTGTCCACCTCGGCCTTCTAAAGTGCTGGGATTATAGGTGTGAGCCACCGTACCCAGCCAGCTTATTTTTAATGTAATTTTCTTCTTTTCTCCCATTTGAAAAGAAAAAAAAGATTTAAAGATGGATTATGACGTACCTGTCTTAATTCTTGAACTTCATCCTTTAATGCATATACGGTATCCACAAGACTCCTGAAACAGGAAACAGAACACACACACATGAACAAGGTGAGGCATGGAGAGGACACACGAAAACTTACCAGGAGACACTACGATGCTGAGAGGAGGACACGGAGCTGCTCTGCCTTACCCATGTACTGTCTACATTCACAACTAAAAACTGCCAACCTCTGTGCATGGCAGGTTCAAGCCTAGTCAAGGGCAACTTCAGCCTATGAAGACATTTTAAAAGTGAAGCTCTGGCCAGGCACAGTGGCTCACACCTGTAATCCCAGCATTTTGGGAGGCCGAGGCGGGCAGATCACCTGAGGTCAGGAGTTTGAGACCAGCCTGGCCAACAGGGTGAAAACTCGTTTCTACTAAAAATACAAAAATTAGCCAGGCGTGGTGGCACAGGCCTGTAATCCCAGCTACTCGGGAGGCTGAGGCAGGAGAACCGCTTGAACCCGGAAGGTGGAGGTTGCAGTGAGCTGAGATCGCACCATTGCACTCCAGCCTGGGTGACAAGAGTGACACTCCGTCTCAAAAAAAAAAAAAGTGAAGCTTCTGAAGCCATACCCCCGCCCTCAGGGAGTTGTCTGGACTCTACTACCCCACCGCAGAGGTCAAACATCTGCTTTAGAATACCGGAAGACATCTTACTTTTCTTCTATCACTGTCTGACCATTACTTTTAGTTTCTTCCACTATAATTTTCTCTTCTTCTGGAAGCAAAACTTGTGGAGCAGATTCTTTGCGTGAACCTAGGATCATGAAAAAATAATAAATAAACCTCAGGCGAATACCATGGCAGAATGAAGAAAAACAACTTGACTATACCATGTCACTTAAATATTAAGTTCTAGCAATTATGCATTTAAAAACGTTCATCCAGGCAAGCTAGAGGAGGGCATCTTTTACCAGTTCTCTTCACCTCTGTCTACCGAGCCCAGGCCTCCTCATGACCAAAGCCAGAGAGGGAAGGAAACTGTAGCCCTTTTCAAATCGGAATTACGGATTGTTGAAACCCCAGCATTTTCAACAGGGAGGAAGTTAAAGGTTGTGACTGTACTGCTCTGGATATTCATCCCATTTTGAGCCATTATTCCAAGAGTTTCAGCAAAGACATATGAGACCAATCAGAACATATACAGTGAGTGTTTATACATCAAAGATCTGGCAATAAAAACATTTTACTCTACAGCAACATTTAATAATCAAGATATTACAGCATCATAGCACATGGTTTAGAAAAAATAACATTATTTGGTCCTTTATGAAAACTTTATATTTCCTAAAATATAAACATTTTTCTAAATGAAAGCAAACTGCTCACAATGTCAGAACATTTCTGTCATTTAACCAACACCTACACAAGAGCTTATATGGGAAAGGCCCTCAATAAATGTTGCAAAATATGTACTTTAGAAATTAGGAAATCAAAATACTCATTTTAAAAGGTGAGGAAGAGAATCAAATTGTATTTAATGATGCAAGGGAGAAAATCTTTTCTTAAAGAAAATATTTTCTTGAAGATTATATGGTACAACGTGTACCATTTATATTTTTGAAAAATTATGCCAGATGCAAATCAGAAGGCTATAATCTATCACAGAACACAAGCACCTGCAAGCGGTACCATGAGAAACATTTCTCCATGAAGAAGGGACACTCATGTTGGAGACACGCTCGCTAACTATGGAAACTACAGTGCTTCCGCTTGCTGGGTCTTTCTTCTGGCCCGCCTTTTGCTTGTTCCTAAAAGTTTGTCAGATCATAAGAAAGGCACTTGCTGTGCAGCCTCACTGTCACAGGAAAGCTCAGTACAATACGAATGTTTTATGAAGACGGGATTTTAAAGAATGGCTTCAGCCGGGTGCCGTGGCTCACGCCTGTAATCCCAGCACTTTGGGAGGCGGAGGCGGGTGGATCACGAGGTCAGGAGATCGAGACCAACCTGGTTAACATGGTGAAACCCCGTCTCTACTAAAAATACAAAAAATTAGCCGGGCGTGGTGGCAGGCGCCTATAGTCCCAGCTACTCGGGAGGCTGAGGCAGGAGAATGGTGTGAAGCCTGGTGGTGGAGCTTGCAGTGAGCCGAGATTGCACCACTGCACTCCAGCCTGGGCGACAGAGCGAGACTCCGTCTCAAAAAAAAAAAAAAAAAAAAAAATGAATGGCTTCACCAGCATTTTACTGCACGCTTAGGCTCCCCTGAGCAGAACAAGGTTAAGGATGATGCCAAAGCTTAAGATGTCTCATAAGACGTTCCTGACACGCGAGGGCACCACTGTTATTTCCACAGCAGCGTGCAACAGGAACCAGGCCTGGAGCTCACTGGCCAGGTGCTGCCCCTTGTGCGTCTGCAAAACCTGCTCCACTCCTCAGAATGGAACCCCTGGGAAACTGGAAATTCAGGGACTGAACAAAATCAAGACACTGCTCCTTCATCCTCGCGGGCATAAGAAGATAAGATGACGTCCTGGGAAAGCAACCAAGTGCTGCTCTGTCACCTGGCACAAGCTTCAGGAGACACTTGCCACACCGATAATGGAAAATGAGGGTAACTGCAGGATCTTAGGATCAAATGTAGCACTTAAAATTCAGTCACAAGCCATGGCTGGCACACCTGCGGCTGTTGTTAAAGTGGGCCAAATGCCCCTTCAAAGGCGACCCTCCCTCCCCCTCATGCTGTTGTGTCTCCACTGTGCTACCAGCTGGCAGCAGCAGACCTGACACTGTCAGGGAGTGAAGGAGAGGGCCCAGCTCCTCACATGCGTCCCCTGGGCCACAGTCCACCCACCCACACACACGGTGACCTATGTCTCGGGAATAACTTTTCGGACAGAAGATTCAGACAGGACTGCAAGATATGATTTCAGAAAAACGTTTTTTAAAACATTAGGCTGGTAGTATCAGCCCTAGGAATCTCTACAGGTCCAGGAGACAAGGACGGAGACAGCCCTTTGGGCTGCAAGGACTCCTGACACTCCAGGTGCCTGTGCTCCAAGAGGCCACGGGAGAGGACCCTGAGGGTAGTGGGCCCTGGGCTGCCTTCTGGTGGGCCCTTCCTGGCTAACGGGTAATGCTGCTGAGACACGTGGGCCACACGGGAAGATACTGCTTAGGAAGGAAACTGATGTGGGAGGGATATTACAGCAGAGCATGGGGTGCCAGCCAGGTGGAGAAGCTGCCAGTGTTTCTCATACAAATACAAAGGGTACCCATGTTTCTACCAGAAAATGTTAATTCATGTGCTATTTGCCCAAAAGATACAGAAATTTCATAGAAAATAAAAAATGAAACAAAGAAAATCCAGAATATTCATAAAGATTCAGATATTTATACCACATGTGAAGAAATCAAATGGCTTCACTTACTCTTCCCTGCAAAGAGAAGTCCACTGATAACATCGCACATTTTAGTCAACTAATTTTCCCACCAATTATCCAGTTGTCCTGCTTTGAGCCCAGACAGTTGATGACTGTTTCAGAGTCAAATTCACAAAAGCATCACTTGTGTATCTCACATTGTTTGCTACACATTTCTTCAAATGGATTCACTAATGAGACACACTGGAAAAAGTTATGTAACTGCGGATCAGGCAAAGTAAATTCTGTATTTCAATTATTTTTGTCTCTTCTAGCTTCCTAGACAACCTGTTTATATCATCTGTTTCCAACATTAACATTTTCGAATGACATAAAATAGGATCACAAAGAATGTCAACTTTGTAAAGAAATGGGTCAGACACGGGGTCGACTTCCGTACGGGAGTTGTGAGGCCATGAGCCACGTGTCCACTGCCTCCAGCCAGAACCAGGACGCCCCTCGTGGTGAGTCTTTTCAGTTAACCTGGGCACAGCACTTAAGCACTGAGTCTCAATTTCATGACTTACAAAGCACGGCAAAACTAATTCTCTGGAGCTGTTCTGAGGATTTAAATATTACATTTTGTAAATATCTTTTAACAGATGAAGTCATAAAGGTAAAAGTCATTCCATTATGTAGCATGATTGGAGGAACTAAGCCTCTAAGAACTGGTACGGTTACTGTATGTGCCCGGCACAGGTCTTATTTCTACAGCTACACTTAAAGCATGCGAGAAGGATTTAGGGATACACAAATGTAAGGTGGAAAATGTTGTATCACAGATAGGATGTACTGCTTGATTCCTGAAATGCACCAATGTGAAAAATGCCATTTACGGATCTGATGGCGAACTAGGAAGCTTGTAAATGAGGATTATTAACACGCCTAGAAATTATGCAATTCTAATAATCTGCCTAGTTTTCAACATACAGTTTTTCTAAAATGATTGAAAAGTTTTTACTACCTTTCAAAAAACAACAAAGAAATGTTCTCTAGCCAGGTTTACGTAAGTTGACTACTTCTTTAAAGAACGATGTTTTAGAAAGCAGATTTAACAAGTTATCTCAGAAATTATTAAGTGTTTTTAGAGACATCATAGCACATTATTCCCTGAGTTACCTAGAATGGAAAAACAATTTAACAGCAGAATGATCCGATAATGTTCTCTCGCTTTATTTAAAATCCATAACAGAGGCTCAGACAGAGATGAACACATTCATGATGGTTCTAGCACAGTCAAGATCTGTGTTTCCCAAACTGTTTTGTTTCTGGGAGATGAGAGGGGTTCCACAACACATCGTTTCGGGAAATCTTGTGGGCTACACTTCTCGGAGAATCACAGCGCACCCTTAGCACAGTACAGGCTCTGATGAAGTCTGCCATAAAAATACTCACTTAACTTTCATTCAGCATTTCTGAAATGCATTTGAGTGCTGAACTTTTTTTCTTTTAAATATCATTATTAACATCTTGTGGTTTTGTGGCTAACATTTTGAGAAGTGCTAGATCAGCTTATAATCTATTTCTATAACCACATACACAAAACAGCTGGTTGGTTCTTATTTCCGTATGGAGGTGGGAGTAAGAAAAACACGAATATAATGAAATAATTTATACTTAACACCAATCCAGCACTTCTCAAACTCGAGGACTCCAAGAATGTGCCTGTAGATGCTCGGTGTCTGCCTGCCCAGTGCTGAAAAATCCTGCAGCAAGCATTCCACTCTCAGGGGCTGCTGTGTGCCACACGACTGGAGACCCCAGGGGGCACCAGGACCCCACAGCAACACTCAGAGGTGTGAGCCACAGAAGGCTGGTACACATGTGTGTTAACATGAGCACAAAACTTAACATTTTAGGGATGTCTGAGAACCCTGCCCCTCCCCCACCCCAAATAGTCACACATCTCTAGAGAACTATGGAACTTCGTTTAAGAAACACAGATCTAACCCAGCATTTCCATTTCATAGACGAGATGACTGGCTACAGCAGCAACACAGTGCTGATCAACCCCTGGGGCCCCGAGTGCCAGCTCGCGACCACCACGCTTGGCTGTTAGACACCACTCTGGGGCCTTATCTGACGACACACAACTAACTGCTCCAGGAGCAACGCAGCGCAACTGTCCAGCCCAGGCACCAGTGTGGTGTGCATGCATGCTTGTGTAAGCCTGCCTGTACCAAAAGCCTAAAAACAGGGTAAGTTCATCAGAAGAGAACACCTGTCTATCTGGCCAGTGAACCAGGACATGTGCAGGATAATTCACCTTCTTAAATTCATTATCTTTTCTAAAATCTGCATCTCTAATCAACTGAAAAT
Source organism: Homo sapiens (assembly GCF_000001405.40). Classification (NCBI taxonomy): domain Eukaryota; kingdom Metazoa; phylum Chordata; class Mammalia; order Primates; family Hominidae; genus Homo; species Homo sapiens. Next base: position 111,295,820 of record NC_000013.11, on the reverse strand, counting down.
CAAATAACATTCACAGTGGAGCAAAATACAACTACACTTAAAAACGATTTAGTAATCTCTCTCCAAAAGTCATCTAGGCCATTTTGTTATTTATGGCTCTAAGGGTCTAATTTACTTTTCTTAGGAAAACTCCCAACTTGTGCTGAGAGAGTTTTCTACATTTACTGTCTGCACCTTGTCCTATCACTATACCTGCCACCAGGTACTTCGTTTCCTTTCCCTTTATTTTGCTTCATTACTCTCTTAGCTGGATAAGCACTTTATAAAACAAAAATTAAAAACTGGCCTTAGTCTAAATAAAAACATTTTAAAGTTGTGCTTTTTCCCATTTATGCGCACACACAAAAAATAATGCTTCTTTCTGAAGACAAACCCGCCAGTGACTGAAAGCTTCTTAAGAAACGGGAAAGAGATGAAATAAGAAATGTACAAGGAGTGACTTCGTCTTGTCCAGAACACGGCTAATCTAAGAGAGTGCAAGCTTTTCTATCAGGGCAGACAGAAGGGTTCTATCTATCACCTGCCTGCCTTTGGAAGATGTTCCGTTCAGGTAGAAGAGCCAAATTATATTACACTGCAAACTATGCTATTCCCCTCCCCCATGTAACAAATATTAAAAGCCACGGGCTAGCAAATGCAAAATTTATTTCAACTGTACATAACAGGTTTTTTTTAATATAAAACAAACACTTCATTGCCATATGCAACCACAAACAATAATATGCATACTGTACAATACAATGCAACATTCAGATATACATCCAATTGAGTTTTTCAAATGGTAGTCACCTACTAAAAATGGCTTTTCCCATTCACAGATAAAGAGCACAATTATAGAGATTTTTTTCAAGATCTTATACCACTATATACACATTACTGTGTTTTGGCAATTTTATGCAAAACACAATTAATATAGCTTATTATATACTTGTGGCAAGCGTTATTTCAAAGGGAACACCATTTAGGCCATTTGCAAAGGCCTGGTGATGGCTTAAACCTACCTTCTAGTTCAGACTCTTCATCCTTTCATTAGAATACTAACTGTACAAATAAATATTACAGAATTGTATGAACAGAAGATTCTATTATCAGCATGACTGAAGTCCCACAAAAGTAGAAACAATGGCCCTCTGGATGCCACATCGCCACTGCCACAGGAGAACTGTCTTTTCAGGCTTGTGGCACTAATACTTCTTAACCAGATCACAAAAGCTAATGGTGTTAGACATTCAAAACAAATGCAAAGAAAAGGTCAGGTTATTCTTCTGCAGTGATCTTAGCATCAAGAAAAAGCATCATCAAAATGCCTTTAACTGGTACAAAATGGAATGATGGTAAACCGTCAAAACTTTGGTGTATAGAATATCAATGAAAATGTCCCAGTAAGATAACCAAATGATACTTGGTATTAAAGGAAAATCCAAGTGCAGCAACTGTGTTTGAGTGTTGTGGTCTACACAGCCCATGACACAGGCAACCCACGCCTACGAGAAGGCAAAGGCAGCTTAGCCAGTGCGCTAATGAGTAGTCTCGAGGCAAACAAAAAAGTGCTCCCTGACGCAGAGGACTACCGTATGTAATACAAAACCAAAATCGCTTCTAAATCCACTTATAGTAAGTATAGAAACTTTGTAGTTATCTTATTTCTCCAAAAATCCCATTTACTATCTGGCTGAACATACATAAACCCCATCTCTGCCGGAGATTAACACTGGGCTCTGACTGCTCCTCAATGTTCTTATTTTTACTAATTGGTATGAAAATACAAAATCTTCCAATGGTGTGAGCAGTTCAGTAGCTACTTGGGAACAAATATTTGGAATTAACAGCTGCCCTGATGTCTCCTGTGCCATTAGCTTGTTCCATGCTGAATGAAGCCACCCAACTTTCTAAACAACGTGCTACTGCCAGGAGCTCCCTGGCAGCTCTGGGCTTGTGAGCAGCAGGACCCGGCTCCCAGGACAAGACTGATACTGCATCAGAGTTCACTCTGCACAAACAAGATCAGAACACTGAATACGTGGGTTTGGCGAAGGAGTGGGCAGTGGGGAAGAAAGAAATCACGGCCACCTGGAATTACAGCCACCCTGAAGAAGGAAAAAATGTTATTCTCAATTTACTATGGCATCTTGTTTTCTGAAGCTGGTTTCAATGAATACTTAAAACACAACCGTAAGGTTCCATTTTAACACCAAATAGAGCGTGCATGGGACAGAACACAATTTGGCCCCTCAAGCAATGACTAGGTGTGGATTTGATGCTACAACTGAATGCAACAGGTCACATTCAGTGCTTTTTGAAGCAGAAATTGGTCTGAGTGAGGCCAGTGAAAACTCCTTACAACAAATCCCAGGAAAACGGGTGAGTTTTTTTTTTTTTTTTTTAAATAAGTGAGCCACATGGCAACCTAGTAATTCTTCAATGAACTTCAATATCCCATTACAATGAGGCATTGTGGTTTTATACTATGGGGTTGCTGTAAATGGAGTTTCACTGCAGCTGGTTGCTGAAAATAATGATGTGTCCATGGCTCTTCCAGACAACATAAGTATGGATGTCAGGGGTGGGGAGCCGGGGGAACTGAAGCCACAGCACTTGACTTTGTAAGTATTCCAAATGCCTCTACTACAGTCCAGTAGTCTACACTTGCAGAGGCTGAATGCTTCAGCTTTCGGGCTTTAAACTGTTAGTGTAGAGATTTTACTGTAGAGTGGTACAGGCTTGCTATGTGCCTTATAACAGAAATCACTGCAATTCAGGGAAGTTTGGGGTGAAGATGCGAGTGAACATCTGAGCCATGACAGTAAGCTCTGCCTTTGGAAAGGAGAGCTCCCACTTCACGGCCACAACGCAGCACACAGAAGAGCACAGAGCCGTGAGGTGGAGACAAGCTCTGAACACACGTGACGCCCGCCCGTCTGTGCACCTGCCAAGGCCCAGAGCCCACATGCTGTTCTGCACGATTACCAGAACACAGCCGTTGGAACTGGGCTCACAGCACCTTTGCTGCATATATTCTTCTCATCTCTCCACAACTACTTGATCAGTGTTCATAGCACTTAAAAAATTTAGGTCCCTACAGATAAGGCCAGAGTCTCCTCCATGGTTCTGGCACTTAGATCACAAACCTGTGTGATTTCAGTATAAAATAGAAAAGTGTTCATACAGCTGTATCCAGAAAGAAATCAAACAGTTGCTACACTGAGAATAAAAAAACCATTTGGAGCTATAAAACAACAACTACCCCTTACGAAGAGCACCCTCGGATGTAGGCTCACGTGAACACACCACCTCCCTCCAATAGTCAGTCATTCGAATGTATACTCGCATCGGCAGTTAAGCCTCCACAAAGTACAATGGGAAATATCAGGAACACTCTCAAAAGTTGTTAAAATATCACATAAAAGAGACAAGGAACAGCAAGAAAACATCTAAGAAAAGCAGGCTGCGATACAACAAGCATTTGTTAAGAAAAGCTCAGAAGTGCATTAGTTCTGGTGAGAGATATATGAGCAACAGCTCTTACGAGATGTAGAACCCATTCTGTAACTATGGGCTGTCCATATACTGTCATAGTCAGAGTCTTCCGAGAGGTCTGAAGGCTCCAAACGAGAAAGGCTACTGCGACGCCCCAGGGAGTCTAGGCTTGGTTGGTCATCATCAGCCAAGACGTGATTATGCATCAGGTCAGTGCCTTGCCATGCTAAGACGGGCGGGCGGAGGGACAGGCGCGACAGGCAGGGGGTGAGGAGGAGAACGACAGGAAGAGCCACAACCAAAACATGGAACAAAAGCAAAAGGTGATGGGAAGAGAAGGAAAAGAGAAAATAGTGTTAAAAATTGGCAACAATGCATATTTTTCCTTATATACGGCTGGGTTTCACAATAACGAACTTAGCAAAACCCTTAGAATAAAACTAGATCGATTATTATCTAATTAAACCTAATATACAATGTTTCAAACTGCTTTTTTAAAAAAAGATATTGCTCTAAAGCCCTCATTTAAGAAATCTTTTACAAATCACACCCATGTCCAAAAGATTATTCTATAGACATGTGGCAATTAATCAATTCTATTCCACATTCAATTAACAAATAGTCTCATTTAGGACATCATTTGGGAAAGGTGCCATTTATGTGGCTAATTAAAAATTGTTTCCTATCAATAAACAGATGTATCAAATGCAAAATAATTTCAAAGGAATTCTGACGGGCTTTTTCAGCTGGCTCTTTGCCAAGACCATAAACCTGAGAGTGGGTCTGGACTTACCTGATCAATCAATAACCACTGTGAGAACTCAGAGGGCAGAAAAGGATTGGGCAGGGCCCACAGCCCCAGAACCCACCCCCTGCTCCCAGGGCGCGCTGGAGCTTAGCCCGCAGGCAGGGTGCAGTGGGAAGCTGGGTCTGCTGGCAACACCGGCCACCCCAATGCAGACCCTCTGCTGTCAGGAAGAGAGACATGAACTGGCAACGTCCCAGTGTTAAAAGGAGAATGACAGAGGAAGTGGCACAACATGTCAGGAGAGAAATAATCACGAGTGGCTGGCAACTATGAGCACTGCCCATGGCCAGGCACCTGGGCTGAGAGGCAGGCTGGGCCGCCAGGGTCTCCCTCCATGCAGAGGCGGGGATGCCCCTCGCTAGGTGAAGGCAAATCACAGTAGCCCTGGCCCCTCCCTACTCCTGCTTCTATCAAATTGACCTCTGTTCTCAGACTGCGAGAACTACATCATAACAGACTGTGAGGGCCGTTACTTCCTGGAGTTAGAAATCAATACCAAGGAAGTTTGGTTTACAAAATCTTCTTGGCATCCAAATGTGTGTATTGAACAGAGCTGCATTTTAGGTAAAATATATTATCCTTCTAAAACCCGTTTTACTAAGCATTTAATGTAAAAAGAGCTGCTTTCACTATGATCCCATTTCCAGACACCTTGAGTAAGTATACCACCTTTCCAGCACAAGCGAGCAATTTCTCCTATTACTCCCTAGTTTTGAGTGTTAGGTTTAAAGGGCATATATGACTGCAAGCTCCCTGAAGCCCCAGAGTGGTTTGCCCATAATATGAATTAAAAACAAAAATCAATGTATCGTTCAATGCTTTTCTTGCACAGGAGAAATGGAAGTACAGAATACAGGCAATGTGACAAGAAAAGAAAAGGAATTGTGGGCCATTCCCCTTAGGCAGCCAGGGGCCGTGAAGCCGCAGCGTATCACAGGACCCTGGTCATGAAGAAATGTGGTGGGCACTATGACACATACAAAGCTCAGCCCTCAGTCGGCCCTCACCCACAGGGGATTGGTTCCAGGACTCCCCTTGGACACCAAAATCCTCAGACGCTCCAGTCCCTGATATAAGATGGCATGGTGTTTGCATTGTACCTACACACAACCTCCCATATACTTTGAGTCATTTCTAAATTATAGTACCTAATACAATGTAAATGCCATATAAATAGCTGTTATAAGTATAATTATTTTTTATTTGTATTATTTTTTACTGTTATATTGTTACTTTTTATTGTTTCTTTTTTCTGAGTAGTTATCTGCAGTTGGTTGAATTCACAAATGCAGAACTCACAGACACGGTTGGGTGGCCAACTGAACCTGGTCTGTTCATCTAAGACTACTTGGTTAAAATTTTATTTCAAGTAACTGAAATTGAGATGACAAAAAAATCTCAAATTCAAAATCCAAAAATTTATGGCCACATTTTACAGCCTATTACTTAAAACATGATCAATATCAAATTATAAAAATGTAGTACCTTTCATCACAACAATTTGTACTTAGACGTTATTGTGTGATTATACACATATTTATTCCACCTTCTGATGGGTTACCCAGGCCTTTCCGTTTCTCTATTTCTCTCCTATTCTGATAAGCAGTCACTACAAATGGATATTTTTCACTAAAGTATGGACAAAAAAACCAACAGTGTTGACCCTTGGCAAAAAGTCTTAATGTCATAGACGGGATATGGTACGACACCAGTAAAATACTGAAAATGGTTAAAAAAAAAGAAGCTTCTGGATAATCGAGATTCCGTGAAGGATTTACCCTGCTCATCCTATCTTCACAGCTGCAGCCGTCTTTGATAAAAGCTAAAGCAGTTGAGAAGTCCTCTTCCCTCTCTCTCCTTTTCTCAGCATTAAACAATACATGACACTAATTGGAACCACCACACTGCAGGTGATTAACAAAACGAGCAAGTGAGATTAAGTGACAGTCGAGCTGGAAAGGGCACCAAGTCCTAAATTTGAGGATACATCAGTTTCTATGCTGAGATAATACAGAAATCATCCAGTTCTCAAAAGGACCACCTGTGGTGTCCGAGGCCCCAGCAGCACGTGCCCACATGTCAGCTGTTGTGGGCACGCAGATGCCAGCAGGGTAAATGACAGGCACGCTGCATCAGCCGCCACCCTGCTGTGCTTCACTGGCAACACCGGAGGAAAAATTTAAAGAAAAAAAGCCACCTTAGGGCCGAGCACTGTGTCTCACGCCTGTAATCCCAGCACTCTGGGAGGCTGAGGCGGGCAGATCACCTGAGGTCAGGAGTTCAAGACCAGCCTGGCCCAAAGGGTGAAACCCCATCTTTACTAAAAACACAAAAAAATTAGCCGGGCGTGGTGGTGCGCACCTGTAATCCCAGGAACTCAGGAGGCTGAGATAGAAGAATCACTTGAACCCAGGAGGCAGAGGTTGCAGTGAGCCAAGATCACGCTACTGCACTCCAGCCTGGGTGACAGAGCGAGACTCCGTCTCCAAAAAGAAAAAAAAAAGCCACCTTAATAGAAAAAAGTTTTTCATTTAAGACACTGTACATCAGACACACGTAAATCCTGTGGTTCTGAAATCTGCTGAATAAATTAGTTGTAAATTTCCAAAAAATTTTTAAAAGCAATTATTTTTTAGAAAGGCTAAAAGAAACCTTGCTCAAGGTTTGTATTTTGGATATTTCTAAGAAACTAAAAAATAATAACAAAATAAAAACCAAAAATTCCAGTACTACACCAACAGTTTAAATAGCTGAAATAACTGAACTAATCTTCCACTATCTTCTAAACACGTCTTCTCTTAGCAAAAGCATTATGAATTCTGGCAATACCTTCTATTTAAATATTTCCTAGTATAATTTTATCTAGAAAATCACACAGCAATTGTGCCCACAGCTCAGACGCAGCTGCATGAATTTAGGGACCTGAAGCTCAGCTGCTGTCCTGCCTGCCACCCCTGACTGAAACATCACTCACTGGGAGGTCAGGCGCATGGGCTGTGCAAGGGGCCTACCACAACAGGTTCCTTCAGACTGTAATTTGAAACTAAACAGAATAAACCACCACACTTCCCAGGCCTTATTGCTAAACTTACTTGAATTGAGTGTTTGCCTTGTTTTGGCGCTGGTGCAGTAAGCTTCAATGACTTTCAGAATCTGAGCATCTTCTTCCAAAGCAGCTGTGCCTGTCAAGAGATGCGCAACAGTTCACAGTCGAACTGAAAGGCCTCTAGGGCAACTGGCGAGACGAATGCAATGCAGACATCAACTCGACCAAAGTGACCAAGTAAGATAATCTGCCCTTGATTTTCTTGTCAGATAACTGTTTTCTACAAAATTCATGAGTTATATTCAAAATAAAATAAAATAAATGCAAATAAAAATATTTGCAACACATTTGGAAAAACGGCGAACATCCTAACTTTATAATGATTATCCTACCAACCCGTAAGAAAATTAGTATCCCCACTCTCAAACTGAAAAAAGGGCAGGAGATAGGAATAAGGAAGTCACAAAACAAGAAGAGTTCTAAGAAAAAATGTCCAATCTCGCTAAAACAAGAAATGAAAATTAAAACATTTTCGTGTTTCCACACGCCAGCCAGATGAAAACAAAAGGCCGACAACTCTCAGTGTCGACGTGGCCATCCGTGCCTGTCTGTTCCCCACACGGCAGCCCGTGGTCCTGTGAAAACCCGGGCCCATCATCTTGTCTATGGAACCGGACTCTGGCTGCCTGCTGCTCAGGGTGCTGTGCTACCTCCCGCTCTGCCAGGGGAGCTTGGGCCCACACAGCGCACTGTCCCTTGGGCACAGCCTGGGGTTCCTGCTCAGGGTCTCTGCAACCAGGCCTGGAGAGCTCCTCCCCAGACACCTGCTTGGCCTGCTTCCTCAGCCCCAGGAGGCTGCTCAAATGGCGCCCTGGCACCGAATCTCCCACCTGTCCTCCCCACTGGGTCTCTGCAGCACTCCATGGCCCACACATTGTTCACTTGTTTTGTTTCTTGTCTGTATCCTCCTACTAAAACATAGGCTCTATGAGAACAGGGATCTCTTTCGGCCACACTGTATCCTTCCCACCCAGCCCACGAAGGTGCTGATGAAGCACGCGTCCATGAACGATGGTCTCAGCTGCAGCCGGCCCCCGGCCCAGCTCAGTGCTGCCCCTGGATCTGCTGAAGGAAGTGGCCCACAGAACAGCCCTCTCAGAGAGAAGCCCCGGCACAGCCAGTAAGCAACAGAGCAGGCATCCAGCACCAGCTCCACTTCAATCACTAGACCCCAGGGCCTCACCATCTCATCAGGGGCCCTGGTGGTCAGGGACCTGGACTACCTAAGGAGAAGGACAGTCAGGATGGTGACTTATACTGCCATGGACATCAGGTGACAAGGACAAGAAAAGAATGAACACCCCAGCACGGTCACCTCACTGGGCTGATTGATGATAAGGTGGCGGTGAGGGGAGGCCAGCAGTGGCATGGCACAGTGAGCGTGTGGGACGGCTGCTGGGCCTCCTCCTGAGGCTGGAGGAAGTGAGCAGTGAAGGCAAAGGACCAACAAAGGCTGAGCTCAGACACAGGGGCGGGGCAGGGCAGAGCCCTGTAGGACAGATCCTGCAACTTTCCCAGAGCTGGCTCTCTCTCCCTGGGCTGCACCCATCAGTCCACAGCAATCTGTTCACGTGCACCCCTTCCCAGCAGTCACCCCCAGGAAAATCACTTACTTCTGAAAAGAGCTCCACTTATTCAAAAGCTATCTACCGAGCACCTAACAGGTGCCAGGTGCTTGCTGCGAGGCCACATAGGAACCCAGAGCTGAGTCAGACCCCTAGGCCTGAGGAGCAGACAGGACAGGTCCAACAGCAGAGAGACCAGCAAGAGAACAGCACGGGTGGGTGCTACCCACAGGAGAACACAGCAGGTCACGCTTCTAACAGACACAGGGTGCTTTGGGAGATGCTGGCACTTCAGGAAGTGTGGGTGGAATATCTTATAGGCGAGAGGGAGAACCAGAAGAGCAGGAGAGCCCTCCAGGTCCGGCCCCAGCTCCTGGATGAGGAAGGGGCTATAAGGCAGTGGTGCCGGGACTGGCACGGAGGCTTCACCACTGACACAAAGGCGCTTCTCCTGCTTGCTTGGGTAAATGTTACGTGGCTTATTCCTATCACTGCCTCAAGGGGCAGACCTTACTTTTGTTTGGAGTCTTCAGAAAGCCACCAAGCCTCCCTCTATCCCAGGAAAGCCATGGCCTACGTGACCAGGAGGCCACGTCCTCCACCACACGGACCGCAGGTACTCACTTTTCCGGGACGCGAACTCCTCATCTGAAGGCTTCCGTTCAGGTTTGCGCTTGGGCAGCAGCTTTTTCATGGTCTTAGGGCTCTTACTAAGATCCTAGGGAAAGACAAAAGAAAATGCTAACATACTCTAAAGCCAATCATTTTCACTGGCATATCAGAAAGGCTGCTGTAAAGGTATAAAACCCCAAATTATTATAGCCACTGATAAGAGCTTCTCGCCTTTTCCTACTTTGATTTTTCTTTACCAGCTTCTGAACGTTAATTTTTAAAAATCAATAGGGCATTTTCAGTATTAGTCATTGGCTAATTTTTTTTTTTTAATTCTAATAAAACCCCTCGTGTCATTTGGGTCCTGTTAGTCCTGTGATGAGAGGTGTCACCAGGAGGCAGGCTGGCGCTGGTGTGCACAGACATCCTGCACGCTCCTGAGGGAGGAGGAGAGGAGGGGGCAGCTGCTCCCTAGGACAGACCTATCCCCTGGCACAGCTAACTGGAAAGAGAGGAGGAAACTAAGGTTGTCATTAAATGACAGATAAGTAAAAAATAATTGCTTTAAGAAAATATTTGAAGTTTCAGGGAGAAGAAAAGGGAGCGAGTGCTCAGCTACCTGACTCTGAGTGCCAGGAGCACAGCCAAGCTCGGCCAGGGCTGCTGTGCAGGGGCCACATGCACACCAGCTCAGAGTGTTCACAACGGAATGGCCCACCCCTTACCTCTTCAAACAGCTTTTCAAACAAGCACAGAAGACGACGGCAAAAAACAAAGTGAGCAAAGCAAGTCCCAACAGAGCAGGTAAGGTGTCAACTGTCAAGCACGTGTTAAATACCGATATCAAAAAAAGGCTGGTTTCTGCATCACCCCAACGACATAAACCATCACGAATGCTAAACGCGAGACCAAGACTCAGAAGATGAGATGTGCTATGGAATGAACCAGGCTGGAAACAGAGGAAACAAAGCTTGGTTTTTAAAATTATCTTTAAAAGTCTTTTCTTGGGAGCTAAACAATGGGTACACATGGACATGACCATGGAAATGACAGACCCTGGGGACTCCAAAAGGCGGAAGGTGATGGGGGTGAGTTTTGAAAAGCTACCCATTGGGTACAATGTTTCCTATTTGGGTAATAGGTACCCCAGAAGCCCAAACCCCAGCATCACCCAATACAGCCACGTAACAAACTCTGAATCTAAAATAGCCTTCAAAAAGTTAAACAAAAGTATTTCTATAAAAAATTGGAAAGCTCTTAGAAATGCAGCAGCAATCTGTTCCAGAAGACACATTTATACACATGTGCTCATGGCTTCCCTAATTCGAAGCAAATTGAGATGGAGAGCCTTGAAGAGCCAACGCCCGCCCCTCACGTGCTCCGAGGGCACCTGCAGGCGCAGAGGGTCACAGAGCACACAGCACACCTGAGCCAGAGCCAGGCAGAGCGGGCTGCAGAGCGGCCTCCACGAGCCTCCATGTCCTCTTCTCACACCCTGCAAGATCACTCTCCACGCTACTGCTGGGCGGTGCTCAGCAACACTGGACGGCAGCTGCTCGGTGTGAGCCCTTCTCTCCCAGTGTGGAGTTGGCAAAGCAAATGCAGCCAGACTTATCAAAAAAAATTGTTTATCTTCACTTCAATACCCCTTCCGTTGCCCTTTCTACTTCTTTGCCCAACAGTTTTATCCCAATTTTCTTCCCTAGTAATTCAGTCTCCACCAGTTCTTGTAGTAGCTCACTTTTTCTTTAGACTGTGCACACTAAAGTATACAATAAGGAACAGCAACATTCTTCAAGTAACTTCCCATGATAGAAAATGGAAATTCTGACTTGCACACATGATTACCTGAAAGATATCATAAAAACAAAGACTCAGAACAAAAAATGAAAAGCACAGATCCTAATTTCTCATACAGTACTTTCCTGTGGGCCTTAAAACCCCCAGGGCTGCCGGCAAGAATGTAGAAAAAGTCTGCTCCAGTTCCCTTGGCAAATGTGGCCTTGACCAGACACAGAGGCACAATGCCAGGCAAGAGCGTGTCACCATCCTCACGCTCACTCACACCCCACCAACGGGCACTGCTGCTCACACTGACGCGCACGATACCCACACTCTCACCGCCACTCCTCATACCTCACCACCATGCACGCTCAACTGCTTATGAAAACAACTCTCATCTCAATTATCAGCTTCCTCAGGTGAAAGTACTTCTCAGAACAGATTTCTAAAGACACTTCCTTTCCTCATCCAAGCTGGTTTAGGTAAAAGTGTAAGGAAGTGTTAACACTTCTATTTATTCATTGGAATCGTACTTTATTTGCGCCTAGCAAATATAAAAATGCCGGATGAGAACAGAGACAAGCAAAGACCGCATCATGATTTCTTATGCATCAAAGGGGGAAACCGCCTAAGTGATTGTTTTTCATTTGTATTAGTAAATGTTCTCTTCATCTCAAATGGCTTCTGGATGACAAAATGCAGGGCTCCTGGACAGGATCCCCAACCTAGAGGAGGGGTCGTTAGACGCAGCAGACAGCGTGCAGATGCTGAGCGATGGCCTCACACACAGGGAGTGAAAGCCACCTGGGCTCAGCGCCTTTCCAGCTCCTGGCCCCTGGCGGCACACTCCTCCGGCAAGTGCAGTAAAGGCCCCCCTGTGCATGGCAGAAAGGAGGGGGACCCTGCACATCGCCTTCCCACACAGGTTACCACGGGCCTCTCAGCAGCAGAGCAGATAACCAGAGAACCAAGGCAGACCCCCCCTTCTCAGTTCTCTAGGAGTTAGGGTGCATTTTGCTGTACACAGAAGGCCCAGCACGTGGGCACACCCAGGGCCCGAGGCATGCTCACCGTCATCTGGCTGTTTGAGTGGTCAAGGGACCTCACCTCCTTGTAGCAGAGAGCAGCTGAGGGCCGGAGGGGAGGCGCGGGCCGCAGGCAGCTCAGGCTCCAGGGCTTGGGTGTTTTCGGAGGCTCCAGGGGTCCCCAGTTGATGGTGGTGTGCGGGGTGCCGTGGTGGGAGGGGTGGGGCAGCGTGTGGTAGGCGGGCGTCAGCGGCGCGGGCTTGCTGTCTGCGTGCTTGCTGGACGGAGTGACCGGGTGGGAGGGGAGCTGCCAAGGGCACAGAGCGGGAAGGGCAGAGAACATGAGACTCGCGTGCTCACCGCGAAAGGGCACTTATCACGCACTTCCTTCTGCTCTTTAAACACTCCATGTGAAATAAACCTCAGGATTTATCATTTCATTCGTATCTCTGGCTCTCAGCAGTCAGTTTTTGGGGCCAAACACTAGCTCGCGCCACCTGGGCCGAGCGTGGGGCTCCTCACGGCGTCTGCCCCAGACAGGAGGGGCAGCTCTAGCTGGGGCCCCAGCACTCAAAAGACATCCACTAGCCACATTTATTAGCTACGGAGTAACATTTATAGAAAAAAGGTACTTCATCTAGTAAAAAGATGAGAATTTCACAAAAGCACACAGGGCATGTGGCTGTAAGAAGGAAGGTGATTCCCCCCCAGCCACGTATTATTCTTCACCTGGTGATAAAGTACTGGGCGAAACTAAGGCCTGATCGCCTAGTTTTGTTTTTTAAAAAAGTTTTCCTGGCACACAGGCAGGCCTGTGCCTGTCTAAAACTGCTGTTGTGTTCCAAGGGCAGAGTACAGCTGCAAGAGGCCTGAACCTGTAAAGCAGAGAACGTTTACCATCTGGATCTTTACTGAACACTGCCAAACCCTGGTATTAAAACCAATTATGTTCTTAGAAAACTCAACTTTAATCAAAACAAAGTTAATCAAAAATTAACTTCTTAGAGCGGTGTGCCATTAATGCATTTTATATTCCTGGAAAACCCAAAATATTCCATCACAATGACAGTTAAATGAGAAAAGTTAAATAAGTCATTCTCAAAATCAGCCAATAATGACCTCAAATTAGCCAACAATAGTAAGGTGCATTTAATGGGAGAACAAGCTGTGTGGCGCTGTGAACTGGAAACGGAGTGGGGCCGGCATTCTGAGGAAGTGCGCGACCTTCAAAACACAGGCTGAGAGGGACGGCAGCTAATGCCACAATTTCAAGAATAGAAGCCATCAACTTCCTGCAACGATCACATTCTAGTCCCTGCATGGGGGAGGGAATTGTGTGAGATGCAGGTCATGCTATGAAGCCACTGTAAGGTCATCTTTTCATAGGAAATAATGTATAGATGGATAAAATTATGTAAGACATCCCTTCTAGCAACAACGTCAAAGCAGTGTCTGGTTTTGTTTCTCCTTTCTTGAAAAAGTCAAAGGAAGTATGCTTTATGCTAAAATTAGAAAATGATTTCAGCTGGTCAGAGTTGGATCACAGAATACATCATCCCACACAAGAAACTCTGTAGGAGAATGCAGAACATTTTAAACATGAGGCACAGTGCCTTCCCCGCTGAAGGGATGCCTTCCCAGCCACCAGTGAAAGAAACACTAAGACGGAGGGTCTGGCCACAGAGAAAAGCTGACTTGATATAAAATTGTATGAAGTAGAGTTTCAGGCTGCTGTTGAAAACCTGAGTGAAGCAGCTCATCCACTGTTCTTTATAAACACACGTGTACACACACGTCCCTGGGATAAACTGATCTCCATGAAAGAATGGAGAATTTTAAAATGGTAGAGCCATTAAAAATGAAATGCTAGCTAAAAGCCAATGAGTAGTTACAATCTTTACTGCTGAAAGAAATCAGATGGACTCTGAAACTCTGATGAGAATATCAGAGTACAGCAATCCTTCTTGAGCTACAACCTTCACATGAAGAAGAAAACATGAAAACTGAGCACACGACAGAGCTGATCCTAATAGCCTAATAAGGATGTGAGGAAATCTGTAAGCAGAAAACGCCTGTGTCATCGTCATTCATTCTTTAAAAGCTCTGCCCAGTTTTTCCGTATTACTTGATAAAGATGACGACTGTTAAAACAACCCGATACCAACTTCTTGAGCACAAAACACCAGGAGAGGTTTAAACACTGAAGCTTCAGTGTTCATCTATTCTGAAAAGTTGTAAAAAAAAAAAAAAAAAAAAAAAAAAAAGTCTCTAAATATCCAAAGACTTGTTGAGCTTTTCTAAGTAAAAGACACCTCAATTTCTTAAAATCAACAGTGTGTCATAAATTCTTTTAATGCCTTCAACATGAGTCTGGCCCTTTTCATCATCATAATCATTTATTTTTTGTTTTCTTAAATGAAGCATAATAAACAGTTAAAATTCTCAGAAAAATCATCTATAGTTGAGTGTAAAACTCCCCTAAATCAGTCTTCTAGGGCCACACGGAGCAGAAGCAGCTTCCCACCCAAGCACCTCTGAACTGTGCGTGAGGAGGCACAATTCAGGGTTGTTTCTCGAGAACACTCATTGGAAAACAATTCACTACTGCACGAAGAGGGCCAAAGATCTGCAGAGAAATGTGAAGCAAGTGTTTTGCACTTTTTATCCAAATATTGATTAGGTTTTAAAGCAACTGATCACTTGCTGACAGCTCAGCCACGGGATGCCACGCCTGGAGTCTGGAAGGAGGAGAAGCACCAAGTCCTTACGGTATGAGATGGCACTGAATGAGGCTTTATGGTGGGGTTTCCCACAGACGTGACCTTCGTTTGCTTCTGTAGGTGCTCCACCCATTCCTGCAGATCCTGCTGGTTGTTGCACGACACTAATATCCGCTCAATCATGCTCCCTATAGGAGAGAAGGAAAAAATAGGCCGAGTGGAAACACAGGTAAAAAGCACGTGCGTGCACACCCCCCAGAATTCCACTCAGCGCTTAAACACCACCTTCTGAAATACGCAAGCAAGAATCTGCACGCGGGGACAAGCTGCCTCTCCTCCCCGAGACACAGCACTCACACAGCTTGTGCCTATCACCTGATATTTCAAATGCATTTCTATGATTTTCACTGTCCTCAAGCTTTGTGATTGTCATTCCTGTCGTTGGAAGCTTTCCCTAAAAAAGACCCCCCCCCACAAAAAAAAAAACAATTAGTGCTTTTCTAGAAAAAGGTACCATTATTAAAGTCAATATTAAATGATTTTAGAATTGGTGGAGGAACTGTGTTTGTGAACCAAAAAAAGCTCATTTGTAGCAGATGTGTGTATAATACAAAAATTTTTATCTCAAATAATAAATTATAATACTGTACTGTAAGCAAGAAACTCAACTGGCGACAAGGGACAGAGTGACAAGCCCAAACACACACTGTATCTGATGAGCTGCTACTAAACATAGACACCAGGACAAAAGACATCACACATTATGATTTTTAAAAAACTACCGTGTATAACAGTTGTTTTAAATGATGTTTTTGCAGAAAAGAACCATGTATTTTCCTCGTAAAGAAATGCAGAGGAAGTTCCAAGTTTAAAGTCAAAATAAGGGTGGGAAATTGAGGCAAGAACAAGAATTTCATAACATTCTACTTTGTAAAACAGAAAATAAGTAGTTGTGCTAAATGCTGCACACAATGCACAAAATGGTTGGCAAACCAGTGCTCCCTGAAAACAGAAGAAATCGGTAACTGCACCAGGAAATGTCAATGGAAAGATACCAGAAAGGGGGTACAAAGTGATCATTACAAACAAGTCAGAAGTGAACACAAAACATCCTGGCACAGCTGACAGAAACCACAGTACATGGTGGCCCACCAAGTCCGCAGGAAGAGGCAGTGGGCGTCTGGGCAGCGCTGCCTGGGGAGCACTCCATCAGCTGCGGAGCAGGATTCTACATAAGCACCTCCAGACGGAGTGCTGCTCAACTGGTGTGGGGAACGTGCCCCCACAGAGAATGGGTGGCAGTGCCACAACCTGGCAGGGGCTCAGACCTCCAGCAAGTAAGGGCCAGAGAGGCTGCTGATACCCTACAGTGCCCAGGACAGTCTCACCGAGACCCCCAGCCCCTGGCCATGAACGATCCAGTCCAGAACGTCAGCAGTGCCCAGGCTGAGAAATCTCATCCTAAAGCATGGCCGGTGGAAGAGGAGACTGCTGGACACTTCTGTGGCCAAGCGTATTTAAAAAATGCTACACACTGTGAACTCCTTTCCAAGATTCGTAATGCATATAAGTACTTTAACAGCTGTAAGTCCTACAGAAAATGAAACCGCACAACTGTGTTTAACCTAGCCCCTCTGAACATCGGTGTATAGAACACTATGACTGTGGCTGGACCGAACACTTTTTGGCATCCCCCAAAGCCAGTGTTCTAATGGTAGAAACGGATACCAATGATACAGAGACCATGGGTCACCACTGTGCTAAGAATGGAAAAATAAAATCCTGTTGTTGAGATGAGCTCCAGCAGTCTGTCAACACATCAAGGGCAAATCCAGTGTAAGCACCAGCCACACAGGCAGAGACTCAAGCCTGCCACAAGTGACAACCTCTTCTCTCCTTAGGTTAGAGAAGGCCCCTGCCTCCAGCCACTGGAATGAGATTCTGGGGATATAAAATCGGAAGCCAGATAGTGCTGACCAGAAAGGACAGAGATTTAGGTTTATCAAGGTCATTTAACACAGAAGTAGCTGCTAGTTTGGGGGAAACTGTAGTGGGCACTATCCTAGCCACAGATCACCTCTCTTCAGCAGTGGCCTAACAAACTACAGCCTCACTTTCCTGAGTCTGTTCCTACATATGTGATTCACCAATTCTAAAGCACGTGTGTTGGTGTAAGCGTATGGCCACAAGTCCTCTCTGGGTGTCGGCAGAGCCTCTGTGAGGGCATAGTGTCTGCTTAGGGATCTTGAACGTCCTTGCTGCGCCAACACAAAACAACACGTGCTACAATGAAATGCAACCCAGAGAACACGAAGTGGCGGCTTCTGCTGCAGTGGTTACGTGGTGACTGGCCAGTCCTCAGAAAGTTGATGGGAAGGATATGAGCCTCTGTAACTTCCCAGAAAAAGAAGAATGAAACCTGCCAAGTGCATCTACTAGACAGACAGCGAAAATACCAGCTCCTTCATATACCACCACTATAAACCACTGTCGCAACAGAAAAGGCCCTGCTCACCCTTGCACCTCCTTCCCAAATCTGCTGTCACATTTTCTCAAAGAGAAGCAGGGAAACAAAAATTAAAAAGGTTCAACGATCACACACTGCTACTTACACCCTTACATCACTTTCTGTTTGCTGATGCATTTGGGCGGTGCCGTGCCACTGACACAAGATCTTAGTCTACACTACCCCACTAACCCACAAGCCCTACTTGAACCAATTTCACAGAATAAAACCATAGCAAGGAGGAGCAAGGTATTTTGCATGAAACGACAGAAGGCAATGACAGAGACTGACTTGTGCCACAGTAGTCTGTGTCCTTATGAGGTTGCTCTACAGTTTACACTTCTTTCCTTTTTTGAAATTAACATAGGATATGCTTGCAGTCACAACGAAACACAAACAGGAGCTGTACGTCCATATCTGAATATACAGCACTACACACACAGCACATACACAGATAGATACACGTAATATTTAACACAAAATTCAAAGCCAGTTTGAAATTATCCTCAGATCCACAATAAAATATAAATTTAAATTGTGTTTTACCTGATAGATAAAGCCACTCATCCTAGGACTGGCAGACAACATTAGCAAAACATTTGGGAAGAGTAGAAGATATCTTTCATTCTTTTCCTAATACAAAAAAAGAAATCCAAAACATTTCTTAAAAAACATCTACTTAACAAATGTGAGCACAAATACTTCACTTATTTATACTAGGCCCTATGAAACATTACATGATATTTCTCGTTTAGGTATTTCTATCAAGTTTTATCAGGTAAATTAAATGGAAACAATTATGATAAATTCTGTATTAAGTCTTAACATATGATTATGAGAGAGCTTTAACATATAGGTAAAGAGAAGGACTTCCAAATTCTTCAAAAAACAAAAGGTAAGAAAGTAAACGGACTGATTAAAAGATCCTGGACTCACAATTAGCCTGTGTAACATCTTGAAACTATATTTGGTTAAAGAGTTCAGCTCTGTGATTAACTATTTTCAGGTAAGCTAAAATTTTCTTTTTCTGGTTCAGAGAAAAAGGAGAGAACCTATAAATTTTAATGGGGTCAGGGGGAACAGGTGGAGTCTTTAAGCTAAAGAAAGGATAAAATGTTAAAATCAATTTTGGTCTACTAGTAATTCCTGGCACTTCCCAAACCTCCCAAATGTCGACTCAGTGTTGTTTTCATCCACCCCATAAACATCACCTGGTTTACATCAGACTTAAAAGTATTACTTATGTATTAAAAATCATTTGCTTCAGTAAGATAAAAGCCAAAGAGACCATAAGTGAAAGAAAAAAGTTCCTAAGAATCCAAAAAGAGACAAAAAAATGCCACAGTCCTTTTCACATGTTGACATTTAAACTACGGCCCAAAAAAGTGAAATCAGTCCTAGGAATTAGTTTCCCCAAGTATATTCCTCAGAACA
This sequence comes from Homo sapiens, assembly GCF_000001405.40. Lineage (NCBI taxonomy): Eukaryota > Metazoa > Chordata > Mammalia > Primates > Hominidae > Homo > Homo sapiens. Next base: position 111,276,785 of record NC_000013.11, on the reverse strand, counting down.
TTAGGCTTATGCAAAGCACCTTGAGAAAAGAGTCTTCCGTACTTTAAAGAAGTCACTGAGAACGACTTGCTATATTCCCCTCTTGAAGAATCACAACATACATTGGGAACATTCACAGCCAAGTCTCTGAGGAGCTCTATCATAAAGAATCTTTTCCACTAATTACGTTCAGTCGTGATCAGAACCACTCTGAAGCATTTTGGAGTAACACCCACCAGTGCTGTATAGATCTAATATTATAAAGAACACACTTTGGGAAATGTTTCCACAGATTAAAGTTTAAAAGAGCATGACTCAAAAAGAAACTTCTTCTGAAAAGATGTGAAGTTTTTATAATCATGGTTTCTTATGGTACCCAAACTACAAGACTATGTAGAAGGGGTGATATTTTACAGGTGGAAAGGAAAACACACTATATAAGTTTGAAGTTTTAGTTTTCTTATTCTCCTTGGAGTCTTGTGTTCAAAAATGAGTCATTTCGCATGTTTTGATCATGTTATTTTTGCAAAGGTAGAATAAAATTCAGAAAGAGGTGCCTGTTCAGTGACCCATTGAATGTATGTCAATGTGAATCATGAAACAAACTGCTCGATTTTCACTGTGTGGGTGGGTATGTCCCAAAAATCTGGGTTGATCTCTCACTTAAACCAAACCTGTAAGAAAACTGTGACTCCTGTAAGCATATGTCAGCTAGCATACTTTCACAGGAAAGTATAATGACCCGAAAGCATTGAGAGCAGCAGGTCCCTGTGAGAGTGAGCCTTGGTACAAAGTTGCTGGCCAGATAAGCGCATACAGCTCCATGCGGATGTGTGCACAGGACTCCTGCAAGTCTTTCTGCACACTATCTATCCTTCAGTTCACGTGGGCTTCGGGCCACACTGACTTCAGCTGGATCAAACTGATCAACAAGTCCACACTCAGCTCTAAGCCTCTCTAACATGCCATAAGCCTCTCTCCTGTGTCAAGAATAAAAAGTAGCTCACAAATTATAAGATAGAGCTTCTATTAGACATTTTTCATCGCTTGAGATGCCTTTAAAATCTTCTGCTATGAGCTCCTAAGAGTGGGACAGAAACCCTGGTGCGTGCATGTGGGCAGCAGTACCTCACTTCCGGCACACTGAATCAGGACCTGGGACATGTAAGTGACGTTGCCCAGAGTTTTAATGTCATCGCCCTCCCAGTTCCGGATGGCTTCCGTCAGGATCTGCAGCTCAAGCTCTTTCCTCTTCCGGACTTCTTGACATTGGGCCTGACAGACACAGAACAACACTGTTAACAGACATAAACTTTCAGAATGTTAAGTTCCGGCCACATTGCTTTGTATCATCCTTAAGACAATTATTGCTTTATATCTTACTTCTTCAGACAGATAATTTATTGAGCGATTTGCTTAATTATAGGGAATTGAAAGTATTTGCTTAGAAGTATGAAACCAAGTTAAGAGAAGCAACACACACAACTGCTCTGGAATACTAAGTATTATTTTAGAAAGATAGAGCACATTTTGCCACTTGTACAAAAAAGAAATGTGGACAGGACAAGAACTGTATTTTCATTCTGGTTTTGTTCGTGTTTGCCAATATGGAAGACTGAAAAGAAGAAACAGAAAGTATAACTTGTGCTATAAAATAAGGCCATATATTTCCAAAACGCAGTTGGTAAGACAACACAACAGCAGAGAAAATGGAACCACCATTGTTCTGTTTTGCAATAAATCATTAAAGACAACATGAATGAAGGGTAAAAAAATGTTTTAAACAATTTTAAAGTAGATCTAACATCAATTACACAGTGACTTTAAAAAATTTAAATAATTATTCTATCATAGTCCACTAAAAGGAGTTTACCAGCCACAGAATGCCGACTCTGTTTTTCTTTCATGTCAGCACAAGTCATTTTTTAATCATTTGACTTTTTCAGTTGATAATTCTTTTACATTCATTTGTCACAATAATGTCTGGGGGGGAAAACAATATGCTTAATCACTTACTGAAAGGTTTTTGAAGGCAGCCATGGATTTTTGAATATCTTGTCTATCTGTATGATAATCCTTTGAGTAAAAGAAACATACAATTAGCTTTCATAAGGAAAAGCTTTTCTTAAAAAGGTACTTTCTACAGACCAGCTTGAAACTTTTCTAACACTTTTCAACCCTTAACATTCCCTTTTTCCCTCAGCATTAAAGTGTCAGTCTTTCAGCAAATCACGAAGCCATTAGACTTTGGGGAAATATAAGTTGGAAGAGAACAGTCACAAGCAGCAGGGGTGGGGAAGCCAACACTTGCTTCATCAATAAAGTCTTATTGGAACACTGCCACGGCTCACATACAGTATCTAAAATGGCAGAGCTGTGTAGCCGTGAAGAAGACCCTACAGTCTGCCCCCTTATAGAAAAGGTTTGCCAACTCAAGCCAAGAGAGTAACTTCAACCCAAATTTCTGCTAGGCTGCAACCTGTTATTCAAAATTAAAAGAGCACAATCATTCATCAAATGATTAGTACAGTATTACCCTATAACCTATGCACACATTGTTTGTAGCTGGATGATCCAGGTAAGACATCTCAACACTATCTGAAAATCAGTTCTCATGTTTCAGCTTTTGGAAACTTTTCAATCAGCAGCAGTGGGTAAAAGAGAGATAAGGGGTAAATGTTTTCTAATAGAGCTGGAATAAGGAGAAAAACATAATATTTAACAAAACTCTTTGTAAACTCTGTTGGTTCTGGCTTCTAAAATAAATCATGAATAATACTTTCTTTCACAGTAAGTCTGACCATGCCACTAACCCTTGGTAAGGACTCCAAGTAAGAGAATGAAAGCGCAGTACCTCCATGTGTCTCTCGAGCTCTTTGAGCAGCGTAGGGTATTTATCCAGGCGCATGAAGGGTTTGCTCAGGCCCGTGGTCAGCACGAGAATCCCAGGGCTGCTGGCACCTTTGGTCTCCATGAACTCCCCCAACTCCTCACTGGGCAGCAAGTGGCAAGAGAGACACTCGTGGTTAGCAATGAGAGACAATGGTGGCTCTCTCATCTCCATGAGCAACAGCCAGAATTTATGAAACATAAGTGTTGCTTTTAACATCTGGAAGGCTCCAGCTTTTATCCCAAATCTGCGCTGCTTATCTGGAAATGCCAAAGGGGACTCCCATCCCTAAGGGGTCCCGTTCCTGCTCTCATATGAGCAACAATAACTATACACAGCACAGGACATGTGGGTCTCCATGAGATCCTACTGATGGCGAGGTCCTCCAGCACATCAGTGCCATGCAGACATATCCAATGGAAACATGCACACTCAGAGCCAGAATGGATTCCAATAATCTCAGAGTCTCAAGGTGGTAGAACAAGGACCGAGCTGCTCCGGTAAAGAGCTAGAGCACACTGATGGTAGTCATCCCCAGATGCGAGTTCGTCCAGCGAGCAGGCCCCACCTATGTGCTGCCAGCACTCAGCCTGGGAGTAGGCAATGGCTCTTGGGGTGAGGAGCACGAGAAGCAGCAAGAGAAGAGAGCAAACGCTGATTTAGGCTTCAGAACTTCAAAAGCTTTAAGTTTAATCCTCACAATACGTGAGGAAGAAAGGGGTCCCTGTGTGCAGACAGCGAATGTTGATTTACGCTTTAGAACTTCAAAAGCATTGTTACATTCAATCCTCACAACACGTAAGGAAGGAAGGTGTCCCTGTGTATGGACATAGAAACAGTGCATATCCCAAAATTAAAGAGTCAGAAACAAGTTTTAGAACTTTCTGTATTCCTCTTCAACCATCCCCTTCACAGTGCCTCGCCTATCTTTCCCTACAGTGGGTCCTCATGTGTGTCATCTTTGTCCTCAGAGTTCCCATGGCTGTGGCAGAGGACACGGGCAGGCTTCTGTGGGGGGTCCAGCTCTTCACCCACACGTTTGTTAAGGCTGACAGTCACCTGACCGCAACACCCCTTCACTGGCGATCTCTGAGGTCTCTGTCAGGCCCTGGGTCTGCTGTCCCTCAAATTGCATGTGCCATCAGTCCACACATCTGACAGTGTACAGCCCACAGAAAGGAGGGGAGGCAGCACCAGCGCTGGCAGCCGATGCCAGGTCCAGACCAGGATGACTTCTCAGTCACCACATCCCATCCAGGAGACCCAGGTGACCCCCGCCCCATCACCACGCCCCATCCTAGAAGATAGGGGTCTCTAGTCAGCAGAGCTTGGTTCAAATGATACCCATGGCACAAATCCTAGGAACAAATTTTCCTAGTCTAGAGGTTTTCCCTTAAAAGGAAAAGATACTTTTATATCCTCATTATGTAAACGATGTCCTAAAATAAACATGAAAATCCTAACAGCAAAACTGAGAAACAAGCCAATTTCCGGTTCTGGTCTCACAGGAGCCTCCCACCGCACCACCCCAGCCAAGCTGGCTACTGCCAGAGGTCTCGGGGACACCAGAACCATCAAGGGCTCCCGGGGAAAAGACAGACAGTGTTTTGGCTAACCCAGAGGAAACTGAGTCCACAAATAGTGAACATTAACAGTTTCAGAGAGTTCAACCTAAACACAGCTTCCCATAAGGAGGACTGAGAGCCAGGGTGGTGCCAGCCCTTCCCGCTTCTCACCCTCCTTATTCCATGTGGATCCCCTGCCAGGGCAGCCAGGGAGAATGTCCTCCAATGAAACCGATTCAAACACCATGCTGAAAACCAAACAGTCATTAGGAAACCAGCCTTCCACTTCCTAAGCACGTAAGACCTTCTGAGAAGGCCACTTACATCTCAACGCTTTCTACAAAACCAGGGTGGTCTCATTAACCAAGGCCAGGGTGCAGTCCTATGCTGTGTAAAAACAGTAACGATGTGGGTGCGGCACCTCTGTCTGCCCTTGCCAACAAGAAATACTTCCAATAAACACATACATATACACACTTAACAGATATTATCAATACTAAAGCAAATTATAAAAAAGGGTAATGTTGCATATATCCACTTGTAAAAAAATTAAGACAAGAAACATTTTATCAACTCCATATATAAGGCTTCATAATTATTTCTGTAAGGCTGCCCATCGTGTTGATGCTGTTTTAAAAATTAGTAGCACAGAGACTGTCAAGAGTACTTCCGAGTGTGTGTACGTGGTGTCTGTCTTTGTGAGAGAGAGCACGCACGCACGAGAGCAAGTGCACTTTTGTGGGCAACAGACAACTCAACATCTTTTGTCTGTAACTTTGTGCTTTCCAAAAATCATTTCCTTGAGACAATCCCAGGCTGGAGATTACTGAAATAAAGCACAGTGCCATCTTCAGGGGCCTGCTGTGGGTAACACCTGCACAGCAAGGTGTCCTGCTCACCGTACAGGCTGCATTGACATGAGCCCATGAGCACACCGCATGTGTTCCTATCATTTCTAAACACGCACACGTCCTCTGCCTTCTTTCCTCAGCATCCACCTTCCCCGGGAAGATGGGTGGGGAACTGAGGAGGGTCCAGGACAGACTCCCATCTGCTGCAGCCACTACAGCCACTGTCCCCCGCCCCTTCTCAGCTGGGGCAACTGTGAGCACTCTGTGGACAGCAGGACCACAAGGACAGAGGAGGAGCCACAGGACTGCTCACCATGCTAGGCACCAGGGCAGGCACTCACAGACATCAATGCTCCAAACATCACTGGGTGGGGCAGACCTACAATTTTGCAAGTGATACAGACGACGGCCTGCATGAAGGCCACTGCCCACACCATCACTGCCGGCAGAACAGCTGACGCTCTGCACCCCAGGCGGACCCCTGCTATGTGGATGGCATGGCCGGCCCCTCTGACCACGGGCAGCCTGTTCCGCACACACACATCCCTCCCCTCCGCCCAGTTCTTACTCAGAAGTGCTCCTCTTCCCATTACTCACTCTATCCATTCCTAAAGCATGAATAGAGTGACATGAGGGCTTCAGACAGGAGCAATTTATATTTTACCAACAATTCTCTAGGTGTTGGAGAATTTATCAGGCAGTCCCATGAAAATCAAACTTTATGATACTAAAAATATATTTCAACTCCTTTAAATGTAATCCACATAAGTACCTTTTCCACCAAAATAAGAATCAAGGAAAAATCCATTCAGGTCATTATTTATATTTCAGGGTTACCTGTGAAATTTCCTAACTACGGTACAGCAGAGAAAAACTAACAAAACTAAACAGTTACCCTCATCACCACTCCCTCAAAAAAAGCCCAGAAGCCAAAAAAGTGAAACATGTGCAAGCAAAACTCCTTCTAATATCCACAAGACACTCTTACAATGCCAGAACAAATACAGTTAAAAAGGAAATGAAATTTTATAAATGTTTGTGGATCATCGTTTTAGTTTCAGTTTGAAGTTAAAAAAAAAAAAAGTAGTGCCATAATAAAACAAAACAGCTAGTTACAGCTACTCTGACCAAAGACTGCTCTTTCAGCTTCAGTTCTGCTGATGCCAGCAGCCCGTACACAGTGGGTCTCCTCAGTCCTTACCGACACAGTGCTGTGGGCTGACGGCAGCCACAAAACACATGCAAGCATGGAGCCAAGTGCAGAGGAACAAACTGCTGGGAAAAAAATCATTTTCAAAGGCTAAATTATGACACCCATAGTTCATTCAAAATAGCTGGCCATGGACAAGTGTTGCTGCCATCACTGGACGCTGCAGAAGGTCTGAGCTGCTAAAACGGTCAGAGTTGGCATTCTGCGCTCGCAGGGCTCACACTTAGAACTTAAACCCAAGTAACACAAGGACAGTGAGGATGCAAATAAGACTTTAAACTTCAACCCACTGCACTTGAACCAATCCTTAAAAATTACTCCACAGCATGAGCAGATTAGTCTACCCCAGGTGTGGCAGCTTAAAGACCGTCACACACATGGAAAAGCTGGCAAGAGGACCAAGAAAGAATCCAAGTACAAAGGCAGGAGGTAGGAAGGAGCCTTGGCACAGGGAAGCCTGACCCCAATTCACTGCTGTGTCTTTGGGGTGGGGAGGAATCTGTGGCCAACACAGCGGGAACTCTCGTGGTGCAGGGACCTCGGGAGGGCACACAAGCTTCATGTTCCACAGTGGCGGCACCTGCTGGCTCGGGGGACCTTCCTCTCGCCGCAGCTCTGACTCCCAGCACTAAAGCAATGGTGACTTGCCCCGGGGCTGCTGTCCCGAGCGGGCCTCAGCCTGCCCCTCCACTCTCTGGGCAGCCCTGGGAAGGAGGCACAAAGACCCTCCTGACTCAAAAACCCACCTGTATTCTTTCTTCTAGTTACTTCAGGAAAATGCTACACGTACATTAAGACCTGACAAACACACTCATTAAGGTAATAACAGAGAAGAGGATCAACACAGCACACGCCCGCAAGCACTGCTCTTGAATGGCTTCGCATTTTAGGAAACTAACAGTCCTAGTGACTTTCAATGTCATCTTTAGGACAGGTCCTCAGAAAGATGAACTTTCTGTTCATCTTCCTCATGACTCCATCAACAATTCTTGAAGAATTTCCAGAGATACAAATTTAACACTTGCATTGCGCTTTCTGGAAATCTCATTCAATGTATAAATTCCCAGGGGTAGGGGCATAGCGCATAACTAGAAACATGCTGGACGCTTGGAGACGCTGTGGACACAGCCCAGGGGTAGGGGCATAGCACATAACTGGAAACATGCTGGACGCTTGGAGATGCTGCGGACATGGCCCACGCTCCCAAGCGGGACGTGCAGAGGGAGGGTTCTTTGGGTTTTCCTTTTCTGCCACTGCTGTGAGTTCTAACTTCCTTTCCTTTCACTACATTGTTCAAGGCTGCTGTTTCCTTTCAGGGCTGCAGATGCTTTAGTAACAAATAGGAAGTTCAAAAAATCTTAATCCTTTTATATTTGAGCACACCCAGGAAACAGTAACTATCCAGGGTCTTTTTTAAAAAATAAAAAAATTAAAAAATGAAGAAACAATAGAAGACAACAGAATATTCACTGAGCATTTGGTGCGTTCACCCTGACCTGACCTGCTGACAGTTTTAGCTTGAATGCTTGTAACACCCCTGTGAATGAGTTCCTTCAGGAAAGGAAGCTGAAACCCAGAGACAGGAGGAAATCTGCCCAAGGCTGCAGAGCCTGAAGGGAGCAGCCACAGCCAGAGCCGAGTCCACCCTGCTGCCATGTCTGAGCTGTCCTAGGACACCCACGCAGCGCCACACCTGAGCCCCAAATGTGCTTCTGAAGAGGCAACCAACACCTGTTCACTGACGAGGCTTTCAGTGGAAATGTTCGGTTAAGCTGAAGTTAAATACTTAAGTTAGAAAGACAATGGCATTTATCTTTATGCTACTAAAACAATACTTTTCCATTTATGGTTTTGAAAATGTGTGAATTTCTGTTTTCAAAAGAAATTATGAAATTTTTTGTAAAATATTAATACAAATCTTTGTATTAATTTTTTGTAAAACATTAATATAAATCTTTTTAGAAGCAGAAAGTGAGCCTCTGAGCTCTCTAAGCCCCGGTGTGGTCTCCTCCAAGCCAATCCTCAAACAAATCAATTCTTAACACTCACTAATGACTGAGATCCTCCTCAGTAACTGAAACAGCTGAGAAACATCTTCCTCCAATTCGCAGGAAGCAGACACTGTCTTGCTTCATAAAATAAGCAAAACGTCTGTGCATTCTCTGTTGCACTTGTTTTTAGTTTCAGGATGAAAAGCTAAGGGTCTCCAATGTAATGTTTTGTGTATAAAACCTGTATTAATCTGAAATGAGATACTTTCTGTTACAGCTGATGTAACTCGGACTCATGTACTTCCAGTTTTAAGAACTGAAATATGATTCCAGGACCCTTGACTAAGCTTGTGGCTACACCCCAGAACACTTACTAACCCCTTCAACCTATTAGCCAAAGGGCTTCAGGCTGTAGGGAAAACATTGAAAAGATTTGTCTTTTTACAAAAATACTCACCATCATTTTAAAGACTTCTTACCAGTACTTCTCAAGCACTAATTTTGAGGGGTAATTAAAATTCATACCCTTTAATAACCAAGGGACTATTAGCATCATACTATTTCATGCACTATTTGAAGGACACAGAGCCATCCACCCTCCCTGTTGCCAAGGTGCCTAGCAAGCGCACCTGTGTTCCGTGAGGACATTCACTGCAGAAGGGTGATTGGCACAATACGTGAGGTACAGGGTTTTCATCTGTGGCATCAGGTTTAAAAAGCAGCCTCCGACTCTCTGCTGAGCTTCGGGCAACCTGGAGAAATGCGACACAAAGGGAAATAGTCATCAGTTTTACAGACAGGACAACTGCTAACTGACAGACATATAATACTCTGAGTAAGGAAAACCTCCCTCTGCACCCATCTGTGAAAACCAGAGGCCCCGATCCCAGCACACATGTGTTGCTGCCTTGAGTCTAGCAAGGAGAAGGGGCGCCCAGAAAGCAGCTGTGCTGCCAGGTCCTCTCCAGCAGCATTCAGACTGCACAGCATCCCAACCAACCCTCAGGCCCAAGTTCTTTGGGCAGTGAGAAAAACAGATGTCACAGAGCCTTCAGCTTTGCATAAAATAAGGAGAATTATTGAATGTGGTTATTCAGTCTGTGAGGTTTTCTACCAAAGCAGCAACATCAAGACTAACAAAAAATACAAAAACCGCCTTTCCCTTCAGGTTAGAGACTAGAAAGCAAGCCCACCTATCAGGTGCCTCTCCTCCCCAGATCCACAGCATCCTGACAGTTAACAGGCTTTTCCAAGAAGCATAAACTCATGAGAACAAAAAGAATGAGGAAGAGACTACCAGAACCAGCACTGGAAGCTGCATGAGGGGTGACAAGTCGGCACAAGCTGTGGGCATCAGGGCCCCTGGTGGTGCCGCCTCAGTGTTGGGTGTGCCTAACGGGGTACACGCTCACCTCTCCAGACCTCAGAGTTTCTGAAGGACAACAGCAACAACCCGGAGCAGGGGCACGTGTGCTGAAAACAGGAGAACCACGTGAACTCTTACCACCTTCCCTGCACCCCAGGGTGTCTTTGCTCCCCAGATACCCACAATATTACCAGAAGGATTACATCCTCCTACCTAGGGAATGGGAGCCAGAGAAAAAGTGACCAAAAACATGAACACCAGGGATTCCTACAGAAAACAAGAGTCAACCAGTCCCAACTCTCGGACAGCACTTCCAAAGTGCTTTTAGTGTGCCAACCTTAATTATAAGAAGGCATGAAAGGACAAATACATTTGCCTAAAAAAAGGGGAATGAAGGAGCAAAGGAGAAAAAGGAAATATGATAGTCATTCCACATCAGAATAAAAGTTCATGATACAGAAAACCAAAAATATAAGCAGAAGTCAATCAAAGAAATCATCACACGACTAAACAGAAAGAGTGCAAGGCACAAGAGCGAAGGTGTCCACGAGCGTCGACACAGGCCAAAAGAAGACCGAGGCCCCAGACAACAGCAGAGTCATTCAGAAGCCCAGAAACAAGGATGCGAAGAGCTCTGAGTGAGAAACACCTGTTCACACCGAGAATGAGGAACAGCATGGGGCTCCTCAGCACCAGAGCCCAGAAACACTGAAGCACCCCTTGAAACGGGGGTGGAAATCGCTTCCTCTAACTGTCTCCATCTGAGTCAACCGTGAGCATTCACATGGATTAACTGCCTGGCATGCACTTGCTCCTCGGGAAGTTCCCAGAGCAGGTACGTGACCAAAATGACAGAGGAATGCAAAAAAAAATGAAAGACGTCAGCATCCAACACAAAGGTGGCTGGAGCCTGGGTCTAAGGTCCAGGCCTACAACTCATGGGGACACTGCTTCTGCTCTGCTGTCCCCACCGATAAGCACACGGCCTCAGTCCGCCCCTGCTGGGAACAGAACACCGCGGACTGGGTAATTTTCCAACAACAGAAATGCACTGCCCACAGCTCTGGAGGTTGGAAGCCTAAGATCAAGGCACCCGCAGGTGGTCCCCTATTGCATCCTCACAGCGGGGAAGGGGCAAAACAGCTCCCTCACAGCTGTTACAAGGCTGCTGATCCTATTCATGAGGGCTGCATCCTCACAACCTACCCACCTCCAAGGCCCACCTTTTAATACCATCCAATTGGTGATCATCTGTAGTAACAGATGATCTGGGGAAACACATTCAGACCACAGCACACTCTGGCTCCCAAATGTGTCTGCTGGCAGGCATGCCTTTCAACCCTGCAGGCAGGACCTCAGACCCCGGACTTCCCGGTTCCACCTCCATGCAGTCTCTGGGTGTGCCTCCACCTTCATGAGCACTGCTTTCCGCTCCGCGGCTAAGTACTGGCTGGAGAAAGTCATAGTCAGGAGAATCAGCAAGTCACAAGTATTAGGAAAAACCTCATGTTCAAAACACAGAGCACTCAAAATTTATGCTAACTTGGTCTTCTCCCTGTTTTTCAACCATTTTTTATTCATTTCTTAGTAACTGTTAACCGAGGCTCAAAAAGACTGTTCCTGTTCTCATCAATTTAAGAAAATTTACTGAGCTGTTATCAGTACGTCCTATAATAGCTGTGGAGACAGAAAAGCACAGGAAGTAACGCTGTGACAGAGGTGCCAAATCCCACCACCCACCGTTTTCTCTCCTCAGACTCAAGCATTCCCAGCACAATGGGTCTTCTTTTTTTTTTTTTTTTTTTTTTTGAGATGGAGTTTCTCTCTTGTTACCCAGGCTGGAGTGTAATGGCACCATCTCAGCTCACTGCAACCTCCGCCTTCCCGGTTCAAGCGATTCTCGTGTCTCAGCCTCCCGAGTAGCTGGGATTACAGGCATGCACCACCATGCCCAGCTGGGCCTTCCCTTCTAGACTAGATAACATGTCAGTTTTATAAAACATGGCCTTCAGGAAAGAGGTGAAAATAAACCTCTGCTTCTAAAACATAGCAATATGTAGATGTCAAATGTAGTTACGGTAAATAATACAGACAATAGAAATGTAAAATATAGGTAATAAAAATATCCCACACACGTTCAGGTGGCTGATCTGTGTAAGAACATCTACCAAATGTAAGTGCTCCCTCCACATACTAGTCTCTTCCCTGTGCTGTGTAAAAAAAGGCCAACGCCCTCCTTCAATATTTAACTGTCCATCTCTCTCCCTCTCTTAGCTCTCCTTTGATCTCTGTCTGAGCAAGACATGTCCCCACCCAGAGTACTGGCGGGGGCTCACAGAAGCACAACAGTTACCTGCACGGACTGGGAATTTAGTGGGGTCTGCAACAGCAGGGACCTTGCCCACAGCACAAGGAGGCTAAGGGTTAGGATGCACAAGTCTTCCTGTCGGTGGCGGTGACATATAGATCTCTGCGCAGATGGGAGGCTGTCCCACCTGCCTTCTCTACCATGCTTCTTTACCCTCAAATCCAACAGCCACTAGCCACCTGCAGCTATTTCAAGTAAGGTTAACTAAATTTTTTAAAAAAATTAAAAATTCAGTTCTTCAGTTGCGTTAATCTCATTTCCAGAGCTTCACAGCCCCACGTGGCTAGAGGCTACTGAAATTTGTCTAGCAGATACAGCATGTTTCCATCAATGCAAGCTCTCAACAACACTGGTCTAATTCATCCAAGCCATGTTTCCAAATCCTGAATGTGTCATGCAGTTATTATGGTGCTTTACTGTTTAGTTTATTAAAACACAACAGAAGGCAAAGTAAGCTAGCATCTGCACTGCTGCAGACCCATTTCCAACTGTGAACAGCTAAGCGGGGTTTCCACAACCTACCGGGATTAGCCACAGTTCTGTCCATTTGCAGGGTAGTCACTGACTCAAATTAATTTCAACTACTATATGTATGCAGCACCATTACAAGGCACTGGGAACAGATTAAAAACAGGGTAAGAAACAGTCTCTACCTTAAAGTGAGTTCTATCATTTTGTACAGAAGTAAACTGAAGACAATTATGTAGTCTCAGTGACAGGAGCTACAAACTGCTGCCAGCCTACAGAGGAGGAAGAACACGCCCTTTAAGACACACAGGTTTTGAGAATCTTCTGACATCTGAGCAGGTGATGTTCATCCTCAGAGACACAGTGAAATATCAGGAAGAGGCGGGCTTCTAGAATGACAGGACCCTGCATGCCTCACTAGGAGGACTGAAGAGCACTGGGTAATGATGGAATGCCAAAGGTATACGCACAGAAAACACTGCCAGAGATGTGGCACAGGAAAGTTATTGGATATGTGCTACCCACAATGGGTTAAATTCTTAGGATTGCAGAAATACTGCTCAGTGCTGGGCCATGGGCTATGCTAAGATTTCATCTCCTACCTGGTCCAGTGCCACAGCCCCGATCCATTCAGAAAAGGAAATCTGGATAAACTGATTTTCATTTCTGATATTTCATCAATTAATGAAAATTAAGTCATATTTCAGCATAGCTTATAAACGAACAATTCACGGTACGAGTGGTTTTTCCTATTTAATTCACCGCACTGAGCCTAGGCTCTAGATTTTTATTACCTCTTTCAGTCCCAGACCAATTCTCCCAAGAATTTTCTGTCACTGCCATCACCAAAGTTTCATGGCTGATAAAGCCCTTGTTCATTAATTCAGTAGCAGATAAAGCTCATAAAGGTCAGCTGAGCCCTAGGACTCGAGCATAACGTGCCAACATATTCCACACATAACGCTGCCTAGACACCTGAATTCACACGACAACCAGCCAGACTCACAGAAATCACCATTACAGAATATGAGTTCAGAATTAAAGGAGGGGATGTTCCCCTCGGTTCTCTCTTGTGCTCCATAGGCTGCTCTTCAGAGTGTGATAACATGCAGACAGGGCACCCCACAGGGGCTACATCAAGGCCTTGGGCAGCAGGATGGTGCACATGAGTCATGAGAGGCAGCACGCATCATGCCAGCTGCTCCCACCAGGCCTCCTGGCAGAACCAAAGCCATAATCTAACAGGTGTGATGTTGCATTGTGTCCATGAATGATCTGATGACAGCTAGAGTCACACATACCATCTACATCTTCACAGTAACAGCAACAGCACAAGGTGAAAGGGGGTACCCAAGGGTTTTTTTTCCTTACCCAGAAGATTACTGGGTCTCAGAAAAAACACTTGAGAAATCAAATGCTAAGCAGTTTCCCCCGTAACATGTTTACTCCTAGTGATACTGCTAACTAGACAGAGGAATGGTTCTCAGTTCATCAACAAGTGATTTCAGATGGAAACTGAGATGCCCATGAAGACAGAGCAATGTGCTGGGGGAACCTCCATACACATCTCCAGCCGCAAGGAACCCAGCAGCCTGTCGTGATCAACAGATGGCCTTCAGAGATGAGACTTCACAAGTAGCCTCCTGCTCCCACTCAGGGTGGAGATAGACACACACACACACATGCACACACACACACAGGGACACGGGGCCCCTGTAACCACATGACCTCTGGCAGGTCTCTCTTGTTGACTACCAAAGCTTCTAAGTTCTCCAATTTACTGGCATACAGTTGTTCACAGTAGCCTCTAGTGAGTCTGAATTTCTGCAGTATCAGTTTTAAAATCAGAAACAAAAAAGAAAAATTATTTATTTGGGTCTTCTCTTTTTTCTTAGTCTGACTAAAGGTTTGTCAATTTTATTTTTTCAAAAAAGCCACTTTTGGTTTCATCGATCTTTTGTAATATTTCAAATTCATTTACTTCCACTGTAATCTTTATTATTTTCCTTCTACAATTTTGGGTTTGGTTTGCTCCTGCTTTTCTTGTTAAGATGCATCATTAAGGTTGTTTATTTGAAGTTTTTCTACTTTTTGATGTAGTTGCTTACAGCTACAAACTTCCTCTTAATACAGCTTTTGCTGTACCCCATAGGTTTTGGTATGCTGTGTTTCCACGATCACTTGTTTCAAGAAATTTTTAAATTTTCTTAATTTCTTCATTGACCCACTGGTCATTCAGGAGCACACTGTTTAATTTCCATGTGTCTGCATAGTTTCCAAAATTCCTCATTATTGATTTCTAGTTTTATTCCATTGTGGTCAGAAGAATCTTGATAAAATTATATTTTTTTAAGAGATGAATCTCATTTTTAAAAAAATTTTAAGACTTGTTTTGTGCTTAATATAGATGATCCTTAAGAATGATCCATGTGCTAAGAAAAGAATGTGCATTCTGAAGCCACTAGAGGAAATGTTCTGTAAGTATCTTTAGATTGATTTGTTCTAAAGTACAGATAAAGTCAAGTGTCTTTGTTGCTTTTCTGTATCAAAGATCTGTCCAGTGCTGAAAGTGGTGTGTTGACATCTCTAGCTATTATTGTATTGGGGTTTATCTTTAGTTCTAATAATACTTGCTTTATATTATCTGGGTGCTCCAATGTTGGATGCATATTTACAACTGCTATATCCTCTTGCTGAATTGACCCCTTTATCATTATATAATGACTTTCTTTGTCTCTAGCTTTTGTCTTGAAATCTATTTTGTTTGATATAAGTCTAGCTACTCCTGCTCTTTTTGGTTCCTATTTGCATGGAGTATCTTTTTCCATTCCTTTATTTCCAGTCTATAGGTGTCTTTATAGATCATTGGGTTTTTTGTCTTTTTGGTTTTTTTTAATCCATTCAGCCACTCTACGGCTCTTGATTGCAGAGTTTAGTTCATTTAAGTTCAATGTTATTATTCATAACCATGGACTTACTCTTGCCATTTTGTCATTTGTTTTCTTGTTTTGCAATCTTCTCTTCCTTTTTTCCTTCCTGTCTTCCTTTTAGTAAAGGTGATTCTCTCTGGTTTTATGTTTTAATTTCTTGCTTTTTATTTTTTATGGATCTATTGTATGTTTCTTAATTTGAGGTTACCATGGACTTCCAAATAATAAAACCCATTATTTTTAAATGACAACATTGATTGTGTAAACAATGTAACAAGCAAGGAAACAGAACATTAATTAAAAACTCTACACTTTAACTTTGTCCTTGTGCTTTTTAACTTTTTGTTGTTTCTACTTATATCTTACTGTACTGTCTTGAAAACTTGTAGTTTTTTATCAGTTCATCTTTTAACCTTTCTACTCAAGATATGAGTAGTTTACACATAGTGTTATACTATTCTGTATTCTTCTGAGTACTATTACCAGTGAGTTTTGTACCTTCAGGTGATTTCTTATTGCTCACTAACATTATTTTCTTTCAGATTGAAGAACTCCCTTTAGCATTTCTTGTAGAACAGGGCTGGTGTTAATAAAATCCCTCAACTTTTGTTTGGGAAAGTTTTTATTTCTCCTTCATGTTTGAAGAATATTTTTGCTAGATATACTATCCTAGGATAAAAGGTTTTTGCTTTCAGCAATTTAAATATGTCAGGCCCACAGTCTCCTGGCCTGGAAGCTTTCCACTGAGAAGTCTGCTGCCAGATGTACTGGAGCATCTTTGTATGGTATTTGTTTCTCTCTCTGCTTTTAGGATCCTTTCTTCATCATTGACCTATGGGAGTTTGCTTATTAAATCCCATAAGGTAGTCTTCTACGGGTTAAATCTACTTCGTGTTTTATTAATATAACCTTCTTGTACTTGAATATTGATACCTTTCTCTCTGTTTGGGAAGCTATCTGTTATCTCTTTGAATAAACTTTCTACCCCTATGTCTCTCTTTACTTCCTCCTTAAGGCCAATAACTCCTGGATTTGCCCTTTTGGGGCTATTTTCTACATCTTGTAGGCATGCTTCATTGTTTTTGATTCTTTCTTTAGTCTCTTCTGTGTATTTTTAGATGGCCTGTCTTCAAGCTCACTAATTCTTTCCTCTGCTTGATCAATTCTGCTAAGAGACTTTGATGCATTTTTCAGTACGTCAACTACATTTTTCAACTCCAGAATTTCTGCTTGATTCTTTCATATTTCAATCTCTTTAAATTTATCTGATAGGATTCTGATTTCCTTCTCTGTGTCATCTTGAATTTCATTGTTTCCTCAAAATAGCTACTTTTTAATTCTCTGTCTGAAAGGTCACATATCTGTCTCTCCAGAATTGTTTACTGGTAGCTTTATTTGGCGAGTTCCTGTTTTCCTGGATGGACTTCATGCTTGTGGATGTTTGTCAGTGTCTGGGCACTGGGCGTTGAAGAGCTAGGTGTTTATTGTAGTCTTCACAGCCTAGGCTTGTTTGTACCCATCCTTCTTGGGAAGGCTTTCCAGTATTCAAAGGGACTTGGGTGTTGCAATTTAAGTTTTTGGTCTCACTGCAGCTGTATCTGCATTAAATTGGGGCACCCCACACGCAGTAATGCTGTGACTCTTGCTGATTCACATAGGAACCACCACGGTGTTCTTGAACAAAATCCAGAAGAATTTTCAATTACTAGGCAGAGACTCTTTGCTCTCTTCCCTTACTCTCTCCCAAACAGAGAGAGAGAAAGACAGAGAGAGGGGTGTGTGTGTGTGAGATGAGTAGCTGGAGCTAGAGAAGGATGACACAATACCCCTGTAGTCACCACCATTGGGACTGCACTGGTTCACACCTGAAGCCAGCAAAGCACTGGACTGCACCCAAGGCCCATGGTAACCACTTCCTAACTACTGCCTATGTTTGCTCAAGACCCTGGGGCACTACAATCGGCAGGTGGCAAAGCCAGATGGGCACGTGTCCTTTCCTTCAGGACGGTGAGTTCTCCTTGGCTCCGGGCAGGTCTAGAGATGCCATCTGCGAGCCAGAGCCCGGAAGCTGAAACCTTAGGAATCTAGCTGGTGCACTATTCTACTGCAGTTGAATATTTCTTGTGGCACCCAAGCCACATGAAAAAGTCCTTCCCACTCTTCACTCCCCTTTTCCATAAGCAGGAAACCTCTCCCTGTAGCCACCACCGGGCCTGCAGCAAGTACTGCCTGTTTATTGCTAATGTTCCTTCAAGGCCCAAGGACTCTTCAGTCAGTTTGTGGTGAATGCCACCAGGCCTGAGACTCTCCTTTCAGAGCAGTGGGCTGCCTTCTAGCCCACAGCAGGTCCCGAAATCATGTCTAACAGCCAAGGCCTGAAACTGGGGACTCCCAAGAGCCCACTTGATGTTCCACCTCACTGTGGCTGGGCAGATACCTACGCTGCAAGACAAAGTCTCCTCTCCTTTTCTCAAGCAGGAGTCCCTCCCTGTAGCCACCACAGCTGGGAATGTGCTCTGGGTCACATTTGAAGCCAGCTCGTCTTTGAGTCTCATGCAAGACCCATGGTGAGTTCTGCCTGGGTACCACTGCTGATTACTCAGGGCCCAAGGACTCTTTAGTCAGCAGATGATGGATCCTGACAGGAACTGGGTGCTTCCCTTCCAAGCAGTGGGTTCCCTTTTGGTCCAAGGTATGTCTATAAATGTCGTCCGGGAGCCTCAGGGTTCTGCCTGATGCTCTATCCTGCTGTGGCTGAGCTGGTATCCAAGCTGCAAGACAAAGCCGTCTTTCCTCTCCTCTTATTCTCTAGCAGAAGGAAGGAGTCTCTCCTGGAGGTGCAGGCTGCACTGCCTGTGGTTGTGGGAGGAGTCTCACTGGAGCTGCAGGCTGCACTGCCTGTGGTTGTGGGAGGAGTCTCTCCTGGAGCTGCAGGCTGCACTGCCTGTGGTTGTGGGAGGAGTCTCTCCTGGAGCTGCAGGCTGCACTGCCTGTGGTTGTGGGAGGAGTCTCTCCTGGAGCTGCAGGCTGCACTGCCTGTGGCTGTGGGAGGGTGGTGCAAGGCCTCCCTTGGCTGCCCCGGCTGAGGTCTCACTAGGTTGCAGGCCCCCCAAGGCCACTGGCTCAGAGCCCCAGCACAACACTAGGTCTTAGCCAGGAAGTGCAGTCCTTGTGGCCTAGACTCTCTTTCAAGTTTATTTAGAACCCCAGGTCATTTTAGCCCACAGTGGCGGGGCCTGCCAGAACTCAGGTTCCAACTGCTGGGACCAGGGACTAGCCTTCTGGCTAGGACTGGTCTAAATGCTACCTCTGTGCCCAATGTTGCTTTCCACTGTGACAGGGCAGCACTGAGTTCCAATACAAAGTCTCACAACTACTGAGCCCTCCCCCTCTCCGAAGTGCACAGGTTTTCTCTCTGTGCTACGTGGCTGCTGCCGAAGTTGAGGGAGCAGTAGTATCAGCAATTTAAGACTGTCTTTCCTACCCTCTTCAGTTTCTCCTTCAGTGATATGAAGTTAGAACCAGGCACCGTGATCACTCACCTGATTCTGATTCTTAAGAAGGTATTTCTTCGTGTGGAGAGTTGTTCAATTTGGTGTTCCTGTGGGGAGGACAATCAGTGGAGGTTTCTATTTGGCTATCTTGCTCCACCTCCTCCCTATTATCTTAGGCTTTATAATTAACTTTTGAACAAAATCATTACATGATATTTAACTATTATAACAATTACATTAAATACTTATAAACACATTGGATATTTTCTTTGATACACTACACTGAAGTCCTATCATATACAAGTCAACAAATGGGAACTCAGTCTACTGATGTCTGTAATACATTGAAAGGCATTTACCATTAAAATAAAATCAAGACATACATTCAATCAAAACACAAGAGACAAAGGGAAGGCTGTACTAAGAATTGGTATGTTCACTGGGACTGAAGGATTAAGTAGGATTTTAGTAAGAAGATAAGCAGAAGTGATTCCAAACAAAGGGAATAGTAAGGAGAGCTGGGTGGGGGGAAAATCCCACTTTCAGCCCCACCAGGCAGCAACAAGAAAGGCTCATAAGCCAAGGCCTGAGGACAGAGGCCAAAAAGGAGGTCCAATCTGTAGAGGGACATCTGTAGATTATTACAACTTTGGAACCAATCTAAATTAGCTGTTTTCAAGAAGCAAAAATTGCCACAATTTTAACAGGTCCTGTCCAAACGTCTTGAAGACCAGCTGGTGAATAAATGAATAAAGCGGTGTCACCCCCAGTTTCTGGGATGAACCATTTCAGGAGGACCAGTGCTGGTGGAGAAGCTGGACAGAACAGGAGCCAACTAGAAGTCAGGGCCCAGTTAGGTTAGCGCACAGACACCATGAAAACCCACAAGACCTGAACTACAGCGTTCAGGACAGGTCAGGCACAGAAGAGGTAGCTCGGCAAATGATTCAAGGTGGGGGAAAAGGAAGAGTTAAAGATACACTAAAGGTTTCTAAAAAGAAATCAACAGGTGGGTAATACGAAGAGAGCGAGTGAGCAGGGAAGAGGAGGAAGGAGGAGATGCCAGTGAATTCCTGAAGCACGCCAACTAAAGGTCTCCACAGAGATCGGCACAAACACGAAAAGACAAGCTGAACAATCAAGAAAGATCTGATCCAGAAAGGCTGACTTCAGAGGCAGGAGCTAACAACTGGTTGTGACACTGAAAGACCAGGGATGGTGGAGCCCATACTGCATCAACTGAGAACCGGAGCAGGCTCAGGACAGAACCTGAGTGTGGGCAGGGAGAACATGCCATAGGTAACCCTCTATGAAAGAAGGCATGGTGGCTAAAAACATCAAAGCGCCCGCAGTTCCAATCACTGTGCCTCCCTACATGCCATTTATAAAGCTTCCTTAATCATCCAAAATGTTTCTTTCCTGAACGTTTGGTCTATTTCTCCATCGCCTTCCAAGTGAAACCTTCCTGCCTTCTTTGGTTTATGCCGTAGCTACCGCCTCCTCCATAGCTACAGCCTACTAATCAAGGAACTGATTAGTGTAGGATAAGAATAAGACTAAAGACACATTTGGTTGTTTTCTACCATTCCAAATACAGGCAATGATGGCTTAACTAGCTGGCGGTTAAAAATAAGTTGCCTCCAGCTATTTTAGGAAAAAAATAATTAAAATATCGACATTAAAAAGATCCAGACAACGAATGAAATATCATACCAATTCATTACACCATTCATGAAGTTCATTAAATCATTCTCTACTTCCAACCTGATTCCATGGCTAGTCAACTGCCTGTCAGACATCCCCAAACGACAGAGCCAAGAGAAACGCAGCACTGAAAAGAAAGCACCATGACCCCACCTTCCACAGGAAAAATATCCCCCAGTTAAAGACAGTCATAAAATGTCCCCGAGTTTAAGGGCAGAAAGTGAAATCAAGTGAAGACAAAGCTGCAGAAATGGGAAGGGTGAGGAAAAAAGTCCCTCACCAATGTGACTGAAAACAGATCTTCTTTCACGAACACCAGCCAGCTCACTCAGGGCCCTCCAAAGCCAGTGCGAAGTTACATTTTCACAACTGAAGTTATAAATGGTGCACAGGGAGGGCCCTGGCAGAACAGAGGCTGCAGGAGAACTCAGCTCCAGACGCCAAGTAGGGCCCCGAGCATTTGCAGATGGTTCCGTAAGTACCAGGCCACTTTACCTCCGCAAGACTCTGGGTGGGTGACACCAGCACCCCTGCTTTATAGATGAGGACACTGGGACAGACATGGGCAAGCAACATGAGGCAGGTGACCAGGAGAGCTGTCAATCCAAACCTAACCTTTACCTGGGCCACACCTCTTCCCACACATGCAGTAGGCCGGGTGGGAAGTCTGCAGCTCCCAGTATCCGCTTCCACCCTCCCCTGTGACATCTCCAACTGAAATGCACAGCAACCCCAAACGGAACTCAGCGCCTTAGCCCGAATCCTCTTCTGAGCCCGGCCTTCACGTTAGCGACTCAGCGCCTTAGCCCGAATCCTCTTCTGGGCCCGGCCTTCACGTTAGCGACTCAGCGCCTTAGCCCGAATCCTCTTCTGGGCCCGGCCTTCACGTTAGCGACTCAGCGCCTTAGCCCGAATCCTCTTCTGGGCCCGGCCTTCACGTTAGCGACTCAGCGCCTTAGCCCGAATCCTCTTCTGGGCCCGGCCTTCACGTTAGCGACTCAGCGCCTTAGCCCGAATCCTCTTCTGGGCCCGGCCTTCACGTTAGCGACTCAGCGCCTTAGCCCGAATCCTCTTCTGGGCCCGGCCTTCACGTTAGCGACTCAGCGCCTTAGCCCGAATCCTCTTCTGGGCCCGGCCTTCACGTTAGCGACTCAGCGCCTTAGCCCGAATCCTCTTCTGGGCCCGGCCTTCACGTTAGCGACTCAGCGCCTTAGCCCGAATCCTCTTCTGGGCCCGGCCTTCACGTTAGCGACTCAGCGCCTTAGCCCGAATCCTCTTCTGGGCCCGGCCTTCACGTTAGCGACTCAGCGCCTTAGCCCGAATCCTCTTCTGGGCCCGGCCTTCACGTTAGCGACTCAGCGCCTTAGCCCGAATCCTCTTCTGAGGCCAGCCTTCACGTTAGTGACTCAGCGCCTTAGCCCGAATCCTCTTCTGAGCCCGGCCTTCATGTTAGCGACTCAGCGCCTTAGCCCGAATCCTCTTCTGAGGCCGGCCTTCATGTTAGCGACTCAGCGCCTTAGCCCGAATCCTCTTCTGAGCCCGGCCTTCATGTTAGTGACTCAGCGCCTTAGCCCGAATCCTCTTCTGAGCCCGGCCTTCATGTTAGTGGCACCCATATCCTCTCAAACAACTTGACTCAAAATCACATTTTTAAAAAAACTGTCACCAGAATAGAAACTGAAAATTACAAACATTGCAGTTAACCGATTTATTTAAAAACAGTTCAAACAACAAATATGCTGAGAATGAGTCTCTAGAGAAGAAAATTTTTCTCTTGATGTACTGTTTTCACTATCATCTTACAGAAAATGTACAACATATTAGAACAATCTGAGTAAAGGACTGGAGATGGAATTCACCACCACCTTGCCCTCTAAACTAATAGCACCCATGAACCAGCACCACAATGGTTCAACTTGAGCTACAAGAAGGGTAGGCTTCCCTCACAGTCCTCCACAGGCGTGGCATCCTGTGATCTCCCAGGTAGCCAGAGAACACGGCAGAACCATCAGAAACCTATGTGAAACTCCATGAGGAAAAGGCGTCCCATGTATCACATGGTGGCATGCAGCAGAGCCAAAATGCTCTGAGACATTTGAACTGTGATAACTGGGTTGCGAGAGGTCATCGGGTGGCCCTGAACATCGCCAAAGCAGCACAAAGTATAGGGATCGGGGGAGGCTGGGGACCCGGGGTGGGGAAAGCACCCAGAACACTCAAGCAGGAATGGTGAAATGGTCGCAGCTGCCCCAAGCAACAGTTACACACAACAAGCTTAGTGTGGTAGTCCCAGGCTTGGTGGAGACTCTGGGGTACAGTGATCCAGGCACCCTCACTATTTCAAGAGCTGTACATCTGAGACGGGAACAGGGCAAATCCTGCTATCTCCACTGTTTGCCAGCCCATGCGCTGGCATCTAAACAAAGAGACGGAGAGTTACTGGGTATTTTAGTATTTCTTTAGGGGAAGTATTACAACACCACTGAGTCACCATCAAAATAAGTAAGAATAAAATTTGGTACAACAAGGATGTTCCATAAGAGGGCTTCTGAGGTTCTATTTTCAACAGAATTTAACCTCCTTTCTATCATAAACTAGAAGCAAATTCCCAACTTATCAGTTTTATTTTAAAAACTCGTTTAAAAGATACTATTAGATTCCAAGAATTCATTTTCCCATAGAGGCAATTTTTTACAAACCACTGTTCCACATTCCCAGACTAGTCCAAAGACTCTCTAAATCATACTGTAACAGGGTCTACAGTAAATCATGTAGTACAGGGAATTCTCCGACACATAGAACAATAGTTTGAAGGAAAACTGCATTTCAAATGCTATCCTGAGAGAGCACTCACTATCTTATTTCTCCCCACTAAGGCTTTCTTGTCCCAAAGTGAGGCAGGGGCCCTGCCCCCAACAGGAGAAGGGGGCCTGGGCTCCAGCTGCTGCTGGGCCTGGCCCTGGGAGAGGAACCTAACTGGCTGGGGGCTCTCGCTGGGGCTGCCTTAGGGCAGCAGAGGGTGGGGTGAGAAGCTGCCAGGCCTGCGAAAAGCACTGCCAACTGAAAGAGGTGGAACTATGAATCAGGGACTCTCAGAATCAACCTTTCACATACATACCTCGAATGAAGACAACCTGTCTCCAAATCTGAGGCCCCAGTTACCAGTTGTGTAACCTTGGGCACATCCCTCACCCTCTTGGTGTCCTAGCTTTCTTATCTTTAAACACCTGCCTCATGGGGTCCTTTAAAGGATAAAATGAGTTAATAACTGAAAAAATACCAGGAACACACTAAGAATTCAATAAATAGTAGGTCTGTACATGGAAGTTCACTGTACATATTTATAGTAAGGCAGCCATCAGACAGACATGAGCTGCCGTTAAAGTATTTGAAAAACTCTCCTAATGACATTAAAGTGGTTAGAATTCTTCTACAGCTCTCTTCTGGGATAACTTCTTTTCACATCTGCAATCATTTAATTTGCAGCAAAACATGTAATGTCTTCTGTACTGGACATCTAGGAAGGAGAAGCCTCTGCCTGTGCTATTCACACCTGCCCCATACTGAGGTCAAATCAGGTTACCTCACTGCCCAAATGCAACAGGCAGGCTCTCCTGAGAGAGCACTCACTATCTTATCTTAACTAGAGGCAGGCCCTCAATCCTGGCCCTAATTATGCATGTGTTCTCCCATACACCAAAGCTTAGAGAAGTGGAAGGCAGTATCAACAATAATTACATCTGGGTAAAAAGTTTATTGGTGGTTTTTCACTCTGTCCTATTCTACAGCTTCTGGATATTTTATAATGAGACTAACTCTTTTATGCCATCTTAACTAGTGCTTTCTATGGAATGCCATCTAGGCTTCTGCCCCAGTGCTAAGCAAATCACCCGCTGCACCTTCCAGGACCACACAAGGACCCCAGGAGGACAAGGCCCCAGGGCACTCCTCCCACTTTGGAAGTATCAACTACAGTGGCAACCACAGACAAAGAGATCCCTTTTGGGGATAAAGGAATGCTTGGAAAAAGTCATATAAGCTACAAAAGAATTCTAGGCATAGGGTCATTCTGGGGGAAAAACAAAAACAGAATGAATGCATGCATGCATGAGTGTATGTGAAGGTGGTGACCCACACTTCCTGGTTCAGAGTGGTTCCGGGAGAATGAATGCATGCAGGCATGAGTGTATGTGAAAGTAGTGACCTACTTCCTGGTTCAGAGTGGTTCTGGGAGAAGACGCTGCCTACAACCAGCCGTGGATCCCAGAAGCACTAACTACAATGCCTAAGCAAAAACAGACTTGCTAAGTAACTTTTATAAACACCTCCACAAAATTACCACTGAATGATTATAAGTCAGTGGCTTTTAAGGTAACGGATATTTATTTAACACGGAAAAGAATCTCGACAAAATTCAATATCCTCCTTTCTGGAGTCTCTGTGTCCTCCTGCCCTCTGCCCCACCCAGACCACTCATCACAGAGCATACGGTTCCTTTTACAGAAGAGTGCCGACTATGATACTGCCAAGCTTCAAATCCATCAGCGGCTTCCAACTACTCTTGACAGTCACCTAAGATCCAATCAAAGTCTCCAGGACCTGATCTCGCCTGCCCGTCCGGGCTCCTACTGTTCCACTCCTCTCCATTCACAGGCTCCAGCCACAGCCAATGCCCACCTCAGGGTGCTCTCTCTCCTGTGATATCAGATAAACTGTCCCTGGCTCCCAAAGCCCCTGGAATTTTCTGAGTGACAGAAGTGTCTTTTGTTACCCATCATGAACCCCTTTCCGTCATACCCGAGTCTATGCTAACGAGGTAACTCTGGGTCGGCCCCTAGACAGCTTACAGGATGGGGGCTAGGTGTCACAAAGACCACCATGATCACAGGAACTTTCAGCCCCAACCAGCAACCTAAAGGGAGGACAAGGGGCTGGAGATCATGCCACTCAGCAATGTCCAGTGATCTAGTCAATCATGCATGTCTACCTAACAGAGCCTACATTAGAAACCACCAAGGACAGGGCTTGGAGAGATTTTGGGTTGCTGAAAGCACGGAGGTGCTGCACCCAGAGGGCCTAGAAACTCTGCTCCCATCCCTTACCCTACATCTTTCTTCTATCCATCTCATTCTGAGTTGCATCCTTCATAATAAACTGGTACCAGGAAGTCAAGCACTCTCCTGAGTTACATACATGGGTCATTCCAGCAAATTATCAAACCTGAAGGGAGTCATGGGAACCCTCAAATCTGTACTCAGTCAGGTAGGAGTATATAGCTTGGGCACCCCATTTGCAGCTGGGTTTGAAATGTGGCAGTCTCGTGGGAGACAAATGTCCGAATAGAACTGAACCACTGGAAACTCAGTGTCAGACAATTGACGAAGTGCTGGTGTGAGGAAAAACCTCCTCTCGTTTTTTGCCTGGTTACCTCCCATTTACCCCTCAGTGCTCAGTGATCTTCCCCTGAAGTTTGCTCTTGGTGCCTGATATGATTTCTTTCGTAAGAAGGTCTGCAATTGTAGCTTTCTAACTATTTATACAATTTTCAATTATCTGTCTCCCTCACCAGACTATAAGCTCCACCAGGACAGGCTCTATCAGCAGCCAGCCAGCATCACGCACGTGGTGGCAGCGTGTGCACAAGCGCCGAATGCACGCATACCTGAGAAAGCTGCTCTAGGCAAACTGGGCACATTCCAGCTATCACAACCTCACAACACAAATGACAGTGTGCCGCTACTAATGCAGCAAATGGCACAAGGGCATGGAAGGCAGATTGCAGTTTCTATTGTTTTGAACTGAAAGCCTAGACAAAGCATGCTTGCAAGGAGCCCTCTACAGCTGATGAAAGGAAGAACTGTGATTTGAAAAACTAAAAGGAAATGGGTTCTATAAATCTGGCTATAGCCAAATTACTCCTATCAAACTGACTCGCCTGCAAATAACATCGAAACTTTAAAAAACATATAGAAAGTAACTGCCTAGAGGCACTCAAAAGTAGCATGAAAGATAACAGAATCTTGGGACCCAAACTCACTATGCCAGTGGGAAAGTGAAGCTTGGGAACTGAACTGTGCAACACTGTCTGCCTTTTGTTGCCGAACAGAGAGCTGTCATTCCACAACCCTGTGTCATGGCCTCATCCATACGCCAGGTGCCCACAACTACAGAAGGCCACATAGCTCCCCAGATGGCCTTCCTCACAAAGTGCTCACAAGGAGATTTCTTGTGAGCCCCTAAATCTATCAGAACATATGTCCCCCACTAAAAACTAGCCCTAAAACCGAGTTCTATTGTATCTCACCCTGGCAATGTCAAGTACCAGCTTATCTTCATAGGTACAGACAAGGACAAGAGCAGAAATCACCCTTCCCGTGAAAGAGAACCCTGAGAAAAACGCACAACTGACTTTCCTCTACTCCCCCTTTCCCGTGTAAAATGCAGGCTTACTGAGGCCAATCGGAGGCTCACAACAATGTTTAAGCATCTGCCTCACTGCTCCCCAGCCTCCCTTTTTTCCCCTCCTGCTTGTTCTTTCCCCTTTAAATACTGAACTTCTCAAAGCTTTGGAAAAAGCACAAATGCTCCTGTTACCTGGCACGTCCTCAACTGCAGCTACGTAAACCTCTATCGATTGAGACCTGCCTGAATCACTTTTTAGTTAGCATCAGGTATATTCTGGGGAAGGATGGACATTTGGAAAAAAGAACGGGCAGGGCACCTCCTGCTTTCTCAACTATTAAGCTAATGGCAGCCAACTTTGTTATGTGGAACAGCTAAAACTCCAACAAAAATCCACAGGGTTTGGTTCTACCAGAGTTGCTGGGAAGCTGGGGGAAACCCACGGTGAGTGTGACCCTGAATTCTGTCTCTAAATTCTGCCCAAATCTCTGGCTGACGGCAGAACAGAACTTGCAAGGCCAACTTCAGATCAGCTGAGTCTAAAATAAGTGGACTGAGATTTGAGCATCTGCCAAAGGGAGAGTTGGCAATTTGAGCCTGACCAAGTTAACTGCCTGTCAAACAAGCAAATCAATACTCTTCAGGGAAACCTAACATGATCAAGAGTCTACAACCCACAGTAAACAGGACACAATTCAAAGTCACTAGAAATAAAAAGAATCATGAAGACGTAACCCATCCTCACAATAAAGAATCAGCAGATGGGACCTTAAAGCAGTTATTCTAATTATTGCTAAAGGATATAAAGAAAAATATTCTTGTAGTGAATGAACAAATATAAAATCTTAGCAGAGAACTAAACACTTTTTTTAAGCGAAACAAATTCTAGAACTGAAAAAAATTCTCAAACTAAAAACTTGTTGCACGGGGACGAACAAGAGAGTAGAGAGGCAGACAGTGAACACTTAGGACACAGCAGACGCCATTCAACCTGAAGAACAGAGCAGAGACCAGGTCAGAAAGCAACGAGCAAATCCAGGACCTCCAGCAAAAGGTCTACATGGGTGTAACTGGAGCCCCAAGGCAGAGTAGAAACAGTAAAGCAGCAAAATATTTGAAGAAATAATGCCCGCAAATTCCCCACATTTGGTAAAAGACATAAATTTTCAAGTTCGAGAAGTCAGAAAACCACACCCGAGATAATCACCGTCAAAATGCCAAAAACCTAAAATAAAGGCAAAAATCTAGGAAGCGGACGGGGAACAACTATCTGAAATTGTGCTGATCAGAATATAATGGAGGTCATCATCAGATACAATCAACAGATACAGTGAAGGCCAAAAGACAGTGGAGCAATATCCTTCAAATGCTGAAACAACAAATCTGTTACCCAGAGTTCAGTATCCATGGGAAAAAAAAAAATCTTCAGGAACGAAGGCAGCAATTTTCAGACAACAAAATCCAAGATCATGTTTGTCAGTAACACACCTGAATTACAAAAAACTAAAGTGTTCCTCTGCCTGAAGAAAAATGACACCAGATAGAAACTTCAGTTTTCAAGACGGAAGACAGAAGTCCTACATGGCAAAAATACTGAGAAAACAAACATGGGCCTCAGAACGCACAGGGAATGGAGAGGTTAGGGCCAGGTCGAGGCCCCAAGGAAGAAAGCACATCTCACCTGGGGGTCAGCCAACTTTCTATAAAAAGCCAAGGAGTAAATATTTGAGGTATGTGAGCCAGACAGTTTCTATCACAACTCCACTGCTGCCACTGTAGTACAAACACAGCCATTAACAATGGGTGAATGAAAAAGTACAGCACGTGCCAGTGAAACTTTGTTTATAGAAAACAGGTGGTAGGCGGAATCTGACCCAGCCCATAGTTTGCCAACTCCTGGGTCTAACCAACAGGCAGCTGTGAAAGGGCCTGGACATCTACGAATCAAGTCTGTGTAGAGACGAAAAAAAAAAATCAAAAGAAATAATGAATATGAAGGCCAGGCGTGGTTGCTCACGCCTGTAATCCCAACACTTTGGGAGGCTGAGGCGGGTGGTTCATTTGAGGTCAGGAGCTCATGACCAGCCTGACCAACATGGTGAAACCCCGTCTCTACTAAAAATACATAAAAATTAGCTGGGCATGGTGGCGCACGCCTGTAATCCCAGCTACTCGGGAGGCTGAGGCAGGAGAATCACTTGAACTCAGGAGGCAGAGGTTGCAGTGAGCTGAGATCGCACCAGTGCACTCCAGCCTGGGCAACAGAGCAAGATTCTGTATCAAAAAAAAAAAAAGAATGAGTATGAAACTGCTACATATATATGGCATTTGGTAAACTGTAAAATGGTACAGAAATTTCACATATAGGACAAAAAGACGAAAGTAAGTCTTAAAATGGAAATGATGAAAATTTCAGAATATTCATAATAAAAAGAAGAGAAATAGCTGAGAAAGAAAACTTCGTCTAGTACATTCCATTTCCCCGTGGAACTCTAACACCTCGTATACATGTAGCATAAAATTTGAGAAACTTGATCAAAATAATACCTAAGCCATACCAAATTCTGAGATAACATAAGGACTGAAGCCTTAGTAAACACATGGCTTCAAGCGATTACTTTACTGCCTTTATTTCAGCTTTTTAACGAGTAATGTGAGGATAATAATTCGCAGGGCTGATATAATGCCCAACAGAGGTACTGCAAACTGTATTTTTAAAATATACTGTAATAATTTGTTAGACCACATTATCTACAGCCAATGAGAAAAACAGAGGCAAGCATTTACTTCCATCTTGAGCACAATATGAACTCTTACAAAGACTTTGAATTATCAGCAAATGACCTTCATTCACCAAAAGAAAATCAAAGTGATTCCCAAGCTATTCTTTCATGGTCATGTAAGTAATGCCACTTTATGCAAACCAAAAATGCTATAAAAGTAAAAACAATGGCCTGCAGATGGGTTGAAAGTACAGTCTTAAGTTCTATAGAATATTCACTTACGGTTTCTAATAATATTCTGTTACTCTGGCATTCAGCTTTCCTTGCCATATCGATAGTCCAGTATAAAGTGCCTTGACAAAACCTCAAAGCCCAGCCAAAAAGGTAAGGGAACAAAGTATTTTCATCATGGTTGGTAAACTGTCATGAACTGCAAGAACTAGTGGCACAGAAGGAAGGCCACTCCCTCACCACGTTCAAAACCTAAATAGGCACAAGCTGAAGGGAAGACCAGAGACCAACCGAAATCCAAGGAAATAATGTACTGTAGTCTTTTCTGGGGGTTATATGAATAAAGATCAAAGATAATTTAAAAATAAAATGTGTCACCTTCATCAAACCCACAAGTAAAGAAACCTCACCTGATAGACTACTGAAACCTAAAAGCTTCCATGTGCACTACTGTTCTAAGTCACCTGGCAGGAAATTAACAAATATCCTTTAATGTCTGATGTAAACCAAGAAAATAAAATAGTCACACAGAAAAAAACTGATGGCTGATTATTCAGAACATGCCTCTGTCCCTCCAAAGGAAAATTTTGGAAAAGTGACAAAGCCTCAAAGCCCTAGTTCATCAGCATAGCATGTTACATCAGGTTGCTGCAAACATATTTGTGGTTTCTGCATTGTTGAAATTTGCCATTTGATATTGGAACATGTTCTTAAATAAATGTGGTTATACATCATTTTAATGCGTATTTCTCGCTTGATGGTTTTTTTGCTAACGACTTATTACTTGCTGTTTATTTTAGACTATGGAAATGTTAGACAAAAGGCAAATTTGAGCAATTTTCTTATTCGAGTTCAAAGTAAGTCGTAAAGCAGTGGAGACAATTTCCAACATCAACAACGCATTTGGCCCAGGAACTGCTAACAAACACACAGTGCAGTGGTGGGTCAAGAAGTTTTGCAGAGGAGATGAGGGCCTTGAAGGTGAGGAGCGTAGTGGCCGGCCATCAGAAGTTGACAACGACCAAATGAGAGCAATCACTGAAGCTGATCCTCTTACAACTACACGAGAAGCTGCTAAAGAACTCAACGTTGACTGTTCTACAGTTGATCGGCATTTGAAGCAATTTGAAAAGGTGAAAAAGCTCGGTAAGTGGGTACCTCATGAGCTGAGCGAGAATCAAAAAAATCATCATCTTGAAGTGTCATCTTCTCTTATTCTACACAACAATGAACCATTTCTCAATCAGATTGTGACATACGCCGAAAAGTGGTTCTTATACGACAACCAGCTCAGTGGTTGGACCGAGAAGTTCCAAAGCACTTCCCAAAGCCAAACTTGCACCAAAAAAAGGTCCTGGTCACTGTCTGGTGGTCTGTGCCAGTCTGATCCACTACAACTTTCTGAATCTCCACAAAACCATTACATCTGAGAAGTATGCTCAGCAAATCGATGAGATGCTTTGAAAACTACAATGCCTGCAGCCGGCATTGGTCAACAGGAAGGGCCCAATTCTTCTCCACAACAGCGCCTGACCGCACGTCACACAACCAACACTTCAAAAGTGGAACAAATTGGGCTGTGAAGTTTTGCCTCATCTGCCATATTCACCTGACCTCTCACCAACCAACTACCATTTCTTCAAGCATCTCGACAACTTTTTGCAGGGAAAACGCTTCCACAACCAGCAGGATGCAGAAAGTGCTTTCCAAGAGTTTGTCAAATCCTGAAGCACAGATTTTTACGCTACAAGAATAAAACTTATTTCTCACTGGTGAAAATGTGTTGACTGGAATGGTCTTGATTAATAAAGATGTGTCTGAGCCTAGTTATGATTTAAAATTCACAATCCAAAACCACAATTACTTTTGCACCAACCTAATATGTTATTTCTAGAAGCACTGTATCTGCTTCTGGAAGGCCAGAAACAGCAGGCAAGCTGCAGGATATTGGGGAAAGACCTGGCCTTCAAGGCCCCCTGCGCAGCACTCAGGGCACACAAGGAGCTGAGCCACTTGTCCCCTCAGTGGTCCTGGTGTCAGGCCATTCTCCTTTCTCTCCCAGAGGCTCTTCATCCCGACTCTTCCTCCATGGAACACCTTAAAAATCACCATTCTTGAGTCTTTCTCTGAAGATTCCTGCTATACAAACTAGACAGTCTAAAATACAGCTTTTACTGTAAAAGCTGATTTACCCAAAAGATTTAAAATAACTTAAGTTTGCATCTTTAGAAATGTGAATTCTAAAATTACTTCACACTTAATCCTTTAAATACCAATTATACCAACCTGAGTGTTGCAAATTTTTAGCATCTTACTTACTTGGTGCATTCTTCTAAAGACTGTACGAGCATTTGCTGGAAAGAACATATTTCTTCTAGATTTCCCATTAAATATGAAATGTTTGCTGAACTTAACCTAGAGCCAAGAAAAATAACAGTAAACATATGTAAACAGTTTTATTTATATTCTTCTCCTTTGCCATCCCAATGTCCTATTGAAGTCTTAACCTAATAAACAGCTGATGTCTAAGGCAAACTGGTACACTAAATTTTGTTTCACTATTTAACCCTCTATTCTCTGAAAATAGAAGAGAACAGCCTAAGGTTTAGACTATTTTACAGTTAATGCAATTTATCATCTAACTTACTTCTCACTGGTCTGCAATGGCCGTAGGTACGTTGAAAGCACAGTCTGAAGTTCTTTAGAATATTCATTTTCTGTTTCTAAAATATTCTGTAGCACCTATAATAAATGATGAATAAGTGTTATTTGACATTTCAATTGCTATTTGACACTAAGATTTATACACTTTGGACAGTTCATCGCCATTGTTCAATTCACACTGTTACTTCTATGTAATACTAAAGTGTTGAGTATCATCATCATTCTTTGCAATTATTGACTGTTAAACCCATGTAATGAATTATTACTAAGGCCATACAACTGACTTTATCTTACTGCCAACCGTATCTGACAGGTATACCTAGCATGAATTCCATCATCAGATGCCATGTCTGTTTAGATAAAAAGGAGAAGCCGCCAAGAATCACAACTGCATGGACAAACAGATCAATCTCTACGACACTGTGTGGTGCAAAAGAAGCCATTCCCAAAAGGACATC
Source organism: Homo sapiens (assembly GCF_000001405.40). Lineage (NCBI taxonomy): Eukaryota > Metazoa > Chordata > Mammalia > Primates > Hominidae > Homo > Homo sapiens. Next base: position 111,243,491 of record NC_000013.11, on the reverse strand, counting down.
CTGCATCATCCCATTTGTATTAAGTCTAAGAGATGACAAAACTAATCTATGGTGACAGAAATCAGAGAAGAGGTGAAGGGTAGGATGGGGGCGTGGACAACAAGGAAAGGAGAATGACGTAAATGTCTAAGGTGATACATAGGTTCTGTATTTTGATTTGGGTAGCGGTTACAACAGATATATACATTGTAAAAGCTCACTGGACTGTGCCTTTGAAATCTATGTATTTTAACATATGTAATATTACTCTCAACTAAAAAAACAGTTTACTCTTTAGATTGCATCTAAAAATTGAAATCAATTTCTGGGAACTACAGACTTTCCCTAGTGAATATGACAGTCTCAGACACCTTATTACCACATTTATTAAAAACTAAAGGTTTATCAATGTTAACAATCTTTACTACTTCATTTAAAGATAGCAGAATAATTATAAATTAACCTTAAAATTAAAATGTTTCCCAATACCCTGTACTAGTGTAGCAAATTTAGCCAAAATAATTTAAGTCTTAAAAACTGACAGATAAATATAAAGTGCAAAACTGATGAAACCAAGTAGGAATGCTTTCCACCAGCTATCACTGCAGCAAAGGCCCAGCCCAGGGTGGGACGAGAAGGCACCTGGATGTGAACTGCAGGTGCTCCTCGCACTCCTGGCACCGAGCAAGGGGCTCTGCACACAAAACTTTTCCTCTTAGAGAAGCTGACTTCTCCCAACTCAAACAGCTGAGAAAAGCAGAGCCAGACAGCGGCCCCAGGTCCTCCTGCCACTGCACCGCACCACACTGTCTTCTTTGGCATGAGACTGAGGAGCACGCTGAGGATCCTGAAGGACCTGACGTAAGTGAAGAAAGTGGAATCCCTGCCTCCATTCTTTTTCACCCGAGTCTGTTACAGAGCTAGTGCTTTTTAAATCAGGAAATCACATTACACGTATTTTCTGCGCATCTAGTACATGCATCAAGATGTGCTATTTGTCTCCCAGAGCTAACAATACATTCTCACTTATTCATACAAAAGAAATTGTACAGAAGTAATAAAGATATTAAACATGCTCAGTCTGTCCCCATCATTTTTGATAATCCAAATGTAAATTTAAACATTTAAGAAAAAAGTCATCAAGTTAAATTTAAATTTCAGCCTTAGTAAAGACAACCCGGGTCGTTACTCTGTTTGCCTACTGTTGACTGTAAACTCTGAGAAAGGAATACAGTCATTCCTGAGTAAATGCAAATCTGATTAAATCACTTACTAAACTACTTGGGCGAAAAAAAACAGAGGCTCTTCCACTGGTGACAAGGAACTCAGGCTCATCCCTGAAGGGATCTATTCAAGGGAGACGACCGTGGGAGAGCCAGAGCGAGGGGCCCTGCAGGGAGCTGGCTCTTCATGGGAAATGCTGACCCCACAACCACAATGTCTTCCTTCTACGAAATTCCCGTCGAACACAAATGTCAAAGGTCTGGTGAGCAGAGGTAAACCGTGATGCCAGCCACCACACCCCAGAGACGCTACTCGAAACCAGGCCTGTCCTCCAGAACAACAGGGGAAGCCAGCCAAGCATAATGAGATCTTGAGCTAAATAAGATGAAATAAGATCTGTCACAGACGTATCAGAAAAGTCCTTTTCAATGTTAAAGATAGGAAATATGATTTAGCTTCCTAATTACAAATATTGGATACCAACTTACCAATACTGCTCACTGCACACCTGAAGACCTATATACTTATTTTCAAACAGAAAAATGTTCCTATGTGAGATAAGAAAGCAGCCACTAGAAACTATCACTAGCACGAATATGAGAAGAATAAAATACAATGACCTTTTGTCCGTCACAGCACTAAGCGCTGGTTGTAGAAATGAAAGCTTCCCATAAGCACCAAAAACTACTTGAAAGAGCCCTCTGCCAAAAAGCTACATTTGTTAAAATAGTTAAGTTGGTTAATTCAACAAATAGTCTTAAACACTATTTTCAAATAGGGTGCTAAACACAATTCCTGTATTACTCCCAACCAAACAATGCAAGTTACACTTAACTTTTCCTCAAACACACAGCCAGGCCTGGCTCCCTGACTCCAGCTGGGGTGCCCACTCCCTCTGCCAGGAGGTTGCTGGCCTTCCTGACCTCGGGGCGCAGCCGGGGGTGCCACTTACCACCTTTCTTCCCCTCCTCGTCTTCTGCACGCTCTGGCTGCTGCAGGACCCCATGAGACCTCACAGCCTGGACGCCACAGCTCCATCCCACCAACGCTGGGAACCCAGAGGACGCAGGCAGTTTTCAAAGAAAAGGCAGCTTTTACGACCCACAGTGCTGAAGAAAGGCCCACAGAGCTGAGCTCAGCCAGTGCCAGCTTCCCGGGGGTCACGAGGCATGGAGAGGCAAGTGCAGTCAAACACTGGTGCCACTCAATCCCTATGCTGCCCGCCTCAGAGCACAGCAAAACAAAGAGGACTCACTGCTGTGCCTCGCAGACACAGACACTTTATTCGTTGCATCATTAAAGGAGTACTTAGCATTTCTGATTTTACAAATGGGTTACAACTTCCACTGCCAATCTCGGTAGGTGTTTTATATGTTTATGTCATCAACAGCCTTTAAAAACAAATAACTGATTTACATAAGAGAACAAAGAACATTAATTTTTTTTGTTTCATCTGTATAAAAGATTTTTATCATCATACAACTGTATTTCCATATCCCAATCCTAATGTATAAGTCCAAGAAGAAAAACCAAAAAGTGGCACAATTATTCCAAATCTACCTCCACCCTACCTAATCAGCCCTTCCCTGTCCACTGCTACAGAGAAACAAGATCATCATTTAATGTTCTCCATTCCAGTCTATTTACACTTCAAGTAAATTTTCAAAAAGTACATTACAAGACAGTAGTTCACCACACAATGTGGCCTGTAATAAACATCTGACTCCACGGAAAGGAGGAGGAGGAGGAGGAAGGAGTGTTGACAAGAAATCCCAGAAGCTCCTGCTGGCTCCTCTACGGGTCACAATGACATGAGGCAGTCAGTGGCTCCCCGACCACACGGTTGCTGATTTAATGTGGTGTGTTAGCACTGCTGGTCCTTACCAATACCTCGGAACGTTAGTTCTCAAAAAAAGTTTGGAGAGACCACATAAATGCTTTTATGATGCTGTATCTTTTGAAATAAATGTTATTCTATTACTTTTAAATTTGGAGATTCACAGGTCTTGGGGTACGTTTCTCCTAAATGTTAAAGGTTTATAGGCAATGGCTCCTGCAAAGCCTCCAGCACACAGGGGGAAGCAGACACCACCAATGGCACCTGCACAGCAGCATGGCGACAGGTAGAGCCGGCCTCTGCAGCCACGTGGACCTGGGCTCCCAGCTGCGCTCCACCACTGACTGTCTGCAGCTGGACAAGTCTATCGGTCTGTTTCCCTTTTTCACAAAAAGGGGTTTTACGAGGTTATAATGGTTACTCAAGAGTGCCAGTCATTGGCTTATAGTAGGAAGGCATCTAGCCAGTCACCCTTCGACCTTCCAGCCCAATGTAGAGTCTTACTTGGAGCTGCTTCTTAAATGACTCCTTCAGTCAGGAGGTAATTATTTCACAAGACAGCCTTTCTTGCAATTAAGTCACTCAATCCTCCCAAACACTGAGCTCCTCTCCGTGTCAGCATTCCACTAGTGCCTACCTGACAACCTTCATCTGTATCATCTTAGTCCAGATACAGCAAGGAAATCCCATGAAAAACAATGGGAGCCAGGTGTGAAAGAAGCCAGCAGGCACCTCGCCGCCCAGGAAAAGAGGGGATCCCACAAGCTGCACACCCTCCCTGATACCTCAGGGCCCCTCATCATTAACCATCTCCACCTACGGGCCCCAAGCAGAGACTTCAGGAGTCAAAAGATTTAACAGAAATCTTCATTGAGGTGGAGAAAAGCCAAGGGCAAAGCAGAAGATGAAGAGACGAAGCAACGCCAGGGTTTAGGGTCACTGCTGATGGATGGAGACCGAAGACACCCTGTCACCAGGAGGCTCAGGTTTTCCTCCTTGGCCTGGCATCTGAAGGCCATCGCAAACTAAAGGAGCAGGGAGGAAAAGACAGGTGTGCGGCTTCTCTGGAGCACAGGAAAGGCCCGTGGATGTGTGTGATGGCATCTAAGGATACATAACCGTTTTATACACTTACAGATTAGAAAGAGTGATGCTACCTATTACATTATATTCACAGTATTATAATAATGCTCTAAATAACAGGGAAAGTGATATGGTTTGGCTCTATGGCCCACCCAAATCTCACCCTGAATTGTAATAATCCCCATGTGTCAAGGGCGGGACAGGGTGGAGGTAACTGAATCATGGCACGGGGGTGTGGGGGAGCAGGGGCACGCAGCGCGTTCCCCTATGCTGTTCTCATGGTGAGTTCTCACAAGATCTGATGGTTTTATAAGCATCTGGCATTTCCCCTGTTGGCACTCATTCTCTCTCCCACTGCTTCGTGAAGAGGTGCCTTCCGCCATGACTGTAAGTTTCCTGAAGCCTCCCCAGCCATGCGGAACTCTGAGTCAATTAAACCTCTTTTCTTTATAAATTGCCCAGTCTCGGGTATTTCTTCACAGCAGCGTGAGAACGGACTAATACAGAAAGCCTAAAAAATCAAACCATAGTGTATATCGCTGAGCAGGGAAGGCCATAAGGACTGTGTCTTCCCAGTCAGCGACTTAAGAAACCTCATTCTCTAATGACGGAGCGGGGTGCTCCTCATCCCCCCGAGAGGCAACTCCAGACCATCATTCTCTCCAGCCTAGGCATCCAACCCCTTCCTTTGATCCCCATCAGGAAAGATGCCAGTCACCATGCCATGGGGGCAACGAGTGTGCTTTCACTGTCAAATCCACCAAGCTCGGGCACATCAGGTCACAAACCTGTCTCTTTTAATTATATGATCAGGCCACCTTGGCTACAGCTTTCACAGGTCACCCTCAAAATCTACGGGGATTCCAGTTTACAAACAGAATGGTATGGTGGCCTCAGTGATGCCTTCTGTTCCCAATGCTCTTAAATACTCTTCTTAATACACACAAAAACCTCTAAGGTCCAGCACTTTGCTGGAGGCCTTAAGGCCAGTTGCCAGTCCACTTAATACTACCAGGTCAGGGCCAGCATTACCAATCTCATTTTACAAATGAGATAACTGGGCTCAGGAAGCTAGGGCCAAAGCTCCTGGCCACCCAGGCTAAGCAGCATGGACGATTCAACAAAAAGGCTGTACACCTTCCACTGCATCAAGCCGCCCGGATCTTAATTATCTGAACTACCTACACAACAAGGGCACCCTAAGCACAGCTAACAGACTGATTTCAAACAGTACGTACATGAGAAAATAGAGGCAAGAGTAGTGGCTGGCTGTGTCACAAAAACTAATTGAAATTAAAAGATCTGCATTTAAGAGATCTTGATTTCCTCTCCCTTCCCCGTCACTCTCCAAGCCCAAGGCCTGTGTGCCTGCCATGTTCCACGCTGGCTTCCTCCCTAGCCTCAGAGGCCCGTTTCTATCTCCAACACATTCTGGACTGTGGTGCCAAAGACTTCCCCCATAATCACTATCCCTTACATTAGTGGGAAGCTAAAATTCCTCCACTGGAAAGAAACCATTCTCTAGCACAATGTCTTCTATCTTCTATGTCAACTTTGTAATACCATGAGATCATATCACCTGTGTAATTTCATATTCTGTTATTGCACTTAACATGAAAATATATGTTTTTTGTATTTTTAAAGCCTCATGTACACTTTAGTAACTACAAATGGACAAACCACTGATCGCTTAATCATTCTGGTACTGTTCATCTCATACTGTTTATTTTGGGTTGCTTGCAATTTATTACTATAACAAATAATCCTCTGAAAATGCCTTTACACAAGCATCTTTGAATATATTTCAGGTTAATTCTCTGGAATGGATTTCAAGAAATTTAGAAATTAAAGAGAAAGCCCTAAATTAAAGAACTTGATCACTTCCAGAATTCTATATATAACTGCCATATTACTTTTGAGAAACTCTGTATGGATTTACATTTCCACCATTAGAACTAAAGATTCTCTCTTTAAATCTCTGCTCACTGATTACAGAAAATATGCCTATTAAAATTTTTATGGTGAGTTTAACTATTTTTTTTCAAAGCCTTAGTGTTTACCATTTTTTAAATTGTTCACAACCTTTCCCATTTGTCTATTAATCTTCATGTATTTGTCTTAATGAGCTCTTCAGACATTAAGGATAACCTTGTATTATACCTGATGCAAATAACATTCCAATTAACTTGTGATCTGGCTTATACTGTTTGAGGCAAGGAATATATTAAACTCTCATTAGGTAGCCTAAAAGATTTATCTTTTCCTTTGTCATTTCATCCACTGCCTTTAACTTTTAAAAAGTCATGCTCCTCCCCAGCCCTCTCTTTGAATGCATTCCCCAACCCCATACAGATCACTGGCAAGAGTGAAACCTCACCGTCAGAGGTGTTTTTTGGTTTTTTAGGGACACAATCTTGTTCTGTAGCTCAGGCTGGAAGTGCAGTGGTGCAATCATAGCTTACTGCAGCCTCAAACTCCAGGGCTCAAGCAATCCTCCCACCTCAGCCTCCCGAGTAGCTAAGACTACAGGCATTTGCCACCCAGCCCAGGTAATTTTGGTTTTTTCTAGAGACATGGTCTTGTTATGCTGCCCAGGCTGGTGTCAAACTCCTAGCCTCAAGCAATCCTCCCTACTAGGCCTCCCAAAGTGTTGGGATTACAGGTGTGAGCCGTAATACCTGAACTGTTAAAGGTGTTTAAGCACAATCTTTGGTGAATCTTTGGCTGAATACTAAATTATGCTACCCAAAAGTGAATCCTAGAAAGACAGAATTAAAAATAAAAACAAGAATAAAAAAATAAAAATAGACATCAGTGACTATGGGAAGATAAACTACAGAAGTGCTCTAGGTGAGTCACTGAGCAAGACACAGCAACAGCAACAGTATAACCCAGGGGAGGTGGATTTCAAGCATCCAGAGCTGCTAAAATAGGTCTAAGATATCCAGTTTTCAATTTAAAAAATCATAGGACATGCAAGAAAGTGTGACCACACACACACGCACACAAGAAAAAAAGAAGCAGTCAATGGAAACTGTCTCTAGGGGGCACAGATAGTGGACTTAGGAGATAAAGGTTTCAAAGCAGCTGTTATAAATATGTCCAAAGAACTAAAGGAAACTATGTTTAAAAAATTAAAGGACAGTATGAAGACAATGGCTCAAATATTGTCTATATTTGACTAATTGCACCACAGGAGTCCCAGAAGGAGAGGAGAGAGAAATAGTTACTGAATGGTTCATAATAACAGACATAAATTACTACGAGTTTTACTTTCCAGTGTCTTTTTGGTGTTCATCTTAACTATTATACAATAGCAGGAAAACACATATCCATCCCATTCATACCTGTCTCATTGTCTCTTAATTTCAAAATGTTGGTACTTTCGCATGGAATACTCTTCTCTCAACTCCATTATACTGATCCCAAGTTAAGACAAGTCATTCATGTAAATTTCCTTAACACCATTGGTCCACACCAGTCTTACCCTTTAGTAAGTTTTCAACTTTCAGTGAGGTTAAAAACACCCAGACCTTATAGTTTTCTGTGAAAACGAAACTACAAAAGGGGGTGTAGAAATGCCTAACACATTATCTATCATGTTTTGTTCTGTGTTGTATTCTGTTCTCTATTTTTATGTACAATTTACAAATATAAAATTAAGGAAAGCTGAAATTGATTCCTGGCTTAGTAACCAGTGTATAACCTTGGACAAGGCATTTAGCTTCTGTTTTCTCTGCTGTAAAATGAGAGTACTACATCAAAAGACAATTCTCTATGAATTCTATGAGTTTATTTCTATAACAACTGTAATTTTACCATGTGCTATTTATAAATGCAGCTTTATATAGAAAACAATTTAGATGTGATTTTGAGGTCAAGGTGTTTTCCATCATTCTGTATGAAAGAGTTGGCTGATTTGAAGAAAAGAGCACTTATAATACCCAGGCTATTCTCTCTGTAAAAGGACAGTTAGAGAAGGAAAACGAAAAAGGTATCGACTATGCTTCAATCTGAGAAGTATTACAGAATATATAATGCAAAGAAAAACCCACCAGGATTTCTAAAAAAGCATGGTTGCCTGGTTTTATAAAGTGCCTAATGAAAGCAAGATTAATGGAGAAACTAAAGAATGCCCTTGGCACCAATTTAAACACTGCTGACCACTTTTTCTAACAGAATTATCTGGACCTGAACCATAACAGAAGGTAACACACCCTTTGGAATCTCACTGTGGATTGTGGCTGTGTTATTCACCACATGAAGCCTTCCCCAAAAAAGCAGTGTCTTATACAAGAATGCAAGAGGAAAGGGCAGCTCCAGGAGTTAAAACTCAAGTTTTCCTACAACCCATAAAACCCATCTACTGTCTCTGTAGCTACGTACACAAAACTACACATAAGCTACATTACACACTAAAAAGCGAATGGGTTAGTAGAGCCAAATCCTGGGAGTAAATGCCCAACAGGCCAAGGGATGAAGGCGATGCAGAGCACTAGGAGAGATGACAGAAAGCAGGTGTCTCGGGTAATGTGGGCCACACGACGCGCTAAAAGGAGTCTGATCTTCTCAAAGTCCACAAAGTTGAGATGGAAGGCAGAGTCCAAGCAGCCAAATGAAGATGAATGAAAAAAAGGGAAGAAAGAGGGGAAGCAAAAGAAAAGGGTTTCCAAGGCAGAAAAGGATCCGGAGTTGACCAAATACAAGGAAAAATAAGTCAAAGATTGCCACTAATGTAAGAGAAGTGGCATGATGCATGAGGAGACCTGCTCACAAGAAGGTGCACAGATGTCAAATTATGAAAAAGAAGCAGTAAAAATGGAGGCAACAAAAGACCATTGTGTTCCCGTACCCAAGTGCGAGCTCAGCGAGGGGAGAGGCACCCGCCATTCTGTTCACTGTGCATCCTGGTGCCTTTAACAGAGCTGCACAGAGCAGGCGCCCAATAAACAGTTATTAATGAGTGGGTCCCCAGGCCAGTCTGTCCTGCAGTACGATGCTGGGGCAGATGGAAGGTGGGCACTCAGGAGGAAGCTGAGAGTGCAAGCCCCGCAGCACAAGACGGTGGCACAGCTCCACGTGGTGGAGCTGCTCAGACTCCATTGCACCACACCTTTTCACCGTTTCCCAACACAGGTGCAGAAAATGAAATGCTCACAAGAAAATGACTGCTGCACAAAAACACCAATCAACTGCTGTTTCACACCAACAATTCAAAGGTCTCGTGGGTTCATAGTTATATCTACTCAAGAAGAAAATGAAGATTGGGAGTAGGGGAAGAAATAACAAAACAAATGCGCATTTTCCCCAGAATTCAAAACATACACATGTTTAGAGGGTTTACTTTGTTGTTATCATGTTGAGTGGTTTAAAATTTTAATAAATTCTTTAAAATAAATTATTTTCCATTTCTATAGAACATGCAATTGCTACATAAGCTTAGGTACAAAGAAGGTTTAGACGACACAGATTTAGTACCATGAGACTATACATTTGATTTAATAGCATTAGACTACACAGATTTAGTATCACATACTGAACATATTAAGCAGCAAATTTTAGGATCCAGAAACACCTGTCTTTAACACGTATAGCGTTTAGACATGCTCCCCTAATTCTACGCCATGTGATATGTACACATCAATCCTGGGAAACACTATATTAAGAGAAAAAATAAATTAGAAGCCTTATGTCTAAAGTACTTACAGTCTACTCTGAATACAAACAGAATGGCACTCAATGCATATAAAATTTTCAAATCACATTATACATTTTTTCAAATATCATTTTTGAAGACTGGCTATGGCATGGGGAAACACGCACATTACTATGTTACGGGACAAGAGCAAGGGACATTTCCATATACATGATATTAAAACAAAAACATACAATTACAAAAATACAGAGATTAGAAGGAAACAGACCAAAACCTTAATGGTGGTTACATTTGTGTGGCAGATGAATGAACTTTATTTCCTTCTTCCTATTCTAGGTACTTTACACTACATTCTACATTGCTGAGTTTTACAGGCAGTCAAAAACCAGTTAGTTTAAAAATGTTCTGCAATTACTCACCACATTGTAATAGCTTTTGTTTATGGCAGTCGTATCAAATCCTTTGGGAGGGCTCTTCAGTGTTCCTGATTTGGGAGACACAGGCTTCTCTGAAATGAAAATGTAACATAGTTTTACTGATCAGTACTAAAGATGACAAAAGTTCCAGCCCCTCACACAGGCCAAGGATACTCATCCAGCAGCCTCACTGAATTAACAAGCCAAATGGCAAGCCAAGGAAAAGGCCATCCACAGTGACCCTCAGTGCCCCAGAAACCCAGTCCCTCAGGCTCGGCTCACCAAGGCCAATCACAGCACCCCATCCCCACCCTGTTCTCCCAGTTTCAAGTTGAAGGCGTCTAAGAGACTGCTCCACGAATGCCAGCCAAAACCAAAGCAGTTTAGCTACAAGGACAATTCCATAGTGTGGTAAATATAAAGCGTCACCCAAATAAAAGGCATTTTGGCAGATACATAACAATATTAAAACATCAGGGCTAAAAGTTAGGGACTCAGATCCCTCAGAATGGAAAAGTCTCTCTAAACAAGCAAGATCTGGCTCAGGGCTTGAAATAACCATCACTCACAGGAGACAAGGAGGAGAAAGAAAAGTCATCTCAAGCAGGGGCAAAAACAAGAAAAACCCACACCGCCTTCACTTCCACACCAGGCAAAACCATTAAAGCAGTCCTGACTCCAGCAAGGATTCTGATGTTTTAAAACAGCACCGCTTTCACTCCACATCCATTCAACACACACTTACTCTGCATAACAGGTGCTGAAGAAACACCTGCCGAAGAAACACCTGCCAAACAAAACCTGGCACCATGCATGCCCGTCATCAGCTCTATGGGGTGGGCCTGTCTACCAATGGTTCTACGGGAGGGGGTCTCTATCACTGGTTCTATGGACAGTGTGGGTGTGTCCATCGCTGGCTGTGCGGGTGGGTCTGTCTCTCCATAGTTCTATGGGGTGGTGTGTGTCTATTATCAGTTCTACAGACAGTGTCTGTGTCTTTACCATTAGTTCTGCAGACAGTGTATGGCGTCCATCACTGGTTCTATGGGGTGGGTCCCTCTGTCTCTCAATGGTTTTATGGGTATGTGTGTATTTCTATTAATGGTTAGATGGATAGGGTGTGTCTATCACAATTCTATAGGGTGGGTCTATCAATGGTTGTGTGTATATCATAGTTCCATGGGGTAGATCTACCAACAGTTCTAGGGGGTGGGCAGATAGGTCTAACATTGATTCTACGTTCTGTACATCTAACATTGGTTCTGTATATCTAACATTGGTTCTACGGATTCTGTTTACCACTGGTTTTCCAGGGCTACAGAGCAGTGTATCAAATTGGGGCTAGTGGGGACAAAGGAAAGGGAGAGGTTTTTTCCCACATTCTTCCCCAAGAAATTCTGATGAGCATTTCCTAGAGGACTTAGTCCCTACCAGTTTTCCCTCAAAGCTCACCTCCACTGCAAGAATCCTGCCATGTGAACCCCCTCACTGGGCGGGAACACACTCCTCCCCTCTGGTGTGTGAGCAGCACCTGCCTACAGTCCATGCCTTCTGCTCTCCTCTCCTCCCATGCGTCCCCCATCCACAATCTCAGTGTCCTGGGGTCTGAGGTAGTATATCCCAAAACAGTGCCTTCAACCCCAAACACTCTAAGGCTTCAGGTCCCTAACGTCAACTGCCTCCTCAGGATCTGCACCATCTTCTGGCAACAGAAACCCAGAATGCCCCGAACCAACCTCATGCTCCTTAACTTTGGATCCTCCTCCTGTGGAGCCGTTTACCTCAACCTTCCTTCAATGCCTCACTGTCAAGTTTCTAAATCTTCCTTCAATGCCTCACTGTTAAGTACTTCCAGGTGGTTGAAAACAACAAAATAAGGTGCCGCTGCAAGTTGCAAGAATTCTCTCTGCCCACAGGATGGAAAACAAAACTCCACAGGAAACAAATCCCTTCTACACTGTAAGAGCTACAAGGAGGAAAACCAATCTATTCTTGCTAGCACACTTACCTACTCAATCTCTTTTCTACAGCTAAGAATTTAATTGTAGAAGAAAACACTATGAAATGTTTTCATCTGAGGAAAAACAACACTTTTTCATCTTTGAAATCTACAATTTGGAGGCAGGATAGAAAACAACATTGCAGGGGAGACTGTCCACACCTCAATCACAGCCACTGCGATCATAAGCCGCACGTCAGCATGTGTGCCGGTGAAGTGAACTTCGTAACAGTGACCCTGAATCTGCATTATTTTAAAAGTAATGATTTTGCCAGCTGTGTTATTTTAAACTTAAGACATACCTCACAACTCAACACCACAGTTAATAAAATTCAATTAATTTACTATAAGAACTGTAAGAAAAAAGTTTTCAAAAGAAAAAGCTTCAGGTTACTAACATTACATAAAAATAAAAAACAGGCAGAAGAAACCCAGTCAAATCAGATTAAGTCCAGGCAGGTTGCCTTTTCTCCCCTAGGAAAAAAGAGCTCCCAATTCTGCTGGCTGCTGAATGGAAGGTGTCAAGATCACGTTCCCCAGAACACCCTGTGGTTCGTTTTCAACAAGAGGGCACTGCTGAAGTGTGCCACCCACAACGTGCCCTTGCTTCCAATCAGGAAGCGTAATTTCCACAAACGCCCAAGGTGGGTCTGCTGTCAGGAGACCCTGCAGGGGAGACAGGAAGCCCCTGGCTGCCAGACCCCAGCAAGGCCACTCCTGGCTTCTGATGCAAAGCTCCTTGCTTGCCCCACCACTGTCCAGGCTCCTGGGGCGGTCACGCCAGAAGAAATGTGCCATCAACAGGAGGGGTGCGGGGCAGCAGGGGCACAGGTAACTCCCGGGCAGCCTAGGAAGCCTTCTAGTAGCTTCTACCAAAAAACAGCATTGAAATTAAAAGAGGCTAAATTACGGCCATTCGTAACAGACAGAAAAGCACACAGCCAGGAAATAGATTAGAAAATACTCAACTGCCCTACTATCCTAAGAAAAGCAGCATTTTTTGGCCCATCTGGTAGCTAAAAATTAATAAAATTCACTGGTATTGAGGAGTGGGGAACCAAGAGAATGTAGCTTAGTGCTACCTTTCCAAGGGCTGACTGGGGCAGCAAGTCTTCCCTTTCTTAAAATAAACTCGAAAAATGCTGAAAACAAGAAAATTTAAATATAGACGTGTAAAAGAAAAAGAGGGGATGACATGCCAAAAGCAAAGAGGAAACCCTCTCACTAGGGGAGGGGAGACACACCTGTCTCCAGGCTCCAGCAGCTGGGGCTACACCCAACGCAGGAAGAAAACAGACCTGCTCCAACCCAAGCAAATAAAACTGGATCCCTTAGTAACCCGCACAGCTGATGCAAAGATGTCTGGAAGCTTCTATGCACTGGTCTAGAGAAATAGCAAGGAAGTGTGCAGGCTGCTCACAGACGGGGGCACAGCCTAGAAGAAACCAAAACCCAGAGCCCGCACCTGCTTAGCAGGACCACTCCAACCTATGCTCTCCTCTTGCAGGACTACCAGTACCTGCCTGGGACAAAAAAGTCTCCGGGAACCCCTAAGAAGCAAATGTTACTCCTCTCTGTAGAAATATTTCTACAACCCAGGGTACACAGGAACCCACCATCAGGAATAAGCCCACCATTAAACAGTATCAGCCACAGAAGGTACTGAGCTACCAGGAGGGTGTGAGTGGATGTGGCATATAAAGGGACCAGGTTCCCCAAAGTAGAAATAAGAGGAAAATCAAGACCTAATGTAATCTGTCGTTTAAAATGACAGGAGAGATACGCAATTAGGACCAATCACGACGAATAAAAAAGGCGCCATGAAGACTGAAAACATCTGAAGCGCAGCAAAACTTCTACAAATAAATATGGTCACTAAAATGGAAATCTCCACAAACAGGTTAGTATCACCGTGAGGAGGGAATTAATGAACTGACAGGCAGAGGAATAGATAATACAGCACAGTGAAACAAACAGATACGCAAAGTAGATTAAAATACGCGGATTAAAACAGAGGGCAAAATAAGACATCTAGTAAGATATTCAGGAGAAAAATCAGGGAGTGAGCTGGAAGTAGTCCTTGAGAAGATCCTTTCTGGAACTGAAGAGCTCTGGATTCCTTGGGCTGAGGAAGCACAGCCAGCCCCGAGCAAAACCAGAGTCCACCAAGACACACAGGAACGCTGCACAGCTGGGCGAGGGCCAGGTCCGGGGAGCCAGGTGCAATGCCCTCCCCACTCCGAGGCAGCTCCACCATCACAGGGCTGGGAATTTCTGCCTCTTTTGAGAAGAACACACTTCTGTGAGTCCTCACTTGCCTCTTCCGCTTGACTGGAAGCCACCCAGCCGCTTCCCTCTGTTTCAGTGGTTACGCTTTCATTTGTGACGTGTCACCAACCCAGCAAAGTCCAGAGTTAATCATCACCGCTGGCTTCAACCACCAGAGCAGACATGGCCCTGAAAAACTCGGAATTCCCACGTCCTCTTCCGACCTTCTGTGCTGGGGCTCTGTGCGTGGTTTGTTGGCTGTTACTCACGCACTCAGAGTTCACAGAGTCAATGTCTGTGTGTGTCTGCCCGTGCTCAGCAGTGTCTGCCTGCCGCTTTCCTGAACCACATGCACCCTCCTGTCAGGTGACGTCCTCCGAGTTGTTCAAGGGATGATCTGCTAAGACGCTCGATCTTTGTTCGAAAATGTTATAATTGTGCCATTACTTTTTCCCAAACTTTTAGAAACTTAAAAATATACATAAACATACAGAGAATGACCACGTATAGACTCTTAACAGTGTTAGCAGTCCTCAGCATCGAGCCTGCCTCATCCGCTCCCGCCGTGTTCTCTGCTGGAAGCACCATCAGCAAGTCTCAGAGATGAGGTCATCTCCACTCACCAACACTTCAGTGTTAGCAAAGGGAGCTTTTCTTCTTTAAACTCAAAACCCTAACCTCAGACCATTATCACACCTGACGATATTAATAATTTTTAAATAGTATCTAATGCCTAGTCTATATTCAGATCTTCCTGTGTGTCAAAACAATGGCTTTCTGATGTCAGCTTATTTGAATCAGGAACCAAATGAAGTCTGCGCAGCACATCTGGCTGCTGTGCCACTAAAGTCTCTTTCATTCTATAAAAGCGCCCCCTCCTCTTTTTTGGATGCCAGTAGAGAGCAGAGAGCACAGACCTGCACGCTTACCTCATGTGCCGTGCAGGACACCTCAGATGTGCTTCATAACTTCTGGGAAGACACTCTTGGTTTTCCCACTGCTGTGTTTCTCAGTTTCCACAACAGTGCTCACCAAAGTAAGTATTTGGGGAATGGATGCTGGGTGTGGCTTTAGAGCCAAGTGTAACTGGTGTAACTGTGAACAACCTTGACAATGCAACAGGAAGATACAGGTGAGTAAAGGCAGAATGTGGGAGGATAGAGAAAAGGGTCAAGGTGAATCTTCACGGAACAAAATGGGGCATCAGGAGGTATCTGCCAAATGTCACTGAAATACAAATAAGACTAAAGCATCTCGTTTAGCACACCAACAGAGGAAACCAACAGAAGAACAAATTAATCACAAAGAACAAACCTAGAAGAAAGTAGGAGGAAGAAGGTAAGTCAAACGGGGTACACAGGGAGACCCTGAAGTTGCTGAGGGCTTGGTTTCAGACCATGGCAATACAGTGAGTCACACAAATTTGTTTCCTACTGCATATAAAAGCTATGTTTACACTATACTGTAGTCTATTAAGTTTGCAATTGCACTGTCTTTAAAAAAAGTACATTCCTTAGTTAAAAAAAAAGTTTCTAAAAAAATGCTAACAATCATCTGAGCCTTCAGCAAGCTGTAATCTCTTTGTAGAGGGTCTTGCCTTGATATGGATGGCTGCTGACTGATCAGTGGCTGCAGAAGGCTGCGGTGGCTATGGACACTTCTTGAAACAAGACAATGAAGTGTGCCAGTATCAACTGATTCTTCCTTTCATGAAAGATTTCTCTGGAGCGTGAGATGCTATTTGGTAGCATTTTACACACATACAACTTCTTACAAAATTAAGAGTCAATCTTCTCAAACCCTGCTACCACTTTATCAACTAACTTTTTGCAACAGTCTAAATCTTTTGTTATTTCAACAATGTTCACGGCACTTCAGCAAGGGTAGATTCTATTTCAAGAAACCACATTCTTTGCTCAGCCATAAGGAGCAACTCTTCATCCATTCAAGTTTTCTCATGAGACTGCAGCAGTTCAGTCACATCTCCAGGCTCCACTTCCAATTTTAGTTCTCTTGCTGTTCCCACCACACAGGTAGTTCCTTCCTAAACTGAAGTCCTGAGGCCCTAAGGTCATCCATCAGGGTTAGAATCAATGTCTTCCAAACTCCTGTTGATGTTGATATTTTAACCTCCTCCCATAAATCACAAATGTTCTTAACAGCATCTAAAGGGGTAAATCCTTTCCAGAAGGTTTTCAAATTACTTTGCCTAGATCCATTAGAGGAACCACTATTTATGGCCTTACAAAATGTATTCCTTAAATGCTAAGACCCAAAAATCTAAATTAATCCTTGACCCATGAGCTGCAGTATGGATGCTGTGTTAGCAGCATGAAAACAACATTAATTTCTTTGTATGTCTCCCTCAAAGCTCTTGGGTGATTAGGTACACTGTCAATAAGCAGTAACATGCTCAAGGGAATCTTTTTTTCCTGAGTGGGAGGTCTCTAAAGTGGGCTTAAAATATTCAGCAAACCATGACACAAGCAGATGTGCCACCATCCAGGCTTTGTTGTTCTAACTTACAGCGCAGAGAGGCAAAGTTGGTTAAGCATAATTCTTAAGGGTACTAGGATTTTCAGAATGGTAAATGAGAATTGGCTTCAACTCAGTCACCAGCTACATTAACCCCAGACCAGAGAGTCAGCCTGTTGGTGTGGCCACCTTCACCGATGATGTCAGCTAGATCTTCTGGATGACTTGCTGCAGCTTCTCCGTCAGCACGTGCTGCTTCACCCTGCACTTTCATCATGTTCTGGAGACGGCTTCTTTCCTTCAACCTCATGCACTAACCTCCATTAGCTTCAAACTCTTTTTCTGCAGCTTCCTCACCTCTCAGTCTTCATAGAATTGAAGAGATTAGGCTTTGCCCTTAAGGAAATGTTGTGGCTGGTTTGATCTTCTATCCACACCACTCAAACTTTCTCCATATCAGCAATAAGGTGGTTTCATTGCTTATCATTCATGTGTTCACTGGAGTAGCACTTATAATTTCCTTCAAGAGCTTTTCATTTGTATTCACGACTGACTGGTGCAACAGGCCTAGCTTTCAGCCTGTCTCACCTTTCTACATGCCTTCCTCACTAAGGTTAATCGTTTCTAGCTTTTTATTTAAAGTGAGAGACATGCAACTCTTCCTTTCATTTGAACACTTAAGAGGCCATAGTAAGGTTATAAACTGGTTTAATTTCAGTATTTTTGTGTCTCAGGGAATGAGTGGCCTGGGGAAAAACATGGGGAATTCCCGGTCAGTAGGGCAGTCAGAATACACACAACATTTATCAATTAAGTCTGCCATCTTACATGGGCATGGTTCATGGCACCCCAAAACAATTCTAACAGTAACACCAAAGGTCCCTGATCACAGATCACCATAACGGATACAATAATGAAAAGCTGTGAAATCGTGCAAGAATTACCCAAATGAAGCACTGGGACAAGTGGGCACATGGTGCTGGAAAAATGGCACCAACAGTGTTGCCACAAGCCTTCCATTTGTAAGAGAAAAAAAAAAAAACAAAAAAACAAGCAAAGTGCAATAAAGTGAGATACGCCCTATAAATCTAAGCAGAGAAGTCTCTGCATACTGTGAAGAGTTGCGAGGCAGCTACGTAGGAGAGGAGAGGAGGTGAGTAACGCCTCTCCCTGGATCAGGGCTGTGGGAGTGGGTGGCCTGTGCTCTTCCCCACATGAGCTCTTCCGTCTACTGGCTATCACATGCTACAAGCATGTGGCATGTAAGTAATACAATTACTTAAGCATAAATGCAAATAAAACTTTTTTAAAAAAGAGAAGCTCTAATACTGGAAGACTAACAACCTGACCCCTAATTACTCTAAGTCAGCTGGTCTATGGGACGTGCTCCTGAAACGGAAGATGTGTAATCATCACCGACAACGGGAGGCAGCCACATTGCAGTGAGGACATGCTCGGTATACCAATCTAGGAAAATATTCACTTTCACACGCCAGAAACATTTCCAAACCATCTACTCCAAGACCCCTTTGTACATAATGCTATAATACGCTCCCTACGCCTGCCTCGGGGGGCCCATATCTTCTAATTTATGTTCTTCTCTCTTGTTTAAAAACAATTACATCTTGAAACAATAGTGCTGAGAGGTCCATCCTGTAATGCAGCCTCATGTGTCCCATCCAAACCCAATCCTCACCGGAGAGGAGGAAGGACTACAGCACAAGCTCACATCCAGTGGCACGAAGGAAGGCAAGGTTCTGGGGTACTTTTGTCCTTTTCCCCGCACAGATTATACTCACATCAAACACTGTTCCTCCACAGCTAAATTAATAACGACATCCAAAATTCAGCTGCGTGTTGCTTTATGTCAAAAATAAGTAAAAAATATTTAAAAGTGACCAACTTAAAAAGTGGCAATGTCGTTAAAGATCTGTGGATCAGCAAATGACAGTCCCATTTAAGCTCTCACATCACTGCCAAACACAGACAGTCATCATCTCAAGCTAACCAGCCCCCAAAACAGCATTTAAAAGAAATGTCTTTACAACAGATAATAAGCTGTCCAGAAATAGGAGAATGACTAAAGTCAGCACATTAGAAATAATCATCTAAAAAAGCCTGAGTCCACATGCACACACAGAAAACTGGTCTTGGAAGCACACAGAGCACGAGGTGTGTTCTCACAGCTGCTAACCGTGTGTGCCACATGCAGCTGAGTGCCTCCACTTCTATCCAATCACAGCAACCACCATCACCACTCACTTCCAGAATGGACCTTGCTGCTTCTCTCCTTAACTTCTCCCTTGAATTTAGGAAATTCTGAAGCAAGGGAGTAAGAGTGAGGGTGGGTGGGTGGGTGTGAAACACAAATACATATCAGCCTGTAAAAAATGCTGTAGACGCTGGCTGCGGTGGCTCATGCCTGTAATCCCAGCACTTTGGGAGGCTGAGGCGGGCAGATGACAAGGTCAGGTGTTCGAGGCCAGCCTGGCTGACATGGTGAAACCCTGTCTCTACTAAAAATACACAAATTAGCCGGGCGTGGTGGCGGGCACCTGTAATCCCAGCTACTTGGGAGGCTGGGGTAGGAGAATCGCTTGAACCCAGGAGGTGGAGGTTGCAGTGAGCTGAGATTATGCCACTGCACTCCAGCCTGGGCAACAGAGCAAGACTCTGTCTCAAAAAAAAAAAAAAAATGCTATAGAAATCCATGGGTTTTACCTAACCAAAAAAGGTGCACAGAAAATAAATGCTAAGTGACAATTATTTACCTTCCATAAGACTGTACTGTACATATTCAGGAATAATATACAATGCTTTTGACACAAGCATTAGAAAGATCGTTATTACAGAATCCTAGAACATTTTATCTGTCTTCAAAGAGGGACTATTCAAACAAGAAATCCTACACCACAGGTTAAAAGCACCAACACAACGGTGAACCTTGACAAGAACAATTCCATCTCCGACCACAAGAGGGCAAACCACCAATGGCTACACTTCCCCAGGGAAGCAGGAGAGGTGAATTGGACCATCTGGTCAATTTATCTGGAGATAAACAGCCTAAAAAAGTGCCATTTAGAGAAAAACTTCAGTTCTTGTTTACTCAGTAAAACTATTTGTACATCAAATTAAAATATAATTCAGAAGAGAAACCCTCAATTTAAAGGAAGTCAGTGTTTTCATGAATAAAGAAATGATCCTAACATGATGGTCAGAGAAGTCTCTAAGTTTGGAACCTGGCACAATTTTGTTTTCAGAAAAATCAAGCACTAATTAACTATAAATCAAAATACATTTAACACACTCTTCAAAAAAGGAAACCTAATTCCAAAATCAGAAAGCCACATAAACTACTGGAAAAAATGCAATATAGCCGCCCACCCTTATCCACGGGGGTACCCACAAGACTGCCCACTGGATGTCTGAAACTGCAGCTATATCTCTGTATATATACCAACCCTATATATACTATGTTTTCCCATCTATACATACCTATGTGTGTTTAATCTGGAAATTAGGTACAATAATGGATTAACAACAACTAATAATGAAATAGAACAATTATAACAATATACTATAACTAAAGTTATGTGAATGTGGTCTCTTCTCTCAAGATATCTTACTGTATTGTTCTCACCTGTTTCGAACCACAGTTGACTGCAGGTACTTGTAACCACATTACGCAAAGCCAGAGGTGAGAGGGAAGTCTGCTGTACTGAATGTAATTGTGATCCTAGAGTTTTATTCTTAACTGCTCTAGAGTAACACGGTAAAAAATGTGGTTTCACACTTGCCTCAAATGCCCACGGTTAAACTCAGACTGGGCTGGGCGTGGTGGCTCACGCCTGTAATCCCAGCACTTTGGGAGGCTGAGGCAGGTGGATCACTTGAGGTCAGAAGTTCAAGACCAGCCTGCCAACATGGTAAAACCCTATCTCTACTAAAAATACAAAAATTAGCCAGGCATGGTGGCACGTGCCTATAATCCCAGCTACTCGGGAGGCTGGGGCAGGAGAATCGCTTGAACCCAGGAAGCAAAGGTTGCAGTGAGCATCACTGCACTCCAGCCTGGGCAACAAGAGTGAAACTCCATCTCAAAATAAAATAGTAAAATAAAATTAAAAATAAATAAACTAAAATAAAACTAGCATGACTTTCCATACAATATGCTTAGGTAATTAGAGAACAACAGGGACAGAAGGTTATTCCTTTGGTTCAACCATCAGATAAAGTTTAGCAAATGCATCACTAATATGCTCAAAAATGACATTTCTTGAATTTTAAAAAATAAACAGGAAAAAAAGGGAAATTTTCCAAAGTTACTTAGGTCTCAGTTTGGCACAAACCCTATTGTGATGGTTAATACTCAGTGCCAACTTGATTGGATTGAAGGACACAAAGCATTAATCCTGGGTGTGTCTGTGAGGGTGTTGCTAAAGGAGATTCACATTTGAGTCCGTGAACTGGGAAAGGCAGACCCACCCTTAAGCTGCTGGGCACCACCTAATCAGCTTCCAGCAAATATAAAGCAGGCAGAAAAACGTGAAAAGGCGAGACTGACCTAGCCTCCCAGCCTACATCTTTCTCCCATGCTGGATGCTTCTTGCCCTCAAACATCAGCCTCCAATTTCTTCAGTTTTGAGACTCGGACTGGCTCTCCTTGCTCCTCAGCCTGTAGATGGCCTATCGTGGGACCTTGTATACATATACACATATACGTACACGTACACATATACATACATATATGAATCCATAGGTGTATGAGGGTTCTTTAGAGGGACAGAAGTAATAGAGGGACAGAACTAATAATATTCTCCTATTAGCTGTATATATAGATAGATACAGATAGATATATCAAGGGGTTTATTAAGGGGAGTTTATTATATATACATGTTATATATATATATAAAGGGGAGATACATATATATATACATATAAAGGGGAGATATATATCTATATATAGATATATATAGATATGTATCTATATATATAGATATATAGATATGTATCTATATATAGATATATATAGATATATATCTATATATATAGATATATATATGTCTATATATATCTATATATATAGATGTCTATATATCTATATATATAGATATATATATCTATATATAGATATATAGACATCTATATATATAGATATATAGACATCTATATATATAGATATATATATAGATATATATATAGACATATATATAGATATATATAGACATATATATCTATATATAGATATATATAGACATATATATCTATATAGATATATATAGACATATATATCTATATAGATATATATAGACATATATATCTATATAGATATATATAGACATATATATCTATATAGATATATATAGACATATATATCTATATAGATATATATAGACATATATATCTATATATATATGAAAGGGAGTTTATTAGGTATTAACTTACATGATCACAAGGTCCCACAATAGGGGGATGTATATGTATATATGTATATGTAGATATATATATATCTCCCCTTTATATATATATAACATGTATATATAATAAACTCCCCTTAATAAAGTTCCCTTCATATCTATATATCTATCTATATCTATATATATAACTAACAGGAGAATACTATTAGTTCTGTCCCTCTAAAGCACCCTAATACACCTATGGATTCCGTGTGGCCCCTGCAAAGAGCTCCTTGATGGCAACACACCATGTACACGCACATACGTTGAAACCGGGCACGCACACACGCTCAGACACGCCTAAGACATGAGTAGTGGCTTCGGGTAGAACAAAGTGAGAGCACTGTTCCTCATGAGAGCCATGTTTCTAAACACGCCCTGCCGGTCCTTTGGAGGGCGTCCTCTGCTGCTGCCAGCTCAAGGGCCCACAGTCCACTCAAAAGCGGGGGCTCACGATGCCTTCCTGTGGGCTATCAGGGGTAACAGCATACTGCAAGACAAATTCCCACGGCAGATGACACTGACGACATTCAAATGTGTCTGAAAATCACTTCCAACTGGAGAGGATTTTGAGATCCACAAACCCCATCTTTTCAGCGTAATTTCCTTGCTCTGGGTTACTTCTAAAAAATCCACAAGGAGAAATACATGAAAAGTAAAACCCCACTCACCTGCACTCTTACTGTGGTGGTTCAGAGTCAGTCCAGGATTCACACTTAAAGGAGGAGTTCACTTAAGAATTAAAGAAAGTCAGAAAGACCAGCTGGAACAAGCGTCTGTCCCTACTCCAAAGGTGCGTCCCACTTAGCAGTTCTGTAACCTCAACTCTCCTTGGCAAAGGTGAGCAACGAACGAGGTCCTCCTTCCTCTGCCCTGGCTCAAGTGTCCTCCTGGAAAGTCCACTGGCGCCACCTCAGGCCTCTCGGCCCAGGGCTGCTCTCATTGGTTCCCAGGAAAAAGATCTCTCCAACTGGTGGGGCTGGGCTAGGAGATGGGCTCACAGGATGGACCGGGCCTGCCCTAGCCCTAGGTCTCCAGGAAGGCTCATGCAGGCCAGTGCCATCCAACTGAGTCACAGACTAAACTGCATCTCCTAACAGTGATGTCTATCAAGTTGACATTTCCACGCCTCAGCATGGTGCCAGTGCCGCGCTCTCAGTGGGCTCTACACATGAACGGATTTTTTTAAAGGATGTCATGTACTTGCAACCCACCCCCTTCTTAATATCCCAGCAATACTTGTCTTCAAGGGTTATGAGGAGAACTGAAGTTGCAAATGGAAAGTACTTTATACATTAACTGGAACATAACAAGCAGCCGGAAAAAAATTCTGCCCAAGTCGATTTATTATAATAAAAAATACTGCCTTTTAAATTATCATTATTAACAACTACAAAAAACAGTAGCAACTTCACATCCAACAGGATGGCTATTACTTTAAGAAAAAAAAAAACAAGTTGGCGAGAACACAGAAGCAGCAGAACCCTGTGCACTGCTTGTGGGAATGCGACATGGTCCAGCCGCTGGGGAAAACCACGTGGCAGTTCCTCCAGACTTAATCACAGAACCACCATCTGACCCAGCAATTCCACTTCTGGGTATATACAGAAAAGAACTGAAAAGCAAGGACTCAAATACTTACACAACCATGCTCCTAGCAGCATTATTCACATAGCCAAGAGGTGAAAGTAACCCAAGTTCCCATCAACACACAATGTTGTACATACATATGATGAAATATTATTCAGCCTTACAAAGGAAGGTAACTCTGTCATATGCTACAGCATGGAAAACCCTCCAGCACTTTATGCTGAATGAAATAAGCAGTCAAAAGACAAAATGACTGCACTTACACGAAGCACCAACGGTAATCAAATTCAGAGACAGAAAGCAGAATGGTAGAGGGCAGGGGCTGGGGAGGGGAATGGGGACTGTTTAATGGGAACAGAATTCAGTTTGAGAAGAAACAGTTCTGGAGATAAACGGTGGTGATGGTTATAAAACTGTGAATGTACCTAGTGCTACTGAACAGTACACTTAGAACTGGTAAAAATGGCGAACTGCTTTACATATATGTATACATATACATACAATAAGAACAGGCAGGTGCTGTTCCTAAAAATTCCAACACCAGAGAAGTTTACAAATAAGGGCTGCCATCTGCCTTATTAAAATACTTGTTTTCTGAGGTCACTGAGAAAATATTTTTACATCAAAATTGTCATATTCCCATTTGTAAATCTTTTTTTCTTGCTACCTTAGAAAAACAATAGCAGCCATTAACATTCCCTGAGCTCCTACTCTGCCAGACTCCATACACATAGTATAAACCTTAACAATTCAACCCCACAAGACCGCACAAGGGAGAACTATCATCCTCATTTTCCATATGAAACACCTGTGGCTCTGAGGCTCAGTCACCCAAGCCCTAGAGCAGAGCTACAATTTTGTATCATGTCCTTTCCACAGCTCCCTGTGTATCAGCTATTCTCTGTAAGTCACTCTTTCCCCAGCAGAATCTGAGGAACTGTAGTATACAACGGTGTTTTTCAACTACAGGGCAGGATGCAAGTAAAGTGACACACATGATTGTTCCCTTCACAAATCCCACCCCCCACCTCTGTCCACCCACCCACACGCTTCCACAAGAAGCACGACAGCCCGGCAGCCATAGCCATGTGCCGAGGATCACTATTCTTTCATAAGAACACAAGCCTCAAAATCGGAAAGTCAGTGAAACAATGTGAACAACTACAAAACATAAGGAAGCAATGCATTTGTAAAATACTATCACTAGTACAAAGAGAATGACAGAAATTACTTCATTGCACACCACTGCCAAAAGTACCACCCATAGTCACAAAAATTAAACACAGCCTGCGGACTGCCAACTCCAAGTCCTGACACTAGCTCTTAAAAAAAAAAAAAAAGATCAATTCTTTCACAGTAAAACTGCAATGATAAAGATTCGAGATGTTTCTCTTCACGTCTGGAAAATGCCAGGATGAAAGGAAATGCTGGCTAGTAACTAGAGAGCCCTTGATGCCAGGGCCCCAATGTGGGGCTGAGGTGAAAATCCATTACATCTAACAAAAAACTGTATCCTAAGACCAGGTCATTTGCACAGGTCCAGCTGGAGAGTAAACACTATGTCAAGTACATTTACTTCTTTCTGCTCATCGCAAAAAGCCACACACAGCCCAGGCTCGGCCACTTACCGCTGGCCTTGACCTCGCGCACGTAGTTGCTGGGGAACCAGCCGGTCCGGCCGTTGAGTGTGCCCTCCCACCAGCCTCCCTCTTCCACACGGGTGACATGGATGACGTCTCCTTTTGAGAAGGAAAGCTCGTCCTCATTGGTCTGCTGGAAGTTAAACTTTGCTCTTACTACCAGTTGATTGTTGCTATTATCGGTCATGTCCTAAAAGGGGAAGAAGAGTGGGAGAAAAATTATACCAAGAACAGTCTACTTCATTATAAAATGGATTATACTTTACTAGTACAAAGGTAGCATAATTGCCCAACAGTAGAAATACATTTAGAGAAATTTCAGTTTCCTCCCTTCCAGTGCCCCATGACCACCACCAGCACCACTCCAGCCCCAGAGGACACCCTCTTCACAGCATTCAAAGGTCCTGGTCTGCCACTGTGATGCCTAATCAGACACATCCATGTGACAGAGACAGAGTCACACTACACGCACTTCTCCACAAGTCACAAAAGTTAAGACAACATGTCATTTATCTGGCAGTACTTACTGGTGCTTACATAACACTTAATGTTATGCTATATGACTATACCACTCATTATGGAACCCACTCTCCATTAGTGGATTTTTAGATTATTTCCAGTATATTTCCAGATACCATATACAGTACTTTCCTTGTGTAGACAAGGCTGCATTAAAAATATTTGTATGTCTATCTTTGAATATACCTGTAAACCAGCTATACATTAAATTCTGGTCAGAAGACATATTTATTACAGTTAACTTTTTAATACATCTTTCTAAATTGTCCTCCAAAAAGTTTCTACAAACTACACCAAGCAACATCCCCAGCAACAGTATCTAAAAGTGCTCATTTCAAACTTCCACCAACACTCAATATTGCCAAACTGACAAGAAACAGTACCTCGTATTTTAATTCGCATTTTTCTCAGAAACTGTGCATATTTTCAGATTTCTGAAAGGCAGAAAGAGGAAGGCAGAGGGGCTGGGGCCTGTTTGATTTCCATCTGCCCCGGACAGAGCTCTGGAGGCTGGAGATGCAGAACTACCAAAGCGCACAGCCTGACAACCCTAGGAGAAGCCTGCTCGTGCCGGCACAGGAGCAAGAAAAGGGCCGCCTGGCAGACCTCAGCCCCGGCCCACCCCTCTTCCCTACCACTGATGGTAAGCGAGCCCAGCCCACCTGCAACGCAGTGTCCCACAGACTGCACAGAACGTTCAGAGCTCTAGGGAACACCAGCGACATCAGCAGAGTCCAGGCCTCTATCCCCACCAGCAACATCAGCAGAGTCCAGGCCTCTATCCCCACCAGCGACATCAGCAGAGTCCAGGCCTCTATCCCCACCAGCGACATCAGCAGAGTCCAGGCCTCTATCCCCACCAGCGACATCAGCAGAGTCCAGGCCTCTATCCCCACCAGTGACATCAGCAGAGTCCAGGCCTCTATCCCCACCAGGTGGCAGCAGGTGATTCCATCTGCCCACACTGGCTTCTCCCTGCCCTCCACCCAGCCACAGGGAAGGCCTGAGACCACCCACACTTCTTGACATACAGCCCCCGCTCTACCACTAGCAGGCCAATCATCACCCCCCCATCCAGCAACACTCAGTCCCAGGGACTTGTGGGAAATAAAAGAACTTCAAACACTGGTATCAGTCTCAGAAGCTGAGTCTAAGAGGGCAGAGCTGAAAAGCAGGGTAAGAAAATATGGCTCAGAATATCCCAAATTTGACAGAAGACATAAATATACCAATCCAGGAACCTGCGTGAACCCCAACTAGTATAAACCTAAAGAAATTCAAACCAATTCATACCATAAATTAAACTTCTGAAAACTAAAGACAAAAAAGTTATTAATAAAACAGACACCTGCAGATATACAAGATCTCAAAAATTTACCTCCCACGCACCACTTTCTGAAGGAGTTAAAAATGTGCTTCTCCAAAACAGGGGAATTAACAAAAAAACTGAAAAGAAAGAGGCAGAGGAGATCTACACAGTCAGGGGGAGTGTCCCAGGTGACAATGGAAGGCGGCTCAGAGGCAGCAGCTGTGCGGCCAGCCTGGCTCACAACCAAGAGAGATTCAAGTAGGGCACAGGCTCCAAGAGCTTAGTTAATCGGGAAGAGAAGAGAAAAATTAATGTGTTTGAATGTCAAAGAGACCCTTAGAAATACGCAAAAGACTAGATCTGCAACCTGCAAAACATACACAGAAAACTAAACAAAGAAACGAGAATTACTAATTCTCGAAAACAAAATATTAGAAAGGTAAGAACAGTCATAGCATACAACGTGGCTCTGCTCCAAATATTATTCGCCTCGTCATGTTACCCTGAACACCGATCTCAGTGAAACCAGGGTGGAACTCAGCCATGGGGACGACAGGCCTAGGCATTTATGCAGGTCAAGGGGCCAGGGGAGGAAAACAGCACCAGCCCCTCTTTCTCTGTGGGAGTCCACATTGATATCACCCCAAATTAAGGAAAAACAAAAAAAAAGGGCACTTTATTTAGAGACACACAGGCAAATACCTACAAAGCACCAACGGAGGAGCAGGACAGCCAAATACAATCCTCCAGCAAGATCGCCCCCTCAGCCCCGCAGGACACCAAACTTAACAACTATCCGCATTAGAAAGCACTCCTTAAGAACCAGCACTCAGAAGTCATGGATGCTAGAGGGGACGGATGCCCCCAGTTACTCTGATATGATTATGACGCATTGTATGTCTGTATCAAGACAGCTCGTGTACCCCATAAATATAGATGAACTATGCACCATAAAAATCAAAACAAAAAAAGAACTAGTGGAAAAAAATTAAAAGTGGCCGTCCCTACTGTTTTTTCCTAATAGCAGGTCTCAGCGAATCACCTGACTTTAAGTGAATGTATAAATCACTGAAAAAAAAAACATTTTTAAAAGGTAAAGCATCAAAGCAAAGAGGTCACAACAGATCCTCAATAAGGAGTAGCTGTAATATTATTCCAAAAATATTTAATACTTATCTATTTAAATGTGTTTACAGATTAAGTATTAATTATAAATATGTATTTAGTAATTCAAATTCATAAGTGAAATACTTAATGCATATTTCATATTTAATCAAGAAGCCTCTCTTCAGTGTTTGGCAACAAAAGCGCCAGCGAACAATTACCAGCGCAGACACAAAGCTCTCTGGGCCCTGTGACCAACAAGGGGCAGGGTCAAGTTTGCCATTGCAACTGAAGATCCCATCCAGAAACTGTCACGTGTTCCTTGCTCTTGTGTGGTGAAACGTGACCCGAGTTCACTGTGCTATGTCAAGTTCTCTTTTTGCAAACCACCATCTCCACTCACTAGCTGTCTGCTGTGATCGCGACCATGCTCTCCTGTAAGTAATCCAACGTCACCTGGGCACGCCGGCCTTGTGGAAAACAGGCTCACAGTGCATGCACCCTGGTGATCAGCTCCAATGCCAGAACACAGCTGTGGTGAGCAAAGCAACGCAGGCGCAGCAGGCCCCTTCCCAGGTCAGGTGCCCGAGATCACCCTTGGCCAGCCCTGAGGCTCCAGCCAGCACCAGGGCTGAGGCCAGGGCAGGCCTGAATGGAAGCAGAGGGGAGATGAGGTATGATCAAGAGGCAGCGGAGTTCCACCTCAGTCTTGAGTGTGCAAATGCATGCACGCTCTACACTTAAGGTACGGGTGAGGGAGGCACGCCTACTGACATTACTTCATCAATGCAACACCCCAGAAAGAAAGGGCGGCGTCTAAGAGAGCGGGGAATCCAAGGAAGGGTACAGGGGGCAGGCAGCTGTTTCAGATCCAGGTATCCAGGTGAAACGTCGCAACATACCTCCATTCTTCAGCAGTCATTACACTGAAGGACATGTGGGCTCTGTAATGTTCTTTCTGCCTATTACTCTCAAGACAGGTTACTTAGAACATGCCAAGAAGTGCTCCATCAGAGCGCAAGATGCATGGGACTGGCTGGAAAAGGGTGTCCTAGAAAAGGCTATATTCCAACTACACACTCTATACTACCACGTTCAGCCTAAAATCACGGCAGCTGAGTGAGGGGTCCGTTCACTGTCAGTAGTGTTACAGGAAGCTGGAAGAGATGGATTTCATCACTATTTTATCATTGTGGGGTTTTTTTCCCTTTTTTAAAAAGCTCTCCTGAAACTGTAGCTTGTTACCTGTCTGGACTCAACATGACACTCTAAGGGAATCTAAATCATTCAGTTGAGAAAAACAAGCCAGTCGTTACAACAACAACAACAAAAGGATATGCCACAGAATCCCATTGCTAAAAAAAATACAAAAATGGATAAAACTCATCTTCACCATCAGACATCAGGACAGCAGATACCTTGGGGAACGCAAGCTCCATCGAGGAGTTGGAGGCTGGTCATGCTCTGCCTCCTCATCTGGGTGCTTACACGGGAATGTTCCATGTATAAAACTTCATCATGCAATACATCACGCTGTATGCACACAATACATGAACTGGTTTTCTATGTACGTTACGTGTCAATAAAATTTAGTAACTGGAGGGGAGTGAAGACAGTTCCCCCACTGCCCTAACCCAAAGGGAGAAGAGACCCCATCCAGGCACACACGACCTGGCCGGGCACAGTCATCTATGCCCACCATGCTCCTTAACGGCCTCTTTCTGATGCCTGGAGCCAAAGCACCACCCATCAGTATCTTGGATATTAATCACCTGATTACTTTATTGTATCCCATGTTCTGAAATTACCCTAACAATCCAAAACCAGGACACTCTGGAGTGCTGCTTCACACCAACAATACCCTCTCCTCCGCTCTCTAAGAGCACCTATAATTTCCTTTACAGAAGGAGAAATGCTTGCCAAAGGACGGAGACACAATTTTTACTCCAACTTTACTATTTCTGAGTGCTGTGATCTTGGGTAAATATCTTCTCTAAGCTTCAGTTTCCTCATGTCAACCAATATAAGATGCCAAAAATTAGACAATGCCTTTATATTCCACCAAATACTGTCAATTACATTATGGCATACCATCAACTGTAAGATACACGTACTTCCAGATGTGTTAAAATGACTTAAAAAGAGAAGTCTTTGAATTGACAAAATATGGTATATGAAAATATTTAACAATGTGTACAATACATTTGGATATAATTTCTTGCATGTCTTGGAAATACACTCGGTGACTGGTCCAAAGCCAAGGTTAGCTGCCAGCATCAGGACTGTGCCAGACGTACAGGTCCCTGGTTTCCAGAAGCAGAAGCAGCACTTTAAGAAATCAAGTCACCTCTCCCAGAAATGAAGGATGATGGGGACAATCACCTCACAAACGCCATCCCCAAACTCTGAGAACAGCATTCAGCACTCAAGGCTGTACCAATCAGCAGCCAGCAGTTGAAGACTAAAAGCACAGCAGTCACCAGGAATTCCAGCGGTGTCGAACAAAGAGTGAAGTATGAACTCATGCCTTATCTATGAGAAAAACCATACCTAAATCTACAACTGGCGCCTACCACATTCTTCACCACCGAGGCCCATCACAGAGCCGAACTGGATAAAGAGCTCGATTTAGTTCAGCCTCTGGAAGTGGGTAAGAACTCTCCCCTGACTGTTCTTTCCTTGGAATGGTGGAGGGGCACCGCAGACAAGTGAAAACCTCCACTGCAGTGCAAAGCAGTAAACGCAACATCAAACTGTTCAAGCCTGCCTATATCCCAAGACAGGAAATCTGTCCCGAGGCAGGGGGCTGACGGTTTCACAGATGAAAAACAAGCTTATAAAAACAACCAGCAACTGCAGTGGTGGCTGGAGGACACATTCTTACACTGAAAGGGAGGCAGGTAATGAAGGAGCAACACAAGAGCAAAGGGGCATAAACAACACCAGCCCCTCAGAACACAGATCCTCGCCTGGGGGATGGAAGCGTCTTACGCAATCTCAAAGCTTAGGTTTAATATGATCTCAAAACTGACATTCAAGAAACTGCAAGTTGCCTTTTAGCTTAACTTTTTATCATGGAAATGTTCAAATGCACACAAAAGGAGAGAGTGACAGGTGGCCCTCCATGCATCCACTGCCCAGCTTCAAAGGAATGTTAGGCCATTCTTGTTTCAAGATAAGTTCTTAATTTTTAATCCAAGAAAACTACTACAAAGTGCTATCGATAAACTACACAGAAAAACCTAAGGGTAAAGAAACATTCATTCTTACCTAGCATGGCTGAGAGAGGTCTTGCACATTCCATCAAAGAGAAAGCAGCTCTCTAGCACCCAATCAAAACATCAGCCCAAAAAGACTTCACACAGGTCAGAGAGCGCAAGTCTATTTCTAGTATAACGAAATTTCAGCAGCTAATGAAAAATTAATCCAATACTTACTATGATCTCAGTAACATTACCAACAAACATTACATTTAACTTTATTTTACTTAAAATTATACATTTGTAATCTAGTCCTCTACTCAAAAAGAAAAAAAAATCAGATGAAAATTGCCACCAGTGAACGGGTGAGACAGCAAATCACAGCTTTACCCAAGGCGAGCTGATTTCTCTTATGTTTTCCTCATGTGTTTTACAGAGCTCATTTCAAGTGTGTTTAAAGTGGTTTGTTTAGTCCTCTTTAACTTGGAATCCTAATGCTCCCAATGGTAGTCCACAGAATTCTTCCAGAACAGGCTCCTGCAAAGCAGGAAACAGCAACAGCCAGGCCTCTCGGGGCTGCTGTGAGGACTGCAGCACTCAGGCCATGCAGCCCACCGCCCACCACGCCTGAAGCAGTCAGACCCCTCGGGGATCCTCTAAGAGGAGACACAGCAATGATAGCGAGCTTGAGTTCAAAAAGTTCAGAAACATAAAAATCACATTCCTCGCATATCTTTCCATTTTTCACACATGCTTCATAAACCACTGTAATTTATTTCCCTCTACAAATCACGACTCTATCTAAATTAACTTTTATTTCTTGAGGACCACCATCAGCTTACTTAGCAATACTCCCCCATGTTAAGGCAGAGGAAAATCCATGGACCCTTCATGACTCTAGAATAGGGTTCTCTCTAGACTCACGTTACAAGATCACTATGTTTCTAACAAAGTATGTACTGTCGCGAGAAAGCAGTGGTATCCCCAGCAGCCAATCGAAGTCACTGCCCGCCAGCTGCAGCTCAGAGAAGGGTGCAGGACTGCAGAGTGGCAGCCCTGGCTCTGCCCCAACACTCTACAGGCAGCCCTGTTTAACCCTGCTTGAGTTTCTCATTTTCAACTTCACTATTACATTCCATGGGCTTTACTCACAGCCTGTATCCTGAGCATTTTTAAACGAGTATTTTTTCACTCTCCACGACAACTGTTCGATCATCTAAGTTTCTTTCTCTGCGTCCCAATCAGTCATTCTAAGGGATTCCCTCCCCTGTAAACTAAATCCTGACTTAGTAAAGCACACTAAGCCATGCTTTCATGAAGAGAAGAAAGGCCAGATTCTTTAGTTTTAACCATCTCTTCTTTACGGAGCTGAGTACTTTTCCATACATATTTCTTATTCTCAATATTTCTGTACATGTGCATAGCTGATAATGCCATGCAAATGACAAGGGGTGTGTTTTTTTAAAGCAGCATCACTCCAGATATCGAGTCATGAGTCTTGCAATACAACCTAAAAACAAATGAGTTTCTCAAAAGCAATCATTAAGCATAATATCTGGATCATCTGGTAATGAGCAAATGCCAAACCAGATTACAGGCACAACGGAGGCGAAGTCCAGCTACCTTTGCCCTGTTTAACACCATTAATGGAGGCATACGTATCTTCTCAGATATATCCATACACACTCATATCCTTCCCAAACATATTTAAGTAACAAAATCTCTCAAACTTACCAAACTCCGATACTGGCCCTGGAACAGTTTTGAAGTCCGAGTGTGCAAAGACTGTGATCCAAGGGAGTCAAAAGACTTTATGCGGTGAGACGAGGGCCGGGCACACACGGAGTCACTCCCCAGCCCGATGTCTGCAAAGAGCATGCACACAGAAAAAGAGAGCTGAGAGCGCCTGATACCACGCACCCACACTACACACTAGACTTTAAAACTAGGGCAGCACAGAGGGACACACCAAAAGACCACAACAAAGCAGCCCATTTATGCAGAAAACAAAGAACAAATTATTTGCTACATAAATGACTTGCATTCATTCCCCAACTACCTTTCCAGAAATTATCTGGAGATAACTATTAATCAGTTCTTCTCTAATATAATTTTCAAAAGTTTGTGAAATGTATTATAACTTTTAAAGATTTTCCCTTCACCTGGAAAAAAAAGCCTCTCAAATTTGATTATGGAGCGGAGAACAACCAAGTACTGATTCTCCAAAGCATCACCACCACATGCCCACTTTTCCAGGACGATGTGTCATGCAATAAGCAACAGAAGGAAAAGACTCTTATTTAAAAGAGAAAATCCAGTGTATTTTTCAGCCAGAGAGAACCTTGTGAGGATTATTTCCCCAACACTAAGGCAGCACAGGCTCTACTCACCTCATGAAGTTGCTGACAGAATCAAAGTAAACAGACAGTAAGAGGCTTAGTTCTGTTCTCTGGATCTCCCTTCATAAGACACTCCACACAGGCCATCCAACAAATAAATAATAGCAATTTATTCTTAAAAGTGACTCAATTAAAAAAAAGAGAGAATGAGGCTGTGAAAAACTTTGCTGGGAAAATCGCTGTTCTGAGAGGCACGTGCCCGGCCATGTCCTAAACTCCAGGGAGGCTTCCATGAAAGCAACCCTAAGTCTCCAGGTCCCAGCTTCCTCCCAGGTGTTTGGATTGGCTTGCACGTATCTTATAAAATTCTGAATTAAACGGTCAACATCGAAAAGTCTGAAGGTATCACCAAAAACCCAGATTCCCCACTGCTCTTGACACATTTAGGATGTGGCCACACCAGGTCTATATCCCATCAGGTAAAGCTGGCTCAGAGCTGGGCAGGGGCTGTCCTGAGAGGACCCAGCACCCATGCCCTTCCATCCAGCTCCTCCCTTCACGCCACCTGCCTGACCCCACAGATGGGGGCTTGCTACTCCAACGATCTTAAATTCTTCTCAGGTCACCCCCTCACCCTACACTTCCCAGGACCTGCTGAGGGCAGGTTACGAGTAATCTCTATAGAGCACATTCTGCTTGAGAACACAGGGGTCTCAGGCAACCCGCAGCACAAAAC
This sequence comes from Homo sapiens, assembly GCF_000001405.40. Taxonomy (NCBI): domain Eukaryota; kingdom Metazoa; phylum Chordata; class Mammalia; order Primates; family Hominidae; genus Homo; species Homo sapiens. The sequence goes on along the minus strand of NC_000013.11, from coordinate 111,208,661 downwards.
CAGCTAAAAGGGCATTTCCAGCAAATTCTACAGGGCTCCCGGCCATGGTCTGCAGTGCTCTGCTGGCCACAGCCTTCCAGGAAATTCTCATACAAGGAGGGCCATCCTGAAGACATTCTGTACTTCCCCATCACCAAGCTTTCTTCTATCCAATTAAAAGGCCAGTTACAGTCAACTAAATGCCTTGAGAACACATATGATTTTAAGAGACAGAAGCAGAAAGACAATGACAATTTTCCCAAGAATGTCCACAGTAACTGTGGCTGCTGCAGTTGTCTTACTGTTTGCCAATCAAGGAAAGCTGAAATCTAGAAAGAAACGAGGCCAGGCGCAGTGGCTCATGCCTGTAATCCTAACACTTAGGGAGGCAGAGGCTGGTGGATCACCTGAGGCTGGGAGTTCCAGACCAGCCTGACCAACATGGAGAAACCCCGCCTCTACTAAAAATACAAAATTAGCCGGGTGTGGTGCCACGTGTCTGTAATCCCAGCTACTCGGGAGGCCGAGGCAGGAGAATCGCTTGAATCCAGGAGGCGGAGGTTGCGGTGAGCCAAGATCATGCCATTGCACTCCAGCCTGGGCAACAAGAACGAAACTCTGTCTCAAAAAGAAAACGTACGGGTATTGCCTTCCCACTGACTTCAAAAACAAAAACAAAGGGCAAACAGAAAAGCAAAGCATTCCTTCCATCTAGGAGGGGTCATTCCTATAGTTTAAAAGCTTAAAAGTACCAAGTTTATGTGGTAACTTCCAAATTTGTCTTTGTAAAGAACAAAGCTATCTATTTTACATCCAACACATAGCCAATGATACCAAGAACATATACAAAATACATTTCCATAAGGTAGAGGTAAAAACTAATAGCCTGAGAGCTACTGGATTCTGACTTCTCTTATTTACTTGTAAATCCTACCGTCTCAAACCTAGATGGTTGACAATCCCAAGACTGAGTGTACAAATTAAAGCCATGTTCTAAAGCCACTTCGTCCTAATTAGCACCCCCACTTACAGCAAAAGCAGAGAAAACATCTACAATGAAATTCAAAGTTACTATCTTCTGCTCCTGTGAGCAACCTCTAAAAAAGTATTCAATGGGAGCAGAGTCAAATTAAGGATTACTTGTAGATTTTACATATCTGTGCTATTGCCCCATCTGCCACAGAGATCTACGTTAATTATAAGGCACATCATTTAGGACAGGCATGGTGGCATAAGCCTGTAATCTCAGCACTTCGGGAGGCCAAGGCAGGCAGATAGCTTGAGCTCAGGAGTTTAAGACAAGCCTGGGCAGCACAGCGAAACCCCATCTCTACAAATATGCAAAAATTAGCCAGGCACAGAGGCACACACCTGCAGACCCAGCTGCTGAGGAGGCCGAGGTGGGAGGACTGCCTGAGCCCAGGAGGCTGAGGCTTCAGTGAGCTGAGATCACACCACTGTGTTCCAGCGTGGACGACAGAGCAAGACCCTGCCTCCATAAAAAATAATTCAAAACTCTGAGGCATGGATGAATATGAGTTTGCAGGCAGATTCCCCCATGTGGTCAGGACACATGAATATGCCACTTCTGTACATCACCTGTTGCAGTATTTCTTGTATTAAATTCCAGTGATCCACTCTAAATGTATGTCCTTTTCAATGTCATCCATAACTTTAGATAAGTGATTTTCTTTTTTTTTCTTTTTCTTTTTTTTTTTTTTTAGATGGAGTCTCGCTCTGTCGCCCAGGCTGGAGTGCAGTGGCGCGATCTCGGCTCACTGCAAGCTCCGCCTCCCGGGTTCACGCCATTCTCCTGCCTCAGCCTCCCGAGTAGCTGGGACTACAGGTGCCCGCCACCACGCCTGGCTAATTTTTTTGTATTTTTAGTTGAGACGGGGTTTCACCGTGTTAGCCAGGATGGTCTCGATCTCCTGACCTCGTGATCCGCCCGCCTCGGCCTCCCAAAGTGCTGGGATTACAGGCATGAGCCACCACACCCGGCTGTGATTTTCTTATTGTTTGTTCATATTAAAAGGATCATTTTTAGATTGTAGAGACAGAGAAGGCATTAAATAATGTGACAATTTTCATTAGTTACATCCATCTTCATAATCCTGCCATTTAAATTTTTGTTTCCTCGATGCTTTCATCTGAACAGTCCTTTAAACCTCAGAAGTCAAGCTGTGAACACGCAGCCACAGCCACACCTCTGCCTGGGGTCTGCCCCTGCTCCCAGGGATGGGGGCCAGTGCCTCTCGCCGGGGCATCAGCATCAGCAGCAGCAGCATCAGCTTCCAGACAGCAGTCAGAGCACACATGCGCTGGGAGGCAGCACCAAGGACAGTCCCTGCACCACCGATGAAGCCTCCGGGAGCCAGGAACTGCAGCCCCAAAGCATGCATAACCCCCGTCTCTCCTCAATGTGCAGTGAGGCAAGTACACCCCCCCCTCTGAAGGGCCAGACGAAGCTGAGAAGCGACCCCGACAAAATCAACTCAGGAGGTTTCTGTTTGAAAAGGACACGGCACTTTCCCCCACAAACCTGATATTTAACATCCGTGAAGGTAAATAGGAAAAAAAAATTACTCTAATAAGACCAAAAAAGCAACTAAAAAGTTCCTTCCTTTTGAGCCACACAGAAATCCAAGAAAGAGCTCCTCAGGGCTCATGGAGCATTTCCTCCGGGGACCTTGGCATCATGGACAACATGCACCTTCCCTCAGAGGACCTGTCTGAACAACTCCTGTCTTCGCTGTGGCCCATGAGAGGGGCACACCATGTCCCCAAAACCTCCTCTCCACTTCAGTACTAATGGGGGCTAGGACCACACACACCATGTACCTGGGTGCCACAGCCCTCAGGAGCCCTGGACAGGTAGTGTGGACTTTACAGGCCAATCCACGAGCCACTCCCTTATCATGGTCACAGCTCAAAACTTCTGCCCACTAGATACAAATTTTAACCAGCATACACTCAGTAAAAACTGAGAGAAAGGTGCTTCTAGCTCCAACACAGCCCATGAGCCTTCCCATAAGAACTAGACACTTTTCTCCTGCTATACGTTCAGGTGAGAAATCTCTCCACCCACAGAAAGGAAAACACCTGATATATACCAGAACATTTAAAGAAGATTCTATTCTAACAAGGCAAATAAAATATCACAGCAAAAGGAACAATCAAAACGTAATGCAACAAAAGCTTATTTTTTAAATTCAGTAATGCTCCCCTGGCTTTGGTAAAACAAGAAAACCAAAGGTGTCAGCCCGTATGTCTTCCCACCCCCTCGAGTTCAATAAAAAAGAGTCTTACCTGCTGTTACTTTATTTAGAGTCACTAAGGAACTGAGGACCTTGTTAAAATTCTGCCCCTGATACAAATCATTTGCATCAAACGTCTGAAAGGAAAAATTAAACAAGCAAAATTAGTAGAGTCTTATGTTGGGTGCAGGATGAACTAAGTTCTCCCAGCAACGCGACGATGCTCAGCCTGAAATCCTAAGGAGACCGCACAACCTGCGACAGGGAGACCAGCACGCTCAGTCTCTCAGTCCTGAGGTAAGAACCCAATCAAAATTCTCCTACTTAGGTGCAGGGTCCCCCCTCGGCATTAGGCCAATTCCCTACCCAACACCCGCCCCTGCCCCTCTGGAGTGTGAGCTCATTCACGGGGGCGGGGCGGGGTGGGGGGGTGGGCTGCTGGCATTCAGCAAGCAAGCACGGTGCTTGCGCAATCCTCCTCTCCTTAGATTAACACAGAGGCCCCAGGCAAGGCGTGCTACAGATGTTCTTTCCTAGCCACAGAAAATAAGGGAAAATGACAGTCGATTCCAAAGCTAACAGCAGCAAAAGAAAATGCGGACATCAGAGAGCAGAGTGGATGTGAGGGTAAAAGGAGGACAGACAGGAGAAGCAGATCCCAGATAGGAAAGGGGCAGGGACAAGAGACCACCACCCTCAGAGCTCTGAGGCCAGAACCAGGCAAGCCCACAACCGCATCCCCTCCAGTCCAGGGCTATCTAGAGCCCTGGGACCACGATGGAGCTGGTCACATTGCCACTGGCAGGCACTTCCCACCACCATCCTGGAGCTTGGAAAGGTAAAGCACATTGGTTTGCCTAGGTATGTGGCAACTAGTGTCTAGAACGCGTGTGCACACACACAGCCATGTCAAAACAAACAGAGCTCTCATCTCAGATACTGCCCAAAGACTACATATGGCTTCTGATCACCAAATAACCTCAAGCAAAGATAAACAGTCAAATCGTCCACAACTATGTTCCAGAAAAATTAAGAAAAAAATTCTTTCAGAGGTGCCAATAACAGAAAGATACATTTAAAAACCAAAACGTGTATCCTGTTGCCATATGTTCTAACTGAGATTACCGGAAATAAGCATCAGTGGACAAGGGCCCCACCTTCTCTCCAGGGCTGTCGTCTCCTCCTGTCAGTCCTGCCCTCTCCCCACACCTCTAGCAGACCCTGCCAGAAGCCCCACTTCTTCCTCTTCCTGCCTTCGGTCCCTTCCCTTTCCTGGCTAATCCTTATTCATCTTGCTTCCTGACACAGCCCTGCCTTGACAGCCTGGCTGCCCCCACCACACCCGGTCAGGTCCCCAGCCAGGCTCCCCCAGAACACGTGTCATGATAGTTTGATGGTGGATGTCTACAGGCCTCCCTAGACTAAAAATCTGCAGTGGCAGATTGTACATCTCCCAACACCCAGCACAGGGGCCGGTGCACAGTGAAAAGGCATCCGAATGGAGACGTGCACCAGCATCCAACCAGCCACCCACCCTGCAGGCACCGCATGCTGCTGTAATGAAGCTCACGCCAAGAGAAGCTAAGAAAAGTGACACCAAATGTGAAAAAGTCCTGCTGTATTATTCAAAATTCATCTGCAGCTAAAGGCCTTCTGTCTATAATTTTCCAAATAAGTAAAAATAGTCATGAGATGTTTAAACATAAATAAAGAAGAACCAGACTTTGAAAAACTACCTCAAGAGAAAAACCCACCAAATCACTAAAAGAGTCAAGAAAGGAGCTGAAAACCAGAGGTCACTTTCTTAAAGTTCACAAGGAAATATCAGATGGAACCACAAAACGTAAAAGGAAAGCTGTGAACACATCTAAGCATTCTATGTGCTTACCGATGCCATTTCTAACAAAAGGCACAAAATATAACTGATTTCATGAAGCTAAATCCTTCCTTTAAAAAACAGTCCTTAGAACAGATAGTCTTTAGAATCATCTTTCATACAGAATACATTTGTTGTAATATTTATTATTTAAGAAGAAATCCCAACTCAAATGAGAGCAGCATCTAGGCTGACATAACCACCTATAACAAATACGGGTTAAGCTGCATTTTTTAAAAGGAATTAAATAGGCCTCAGCTTCCTTATATGCAAAACATAAAATTTCTCTTCATCATAACATTTTTAAATAGGAGATCTGAATGTCTTTCAGCTCTACAGATCTAATCTTAGTGCTCTGAAAATTCAAGTCATTTTTTATTTTGTCAATTTTGTATACTACAAAAAGAAATACATACATAAATTTCTACTAACCTTCATAGTGGCAAGGCAGCAAGTCACAAAACCCAGAATAACAGGATGTGAAAAATGTGAAGTTTCCTGTTATTCCAGAACTATATATCTTTCTTACTTGGATACCCAGGAAGCATCTGATTGGCTGAAACTGCCCACCAATGGGCTTCAATATGACATCAGAGTTTAAGTGAATACACACACCACACTTCTCAACAGGAAGCTAGACAATGAGATGAGGCAAATCCTTACCCCTGAGAGGGGGAAAATGCACATTCTCAGCCAACAAAATGTTTCGATTGAAGTGCTTCTCTAGAGAAAGATAACAGACTATTTCCTAAAATAGAAATCTATTCAACAAAAAACAGAAACAGAAAAATCTGAGTACAGAGAAATTTTGTACTATGGGAATAATAGGGAAGTCTCAAAACTTTTATAGAAATCTCTCTGCAAAAAGTAAATCAGTGTGTATGTAAGAATTACCATGACATTTAGCACACTAAATTGTTCCCTAGGGTTATTAAAACAAGTGTCTTAGACGGGATTCATTCATTCCCCACCATGACTTGCTGGGTGCTTTAGCAGTATTTCCACTCTTGGCAATGGCAAGGAGCAGCAGGAGGGAAGGAAGTACAAACCATATTCCATTGTCTCCAGGCCTCCTTTTGGAAGCCTCAGCCTCAGGAGCAGCAATTCTCAGCAGGAGCTACATGTTAAGACCTCCTGGGGGGCTGTAAAAGGGCAGGATACTCCAGCAGTGTTCTGGAGTCCAGAGACTCAAATCAAAATGCCAACCCTCTCCAAGTGACTCCAACACACAGCCAAGCGTGAGAAGCGCTCCTGGTGAGGTAAGGAAGGTCATTAGGAATCCTGCCCAGCTGAAGCCTCAATGCCAGCACAGGCACACTTCCTGCCACCTGCACTACCCCACACAGGCACCATGCTGGGGACAAGGGTGGCTGCACAGACACACTTCGCACCATAATACGCTTTAGGATCTATCCATTTGAAAAAGCGTATTTCAAACACTCACCCTTACTTTTACATTTAAGTGAATTAAATGTGCAATAGAATGATCCGATACTCCCAAAATGAAATCATCCTACCAGTTTTCCACCAGAAAACTAACATTAAAATTCCTTAGCTTATTTTTGGTATTTTGCTCTCAATAGAAACTACATAATCAAATACAATACCAAATCAGGGATAAAAGAAGCCCAGAGTATTCAAACAAGGATAGAAAAATACCTTCTTAAAAGTGGCGGGGAGGGGAGTTCCCATGGTCTAACACTGAACCGCACAACACAATGCGGCACGTTGTGGGAAGGACACGGCGGTGCTGGAAGAAGGAAGAGGGCTGAGACTACGGAGCAGAGCCTCCCTGACCACCTGCTTGCTACAGCCCTGCATTGGGCCCCTTAGACCTCAGACTTCTCATCCTCACCAGGGAAAGGGGAACATGCTTGAGGACAGGAAGCAGCAACTGGAATGCCCCACACTTTCAAAAAGAAAAGGGCACACCAAATCTCACTTATCAAAACAGACCTACAGATAACTCCATTCTGCCAAGGAAAACTCTTACTTTTAAAAATGCAAAATAACCACAAGAAAAAGCCCACTGAACAGAGAGAAGAATCATCTACATGACTTACAGGTCAGCCCTCTCATTTAGAGATAAAATGAAGCCCCAAAGTACAATGACTTTCTCAACTCTATTCTCATAGAGTATGTTTACTGGACCTCGTTTCTCTTGCAGTGCTTTCCAGAAATTGCTTCTTAGGAAGCTGAATTGTAGCTGGCACTGTTTAGGAAAATTATCTTGCCCTCTGTGAAATACACAGGCCATATATAAAGCGATTTGGGCATAAAATAGAATGGCTAGAAGGTGCTAAACTATACAAACCATAGAAGAAAATAGTGAGACGCAGAGAAACTATCTGAGGAAGATTTCTGCAATCGTAGGTCGGAGAACCTCAGCCACAGGAACAAGGGGGACGATGGGGATTTGGACAAACACTGGGGAGAGACTGGAAGGAGCCAACAAGCCTGGGGATCAAGTCCTAGGTTCAGAAGACAATGGCATGGAGGACGACCAAGGGCATGGTTTTTTAATTGAAGGCCGAACTTCATTAATATTTAAGACTGAGGGAAATCCCCCCCGAGCCAAAGAAGAAAAAAATGTCTTCAGTATCTCATCCCCATTGTCTTTACCATGTCTTCACTGAACAAGCAGCTTCTGGGCACCTACAAAAGCCAGACATTAAGTCTGTCCACAATTCTGGGCCATGGAAAACAAGACTGCTCTGGATCAAGAGATTCCAGATGCCAGAAGGGGCCCTGCACTGGACCGTTTTGGATAAACCATCTACAAAGTGTACTTGGGAACACCTGGGGAAATGTAAATACAGACTACGTATCAGATGGTGTTGAGACATCAATACTAACCTTGTCATGTATGACAGACATTACAGTTTTGGCTATGTCAGAACATGGCGTTAATTTTGGAAAGGTCATTTTGAAGGATTTAGCTGGCACCTGCAGGGTGGATAAGTCTCCACACAGCTGTGGGTGTCCCGTTCCTCACCTGGGAAGGGAGAGAAGCTGAATCAGCTAACCTCTAAAGTCACTTCCAGTTGTAAAACTCAAGGATTCCTCTGACACAGTGTATTGTCAAAAAAAAAAAAAGACATGATTTCGAGCAAGGAAGCACCAGGGTCAAGAGAGCTGGCTGAACAGAAAACGAGAGAAAGGTGAAGGTGAGTGGTGAGGAATTCAGCAGCTGGCTACAGGACAATAAGAGAAAAAAAAATGAGTTAAGGCAAGTGGGCATTCATTCCTTTGTACCACAACTGCATCTCCCACACTTGGTTCCAGAGAAAGGAGGCTCGGCTTGGAGATGACCGGGAGGAAAATGAAGGATGCAGCAGGGAGGGCACTGGGCTCTCCCCAGAGAGGCCGCAGCCCAAGGCTGGTAAGGACCCCTCCCATCTAGGGGCCGAGAGAGGTGATGTCCACAGACACAGAAAGATGGTAGGGAAAAGTCGCCCTAGGTGTTGAGGAAGAGGAGGAGGAGTCACCGAGTAGTCCACGGCGGCAGAAAGCAAGTACCCGTAACATGAGTCAGAAAGGGCTTCACAGAGTGGGTGACAACTGTATGTGCTCCCAATGGAGGCACAGACTTTGGAGCAGAAAAAAGGAAGAGGGGTGAGCCCATGCAAATGTGGACCTAAGGCCACCATCTGTAACAGGCATATCAGGAGGTCACTGTCTGGTGCCCGTTCCCCACTGCTGTCCAGTCTCTAGGCCCAGGCTGATTGTTCCTGGGCACCCAGCACTCCAACTCCTAACCCCACAGAAGAAACTGAAGCCAAAGATGCTGGAACCAGTCATCAAAGGCTCTACAATCTGGCCCAGACTCAACTTCCAGCCTTAATTTTTGCCATGCCTCCAAAGGAATTCTATTTTAGCATATTCCTCATTTTATGGTTACACCAAAGCAGCCACATTTATTATTAAGTTTACCTCCTGAACTAACACCTGACAAAAGGAGGACTCATTTGGACATGAGGAAGATGGGGCTCGGCTGGTCACCAGCAAGCATCTGGCAGGCTAAGGCCCTTAGGGTAACCTTACAAGTATGCACAGGCAACATCAGGGAGCTTATAGTCACCTGTGCTCCCAAATATGAAAACCTCTGACCAGAGGACGACTACTAGCAGAAATATCCACAGTGGTTTCCAGGACAGCTTCAATCAAAAAGAGTATTATTCTAAAATAAAAAGGCTTCAGCAGACAAAAGTTCTAAGAGCTGATATTGACCCAAACTTAAATTTTCACATTCAGTACACTATGTTCCAACTTCCTCTGCCTCTCTAACCCAGGCTCACTGCAGCAGACAGTATGGCTGCTTTCATTCACTCCCCCTGCCCTTCGAGGAGGAGTCTACATCCAGCCCAGTGATGCCCATCAGCTTCCTACAGGCAGGGGCAGGCCTGGCCACATGACTTTCTCTGACCAATGAGATATTGAGAGGTGAAGCCAGCTGGGCTTCTGGGTCGGGTGGGGACCTGCAGAACTTTTCTGTCTAGCTAAAGGATTGTAAACACACCCATCAGCACTATGTGTCTAGCTAAAGGTTTGTAAACGCACCTATCAGCACTCTGTAAAAACGAACCAATCAGCACTCCGTGTCCAGCTAAAGGTTTGTAAACACACCAATCAGCACTCTGTAAAAATGCACCAATCAGAGCTCTGTGTCTAGCTAAAGGTTTGTAAATGCACCAATCAGCACTCTGTAAAAATGGACCAATCAGCAGGACGTGGGCAGGGCCAAATAAGGGAATAAAAGCTGGCCACCCAAGCCAGCAGCAGCAACCCACTCAGGTCCCCTTCCACACTGTGGAAGCTTTGTTCTTTTGCTCTTCACAATAAATCTTGCTGCTGCTCACTCTTTGGGTCCACACTACCTTTATGAGCTGTAACACTCACCGCAAGGGTCTGCAGCTTCGTTCCTGAAGTCAGCAAGACCACGAACCCACCAGGAGGAACAAAAAACTCCGGACACACCACCTTTAAGAGCTGTAACACCCACTGCGAAGGTCTGTAGCTTCACTCCTGAAGTCAGCGAGACCACAAACCCACCGGAAGGAAGAAACTCTGGACACATCTGAAGGAATGGACACATCTGAAGGAACAAACTCCGGACACACCATCTTTAAGAACTGTAACACTCACCGCGAGTGTCCACGGCTTCATTCTTGAAGTCAGCGAGACCAAGAACCCACCAGAAGGAACCAATTCTGGACACATTTTGGCGACCCAGATGGGACTATCGCCAAGCAGTGAGTATCATCGGACCCCTTTTGCTTGCTATTCTGTCCTATTTTTCCGTAGAATTCGGGGGCTAAATACCAGGCACCTGTCGGCCAGTTAAAAGCAACTAGCACAGCCACCGGACTAAAGACACGCGTGTCAGGCTTTCTGGGAAAGGGCTAACAACCCCCGACTCTTCAGAGTTGGGAGCGGTGGTTTGCCTGGTACCAGCTTCCACTTCTCCTGTACTTCCAGGCTGAGCCAACGGTCAACAGAGAGGAAAGCCATTCAACTCCGGGGTCCCAACAACAAGCTGGTTGACCCTGTGGCCATGAGCGGAACTCTCAAAGTTATGTCGCCCAAGTGAGACTCGCCCATCTATCCTATCCATCCTGACCCTTGCCTCCTGGGTCCTAATGCCTGTCAGACAAACGTCCTCTCACCTCTCTTCTCTGAGGCTAGTCCTGCTTCTAAAAACCACTCCCTGTCTCTAGTTCTTTTCTAGTTTCAGGACTCTGTTCCCTTCTTTAGGCACCCGGGCCCGCCAATCAGAAAGACATAATTTTTGCCCAAAGCCCTGTCATAGGGGGTACTATCTGGAATTTTAGCACCCCTACTCAGACAAGCAGGCCTAACAAAAGCTATTCCTGAAGCTAGGATATGGGGAGCCTCAGAAATTGTATCCTTCCTATTCATATAAGTGAGGACAAAAGGCATCACTCTTCCAACCCTGGAGATCCCTTCTCTCCCTCAGGGTATGGCCCTCCACTTCATTTTGGGGGCATAACATCTTTATAGGACACAAGTAAAGTCCCAATACTAACAGGAGAACGCTTAGGACTCTTAACAGGTTTTCAAGAATGCGTCAGTAAGGGTCATTAAATCTGATTTTTCTCAGTCCTCTTTGTGGTCTAGGAGGACAGGCAAGGTGCAGGTTTTACGAGAATGCGTCGGTAAGGGCCACTAAATCCAACCTTCCTCAGTCCTCCTTGTGGTCTAGGAGGGAAACTAGTGTTTCTGCTGCTGTGTCAGTGAGCGCAACTGTTCCGATCAGCAGGGTCCAGGGTTCTTGGGCAAGAGGTGTTTCTGCTGCTGCGTCGGCGAGCACAACTATTCCCATCAGCAGGGTCCAGGGTTCTTGGGCAAGAGGTGTTTCTGCTGCTGCGTCGGTGAGCGCAACTATTCCGATCAGCAGGGTCCAGGGACCATTATAGGTTCTTGGGCAGGGGGAGAAAAACAAACCAAAACTGCAGGTGGTTTTGTCTTTCAGATGGGAAACACTCAGGCATCAACATGCTCACCCTTGAAATGCATCCTAAGCCATTCGGACCAATTTGACCCAGAAACCCTGAAAAAGAGGCAGCTTATTTTTTTCTGCACTATGGCTTGGCCCCAGTATTCTCTCTCTGATGGGTAAAAATGGCCACCTGAGGGAAGTATAAATTACAATACTATCCTGCAGCTTGACCTTTTCTGTAAGAGGGAAGGCAAATGGATTGAAATACCTTATGTCCAGCTTTCTTTTCATTGAAGGAGAATATGCAAAGCTTGCAATTTATGTCCCACAGGAGGACCTCTCAGCTTACCCCCATATCCTAGCCTCCCTATAGCTCCCCTTCCTATTAATGATAAGCCTCCTCTAATCTCCCCTGCCCAGAAGGAAATAAGCAAAGAAATCTCCAAGGGACCACAAAAACCCCCGGGCTATCGGTTATGTCCCCTTCAAGCTGTAGGGGGAGAGGAATTTGGCCCAAGCTGGGTACATGTCCCCTTCTCCCTCTCTGATTTAAAGCAGATCCAGGCAGACCTGGGGAAGTTTTCAGATGATCCTGATAGATTTCCTACAGGGTCTAGGGCAAACCTTCGATCTCACTTGGAGAGATGTCATGCTATTGTTAGATCAAACCCTAGTCTTTAATGAAAAGAATGCAGCTTTAGCTGCAGCCCGAGAGTTTGGTGATACCTGGTATCTTAGTCAAGTAAATGACAGAATGACAGCCGAAGAAAGGGACAAATTCCCTACCGGTCAGCAAGTCGTCCCCAGTATGGATCCCCACTGGGACTCAACTCAGATCATGGGGACTGGAGTCATAAACATCTGTTGACCTGTGTTCTAGAAGGACTAAGGAGAGTTAGGAAAAAGCCCATTAATTATTCAATGATGTCTAGCATAACTCAGGGAAAGGAAGAAAATCCTTCTGCCTTCCTCGACTGGCTACAGGAGGCCTTAAGAAAATACTCTACCCTGTCACCCGACTCCCTAGAGGGTCAATTGATCCTAAAAGATAAGTTTATTACCCAATCAGCCGCAGATATCAGGAGAAAGCTCCAAAAGCAAGCCCTGGGCCCTGAACAAAATCTGGAGGCATTACTAAACCTGGCAACCTCAGTGTTCTATAATAGGGACCAAGAGGAATAGGCCCAAAAGGAAAAGCGAGATCAGAGAAAGGCAGCAGCCTTAGTCATGGCCCTCAGACAGACAAACCTTGGTGGTTCAGAGAAGACAGAAAATGGAAAAGGCCAATCACCCAGTAGGGCTTGTTATCAGTGTGGTTTACAAGGACACTTTAAAAAAGACTGTCCAACGAGAAGCCACCCCCTCATCCATGTCCGCTATGCCGAGGCAATCACTGGAAGGCGCACTGCCCCAGAGTGCAATGGTTCTCTGGGCCAGAAGCCCCCAACCAGATGATCCAACAACAGGACTGACGGTGCCCAGAGCAAGCGCCAGCTCTTGTCATCACCCTCACTGAGCCCCGTGTACATTTAACCATTGAGGGCCAGGAAATTGACTTCCTCTTGGACACTGGCGAGGCCTTCTCAGTGTTAATCTCCAGTCCTGGACGACTATCCTCAAGGTCTGTTACCATCCGAGGAATCCTGGGGCAGCCTGTAACCAGGTATTTCTCCCACCTCCTCAGTTGTAATTGGAAGACTTTGCTCTTTTCACTTGCCTTTCTTGTTATGCCTGAAAGTCCCACACCCTTATTAGGGAGGGATATATTAGCCAAAGCTGGAGCTATTATCTACACGAATATGGGGAACAAGTTACCCATTTGTTGTCCCCTACTTGAGGAGGGAATCAACCCTGAAGTCTGGGCATTGGAAAGACAATCTGGAAGGGCAAAAAATGCCCACCCAGTCCAAATCAGGCTAAAAGATCCCACCACTTTTCCTTATCAGAGGCAATATCCCTTAAGGCCTGAAGCTCATAAAGTATTACAGGATATTGTTAAACATTTGAAAGCTCAAGGCTTAGTAAGGAAATGCAGCAGTCCCTGCAACACCCCAATTCTAGGGGTACAAAAACCCAATCGTCAGTGGAGACTAGTGCAAGACCTTAGACTCATCAATGAGGCAGTAATTCCTCTATATCCAGTTGTACCCAACCCCTATACCCTGCTCTCTCAAATACCAGAGGAAGCAGAATGATTCACTATTCTGGACCTCAAGGATGCCGCCTTCTGTATTCCCCTGCACTGACTCACAGTTTCTCTTTGCCTTTGAGGATCCCACAGACCACACATCCCAACTTACATGGACAGTCTTGGCCCAAGGGTTTAGGGATAGCCCTCACCTGTTTGGTCAGGCATTGGCCCAAGATCTAGGCCACTTCTCAAGTCCAGGCACTCTGGTCCTTCAGCATGTGGATGATTTACTTTGGGCTACCAGTTCAGAAGCCTCATGTCAGTGGGCTACTCTAGATCTCCTGAACTTTCTAGCTGATCAAGGGAACAAGGCATCTAGGTTGAAGGCCCAGCTTTGCCTATAGCAGGTCAAATATCTAGGCCTAATCTTAGCCAGACGGACCAGGGCCCTCAGAAAGGAATGAGTACGGCCTATACTGGCTTATCCTCACCCTAAGACATTAAAACAGTTGCAGGGGTTCCTTGGAATCACTGGGTTTTGCCAACTATGGACTGCCGGATACAGCGAGATAGCCAGGCCCCTCCATACTCTAATCAAGGAGACCCAGAGGGCAAATATTCATCTAGTAGAATGGGAACCAGGGACAGAAACAGCCTTCAAAACCTTAAAAAGCAGAACCTAGTACAAGCTCCAGATTTAAGCCTTCCCACAGGACAAAACTTCTCTTTATATATCAGAGAGAGAGCAGGAATAGCTCTTGGAGTCCTTACTCAGACTCGTGGGACAACCCCACAACCGGTGGCATACCTAACTAAGGAAATCGATGTAGTAGCAAAAGGCTGGCCTCACTGTTTAAGGGTAGTTGCGGCGGTGGCCGTCTTAGCGTCAGAGGCTATCAAAATAACACAAGGAAAGGATCTCACTGTCTGGACTACTCATGATGTAAATGGCATACTAGGTGCCAAAGGAAGTTTATGGCTATCAGACAACCGCCTACTCAGATACCAGGCACTACTCCTTGAGGGACCAGTGCTTCAAATATGTACATGCGTGGCCCTCAACCCTGCCACTTTTCTCCCAGAGGATGGCGAACCAATCGAGCATGACTGCCAACAAATTATAGTCCAGACTTATGCTGCCCGAGATGATCTCTTGGAAGTCCCCTTAACTAATCCTGACCTTAACCTGTATACCAATGGAAGTTCATTGGTGGACAATGGAATACAAAGGGCAGGTTATGCCATAGTTAGTGATGTAACGACACTTGAAAGTAAGCCTCTTCCCCCAGGGACCAGTGCCCAGTTAGAAGAACTAGTGGCACTTAACCGAGACTTGGAATTGGGAAAGGGAAAAAGAATAAATGTGTATACAGATAGCAAGTACGCTTATCTAATCCTACATGCCCATGCTGCAATATGGAAAGAAAGGGAGTTCCTAACCTCTGAGGGAACCCCCATTAAATACCACAAGGAAATTATGGAGTCATTGCACGCAGTGCAAAAACCCAAGGAGGTGGCAGTCTTACACTGCCAAAGTGTAAGGAGAAAAGGCAGAAGGAAGTGAAGGAGAAAAGGCAGAAGGAAACCGCAGGGCAGATGCTGAGGCCAAAATTGCTGCCAGGAGGAACCTCCCATTAGAAATACCTACGGAAGGACCCTTGGTATGGAACAACCCCCTCCAAGAGATTAAGCCCCAGTATTCCCCAACTGAAACAGAATGGGGACTTTCACGGGGGCATAGTTGTCTCCCCTCGGGGTGGTTAATGACAGAAGGAGGAAAGGTACTTATACCCAAAGCCATCCAGTGGAAAATACTTAAAACCCTCCAACAAACTTTTCATATGGGTATTGAAAACACTCATCAAATGGCCAAATCCCTATTTACAGGGCCAAATCTCCTCCGGACCATCTGACAGGTAGTCAAAGTCTGTGAGGTGTGCCAAAGGAATAATCCCTTGGTCCATCATAAGTCCCCTCTAAGGGAACAAAGAATAGGTCACTAGCCCGGAGAGGACTGGCATTTAGACTTCACCCATATGCCTAAGTCGAAGGGATTTCAATAATTATTGGTGTGTGTTGATACCTCTACAAATTGGATAAAGGCTTTCCCTCGCAAGACAGAGAAGGCTCAGGAAGTGATTAAAGTCCTAATTCATGAAATAATTCCTAGATTTGGGCTTCTCCAAAGCTTACAGAGCGACAATGGTCCAGCTTTTAAAGCCGTGGTAACTCGGTACCCTTCCAGGGCGCTAGGGATACAATATCACCTTCACTGCGCCTGGAGGCCACAATCCTCAGGGAAGGTCGAGAAGGCAAACAAAACACTCAAGAGGCACTAAAGGAAACTAACACAAGAAACTCATCTCCCATAGCCTACTCTTTTGCCCATGGCCTTGTTGAGAATCCAAAATTCTCCTCACAAAATGGGGCTCAGTCCATATGAAATGCTGTATGGACGACCTTTTCTCACAAATGACGTCCTACTTCATCAGGAAACGGCCAACTTCGTCAAAGATATAACTTCTTTGGCAAAATATCAACAAAACCTTAAAATCCTACCTGAAGGATGTCACAGAGAAAAGGGAACAGAGTTGTTTCAACCAGGAGATCTAGTGTTGGTCAAATCTCTCCCCTCTACCTCCCCATCCATGGGCTCTTTGTAGGAAGGACCACACTCGGTAATCCTCTCTACCCCCACTGCAGTTAAGGTGGCAGGAGTGGAATCTTGGATTCACCACACCCGAGTTAAATTTTGGACACCCGCTGAGAAACCTGCAGGACCATCAGCTCAGGAGTCCCAAGATCAGCCAGACCAGCCTTGATACACCTGCGAACCACTGGAGGACTTGCATCTCCTGTTTTGGAAGGAAATATCCCAGACTAAAAAGGCTCCTACCACTGATCCTGAAGAAAAACCCCTTCCTCCTTAAAAAAGATAAGTGAAAACCTACATAATCTTTAACACCTCTCCTTAACCCTTTAATGGAATCCTTTTACTATTTCATCATATGATTAAGCAGCATACTAACCATACTCTTTGTGATAGGGCTATATACTACAGCTCCTGCTAGGACGAAAATCCTAATCTTATCAACCTTCTTTCTATCTTCCTTCCTTCTGACAGCAATTTACTCCTACCTTTAACTCAGCCTGGATAAAATGATCTCGTCTTCCAGAGCACCCTCTTTACCTTCCTATTTACTCTTTGACTATCTATCCCTCCTGCTTCCTTGGATACCTCATACAATCACCCCTCCCCTTCCACTAGCTCCTAAATACCTCTACAAGACTCTCAACCCACTCTCTGTTAAACCAGTCCAATCCTTCCCTCACAAATGACTGTTGGCTTTGTATCTATCAATCTCTGCTTACGTAGCCACTCCCATTCCTGCAAAAACCTGGGTCTCTACCAACTTAACCTATCACCCTCATTATGAAGGAAAAGACCCTTTCCAACTTCTAAATATGCAATCATTAGCCAACTTCCCCATCTCTGATAAGACCAAGAATACCCTAACAGGACGTGCAATCCAACTTTTACGTTCTTACATTTCCAACCTCATCTATTACACAAGCAATGAAAAGCGCATACACGGCCCTGTTACTATGAATACCATCTTAACTTTCCATGTCCCTTTATGCATCCAATGCAACCTGTTATCAGGCCTGCCCCTGGGGCACCTACCACCCCATCAGTGTAATTACACCTCACAACTTCAAGCCCCAACTGATCATAGTAACTTCCAAGTCACCCAAACAGCTCCATGCGGACGGCTTGTCCACTTCTCAGGGCCCCCCAAAATCATCACCTCCTCCCTAAACAGTCCAGGTTTTGTAATGGCAAACATACTCCCTGCATGACCATTCACCCCTGGACCCCCTGCAGCAGCGCCCCCACCACTAGTGAATGCTTTCTCATCCCCTCTTTCAATCACTCTCTCTAATGAATGGTTCCTAGTAGATACAAAACAGTTTTTTCTCCAATGGGAAAACAGAACACAGGGAGCCACTCAGTTTGCTCCCAACACCCCTTTCCAGCCACTCACCAGAGCTACCTTGGCAAGTACTCTAGGAGTATGGGAAAATGAAAACAACAAACTCACACACCTTTTTAACATACACAACCAGTTCTGTCTACCCAGCCAAGATGTATTCTTCTTATGTGGAACATCGACCTATATCTGCCTCCCCACCAACTGGACAGGCACCTGCACCTTAGTCTTTCTAAGTCCCAACATTAACATTGCCTCAGGAAATCAGACTTTATCAGTACCCCTCAAAGCTCAAGTCTGTCATCGCAGAGCCATACAACTAATACCCCTACTTATAGGGTTAAGAATGGCTACTGCTACAGGAACCGGAGTAGCCAGTTTATCTACTTCATTATCCTACTACCACACACTCTCAAAGGATTTCTCAGTTTGCAAGAAATAACGAAATCTATCCTTACTCTACAATCCCAAATAGACTCTTTGGCAGCAGTGACTCTCCAAAACCACCGAGGCCTAGACCTCCTCACTGCTGAGAAAGGAGGACTCTGCACCTTCTTAGGGGAAGAGTGTTGTTTTTACACTAACCAGTCAGGGATAGTACGAGATGCTGCCCGGTGTTTACGGGAAAAGGCTTCTGAAGTCAGACAATGCCTTTCAAACTCTTATACGAACCTCTGGAGTTGGGCAACATGGCTTCTCCCCTTTCTAGGTCCCGTGGCAGCCATCTTGCTATTACTCGCCTTCGGGCCCTGTATTTTTAACCTCCTCAAATGTGTTTCCTCTAGAATCAAGGCTATCAAGCTACAGATGGTCTTACAAATGGAACCCCAAATGAGCTCAACTAACAACTTCTACCAAGGGCCCCTGGACAAACCCACTGGCCCTTTCACTAGCCTAAATAGTTCTCCTCTGGAGGACACTACAACTTCAGGGCCCCTTCTTCATCCCTATCCAGCAGGAAGTAGCTAGAGCGGTCACTGCCCAATTCCCAACAGCAGTTGGAGTCTCCTATTTAGAGGGCGGATTGAGAGGTGAAGCCAGCTGGGCTTCTGGGTCGGGTGGGGACTTGGAGAACTTTTCTGTCTAGCTAAAGGATTGTAAACACACCAATAAGCACTCTGTGTCTAGCTAAAAGTCTGTAAACACACCAATCAGCACTCTGTAAAAATGCATCAATCAGTGCTCTGTGTCCAGCCAAAGGTTTGTAAATGCACCAATCAGCACTCTGTAAAAACGCACCAATCGGCACTCTGTAAAATGGACCAATCAGCAGGATGTGGCCGAGGCCAAATAAGGGAATAAAAGCTGGCCACCCGAGCCAGCAGCGGCAACCCACTTGGGTCCCCTTCCACGCTGTGGAAGCTTTGTTCTTTCGCTCTTCACAATAAATCTTGCTGCTGCTCATTCTTTGGGTCCTCACTACCTTTATAAGCTGTTAACACTCACCACGAGGGTCTGCAGCTTCATTCCTAAAGTCAGCAAGACCACGAACCTACTCTGAGGAAGAATCAACTCCGGATGCGCCACCTTTAAGAGCTGTAACACTCACTGCGAAGGTCTGCGGCTTCACTCCTGAAGTCAGCAAGACCACAAACCCACCGGAAAGAAGAAACTCTGACACATCTGAACATCTGAAGGAACAAACTCCAGACACACCATCTTTAATAACTGTAACACTCGCCGCGAGGGTCTGCGGCTTCATTCTTGAAGTCAGCGAGACCAAGAACCCACCAGAAGGAACCAATTCCGGACAAAATATGACAGAAGAGGCAGACACCAGCTCCAAGCTGAAAGAAAGCACCCTGGTTCTAAGCAGAAGCCTTGGAAGCCTTCAGGTGTTCCAGCCAACCTCCTATCCTTTTTCCTTAAATGAGAATGGCAAGGCTCAAAATGGAGCTGTTCTATCAGCCTGGATGCTGAAGAAAGACACTTGGAGCAGAGCAACACCTTATCTGCAGCTAACACATAACTGACATAATAAACCTTTGGGGGTGCAAAACACTGAAATGTAGGAACTGTTTATTAATACGCCATCATCTAGCAGGAGGTGGTAACATGTCCATATTTCATAATTTCCCCAACAGAACTTATTCCTGAAGGAGAGGAAATGCATCCTGCAAAAACAAAATCAAAACTCATTAAGTGAAGCAGTTAGGTCACCGAAGAGTAACTTTTATCATTTTAACACAACATGATAAAAGTAAGTAGCTCTTAGCTGGCTAAGACACAGAGAATTCTCCATTATTCAAAATAAGGAAGACTTATCAACACAGTATGTATTCCATGGCAAACAAGGTTTTCCCTTTCTTCTCAAATTCTAAACACAGTAATCACATAACTGCTAACGGCTGCTGTTTTACAGAAATCTCCAAGAAAAAAAGACACAAATGCAAGTCGGCCCTGAAGGAGCACATTCTTTCGCAGAAGCCTCTCGGCTGCTGATCCTCTGGGGGATCCAGCACCGTGTAGGAGGAAGGCAGGCAGGGAAAGGATGGATAGCAGTGGACTCTGACAGACATGCACTTGGCTCCACCCTTCACCTCCAGGCACAGATGCTGCTCATCCATTTCTACAGGCAACTCACTCTAAAACTCAGTGGCCCAAACAACAAGCATCTGTTATCTCAGTTTCTGCGTGTCAGCGTTCAGGGCAGCTTAGCTGGGTGAATGTGGCTCTGGGTCTCAGGGGAGGTCGTTGAGATGTCAGCTGAAGCTGTGGGATTCTGGCAGCCTAAGGCCTTGCAGGGACTGAGGAGGTGCTACCAAGACAGCTCCACAGCGTGGCTGTGAGCAGGAGGCCTCAGTTCCTGAGTCCTCAGAGAACGGACAACGGACTCCACAGAGCGAGTGATCCCAGGGCACACGCAGGAAGGAAAGCAGGGCCTGCAGCTTCAGGAATCCTATGAGCTAGCCTCAGCAGTCAGGCAGGCTGTGCTCGGTTCATAAGAAATGAGTCATCAGCCCCACCTGTACTCAAGGAAAAGAGAACAAGGCTCCAACTACAGAAGGGATGAGCATCCAAAAACGGGAAGACATTGCTTGAAAATCACCAGCAGATCCACCCACTCTCAGAGTGCTAGGTTTTTCTCTTCCAGCTGAGTGACCACACCTTCACACTGGATGTCAGATGTCACAGCCACTCTGCCTAGCGGACAAAAGTTGACAAAGAAACGGGTCACAGAAGGACACTCCAATGTTTGGGATTCGAAAGGCTCCCCTACTGATACCCCGATATTAGTGACTTTGCCTCACCCCACTTCCAAATTCATAGGAAGTGTAGAAATTCAGGAATATCTTCCACAGAATAAAAACAGCAAAGCAAACTACATCACAAAATAGATCGTGTGATATGTCTAATATATAACACAATGTACATTATGAAAATACTTCATATAATAAAGATCCTGTGTCAGAACCTTTCCACTACAAGCAAGTAAACCCAACTCAAATTGGCTTAAACAAAAAAAGGAAATTATTGGTTCGCACAACAAACAAGTCAGGAATGGCAAGAGCCACAAGCTCAGAACCGGAAGGCTTTCTCCGCTCTCTTTCCTACTCTCCTGAGTGTGCGCCACAGTTTCAGGAACGGTCTCCCTCATCAGGCAACAGGACCACTGGCAGCCCCAGGCCCACACCACCAGGTCAACACCTCAGATGCATCTCGCTGGACCCAGAGCCCACCACGTGAACCAATTTCACAGCCAGTGAAGCAGAACAAGGAGAGCTGTCCAAGGAGCCAACAAT
The DNA here is from genome assembly GCF_000001405.40 of Homo sapiens. Lineage (NCBI taxonomy): Eukaryota > Metazoa > Chordata > Mammalia > Primates > Hominidae > Homo > Homo sapiens. Next base: position 111,187,223 of record NC_000013.11, on the reverse strand, counting down.
AACGGACACAGCATTCTGGCAAACCCACACATAAACATGTATTAATAATTTAGAGCACAAAAATTCAGACAGTCCCCCAGAGCTAAGGGACACCACTGTAGCACTAGGGCCACACAAATGCACGCAAAAGGACACACTGACCAGCTCTATTCCAGCCCAACTGCTTTCACACCACCCTCCCAATACCCACACCAACAAGCACAGCAACCTTAATCAACCCCGTCAGTACTGACACGAGAGCAAAAGAATGCCTCCTGCCTCCATGGTAGCGCTGGCTGATGCACCTCTACGTAGTAGACCCCAAAAAGACCAGACCGGGAAATGGGGAAAGAAGTAGTCGTCTTTTTGCTTCTCCTCACTTTCCACCATCTCAATACTGACGGAGAGGCCTCTGCAATGTGGGACTGAGCGCACACTTTCTGGGCTCACTGAAGCTTTAGTGGTCTGCGTTGCCACCAGTCAGCTCGCCTCCTCCAGGAACTTGAGAAAGTTATTCTTGACACAAGAAATTGTTATTTTTAGCACAGCTCTGGAGTGTGGTTTGCAAAGTTTAAAAATATAATTTTGTCCTATCACTGTCAAATGGAACTTGTGATTTCAGAACAAGAGTAAAAAATGAATCTTAAATAAGTGGTGCTATTTAAGTTTAATGCAAATGGTCCATATTGTTGGGGACATGTGAAAAACAGAAATCCAGCAGTACGTTTTCACTTCCTGGCTTCTGCAGATTTTGTACTTAATCCCACCCACTCCTACACCCCAGGGGTAAAATTAAAGTCTGATGACGGATGCTATCAATTACGGCACTTTCACCCAACATGCACCCAAATGATTTATTTCACTTTAAAATGAAAATCAAATCTTATTCAATTTTGTGGATTCCACTGTATCAACACCCAAACACTAGGACAGAGAATACATCTTCAAAAAAGAAGTAACCAAGTATTTTAGGTAGTTTCCAGGAAGGGGTGAGAGGAGCAGAGCAGGGAGGCAGGAGCACAGCAACGGGAAGGCAGGCAGGGCTCTTCCCAACAAGATGCTCTCTGCCTTCTGCAGACCGGGCGCAACCTCCACACGAGGCAGGGAAGCGCAGCCCCAACAGGCAGGGGAAAGGAAGGACACCTCCCTGCTTAGGACCACGGCATGCTGTGCTGGCCCACACAGCCCGTACCTCAGTGTAGACTGCATGCCAGTTTATCTTACAGGCAGAAAACGAAAACACACACACACACACACACACACACACACACACACACACACACGAGCTCCCAAAAGACAGTGTGACAAAGCTTACAAAGGCAGAACCAAGATCGGAGCCCACCAGCCTGGCTTTGCCCACACCACCACACTGCCAGCCAGGAAAGGACACCAGAGACAGTGGTGTCCCACAGCGGTCATGCAGGCAGATCAGGCAGCACCCAGGGGAGGAGGGGTGGTCTCAGACACAACTCACCACGTACACACACACAGCAGCCCATACAGCCTACACAGGCCCCCAAACTTCTGTCTTCGACTGCTAGGAGCACATGCCTGCAAAGAACAGCCTGGCTGTCGCCAGAAAGTGAGCACATACCACAAAGAAGGATCTGGGCAGATGCAACACACTGGCTTGGGCTAACAGTAAGTGAAGCAGTAACATTTACAGCTATAAAGGCAATGCGCCCATTCCATTAACTTCAAAATGCAAGCAGTTACAAGACTCCAGTTTTGAGAAGTTTCTCAAGATGGCCCACTGCAAACACCTATCTAACTCCCATCCCTCCCAAGGTGCCACCGAAATGAGAGAAAGAAAAAGCTTCAAAAAATTAACAGAGAAAGAACCCGCTGTAGTGCTAAAAAGGGAAAGGCTATGAGCAGTCTAAACAGGGTTTGAGGAGATCCCTGGGGACAGGACGCAGATGGACTCTGAATGACCTAACAGTTCAGAACAGCACTTGTAAGGGAGCCCCAGGAGCACCAAAGACGGTTTTCTAACACAGGAAGGGACACGTGACCCACCTCAGGACTTCAGCACGACAGCCCCTTCTTCCTGATGGGAAGCTCAGCACCCAGACCCCTCTCTAATTAAAAAGAAGCTGCTGCCTGCACTGGATTCTAACCGGAGGTGAAGTGACCCTCTCTAATTAAAGAGAAGCCTGCGGCCTGCACTGGATTCTAACCGGAACCTGATGCACCACTAGGCCCACACAACAGTCTCTGAGGAAAAAAAAAAATGACAATTCTACCCAGAAGCGAAATCCCCTGGGAGCTCCACCACCAGCCTGGACTATCCCCCATCTGAAGTGTGACACAGGAAACAGGTGCAGAGAAAGTGTCTCCCTCAGCTCTGCTCGTGTAGCTGCTTCTAGAGCCCTCCATCCGGTTCTCCCCACCTGCTCCCAGACACACAACCCGCACAGTGAAGCCCACGGGGCCGGTAACCCACACACAGGACTGCACAGTCCCCTCCGCTCTGATGCCAGTCAACTGGGCTTTTATTCACAAACAGGAAGAACCCATCAAGGCCACACCTGATAGGAAATAACAGCATAGCACAAAGAGAACTGACCTATGACTCCCAAAAAGATGGAGAAGACACATCTCCCCCTCCCTCCAGCTGAATGCAGCTAAAAGCCCTGGATGCTGCCTATAAAACAAACGTCAGCCTCAGAATGTGAGAGAGGAGGCAGACCGGCTAAGGGTTTCAGGGCTGGGAACCATGCCAGCGGGTTCTCTGGGTTTTCTTTTTGCCTCAAATGCTCCAAACTGAGTGCTAAACAAGCCAGCAACCCAGAAACACCAACAGGTACAGAAGAAAAGCCTCAAGAAAGACCTATCCTCTCTAGCCAAAGGACCAGGACAGGGCAGCCTAGTAGGTCAAAAAACTTCAACAATAACCATCTGTATTAGTCCGTTCTCACGCTGCTATGAAGAAATACCCAAGGCTGGGTAATTTATAAAGAAAAGAGGTTTAACTGGCTCACAGTTACACATAGCTGGGGAGGCCTCAGGGAACTTACAATCACGGCAAAAGGCACCTCTTCACAGGACAACGAGAGAGAATGAGTGCCAGGCAAAGCAGGGGAAGCCCCTTATAAAACCATCAGATCTCGTGAGAACTAATTCACGATCATGAGAACGGCGGGGAAACCAACCCGTGATTCAATTATCTCCACCTGGTCCCGCCCTTGACAGGTGGGGATTATTATAATTCAAGGTGAGATTTGGGTGGGGACAGAGTCACACCATAACACCATCCTACCCCAACCACACAGAGAGGGTTAAAAAATGCAGTCCCACCCGCACCCGGCCATAAGCAAGTGACCCCCGTCAACCCTTCCCCACAAGTCCTGGTGGAGACTTACAGAGCTCCTCATCTTTTACACAGGAGAGAAGTCTAAGATGACAAGTCAAGAAATACTAGAAATACAGTTAAAAGGTGACTACTAAAAAATTGAAAATTATAAAACCGGTACAATTAGCAAAAATTGGGATTTAGAGGGGCTGTGGGGAAGGTGAGAGACAGAGCAAGTATATTAAATTCCCTCCCTCATAAAGAGGCCATAATGGGGAAGAGAAGAAATGGATTAGAAGAGGGTTTATAGGTAAAAATCCACAGGACTTTATAATAATTGATAAAATGACAATGTACATGTAGTTTATGCACTATTTGATGCTATGCAAATGTAACTTTCAGCAGACAACATGAAAAGTTCAAAGGAGGTTTGATTAGAAAAGACGAAGCCACAGATGATGCCGGAGGTGTGAGACCTGAGGGTAGACCCCATCAAAAAACATCCAAAGAATCAAAACATTTGCCAGACAGCTTCTGAGAGAAATAGAAAAAAATAAGCTTATAACCACATTTTCACTGAGAACATTTTTGTTTAAAAAAAAAAAAGGTGCCAATACTCCCATCCAAATGCTATAGAATGCTATAGCTGTCTGCCTTCTGCACTTAATTTCTAACTCCCAGTACATGTCCACTGCATATGTATTTCAAAATAAGCGCCATTTAACAAAACTTGCTAGCACGAGTACAATGACATAGCGTGCGTGCAATGTGACTGCTAGTAATCTGCCTTCCTCTAACTCTTGACTATTTACACCTTGGTTCTACCTTGTAGGGCCACCCAGATGCTCAACTCACAATGGGGTACATCCTGTTAAACCCACTGTAAACTGAAAAACATCGTGAAGTTGAAAATACATTTGATACACCTAACCTACACAACATCACAGCTCAGCCTAGCTACCTTAAGTTTGCTCAGAACACTCATATTAGCTTACAGTTGGGCAAAATCATCTCACACAAGAGCATATTTTATAACACAGCGTTGAATAGCTCATGTGACGTACTGAATACTGAAAAACTGGCTGTATGGGTACTCGAAGCACTGTTTCTACTGAATGTGCATTGCTTTTGCACCATGGCAAAGTCAAAAAAACATGTAAGTTGAACCACTGGAGATGACGAACCATATCTGTATGAGCCCACAGATGCTAGGCCCAATTTCTCTGAACCCTAAAACTGCTTTCTAAACATCTAGTCCAAGTCTCCCGATGGCGGGGGCAGAGCTGAGAGCGGCCACGCTGAGATGGAAGGTGGGAGCAGTCTCCAAGTTTATCAGAGCCCAGCCAACTCCATCAAAGCTGAAGTTCCTGGTATTCGTCAGACCCCAGGCCACGTTCCCCCCACCCCTGGGCATGACACCATTGTTAAGAGGCCCAGCCATGCCCACAGCCAAGCAACAGAGATGCACAAGGTGTGGGAAGACCTTCTCATCCTCTCCGGCTCCTCAGATTTAAAGGCGGATGGAGTCACACTGGAGAAAAGCCTTTTGTATGCAACACATGCAGACAAGCTTTTACCACCAAAGGCAGCTTGAAGGTCCACTGTATGACACACGGGGCAGTAACTCAGCACCCCGTGGAAGGAAGCTGGCCAGAGAACACGGGGGCTCCATTAGGTACAGAGGAAAAGAGTCTCAGAAATGCTTCCCAAGGAAGTCCTGAACCCTCCGGCGAACAGGGACCTGTCGTATGGAGGCGGCACACCAGCACGCTCGACACCGTGAAGATCAACGAGACTGCTGCGATCCAGAACGGCGGTGTTCTCACCCTCCTGGTCTCCAATTCTTGTGAATTAAGGCCACTCTTGTGAATAAAACCCTCCCAGCTTCCTCTGAACAAACATCAGGTTCAAGTTATTCCATCCCCTAGCAGTCAAGATGCACAATGCTGCAGGCTTTTCACATTTCCCCTGACTCCACATTTAGGACAGCTCACCAAATCCACAACGCTTTGTTGGTTCAGTTCAACACATCAACCTGAAAAGCTCACAGGCCAACCAAGCAGCAGCATTACCTGCATGATGTCTGGCCCCTCTGCCCTTTCAAAGGTCGCTTCCTACCTGAAGCTCTTTCCTGTTTCCACCTGGAATGTTTCTTCCCCTCTCTGAGTCCCAACCCCATGACAGCTGCGCCTCTCTTGAAGCATTTACAGCTGCTGCCCCCTATTCAGGTTACATGGGTTCCTTCCACTTCAGTGCACTGTTCCATGATGCCTCAGGGCACAGATATCTTGTTCACCTCTATACTCCCTCAGGGCAAGGCACCCAGCTCAAGACACTTCCTCAGAACCGAGTGCAAACTGATGAACAGCACCTGGAGAAATACTCCAAGTTCTCCACCACAATGAAATCCAGACTATGCTCCCCAGTTGTTGTTGTTGTTTAAAAAAAACATGATCTATCCAAGAAATGCCCCAGTCAAAGGATCTCATGACTTTGTCCCATCTCTTTCTGGGCATGCTCCAAGTCCTACAAAATGACCTCCACCTCTTCCAGGGGCCAGTTCTAAACTAAGATTCCAATCAACTGCCATAAACAAGACAAAAGTAGGTTTCCAGGTCTTCTCTCAGCAAAGGGATGTAAAATTTGAAGTTGGGACAACTTGAAACCCTTAATACACAAATTTACCAATTCCAAAGTTCCCTTGTCCTGATCCTTCTAAGACCCCCATGTGATCAATGTTCAAACTCTTGACCATGATCCACACTAAAAAATGTATTTCACAATGTAACCAATACACACAGAATCCATAAAGTTGTTGAAGTTTGAATTTTGAATAAATTCACCACTAAGAGATAAACAATTAGCAAATACAACAGGGACAGGAGCTACTCAAATTTTAAAGTGGCCATTCACCTGCTCCAATTTATTTTCCAAGTAGTAAGTCTTTCACTACACTCAACGGCCTTCACTGAGTTACACATCATGCCCAGAATGATGGGGGGCATTTTGAACACTAACATTTTTGCAATCAGACATCTTAAATCTTAAATGTCCTTCCAGTTGCATGATGCAGATTATGTATATTATCTATATAAACACACGTATTAAAAATTCAAAATGCAGAACATTATGGACACTACAGTATATAGTTCCCCATAAAGATTAAATTTCCAGGTGTCTATAATCTTCCACCAACTGTACTGCTCTCATTCTCTTGTTGGAGCTGATCTTTAATTCTCAATTTGGAAGTTCTGAAATCACCATAAACCTGGATTCAAATACCAACTCTGCCACCTAGTAAATGTTAGACACTGGGCATCTTCCTTAACCTCTCTACATCTCAGCTTCTCCTTCCTGTAGTGTGATCACTATCTCTGCCTTACAACACAGCCTTCTGGGGCTTCTGGTACTGAGAAGCTCCTCTGGAAGCAGCAGCTGTTACTACTAAGCTGTTGTCATGCATGTTTTAAAGAATCTTACATTTCTACCTCTTCTGTATTTCCACCGTTACTTCTCATAAAATGGAAAATATCCTATCTGTATGTGTTCCTTCCCTGTCAATCAACTTCCTTCTATTCACTCCTGAAGCTCACATGGATAAAATTCAGTTCATGGCTTCAGTCTGAGTCAAAGACTGATTTTTTGCTTGGTAATGAAAAGCTCGTAAGGGAAGTAAAACAGACCTCAGAAGTAAATGACTAAGTTCACAAATGTTATAGAATCTTTGGATTCTTGAAAGCAAAGTAACATTTTCTCCTCTCCCACATCCCACAACTTGCGGGCTTAGATGCCCACCACCACCCTCCAGTGCCAACAGGAGCCTGAGGCCCTAAAGAAAGCCTCAAATCAAAGGGCCTGAGAACCACCTGAACCACCATAACAGGAAGTAATTCAGGCACGTAGGCAGTGGATGCTAGAAGCATCAGTGAAACGTTTGGGGGTAAAGTATCATCCATGGATTAAGCACAAAGGGAAAGGCACCCTTATAACCGAGATCTGGTGGACATCACTTTAACCTAGTGACCAACTGTGGCACCAGCAGTGACGGAGCCCACTAACAGTAAGTGCCTTCCGCTGGGACCCAATGGGAAGTACAGAGTATTACCTATGCAGAATTCATGCCAGAAATGTCTAACCTGAACCAAATCATGTCCAGACTGTAGGGCATGCTACACACTAACAAGCCTGGATTCTTCAAAAGCGTCAAATCCTAACGTTAAAGCGATAAAGGCAGAAAAACGATCCTACAGGAAAATAAACTAGAGACAAACCAGATGTAATGCATGACCCTTGTTCAGATCCTACATTTAACAGAAAGAAAAGCCATAAACGTCATTCTGAGACCACCAGAGATATCTGAATATGGGTTGCATAAGCGATAACATTATAGGATATAGCATACGGCAACACAACGTTAAATTTCTGGGTGTGATAATGACACCATGGTTATGTAGGAGAATGTTCTTATTTTTAAGATACACATGCTGAAGTATTCAGAGGTAAGGATCATGGGATCTACAACATGACTTACACAGTTGGCAAAATAAAACAGAAACAGGCGTTTGAGGCCGGGTGCAGTGGCTCATTCCTGTAATCCCAGCACTTCGGGTGGCCAAGGCGGGAGGATCACCTGAGGTCAGGAGTTCAAGACCAGCCTGGTCAACATAGCGAAACCCTGTCTCTACTAAAAACACACAAAAAAAAGTAGCTGGGAGTGATGGCACGTGCCTGTAATCCCAGCTACTAGGCTGGCTGAGGCACGAGAATCGCTTGAACCCGGGAGGCAGAGGCTGCAGTGAGTTGAGGTTGCACTACTGCACTCCAACCTAGGTGACAAAGCAAGATTCTGTCTCAAAAAAAAAAAAAAAGAACAGGCATTTGAACTCAGAATGCTGGTGACCTGTGAGAAGGGCACACGGATGTTCACCGAACTCTAGTCTCCCAACCTTTGTTACTTTTAAAGTTTTCAAAACAAAAAAAAAGGGGGGGGACGGCACATTAAGTGGCTCTCTCTAGCATCCGCTCACCATCCGTAGCCTAGGAGGAAAATAAAGCATTTCACTCATCATCTGTGGGGCTTTCGTGCAAATAAACACCCACATGAACAATCCTTCTGACCGGCCCGACATTTCTTAAAGATCTCAGTCACTGCCACACTAATCTTCCCCTCAAACTCTCAGCATAGCTGGGCTGGCCCATTCTACAACGAGACAGTTAGAGAAAAGTGTGGCTTCCTCCCTGCCTTTTCCAAGCTGGGTGGGTACCGGCAGCTGCCTCCCTGACAGATGGCTGGCACTCCTCACCATGCCCAGCTGGACAGCGCTAAGTACCAAGCTAACTCAGTCAGAAACTCTCCAGAGAGATGCTGGGGTCAGCATTTTTTAAAAACACTCGCATACTCAGAATCCCAAGTGGATACCACCCAATCTAACCTTGAAACCTTCCCTAAAGGGCAAGAGTGAACATTCCATCTGAATACTGTATCACCTCTGAACTGAAGACCACTCCCTTTCTCTAAACTATCACAGAAAACATACAAGGTAAACTGACAAAAATCTGGCCAAAAACACATATTTTGGATAAGAATGCTATTTTTAAAAACACATTAAATGTAGACTGCACATCTAAATATGGTCTGAAAAGAACTCAGGGTTTTGTGTTTTTGTAATTACTCACTGGGAACCTGTTCTCTCGCTGGTTCCCAGGACATAAGGGAACTCCTCAGGAACTCAGAGTGCTTCAGGGCAAGCGCCTGTCAAGAAAAAGAGAGAGGAGGACTTCCCATCCCTACAAGATCAGCTGGCATTTTCTTGCTTTATTTTTAAATGAAAATAGAAAAGCAATGACTAAAAGATGATCAAAGAACCCTGCTTTACTAGCCTCAGTCAAGCTGAGAAACAGGAAGTTTAGGAGAGAGGAAGGAGGTCAAAGGACAGGCACTGAGTGAACACAGAATTCCCTGCGCATGGAGAAGAGGAGGTGAGCTATTCCAGGGTTCTCGGGACCACACTGCGTGCGAGTTCAAGCTTCACTGTTCCCACTCACTGGTCATGACTGTCTGCTTCATTTTTCACAAGGACTTTTAGAAAATAACAACATATACCCTTCTTAACACTTTTTTCCCCACCATCTGGCCAACATCAAACATCCTTGTTCAATAGCATGTTGAAAAATGCACGTGAGCTAATATATTCAAGATAGCACATATTTCATACCCAGAAAGACATGCCTTTTACCCAGTCTGGGCCACTCTGTCTGAGGCTAGTGAGAGGCCTTCCCAGTGACAGTCCCAAGGACAAACGTCATCAGCTGAGCTAGTCCAGACAAGTGGCACCGGGGCAGCAGTGCCTAATGGGACTGCCAGCAGGACCGTGTGAGAACCTGCAAACTCACCAACACGGCTCAGGGATACTGAGAACACATTCTCAGGGGGTGTGACCCTCCCCTCCTCAGTGAGCACAGACCTGCTCCTTAGATTCCAGCCGCATTCAGAACACACTGACTCCACTGATAGCACATCTCACACCCCGCCTGAGCTCAGCTCCCAGAATGACCAATGGGCCTTGACCAGTTTGCAACAGGAAGAATGTGGACTCCTTTGAGAGTAGAGGGACAAAAGGACGATAACACAACATCATTTGTGTTTCTTCAATATGCACGCAGGCACAGAGACAGGAAGTGCATCACAACAGGCCCAGCCTCAGCCCCGGCCACAATGCACCAGCTGTGTGGCCCTGGCCCAGTTCCCAGGCCTCTCAATACCTCCGTTTCTCCCGCAAAGCGATGCCTGCTTCCTCAGCACTGGTACAGGTTTAAATGAGTTAATTCGGTGAAGTCACTGGAACCACGCCTAGCACAGAATACACACCACTTATTTATAAAATAAGTCAGTCAGCCGGGCGCGGTGGCTCACGCCTGTAATCCCAGCACTCTGGGAGGCCAAGGCGGGTGGATCACCTGTGGTCAGGAGTTCAAGAACAGCCTGGCCAACATGGTGAAGCCCCGTCTCTATTAAAAATACAAAAATTAGTGGGGCGTGGTGGTACACGCCTGTAGTCCCAGCTACTGGGGAGGCTGAGGCAGGAGAATCGCTTGAATCCGGGAGGCAGAGGTTGCAGTGAGCCAAAATCGCACCATTGCACTCCAGCCTGGGTGACAAGAGTGAACTCCATCTAAAAAAATAAATAAATAAATAAGCCAGTCAGCAAATACTACCTAAGGACATCTCAGATCATGTGACACGCCTGAAATGGAAAGCTCAAGAGCAGATGGGGGACAAGAGGAGGACAAACGTCCGCACGCGGGGGTCCCACTCATCATGGTTACACTCCTGGACATGACCCTACCTGATGGGAAACTTCCCAGGGAGGGTGTTTAGGCAGTGACAGGTGGCAGGCAGGGGCTACGTGGGTCACCCCACAGGGCACAGCACACAGTGAAGAGAAAGGAGAGAGTGGGACCTAGGAAGAAACTGGGGAGGAAGCAAAACACAAGTTCCAGGGGCCGGCCATCTAACCAGATCCACCACACAAATGGCAGCCAGATGCCAGAGGGGGAGAGGCACATCACGCACAATTCTCAGGAAACAGAAACTGCCTTACACACCTCAAACACTGCAATTTGACATCAAAAAGTATCTTGCTCACCTACAGTCATTCTCCACATAGCAGCAATGGTCGCATTTTCTATGGGTAAAAGATCAGGCTTAAAATCCTCCAGCAGCTTCTGGCCATCATTAGACTAAAATCCACACTTCCATCAACCTACAGAAGGGGGCTCAGAGTCCTAGGCAGAGCATGGTGCTGGTGACAGACTACCTGTGTGGCTGATAGGGTTTGGCTGTGTCCCCAACCAACTCTTTATCTTGACTTCTACTTCCAGAAACCCTGCGTGTCATGGGAGGGCCCAGTGGGAGGTAATTGAATCATGGGGCAGTTACCTCCATGCTCTTCTCGTGACAGTGAGTTCTCACAAGATCTGATGGTTTAATAAGGGGCTTTTCCCTGCCCTTCGCTCTGCATTTCTCCTTCCTGCCGCCATGTAAAGAAGGACGTGTTTGCTTCCCCTTTTGCCACAACTGTTAAGTTTCCTGGGACCTCCCCAGCCCTGTGTTAACTGTGAGTAAATTAAACCTTTCTCCTTTATAAATTACCCAGTCTCAGACAGTTCTCTATAGCAGTGTGAGAACAGACTAACACATTCAGAAAGACTCAACCCCTGTGCCTCAGTCTCCTTATCCACAAAGAGAAGTGGGCAGTCCCACCTCCCAGGGCTGCTATGAGGACGTCCAAGGCAATACCTTTCAAAGCGCCTGGAGCAGAGGACGCCCAGTGAGGAGCCAGCAGCTTAGGAGGCCCGCCCCTGGGGCCTCCAGTCCTTCCCCCAAAAGCTCACTCACCCCACTGCAGGCTCCAGCCTGCAGCAGGCAGGCTCAATTCCATCTCAGAGCCTTTGCCCAGGCACTCTTCTGCCTGGGTGCCCTTCCCCACACTCACATGGCAACACCCTGACTGAGAGGGCCCCCAGAGAGGTGCTCCCAGGCTTTGAGTCTCACAGGGCAGCCCTGCTCTCTCACCCTCTCCCATTCCCTCACTCTCCCCTCACTCTGTCTTCTTCATGGCTTCCATCAGCGCCAGGAATTCTGTTGTGAACATGTCTGTCCTCTGTACATTCTGAACCATACAAGTGTGGGCCTTGACTCTAGAGCTTCTAAGACAGTGTGGGACCCACAGGGGCCCTCAGTGCACAGCTGCTGAATTATCCCATCAACTCCTTAGTGGCTATTTCAGTGAACTATTACGAAAAGAAATAAGCAGCTTACCACAAACAAATATTCAATTTAGAGAAGCTCGTCCCACTCCCAGAAGGCAGATCTACCTTGTGGAAAGGCTACAATCTAATTTAATTCAACTTAAAACAGGGAAGAGTCAAATTCACACTGCTGTATGCTCCCAACACAGGAGGACGGTTGAGGAGGAGACAGCAAGATCCCGAGACACAGGCAACAGATGGAGCTTTTAGGTTTCACCCGACACGCACAAGCACATGTGCTGCACAAAACCAACCCGAGGACTGTCAGCAACTTCTAGTCCTCGCACGCCTAGCTGAGTTATCAGCAAACTGCTTCCTAGGAGCTGCAAGGACCTCCCGGTGTTTCCTCTCCTTTCTGCTTACGACCCCCAGCGTACAGATGGACCAGACCGCTAGCACAGCTGAGGCACGGGGTGTGGACACAGAGCAGGGCAAACCCAGAAGGTGTGTTTTCACAAAGCTGGAGCAAAGTGGCCCTCCAGATGTCTACTTTAACTAAGGCAAGACAATGAACTCAAAATAGCACTACAGGAAAACTTAGTGAACTAAGCCACGTATGCCCAGATAATGCATGGCATTTCCCAGCTCCTTGTAATGACCAGGAAGTCATAAAATGCAAGAGCAAGACTGCGAGAAAGGTGAAGGAAGAGCAAGAAAGGGAGACAGACAAGGAGATGACAGAAGACAGCAAGATGGCCTCTTCCTTGCTGGGTGGGCAGAAATCTGTCAAGGACCAAAGGGGGAGAAAAAAGCCTTGAAGAATTCGGAAGACATGAAGATGCCAATACACAACAGGTGCCAACAGAGGGATTCCACAGGCACTGCCGTCTGGACATTTTAACAGTGTGGTTAAATGTAAAAATCAGTAAATGATCTTAGAGTATAAGCTCTGAGAAATAAGAGTAACCAATTTTAATTATCCTCAATCCCAAAATATCTCAGCAGTCTCTATAAAATATTACCTAGATTTTAAATAGCAGCAAATATCATTCCTTTTTTCAAAACAAACCTTTTACACTGAAATAAGCTAACACGGATTCTACCTTGTTTACCTCAGGCGCTTCATTAATCTTATCCGAATAGTACAGGGGGAGGGCTGGGTGCCAGACAAAGGAGGGAAATCTACCTTATGAATTATTAATACCAATCGGAGATCACAAATTTGTCTTGAAAATTAAGTAAATTTTTTATCATAGTAATCACTACACAAGTTGACCCAGTCAGTGCAATGCAAACACCACCACAAGCAGTTAAGCAGCCTGATAAAACTGAATGACACCCACATCCCTCTACAGACACCCGCACCTGTCTCACGGGCACACCCCACCCACCCCCTGACCTCCCAACCCTCCAAGACCAGGTGCTGCAGGTAGCAAATGACATCCTCAAACACGAGACATCTCCATTCAATGTGGGGAGAGGCAGTGGTCTCCATGCTCACTTGGCAGCCATGAAACACAAGCCGACTTAAAGCTGACCCTAACAGCACATCCAAAATGTGCTTTCCAAATTGCCAACCTCCTGGGAAAGCAATCCGTGGATGAAATTTCACAGGCTTCCAATCAGTGAATACACTGTGTCCCCAGTGAGCACTCTGCCCTGTCCCTCCACATCCTGGGGCTGAGCTTACGCTACAGAGCATCTCCAACTGATGCCACAAAGTAGGTACGAAGGTGGAGCATCCTCCCAAGACAGACACAGAGGCCTGGAATTGGTCAAACTCCTGGTAATTTTCCTGGTTCTGACTCCCCAGTATGACCCTGCTACTCTGTGAAGATAAAAGTGACTGGAAGACTTTAAAAGGGGGCAAAATATCAAGACAAGCTAGCCAAGCACACCACCCCTCCAGGCTGCCAGGCTCTGAGACCGGCCAGCCCTCCCAGGCAGTATGCATTCCACCCCAACCATGGCTAGGCTGTTTCTGCCCAGAAACGCAACATGCTCTGGGGGAGGTAACTGGCAGGATCTGTGTGCACTCTGACACCAACTCTGTGAAAAGAAAAAAGGTGTGGGTTGAGAGTGAGCAAATGGCATTAAAAAATGCTGGAAGGAAATACAGCAACACGTTAATAAAGGTAACTTATTAATGATACAAGTGGAATGGTTTTTTCATATACTTTTCTGCAGTTTTTATTTCTATACACAGGTTGAGCATCCCTCATCTGAAATGCTTGGGACCAGGAGCGTTTCAGATTTTGGATTTTCATATTTGAGATGCTCAACCTGTCTACACACATAGCTACTATAATCGGGAGAAAAAGGCAGCATCAGTAATGTCTGACTAGAAAACAGCTATGCCTAGTTTGTACATGCCAACTCTGGCTGCTGTCGCACAACAACGGCAGAATAATTGTGACAGAGGTCTGCCCCACCCCAGCCCCCACAAGATAGTTACTGTCTAGCTTTTTACAGAAAACTGCCAAGCCTTGGTTTACAGCACCAGGACCCCTCTCTCTGCTATTAACCCAGTCTGTAGGGTGTTTTTACTAAGTGTGCAAATGACAGTTCAAATTTACTGCAAGAAAAGAGGCTGGTTTTTTAAAACCAAGTTTTATTATGGCTTGAGTTTCTTTGAGGAAATGGTTCCCAAAAAGTGTGAAGGGCAGAAGCAGTCAGAGAGGATGTGACACTGTCACAGGATGAGGTGATCACCAACTTACCTGCAGCCTTAGAGAGCGGCACCACCACGTGACTTGGAACTGGAGAATGCCATGACTTCAGGGATATTAAGAGAATATATACTTCCAGGACCACATTTCCACAGAGACGATGCTCTAAAAGCCCCTAGAGCACTGATTCAGTGAGTGCTTCCATTTATAGAACTGAATTTATTTCGTTTAGGGATATTAAGAGAATATATACTTCCAGGACCACATTTCCAAAGAGACTATGCTCTAAAGGCCCCTAGAGCACTGATCAGTGAGTGCTTCCATTTAAAGAACTGAATTCATTTTGTTACAATCTCCCTTACTGGCTTGTAAGAGCTACTTACGTATTTAGAGTACCAGCCCCTCGTCAAGATTACGAACGTGTTTTCTCAGGGTACCGTGTACTGATGCTCTCTGCCACTGCCTTGGGCCGTTCAGGCTGCTGTAAGAAAATACCATAACCTGGGCGGCTCATAAGCCACAGAAATGTATTCTCACAGTTCTGGAACTGGGAAGTCCAAGATCAAGGCATGGACTGATTCAGTATTTGGTGAGGGCCTGTTTCTTCACAGATGAACTCACTGCAAACTCACATGGCACGGGGGCAGAGGTCTCTCTCTGAGGCCTCTTTTATATGAGCACTAACCCCATTCATGAGCCTAGTCACCTCCAAAGGCCCCACCTCCTAATACTGTCACCTTGGGGGTTAGGATTTCAACATGGGAATTTGGGGAGGAGACACAAACATTCAGACCATGGCAGCCACAGAAGAGCTTTGTTTTTAGAGGCTCATTCCTTTTTCTCTTGAAATCAAACTTTAACAGCTTTCCCCAATTAGAAAAGCATTCACCAAGCTAACTTCAAAGATCACACTGATGTTTACTCCATCACATAAAAATTGCTCATGCAAATTGAACACATACATAATGAGCCAACTTCCTCAACTAAAAGATCAAAGCATGAAGGGAAAGGACTTGTAGATTCAAGCATGTAACCTGGAGCGATATTAAAGTGTAACTCTATAAACAAAGTGAAATTATTTTTAATGCTTTTCACTTTATTTTTTTTAATTTGCTTTCAAAGACTGTCACCAAAGAGCCTCATCCAGCACTGAGCAGCCACACTCTGTTCAGACACCTGTACTCCTGCACACGCAGCTCCCAAGCTAGGCTTGGCTACAACCAAAACCCAAATACCTCAAATCTTTATGGTTACAACAGTGCCAGCTCACACAGTTTAAACTATCTTAGCCTCCTCATCACAAACAAAATGCTGTGGAAAAAACCGTACCTTCCTCAGGCTAATTCCATTTGGTTATACAGAGCCCTGAACAAAAGTAACTCTAAGAGTGCATTGGTGAGCTTAAGCTTAAAGTAAAAGCCAGTTCTTTCATTTGAGTTCAAGCCCTTGTTTAACAGATTTCAAACAATAATTTTAAAAAAAGAAAATCCAGTGCACACAAAATTCTTAGTTCCCTATTTTATGATGGATATTTGGTATGCATGCATTTTTCTTATGGACACAAACAACAGAAAAAGGATAAAATGCTTTTAAAAATTAAAGATAACCACTGCTGCTTTTTATATCTGCAACAGAAAAGACTGAGACTGATTATCTGTTATCTGCCATAAATTAAATTCCCAAATCAAACTTCTTGTCCCAAGTACCCAACAAGCAGGTCTCCCATTTTTACCTCAAACACACAGCAGCAGGCTCTGCTTCCAGGGGCCTGGGCACCATCCGTCATCAGAGTTCTCCCAAGTCCTCCCAGAGCGGAGCCAGACCCTTGGGGTAGCCACCATCATCTCCCAACAAGGAACCTTCTAGAACCTTCCAGAAAGTGAATCTGGCCTAAGGGTAACACACAGCACTTTCCCCGGCCACTTAGCACTGCATTCAGTAAAGGCAGGAAGGCTTGAGTGAGCAGCCTTGTGCAAGGCCGTTGATAACGCCAGTAACATGATCAATTCTCACCCAGCTTCCCTACATAAGAGATAAAATAAGAAGAAATTCCAGTAAGAAGGAAGAAAATGGTCAACAGAAGAGCAATTCTGACGTCCACGTTTGGTCTTCCTCAGAAGATTGACTAACTGCGCCAGGCACGGTGGCTCACGCCTATAATCCCAGCACTTTGGGAGGCCAAGGCGGGTGGATCACTTAAGGCCAGGAGTTCAAGACCAGCCTGGCCAACATGGCAAGACCTCGTCTCTATTAAAAATACAAAAATTAGCCAGGCATGGTGGTACATGCCTGTAATCTCAGCTACTCGAGAGGTTGAGGCATGAGTACTGCTTGATCCCAGGAGGCAGAGGTTACAGTGGGCTGAAATCACACCACTGCACTCCAGCAGGGAGAACAGAGCAAGACTCTGTCTACAAAAAAAGAAGAGTGGCTAGCTTGTATCACGTTGGCTGTGAGAGCAAATCCTAAAAGCGTCACCTCTGCAGAGGGGCCTTCTCTGATCACCCAATCTCTAAAAGCGTCACCTCTGCAGAGGGGCCTGCTCTGATCACCCAATCTAAGTCAGCACTCAGGTGCTCTCTCACCTCACCCCCTGATATTCTGCAGTTGTTGCGCATGACAGTTTTATTTGTTCACACGCTCATTCCTTTGCTTAAGTGTCTCCCCAACTAGAATTACACTCCCTAAGAGCAGGGCCCCTCCTCCCTTACTCACCAAGCCACCTCCAGCAACTAGAACGGTGTCTAGCAAACAGAGGTGATCATTAAATGTTCATTACTGTAACAGCATAAATATATTTTACAGTAAGAATGACTCCAAAGTTAAAAATATAATTCCACCAAAAAATCTTCCAATAATGTCTCACAAGCAAGGTCCTGGTTACCAACGCAAGGACCAGGAAGAAGCCTCTGGCTGATGTGGCTTGGTTCTCATGTCGAAGTATAATCCCCAATGTTGGAGGTGGGGCCTGGTGGGAGGTGACTGGATCGTGAGGGGCAGATTTCCCCTTGGTGCTGTTCTCGTGATGATGAGTGTGTGCTGGTGAGATATGGTTGTTTCAAGGTGTGTGGCACCTCCCCACTCCCTTGCTCCTGCTCCGGCCAGTTAAGACGAGCCTGCTTCCCCTTTGCCTTCCACCACGATTGTAAGTTTCCTGAGGCCTCTCCAGAAACAGGGCAGATGACAACATCATGCTTCCTGTACACCCTGTGGAACCATGAGCCCATTAAACCTCTTTTCTTTATAAATTACCCAGTCTCAGGTATTTATAGCCATGTGAGAACAGACTAATACAGTGGCATTAACGACCTCTGCAATTCTCTCCTAACACACGACTTTCTTCTCTTCCCAACAATGCCAAGTGACTTTTTTAAGGATTAAGTAAACTAGTACATGTTAAACGGATTTGCCTCTGCCTGGCACAACCCCACAGTAAGCATCCCCAAACTTAACCGCTACTATTGTCATTATTTGTTACCTAAGCCAACTTCCCGAATTACTGAACACCAAAAAGTTCAGAACTACTGATTAAAAGAGAAATGATAAGGTCTGCTTCAAATTGTGAATACTGAGTTGCTGTCTGCATCCTCTCTGGCACAGGCATCAAAGAACATATTATAGAAGCAATGTCACCTACCCTCCTCATGTCATCCAACACTCCTGGCTTCCATAAACACTTCACTGGCGATCAGTCATCAAGGAACCTATTCTCTCAACACAGCATCACTTTCTTGGAGTCAACATATCAAAACCACAAAACTATGCCATTTTTACATCTTTAATATTTCCTTTGTTTAGTTTCAAAAATCATCTCTCAAGCTTCAAAAAACTAAACCCAAGTTTTGTGATTCTGTGATTTTTTTCTGGGGGTGGGAATGGACAATTTACTGAAACCCTTTCATAGCCTTCAAAACTGTATAATCTATAAGGATATCCCTTTTCAATCATTACCTTTCAAGACTGAACCTGAACAATTCTTGCCTATTTTATCCACCTCTATGCAGAAACCCTGGTATTTCCCTGTTAATATTCCAAGTTCTTGGAACATTCTGAGAACATAAAGACATGGAAGGAAAAGTGTCAACTCTCCACTCGTGTTTATCCTCAAGGCAGCATGAAGCTTGAAGAAATCTGCAGGAGGCGGGGACTCTGAGCCTGGAATGGCAACAGCTGCTAGGTGGCTGGGCAGGCCTGGAGGGGACCCACACCCCTGCCTCACACAGCTGTCGCACAGTGGGGCCTCACACAGCTGTCGCACACCGCAGAGACAGAGTAGATGAGACCAAGCGGGAGAGCGGCAGAGGCAGAGAAGCAGGCACAGGGGAGGGCTAGCACCTTCCACCAGCTACCCTGGCCATCTCAGCCCTGACAGTCTCCCTATGACCTGGACGAGAGAGGAAAAACCTAGGTAAGCCAGGACCCTCTCCTCAGGCTCCTGGTACCCAACTCCTCAAGAGGCAAACTGAGCAGAAGGACCTCACTCTGCCAAGGAGGGAACATTATCGAGGCTGGACAGTCACCCTGCTCTCCTGCCATAACTCCACACTGTCACAGCAAGAAGGTTCAGTTTTACTGTTCAAGTGTCCTGTGAGGAAGGGGTGGCTCTGGTGTTCTGTCCTCCGGAAAGCGCCTTATGTCGCTGTCACGCTCTGGTGTGCTGCCCACCACAGTGGTGCCCCCAGGAAAGGCACTACATTCTCAGTGGAAATAGGCAAACTGCACAAGAGCATTCCTAGCATGGCCTCAGTTCCTGAAAAAGAGTCCGTGTGTGCCTCAGCATTCAACAGTGGCTCCTGCAGGAAGCAGGGTTAGGGTATTTAGGAGGGAGAGAGAAGAGTGGACATTTCCCTTTACGTGTGCCTGTAACACTCTGTTTGCTCAGAATGCACACATGTCATTTATAACTAAGAAAAAACATTGGCTAAAACAACTAACATTGCACCAAGGGATATCATGTCACACATGCAGGGCAAAGAATGATTCTCCTGAACTGGGGGATAGGAGTGATACAAAGAGCTACACCCTCATCTTAGACAGTTATTAACTAAAACTGATAAGAAACAACAGTGCCAGGATACAATATGGAAAGGAGGAAGTAAAGACCAAGAAGAAACACCAGCTGAGAGTGTGTTTCTGGGATAAGGAGAGTGCGGGAGGACTGTGTTTCCTTTTGAGGCTCTAAGTATTGTTTATCTTTTAAGCTATGTACAAGTCTTATTGGATAAAAGAAATATAAAATACAACTTGATGACGAGTCCTCAGTTTCTTCTAAGCTCACGTACAAATAGCCCAGAGATCATATCTTTGCCAACTTTCACGCTATATGACCACAAACCTATTTTTGCATGGTGCTTCTCTGTGATTTTCTGACGATAAAGAGGACCTAAGTACCCTCGCACTGAATGACTGCTGTGGATACACCTGACCCAAGAACAAACCAACCGTTTACTCAGGTGGTTACAGCTTGGCCAGGAAATGAGCAACGTCAGTACGCACGTCTAGCGGGCCTAAAATGTTCTGGGACTAACATCTCCTCACTTCCTCCCCCAGCCCTTCACCAGGTATTCCTTCATTCTCTTTGAGGCATGGATGTCCTCCTCCCCACAGCACCTGCCCACAATATGTGTTTAAGACACTCTTCCACATGATACAGACTAACAGGAACATCACTCTACACAATCAGAACCTGCTTGTGCCGAAGTCTGAAGCTGATATCCCAGCCCAGGCCGCATCCCTGAAGTCCAGACCTGATCTTCACTGAGGCATCTCACAGATATCCTGATGGAGCATGTCTGAAGCTGAGTGCCCACATCTGGCCCTGCCAGACTTCCCCATCCCAAAGACAACTTCTTCTAACTGCTCAGGCCAAACCCTTGGTCCTCCTTGACTCCTCTCCTGCATACCCCATCTAGTCCATCTGTAAATCATCTCATCTCTACCCTCTTGATAAAAACTAGAATTCAGTCTCTCCTGCTACCTATGCTGACGGGACTGTGGTTCCAGCCACCATCACCTGGGAGGTCACCCGGATTGGTGCCATCCTGTCCTCTTTGGTTTCCGTGCTTTTGCCCTTGAGTCTTTCAGTCTATACTCAAAACACAGCCAAAATGATCCTGTTAAAACTTACATCACATCCCTTCTCCCCTCTGCCCAAACACCCTCAGAGGCTCCATATCACTTGGAGGAAAAGACAGGACCTACAGGACCACCTGATCTCGCTCCCCACGACTCCCTGGCCTCACTTCCTATTATTCCCCATCTCTTCCAAGGGTCATGGGTTTCATTCTAAGACATTAGGTAAAATCAGAGTCAGGAGGAAAATGACCAAAATCAGCCTTGCGTTTCAGAAAAAAACAGTCTGGAGAAAAGCAAGGATAGACTGGCCAGGAGCTGCTGCAGTGATCCAGGTGAGGGATGTGGACAGCCTGGGCTAATGGTGGTGGGCAAAGAGAAAAGCCAAGATTCTGGGGTTAGTAAAAGGAAGATGAACCAGATGTGACAGATGATTAATGGCAGGGAGTGGGGACTCCAACTGCCAGAGGCTTTCCTGGAGGCTGGTCTTTAAGGCCACTCTACCACCATTGTTCTCCCCAGCCCTAATCTCACCCTTTAATCTACAAAATATCCCTCTCAAACCATCTAGTTCAATCAGCCAAGCATGAAGAACCTCAGGGACAACTAATTTCCATTTGAGTCTCATGAGAACTTACACATATGAGGCCATCCACTCTGGTTTCTATTTGCTAGAAAATGAGAGACTATGCAGAGCTGACCACTGAATCCCTCTCTTGTGCCACGAACTCAGGAGCACGAAGCCCTCAGCTGTACCGCTGTGCAGGACACTTCCTTCTGCCTCTACCCTGGCTATACTGAGTCGGTTCAACAGACTACAGCTAATGAAGACCAAATTCACAGTTGCTTTATCAAGGGGAAGGGATGCAGATAAACAAACCAGAACGCTTGTTCCTCCAAGCCTTCTGGTTGTGGGTAGCAGAGAATACACAGAAACTTAGTATTTTCACGTTAGGCAAAACTCAACTGCATTGTCACGGTGGCAAAACAGCCTCACTGCTTTACTGCACGTGTTAAGTGCTGCCAGTACTTGCTGAACAACCAGCGGAGATACAAGTGATGCAACTCTTGGGTGAGACCAACTGACCAGCTGCACTGGAAAGACTTACCCGGCTGCCCACATGGGCCAGGCATGAACATCTACTAAGGGATCTGTGTCCCATGTCAAGGGCCAAAAAGGGAGAGGAATCTGGGGCTAAGTCCTATTATTAAACTGGTAGCTCATCTAGAAAGTAGCTGCATCACTGACTCACACAATTCAGGCTTTGAAGGAACCTTACAAGTATACAGTCCCAGTGCCCATCCTCTGGCTAGTTAGACGTAATGTGAGTAGAAAGTTCTCTCCAATTCCTTGGAGAGGATCTTCCCCTCCACTCAACCCCTACATGTTCTCTGATTGGTAAGTTCAAGCTGACTCCGACTTCCCATCCTTTTATCATCCCAACACTGGAGAGGATGGCTTTCCCAAAAGGATCCTTTAGAAAAACAAAACCCATAGCCAATATTATCACGGGTCCTTATCACTGACAGGTAAAATGGTGGCTGCCTTGGAAGCTGTGGCAATTTTTAATGCATGAGAGACAACAAATTATCTTAACTTCCTATCAGGAGGAAGTACTTTAAGCAATTCTTTAGTAGCAGGGATTGTTGAGGGTTATTCTTATCCCGATTCCGCTTGCCTGGGGTCACGGATGCAATCGTGTGAGGAAAATGGTGGTAACAACTTGAGACAGCTACTTTCAAACCGGGTTAACACACACTTCATAATGGGGCCTAGGCCATAATAGGCACTCAGAAAATGCTGTTTAATCCTGTTATTGATCACAGACCTCTAAGAACAATACCAGCAGGCTAGACCAAGTACTCAATTGCAGGGTCCAGCACGAATTGGAAATGCAAAGCTCCTTATCAAAAAATTCTTAAGAGTTTCTGATGGCAACAGCAGAGCATGAAACCAAGCACAGGGCCCTGTGTGGCAACACTAGTCGCACACCCACGAGGCAGGCCCTGTCACCAGGTAAGTTCTCCTGAGAACTTGCCCATGGGCCTTGCCAGGAGTCAGCCTAAGAGTATTGCCTTGATGTTGTCAAACACCTCACCTAATGCCACACTAGGCAGCAGCATGCTTGTATGAAGAACCCAGCCAGTGGAGTGGATGCATCTCAGTTCAAATTCCGCATCTCTTCACTGGCTGAGCCGGGACCTGTGACTTCTGAACCACTTCAAGTCTCAGCCTCCTGATCTGCTAAGTGGGGAACTGCCATCTTCTCTGCAGGGCATCGTGAGGTTTCAACAAAACAGTACAAGGAAAATGCCTAGACACACAATTTGTTCTCAACAAACCTGGGTCCCATTTCATTTCAAAGATCACCGTATTTCCCCAGCCTCTTAAATAATCCAAACGCAACACGCAATACGGGGGCCACTCACAGATGGGCTGCTGAGCAACTGAAATGTGGCTAATACAAACCGAGATGTGCTGTGGCCATAACAAATTCCAACACGATTTTATAGACTTAATGTGAAGAAACTAAAATACCTCATTAATATGTATCAATTACATGTTGAAATAATTTTATGGATACACTGGGTTAAATAGAATGCATTATTAAAATTAACTTTAGGCCAGGTACAGCGGCTCATGCCTATAATCCCAGCACTCTGGGAGGCTGAGGTGGGAAGACTGCTTGAGCCCAGGAGTTAGAGATCAGCCTGGGCAACATGGCAAAACCTCATCTCTACAAAAAAATACAAAAATTAGCCAGGCATAGTGGTGCATGCCTGTAGTCTAAGGTACTTGGTGGGGTGGGGGCTGCAGTGAACCATGATCACGCCACTGTACTCCAGCCTGGGTAATAGAGTGAGACTCTGTCTCAAAAATAAATAAATAAATAAATAAATATTTAAAAATGAAAACTAAAATTAACTTTGCTTCACTTTTTTAAAGTAGT
Source organism: Homo sapiens (assembly GCF_000001405.40). Lineage (NCBI taxonomy): Eukaryota > Metazoa > Chordata > Mammalia > Primates > Hominidae > Homo > Homo sapiens. The sequence goes on along the minus strand of NC_000013.11, from coordinate 111,163,506 downwards.
TACTAAAAAACTTAAAATCGCATCTGTGGCTCCCAGTATATTCCTACTGCACAGTGCTGATCTAGACAAAGAAGACATTCCAAAGATCTGAAACGAAGGGGGAAGTCTAGCTGTCTACACTAGAAAAGCAGCCTGGATAACCAGAACACTTCATGTTCACCCAGCAAGACAGTACAGCAAGGCACTAAGGTACAAGACAGAGGGCCATCTCTTGACACTTCTTGCCAGGTGAAATTAAAACACAATTACAGTATCTGAATGGAAACTGTCTTTCTTTAAACTACCTACAAAATGTTCAGGGAATAGTTACTCATTTCTTCTCCCAAACAATATTTTTACTTAACTTCCTTAACTAAAGTCCTACACAGGAATAAGCTTCAACAGCTTATTCAATGAATCAGTCAATAAACACTATGTTGTGACCAACCGTTTCACGCTTGGTATCAACAGTATAGAAGGGTGCCCAGCTAAAAAGAATGCCTCAAACATATCTTTGGTGCTTATAAACCTTCAATGCCAAGTTTCAATAAACAGTTTACCTCCTCATCTGTCTGAATCTAGAACAAAGACAACACTTGGCTGGGCGTCCCATCCCAGACTATAGATTTACTTCTGTTTTTATTGCAATTAATTATTAAGCCTGCATCAACAAGTTTTGAGTTTCAGTAAGTGGTTCCCACATTTTAATTCTTTCAAAAGTGTTAATATTTTTAACTATTCTTGTGGGTGAAATCCTAATCACAATCTTGGCTAAAAAAAATCTAAAAGAGAACTGAGCATTAGGCAGAGCAGTATAATAAAAGAACTTGTCCTTCAGAAATACACAGGGAAGATGAGTGTTTCAGAAACAGGTAAGGCAATTTCTTTTCCAAAACCTCTCACTCACTAAATTATCCCAGCTCCTTACGATGCTGGACTGCCCACCTGAACTCCTTCTGAAGTCTCTCGACTGTAAAGTGAGAAAATGAAAACCTGCCCTCTCACCTTTGCAGACCGTCTCAAGATGCATTTACAGCCAGAACTCCAGCTTGTACAGAGTGGCCCAAGAATGTCCCACCCAGTGCCATGCAAGGTTACTTGTGCAACAGCTGATAACACTGCAAATTTCTAGGGTTTTCAACTTTTATTTCCAATTCTAGCAGCTTTTCTTTCACATCCTCTTTCAAAAGTCCAATGCAGGAAATGTTGACTGACTTACATTTATTTTAGTTTGCAATCTCCCCAGAAATATAAAGCACTGTGGAAGATATAAGATAGAAAAGCCAAAATGTTTATCCATAACAAGTTTTCCATCTTCCTAAGGGAAAGAAAATATATAAAAGATTCAAGACAGCTGTCCACAGGACATCCATAGGACAGGAAGGAGTACTCTCATGTACTGCTACTGGCAAAAGTTCTCTGGAAGCTGTATGGTAGCAGGTGTTCAAAGCCTTTGAAAGCCCCCACCTTTGGCCTTGCAGTGCCCTATCAGGGAATTTGTCCTACAAAGAAAATCAAGGATTAAGGGTGTGGTACAGAAATGTCCATTGCACAGTCCACTGTTCACAACCGTGGAAACTTAGAATCCACCTCTGTATCCAAAAATGGGGATTATTACCAGGAACTAAGAGGCAGCCATTAAAATCAGTAGTAAAATAATTATTTAACATGGGAAAAGACTCACACTGGATCAAATTAAAGCATGTTATAAAACATTACATGTATCTATGATGTCATGGATATTTTAAAAATATATTTACATATTTGCAATGGTTAAAAAAAAAATTACCAAAAAAGAAATACTAATTTTAACACTGGTATCTCTAAACGGTAGCATTATACAGCTTTTCATTTTCTTCTTACATAGCTCTATTTACTGCAGTTTAAAAAATGAATATGGAACCCTGGGTAAAGATTTAAAATATACCATATGGCTCCAACTACACGAAAGAATAATAATGCAAATGATAATAACAGCTATTGTCTCTTTGGCACCTCCAACTTACCAGGCACTGTTCTAAGAGTTTTGCATGAATTTATGTAATCCTCACGACAGACACAAAGGGCAAGCACGTGTGACACCCATTTTCCTGATGGCACAGCTGGCGAGTGGCAACACAGGACAGCAACCCAGGAAAGGGGTTGGGGTCAGGCACTACATTCCCTCCCCCTATACCGTCCCCCGCAAAGCAAATACCTGATAATCATGGGCAGCTACCAGGAGTGAGCAATAACCCTGAATCAAAAAAGGAGAAATCAGCTGAAGATCAAAGTCACAATTACTAGCTGTGAGTGTGCCAAGCTAACCATTTAGCACCCATGCCACAAGCATGCTCTGTGCTACTCAGCATCATGTACACATTCTCAGAAGTGACACAAGTTGACATCAGAAGTGTTTTGTATTTCAGATTTAGGGATATTTTCATTATAGTTATCAGTTGAGCATCTCAAATCCTGAAAATCCAAAACACTCCAATGAGCATTTCCTTTGAGTGTCACATTGGTACTCAAAGAATTTCAGATTTTGGAGCATTTTGGATTTTCAGGTTTGGCATGTACATTAGTCCACGTTCACACTGTTACAAAGACATACCCAAGACTGGGTAATTTATAAAGAAAAGAGGTTTAAATGACTCACAGTTCCACATGGCTGGTGAGGCCACAGGAAACTTACAATCATGGCGAAAAGCACCTCTTCACAGGGCAGCAGGAGACAGAAGGGTGAGGAGCAAAGGGGGAGGAGCCCCTTATAAAACCATCAGATCTCCTGAGAACTCCCTCGTTATCACAAGAACAGCATGGGGGAAATCACCCCCATGATCCCATCTCCTAGGATTCTACTGGATCCAGCACTGTCCAATAGATTTTTTTTTTCTTTGTAGAAATGAGGTTTTGCCACGTAGCCCAGGCTGATCTCTAACTCCAAATCTCATCTTGAATTGTAATCCCCATAATCTCCTGGGTCTCTCCCTAGGTCTCTCCCTAGACGTGGGGATTATGCAGATTACAATTCAAGATGAGATCTGGGTGTGGACACAGGCAAACCGTATCAGTCAGCATGCTTAACCTGTACTGTTAAAACATCCAAGGTGATCCACAGATTCAATGCAATGTCTACCAAATTTACAATGGTATTCTTCACAGATATAGAAAAACAATCCTGAAATTCACATGGAATCACAAAAAAAAAAAACCCCAATAACTAAAGCATTCTTGAGTAAAAAGAACAAAGCTGGAGGCATCACACTACCTGATTTCAAAGTGTATTACCAAGCTATAGCAGCCAAAACAGCATGGCACTAGCATAAAAGCAGACACACAGACCAACAGAGCAGAATAGAGAGCTGAGAATTAAACTCACATGATACAGTCAATAGACCTTTGACAAAGGTGCCAAGAACACCCAATGGGAAAAGGACAGTCTTCAACATATGGTGCTGGGAAAATTGGATATCCACATGCAGAAAAATTAAATTGGAACCTTGTCTCACAACACATACAAAAATGAACTCAAAATGGACTAAAGACTTAAATGTAAGACCTGAGACTATGAAACTACCAGAAATAAGCACCATGGAAAGCTCCAAGACATTGGTCTGGACAATGAGTTCTTGGATATGACCCCAAAAGCACCGAAAACAGAGGCAAAAATAAGATAAATGGGATTTCATCAAACTGAAAAGATTATGCACAGCAAAACAGAATTAAGAGACAACTCACAGAACGGAAAGAAAGTATTTGCAAACCATACATCTGATAAGAAGCTAATATCCAAAATATATTTAAAAACTCAGTAACAAAAAAAAACCTGATTAAAAAATGATGAGCAAAGGACCCAAACAGACATTTCTCCAAAGACATACAAATGGCCAACAGATTAGAAAATGTTCAACATCACTAATGATCAGAGAAATGCACATTCAAATCATGAGAGCATCTCACAACTGTAGAATGGCTATTATCAAAAAGATGAAAGGCGACAGGTGTTGGCAAGGATGTGGAGAAAAGATAAGCCTTGCACATTGTTGGTGGGAATGTAAATTCCTGAAGCCATTCTGGGAAACAGTATGGAGGTTCCTCCAAAATCTAAAAACAGAATTATCATATGATCCAGCAATCCCACTACTGGGTATATAGCCAAAGAAACTAAAATCAGTATGTTGAAGAGATGTCTGCACTCCCATTTTCATGGCAGCACTATTCACAACAGCCAAGATATAAAATCAATCTAAGTGTCCACTGAAAGATGAGAGAATAAAGAAAATGTGGGATATATACACAATAGAATACTAGTCAGACTTTTAAAAAAAGGAAATCCTGTTATTTGCAACAACAATGAATGAACCTGGAGAACATTGTGCTAAGAGAAAGCAGGGCACAAAAAGACAAATACTGCACGATCTCACCTATATGTAAAGTGTAAAAAAGCTGAACTCACAGAAGCAGACAAGAGAATGGTGGTTACCAGATGCTGAGGAGGCTGGGAAGGAGGAAACAGGAGCTAGACAGGGAAAGGGGAGATGTTAGTCAAAGGGTACAAAATTTCAGTCGGACGGGAGGAATAAATTTTAGTGATCTATTGTACAGCAGGTGACTACAGTTAACAATAATTTAAAGTATATTTCAAAATTGCTAAAAGATTAGATTTTAAATGTTCTTACCACAAAGAAATAAGAAGTATGTGAGGTAACGGATATGTTCATTCCCGACTTAATCATTCCACAATGCATTCATATACCATAACATAATGATGTTACTCCATAAATACATGCAACTATTTGTCAATTTAAAAACAAAATATAAGAATTAAAGAAAAGAAACTGGATATGAGGCAAGCTTTATGTGACTAGCTGGTCTACATTTCATGCTCTGTTGATCTGAGAGACCAAAAGCCAACCAAAAACTTCCAAGGGTGAGGATGAGAAAAGAGCAGATTTCTGTTCTGAACCACCTGGGCCTTTGGATGCTTTCCACTTTTCCAGAAAAACAGTTAAATAAATGAACAGCAACTGTGAAACCTGCAGATAATTTTAGTATTAGTTGCAGTGCCAAGGAGCTGGAAAGATCAATTATTAATATATTAGGGTTACCATCCCTATCATATCAAACATAACTATTCCAGAAATGGTCTATGACAAGAAAGAGCTGTGGTTTCCTTACACTTGACAAATTGGCTTTATTCCCTCTTGGCAACTATGAGAACAGGCTCACCCAGTTTCATCTGAAATGTTTTGTTTTCCTTTCAAGTAGTGATGGTAACACTGTATGTGAGCCCACAGTCAATTCTTAAGCAAAAAAGCCTCATTAATATCAAACTATCCATCAAGATTACCCTTTTCTATTATGTATGAATATAGCTAAGTATCAAGAACAGTAGACATCTTTCTTTCAAACAGAACTAAGTTAAAATCCATAGCTTTATTATAATAATTTTGTTGCTAATATTCCTGAAACCACGTTATTAATGTGAGCTTAATAATGTATCAATTAACTGGAATCTTATATCCTTAACTTTCAGCTCTTGAAATAAAAAACTGGTAAACATGTTACAGGCGTGATGGCTTTAACCAAACAAGCTTTCTCCTAGGAACATAAAATCTGCTTTTGCCAGTTACATTTCACCTGCTTCCCTAGTTGTCAGATGCCTAATCAGACAATGTTGCATAGGGTGGGAACATCTTGGAAGCTAATTCATTGTGACCTTTTCAGTGAACAAGCATGTGCACACACACACATGCACACATACACATCCTACAGTAGCTACAACACTTGAATCAGAATTCCACAGTAACATAGCAAAATACTGGAAACAGAAATCACTCTGAATTTCTCTGTAGCTGTTTACCTAAGAAAATGCAAAGAAATGTCCTATCACTTGCTTGGTTTGCCTCAGTAAGTTACTTATCCTCAAGTGAAATTCTACAAACATCATCATCATCATCATTTTTTTTTTCTTTTTTTGAGACGGAGTTTTGCTCTGTTGTCCAGGCTGGAGGGCAGTGGCGTGATTAGTAGAGATGGGGTTTCACCATGTTGGTCATGCTGGTCTCAAACTCCTGACCTAAGGTGATCTACCCGCCTCAGCCTCCCAAAGCGCTAGGATTACAGGCATGAGCCACTGCACCCAGCCAACATCATCATTATTCTTATTAATAATTATTATTTTGGTTGCTTTTGAGATACAAATAGAAATTGTGTGCCTAGGGGTTTTTTGCCCTAACTGGAAAAAAAAAAAAAATTTAAGCATGCCAAGTAAAAAAGTTATAAGAAAATGAAGTCATCCAAGTTGCACTGCTTTCCAACAGTAATTAAATTTTTTTAATTTTCCAAATTTCAAAGTTTTCCAGCTTAAAACCCAGTGCTTCTCAAAGTTTACCAATAAATGCGACTCACACAATATTCCTTTAAAACCAATTTATAAAAATATTTTCATAATCAAAACAATTGGGGGATAATATCTGATTTTCTACAGGTAATTAAGGAGGGCATGCACCAAAACAGCTGACATATTAACCAAGTTTACTTCCTTTTTCCCTTTAACAAATCTTAGCAGAGCTTAAACTGACAGTAAATAAGAATATATACACCAAAAACAATCTGTTACAAACACAATTCAGTCTAAACTAACCCCTGGAAGAAAAGCACCTTGACATTTACAACTATAGAACAAAAGCTAATCTAGAATTTAAGCTATTAGTTTTAAGTTTTGTGTCTGTAGTTTCAAAACATTTCTTATCAATTTCCCACCTTTCAGAATTTTGTGAAAATGAAATGTGTAAATCCCACAACATATTTCACAAGTGCAAGGCCCTTCCCTCCTGACTCCCTAAGCAATTCTTAAACACTGGGAAATTGCTGCACTGTGGCCCGCATGGGAGATGACCAAGTCCTTCAGGGCCCAGCCCTGTCCCTTCACATCACCTTACAAGGCTGGAAGCCAGAGCTGGATGCATAGCATACAAAATGACTTCTCAGGGTAACTTCCCAAAAAACACAATGACTGAACAATTTATCAGGTTTTTCATGTGCTGTTTTCATATTTTCATTTTTATTATCTCCTAGGTAATTACAAGTGTGACTCACACTAAGCTTGAAGAATGCTAACATTTGCCTCTTGCTTAAATTTACTGGAAGAGATATTTACTCTTTAAAAATAGCACAAAATAAGTCAAAACTAATTTTTTACTTTAAAATGAAACTCACTTGCTATCACTTACAACCTCAAGTTCATTCTATTAGTAACAAATATTTATTGAAAGCCTATTATGTGCCAAGCACTATTGTAGATGCTTGGAATATGTTAGTGAAAACTCTCTTCCAGAAAACCTTCAAATAAACTCTTAATTATAAAAACAATAGTTACTGTATGAAATGTCAGCAACCTTTGGAAAACTAAAAACGGTAAGTTTTTAACATTCAATTTACTTTTTTTTTTTTTTTTTTTTTTGAGGGAGTCTTGCTCTGTCACCCAGGCTGGAGTGCAGTGGCAATCTCAGCTCACTGCAACCTCTGCCTCCGGGGTTCAAGGGATTCTCCTGTCTCAGCCACCTGAGTAACTGGAACTACAGGTGCACGCCACCACGCCGGGCTAATTTTTGTTTTTGGGTTTGTTTAAGTATAGACAGGGTTTCACCATGTTGGCCAGGCTGGTCTCGAACTCCCGACCTCATGTGATCCACCCGCCTCGGCCTCCCAAAGTGCTGGGATTACAGGCGTGAGCCACCACACCCAGCCTCAATTTACTTTAAAACAAAACTTTTTTAAAAAGTTTTACACTAAAGTCAGATAATCTTAATGTGCCAATTGAGTTTCAAAAGTATGTTAACGTAAACAAAACTCAGTAGTTTCAAGAGGATAATATAATAAAATCCCTCACAAAGGTGAAGAAAAAGTAAAACCTGCCACTAGCAAGGCATATTATCACAGCCAATAAGGCAGCTGGATTACAAATGACAAAGCTGATACGACAAAGGGTATCAGGGAAAGACTACTGAAACACTGTCTTTTTCCCCTTTGAAAAGGCCCTAAGTTTCTTGGAATCTCCCCTAGCACTTTCACTTACGTGTAATAATTTCCTTGCCAACATGAAATACTACCAACAATAAATTTCTTTGTGTTTACAATCATAAACAACGCCAGTAATACTTTAATCTATGAATTCCTACATGTCTAATTCAATTAAATAAACTTTCCATGTAACCTGCCCTCACAGATTTGATGTTCTAGGTTTTCCGAGAAACCTATAGCAAAATATTCTTCGGGAAGGGAAACCTCTGTTGGGTTATCCTACATAACAGGTTCTACAAAGATGCTTTCATATACAGTTGTCCCTTTTTATCAGCAGGGAATTGGTTCCAGGATCCCGGTGGATACCAAAACCCTCAGATGCTCAAGTCTTTTATATAAAATGGCATAGTCCCGTAAACATTAAATCATCTCTAGGTTTCATACACTACCTAGTACATTATAAATGATATGTAAATAATCATTATACTGTGTTGTTTTTTATTGTTTTTTTTTAATTGGTTTCCCCCTCCTCCAGTATTTCCAATCCAAGGTTGGCTGAATACACGGGTGGGTAACCTTGGATACGGAGGGCCGACTGTACTCTTATCTGGGAGCTTGATATTGCCCATCTCAGTTTACAGATAAGAAAACTAAGGTTAAGAGTGACAAAGTGGCAACATAAACGGCAGGACTTAAGTACAGGACTGACTGCAACCACTTAAGCAGATCCCAAGAAAAGCAAAGCTAGATTTCTGTATTTAAAGTGCTACCCCAAGTGTAGGAAGAATCGCAATAGCAAAATAAAATGAAAGAGTTAAATTCCCAGAAACTGCCACTGAAAGACTGAAAAGACAATGTTTAGTAAAGTGACACAACATTTTACAACAGGGAATCGAGACCCCGCCCAGTATGTTCCCCGACAGCATGTTTTATAAACGTCACATACTGGTTAATGTGAATTCTCTGGACATTAAGTGTTGAGGGTACGGAAAAACCACCGAATTTCTGGTCTCAGGAAGAAAAAGCAGAGAAAGGAGTGCGGCTGGGAGAAGCAGGCGGAGGGCTGGCCCATTTTATTTCTGCACGACTTTGCCTGATCACCTGCTGAGGATTCTAAGGCCTGACCCAGACCTAGATGCCAGCCCTTAGATGACAATCTCTAAAAGCAGAGTTCATGCTGAGGCAGGTGCCAAGAAATCGGTTCACACCCCTGATAAACGGTTGTTGAAAATGTGTGTCACCTGCACCACCAGCGACCAGAACCACTCTTCCTCACTGGAACGAGAGCAATGTCTGGGGTTCCACACGCAGACTCCACCCTGCCCTGGGGGTGGCCCGCGCGCCGCCACCTCCCGGCCATTACCCAAACCCGCAACGCCCCGTTCCACACATCCCGGACTCTCGAGCAGCCGGGGAGGGTCGGATCCGGGCGCGGAGGAGGCAGGAGGTCCGGCTGGAGCGAAGCACCCACCCCGGGCCCAACCCCGTCTTCCCGGCCCCTCCCTCGGCCCGTGGCCGCCCGCGCTCACCTCCAGCCGCAGGGAAGCCCCGCAGCCGCGCAGGAACTCGCGGATGTTGCTCAGGCACTCGCTCTCGCTCCGGGGCTCGGGGTAGACCTGCAATACAGAGCACAAGCGCTGAGCGCCGTGGCCGGCAGCGGGGACGCCGCGGACAAGGCCGAGCGACGCCCACGGCCCGCGCTCCCAACACAGCGGGCGACGCTGGCGAGCGGCCCCCGACGGCCTGGAGCGAGCCCGCTGCCCCAGATGCCAACCCGCTCAGCCGCTGCTTCTCCTCACCCTTTTTTCTTCCTCCGGGGCTGCACCAATCTCTGCCCCTTCCCGCACCAGGAAGTGAGCCCCGGCGCCGGAAGTGACGTCCTCAGACCGCGCCCCCGCCGGCCCGCGCGGGACGTCTTCGGATAGCGTCGGGTGTTCGCCCCCGCGGACGCAGCCCACCCTGCTTTGCCGGCGAGCTGCCACCTCCTCTGGCCCAGTGCTGGGCCTCGGTCCGGTAGAGGGAGCCCACCGGTTGGCCCCGCGCGCGGCCACCGCCGCCTCCTCCTGTCCAGTCTTCGGTCTCTACCCTAGCCCCGCGGACGCAGCCGACAAGGCCCGGCTCCGCGCTCGGCCTCCTCCCTGCTCCAGGTCCTTGGCCTGGCCCCGCAGACACAGCGCACCCGCTCGGCCCCTAGCGCAGACACCGCCGCCTCTTGGCGCCAGGTCCTCGGCCTCTCCCAAGTGGACGCAGCCTGGCCCAGAGGGGCCCCAGAGAACTCGGGCGGCTTGAGTAACCCCTGATCGTTGGGAGAGAACCTGGGATTTTTTCCCTTCTTTCTAGCCTAGGCTCATGGAGAGCGCAGTTACTATTCTAATGCAATGACTTAAAATAATTAAGCAACATAAATTATGCATGTTGGGATTAAGGTGCAATGTTTTCCCAAATATAAGCCACGCGCTTCATGAATGATTAACCGAAATAGTTAACATGAAAACCAGTAAGTCAGCTGAGAAGAAATTGTGGATCCACCGCAGTGGAGGAGCGCAGGAAGGCGCCTACAGACTCCCTAGTGCTTTAGTCCAAGGTAGAATTGTGAGGGCCACCAGCAACACATGTAAGGTGTTTGGACCTTACCCACGGCAAGAAACTAAGGAAACCAGAAACAGTACCAATTACTAGAAAATTTTAAGAAGCCTGAGGCATACGAAAAACTTTATTTTGTTTTTTGCTCTAAGGATTATTTTAACTGTAAGAAAACTTATGTTCCAAATTACATGTGAAGACATTAAGCGTTGACATTTAAACTAATGCGTCATCTAGAACTCTAGCATTTGAGGACATTAAAGGCATTTTTGTCCTTCTGTACTGTAGGAGAAAATCACGACATTTCACCAGGCTACTCAGGAATACTGTGGTTTCATTTTATGGTGCTCAGGTGTTTTAAAATTATACATCAAAACCAAGTGTTCAGCAATGCCAAAAGGGATGAAATGAAGCTTTTTTCTTTCTATAGTTGAAAAATTCCTTCAAGCAAGTGCTGACATGTTTCCATCGAAACTGTACATTTTTTCAGTGGAATGGCAAAAGCAAAGCTGCTTCCTAATCCGTTTTGCTCTTTAAAATAATTTTCAAAAATTATCACATATCTAGGTAATACCTAATTTTTTTCTTCATAGTTTTAAATAGTTGTAAAGGATGTAATTTCTGACATTCTGATGACATTTTTAAATTAAACCATTGCATCCTTTATAAAAAATATATCCAATAGAATCTAAGTGTAATAGAAACATAATACCCATTTCTCCATCTAAAAAGTTTCTGAACAAGTCAGACATTAATTCTTTCTCCTTTAATTCATTCCACTTCACCCAAAAAGTTGTATCCTCATATAGTCTATTTTTATGCTTGAAACACACTCTTTTTTGGCAAGTAACCTCTACAAATACAGTCAATCATCATTCAAAGAGTCTGTATTTATGAACTCAGCTACTTGGCTAAAAATTATGTGTAACCCAAAAATCAATACTTGAAGCACTCTCAGTCATATATGGACACAAGCAGAACAGTGAAAAATTTGGATCACCTTATGTACACGTTCCCAGCTGTGCTTGAATAAGGCCATGCTCTGCCTTTTTTTTTTAGTTCTCATTCTGTAAACATATGTCCTCTTCTCACTCTACTTAGTGTCACATTTTTCAAATTTCTATGCTTTCCGATGGTGATTTCTGTTTCAAATGGCCCCCAAACGTAGTGCTGAAATGCTGTCTAATGTCCCTAAGCGCAAGAAGGCTGTGATGTGTCTTAACAGAGAAAATACATGTGTTAGATAAGCTTTGTTCGGGCATGAGTTATAGTGCTGTTGGCCATGAGTTCAATGTTAATGAATCAACAATACAGTGCATTCACATCTGTACATGAGGCTGCTCCAGAAAGTGCTAAAGTAACATCTATAGTGTGTGATGAAGCTATGGAAAAGATGGAAAAGCAGCTAAAATTGTGGATTCATGAGACGACAACCAATAAAAAAAGTCATATATGGACTTTTGTAGTGTAGTGAGCAGTATTGTTGTGAGGCTGAAAGCCAAAGAAATTTACAGCCATGTTACCCAAGGTCAGGAAAATATTAAACCCTTCTCAGCCAGTGCAGGCTGGCTGGCACGTTTCAAAAGGCGGTACAGCATGAAATCAAATTTTAAACTTGCAGGCAAGGCAGGTTCTGCCATAAGGAGGCTGCGGAAGAATTTTTAAAATGTCTGCTAAGTGTTATACGTGAAAAGGGTTAAAGGGTTATGGTAAAGAGCAGGTTTTCAATGCTGATGAGACTGCTTGTTTTATAAGAATGTTGGCAAATGAACCTATGTAATGTAAATGGTCACACGAGCCCCTGACTTTAAAGCATTCAACCTTGCTATTGTGCACCAATGCCAAGGGCGACTTTAAGTGCAAACCTCTGATGGTGTACAGAGCCCAAAACCCATGAGCCCTTAAAGGGAAAAATCTGAACTGCATGCCAGTCCATTGGCGGTAGAACAGAAAAGCATGGCTGGTATCTGAAATATTCTGGGATTGGTTCCACCACTGCTTCATTCCAGAAGTTGAACGATATCTCTAGGGCAAAAACCTTGCTTTCTGGGTCTTATTAATTTTGGATAATGCCCCAGTTCATTGCACGATGAACTTGAAAATGCTCACCCCAACAAAGAAGTTCTTTTCATGCCCCCAATACTACATCTCTCGTCCAGCCCCTCAGGGCATAATACAAACTTTCAAGGCACACTACACGAGGGAACTTTATTGTAAAGCTTGTGAGGCTCTTGACGCCAACAAGGAAGCCACCATGACAGACTACTGGAAATCACTCACTATACGCAGCATTATTGATTATGTTGGCACAGCGTGGGACAGCATCAAGCAGGCTACTATCAATAACTGCTGGGAAAACATTTGGCCAGACTCTGTGAAAACTTTTCAAGGCTTTGAAGGTGTTTCAGAAAATATAAAAAACAATGTAAAAAAACAATGCATATTGCAAGGCAAATAAGTGGAGAAGGTTTCAATGACATGAAGGAAGAAGATGTGGAGGAAATTTTGTCAGAGAAGGCAGTAGAACCCACAAACAAAAACCTGGATGAGATGGCAAAACATGGGAGCATAGTCAGGGATGAAAGTCACCCTAAGACTCCAAGAATTGTCCTTCTCACAGCAGCCAAAATATCAGAATAGAATTCTGCCTTGGAAAACATTTTCAATGACATGGAAGAATGTGACCCTGTACTTGAACGTGGCCTCACATTTAAGCACCTCACTTCCACTGCATTTATCCCTTATTCTGAGATGCTTAAAGATTTGAGGCAAAAAGCCAGGCAGACAAGGCTGAACCAATTTTTCTAGCCAGTTTGAGAGACAGTTGCCAACACCATCAACAAGTTGCAAAAGACAAACTCCTAAGGTAGCTCTGCCAGATCACAATGTGCTGCTCTTACTGACATCTTCCTCTTGTGCAGGGTGAGTTCCACCAGCCTCTTTTGATTTTCATGGGGCAAGCTAAGGTTGATAGGGTAAACCACAGTGCACTCACTGACCATCACACATCCTGCAGCTCCATTACAGTAAGACTTTAGTTAATGTGTATAAAACTTTAAATGCTTAATCTTCACTTAATGCTTTTTTCAGGACTTTATGTATTTGTTATTACTGTGCTATACAGTATAAAGCATGTTCACAGTATTCCGTGTTATGTGAGTACTGTATATGTATGTGTATTGTGTGCATGTGTGTACTTATGACTGAGAATTAAACTAGTACAGTCATAGGAGTACATAATGCTGTAACTGAAACACAGTGTTTATTATAAAGAAATACTGCATATGAGTACTTGTAAGAAATTTATATTAAATAAGCTATCTTCAAACAAAAATACACATAAAACAAGGTTATGTATTGATTGGTTGGCAAAATGTTCTGGCCAGAGTCTTCGTGGATCCTAACGCTATATTTCTCCTCAGAGCAGTGTTGCATTTGTCAGTAATTCAATGATCAAGGTAACTTTCTAGAACATAACTACCACAAATAATGATAATTGACTCTACATTTAAGAGTATTAAGCCATAAGAATCTAATTGCTATGATTTTTTTCTGAACTGAGTTAACACAACTATTATGAGTACACAAATGATGAAAACAATATGTTACCATTTTTATAAATTATTACATATAAAAAGCAAAGTTTTATCTGGAAGTGTATTTCTTTTTCTTTTCTTTTCTTTTTTTTTTTCAGAGATAGTGGTCTCACTATGTTGCCCAGGCTGGACTTGAACTCCTGGGCTCAAGCAATCTGCCCGCCTCAGACTCCCAAAGTGCTGGGATTACAGGCGTGAGCCATCGCACCCGGACAGAAATGGTTTTTTTAATGAAATGTATAGGGCTTTTTTTTTAGTTTGTTAATTTACCCCTGAATGACTATCACTTTTTGCTAGAGTGAGGTATGGCCCAGCATCGCTTGTTTTCCTGTCTTGGAGGATTTTTATGCAAACCCGGAAAAACTTTGTTCACAAAAATAAATACTTGAAAACGCAAGGAGATTTGTCATGATATATCTTAACTCTTTGAAGTCTTCTGAGTTACATGGACAAAGTCCAGATATGGTCTCTCGTAAGTTAAAAATATTTTAAATCATTTATTAACATCTTGATTAGGTCTCCTTTGATTTCTGTGAAAGCTAAGAAGTGGAAACCCCTGAGTAGCAACATTTCAGTCGTTAAAGTCATTGACTTCTTAATACCATCAATATTTCTCATTGTCTCTTTGTTACATAGCCTGGAAGTTTTCCATCTTGCAGCAGTGCACCTCAGGAAGATGACAGGTGCAAAGTCTGCCTTTCTGTATGAATTGGGAGAATGGCCATCATGAGAGAGGAGATGGGACGGCCCAACCAGCTTCATGTCTTCCATGGCTTGGCACCTTCTAAGGCTAGTCAGTTTTAGGTGACTGTGTATGTAAGTTGAGGGTCTGGAAGTGGATTCCCTTAAAACCATCCTGTGCCTGCATATCCCTTGAAAAATATTTCTGTACATGTACATGGGTACCTGTAGCAAGCTAGGTCAAAGAACACTGTACCTAAAACATACTTGTTTGGAAAACTGTAATGTCAAAGAGTCAAAACTTTATAGTAAGTAGTGCCTGGCTGTATAACAAATATGTTGTGTCACACTGGACAAGTCACTTGACCCCTTGGGTCTATGCCTTTGTCCCTGATTTAAGGCTAACACATCTTTTTGCACAGAGTGGCTGGGAGGATGAAATGGGTAATAAATTAATCCAGCAATATTGGGCTTAGACTCCATGGCAGATGATGGCATAAGCACGGTGAATGCAAAGAGTGAGACGCACAGAAGCTTGCACACAGCATGGCAAGTGTGGCCACGGAGATGTAGACTCAGCACTACAGAAGCATGGCAGAGGGAAACCTAAATTCTGCAGAGATAGGGCAGGGCTAGAGGCTTAACCAGCATAAAAGGTGACCTCGGCTGGGCACGGTGGCTCACGCCTGTAATCCCAGCACTTTGGGAGGCCGAGGCGGGCGGATCACGAGGTCAGGAGATCGAGACCATCCCGGCTAAAACGGTGAAACCCCGTCTCTACTAAAAATACAAAAAATTAGCCGGGTGTAGTGGCGGGCGCCTGTAGTCCCAGCTACTTGGGAGGCTGAGGCAGGAGAATGGCGTGAACCCGGGAGGCGGAGCTTGCAGTGAGCCGAGATCCCGCCACTGCACTCCAGCCTGGGCGACAGAGCGAGACTCCGTCTCAAAAAAAAAAAAAAAAAAAAAAAAAGGTGACCTCTGAGTTGGAAGGGTGAAGAGGCAAATGGAACTGCATCTCAAAGGTGTGCCATTTTGGCAGTCCAGGGTGTTCTCAAGGATGGCGAGTAAAAAAGGGCAGCTGAGATCATGGGTGAAGCTGTGGTGGAAAAACATGTTTGGAATATTGTGATACAAACAAGATGGCTGAAAGTCCCTTTAATATTTCGCTGAAGAAGCTATACAAACGAATGGTCAGTGAGCACGTGAAAAACAGTTCAATCTCTTTAGTCATTAGGGAAATGCAAATTAAAACCACAGATAACACTGCACCCCACCAGAATGGATCAAATGGAAAGGGCTGACAATATATCAAGTGTTGGCAAGGATGTAAAGTAACTGGAATTCCCAGACACGACTAATGGGAGTGTAAATGGTATGCTTAGAAAACTGGCCGTTTCTTGCAAAGTTAAATATACATCTACCCTAAGACCGGCAATTCCTTTCCTAGGTATTTACCCAAGAGAGATGAAAGCATAGGTCCACTGAAAGCCATGTACAGCAATGTTCATAGCTTTATTTATAATCAGCAAAGCCTTCACAATTCAAAGGGGTGGGGAAGTCTGCTTTCTCATGTAGTCTCCAGAAATATTCAGAAAACTCAGGCCTCAAGTGACCAACAACTCTGCCCAGTTCACTTTTCAGAAATCCTGTGCCAAATTCTCCGTGGTAATAAACTCCAGGCTTTTCCATCAAGAACTCTAACCAGGCAGAGACATAGTCCCAGAATCATTACAATTTTCCTTCAAAGTATGCCTTTTGTACTTAATATTTGATAAGCAGTGTGTGTGATATGAAAATTTGCTGCAAATTAATCACAAAGCAACATTAAGGTCAGACTTCAGAAGCATCCACAGCTATCCAGTTTTCATGTCAAGTCCTTACCAACTACTCCAGGGCAGGAACAATCATCTCCACCCTCAACCAAAGCAGAGAGCCGACTAAGACAGCTGCCACCTCTCAGAATTTAAAGACTCTCAAACTTTGAAAGAGTTTGAGTAAAAAAACCACTACAGAAGGAAGAACAAGCAGTATCAGCAAGGCAAATAATTAAACAGGTTCAATGTTATCTCAACAATTAAGATCACCAGTAGAAAATAGTCACATCTGAGAAGTATTTATCTCCCCAGGGAGATTCTGATTCTGCATAGATCTGAAGTACAGCCCAGGAGCCTAGCGTCAGTGTGCACATGTGTGTGTATGTTTAAAGTCTTCATCTGATTCTGATTTTCAGCCAGGTTTGGGAACCACTGGTATGGTATAACTCAGTGTTTCTTAAACATCTACATGCATCAGAATCACCTGGAGTAACACAGATTCAGAAGGTGGGGTGGAACCCAAGAATTTGGATTTCCAACAAGTTCCCTGTAGACATTGATGGTATCAGGACCATACTTAGAGAACCTAGTGGTATATATAGACTGACTCTAGAAGTGTTCTGTTTTTTTCCTACTTGGAGAATAATGCAGACTCCCAACCACAGAATGAAGGTCACCCCAGGTCTTTGCCATCAAATCTCACACCCCAGGTATGAAAGATCACTTCCTCTGAATGCATGTGGTTCTGTCCACAGCTAGACCTACAACACGGCTGGACCTACTTGTGCACATCTCATCTCCCTCATTAGACATAAGCTCCCTAACTGCAGGGCCCACCGATGTCTCATGTTAAACAGTCAGCAACTGTGCACTAAATGACCTAACTCACTTAGGTCACCAAATCCACTCATCACGGAGTAAGTGAAACAAAGAACCTTAGCTGAAAGGGTCACAGAAAACTTTTGAGGTAGTTCTGGTATTTTACAGATGAGAAAACAGGGACTCAGACAGCTGAAATGTCAGGTCCAAAACTACACAGCCCGTGGATTTCACCAACCTGCACCAGCCTCTGAGGACTGCATCAACCAGGCTTCCCTGCTCTCTGGCTTCTGGTGGGGTTGAGCCAATAGGAGGCCCTGGCAGGAAGCAGGGGCCTAGAGCAGTAGATGCTGGAGCTGGCTCACAGTGGGCTGTATGGGTGTCACCCCGTCACACTGGTGCCTTTAAAGCCCTGGTGTAAGTACCTACGGCACAGAAATCAGCAAACGGTACACGCCAGGGCCACCCCTCCCAGACAGCCAGGTGTTTAACATTTACCAACACACCACTCGCGGAAGACCATGGCTCCTGTCAGGCAGCCTCTCCTGTAACTACAGCTCTCACTGGCTGGAGAAACCCTCCTTCCCTTGACCTTTCGCTTCGGGGTCAGGGAGAGTTAATGACTTTTCTGTCATTAACCCATCTCTTCTAGGTTGTCCTTCTTCCTGCCCTCACTTCATAAATCGTCTCATAAACCACCTCTGTTCAGTGTGCCATCTATCTGTTTTCTGCCTGGCCCTAACCTGGAGAGCTTCCTGGCGGCATCTAAAATTAGAACACAATGTAATGGCAAACGATTGGAAACAATCTAGAGGACAGATTAAATGAATTCTAATGCTTCCACAAACAGACTATCACCACTACCATACAGCCTTTAAAAAAGGGGCAGCTTTATATCCTGATATGTCACAATCTCCAAGTTATGTTTGGTGTGGTAGGGAACGTGGGGAACACCGTGGATAATATCTACCTTTTGTGTTTTTAAAAAAAAAAAGCAAGAAGAAAATGTATGTAGGTGTTTAGAAATGCATGGAGCTGTCTCTGCAAGCATATGCCACTTAACAAGAGTTCCCTACGGGGAAAGAGAATTGGGCATGGAGGACAAGGGAACAAGGGAAATTTGCTTTTCTCTCTCTACTTATTGTACCCTTTGAATGTTGTCCCATGTGCAAGTATTATTAAATACATTAGAGAAGAAGACGATGACCACTCCCAATCTATTATTCTTCCCCTCAGGCCAACGTGACTCCCCCGTCACAAAACAGTCCTCAAGACAGATGGGCTGCCAGCGTGCTGGGGTCTTCATAGGGCAGATCTCCACCATGTCATGCAGAGATGCAGTGGTAGGTTTGAAATCCTAAGTTCACCTTCTAGAAGTCCGCTTAGCATTCAATGGTTCATCTAATTTTTAATTACATGGTAGTCACTGCTTTATTCTAATTAAATTGCAGCTGTCTTCTGATCAGGAATTATGCTCTTCCACGGCACTCTGGCTCATTCCACAGTCAATAATGTTAAATGGAGTGAAAATGTAGGTCAGTGGAGCTAACTTGGAAGTCTCCAGGACAACTCTTCCTCCAAATCCATTGGAAAACATGAAGCAACAGGCAGAAATGCCAAGGATTTGACTGCTAAATACCAGATAAGTAAGCTGCTCCCCCAAAAAGTCTTCAGCATACTAAGCAAGTCGTTTACTGGAAGAAATTTAAACCTTTTTTAAAGCATGTTTCTCTTTTGCATTCCTTCTTCAAGAAATCCCAAAGCCCAACTCTAAATGAAATGCTGCAGCCATCTGGGAACAAACAAATTGTTTTCCATGAGTATGGAACTGGCCAGATTATGAAGGGTAGTAATAGATACAAGTGTACCAAACCTCCAGTTCCCAACCTAAATTCAGATATGCCAGAGACATGAAATGTCAAAGAGAGACCAACAAGACTACAGTGCTTCAACTGACTCATGCATCCCCTGAGGCTTGGTTCTCACAAACTCTAAAAGCAGTTTAAAATCCCTCAGAGTTGGTGGCAACAGTCCCAAATTCATAGCAATGCCAAAAATGGATAACAAAATATTTAAAGATAAAACTTCATCAGATAACCCAGAATACATTTCACCATTGAGTCGTATTTTGTTCTCCCAGTATTGTTAGATGAAAACGTAGCAGTTGTATCTTAATTGTTGAATGAGAGTGAGCTGGGAAACAGCACTTGCCCTGCCACCCCTCAAGGTTAGGCTGCAGCGATGCAGATCCCCAGGAAGCAAGTGCAGCTGGGGTGGGCACCGTTGAGGTCTCGCCACTTCCATCGGCAGCCACCATTCCATGTGCCCTTGAAGAATCTGGGTACAAGAAAACTGAGAGCAGTACAGATTCATAAGACAACTCAAGTTGAGTCTGGTGGTCGAAGATTGTTCTTTCACCTGTTCACGTGGAATAATTGTCTTTTTTCTTTCACCTTCATGCTTGTGACCTAATGGAAACAGACTGTAAATGATGGCATGGCATTCTGTGAATCAGAGCTGCCCATCACTTTCTTGTTAAGCTCCCTTGCTCTATTGTTTCCCACCCTTTGGCATGTTCCCTCTCCCACTGAGTGCACTTCAGCATGGCTGGTGATTATTTTCTTATTGCCCATTGTTAAAGACACCTATGGAGAAGGCTGTGGCCTCTGACGGAAATGTGCTAGTGAATCCAAGGTGGGTACTAGCTGTGTAGTCATTGTCTGGGTGAGTTTCAAAATGAGGCAGGGTCATGTCCACCCTCAGCACAAGCAGTCTGTTCTCTGCCGGGATGCTGCCTCCTGTATCTACTCTGCCTCACCAATAACCCAATGTCCTATTCTTGACCAAGGCACCTTGGTGAGAATGGCAGCTCCTGTCCCTGCAGTCCCGAGTGCTACTCCGCTGTTCATACTTGTGTTCTCAGACGTCTAGGGTTTTTTATGGCGGCCCTGCCTTTGTTTGCCTCCACCACTCAGATTTGCTTCTGAAGTGTCCTACTGCCACCCAGCTCCACACACAGTGAAGTCAGGGGGCAAGAGTGGGAGCTCCGCAGTCATGCAGTGTTTTGTTCCTGGCCTTTCCCACTCAAGAGTCTTTGCTTCAAAGCTGTGTTTAATGCAAGTTCAAGTCTCAGAGCCACCTAAGAGAAGACTGAACCCGGCCACCTAGGAAGAAACTGTTTTCATCCACATGTTAACTTGTGGGGGATTTGAAGGCATGCAAAGAGGCAGGCTCATTTTGGAGAGGAGATGGTGAAGCAGGAGGGAGCCATTCACCCAGAGGAAGAAAGTGAAATAAGGGGACTGGAAACAGCTGAGGACATCCACAGTTAAGCACATCTCTCTATAAATAGCAGTTGGGGCTGCCCTAGAGAGAGAGGTGAGAGGATAGGAAGAGAGGGCAGGAAGCATTGGCCAAGGACACTTGTGGGCTATAAAAGCCTCTTGCATGAAAGATGGGCCAGTTGGGACTTTCATATTATCTGTGAGTAATAAAAAGGTTGACAAAAAGATCATTATTACCCAAAACTCAAGTATCAGCAGGGTGGGCTGAAATCAATAGGGCCATAGTTGTGAATAAGATGTGTAGCAATCTGTACTTGGGAAATGCATTTTTTAAAAACCACTTATAAACTGATCTTCCATTTGGTTCATATTACTATCATTATTTATAATTTGCCTGTAATGTCACTCCTCCACTCAAAACCATTAAAACCTCCCCATTTCACTCAGGAAAAGCCGAAGTCCTTGAGAGAACAAGAAGACAAGCCACCAACAGGGAGGAGATATTTGCAAAACACATCTAATCAATAACTGGTATTCTGAATATACAAAGAACTCTTAAAACTCATTAATAAAACAACTTAGTTTTTAAAATGGGCAAAAGATCTGAAAAAAACACCAACAAAGATACACAGATGGTAAATAAGCACATAAAAAGATATCCAACATCATATATTATAAAAGAAATGTAAATTAAAACAAGGAGATGCCACTGCATACCTATTAGAATGGCCAAAATCCACAAAACTGTCAACACCAAATGCTGGCAAGAATGTGGAGCAGTGGAACTCGCATTCATTGCTGGTGGGAATGCAAAATGGTGCAGCCACTAGAAGGCAGTTGGGCAGTCTCCTACAAAGCTAAATGTAGGCTTACCATATGATCCAGCAATTGTGCTCCTTGGTATTATATTTACCCACGTGGGGCTGAAAACGTATGTCCACACAAAACCCTGCACACATTTGTTTATAGCAACTTTCTTCACAATTACCAACACTTGGAAGCAACCAGGATGTACTTCAATAGGTGAATGGAGAAAAAACGGTGGTACATCATACAATGGGATTACTCAGTGATAGAAAGAAATGGGCTATCAATCCATAAAAAAAAAAAATATGGAGGAACCTTAAATGCATATTGCTAAGTGAAAGAAGCCGATCAGAAAGGCTACAGAATGTGTTGTTCTAACTATATGACATTCTGGAAAAGATAAAACTTTTGGAGCTTCCAGGCAGCTGAATACGTAGAGGTTCCTGAAGGGGGCACACCCAGGGAGGGCATGGAAGCTGTGCGACACTTCCCCCATAGCTCGCACTACATGTCTCTTCATCTGTAGCCTTTGCAATATTCTTATAATAAACCAGTAAATGTAATTTAAAAAAAAAAAACATGGGGACGGTAAAAAGATCAACAGTTGCCAGGGGTTGAGTTGAGGGAGGGATGACTAGGCGGAGTAAAGGGGACTTCAGGGCAGTGAAACTACTCTGCATGATATTATACAGTGGCTACATGTCATTATACACTTGTCAAAACCCACAGAACATACAACACACAGTGAACCCTAATGGAAACTGTGAACTTTAGTTAATAATAAAGTATCAGTATCATCTTATCAATTGTAACAGGTGCATCATACTAATGTAGGGTGTTAATAATGGGGGAAAGTGGGTGGGCTGAAAGAAGGGAGTGTATAGGAACTCAGTACTTTTTGCTCAGTTCTTCTGGAAACCTAAAACTGCTCTAAAAAATAAGGTCCAGGCTGGGTGTGGTAGTTCATGCCTAGAACTTATATGTAATCCCAACATTTTGGGAGGCCAAAGCAGGAGAATCACTTGAAACCAGGAGTTCAAGATCAGCCGGGGCAACATAGCAAGACCCTGTCTCTATAAAAACATTAAAAATTAGCTGGGCATGGTGACGTATGCTGTAGTCCTAGCTACTCTGGAGGTTCACTGGAGCCCAGGAGTTCAAGGCTACATTGAGCTGTGATCTGCCACTGCACTCCCTCCTGGGCAATAGAAAAAGACCCTGCCTCTAAAAAAGCAAACAAACGAACAAACAAAAAAAAGGTTAATAATAAAAGGCCAAGTCCTTCGAATGGCCAAGCAGGTACTACACAATCGCTCCCTTATTCCTTCCTTGACCTCGTCAGCCAGCTACCACCCTCCCCACTCTCACTGGCCTCTGCTGTTCTGGAACTCGCCAGGCAGGCTTCTACCCCAGGACCTCGCACTAGCTGTTCCCTCTGCCTGCAACACCATCCTCCCAGATCTTCACATCATTCCTTTCTTTGCTCCCATTCATCAAGTCTCTGTTCATGTCACTTCTCAGTAACACCTCCCCGATGACCTGATGTAAACCTGCACCACCGCCCTAGGTGCTGGCACTTCCCACCCGCCACCTGCTGTTTTCCTCCATGACACATATCACTGGTAAATGAAATGTCTCATTGATTTCTGTGTGATGTTTACAGAATCTCTCCCTGCACTATACAATACACGCTCCAGCTGCAGCATATTTGGTCTGTTTGGATGACGGTTGAATCTTAACAGATGGCATATACAGACAGGCACTTGGTATATTATTTGTGAATTAATGAACGAAGGACCTGTGCCTGTGACACTCTAATAAATCACTTGATTATGGCTACCAAAAGTGAAGTTCAGTGATGCTGACATGGCAAAAAGTAATATACCAAAAAGTAATATAGTTGGTCTAATGTGAGAATTGGATGTTTAAGACAGGAACTATCCCGAAAAAGACCTGGAAATATGATCACTGTAGACAAAGTGAGAGACAAATGAAAGATTGTCTTAGTTTTACCTTAAAAGTTTCAACCCTCCCTGTTGAGATTGATGGCTGCATCCTGTTGCCACTGGCTCTGCCTGCGGCCAGCTGCCCATGGGCTTCCCAGTGCTCTCCCAGGACTGCCCACCTGCAGGCCCATGGCTCAGTTTCCTCTGTGCATGGGCATCAGTTCAGCCAGTGCTGTCCAGAGCAAGCTCTGGTTACAGCTCCTGCCTCCCTATCACTAAGGAAAATCGCAGGCCCCAAATTGGGTTTGCCCCTAAGCAGCTGGCCTGCTCCTGCAGCCCACATCAGGCCCCTGTCTGCCGCCAGTGCTCCACGCAGGCACCCGCCAGTGCTCCACACAGGCACCCGCCAGTGCTCCACGCAGGCACCCGCCAGTGCTCCACGCAGGCACCCACAAGAGCCACAGGTTTCACAGGGTGGCTTTCATTCTTCAACCAAGGGGGACAAAACACGCTCTGGAGGCCTCCTGTGATTCTGACAGTTCAGAGATGAGAGAGACAGAGACATAGACACAGAGAGGGAGAGACAGAGAGGTAGAGGATGTCACAGATACAGAGAGACAAAAAGGGGAGAAACAGAGTCACAGAGAGACACAGAGGGAGAGACAAGGAGCCGGCGAGGGAAGGGAAGAATCCTGCTGTCGTTCCCACACTGTCTGCTGTCCTGCAGTGTGTGCCGCCCTGGGCAGCCCTTGCTTTCTGAGGTCTGTTTTCTCTCTTGTCTACACTGAGCCCCTCCCTTGATGAGTCCTCGATCAAGTTCACTAATCAATCTTCTGCCATCTCTACTGTACCTTTGAGCCCATCCAGTGTTTTATTTCCATTATTCTATTCAGTTCTATACTTTTAATTTCCTTTTCATAAGTTTTATTTCTTTGCCGAGATGTTCCATTGTTTCATTTGTTTCCAGAGAACCTGTCATTGCTTTTTGAGCCCTTTTCATGATGGCTGCTTGGAAATCCTTGTCAGGTGATTCCAGCGCCATTCATGAAAGCAGCCACGGTCACCAAAGGCTTCAGCAAAGCCACAGGGAATGAACCATCTAGAAAAGGAGCTTCTGTGCCAGCTGGAGCCGGTTCTCCAGACCCAGCTCTTTCTCTACATGATGCAGTGTTTTCTCCTATGGCCAGACTTGGGGTGGGGTGTTGTCAAAATTGTCATCATTTTCTCCACATTCAGTTTTTACAAATGGACCCTCAATTGGCCACTGAATTGCAAAGCATACGCTGGACTGAAATTGAGCAATGTGTCTTTGGTTTTGCCGAAAGGACGGTGCGAGCGGTGCAGGCTGCTTCAGACCTTCAGAAAACAAGGGCATCCTCAATTTAAGGATGGCAAAACCCACCACCCCTTCGAGTTAGAAAGAGGCTACGGCTCAGCTGAACTCCACAACATGAACTGCTTCCTTGATGAGCAGCCGTTCGCCCAGCTGTGTTTTTTGGTTTTTGTTTTTGAGATGCAATCTCGCTCTGTCATCCAGGCTGGAGGGCAGTGGTGTGATCTCGGCTCACTGCAACCTCCACCTCCTGGGTTCAAGTGATCCTCCCACCTCAGCCTCCCAAGTAGCTGGGATTACAGGCATGAGCCACCACACCCGGCTAATTTTTTTTTGTTTTTTTTGAGACAGAGTTTCGCTCTTGTTGCCAAGGCTGGAGTGCTATAGTGAGATCTTGGCTTACTGCAACCTCTGCCTCCCGAGTTCAAGCGATTCTCCAGCCTTAGCCCCCCGAGTAGCTGGGATTACAGGCATGTGCTACCACACCAGGCTAATTTTGTATTTTTAGTAGAGATGGGGTTTCTCCATGTTGGTCAGGCTGGTCTCGAACTCCTGACCTCAAGTGATCTTCCTGCCTCAGCCTCTCAAAGTGCTGGGATTACAGGCGTGAGCCACCGTGCCTGGCCCCAGCTGTGTTTTTGAACTGGCAACCCAGACTCTTCCCTGAGGCTGCCCTTAGTTCCCACAACCAGGCAACATGGTTGATTTACTCTTCTTTAAAAGCCTCAGCATTAAAAAGCATCTTTACCTAAAACAGTGTGACTTCATCTTCTGTTCATTTTTTGTGACTCAATATCTTATTTAGCTATAGTTCTTCCCAACCCTAATTTGAATATTTCACTGATGTCTCCATACATGCCTCAATTTAAGTAACATATTTCATCAAATCTTGTACAAACCTCCTGAGCTTGGCCTCTTAATGGAGATTGTTTCTCTTCTGTTGTATGAAAAAAAAACATATTCTTTTTTATTTTAAAAAATTATGCACAGAAACAAATGGGATTCCAATTTTTCAGATAAATTTCCGAGTCCCCTTCCAACCCAAGCAGGATGTCCTTTCTGTCTCTCTGCCTCCATGCTTAAATACTCCAAAAGCCCATGAGGAAGCAGCACTCGGGGTCTGCTCTGTCTTGAACTAAGAAGGTACTAGTTAGGAAACTTGTTAAGCATGAGGATGGGGAGGGCACACCAAGGTGAGTGAGCAGCCTGTGCCACGCACGGAAAAGACGCCCAGGTGAGGACACCGTGGCCTCCTGTCTGCTTCAAGGGTCATGCACACCATCTGGCTGGTCCAGGTCATGGTGCTGCTGGGCTAATGAGCTCAGTGGGCTAGGTCAGTGATTCTCAATCATGGCCCCAGGACCAGCAGCACCAGCACTGCCTGAGAACTTGTTAGAAAAGCAGATTCTCCTCATACAATGAGTTAGGGAGGATTCTCTCTTTTCCATTGATTGGAATAGTTTCAGAAGGAATGGTACCAGCTCCTCCTTGTACCTCTGGTAGAATTTGGCTGTGAATCCGTCTGGTCCTGGACTTTTTTTGGTTGGTAAGCTATTAATTATTGCCTCAATTTCAGAGCCTGTTATTGGTCTATTAAGAGATTCAATTCCTTCCTGGTTTAGTCTTTGGAGGGTGTATGTGTTGAGGAATTTATCCATTTCTTCTAGATTTTCTAGTTTATTTGCGTAGAGGTATTTATAGTATTCTCTGATGGTAGTTTGCATTTCTGTGGGATCGGTGATGATATCCCCTTTATCATTTTTTATTGCGTCCACTTGATTCTTCTCTCTTTTCTTCTTTATTAGTCTTGCTAGCGGTCCATCAATTTTGTTGATCTTTTCAAAAAACCAGCTCCTGGATTCATTGATTTTTTGAAGGGTTTTTTGTGTCTCTATCTCCTTCAGCTCTGCTCTGATCTTAGTTATTTCTTGCCTTCTGCTAGCTTTTGAATGTGTTTGCTCTTGCTTCTCTAGTCCTTTTAATTGTGATGTTAGGGTGTCAGTTTTAGATCTTTCCTGCTTTCTCTTGTGGGCATTTAGTGCTATAAATTTCCCTCTACACACTCCTTTAAATGTGTCCCAGAGATTCTGGTATGTTGTGTCTTTGTTCTCATTGGTTTCAAAGAACATCTTTATTTCTGCCTTCATTTTGTTATGTACCCAGTAGTCATTCAGGAGCAGGTTGTTCAGTTTCCATGTAGTTGAGCAGTTTTGAGTGAGTTTCTTAATCCTGAGTTCTAATTTGATTGCACTGTGGTCTGAGAGACAGTTTGTTATAATTTCTGTTCTTTTACATTTGCTGAAGAGTGCTTTACTTCCAACTATGTGGTCAATTTTGGAATAGGTGTGATGTGGTGCTGAGAAGAATGTATATTCTGTTGATTTGGGGTGGAGAGTTCTGTAGAATTTTAGACCAATATCCCTGATGAACATTGATGCAAAAATCCTCAATAAAATACTGGCAAACCGAATCCAGGAGCACATCAAAAAGCTTATCCACCATGATCAAGTGGGCTTCATCCCTGGGATGCAAGGCTGGTTCAACATACGAAAATCAATAAACGTAATCCAGCATATAAACAGAACCAAAGACAAAAACCACATGATTATTTCAATAGATGCAGAAAAGGCCTTCAACAAAATTCAACAGCCCTTCATGCTAAAAACTCTCAATAAATTAGGTATTGATGGGACGTATCTCAAAATAATAAGAGCTATTTATGACAAACCCACAGCCAATATCATACTGAATGGGCAAAAACTGGAAGCATTCCCTTGGAAAACTGGCACAAGACAGGGATGCCCTCTCTCACCACTCCTATTCAACACAGTGTTGGAAGTTCTAGCCAGGGCAATCAGGAAGGAGAAAGAAATAAAGGGTATTCAATTAGGAAAAGAGGAAGTCAAATTGTCCCTGTTTGCAGATGACATGATTGTATATTTAGAAAACCCCATTGTCTCAGCCCAAAATCTCCTTAAGCTGATAAGCAACTTCAGCAAAGTCTCAGGATACAAAATCGATGTGCAAAAATCACAAGCATTCTTATTCACCAATAACAGACAAACAGAGAGCCAAATAATGAGTGAACTCCCATTCACAATTGCTTCAAAGAGAACAAAATACCTTCCAACTTACAAGGGATGTGAAGGACCTCTTCAAGGAGAACTACAAACCACTGCTCAACGAAATAAAAGAGGACACAAACAAATGGAGGAACATTCCATGCTCATGGGTAGGAAGAATCAATATTGTGAAAATGGCCATACTGCCCAAGGTAATTTATAGATTCAATGCCATCCCCATCAAGCTACCAATGACTTTCTTCACAGAATTGGAAAAAACTACTTTAAAGTTCATATGGAACCAAAAAAGAGCCCGCATTGCCAAGTCAATCCTAAGCCAAAAGAACAAAGCTGGAGGCATCACGCTACCTGACTTCAAACTATACTACAAGGCTACAGTAACCAAAACAGCATGGTACTGGTACCAAAACAGAGATTCAGACCAATGGAACAGAACAGAGCCCTCAGAAATAATACCACACATCTACAACTATCTGATCTTTGACAAACCTGACAAAAACAAGAAATGGGGAAAGGATTCCCTATTTAACAAATGGTGCTGGGAAAACTGGCTAGCCATATGTGGAAAGCTGAAACTGGATCCTTATACAAAATTTACACCTTACACAAAAATTAATTCAAGATGGATTAAAGGCTTAAATGTTAGACCTAAAACCATAAAAACCCTAGAAGAAAACCTAGGCAATACCATTCAGGACATAGGCATGGGCAAGGACTTCATGACTAAAACACCAAAAGCAATGGCAACAAAAGCCAAAATTGACAAATGGGATCTAATTAAACTAAAGAGCTTCTGCACAGCAAAAGAAACTACCATCAGAGTGAACAGGCAACCTACAGAATGGAAGAAAATTTTTGCAATCTACTCATCTGACAAAGGGCTAATATCCAGAATCTACAAAGAACTCAAACAAATTTACAAGAAAAAAACAAACAACCCCATCAAAAAGTGGGTGAAGGATATGAACAGACACTTCTCAAAAGAAGACATTTATGCAGCCAACAGACACATGAAAAAATGCTCATCATCACTGGCCATCAGAGAAATGCAAATCAAAACCACAATGAGATACTATCTCACACTAATTAGAATGGCAATCATTAAAAAGTCAGGAAACAACAGGTGCTGGAGAGGATGTGGAGAAATAGGAACACTTTTACACTGTTGGTGGGACTGTAAACCAGTTCAACCAGTGTGGAAGACAGTGTGGCAATTCCTCAGGGATCTAGAACTAGAAATACTATTTGACCCAGCCATCCCATTACTGGGTATATACCCAAAGGAATATAAATCATGCTGCTATAAAGACACATGCACACGTATGTTTACTGCGGCACTACTCACAATAGCAAAGACTTGGAACCAACCCAAATATCCAACAATGATAGACTGGATTAAGAAAATGTGGCACATATACACCATGGAATACTATGCAGCCATAAAAAAGGATGAGTTCATGTCCTTTGTAGGGACATGGATGAAGCTGGAAACCATCATTCTCAGCAAACTATCGCAAGGACAAAAAACCAAACACCGCATGTTCTCACTCACTGAACAATGAGAACACTTGGACACAGGAAGGGTAATATCACACACCGGGGCCTGTTGTGGGGTGGGGGGAGGAGGGAGGGATAGCATTAGGAGATATACCTAATGTAAATGAGGAGTTAATGGGTGCAGCACACCAACATGGCACATGTATACATATGTAACAAACCTGCACACTGTGCACATGTACCTAGAACTTAAAGTATAATAAATATATATATATATATATATATATATATATATATATATATATATATATATAAAGAAAAGCAGATTCTCTGCCCCATCCCAGTCCTACGAAATCAGGAACTCTGGGGGTGGTGTCCAGCACTCAATTTCCACAGGTCCTTGGGCAGTCTCACATACACCCAAATTTACAAACCATATAACCACCTAGACAAAAGAAAAAAAAGATGGAAGAACCATCTTACTTGAAGACAACTTGGAAAAACATGTACTGCCAATTCTGATGTCAGTGACATCACTGACATTTCTGTATGTGATGGACAAAAGTTCGTGTTGAGCAGCTCTGCCATTTCTGACTATAAAAGGAGGAAAACCAAACCAACCCAGATATTTTCCGCCCATAAGCTGAAACGTATGTATATATGTGCATACATATACATGCGTGTATCAACATGTGTATAGATATGCACGTGTTCAAGTATGTTTATGTGTGTGCATGTGTATGTCTGCATATGTGCATATCCATGTGTATAGGCATATGTGTTTATAGATACGTGCATATAGAGGTGTGTATATACTGTATGTATATATGCGCATATGTGTGCATTATATAATGCACACATATATACACATATACACGCATATATACACATACATACACGTGCACATATATACACATATATACACGTGCACATGTGTACATATGCACGTGTATAAATGTGTAGATAGCATGTATGTATATGTGTATATATGCATGTGTATATACATGTGTATATGTGTGCATACATATGTGTATATGCATGTGTATATCTGTGCATGTGTATATATAAATATGTATGCATATACGTGTATATATACATGTGTGTACAGATGCATGTGTGTATATGCATAGATGTGTGTGTACTTATGTGTGTACATGTATGTGTGTGTGTATATCATTCTCCCTTCCCTCAATATCCCTACCCCTACTCCCAATAACACTCTCTACCCACCTTCCTCTAAAAAAAAAAGGATTAAAAAGAAAAAAGTAAGTGGTGAGTTTACTTCTCCCACACATGGAGACAGAACTGAATTGTTCATGTTTTCATGCTTTGAGTTAGAAAAATAATTCCCCAGGACATGACTTACATTTACTGCAGTTATTTAGGAACTATATTCCCAATGAGCACCCCTGGATTTGCTTCATCTCCATCCATTTAGCATGATATGTAATACACTGTGAGCGTTTTCTAAAGGGAAAGAAAAAGTCAATCCCAGGAGAGACACAAGTGTATTCATAACATTCTCACAACAATAGTCCTCAACATGCACCTGAACTTTCTAAAACTTATACATTGACTTCCCTAAAATACCTTAATGATATCAAATCTAGACTATCAAATGTCACCTGCAAAACAGAGACTCAGCAGAGAGCAGCTAGTTTTGGCAGTGTCCCCATCCTGACCTCAGAAGCCATTCACTATCAAATGAATCAAAGGGGAAATATTAAACACCTGACATCAATACATGTATAAGCTGGAGATGAAAGTCTTAGACATTTTGAGAGTAACAAACAACTGTTCAGGCTCAACGCAACACTTATTGGCCTTAAACCACCAGATGCATCCATCAGGAAGGAAAAGAACACACTTTAAAATGTGGGAAAGGAAAGAAAAAATATCAGACATTCTCCCCTAAAGCGGTTGAAAGGGATACAGTTTGCTAGAGCCTCCTTTATCAAGAAAAACACGCTGACCCTCACTGAAGATCACTTCCTCTTAACCAAACATTCAAGACAGTTAATGAGTGCCCTAATCTCCCGCTCAGTTCCCTGCCAATTGCTACAGGTGCATGCACCCCTCCATGGGTGGGTTTCCACAGGGCTCACGGTCCACCCCCTCACTGAGTCCACCCCTCTCTCATACTCCACAACTCTATTCCAACATTTCCACTCCCCTCTGCGACTGCCAGGCTCCCTCCCAGCCCCCTCTTCAGTCCTGGGCATGCCTGCATTGCTCCAGTATGTGGGCTCTGGGTGTGTGCTGGCCAGTTGTCCTAGAACAGCTAGGAATAGCACCCTCCTTCCCACCCAGCACAGGCCCAAGCCAGCAGACAATCTTCTGAATTGCACTCACCTGACCTCTCAGAAACACACCAGCACTCTCGTCCCCTGACCTCAGGTCACTGCCCGTCTCCTAATGGCCTCTGACCACCCTGCCTTAGTTTCTCTCTTCAGGCTCATCAGCACCACCTGGTTATTCATCTCCACCCTTCCCAAGGCTGGCCCTTGGCCTTCTCACGTTCGCACTTTAACTGCCCTGTAAGAAACCTCACAAGTCCTTCAGCTTCAGTACATATCTCTGTACTACGAGTCCCACGTGTATGCTTCAGTCCAGGGGGCCTCTAAGCTCCAACAGCTCTATGCGGATGCCTCCAACGACACACCCAACCCTGAATCCATTCCTGATCTCCTTGCCCCAAACCTAGGTAAGCCTCGCCCAGGGCTCCAGCACAGGCGACCGCCCCATCTATCCTGTTGTGCAACCAGAAACCCAGGAGTCACCCAAATCACTGTCCCCCTGTCTGCCCGCCGCCGCACCCTCCTGGGCTCCCTTGGTGCCATCCCCATCTCCTTGTCAGCACTGCCTCCACTCCAGCCCAGGCTCCCACAGCTCTCCATGGGCAACCGTGGGAGTTTCATAACCATCTTCACATCCTCCATCCTGGGCTCATTTCATCTGTTCTCCACGCTATGGCTAGAGTATTGTTTTCAAAGCACAGAACTGATCATATCATTCTTCCCTTAAAAATTTGAAAAGTATCAAAACCTTTGCAAACTAAGGGCCCACCAGCCCTGTGCTGCCTGGCTCTGCCTGTCTCTCCGCGTCCCCTCGGTTCCAGCACTACCCATCCAGGCCTTTCCTCGCCACTCCCAGCAAAGCAGGCCTCCTCTTGCCCCAGGCCTTGAAGGGCCCCTCTGTGTAGGGGTGCATGCCCCTCCTCTTACGACAGCTATGCATCAGTCAGAGGGCAACTCAAATGCCACTTCTTGAGGACAGCCTTCCCCAAACCGCCACTGGGGCCCCATCTGCCAAGGGGCATAGTTTCTTCTGCTGCGTGTTTGGAAATCTGTCTCTTGCCTTCAGCGCACATAGCTCATGTGTGATACAATCAGTTCGTGTAATTCTTTTCACGTTATTCTCCCCCACTAAATAGTATGCGAGTCTATTTCTGCGAAATCTCCAGTTCCTAGCACTATCCTTGGAACATAGTAAAGATTTGATGAGAAAATAAACAAATAAATCAATAAATGAACTGTCAATAAATCACTTCCCCTAATAAAACATAAGTACACAATTTACCATTGCACATTAAAATTCTATACATTTTCTAAATTCACGATTAGGTTCAAAAGTAGGGGACAGCAAATAACATGAGTTAAAGCTCCATTACACTCAACAAAAACGTAATTATGCTCAGGGTAAAGACTGTCATATGCCGTATTGAGGTATCACTGACATGCAATAAACTGCTCATATGTAAACTGTGCACTTTGATAAGTTTTGACATAGTGCAACCTGATGGAACTGTCACAAGAGGCAAGGTAATGACTCTGCCCCTCACGCAGAGGTCTCCTTGAGCTACTCCACAATCACTTTCTCCTACCCCAGCTATTGTCCCCAAGCGAGCACTGATTTACTTTCTGTCACTAGAAATCTTCTATAAATGGAATCATACATTAAGTACTTTCTTGTCTGGCTTCTTTTATTCAGCATAATTTTGAGAATCATCCATGTCATGGAATATTCCTTCTTATTGCTGAGCCGTGTTCCATTACAGGAATATACCACAATCTGTTTATCTATTCACCAACTGTAAAACATCTGCATTATTTCCAGTTTGTGGCTATTAAAAATACAGCTGTTATGAACACTTGTGTGCAAGGCGTGGTATGGCCGTATCGTTTCCATTTTCTTGGGCAGACATCTCAAAGTAGAATAGCTGAAACATTTGGTAGATGTATGTTTACTCCTTTAAGAAACGGATCAACTGTTTTCCGAAGCAGTTGTACAATTTTACCTTCCCACTGTCAGTGCATGAGAGTGCTGGTTCCCTCACATACACGCTAACACTTGGGAGGATCACTCTGTTAGATTTCAGCCGTGATGATACGTGTGTAGTGGTATCTATCTCCTTGCAGGTTTCATTTCCACTTCCCTAATGACTGATAATGTTGAGCTTCTTTTTGAGTGCTTATTTGCCATCTGTACATATTTTGTGGTGAAATGTCTATTCAAACCATTTGCCCATTTTTAAAATTAGGCTCTTTATTAAGTTTTGAGAGTTCTTTACATATTCTAGCCACAAATCCTTAAACAGACATGTGATTTGCAAATATTTTCTTCCAATATATAGACTGTCTTTTCATTCTCTTAACAGCGTCTTTTAAATAATAGAAGTTCTTTTTGTTTTGATTAAGTCCAATTTGTCCACTCTTTCTTTTATGGAATTCTTTCTTCTATGGATCATGTTTTTGGTGTCATATATAAAAAATATTTGCCTAGTCCAAAGTCACAAATGTTTTCTCTTATATTTTCTTCTAGGAGTTTTTTAGTTTTAGGCTTTACATTTAGATCTATGATTCATTTTTAGTTAATTTTTGTATACTAAGAGGTATAGATCAAAGTTCATCTTTAAAAATATGGGTATCTACTTGTTCCAGTATCATTTACTGAAAAGAGTGTCCTTTGGACAGCCAAGTGTCTTGGCACCTTTGTTGAAAATCAGTTGTCTATGTCTTTAAGGATCTAATTCTACCTCTATTCTGTTCTGTTGATCTATTTCTCTATCTTTATTGCAACGTTGTGCTGACTCCATTACTGTTGTTTTATGAAAACCCTGGAAACCAAGTCCTCCAACTCTCTTCTTCCATTTCAAAGTTGTTTCTAGGCCCTTTGCCTTTCCATAGACACTTTAGAATCATTTATCAATTTCTACTGAAAAAATTCTGGGATTTTGGTTGTGACTCTGTTGAATCTATAGATCAATATGAATAGAACAGCTTAAAAGCAAGACTTCTGACCCAGAATGTTATGTATAGCCCCATTTACTTAGATCTTTCATTTCACTCAGCAATATATGTTGCTGAGAGTGTACATGTTTTTCTTATCTTTTGTCAGATTTATTCCTAAGCATTTGTCTTTTCTTTCATTTCTTTGCTATTGTAAATGGTATTTTAAGTTTCAATTTCTGATCATTTGTTGCTAATATATAGAAATACAACTGATTTTGTATATTAACCCTTCAACCTTGCTAAACTGACTTACTGGTTTTTTGTTTGTTTGTTTGTTTGTTTGTTTGCTTGTTTGAGACAGGGTCTCGCTCTGTCACCCAGGCTGGAGTGCAGTGGCACAATCTTGGCTCACTGCAACCTCCAACTCCCAGGTTCAGGCGATTCTCCTGCCTCAGCCTCCTGAGTAGCTGGGATTACAGGTGTGAGCCACCACATCCAGCTGACTTACTAGTTCTAGTAGCTATTTTGTAGATCCTATACAATTTCCTACACAATCATATAGTCTACACATAAAGACAGCTTTACTTCTTCCTTTTCAATCTAGATGGCTTTGGTTTCTTTTTCTTGCTTGATTGTACTGGGTGAGACCTCCAGTGTAAGGTTGAACAGAAGTGGTAAGAGTGAACACCCCTGTCTTGTTCCTGATCTTAGGGGGAAAGCTTTTAGTCTTTCACCATTGAGTCTCACATAGGCTGTAGGTTTTCATGGATGCCCCTTAGCATGTTGAGGAAGTTTCCTTCTATTCCTAGATCACTGGGAGTGTTTACCAAGAGTTTACGTTGGATTGGATTGCATTGAATGCTTTTTCTGCCATCCATTGAGATAATCCTCTGGATTTTTCTCTTTTAGTTTGTTAATATCATGAATTGTATTGATTGATTTTTATTTCCTGAGATAAATGCTTCTTGGTTATGATATCTTATCTTTTACATGTAATGCTGAAATTGATTTGCTAAATTTTTTGAAGGTTTACATCTATGTTCATAGGGGTTATTGGCCTATAGTCTTTTCTTATAATATTTTTGTCAGGTTTTGTTACCAGGATAATGCTTACCACTTAGAATGGTTTGGGAAGTACAACCTCACTATTAATCTTTCTTCCTTCCTTCCTTCTTTTTTTTTTTTTTTTTTTTTTTTTCTGAAACAGAGTCTCACTCTGGCACCCAGGCTGAAGTGCAGTGGTGTGATCACGGCTCGCTGCAGCCTCAACCTCCCAGGCTCAGGTGATCCTCCCACCTCAGCCTCCTAAGTAGCTGGGACCAGAGGCACATCCAGCTAATTTTTAAAATTTTTTGTAGTGATGGGGGGAGGGTCTCACTATGTTGCTCAGGCTGGTCTCAAACTCCTGGCCTCAAGCAATCCTCCCTCCTAAAATGCTGGGATTACAGATGTGAGCCACTGCACCTGGCCCAATTTTTATTTCCTAGAAGAGCTTGTGTAAAATTACAGTTATTTTTTTCTTAAAAGCTTGGTAGAATTTACCAGTGAAACTATCTGGCCTGGAATTTTCTTTATGAGAAGAATTTTATCTACAAATTTATTTCTGTAATAGATGTAGGGTTATTAAAGTTATCAATTTCTTCTTTAGTGAGCTTCGTGTCTTCCAAGAAAGTTATCCATTTCATCTAAGTTGTAGAAATTGTTGGCATAACAATGTTTTCATATCCACTTATTATCTTTCGATATCTGTAAGATCTGTGGTGATTCCTTACGTTGGTAATTTCTGTCTTTTCCCCGTTTTTCCTAATCAGTCCACAAACAGGTTTATCAATGTTATTGATTCTTCTCAAATAACCACCTTTCAGTTTTGTTTGTTCTCGCTAGTAATTTTCTAATCTCCATTCTGTTCTTTATTATTCTCTTTCTCCTACTACTTAATTTGAGTTTAATTTGCCCTTATTTTTCTAGTTTCTTAAGGTGGAAGCTCCATTACAGGCAACAAAAGATTTGACTATGTGCAGGGTGAGTGGTGTCTCACTCCCAGAATTTCATTTGAGGAATTCATAAACAGTGTGCTTATGACTCCAGGTTATTTGTTTGAAGAGCCAACCCTAGATAGCTGACATTGCAATTACTCAGATTCAATCTAGGGAAATGAGCTTGGTCAGAAGTGCCATAAATGAACTTTTATTTTTCTCCATTTGTCATCAATTGATAAAGTCTGAAAGACATTCCATTCTAGTCTCTTATCATGGAAAATTATGGCTTCTAGGGCACTTTCTGGAAGTTTAACCTTTGTCACAAGTCACAAGAATTTGGCCATATTCTATTTTGTTAAAGGCTTTTTTTTTTTTTTTGAGATGGAGTCTCGCTCAGCTGCCCAGGCTGGAGTGCAGTGGCACGATCTCGGCTCACTGCAACCACTGTCTCTCGGATTCAGGTGATTCTCCCGTCTCAGCCTCCCAAGTAGCTGGGATTACAGGCACCCGCCATCATGCCCAGCTAATTTTTGTATTTTAGAAGAGACAGGGTTTTACCATGTTGGCCAGGCTGGTCTTGAGCTCCTGACCTCAGGTGATCCGCCTACCTCGGCCTCCCAAAGTGCTAGGATTATAGGCGTGAGCCACCGCGCCCAGCCTTAAAGCCTATTTTCAAAAGAAACAAAAATCCTTAACAAATAGGGATGATTATAACCAGAAAATGTGTTTCCACCAGAAGACATCTGTCACCAGCACCAGTGCTTTATGAGATCAGTGAGACAAACCCAGGTCTTAAGGCACTTTCCTAAGCACCACAGAGGAAGCCCCAATGACATTGCTCAAGGTAAACAGAGGCCTGGACTGATTCCACATGGGCAGGTGAGGCTCTCCCTCTTCCTGAGGAGCCAAACAGACACAATCAGAACCAGGAATATCCTCTGAATCTCCCAATTTCCTATCAAAATCACTGTAGCATTCTTCCTTAAAGTGAATGACAAAGCCACAATCTTTTGGCATGTGTTCAGAAAGCAAAAGGCTTTTTCAGAAAATCTGTATTCCTAACAAAAGACATCTGAAAAATCTGCTAACTACAAATGGGTACTTAAAAGTCCCTTATGAACTTAAGCTACTTTAAGGACAGGACATTGGTGAAAAAGTATTCTGGCACAGGAAATTAGTAGTGAGACACTCAGAATTGAGGGAGAAAAGCCATCACTGGCCATAATATTTACAAATAATCAAAACCAGGCCACTTTAAAGGCGTTGCTAATAGATCACACTGTCAGAACAAGGCTTCATGGCGAGAGAACACGCAAATCCAAACACACTTGGAGCTGTGGATGCCCATTTTAGACAAAGGCAATTTAATATAAACTGGACGAGGCTTACGTTTCTTTTATATACACTTTTTGGGATTCTGAATTATATATAGCTTCTATAGAGAAAAGATAGGATGATCACCAGCCCCTAAAAAAAAAAAAAGCTGCTCCAAGTGTAATAATAAAGTTATGCACAAAATACCAAGCAACAAGAAAAAAAAGAACATTTCAAATAACCAGCTTCCAGTTTTGTTTTCTCTAGTAATTTTAAAGTACTCAGAAGAAGAGATATGAAACCCAGGGCATAGGACATGGATATTCATTCATATATTCTCACTCTCTCTCTTTTTCTCATCATGGAAAGATTCCAGGTCCAAAGCAGTACAGTAAAATTATTTCAGCCTCACTTCTCTTGAAAAAAAATCCCTCCAAAACAGCCAGGAGAACAAGAAACACAAGCATCATCTTCAATAAAACTAGAAGACACCTGGTTGGGCGCACTGGCTCACACCTGTAATCCCAGCACTTTGGGAGGCCGAGGTAGGCAGATCACGTGAGGTTAGGAGTTTGAGACCAGCCTGGCCAACATGGTGAAACCCTGTCTCTACTAAAAATACAAAAATTAGCCGGGCATGGTGGCGCACACCTGTAGCCTCAGCTACTCGAGAGGCGGGGGCAAGAGAATCACTTGAACCCGGGAGGCGGCCGTTGGAGTGAGCCGAGATCGTGCCATTGGACTCCAGCTTGGGTGACAGAGTGAGATTCTGTCTAAAAAACAAAACAAAACAAAAAAAACTAGAAGACACCTATCCCCAGGCCACCATTATGAAGGCAGGGAGCAGACGGAGGATGGGTGGGGCTTCAGCAGAGACTAGAAGGTCCCATCCCAGTAGCCAGTGGCAAGTGCACCCTCCCAGGTGGTAGACAAGCCACCTGTCTGAGAGTCAGATGCAGGCCTAGGGGCCCCAGCCCCATCACAGCTGGCCACCCCTCTTGCCATCCTTGCAGGGGTCCGAGGCTTATTCTCTGGGGAAAAGTGAACCAAAGAGGCCAGAACATGGAGAGGGCCAGCATGGACAGGAGCCAAGGTGAGGATGGACACTGCTCTGATAGGCAGCAGATGGAGGAGTCTCTGGAGAGACTCACGGCTGCTGGAGAAGAGACCAACAGGTTCAGACTTCTGGGCATCACCAGGCTGCCCCATGGCGAGACCTGCATGTCCCTGGGCCCCAGCAGTCACACAGGACTTCCTGGTCATTTTGAGGGCCTCACACTTGAAAGATCACATGATGTTTCAGTAAATCTCCAACATGGAAAAAAAGAATTGCATAAGAGGACTCAGAGGAAACAGAGACAGTGAATGCAGGGAAGGAAGCACCCTTCAAGGAAACTGTAATGAATGTTCACAGGAAGAGAGGAATCTTCCCAGAAACAGGAAGGGACTGACTGAAAGGGAAGAAACAGAGAGAAACCAGATAACGAGAAAAAAGAACTTTTAGAAATTAAAAAAAAAATAGCCAAAGTAGGTCAAAATAAAAAATGTTAGTAGAAAAGTTGGGAGATAAAGTCAAGGAAATGTCTTTCAGAAGGAGAAGAAACATACAAGTGGAAAGGTCAGCAAATGAGAGACTCAACCCAGCAGGCCTGGCAGCCGCAGGGGCAGGGGGCGGGGCCGGGGGGGGGGGGCGCAGCCCACCAGCCAACGATGGCCAGTTACCAGCCGCTCTGGAGCTCCGTTTCCTAATCTGAAAATGGGGGCGATCCTGTCACCACCTCCCTTATAGGGTGGTGAGGAGGGTTAAATCCATTATTATGGGCAAAGTCCTTAGAACAGTGCCTGGCATACAGTATGCACTCAATAGATATTATCTCTGATTAGTCTTAATAAGATTTCTAAAAAATGAGAATAGAGAAAATACTAGAGAGGAAATTATCAAGGAAATAAAGGATATAGAGGGTATTTTAAACAAAGGTACAAGCACTCTTGTGATTGGGATGGACTGTATTTACATATATCGGCATGTCCCCTAGTTAAGAATGGCACGGGCATGTATGTGTGTGTGTGTGATTTGTTATCTATGGCCATGGTAAACCTCAGTGGCTGGCTTGAGTCAGCCTGGTCCGGGCCTGCTGGTGCAGCTGTGCCTGCTCTGGGCAGGGCAGGCAGCTTGCTGACCCTGGCTGGGCTCTCTTCAATGTTTGAGGTTGGCTGGCTGTGGATAGGTCCAGGATGGCCTAGCAGGGACAACTGAGTTCTCCTCCATGTGATCACACCCCACCAGCACCCAAGCCCTGGGGTCTCCTCGGAGGTAGACACAGGGCCTGAGAGAGTGCAGAAAAGTGCAAGCCTTTCCAAGGCCTGGGCTAGGAACTAACACTGGCCACTTCTGCCACAGTCCATTGGCCAAAACAAGTCACAGCTCAGATTCAAGAAGTGAGGAAGCAGACTCCTACCTCTTGATGGAGGCGCTACAAGGTCACTTTGCCAGGGGCATGGGAGGGTTGGAGAATTGGGGCCACTTCTATCGTCTACCCCAACCCTTCTCCACTCTGCTTTGTGTCCTGGGAGGCTGACCTCTATACACAGTATCCCAGGGCCGCCTCCCAGCACAGGCCTTGGAGCCATTTGCTTAGACTACAGTGTGAACGGTTCTCCCAAGACCGGGCAGTACACAGCTTACACAACCACATGCAGGTGCCCTCAGTGAAGCCATCTGCAAAAGGAGGCGTCTGGGCTGGATGACTCTACATTCCTTCATCCTGAGAACTCACAAATACTTTATACCCAAGATCCTAGCATTTCTCTTCTGACCTGCCTGAAGAGGTGGTATGGCTGGCATCCATGCGTGCGCTTCCATGCGTGTGATTGGGTCACTAGCACGCACACAATAGGAACCTGGTAAAAGGGATGATTAAATGAATTCACATACATGTGTTTGAAATACACTGTGCACACATTCCATTTCAGTTCCCCTCACCGCCTCGCCTTGAGACCCCAGCAGACATGACACCATCCTGCAAAAACAGAGTTGAGAACTGCCAGCCTGGTGCATCAAACCTTAAAAATTCAAAGCTAAAGTTAGAAATATAAAAACATCAAGAGATTAATTCTCCTACCCTAACTTGACAGAACTGATAAAGGAGGGAGAAGTCAGAAGCTGTACCCGGGAAGCAGTCGGACCGGGGCGGCCCCAAAGCCCTCTCTCTGCAGACACCAGGTGGGGCAGGCTGGCCCTCACTTCCCATCTCTGACTCCCGGCCCTGCTGATGCATGAAACTTTATATAAGCGAAACCTGAGTCCACCCGCTCAGCCCTCCCGCTCCCCAACCAGCAGCTGTGTGCACTCAGCAGCTGCGCCCAGATCTGGCGCTGACCAGAGGGCCCTGGAAGCCACGTTCAGCAGGCCCACCAACCCAGACAATGGTGGTCTGTCCAGAGTGGGATGCAGAGGCTGCCAGCCCCCGAAAGTTGCAAGAGTCTGCCCTGTTGTGAGAATTAACCCGTGTTCCTGGATTTGGATGGCTCTGAGGTTCAAATCTTGGCTTACAGTCTTCTGGACACGATGGGGAAGGTTTTCAGTGTCAATCAACAAAACAGTAACTACTGCGTACTGAGGAATGACTTTGTGCCCAGCACATCTACTCATTTACCCTGGTAATGACCTCACTGCCCCCACCAGTGGATATCATTCATCTCATTTTTAGGAGGAAGAAACTAGGACTCCGAGAGGTTAGACAGGTGCCGGAAGTCACAGAGCAAATGGCTGCGGGAACAAAGCCAGGTGTGCCTGACTCTGAAGCACGCAGAGGACCGGGTCTCCCAGTGTCTCCAGGCAGGGACCCGTGGGTTCGGGGGATGCCAGTCCTCCCATCTCCCAGCGATGCACGTGGTAGAGTTGCGTGCCCAAAGGGATGATGTGCCTCTGCCACCTCCCTCGTGCAGTGAGAGACGCGTGGGCGTCAAGCCTACACAAGACTCCAATCCAAACGGCTAAAATCCACCCTACACAAGAACAAACGGCTCTGCCCCCACTCACCTCACAGCCCCCATCGCCTCCACTCTTTACATTTTAGAGTGATCAGTGGCCTCTAAAGGGAGAGAGATGTTCGTGTGTACATAGTACTTGAATTTTAAAAGTGTGTGTGGTGTAGATGCACACAGTTTGAAATCTTGGACTAAGTGGAAATCTGGTAAGCCCTACAGAGTAGGGAAGCCCAGAAACTACAGTGAGTTATTGGATGGTACAGGAACACGGAACACACGTTCTGCGGCCGGGGAGAAAGGCCCAGACACAGACTTCTGCAGGAGCTTCTGCAGGTTCCCCCAGGGCAAGGGGCCCTACCCTGGGTGCCTTTGGGGTCTGTCTACTGAAGGGCAGAGCTGCTTCCAGATGTCCCGAGAAGTGAGACACCTGCAGTGGCTCCAGGCACTCCTGAGGGCTCCCACTCTGCCCCTGTGGCCGGTGACCTGAGCCAGCCCCTCCAGTCCTCACTTTTGTCCCCCCTGGGTGCTCAGTTACACTGCTGCCTCCGTCTCCTTTCCTGATCTGGTTTGTAAATTTCTGAAGGCAGTGGTTGCGAATCTTCCCCTAAGTTCAGTATAGGTGGCAGAATCAGTCTTGTTTTCCATGAGAAAGCTCACAGTCTTGAGCTGGAATCTTCCGCCTCCGAGTGCAGCCAGATGACCTGGGGCAAAGCTAACTGCCAGACCTCAGGGTCCTCATCTGCAGTATGGGTATTGCGAGGGACAGCGCCTGCAAACGAGAGGAGCATGCTGCCTGCCATGCTGGGCAGACATCTTATTCTCTTTTAAGATGTATAGAAAGGCAGGCAGTGCCTAAAGAAAGGAGGCGAGCAGGCAGATTCTGGAGTGACTTCTATTAATAGAATGAGGGCCGGGTCCTGAGATGGCATCCTTTGGACTGGGCTTGGAGAGTTCACAGAGCAGCTGCCCCTGAGAAAATGGAATGCCACATGTGCCAGCACTCCTTCCCCCACTCCCTCAACCCCCGTCAGACGTGTCTGTGTGTGCGTGTGTGCGTGTCTATGTACACGCATGTGTCTGTGTGTGTGTGTATTTACATGCATGTGTTTACGTATGTGCATGTTTGTGCAGGCATGCATGCGTGTGTGCATAAGTTCGTGTGTGCACATGCATGTGCAAGTGTGCATGTATGCGTGTGTGTATGCTTGTGTGTGTGCTCTCCTGTGTCTGTGTGATGCCAACATAAACACTAGTTTCTAGTCTGGTTCTCAGGAAATCTCTTCAGGCACTCCTGATTTAAATTGAATTTCAGTTTGTTTGCTTTCTTTTTAGTGAGCCAGCAAATGCAGTTCCAGCTACCTTCTTCCCTAGGCCTGAAACCCAAACAAGAATCACACTGGTTCAGGGTTGAGACAGGACTATAAAGTCACATGCTTCAAAAGGAAATGTTTATTATTGCAAAATTCACTATTCTGGAACCATATTCAGGGTAGTTTAGTTAGAAGCAACTTGATATAACCAGTTATTCAGTTTGCAGGGTTTAAAGAAGTCTCCTTAAAAACACAGTCTGGAGATACCATATTATAACTTCTCTATAAGTGACTTAGCCAATCAACAAGTCTTTATGACGGCTACAGGTCACGGGCCTGAGTGAGAACCTTACCCTACCACCACATGTGATCACTCATCACGTTCTTTTTAGGGCCAAAGGACCTAAGAAAAGGCACATTTCTAGCAGGTGAGCACTTCTGCTTCTCCTCACCCCAGCCCCTAACCAACCCCAGAATCCTGACACTGAGCAGAAAGTGAGTCTCCAGTTTACCTAGAAAAAAGTATTTCCTTTTTTCCTATGCAACATCAGATTTGCTGATTTTCTGCAAGCCTGTGGAAAATCACCTAGGGCTGCCAGGTTACAGTTTGGGAAATGCAAACCATATTCTTACCCACACGTCAGCAAAGTCTTGGGTCTGACCTGC
Source organism: Homo sapiens (assembly GCF_000001405.40). Taxonomy (NCBI): domain Eukaryota; kingdom Metazoa; phylum Chordata; class Mammalia; order Primates; family Hominidae; genus Homo; species Homo sapiens. The sequence goes on along the minus strand of NC_000013.11, from coordinate 111,119,587 downwards.
TCAAATGCTGGTCTTTTTAGCTCCTTGATTCTTTTGCTCCTTCTCATCCATATCTGACATTACGACTCTTGACTTCCTTCTGCCTCATGCTGTTCTTGTCTTTCGAGTTACATTTTCTGTACTGGAACCCCCAAGACTCTATTATTTAGGTTTTGCAATCTCCCCTAGCACCTGGCATTGTGCAATCAGATCAATAGCTAATAAACTGATCTGGTTCAAATGTAGAAACAACCTGTCATGAGCTGAACTGTGCTCCTCCAGCATTCGTATTTTGAAGTCCTAACCCCCAGTATCTCAGGATGGGGCCTTATTCAGAAATGAAGTTAATGCAGATGTAATCGGTTAAGATGAGGCCATACTGGGGTAGGGTGCCCCTAATGCAATTCCACTGATGTCCTGCTAAAAAGGAGGAATTTGGACACAGAGAAGAAACCACAGCACGGACATCATGTGAAGATTGGACTTGTGTTGCCACAAGCCAGGAACTACCAGAAGCCTGAGAGTGGCCTGGGACAGACCCCTCCTTGGAGCCTTCTGAGGGCACGAGGCCCTGCAGGTACCTTAATCCCAGACTTTGGGCCTCCAGAGCTGAGAGACAAATGCCTCCACATCCAGCACTAAGACCCGAGGCAGCGTCTGATTTTCAATTACATTCCACAAACACCTAGCCAGGGTTCTCGGGAGCACATCACATGGATTACACAGGAAGGTTCTCTGTGTTCTGTTCTCCTGGGACACACAGAGAAAGAACCAAGTTCCTTGAGTTTTTTATAGTGAGTTAAGAGACTTCATTTGTTGCATTCACAAGTGAAATTAAAAGAGCATTTCATGATTTCCATGATTTTAATGTGTTGTATTAGTCTTATAGAAATTTTCCATCCTCTACAATTCATGTATCTTGATTTCACCTCCTTTGACTAAATACCCTAGGGATGTTTAAAGTGAATTTGTGAGAAAAGGGCTTCCAGGGCTCCCTAGACGTCATGACCTCTGCTCACGGGAGGAGTGTGGGAAGCCGAAGACATGGGCAGCCCAGCCAAACATCCTGACCCCTCCTGGAGAAAACCAAAGTGCAGGATCTCCAGATACAGAGAAGGCGAAAACTTTTTAATCCCATTTTCCTCTCCCCTACAGCAGAAAACATCTGTCCAGTATAATGAAAAGTGTCTCTTTTCTGAACTGTTCATGTAAAGTTTATAATTCCATCTTCTCACTGTCTAACCTTCCACCTTAAAAGCAAAGCGGGAACCTGGGTGGAAAGTTTCCTTTAAATGAGCAGAAGAATCTGACACGCCGTGAACGTCCTCTCTGCTCCCTCCACCCTCTTCCTAACTCTGAAACAGAACAAATGAGCGTAATGGAAGAAACACATTAGGGCATGGTTTCTTAATAAAAGACATATGGGAAGCCCGAGGCACCCAGCCACGTTTTAGTTCTGCCCTCATCCCCAGCCTCATGGCCCATGCCAGGTTGTGAGCCTGCAGAGGCGAAGGCTGCAGGCCACTTGCCCTCCGCTCACTGGCTGTCAGGGCACTCCTGCAGCAGAGGTCAAGCGAAGCCCCTGTCATGTCCACATGAACATTCAGTTAAGTTTCCAAATGCTTCTTTTTAAGGAAAAAACATCCTCAGACTCACATTCCCACATTTAAGTAAAAGTTATTCAGCATGTGTGCTTTGTGGCATAGATTATCTGGTAAGCATGAAAACACCAAAAACCCAGATAACTGGCTGGGCGTGGTGGCTCACGCCTGTAATCCCAGCACTTTGGGAGGCCTAGATGGGACAATCCCTTGAGGCCCGGAGTTCAAGACCAGCCTGGCCAACATAGCAAGAACCCATCTCGAAGGAAGGAAGGAAGGAGAAAGAAAGAGAGAGAGAGACAGAGAGAGAGAGAGAAAGAAAGAAAGAGAAAAAGAAAAGAAAGAAAGAAACCCAGATAACTCTGCCTAGCAAATGGAAAAAGCTCACAAAACTTCTGAAACACAGGGATCTCAGAGGCAGAAAACGGCTAATATTTTACTCCAAAAACCTACCTTTGAACTCCAGAGAACCAGTAACTGTGTCTACAATACGCTGCCTTCACATTAAACTTTCATTGTGACAGAGTCAGTTTAACACAAACCAACTGGAGCTCAGGGGGAATCAAAAACAGCTCTGACCTAAGAAATTTCCAGATGACTGTAGTTTTAGAATATGTTGAGTTGTTTCAACTTGGCTTCTGCAAGCTCAACATTTTATTCGTTCTTCTCTTTGTTGTTTTAGAGATGAAATGAACGCTACGGTTTTCTAGGAAAATCTTTCTATAATTTAAAAGAAAATGATTATTGAAGTCGGCCAATCAATATTAATACAGTTAATATGCCAAACAACATATTCTTTGATGGCGACATGTTTTTATCAATACAGCATATGACACTTCTTAAAGCTTTGCTCTTAGGGATGGAACAGAATTTTATTTAAGCCTATTTTGGTGAACTTTGCATGCATTTCAACACTTTTCAACATCTGTCTTTCATTACCAGAGGTACCAGTATCCAAACAGCAAAGTATTTTGAATGCCTTGAAAGTCAGCTCCTGCTCCTCAGTCCTCCTGTCTTAAATCATAATTTCACTGTGACATCAGGTTCATTTTTAAGGAACATTTTTATTTCATGGACAGGCAGGCAGCCATTCACTCTAATATGCAGATTCTGTTTTCATAAAGATGTTCCAAGTAAGAAAAATAGCTAAAAGTGGAATGCAAGCCAAATTCATATTAAATAAAATGTTTTCTGACCTCATTTAAAATGTAGCAAGAGAATATGTACATGTGAATGAAAAAAATTAAACATTTTACTTTTTCAAGTCACTTACGTGGCATTTTATTTACAAGTTGTTGTCATCCTGTATGGGGGCCAATACACCCCACTTAAAAACTGAAATCCTTCTTCCTAATTATGGTACACTTCAATTTCTATATTTAACACCTTTTAAATAACTGTTGATCTTAACGCTATATATTGGCCACCCCCACCCCCACCCCACCCCCCGAAGAAACACCCTGGGAATAAGATTTTAGTATTTTGAGCTACAGGGAGACATCGTTTTTAGAAACTCTCCTGCCTCCTCGGCCCTGCTGGCCGGCTTGTGGGCGATGAAAACAAACTTTAATCACTTCCAGAGATTCGGGTCAGGGTTCACACGCTCCAGCCTGGGAACCACCAGCCGGAAGGGAGAAGCAGTGCCTGCAGGACTAAAGGTTCTGTTCAGAACGAGGGAGGGACCTGAGAACGAAATCTAGAATTTTAACAAGCCTTGAAGAGTGCCAGGACTTAGACCCTGTGTCTGCCGTCCTCTCGGCTCGGATAGGTGGGGAATTTTCTCGAGGGGAAAGTAGTAGATCGTTTCACAGCGCAGCCCTCAGCTACAGATGCGTGCCTCTTTAAAAATACAGAGCAACCGGTCAATTAACCTGGGAGGCGAAACTCACGCAACGCCACCGGCAAGAACTGTCCACACAAAGCCAGCGGAGTGAGCCGCACCGCGTCGGAACGCGGTTTCCGATGCGGCTGCTGCCAGGGAGCGGGGCCGGCCCCCCACGCGGAGGGGCAACTTAGCGTTCGGGCGGCGCAGAAGCCCCGTCTCCTCGCTGCGGTGCACTCTCCTTCCCGGGGACCCCCGCCGCCCGCGCCGCCCCTCCCCCCGACCCCGCTCCCCGGCCCCCTCCCCCTGCCCCGCACACAATGGCGCCCCCCGAGCTCCCGCCACGGTCCTGGCGCCGGCCGCGCCGCCGCTCCGCGCACAAAGGAGGGCGCACGGGTTTCCCGAGCGCGGCCGGCCTCAGGTGCTCCGCGCGCATCCCGGGCCGCAGCGGGCCGGACCGGGGGGCGCGGGCGGGGGCGCGGGCCGGGACTTACTTTCTCGATGGTCCCGGGGAGCAGGCGCTCCAGCAGCCTGCAGAGGACCACCCCATCCTTCAGCGACGCCTGCAGAAAGCCCTCCGGGTCCGAGATGGTTTTTTTGGGCGACTCCAGCACCCCCAGAGTGATGAGCCACGTAACGGTTTGCTCGGCGGAATTCATCGCTGCGGCCCGGGAGGCAGGCGGGGAGGGGCGCGCGCCTTCACCTCGGAGCGGCGGCCCGGCCCGCGGCCCCCGCCGCCGCCGCCGCCGCCTCGCCCATCGAGCGGCCGGCGCCGGCGATTGGCTCGGCGCGGCCCAGCAGGTCCGGCCCGGCCCGCTTCTCCGTGCGCCCCGGCCCGCTGTCAGGCGCCTTCTCAGGAGCGGCTCGGGAACCTGCGGGCGCCCGCCGCCGCCCCCCGGCCTCGGCCGCCGTCGCCCAATGACATCACCGCCAGGAGAAGAAAGACGCGGCCGTCCGCCCGGCCCGCGCCCGGCCCGCGCCGCCCCGCGCCCTGCGCAGCCTCCGCTCCAGGCCGTGCGCGGGGCGGCGGCGGCGGCTGGGAGCGGGCGGGGAAGGGAAAGGGGAAGGGGAGCGGGGAGCGGATGGGGAGGGAGCCGGGGGTGGGGGCGGGCGCGCACCTGCGCTTACCTGCCCCGGGCCCGCCGTGCGCCCCGCGCCCCTGGCCGGGGCACTCGGAAGCCTTTGTTTATGTTTTGAATTCGTGAGCGTTGAAATGATGAAGTACTTCCCAGAATGCTCTTTTTATTTTTGCCGGTTTTATTTCAAGGTGGCGGGGACAGGCTGAAAACGAGACGTTTGTTTCGCTTTGCTACCTTGCAAGCCGGTCATGACGGAACAGAAATGATGGTTCCATCTGAAGCCATATGGGTCTGAATCGGGAGGAACCGACTCTCCGGAGCGCGGCGCCGACCTCACCGGCAGGGCAGGGGCCTGCGCGACTCTGCTCTAGACGGACGGTGACGCTTCAGACCCTGCCGGGGGAAGGTCAAGGAAACGGCGTGGCCTGAAGTGGGGCTGTGCAGAGGGCCGGGCCGGGCCGGGCCGGGCGCCTGGCTGCGTCTCGGGGACGCCGAAGATCTGGGCTGTGAAAGCAGCAGGCCGAACCTGGAGAGCCCAGACGGCAAGTGTCGCGTCATGCGCGAGCTTCCTCGAACAACTGATGACACGCACACATTGACATGCGAGGAAGAAATGGAGCCTCTTCTTAAAAGGACACGAGTCTCCACTCACTCCATCCACTGTCCCTGGGCGCTCCCCCAGTTTGCTCGCTATGACCCGCGGGCAGTTTAACAAGCAAAGCACTTAGTCTATGCCAGGCACATACATTAATCCATTCAATGACAAAGGCTAGAAAGCATATAAAGCTTCCAAAAATAATCAGAGGCTTAAGTCGTCTCCCCCTGCCTTCTGCCGGTGGATTTCTCTTGCAATCACTAATTGCTTTTATTTCTAGCCTTGAGTTAAGTGGTTAAAATTTTCTTTGCAAATACAAAAAATATTCAAATGGCAGTATGAATTCTGGATTACGAGGACAATGTGCTCAGTGATAACAGCGACTGGTTAGGAACCGTCACAAAGTGCTGTCTACTGCCTCGCCTCCCATCATGGTCCCCTTTTACTGATCAGATGCCGAACAAGTGGCAGAGATAAGACCCAAAGCTCGGCTCCTACCAGGAAAGGCATACCTAACCCGTTTCCTACTGCTGCCCTATAAGCTTTCTAGGAAACAGGAGGGCAATTAACAGCTACATCAAGGCTTGTACCCAGTGTCTTCGTGGAAGGAAAGATGTCAACCCGGGGCGTGGTTGTACACCGAGACTTCTGTTCACTTTCCTTACTGCTGAATTAGAGAAATAATTTAATGCAGTCCTTACCATTTCGAATCCTACTAAATTCGGTTTGATACTTATAAGGTGGTAGACTTGAGTAAGATTCAAATAGACTCAATTAAATGGTCCTATAGAAAGCCAATTCTAGGGAGTGACCTTACGAGACCAGTGAAGCAGAGAGCCAATTCTTGTCGGACTGGAGACCCACAGTCCAGGTATTACAACTCGTCTTTTCTTGGTGGGGAGAAGCCCAGACTTTTAAACACTTTATGGTTACTAGTTGCGTTCTTTTATGTTGGGTATTTATTAATTTCAGAAAAAGAGTTTACTTGGAAGGGATTTTAGAAAGTAACATTGCTCAAAGCTAGATATTTTTAGGTGCTTAATTGAGTTGTTTTAGTATCCAAAGTGGGCATTTTGGTTAAACTTTCCTTAGCACTTTTCCAGGTTCCTATTACAGAGGCCACGCGGAGTGCAATCTGGTGCCCATCACTTTTGGGCTATTGGGTTAGCTCGAGTTAAGACTATTGTCTAAGGGGAAGTTTAGCCCTTTCTGTGGCTCTCCTCTGGACTTGCCTCAAGAGGTGGAGAATGGCTTTCCACGCAAGCCTGTGGCTTCGCTTCCTTCGTTTCTAATGAGAGAATGTCAGCCTCACACCCAGCTTGGCTGCTTGCTAGTGCCTGGTAGGCACCTTCCACATCACTGTTAGGAGTTCACGCACAAACCCTACTGCAAACCAGTTACCACCCAAAGCTCAGCTGAACCCTGCCAACTCAGCGTGTGTGGGGTCACTATAAAAATGCCAAAATCTAAAAAATAAGGCAAAATTCACTCCAAACTTAAGCTGGACAATCAGATGACCATTTACCTAGAGTGGGTAGTAATCACTCCCTGTAGAACTACCCTTATCCAACTGGACCCTGTCTAGATTGGAGAATGCACTACGAAGTGGCTCTATGCAGCTCATTGTATCTGCTGTGTGTTATTGTATGAAACAAGGTCCTGTTCATTTGGGATAAATATGATCAAATGCTAAAATTAAAAGATGCAAGGCAGGAAACATTAATTTATCAACACATATGGCTGGAGGAGTATGCAGGATCAGAAAGCATTTGACCAGTATAGTATATTATGAAACATGATGCCAACAAGACGCTTCTCCTGGTTGGGTTTCCCCCAGAAGCAGACCCTGAGCCCACAAATTGGGTGCAAGTGGCTTGCTAGGGAGTGACCCCAGGAAGGACAGTGAGGAAGGGGAGTGAAGCAGGTAAGGGAGTCAAGGGGTGAAAATGAGCACTAGGGCTCTGTTCCCCTGGGGGGCCCTTGAGAAACAAGTGGAACAGGTCTCAGCACCTTCTGGCCAGAGGGCAGGAAGGCTGACTTTACCCATGGACTCTGGATTGAGGGCTCCCCCACCAGTGACCTCTGATTCAGCAGAGCCCAACGTATCTTTTGGGGGACAATTCAACTGCAGGCATTAGCGTTATTTCATAAGCCAGCGCTTCCACCGCACCTGCTCCACATGCCAGTTCCGCACAGGTGAGCGGCACAGTCACTGTGATGGTGCAGAATGGGCGTGGGAGATTGCCACTCATGGCGCATCAACAATGGCATCTGTGACAGTGAGTTTTATGTGTCAACTTGACGAGGCTACAGGGTGCCCAGACATTTGGTTAAATATTATTCTGGGTGTGTCTGCGAAAGGGGGTTTTGGGATGTAATGAACATTTGAGTAAAGTAGATGGCCCTCCCCAATGTGGTGAGCTTTATCTAATCAGTTGAAGACCTGAATAGAAAAAAAGACTGACCTTCCCCAAGTAAGGGAGGATTTTCTCTGGTTCTTCAGCCTGTGGGCCCCCTGCAGAGCAGATGTGCCCACCTCCATAGTCACATGAGCTGCTTCCCTGTAATAAGTCTCTCTCCCCTCCCTCTGTCTCCCTTTCTCCCAATTGATCAGTTGGTCAATGGAAAGAGATTCTATTGGTCTGTTTCTCTGGAGAACGCTGACTGACACAGTGTCCTAAGGCCGTGCCATCTGGCTGGGGAGAGATGTGTCTTGGGATTCTCCCCCTGGGCATCTGCTTTCCAAGGTCCCCTCTGATACCATCTGCCTTGGTTTGTCCCCTCCTGTCCCCGAAGGCAGACCCTGAGCCAGGGCTTCAGTGCAGGCTGCCTATTTGGGAAGTGACCATGAAAAGCACAAAGGAGAAAATGGGACGATGGGACAGGGAAGGGGAGAAGCTAAACACAAGGCTGCCTTGTTGGCAGGTTATTGCTACGGGAACCTGGGCTGCAGTCCTACTGGGGCCTATGCATTTCTGGGAGAGGCCGTAACAAAGTCTCACAAGCTGGGCGGCTCAAATAAAAAGAAATATATTCTCTCCCATTTCTGAAGTTTGGAAGTCTGAAGTGAAGGTGTGGGCAGGATTGGTTCTTTCTGGGGCCCAGAGGGAGAATCTGCTGCAGGTTTCTCTCCCAGCTTCTGTGGGTGGCCAGCCATCCAAGGGAACCTCCTTGTACTGGGTATAAATCGCCCTAATCTCTGCCTCTGTGTTCACATGGACTTTTCTCCCTCTCTGTGTCAGTGTCTGAATTTCTCTCTTCTTATAAGCATGCTAGTCACTGGGTGAAGACCCACTCTGATCTGGGATGGCCTCATCTTGGCTTGATTGTATCTGTGAAGAACCTATTTCTAAATAAGGTTGCATTTACAGGTACTCGGAGTTAGGATTTCAACATATCTTTTGGTGGACAATTTTACTCCCAATAGTGCCCTTTGAGAAATCAGGACCCTGCCCCAGAAATATTACATGAGAGGAAGGGGAAGTGGAACTTACTATCATCACTCAGAAGGAACGTGGTGTCCTGGGATCTCTGTGATGCAGGATCGATTGGTGCATTCTGGTGTTACTATCCAGATCCATCCATTATGATTCCACCCATCATCATCTATTTGCTTCAGCAACTATTCATAATTCCTACTAGATTCAGTGTTTCATTCAGAATTGCCATATCTTGATAAGTCCTTCAGTTATATTTCAGCTAGAATTCTGCAAGAGGTACTGTTCTTTATCAGCTATATGTGTACTCTGAAACGTAGTTCCTACAGGAAAGGCAAGATAAATGCTCACTCATTTTCCATTGTTTACCACTTTTCAGCATCACGAGTTGGTGCTCCAGCATCCTGCAGAGGAGACCAGTGATTTTTCTGAATACCATTATGAATTCACAGACTTTGAAAAACACATTTGATACATTTCAATTTCTTATTTCCCTCTTCTTAATTTCTCTTTTTGGAATTCTTGGGAGACCTTTCTCCATGAGTCTCTTCCACTTCTGAATATCTGAGCAGAGGTAATGACAGCTTTTGTTGCAGACTATATTTTCAAAAGTCTTTTAAAGCAAACAGCCTTGGAAAGTAGATATACTGTTCCCCTTTTGGGAAGAGGACAAATTTGCTTGCCAACCAGTAGATTTAAAAAATGTCTGTCTCTGGGAGAGTTTGAGCAGGTTTGCTTGCAGTGCCTTTAAAGACTAGGGTTGCCCAAGCTTGAAGTCCCTTAGCTGTGACACAAGCCCACCATGCCTGCAGCCTTCCCCTGGGCCACCTCTGCATGGCCTCATGGGACTCAGAAGCAAGGAGCCTGTTATGAACCTGAAGCCCATGCTGCCTGCTCAGCCAGGGTTCATATGGTCGTTTGTTTCTGACCCAGGAGTCTCGTGTCTTCTTCCAGCATCCATGAAACTGTGGCTGACTGTCTTAGTTTGTAAGTTGGGTAAAAGCTCAGATCCATTCTAGTTCTTCACAGTGCCTTTATTCATTTCTCAAGATGAATGCTCAATTACCCTTTTCCTTCTAAATATAACTTTCACTGTGTCCCATGAGTTTTATTAGAAAGTACATTCTTTTCCATTGCTTCCAAGGGGATTTATAAGTTCCCTTTCGATTTCCTCTTTGGCCAAATCCTTTCAATTTTTTAAATAGATAAATAATAGATGTACATATTTGGGGGTTACATGTGATAATTTAATACATTCATATAAAGATTTATTGTAAAGATCAAGTCAGTGTAATTGGGATATCCATAACCTTAAATATTTGTCTTTCCTTTATACTAGAAACATTTGAATTATTCTCTCCTAGCTATTTTGAAATATGTAATAGATTATTGTAAATTATAGTCACTCTACTGATCTATCAAACACTAGGTCTTCTTTCTCCTATCGAACTATATTTTGGTATGCATTAAGGAACCTGTCTTCACCCCTCGCTCCCCTCCACCCTTCCTGTCCTCTGCTAACCACCGGTCTACTCTCTGTCTCCATGAGATCCACTTTTTTAGTTCTCACATATAAGTGAGAGCGTGCCATATTTGTCTTTTTGTGCCTGGCCTATTTTACTTAACAAAACGACCTCTAGTTTAATCCATGTTACTACAAAAAAATTTCATTCTTTTGTATGGATGAACAAAATTTCATAGTTTATATATACCACTTTTTAAAAATTTCATTCATCTGTGTTTTGTTTTGTTTTGTTTTGTGACAAAGTCTCACTCTGTTGCCTAGGCTGGAGTACAGTGGCGTGACTGCAGCTCACTGCAGCCTTGATGCCCTTGGCTCAAGTGATCTTACCACCTTAGCCTCCCAAGTAGCTGGGACTACAGGAATGTGCCACCATGCCTGGCTAATTTTTTTGTATTTTTTGTAGAGGTGGGTTTTTGCCATGTTGCCCAGGCTGGTCTTGAACTCCTAGCCTCAAGCAATCTGCCCACCTTGGCCTCCCAAAGTGCTGGGATTACAGGTGTAAGCCACCACACCCAATCTTATTCATCTGTTGATAGACATTTAAGTTGATTCCATTACCTTGGCTATTGTGAACAGTGCTACAATAAACGTGGAAGTGTAGATATCTCTTTGATATATTGATTTCCTTTCTTTTAGTTTTTTTGTTTTGTTTCGTCTTGAGTCAGAGTCTCGCTCTGTCACCCAGGCTGGAGTGCAGTGGTCTGATCTCAGCTCATTGCAACTTCTGCCTCCCGGGTTCAAACAATTCTTATGCCTCAGCCTCCTGAGTAGCCGGGACTACAGGTGCCCACCATCATGCCCCACTAATTTTTGTATTTTTATTAAAGATGGGGTTTCACCATGTTGGCCATGCTGGTGGAACTCCTGACCTCAGGTCATCTGCCCACCTTGGCCTCCCAAAGTGCTGGGATTACAGGCATGAGCCACCGTACTTGGCTCGATTTCCTTTCTTTGGGATATATACCCAGCAGTGGGATCGCTGGATCATATGGTAGTTCTATTTTTAGTTTTTTGAGGAACTTCCATACAGTTTTCCACAGTGGCGGTACTAAATTACATTCCCACCAACAGTGTATGAGGGTTCCCCCTCTTTGACCAAATCTTTATCTAGGAACATGTTTTCTTAATTATCAATGACTTCAGAGTTCATCGGCCATTGATTGAGATTAGGCAATCAAGCCTATATATTCCTACTCTCTAAAACTTGCTAGGATTTTAAATATTTCATGAACTTATGAAAAAATGTGTATACTCTGTTCAAGAGAATATGCAATTATATTACAAAAAGTTTTTGTAATTTATTAAAACACTTTTTATCCTGAAATAATTTTATATTCACAACAGGTTTCAAAAAGTAAGAGAGTTCCCATGTGCCCTTCACCCAGCTCCTTTGATGATAATGTCTCACATAACCAGAGTATGCTTTCAAAATAAGGAAATTGATGTGGGTACAATACTATTAACTAAACTATAGACATTATTTGGACTTCACCAGTTTTTACATGTACTGTATGTCTATGTGTGTAGATAGTTCTATAAATTTTACCACATGCATAGATTCTTATAACCACTGCCACAATCGGGCCACAGAATTCTTCCCAAAACTACAAAAAACAAAAACAAAAAACTTCCCTTTAGCTACTTTTTCAGACTCACACTGTGCGCCATTGAGGCTTTTTTGTTTTGTTTTGTTTTGTTCTGTTTAGACAGTTTTTGCTCTATTGCCCAGGCTGGTCTCAAACTCCTGGGCTCAAGCAATCCTACCATTTTAGCCTCCCAATAGCCAATTGAGTTTTTAAATTTTTTCCTGTTCCCACCTTTTTTGTCTATTAGAAATGTCGACTCTCATGGACATACTTTTTTTTAACTTTTATTTTAGGTTCAGGGGTACATGTGCAGGTTTGTTACATATGTAAATATGTAAATTACATACCATGGGGGTTTGCTGTACAGATTATTTCATCCCTCAGGTAATTAGCATAACACCTGATAGGCAGTCCTTTGATCCTCTTCCTCCTCCCACCTTCCAACTTTAAGTGGGCCCCAGTGTCTGCTGTTCCATTCTCTGTGTCCATGTGTATTCAATGTTTAGCTCCCACTTACAAGTGAGAACAAGTGTAGTATTTGGTTTTCTGTTCCCACATTAGTTCCCTTAGGATAATGGCTTCCAGCCCCATCCATGTTGCTGCAAAGGATGTGATCTCCTCTTTTTATGGTTGCATAGTATTCCATGGTGTATATGTACCACATTTTCTTTAACCAGGCTACAACTGATGGACATTTATGTTGATTCCATGTCTTTGCTCTTGTGAATAGTGCTGCAGTGAACACGCATGTGTATGTGTCTTTGTGGGAGAACGATTTATATTCCTTTGGGTGTATACCCAATAAAGGCATTGCTACATCAAATGGTACTTCTATTTTAAATTCTTTGAGAAACCATCAAACTGCTTTCCACAATGATTGAACTAATTTGCATTCCCACCAGCATTGTATAAGTGCTCCCTTTTCTCCACAACCTTGCCAGCATCTGTTATTTTCTGATTTTTTAATAATAGTCATTCTGAATGGTGTGAGATGATATTTCATTGTGATTTTAATTTGCATTTCTCTAATGATTAATGATGTTGAGCATTTGTTTTGTATCCTTGTTGGCCGTGTGTATGTCTTCTTTTGAAAAATGTCTGTTTACATCCTTTGCCCATTTTTTAATGGGGTTGTTTTTTGCTTATTAGTTTGTTTAAGTGCCTTGTAGATTCTGGATATTAGACCTTTGTCGAATGCATAGTTTGCAGTTATTTTTTTCCCATTCTGTAGGTTGTCTTTTTACTCTGTTGAGAGTTCCTTTTGCTGTGCAGAAGCTCTTTAGTTTAATTAGGTCCTATTTGTCAATTTTTGTTTTTTTGCAACGTTTTTGGCATATTCATCATGAAATCTTTGGCAGGGCTATGTCCAGAAGGGTATTTCCTAGGTTATCTTCCAGGGTTTTTAGTTTTAGGTTTTACATTTAAATCTTTAATTCATCTTGAGTTGGTTTTTGTATATGGTGTAAGGAAGGGTTCTAGTTTCGATATTTCGCATATGACTAGCCATTTATTGAATAGGGAGTCCCTTCCCCATTGCTTGTTTTTGTCGACTTTGTTGAAGATAAGATGGTTGTAGGTGTGTGGTGTTATTTCTGGGCTCTGTATTCTGTTCCATTAGTCCAGGTAACTGTTTTTGTACAGTACCATGCTGTTTTGGTTACTGTAGCCTTGTAGTAGAGTTTGAAGTCGGGTACAGTGATTCCTCCAGCTTTGTTCTTTATGCTTAGGATTTCCTTGGCTACTTGAGCCATTTTTTTGATCCATATGAATTTTAAAATAGTTTTTCTTTGTTCTGTGAAGAATATCATTGGTAGTTTGGTAGCAATGGCATTGAATCTATAAATTGCTTTTGGCAATATGGCCATTTTAACAATATTGATTCTTCCTGCCCATGATCATGGAATGTTTTTCCATTTGGGTCATCTCTGATTTCTTTGAACAATGTTTTGTAATTCTCATTGAAAAGATCTTTCACCTCCCTGGATTAGTTGTATTCCTAAGTATTTTATTCTTTTTGTGGCTATTGTGAGTGGGATTGCATTTGCTTTTTTTTTTTTTTCCTTTTTTTTTTTTTTCTTTTTTGAGACATGGTTTCACTCTGTCACCCAGGCTGCAGTGCAGTGGTGTGATCATGGTTTACTGCAGCCTCAACCTCCTGGGCTCAAGCAATTCTCCCATTTCAGCCTCTCACGTAGCTAGGACTACAGACACAAGCCACCACACTCAGCTAATTTTTAATTTTGTAGAGATAGGGTCTCCCTCTGTTGCCCAGGCTGGTCTTGAATTCCTGTGCTCAAGCAATCCTCCTACCTTGTCCTTCCAGAGTGATGGGATTACAGGCATGAGCCACCACGCCTGGCCAGATCATGTTCTTGATTTGGCTCTCAGCTCGGACATTGTTTGTGAATAGAAATGCTACTGATTTTTGTACATTGATTTTATATCCTGAAACTTTGCTGAAATTGTGTAGCAGATCTAGGAACTTTTGGGCAGAGACTATGGATTTTCTAGGTACATAATCATATTTTCTACAAACAGAGAGAGTTTGACTTACTCTCTTCCCGTTTGCATGCCTTTTATTTCTTTCTCTTGCGTGACTCCTCTGGCTAGGACTTCCAGTACTATGTTGAATAGGAATAGTGAAAGTGGGTATCCTTGTCTTGTTCTGGTTCTCAAAGGAAATACTTCAAGCTTTTGCCCAGTAAGTATGATATTGGCTGTGGGTTTGTCACAGATGGCTCTTATTCTTTTGAGGTATGTTCTTTCAATGCCTAGTTTGTAGAGGGTTTTTAACGTGAAGGGATGTTGAATTTTATCAAAAGCCTTTTCTGTTTCTATTGAGATGACCAGGTGGTTTTGTTTTTGGCTTTTTTAAATAAATAAAATAAAAATAAAATCACTTTATTGATTTGCATATGTTGAACCAACCTTACATTCCAGTGAGAAAACCTACTTGATTGTGTTGGATTAGCTTTTCAATATACTACTGGATTTGGTTTGATAGGATTTTGTTGAAAAGTTCTGCATCTATGTTCATCAATGATATTGGCCAGAAGTTTTCTTTTTTTGTTGTGTCTCTGCCAGGTTTTTATATCAGGATGACACCGGGCTTGTAGAATGAGTGAAGGAGGAGTCCCTCCTCCTCAATTTTTTGGAATAGTTGCAGTGGAATGGTACCAGTTCTTCTTTATACATCTGGTAGAATTTGGCTGTGCATCCATCTGGTCCTGGGCTTTTCCTGGTTGGTGGCCTTTTTAATATTGATTCAGTAAGAACTCATTATTGGTCTGTTTAAGGATTCAGTTTCTTCCTGGTTCAATCTTAGAAGGTTGTATGTTTCCAGGAATGTATACATTTCTTTTAGATTTTCTAGCTTGTGTGCATAGAGGTGTTCATTGTAGTCTCTGAGGGGGTTTTGTATTTATGTGAGTTTAGTGGCAATGTCCCCTTTGTCATTTCTCATTGTGTTTATTTGGATCTTCTTTATCCTTTTATTTATTAGTCTAGCTAGCAGTCTGTTAATCTTATTTATTATTTCAAAAAACCAGTTCATGGATTCATTGATCTTTTCTGTGGTTTTTCGCATCTTGATTTCCTTCGGTTCAGCTCTGATTTTGCCTCTTCCTTGTCTTCCGCTAGCTTTGGGGTTGATTTGTTCTTGTTTCTTTAGTTTCTCTAGGTGTGATGTTAGGTTGTTAATTTGAGATCTTTCTAATTTTTCGAGGTAGATGTCTAATGCTACTGACTTCCCCCTTAATGCATTAGCTGTGTCCCAGATATTCTGGTATGTTGTATCTTTGTTCTAATCAGTTTCAAATAATTTCTTGATTTCTGCCTTAATTTCATTGTTTACCCAAAAGTCATTCAGGAGCAGGTTGTTTAATTTCCATGTAATTATATGAGTTTGAGTAATGTTCTTAGAATTGATTTCTATTTCTATTTTTATTGCACTGTGGTCCAAGAGTGTGTTTGATATAATTTCAGTTTTTTAAAAATTTCTGAGGATTGTTCTGTGGCCAATTGTGTGGCTGATTTTAGAGTATGTGTTATGTGCAGATGAGAAGAATGTATATTCTGCTGTTTTGGTGTGGAGAGTTCGGTAGATATCTATTAGGCCTATTTGGTCAAATGTCAAGTTCAGGTCCCATATGCCTTTGTCAATTTTCTCCCTCAGTGATCTGTCTAATACCATCAGTGGGGTGTTGAAGTCTCCCACTATTATTGCGTGGTCATCTAAGTCTCTTCATTGGTCTGTAAAAACTTGCTTCATCAATCTGAGTCTTCCTATGTTGGGTGCATATATTTAGGATAGTCTTCCTGTTGAATTGAATCCTTTGCCATTGTCTAATGCCTCTGTTTGTCTTTGTTGACTGTTGTTGGTTGAAAGTTTGTTTTGTCTGAAATTAGAATTGTAACTCCTGATTTTTTTCTGTTTTCCATTTGCTCGCTAGATTTTTCTCCATCCCTTTACTTTGAGCCTATGGGTGTCATTGCAAGTGAGATAGGTCTCTTGTAGACAGCATATAGTTGGGTCTTGCTTCTTTATTCAACTTGCCACTCAGTGCCTTTTAACTGGGGCATTTAGTCCATTTACTTTAAAGATTAAATATTAATATGTGCAGGTTTGATCCTGTCATCATGTTGTTAGCTGGTTATTATGCAGACTTGATTGTGTGGTTGCTTTATGTCAATGGTCTATGTACTTAAGTCAGTTTTCATGGTGGCAGGTAACAGTCTTCCCTTTCCACATTTAGCATTCCCTTAAGGACCTCTTATAAGGCAGGCCTGGTGGTGGCAAATTCCCCTAGCATTTGCTTGTCTGAAAAGGATGTTATTTGTCCTTTACTTATGAAGCTTAGTTTGGCTGGATATGAAATTCTCAGCTGGAATTTACGTTTTTTAAGAATGCTGAATATAGGCTCCTAATCTCTTCTGGCTTATAAGGTTTCTACTGAAAGGTTTGCTGTTAGCCTGATGTGGTTCCCTTTGTAGGTGACCTGACCCTTCTCTCTAGCTGCCTTTAATATTTTTTCTTTCATTTTGACCCTGGGGAATCTGATGACTATGTGTCTTGGGGATGGTCATTGATATCATTTAGATATTTGTCCCTGCTCAAATCTCATGTTAGGATATAATCCCCAGTGTTGGAGGTGGGGTCTGGTGGGAGGTATTTGGATCATGGGGGTGGATCATTTTACTCACCATGAGTAAAAGCTTCCTGAGACCTCCCTAGAAGCAGATGCCAATGTTATGCTTCCTGTACTACCTGCAGAAACATGAGCCAATTAGTCCTCTTTTCTTATCAATTACCCAGTCTCAGGTATTTCTTTATACCAATGCAAGAACAACCCAATACAGTCATCTTGTGTACTATCTCACAGGGGTTGTCTGCATTTTCTGGATTTGAATGTTGGCCTCTCTAGCAAGGTTGGAAAAATTTTCATGGATGGTATCCTCAAATAAGTTTTCCAAGTTGCTTGCTTTCTCTCCCTCTTTCACTGATGCCAGTGAGTTGTAGATTTAGTCTCTTTCCATAATCCCATATTTCTTGAAGGTTTTGTTCATTCTTGTTTGTTTTGTTTTGTTTTTGTTGTTATTTTTGTCTGACTGAGTTATTTCAGAGAACCAGTCTTTTAGATCTGAAATTCTTTCCTCAGCTTGGTCAATTCTGCTGTTAATACTTTACATTGTATTATAATTTTTTTTTTTGAGACAAGGTCTTACTCTGTCACTCAGGCTGGAGTGCAGTGGTGTGATCTCAGCTCACTGCAACCTCCACCTCCCAGGCTCAAGTGATTTTCCTACCTCAGCCTCTTGAGTAGCTGGGGCTACAGGTGTGTGCTACCACACTTGGCTAATTTTTGTATTTTCTGTAGAGATGGGGTTTCTCCATATTGCCCAGGCTGGTCTGGAACTCCTGGGTTCAAGTGATCCACCTGTGCCAGCCTCCCAAACTGCTGGGATTATAGGTGTGAACTACCATGCCTGGCCTGTATTATGAATTTTTTTTTTTTTGAGATGGTGTCTCACTCTGTCGCCCAGGCTGGAGTTCAGTGGCACAGTCTCAGTTCACTGCAACCTCCATCTCCTGGGTTCAAGTGATTCTCCCACCTCAGCCTCTCGAGTAGCTGGGACTACAGGCCCGCACCATCATGCCAGACTAATTTTTGTATTTTCAGTAGAAACGGGGTTTCACCATATTGGCCAGGGTGGTCTCGAACTCCTGACCTCAAGTGATCTACTCGCCTCAGCCTCCCAAAGTGCTGGGATTACAGGCATGAGCCACAGCACCCGGCCATGTGATTCTTGAAGTGAGTTTTTTAGCTCTATCAGTTCAGTTCTTTCTTAAAACAGCCATTTTGTCTTTTATCTTCTGTATCATTTTATTGTATTCCTTAGATTCCTTGAATTGGTTTTCAACTTCCTCCTGAATGTCAATGCTTTTTATTCCTATCCATATTCTGAATTCTTTTTTCTGACATTTCAGCCATTTCAGCCTGGTTAAGAATCACTGTTGGGGAACTAGTGCAGTTATTTGCAGGAAAGAAGACATTCTGGCTTTTTGAGTTGCCAGAGCTCTTGCCCTGTTTTGTTTTTTTTTCTCATTTGTGTAGGCTGATGTTCTTATAATTTTTGAAACTGGTGTCCTTTTGATGGGGTTGTTTTTAGTTTCTTTGATGCCCTCGGGGGTTCGTTTGTGGTATAAGGTGGGTTCAGTCAACTGGCCTCGATTCTAGTCTACTATTGGGTCTTGGAGGAGGCCCCTTCAACCACTGTCTCCATGCCTATGCTTCTCTTATTGGGTGTTCTTGTCCATGGGGCTCCCTCAGGCAGGGGCCGCAGTTGGCAGAGAGGCCATACCCTTGTTGGGTCAGCCTTAATCTGCTGTCTGAGTGCCTCCTGAAGGAACACAAGGTTGTGCTTGCCAGCAGAGTTCAGGCAGAAGAGAGACTGCTGGGCTGAAAGCTCTAGCAAGACTTGCCCACTTGGCTACCAGCAGTGGGGTTGGATAGGGTTGCCCATCCTGCTGTCTGGGTATTTCCTGGGACAACAGGAGGCTACATCCTCTGGCTGAGTTCACACAGAAGTGAGAATCCTGGGCTGGAAGCGCTAGCAGGTGTCGCTTACGTGGTTGCCAGTGGTGGGGATGGGTGGGGATGGGTGGGGTCTCCCACCCTGCTATCAGGGTGCTTTCTAGGACAGCAGGAGGCTGCTGCTGCGCTGAGTTCAGGTAAAAGCAGGGCTGCTGAGCCAGAAGCTAGTGCCAAGCCCAGTCCAGTGAGGACTGGTGGTGCAATCTTACTCCTCCCACGTCCTGCAGCTGTGGCTCTGTTGGAGCTATGGCACCAGTGCTGGTCTGCTCTGGGACCCAATGCTTGTAGAGATGCCCTTGGACTCAAGAGTTGCCCCCACAAAATGTCCAGGTGGCTCTCTGCCTGACTCTAGAAGCACAGTGGGGGTGTTTGGGGGTGCCAGGGAGATTCTCCCATTCCCAATCTTACACAGGTCCCTGTGGAGAGTGTGAATCCCCCAGGGGTCTCCACTCACTCACTCATCTTTTCCCATATTGGAGAGGTTCTCCTGGCTACTCACTAAGCCCAGACTGGCTGGGGCCCAGCTTTGCTCCTCTCTGCTCTCTGTGTCCCACTGCTGTCTTGATGGATCCCGACATGGTTTCTCAGATGATCGACCTGCAGGGTCAGTGTTCACCAGCCCTTTTGTTTCCTCTCAGTAAGAGTGGTGCATATGAGCTGCTTCTAGTTCACCATCTTGGCCCCTCCTCTCACGGACATAAATTTTTAAATCATTTTCCCTAAATTCCAAATTATTTTAAAAATTACATAAGATGTTAGATGCACAGGTTGGTTGAAAACTTTTGCATCTTTCTCATGTTATGCCTTAAATCAATTCATGATGTCCCTTCCTCATTCTTCTGTTCCTAATTTTAGCATGTCTGGCATTTTTCTATCCTTGTTTTCTTTATACTTGTATTTACCTGATAATTCTTTGTCCATATCTTTATTTTCAAGCTTTTTTCAAGACTTCGTTTTAAGTGAGAATATGCATAAATAGCATGAAATCAGGCTTATTTTGTGTACTTGACAGTGTATTTTCTAAAAGAAAAATAGTCCATCCTGTACTGACTGATACATTCATTTTATTCTCTTTATTTTAATAAAGTATTATTTATTTTACATTGTTGTTTTCTATTTTCATTTCCCATGTTTTAGTTCATTTGTTCAAATTACTCTTCTTTTCCGTTTTTGTCCTTTTGTTAAAACTTAAAAACAGCATTATAATTTTCCATTTAGAAAATAGTTATCTACCCTTTATTGGCTTACAGTCAGACACATATTCCTCTAGTTTTAAAAGTGGGATACCATAATGCACTGCTTTTCCACCAGTAGGTTCTTTCTTCTTCCAGCTCACCACCCACATGAGCAGGAAGAGACATGCAGAGGGCCTTGAGCTGTGCTCCTGGCACCACCCCACTCACATCCCAGAGCAACCACTAGAGAGCTCTGGCCTCCACTCATCTTTGCCTCCAGTGCCTATATTTTTCAATCAGTTTAGTCGTTTTAGTTTTCAATTATTATTAGAGTTTCACTTGTAGAATATCCCTTCTTTTCCAGGAGTTTTTATTTAGCTCTTATATTACACATGCTCAGGGAATGTAATCAAATGTGCACTCTCTCTCCCCTAATCTATGTAAATAACATGGGTGGGTGGGTGTCCGTCTACTGTTGCTCGCATCATTTCTTCTTCCTCATCCTTTCATACATCCTAAGGCCCTGGTTCTGGTTTGTGTGTTGTTGGTGTTATGTCTCAGAGATTTACCTCCAGTGGGACATATGGGTGATGAACTATTTAATTTCATCCATGTTTGCAAATCTGTTTTTATCACCCAACCAGTGATTGCTATCTTGGCTGGATAGAGAATGACTAAGATGCAGTCTGTCTTTCTCAGTAATGGCAGGATATTATTCCATTATCTTACAGCTTCTGGTGTTGCAGATAACGAGTCCTACGCTAGTTTGATCCTTTTATTCTTTGTGAATAACTGGTTATTTTGGTCTACAAATTTATAATATTCTCTCCTTATCATTAGATATTAGAACTTTCATGAGGCTATGATTACATGTGCGTGCACGTGCACATGTGTGTGAGTGCATGTGTGCACATATCCATGTTTATCATCATTTTTGCCTGAAACTTCATGAGTCTTTTCAAATTCCTGACTCAATTTCTTTTCAGTTTAGAAGTATCTTCTTTGATTATTTGTTTAATACCTTTCCTCCATGTCTTCTTTCTTTTAACATTTTAGAACTTTTATTATTTTCCTGTGAATTCTTTACGTGTTTTCAGTGTCTCTGATATTTTTCCTAATGATTTCCATCTCCTTCTATTTCCACTCACTTTCAAAGAACCAGGGAATATTTGTCAGCAGAAGAGGTGAAGAGACCCATCCAGAGGACAGAGAAAACAGAAAAGGGATAAGAAAGTTAGCAGAATAGCATCCAGAGGACAGGGGCAAGAGTTCTGGTATGATAAACACATTCACCAAATTTGAAATGGGCAAGGTATGTGTGTTTGGAGAAGAAGTAAATGGGGAATCAAACAGATGAAATTATATCGTTTATCACCCACATGTCCCACTGGAGGTAAATCTCTTCAGACATCACACCAACACCACACAAACCAGAACAGGGGCCTTACGCTGCATGAAGGGATGAAGAAAACAAAATGGTTGTGAGCAATGATAGATGGACGCACACACACCCACGTTATCTGTGTAGATTGGGGAGAGAGAGAGAGCACACGTGCACACATTCTGTTATGAATTGCCTAAACTGCCTGAGATTTGTGCTTTGAGATTTGTCTTCTCTTTTAGATGCTAGTCCAATCATTTGGATGTTCTTCTCCTCTAATTCATCAATTATTTTGTTATTTTAGCTTCAGAAAGTTGTGTGTGTGTGTTGCACTTAAAACTCCATAAGCATATTTTTGTCTTGTGTTTATAATTTCAGAAATAAATGTATATTTGCAGAACGAAAATTCTCTCCTTCACCATCAGGGGTTTGTGGTGGTTAAAACAATTGTTCCATTATTTTATGGCCAAAGTAGGGGGAAAGAAGGCTCAAGAGGCTTGGAGCAAGTGGCAGCCCCTCTCCTGTTTCACAGCACAGCTGCCCCCAGCATTTCTGCCCTCCCCAGACCCCACACTCCAATTCCTCATTTCCTTCTTTCCAAAATACAACCCAAATTTGGTGAGTATGTTTATCACACCAGAACTCTTGCTCCTGTCCTCTGGATGGTATTCTGCTAACTTTCCCATCCCTTTTCTGTCTTCTCCATCCTTTGGATGGGTCCCTTCACCTCTTCTGCTAAGAAATATTCCCTGGATCTCCCCACCTCGCCTTCCGCACCCCTACTCTCTCCACCTTCCTTGTCTCCAATCCTAACCTTTAACAATCTCTCCACAACCCTATCATCTTCTCTTCAAGTTATTGTCCTATATTCTCCCTCCCCTTCCTAGTTCCTCACCCCTCAATCACACTTGCGTTGAGTAAAACTCCTTCACTAGTTTGCTAAATGAGCCTCAAAACTAGGAATGAAGCATATTTTTTGTGGAAGTTATAATTACCCGGCAGGTACCAGAACTTCCCCAGGGCTAAGTAGGAAAGGCTCTCGCACCATTTTGTTTCCAGAAAGAGCACGAACAAGAAGGTCCAAAACAGGATAACACTCTTTCTTAATGGTCTTGGGGCTAAAAAGCCTCTTGAGAATCTGGTGGAAGCTAAGGAAACTCTCCTCCAACACAGAACATTTCAGAGGGCACTTGGATGCCCTGGGGTGTAGCCATGGGCTTCACATTAAGCGTGTGCTCGCTCAGGAGCAAATGCCAGTGGAGGACACACGAGCCTGAAGGATTCCACGGCCCAGAAAACCTACTCAGGAGAAAGCAGCAGGCACTGGAAGATTAAGCCAGTCCAGTGAGCTCTTGTTTGTATGCATCATCAGGATGCCATGATAGACAAGGCTTGTTGGAAAGCCAAATGTTTTACAAATAAAAGCTGTTTTCTTCTCCAGGTGAATTTACCTAAGAGAGGCTTGCAAGTGCTGTCCTCAGTGCCCTTGCCTGGGTGTAAAATAGCAGAGACCGAATCCAGGACTGGGTGTGAAAACTGCTGATTGGTCGCAAAGCCTGAAACAAATACTGCCTTAGAAGTGAGCGGTACTGTGATTCTTCTGTTAAAATGCCCGTTCATGCTTTACCTATATTCTGTGCAAAACTAAAAAAAAAAAAATTATACTGGAGAAGTACTTTTTGAAGCAGAACAGAAGCAGATACCAACAAATAAATATTTGATGCATAATTAGTTCCCTGCCATATTTTGTACCTGGGTAGTAAATCAATCTTACATGAACATTTTTTGCTTTATATGGCTTTGGCCATTTGAATGTAAATTTTACTTCCAGAGGGAAGCATTTTTAATTGCCCTGGTTGCTGTTTTTGTTTTTATTTTTATTTATTCCCGGAAAAAAAGGCACATCAATTAAATTATGAGTTTGATTAATTGGAACCCAATTTTAGAAGCCGCGTCTTATTGAATATACAGAAGACCTTTAAGAAACAGGGATTTTTGAGCTTGTCCTGGTCCTACATTTCATTAAGAGTCTGCCTAGATAGTGTGAGCTAATTAGCCCGGGGTGAGAAAGCCTCATCCCCACCAAACAACTTCTGGTGGAGGGGGTTCCCTTAGCTCAGGAAACTGGTTAGAGATGAAGGCAGTAAAACGAAACGAAGGGTTCACAGAGGAGTTAAGAAAATAAGGAGTGGAACAACCAGCCCAATAAAGAAGTCATCGGTCAAAGGGGTTAAGAACGAAACACAGAAAGGACAGAAAGAAAAAGAGACTAGGCTCATGGCAATATGCGAGCACTGGAGGTTCTAATAAAATGTGAGTGTGGGGTGCCAGCTAATTCAAATGTAAGGCTAAAGGTGGCTTAGAAGTAAAGTATTAGGATAAGGAAACACATTAAATGAAGAAAAGGCAGCATACATACATGTGTTCATAGCAGTGTAATTACTTCATGTAGGAGCCTGGAAATATTCGTATCACTGGGAAAGGGCGTGGTAAACAGGGTAGAACCTTCACAGACCATTGTGAGGTCAGCAGGAACGTGAAGAGCGTGAGGTCAGTGTATAGAAAATAAGCACGACCGTTTATACTACAACTACAGCCACACCCCAGAAAAGCAGGGGTCCGTGACCCCCACAGCCGGTCGCCACATCGAGCCCTGGGCATAAGGGAGAGTTCTATTTGGATGCGGTCCAGGAGCGCGCGTAATCCTGTCAAGGTTGGAAGACGATGCAAGTGTTTCCCATGGCAGGACGGTGACTCTCTTCAAACACGAACACTGATCTGAATTACAAAATGTCCTAAAAGGCAGGTCATACCTGTTCTGGTGCTGTTCTCTCTCAGCTCCCAACACGCCCTCCTGTGCTTTGCCGCATCACACTGCGCTGGAGCCTCGCAGCTCTGTTCCCCTGCACCCTAGCCAATCCCACCCCACCCCTGTAAGTGCTGCCAAGAGTGGCACCCAGAGGGGCTGAAGCTGCGCTCCTCGTCCAGGCTTGCTGCCCTGCCACCCTACTCTGGCAGAGCTGTCTGTCCCCTTTTCAGTTTCCTCCCCCACTCCCCTACACCAGCCCTCCGCAGCCTCCGGAGGCCCCACCAGCAACCGGCAGCCTCCTCTCCCAGGCTGTCCCCGTGGACTGGCCAGCACCCCCTGGGCTCCAGCAGCCTGGCAGTCCCTCCCTGTCGAGCCTGGGCTCCAGGTCCACAGGGCCTGCCCCCGTTCTCAGTTCTGATGGTCACGTTTCCCTCCTGCCAGCCCTGTAGGCAGTGGCCTCCTGCGGGTCACCCCATGGAAGCTCAGAGCCCCCTTCACCTGTGGCCTCCAGTGGGTTCTATTGAACAACCGGTCCCTCAGGTGCAATCCTACCTGGCAGACAACCATGCCGCTTCCCAGGGGACCCCAGCCAGCATGGGCATTGAGGAGGGGACAGCGCACGGAAGCCAGGCAAGGGCTGGGTTAGATACAAAGAGCTGAGGACGGTGTTTAGTGAAACGAGGAGTCAGTGTTATATGGAACAGGGTAATCAGTTTGCCAGAAAAAGTATTAGGCAAGGAAGAGAAAAGGAGAGAAAGGAGTAGAATTGCTCACAGAGATGGCGTGAGGACCAGGAGCTGTGCAGAGTGCTAACAGTCTATGCAGTCACGATTGTGCTAGTTGATCAGCTAGCAGTCTACGCAATCACAACTACACTAATTGATCAGCTAACAGTCTATCCGGTCATGACTGCCCTAATTGATCAGCTAGCAGTCTATGCAATCAGGACTGTTCCAATTGATCAGCTAACAGTCTATCCAGTCACGACTGCTCCAGTTGATCAGCTAACAGTCTGTCCGGTCACAACTGTGCTAATTGATCAGCTAGCAGTCTTTGCAATCACGACTGGTCTAAATGATCAGCTAACAGTCTATCCAGTCACAACTGCACTAATTGATCAGCAAACAGTCTATCCAGTCACGACTGTGCTAATTGATCAGCTAACAGTCTATGCAGTCATGGATGCTCTAATTGACCAGCTAGCAGTCTATCCAATCATGACTGTACTAATTGATCAGCTAGCAGTCTATCCAGTCACAACTGCTCCAATTGATCAGAATGCCATGAAGCACAGAGCAAGAGACTCAAACCATGCTGAGGAATCAGATGCACAATTAAAAACCTCCCTTCCTTCTCTTCTCCCCAGAAAGAATGGCTGCTAAGATTTTTTTCTTTATCCTTCCATACCCTTTTTCTGCATGCATACAGGGTTAAAGGACTCTCTTCCTGCCTTGAGTTATATGAATAAAAACAAGTGCTCAGGGACCCCACATTCTAAAATAAGGTGCTGAGGTGCCCCCATGAGAAGGGTCTGCCAGCCTTCCCTCCTTCCCCACCTCCAGGCGACATGGGGGCTGGGACAGTCAGGGGAGCAAGGTCGGCAGGGCAGGTGCGCTGTGGCTCTCTCCCTTCTCACCAGGAGGGGGTGCTTCACTCCGCCAAGCCAAGAGAGGGGCTTGAGGGACCCCTCAGAGCATCATGCCATCCCCCAGATCTGCAGGGGGCGCAGGGACAGGTAGCAGGGAGACATGAGGCTGCCTTAGGAGTATGGTGGGATGAGGTGTGCTCATGTCTCCCTGGGGCTGGACGTGGACCCTGTAAGAGGGATCCAGACCCGGGTCCTCCTGAAACGGATATCGGGAGAGATGCAGCAACTCCAGAAAGAGAGTAGGGGCATCCCTGATGCCCAGGGGTTCAGGGGCATTCAGGGCTACTTGGAGGAGGCTCCGTCCTCATCAGGGAACTACAACCTGGAGATCCCTGCAGGGACGTCTCAGGAGAACCTGCAGAAGCTCTGCACTGGCCCGAGGTGCCAACTCTACGGCAGGGGAGAACCTTCCTGCCTTCACCTCTCTCCCCTCCTCTCCCTCCATGGGGGAGCCAGAGGCGGCGTGTGCTGGGGGAGGTGGAAGATGGGGCTGAAGAGGCCAGTCACGCCGCACCCCCTCCCCACTGCGTCAGTCCGGAGTCAAGGTCGGAGCCTGGCGGGGGAGGAGAGAGGAGTCGTGGGGGTTTCACATCGGGTGACTGGGCGGTTTCATACCCAAACGCTGTGATGCTTGGCGCATACCTGACAGCGACCAGGAAGGCCAAGGCTTGTGCCCTAGATCTGTTCCGAGCGTTTCTGGGACGCCTGCGGAGAAAGAGTGGACAGATCTGTTTAAAGGGGCTTTGGAGAGAAAGAATAAAGTAACGTTCTGTTTTCATCCCATTGAGGGCAGCTTATTAATAAACTGGAGACTCTTTTCTGTAGAAAGAACATCCTGACCAAATGGAGAAGTCAGCATGAAGCAGGAAATGGAGGCAAGGTGCAAAAACCCGTCTTGGACGCCAGGACTGGTCGGGGAAGACATGTCCAGGCTCACAGACCACCATCCACTTGGCCAGCCCATGGGAGTGGGGGCACCTGATGCCCTCAAAGCCTGCTGACACCCACTGGGGCCCATGCAGGTACCACTCGTTGTGCTGCAGAAATGCTTGAGGCAACACCTGTGCTGATGCAAGGGGTGGTCACTGTGCTGGCAAGAGACCTCACTGGCTGGTCCCCAAGACCCCTGTACTTAGTTCATAACTGGCGATCTGATTTATACATCAGTCCGTTGGAGGTTTGGTTCACTTGCGTCACCTTCCTACACAGTACCAGGTTGTAGCTCCTGGTCCTGAAAAATTCAGGTCTAGGCTTTGAAACAACGTTTCTGCAAATAAGTTACCACCTGTCTTAGTCAAATACCATGGCCTTAAACAACACACATTTACTTCACGCAGTTGTGGAGGCTGGAAGTCCTAGATCTGGGTGTCTGCATGGTGGGGTTTTGGTGAGGGCTTATTCCTAGGTGCAGACAGCCACCTTCTCACTGTGTCCTCACAGAGGGGGCAGGTGGGGCTGGAGGGGGAGAGAGGAACGGAGAGAGAGAGATCGGTCCTCTTATAAGATGAGGAAGAGAGAGGGAACTTTCTCTCTATCTGTCTCTCTCTCTCTGCCTCTTCTTACAAGGCAACCAAGCCCATAGAATTAAGACCCCACATTTATAACCTCATTTAACCTTAATTACCTCCTAAAAGTCCCATTTTCAAATACAGTCACACTGGGGGTTGTGGCTTCAACCTATGAATTAGGGGGACACCCTCTCGGAGACACTGCTTCCCAACAGCATGCCACCTGACACTCTGCCCCACCTCAGGCTGAAAACATCCCACCTCCTCCTGTTCCTCCTCCCAACAAACTCATTTACCTGGCTTTTGTGGGTCAACTACAAGCCAAACCTAATGTTTGTGGCTAGGGATCAAAAATGAGATCAAGACAGGGATCAGCTCTTTCCTTGGCATGGGCCTCTCCCTGATTCCAGTCGACCACAGCATCTGTAGCCATGAACTGAGAGGGGCAGCCTCTCACTCTCCTACCTCTAGGCTGGCAATTTCAGAGGGCCAGCGGCCAGTGGCGATGAGGGCTTCAGGGAAAGTGCGGTGGCAGACGCAGAGCGGGGCAAGCCCAGGCACGATGAAATCAATTTTCAGACATATCAACTTCTTCTTCTATTCCACATATCACAATTACCGCGGCATTCTGGACAAGCTGACAGAATGGATAAAAGTGTTGGGAGGGCTTACTCGTCAATTCCGTGATGCTACTGTTACATAGAAAATGCTCAAGCTTTGTGGACAATTTTCGTAACAAGGATATAGCAAAGTTAAGATGTGTACACAGGTTTTTATATCAGAAACTTACTAGCAACCCGTGTCCAAAATGCAGATTCACAAAATATGACTTTTAATTTATTTATGTTGACAGTTTACAATTATTTTTGGCATGCCTGTATATTTTACATCTCAATAATTTTTAATGTTCTGCCCTCCAGCTAACGTATTAAAACCTTGCTGTAATTTACTACTAAAAAAACAACAGAAGCGTCAACACAGGCCCATTGCCACCTTGCTGAGGCTGAGAGCCGCCCAGGGTAGTTATCAGTGAATAAATGGAGCACTTATATTTAGCTGGGTGACTCAAGTTACATCCCCAAATACAACCACTAAACTCATGAAAGCTGGACCTTAGAGCAGTGCTTCCCGTGTGTGTGTGTGTGTGTGTGTGTGTGTGTGTGTGTGTGCGCTTAGAGATGAGGTCTTGCTATGTTGCCTAGGCTGGCCACAAGCTCCTGGATTCAAGGAATCTTCCTTCCTCATTCTCCCTGGTAGCAGGGATAGGTGTGCGCCACCACACCCAGCTTTCTCTCATATTTTTACTAATGGAAAACTACTATAGCTTTTCAGTTTTTAAATTGACATCTAAAGGATTTCATCATAAGTGAAAATAGTTGCAAAGGATTTAACTTTCAGTGTATTATAAACATTAATGTATCAATCTTTTAACTGTATTGAATTTTTGTACTATAAAAATTTTATCCCCACCATTATCCATTTTAAAATGCACCAAGTTCTTTAAAAGTTTGAACTTTACGTTTTACCTTTTTTCCCAAAATTGTATTTCTAATTTTCTCCATCAAATTTATCATAATGTAATATACTTTTATACCTGCAGGACTTTTATTAATCAGTCTAGCATACTTTGCAGCCAAAATGCATATATAAGTAGAAATATATATCTTTTAAAATGTGATCATAAAGTTCCAAGTGTCAAAAACATTTCTTTTAGATTGTTATCATTATAATTTTTATCAGTTCCTGACTGATAAAAACAATGTAGCATACCAATTTTATAACAGTATTAAAAATAAAAATGAGATGGATAGGGCTTTTTTACTTTTCAATTAGTTCATATGTCCATGGGTAAATATTTCTGACAGCTGACGTGAAACAAAGTTCAGCTTTTATGTTAAAGTTTTTTCTTCACCACAGAAACCTGACCTTGGGCTGACTCCCCAGCTCTGTCCCCTGAAAGCTGTATCCAGGTGTGTGTCAGCCGTGTCGTCGCGAGGTGATGTTGTCCGTGATGAAAGTGGCACTGGTTGGTTCCCTTCATCTGAATTGGGAAGGTGTGAATGCCGGAGGCTGCAGTGCAGGGAGCCACCCACCCAGCCTGCTGCACCCTGTGTGTCTTGAGAGGCTCTGCCTTAGCATCTCTGAGGCTCACAGGGCTCCAAAGTCCTCAACAGATGTGCCCCCCTCCAGAGGGAAAGGCTGCCCACCTGACCAGTCTAGATGTCTACTGGAGCCCAAAATGACCACTGAGCAACATTACAATCACCAATTTTGTCCCTTTTAAAATTTTTATCAATGTAAGTGCTGAGAAGCCTTGTTCACAGAAAGAAACAGCAACACAGGAGTTATGTGCCAAAAATAACAGATTAAATGGACAAATTACTTGAAAGACTCAAATGAACAAAACCCATTCTAGAAGAAACAATGAGTAGCCCTATATTCATTAAATAAATTAAATCCCTAATTAAAAGCCTTTCAAAAAACAAAACAAAACAAAAAAACTTCAGGCCCAGATAGTTTCAATGATGAATTCTAGCAAATGTTTAAAAAATAATGCCACTTTTAAACACACTCTTCCAGAATATGGGAAGAGGAGAAAACACTTCCCAACTCATTGTATATCAAGCTACCATTACCCTGGTACCAAGGTCACACCAAGACATTACAGTAAAGGAAAACTTCAAACCAATACCCTTTCCTGAACATAGATCACCAAAATATTAGCAAATCAGATCCAGCAATATGAAAAAACCACAATATGTCATGACCAAGTTTGTTTTCTATGTTCACACAAAGCTTGCAATGCAAGGCCTGTTTAGCATTTGAAAATCAAACCATTCAATCCATTCTACCAACAGACTAAAGGAGAAAACCCATACGACCATCTCAATAGACACAGAAAATCACTTGACAAAATTTCATCGTTCCATCTCTCAACAAACTAGAAGGTAATTCCTAAATCCAAGAAAGAATTTCTACCTACAAACCTACACCTGATGTCATACTGAATGGTGAAAAATGAACTGCTTTTTCCCTAAGGTCAAGGACAAACACTTCTTTTAATATAGTACTGGATGAAAATATATATTTATGACCCAAACCCCAAGAATAATTACTGATATGATTTTGGCATGTTTTCTTCCAGTGTTTCTCATTGCATACATATATAAAAATATTTAAACTTTTTAATTATAAATTGAGATTTTTCTCAAGTGTT
The DNA here is from genome assembly GCF_000001405.40 of Homo sapiens. Lineage (NCBI taxonomy): Eukaryota > Metazoa > Chordata > Mammalia > Primates > Hominidae > Homo > Homo sapiens. The sequence continues at coordinate 111,089,131 of NC_000013.11, read as the reverse complement.
CTTTTTTTTAAATTATACTTTAAGTTTTAGGGTACATGTGCACAATGTGCAGGTTAGTTACATATGTATACATGTGCCATGTTGGTGTGCTGCACCCATTAACTCGTCATTTAACACTAGGTATATCTCCTAATGCTATCCTTCCCGCCTTCCCCCACCCCACTACAGGTCCCAGTGTGTGATGTTCCCCTTCCTGTGTCCATGTGTTCTCATTGTTCAATTCCCACCTATAAGTGAGAACATGCGGTGTTTGGTTTTTTGTTCTTGCGATAGTTCACTATAGTCAGAATAAAGGATAAATGTGGAATAAAAATATGAAAACATGTAACAATCTGAAAATGTTGAAAGCAACTGATGTACTAGAATACACCAGTTACAACCAATATCACTTATCTGTTTTTAGCATTATAAATGTATCTTCCCGAATGAAAAAAGGCATACAGGCTAAAATAAAGACTATTGTTGCTTTAAAAAAAAAAATATATATATATATAGTACTAGATGTCCTAGCCAGTGAATAAGAAAGAAAAAGAAATAAAAGGCATATAGATTGGGAAGAAAAACTAAAACTCTCTCTACTTGCAGATGACGTTTGCATAGATAAACCAACAAAATTTGCCACCATCTCCCCGTCCCCAAAAAAGCTCTGTCATAAAGAGGCTCTTTAAAAGAAAATTATATTTCTTAGGGAATAGACATTGCAATAGGAGTAAGTGTGCTTATCATAGTAAACTATGTGCATATTTAAGGAGGTAAAGGAAGACAAAGATTTTTAAAGGAAAAAAATGAGGAAGGTTACATCATTTTATTTTATTTTTAAAGACAAAGTCTCACCCTGTGGCACAGGATGGAGTGCAGTGACCTAATCACAGCTCACCGGAGCCTCGACCCGCTAGGCTCCAGTGATCCTCCCACCTCAGCCTCCCAAGTAGCTGGGACTATAGGCAGCCACCGTGCTCAGCTCTACAGAATTGTTTTGAGACTATTGTTCTTGGCTGTAAGGATACAGGATGACTCCAGTCCAAGATTGAATAGGCAGTTGCTGGACAGATGTCCTCACAGAAGTATTTTTTTTGTATAAGGTTGTGATGGCCTTTGTGCAAGGTCGTGTTTTTCGTAGAATCTTTTGTGATAGTTTTTGTTATTAGTCATTTATGCATGAACCTTCTCTTCATGGCCTTCCTCAACTGTGTTTGTCAGGGTTTTTTTTACACAAGTGACTCCATTTTGATCCTGACAACTTTTGCAGCTCTTCAACTCATACATGAGTTTAGCTAGAATACCAAACAAAAGGTCAATACAAAAACATTAGCTATATTTCTATATCTACCAACGAATAATTGGAAATTGAGACTTAAAAAATAAGGCTATTTATCATAGCACCAAAAACTGTGAAATACTTAGGGGGATAAAATATACATGAAATACATTACATATAAATTTTACAAAATATGTGTAAGATCTGTGTGCTAAAAAAATGACAAAACAGTGATAAAACATGGAAGGGATAAAAGAAAACCTAAATTAATGAGGAGATATTCTCATACTACATGAAAACATCAACTCAAAATGATCACAGGCCTAAGTGGAAAACCTGAAACTGTAAAACTTTTCAGAGAAAACTTTGGGGGAAATAATCTGTGTGATCTTGGGTTTAGGTGAAGATTACTTAGATATGGCACCAAAAGCCTTACTAATATAATAAAAGAAAAAATTAATAAATTATCCTTTAGAAAAATTAGAAACTTTGTTCTTTGAAAGACACTGGTAAGAGAATGAAAAGACAAGCCACACACTGGGAGTTATTATTTGCAAACTATACACTTGATAAAGGACTTGTATCCAGAATACGTAAAGAACGCTACAAAATCAATGACAAAAAAGCACTCCATTTTTTTAAATGGGCAAAATGTTTGAACAAACACTTCACTAAAGAAGATATGTGGGTGGCAAATAAGCATGTATTCAATATCGAGAGTCATAAGGGAAGTGCATGCTAAAACCTCAATGATGCAGCCATAAAATAGAATGAAATTATGTCCTTTGTAGCAACATGAGTGCAGCTGAAGGCCGTTATCCTAAGCAAATTCACACAGGAACAGAAAACCAAATACCATGTGTTCTCACTTGTAAGTAAGAGCTAAACATTGGTACATGTGAACACAAAGAAAGGAACAATGGGCCAGGTGTGGTGGCTCACGCCTGTAATCCCAGCACTTTGGGAGGCTGAGGCGGGCAGACTAAGAGGTCAGGAGTTTGAGACCATCCTGGCCAACATGGCGAAATCCCGTCTCTACTAAAAATACAAAAATTAGCTGGGTGTGGTAGCAGGAACCTGTAATCCCAGCTACTCAGGAGGCTGAGGCGGGAGAATTGCTTGAACCTGGGAGGTGGAGGCTGCAGTGAGCTGAGATCGTGCCATTGGACTCCAGCCTGGGCGACAGAGTGAGACTCCATCTCAAAAAAAAAAAAGAAAAAAGAAAGGAACAATGGATACTGGGGACTACTAGAGGTGGGGAGGAAGGGAGGGAGACAAGTGCTGAAAAACTACCTGTTGTGTACTGTTCTTACTACCTGGGTGTATTAGTCTGTTCTCACGCTGCTAATAAAAACATCCCAGAGACTGGATAATTTATAAAGTGGTTTAATTGACTCACAGTTCCACCTGGCTGGAGAGGCCTCACAATCATGGTGGAAAGTGAATGGGGAGCACAGTCATGTATTACATGGCAGCAGGCAAGAGGGCTTGTGCAGGGGAACTCTCATTTGTAAAACCATCCGATCAGATCTCTTGAGACTTATTCACTAAGATGAGAACAGTATGGGGTAAACCACCCCCGTGATTCAATTATCTCCACCTGGCCTCACCCTTGACATGTGGGGTTATTACCACTCAAGGTGAGATTTGGGAAGACACAGCAAAACCATATCACTGAGTGACAGTAAAAATCATACCTCAAACCTCAACAACACACAATATACCCATGTAATAAACCTGCACATGTACCCTGAGTCTAAAGTAAAAGTCGAAATTATTTTGAACAAAAGCCCCACGATATATGCGAAGCACAGTAAAACAACAGAGATATGCCTGTACTTTAAAAGGGTGACTTCTATCATATATGGATTACGTATCGACAAACCTGGCACAAAAAACCCACCATGAGCTGTCAATTAGAAAACACAATGAGTGATGAGTACGAATGGCTTGAAAAAGACGGTGTCAGTGCTGAGCAGGGTTGGGTGCACTGGCGCTCTCAAATGCTGCTGGTGGGGATGCAAAACAGTGCTGCCACTTTGGAAACCACTTAGGCAGTTTTTTCCAAAGTTAAACATACATTCCCCGAAAGCCCCAGATAACTCACTCATAGGTATATTTACAGTGAAATGAATATAAGTCTACACAAAACCCATACCTAAATGGTTTTTTGGTTTACTTTTGTTTTATTTTTATTTTTTTAGAAACAGGCTTTTGCTCTGTCACCCAGGCTGTAGTGCATTGGTACCACCATAGCTCACTGTGGCTTTAAACTCTTGCGCTTAAGTGATCCTCCTGCCTCAGCCTCCCGGGTAGCTAGCTAGGGCTACAGGTACGCACAACTATGCCCAGATAATTTTTTTAATTTTTGTAGAGTTGGGGTCCTGCTAAGTTGCTCAGGTTGGTCTTGGAACTCCTGGCTTCAAGCCATCCTCCCACCTCAGCCTCCAAAAGTGCTGGGATTACAGGCATAATCCACCATGCCTACCTGCATACATGAATGTTTATAGTGGCTTTTAATCACCCCTACCTGGAAATAACCCAAATGCCTTTCAACTGGTGAACTAATAAACAAATTTTGGTTTTTCCCTTACAAGGGAATACTAGCCAGCAATGAGAAATAACGAAGTATTGATACGTCAAAACCATGAATCTCAAATGCATTTTGCTGAATAATAGAAGCCAGATCCCCCTCTCACCCCAAAAAAGCAGTGCATGCCATATGATTCCATTTATATGACAGAGAAAAAAATATGAACAGAAACCAGAGGTGTGTTGGGGAGCTAAGGGAGGGGAGGGGTCAGCTACAGAGGCACCAGGCTATAGAGGCTATAGAGGCCTGCCCTATGTCTTGATGTCAGTGATGGCTAAATGCCTGTATGCGTATGCCAAAATTCTCAGACTAGACTACAAAAGCTGAACTTTGCTATATGGGAACTATACCTGAATTTCAACAATAAGGAAAACAATGCCACATTCCTTCAGGAATGTCAAAGATGAATGCCATCATCGAAGCTCTGATGTATGCTTGGGCTGTGATTCCTAGCACATCCTTAATCACTTCTACCTGGACTGAGCCAAAGACAGATGAATCTTAGAAAATGACAGTGGATCATTTTGAATTGATAATCTGTTGACCCAAAGGTACCTAATGTTCCAGATACAGTCTCTTTCTTCAAGCATATAAACACAGACCGTAGTAGGCAGCTATTGATCTTGCAAATTTCTTTTTCTTTTCTTTTCTTTTTGAGACAGGGTCTTGCTCTGTCACCCGGGCTGGAGTGCAGTGGTGCAATCACAGCTGACTGAAGCCTTGACCTCCCTGGCTCAAGCAATCCTCCCACCTTAGCCTCTTGAGTAGCTGGGACCACAGGTGCAGGCTACCATGCCTGGCTAATTTTTTTCTTTTTTCTCTTTTTCTTTTTTTGTAGAGATAGTGAGAGGTGACAGCATGCTGGCAGTCCTCAGAGCCCTCGCTTGCTCTCGGCACCTCCCCTGCCTGGGCTCCCACTTTGTGGCATTTGAGGAGCCCTTCAGCCCACCACTGCACTGTGGGAGCCCCTTTCTGGGCTGGCCAAGGCCGGAGCCAACTCCCTCAGCTTGCAGGGAGGTGTGGAGGGAGAGGCGCGAGCGGGAACCCGGGCTGCGTGCGGCGCTTGCGGGCCAGCTGGAGTTCCGGGTGGGCGTGGGCTTGGCGGGCCCCGCACTCGGAGCAGCCAGCCAGCCCTGCTGGCCCCGGGCAATGGGGGACTTAGCACCCGGGCCAGTGGCTGCGGAGGGTGTACTGGGTCCCCCAGCAGTGCCAGCCCACCGGCGCTGCGCTCGATTTCTCACCGAGCCTTAGCTGCCTTCCCGCGGGGCAGGGCTCGGGACCTGCAGCCCGCCATGCCTGAGCCTCCCACCCCCTCCGTGGGCTCCTGTGCGGCCCGAGCCTCCCCGACGAGCGCCACCCCCTGCTCCACGGCGCCCAGTCCCAACGACCACCCAAGGGCTGAGGAATGCGAGCGCACGGCGCAGGACTGGCAGGCAGCTCCACCTGCAGCCCCGGTGCGGGACCCACTAGGTGAAGCCAGCTGGGCTCCTGAGTCTGTTGGGGACGTGGAGAGTCTTTATATCTAGCTCAGGGATTGTAAACACACCAATCAGCACCCTGTGTTTAGCTCAGGGTTTGTGAGTGCACCAATCGACACTCTGTATCTAGCTGCTCTGGTGGGGCCTTGGAGAACCAGTGTGTGGAAACTGTATCTAACTAATCTGACAGGGACGTGGAGAACCTTTGTATCTAGCTCAGGGATTGTAAACACACCAATCAGCACCCTGACAAAACAGGCCACTGGGCTCTACCAATCAGCAGGATGTGGGTGGGGCCAGATAAGAGAATAAAAGCAGGCTGCCCGAGCCAGCATTGGCAACCCGCTCGGGTCCTCTTCCACTTTGTGGAAGCTTTGTTCTTTCGCTGTTTGCAATAAATCTTGCTACTGCTCACTCTTTGGGTCCACGCTGCTTTTATGAGCTGTAACACTCACCCCGAAGATTTGCAGCTTCACTCCTGAGCCCAGCGAGACCATGAGCCCACCGAGACCATGAGCCCACCGGGAGGAACGAACAACTCCAGACGCGCTGCCTTAAGAGCTGTAACACTCACTGCGAAGGTCTGCAGCTTCACTCCTGAGCCAGCGAGACCACGAACCCACCAGAAGTCAAAAACTCCGAACACATCTGAGCATCAGAAGGGACAGACTCCAGACGCGCCACCTTAAGAGCTGTAACACTGCGAGGGTTCGCGGCTTCATTCTTGAAGTCAGTGAGACCAAGAACCCACCAATTCCGGACACAATAGGGTCTCCGGCTGGTCTTGAATTCCTGGACTCAAGCGATCCTCCTGCTTCAGCCTCCCAAAGTGCTGGGATTACAGGCGTGAACCACTGTGCCCCGCCGCCTTTTTCCTAACACACATTAGAAATGGTCTCTGGCAGCTATTTACTTACCCAGCAGGAGCACTACTGCATCTTCACTTGCACTCAGCGCCATGGCAGCTGTCTAGCTTGGCCATAACCTAATCTCGGGGCCCTTCATTGTTTTGAAAGACATCAAGCTGATCCTCTATATTGATGGCCTCACTGAGTGGGTCTTTTGAGCAGAAAATAGTAAATGCATTAAACCAACTGGTAATGTTCATTCATACCAGAGTAAGTGAAATAAACTCCACGAAAATTTCAGAGACCTGTGATACTGATGAACTTTGTAAGGGTCCAGTGGTCTGGGGCACCCTACAAAAGGTGAAGAAAGGGTTGCTACATCTTGTCCGTTCTGACGCCAAGAAGAGGCATGAAGCCCAGCAGGCTTCTCTGGATGCTGGGAACACAATATACCACATTTGGGCATGAAGTCTCACACTGCTCCAGGGAAACCAGCAATGCTGCCAGATGACACCCCCCGCAAGTGGATGCCTGCAGCATTAGGACAGCTTCATTCAGGGCAGCCAGGAGGACGCTGGGGGAGCTTTTCTTCTCTGTGGAAATACTTGGGAGCAGTGCACCTAGTTTTTCACTTCTTCTGGGAAGAGAGAGATGCAGAGATATGGACTGATGTGGATTCTGGGAACTGGAAAGGAGTAAGATTGGGACTTTGAGGACAGGGAAGTCTAAGATAAAGGTACTGCAGGTGACTTCCAGAATGGAATGGGTGTGTTAAAGAGATATGTGTGTCCCATGGGAAGGGTCTCCAAGGCCAAGCCAACCATAGTAGGCAGGTGCCCAATGGTGAGGTGGACATGGCAATCCATGTTGTGGGTGTCAGCCTCTCTCTTTAGCCCCTGGGTCCTTGTTGAGTGGGCTCACAAAAAAGAAGGCCTGTGGTAGCAGGGATGGTGGTTATGCACCAGCTCAATGCCACAAGCCTTCCTTCATCAAGGCCCATCTGGCTGCAGCCCCTGTGGAGGGGGCTACCTGTCAATACCGAAGCCTCATGCCCAGATGCTGTGGGGCACCATGCCCTAGGAGGACTGGGTGGCCGCCTGATTACACTGGTCCACAAGGGAATGGGCAGTGATCTGTCCTCACTGGAAAGACACCTTTGTGGGCTGGGCATAGTGGCTCATACCTGTAATCCCAGCAGTTTGGGAGGCCGAGGCGGGTGGATCACCTGAGTTCGGGAGTTCGAGACCAGCCTGATCAACATGGAGAAACTCCATCTCTACTAAAAATACAAAATTAGCCAGGCGTGGTGGTGCATACTTGTAATCCCAGCTACTTGGGGTCTTAGTTCCCAGTCACAGAAGGAAGACACGCCCATCCTGTACTGGAGGACACACATGCATGTGTTATGGCATTGGAGGATGCTGGCCCCTGGTCACTTTGGCCTCCTCGTGCCAACGAACTTATGGGAAAGAAGAGGGTTCTTGTTATGACCGGGGTGATTGATCCTGACTATCAAGGGGCATTAAGATGACCATTTCACACAGGGAGTGGGGGAATGTGTCTGTCTCACAGAAAGTTGTCTGTGGCAAGATTTGCACTTCTGCAGTCTGGCCTCCTTGGACTTGTGCAAAACGGGAACACTCCCCACTCGTATGATTGATCTAGCATCACTTTGGCATCTGCACCCAGCAAGGACTGTATGAGAAGGGAAATTTGCAGGCCCATGTCACTCCCAAACGTGAGCATCAAAACTGTACAGAAATCATTTGCAAATCAATGTATACAAAAATAGCAAACACAAATATTCAGGTTTATCCCTTGAGTTCCTGGTCAGTTTAATAGGACAAACTTCAGTGGGTGGAAAAATAAATCATTAGCATTCAACTTTCATCATAAGAACTCTGCAAATTATGAGCGGAAAGAATCTCCCTTAGCATGTGAAAGGGTATTATCTCCCTCAGCTTGTGGTTGCTATCACAGAACACCTCAGACTAGGCCATTTACAAAGAATGATAATGTATTTCTCACAGCTCTGGAGGCTGCGAATCCATGATCAAGGTGCTGGAATTTGGTGTTGGGGAGGGGTGCATTCTCCGGAGAGGAGGAACGCTGTGTCCTTGCAGGGCAGGAGGAACAAGGCCAAGGGGCCAATCGCTGAGTGAAGCCTCCTTTTCAAGAGTTTTAATCCCTTCCAGGAGGAAGGAATTCTCATGGCCTAATCTCTTCTCAAAGGTCTGCTTCTTGGTATCACCATATTGGTAACAGCTGAATTTTGGAGGGGACACATTCAAACCACAGGAGATATCTACCAAGACTCTACAGCAAAATCATGCATATCTGTGAAAAAAGTGGAAATTTCCCCATTTACGGGGCGATGAAATATCCATTGTCTCCAATTCTATTCAACAATATATAAGAGATTATAGCCAATTATAAAAGGCAAAAATAAAAAGAAATAGAAAGCATAAGATTTTAAAGAAATAAATAAAATTGTTTCATTTACAAATGATATGATTATCTACACGAAACACCTTGAAAAGTGTTCCCCATCCCTCAAAAAACTCTCTGCCACCCAAAAAACTAGGAATAACTGAACAAAGTAAATAAAATGTCTAAGGTTGCTGAATAGAAAATCACATAAGGAAAGTCGATTTTATTCGTATATTCCAGTAACAAAGATTTAAGTGTAATCAAAAGGTATAGATAGCTACATTGTGATAAAAGATACTTAGGACCGCCGGGCGCAGTGGCTCATATCTGTAATCCCAGCACTTTGGGAGGCCGAGGCAGGTGGTTCACTTGAGGTCAGGAGTTTGAGACCAGCCTGGCCAACATGGTGAAACCCTGTCTCTACTAAAAATACAAAAATTAGCTGGGCTTGGTGGTGGGTGCCTGTAATTCCAGCTACTTGGGAGGCTGAGGCAGGAGAGTCATTTGAAACCTGGAGGCAGAGGCTGCAGTGAGCCAAGATCGTGCCATTGTACTCCAGCCTGGGTGACAGAGCAAGACTGCATCTCAAAAAAGAAAAAAAAAATACTTAGGACTAAATGTAAAGAAGAGATGTACAAGAATGTTCTGGAGAATAACCTATAAAATGAGCTGACATTAAAGAAGGCTTAAATGGAGATATACCCTGCCATAAAAGTATAATTTTCCCCAAATTGATCCACATATTCAAAGTAATTCTACTAAGAATCCCAGTTGGCAAATTGATTCCAAAAGTCAGGTGGAAAAGGAAAGGGGGGAAAGCAGCCAGGACGTGCGGGAGGGAGGGCAGGGCGGGGCGCTTGCCTCCAGGGCTGTGGGGAATGAGTGTGAAGCTGCAGCGGTTAGCACAGCAGCACTGGTGTGATTGCAGCCGCGCAGGCCGGGGGACTGGTGGGGTCTCAGCTCACACTCGCGGATGGGCCCCTGATGTGAATGAGGCACTCCAGGCCAGAGAGGGCGGTGGCCTGTTCAGCAGATGGTGATGGCCTTGGTTGTCCATGTGGAAAAAAATCAAAATGCAACCCCTACTTCATTCCACAACCGAAAAATAAAATTCCTGAGGGATTTAGAGCTCACTTGAGAAAGGCAAACCCAACATTCAATGAGGGAGTCCTCAGTGGCTCCGGAATTGAAAAACAGCCATATAAAGGCATTTTTCAGACAGCTCAAAAAATTTGAACATGGACTGCCTATTAGATAATATTATTGAGTTGAAGTTAGTTTTCTTGTGTATAATAATGACATTGTGTTTCTGTAGGAGAATATCCCCATTCATAGAAAATGTATCCCTGAAATATGTAGGGGCGAAATGTAATGATGTCTACAAAGAATTTCACGTGGTTCAGGGAGAAGAAAATTACTGAAGAGAGAGAAGGCAAATGCGCCAACATGTTACTGACTTGGGAAACTTGGTGAAAGGCATATGGTGCTCATTGTGCAATTCTTTCAACTTTTCTCTAGTTTTGAAATTTTTTCAAGATAAAAATATGAAAGAACGGATTTTAGAAGAATTGTGATATATCCACACACTGGAGTACTGCAAAGCAGTGAAATGTGAATACTGCACAGTTCTACCAGCAGAATGTATAAATCTCAGGCATGAGCAGAAACAACCAAGTCACTGAAAAAATACAATACAATTCCAGTTATATGTAGGGTAAAATTAGGGAAAAATAAACAATATACTGGTTAGCATTTCAGATATATTAATAAAGCTCAAATAAAAAGGAAGAGAATAACAAACCCACAGTTTGGGGTAGGGTTACTCCTGGTGAGGTCAGGAAGGCAGCGATGGGGTCAGGGAGGGGCACATGGGGAGCTCCATGCATTGGTGACTTACTCCTCTTTACCTGCATGGTGACTGTTGGCTCCTCTGTATCCTAATTATCTGTAACTTAAATATATGCATTTTGGGAGGCCAAGGTGGGAAGATCACTTGAGCCCAGGAGTTTGAGACCAGCCTGGGCAACATAGTGAGACCCTTGTCCCTACAAACAAAATTTTTTTAAAATTAGCTGGGTTTAGTGGCTCACATTTGTGGTCTCAGCTACTTGGGAGGCTGCGGTGGGAGGATCTCTTGAGCCCAGGAGCCCAGGAGTTTAAGTGTACACTGTGCTATGATCACACCACTGCACTTCAGCCTGGGCGACAGAAACCTTGTCTCCAATAGCATTTAAAAATCATGAAAAAGTGAAGTTTCATCTTGGCACACCTGAGTTTGTGGCTATAAAATGCCTGTAATCGATACACTGTATAGCTGCAAGTTTGCAAACTGCTCCAGCATTCACCCCCAAAACCCAAGTCCATGCATTTAGATGGTATTACTTAGAGTTCATTTATCAAGATAGATGCTTAATTTTAAAACATCTCATGAGTACTTTAATAACTAAAAATTTCTAATATCCGTTAGTGAGATTGAAATTTATAGAATGTTTAACTTCTTAATAAAATGTCTGTATTTAAAAACAATAAAATAGAATCTTTATTTTTGCCTAAGAGTCATAACCCCTTGATCATATTTTCTTTGTGGTCCTAATCCCATGGTCAGCCCAGGATAAAGTGGCTGAGGTCAATCACTGGATGTGTTTTCTTGGGGAGAAGAAACGCTCCTCTCAGCGCTGAAGACCGAGTGGGAAGGGCCATCACTTGGCTCGTCACACCACATGCCAACAATGAGATGGTGTTTCTCCCCTCTCTTCTCTTTTTCCGGAAGTGTTGGCTGCAGATGGAACGGGCTCACACTCGGGAGGAGTCAGAGGGAGTTGTGCCTTGGCTTAAGAAAGTCAACAAAAAATGGGATTCTTTGCAGAACGTAGGGATGTTTCTAAAATGCCAGAGACAAACACGTTTTATTACTTGATTTAATCATTACATTTAGTTACTTTAGTGTGCTTGCATTTTACTATGCCATCAACAGATGTCTGTAAAAATGAGGTTCAAGAATTCCATGCCAGGGCCGGGTGCAGTGGCTCATGCCTGTAATCCCAGCACTTTGGAAAGCCGAAGCAGATGGATCATTTGAGGTCAGGAGTTCGAGACCAGCTTGGCCAACATTGTGAAACCCCATCTCTACTAAAAATACAAAAAAATTAGCAGGGCGTGGTGGTGCAAGCCTGTAGTCCTAGCTACTCAGGAGGCTGAGGCAGAAGAATTGCTTAAACCCTAGAGACAGAAGTTGCGGCGAGCTGAGATCATGCCACTGCACACAAGCCTGGGTGACAGAGTGAGACTCTGTCTCAAAAAAAAAAAAAAAAAAAGAATGCCACACTGGCATTCTAACATTTTTTAAGTATGACTTTTAAAGAAGGTTCTAGAGCTGCTTCAAGATGGCTGACTGGAGGCACCCGGCACTTGCCTCCTCCATGAATAAACAAAAAGAGGGGGTATAGAATCACACTTAGAATAGATCTCCCAAGCCAGAACACTGATATTCAACAGAGAAGTGACGGGAAGCACCAAAAGCAAGGGAGTAGAGGGACTGAGGCAGCCTGCTCTGCTGAGCTTCCCCAGGCAGGGAAAGGGTAAGTGAGAGGCCCCAGCAGTCCACATTCTCCCCATGGACGCCTGCAATCCTAGGCATGGGAGACGCTCTCAGCCCTCTTGGGCCATGACACTAACACAGGGAGCTGGCTAGAGACCATGTGACTGCCCCGCTCCAGAGAGGAAGGTCATGCTGGGTCCTACGCCCCCCACCTTCACAGCCATAAGCAGCTACAGCACAGCACTGTTTTAAGAAGCTCAGCCCCCACCAAACTGCATCCTGACTGGGGGCCCAACAGCTCCTGTATCTCCACATTCCTGGAGCCCCACTGATATCCCCCATCTGTGGCCACCACTCCTACTGCTTGCTGCAACCAGGGTCAAAGTGCAAGCCCTGGTGACTGACTCCACCACCCCCAGTAGCGGGGCTGTTGTGCATTTACAAGCACCAGGAGGACAGACTCCCCACTCACAACCTCACTCACACCTGGGGCTGAAGCCCGCACGCCCAGCTGCTTGTCAAGGGCTGCTGCCACTGAAAGCAACCCTGCCCTCCCCAGCAGCAGGGCCATAATGCAGCTGCTGCGAACCCCACACTAGCATCCTGCAGGGGGATTGGGGAGCACCCTGTCCCTGCCTACCACAGCCAGTGCCCACATGCACCACCGGGGGGCCTGAGGGCAGATACCAGCTCCACTCTCCGATAGTGCCTGAGAACACTGTGCTGGGGCCTGGGGATCGCCCTGCTCCATTCACCATCACTGCCACCTGAGCACTCTTCCCAGGGCCTGAGGATGGACCCACCCAAACTCCCACTACCACCACCACATACTACCACCCCTTCTTGCATGTACCACATGAAGGCCTGGGGACTGAACCACCCCTCCTGTCTCAGCCACTGCCAATAGCAGCACAGACCACTTGGGAGCCAGAGGGTTGTCCCACCACTGCTACTGCCATCACCAACACCACGCTCACTGCCAAGGGGTCCAAAGACCTGCCCACCTGCCCAGCCTACCTCTCCCACTGCTGGCACCCAAGCAAGTCACCTGGAGGACACCAAGAATCAGCCCACCTGGACCTGCTAACAATAGTGCCAGCATGCACAACCCAAGCCCAAGGACAGACACACTTGGTCCATCACTATCACCACTGGGTCCCAAGGACTGGCCAACCTGGCATCTCCATCCCCAATAAAACTTAACCATAGCATCCACTAACAACCACACCCTAAGCCACTGAAGAAATCAGAGACACCAATGACACTGTTTACAGCTGAAGAAACCATACAGAGACTTCACTACTGCACGTACTCAGAATCAAAACCAAACTTCCTATCCCAGCCTACTCAACAAACCATAAATACATCTTCAGGAAAAAGTCCATCCCTACAAAAGCAAATTCAAAAAATTGGAAGAAGTGACTGTTATACCAGATGTGCAGATGTCAACATAAGGACACGAGAAACATGAAAAAGCAAGGAAATATGACACCTTCAAAGAACACAATAATTCTCCAGCAACATATTTCAATAAAAAGAAATATATGAAATCCTGGAGAGAGAATTCACAATAATGATATTAAAGAAGCTCAGTGAGATATAAGAGAACATAGATAAATAATACAAAGAAATCAGAAAAACAATTCAGGATATGAATGAAAAATTTATCAAAGAAATATACATTATTAAAAAAAAAAACCAAACAAACAGAAATTCTGGGCCAGGCCTGATGACTCATACCTGTAATTCCATTCCTTTGTGAGGACAAGGCAGGAGGATGGCTTGAGGCCAGGAGTTCAAGATCAGCCTGGGCAACATAGCAAGATCTTGTCTCTACATAAAACAAAAAAAAATTAGCCAGTCATGATGATGTATGCCTGTAGCCCTAGCTACTCGGGAAGGTGAGGCAAGAGGCTTGCTAGAGCCCAGGAGTACAAGGTTACAATGAGCCATGATCACACCACCGCACTCCATCCTGGGCAACAGGGCGAAACCCTGTCTCTAAACAAACAAATAACAACAACACACAAAAATAAAACTGGAACTGAAGACTTTATTGAATGAAATACAAAATACATTTGAAAGCATCAACATAAACTAGATCAAGCAGAAGAATTTCAGAACTTGAAGATAAGTTTTTGAAATAACCCAGTCATACAAAAAGAAAAAAAAAAGAATGGATAAAGCCTATATGACATATGGGACACTATAAAGTGACCAAATATTTGAATTTTCAGTGTTCCAGAAGGCAAAGAGGAAGTGAAACAGAAAGATAATCTATTTAACAAAATAATAGCTGATAACTTCCCAAATCTAGCCAAAGATTTAGACATCCAGATACAGGAAGCTCAGAGATCTCCAAATAGATACAATTCAAAAAGGTCTGCTCCACAGCACATTATGGTCAGGGTGAAAGTCAAAGACAAAGAGAGAAATCTGAAAACAGCAAAAGTGTCTAGTCACTTATAAGTGAATTCCCATTAGACTAACAGCAGATTTCTCAGCAGAAACCTTATAGGCCAGGAGAGAATGGGATGATATATTCAAAGTGCCAAAAGAAAAAAAAAACTTGGCAACCAAGGATACTAGATTCAGCAAAGTTCTCTTTCATAAATGGAGGAAAAATAAAGTCTTTCTCTGACAAGCAAACACTGAGAGAATTCATTATCACTAGACTAGCCATAAAAAAAATGCTTAAGGAAGTCCTAAACCTGGAAGTGAAAGGACGATATCTACCATCATGAAAACACACAAAAGTATAAAACCCACTGGTAGAGAAAATACATAAGGAACAAAAGGATTCAAATGTTACCACTACAGAAAACCAGCAAACAATAATAATAAAAAATAAAAGAGAAGGAAAGGAACAAAAGGTATCCACAACAGCCAGTAATCAATTATAAAATGACAGGAATAAGCTCTCAGGTATCAAAAATAACCTTGAATGTAAGCAAATTAAACTTTTCAATTAAAAGATACAGATTGGCTGAATAGATTTTTTTTAAATGACCCAACCATATGCTGCCTACAAGAAACTCATCTCACCTGTAAAGATACACATGGACTGAAAATAAAGAGATGGAAAGATATTTCATGCAAACAGAGACTAAGAGTGAGAAGGAATAGCTATATATAAATCAGATAAAACAGACTTTAAGTCAAAAACAGTAAAAAGAGACAAAAAAGACTCTACAGTGGCCACAAGTACAAGCAAACTTGCATGACTTCTAGATTCTTAAATTGCAGAAATAAGGAGGTGATTACTAGTTTCCAGTAAGGACCTGTCACTGCAGAAATTTACAATGGAAGTTCTTTAAATATGTACCTTTCCATTATATTATGATTGTATACATTGCAAAGACTTCACTGTGAATCTCTTGAATAAAATGTGGTCAGGACACCTAAATGCAATTAGATTTATTTTCAATCTAATCATCAATCTGGCAAATAATCCTTTTATTTACCAAAGCCATAGAAATTTAGCCCAAAATAAGCCCGCATGTGCTGCTCCTATCACAATTCCTTTCTTCCTGTCTCAGAAGTAATCAGAATCCTGACTTGATAATTGATTGAAATAAACAAAGACAACTATGTGCAACAAAGTGGATAAACTTTATAAACATGTTGGCCAAAATAAGCAAGACATAATAAGTTCAATATGATTACATTTATATAAAATTAGGCAAGTTTCTTTAGGCAAAATTAAGCTATATTTTTTAGGAATGCATACACAGTAAGTTCTAAATATTCTTAAATTTTCATGATGATTGTTAATTCAACTCAAGAGTTCTTCTATATTGTGTTTCAGTTTCAAAATACATCTCTTTTTTTAAAAAATTCTAACTTAATTGAATTGTGGACAGAGAATGTGGTCTGTATGATATTAGTCATTGGAATTTGCTGAGACTTCCTTTATGGCCCAGTGGAGAATGGTTTTTTTTTTTTTTTTTTTTTTGAGACGGAGTCTCACTCTGTCAACTGGATGGAGTACAGTAGCACAATCTTGGCTCACTGCAACCTCCACCTCCTGGGTTCAAGTGATTCTCCTGCCTCAGCCTCCTGAATAACTGGGATTACAGGCACCTGCCACTATGCCTAGCTAATTTTTTTTTATTTTTAGTAGAGACGGGGTTTCACCATGTTGGCCAGGCTGGTTTCAAACTCCTGACCTCATGATTCACCTGCCTCAGCCTCCCAAAGTACTGGGATTACAGGCGTGAGCCACCACACTGCAGAATTGTTTTTTAAAATGTTCCACATGTGCTTGGAAGTGTGGCCCTCTTCACATCTCTAGGGTTTGCTTTGCTTCGAATTCTGGTTGCCCATTTCTCTGGGTCCCTGGCCTTCTTGCCTGATGCTCACTATCTTGAAAATGTTTCATATGTTTTGGTTTTTCCTTTTGGGTTTTTTTTCCTCATGGGATGGTTAATCTTGCTCTTGTTAGTTCATCTTGGTCAGAAGTTGAAGTCTCCTATTTGCCTTTCATTTTTGAAAGATTATTTTTGCTGAAATAGAATTCTAGCTTTAAAGGCATGTTGTTTTAAATACTTTAAAATGTCGCTGTATTATCTTCTGTCTTGGATGGTTTCTAATTCAAAGTTTGTGATTTTCTTTTTGTTCCTCTGTTTGCAGTGCCTGTTTTCTCTGTTTTTCCAGCAGCAGTTGTACTATGCTTGGTCTAGCCAGTGTTTATTATTGTTGTGGTTATTAGTATTATTAGCAGTGGTTGTCCTCCTGGGTGTTCTCTGGATTGTGGTTTGGTGTCTTCCATGAATTTTAAATATTCTTGGACATTAACTCTTCATGTTGTGGGAAGTCAGGGATCCCGAACAGAGGGACCGGCTGGAGCCATGGCAGAGGAACATAAATTGTGAAGATTTCATTTTAATATGGGCATTTATCAGTTCCCAAATAATACTTTTATAATTTCTTATACCTGTCTTTTAATCTCTTAATCCTGTTTTCTTCATAAGCTGAGGATGTATGTCACCTCAGAACCACTGTGATAATTGTGTTAACTGTACAAATTGATTGTAAAACATGTGTGTTTAAACAATATGAAATCAGTGCACGTTGAAAAAGAACAGAATAACAGTGATTTTTAGGGAACAAGGGAAGACAACCATAAGGTCTGACTGCCTGCGGGGTTGGGCAAAAAGAGCCATATTTTTCTTCTTGCAGAGAGCCTATAAACAGACATGCAAGTAGGGAAGATACCGCTAAATTCTTTTCCTCGCCAGGAATATTAATATTAATACCCTGGGAAAGGAATGCATTCCTGGGGGAGGTCTATAAACGGCCGCTCTGAGAGTGTCTGTCTTATGCAGTTGAGATAAGGACTGAAATACGCCCTGGTCTCCTGCAGTACCCTCAGGCTTATTAGGGTGGGGAAAAACTCCACCCTGGTAAATTTGTGGTCAGACTGGTTCTCTGCTCTTGAACCCTGTTTTCTGTTGTTTAAGATGTTTATCAAGACAATACGTGCACAGCTGAACATAGATCCTTATCAGTAGTTCTGTTTTGCCTTTTGTCCTGTTCCCTCAGAAGCATGTGATCTTTGTTCTGCTTTTTGCCCTTTGAAGCATGTGATCTTTGTACCTACTCTCTGTTTTACACCTCCTCCCCTTTTGAAACCCTAAATAAAAACTTGCTGGTCTGAGACTCAGGCAGGCATCACGGTCCTACCAACATGTGATGTCACCCCCTGGCGGCCCAGCTGTAAAATTCCTCTCTTTGTACTCTTTCTCTTTATTTCTCAGCCGGCTGACACTTATGGGAAATAAAAAGAACCTATGTTGAAATATGGGGAGCAGGTTCCCCCAATATCTTCAAATATTTCTTCTGCTGATTTTCTTTTCTTCTGGGATTCCAGTTACACATCTGTTAGCATGTCCGATAATTTCCCAAAGCTCTTACATGCTCTGGGTTTTTTGTGTGCTTGTTTTAAAAATCCCTGTTCCTGTTTGTGCCTTGCTTTTGGTCACTCCTATGGCCCTATCTTCATGTTTGCTGATTCTTTCTTTGCCTCTGCAGAATCTCCTGAATTCTTTGTTCACCTCTGCAGAACTCCCCATCTCTGCTATCACGCTTTTCAATTCTCACCTTGCCACCTCATCCTTCCTCACAGGCTCCAACACCTCTGGATCAAAGAGTGGGGTGTGGGGTGTCCTAGAGGTCAGAGGAGCCATCTTTTTGCCTTGGACCTTGCTGTACCACCCATTTCTAGGTGTAAAACTTGTGAAAAGCTCAGCCATGCTGGCATCGCTGGTCCCGACTTCTTTTGAAATAACTCTGAAAGCTACTTGAGAATGTACACAAGCCATGGCAAAGGAAAGGTCCCAGTGACACAAGGAGAATTTTTCACCACTGTGGAAGATAGTATAGCAGCTCCTGAAAAAATTAAACCTAGAATTATCATAGGATTCAGCAATTCTGCTGTTGGCTAAATGCCCAAGAAAACTGAAAGCAGACTCAAAAAGATCAGTACACCCATGTTCCTAGGAGCATTATTCAAAATAGCCAAGAGGTGGAAGCCACCCATGTCCACCAACAGAGGAATGAATAAACAAAATGTGGGCCCTTCATGTCATCCACCCCATGGATAACAATGGGGTGTTATCCATCCTCAACAAGCAAAGATGCTCTGACATGTGCCATAGCACAGATGAAACTTGAGGATGTTACGCTAAGTGAAATACACCAGCCACAAAAGGACAAATACTGTATGACTCCAGACAGATGAGGTCCATAGAGGACTCAAAGTCACAGAGACAGAAAGTAGAATGGGGGCTGCCAGGAGTTGGGGAGATGGGGGAGGGGGAGTCAGTGTTGAATGAGGACAGGGTTTTAGTCTGGGAAGAAGAAAAAGTTCTGGAGAAGGAAGACAGTATAGTGATGGTTGCACAAGAAACAATGTAAATGCACTTAATGCCACTGAACTGTGCACCTAAGAATGGTTAAGCGGTAAATTTCAGATTATGGATATTTTACCACAACAAAATTAAATGAATTCTTCATTACAACTAACTTTAAAACAATAGGAACAATTCATTTTTTATTTTGGTTCCAGAAAGCGTGCTCTAATCAACTCATTTAGGTAGCACCTGCTAGAACCTGGCTCTGCTCGATCAGATCTTTGCAGGCCTGAAGCTCTGTCCACAGCCACCAATCACCCACTGCGTGCGAGCTGGGAATCCTGCAAACATGGCCCTTTCTACAAGATGAATGGAGAACATTTGAGGAGTAACACTTGGCTTGGGAAAACCAGCCTAAAACCCCTGAGGAATCTCCAGTTTAGTGTTAATTGGCTCATTTATCACAGGGGGCAGAGGTCAGGAGCAGCCCATGATGAGAGGTGGGGTCTCTTTCAGAAGACCCGGCAGAAGATTCACCTCTACTCAGAGAATATCTGGAATTCTCAGAGGAAGCTGGCATAAGAGAAGTGTGACTCCTGAAGTCCAGGAAAGACATTCTTCATTTGCATTAAAGGAGAGTGAATTTAACTATTCTGCTGATTCTAGAAGTTTCTATAACTCTCCAGTGCTCATGAGCTGAACCTGAATAGAAAAGACAGCCTCGTCATCTGTGTCAAGTCCTGCTTGCTTAGACACTGTCAACCTTACACTCTCCCCTCCCACAGCTCCATCACCTTCTGGCTTCATTTGAGGGCAGAACTGAAACAATGTTGGAGTGGGTACTACATAGGCCACCTCTGAGAGGGTGAGACATGACAGGGACGCTGGGTTCAGCCTCCTGTTGGGCTCTGAGAAAATGAGGACTTGGTTCAGATGTGTAAGGTTAGACCGTCTTTGTCATCCCAACATTGACACTCAGTTAGGACTTGGGGATAAATCCCTGCAGTAATTTAAACTTACTATGAGATTACTCTGTGCAGAAATAAAGCAAAAGAATTTCATCCACAACACCTTCCATGCATCAAGAATAGACCTCCCTAATTTGAACAGCATCTTAAGATATCTGTGAGAATCCTGCGTGGTAAATACATATTCTGAGTGCTTACAATTTACATAGTTCTTACATCTTAATTACTCTTTTGCTAGTATCTGGCTAAGATTATACTCTTTGGAAAACCCTGGAAAAGCTATACATCAAGTACTATAATAATTCCATGCAATAAAAATACATTTATGATAGCAAATGTGAGCAACGGAGCTCTCATATGCAGCCCGTGGGAGTGTAAATTCGTACAACCGTTTTGGAAACCTGTTTGGCAGCATCTTCTGAGTTTAGTATGTGCACACTCTATGGCCCAGCAATTCTACTCCTAAATATATGCCAATCAGAAATGCGTATATGTGTGCCTAAAGACATGCACAAGAAGGTTTATAACAGCATCGTTCATCACTGCCCCAAGCCCAAAGCAGCCCCGATGCTTGGGAGCGGCTGTTTGGAGATGCCCCTCGTGGTGTGTGCATAAAGGGGAGTACTGCATTGCAGGGCAGTACGCACACATTACACCCCCATAATATGGCTGCACTCAGAATAGGGACAGTCTCACGAGCAAACACTGAGCAAAAGAATCCAGATACATTATATAACTCATTTATATAAAGCTTAGAACAGGCAAGGGTCATCTACACTGGAACAAGTCGGAAGATGGCTATTCTCTGAGGTGGGATAAGGGCTGGGAAGTGTGTGAGGGAGTCCCCTGGTGAGATTCTATGTCTGACCCGAGGCCTGGCCCCATGGATGTGTGAGCCTTTGTAAAAAATGTATATCCAGCTGAACATTTATGATTTGTGAGCTTTTCTATATATATGCTATACTTTCAGTTAAAAGTTGGCTTAAAACTCCATCCATATCCTTTAAAGTTTATTTGAAGACATTTAGGTCAACTAGTTTTGAGACTAGAACCTGTAACTGGAAGCACTGAGAGTGATAAAAGTCCTATAAGATTCAAGGAGCTAGTTAAATCTTCGTTTTAAGAATTGAGTTGAAACTTGAGCTTTTAGGATTTGCTGTTGTCAGTGGGCAGAATATTGATTATAATTAACAATTAACACCCCCTATTGGTCACCAGCAGCAAGTGCAGCGGTGGAACCAATCGATGAAATTGCACAAACGATTGCTAGCTTTAACACTTGTCTTTTTGCTCATAGGCGCGAGAAACCGGTATTAAAATTTAATAGAAAATGTAAAAAAAGAGGTTGGAGCTGTAAGAATTTCGTCTAGTACATGATACGGAGCTGTCATAATCGCAGGTTTGTTTCAGAACATTCCGGGTGCCTCCTTGGACATGGAACTGTCTGGGTTCTCATGGGATCAGAGTCCTCCCTTTCCCCGCCCTGGAGGGCAGGTCCGGTGCCTCTCACGGGCGGCAGCGCAGTCGGGACCCGCCGCCACGTCTCTGGGGCTCGGCGCAAAGCAGCTGCCCCGGGACCGCGTGAGCTAGGACGGCAGAGCCGCCGGGGAGCCGCGCACCTGCGCTGTGAACCTGGGTCCCCTGCACACCGCTTTGTTCACGGCCCGCGGCCAGGCTCCGTGCTGCGTTCCCAGGGTCGGGGCTCCGACCTCAGCAGCTCTGGCGGTCGTGATCAGCCCGGCACCTCCTAACGCTGGGTCAGCCTGTGAACCCCGATCTCACCGGGCCGCAGAGGCGCTCAGCAGCGGCAGCTTTCACCCAAGGGGACCAAGGCGGAGTCCTTCTTGTGGGAATGAAGGTCGCCCTGGTTTAAAGGCACAGTTTGCTTTTTTCCTCTCTCCTTTTTTTTTTTTTTTTTTTTTTTTTTTTTTTTTTTTTTGAGACGGAGACTCGCTCTGTCGCCAGGCTGGAGTGCAGTGACGCGATCTCTGCTCACTGCAAGCTCTGCCTCCCGGGTTCACGCAATTCTCCTGCTTCAGCCTCCGGAGTAGCTGGGACTACAGGCGCGTGCCACCACGCCCGGCTAATTTTTTGTATTTTTAGTAGAGACGGGATTTCACAGTGTTAGCCAAGATAGTCTTGATCTCCTGACCTCGTGATCCGCCCGCCTCGGCCTCCCAAAGTGCTGGGATTACAGGCGTGAGCCACCGCACCCGGCCTGTCCCCTAGCTCTGACTTCTTAACCGGCAACAACGTGGGAGACAGGTCTCCCACGAGGAACGCCTTCCCCAGAGCTCGTGGAAGGGGTGCAGGGGGCTGTGGGGCCCCTTTAAGCTCCCGCAGAAGCTCCTCCTCTGACCCCGCAGGCCCGGGGAAGCGCGGCCTCCCTTCCCGCGCCTGCAAGGGCTCTTCCGCTTAGATACTACGTTCGCTTTCTCTCGAATAAAAAAGTCCCTGTCTCCAATCTGGCCCCAGCTGCTGTGCTCGGACTGGCCTTGACTCCCCAGCGTTCTCTCCCGGAGCCTTCGGAAAGCTCCTCTTCTGTGCATAGGACCAGGGTGCCAAGTTCTCTACGCAGCACAGAACCAGAAACACCAAACGGGGCTCTGTCCTGGAAAGATGAGCACAGAGGCCAAGGCCACGCCGCTGTCAGTGGACTTAAAGAACGCGTTATACGTTTATTTACTCAGACATTCTTATTTTTTATGTTTTTAAATTGTGGCAAAATACACATAACGATTACCATTTTAACCATTTTTAGGCATTTAGGTGCATTCACATTTTTCACAATCAATAGAACATCTTCATCTTGCAAGACCGAACTCTGTCCCCCTTAAATAAGCACTCACTCCCCATTGCCCTCCCCAGCCCCTGGCATCCACCATTCCACTTTGTGTGTCTGAATTTGATTAGTCCAGGGACTAATACTGTTAGCAGCAGGGAATCCGTAGGGTCTGCAGCAACTCGATTCTTGCCTCCTCAGAGGAAAGAATTCGGCCGAGGTGCATAGTGCAGAGTGAGAGGCCAAGGCGAGTTTTAGAGCAGGACTGAGAGTTTATTAAAAAGCTTTAGAGCAGGAATTAAGGGAAGTAAAGTACACTTGGGAGAGGGTGAAGTAGGCGACTTGAGAGATCCAAGTGCAGGGTACAACCCCCCACTTTGGGTTTTATACATGGGCATGGTTCAGGGTTTCCATTTCCCCTTCCTTGACCTTTCCTTGGGGTGGGCTGTCCGCATGCGCAGTGACCGGCCAGCGCTTGGGCGGGGCCGCGTGCGCGCTGTATTACTGAAGTTGTGCACATGCTCACCTGAAGTATTTTGCCCTTACCTGTCTCGTGTTCCTGGAGGAAGGTCACACACCAGTTAAACTACATTTTACCTCTTAGTGCACAGGCCTAAGCCACCTCGCCCCACTCCTGAGATCTTATAGAAAGCTGCTGATCAGTTTCAGGTGTTTTCCAGCTATTGGGAGCCCGCCTTTCCCTGGCACAGCTGCAACCAATTACTATTTTAGAGAACCAGTTTAACCACTGCCTGAGTATCACCTGATGGTCTCCAGAGGTTCCTGGTGGGGTGGGCCCTCTCCTGCCCTGCTCATGTCTGCCTCGCCACTGACTAACAATGAGTGGAGTTCCACAGTACTTGTCTTTTTGTGACTAGCTAATTGTTTTATGTTTATTTTTAACAAAAATTCCTGGACAGTGTTTTGATAAATGATTTTCATGCAGCCTGTTTTATAAACTCCCTGGTTCTTTCTGTGATTGCTATTTTTCTCTTCCTCTCTGTTTAAATGCTTCATTCTACCCTTTCTTCCTGCTCTTGCTTCAGTGCATTTTGTTCTTCCTTTCCTATTTTTTCCTCTTTCTTCCTGTTTTCCATGATGTAACTGGAAGGCAATGTTAGAAATCAATGAGCAGCAGATCCCCCCGAGAACTAAGCACTGCAGTGGGGAAGCCACCCCAGCTTTGTTTTCCGCCACTGCAGACTCATCTGGAAGAATCAGTGTTTTTTCCTTCTCAGCCAGATGGCTGCCTTTGTGTTTCCACCATGGGCCTTCTCTTACCCATGAGAAGGTCTCTTTCCTGCTTTGAGGGAGAGGAGACCATGCCAGGTGCCATGTGGGCTGCCCTGAAGAAAACTGTATGGGCTCACTGAGGCTGCCACATGTTTTACTTTCTGAGAAGATGAGATGAGCCCTCCACATTTCAAGGCTGAGAGCAGAAATGTGACCAGGTGCTGGAGCCTCCAGGACAGTGAAGGAAGGGGTCTGGGTCCCTGCTTAGCCCTGAAGGAAAAGGAGCAGCTTCCAGAAGGCAGTAGGGATGTGGGTGCTGTGACAGGCCGTGCCAGCTTGGTCCTGCATGTGGTTAGAAACCAGGAGCCTTGGCCACCAAGTGGAACCAAAATCTCCCATCCCTGTCTTGTTCTCTTTGCATAGTGTGGACGAAAAGCGTCAAGCTCTGTAAAACATTTGAAGAGGTTTATTCTGACCAAATATGAGGGACCAATGACTTGTGACACAACCTCAGGAGGTCAGGAGAACATGTGCCCAAGGTAGTCAGGCTACACCTTGGTTTTATACATTTTAGGGGGACTTAAGACATCAATCAATACAGGTAAGGTGTACATTCGTTGGGTCAGGAAAGGTGGGACAACTTGAAGCAGGGGCTTCCAGGTCACAGGTAGACTCAAAGAATTTCTGATTGGCAATTGGTTGAAAGAGTTTTTATCTAAAGACCTGGAATCAATAGAAGGGAGTGTCTGGGTTATAATAAGGGATTGTGGAGAGCCAGGTTTTGTCATGCAGATGAAGCCTCCAGGTAGCAGGCTTCACAGAGAATAGATTGTAAATGCTTCTTATCAGACTTAAAGTCTGTGTTGATGTTAATGCTGGTCAGCTGTGCCTGAATTCCAAAAGGGCGGAAGGTATATTGAGGCATGTCCAACCCCTGCTTCCCATCATAGCCTGAACTCGTTTTTCAGATTAACTTTGGAATGCCCTTGGCATTCCAAGAAGAGGGGTTCATTCAGATGGTTAGGGGGCTTAGCATTTTATTTTTGCTTTACACCAGAAGCTTCCCTGAGGGGCCTGGGCCCTGGGCTTCAGGGCCTCTGCTCTCAGGCCTTGCCCAGAAGAATGGAAGATGCAGTGAGGGACCTGGAGGAGAGTGGACTGCTGTGTGTGGGCTTCGTGGCACACAGGGAAAAGCACAGGCTCTGGGTGAGTTTAAATCCTGGCTCTGCTGCCTGCAAGATGTAAGACTCCAGCATGTTATTTAATCTCTCTGAGCCTCTGTCACCCCATAAATAAAATGAGGTAATTTCTAGCACACAGGATCATTGACATGAATAAAATAACTGATGTTTACATGGCACTTGCTACATCAGTGGCACTGATTGCTGGTCATATAAAGCAAGGAAAAAAGATGTTTCCTCTTTTTATTCATTTCTACATCCTGCCAGTTTCCCTACACATATGCATTATAGATGACGAATAATTGAGAAAATCTGCAAGGACAAGGCTCGTATTCTTCCTGACCCATTTCTTGTTCAGAGTATAAGGTAACTTGTGCCGCACGTGTACCCAATATGCCGTGGGGTTATAGGATGTTAAATTGGACATTTACATGATACAATAAATATGACATTCCAGAGTGATGTTCTAGACCAAGATTCAAATCTTTAAGGAAGGGATTTAACCAAAAGTTGATTACATAAACATTGTTCGCATCACCCACACTTTGTTATGTGCATCTGTGTGAAGAGACCACCAAACAGGCTTTGTGTGAGCAATA
Organism: Homo sapiens; assembly: GCF_000001405.40. Taxonomy (NCBI): domain Eukaryota; kingdom Metazoa; phylum Chordata; class Mammalia; order Primates; family Hominidae; genus Homo; species Homo sapiens. Next base: position 111,063,369 of record NC_000013.11, on the reverse strand, counting down.
AAGCTTTTTAATCACCTGGGTGCAGGCTGACTGAGTCTGAAAAAGGAGTCAGCAAAGGGAGATGGGGAGGGGCAGTTTTACAGGATTTGGGTAGGTAGTGGAAAATTTACAGTTAAAGGAGGTTTTTCTCTTGTGGGCAAGGGTGGGGGTCACAAGGTGCTCGGTGGGGGAGCTCTTAAGACTCATTGTCCAGGAGAAGGAATGTCACATGGTCAATTGATCAGTTAGGGTGGGGCAGGAACAAATCACAATGGTGGAATGTCATCAGTTAAGGCATAAACTGGCTATTTTCACTTCTTTTGTGGTTTTTCAGGTGCTTCAGGCCATGTGAATGTATACATGTAGGTCACAGGGGATATGATGGCTTAGCGTGGGCTCAGAGGCCTGACACACTTGAATTACATCCCCAATTGGGTAGAAGACCAGGAATATAGTCAGGAGTTCCATTTTGTTTAGGATAGGAAGGATGTTTCTACAGTGGAGACTGGTATCTGATTCATCATTTAGAGTAATAAACAGGTCACTCTGAAGATCATCTATAAAGCACAACTTTAGATGCTTATTACTTACAGATTCGCTTCTTAGGTACCCTACTTGGTCATCTAGGCAACTAGAAAAACAAGTTGGTTTTCTAACTGACTCAATTAGAAATAAAAGTAGGGCAACTTGATCTTTAGGAAAAGAGAGTGAGCAGAGATGGGGCGGAGCTTCACCCTCAACAGTGATGCTTGTACACTTCTGCTGAACCAGACAACAGGCAGCCCACAGCCTGCAAAGTCCTACCAACGAGGAGAGATGGACCACCAGGTGGTGACCACCGCTGCCTGCTCTAAACCCTGGGGAGGAGTGGAGCAGTGACCACCATCTGCTGTAAACCCCAGGGAGAGACGGAGCTGTGACCGCTGCCTGCCCTAAGCCCCAGGAAGAGATGGAGCAGTGTTCACCACCTGCTCTTAACCCCAGAGAGAGATGAAGCCATGATTGCCGCCCGCTCTAAACCTTGGGGAGAGATGGAGCAGTGACCACCACCTGCTCTAAACCCTGGGGACAGATGAAGCCATGACTGCCACCCACTCTAAACCTTGGGGAGAGATGGAACAGTGACCACTGCCTGCTCTAAGCCCCGGGAAGAGATGGAGCATGACCTCCGCCTGCCCTAAAGCCCAGGAGAAAGGGAGCAGTGACCACAGCCTACTCTAAACCTCGGGGAGAGAAGGAGTAGTGACCACCACCTACTCTAAACTTTGGGGAGAGATGGAGCCGTGACCGCCGCCTGCTCTAAACCGTGGGGTACAGACTAGTCGTGACCCAACCTCACAAGTGCAGGTATGGTAGGCCTGTGGGGTCAATGCAGTTCAAGGAGGTGCCTTACAGGGGCAAGCTCTGTGCCAAAGTGACCGGAAGACTAGGGCAGCCACTTGCAGGCTGGGGATAGTGAGTGAATGCTGCCACTTTTATTTGGTTCCAGGGTGAGGATGAACCCAGCCAGCCTTTCTAATTTAAGAGCCCACCTGGCTTCTCTGAGGGGTGAGCTGTGTTCCCAGAGCACTCACACCATGGCCTTCACCTCTGAGTCAGGCCCCGCACGACCAGCAGCAGAATCCAGGGACCCGCACACAAGCTGGGATATAGACTTCCTCACTTGCATTAGAACTTCGGCATTCCTAGCAAATGGGAACAGGGTTTCCAAGTCTGCATGACACGTTCTTGCTTCATGACTGTGTTCTCTGAGATGAGATTTGTGATGCATTTTTCCATAAATCAAGGGTGGAGCAGCATGCAAGCCTGGATATGCAGACACTTGACAGATGCCCATTGACTGACTGAGTGACACAGCCACATGGTGTTATTGTGGCTGGTGATGGCCAGCACCCAGAGATGGTGTGACAAGTCTGAAAATAACATGTGGCCAAGAGGAGATTAAGTGCTACGTTCCTAGTCATTCTTTTTCATATTTAAGTTATATTAGTACATTCACATGCAAAAAAATTCCCCCAAACACAAAAAGGTATATTCTTCCTTTAAGGAGGGACTTCCTCCCTCTTTCTCCACAAACACCGCCCAGTGGACATGCATGCTGCACCCTGATTTGGCCACTAAGACACAGCGCGGACACTGGGCCTCATCAGGCCCTTGGATCAACCACATTCATCTTTTTCCCTCTCAATACTCGCTATTATAAAGTATTTTTAAAACACTGGAAAGTACACAGGACATAAAGAATAACTGTGTACTCGTTACCCATCTAAGCAAATCAATATTTTACCATGTTTACTTAAGATATTCCTTTAAATAAAAAAACACTTCACACAGCTGAAGCCCCTTAAAGTGCCCTTCTCTGATCCCAATTTTCTTCCCGTCCTGTCTCCCAGACACAGCTACTATTCTGAAGTCTGGGTGTATTAACCCCAAGCAAATGTTTGCTTTTATGTTTGATAGCACACGTGTGTATGTATGTGTATATATATCCATAAATAATATACAACAGGAGTCAGCAAGTTTTTTCTGTGAAGGATCAGATCATGAATATTTTAAGCTTTGTAGGCACGTGGCCTCTGTCATAACTCAACTCTGCCGCTGTGTGTGAAAGCAGCCACAGACAATATAGAAACAAATGATCATGTGCAGCTATGTTTCAATAAAACTTTATTTACACAAATAGGCACTGGCCCTCAGGCAGTAGTTTGCCAACCACTGATATACAGTATTTTTTACATTAAAATTTTTTCAAATAAATGATGTCACACTGTGTATGTAATTCTACAATGGTTTCCCCCCACTCAATGTAATATTTCAGGAGTTTATTATATATGTGGATAGATGTGGCTCTTGCTACTTCACTTATTTATTTGTTTCTGAGATAAGATCTTACTCTGTCACCAAGGCTGGAGTGCAGTGGCACAATCATAGCTCACTACAGCCTCAAATTCCTCGGCTCAATTGATCCTCCCATCTCAGCCTCCCAAGTAGCTAGAAGGTGTGAGCCACCATGCCTGGCTTATTTGTGTGTGTGTGTGTAGAGATTGGGGCTTGCCCTGTTTCCCAGGCTGGTCTTGAACTTCTGGCCTCAAGTGATCCTCCTGCTTCAGCCTCCCAAAGTGCTGAAATTACAGGCATGAGCCGCCACACCTGGCCTGTTCTTGCTATTTTAACTTATAGTCTAATGGTAAATGAATATTTCACAGCTTATTTTTTTATTCTTTTATTGAGGAAATTCGGATTGTTCTCAAGTATCTCCGTTAGAAAAACTGCTAACAATGGTTTTAATTTCCAAGCTTTTAATTTTGTTACCAATGTTTTAGAATTATTTTACTGTTCCTGCATACAGTTCCATGGTGGGATCTCAGCTGCAGCCCTGTGGATGCCACTTTCTGCTCTTTATTTCTGAGCCAGGAGAGATGATCATGATTTTGAAACTTGCGATGTCTTTCCAGTATTCTCTTTGTATATTTTATATCTTTGCTATGTGCTTGGAGCCAAGGAGTTGTCTCAAAACTTAAATTTCCAGAGCTATATTGATTTGGATTCTTTGTGTTCGATATGAGTTCTAAATTTCTCTTCAAAGAAACAATATGTCACTATGTTCAATTCTTTGCCTTCTACTTTTAAAGTTAACTTCCTCGTAAAGCAACCTGTTTCGATTACCTGCTCCACCCTGACTCATTCCGATTTCCTGCTCTGCCATAACAATTTTTCCCACCAAACCACTCATTCCATCACTCTCTTTAAATTAGCCAGTCGGAATTAGTATAGCCTGTGTGGTCTAACCCTAGCCAATAGGGGAACGACACGGCAGCAGGGGCTGTGTCCGTCAGGGATAAAACCCCTTCCCCTCCCTTGTCCAAGTATGTGCTCACCATTGCTCCATTTGTAAGGGTGCACCCTTCTACAGAAGTACATTGCCTTGCTGAGAATTAAAAAGAAAATTTGATATTCGAGTGCTATTTCTTTTGTGGCACCGAAACTTTACTTATAACAACTGTCCTTGTACATACTAGTCAGTTCCACTGTGGTACATCATGTGCATTCCTAGAAGCCACCACACTATGCAGGATCATGCCTTAAAAACCACAGAGGCTATGGGAAGAGTGGGGTGAGAGGCAGAGCACTCAAATGCATGAGCAGTGACATTAAAAAAATGAACCTGACAATGGAGTACGGGAAAAACAGCAGATAGGAGGCAGGACTAACTTGCAGCTCCCACTTGGATGGACGGAGCAGCATGTGGAGACCCACACTGTGAACTTTTGCTCCAGGAAGTACTGCAGGAACATACCAGGAAAGCCAAGAGAATCCACAGACCCTTTGAAGGAGGTGGATTGCTGCTCCAGGCTCTGGGACAGCCAAGGAAATGTGAGTCTGCTTGCTTTCTCAGCAGGAGGCTTGTAGCCTGGGGCAAGTTCTCAGCCCTGCTCACACTCCAACCCTGGGGCATGGTGGAAGTGAGACTGGCCTTTTGGGCTGTGGGCTGCATGAGAGCTGGGTGAGTCCTGTGGCTGCTGGCTTCCTCCCACTTCTTTGGCAACCTGTGTGACGCAGTAGAGGCAGCCATAATCCCCCTGGGAACAAAACTGCATTGGCCTGGGAGCCGTACCACCATCACCCACAGCATCTGCAGCAAGCCCCACCCAAGGAGAGTCTGAGCTCAGACATGCCTAACCCTGCCTCCACCTGATGGTCTTTCTCTACCCACCCTGGTAGCTGAAGACAAAGGACATAATCTCTTGAGAGCTCCATGGCTCCACCCACCACCTGATCCTCCCTATACAATCACAGCTGATGCACTCTTGAAAGCACCACCTCCTGGCTGGAGGCCAACAAACAAAACCAGCTCACTTAACAAAAATACAACCAAAGACCCTCACAGAGTCCACCTCAGTCTCCTGCTCCCTCCACCAGAGCAGGTGCTGGTATCCACAGCTGAGAGACCTGAAGATGGAGCACATCACAGGACTCTGTAGACACCCCACAGTACCAGCCCAGAGTCCAGTAGCTCAGCTGGGTGGCTAGATCCAGAAGACAAATAACAATCACTGCAGTTCGACTCTCAGGAAGTCCCATCACTAAGGGGAAAGGGGAGAGCAGCACATCAAGGGAGCACCCCCATGGGACAAAAGAATCTGAACAGCAGCCCTTGAGTCCCAGATCTTCTCTTTGAACCTATCAGATTAACAGCAGATTTCTCAGCAGAAATCCTACAAACTACAAGGAATTGGAGTTCTATCTTTAGCCTCCTTAAACAAAACAATTATCAGCCAAGAATTTTGTATCCAGTGAAACTAAGCTTCATGCATGAAGGAAAGATACAGTCTTTTTCACACAAACAAGTGCTGAGAGAATTCACCACTACCAAATCAGCACTACAAGAACTGCTAAAAGGAGCTCTAAATCTCAAAATAAATCCTTGAAATACACCAAAATAATCTCCTTAATGCATAAATCTCACAGGACCTATAAAACAATAGCACAATGCAAAAAAATAAAAAAAGATATTCAGGCAACAACTAGCATGATGAGTAGAATTGTATCTCGCATCTCAGTACTAACATTGAATGTAAATGGCCTAAATACTCCCTTAAAAGATACAGAATAGCAGAATGGATAAGAACTCACCAACCAAGTATCTGCTGTCTTCAAGAGACTCACCCAACCCATAAGGATTCACATAAATGTAAGGTGAGGGGGTGGAAAAAGATATTCCATGCAAATGGACACCAAAAGCAAGCAGGAGTAGCTATTCTTATATCAGACAAAACTTTAAAGCAACAGCAGTTTAAAAAGACAAAGAGGGACATTATATAATGATAAAAGGATTCGACCAAAAGAAAAATATCACAATCCTAAAAATATATGCACCTAACACTGGAGCTCCTAAATTTATAAAATAGTTACTACTAAACCTAAGAAATGAGACAGCAACACAGTAATAGTGGGGGACTTCAATACTCCAATGTCAGCACTAAACAAGTCATCAAGACAGAAAGTCAACAAAGAAACAATGGACTTAAACTATAGCCTAGAACAAATGGACTTAACAGACATTTACAGAACATTCTGCCCAACAACTGTAGAATATACATTCTATTCATCAGCACATGGCACATTCTCCAAGACAGACCATATGATAGGCCACAAAACAAGTCTCAGCAAATTTAAGAAAACTGAAATTATATCAAGTACTCTCTCAGACCACAGTGGAACAAAATTGGAAATCAACTCCAAAAGGAACCCTCAAAACCATGCAAATACATGGAAATTAAATAACCCCCTGCATGATCTTTGGGTCAACAATGAAATCAAGAAGGAAATTTAAAAATTCTTTGAACTGTACAATAACAGTGACACAACCTATCAAAACCTCTGGGATACAGCAAAAGCAGTGCTAATGTTACCAGGGGGTCCTTGCTCCCAGAACTCCCAAGACGGTGGTGAGCTGCTTCCAAGATGGTGGCAAGCCTCTTGTTCTCTGACCTGGAGTTCTTAGCCTCACGGATTCCAAGGAATGGAATCTTGGGCCATGCAGTGAGTGTTATAGCTCTATTAGAAGCCGTGGGTCATGGAAGAGAACCGTGGAACCCAGTGACAGGTGTTCAGCTCAATTAGGATGAACCCGGGCACTTAGCCATGCAGGAACAATGGCAAGCCTTTAGCCCAATTGGGAGTGGCAATGGGCACCTCACTGGATCAGGAGCACAGCGGACACCCTGCCGGATCTGGAGAGATGGAAGTCAGCAGTGGGTCTGTGATGGTGGCAAATAGCAGCAGTGGATGGCAAGTGAAAGCTCAGCTTGAGCTGTAACTAGCACGGACCAGAAGACTGTGCAGTTGCAAGATTTAATAGAGTGAAAACAGAGCTCCCATACAAAGGGAGGGGACCCAAGAGGGTAGCCATTGCGGGCTTGAATGCCTGGGTTTATATCCTGATCATTGTCCCTCCCACTGTGCTCTCAGGTGATAGATGATTGGCTATTTCTTTACCTCCTGTGTTTGCCTAATTAGCATTTTAGTGAGCTTTCTTTCCCTACCTGATTGGTCAGGTGTGAGCTAAGTTGCAAGCCCCATGTTTAAAGGTGGATGCAGTCACCTTCCCAGCTAGGCTTAGGGATTCTTAGCTGGCCTAGGAAATCCAGCTAGTCCTGTCTCTCACTAAGAGGAAAGTTCACAGCATTAAATGCCTATATCAAGAAATCTGAAAGAGCACAAATATACAATCAAAGGTCACACCTCAAGGAACTAGAGAAACAAGAACAAACCAAGCCCAAACCCAGAAGAAGAAAAGAAATAATGAAGATCGGAGCAGATCTAAATGAAATTGAAACCAAAAAATACAAAGGATAAATGAAACAAAAAGATAATTCTTTAAAAAGATAAATGAAATTTATAGACCATTAGTGAGATTAACCAAGAAGAGAGAAGATACAAATAAGCTCAATTAGAAATGAAATGGGAGATGTTACAAGTGATAACACAGAAATACAAAAGATCATTCAAGGTTACTATGAACATCGTTATGCACATAAACTACAAAACCTAGAGGAGATGGAGAAATTCCTGGAAATATACAACCCTCCCAGATTAAACCAGGAAGAAATAGAAACTCCGAACAGACCAATAACATGCAGTGAGATTGAAATGATAATTAAAAAGTTACCAATAAAAAAAGTCCAGAACCAGACAAATTCACAGCTGAATTCTATCAGACATTAAAAGAAGAATTAGTACCAATCCCATTGACACTATTCCAAAAGATAGAGAAAGAGGGAATCCTCTGTAAGTCATTCTATGAAGCCAGTATCACCCTAATACCAAAACCAGAAAAGGGCATAACAAAAATAGAAAACTACAGACCAATATCCCTGATGAACATAGATGCAAAAATCCTCAATAAAATACTAGCTAACTGAATCCAATAGCATATCAAAAAGATAACCCACCATGATCAAGTGAGTTTCCTACCAGGGATGCAGGGATGGTTTAACATATGCAAGTCAAATGCCATACACCACATAAACAGAATTAAAAACAAAAATCACATGATCATCTCAATAAACACAGAAAAAGCATTTAACAAAATCCAGCATCCATTTGTGATTAAAACCCTTAGCAAAATTAGCATAGAGGGGAAATACCTCAAGGTGATAAAAGCCATCTATGACAAACCCACAAGCAGCATTATACTGAATGGGGAAAAGCTGAAGGCATTCCCCCTGAGAACTGGAAAAAGACTAGTATGCCCACTTTCACCACTACTATTCAACATAGTACTGGAAGCCCTAACCAGAGCAATCAGACAAGAGAAAAAAAAAAGGGGCATCCAAATCGGTAAAGCAGAAGTCAAACCGTCACTGTTTGACTTTAGGGTCATCCAAAAAGCCCTAGAGACTCATCCAAAAAGTCCTAGAACTGGTAAATTAATTCAGTAAACTTTAGGATACAAAATTAATGTACACAAATCAGTAGCTCTGCTATTCACCAACAGCAACCAAGCTGAGAATTAAATCAAGAACTCAACCCCTTTTACAATAGCTGCAAACAAAATACTTAGCAATATACCTATTCAAGGAGGTGAAAGACTTCTACAAGGAAAACTACAAAACACTGCTGAAAGCAATCACAGATGACACAAACAAATGAAAACATATCCCATGCTCATGGATGTGTAGAATCAATGTGAAAATGACCATATTGCCGAAAGCAATCTACAAATTCAGTGCAATTTCCATCAAAATACCACCAGCATTCTTCACAGAACTAGAAAAAACAAACCTAAAATTTATATAGAAACAAAAAAGAGCCTACACAGCCAAAGCAAGACTAAGCAAAAAGAACAAATCTGCAGGCATCACATTACCTGACTTCAAAATATACTATAAGGGTATAGTCACCAAAACAGTATGGTACTGGTGTAAAAATAGGCATATAGATGGAAGGAACAGGATAGAGAACACAGAAATAAAGCCAAATACTTACAGCTAACTTATCTTCAACAAAACAAACAAAAACATAAAGTAGGGAAAGGACACCCTATTCAACAAATGGTGCTGGGATAATTGGCTAGCCACATGTAGGAGAATGAAACTGGATCCTCATCTCTCATGTTATATAAAAATCAACTCAAGATGGATTAAAGACTTAAATCTAAGACCTGAAACCATAAAAATTCTACAAGATAACATTGGAAAAACTATTCTAGACATTGGCTCAGGCAAAGACTTTATGACCAAGAACCAAAAAGCAAATGCGACAAAAACAAAGATAAATAGATGGGACTTAATTAAACTAAAAAGCTTCTGCACAGAAAAATAAATAATCAGCAGAGTAAACAAACAACCCCCAGAGTGGAAAAAATCTTCGCAATCTATATTTCTGACAAGGACTAATATCCAGAATCTACAAGGAACTCAAACAAATTAGCAAGAAAAAACAAACAATCCCATCAAAAAGTGGGCTAAGGACGTGAATAGACAATTCTCAAAAGAAGATATACAAATGACCAGCAAATATATGAAAAAATGCTCAACATCACTAATTTTCAGAGAAATGCAAATCAAAACCACAATATGATACCATCTTACTCCTGCAAGAATGGATATAATCAAAACATGAAAAAAAAAAAATAGATGCTGGTGTGGATGTAAAAGGGAACACTTTTACACTGTTGGTGGGAATGTAAACTAGTAAAACCACTATGGAAAAGAGTGTGGAAATTCCTTAAAGAACTAAAAGTAGATCCACCATTTGATCCAGCAATCCCACTCCTGGGTATCTACCCAGAGGGAAAGAAGTCATTATACAAAAAAGATACTTGCACATGCATGTTTATAGCAGCACAATTCTTAATTGCAAAAATATGGAACCAGCTGAAACACCCATCAATCAACGAGTGGATAAAGAAAATGTGGTATATGTATAACATGGAATACTACTCAGCCATAGAAAGGAATGAAATAATGGCATTTGCAGCAACCTGGATGGTATTGGAGACCATTATTCTAAGTGAAGTAACTCAGGAATAAAAAACCAAACATCATACGTTCTCACTCATAAGTGAGAGCTAAGCTCTGAGGATGCAAAGGCCTAAGAATGATATAATGGACTTTGGGGGCTCAGGGGAAGAGGTAGGAAGAGAGTAAGGGACACAAGACTACACATTGGGTACAGTGCACACTGCTCGGGTGATGGCTGCACCAAAATCTAAGAAATCACCGCTAAAAAAACTTATTCATGTAAAAAATTAATAAATAGAAAAAAATTAGCCCAATAAAAACATGAACAGCTTTACACACATTAAATGGTTAAGAAATACATAAGAGCTACAGAAAAAATACCAGTTTACCGTGAAAAAGCCCTGATGTTTTTTTGTGGAAGTGGGTGATAGGGGTGGCTGCCTGTGACCATTGTGAAGTGTGGGGGCAGTTACCTGCTATCACATGGAAAACCGTGTAGGGGAAGAAAAACACCTGTTTCTTCTAACCGTCTTAGGTTCATCATCTGGGCCCCTGCAACAAAAGACAGATTGCCAAGAGAACAGCATATACACTGGTTTCATATAAGCTGTTTGTGACTCATGAGCCTTCATAGGTAACTGAAGATCCTAGCTTTCGTGAAGAGTGGAAAGCCATGGGAAAATGTGATAGGACTAAAAAAGTATGAGCTGAGTGTAGCAAACTGTGGAAAGCAAAGCCTGTTTCTTCAGATTTCCCTTGGTGTCCCTCCAGATACAGGGAGGGCCCCTCTCACATGAGGGTCTCGTGACCTGCTTCTCACATGAGGGTCTCGTGACCTGCTTCTCACATGAGGGTCTCGTGACCTGCTTCTCACATGAGGGTCTCGTGACCTGCTCTCACATGAGGGTCTCGTGACCTGCTTCTCACATGAGGGTCTCGTGACCTGCTTCTCACATGAGGGTCTCGTGACCTGCTTCTCACATGAGGGTCTCGTGACCTGCTTCTCACATGAGGGTCTCGTGACCTGCTCTCACATGAGGGTCTCGTGACCTGCTTCTCACATGAGGGTCTCCTGACCTGCTTCTCACATGAGGGTCTCGTGACCTGCTTCTCACATGAGGGTCTCGTGACCTGCTTCTCACATGAGGGTCTCGTGACCTGCTTCTCACATGAGGGTCTCGTGACCTGCTTCTCACATGAGGGTCTCGTGACCTGCTTCTCACATGAGGGTCTCGTGACCTGCTCTCACATGAGGGTCTCGTGACCTGCTTCTCACGTGAGGGTCTCGTGACCTGCTTCTCACGTGAGGGTCTCGTGACCTGCTTCTCACGTGAGGGTCTCGTGACCTGCTTCTCACATGAAGGTCTCGTGACGTGCTCTCACATGAGGGTCTCGTGACCTGCTTCTGGGGAAGGTCAGAAAATTCTTCCTGCATCTGCCACCTGAAAATATTCGACTGGAAATACCCAGTGTGCCAGGCACCCCAGTGTGTGGGTAGTAATAGCCAGTGTGCCAGGTGCCCCAGTGTGTGGTAGTGTGTCCTGACCCTGTCCGTTGTAACACAGACAGGGCGGGGTGGCTCATAACACCTGCGGCGGGCTGAGGGGGCTGGCGAACGCTTGAGGTACGAGCACGTGTGTGTTTTGTATTCCCACTTTCACCTAGTGCTTCTAGTGGATGAAATCACACAGAAACAAATGCATATCTTGCATTATGCTCAAAATGTTTTCTAATACTTCAAATGTGCTGGGAAAAACTTACATTTTCTAAACAAGTACTCCAGCAGCACTGACCAGCTGCCTGCCAGCTGCGCTACAGTCCCCACCCTCCTGGCGTCTCACCAGGCAGAGACCTCCTGGAGGCAAAAGGGGTAGACAGGGAAGAGATGCGACCCCTCTCTGTTGGAAATCCTCAAAACTTCTCTCTATGCTCTTCCCTTAATTTGTTCTTGTGGGCAAGAGAGATGTAGGAGTGTGTCACACACGTGTATGAATGTGTGCATATGCCTGTGTGTGAATGTGTGTGCATATGCCTGTGTGTGCATGCATGCGTGTGAGTGGGTGCATATGTCTATGTGTGCATGCATGATGTGTGTGAGTGGGGGCATACATTTGCACATGCATGCATGTGTGTGAGTGAGTGCATATGTCTATGTGTGCATGCATGCATGTGTGTGAGTGGGTGCATGGGTTTGCACATGCATGCATGTGTGTGAGTGGGTGCCTATGTCTATGTGTGCATGCATGCGAGTGGGTGCATATGCCTGTGTGTGCAAGCATGTGTGTAAGTGGGTGCCTACCTTTGCACATGCATGCATGTGTGCACACACACATGAGCTGCTGCATAGATACATGAAGAAGAACTGGGCCACCATGAGCCCTGGCATCATGGAAGCTGTTAGGAGAGAGCCTCCCTTCCTCTCGGAGGGCCCTGTGGTGACCTTGCTTATGGCCTGAGTGGGCAGAGAGGTGCCTGGTCTTTAAGGGCTCCTGCACAGCAGGACAGATGACCTGACAGAGCGATGACCGTGAGAATGAGGCCTCTGATGGGTGACAACGTTTCCTGGTTTTCTATCCAGGAGGCTGATTTTTTGGCCTGAGGTGTCTGGACATATCACAGAAGGTAGACCCTGAGGACAAAAGTCAGACATTTCCAGAATCGAGAGATGAGGGCTTAGGGCCACCCTTATTTAATAACAAAAGGACTGTGACCTTGTTCTATAACCCAGGCTGGCTGAGGAATGTTTAGCAAACTGAACACACTTTGCTTCCCCAGTTCCCGTCGTTGTAGACAGAAACCTGTTTGCTTCCTCTGTAGGTTCTGTGTTTCCAGTGAGTAGGATCTTGTTAGAGGCTTCATTCATTCATAGCCACAACAAATGTCCAAGTCCCCCCAAACTGCCCCAGTTTTCTAAGTGAGTGAGTTTCCAAGTTCCTGGAACTTGGAGTCAGAATAAAAGGTGAGCCACCAGAGGGCACCCCAGGCATAATTAAATTGCTCAGGAATTCTCCCCCCTTCCCCACTGCGCACCCCAATTCTGAACTGGATGGCTGGCAACCCGCCAAGGGTAGGTCTGGTCAAATGTGCAGTTAGAGGTCAGTGCTGGTGCGGCCCCGCCCCAGCTCCACACCCCTCCCCAGCTCCAAAACCCCTCCCCTGAGTGTCCTTCGGTTTTTCCCGCAACCTCGGCCTCTTTGCACCCTACCACCCCTACTCCACACACATGAACAGGTGCACACAACGCACACACCTGCACACACACGCACACACATGCATGTGCACACACACACCCCTGTAATCCTGCCCTTCCGCCTCCATCTCCAGGGGACAGGACCAAAGCGAGTACGGTTTCTCTCATGGTCCCCTCATCACCAGTGCTCTTTGGGTCAAAGAACCAGGCAGCCCAGCCTTGTCCCCTCGGGCAGCTTGATGTCATAAGAGGAAGATGTGGAGAAGCTGCGGGGGCCTCGCAGCCTCTGCAGAAGTGGTAGGGGCCGCTGTATCAACCAAGATGCGGCAGCCTACGAGCCTGAAGTCAGGTGCAGAGACCAAGACGACCTGCAACTCCATTTGTTCCATAGAGCTGTGCTTAAAATTGCCAATTTTCTCAAAATTGGTGAGAAGTCTAATGCAGCCCTGCCTTAGAAATGTGTATGGTGACTGGCCCCAAACACTCTGTCATCCTTGCCCATGGCTAGCCTGGCACCCAGTAATTCCACATGGACCCTTTTGCTGTGGAAGCCCACGTCACAGCACTGAGGCCAGCTGAACCTGACTGTGACTGGACGGGACCGCATTGTTCTATACACATGAAACTTGCAAATACCGGGATGCTGCTGCATTGTCCCCGGGGTGACATGGGGCTGGGAGTCAGTTGCAGAGAGATGACCCTTCAGGCCACGTGTGGGTGAAACCACTCACAGAGGGCCAGGCGCGGTGGCTCACGCCTGTAATCCCAGCACTTTGGGAGGCTGAGGCAGGCGGATCACTTGAGGTCAGGAGTTCAAGACCAGCCTGGCCAACATGGCGAAACCCCATCTCTACTAAAAATACAAAAATTAGCCGGACTTGGTGGTGCACGCCTGTAGTCCTAGCTTCTCAGGAGGCTGAGCAGTAGAATCACTTGAACCTGGGAGGTGGTGGTTTCAGTGAGCCAAGATCATGCCACTACACTCCAGCATGGCCAACAGAGCGAGACTCCATCTGAAAAAAAAACAAAAAAACAAAAAAACCCACTCACAGAGACCAAGTGGAATGGGAAATGTGAGAAGAGAACAGAGCTCAAGGAACGAGGCCGTTGAAGTCCCAAGTCCTCCACATGCAGCAGGGCCCTCACTGGTGAGAGTTCCCCAAGAGGGAGGCGAACAGGGTAGACAAACTCCAGGGCTGTGCAGTGAAGCCTTCTTTCTTTTGAAAGGATTTTCTGCAGTTGCCTTCCCTGGAATACTTAGGCTTAAGTTTACATGGGGCTGGTCAATTTGCTTACAAAGACCCATAGCTGTTTTCCATCATATTTCTGTAGGTGGTATTTAATGAAATTTCTCCATGATGCTTCTAGGAGCTGATATTGTGGAGTATGTCCCTACACCTACATCATTTCTACTTCTGCTGAAAATGTTTTGACAAGGATGTGCTCACTGATGGACATGCATATCCTTTTTATGGACTGGACATTGCTGCATGTCGACTTATCACTACCACTCTTCATGTGGACGCCTTCCACAAACACGCCATCTCTCCCACCTGGCTAGCTGTGCCTTCTGCTGTTTGAGAGTGTGTGCGTGGAGCAAGCTGAGGTAGCAAGGTGCCAGAGCTAGCCCACGGGGCCAGAGCTAGCCCACGGTACCAGAGGTAGCCCACAGGAGCTCTGCCCTAGATCCTCTTTCCAGGTTTTCAGGGAGTGACTCTCTGCATCCCGACCTGCCCCAGGGCACTGCCTGGTCCCTTGTCTACTGTCCTCCCTGACTCACGTGGGAGCCAGTCTGTTCCCCTACAATGACTTTGCCATTCTAGAAAGAACCTTAAAATTAATTTTATCTAAAGGGAAAGAAAAAGACCCTCAGTCCTCTCAATTTTATTAGGAACTTATTGATTTAAAAAATAAATACACTGTCCTCTTTTTCTGATGAAGACAGAGAACCACAGGACTCCACTTTTCTGAGGCTCGTTCTTGTTCCAGCATCAGCATGTTTACCTGGGTCTCCCTAACTGTACATATTGTGAAACACAAATCCTATTCCTAAGAAAGAGGGAAAGCTGAAGACTTTTCAGAAACTTTTTTTTTTTTGAGATGGAATTTTGCTCTTGTTGCCCAGGCTGGGGTGCAATGGCGCGATCTCGGCTCACTGCAACCTCTGCTTCCCAGGTTCAAGCGATTCTCCTGCCTCGGCCTCCTGAATAGCTGGGATTACAGGTGCTTGCCACCACGCCCGGCTAATTTTTTTGTATTTTTAGTAGAGACGGGGTTTCTCCATGTTGGTCAGGCTGGTCTTGAACTCCCAACCTCAGGTGATCTGCCCACCTCAGCCTCCCAAAATGGTGAAACTCATATTTTAAATAACAAAGTAGAGAAGATATAGACACAGAGCTTAGATTCATCATGCCATACTTTGCATTTTCTTACCTCATTTCTATGTTTACAACCAGATTTTGACAATGAATTGGTATTTTCCTGTACATAGATAATAGATATTATTTTCTATTTCATGTACAGTCAATTCATGAACAAAAGCAACCAAAGTGGTGACTGGGCTTGTGTTCTGTTGTCTGTTTACTTAGTGATCATTTAACGAGTCCTGATTGAGGACCTACTGCATGCTGAGTGCAGAGCCAGAGCTGTGGACAAGACAGTGGGCGAGGTGGCCCAGCCTGCGGGGCTGTGGACTAGAGGGTGGGCGAGGTGGCCTGGCTGTGCCCTCACCAGCCCATGTTTTACTCCCATTGTGCCTTGCACTTCCCTTTTCAGTTCTCACTTTTCTTTTCTTATTTCTCGTGTAAATTAAGTGTCTTAAAAATTAATAATATTATGTCATATTTTATGTAATCTGAGGCAATTCACTACTTCCTGGTCTTCAGTTTATTTTAATGCAAGAGTTAGCAAGATAATTTCTGAATTTGACTGTAGAATCATCTAGGGGCATCTTGGATCATTTATTTCATATTTGATATGAAATGCAGTTGCATAAATACAGGTGACTGGACAAGTAAAGAGATTCAATGCAGTGGTTTCCATTTTATGGAGCAAGAAGGAAATAGCAAATAAACTGTTATAATCAACATCTTTCAGTTTCAAATTTCTGCTTACTCTTAAGGCAGTGAGATGAAGTAAAAGATGGCTGAGCCCTGTGCTGCCACAAGGGGAGCTTAAAAGGGGTGAGTCATTGTCATGTGGACTTCGTTCTAAAAATATGGGGTGACACCCCCACATCAAAACAAAGAGACCCAGTAAATAGAGAAAACGGAAGCACCAATGAAGTCATGTCTCTGAATCTTCTCTCAACACATACTTGAGGAAGAAAGTGCACCAAGTGTTCCAAGGTGACCTAAGTTAACCGGGGGCTGTTTGGGGTCTTAGTGAAGAATCCTAAAACATGAATGGAAGGGTCATGTGCCAGGGATGTGGGAGTGAGAGCAGCTGCGACAGCTGCAGCTTATGATGGGACAGCTGTCCCACCAGAACCAAGTCTGCAGAGGCCCAGGAGGTGCCCCTGTTGCACGTGGTCCCGTTGAGCAAGAGCAGGACAGCAGGATGGGCCAGAGCCATGGCCGGTAGTCAGAACCACACCACCAGCTGCAAACACAAACCCAGTGAGCGGACCCCTGGTGCTCGCACCGTGTTCAATAATATCATTACTCTTTAGATGGCTCTTCTATTCCACAGTGCTTCTGAGAGCATAGTTTGTGTACTACGTTATGCTGGGAACAGCCAGGGGTAGGAGGGGGTTCTGTTGGCTGCTGAGTGTGTCTGTTTCACTTATGCTCCCCAGACCTGGGGAAGGAGCCACAAGATGGGGATCTACTGGGCCCGCTGGGAGACAGACTGGAGCTAAGGCTTCAGTGACCACCTGACCTCCATAAGCCCCTACTCTGATTGGGGGCCACAGACATTTTGGTCCTTCTGGAATCAGAGTCAGTTAAGAACCAGAGTCCAATAGCCCTGGAAAGTTCTGATTATTTCCTTTCCCGTGCACAGTGACGTGGGTGAAAGGCTGTCCCTTTTGGGGGGTCTGGGAGAAAGAGTAACAATACAAACTCTGGGAAGAGAGTGGGGTCCTTCCTTGGGCTTCTTCTTTGAGGGCTCTGGATCTGTCAGCTGGCTCAAGTCTGTTTGGGAATTGTTTTAGGGGCAGCAACACTCTGCTTTTATGATTCAGAGTAGGCTTTCATTCACTTGGCCTAGAACTTCTCTGTTTATGTAGATCAAGAAGGAATTGAGTAGGCTTCCCTCCGTTTCCCTTCTAGGAACACCACCATCACCAGCCAAGGCCACGGGGCCCTGGGAGCCATCCTCCCCTGGCTGCTGCTTGGCCTCTGCTGTGCCTGTGGGCACCACCCCACCTTGAAACCATGTTCTGATGGTTCTCGCTGCCCTTAGCTTTCCGGCGGTGGCTGTGGCTCTGACTGTGAGGTCTGGGCTGCAGAGAAGAGCTCTGCAAGGGTGTAGATCCCCTCCCAGGTTTGCTATCACAGTCAGGTAGGGTTTCCAGACTCTCCCAGGATAAGCAAGTCTTGCATGGCAATCCTCTCTGCTGGTCCACTCTCCCCTTGCTGCTGTGAGCTGCAGCTTCTTTCACAGCATCCTCTCCCCTCACTGCTGTGAGCTGCAGTTTCTTCCACAGCATCCCAAGACAGGTTACACACTGACTTCATTTAGGACGGGGCACCCCTAGGCCCATGTTTTAGCCAGCAAGCCCCAGAGCCCTTTCTGCCTTAAACTAGAACACGGATTCTGCAATCCCCACATAGTGAACACACACCCATGGGTTCAGCCTGGCTCAGCATCACCCACCATCACCCCATGCCCTCACTGTCCACCCCCATGAAGATTCCCCACTCCCGTCGTGCAGATGGGAAGAGTCACATGGTCCCTTTGGCATGGCCCCTCCTCGCAGGCCCTACTGGGGTTGGCCTGGCTGCAGATGTAGATGCAGGGAGTGCTGGGGCACCCCGGGAGTGTAACAGAACCCACGTTTGTTCATAGAGGGGGCCCCGGGAGTGTAACAGAGCCCACGTTTGTTCATAGAGGGGGCCCCGGGAGTGTAACAGAGCCCACGTTTGTTCATAGTGGGGGCCCCGGGAGTGTAACAGAGCCCACGTTTGTTCATAGAGGGGGCCCCGGGAGTGTAACAGAGCCCACGTTTGTTCATAGAGGGGGCCCCGGGAGTGTAACAGAGCCCACGTTTGTTCATAGAGGGGGCCCCGGGAGTGTAACAGAGCCCACGTTTGTTCATAGAGGGGGCCCCGGGAGTGTAACAGAGCCCACGTTTGTTCATAGAGGGGGCCCCGGGAGTGTAACAGAGCCCACGTTTGTTCATAGAGGGGCCCCCTGCCGAGGACGCAGACTGTGCCCCTGCCTCTCCAGGACCTGCATGCACGCCCCCCTCCAAGTGCCAGGATTCCGTCAACACGCATCATTTTATCCAGTGTGCGGGGGCCACGCAGAGCAGACCCACTTTATTCCCGGAGCACAGAGGGGTCCCTAACTCAGCTCGGAGAGAGGCAGAGGAGCATCTTGTGAAGGAGTCCTGAGCTGTGAGCACCCAGGACTCAGGCAGCCAAGAGGGCAGTATCTGGCCAGGGGACAGAGGAGCAGAGGTGAGGCTGGGGGTATGTGTGTGTGCATGCTGCATATGTGTGTATATGTGGTGCATGTGTACACGTGTATGTGGTGTATGTGCGTGTGTGTCTATGCACATGATGTGTATATGTGTGTGTATGTTCATGGTGTGTGTGTGTGTGTGCTGCGTATGTGTGTATATGTAGTGTGTGTGTACATGTGTACGTGGTGTATGTGTGTGTGTCTATGCGCATGATGTGTATGTGTGTGTATGTGTGTGGTGTGTGTGCACGTGCGTGCTGCGTATGTGTGTATATGTATTGCATGTGTACACGAGTATATGGTGTATGTGCATGTGTGTCTATGTGCATGCCATGTATATGTGTGTGTATGTGTATGGTGTGTGTGCGTCTGCGTGCTGTGTATGTGTGTATATGTGACATATGTGTGTGCACATGTATGTGTATGTGCATGTGTGTGCGTGTCCACATGCATGGTGTGTATGTGTGTATGGTGTGTGTGTGGTGTGTGTGTGCATGGTGTGTATGTGTGTTTGTATGTGTGTGCTGGAGCAAACAAGTATTTCTATAATTGCTGAAGTTTAAGCTGTGAGGCAAGAAATCATGAGAAACAACACTGGCCCACAATATTGAGCTCATAGAAGATGCAGGCACTACTGTAAATTGAACATGCTCATATTAATTCACGTGGCCCTCCTGAAACCCTGGTGTGTTTTTCTTGTTGTTGTTGTTGCTGCTGTCACTTATCACCATGGTACCCGTTTTGCAGACGAGATATTGAGGCCACAAGATGATTCACTGCCCAGCCATCTGGCCCCAGAGCCTCAGGGCCTTCCCCAGGGGAGGGTGTGTGCAGAGGATGGGCCTGGAGGGCAGGAAGAGGCTGAACATGGGTCTTCACGTGACATGGACTCTGTGCTGTCATCCATGACGAGCACAGAAACCCCAGGGACACACGCGTCCTCCAGACGCTACACACTCAGGGCGTGGGACAGTGCGCTGGAGAGCAGCGCAACAGAGAGGGACCAAGGGAGGCCACGCAGGGGGTTGTGTCCTCACAGGGAAGCCACAGCGGAGATGCCAAAGGGGGCGGACTTGGTCAAGATTTAGGTGACAATACTTTCAATATGTTCAATACTGTCATTTGAACGTGGAGCAGAAGGAAGGGAGATAGGGTGTGAATCCCACACTTCATGACAACTCAGTCATATTTGTTTACAGCCATTAAGACTTTTTTTCCCGTGTTTTTACTGTTGCTAATTAAAAGTATTAAAATGTTTACTTCTTTTCAGCTTCCAAATGTCATAAACACCAGGCTCTTTTATTCTGGGGGGGATCAATTTGACTGACATATCATTTACATACACATACCAACTTTAAGAACATAAATTGATGAGTTTCAACAGATGTATACAGTCACGAACACTGCTGACTGTGCAGTCATGTAAGAGAACATTTTCACCACTGTGCCTCCTTGGAGGCCCATGTATATTTTACTGGAAAGTTCTGGAAACTAGAGGAGGGACTGTTTGGCTGCAGGCACATTGGCAGCGTAGGACACCACCCTCAGTCATGGCCTTTAGCATGCACTCACCGACCGCCTGTTCTGTGTCAGGGTGCGTCAGATTGCCAAGGGGGCATGAGCTCTACACCCATTTCATCCTCGGGGCCTGTCTTATCTGCTGAGGGTGAGTTCCACGTGACCTTTCTTTAAAGGAAAAGGCACTGATGCTAAAGCCTGATGAACCCTGCTAGTGCCAGCCCCTCCTCTAGTTTGCTGAGTGCCTAACGCCAGGCTGGATGGGTCCCAGCCGCAGCCTCACTTCCCCTGTGGACCTGGACTCTGAATGGATTCAGCCACTTCAGGTGTCCAGGCAAACAGGGACTGATCCCCCGGATGTTCAGTGTTCAACCACACCCTCGGGTGACAGAGCCCCAGGCCACTTCTGACCCTCTGGGTGGAAAGGCAGCCTCAGATGACATATTCCACCTGGATTGGGCACAGACATGGTTCCTTCTCATCCTGGGGACCAAGTCTCCTGGCCACTGTGGAGAGAGGCAAGTGTGCCACTGCCCCAACCCCCAGGGCTTAACCCTCCTCTCCTCAAGCCCAGCCCAGGTCCCCGTGTGCCCCATGACCAATGATGCAAAGTGTGGGACAATATCATAAACAGAATCAAAAGGCCTCAGTGAGCAGGTGGATTTGGGGAATAAAGAGAGTAGACATTTATAGTTATGAATTTCGAGTTTGGACAAGTAGGTAAGAGGAGAGGGAACTGGGGAGGAAAAACAGATTTGGGAAGGAGAGCAGGAGAGGGAATAGATAATGTGTCCCCAAACAAACATTCAGCTTGGGACATATTATGCTTGAAGTCTCTCAGGGTAAACAAACGAAGATGTTTGATTGGGAGTTGGAAACGCCACGATGGGAATTTGGAAAATTGAAATGAGAGACCCATTGATGAAAAGGTGGTATTCATATTTCAAGTCATTGGGATAGATGGGCTTATGGGATGTGGAGAGTGCAGAAGGAAAAGTATTATAGGAAGGACCCAGGGGAGGTCCAACATGTAAGAGATGGGCGAACGCAGGGAATGTCATGGAAATCAGGGAGGAGAGAACATCGAGAAGAAAGGAGAGGCTGATGGTGTAAAATATGGAGAAGAGTTTAAGCAGAACAAGGACTCGAAAGAGAAGCCAATTGGATTGGTGAATTGAGAAGTGATTAGTGCTCTTAAAGAGTGTGGTTTCCATTCCATGATGCATCAGAAGTCACACTTCTCGGAGTTGAGACATGACTGAGAAGTGAGGAAGAGGAGGGAGTATGCCTTTCTTTTAACGTAGGCTGGTAAAGGGTTGTGAGACATAAGACAAGATGGTGTATTTACTTACCTTACAGACCGCATGCTCACAGACAAGACAACAGATGAGCTCAGCAACAGGACAAATAAGTCAAAGTCATTCACCTGTGGCTTTTTTTTTTTTTTCTTAGATGGAGTCTCCCTCTGTCGCCCAGGCTGGAGTGCAGTGATGCAATCTTGGCTCACTGCAACCTCTGCCTCCCAGGTTCAAGCAATTCTCTTACCTCAGCCTCCCAAGTAGCTGGGATTACAGGCACCCACCACCACACCTGGCTAATTTTTGTATTTTTTAGTAGAGACAGGGTTTCGCCATGTTGGCCAGGCTGGTCTCGAACTCCTGGACTCAAGTGATCTGCCCGCCTTGGCCTCCCAAAGTGCTGGGGTTACAAGCATGAGCCACCGTGCCCGGCCCACCTGTGGCTTTTAGGACAAAGACTAAATAGGACAAGTCTTGTTTGTACCCTGCTGTCTTCCAAAATCATGTGAAGCAAAGTGTTACAGGGCAAAAGTATGCCTATTTTCTCTTGAACTATTTAGAGCAAAAAGGGTGAAAAAGAGCATCTTATACTCTGAAAAAATACTGTTATGCTTAAACGTTATGTGCAAAGTGCTAAGAGTCCCAGGCAGAAGAGGGGTCACGTTGAGCACGGTGGTCTGCCTTCCCAAGGCTTTCCCTGAGATGTGCCCCTCCCCTCACTCTGCTCTGTCTGAGTCAGCACGTCTAGTATTCTCAGTACTGAGTGACTCCGCAGTGAAGAAGAGGCTGCTTCTGTCAGTTACAGCAGGTTGGCTGCAAATCGTGAAAAACCCTGACTATAAGTGGTTTAAGCAATAAGATATTCATTATCTTACCAACAAGAAGTCTAAACTGGCTGGATGGGGTAGCTCACGCCTGTAATCCCAGCACTTTGGGTGGCCAAGGTGGGCAGATTGCTAGAGCCCAGGAGTTTGAGATCAGCCTCGGCAACATGGTGAAACCCCGTCTCTACAAAAAATACAAAAATTAGCGGGGTGTAGTGGCACGCGCCTGTAGTCCCAGAGAGAGACCCTGTCTAAAAAAAAAAAAAGCCTAGACTTAGTTCGGGTTGGTTCAGCATTCCATTAGGTTACTGTAGACCCCGATAGACCTATTTCTCCCTCTGCTTGTAAGGTTAATGTCATCCAAGGTTGATTTATCTCATGGCCATAGGATGACTGCCAGAAATAAGTAAAAATATGTGATGGTAAAGTTGTTTTATGTTTTACATAAAGTGGCACGACAATAACTAAGTAGACAGTGGGAAATTACAAACTGATGTTGCTAACTTTATAGCAATCAGGAAAAAATGCAAAAAGAGCTTAGTAGAACAATTAAAAGATATTAAAAAATAGACCATATGGATGCTATCAGAAATCCGGAGTGGCTCAGATGATAGATTAGGAACAATGAGCTGTGTCAAAACTGACTTTCTCCCAAGTCCTCATTCTACCGAAACTCTTGTACGTATTTTACACCATCAGTCGCTTCTTTCTTCTTGATGTTCTTGCCTCCCTGATTTCAGTGGCATTCCCTGCATTCGTCCATCTCTTACATGTTGGGACCTCCCCAGGGTCCTTCCTGTAATACTTTTCTTTCTGCACTCTCCAACCTGCCACGAGCCCATCTATCCCAATGACTTTAAATGCTGCCTTTTCATCAAAGGGTCTCTAATTTCAATTTTCCAAATTCCCATAGTGGTGCTTCCAGTGCCCAGTCTAAGTCCACACTGTCTGCAATATATGCATTGTAGGTATAGAAACATGACTAGGTTGGTAGTAACAAGACATTAAAAGCTCTACCCTGCAGATGGTGGTAGAAATCTGCAGTGGCTCAGATAATAGACCACAAGACAATGAGTACTGTCAGACGTAGAGAGAGATGTTTCGTAGCAGTGAAAGTCACTTATCAAGAAGACATGACCGTCATAAATGTGCGGATGCTTAAGAAGAGTTTCCACATACATGAAGCAAACATTAAAAAAATTAAAGGAAGAAATAGAAGAACTCACATTTATAGTTGGAGATTTTCACGTCTCTTTCACAGTAATTGGTAGATCAACTAGGTGAACAGTCAGTGAGGACGTGGAAAATCCGGACAACGCTATCGGCTACCTCAATCTAACTGATATTTATAGAATCTTACGCAACTGCAGAACACACCTTTTTTGGTGTAAATTTTTGCTTGTATTCATAGTCTTTTGGGTAACTTCCTTTAGGAGATTATCGATTAATTAAAAGCAGGGTCTATGACTTAATCACCCTTTTCACATCCATAGTTTCTGTCATAATGCTTTGCATACAGAAAACCTCAATAAATACTTGACAAATGAGTGAATGAACTATCCTTTCTAGGAAGATAGGGAGAATTAGCAAAGAAGGAACTACCTAGGGTAAAATGTCATGGATTGTCCACAGGCTGGTGACAAGAAACAGGTAAGGAATCATTTTTCTTTGGTTATCTTGAAACAAAAGATCATAGGAATACATAAGTTCTCAAACACACACACACGCACACACAGGGCCCAAAACTACTGGCTTATGTGGCTCCCTGTGGGTAAACGGATGTGGGAAGTCAGCCCACATTCTCCACCACTGTCCTGCACCTTCATTTCTGGACGTCAAATCCCTGAATCTGTAGAGTGTGCAACCAGACAGCCGTGGGTGCAGGGAGAGCCCCAGGAGGTCAGACCTCAGCCTGAATATCTCCTAGATGCAGCAGTGCTTACAGCTTTTGGTCCAAACCAGAAGTGCCAATCACTCATGGATGACCCAAGCCTTGGGTCTCTCCTCTGTATGGACACGGTTGCCTAGGGCTGTCTACATGGGAGTCACAGCGCTGTCCAGATCACAGGGGCCCCGTGGCTGTCTCAGCTCATTTCTATTTTAATTCTCTCTAGACCTAGATAGATGCAAGCCTCTCCAAAGGTGGAGCCTCAAGGAATCTGTGTAAACCTAATGTTCACGTCCGTTTTCTTGCTCAGAAACATTAAGCTGTTTCCAGGCCAGTGATATCCAGTAGGATTTCCATGGTGAGCTGGAGTGGTTCCTGTCTCCAAGTCATCTCAAATAAGCACTGCAAATTTTCTAAGACACAGATAATTTCAATTAGTTTTATTGATAGGTCAAACTGCCCTGCAGGTGTGTTTTGTGAAGTGTTGCTAGGAAATAAAAAATAAATAATGACAAATTGTCACTGCTCCAAAAATTTTTTGGAGCGACTGATCAATGGGGCAAGGATTAGGTTTCTCTTCTATGCCAATAATAATTATACCGTTGTTATGGGTTGAATTGCATTCCCTCCAATTCATGTGTGGAAGTCCTTAGTCCTTAGTGTCTTCGAATGTGACTCTATTTCTAAATGTAATAGGTCAGATACTCAGAAGCTTTTATAAATTCATTTTTGGGGGAGCTTTTCTACCCCATTTATGGACAAAAGTAAGTTAAATGAAACTGAATAGAATTGGTTAAGACCACACATTTCAGTCAAAAATTCTCAGCGTGAAGAGTGAAGCCGCGTTTTGCCGGGAGATGGAGGCACTTCACCACCAACACGACCTAAATGCGGTTCCGTGCATCTCAGCCAAGGTCTGGCGCTGATCTGCATCTGAGCTCCAAGTTGTGGATTATTTTATGTACTCGTTTCCTTCTCTAAAGATCTCCAGGTTTGCATATGAATATCAATAATCACCCAACAGTGATATCAATGCTAGCTGAAAAGTGCCGTTTTCCTTGCCAAGTGTCTCTGGGAATTCCGAATGCAAAGAGGTAAAGAGAGGAGTGAGACGTGCAAAAATCCCATCTGAGCTGCAGCATTTCCTTGGCTTCCTGCCTGTTGTTAGAACCGCCCTCCATTTCTCCTTCCATTTCCTATCACACGAAGATAGAGAACGCTGGCATGCACCTGCAGAAAATCTGCCCTGATCCCTCCAGTCCCAGAGCCCCTGGGATTTCAATGTCCAGTAGAGCCAGCTGGACCGCCTGAGGCTGAGATGAGGCCCAGGCCCACCTGCTTCCCAGGAGCTGCAAGCTTACCTTTTCATGTGTGCAGGGAGGGGCCATGCGTTCCATCCACAGTGCTCTTTCAGCCCAGGAGACCTGCATGCAGAGGCTTCCTCGAGTTAATTATCTCATCTGCCAGACAGGCTGGTGAGCGCCACACCAGGGCATCTTTAGGCAGGTGGGAAGAGTTTACAGAATTTTCAGAAGTGGGGTTTGGCAAGATGCTTACCACATCTAAATGCAAAGTGTTTTCATCTGAAGGGTTATTACCAGGTGTGGAAACAGGTTCCACACAGGTTTCCTAATGAACAGATGGTCCTCCGACCCGGTGTGGGGGCTGTGCCTGGCTTGCAGAAATGTGTTTGAGCTGCAAAATGGTTTAAATCTCTTTTAAATTGGTTAGGCACATTTAAAAATAGGAAAAGTTCACATAAAATATGAATTTCTGACTTGTCTTTAAAAATAGGGCCATCTGTCCATATGGGATGTGCACTTGTGCATGAATTCCACTGTCCCCAGAGCTGCCCCCATGAGTCCCCACCCTCCCAATCGCCTGGGCCACTCCCCCCACTTCCCCACCTCACTGGACCTTAGAGCACTGGAGCTGCAACCCCTTGTCTACAGCCTGTTGTCTTCCTTTAAGTCAGCACATGTTAAAACCTACAAGTCAGAGAGAGACACAAATAGACTAAGATAACGATTAAAGCAAAACCCAGAGTAAACCATGACACCGCAAAGGAGCGTGTTCCCAGGCGGGAACCAAGGCTGCAGCAGGGCCTTTCCATGTGCACTGACTGCTGCAAATTTATTGGGTGGACAGGAAAAAAACCAGGGCGGGTTACCTTTACAGAAAAGAATAATCTGGTATCTCTTAAGGATGTTTATCTGACTCCTGCCTTGGGCACTTTCGTGCTCACCAGCAGAAATGTCCTTAGCTGCCCATCGGATCCTCACTACTCAACTCTCAGATTCTTCTTTTAACCATTCTTTCAGCTGCAGTTCAAGTTCAGACCAAGAGTAGGAGATGTTCCTCTGGGCTGTATGAAAACCCAAGTTGTCCACCTGAGCTCAGGAGTTCAATACCAGCCTGGCCAACATAGTGCAACCCCATCGCTACTAAAAAAAAAAAAAAAAAAATTAGCCTAGTATGGTGGCACATGCCTGAAGTCCCAGCTACTTGGGAGGCTGAGGCAGGAGAATACCTTGAACCTGGGAGGCAGGGCTTGCAGTGAGCCAAGATTGTGCCGCCACATTCCAGCCTGGGTGACAGAGCGAGACTCCGTCTCAAAAAACAAACAACAAAAAAAAGAACAAAACAAAAAAAAACCCAGGTCACCATTTTAAAATTTAGCTGGAATACTTTTTACCAAAAAAAAATTGCATTTTGAATACCATAAGTGAATAATTTTACCCCATTTTATAATTGCAGGCTGAAACTTATTTCTTAATAATACTCTGTCAAAGAGGTCATGGAGCTCTCCATCTGATTCTACTGATGTAATGCTTCAGGTATTAAATGCCTAAACATAAAAGTATTACAAAATTAGGAGCAATTTTGAAAATGGAGTGCAAATTAGGTAAAGAAATGGACAAGTCTGTTTCTCTAATTGCAAAAAACAATGCTTCTTTTAGAGCAGTGGTTCTTAACTGGGTGTGATTTTCCCCTCCGGACACCTTTGGCAATGTCTGCAGGCATCTTTGGTTGCCACAATGAGGGCGGAGGGGCTCCTGACATCGAATAGACGCCAGGGAGGCTGCTGAGTGCCCGCCAGGGCACAGGACGGCCCCACGACAGAATTCTCCAGCTGAAAGGTCATCCGTCGAGAGACCCTATTCTAGAAAATTAAGTAGTCGAGAGATAATTATGTTAGAATTTGAAGTTAATCAATCATCTGAATAACGTAAGCAAAGAGAATAATCTTTGTTCAAAATCACCCAAATTGGCAGAGCTCTAAATCACCTGATAAGCGTGTCTTCTGCGGAGAGGTGAAAGAATGGCAGGGGGAGTGTTCAAGCCAGGCCACTGTTCATTCTGGGGAATGTGGGAGTCGAATCTGACCACAGCGTACCCTATGAAGCTGCTTTGCAAAAAATATGTGCTCACTAGTGTGTCAACAAAAGTGTTTTTGGACATTTTCAATATTAGTTCAGTCACCTCCCTAAATATCATTAAAATATAGTAACTGTATTTACTATTTCATTTACCACTACACTATCACAGCTTAATTTTTAATAATAGTTCTGAACTATTTATAAGTAATAGTCTTTGTCCATTTATAAGTTAAAAAGTGAAAAATACAGTGAAGCCCAAGTAGAAAATAAAAGCATTCATAACCCTATCTACACAGATAAGATGGTCGTTAATACTTTGCATAGGTGTACAGAATTTCTACATAAACATAGAATCATGCTATATACAGTTTTGTAATCTGCCTTTTATTACTCATATTATTAATATTTCCCATACAAATAAATATCTGTTTATAAGGATTAAAATATAGATTTTCTAAAATTGTTACAGTCTTCATCTTATGGAGGTACCATCGTTTATGTTTTATGTATTTTATGAGTGAATATATAGGTTGTTTTCAACTTCTCACAGACTTAAAAAATCTTATTGAGATAACAATAGACAAATCTGTGTAAACATCTATGTAACTCCTTAGGATAAGTTCCTAGAAGTAGATGTCATGAGCCAGACTTTAGAGATACTGACAAACTGTTCTCCAGAAGGTCTTGTGAGTTGCACATTCCCTGGACATGAATCGTACTCTCACCAACAACATGTGAGAATTGTCTGATATTTGGTACCTCATTTGGGGAAGATATACTATTTTCATTTGTTTGATTATTTGTGAGAAAAAATGTTTTCCATAGGCTTATAGGATATTTATTTTCTATGCTTTTTGTGTATTATCTGTTCCTGTCCTTTGCTCATTTTCCTACAGTATATTTGTCTTTTGTTGCTCCATAAGCATTCTTCATGTGTTATTATACTGTCATCTGTCATTACTCCTCCAGTGTGTTTGTTTATAAATATAATTTAGGCAATTAAAATTTTCCTTTAATGTCTCTTTGGTCCTTTATGGAGTCTATTTTTACATGTATGCTTAGAACCACTTAGTCTCTTAATAATTTTTACCATAATCCTTTTACATTCTGCAATTGATTCCTCATTGTTTTACTAGATTATTTTTAATTTAATTAATTGATTAATTAATTTTTTGAGGTGAGATCTCACTCTGTTGTCCAGGCTGGAGTGCGGTGCCACGATCATAGCTCACTACAGCCTCCAACTCCTGAGCTCTAGTGATCCTCCCGCCTCAGCCTCCCAAAGTGCTAGGATTATAGGCATGAGCTACCACACCTGGTATTATATTGTTTTTTTTAATTATGACTTATGTCTGATTTTTGATGTTTATTCCATCCAATTTAACAGATATTTTTTCCACTCCACGTCTGAGTCTAGCCAGGAGTTGGGCGTACAGAGAGGACTTCCAGGGGAAAGGATCACCTCCGGTTCCTTTGTTGAAGTTAAGTGGGAGAGACAAAGAGGAATAGACCACGACAAGCTTGTCCAGGAGAAGAATTAAGGCATGAGATAGCCCACACAAGGGATTTTGTGATCAATTATAAGCATGGTACCTTTTCACTAACGGTTTCAGTCATATTAAAATGCCACTTGATATTAATAAAACCAACAGTTTAAAAATTACTTTAAACACCCTGCAACCCATCCTTGGACCCTGAGAGCTGCTCCTCTCTCATGGGCTCCTCTGGCAGTAGCAGGAGTCCTTGTCCACGTCGCCCCACGTGGTGGAGCCCGCCTCCTCCTGGCTCAGGGCAACAGGAGGTTGCACAGGCTCGGGGACTGCTTCCAGAAAAAGCCATTCTTCCCAGTTTTTCTCTTTTCTTTTCCCACCTATAAAGTCACTTCTAGGATGTGATGAGCACAGCATTGGAGCTAGAGGCTTACGGTGGGGAAAACCTCAATCAACTCTAAGGAGGAGTTTATAGACTTTCAAATATTGTGAAATCAAATATCACAACTTTAATACAAATTGTGACTCAATATTGTGACTCGCTATTCAGAGGCAAAGCAGTTTCATGGAACAGATTGTTGGACGCGATTAGGCAGCACCGTGTCCCATGCAGATACCTTAGTGAGGACCCTGGCTCATGGAGGTACGAGCAGGGAGCACGAGCACCTCCTGATTCCAGCCGCCCCCTGCCCTGTACACACACTGCCGGGAGAGAGGACTCCCTCCTCCTCTTCCCTCTCTCCTCTCCCATCCTTTCTTCTCTCTCTTTCTCTCTCTCTATTTCCTCTCTCTCTCTTCTCTGTTACTCTCTCCTCCCTCTCCTCTCTCTCTGTCTCTCTCCTCTCTTTCTCTGTGTCTGTCTCTGTATCTCTCTCTGTGCCTCCCTCTCCCACCCTCTCTCCTCCCTCTCCTCTCTCTCTCTGTTTCTCTCTCTCTCTTCTCTCTTCATTTCTCTCTCCTTTCTTTCTCTCTCTGTTTCTATCTCTTCCCCCTTGTTTCTGCCTTGGCTTGTCTTTTACCGTCCCAGAGCTGCTGTAACAAAGCAGTTTTTTCCTCAGGATTCTGAACATCAGAGTCTGTGTGAAGGCATTGCATGGCTGCACTCCCTCCACGGGCTCCAGGGATGGTCCTTCCTGGCCTCTGCTGGGGTCTGGTGTCCCCAGGAGTTCTGTGGCCTGTGGCTGTGTCCCTTCAATCTCAGCCTCTGACTTCATGGCCTCCTCCTGTGGTGTCATCCCCTCTTCTTATGGGAACACCAGCCATTAGACTAGGGTCCGCCCTACATCTAAGATGGTTTCATCTCAAGATCCTTAGCTAAGCACATGTATAAGACCCTATTTCCAAATAAGGGCACATTCTGAGCTTCTGCATGATCCTGCGCATGGGGCATGAGGAGTATTCAACCCTCCAGAGCTTGTAAGGCAGACATGATGGCTTGAGGAGGTACCAGGGGAATGCTGTCACCTCCCCTGACTCTAGGCCATTCCTCCCGCAAGAGGATGTTCTAGACTCTCTCGGTCTGCAGGACCTGCCACTCTTCACACACATGCACTCACTCTCCCCGTCAGGAACCCCCCTGGGCTGGGGTGCAGTTGCCCCACCTGTGGCTGAGTGGATGAGTTGATTTGGGGTGCAGTGACTGGTAGGAAGCTAGTGTGGGCCTGGGTCCAAGCACTGTCCTGCATGTGTCTCTCAGAGAGTTTGCACCAGAAGTGGGGAGGATGTGACAGGGAGGCCTGGGCATCCCCAGTGGTGGCCTCTGGTCATGGAGGAGACACCAGCAGTTCCTGCAGGAGGTGGCCTGGCCATCACCACAGTGAGAGGATCCAGAGGCCCCAGCAGGCCTGTGCTTGCTCAGCCCCCATCTCTCCAGCAAGGCCCAACAGCTCAGATGAGGGTTAGCTCAGACGAGGGTGCAGGCCTGAGGTGGTCAGGAGTGTGGGGCATCCTCACAGGACCAGATTATTGGGAGAGGAGTGGGAAAGGGGCACCAAGCCAGGAACCCGCCCACCATGTTTCTCTGGCTGGTCCCAGGTTGTTCTACACACATTCCCCTGGAGGAGTGGAGGACATGTTATTTTCATTTCAAACCTTGGGCTTTCGGTGCAGAGTCCTGTGCCCTGAGACCCCATAAGTGTGGTCAGATCCATGGAAGCTCACTGGATTGCCCAGTGGTGAGCAGTGGTGTGAAGCTTGGGAACAGCTCCCCATCCCTCCACACTCCCCAGCTGACCCCTTCCTCCATCCTCAAGCTGAGGCCATGGGATGCGGCACCAGCCCCAAGCCAGACCTTCCAGGAGCTAATTCTCCCCAAGAATAAGTTGCTCACCCCATCAGCTCTGATCACAAGTAAGAGCTGCTGAGCAATCGACTGAGGTACTTGGGTAAGCCAGTGTGCTTCCACGAATCCGACCACAGCAAGGGTGTCTCAGGGTGCAGGGCAGCACCACAAGCCCGAGTTCTGAAATAAAAACCACATGTGACAGGATGTTTCCACTGGCTGTTGGGAAGGCTCCGGATTCTAGGTCACTGACTCACATCAGGACTAGGACAGCTGGGCGGTAGTGCCTGCCCTGCCCGCCTCAGGGTTGTAGGACAGGAGTGAGCTGCTTCCTGGGGACAGGTGTCTCTACCACAGCTCATTGGCTACAAGAGAAAGGCCAGAGCTGGCCTGGGCCTACAGAAAGAGCCACTTCACCCTTCTAAATGCACCTGCGCCTGGCGTTATCCAGCATGAAGTCATGAGACTGCAGGACTTGTCATTCAGCAAACAGACACCCATTGGTGAAACAGCTGTTAATGATGAACAAATCTATCTTAAGATAGCAAGAATGAGCCTGGGATAGCAACAGCATTTCTATTAAACATGGCTGCCCAAATGATCATTCGCTTAACACAGCCTGTATTTGAGAAGTGTGACTTCTTTGCAAGAAAGTTAAGATTTAGACCCAATGTTGCCCGTTGTGAGAAAGCCACAGAGGCACAGAGAACTGGCAAGCACACATGAGCTCTCCACAAAAGTTGTCTGTGACGACGCTGAGGGTGAACTCTGCTCGGGAACTACTACAGCGGCTGGCATGGCAGCTGAGAAGCCTCGGTTGACTTCATGACTGGCTGCCTCATGGCTCACCTGCGTTCCCTAAGCACATACCAGTCTGCAGGGGAAGCCCAGGGAGTCTAGTGTTCATTCTGAGATTAAAACTTTGATGCATGGAACTTCAAAACTGAATAATCAAGGTGCAACTAGATACATAAAATTAAACCCCCTTTAAACATTAAACCTCAGATAATTGATTTAAATTCATTTGGTCTACTCAGTGATTCATTCTAAAATTTCTAACTGCTGTTAGTTTTCAGATGTCAAAATCAATTACTTTACTTAAATGAGCTGGGCTTTCTCTTGTGGCCATAGTTGCCATTTGCCTATGGGGAGAGAAAAGGTGGAAAGAGGTAAAGGATTTAGGAGCAGCATGTGGAAAACGGTCTCAATTTTTACAGCAAC
Organism: Homo sapiens; assembly: GCF_000001405.40. Lineage (NCBI taxonomy): Eukaryota > Metazoa > Chordata > Mammalia > Primates > Hominidae > Homo > Homo sapiens. Next base: position 111,030,704 of record NC_000013.11, on the reverse strand, counting down.
CACATTTGGGAGGGCTTTAGACCTCCTTTAGAGGCTATGGTTAAGACCTTAAATTGGTGCAGCTGGGTGTTGGAGCGGCTCACTTTTCTACCCCGTGACAAAGAGGAAGAAGAAGAGGTTAAAGTCGGCTTTAATGCCATGTCTATCAGTGCCGTCCCAAATGCCACGAGCTTAGTGTCCTTCTGGCTGCCTGGGCTGGAAAGCATCTGTCCGGAGGGGACGGTGCCCAATGACATCTTGGTCCAACGATGGCACGAGTGCCAAGTTAGGAAGACAGGCTCCACGGGCAGGCTGAGAACCCTGTTGGCAGCATCCTTGAGCGCATCCCGGATGCGTTCTCTGTGCGCTGGGCATCAGGGCCGCCAACTGCTCCAGCCACACTGCTGCAATTCGATGGCACAAAGCGGTGAGTCCACGGATGCTTTGCCCACGAAGACAGGGAGTTCTGCCCTGTAACCGTGGCTGGAGCGTGGGGATGGTAGGCACTCTCTGGAGAGAGTGGCGACCCAGGATGGCAGTCCCAACGGCTGAGGGCAGTGAGCCCTGCAGCCATGCTGTGCCCACACACCCAGGGAGTTCCACAGCGCTGGGCAGCAGGGACTGCTCGAGGCCCATCGTGGCGATGTGGGACAAAGGCACAAGACCGAACGTAGGTGTGCAGCCTCCAGCAGAGCCTGGGAGGACTCGGAAACAGCCTGTCACGGGTCCCACTGGGCTCTGGCCAGAATTTCACTGTAAAAAAAGTGCTCAGCTAGCATCACTAGCACAGAATGGGACAGCAACCTTTTCCTAGGTCAGCAACAAGGTAGGGGTTAAAAACACTTTTAAACCCTGCAGATCGGGGTTGAAAACCCTTTGTCAAAGAACCAGTGGAGAGCGGTGATTACAAGGCAGTTGGACCAGTAGAGGCGTTAGGGAGAGGACCCGAGTGGCAGGAATGCCCAGCACTGACCTGGCGTGTATCTGGAAATGCATCCCCATCGGAGTCCGACCCTGAGCCTGCGTGTTCACGGACCATCCTTTTGACCCTTGTGGCACACTGTATAATTTAGCAATGGGCGCAACAGTCATATCTGTTTTACAATGTCGTGCTTTTCCTTCTGCTTCGTGTCCCCCAAACCAGATTCTAAGTAATACGCGCCTGTACTTTTTAGTAGCCTTTTCCACGTTCCATGGAGAACTGACCTGTCTTGGGTCTTTCAGAACCTTCCACAGAAGAACTGTTCTGGGGGCTGTCCCTGCAGCAGAGAGAAGAGTGTGGTGGGGGGAAGGAGTCCACTTCCCTTGGACACACGCTCCCAGGTGGTCTCCTGGATGCTACCACCTCGGCACCCCCGAGCTGCTGAGCCCAGTCTCCCGACCCTGCCCGGCATCTCTATGGCACGTGAGTGCTCCACACTGCAGCTCACAGGCACCCAATCATCTCCCCATTTTCTCCACCCAAACACCCCCTCCTGCGCACTCTATTTAGAAAGTGAATATCCGTTGCACATTTCAGCCGGTCACTTGGAATTCATCTTAAATGGCTTTTTCCTTGCAATGTTTACACCCACTAGATCACCAAGTCCTGCGAATTTTGCTTCTTAAATTTCTTTCTTCCTTTCCTCCTTCCTTCCTTCCTTTCTTCCTTCCTTCCTCCCTCCCTCCCTCTCTCTCTTTCTTTCTCTCTCTTTCTCTCTCTCTTTTTTGACGGAGTCTCATTCTGTCACCAGGCTGGAGTGCAGTGGTGCAATCTCGGCTACTACAACCTCCGCCTCCCAGATTCAAGCGATTTTCCTCCCTCAGCCTCCCAAGTAACTGGGACTACAGGCGCGCACCACCATGCCCAGCTAATTTTTGTATTTTTAGTAGAGACAGGGTTTCACCATGTTGACCAGGATGGTCTCGATCTCTTGACTTTGTGATCCGCCTTCCTGGGCCTCCCAAAGTGCTGGGATTACAGGCATGAGCCACCGCGCCCAGCCTGCTTCTTAAATTTCTCCCAAATCTCTCCCCTCCTGTCCAGCCTATTACACAGCCTTAGCTCAGTGCCTGCTGGCTTTTCTCCTGGCTCTCCAGCATGCTGGCCTGACTATACCTCTGCAGGGCCTCTGTGGGGATCTTCCAAAAGAGGACGCTGCCAGGCTTCCTCATCATCCAGATAAAGCACAGACTCTTCTCAAGCTGCCCTCAACCAGCCTCAGAGGGCACACAGGGCCTCGGAGGCATCAGCAAGGGCCACCCTTGCTCTTGGCCCTGGGACTAAAGCCACATGCTGCCTTAGGAGTCTGAGACCTGAACTTTTTCTCTTTATTCAAAATTCCTTCCTAAGGGGCCTGGAGGAGTCATCTCTGCAGACTGTCAATCTTGCTAAACAGGTCATTTTCTTCCAGTGTCTTGTGGTTTGCACTTGCAACCTGGCTCCAGCGTAGTACCCCATGATGATGAGCAGAAGTCCTGATCTCAACTTAAATATGCCTTTCTGCTGACTCCGAGTTTTCAGAGAAAGCTTTGTTCTTTTAATCAACTGCACATCAAAGAATCTTTAATCCCGCCTATGATCTGTAAGCCGCCACTTCAAGATATCTCACCTTTTTGTGCCAAGCCAAAGTATAACCTCCAGGTATTGATTCATGACTTTGCCTGTACCTCCTGCCTCCCTGAAATGTATGAGTTGCATACCGACTGCCTCGAAACCACCCACTCAGGGCTTCTTGGGTTTGTGTTTTCCCCAGGCTGCGGTCACTCATGTTGGCTCAGAATAAACCTCTTTGACATATTTTATGGAGTTTTGGTATTTTTCCACTTGAAGATGCAGTTCCTAACTCTCTAGCACCTCTCCTCGGTGCATTTTGTGTTACAGTATTGAGCAAGATTTCAGAATCAAAGCAGTATACATAGAGTAAATGAGCTGGTGTGTGTACATGTCATGCGAGTGGCACGCATAACGTGAAAAGATTAAAGTACTGCCATCCTTGTAAGTACTCAGCGAGCATTAACTATCATCATTCTTCTACCAGCACAAAGGTTTATATGTAACTTGAGGCCACATCGTGGATCCCATGGGTATGAACAAAGGAATCCTTTCACATGACCCCAACACTCTTGTTTTGGGCAGGGATTTTTCAGTTACACATCTCAACCGGCAAAGATGTGTGAGAGACTCAGTACGTCAAAGGCCTCTGGGAACGCCTGCCTGACAGTGACCTTGAGACCACCCTTGCATCAAGGTCATTCCCACACAACAGCCTGTAAAAATCTTTTGATATTTGCATTGCAATTTCAGCTATCTAAGCATCATTTTAGAGAGAATTAACTCCTTTATGACATCATCTTCCCAATTTAGCATCTCCCTCCATTTATTTAGAATTTCTTTATTTCTCGCAGTAATGCTGTTTCTGCACAGAACCTTTGCACACCTCCTGTTAAATACATTTGACAGCTGATGTTTTTACTCATGTTTCTGTTTGTTACTCGTGTACAGAAGCACAACTGCTGTTTTTTTAAAAACATTGACCCTATAGCCGGGCATTGTGGCATGCGTCTGTAGTCCCATCTACTCCAGAAGCTGAGGTAAGAGGATTGCTTGAGCCCTGGAGGTCAAGGCTGCAGTGAGCTCTGATCATGCCATTGCACTCCAGCCTGGGTGACAGAATGAGACCCCGTCTTAAAAAAAAATGTTGACCCTGCACCCATAAACTAGTTAAACTCACTTATTAATTCTAATTATATTTGAAATCTTTTAAGCTTTCTACATATAAAATCATAACATCCACTAATAGAAATGTCTTATTTTTTCCCTACCCAATCTTTCTTATTTCTATGCCATACTGCACCAGCGAGGACCTCCAGTAAAAGGTGAACATATGTGGGTAGGTGAGCATTCTTGTTTGTTCCTAATCTCAGAACACTATCAACATTTTGCTATATTCAGTGTGATGCCTGCTGTAAGGTTTTTGTTGTTTCCCTTAATTTGGATAAGAAAGTTCCATATTCTTATATTACAAATGTGTATTTATTAAACACTTTTCTGCACAGATTAAGATAATCAGATGATTTTTCTTTTTTCTTTCTTGTTAACGTGATGAATTATACTGGTTAATTTCCAAACGTTAACCCATCTTGTATTCCTGGAATAAACCTGACGTGCTCACGGTTTCCATCTAGGCTCGTGAGTGGTTAGTGATGTGGTTTGGATATTCGTCCTGCCAAATCTCATGTTGAGATGTAATCCCAGTATTAGGGGTGGGGCTCGGTGGGAGGCGATGGGATCACAGGGTGGATTTCTCATGAGTAGTTTAGCATCATCCTCTTGGTGCATCCTTAAGATAGTGAATCAGTCCGCCCGAGATCTGGTTGTTTAAAAGTGTGTGGCACCTTCCGTCTCCCTCTCTTTCTCGCTCCTGCTCTCAGTGGGCGACGTGCCTGCTCCCGCTTCACCTTCCGCCATGAGCGAAAGCTCCCTGAGGCCTCCCAGAAGCCGAGCAGACGCTGGAGCCAAGCTTCCTTACAGCCCGCAGAACCAGGAGCCAGTGAAACCTCTTTTCTCTACAAATTACCCAGTCTTAGGTATTTCTTTATAGTGATGCAAAACCGGCCTAACACAGTTGGCTTGCAGTTTTCCTCTCCTGAAATGTCAGGTTTTGGCATCAGTGCTGTTTTCGTGTCATAAAATAAATATGCAGTGCTCCTTCTTTACTTATTCTCTGTAAGAATTTGTGTTTGCCATTTCATTGTTAGACGTTTATAAGAATTTACTGGCGAATTCATTTGGGATTAAAGAGTTCTTTGCGTGAAGGTTTTAAGTTACATCTTCAGACAATAAATTCAGAATTAGGATGATAAAGGATTTTTTCTTTGTACAAATTTCCAAAATATTTGTACTTTTTAAAAGAATTTGTCTATCTTATGTAAAATTTCAAGTTTATTGAATAAAAAGTTGCTTATAATATCTTCTTATTATTTTAATAAGATTAGATGTGCCCTTTTATATTCTTGAAATTTTTATACCTTCCCTCTTTTTTTGATCAGTCTCACCAATGGATGATTAGATTTTTTAGTTATTTCAAAGAACCAAATAAAATAATGGTTTTATTGATCTTCTCTATTATACACTTATTTCCTATTTCATTAATTTTTGCTTTTATCTTATTTTTATAGTTTCTTTGGATTTAAAATGCTGCTGTTTTTCTAACTTCTTAAAATGCATACTCAGCTTATTTTGGCTTTTTTCCCCCATAATATTTGTTTCTAAATTCATACTTCTCTTTATGCAAGGCTTTAGCTGTAACCTAAAAGCTACTGAAACGTAGTACTTTCATTATCACTTAATTCAAAATACTTTTAAATTTCCACCATGTTATTTTCTGTGGCTCATGGGTTGTTTAGATGTGTATATGTTACTTGCTATATGTGAGGATTTTCCGAGTATCTTTTTATTACTTATTTCAAGTTTAATTCATTGTGGTGAGAGAAAATATCCATGTCCTTCAACTCGAATCATCTTTTATCATGGGCATCCTAGTGGGTGTGAGATGGTGTCTCACTGTGGTTTTGATTTGCATTTCCCTAATGATTAGTGATGTTGAGCATCTTTTCATGTGCTTCTTGGCCATTTGTAGGTCTTCCTTGAAGAAATGTCTATTTAATTGCTTTGCCCATTTAAAAATGTTTGTTGTTGTTGTTGTTGTTGAGTTGTGGGAATTCTTTATATATTCTAGATATCAACCCTTTATCAAGTATCTGATTCGCACATATTTTCTCACATCCCATGGGTTGCCTTTGATGGCTGTGTCCTGTGGTGCAGTTTTAAATTTTGATGTGGTCAAATTTATGTCTTATTTCCTCTGTTGCCCGTGCTTTCAGTATCATATTCAATAAATTACTGCCAACTGCAATGTCATGAAGGTGTTCCCCTGTGTTTCCTTCTAAGAGTCTTATAGTTTTAATCTTATGTTTAGTAAGAGTTGAATCTTACAAAACAATATTTAATAAGAGTTAAAATGATAACTAATGTAAGTGTATTCATATATGGTAATTACTATTAAGTAATATTTATACGTGGTAGAAGGTAAGCGTCCATCTTCATTCTTTTGCACGTGAATGAATCTCTAATTTTCTCAACATCACTTCATGGCAAGACTCCTTTTTCCTGCATTGAATGATCTTGGCACCCTTGTTGAAAACCATTTGTCAATATATGCAAGAGTTTACTTCTGGGCTGTGTATTTTATTCCATTGGCCTATGGGTATATCTTTATACCAGTACCACATTTTTAAAACTACTATAGCTTTGTAGTATGTTTTGAAGTCAGGAAATGTGAGACCTCCAACTTTGTTCTTCAAGACTGTTTTGTCAATTCAATGTTCCTTGAGATTCCATATGAATTCCATATGAATTTTAGGATGGATTTTACTATTTCTGCAAAAATACCATTGGGATTTGATAAGTATTTTTAAAGTATTCTCTACATGTGGCAGAACATTAGCCCTTGGTCTAGCTTGTGACATTCATCTTTTTATTCCACGTGGAATATACCTTAGAGAGTGGTGTGAGGTGGTGATTTAAAACTTATTTCCCCCAATGCTAAGTCATGATATGTAATCCCTTCCCTACTGATTTCTGATAACATTATATATAAATTTCCTCTTTTCATTAGTCAGTTTCTGGTTTATTTGTTTTGAACTGGCTTTACACTTTTTTCTTTTCTAAACTATCTGAAGTTCCTACCCTATCATGCCCAAAAGTTTTGGTGTGTGATTCTGAGAAACAAGGACATACTCCTCCTAGACTACCCCTGGCCATCACGCAGGGCAGCTCTGCTGACCACCACCCCACCCAACCTCAGGCTTTATTCATGTGTCTCCAGGTGTCACAATAATGTCCTTTAAAGTGAGGGATCTGGTTCACTATAAAGGACATTATTCAGCCATGAAAAAGAATGAGATCATGTCTTTTGTGGGAACATAGATGGAGTTGGAGGCCATTATCCTTAGCAAACTAACATAGGAACAGAAAACCAAATACTTCATGTTCTCACTTATAAGTGGGAGCTGAATGATGAGAACACATGGACACATAGAGGGGAACACTGGGGCCTATTGGAGGGTGGAGGTTGGGAGGGGGAAAGGATTAGGAAAAATTACTAATGGGTACTGGGCTTCATACCTGGTGATGAAATAATCTGCACAACAAATCCCCATGACACAAGTTTACTAATATAACAAACCTGTACTTGTAGTCCTGAACTTAAAATAAAAGTTAAAACAAAAAAGTCAGATAAACAAATAAAATCTGAGAATTTTGTACTCATATTCTAAAATACGCAGAGCTGCAAAGATGAAAAAAATACGTAAAACAAGAGGCATAAACAGCAATGGCTAGTGACATCACATGAAAGGGAAGCTTATACAGTGAATTGTACCCTGAAGCCAGGGTCAGACCCCACCACTGTGATGGTGTATACATTCCAGGTGGGAGGAGTCAATACTGCCATGGACGTATAGCAAACTCTCAGAAGCGAGACTAGGGTACAAGTGTCTAAGGAAGACTGAGCATCACCTCAGCTGGACACCTTCCTCCCTGCCTTACTCATAGGCTATCCAAAAACTGTCTGGAACGCAAAATTCCTGGATCTCAAACAATAGCACAATGGAGAAAATAACCGCTGTATCAACACAAAAAGCCACGTAAGTATGAGCAAGAATTTTTTTTAAATGCTGGCTCTATACAATATTACTTCATCCAAATGGAAATATATCTTGAGAGTAATGTAAAATACACACACATGCACGTACACACAATCTTTTCCTCCAAAAAATGGAGTAAATCCTCCAAAAGTGCTTTGATACATAAAACAATTTTTTTTACATTTTTTTGTGCAAATTCATGAGGCGCATGAAGAAATGTGTGACATGCATATCATGTGTAGTGCTCAAGCCAGGATCCTCAGGGTGTCCATCTGCCAAGTGCAATGTTTTTGTTAAACATAGTTACCCTGTGCTGCTATCAAACATTGGTTTTATTCCTTTTATCTTATTGTATGATTGTACCATTTAACTCACTTCTCTTCATCCTCCCCCTGTCTTCCCTAACTCACTTTTCCCAGTTTGTTCTCTATATTCCACTCTGTACCTCCACATGCTCAAAGTTTTTAGCTCCCACATACATGTGAGAAGACATGATATTGTCTTTCTGTGCCTGACCTATTTCACTTAAGATAATGACCTCCAGTTCCATCCATGTTGCTGCAAATGACAGGATTTCATTATTTTTCATGGCTGTATAGTATTCTATTGTGTATATGTACCACATTTTCTTTATCCATTCATCCACTGGTGGACACTTAGGTTGATTCCATATTTTAGTTATTGTAAATAGTGCTACAATCAACACTTGAGTGCAGATAACCGTTGGATATTTTGATTTCCTTTCCTCTGGGTGGATACCCAGTAGTGGGATTGCTGGATTAAATGGTAATTCCATTTTTAGTTTATTGAGAAACCTCCATACTGTTATTTATAGTGACTGTACTAGTTTCCACCAGCAGTGTATAAGAGTTTCCTTTTCTCCACATCCTCTCCAACATCTATTTTTTGTTTGGTTGGTTGTTTGTTTGGATGGTTGGTTTTGTCTTTTTAGTAATAGCCATTCTACCTGGAGTAGGATGATAATCTCACTGTGGTTTTGATTTGCATTTCTCTGATAATTAGTGATATTTAGCATATTTTCATATGCCTGTTGGCTGTGATTATAAAACAACTATTTAACAACAGAAATTTAATAAAACAAAAGAGTTAAAAGACAGGATGTCTAAAAAAGTAAATGAAATTAAAAGAAATATTGCAGCCCAAAGAAACAAATAGGGCAGAATTGCTCAACTTGTGTCAGATACTGATATTCTTGGCCTTTAGGAAGGCTGAAGAAGGCCTATAATAGTGAAGATTATTGGATAAGTTATCTTCTGACCACAAAGAACATCAGCCATTTATATCCATATGCTGAAAAAATATTATCATTTTCTGTGTCTGCCATGATATGAAAAATTTTGTGAAAAGCATAAAACCAGAGACAAAATAATATTAAAGAACTAATTAAGAAATTTGAAAAATCTACATACAAAACAGACGTGGCTGAAAGGGAATTACTGCCATAGAAGAAAGGTTTAACATAATCACAATGAATGCAGATAATAAAAACCTAGAGGTCAGAGTAAAACTAATTGATATTGAAGACAAAAAAGATGATCCAACATATGCATAATTGGTGTTCTAGAGATTTCAAACTAAACAGAGAATAAACAGTACATTAAGAAGAGTTACAAGAAAATTTATCCTAAATGAAAAATAAATTAAATCTTTAGACCAAAAGAACACATCAAATTCTAGGACTCAATGCCAAGAGATACACTAATTAAATTATTATATTGTTGATAAGATTTAACTTTATTGAGGTCTAATTTATGTGCAATAAAGTGCACCCATTCAAAGTGTGTGGTTCACTGAGTTTGACAGAGACACCCAAAAACCACTGCAAATACCCAGAAAACAGAACATCTCCATCAATGGCAGATATTCCTCCTGTGTAGTCTGTTCCTCCCTCTGACCCAAGCTTTCTTGATCTGCTTGTTGACATTATAGATTAGTTTGCCTTTCCTAGAATTTTATACAAAAAGGAACATTCAGTTATATATCTTTTGTGTGTAGCTTTTCTCACTGTGTATAATGGTTTGGGGATTTTTTCCATGGTGCTGTGCATATCAGTCATTTGTTTATTTTTTTTCCAGTTTCTCATTTTGATCTGTTTCACACATTGTATTTGTTTGAAAAACAGCTTCCCATGTTTACAGGTGTTGAAAAAAAGAATCCCTGGACTAGATCCCTGGGGTGCTGACATGCTGTGGTCCATGATTCATTGCTGGCTGCCCTCCCACCTAGGAGACAGGAAGAGGGCGGGTGAGCAGAGCCCGGCAGCTCCCACCTGGGGGACAGGAGGAGGGAGGGCACTCAGGGACCAGCAGGTGGTGGCCAGCCTGGGCTTTTCTCTGCGCCCTTTTCCTCACCACGGACTGCAGTTCCTGGTCTGAGCCTGTGCCCTCAGGAGCCCTGTGTCTCCACCTCCAGGGTCTGTCCTTCTCCAGCTCGATGTCATCGGCATTCATGGTGTGCTCCCTCTGCTCCTCCACCACATCATTGAGGAAGCAATCTTGGGAATGGTATGCACGTCAGGAAGCCCACTGGCCACGGTGAGGCTTCTTCGTGGAGTCTCCCGGCAGGAGGCTGTGGGCTCTGCCCTGAAGGTGCTGGAAGTCACTGGGGCTGTCTCCCATGGAGCTGTTCCTATGTGCGTACCAGCTGGCCGCTCATCCTAGGAGGAAGCCCCGTGCAGGTCCAAGTGGTGGGGTATGGCGCAGCGCTGGAGCGGGGTGCTTGCATCGCGGAGAGTTTCCTCCCAGATGTCACCACCGTGCGCGTGGAAGTGAGGGAGGCAGGGGTGTCCCGGAGAGTGTGCCCTTACCCCTGCGTGGACTCCCACCTGGGATACCTAGGACGTCCGGACCTCCTGCTGGCACAGGCTGTGCCTCGGCTCCTGACTCTGCCAGGTAGGGCGACCTCGTGGGTGGCCTGCGGGGGTCTGCGCCATTTGGGTAATGGAGTGGAAAGAGGGCCTGAGCGCTTAGCTTCCCAGCGCTTCTCGCGGATGAATTTGCCGCTACCCACAATATCTTAAGAAACGCCCGCATCGCCAAGTCAATCCTAAGCCAAAAGAACAAAGCTGGAGGCATCACACTACCTGACTTCAAACTATACCACAAGGCTACAGTAACCAAAACAGCATGGTACTGGTACCAAAACAGAGATATAGATCAATGGAACAGAACAGAGCCCTCAGAAATAACGCCGCATATCTACAACTATCTGATCTTTGACAAATCTGAGAAAAACAAGCAATGGGGAAAGGATTCCCTATTTAATAAAAGGTGCTGGGAAAACTGGCTAGCCATATGTAGAAAGCTGAAACTGGATCCCTTCCTTACACCTTATACAAAAATCAATTCAAGATGGATTAAAGACTTAAATGTTAGACCTAAAACCATAAAAACCCTAGAAGAAAACCTAGGCATTACCATTCAGGACATAGGCATGGGCAAGGACTTCATGTCTAAAACACCAAAATCAATGGCAACAAAAGCCAAAATTGACAAATGGCATCTAATTAAACTAAAGAGCTTCTACATAGCAAAAGAAACTACCATCAGAGTGAGCAGGCAACCTACAAAATGGGAGAAAATTTTCGCAACCTACTCATCTGACAAAGGGCTAATATCCAGAATCTACAATGAACTCAAACAAATTTACAAGAAAAAAACAAACAACCCCATCAAAAAGTGGGCGAAGGACATGAAGACACTTCTCAAAAGAAGACATTTAGGCAGCCAAAAAACACATGAAAAAATGCTCATCATCACTGGCCATCAGAGAAATGCAAATCAAAACCACAATGACATACCATCTCACACCAGTTAGAATGGCAGTCATTAAAAAGTCAGGAAACAACAGGTGCTGGAGAGGATGTGGAGAAATAGGAACACTTTTACACTGTTGTTGGGACTGTAAACTAGTTCAACCATTGTGGAAGTCAGTGTGGCGATTCCTCAGGGATCTAGAACTGGAAATACCATTTGACCCAGCCATCCCATTACTGGGTATATACCCAAATGACTATAAATCATGCTGCTATAAAGACACATGCACAAGTATGTTTATTGCGGCATTATTCACAATAGCAAAGACTTGGAACCAACCCAAATGTCCACCAATGATAGACTGGATTAAGAAAATGTGGCACATATACACCATGGAATACTATGCAGCCATAAAAAATGATGAGTTCATGTCCTTTGTAGGGACATGGATGAAATTGGAAAACATCATTCTCAGTAAACTATCGCAAGAACAAAAAACCAAACACCGCATATTCTCACTCATAGGTGGGAATTGAACGATGAGATCTCATGGACACAGGAAGGGAAATATCACACTCTGGGGACTGCTGTGGGGTGGGGGGAGGGGGGAGGGATAGCACTGGGAGATATACCTAATGCTAGATGACGAGTTAGTGGGTGCAGTGCACCAGCATGGCACATGTATACATATGTAACTAACCTGCACAATGTGCACATGTACCCTAAAACTTAAAGTATAATAAAAAAAAAAAAAAAAAAGAAAAGAAACGCAGCGCTTTCCACTGTGTGCAAACCTGCTCAGGTCACAGGGAAACCAGAAATCAACCGTGACCCGCCTCCCCGTCCTGCCTAGGGCGCCCCGGTCTCCAGCGCCAGCCCGGGCTGGCGCATCAGGGCCGTGGCCTGCAAGGGTCCTAATCTGTCCCAGCAGAGAGGACCAGAACCTGCTGGGGCGCATGGGGAGCGTGGAGCTGCTGGGGCTGCTCGTGTGCCCTGCGAGATGAAGCGGCAGGGGCGCGGCGCTGGGGACCTCAGAGAGCTCCGGAATCAACCCACCCCACGCAGGAAGACATCGCCCTCCAGTGATTTATTTTTATTGGTAAATTGTGTTCCATTGCCTGGAGATAATATATCCTGCTTATCCAATTACCACTGATTTCCTCCCACCAGTGTTGGCTATTTTGAACGAAGCTGCTATAAGCCTTTATCACAAGTCTTTTTGTGGACGTAAGTTTTTCCTTCTCTTGGCGAAATACATGAAAGTGGGAAGGCTGAGTCATGGCAGGTGTATGATTAAGTTTTCACAGAACCGCTAAACAGTTTTCCAAAGTAGCCGTATCATTGCACATTCCCACCACAGGATATGAGAGTTTTCCTTGTTCTGTATCCTCACTAGGGTTTAGTGCTGTCCGTCTTTTGAATTTTGGCTGCTACAATGTGTGCATAGAGCATCTCATTTTTTTTAAGTTGCATTTCCCTGATGATTCATGGTCTGGAAAATGTATTAAATTATTGAACTTCAAAGATGAGGGAAAAATTCTTCATTCTATGGGGCAAAAAAAAAAAATTCAAATCCTTCACAAGGGGTATAAATTGAGTTGGTATTTTACTCTATTCCCAAAAAATACAGTAGCAATCTACAAAGTTCCGAAGGAAATGCAATGCAACCAAAGGCACTTATTCCAAGCCAAGGTGTTGCTCGAGTATATAGGCCACGTGAAAAGTGTCCACATAATAAAGAGTTAGAAAGCTCAACACATTTGACCCTTTCTTAATGAAATACAGTCAATTAATACTTTTTTTTAAGAAAAACGCTTGAAAATAAAGGCACATCACGGGAATGGTATTAAGTAAATGCTTCATGTAAATGGAGCATTAATGCTAGAGCCCCAGTCACTTTAAGACTACAGAATAGAAGGTATATTTCTCAGCCTTGAGAGTAAAAATCTTCACAAAACTTGGGAGGTCAGAAGACAGAAGTTGGGAAGAAGTGTAAAAGTGCTAAAATCCTCATTTTTTAGAGCCAGAAGTCAAATGCTGTTTAAAATTTAAACACAGTTTAAAAGACCATTATGACTTGCCCTCTTAACTAAAAAAAAAAAAAAAAAAAAAAAACTCTCTCTTATTAACCTTTGAGTAAAGAAATCATTCACTTTCACTTCTTTTTCTTTAACTAAATTTCAGAATCTTTGATGTTGATGTTGAAGATGGTGATATTTAGGGTGATTTCTTTATCCGTGTCATTGAAACAGATCTTTAGTATCTTGAGGATGACAACATTTCTCATTCTTGCCACTTACTTTTTAAGATTTCTTTTTAATTGTGGCAAAATACACATAACATAAAATTTACCATCTTAACCACGTTTAAGCATCCAGTTCAGTGACATTAAGTACATTCACATCGTTATGCAACTGTGTTAGTCCGCTCTCGCACTGCTATAAAGAACTACCTGAGACCGGATAATTTAGGAAGAAAGAGGTTTAATTGACTCACAGTTCCGCAGGCTGTACAGGAAGCATGTTTGAGGAAGCCTCAGGAAACTTACAATCATGGCAGAAGGTGAGGAGTAAGCAAGCACCTTCTTCCCATGGTGGAGTGAGAGACAGAGCAAAGGGGGAGGTGCTACACACTTTCAGACAACTAGATCTGAGAATTCTACCACAAGAACAGCAAGGGTGAAGTCCACCCCATGATTCAATCACCTCCCACCAGGAACCTCCTCCAATACTAGGGATTACAATTTGACCTGAGATTTCAGTGGGGACACAGAGCCACCATATCAGCAGCCATCACCACTGTCCATCTCCAGAACGCTTCACCTTGCAAAACTGAAACTCCATACCCATTAAACAGTAATGCCCCATTTCCCTGCCCCAGCCTCTGGCAACCACCATTCTACTTTCTGTCTCTATGAATTTGACTACTCTAGATAACTTACATTAATGGAATAATTAGATATTTCTTCACTTGGTTATTACTGTTTATTTTCTTTATTTTATTATTGCTTATTTCACTTGGCATAATGTCCTCAAGTTCATCCATGTTGTGGCATGTGTCAGAATTTCCTCCCTGTTTAGGGCTCAATCATATTCTGTTATGTTATATATATTATATATTAATCATACTCTGTTATTTTATGTATGTATATAAAATACATATATATGTATTATATATTATATGTATTAATGTATATAAATATATATTTATATATGCATATAATTATATATATTATATGTATATATTTATATATGCATATAATTATATATATTATATGTATATATTTATATATGCATATAATTATATATAATTATATGTATATATATTATTTGTATATACATATACACATATATACACATATATAAACATGTATATATATACACATATATATGTATACGTATATACACACATATACACACACACACACACACACACCACATTTTGTTGATCCATTCATTGTAGATGGAAACTTGAGTGGCTTCCACTTTTTGATTATTATGAATAATGTTGTTATGAACATGAGTGTTTATATATCACGTATCTCTGAGTTCTTGCTTTCCATTCTTTTGGTTATATAATCAGAAGTAAAATTGCTAGATCATATAATACTTCTATTTCTAATTTTTTGAGAAACTGCCATATGGGGTGATTTTAATACATTCTTCCTTGTACTATTTTTAATTTCTTAATTTTTTTTACAATGAACATGTATTATGTTTACAAAAGCAAAATACAAAAAAAAATTTAAGTAGAAAATAAAGTAAACAAATATTTATCACTTTGGAGGGGAAGGTAAACATAAGAATTGCAGGCAATCACTGCTTTTTTTTTTTTTTTTTTTTTTTGGAGTCTCACTCTGTCGCCCAGGCTGGAGTGCAATGGCGCCATCTCGGCTCACTGCAATCTCCACCTCCTAGGTACAAGTGCTTCTCCTGCCTCAGCCTCCCAAGTAGCTGGGATTACAGGTGCCCACCACAATGTCCAGCTAATTTTTGTATTTTTAGTAGAGACGGGGTTTCACCATGTTGGTCAGGCTGGTCTCAAACTCCTGACCTCAAGTGATCTGCCAGCCTCAACCTCCCAAAGTGCTAGGATTACAGGCATGAGCCACCACACCCAGCCCAATCACTGAATCTTAAATGAACCTGAATCCAGAGAATCATCTGGATCTTCTCCTTAATTCTGAGGCCTTGGTTTCTGGACTGATTCTTATCTGGCCTCTGGTAAACATCTATGATGAGGGGTATGTCGGCTGTCAGAGCACTGGGCGACTTCTGTCCTCAGTCGGGGACTGTGGTTCACCTGCATATTCTCACAGGTGGTAAAACAATGTTTTGCACACAGTACATTTTCAATAAAATTTGCCAAGGCATTTATACATACAACTTGTTTGGAGTATGTAGTAAAATTGAAAATGTACATATACTGTGACCTAAAAAATTCTACCTTTAGATATTTGCAGAGAGAAACTCTTCCACGTAGACACAGTAGGACATATTCAAGGAGCTCCACTGCAACATTCTTCAGAATAGCACAACAATGGAAATAACCTAAACATCCACCGGCTGGTTAGACTAAGATAAGTTAGGCCAGGAGCAGTGGCTCACACCTTCATCCCAGCACTTTGAGAGGCCAAGGCAGGAGGATCACTTGAGCTCAGGAGTTTGAGACCAGCCTGGGCAACATGGTGAGATCTCATCTCTACAAAAAATACAAAAATTGGACAGGCGTGTGTTTTTTGTAGAGATGTGTTCTCACCATGTTGCCCAGGCTGGTCTCACACTCCTGAGCTGAAGCAATCCTCCAGCCTCGGCCTCCCAAAGTGCTGGGATTACAAAAATTAGGCGTGGTAGTGTGTGCCTGTAGTCCCAGCTACTTGGGAGGCTGAGGTGGGAGGATCACTTGAGCCTGGAATGTCAAGGCTGTAGTGAGCTGCAGCCTGGGTGTCAGAACAAGACCCTGTCTCAAAAGAAAAAAAAAAAGAATTATGATGCATTCACACCATGGAATCCTATAGAGCAGAGGTGAACTATTTTTCTATAACAACATGTAAAAACTCAAAAACATATTGAATGGAAAAGACATTTGCAGCATGAGACAAATTATATCAATCATCAGATATGCAATAGAAACTATTCATGAATATAAATACATATGGAGCATTTTTGGGTGTTAGAATATTTGTGATTCTTAATGATTATCTCTGAGGGCAAGGGAGACAGAAGCAGGGATGATACAAAGGCAGCTTCATTTGTTTTATTTCATTTATATTTTAAAAGATGGAGTGAATCTGACATCATGTCATCAGTCGCCAGTTGTGGGTGGGAGGCTCCCAGGTCTTAGCTCCACTATTTTTATTGCTCTTTTTTTTCAATCTGTCAAAACAATTTATAACAAAATTTCTGTTTCCAATCCCTGTCCTTCTATGGCAGGCTATCATGTTTTGAAGTAGTTATCTACCAAATAAGATATATTCATTTAGTGATTGTTTTCTTATTTAATAAAAACATATGTAACTGTGAGTCACAGCTTCATTTAGCCTGCATTCCATCCCAAAGTAGGAAAAAAGTTTTAGTTATATTTCACTTACTTTTGTGCCCAATCAATGCATAATTTCTCTAATATTTTGAAATATTAAAAATGCCTTTATGACTGACATAGAAGACCTCTCATGGAGGAAGGGCCCTCGATTGGATAACACTGTTTTAGGTTATTTAAACAGCCTATCAAGTTGGCAAGCTACCAAATGTCTATGAAGATGCCTCCTTGTTTCTCAAACTCACCTCCCAAAGGGTGATCTGTGGTGTCTCCTTTCCTTACAAGGCACAGATGTCTGAATTTTCAGGTGCATTTTGCATATGCTTCAGTTTCAGACTGTAATTTCCAAGAATGACCACGACAATGTCATCCATTCCATGTGCTTTAAAAAAAAAAAAAGTGTGACCTTGACACTCCTTCTATTGAGCAAGCAGCCTCCTGCACTAGAATTTGAGCAAATTGCACTATGGCCTTGACCAAGAGTGTGGCTAAACTGATGTTATGTGACCTCTGAGACTGGACGACACTATAAAGATGCCAAGCATTTCAACCTGGCTTTCTTGGGATGCCTCTTCTGGGAATCCAGCTGCCATGCCGTAAGGAAGCCCAAACCAGCCCAAGGCAGAGAGAGCACTTGGAGAGTCGTCCAACGTCCAGCTGAAATTCAACCAATGGCCAGTCTCAGCCACAGACTTGTTAGTGAAGTTGCCACCAGAATATTCCAGTCCTGAGCCATTGACTCACCCCTCAGCCTTCTCACCTTCCTAGCTGAGGCCCAGACATCATGGGGTGGAGATAAACTGTCCCTGCCAAGCCCTTTCCAAATCCCCAACCCTGTGAGCCTAAGAAGATGGAGTTTTATGTAGTCACTAAATGTTGGAGTGGTTTGCTAGGCACCACTAGTGACTGGGGCAGGCTCCACATTCATGTGCACCTTAGCCAAACACCTGCATTAGGATTTATTTTCAAGTGTACTGTGGGGTTTTATTCAAATGCATTAATAAGGAGTAAAAGCTAGCACTGTGTGTTTTCTTTCAGTTTCTGATCTTCCCAATTATTTTGTTCAAATAAGTCATTGTAAGTTTGAAAATAATAACCATAGCTATAACATCAAGTCCAGAATATAACAAAAGGAGGAAGTCCTAAATGAGAATGTACTGGAGCTAAGAAATCCAGAGAATGAATATTCTTCAAAAGCATTGTCTCAAAAGCCTGTGTCTTCATCCCATCAAAACATTTTTTTGCACTGTGTTAGAATCATCATCAGGTCATAGAAGCTGAAGTCGTGCCTGTCTGTAAGGAGGTCCCCCAAAATTGAGAAGAGGAGGTAACAGTTGGCTTTTTGCTGCATAATAAACAAGCGTTGATTTAGCACATACATCTGTGGGTCAGCTCTTTGGGCTGGACTCAGCTGGATGGTTTTATTGGTCCTGGCTGGACTCTCTCAAAGGTCTAGGTTCAGCTGCTGGTCAACGAGGTCACTCTATTTCTAGGGCTGCTGGCAATTGGTTGGGACTTGGATGGCAAGGTCAAATAGGATCTGACCCTGCAATTGCACAGCTCGCCAATCAGCTCAGGCTTTTGCTCCATTGCTGCTGGGCAGACTCTAAGACAGAGATGACACATGCAAGGCCTTGGCCCAGACCTAGTACAGCATCACTTCCTCTGCACCAGCCCTGATTCTAGGAATGAGGAAACAGACTCCACCCTACAAAGTCACACTGTGAGGGCTTTGGGTGGGGTGGTTGGAGGTAGAATTTGGACCATTTTGGCAACTCACACAGGGACCCAGAACTGAGCTCGGGGGACATCAATACTTAAGAAATAGGCAGAAGAAAAGAATAGCAGGTGAAAGAGGCCAAGGAATTCATAGAGAAATAAGAAGAGAGTCAGAGATGCTAGGCTCGTAGAGCAAGGGAGGAGAGTTCAGGAGGAACTCTCAGCAGAATCAATGTCTAAGAGAATACTTAAAAGGTCTGAAAAATGGCTCTCAAGTTCAGCAACTGCTATGCCTTTGATGGATGTGGCAGGAGCAATTCCAACGGCAGAAGTCAGATTGCAGCAGGTTGGTTAGCAGCTAGGTGTAAGGAAACCTCTATTTTAAATACACATGACATAGCAATAATAAAGAAAAACAGAGCTCATAGGACTGGGAATGATTAGAGATTATAGTTCAAGGTTCATTTTAATGATGGAAGTCCTCATTTGAGAAAGTGTGTGCCAGTGTCCTCAGAACACCATGTGTTTTAAGTTCTTAACAAAGTTCCTCTGGATCCAGTCTGCATCTCACCTTCACTGAAGTCCTGAGATTATTGTACGCTGGTGTGGCTGTAGTAACTATTTCCCCGATAATAAGATTATCTTCTATTTCTCCCAGTGTTGTAATAGTTCCCATTCAGACCATCTTCAGTGCTGTTTCTACAAGTTGATGTCAGTTGGAGGTACATGAAAGGACAAGAATTTGTCCTGTTCTGATCTCTACTGCTTGGCAAAAGGAGAGATTGTTATTAAATTAGCTTTTCAATGACAGAAGCACTGCAAATGCATTTTAAGGTAATTCCAAAAAACCAAAACATACTAGATAAAGCTAAAGTTCTCCTTGAATACCTATGTCTTCCCAGTGCCTGCCTCTGCTTCCCACAGGTACCCTCTTATCAAATGGTATGGACTTTTCAGATCTTTTATGCAGTTACATTCTGTGTTCTCATAGAAAACACAGTCATGTGGGAATATATTCTGAGAAATGCATTGTTAGTCGATTTTGTCTTGTGCATCATAGAGTATGCTTCCACAAACCTAGATGGTACAGGCTACTACATACCTAGGCTAGATGGTACAGCCTATTCCTCCTAGACTACAAACTTGTACAGCATGTGACTATACTGAATATAGTAGGCAATTGTAACACAATAGTATTTGTACATCTAAGCATAGAGAAGGTACAGTAAAAAATACAGTCTAAAAGATTAAAAATAGCACACCTGTATAAGGCACTTACCCTGAATGGAGGTTGCAGGACTAGAAGTTGCTCTGGGTGACATGTGAGTGAATATGAAGTTCTGAGACATTACGGTATACTCCTGTAGACTTCATAAACACTGTACACTTAGGCTACACTAAAATTATTTAAAATACTTTTCTTTTTTCAATGATAAATTAACCTTTGCTTACTGTAATATTTTTACTTCAAAAACTTAATTTTTTAACTTGACTGTTGTGATAATACTTAGCTTCAAACACAAACACATTGTACAGCTGTACAAAAATATTCTTTCTCTATATCCTTATTCCATAAGCTTTCTTCTATTTCTCATTTTTTTTGCTAAAAATCTGGCATAAACACACACATTAGCCCAGGCTTACACAGGTCAGAATCATTACTGTCACTGTCTCCCATCTCCAGGTCTGTCCCACTGCAAGATCTTCAGGGGCAATGACATGCATGGAGCTGTCATCTCCTGTGAGAACAATGCCTTCTGGATACCTCCTGAAGGACCTGCATGAGGCTGTTTGACAGTTAACTTTTTTTTTTAATAAGGAGAAGGAGTATGCTCCAAGATAATAATAAAATGTACAGTATGGTAAATACTAGGCAACGGGAATGTTTCAGCTTCATTATAACCTTATGGGACCATTGCCATGTATGTAGTCTGCCATTGACCCAAACATTGCTCTGCAGTCGGTGACTGTACACGGTGTAGTCAAACCATGTAGTGTCATTTTACGATTTTGTGTGTTGTTTCTTTAACACATAAATTTAACGATTTTATAGAAGTCATTCTGCACTGTCTGTTTTTATTTTTTTTTAACTAAACAGTGTATCTTCCTTTCACAACTTCATCCATTACAAGGGGAATTTACTGCCTTCAGCAGCTCTTTCTCCTGTTCAGAGCATCAGGACTTCAAATGTATTCATATTTTGTATAATACAGTAAGCATTTCTGTTTCTTATTCTTTCAGCTTTGGGGCCATTTCTGAAAAATGCCTCTAAGAAGAAATGCCCAACTTTATTACATTTTCTTAAAACCAGACATCTTTTGTATATTTTCCACTGGGTGTGTTAGGGTTATATCCCTAGTAGAGTATAGTTTTGTCATTATGAGGGGTCTTCAAAAAGTCCATGAAAAATGCATATTATGAAAAAAACTATATGTGAATTCAATTTTTTTGCACTAAAATAAACTCATACTAACTTGTTATAACATGTCTGGACAGGATATAGTTTGAGGCACTAAGAAGGATAAGACATCAGTTTGAAAAGAGCACCTGTCAGAACAACATGAATTCTGCTAAGACAGAAGCAAGAACAAACAACTTTTTAAATTTTTTATTTTTTTTAGAGACAAGGTCTTACCAGGTCTGTTACCCAGGCTGGAGTGCAATAACATGATCATAGCTCACTGTAACCTCAAACCACTGGGTTCAAGTAATCATCCCACCTCAGCCTCCCCGGTAGCTGGAACGACAGGTGTGTCCCATCACACACAGCTATTTTAAAAATTTTTTTGTAGAGATGAGCTCTTGGTATGTTGCCTAGGCTGATCTCAAAATGGTATTAGGCAATCCTCCTGCCTTGACCTCCCAAAGTGTTGGGATTACAGGTGTGAAACACTGCACCTGATCTCAAATATTTGGGTGGAAGAATGGTGAAACCACTGATGCTTTATGAAAAGATTTATGGAGATGCTATTCCCAAAGAAATCAGCAGTTTACAAATGGATACCTTGTTTTAAGAAGTGATGAGATAATTCTGAAGATGAAGCCCTCTGCAGTAGACCATCTACATCAATTTTTGAGGAAAAAAAGTTGTGTTCATTTAATAATTAAACAGGACCAATGATTAACAGCAGAAACAATAGCCAACACTATAGAAATCTGAATAGGTTGAGCTCCACAATTCTGACTGAAAAAATAACGTTGAGCAAACTTTCTATTCCACAGGTGCCAAAACTATTGTTCCCAGATTAGCTGCAGACAGGAGCAGAGCTTTTGATGGAAATTTTAAAGAAATGGGATCAACATCCAGAAGCATTTCTTCAAAGAATTGCCATGGGAGCTGAACTTTCCCTTTACCATCCTGAAGACAAAGCAGAAGCAAAGAAATGGCTACCGAGGGTGGAAGTGGCCCCGTCACAGCACAAGCAGACTGGCCAAGAGCAAAGGTCGTGGCAACAGTGTTTTGGGATGCTCATGGCATAGTGCCTGTTGACTTCTTGAAGGGCCGGAGAACGATAACATCTGCTTATTATGAAAGTGCTTGTAAAAAGTTAGCAAAAGCTTTAACAGACAGACACCTGAGAAAGCTTCACCAGAGAGTCCTCCTCCACCACAACAAAGGTTCTGCTCATTCCTCTCATCAAGTGAGGGCGATTTTGCGAGAGTTTCAATGGGAAATCTTTAACCATCCACCCTGGATAGGTTCCTTCTGACTTCTTTACTTCCTAATATTTAAAAAATCTGTAAAAGACACCCATTTTTTCCCAGTTAATAATGTAAAAAAGACTGCACTGACATGGTTAAATTCCCAGGACACTTAGTTCTTTAGGGATGGACTAAGTGAATGGTATCATTGCTTACAAAAGTGTCTGGAACTTGATGGAACTCGTGTTGAGAAATAAAATCATATTTTAAACTTTTATCTCTTAATTCCATTTTTTCATAAACTTTTTAAAGTCCTCTCATATGTGAGAAATGTTTCTAAATTACATCTTATAGTTAGTTATCATAGACATATGGAAAGGCTATTTATTTGATTCTATTAATCAGTATATTCATCATCACGCTAAACTTGAGGCTAAGGGTTAATGCTAAACTGGGCCTAAGGATAAGATAGTGGTAATGGTTCTGAAATGTATTATTACATAATGTATAATGTAACAATGTAATTTTCCTGACTTGGATAGGCATTTTGTAACTGTGTGAGAGAAACCCCTCATAAAAAATGCATAAAAAATGTACACTGAGGCCATTTGGGGGCGATGGAACATCATGACCTCAACTTATTCTCAAATGGTTAGGGTGAGGGGAAGCATTTTATTGTAGTGCAAGTGACAATTTTTATATACGCTTGAGATTTTCTAAAGTGCATTAAAAATAATATTTGAATGGGTACAACATGTCATTCTAGTAATGGATGCTCTAAATGCCCTGACTTCACCACTACACAAGCTATGTATGCACTTGCACCCTGATATGGTTTGGCTCTGTGTCCCCACCCAAATCTCATGCTGAATTGTAATCCTCAGTGTTGGGGGAGGGACCTGGTGGGAGGTGATTGTATCATGGGGGCACTTTCCTCCGTGCTGCTCTCAGGATAGTGAGTTCTCACGAGATCTGGTGGTTTGTAAGTGTGTAGCACTTCCCCTTTTGCTCTCTCTCTGTCTCCTGCCCCACCATACAAAGACTTGCTTCCTTCCCATTTGCATTCTACCATGATTGTAAGTTTCCTGAGGCCTCCCAGCCATGCTTCCTGTACTGCCTATGGAACTTTGAGGTGATTAAACGTATTTTCTTCATAAATTACCCAGTCTCAGGTAGCTCTTTTTAGCGGTGTGAAAACAGACTATTACATATCCCATAAAGCTATTAAAAATAACAAAATCCCTTGGCAACGCCTGCTGCTAAGAAAGTGAAGTCTTAAAGAGAGGACAGGAATAAGAGTGTTTAGCCAAGGGCTTTTGAGTGTGTGTTACTGTGAGGTCGGCCAATTCAGGCCTGGTGGGAGGTCTCCCGCTGACAGTACAGTCTCCTATGACTCAGCCTCAGCCAGCGAAGGCTCCAGAACAGTCGCGACGTCCTCGTGTGGAGCCTTCAGTCCCACAGACAGACTCCTTGCCTTGTTCCCATGGCTGCCTTTGGCTCCTCATATAATTTCTCCTCCCACTTGACTTTTCTGGAAGTTAGAATCCACAATCAGCTGCCAAGTAAGATGATTGTGGTCTCAGTAGAACTGCTTAACAAATAATGTAGACGTACTCTTCCAGGGAGAGGTCCGGACAAGCCCCTTTTTGAGCTCCTTCCCAATTCTGTGACTTCTGATAGAAGAATCAGGCACCGGGCACAGAGTGGCCTGGGTACTGAGTCCAGCCACCTGTTCCTACTCCCACCCTCTCTGCTGAGCCCGAGCCCGGAGGACCTCACAATTAAACCAGCTCAACTTTCCGGGCAGTTGATTTCAGGGAAATCTTTAAATAGCAGCAGCTGTTGCTTTCTGAAGGAAGTTTCTGGGAAAGTGTCTATTTAGTTCAATTAATATTTTGGAATTTTGCTTAAAAATACTCTATTTTCAGAAATATTGGACACTAATGTCATAAATCAGTTTAGTCACATATTAGGAATTATTATTAGTACTTTAATACATGTGGAGAAACGAAATGTACACATGGACAGTGGCCAGGGCAGACATAAAAACAGAGCTTGGACACACAGCCTGCAGCTGCTGCCCCGGAAGCCAGCTCCGGGTGGAGACACAAAGCCCAGCCTGGGCAGCCGTCTAATGCAGGTCAAACTTGCAGGAAGTCAGATTGCAAACAATAATTCTGGAACAATCGGCCCGATGGTCCAGACTAGATTAATAATTTCCCAAATTTTTGTCCCTACTTCCAACTCAGGAGCAAGAATAGAGAGCCAAACACGCTCCCTCACCGGTCACACGGCGTGCCTCATTCAGCCACAGCCTGCAGCATCCTCAGGCCAACAGCCACCTTCAGGGCGTGCCTGCAGGAGCCTCCCCTTGTCTTCATCATAAATCTCTCCCACTCCCCTGCCTGCCTTCCAGTACCTCTCAAGCTCTTGAGACGGCAGCTGATGCCCTCGCTACAGCAAGCTCCGAATGATAGGTTCTGCGTTTCTCGTCTGAGTGGTCTCCTTTTACTTCCACAATATTTAAATATACTTTGATTCACATTATTGCACCTGATTCTACACATCCCTGCAAGTAGGGTACAGCAGGCGTTTCTTGTGTTTTTGAAGGCTTGAAACTTCCAATTACTCAGCTAAAGCTACGGCGAAAGAGAAAAATGATCCAATGATACTTGCTGAAGAGGGAAAGCAGAATTTACTCAAGGGGCAGTGGCCACAGGTTCAGGGACTGCTGCTGTGGGTCTCGCAGTGGAGGGAGATGAGCTCAGCTCTGATGACAGCACAAGCACTTGGAATTTGTAGCTAAGGAGTAGGGTGGGGTCAGTGGATGGAAAATGAGTAAGCGGAAATCTCAGGGCCATGGGGGATTGTGGCCAAATCCACCTAGCAGGATTCCTGGGGAAGGCAGGCAGGATGCTTGGATGTCACCTGGCGACCATGGAGGCTGAGAAGCCCACTCAGACATCGAGGGTGACTGAGAAGGGAAGATGACCCTGCATATTGTAGGGAAAGGTCGGAAACAGTCACCACGGGGCAAGCCCATCAAAATTCAGTGGCCCTCGCTGAGATTTTACACATTTCAAAGCCTTTATTTTCAGATTCAGATATCATAAAATCAGGCAAATAAAAATCTTTTTCCAATTTTTGTCCTTCATGATGATCCTATTCTGAAACAGATCTCAGAGGGTCTACGAGGTCAAAATTGATTTTGCAATAATATTGAGATTTCATTTATGTTAACATGCAATGTGTTTATTATTGCTGCTTTCCAGTGAAACAATACATATTTTTTTAAAAGTTCTCAACCTCAGTGTTGAATGTAATAAATATGGCTATGACCTACATAAACAGAAGCTGAGGTCTTTGTTAAGTTCTAAGAGTGTTAAAGGTGCCCAGAGATCAAAAAGGTAAAACCACCATTTGAGGACAAAACTACCTTTCTCCTTACCAAAACCACAGGCAGGCCTGGATGCGTCTCCCTGCTGTTGCTGCTACGAGTGTGTTCACCTATATTTCAGAATAGAAACCTGGGGGCTAGGGTGGTGCTGAATTCTGTGTGCTATCTTGACTGGGCCGCAGGCTACCCTGTATTTAGTCAAATGTTACTCTGGGTGTGTCTGTGAAGGTGTTTCCGGTTGAGACTAACATTTGAATCTGTGGACTGGCCAAAGCACATGGCCCTCCACAATGCGGGTGGCCTCACCCAACCAGTTCAGGCCTGAATGGGACAAAAAAGACTGCCTCCTGCCCATGCCAACTAAGAGGGAACTCCTTTCCCTCACTACCTTGGGCTGAACATCGGTCTTGTCCTGCCATTGGACTCAAACTGAAACATCGGCCCTTTTGGGGTCTGAAGCCTGACAGCTTGGCCTGGAACTTATACCGCAGGAGGGGCTCTCCTGGGTCTCCAGGTTGTTGACTGCAGACCTTGGGCTCGTCAACCTCCGTGATCATGGGAGCCAGTTCCCTATACGAAATCTCTCTCTCTAGATCTGAATATCCCGAGAGTTCTGTTTCACTGCCTGTCATACGTGAACATGTTAGCATCCTAGCAATGTCTTCATACCACTTTCTACAAGCCAGACACATCCCTTTCCAATGTAGCAAAAATGAACATGTTTATTAGCATGACCCAAAGATATTGCCTCTATCTAGCATATAAAAATAAGCAAAAGTATATAAACTTAAAATTATGCTCAGTAATCAGAGTTTCAATATTCTATCTTACTTAGAAATCATCCAGGTATTCACAAATTACACCTTAATTAACTCAGTTTGAAATCACTCTAAGATCTTAGGTTATGTAAAGATCTTGAAAACTATTTTCAAGCTGACGGTGCAACACAACAGCCATTGAAGAAAACAGCTCATCAGAATAAGGATTCCATTTACCGAAAAACTTACTTTTTTTATAATCTTATATATTACAAGGGAGCAATATTAGCTGATTTGATCAGTAAACTTGTTTTAGTTTAGGAAGAATAAACCCAAGTAGTTAGGTATTCTACTTAACACTGATAAATCAGGGAGAGCTCTTTTAAAACTAGATTTTAGACTGGATTGAATTAGTCTCATTTACCAAAGTTTTGCTTATTCTTTAAACTTGAATTCTTAGAACACTTCTGAATTGGATTTTGTACACACACACACACACACACACACACTACATTTAAAGCATGCTTTCATTAATGAAGTTCAATTTCCTTATTTTTTTGAAGTTTTAGAAATTTTCACTTTATATAAGTGCTTATTTATTTCTGTAAGCCAGACAGACCGCCTTAAACTTAAGATATTTTATAATTTAACTTATCAATACTGTGATAGGAAAATAAATCTTTTTTTTTTTTTTTTTTTTTTTGAGACTGAGTTTCGCTCTTGTTGCCCAGGCTGGAGTGCAATGGTGTGCTCTCGGCTCACCACAACCTCCGCCCCCCAGGTTCCAGCGATTCTCCTGCCTCAGCCTCCCAAGTAGCTGGGATTACAAGCATGCACCACCACACCCAGCTAATTTTGTATTTTTTGTAGAGACGAGGTTTCTCCATGTTGGTCAGGCTAGTCTCAAACTCCCGACCTCAGATGATCTGCCCACGTCGGCCTCCCAACGTGCTGGGATTACAGTCATGAGCCACCACGCCCGGCCAGAAAATAAATCTTGGAACCCCAAAATCACTAAGCCAAAGGGAAAAGACAAGCTGGGAGCTGCAAACCTGCCGCCCTTTCTATTCCTAAATAAGACAGGTACCAAGATAAAAAAAGCTACATACCTCCCTCACAGTTTGCCCACAAGGAAATTCTTTGTGGATGAAGGGCACACAGAAATCAAAGTCATCCCTCTGCTCAAGTGAAACAAATGCATATCTGATTGCTTCCTTTGCCCTCTTGTTTCACTAAGCCAGACTAAGGCATAAATGACTATTCCTATAAATTGTGCATTCAGTTAAAGGTTAATCAGAAACTCAAAAGAATGCAATCATTTGTCTCTTAACTACCTATGACCTGGATGTTTCCTCCCCAAGTTGAGCTGTCCCGCCTTTCCAGACCGAAGCAATGTACACCTTACGTATATTAATTGATGCCTTATGTCTCCCTAAAATGTATAAAACCAAGCTGTGCCCCCAACCACCTTGGGCAAATGTCATCAAGACCTCCTGAGGCTGTGTCACGGGCATGTCCTTAACCTTGGCAAAATACACTTTCTAAGTTGATTGAGAACTGTCTCAGATACCTCTTGGTTTACAATTGGGCAACCACAAAGGGACTCTGAGTGGAAGTGCCCCTGACCTTTGACAAATCTCCTACCGTGCTTAGTTCATTAGCATGACCCAAAGATGTAGCCTCTATCTAGCATATAAAAATAATCAAAAGTATATAAACTTAAAATTATGCTCAGTAATCAGTGTTTCAATATTCTGTCTTACTTAGAAATCATCTAGGTGTCCACAAATTATACCTTAATTAACTCAATTTGAGCGATCTCTTAAAGCTATCTTTATGGCTCAAACCAACAGGACAATTTGCTGAGGCCTGGGAGTTCCCTTCTATCCAGAGAATCCCTGATCTCCCAATATTTGGCTGTGATCTAAAGTTTATTTTGCTGTACAACCATCCAGAGATAAGAAAACATTTACACACTCCCACAAGAGGTAAAGACTGCTTTGAATTGTGCACAAACAATCACAAGACATATAGTGCTCAGATGTTCAGACATAGAGATGTTACAAAGAAGAATTCAAAGTTTTATAGTCATGTAAGGAATGACTCTAGTCATATTTATACAGTTGTTTGTGACTATAAATGACTACCGCATTTCAGGTCCTACAAAGAATATAGAAATGAATTTATAAATAGATGCAAAACTGGTCACTATCCACAGGGCAATAATTAATTGCATTCTACTGGACACAATCTGCATTTCTATGGACAAGATCATTTGCATTTCTATTCATTTTCTACAACTTCTGGAGTTCTAAGGTGTTTTTTGCTTATTTAGTTGCATTTGTCTTTTTCAGACTCTCTCACCATGTCCCTATGGTCTCCACAGAATGTCACATGTGCTCACGGCTCCACTTTGTCCTTTAGGCCTTGGCTCACATTCTGTTCCCTCAAAGACGATTTCCCAGAACAACCAAGCTAAAGTGGCTTTCCCTTCAAGTCCCCACTCATAGTTCTATTTTTCCCCTTCATAGAACTCATCATAATTTGTCATCATATTTTTATTTGCAGTATTGTTGATAGTCTCTGCATTCCACATGGCAGAGATAATTTCTCTTTTCCTCCACATTCTACTCCCAGCATCTACCTAGAGTCGTTCATAGCAGATATTCACAAATTAATACATAAAAGAAAGAAATAGACAAACAGTGAACAGCTTTCTGAAAGCTGAACTCACTGCAAGTTCTTTAAAGAATTAACATGAGGGCTGGAACAGGGGCTACTCCAGTAGCCCTTTTAATCTACCTTTGTGTTCTGAAGAATAATGGACATCCTTCCTCTGTCTCCCCTACTTCAAATCAGTTCTCTGAGTTCTCAGGGCTTAGAGAGCTGTCCCTCTACCCTAACACTCCTTTCAAAGTCTACTTCAGAGCCCCTGGGGTGTCCATAGAAAGGCAGAACTAGTGATCCACCTCTGCATACTGTAGTGGGTCTGAGTCCAGGCCTCACCTGGGCTTTACAGGTGCACATGGCTTTTCAGTCTCCACAGGGCTTTCTCTTAGCCTCACACCTGTCGTGAAAGGGACAGATGAGAAAATGATCCTGGGAGTACAGTGGACTTAGAGACTCTGAAGCTAGCTCTTGTGGGGGTAAGAGCCACCCTGCAAGATGTACCCTGTGCCAGGTGCTAGGCCACCTTCATCTCACATCTCCCAGTGGTTCTACAGGGCAGGTGACCTAGCTCAGGCTGCAGTAACAAACACCACAGACTGGGTGGCTGAAACAACAGACATTTGTTTCCTCACAGTTCTGAACACTGGAAAGCCTAAGACTAAGACCCAGCAGGGTTGGCTCCTGGTGAGGGCTCTCTTCCTGGCTTGCAGATGGCCACCTTCCCACTGTCCTCACATGGCCTTTCCTTGATGTGTGAGCATGGAGAGGAAAGAGACCTTCCTCTTCTTATACGGCACCAATCCTGTAGGACTAGGACCCCATCCTTAGGCCCTCATTTTAACCTTCATTGCCTCCTGGAAGTCCTATTTTAAATGCAGTCACATTAAGGGTTAGGGCTTGAACACATGAATTTGGGTAGGACACGATTCAGTCCATAGCAGCAGGAACATCCTCATTGTATAGACAGGAAAGTTGAGGCAAAGGGAAGTTAAGCAAAATCTGTTCCAGCCTTGGAGGGGAGAGCCAGGGGTGAACCCTGGGCTGGGCAGGGGTCAGAGCCATGCCTCTGGCCAGCATGCTGTACTTCTTCCCCAACACCAACATGACAGCTGCCACACCAGTACCAGGTCTCATGCTAGGGACTGGTGATGCACTGAGTCAGGGCCCTGGTCAGAAGGCACAGTTATACTTGCTGGGCAGTGGCTTCTTCACAGGCTTAATGCCCTGGAACCCTCCCTCACACAGCCAGGAAGGCACAGGGAAGAGGAAAGTGATCAGTAGGGCTGCACAGGGCTGCATGACTTCACAGCTAATGATGGGTCTGCACTCCCAAGAGAGGAGAGGGCGTGAAAAAGTGAGGAACAGACAGGCAACTTCTCATCCTCCCAAATGCCGGGCTGTGACTCCCACCTCGAGAATGCACCCTAGGGAAAACCTAAGGCAGGACGCCCCCAGCAGAGGATGGGTCCTAGGTGTGCCTGCCAACACTTGCTTTTCCTAGCCTGGGAGCTCAGGACAGTCTGGTCATGGTCTACCTCTCCTAAAACAACTGGAATGCCATATGTGGATTAGGTCAGAATTAAAGTGCAATCTTTTTTTCTTCCCAAATATCACCAGGTGTTGGGAACTAATAATAGGTGTGGAACAGATTGGGTGGAAAGCATAAAGTGTGAAGTACACGTTTATTGTCCAAAAAAGTGTGTAAAAAACACATCTTTTAAAATTTATGTATTCTTCTTTCTTCAAAGCACAGCTTTTTCAAAACTTTGGTAATAGCTTTGTAGGACTTTTAAAAGCCTATGAGTGAAGTTTTTTTGAATTTGTTTTTATTTATTAATTTATTTTTTAAATTCCAGGATACAAGTGCAGAACATGCAGGTTTGTTACATAGGTATACGTGTGCCATGGTGGTTTGCTGCACCTATCAACCCATCACCTAGGTTTTAAGCCTCACGTGCATTAGCTGTTTGTCTTGATGCTCTCCCTCCCCTCGCCTCCCCGACTGACAGGCCCTGGTGTGTGTTGTTCCCCTCCCTTTGTCCATGTGTTCTCATTGTTCAACTCCCACTTATGAAAGAACATGCGATGTTTGGTTTTCTGCTTCTGTGTTACTTTGCTGAGGATGATATCTTCCAGTTTCATCCATGTCCCTGCAAAGGACATGATCTCATTTCTTTTTATGGCTGCATAGTATTCCATGATGTATATGTACCACATTTTCTTAATCCAGTTTATTATTGATGGGCATTTCGATTGGTTCCATATCCTTGCTATTGTGAATAGTGCTGCAATAAACATAAGCATGCATATATCTTTATAGTAGAATGATTTATATTCCTTTGGGTATATACCCAGTAATGGGATTGCTGGGTCAAATGGTATTTCCGGTTCTAGATCCTTGAGAAATCGCCACACTGTCTTCCACAATGGTTGAACCAATTTATATTCCCAAAAACAGTGTAAAAGTCTTTCTATTCCTCCACAGCCTCACCAATACCTGTTGTTTCTTGACTTTTTAACCATTGCCATTCTGACTGGCATGAGATGGTATCTCACTGTGGTTTTGATTTGCATTTCTCTAATGATCAGTGATGTTGAGCTTTCTTTCGTATGTTTGTTGGCTGCATAAATGTCTTCTTCTGAGAAGTGTCTGTCCTTTGGCCACTTTTTGATGAGGTTCCTTGTTTTTTTTCTTGTAAATTTGTTTAAGTTCCTTGTAAATTCTGGATATTAGACCTTTGTCAGATGGATAGATTGCAAAATTTTTGTCTCATTCTGTAGGTTGCCTGTTCGCTCTGATGACAGTTTCTTTTGCTGTGCAGAAGCTCTTTAGTTTAATTGGATCCCACTTGTCAATTTTAGCTTTTGTTACAATTGCTTTTGACGATTTCATCATAAAATTTTTGCCTATGGCTATGTCCTGAATGGTATTACCTAGGATTTCTTCTAGTGTTTTTATGGCTTTGGGTTTTACATTTAAGTCTTTAGTTAATTTTTGCATAATGTGTAAGGAAGGGGTACAAGTTTCAGTGTTCTGCATATGGCTAGCCAGTTTTCCCAGCACCCTTTGTTAAATAGGGAATTATTTCCTTATTGCTTGTTTTTGTCAGGTTCATCAAAGATCAGGTGGTTGTAGATGTGTGGTCTTGTTTCTGAGGTCTCTATTCTGTTCCATTGATCTATATGTCTATTTTGATACCACTACCATGCTCTTTTGGTTACTGCAGCCTTGTAGTATAGCTTGAAGTTAGGTAATGTGATGCCTCCAGCTTTGTTCTTTTTGCTTAGGATTGTCTTGGCTATGCAGGCTCTCTTTTGGTTCCATATGAACTTTAAAGTAGTTTTTTTTCTAATTCTGTGAAGAATGTCAATGGCAGTTTGATGGAAATAACATTGAATCTATAAATTATTTTGATCAGTATGGCCATTTTCACAATACTGATTCTTCCTATCCATGAGAATGGAATGTTTTTCCATTTGTCTTTGTCCTCTCTTATTTCCTTGAGCAGTGGTGTGCAGTTCTCCTTGAAGAGGTCCTTCACATCCCTTCTTAGCTGTATTCCTAGGTATTTTATTCTCTTTTTAGCAATTTTGAATGGGAGTTCATTCATGATTTGGCTCTCTGCTTGTCTATTGTTGGTGTATAAGAGTGCTTGTGATTTTTGCACATTGATTTTGTATCCTGAGACTTTGCTGAAGCTGTTTATCAGTTTAATGAGTTTTTGGTCTGAGACAGTGGGGTTTTCTAAATATAGGATCATGTCATCTGCAAACAGACAATTTAACTTCCTCTCTTCCTATTTGAATACGCTTTATTTCTTTCTCTTGCTTGATTGCCCTGGCCAGAACTTCCAATACTGTGTTGAACAGGAGTGGTGAGAGAGGGCATACTTGTCTTGTGCTGGTTTTCAAACGGAATGGTTCCAGCTTTTGCCCATTCAGTATGATATTGGCTATGGGTTTGTCATAAATGGCTCTTATTATTTTGAGATATGTTCCAACAGTACCTAGTTTAGTGATCATTTTTAACATGAAGTGATGTTGAATTTTATCAAAGGTCTTTTCTGCATCTATTGAGATAACCATGTGATTTTTGTCATTGGTTCTGTTTATGTGATGGATTACGTTTATCAATTTGTGTATACTGAACCAGCCTTGCATCTCAAGGATGAAGCCGATTTGATCATGGTGGATAAGCTTTTTTATGTGCTGCTGGATTTGGTTTGCCAGTATTTTATTGAGGATTTTTACCCTGATGTTCATCAGGGATATTGGCCTGAACTTTTCTTTTTTTATCGTGTCTCTGCCAGCTTTTGGCATCAGGATGATGCTGCCCTCATAAAATGTGTTAGGAAAGAGTCCCTCCTTTTCAATTGTTTGGAATAGTTTCTGAAGAAATGGTACAAGCTCCTCTTTGTACCTCTGGTAGAACTTGGCTGTGAATCCGTCTGGTCTTGGGCTTTTTTTTGTTGGTAGGGTATTTATTACTGCCTCAATTTCAGAACTTGTTATTGTTCTATTCAGGGATTTGACTTCTTCCTGGTTTAGTCTTGGGAGGGTGTATGTGTCCAGGAATTTATCCATTTCTTCTAGACTTTCTAGTTTATTTGCATAGAGGTGTTTATGGCATTCTGTGATGGTAGTTTGTATTTCTGTGGGGTCAATGGTGATATCCCTTTATCATCTTTTATTGTGTCTATTTGATTCTTCTCTCTTTTCTTCTTTATTCTTCTTGCTAGCAGTCTATCAATTATGTTGATCTTTTCAAAAAACCAGCTCCTGGATTTATTGATTTTTTGAAGGGTTTTTCATGTTTCTATCTCCTTCAGTTCTGCTCTGATCTTAGTTATTTCTTGTCTTCTGCAAGCTTTTGAATGTGTTTGCTCTTGCTTCTCTAGTTCTTTTAATTGTGATGTTAGGATGTTGATTTCAGATCTTCCCAGCTTTCTGATGTGGACATTTAATGCTATACATTTCCCTGTTAACACTGCTTTAGCTGTGTCCCAGAGATTCTGGTGCATTGTCTCTTTGTTCTCATTGGTTTCAAAGAACTTCTTGATTTCTGCCTGAATTTCATTATTTACCCAAGAGCAGGTTGTTCAATTTCCATGTAGTTGTGTGGTTTTGAGAGAGCTTCTTAACCCTGAGTTCTAATTTGATTGCACTGTGGTCCAAGAGACTGTTTGTTATTATTTCAGTTCCTTTGCATTTTTTGAGGAGTGTTTTACTTCCAATTATGTGGTTGATTTTAGAGTAAGTGTGATGTGACACTAGGGGAATGTATATTCTGTTGTTTTGAAGTGGAGAGTTCTGTAGATATCTATTAGGTCCACTCGATCCAGAGCTGAGTTCAAGTCTTAAATATCCTTGTTAATTTTCTGTCTCATTGATCTGTCTAATATTGACAGTGGGGTGTTAAAATCTCCCACTATTATTGGCTGGGAGTCTAAGTCTCTTTGTAGGTCTCTAAGAACTTGTTTTATGAATTTGGGTGCTCCTGTATGGGGTGCATATATATTTAGTTAGCTCTTCTTGTTGAATTGATCCCTTTACCATTATGTAATGCCCTTCTTTGTCTGTTTTGATCTTTGTTTGTTTAAAGTCTGTTTTGTCAGAGACTAGAATTGCAGCCCCTGCTTTTCTTCTGCTTTGCATTTGCTTGGTAAATTTTCTTCTATCCCTTTATTTTGAGCCTATGTGTATCTTTGAATGTGAGATGGGTCCCTTGAATACAACACACTGATGGGTCTTGACTCTTTATCCAATTTTCCAATCTGTTTCTTTTAATTGGAGCATTTAGCCTGTTTATATTTAAGGTTAATATTGTTATGTGTGAATTTGATCCTTTCATCATGATGCTAGCTGGTTATTTTGCACACTAGTTGATGCCGTTTCTTCATAGTATCATTGGTCTTTATATTTTTGTGTGTTCTGGAGTGGCTGGTGCCAGTTTTTCCCTTCCATATTTAGTGCTTCCTTCAGGAGCTCTTGCAAAGCAGCCCTGGTGGTGGCAAATTTCCTCAGCATTTGCCTGTCTGAAAAGGATTTTCTTTCTCCTTTGTTTATGAAGCTTAGTTTGGCCAGATATGAAATTCTGGGTTGAAAATTCTTTTCTTTAAGAATTCTGAATATTGACCCCCACTCTCTTCTGCTTGTAGGGTTTCTGCTGAAAGATCCACTGTTAGTCCAATGGGCTTCCCTTTGTAGGTGACCTGGCCTTTCTCTATGGCTGCCCTTAACATTTTTTCCTTCATTTCGAGCTTGGAGAATCTGATGATTGTGTGTCATGGAGTATCTTAGTGGGGTTATCTTAGTGAGGTTTTCTGTATTTCCTGAATTTGAATGTTGGCCTGTCTTGCTAGGTTGGGGAAGTTCTCCTGGATAGTATCCTGAAGTGTGTTTTCCAACTTGGTTCCATTCTCCTCATCTCTTTCAGGTACTCCAGTCAGTCATAGGTTCGGTCTTTTTACATAGTCCCATATTTCTCAGAGGTTTTGTTTGTTCCTTTTTATTCTTTTTTCTCTAATCTTGTCTGCCTGCCTTATTTCAGTAATATAGTCTTCCATCTCTGATATTCTTTCTTCTTCTTGATTGGTTTGGCTACTGATACTTGTGTGTGCTCCATGAAGTTCTCAAGCTGTGTTTTTCATCTCCATCAGGTCATTTATGTTCCTCTCTAAACTGGTTATTCTAGTTAACGGCTCCTTCAACATTTTATCAAGGTTCTTAGCTTCTTCGCATTGGGTTGGAACATGCTTCTTTACTCAGCGAAGTTTGTTATTACTCACCTTCCGAAGCTTACTTCTGTCAACTTGGCCATCTCATCCTCCGTCCAGTTCTGCACCCTTGCTGCAGAGGTGTTGCAATCATTTAGAGGAGACAAGGCACTCTGGCTTTTTGGGTTTTCAGCATTTTTTTCATTGATTCTTTCTCATCTTCATGAGTTTGTCTAGTTTCAATCTTTAAGGCTGCTGACCCTTGGATGAGGTTTTTGTGGGGACTTTTTTTGTTGATGCTATTGTTGTTTTGTGTTTGTTTGTTTTTCTTTCAATGGTCAGGACCCGTTTCTGTAGGGATGTTGCAGTTTGCTGAGGGTTCACTTCAGGCCCTATTCATCTGGTTTACTCCTGCACCTGAGATATCACTCGAAGAGGCTGGAAAACAGCAAAGATGGGTGCCTGCTCCTTCTTCTGGGATCTCTGACATCGAGCGGCACCGACCTGATGCCAGTAGGAATGCTCTTGTATATAGCATGTCTGACAACCCCTGTTGGGGGCAGAGGGTCTCACCAAGTTGGGTAGCACAGGAAACAGTACTCGTTTAATGAGGCACTTTGGCTGTCCCTTGGTGGAGGGGGTGTGCTGTGCTGGGGGAAACCCACACTTCTGGGCTGCCCAGATTCCTCAGAGCTAGCAGAAGGAAAGACTAAGTCTGCTGGTTCGCAGCGACTACAACCACCCCTCCCCCTAGGGAATCAGACCCAGGGAGATCAGAGTTCTGTCCCTGAGCCCTTGGCTAGAGTTGGAGTTCCTGCAGGGAGGCCCTGCAGCTGCAGTGTTGGCTGCTGCCCTTCCCCCAAGGAGCTCAGACATCTTAGACAGCAGGCAGCCACAGCAGTGGTGATGGCCGCCCCTCCGCACAGGTGGAAGGGAAGTGAGTATGTCTGCAAAAGCCACCATGAGAGATCCTGGTAGTAATGGAAATGTCCTTCGTCTTGACTCTATTGATGTCCATGTCCTGTGATATTGTACTATAGTTTGGCAAAATGTTGTCATGGATAAATCTGGTTAAAGAATACACGGAATCTCTCTGTATTTTTCCTTATAACTTCATGTGACTCTACAATGGTCTCAAAATTTAAAAATCTAACTAAAAGAAACTCCCAAAAAAGATTAAATCACAGCTCCTACTTTCACTTTTAAGCACATTCCCTAGATTTTAATAAGCTATTGTTAACACAGTTAGATTACACCTCTATTTATAGCAAGAAGGAAAGATTAATATAGAATTATCAAGAATGTTATTGGCCATTTCATAATATACACATATTTCAATACATCGTGTTGTACACTATAAATATATACAATTTTTATTTATAATTTACAATACATTTTAAAATCTAAAAAATGAAAAAAATAATGTTTTTGTCATAAGACATTCTTACTAATATAGTAAGTTTCCTTTTTACAACAGAGAAGAAAGGGAACCTGTGTTGGTCCATTTTGTGTTGTTATAAGAGAATGCCACAGACTAGATAATTTATAAAGAAAAGAAAATTATTTCTTAAAGTTCTGGAGGCTGGGATGTCCAAGATTAAGGTGCTGGCATCTTGTGAGAACCTTCTTGCTGTGTCATCCCATAGTGGAAGTTGCAAGGGCAAGAGAGTGCTTGAGAGAGCATAAGAGGAGCCAAACTCACTTCTATAACAAATTCAGCCTCTCAATAACTAACTCACTCACTCCAAAAGACATTAGAGCCCTCAGATATAATCACCTCTTATTAGGCCCCACCTCTCAACACTGTTGCATTGGGGATTAATTTTCCAACACGTGAACTTTGGGGAATACATTCAAACCACAGCAGAACTTATTTTAAAAGAAAATGTAACTGATTCTAAAAGTCAAATACATGGCCTTCTGGTAATTAAAGTGGATGAAGTTTTAGATACTAAGATGGAGGCTTACTAAAATGTATATAAGAATTTTATATATAATTTTCCAATAAAACTTGGCATTTGTAATATATTTAGACTTGAATACTGTAGTGATTTTACTCTCCAACTGCTTATATATTTATTGTTATTCTACCTTCAAAGTAAGCTCTGCTAATAAAAGAACTACATCTTCACAGAATAAGGCAGGGAGGTAGCCTGCCATTCTAGGGACAAAGGATACGTTTTATGTTAAAAAGCAAATTTCTCTGCCCCACGATTGACCAGAGCGTGCCCCTCACTAGGAAGGGGCCGGGGCCTGTCCCCGGGATTGGCTTGCGTCTCCCAGACTCAGGTGGCCCAGGGGGCTCCCAGGCTTCAGTTTCTGAGATGGAGGCAGGGAGGTGCGGGTAGTGGCCCCAGGGCCCTGCTGTTAGGCCCACGGGAAACCGGACGGAGGACCCTGAGCGGCTCTGGCTGGCACCTCAGAGCAGAGCAGGGATGGGGGAGCGGGGTTGGCCTCAGAGCCAGAAGACCCCAGGACCGGAGCAAGCGGCTGCGGGAGGAGGCTCGCAGGCCCGGGTGTGTGGCCTGTGCCGTTGAGGGTAGGGCCAGAAGCCACGATGGAGAAGGAGGAGGTGCCTTAAAAACAGGCATGGCCTGCACAGGAAAAGAGACGGGTTGGGGGTGGCCCCGCAGCCCTGGAAGCCTCCAGCCAGGCCTGGTCCTCCTCGCCGAGAGCCTGTGCTGCAGGTGCAGGGGGCTGGACTGCGGGGGGCCCCCATCTCCAGCCGGCGGGCTCTGCTGCCTCCCACTGTGGAAGCCAGAAGGAAGGGCACCTGCACTCCTGCCCCTGGGTCTACTGGAGACCGGCCTGGGGTCCTACCAACCACCCACACCTCCATCCATGCAGCAGGGCCCCTGCAGACTCGGCCTCGTTTTCTGGGTGAAGACGTGGCACCCCCGGGCCGGGCGCACCCACCCCTGAGAGGAGCTCTCCTTTACGCACAACCCCAGTGTGGAACCCCCAAGTCATCCATGCTTGGCTGATGCTGGGTTTTGGGGCCCTGGCTCCCTAAGGGGCCTGATTGTGCACCCACAATGACGGAGAGTGGGTCTCACGCAGCTCCTCAGAGGCCTCACCCCATCCCAGCTCCCACCCTCCAGACCCGCAGGCACCCCCCAGGGCCGCACCTCCCGGAAGCCCTCCATAGCCCACAGATCTGACCTAAGTCCTGGTGACTCCTACACTCCAATGGAGTCGTAATCCCTAAAATCGAGGTGGGCCTTTGCTAGGGTGGTTTCTACCGAGGATTAATCCCTGGAACAACTCTCTGAATAAAATAAAATAAAAGCTGGCTGCATGGTTAATAACCTTGGTAAACCTCTCTCGGAGATACACAATACGCCATAATTTCTAGGACAACTTGCAGTGGAGAAATCTGTTTCAAATTTCTGATTTTATGAACTTGAAAACTAAAATTAAATTAAGTTTTTATCCTAAGAATTTCTGGCCTTTGCCATGGAATCATTTCTGCATGGCCAGGATTCTTGATGGCCCCTTTAGTTTTAAAGGGAATCCACACCTAAAGGAGTCAGAGGCAGATTCAGATAACTAAAGCACCGCTCCTGAGACCTGAGTGGTGACATTGCGTTTGCTTCTACACCGAAAGTCACACAAAATCTAATTTCTTGGTTTCTAATTATGATTAAATAATTCATATGCTGTACTACATTAAATCAAATCCTGTCAATCCCCGCCCCCCTGGCAAATGAACTGTCACTTAATAGACTATTCAAAAAACAGCCAATGCTTTGAAAGATAATTGCTTTCAGTTTTCTAAGTTTTCACTTATACAGCATAATAAAGGCAAGCTGATATGACGTGACTTTTTACAGACACCGTTCTCCCCAGCATCTGGTCAATAGTATATAAATATTTACAAGGAAAAATTAGTCAAAGAAAAAAGAAACCTTCATTATCCAAATCGATTTCTTTATAATGCTCATCAAAATTGTAAAAATAAAATACTTTGTTAACTTTCTAGTCATTCCTGTTGCCACACTGCTTCAGCTGGTGGCGTCAAGAAATTTAAGTTTAAGGATGTTTTTGTTCCACAACACTCCTACTCGTGTTCTGTACTATTTTAGAAGTTATCTAGAATAGTAAATTAAATCTGTAAGTGTAAACCTTGAAAGGAGAGAGAAAAGAATAGATATATGTAAGATACAAAAATTTTCACACTTTACAACCTTGAATACCAAGATAATAAAATGCTCTCTATATTTTCTATGTATTTCAGTTTAATCTAATAATATTGCAAAAAAAAGTTTCTGAAGAGGATGCTAAATAACAGCAATGACATTATCACTTTATAAATATACCCTTGCTGTAGATTTTGCTAAACAAACAGTTCTTTTAAAGTGACAAATATAAGTTATAACTTAGAGCACTTAAGATTCAGAAGCCTCAGCAAATTATGGTATCTTTTGGGGATGAAGACTTTTAGAGACAAATGTGAACAGTGCAGCCAGCCTACTTGACTTAGTGATTTACAAATGCATTCAACTCCGACGTGTGCAACACGACGTGGCTTCTCCCACACGCCGCTCCGCTGAAACATGGCGCACTCGTGGGCGGAAGGGCAGGACACCTGCAGCATGCAGTTCCTGCAGGACGTCAATGGGAATTTCGTGTCTAGCAGTGCAACGAACATCACCCGCAGCTCCCTGGGAGGACCGCGAGCTTCACGTGTGGGAGCTGCGCCGCCCCCTGGTACCCAGAGACACGCGGAGCCTGGGCTCCCTGGCTTTGTAATGCTCGTTGAAGTCCAGCCTGAAGCTAAGAAACCGAAGACTCTCGTCAGAGCTGGTCGTCAGTAACACCAAAAACTGCTGCACGATACCCTAAAAAGAAGCAAAAGGAGTAAAATATTGTTTCAGAAAAGAACGATCCACAAACTTATTCCCTGTACCTTAATCTCCTTTGGGTTGGGTTTGTCTTTCCAGATCAACAGGTCCTTAGTAAACGCTCACTACGGCGGGAGTCCAGGGAGCGAGAGCTGCTGGGACCATGGAGTGCACACGGCCAGTGCACCTGCATTAGGAATGGGCACCCTTTCACAAGGACAAATTAGCGATGAATACATTTTATTTGAAAGCAACTAACCAATAGGTGTTTTCACTTTGTTCTTAAGTTCCACAAGAATAAGCAAAACAGCAACGTAACAGATGTTAGAATAGTCTATTCTTTTTATTTTGAATGCAAAACTCAGTGCCACACGTTTCATCTTTCACATGACTCATGAAAGAGGATTTCGTCCTAGAGCCCTCACTGGAAAACAAATTGAGAACATTGGACGGGTCTACATTCCCAGCCATGACCTTAAGGTTCAATGCTGTTGGGTGTGAGGCTGCAGCTGCCTTCCTGATGGGCGGTGGCATCACTGCCATCACCTCCTTATGTGGGGTCACAGACCACATGTTCAAATGCCTGATGCAGAAAAATAATATTAAGTGGAATGGAATAATCTTTAATACTTCAGTTTTAAAATAATACAGATTACAAAGGACTCCATATTTACTTTGCACAATGTGATCTTATTTTATTAAAAATGTCGTAAGCACAGTAAAAAGAAAGGTTTACGTAAAAATATCAACAGAGGTTATCTGTGACATGCTCAGTGCTTTCCTTAAAAGATATCCAAAAATTTCTAAAATGCACAAATATCATAAAATTGGGGAGGGAAGTTTTTTTTAAGCACCAGTA
Organism: Homo sapiens; assembly: GCF_000001405.40. Classification (NCBI taxonomy): domain Eukaryota; kingdom Metazoa; phylum Chordata; class Mammalia; order Primates; family Hominidae; genus Homo; species Homo sapiens. Next base: position 110,989,117 of record NC_000013.11, on the reverse strand, counting down.
ACCATCACCCTTAATCATGGCACCATTAAGTCTTTCTTAAAAAAATTAACATCATTTTCCTAGTATTAAAATGAGCAAGCCAAGATCAGCCAACTAAGAGATCCTTTTTTTTTTTTTTCACAGAAGATTACTTCTAATGGTGAATATTTAAGGAAATGTTAAGACCAGGCTCAATTATATAGACATTTCAATCAAAACAATGATCACGTGGATTAAAATGTTCATAAAATGGAGTCCAAATCTTACACTTTCAGGGTACTAAGTGTTACACTCAGGAGTCTCTCTACTCAGGTCTCTCCTTAACAATTTTGTTAGCCGCAACGTAATAAAATATTTGAGAATCACTTTTCTAGAATCACTAATATTCACTAGCCTCACTCTTTGCATGATCTTTAACAGCAAATCAGTCTCCCCAAGTTGAGATTATTAACTCTGTGATTTTAGAAGTAACAGGGCCTTGGGCTCTGAATGAATCTAGAAGTCTATCTGTTTCCTTCACATTTAACTTTTAAGTTGTATTAAAGCATCATTCAAAAGTAGCCTTTCATTTTCTTGGCCTCATAATCAATTCTCTGTAATTATTTAACATTGCCTTTGTGGTATGAGAGTGGGAAAAGCACACTTAACATAAAATGAATGGCTGGCACCATTATGTTACTCTACACTTAAATTACTACCTGGAAATCTAGAACCATAACATGAGATCACAACAACAACCACCTTTAGCTACACAGTGCATCATCCTACAGAACTTTACTAAAATTACAAAAATGTCCGTCTTCCCCATGTGCATCCTAGAAAACAGCACAAGATATAAAATTCTAATCAAATTTATCAAAATTTGTTTTGTCATATAAGGAATTAACACCCTACATGTCTTTACAGCAGGCCGACAGCTTACGGGGTGAGTTGCAGGGTGCCGCAGACTTTGTCTTCCCCCGTTTCCCCAAGGATAATTCAGAGCGTTGCTCTCTTCTCTTGGCTCATGTAAATCTGAAAATTTTTATTCCAGTGCTGTCCCAAAAAAGACAATGCTTAAGAGTCCATCTCTAGGATTAAGATCCATGTATTAGTCTGTTCTCACACAGCTATAGAGAACTACTGAGACTGGATAATTCATGAAGAAAAGAGGTTTAATTGACCTACAGTTCCACAGGCTTAACAGGAAGCATGACTGGGAGGCCGCAGGAATCTTACAATCATGGCAAAAGGTGAAGAGGACGTAGTTAGTAAATATTATTTCATTTCATTTAATCTAATGCACCTCTTTACATGGTGGCAGGAGAGAGAGATAGACAGCAAATGGGGATGTGCCACACACTTTTAACCATCAGATCTGGTGTGAACTCACTCACTATCATGAGAACAGCAGGGGGGAATTTCACCCCCATGATCCAATCACCCCCCACTATGTCCTTCCCCCAGCATTGGGAATTATAATTCAACATGAGATTTGAGTGGGGACACAGAGCCAAACTATATCAATCCATTAAGATAGAAACCACCAGAAGAGAGAGGCAGTGAATGAGAGGGAGAATATGTGTCTTCATTATCATTTTCCTTTAGCCTAAAATGATTTAAGCACCAGGGACACAGAGAACCTGACTCTGAGAAGTGCAAAGTGAGGATGTGGCAAAGGAAACCCTTTCATGCTTGGACAACAAGACAGGCATTTAGGAAATTGTGGCAGCAAAGATCTTTCTCCAATTGTGCCAAGGACAGAAACTGATCGTGTCCAGACTTGGTTTTATGAGAACATGCACTATAAGAACAAATCTTCAATGCTAATACTGGCTCCTAGCTATAATCAAACAAATATCTATACATGTCCATAGATGAACATTTTTACAGAATAGACTTTACTGAAATGTTCTTAGGAAACAGGACTTGAATAGATGAATGCATTTCTTCAATAATATGTTTAAGCACCTTTCAATGTCAAGTTCCTGAGTTGAGTGCCAGAGGGAACACAAATTTACCTACCACAGAACCTGCTCTCAGGGAGCTCACAGGAAGACATGGTAAATGAATGAATGACTGTAGTAAGATGAAGGAGGTGATGAATTATGTGTGTCAGCCTGAAATAATAGAAATGATCAGAATCCAGTTTAAAAAGCTTATTCTGGTGAAAAGCTGGGAATGACCATCTGGAAGACAAAGACACTAGAGAAGTAGGGTCAGCACTTTGAACTTAAAAGTTGTTTTGCTTTTATATATAGTGTCATCTGAAGAATCATGAGGTTCATAAATTTGGAAAGGAGAGCTTTATTTCTCATAAAGGGTTGCTGCCTGTAGGCTGGGAAGCATAGCCTCTTTCAGAAGCTGAAAGCAGGCACTTCAAGGGAGGGAAGGATAAGACAGGAACTTATGTTGAACAGATTGGCTAGGTATATATATTCTACAGGTTATAAGAGGAGCTCTGAATATTTTACAAAGGGGAGGCATAGGCATGTGTAGTAGAGTAACACATAAGTAACATGTATCCCACGTTTACTTTGGGGTGGAGACTTATCATTTAAATGTATTATAATTAGATCCTATACATCAAAAGGTAAAGCAGATGACCTGAAGGCCCTCATTGTGCAGTCTCTTTAAACTGATCCAAACCACTCCATGGTTGGTGGTCTCTTACCAGGAAGGAATGTTGATCAGTTGCTGTCCACCAAACCGGGGTAGTGTCAGGTGATTGGTTGAAATCAGCAGTCAAGTAAGTCTTTCAGGAGGGCTGGTTTTTGTTTAAAGCTTAGGAAAAGAAAGTCTAATGGCATTTAGCAAAGGAGGGTCTATCATGAGGCCCATCTGACATCCTATACTGTCATGGCTGAGAGCTGTTTTTTTTAAGGTTTCTTCAGGGTCCTCTTGGCTAAGAGGGAGTCTGTTTAGTCACATGGGGGGCTTAGGATTTTATTTTTTATTTCTCATTAGGCAGAAAACAAAGAAGTTTAGTAGGATTATAACATTTTCTATGCAAGTCTGGTTTATTAGTTGCAAAAATTTAATTAGTGCAGTTTGCTTTTTTCTCCATGTGACACGTTTTCTTTTCTTTACAGCTAGTTTTTGTTTCCAATTTAAAAGTGTATATTTAACATTTTATTTTAGGCAAGGTGATAGCCAAAGTCTTTGTGTGAGAAAGGTAAGAAGGATGTTAATCTATAACAAAGATCAGTAGTGAAGAGGGAAGGGGTCTTTCTTGTCACTCTTTAGTCATTTGCAGCATTTTACAAAACACTGTAGGTAAGGAAGAAGGCTAATCTATAATCAGAGAAATAAAGATTACAGCTGCCTACATTACAGCTGCCTGTTTGCATGACTCAGATCCCATAATCACATTTCCTTAAGGCTTGAAATATTTCAAAGTTTCAGTAGCTTAGATTTTGAATTACTTATTTTCACATGTGAAGCTAAAGTCTTACAGAAATTCAGAGAAGGAAGCTATGATATTATGAAATACATATATTTGGTCTTCGCCAGTTTTCCTGGCATACAACTCCTAAAATCCTTGGAAACTTCGAAGTGCTGTCTTTTTGTTTGCTGATGTTTACTGATAGCTTCAGGATATGGTTGGCCACCAGAAAGACAAAGGCACAATTAGAGGGCTAGGACTTTCAGTCCCACCTCCTAATCTCCAGGGAGGGGAAGAAGCTGGAGGTTATGTTGATCATCAATGGCCAATGGTTTAATCAATCATGCCTACATAATGAAGCTGCCATAAAAACTCAAGAGGACAGGGTTCAGAGAGCTTCCGGGTGGTTGAGCCTGGGTAGGGTCCTGGAGCGTGATACCCACGGAGGGCGTGGAAGCTCTGTGCCCTCCCCAATACCTCACTCCGCATCTCATTATCTGTATCCTTGATGGATGTATCCTTGTAATATCCTTTACAATAAACTGGTAAACACAAGTTGGTGTTCCCCTGAGTTCTGTGTGCCACTCCAACAAATTAAACCCAAAGAGGGTCCTGGTATCCCCAATTTATAGCCAGCCAGTCAGTCAGAAGTTTCAGAGCCTGGACTTGCCACTGGTGTCTGAGGCGGGCTGTCTTGGGGACTAAGCCTCAACCTGTGGGATCTGAGGTTACCTCCAAGTAGATAGCGTTAGAACTGAATTAGAGGGACCCAGCTGGTGTCCACTGATTGCTATGTGAAGAAACCAACCCCACCACATTAGGTCACAAAAGTCTTCTGCATTGATGGCTGCTGAGGTGTGAGAGGAGAGGAAGAACAGGGTTTGAGAGATTTTCCTAAACAGCTGAACACGTGGAGGTGCCTAGAGGGTGGCACACCCCTCTCCCATGCCCTGTCCTGTGCACCTCTTCATCTGCAGTCTTTGTAACGTCCTTTGTAATAAACTAGCAAACATAAGAGATTTCCTGAGTTCTATGAGCGGCTCCATGGGATCCCTGATTTATAGCTGGTCAGTCAGAAGACAAGTGAACAACCTGGGGTTTGCGATTGGCACCGGAAGTGGAGGCAGTCTTGTGGGACTGAGCCTTCATTCCGTGGGGTCTGACGCTATCTCCAGTAGACTCAGCACTGCCTGGGCTGGAGGACTCCCAGCTGGCATCTGCTGTGGAACAGATTGATTGCTTAGTATATGGGGGGAAAAATGCACACATTTGGCCATAGAAGTCTTCTGTGTTGATTGTGGGGTGAGAGCAGAGGAAAAGCAGTCTGTTTTTTTCCCTGCACAAGCTTAAGTCCAAATGGGAACAGTCACTTATTCACTGAACAAATTCTTAGCACCTATCGTGAGCCGTGCATTGATCTAGGTACTGAGGATACAGCAGTGAACAATTCAGAAACAGCCACTATCCCCCCTGGGCACTGTTCCAGTGGGGAGATAGACAAGCCCATAAACAAATGAAGATGAAATTGGGTGCATTTGGCACTCCTGGGCAATGACAAAAAGCAAAGGCAAGCTAGAGATAATACAAACAAACAGGGTGTGTGGAGGGAGGCCATTTTAGATTGGGGGATTCACCTAGAAAGACTGTGAAGAGTATGTGTGTGTTTATGTATCTGTGTGTATATGTGTGTATATGTATGTGTGTGTATGGGTGTTATATGTGTGGGTGTGTATATATGAGTGTGTGTATATATGAGTATGTGCACACATGCACACAGGGCATGTTAATGTTGTCAAGGTCTTATGTTTGATTGCTGTAAATAAAGGCTAGATGGTATCAATTATGTGCTGCCAATCTCCTTTATAAGTAGGCATATGAATACATGTCAAAATTTTGATGAGCATAGGGAAGAGATTTCTACATTTATTTTCAATTGCCATGTCTAATCTTTGGAGAACAATTCAAATTATTAAATCATTAATTGATCCTTTCAAAAATGTTTACTTCCTAACTTTATAGTCACTTTCAAATTTTAAAGAAGTAAACTAATAAATGCTTTGAGGAATAAGCAAAACTATTGTAATGAGGTTATCACCACTTTAGCATATAATTAAAGGATTTCTGTTAGAAGCCAAAACATTTTTAAACTCAGAATGAATAATCCGAAAGATTATCCTACCACAATCTTTGCTCTGTAATTTGCCATTGAACCGATTAGACTAATTGCATACATGCTTTTTATCTGCTCTTCATTTAAACAGAAGAGCTAGTTTTATAGGCAACACACAAATGTATCTTGACAGTTGGAATGCAGCCATATTTTTATCCATATGAACGATAAGAAAATGTAAACCATTAGAACCTCAGACCATTCAGGCATCTTCAGAGGTTTTGAAAGCATTTCTTCATCTAAGGGCAAGGGAACACACAGTCACTCCAGCAGCAAACACGAAGAGCTTGGTATGCTTTAGAATATAATTAACCTGTGAGAAATATAGAGGGAAAAGCCAAGGTCAGAATATAATTGCAATATGCTTTTATTTTATTGATGCATTTTCCATTCAAGTTTCTTTTTCAACATTATGTCAAACACAGAAAGAATTGAGAAAAAAGTTAAATGTAATTATATAATAATTTCTCATTAACTGTTGGACAAATGCCAATGACTCCTTGCAAAAAGCAGAAATGAAGAGGGTACTTTTCTTAGGAAGGGAATTAATTTCTAAGAATCAGATCAATTAATACAGACCATAAAAAATTCCAACTTCAATTTGCCAATCATGCAGGCAGCTACCAGGATATTTCTCCAAAGAGAAATCTCCTAGAGAAAATAAAATGGCAACTGGACCAGGGAATGGGTGAGTTGGTCAGATTCTCTGTATAACAAGGGATAATTTACAAGATAAACTAACAAATTATAATATTCTGAGATGTATGGTATAAAAATGCCAAGGCAGTAAGATATTTTATATGGTAAACATTTAAATTTTTAAAATTCTTAGCAAAACAATAAAAGAAATAAAATAGCAAGAGCGGCCAAGCTCGGTGGCTCACACCTGCAATCCCATCACTTTGGGAGGCCGAGGCGGGTGGATCACGAGGTCAGGAGTTCCGGACCAGCCTGGAACTCTGGTGAAACCCCATCTCTACTAAAAATACAAAAATTAGCTGGGCGTGGTGGCACACGCCTGTAGTCTCAGCTACTCGGGAGGCTGAGGCAAGAAAATCACTTGAACATAGGAGGCGGAGGTTGCAGTGAGCCAAGATCGCGCCACTGCACTCCAGCCTGGGTGACAGAGCGAGACTCCATCTCAAAATAAATAAATAAATAAATAAATAAATAAATAAATAAATAAATAAATAGCAAGAGTGCTGAATGAATCCACAGAGATATTCCAAAAAGCAGTAACTGTGTTATTTATATTTTACTGACCTTCAAATTCAAGGATGTCGATTTTTTAGGGTATTAGAGTGTTTAAGTAAACATTAGAAACAAATGTGAACGTTTTGTAACTTGAAAACAAGAGTGCTTAATTCTACCTTTCCCCTACTTGTTTTGCACCTGTTTGAAGCACTGATCCTTTCTTGCTCTGGTAAGTTTATCTTAAAATCTCACCACCCTCCTATTTACCTAACACTGAATCAACTTGATCTGTTTGCTTCAGTCAGTTCTTAGGGGTCAGAAACAATGTTAGCTACAAAAAGGCATAAGGATGTGACTTCCGTAGTTAGTTTAGTAATGCATGATAGAAAATGTGGTTTTCTTACATAATACTGCCTTTCCTTCCAAAAGTAATTAGAAACTTTCCTCCAGAGTTTGAAAGTACTTTCCAAGTTAATAATTTAGAATCCTGCTGAATTCGTATAGCCCTCTATTTTTGCCTGTCTTTGCATTTCAACATAAATACAAATGTAGGGAATAAAAAGATACATATTTTCTCACCCTTTGCTAAGTTTATGCCTGAGGCTCCTATAAGACAGATTAAGAAGAAGAAAGCAGACAAGTGTATTTAATATAATTTGTATGTGACATGGGAGTCTTCAGAAATAAAGACCCAAAGAAATAGGGAAACATGTTTTTTATGCTAGGTTTGATGAAGAGTAGACAGTCTCGGGGAAGTATGGCTGGACAAAGGGAGCGTGATCGAACGGTGGTAACCTGGGAGGCATAGGGTGGCTTAGTAAGACTGGTGTGTTCAGATTATTCTCTGTGTGTCTCTGTGTCTTCAGAGATAAGAATGTTTCTTTTCTTTGGGTATAGGGTGTGTACTTCTTGAATGAGGGTCTCATGACCTGCTTTAGGGTAGAAGGGCAGAGTAAGATGAGAGAGACCTTCCTGCTTCTGCTGTTTTCTCAAATGTCAAAGTGCCATGCTTTGGGTTATTGTGTCCTGAACCCCTTTATGAGACACAAATAAAATATATACATAAAATAAAAGTTGGATATCATTCTCTGCACTATTGCACTAACAGTTCATATCTTTTTTATATCAAAAAGTGAAATCACAGATGCTAGACTGAGGCAGCTTTTAATGACACCACACCAGAAATAGCAAAGCCCAGATGCCATCTGAAAGTTTCCCTTTCATGTTGAGGTTGAAAATCATCCAAGCCCAGTGGCAGCTGGGCAGGGAGGCAGTGCAGTGCTCAGCCGTGGTCGGTATTCAAAGAGCTTCCAGGAAGGATGACAGGAGAAAGCCTTCACAAGTGGAGTGAGCTCTGATGGGCCATCAACAGAGAGACTGAGAAGTCCCTGAGACTGGCAGGAGCCCAATGCAAGGAAGTCCCTGAGGAACAGCTCTGGACAGAGACAGCCAAGAGGGAGATTCACCCCTTCCAATGGATCCAACGGGCATTCACCAGCTCCCAGGCAGGAGGAACTGGAGGTCGAGGTGAATTCAGGCTTCGGGTCACTACAGAAAGTGCAGCTCTCACACCAGCGCCATGCCCAGCCCATGCATTTCTTGTGTTTGTAAAAAGCCAGGTCAAAGAAAAGCCCTGAGTCCTGTTCCAACTTGGGTTTCCCTTAACCAGGGCCCATGGACAGAGAGTGCAGCATGGGGCAGGAAGGTGGGGTTGGGAGGGGGTCTGTGAATTTGGGATAAAAAATAATCTCATGTTTATTTTCAGTAATTTTTATTTGAAATTTAGCTCTTCCTTTAATTATAAATGCAACTAACAAACCACGGTACCCGTACCTTTGTCACCAACAGAAACCATATATTTCACATGTTAAGCTGTTGCAGGTGTTTTGAAATAGCCACTAATCCTTATTTAATGTGTTAATAAAATAAGCCCACGTATTACCACAGCACTAATTTGATATTAAGTTTGGAAATGCTGTATAGAGCAAAGTTAAGCGGAGTTCTTTCTAAGGGAATTTCTTGGAGCCTGCACTACTGCACAGAGGAGTGTGAGTGTGGAGGGGAGATGAGTGTGTAGAGCTGGTGTGGAAGGAGGTAGCACTCCGAACTCAGCCCCCTCTCATCACCTCAATTTTAGAACAAACTTTGCAGGTCCCCACGTGACCCTGGGGGTTGCTGCAGAGAATCAGAGGTTGGGTAGGCCGTGGTCCTCAAGTTTCACTGCACGGCAAACATACCATGGGGCTCTGAGAATCCTCATGCCTACATCAGTCCACATTAAAACTCCTGCAAGGCCCCCAAGAGCATCCAAACAGACATGCAGTGTGAGAGCCGCAGGGCTCTACTTAAACATAGTGACTCCACGGTGAACAGGAGCGCTTAAATTTAGCAGAGAGAGAGAAGCAAGACTCAGAAAAGGATCCTGGAAGTTGAATCTCATAGTCAGACCAATGACTTGGTCTAAGAGGTCTTCCTGACCCGCAGAAACTTCATGTTTTATTTTTGAGTAAAGGAAGTAGCATTTCTTTAGATAGATGTTCAATAAAATTGTCTTAGTCCATTCCTGCTGCTATAACAGAATGCCACAGACTGGATAATTTAGAAAGAACAGAAATTTATTTTGAACAGTTCTGGAGGCTGGGAAGTTCAAGATCAAGGTTTTGGCAGATTCAGTGTCTGGTGAGGACTTCTCTCTGCTTCCAACATGTTTTCCTGTTGCTGCATCCTCACCTGGCAGAAGAGGTGGAAGCAGCAAACAGCTCCCTCACACATCTTTTGTAAGGTCACTAATTCCATTCTTAAGAGCTCCATGCTCGTGACTTAATCACCTCCTAAAGATCCCACCTCTTAATACTACCAGATATGTTTTTGCTGTGTCCCTACCCAAATCTCGCCTTGAATTTTAGCTCCCATAATCCCCACGTGTCATGGGAGGGACCTGGTGGGAGGTAATTCAATCATAGGGTTGAGTTTTTCCCATGCTGTTCTCGTGATAGTGAATAAGTCTCATGAGATCTGCTGGTTTTATAAAGGGCAGTTCCCCTCCACACGCTCGCTTGCCTGCCACCATGTAAGATGTGCCTTTGCTCCTCCTTTACACTCCACAATGATTGTGAGGCCTCCCCAGCAATGTGGAACTGTGAGTCCATTAAACCTCTTTTTCTTTATAAATTACCCAGTCTTGGGTATTTCCTCATAGCACTATGAAAATGAGTTAATACACTACCCCACTGGAAATTAAGTTCCAAACACATGAATTTTGTAGAGACAGATTCAGACCTAACGTTTCTATCAAGTTAATGGTTACCAACCACACAAATTGCTATTTAAAATGGATTGTACACTTGAGGAAATAAGATATTTCAATCCAAGATACCACCCACATTAGCCATATTGAGGAAAAACTAACCTACATAGGAACTGAAAGGATAAAATTCTCAAGTTTTAATTACGTAAAGATCAAACATAACAATTATCTTTAACTATTAACTTCCTATGGTAAATACATTATTTTGACTAAATTGAAGAAAAACTTCACTAAAATTAATCAAGACTAAATAAAAGCTTAGAAATATAGAGCCTGTCAGAAACTCAAACAGCAGAGAATTACAAATAAATAAGAGAAAGGCTATAGACATTTTAGGCACAGAAGATATTCAAATGTTATCCAATGTTCTTTTTAGATTAATGTAACAATGGACAACATACTGAACACTTCCTATTTGTCTGACTCAATCCTCACACATACACAAAATCCTATGAGATAAGCACTACCATGTGCACATCTGGAAGATGTGGAAGGGAAGGCCCAGGGAGGTGAAGGTATTTGTCCAGGATTCAGGAACTAAAGCCAAGAGTCAGACTCAAATCATCTGACTTCAGAACCCAAGCTCTAAACAGCTACCTCACAGAGATAAAGCAGTCAGATGAGTTATAACAAGATAAACTGGTAGGTGATATAAACCCACTGGCATTGCAATACTAAACATAGCAGGCCCACAGCAATGAACACAATATGCTTTACATCAAGAAAGATTAATTTTAACTCTATCAATCATGATGCATTTTTGAAAAATCCCACAAGTGAAACTAGTGAGGCAAACAATAGCAGTTGAAGTAAAAGGTGTCACTTGAGCAAAAGACATTACCAGATAAAATGATGAGCAATCTTGAACTTCCCAAATCTCTACCTAAACTCACATCCTAAGTGTCAGGATCAGTAATTGTAGAACCTTGAGAGAGAGAGAGAGGACAGACAAGAGAGGAGAGGAGAGACAGAGAGGAGAGGAGAGAGAGAGAATGCTAATGTAGGAATATTTCAGGAATCTAAGTGAAGAGTATTTAGAAAATCTTTGTACAATTTTCACAACCTTTTTGAAAGTCTGAAATTATCCAAATAAGCATTTTAACTAATAAAGTTATGACTTTATAGATGAAGCAAGACTAAGATATTTAAATGAGAATTTGAAGTGCTTATCTTAAATATATTGAATAGATATGAACATTTATATCGTGGTTTATCTTTAAATAACTGAAACCTGCAAGTTTGTCTTACGTTTTCACATGTGTTAAACAATGTGTTATAAGAGTTCAAATGATCATAATAAGAGTGTGCACAACACCAACACATGGCCCAGACATCACCGAAGAAGGCTACGTGGGTGTGCTGTTTTCAGGACAAGTGGAAGAGTGCGCACAGCTGGGTTAAGGTGATCAATAGAGCAGAGCACACTGCATGCAGAAAAGAATGTGGGACTAGGCGTGGTGGAGGGGAAAGGGATGGGAATAGACCTATGGAGATCACACCTCACAAGTCTAGGATGAGACCAGAAGCATTTGGACATCAATCAAGATTTTGACACCAATGTTCAGCCAATAATAGTAGCCTCTGAGCTCTCATGGCATACTCCTCAGAGGAGCATGCAAGGTTGTTTCATTCCCCAATTGCTCCACGAAAGTGATTGAAGTTCTATTTCCCGATTCAGAGTTGCAGCTCATGTGTCTTCAGGCAAACAACAAGGGAAATTGTCGTACAGAGGTGTATGCTGCACAGAGATACAGTGTGCATTGTAGGGTTGGAAAACATTTCCTCCACCCTCTTTTGATCAGTGGCTGGAGTCTGTGAACAAAACTGACAAAAGTCAGATTAACAGGAGAAAAGGCATAAAAATAGTATTAATATTTTTAATTTTGTGTGCACAAGGGCTTCATAAAAAAAAAGAAGTAAAAAAATAAAAAAAAACAAAGAAGCAGTTAGGCTTAAGAGATTACATACCATTTTAACAAAAGGCAATAAATTTTAAAGAAGTGACTAGACAAAGGAGAAGGGTTTTAGGCTTCTAGGGGTGATAACTTGTGGGAAAGTGACTAGCAAATATATCAGGAAACTACTGAAAGTAAGGGTTATTTTAGTAAGGTCTTTTTATACTGACTCATCTTGGTGCTGGCTCTCCATATGTGGTGATAAGGGTAGCTCTCTTCATCCTGGTTCAGGAGAGGGAAAAACTCATGTCATTTTCACAAAGACAAGTTTATGTATTGCTTTTAGGCACAAAAGAAAGGGTAGAGAATTTTTCCTGCATCTGTTGATTCTCAATTGCCTTCAGCTCAAAACAATCCTTATGCCAAGGAGGGTTTTTTTGGAGTGGCATGTTCTGGACCCCTCAGCACATTTCCACTCATGCCTGAAACTCTAGGTTCTTTATCCCTAAATGATTGCATTGGCCCGTTTTTGGCATGAGTTTGATTTTGGAATAAAATTAGTTCTTAGCTCCTCACTAAAGTGAAATTGTATGGCTCTTCCTCCCCATTTGCTTAATAGTTTCTTCACCACAAAGCTTCAGTTCAGTGACCATGTCAGCCATCTTCAAGAGGTGAAATTAGATGTACCTAGTAAAAATCAATAGAAACAAAATCAAAAGTAAAAGACCAGTGTCTTAGTCTGTTTTTGCTGCTGTAATAGAATACTATAGACTAGGTAATTTATAAAGAAGAGAGATTTGTGTGTCTCAGGGTCCTGTAGGCTGGAAGGTCCAAGACTGTACGGCCACAGGTGGTGAGGGCCTTCTTGCTACATCCTAACATGGCAGAAGGCATCACATGGTGAGGCAGGTGCAAGACACAGAGAGAAAGGGGGCTGAATTCCCGAGATAACAAACTTACTCCTATGATAATGGCATTAACTTATTCAGGAAGGCAGAGCCCTCATGACCTAATTAACTCTTAAAGGTCCCATCTCTTAATACCATCACAAAGACAATTAAACTTTAACATGAGTTTTGGAGAGGACATTCAAATCATAGCAGCCAGATTATTTTTACAGACCTCTTTGTGTAAGACAAGTTTGCACTGAAATCCTGGACTACCTGGAGGCTCCAGAACAGCTCTGCATTTCAGTCTCAGGTACACAAAGGCAATGAAGCAAATTTCATAAGCAGAGATCAATGATGAGACCTATTAAAATGGAGTCATTTGGTCTATTCACTCCAAGAGCTACTGGATTTTCAAAAATAGAAAATTCCAAATTGGTTGTTAAATGTTCAATTTCAAATTGAAAAAAATTCTGCATTTGCAATTATGTCTCAGTTACCTCTCATTGCTTCCAGTTATCATATTAATTCATTTCAATGTGATTTTAATGCATTGCTTTCTCAATTAGCCAGTAAGATGTGTAAGGAAGAATTGGGTAACATAAGGAATGTTTCTCAAAAGATATTAGATGTTTTGTATCTAGCTCTGATGATTGCTCTCTTAGTACTTAATTAGTACTTAATTCTCTTGAAGCTGTTCTTTTTTTCTTTTTAAATTTTAAGCTGCATCACAATGTTTTGTGTATTATATTCAGTTTTGTCAAAACTATTTGTTAACATTTTTATTTAATTTCTTATTTTTATTTAACAAGAAGGGGCCAATACAAAGCAAAGCCCAGAAAAATCAAATTGAGTTCAGTTAACACACTAGTACTGATTTGTCTGGGCAAGTCATGGCTTTCTTAAAGAGCTCTGCAACTTCATGTAACTTGTTTTAAAACTGAGTGTATGAGTCCATTTTCATGCTACTGATAAAGACATACCAGAGCTGGGTAATTTATACACAAAAAGAGGTTTAATGGACTCACAGTTCCATGTGGCTTGGGAGGCCTCACAATGATGGTGGAAGGCAAGGAGGAGCAAGTCCTGTCTTACATGGCTGGTGACAGGCAAAGAGAGAGAGCTCATGCAGGGAAACGCCCCTTTATAAAACCATTAGATCTCATGAGACTTATTCACTACCACAAGAACAGCATGGGAAAGACCTGCCCCCATGATTCGATTACCTCCCACTGAGTCCCTCCCACAACACGTGGGAATTCAATATGAGATTTTGGTGGGGACACAGCCAAACCGTATCAATGAGCTTCTAAACTCATTAACTGTTGAAAATAAAAGGGAGATGTCAAAGGCTTTTGTTTTATTGCATATAGAAATTTAAAATTAATCCGATTTCCTGTAACAGCAACATAGTAACCTGATCTCAGAAAACATATTCTATGAGAAGACAAGGAAAATAAATGAATGAACAAAGGAATGAAGTATGTATGAATGTATGAATGTTTAGATGGACACAGAAAACTTTTAGGAGATTTTCTTACTCAGGCAAATCTTCCACTGTTGCTTCCCCAGAATAGAGAGCACTCCCTATTTTGCTCTCTTCATTTTTGTTGCCAACACTTAGAATTACTAGTAGAGAGATCTCTGACCATTGAGGTCAAGGTTGATGAGTCCAAGAAGATGTCATGCACTGAAGTGGCCTTGGTCTGGTCAGCAGCAGGTCTTCCTAGATACCATTTGTGGATTCTCCCTAGGCAGGAAGGACCATTGGCCACAACCCTGCTGTGGCACTCCATGATGGATCTAGGTCCTTCTGTCTTTTAAAACAGCAACATAATGTCTCCAGGATTAATCTGAAAAGCACTAGAACTTTGTGATTCTGACACAGTTAATCACTCCCAGTATCTCTATTCAATATTTTCTAAAGATAAAAGTTAAAAAAGACAATTATACAGATTACAGAGACCAGAGTAAGAAAGGCTTGGAGAAAAAAGAGAAACTTAGAGTGCCAACAACAATATAACATAAACAGACCAGCAAATAATAATGCAATTTCCCAGCTAATAGGATTGCTTAACAGCTGAATACAATCACACTCCTGATTAAACAGTAACAACATACACTTATGAAGAAAGACTGTAAGTTGTAATATGTCTTTTCAAGAAGCAGCATATTAACCACTGTTTATACTTCTCTAATTACATTCCTTTAAGTTTTTCATTTAGAAAACAGTTTACATTTTAATATCCAGCATCACTTCTGTTTTTAAAACAATTGGTCACATTTATATTGCCAAATTAAGGATATACAGGATATTTTCATAAGAAAAAAACAAGTGCAGGTGTGCTTTGAAAATGACCTTTAACTGAGGAGTCTGGTTACATAAAGATGAACGGTCTAATGATCTCATCTCCTCCCAGTGGTTTGAAACCTCTATTTTTTCTTATCATGTTTTTCGGGAGCAGAAATTTGTTCTATGAACTTAGAAATTCAAAAAATGTGACATTATTACCGCACCTTCTTTGTTCCACCCTCTTTCCCCAACTCCATTTCTTTAGGCCATAGAAAATGAGGCAGCCTACACAACCCAGTCCTCAAACTCTTGCTTAGAATAGGGTACAGGAATGTGAGGAGAAAACAAATATGACTTAAAGAAGATTGGAAGAGGACCAAATGGTCATTCACTGTGTATCATAATAACATCTGAGAGACATGCCCAAATACAAGCAAAGTGAAAAGAAATACACGGAATAGCACAAACTTATTAAAACAATAGCAATCAAAGAAAAAGAATACCAGGCAAAAGGCCAACCAAAACAACAACACAGAGGAAACACAATACAAAAGACAGAGGAAAGTCCTCTCAATTCTTCATGGGATGGAAAAACTGACACATTACAAAAAAGCCCAAAGATGAACAAAACACAATAGAATTGATATAGAGGGGCATAATTAAATTGAGGATCTAACAATATTACAATAGAGAATAGAAACAAGAAATAATATAGGTATTTCTAGAAATTAAATGACTTGCATGGACAAAAACAAAATGAATAGAAGTGAAAAAGACAAAGGAGTAACATTAGTCAGTGAAAAGCTATTAGACATTGAAGACAGACAATGAAAGTCCAATATAAGAAAAACCAGTGTCCCTGAGTCAAGAACCAAACAGATACCTGATGGTACATGCAAAGATTAAGATAAGAGAAGTTCTTGAAACTAAAAGTTTAAATTTGCATATCAAACATACCTTTTTTTCTGTGAAACTTAATGGGGAATAAAAACATCAAGATAAATCCTAATTATGCTATTGAACTTCAAGATAAGGAAATAATACTTCACGTGTTCAAACAGCAAAGTAAATCTCACACAGCAGAGAACGGTAATCACATTGGCCTCAGACTTCTCCACAGCAACATTCAGTATTTCTCTAAAATTTATAAGGAGGTATATGGAAACTTTTTGTTCAATTTTTCTGTTAACTTAAAACTACTCCAAAAAATAAAATATTATTTTTAAGAAATTCTGAGGAAAAGACAGCCTGAGCCAAGTGTATCATTCCCAATCATTTCATTGTTAGAATGATACACAGTGAAGTCACAGATTATAATATCCATGCATTCATTTTAAGGGAAATGAAAATGTAATAATAAAACATAAAGCCCAGCTAATTGAAATTGAATCAAACAAGAATTCCGAGGTGAAAAATAATGTTTAAAGTGAGAAAGTCTTTTCAAACCCCCATATCAGCAATAAAAAAATAGGGTCAAAGATCCCTGGTGGTCAAGCCATCCTTAGGGTCCTGACCTGGTCTCAGGAGGCACGGTTGTACATTCAGGACCACTTCTTTCTCCCTCTCTACCATGGAGCTGAGATTTGAGGGCTGTTCACCCGGGACCCCACTCCTGGCCCAGTCTAAACCAGGTGCCCCACTCTGAGCCCTGGACATAGGAGTCAGTCCAGGGGTGAGATAGGATCCAGGGGGGTCAACCAGAGTGACTCCTTTGGGGTTTGTCACTGTGCTGATGAAGAAAGCTCTAGAAAGTCTAGGAAATCAAGCTGGGAGGATGATAACATGGAAATGCAGCCATGTTCTCCTCTTGTGATGAAAGTCTCACTGCCAAGGGGAGATTGGGACTGATGCTGAGAAAGAAGGTTTGAGGGAAAGGATGCTGAAACCTGGGTCATCTGTCTCCTGTTCTTCACCACCCTGGAACTTTGAGGGTGGGAGAGAGTGGAAAGGGACATGGGGCCACGGGCCTCTGTTCTTCAAGGCTCTGTTCCTCAAGGGGCCTTTAAGAGGTGATTAGACCCTCTGGATCTGTTGGTTCTGGCACTTGCTCTGTAACTCAATGACCTCTCCAGCATCCTTCAAATACACCTCTTTCCATGGGAGCAGATTTTGTTGGCTTTTGGCTACTGGCACTTAGAGTTCTAATTAGTGTCTACCCCTTCAGTCTTCAGAGTCCTCAGGATGGAGGAAGTCACCATAAAAAGCAATGGGAGAGAGGATCTCTGTTACCTTAAGACTCCCACCAACCTCCTCCCTCCTACCCAGTCATAGACTGGATAGAAACTCTGCTCAGCCCAGGCAAGATGCCAGCAGCTCCCTTCCTGGTCATGATGTCACAGGTCCTGACATTCCACACTGTCCTGGAGACCAAGGCTGGGACACTTAAGACTTTTATAAGGTCCTTCTCCCTCAGCTGGAGGGAGCACAGCAGTGAGCCAAGGAGACGGGACCCTCTGCTTTGTCCTCCTGCTGTGCTGCTGGCAAGAAGTGAAGACCTGGCCAATAAGAATGAATTCAGGTAGAGTCCCAAGTAGATGGTTGGGCAAACAGAAAACCATGGGTCTGAATCAGGCAGGTGACAGTCTCTTCTCCCATGAGTCCTTCTCTGCTGTGGTTTGAATGTGTCCCCTCAAAAATTCAGGTATTTAAACTGATAGTGATAACATTAAGAGGTGGGACCTTTAAGAGGTGATTGGTCAAAAGGGTGCTCCCTCATGAATGGGATTAAGGCCCTTATGAAAGAGGCTTTGTGCAGCATTTGGCTCTCTTGACTTTCACCATGTGAGGACACAGGGTTCCTCCTCTCCAGAGAACTCAGCAACAAGGCGCCATCGTGGATGCTTAGAGCAGCCTTTGCAAGACACCAAACAAGCCAGTGGCTTGATCTTGGACTTCCCAGCCTCCAGAAGTATGTGAAATAAATTTATGTCCTTTTAAAATTACCCAGTCTCAGGTATTTTTGTTATAGCAGAACAAATAGATGAAGACATCATCCTTGCCTATCTCCCTGAATTTTTTACCACTGGACATTTATTCCTTGGGCAATGGAGGAATTTAAGAAGTTTTTCTGTATTTGAAGCCATTTATAATTTCAGAACTCCATACATACATTATATATTTTAACTTTTTGTTACTTTATGGAAATGTTCTAACTTGCAGGAAGTCAAGGAAGAATACCATGAACACCCACATATTCATCCTTCAGTTTCAGTAATTGTGCACATTTTTCCATCTTGCTTTTTCTACACACACACACTTTTGTCATTATCAGGAATATTTTAGCACTGCCCCAGGTGTCTTATCACCTCATGTAAAATGTTTTCTTGCTAACAGATTAAAGCACTGTTTTTAATGTATCCACAATGACATAATCACACTAACAAAATTAACAAAAATCCTTATAGCAGCTAATACCCAGTCCGTATTTTAATTTCTCCCCCATCTCTGTCCCCTTGCAGACATACAAAGTCCCTATACAACCATAAACTCTGAGAACTGCATCACACATGGCTTGGGGCCCCCAATGGATCCCCTGATGTAGTTGGGGTAAGACTTCCTTCATAAGGGGTTTATTCAACATTTCTCTCTGGTCTGGCAGTACCCATTTTCCTTCTGAATTCTCTTTAGCGCCTATTTTTATTAGTTTTTCTTTTTCAGTGGAAGAGAAAATGGGGATTACTGTAAGAGGAGGGAGACAGGGAGTTAAGTGAAAAATACGCATTTCAGAAGACACAGCAGCCTGCTTAGCTACCTGATCTGCTAGGTTATTTCTTCGACTTTCAGAAGAAAGGCTTTTCTGGTGGCTGGGAACATGGACAATAGCTATTTCTTCCGGCAACTGAAGATTATTCAATACTTGAGTGATCAGCTCCTTGTGAACAAGGCCTTGACCTTTACTATTAATGAGACCTCGTCCAGTCCAAATGTTCCCAAATGTATGGGCCACTCCAAAGGCATACCTGGAATCTGTATAGATGGTTCCTTCCTGGTTCTGTTACTTTAAGGATTGGCTGAGTGCAAACAGCTCACACGTTTGAGCAGACCAACTGTTGGGCAATTTTCCTGATTCTATTTCTGTAAGAGTTTCTCCATCAATCACTGAATACCCATTTTGTCTTTTTTCCTCAATCACCCAGGAGGAACCATCTATGAATAAGTGCTGTCCAGTCCAGAAGGGGGTTTCTCCTATGTCTGGTCTAAAAAATCTAAACATGTGTGTTCCCTCCTTAGATTTGGATTCCCTGTTAGGAAACCTGCTGGATTGAGTGAATTATCAGTGGTCAATGTTAAATCATCCTTTTCTAACAGAATGTCCTCATACTTTAAGATTCTTGAGTCAGTAAGCCATCTCCGTGCTCTCTGGTTTAAGATAGTTCTAACTCGGTGAGGCATGCTTACTGTCAATTTTCCTCCAAAGGTTAACTTTCTGCTTTCCTCGACTAGTATTGCTGTAACCATGACAGACTGGATGCATTGAGGCCATCCACAAGTGACTGGGTCTAAGACCTTTGATAGGAAGGCTACAGGCTGCTGGTGGCCTCCGTGTTCTTGAGTCAGCCTCCTAAAGCTACCCCACTGTCCACATTAACAAAAAGGTGGAATGGCTTTTCTAGGGAGGGTAAGGCTAAAGCAGGGGTAGCTATGAGCCTTTTCTTCAGCTCCTCAACTTGATAAACTTCCTCAGAAGTCCACAGGAGATGGTTAGGCTTCTGCTGGGCAAGTTTTTCATTCTTGGTAGTTTGAGGCAAGGGTAGGGACATGATTCCCTCGATTCATTCAGGCCCTATTCTTCACTTGTCTGCACTTACCAAGTGGCCTAAATATTTAACTTCGGGCTCTACATACTGAAGCTTTCTTTTTGAGACTTGTAGCCCCTCAAACTGCAGATGGTTAAGAATATGTGTAGAGAAGTCAGTTACCTTCTCTGTATCTTCACCAGGTATAAGAATGTCATCCACGTACTGAAGAAGGCATATTTGTTCTGGGATGACAACTTTTTCTAGTACTTGTTCTAAAATTTGGCCAAAAAGATTAGGGGAATCTGTGAACCCTTGAGGCAAGACCATCCATTGATATTGTTGTTTCCGCCCTGAGTGGGGATCCTCCCATTCAAAATATATCAGCTGTCTTCAGCCAGGGGACATGCCCAAAAAGCATCCTTCAAATCTATTACAGTAAACCATTGATGATTATATGGAATCTTGCTAAGAATGGTGTAAGGACTGGGGACAATGGGGTGGGTAGTCTGGACTATTTGGTTGATAGCTCTAAGGTCCTGTACTAGCCGGTATGACCCGTCTGTTCTTGACTGGCAGTATTGGGGTGTTATATGGAGACATACGGGGCTTGAGAAACCTGTCCTTAATAAGGCCTTTGATTATAGGTTTCAACCCTATCCTACCTTCTAGGGGAATAGGGTATTGCTTCCTTCTTACTACTTCTCCCGGGGTTTTTAGCATGATGTGGATCAGAGGGACTTGGAGTTTCCCTCAGTTTCCTTCTTTGGGCAGACATTAGGATTAATATATTTTTCATCCGCATTGGTGGGTAGGTTTCATGAAGTGAGGAATCCTCTTGGGCTGACTTGTAGACCTATGCCCAACTTTAACATTAAATCCCTCCCCAGTAAATTAGTTCCTGCTTCAAGGATTAACAAGAACTGAATATGAGCTGAGTGATCCTCGTATCTAACTTCTGTGCTTTCTAAAATGTTTGCTCTAAACCCTTCCCCTTTTACCCTGGAGACTAAAAGTTCCTCTGAGGAGGAGACAACATTAGACGAGGGGAAACAAACAGAGGAGTGAGCAGCCCCTGAATCAACTAAAAAAGTGATAAGCTCATGTTTAGGTCCCACCTCCAAATTTATCAGGGGCTCCTGGTGGGACTCAAGATAAAAGAGACAGAGCCCCTGACTCCCTTATTCTTCCTTGAAAGTCATGAGTGGAAGGGCTTCTTTCTCCTTTCTTAGTTCAGGACATCCTCTCTTGAAGTGGCCTGTTCTTCCACATCTATAGCACTTATCTTGTCCTTCCTTCCTCTTAGTTCTGGGATTCTTTAACTTTGCTCCCCCATACTCTTTAGGGGGCCTGGTAAACTTGGACCTTGGTCCTCCAGATGGAGGCTGGGTCCTTTAAAATAGGGTTTAGACCCTTTATAGTTTCTGGCTCCCTGGAAACTCTGTCTAGAAGTACCTGGGTTTGGAGCCATCTGTTGGAAGGTGGAAAACATAAGTTTTGTCTTTTGTTTCTGTTTTTCTTCATCCCTTTTCACATATACTTTCTGAGCTTCCCTGAGGAGCTCACTTAGCAGACGGTCTTCCCAATTGTCTATCTTTTGCAACTTTTTTGAAGTGTCTGGCCAACTTTTAGTGACAAACTGGAATTTCAACATTCCTTGCCCAAAGGGATCATCCAAATTGAGGCCTGCATATTGCCTCATTTGCTCCCTCAGTCTGTCTAGGAATCTCATAGGCCCTTCATCCTTTTCCTGTTGTATAACAAATGCTTTAGAAAGATTTTGGGTTCAGGGTACTGATTCCCAAATTCCTTTTATTATCATCTCCCTTAGTTCCTGCATATTTTCCCAGTGACCTGCATCGTTATTGTCCCACTGGGGGTCTCGAGGGGCAGGGAATTTCTGGTCTGCGGTAGGAAAGTTTTCACCAGGAGGGTGCTCACATTCCTAAACTACCATAGCAGCCCTGTGAATCATACTCCTTTCTTCCCCTGAAAAGAGGATGCCCAAGATGGACATTAACTCCACCCAAGTGTATAACTGAGGTCCTAAGAATTGGTCAGTTTGGTCTGCCACTCCATAAGGGTCATCTAGTAGTGGTTTAAGCTCCTTTTTAAAATTCCAGACTTCTGAACTGGTTAAGGGAGCATTTACAAAGCCAATGGCCCTCCCCACCTCGTGGTACCTCTTTCAAAGGGAAGAGGGTCAGGGCTGACCTCTTAGGTACAGAGAGAAATGGGAAATTCTGAATATCTTTTTTACATTGTTCTACCTCACACTAGAGTCCTTTTGGAGAGGGATATTTAGGTTGGGAGGGAACAGGCTGGTGGGACAGTAATTCCCAAGAGTCAGGGTTATAAGGAGGAGGGACAACGTGAGTAGAGGGGAAATTTGGAAAGGGATCTGAGGCGGCAATGGCTGTCTGAGGGGAAAGACTGAGGACACTGAATGGGGGAAGATAGTCTAGGGGATCCCATGCACTGGAGTCTTTAGGCATGAGAGCTGGCTCCTCTGACTTTTAATTTTGATGTGCTAGATTGGGTTCTTCCCTATCTGTTTTTAAGGGAAAAAGAAGGGCAGGTCCTTCCCTCCAACAAAGGGCATAGCCTAGTTCTTCTTGGGACACTGGACTTTTATCATTAATGTATCAGATTAGAAGCTGACACATTACACCCTCATTTGATCCAAACCTTGGCCAGAAGATTGAGGGTCTGAGGATGGGTCCCTGAGTCCAAATAAAACAGCAATATTTTATCATTTGTTGCTTTTTCCTATGTTTAATCCTTTCATTATCCTTTCATTATCTTTCCAGTATTTTAGCATGAGACCTAGGGGGCTATCTGGGGGGATATCTTTGTTACCATCTTTATCCTTCTTGCTCCCTGTCTTGCTTGGGGTATTTCCCATCTTGATGGTTTTGGGGTAGAGTTCAAGGTTCAATTTCCCTTACTGGAAATTTCTCACCTTTTGGGGTGAGGCTCAATTCCCCCCACTGGAAATTTCTTGCCTTTCGGGGTGAGGTTCAATTTCCACCACTGGAACATACTTGCCTTTTCTATTACTGGAGGTTTGTGTGAGGTTCAGTCCCTGCCAATGGGGATGTCTCACCTCTTTTTAACCTCTAAGCCACCCTGACCAAGGAGTACTTCACCACCCCCTGCCACGGCTTTCTTACCTTGCTCCCAACCACCAAGGAAATACTTTACCGGCTCCCATGGTGTCTTTTCCTCGGTCCATGCACACACTTGTGTGGCCCTTATGGAGGATGCTTTAAGCTAGGTTGCTAGCCAGTTTCTTTCCATGTAGCTGAGAGCTCAGGTTATTCTTCACACTGGGTGGGTCTTGATTTCTCACCCCTGAGGCCGCCACAGTGGGGTGGGGTGCACCTCCTCACAAGAGAGAACCAGAGACCACCCCCGGAGGGGAATGTAATCCCGGATGAGCCCCCAAATTGTTATAAGTAAAGTTTCGGTGCCACAAAAGAAATAGCACTCGAATATAAAATTTTCTTTTTAATTCTCAGCAGGGCAAGGTACTTCTATAGAAGGGTATGCCCTTACAGATGGAGGACTGGTGAGTGCACACCTGGACAAAGGAGGGAAAGGGGTTATTTTTCCTTATGCACATGGTCCCTACTGCTTTGTCATTCCCCTATTGGCTAGGGTTAGACCGTACAGGCTAAACTAATTCTGATTGAGTAATTTAAAGAGAGTGACAGGGTGAGTTGTTTGGAGGGAAAAACGGTTATGAAATGAGTCAAGGTGGAGAATGAGTCAGGGTGGAGCAGGTAATCGGAATGAGTCAGGGTGGAAAATGAGTCAGGGTGGAGTAAGTAATCAGAATGAGTCAGGGTGGAGAATGAGTCAGGATGGAGTAGGTAATCAGAATGAGTCAAGGTGGAGAATGAGTCAGGGTGGAGTAGATAATCAGAAAAGGTTGCTTTACAAGGAAGTTAAGTTTAAAAGTAGAAGGCAAAGAATTGAACATACTGTCATATTAATTCTTTGAAGAGAAATTTATAACTCATATTTAACATCATGATTACACAGCATTCATCATTAAGATGAACATCATGGTTCATCTTAAACCGTGAGGCTGAAGTCAGAGGTGACACATGAAGGATATGGCAAAGCCACTCCACTTGACAATGAACTTCAAAAACCACACTGATGTTATAAAACCCAAATATTTTACTGCACATGCTTACTGGCTGACTTGCACAATACTTCCATTATAATTACGGGACAGACACAAAATGAAAAGAATATTTTTAACAAAGCACTTGCACGATGCAGCCGTACCCATTCTTAATGATCATTAATGTCTCATCCAAAGAGAACCATACTTTGTTTCATTTACTGAAGGTCAGCATACTGGGAAGCAATTGTCATCACATCTCAGACCTTTTTGCATATTTGTCCTCATTGTTCTGAGCCTTCATGTGCTCAGACTAGTTGATTGGTGTGTAGATTGTCTGTCATTAAAGCCATTTGGAAATCAGCTTTGTCACTGGTTTAGTGTTGGAACTTCAGATCCTAGAAGACACCACTGGAAAGCTCTGTGCACTAGGAAAGGGAAGGTGCATGGCCCTGCTGAGCCCAACCTCGGGGCTGGAGGAAGAGACTGACCTTGACCTTGACCTTGAGCCTAAGCAATGCCCCAGGACACTGAGACACCACACCTCCAATAAAGAAAAACTGTGAATGGCAGAAGGAAGGAACCATTGTTTGGGGGCTAACAAGGAGAAAGAAGTGCTCAGAATCACCATTCACTGTCGGAGTCACTCAGCAGGGTCAGCTGCTATCAGCCAGGCAGCTGAGGCTACAGGTCAGGAGGCCACAGGTCCTGTGAATAACCCACATTCCAGACATCAGCATTTCACCCACATGACTCCACCTCTTATCTGCAAATGGGGCCACCCTGAAATCACTTTGCTTACGAAGGAGGAGAAAGGGGGTGGCCCGTCTCTCTGAGTCCTGCCCCTCCTAAAACAGAGCCATGAAGCCAGGTCTTCATGATGCAGCCATAGCATTGCAAACTGTTTCCCATTTCCCCAGAACATGTTTCTAAGCTTCCAGGTCTTACCGGAAAGGCGTCCTAATCCAGACCCCACAAGAGAGTTCTTGGATCTCATGCAAGAAAGAATTTGAGGCAAATCCGTAGAGTAAAGTGAAAGCAAGTTTATTAGGAAAATAAAGGAATAAACAAATGGCTATTCCATAGACAGGGCAGCCCCAAGGGCTCCTGGTTGCCCATTTTTATGGTTATTTCTTGATTATATACTAAACAAGGGGTGGAGGGGTGGATTATTCAAACCTCCCCTTTTTAGACCATATGTGGTAACTTTCTTATGTTGCCATGGCATTCGTGAACTGTCATGGTGCTGGTGGGAGTGTAGCAGTAAGGATGACCAGAGGTCACACTCGTCACCATCTTGGTTTTGGTGGGTTTTGGCCATCTTCTTTGCTACAACCTGTTTTATCAGTAATGTCCTTACAACCTGGATCTTGTGCTGACCTCCTATCTCATCCCGTGACTTAGAATTTCTAATCTACTGGGAATGCACTCCAGCAGGTCTCAGCCTTATTTTACCAAGCCCTTACTCAAGATGGAGTTACTCTGGTTCAAACACCTCTGACATTTCCCTCCCTCTCTTTTATAGGAGAACCCTTAATCCTAAGAGTTGTAGAGGGTCAAAGACCATCTTTTGTAATTTTTTTAGGCTGAACAGGGGCAATGATATTCCTAACTATTGAGTTTCTTGCATTCAGGGTAGAGAGGAGTTTAATTAGAAAGCATTGGTGTGGCAAGGGCCATTCATAACTTTTGAGTTCCAGCAAAAGGTGATATCTGGAAGATTAATAAGTGTTTAATTTAAGAGAACATTTGGTAAGCTTATTCTGCTTTTTACACAAAGAGTACAATGGCAATATGTTTTACAACAGTAAAGCAAAATAAGTAAAATTATCCCAAGTAAACTAAATTAGAAGGCATTTTATGAAATGGGCAATTGTTGAAACTGAGCTGATATGGGATTGCTAGCTGATTTTAATACATGCCCAAAATTAGAATATTGATTTAGACTTTTACATTACCCATACATCTTGTTTCTTCTGAGCAGCAGTCATAGATCACTGGTTGGTTCACAGGAATAAGAAAAGTTAGTCTAAATTGCAGGAAAAAAACTTAAAAACAACTGATGAGACTAGAATTTAATAACAGGTACACCATAGTTCTTGAAACATAATGTTTTTTCTTTCCCATCTCCCATTTTTACCAAAGACAAATTGTGGTATGACTGATTTGCTTTATTATACTTGGCCTGATTATTTGTATAAAGTGCAGCAAGAATAATTATTATTCACACAGGCTTTTAAAATTGGCTTTGATGGAATTTTGTTCCATAGAAGGAATCTCAGTTAAGACAGTTTTTTTAAAAGCAGAGTTCAGACATGGGTTTGTATCCTCAAATACCTATATGAGTTGGGTGAATTTTTTTCTTTTGAGGTTTTAAGATAACTTGGGGCTCCTGGGCCTGTCAGAAAGTGACATTTTTTACTTAACACAGGTCAGGAACCCTGTACAGGGACTATGTAGACAAGGTATGAGGCCAGTTTTACCAAGGGGATTTTTTTTCTTTTAAGACAAGAGTCTTGCTCGGTTGCCCAGGCTGGTGTGCAGTGGCAAAATCTTGGCTCACTGAAGCCTCCACCTCCCAGGTTCAAGTGATTCTCATGCCCCAGCCTCCCAAGTAGCCGAGATTACAGTCACATGCCACCACACCCAACTAATTTTTGTATTTTTAGTAGAGACAGGGTTTCACCATGTTGGCCAGGCTAGTCTTGAACTCTTGACCTCATGTGATTTGCCCACCTCAGCCTCCCAAAATGCTGGGACTACAGGCATGAGCCACTGTGCCCAGCCCCCAAAGGGTTTTCATTGGCTCTGTAAATTAAGCTTGATTCCTTAAAGGAAAGCACATCACTCCAGTGAAATCCTTGGTAAAATAACCAGTTTCTTTAATTGTGTCCTGTTGCAAAAGAAAGCAGATTTTTATTTCACTTATGCAAATAACTGTATTGCCATAAGAATACTTACAAATAGTTTCCAAATTCTGAAGAAATCAGGTAGAGAGAGGCAAATATGCTTCAACTTTTGTTCACAGGAGTAGACTTAATTGTTAAAAGCTGTAAATAGCTTAAAAGAAAAGTTTCCTTGACTCCGAAAAACAAAACAAGGGATAAAAGACTACTTTAGACTTCTATTAGTTTGGTCCATGCATAACTCTGGTTTGATATTTATGAACATTTTAGCTGTCCATGAGTGCTGAAAATTTTTTTCCTCTATTCTAATGTTACAATCTCCAAAGTTATTAGAAACCTGCATTTAAGCATACCTGTTAAAGTCCTATAGTTGATTATAAAACCACCTTTTGAAGGAGATTAGCACAAGACAATTGTTTGTGGATGGCAAAGTCTTAGGGTAGCCATGGTCAAAACCACAATTAACAAATTTTTTACCTCAGCGTCACACAATAACACAACAATTATAATTATTACTGATAATGTACACGAAGTCCTATTAGAATTATAAGAGTTTTCCATAATTTTGGAACACATACCAATATTTAGTGCATGTAAGATTTTTCATTTGCCAATTTTTTAATTTGATTACTGGCTTCAGGGTGGAGCCCTTGGAGAAATGGGGCTGGGAAAACAGTTTCTACAGCCTAATAAGCAGGCACAGCTGGAAGACAAAACAAATCCCCCAAAATTAAAGGTCTCATTTTTATATCAGATTTTGGATTCTAAAAAGAGAGCATTAGCCCATTCTGTGATCAGCGTTTCCCCCATGGGAGTCTTATCTCTTAGTGTGTGTGTTAGGGGACACATTTCCATAACTTTTAGGTGGCCAAGAGCATGCTTCTCTGATCCAAATGTGCAAAGAGCAGCATATCCCCCCATAACTGCCATTAGCCATTCATAAAATTACATTTTTTACCTAGTTATTATACACCAAAGCTTTTTTATAATGTGAAGTAATTTTTGATACCCCCAAAAGTCATAAATGTCAGATAACACAAAGTAAAATAGAATAGAGCCTTAGATTTTGAGAGGGACGTATCCATTCTTAATTCCTGGGGTTTTATGAGAAAAACAGAATTTTTCCAAAATGGGGTTTGTGGTGCCTCCTCTGTTTTTCCCAAGGAGTTCCAGCAGGTTAGAAATTGAATATCTGCTTTTAATTAAGCTGATTTTTAACCACAGAGCTCTTTATTTTTCTTTTTTTCTTTTTTTTCTTTTCTTTCTTTTTTTTTTTTTTTTTTTTTTTGATATGGCATATCGCTCTTGTTGCCCAGGGTGGAGTGCAATGACGTGATCTCAGCTTACCGCAACCTCTGCCTCCTGGGTTCAAGAATTCTCCTGCCTCAGCCTCCCGAGTAGCTGGGATTACAGGCATGCACCACCACACCTGGCTAATTTTGTACTTTTAGTAGAGACAGGGGCTTCACCATGTTGGTCAGGCTGGTCTTGAACTCCCGACCTCAGATGATCCGCCCGCCTCAGCCTCCCAAAGTGCTGGGATTACAGGCGTGAGCCACCACGCCCAACTGAGCTCAAAAAAAAAAAAAAAACCTTTTAAATTTCTTATTACCCAACTTTAGCCAGGCCAAACGGCCAGTATTTCTGGCTTTTGAACTTTACCAAAGGTAAACTCCCAGGAGCTTAGAGAAAGGAAAATTTAAAACCATTTGTGGAGGGGAAGAGAATTAACAAATGTTTACACAGATATTAAACCAGAAAGGACTTATTTTTTAAGACAGGAATTGAGCCCTGAACCTGGGCCGCCACTGTGAAGAGAGAAAGCCTTAGCTACTGACCTACATACAGCCTTGGGCAGTCTCCATTGCTCTTATCAGAAGGAGCCCAGAGCAGCAGATTTTGAGCTTGTGAAGGCTTTTAACTGCTTGAGATGATTTTTAGGGCTAACTTACATGAACTCCAAAATTCCTATTCTCCAGATGACAGAGACCAAGAGAAAGTACCGCCATATGGTTACAAGGTCAAGCTCCCAAGGACATGAAACAAGATGAGAGGAAAACTTTATTCAGTTTTTTTTTTTCCTCAGGGACCTGCAGCAAAGTTTGTTACTGACCAGTTTGCAAGGCCATTTTGAACAGCAGGCTTATGGGGTCCTAAGCCTGCATTCTATCCTAAGTTACCCCTCTTTATGACAGAACAATACAGAAAAATATGCAAAGCACACCAGATTTACTACAGCTTAAGACTAGCCTTACGAATCCCTTTTCCTATTAATCAAAACTTTATAGAAAGAGATAAACTGATTTTTACCATTCATTCAACGGGCACAGAGAGAGAGAATGGTTTGCACAGAGAGAACGAGAGAGGCCAGAAGTCTGACTGGTAAGAAATCCTTTCCCTTTTGCTGGCATGCCAGGCTGGTGGGTTCCCTTTCCCTGAATGGCCCTAGTGACCTGGCTCGCTGCTCCACAGCCCTGGGGACAAAGCCGCGACACAAAGGAAAATAATCTTTTTCTGTTCTGGCCAGAGCAAAATACATGACAAAACATGGACATTAGCCACTATGCTTAGCACTCAATATCAAACTGGCAAAGCTCAAGCTTGCCCCCGGTTGGGCCCCATCACTTTTTTGTTTTTTGTTTTTTGTTTTTTTTGAGACGGAGTCTCACTCTGTCGCCCAGACTGGAGTGCAGTGGTGTGATCTCGGCTCACTGCAAGCTCCGCCTCCCGGGTTCACGCCATTCTCCTGCCTCAGCCTCCAGAGTAGCTGGGACTACAGGCGCCCGCCATCACGCCCGGCTAATTTTTTTTTTTTTGTATTTTTAGTAGAGACGGGGTTTCAGGGCCCCATCACTTTTAATCCAACCCCCAACCGGGAGTTTCAACTTGTGGTCTCTGGGCAAGATGGTCGCCCTGAGTAATAGAAAAGATAAGAAAGGAAAAGGAAAGAGAGAGAAAGCAGTGCCTGTGGCAGGGTGGGGAAGGTGAAGAGCTCAAGGAGGCCAGAGAAAGACCCAGCCATTGTAGTGACACTGAAAAGTTCGGGCAGCCGCTTGTCAGTAGCAAAGGGATCTTTTCCAGCAGTCCCATCAGCTCTCAAGTTTCCCCCTTTAGGGAGCAAAAAGCCCCCCATGTCCCATGATTCTGTCACCCATAGCCATCAGCAAAGAGTGCAAGGCAGATTAATCCAAAGAGAATAGCAGTTAACATCCCTTAGTGCCAAACATGTTCTTAGCTGAGAGGGACCTTACTGAGAGGGGCCTCTAACCCCCTAAATCTTAGGAAGGACTCTAACCCTCCTAAGTTGGGCCTTGAACCCAAGTTCAGTCAAGCTTTCTTGCCTTTTATTAAGAGTTGCCTTTAACCCACTCTGTCTTAGGAGAGACTCTAACTCCCTTAAGTTGGGCCTCTAACCCAATCCCACCCTTCACCCGGGTAAATGCAAATGACTTACAAGGTCAGCCAATCAGTGTGCAGTCTATTTCCTTTGGGTTGGGGGTCTCTTTAGTATCATCTCTTCCATGGTTCACCGGAAAGATTTTACAAGAAAGTGGTCTCAATCCAGACCCCAAGGGAGGGTTCTTGGATCTCACGCAAGAAAGAATTCAAGGCAAATCCATAAGGTGAAAGCAAGTTTATTAGGAAAGTACAGGAATAAAAGAATGGCTATTCTATAGACAAAGTAGCCCCAAGGGCTGCTGGTTGCCCATTTTTATGGTTATTTATTGATGATATGCTGAAGAAGGGGTGGATGATTCATGCCTCCCCTTTTTAGACCATATAGGGTAACTTCCTGACATTGCCATGGCATTTATAAACTGTCATAGCGCTGGTTGGCATGTAGCAGTGAGGACGTCCAGAGGTCACACTTGTTGCCATCTTGGTTTGGGTGGGTTTTGGCCATCTTCTTTACTGCAACCTGTTTTATCGGCAAGGTTTTATGACCTGTATCTTGTGCTGACCTCCTGCCTCATCCTGTGACTTAGAATGTCTAACCTCCTGGGAATGCACTCCAGCAGGTCTCAGCCTTATTTTACCGAGCCCCTACTCAAGATGGAGTGGCTCTGGTTCAAACGCCTCTGACACAGGTGCATGCATTGCGGGTGCTGTCATGAAAGAGGTCAAAGTGTTGCTTTCACAAAAGGAGATGTGCCCTCTTACTTTGCTTACCTCAAAACAGCTGGGTAAGCCTAGACATCCTTGGGACCAGGATGTTGTCTCGGCCTCTCAAGGGACCAGGGACCAGGAGGGCAGGCTTAGCTCAGAGCTCCTGGGCAATTGTCCTCCATCCTCACAGCCACCCCGAGGATGAACATTTCCCCCCATTTTCCAGACAAGAAGCCCAAATCCCAAAGAACTTTCCCAGGGCCATCTCTCATGGCCTGCAGGAGGGACTGGAACTCAGGCAGGGCTCTGTCAGGCCTCTGAGCTGGAGCTAAGCCATTGTAACCCCTGTGACCTGCACGTATATATCCAGATGCCCAGCAGGAGCCAAGAAGCCTGGAGCAGCCAAGAAACCACAAAAGAAGTGAAACAGTCAGTTTCTGCCTTAACTGATTAACCAACCTTACGACATTCCAACATTATGACTTGTTCCTGCCCTACCCTAACTGATCAATCGACCCTGTGACATTCTTCTCCTGGACAATGGATCTCATGATCTCCCCACCATGCACCTTGTGACCCCCCTCTCCTGCTGACAACAGATAACTACCTTCAACTCTAACTTTCCACTGCCTACCCAAGTCCTATAAAGCTGCCTCTCTCCTATCTTCCTTCGCTGACTCTCTTTTCGGACTCAGCCCACTTGCACCCAAGTGAATAAACAGCCTTGTTGCTTACACAAAGCCTGTTTAGGTGGTCTTCTATATGGATACGCGTGACAGGCTCCTTCCTCTAGAGGGGGCTGGTGGGCACCCACAAAACGGTATCCATTTAAAGAGAAGCAAATGCAAATTCAATGAACATTGTTAAACTATAGGGCTTTTATTTCCCCCTAGGTTCAAGTTCTGGACTGCCGTCAAGTTAGTCAAGTTTTAAAAATATGGATGACGATATGACCACAGTATTTGGTAAGGAAGCCCCTCCTATCAACCTCTGGCCTGTACATGAAGGGGACTGGATGGTTGTCTGTGGCTTTTTCCCAGATAACCTGGTACCAACTGCAGACAGTGGAGGGAACTGATTGGTTTGGGGCTAGAATCATATACCAATGGCCCATAGCTTTACTGCTGACATCTAAGAGTCAAACTCTCAAGAAATTAAGGAAGACAGAATTTTAGACCATTACACCTAAAAAGTGCGTGGGAGCCTTGCTTCTCAAAGTGAGGTCCAAGGACCCTCAGCGTCTGCATCATCTGGTTTGGGGAGCTTGTTAGAAACGCCCAGCGGCAAGCCGGGCCCAGCCCTCCAGCACCAGCACCGCATTCAACCTGATGCCACCGATTCCTGTGCACCTGAGAGGCCCCATGGCTGAGCCGTCCCCTCCTCCACCGCCTCAGCCCTGCCAGCCCCCTGGAAAGATGGTGGAAACTACAGACCCCCTGGCCTCACCCCGGGGATGCAGGCCGTGCTGGTTTGGCTGAGCCTGGTGCCTCTGTGCTTCTCTAGGGCTCTGCAGGTGATGCTAAAGTACAGCCGGCTGAGAACTGCTGCCCTGGGCCAGGGCCGTCCAATAGAAACACAGCATGAGCCGAAGATGTGCTTTTCATTGTCTAGTGGCCACATTAAAAAGATGCAGATGAAACTCATTGCAATAACATTGTATTTCACGTGATGATTTCAACATGGGATCAGTGTCAAATTACTAGTGAGATGTTTCAGTCTTTCCATCACGCTGGCTCTCCACAGTTCCATGTGTCCTTTGCCTTCACGGCCATTTCCACGTAGACAGCCGCGCTCCAGGGTGTGAGCGCTTAGCCAGTGCCTGCACTTCTGCTCTGACCTCTCGTTTTACATGTG
Source organism: Homo sapiens (assembly GCF_000001405.40). Lineage (NCBI taxonomy): Eukaryota > Metazoa > Chordata > Mammalia > Primates > Hominidae > Homo > Homo sapiens. The sequence goes on along the minus strand of NC_000013.11, from coordinate 110,956,290 downwards.
GGTAAACTGAGGCCCAGAATGCTGGGACTCAGAGCATGCAGTCCTGACCCCTGCTCACATCGATGCCCTTGGGAAACAGTCACCTCCCAGGACCTCTCTGCCAGCATTGCCTGTGGAGTGGGGTCGGGGTAGAGGATGGGGCCACCTTCCACCCGGCAGGGCCCGGGACTGCGGCTGTGAAGGCTGCACGGCCTCGAACAGGGGCTCCCGTGGGAACGCAGGGCCCCCAGGTGCTGGGCCCTTTCCAGGAGCTGTCGCTGTCAGAAGTCAGGCTTTGCTCCCTTTCCACATCTGGGTGGGAGAGGCCTGGGAAAAGCTCTGCCTGCCTGCGTGTTTGATGGGTTAGGTGGATGGATGAGTGAGCGCTCCAGTGAATGAATGGGTGTTCCCATTCTCGCTTCTGCCGCCCCGTCCACTTTCTGGGTACTCAAGCGAACTGCCCCAGGCAGGAGTTAGACTCCCCAAGGTCAAGGAATGGCTGTGACTGGACTCACTTTCCTGGTGAATCTGGCGGTTGCCAGATTCTGAGAGTTTTAGTCCTGAGACCAGCACCTGCTCCAGCCAGTGTCTCAGCCACCCCCAGAGAAACAGTGGCCTCAGAAAAGGATTCTGGAAGAGGAAAGAGTGGCTGGCATTTCTGATATTTTTCCTGGGTCCTGACCAACTAAACCTAGAAGGAAGCAGCAGCTCTTACCCCCATCCACACCCCCAGATTTCTTCTAGGTAGAAAGCTGAAAGCATTGACAGTGAGAATTCAAATCCCTGTGGAGGTCAGTGAAGCCCACCCAGGCAGGCCAGGCCGAGACTCTCTGTCCAGAGCTTGCTGTGGGAGGGCAGTCACCACCATCACGTGCAATCTCAAAGCCTCTGAGTCACCATCACATGCAATTTCAGAGCCTCTGAGTCAGGCAGGGGATGGGGCCTCACTAAGGCAAAGGAAGCCCAGGTCCCGTGCAGGCTGCAGCTGGGTGTGCTGGGGGTGGCTCATCAGACGGGCGGTGAGGGGTTGGTGAGGGAGCATGTGTGGCTTTCTCTGGTTGGCTCTGAGTTGGAAGCGAGGACAAAAGCCATAGGACCTGTCGGTGATGGATGCATTCCTGGCCCTCTGGGGCCGGCTGGTCCAGGGATTGCGTTGTGGCTGCCTGAGTCGTCGCTAGAGGAGGTCTGACTTCTGGCAAGTCTGACTGTGGAGCAGGCCAGCCCCCTGGACTGGCTGCTGCAGGTGTGCTTGGCTCTGTTTTGATGGTTGTGCTCGTCATTGTTTGTATTTCAGCCTCTCCTATCTCAAAAAATTCAACCATCAGCAGTTACACATGGTTTTAAAACAAAGAGCTTCCTAACCTTGTTCCACTTGCTGGCTTCATCTCTACCTAAAGCGTTTTTCTAGCCCTGACCAATCTCCCCGAGGGTAGGGAGGCCCGTGGAAGGGTCAAGGCAGCCTTTCGCCCTGGGCAGCTCACCACGGGGTGGCTCGGCCTCCTGCCTCTCTTTGGCCCCCAAAGCCCTGACTGCTCTCCGAGCAGGAACGCGCCTCCCCGCAGCTGGGCCTCCATCCGCCCATCTCAGGGAATCCCAGGGTGTCTGCAGCTTGAGGAGTTTGGGTCCCCAGGAGGCCACTCCCAGCTTCGGGCATGGAGTGGACTGGGTCACACTGGGACAGGTCAGGGACTGTGGGTACAGTTGTTAGAGATGGAGAGTTGCAGAGACAGCCCATCCGCCATGGACGGGGGTGATCCCCAGTAACAATGGGGCAACCGAAGCCAGAGTTGGCCAGGAAGTTCAGACAGTGCCCCAGGAGGGCTCACTTCTTAGGGCTGGTCAGCTGAATCCTGTCCTCTGCCTGCCCCAATCTGCCCTGGGGACAGGGCATTTGCCCTTGGTGGGTGCTCTGTTACTGCTGACCTGCTGTGCCTGCTCACAGCTATAGAATCCTGACTCCTGGACATGGCTGGCTGGAGTGGGACAGAGACCAGTGACTGAGGCTGGGCTGTCTTTGGCCCCCAGTACCTGGCAGTGTCTGGTTCAGATGAGTGCCCAGTAAATGCTTGCCATTCAAATGCATATCCACTCTTCTCCAAGACCCCATCTCACTGGACACCACGACTGTTTAGGAACTTGGAATTCCTAAGATTGGTGCTTCCGTCCAATCACTGGCCCCAGCGGACAGAGCCTGAGTGGCAGCGCCCAGCCCCTTGGCTGGGATCCTGGGGCGCCCGCGGCTAAGAGGCAGGTGGCACGCAGCTCTGGTCCGGCAGCTCCGCAATACGAGGCCATGTCCCTGAGGTTGTCCTGGCCTCTCTTCAAGCTCCTGCCTCATGATCAAGGATGGTGTCCACAGTGCCAGACGCCTCGTCCACTCCCAGGGCAGGAGGCGGGGGTGCAGGCCTGGACACTGGTTCCCCTTTTATCAGGAGGAGCAAATTCCTTGCAGAGCTGGTAGACTCCTCCTACCTTACAGGGCTGTAGCCCACCTGGCCACAGAGGGCCTCACTGGGGGCACACATTGCCAAAACCCAGCTCTGTGAGCGAGAAAGAGGGACAGCGCGGCTGCTGGGCGAGACACCAAGAGCCCAGGACAAAGCATTTTTCTCGGGCGTATTGGTGGCATCTTCATTTCCAGCCTCTTCCCCTTTACCTTTGAATTCCGCACGAGCTGGTCCTAGAGAGACCAGACACCCACTTTGCCTGGGGCTGAGGAGCTCCTCTTTGAGGGACTTTTTGGGCTAAACCCAGAGGGCCCCAGCAAACCAGGACCCACTGCTCAGCCCAGCACTGCAGTCTGGCCTGGTGACTGTGCTGCAGAGACAGCGGTGACTCTCGGTTGCCACAACACCTGGCCATGGCCCAGGATCCGTGCTGAGCGCCTTCTGCATACACTGCTTTATTGGACCCTCAGAAAAGCCCACAGGCAAATACATACCCCCGTTTTACAGACAGGAAACCCAAGCTCAGAGCCGTGAGGATGCTTGTCCAAGATCACATTCTGGTGGGAGCAGAGCCTGTGTGTTTTTTCTGGGTCTCTCAGACACAAAGCTCAGGGCTCTCATGGTAAAAGCTCCCTAGGAGGACCCATAGGGACGTAAAAGAAGAAAATGAGGCTGTGTTGACACAGAGATCAGGAGCGACGCTTACTCACACACAGAGGGCAGCTTTGGGAGAGCCTCAGAGATGGGACAGAGGGACCCAGGGCAGGAAGGAGACTTAGGACCACGTGTGGGCCAAGTGTCCAGCCTTGTACCTTTGGGGGGCAATGTTCAGTGTCCAAAACGTCCAAATGGTCTCAGTTTTTCTGAAATTATTGAGGGAGGCAGCGGCCTGCCCACCCAGAGAAGGTTCGTTCGAAAGTCAAGTCCCACATCCCCTGGGTTCCCGGAGTTCCTGTTTCCCATTCACTGTGTGTACAGATGGCCTTAGGGGACAGGAGCCAAGGGCCAGCCCTGCAGGGCCGACTCCAACGTGATCTTGTGTGCTTCCCCCAAGATGAAATTCTGGTCCAGGAGATTTTGGATCTGAATAAAACAACACCGAGCAAAATGCCAAGTACAGCATCCACATTATCAACACCGATACGTAAAGAGAAAAGCAAGCACACCCCTTTCTAACCCTCTAATTGCCCTTATTCCTGGAGGTCTGTGGTATGGAATATGTGACCCTATAATTTGAGCATTAAGACCAGCTACTTCTGGGGCAAGGGCACATGGAGATGTGAACAATATGGCATCTAAAACCATTTCTACAGCTTCCCGAGACAGAGGAAGTCAACCCTAGACTGGCAGGGATAATTCCCTTTACTCTGGGATCTCTGGAGTGCATGTTCAGGCACGTTCTCGCCCTCGGGAGCCACTGCAGGAACACAGGGCACAAGAACCTGAGAACCCTGCACTAACCAACACTTTACAGTTCCTCCCACACACGCCCATGCTCTCACTTCACGCTCACCCAAGGCTTCTGAGAGAGCAGGGCAGTTATCATCATCGCATTTGACAGAAGGTAAAACCAAGGTCTAGCAAATGACTTGCCCAAGCCACACAGTGAGTCATGAACCAACACAAAGAATGGCCTTCCCCAAGTGCAGCTTCACATGGTCAAAGACATATGCAAGGAAATAGAACAGCACATTTAGAACCAAGACAGAGTACTGAATCAACAGTTGCCAAGGAGAGAACTGGGAATCAGAAATCCCCACGCAGTGCATGAAAGTGTATTCGGCAGCAGGAAAGTTCAGCACTCTCTTGAAATCTTGCACCCAGAATGTAAATTCCAGTTCCTAGGATTGGTTCACCTGCCATCTGCCAAGGTCCACACTGTTGGTTCAAGGGAGTCAGAGGACACCTGACTCTGTTTACACATTCACTTGCCAACACACATTTCCAAATAGAGCTTGCAAACCGTATTAGCATCCCATCCCTGCATTTTAAAATAAAGCATGGGCCAAAAATGTTTATACATGTGTAATCAAGAAAACTTTTCCCCATCCCATTTTTTCCATGTTCTTAATCAAAGAAGTCCATATTAAAGAGGATTATGACAACAGCACTTCTCAGAAACATCAGAAAAAGCTACCCTCTTCTGGGAATACAGGCAGATTTTCCTTCGATGGTAATTTCAGCCTTGCAATTACCCCTGCCCAAGTCCAGCTGTAACGGAAGAGGCAGGAGGCAGGCAGACGCAGGCAAAAACATCTCCTTTGTGGAGGATAAACCCTTGGTGGAAGAATGTGCCCGCTGCCCCCAGTTGGGCAGATCTCCCGGTCTCTGTCAGGACTGAGGGACCCCTAGCACCCCCCACCCCCTCCCATGGGGCCAACCCTGGAAAAACCACAGCCCAGAGAAGCACAGCAGAAATGTCTCGTGGGCAGGCAGATGTCAAGACAGGGAGGCAGGTGCTGCCACAATGCCTGGTCCTCTCTCCCAAAGCTTCAGCTATGTCACTTCTCCTCCCCGGGGCAGGCGCAGAGAAAGCCAGAGTGCCCCTGGAGGGTTCCCTCAGGAGTAAGGAAAAGCCTCCCTCCAACAGATGAGTTTGCTGCGAAAAATACAAGTGTGCAAAGGCTCAGAGGGTGAGGCACTTAGACTCCATATGGTGTGAAATATCTCCTCTTTATCCTAGAGATTCAAATCCAGAAAGGACACCTGCCCAGCACACATGTGCAGGATGTCTGTGGTATACCCCACACCCAGGACCAGGTCACAGCTCCCGAGCCTAATTATGCTCCAGGCACCAGGGAGAAGAGCTTATTAAATATCCATCCCTGAGTCAAGCATCTCTGTTGGGTCCCAGGAATCTGCATCCCAACCCATTCCTCAAACAGTCCCCCAGTAAGCCAGCCTCTGGAGCCGGGAAGGATTGAACTGGAGATGTTCTGGGCTTATGCAAGAATAAGATTCTATTTAAACCTAACATTCTTAGTATCTCTGAATTTTTCCCACTCATTGGCTTGTGCAAATTGCCTGATGGTTATGGGTTAAATATCACTGGGCATCTCCTTGGCAGGCGAGGTCACAGGTGAGTCTACAGGAGGGACCTCAGGATCCAGCTCTGTGAATCAGACCCATGAGCGCACTGAAGGAATGAGAGGAAATAAGAACAGACTGAAGCCGTGAGGCCGAGGCTGAGATGGAGTCAACGGGGAAGGTCTGAGTCTGGGGAAGCGGCAGAGGAAGAGGGGACAGCATAAGGCACACCTGGCTGTCAGAGAAGCCACAGAGAAAGAGCCCTCCAGGGCCCTGGGGCCACAGCCGCCCTCTGAGGGCATGGTGGGCATGAGGGCAGCCCAGGAAGTCAGCCCACACAGTCCTGAGCCTCCACCATGTCATTGCTGCCTCCTCTGCTCAGCCCTAGAGGCCGCTTCAAGGCCTCCAGGTGGAGCCTTCCTCCCTACACAACTCCTGAGCTCGGGACAGCACCAGACTCCTTTGGGCCCCAAAAGCCACACTCTAGTGTAAATGAATCAATGTAATTGAATTGTTCTGCCCCTAACCACCAAGCCAAGACCAGCTGCATTAGGGACTGAGAGAAAAGAAAGGTAAGTGATGAGTTTGGGATAATGGGGAGGGCCAGTCTAGAAGGGGATGTGAGGACACACAGAGGCTAACATGACAGCCTGGTAGACTGGGGAGAGGGAAGGCGTGGTGCCTAGAGATGCCAAGCAAAGGGAGGGCAGGGGAGATTGGAGAGGAGCGTCCCCACGTAGGGTCTGCAGTGAGCAACAGATACTTGGTGACGTGGTGTATCAGTCTGTTCTCACGCTGCTGTAAGGACATACCCAAGACTGGGTAATTTATAAAAGAAAGAGGTTCAACTGACTCACAGTTCTACAGGGCTGGGGAGGCCTCAGGAAAACTTACAATGGCAGAAGGGGAAGGAAACGTCCTTCTTCGCATGATTGCAGGAAGGAGATGTGCTGAGCAAAAGTGGCAAAAGCCATTATAAAACCATCAGATCTCATGAGAATTCACCCACTCTCACGAGAACAGCAGCATGGGGGTAACCGCCCCTATGATTCAACTGCCTCCCACTGGGTCCCTCCCATGACATGTGGGGATTATGGGAACTACAATTCAAGATGAGGTTTGGGTGGGGACACAGCCAAACTGTATCACATGGCATCTCAGAAAGCCACCAGTCTGCAATAGCTGCTCAGTGGGCAACTGATGGCAAATTTAAGATGTTAAGTGGCTCTTTGAATATTCAGACTTTTTGTTTGTCCAAATATTTGGTTGAGGTGGGCTCCTCTACCCTCACAGTCACCAGGGGACAAGCAGGCTGAGGGCCCTGGGCAGGAACAAGGCTAGTGGTGTCACTTACCCCTCTTACATATGGGGACACATGGCAGAGGCCTCACATCCTTAGGCCCAGGCCCACCGTGACGGGGGAGGCCTTCCTAGGAGCACCCATCACAGCTTCCCATCAGAGCGCTTCCCGTGGGGACCGTGCAGCAGGTGGGACCGCAGGTGTTGCTGTTTGCATGGTCAGAACGGCCCGGTGCCCACCACTCCCTATGGCCTGTCCAGCCCTTGGAACTTCTCTGGGCGGTGTTCCAGGCTCCCTGAAGGGTCAGGCCGCCAGGCTGGTGTCCATTTTGCTTCTCTCCACCCTCGATTCTGGAAACGCCCCAGCTATGCAGGAGCAGATGCAAATCCCAATGCTCCTGGCATCAAAGACAGGGCATTTCCTTGGCTGGGCTGCCCCTTCCAGAATCCCACTCCTCCTCTTCAAACAGACGCACCTGACAAACACCTGATATGAGGCCTGGCTCCCAGTAGTGGGTTTTGTATCCATTTATTCCACAGGTAGGGCCATCCCAAGGATCCTGGTCCTCATTGTTTAGGGCCAGCCTGAGCTCCATCACTGACTGCTCCAGAGTGCAGCCTCTGCAGAACCGGCCCTGGGCCCCGCACCCTGCAGTTATGAGGCAGAGAGTTTTCAAAGTGGGGCTCAAAGGAACGAAAAACTCTCAGTTGTTACAGCAGGGAAAACCCTGTGGACACTGACCCCTTTCATCCCCTGGTTAGGCTAGCTTCCTTACACAATGGAAAACCTGCAGACACTCACTGGCTCTGCTCCTGGGGCTAGGCTAGCTTCCTTACACAATGGAAAATCTGCAGACATGACGACGAGGGAAGATGGAGCCTATCATGTGATTTCTCCTTGTTCTGATGCTGATCTTTTTTGGCATAGTCTTTTATATTTGGCTTCTTAATGACATCAATCATATTCTAATGGACGTTCCAAGAATGGTCTCAGAAGATAAAGGAAAAGTGGCACACAGCAGTGACTTCACTTCACTTGCCGGTGAAGAGACAGAGGGTGGTAGGTCTACACTCTCAGATCCAACCAATTCTCTCAGCATCTGTTGGAGCTGATGGGGCGTGGAACAAGGTTTATGGTGGCTCTCTGGGACTGGGCAGGGTCGAAGCTAATGGCCTGGGGTCTAGAGCCCCATGGCCTGGCTGAAAGGAAAAACAAGAGCTTGGAGTTAAGTCATCATTTTTTGTCAAATCTTGATCATTGTCCTGAATTTTTTCCACAGAAGAGGAGAGAGAAACAATGTGTGAGATGAAAAGCCTCACAGCTCTGGAAAAGGTCATTGACACTCTTCCAAGAGCTTTAGGTAAACAGAATGTGAGACCCTTCTGATGACAGTTAAGTGCCAGAATGGTTGCTGCTAGGGGATTTCTTTTCCCACTCAGCAGACACGTGTGTCTCTGAGCAGCTCCAGGAAGAGCAAGTGAGTCCAGCCCCCAGGTGGACCCGCCTGAGCTCCACGGGAGCCCCGTCCAGACATTCACCTGTCCCAACAAGTCCAAATTCAAGGAGTCGCAGGCCACATCAATGAAAGCACGCTCTCTCTTCTCAGCCCAGGAATAATCAGGACTCACAAGGCTGCCAGCACCCACCTACTCAAGGGTCTCAACCATGTGATGACGGGAGCCTTCTCCCCCATGACAGGCCCAGAAAGGGCCCCCACACCCCCTTCAGGAGGCCCCCCACCCTCTCGTGGGGTGGGGACCCCCAGTCCAGCCCTTCTCCACTCCCTGTTCACACAGCTCCACCACTGTCCACCTGCTAAGAGTTGGCCATGCAGATCCTGTGGCTTCTGTCCCTGGCCCCAGGCTTCTCAGAGCTTTCCAGAACACCTGGGAGCCAGTCCTGGGTGAGGCTGACAGCCCTCTTGTCCTCCCGGTATCCCTGAGTCACATGGCAGCCCAGTGTGCCCAGCCCCTCCCCCCATACCCTGCAGCACTTGCCCGTCCACGCAGCCTGAGACCCTCCGTCTGGAGCGCGTCACACCATGAATCCCGAGCTGCTGTCTGTGAACTCCAAAGACTTTGGCAAATGAGCCATTGCCGAGCCACATGGCTGGCTTTTCATAGCCCGAGCACAGAGCCAGACATTGAGACCCTGTCACCTTCACTCACCTCCACTGGTGCTTCCCAAGCACCCACCACGTGCCAGGCACTGTCCTAGGCTCTGGGGTTTCTACATAAAACAGAGAGCCCTGCCTGGGAGCTTACCTGCTAGAGAACAGTTAGGTGGGCCTCCCTGTCCCCTCTTAAAGCATTGGGGTTCTGACTTTTCCATCCAGCCTGTCGGCTGCTGCTCCCAGCCCCTCACTGTCCACAAGCGTGGGAAGCCGGCCAGCTCGTCCTTTGTTAAAATGCCGAAGAGGACGGTCCCGGGAAGCGTCGCTGGAGACCTCCCTGCTACACCAGTTGTCATCGAGCACAGGCCAGGAGCTTCTCTGAAGTGGGGCCCCTAGCCCCCCATGTTCAGACTTTGCCAGGCCAGTGTCAGTCCCAGGACCACAAAACCCCAGGCCACAAGGTCTGCTCGTGCCCCAGCAGCAGGGACCAGGCCAACACACGCGGTGTAGAAAGGGCAGTGAGCGGTCGTTCAAGCTACAGCCAATTTCCCAGATTGTGCTGCTGTCCAGGACAACCTCTGCTGCTTTAGATACAATTTCATGATTGACCTTGTCAAGATTCCAGTTCCCTGGGACTTGACTGTTCTGCAGGGAGAACCACAAATTCTCCTATAACTCTAACAGCAAAAGACAGGGGCCTCTGCACTGATGAAGCTCCTGTACGTCACCAGCACCTCTAGGTGTGGCCGTCGGCAACAGAAGCCCCGGAGGTGACAGTGGGGACTTCCAGAGCCCTGGCAATGTTGGACAGTGAAGAACCAGGAGTCCCCAACCTCCTGGTACTGACATCCCAGGAATGAGATCCACAGCCGGCCGCTGTGAGGGGAGGAGGAGGAGGACCAGCCCAGCTCCGCCAAGCTTGGAGTTGTCAATGGGTTTTGAGGGAGAATGCAGGGGAAATGACACTGGACAGGGTGGCCCCACAGGAGAGCCAAAGGCAGCCTGACGCAGCCAGCGCCCCCTCCGTCCTCCTGCCCCGGACACATCCACAGGGCTCTCCCCTCCCTCCACAACTGAGGGCTCAGTTCCTCCTGTCCCCTGGTGTCCCCCCAATCCTGCTGGTGCCCATCTCCCCTCACACTGCACGCTGCCAGGCTCATCTGAGCCCCCACCCCCATGCCCATGCCAGCCTGGCCCTCTCTGGGCCTCTTGAATCCTAGCACACCCGGAGCACCCCCAGGGGCCATCCCAGCACCTCCCACTCAGATGACCAACCGGCCTCATTCCATTCAAGGTGCCTCTCCCTGTCTCTCCTTCCAGTCACCCAGCGCCTTCCTGGGAAACTGAAAGCAAGAATTCTGCTCCCTGAGCCCCACACCCACTCATAGAGCCAGAGGATCAGGCTCTGTTGGGGGCTGGGTGGGGCTGGAGCACAGGCTTGGAGCCGGTCTGACCTGGGTTCCAATCCCAACTTGGCCCCTATGAGCTGTGTGACCTTGGGAAGACCTTGGGCAAATGACCGCGCATCCTAAGCCTTCTTCATCTTCAAAGTGGGATAATCACAGCACCTGTACTGGGTGTTGAGGAGATGGAAGGAGATGCTGTCTGCAGAGGGTTGAGTGCAGGGCCCGGCACACAGGGAGCGCTTGGTACTCACCCCCTGCACCTGGGGAAGGCCACCCTGTGCAGCCCTAAGAAGGCATCTGTGTGGGGCGTGGACACTCAAAGAAGGGGAGTCTAATGCTACCAGCCACACCCGTCAGCCTCACAGCCCATGCTTATTGGTGGAGTGAGCCACGGTGGGTCTGAAACATAGGCTCTAAGAACAGTTAATGAAACACCCAGTTTCTCAAGAAACTCTGTTCTTTCCAACAGGAGATCATCTAAAGCAGAAGAGAAAGCTGCATGAAAGTGTACTGAGAGCCAGTTACTACAGGCGGACGCCACGCCAGGCTAGGACTAGGGCCGCCGGCAGAGCCTGCACTCTCCACTCACTCCCACCCTTGGGGCAGACGCCGAATTATGGAACATTCTGTATAAAGGAAAACTGTCTTATTCTAAGGATGACAAACAAAATAAACATATTTAAATATTAAGTTAGAGGCAACATGGTTTTTTTCCTTAATAAAAAGAGATGAAAACCTAATTAACTCTGGAAAATAACAGCATTCGAAGCTTGCTATTGTCTGATAGCATAAGCTTTGAAGAAACATAACCTCAGAGCCTGCGTATTTGTCAGCGTTCTCTAGGGAAACTAATAGGATGTGCGTGTATGTGTGCGTGTGCATGTGTGTGTGCGTGTGCATGTGTGTGTGCGTGTGTGTGGATGTGTGTGCGTGAGTGTATGTGTGGTGTGTGTGTGCATGTGTATTTGTGTGTGTGAATATATGCGTGTGTGTATGTGCGTGTGTGTGAGATATTTATAATATGGAATTGGCTCATGTGATTATGGAGGCTGACAAGTCCCAAGACCTGCAGAGTCTACAAGCTGGAGACTCAGGAAGAGCTAATGTTTCAGTTCCAGTCTTAAGGCAGGAAACAGCCCATGTCCCAGCTGCAGGCAGGCAGGAGGAGTTCCGTGTATTCAGAGCAGAGCCAGCCTCTGTCCTGTTCAGGCTTTCAGAGTTGGAGGACACCCACCACCCATCTAGGGAGCCCCGTCTGCTACAATCAAGCTACACACTCAAATGCGAATCTCTCCCAAAACACCCTTACAGACACACCCAGGAGAATGTTTGACTGAATATCTCAGGATATCACAGGCACCCTGTGGCCCAGTCAAGTTGACACATAAGATTCACCATCACAGCCCGTGATGGATTATGTCTAAGAACAGAGTCTAGGAAAGTCTGCCCTCTCACCCTTTCCTACTGCAGCACATTGCAAAACACACATACACAGGTGCAGAATATGTGTGCACACAGAGAACACCACTGCCTCCTGGTGCTCAGCAAGGGCTCTTTGCGCTTTTGTGGTGTGGAGAGGGAACAGCATTACCAAAGTGTCTGGGTTGAGTGTCACAGAAAGCCAGGGCTCATATTCTGCCTCTGTGTAGTCAGGCTAGTCACGACCAGGGGCCAAACTCAAAGGTTGTTAACAGTATTTTGAATGTCAGCCCTGAAGGAAACCAAAGTCTCTACAGAGGAAAACAAAACAAAACAAAACAAAAAACAAAACGCTTTCCAATTCCCAGGAAATGACTCACTTTCAAGAAATTTTCAATGCATTGAAATTCCAGTTTATCAAAAGGGAAAAAGTTATGGTGAAGAGAGAATGGAAGGTCGTTGGGGAGCTGGCAAAGACTTGTAGAGATAAACCCTGTCATCAGTATTTCACCTGCAAAGGACTCGACTCACCAACATTCTCTGGGAAACAAGAACCTTTCTTTCAGCAACTGTCAGCTTGTTGCAAGTTTTTGTATGCAAACTGGTTCTGGCTGTAGACAAGCTGTACCTACCTCTGTTCAACACATTGATATGATCAGGCTGGGGGGTGTTATTTACATTAAAGTGTGTGATTTTTCCCATTTCTCCAGAAAGGCAGGAGAAGTTCATGATCGTATCTTAGAACATCTCTAGATAGAGAACTTTTGTTCCCTAGGGACAGTCTTAGCAATGGATTGGTGTTCTTTCCAAAACACCATTCCAAAGGCGGTTAGAAATGGAATCAAATGATGCCATTTTATTTGTAATTCCAGCTGTGCTCTCTTCTGAAAAGACAAAAATGTCCCATCACCTCTTTCCATGATGTCCTGCTACTGACTTACTCAGTAACTAGTGAGTCACTAGTCGCTGCCTCAGTTTTCTCATCTGGACACAAGGGGTTGCATGAAAGGCCTGGAAGGGCTATTCCAGTAAAAACAGTCTCTGATTCGAATCCCTCAGTCCTTTGTTTGCCCTTCCAGTAAGTCGGTAGCAGGGCAGGATGCAAATATTTCTGATGCCCAACACTATCCTATTTCTACTAAACCATTCCATAATTGTTTATCAATAAATGGATCAACAAATGGATATTTCACTGTTTATTTAGTTATTTATTTATTTATTTTTGAGACGGAGTCTTGCTCTGTCACCCAGGCTGGAGTGCAGTGGTGTGATCTCGGCTCACTGCAACCTCTGCCTCCCAGCTTCAAGCGATTCTCCTGCCTCAGCCTCCCAAGTAGCTGGGACTATACAGGTACCCGCCACCACGCCCAGCTAATTTCTGTATTTTTAGTAGAGACAGGTTTTTGCCATGTTGGCCAGGCTGGTCTCGAACTCCTGACCTCAGGTGATCCACCCACCTTGGCCTCCCAAAGTGCTGGGATTACAGGCATGAGCCACCACATCTGGACTTCATTTTTGTTGTTGTTCTTTTTTTAATTTTTAGTTTTTCCTCAGCTCTCCCCTCAACAACTGGATATTTCAAAAAGTGACTATTTCAATGTGAATTATTTTCTTTGTCTTTTGGCTTTATACTTGACTTCCAAGAAACATTTTTTGTGATTGATGAATTGTTCCCATGCACATTACATCACTGAATCCTCACAAAAGTGCTGTTAGATAGACATCACCTCCACTTTATATGAGGAAGACTGAGGACTCAGAGATAACCAACAACTTACTCACCGTCACACCATCATGTGGCCAGTGGTCAGTGGGGATCAACATTCCAGCCCAGGCCTTCCAATCCAGAAGCCACAATCTCCCCACTAAATTTCTTAAAATCATGACCGCATCATTGTTTGCCAATCAGGATATTTTGATGGAATCAATTTTCCCCCAGGGAATGCTCTGACACCATACTGACCCCAGATAAGACTGTATTAGTCCGTTTTCATGCTGCTGATAAAGACATACCTGAGAGTGGATAGTTTATAGAGAAAAAGAGGTTTAATGGACTCACAGCTCCATGTGGCTGGGGAGGCCTCAAATCATGGCAGAAAGTGAAAGGCATGTCCTACCTGGCTGCAGACAAGAGAGAATGAGAGAATGAGTGAAAGGGAAAACCCCTTATGAAGTCATCAAATCTCATGAGACTTATTCACTACCCTGAGAGCAGTGTGGGGGAAACTGCCCCCGTGATTCAATTATCTCCCACCAGGTCCCTCCCACAACACATAGGAATTATGAGAGCTACAAATTCAAGATAAGATTTGGGTGGGGAAACAGCCAAGCCATATAAAAGACAAAATATACAAATTCTCTTTCATTATCTCGCTATAGGTTGAACAAGTGTGCTTGACCTTTTCCTTTCCTGTTCTACCCCTAAATCTTATAACATCTCTCATTACAGTAATTTTCAAAACTAAAACTTTAATAATTTAATATTTTGGTCACATAAAAATGTTTCCAATCTAAGTGACAGTATCAAAAAACAGCTGAATCAACATGTTGGGTCCTTGGCAGCCAAATTTTCATCCTCACCCAGTGGCAATGAGGGAGCAATGCTAGTGGCAATGCCAGTCACAGCCAAATTCTGCCCCACCTCCTTCCCATACTGGCAGGGCCCAGCAGGGAACTGAACATCCACCCCCACCCATGCCTACATGCAATGCATAAACAGGTAAGTGCCTGTCCAAAAAGACTGAAGAGGACCCACAGTCTTACAACATGATGCTGAAAATGTTCGGGGCATGATTTCAAAACTGCTGAATATACCAGGAACTAGGATGATTGCAACTTGAATAAGAAAAGACAATAAACAGATGCTGTAGTGGGTTGAAACAGTGGCCCACAAAAAGATAAGCTATGTCCACCTTTTGGAACCTACAAATACAGCCTTACTAGGAAGTAAGATCTTCATAGATGTAATTAAGTTGAGGCTTTTGAGATTTGATAACCCTGGGTTCCAAATTCGCCAACACATGTCCCCATAAGAGGAAGGCAAAAGGAGATTTGAGTCAGAGAAAAGGAGAAGGCCATATGAAGATGGAGGCAGAGACTGGACCTATGCAGCCCCAAGTCCAGGAATGCTGTCAGTCACCAGAAGGAAAAAGCAATGAATGCAATCTTCCATGGAAGACCCTCTGGAGAGAGTATAGCCCTGCTGACACCTTGATCTGTCTTCTGGCCTCCAAAACTGTGAGAGAATAAATTTATGTTGTTTTAGGCCACACAGTTTGTGTTGCTTTGTTATGGCAGCCCTAGGGAACCAATACAGATGTGAACACTGAGATGATATCTGACATGATTTTAAAGCAACAATTCTAAAAATACTTCCATAAGCAATTATAAACCCTCTTGAGACAGAATTGAGAAGCTTGGAGATAAAAGCAACAGGTTGCCTCTTTCCCGCCCACCCCCTCCACCCCACCAGGTTTGAATGAGCACCCCAAGGGCCTGGTCTGTTACAGACAGATGAAACGTTTTATTTAAAGATAGGAGGGCCAGGACTGGGGCTGTGTGAGGGCTTGCTTTAAATCCTCCACTGCCTTAATTTCTTCTGGGGACCTTTGCAAGGGGTTGGGTTCCCTTTTTAGTAACTTAAAATACAGAATCTTTGTCCTTTGAACATATGAGTCCATCCATAACCTACAGTAGCCAGTTAAACCTAAAAAGTTTTGGAGTTCTCTCTTTGTCTTAGGCAAGGGCAGACCCACTATTCCCGATATTCTCTCTGCGTTTATTCTCTGCTTTCCTTCACTAATTAGGTGTCCTAAATATTTAACTTCTCCTACAAATTGCGATTTGGTTTTGGAGACTCGCAACCCCTTTTCCCCTAGGAAATTAAGTAAGCTTATGGTGGCTTCTGATACCTCGGCCCTCCTTTCCCCAGAAATTAGAAGATCATCCACATATTGTAACAGCTGGGTTTCTTTGGATGGTTGGAATTCCTCCAGAACTTTTTCTAAGACTTGACCAAGTAAGTTTGGGGCTTCCGTGAAAACTTGTGGCAGCACAGTCCAGTGATACCTCTGCTTTCTCCCAGTTATGAGGTTTTTCATTCAAAGGCAAAGAGGTCCCTACTCTTAGAGTCTAGGGGACATGGCCAGAATGCATCTTTCAGATCCACTATGCTGAACCACTTATGTTTATAGAGTATTTTATTAAGGTGGGTGTAGGGGTTAGGCACCACAAGATGTCAAGTTTGGACAATTTTATGTATAGACCTTAGATTTTGCACTAATCTGTATGACCCATCTGGTTTCTTTACTGGGAGAACTGGAGTATTGTATGGTGACATACAGGGTTTCAATAACCCATCTTTTTTTTAGTATGAAATCAATTTTTATTTTTAACTAAAAATAAATGCTTAACATCTTTCCAAAATCAAAACTAAAGACAAACAAACAAAAAAAAAGGGTGGAAACATATTTTTTCTTCCCTGGGGAAACCACTAAGGCAGATATTGTAGCACAGCTTGGTTTTTTCCAGAGGACTAATCCATGCAAACAGAATCTCTCTCCAGCTTGTCAGTTTTATCTACCTGGCAAGAAAAAACAAAAACAACCCCTCCCCACAAACACAACACAAAACAAGAGACTAAAAAATTTGGGAAAAAGCTTTTAATGCATTTCTGCAAAATCCTTTCTGAGGAGGTTTAGTACAGGTACTACCCACCAGCAACTTAGCCAGCCAGGTGAGTTGGTGCAGAAGCGCTTAGGGTGAATTAATACCAGAGTCACCGTGTGTGACTCAGCCACCTCTCCCAATTACCACAAGGAGGTCTTAAAATTGAATTTCAGTTTCAGCAGATATTTCAGATTTACCTGAGCAATATCATAGACAATGTACTCATTATACAGTAGACAGGTGTCATTCACACCAGATGAAACCCTGGTCCCAAGAGGAACCTCTACACCATCCAGTGGGATACTAGCTGAAAGGTCAGGAGTAGTTTTGCCCAAACCTTTGACACTGTGCTTGCCCTTGGGTAACTTGCTGATATGTGAAGCATGCTTCAGTTCACACACGTTTCCAAGGGCAACTTCTTCCGACAGGATTAACCCTATTGGGTCTTCCTAAGATGTATGGCAGTCGTTGGCACTCTTGGAGACAAGATCAGCGAAATAGATCACTTTACCAAACATGTAGCCCATCACAGGTGCTTCAGGCAGGGCTATCCAAAGACCCAGGGACAGGATCCCAGCAAAGTTGGTGGTCCTGGACCCATGCCACAGCAACCTTCAGTTATGAAGCTGCTTAAAGGGCTTGTAGTGCTGGCACTCCTCTTCACACTCTATCTTAAAGCTATCAATGACTTCCAAGTCATATGCATCGTGTGTGGTTGGTTGCATGAGTGTTCTTAACATACTTCCTGATGATCTCAGCTTCTTCAGAATCTCTGTCAACCACCTTAATGTCAGTTTTGAGCTTCTCATAGTTGACATCGATGGAGTCCTTCCTGCTATCGTGAGACCCTCCCCTGAGCAGACCGTAGGCTACCTCAATGTCCAGCAGGTTGTCCAGCATTTCTACCTTGGCCTGCACACTGTCTGCATTGTTCAGGAGCAGAGGATCCTTCATCCCAAAGTCGTGGGGGATCAGGATGTAAAAGCGATTTGAGAAATCCAGGATCTGAGAGTCGCTGCTGCCCTGGGACACCACCTGCTGGACCTGAGGATGGAGTACGCGGCCTGGATTTGCCTTTTGCTCAGCTTCCCCAAGGGCATCTGAAGGTCGATCTCACACCCCACCATGGCTTTGCTCATACTTTCCACATCAAAGATCATCTTGATGAGGTCCTGAACTGGCTTGGGGAGCATGGACTTGGTGCCAGGATTTACTGTCGGCTTCTTCACCGCCTCTTTGTCCTGGCCGTAGTCAATCTCCAGGGGGTAGAACTTTTTGGGATACTTTGTGAATTTTTGGAGTGCCAAGCATTCCTAGTTTTTCTTCATATAATTTCATGAAGTGTTCAGTGGTGTCCTCCTTGGACAGCATCTGTTCCAGTTTGTTGCTACCGATCACCGTGCCCACACGGTCCCAGGACTTGAATATCCAATGCCTGCTTTCCTTGTCATCCTTCAGCAACTTCAGCTTGTAATAGGAGTTGGTTCCTTTAACGACGTCCACCAGGCTGAGGGTGGCACTGAAGACCTTCCCACCTTTCTCCAGAACATGTGCAGAGTGTTCCAGACCAGAGTCAGGATCCACAGCTGCTCCTCCTTTAAGAGTTAATTTCATTCTCTTTTCAGATTTGTTGATACCTTCCTCCTTGACCTGGCCCTTGCTTTTTTTGGAGAGCACAGCTCCTGACTTCCCTCTTGGGGCTACGACTTCAACAGGCTCTGCCTTCACTTCTGCCCCCCAGGGGGACAAGATGTGCGCTGAGAACAACTCCTGGAGCCCCTTGGTGGAGGCAGAGAAGTCCTGGAGGAAGTCCTCAGACACAGCTCAGATGTTGGCTTCTTTCACTTCCTCCATCTTCTTCTTCTTCTTTTCCACCTCCTCTTTAGTGCTGATGCACGGAGAAGCCTTGTTGGCCGTCCCCATCAACTTTCCCCCGAGTTTCTCAATCGTGGCCTTCACTTCATCCTTGTTCCGGGAGAGCTTCCCAAGAGTAAGGATCTTCATGTTGGATAACGGCTTATCTGCTGGAGCAGAGGCGTTCATGGCAGCAGGCTCGGAGGCTGTGGAGGGTGGGGGCATGGCCGCCACTGGGTCACTGGTTTCTGGGGGGAATATACGGTCCTGCTTTTTAACCTTAAATTTCTTGAGTTAAGAGATTTCTCGGTGGGATCACCTATTCCTTCTGGTTGGGTGTCCATGTCTTGACCATACACTTGGTCCAGGCCGTGACGTCCCCGGTGCAGTAATAAGTGTCGCTCTTGAAGACCAGCTGACCTGAGCATTCCTCACAGGGAAGGAGGGCACCGAACGTCATGCTGTCAGCTACTCGGTCCAAGATCGCCGACTCCCCGGAAGGCACCTGCTGCCTGTTGAAGATGAGCATCTCCTTCAGGTCATTAATAGAGCACACTTTCATTAGCTCGTCCTTGATGTTCCAGATCAGGTCGTTCTGGGCCTTTAGGGCCTTTTCAAGCTTACCATCCTCGTCTTTTTCTTTTTTAGATTTCTTCTTGGCCACTTCATCCACTCCATCCACCTCATCGCCTTCTCTCTTTCCTTCACTCTTGACTCCTGGGAGCTGCTTCTTCAGGGTTTCTTTATCCTCTGCAGCGAGGAGGCTGAAGCCCTTGAGCTGACTCGCACTGTACTCAGGCTGGAAACCCAGCTCCTCCCTGTTCTTGACAAAGCAGCCTGGGTGGTACCAGGGGTCAATCATGCCTAGCTGAGGCTTCTCAGGGTCCAGCATCTTCTTGGATAGGCGCATCTGGCCCTTTTCTATCTTCTCCATAACACCTCTTGCACTTGCTTCTGCTGGACTTGGCCTACTCTGCTGCAAAGTCACCCAGCGTCTTCTCTGCCTTGCTACCAATTCCATTCTGGCCTTTGCCCGTCACTCCTCCAGCGTCAGCTGTCTTCTTGACTTTCTGCTGGTCATCCCACCAAAGCTCAGAGAATCCATCCACCTCAACGTCAGGGTGCCGCATGGAGTGGCCCACCTTCCGCAAGCAGGAGAAGTGGTACCAGTGTGGGACTTCTCCATCAAACATGGACTATTGCACCATGATGGCCATCCGCAGCGAGTCCTTGGGGATGCTCTCGCTGCATTTCTTGCAAGAGGTGCGCCCGCTCTTGGTGTACTCCACTCAGTAGAGCTTATCCGAGGACTCTGCCATCCTCCCACAGTTGCCGCCAAATCCCAGGAGCCCGACGCGACGACCTGGAGACACGCGCTTCCGCCGCCTGCGCCTGGAGCTTCCGCCTTGCCGCCCCGCCCACACTCACCTGGCCGCAGGCTCCCGAGTACCCAGCTCAATAGTTCGTCTTTAATTTGTCCTTCTATTACCGGTTGGAGACCTTTCCTCCCTTCATGGGTATGGGATATTGTCTCCTGTAAACTCTTTCTCCTGGATGTTTTCATTCGGTCTGTAAGGGTGTGATTTTTTAATCCTCCCGTTGCCTTCCTTAACCCACAAAAGGGAGTTAATCTTATCTTCTTCCTCCTCTGTTAGGAGAACCATCATTAGTTTTATTTGTCCCTCCTCTACTCCTAATCCTAAAGCTAAATCTAATCTACAATCAGGTCTCAACCCAGGAGGTTAGTTCCTGCTTTGGGAACATGTAAGAGTGACTCCTTAATTGGTTCTGATTCCTGCCTAATTAACATTTTCTTGAATATTGGAACTTGAAATCCCTCCCCTTTTACTCTGATACTGTTAACTTTTCCTTAGAGGGTATGTGCCCCTTGGTGGGTATATTAAGGAAGAGCAAGCCACTCCAGTGTCGACCAAAAATGTCATTTTTTCCCCTTCGGGTCCCACTCTCAAGTTTATGAAGGGTTCCTTGTGGGACCTGGTTAGAAGGAACCCCTGATTCCCAGTCCTCATTAAAACTCATAATGGGGATTACCTTTTCTTCCTTTTTCCATTCCGGACGTTCTTTCTTAAAATGCCCTGGTTTCAGCTGGGTGCGGTGGCTCACGCCTGTAATCCCAGCACTTTGGGAGACCGAGGCAGGTGGATCACGAGGTCAGGAGATCGAGACCATCCTGGCTAACACGGTGAAACCCCGTCTCTACTAAAAAATACAAAAAAATTAGGCGGGCGTGGTGGCGGGTGACTGTAGTCCCAGCTACTCGGGAGGCTAAGGCAGAAGAATGGCATGAACCCAGGAGGCGGAGCTTGCAGTGAGCAGAGTTCGCTCCACTGCACTCCAGCCTGGGCAACAGAGCAAGATTCCATCTCAAAATAAAAAAAAAAAAATGTCCTGGTTTCCCACATTTGCAACATCCACTTACAGTCTTGGGAGTTTTTCCTTGTATTTGCCTCCAGTCTCTTTGCTGAGACCTAGTATTATCTTGTCCCCTCTGAGAGGGGTCTTGATCTAATCTCTTTCTGATTACTTCCTCTACAGTGGAAAACATGATTTTTGAATTCTGTTTTGCTTCTCTTCCTCTCTTCCTCTCTTCTTACAAAGACCTTCTGAGCTTCCCTCAGTAATTCCTCAATCGGTTTCTCATTCCATCCATCAATGTTTTGTAGTTTCTTAGTAATATCAGGCCAGCTTTTAGTTACAAAATTAACCTTTAAAACGCCTTGCCCTACTGGGTCCTCTGGATCTATTTCCTGAGTATTTTTTCATTTGATCCCAGGGCCTCTGCAGAAATGCAGAGGCAGTCTCCTCTTTTTCTTGTTGAATCTCAAATGCTTTCAAGACATTTTGTGTCCCAGGAACGGAGTCTTTAATCCCCCTGATTAGTTCCCTAAGGCCTTGCATTTGGGCCTGATGCCTGGGGTCATTGTTATCCCATTCAGGATTCGCATTTGGGGATTTCCACTCAGCCAGTAGGACTCCTTGCCCAGGAGGATGCTGTCTCACCCAAATGATCATGGCTGCCCTTCTAATTATTGCCCTCTTTTCTTCAGTAAACAGGATATTCATGATAAACATTATCTTAGCCCAAGTATAAAAATTGGGTCCTAAAAATTGATTTAGCTGTTCTGCTAAACCAAGGGGATCTTCTAAAAGTGGCCTCATTTCCTTTTTAAAATTCCTAACCTCAGTACTTGTTAAAGGCACACTCATAAATCCAACTTCTCCCAGTCCCACAGGGCCTTCTTTAAGAGGAATCATGTTGGACATCTCCTGTTTAGAGTGAATAGGGAAATTCTTAATGTTCTTCTTACATTGCTTTAATTCTTTCCTTAAGTTCAGATAAGGATTTAAGGGAGCAGTGGGTTTAGTTTCCTCATGGCCCCCAGATTTCTCTTCCTCCAGCCTTCCTGCTGTCCCCTGATCTCCCTGTTCCTTATTTTGTGAGATGTATGGTGGGGGAAGAGGGGGGTACGCAAGTGTGTTAGGGCATCCCAGGGCTTTTTATCAGGTGAGGGCTCTTTACTATGCTCTTTTTCTTTTTCTTTGAGGAGGAACATGGGGGCTAATTCCCTGACCCAAAAGAGAGCATAACCCATCTTTTCTTGTGAGGATGAGGTTTTATTATTCATATGTGGAATTAAAGTTTGGCACACCCAATCCTCATCCGAGCCAAACTTAGGCCAAAAGACCAAAGGCTTACAAATGGGATATTTGGGCCCAATAAGACAGCAATCTTTATCATCTTTTGCTTTTCCTTGTCCCTGGTTTGAGGGTTGTCCCTCCAAACCTGCAGCATTCTCCCCAACAGACTATCCGTGGGAATGTCAGAGGGAGTCTCCTTAGTTCTCTGTTTCCTTTGTTCGCTAGGCCTAGAATTTTCAGTTCGTCTCTTTGTCTGTGCTTTCCCTTGGTATGCAGCCCCTGCTACAAGAGCTTTCTTGCACACGCTGAGAATGGCTTCCTCCATCTCTGGCTGTTTCCCTTGTGGGAGAACAGAACCACAGATTGGGACTCCACACTTGCCTTGTATCTAAGACACATCTCAGTCACACACACTTGACCTCCAAAAATGCCCCACCACCCAGGCAATACTTACAGTCCAATTTTCCGACCTTGGCTAGTGCAAAAGGTTGCCTGGTTTCTGCAGTGCCTGCTTTTGACCCTGTGTCGTCTCCACTGCCTCCTGAATAACAGTCTTGGGTTTGTCTACGACTTCTGCAGGAGCTGCTATGCCCAGACAGAGTGGGCCACCTAAAGTGGGTGGGACGCATCTCCCGTCTAGGCTGGAGTCCCACTCCATGCAGGCACAGATATCCCGGATGAGCCCCCAAGTTGTGAAAAACAAACTCACCCCTTCAAACCTAAAGAAGGGACTCAGAGACACAGAGAGCAGCAGAAGCGAGACTTTTAGTGACAGTCTTGCAAGATCGGGGGCCTGGTGGACAGGCACACTCAACACGGTTACCATAAGCAATTTATCCCCTAGTGCACGGGTCCCTCCCCTGATTCCTCATAAGATGAGTACTATGGGGTCACAATCTTCCCAGACATTGCCTATTGGTCATTGAATAGGGGCTTTTAGGTATATTTTTAGGGTCACCTCACTGCATTCTGTTGCAGTCCACAATGTGTTGCAGTTATAGTTAGCTCAGGGGCTTTTTAAATATTTGACCTATGACCTAGGTAGGCAAGTTGATGAGAATAGATAAAGCAAGCTATTTTGGAGGCTAGTAAACTTTTTTTCTAGACTAAACTTCTTTGGTTTGGGTGAGGGCAACTAAGGGGCCCCAACAAGCAGGTGCTGGCTATCAAAGTAGGGGCCTCATGTAGTCTGTTCTTTGGTGGTTTGCAGACCCAAGCCTATTCGAGGTACTTTGTCTCGGAAATGGACCACCACATACGTTATTTCCTTCAATACCTATTAAGACAGCTAAATTAAAACACAGTGATAACACCAAATGCTGGTGAGGAGGCAGAGAAGCTGGACCTCTCATGCATTGCTAGTAGGAATGTAAAATGGCACAGACACTTTGGGAAATTATTTGGCCATGTCTTATAAAATGAAGCACAAAAATACCATACAACCCAGCAGTCACACTCTTAGGCATTTATCTCAGAGAAATAAAAACTTATATTCACGCCAAAATCTGTACACAGATATTCAGAGTGCTTTTATTCATAATTGTAACAACCTAGAAATAACCCCAAAATGTTCAACTTTGGTATATCCAAACAATGAAATACTACTCACCAGTGAAAAAGGAACAATCCGTGATACGAACAATCTGGGTAGATCTCAAAGGCAATTGTGTTCAGTAAAAAAATCATAGGGGCATTACTCTCAGTGGAAAAAGCTCACCTCAAAAGGTTACATACTGTGTGATTTCTACAACATTCTCAAAATGACAAACCAAGAGAGATGGAAAACATTGTAGGTGCCAGGAGCCAGGGACTGGGAGTTGGGGGTGCAAATATAAAGGGGTATTGTAGCCTGCACAACATGGTGAAACTCCATCTCTACAAAAAAATGCAAAAAAAATTAGCCAGGTGTGGTGGTGCATGCCTACAGTCCCAGCTACTTGGAGGGCTGGGAGGTGGGAGGATTGCTTGAGCCCAGAAGGTCGAGGCTGCAGTGAGCAGTGAGCCAAGATCTTGCAACTGCACTCCAGCCTGGGCAACAGAGGGAGGCCCTGCCTCCAAAAAAGAACCTGGGAGGCGGAGGTTGCAGTGAGCCGAGATTGCACTACTGCACTCCAGCCTGGGCAACAGAGCGAGACTCCATCAAAAAAAAACAAAACAAAACAAATAAAAAAAACAAAACCAACAACAACAAAAAAACCCTAAAAACTGAAAAAATAAATAAATAAAGGAGTCATGAAGGAACTCTTTGTGCTGGCTCAATAGTTCTGTAACTTGAATGTAGTGTTGGTCACATGAACCTGTACAAGGGGCAAAATTGCACAGGACACACACAAACATGCACACATGCATGCAAACGTGGTGCACATGGCATAGGGCTTATAATACTGTAGAAATGTCATTTTCCTGGCTTTCATATTGCACTACAGTTAGGTAAGATACCATCATTGGAGGAAGCTGAGCAGGAGGTACCCAGGACCCTATGTACTCTTTTCACAACTTCTGTGGAGCTAGAATTTATTTTATAAATTACTTCAAAGGTTTTAAAGATGTTAAGTCCAGTGTCCTCAGCAGTTATGAAGTGTGCACAAGTCCAGGGATTTTTCTGAATGCCCTAGGAGACATAATTACAGGCTTCAGAAGGCTTACAATCTAACTTTATGAACAAAAATAACTTTATGAATAAAAATATGTTTAATATTAGCTAGCAAAAACCACTGATAAATCAGTTTATAGGTAGCAAATACTGAAGATTTGCTGCTGAGCTGGAAGTGAGCCTTCCTTGTGTATCTAATCTGACGGGCACTCCATGGAGAAGGAAGAACCCCCGGAAGGTGTAGAAGGTGTGGCGGCTGAGCAAGGGAGATTGCCTCTGGGTGGCCATGGCTGCCACAGAAAGCCTTCGTCCCTGCTGTGAGTGGGACGGGAAGGAAGACATTTTGGAGCGACACTCCTCCCTTCTCCATAGTTTCAATCCTTTGAAATTGAATGAGAAATGTTCCTCATCTCCCAAAATCTTCTTGCCTCAAGAGTACAATTGTTCAATATTCATTTGAATATGCTTTCGTTTAACTAGTATTTGCATATTATTTTCCTCTTTCATTTTCAACGTTTTTGTGCCCTTATATTTAAGATATCCACCCTTATATTTAAGGTATATCTTTTGCAAACAACATATAGGAGGATTTTAGAAGTCTACTGCAACCATTGGTTTGCCTTTAACTGGAGTATTTACTCCACTCGATGAAATGTAACTGGGGATGTAGTTTGGCTTCTATCTGCTACCTCAGTATTTGTTCTCTATTTGTCCCATCTGTTCTATAGTCCTTTTCTCTCCTTTCTTGTCTTCTGTTGTATTTATTAGGTATTTTTGTTTTCCTTTTTCCTTCTATTAAATTATTAAACATTCTTTTAATGATGATAGCTATTATGACATAACTCTCTGCCTTACTAGAACCTACAATCCATCGGTACTTTTACGACTTCACGGACAATGCAAAGGCAATAGAATGTTTAACTCTCATGCACTTTTCTACGTTTTCCAACATTTTTCCTCTTTGGGCTATAATCTGGATATAGCAAAAGTGAACAAGGAATCCCTCCCTCCCACTAGAGGCCACCCAGTGCTGGTGTGACAGCCAGGGTGGGGGGCTGAGATTCAGCCCACAGAGTCTCTTTGGACAGATGCTCTTGTCCAGTGCCACGTATCCTGAGCAAGCACATGCAGCGGCCCAAGACCAGGAGCTCAGTGAGGACCGGGTAGTCTTGGCAGTGAGAAGACACTCCATCTTCCAAGGAATTCGTGAACGAGGAGAGAATGAAGGTGTAAGACTCTGGAGGTGGAGGAGACTCTGTGGTCTCCAGGGAGGCACCTGCTGCTCCTTTGTGTCCCCTCATCCCTGCAAAATGTAAGCAGATGCTCCCCTAGTTCCACATCAGGCAGAGTGGGTTTTAGGGTTTGAAGCTGCATCTGCATTTTGGTTTTGCAAATTAAAATACATCTGCATCACATATTCCATGTTGGCTTCTTTTTCACACATTCTATGTGGGCATAGTTTCTTGGGGAAGATGTTCAATACCTCAACATGTTCTTGGTGTCATTAATCCCCAACTACCACATAATTTTAGTTATTTCCTTTTTGCTTCTGGAAAAATACTTTTTAATTTCCATGAAATTAGGGATTTTTTAATTGCTATTTTTAAAATTTTATTATGGACACAGGTTGTGTAGTATTTGGGAGAAGGGGGGTTAGTGATGATTACTGAAATTTCCATTTTAGAACTGAAAAATAAAAGGGAATTTGCCAGACCATATTTCAAAACATATTACGAAACTACAGGGTATGAAACAGTATGGCACAAGAATAGACAGAATATCGATGGAATGGAGTAAAGTGTCCAGAAATTCTGAGAGTCCTGGTGTTTAGCATATGATGAGGATGTGAAAGATTTGGGAACAATGGGTAAATGACTGGGAAAACTCTGAGTTCAAACGTTAACACATACCACACAATAAAATAAATTGAGATGAGCTAAATATTTAAATATCAAGAATAAAAGCATGGAATGACTAAAAGGAAATATAAGGGAATTGTACCATTCTGAGTCTAGTAAGTAACTTAAACAGAACTTTAATATAAAGAATTATTAAGTGTGATTAGGGAGTAACTATAAAGACAGATTAGTAACTATAAAGACTGAAAAGACAGGCACACCAGGGCTGAGGGCAAGGGCCCCAAAAAGGAGAAATGTGGAAGGAGCCCTGTCCCCCAGGCCAGGGTCCAGAGTCACTGTCCAGGTTTGGCTGCCAACCATGGGGTTGTGAGGATGTTTTCTGGCCAGAGCTGCTCCCTAGCCGGGCACGGGACACAGCCTCCTGGGCCTGGGCAGTGGGTGGGCAGGTGAGGTCTGGGCACACAGGTCATGTGAGGAGACTCCTGGGCAGGGATCCCAGGGTCAGGCAGCTGAGGGGCTGCACCCTCTGAGCAGGGGCTGTGGCAGAGCCCCCTGGAATGTCCCCACCTTCCTGCACCACAGAGAGACCCCTCAGTAGGAACAAAGAAGAGAACAGACACAGCACAGCTGGCCCAGGAGGGAAAAGTCCCTTCCTCTTGCCACATCCTCTAGCATCTTCCGGTGGGGACACTTAACACTGTGAGCCCACACAGTGGCCACCTGTGGTCCCAGCTACTTGGGAGGATGAGGCAGGAGGATGGCTTGAGCCCAGGGGCTCAAAGCTGCAGTGAGCTATGATCACACCACTGCACTCCAGCCTGGGCAACAGAGTGAGACCCTGTCTCAAAAAAAAAGAAAAATTAACATCGATAAGGAGAAATGCTTGAAAAGACAAGTCCATATGGCAGAGTAGAGATCAAGTTTGAAGGTAGGAGGCAGTAAATCAATAACTGGCAAAGAAATATTTTTATAATCAGGGTATGTCTCTCAATGTAACTCCAGCCACAGAAACTCAAAAGAGAACATAATGCCAATCTTGACTACCTGAAATAGAGACACTTTGCACAGTGAAGGGTGCTGCGAAAACAGGCAAGACAGCTCTGCAATACAACAGAGAGCTGCAACCCTTGAATAGAAAAAGACTCATAAATTAATAAAACACAAATAATCCCAACATGCCAAGGGCAGCTCAGAGCAGAAACACAAAGCACATGAAAACATAAAACACATAGAAATACATTGGTAGCAGCCTCATTGACAATTTTTAAAGTGCAAATTAACAGTGGCATATGGTGGGTGCTTAATAAATACTTGTTGAATGAATTATTTTTGCATAAAACTATGGGTAATACCCAATATTAGCCAGGGTGTGGGGAAACAGGTACTCTCAAACATTGTTGGTGCAAGTATAAATTAGCCAAAATTTTCTGGAAGGAAATCTGAAACTTTTCCAGGAAATGAGACCTGGAAAAGCCATTATAATGTGCATAAAACTGGCCCAGAGATTCCACCTCAGGAAATGAGACAAACAAGCAAAGAACCATACACAAATAAATTCACCTCAAAATTGTTTATCATTGCAAAAAGAGATGAATTCACCAATAAAGGAGGAGTAAATAAATTATGCTACAGGCACATATTGGGATATTGCACAGCTATTAAAAAGAATAGTAGAGATGTCTATTACCAGCCTGAAAAGCCTGAAATTTGTTAAGTAAATGACTCAGGTTACAGACAGTGTGTGTAATATGATTCCATTTTACTTGAAAAATCATGGGTATATTAATATATAAAGATACAGGTTGAGTACCCCACATCCAAAATGCTTAAGACCCGAAGTGTTTTGGATATGGAGTTTTTGGAATATTCGCCTTATGTATACTTACCGGTTGAGCATCCCATATCCAGAAATCCAAAGTCCAAAATTCTCCAATGAGCATTTCCTCTGAGTGTTATACTGGTGCTCAATGTTTTGAATTTTGGACTATTTCAGATTTCAGGTTTTTTGATTTGGCATGCTCAATCTGTATTTATATCTATGTGTGTGTGTGGAAATGTATACAACAAATGAAATTACCTCTAGGATAGAATTACAAGGGGCTTTCATCTCACTTTCTTTTTGTTTTCTTCAACTTTTATTTTGAGTTCAGGGGTACATGTGCAGGGTGTGCAGGTTTGTTACATAGTTAAATGTGTGCCATGGAGGTTTGCTGCACAGATCATCCCATCACCTAGGTATGAAGCCAGCATCCCTCAGCTATTCCTCCTGATGCTCTCCCTCCCTCGATCCCACCCCCAACACGCTCCAGTGTCTGTTGTTCCCCTTTGTGTCCATGTGTGCTCATCATTCAGCTCCCACTTATAAGTGAGAACATGTGGTGTTTGGTTTTCTGTTCCTGTGTTAGTTTGCTGAGAATAATGGCTTCCAACTCCATCCATGTCCCTTCAAAGGACATAATCTCATTCCTTTTTATGGCTGCATAGTATTCCATGGTGTATACGTGCCACATTTTCTTTATCCAGCCTATCACTGATTGATAGGCATTTAGGTTGATTCCATGTCTTTGCAATTGTGAATAGTGCTGTGATGAACATACGAGTACATGTGCCTTTATGGTAGAATGACTTCTATTTCTTTGGGTATACACCCAGTAATGGGATTGCTAGGTCAACTGGTATTCCTGCCTTTAGGTTCATTTTCTACTTTATATATTTCTGTAATGTCTAGACTTTGTTACAAGAACCATTATTTTTGGCAAAAGAAAATGCTCATTTTAAAAATGAAGCAATATAGAAATGTTCCAAAGAGAAATGTCCCCAACATGTACCATTCAAAAACTCTCAGGTGAAAATCATTTTCCAGATCTTTCTATGGGGAGAGAGAAGTATAATTGTACATACTTAGTAAACAGAGAGGGAAGAGGGGAAAGAGAGAAGAACAATTCACAGAGCAGACGATAATGTCATATACGGCTCTGCTCCTGGAGCCCAGCAGTGAGTTAGAAGACCTGGCCCTGCTGTTCACTCAGCTGCTCTCCATCCTCCTGAGTCTCTTGTGGGCATTTTGCCACCCTGGGTGGGGTTCCATTCTTTAAAGCCATTTATTTTTTTCTTCAAGATGGGCCCCAGGTCAAGTCTGGTACTGAACCAAAGAAACAGTATTCTCCTAGCAGAAGAAACAAAACAACTAGTTATGTGATTTATTGATAGATGAGGTACATATTAGTCTCCAATATCCCAGTGCCACTGTATTAGTCAGGGTTCTCTAGAGGGACAGAATGAATAGGATAGATGTACATATAAAAGGGAGTTTATTAAGGAGTACTGACTCACACCATCACAAGGTGAGGTCCCACAGTAGGCCATCTGCAAGCTGAGGAGCAAGGAAGCCAGTTCAAGTCCCAAAGCTATAGAACTTGGAGTCCGATATTGGAGGGCAGGAAGCATCCAGCATGGGAGAAAGATGGAGGCCAGAAGACTAAACCAGTCTAGTCTTTCCAAGTTCTCCTGCCTGCTTTTATTCTGGCCACACTGGCAGCTGATGAGATGGTGCCCACCCAGACTGAGGGTGGGTCTGCCTCTCCCAGTCCACTGACTCAAATGTTAATCTCCTTTGGCAACACCCTCACAGACACACCCAGGATCAATATTTTGCATCCTTCAATGCAATCAAGTTGACACTCAACTATCACAGCCACTCAATAAAAATAAAATTTGAGATATATATGTTATTTAAACCCTTTCCCTAACCACATCCCAAGTAAAGAGAAACAGGTGAAATTAATTTGAACAATATATTTTC
This sequence comes from Homo sapiens, assembly GCF_000001405.40. Lineage (NCBI taxonomy): Eukaryota > Metazoa > Chordata > Mammalia > Primates > Hominidae > Homo > Homo sapiens. The sequence goes on along the minus strand of NC_000013.11, from coordinate 110,926,163 downwards.
TTTAACTCAGTGTATCCTAAGTATTATCAATTTATTATATCAACATATTTACATATATTAACATACATTCAACATTTAAAATGATTAATGAGCTATTTCATATTCCTTCACTTTCACTCAGCCTTGGAAGTTCGGTGTGTGTTTCACAGCACGTCTCAATGGGGCACTGAAGTTTCACTGAGAACAGTTGATCCTTACTTAGATTCCAGACCATTACATTTGAAAGAGTTCCATGCACAGATCTAAGTTGTTCCAAACATACTTAAGAATTTTCCAATAACTGAATCAGGCTTCAGTTTTTAAGTTCACATTTAAATAAATTAAAATTAAATAAAATTTAAAATTTAGTTCCTCAGTCTGACGGGCCACATTTCAAGTGCTCAAAAGCACCCTTTGGCCAGCAGCTGCTACGGCCCACACAGCTTTCTACTGTCCTTTACAAGCAATTGAAAGAGATTTGCAAGTGTTACAGGAAAGGGGTCCCCAACTTCAAGAGAGGGTTCTTGGATCTCCTGCAAGAAAGAATTCAGGGCAACTCCCTAAAGTGAAAGTATGGTTATTAAGAAAGTAGAGAAATAAAAGAACCGCTACTCCATAGACAGAGCAGGCCTGAGGGCGGCTGGTTGCCCATTTTTATGGTTATTTCTTGATTATATGCTAAACAAGGGGTGGATTATACATGCCTCCCATTTTTAGACCATATAGGGTAACTTCCTGACGTTGCCATGGCATCTGTAAACCGTCATGGTGCTGGTGGGACTGTAGTAGTGAGGACCACCAGAGGTCACTCTCATCCCTATCTTGGTTTTGGTGGGTTTTAGCTGGCTTCTTTACTACAACCTGTTTTATCAGCAAGGTTTTCATGACCTGTATCTTGTGCCAGCCTCCTATGTCATCCTGTGACTTGGAATGCTTTAACCATCTGGGAACGCAGCCCAGTAGGTCTCAGCCTCATTTTACCCAGTCCCTATTCAAGATGGAGTTGCCCTGGTTCACACACCTCAGACACAAGGGCAGTTTTGACTGGGAAACAAGCAGCGAATGATTCGAATTTGTCACTCAATCCCTAAAGACAAAACTCCACTGTAAATTTAGTTTTACCTAAATTTATTCGTTAAATCATTTAGTTAAATTCTGAGCATCCGCTGTGAAGGAGGCCTTGTCTCTCTGGGCCATCCATTCAAGGGGGCCAGGACAGTTAGTGAGAAATCGGATCATTCCAGAGGTACGTGCTGGGAAGAAAGCAAAGCAGGATGGCGCTGTGGAAGACGACTCGGGCTGGGGTTCAGGCCATACCATTCCTCCAAGATGACATTTTAAGGGGAGGCCTGAAAGACAAGGAGTCAGCAGTGTGAGTTTTGGGTGACAGCATTCCCAGCAGACAGAGCTGGGTCCAGGAACAGGAAGCCCGAGGCCTGCATAACCTCAGTGAGGGCAAGAGACAGCAGTAAAAGGCTGGGCTGGAGGGGAACCAAGTCTCTATGCCATTTGTATTTTGTTCCAAGTTCAATGAAAAGGCATTGGAAGGTTTTAAGCTGGCGCTATTATTAGATTTATATCATAAAAAGATCCTCTGGCTGCTGGACAGGAAAAGCTGAGAGGTTACTGTGTCAGTTTAAGTGAGAGAGAATGGGTCAGAGAGATAGGAGGGGAGAAAGAAAGAGGTGTGTGGACTTGAGATATATTTGGAGGTAGGGCCCCCTGAGCTTGCAGATGGTTTGCACGTGGGAGTTGGGAAAGTATTGACCTGCAGGTGCTGGACTCAAGCCCCTGGATAGGTGGTGGTGTTATTTACAGAGTTAGAGAACACTATGTATGTGTGGGATGGGCAGCAGGTGTGGGGAGGGTGACTCAAGAATTTAATTTGGGGCATGACTAGAGATGCCCCTCAGAGATCCAAATGGAGATATTTACTAAGCCACAGGATCTGAGTCTGGAGCTCAGAGGAGAGGTCAGGGCTAGACACATAAATTCAGAAATCACCAGTTGTAAGTAGTGTTTGGAGGTGTGAGATTAAATGACATTGCCTAGGAAGAAAATACAGAGAATGGAGGATCTAGGACCCAGCCCTGGGGTCTTTGAACATTTGGAGGTCCAGCAAGAGTTGGTGTGTCATGGAAGCCAGGACAGAGTGTTTCAAAAAGGAGCTAATGGGCAACTTGTTGCATGCTCCAGCAAGATAAAGCCAGATAAGAATAGAGAATTGAGCATTTGATTTGGCAGATTTGAAGGACTATGATGAATTTCACTGGTTATCCCTGGGAGTGCTGCGGACTAATGCCCAGTTGGAAAGGGTTGAGAAGGGCCTGGGAGACGATGGCTGCAGACAATCCTTTGAAAGGACAGAGGAGGGATGGGCAGGAGCTAGAAGGGGGTATGATGAGTGTGTGTGCTTATATTAAGGTAGAGAACCACTGTAAGTGGTCGCAGCAGATTTGCCTGATGAGGGGACTAATCCATTCAGTAGAGCAGATAAATTACTGATTTCTGAGCATCTTGCTTATTGGACATTTGTGTCTGTTTCCAGTACATTGCCTGTCAATATCCTTTGCCCCTGTTGCTCATCTCTCTCTTCTTGATATGTAGAAGTTCTTTTTATATGCTGAATGCGAATGCTTTACAGTCACGCCCTTCATACAACCTTTTGGTCAATGACAGGCTGCATATACAATAGTGGTCCCATGAGATGATAATACTATTAATATATTTTGACTGTACCTTTCCTATGTTTAGGTATGTTAAATATGCAAATACTTACCATTATGTCACAATTGCCTGCAGTATTCTGTATGGGAACATGCTGTACAGGTTAGTAGCCTAGGAGCAACAAGCTCCACCATCTAGCCTCGGTGTGTGACAGGCGGTACCATCCAAGTTTGTGGGGGCGCCCTCCAAGATGCTGAAATGAGGAAATCGCCTAATGGCGCATTTCTTAGAACGTATCCCTGCTGTTAAGCGAGGCATGACTGTATGTGTTAAATGAATTGCAAACAATTTCCCTTGTTCTGTAGCTTGTCTTTTGCTTTGAAAGAAGTTATTAATAACAACTGAAAGACATTATTATATTATTACTTATAGGCAAGTCTGGACATTTCTATGGCTGTGCTTTACGTGTCTTGTTGAGAAATCCTCCAACCCTCTAAGGTCATAAAGATGTTCTGCTGTCTTTTCTTCTAAATCTTTTTCCATTTTGCTTTCACATTGAAGTCTAATCCACCTGGAACAGATTTTTGAGTGTGTTTGAACTCTAATTGTTCCTCTGTCCTCGCCCCCTGCTCCTTGGAGTCAGGCTGGAGTGAAGCAGGGGGAAGGCATGTCCAAGTAAACAGGAGCAACTCTGGGTCTCTGGCCCCGGTTATTCTCTGTAGAGTGACACGTCCTTGCCAGCACACCGAACCTGCAGTCAGTGTGGATAAAAGTCACAGGCTGAGTGCTGCCGCACTTTGGAGAATGAAGAGGAAACAGCCATCCTACAGTTGGGATGAACTGCCCCCGGCCAGAGGTCAGAATGCTGGAGCCGCAGCAGCCTGTGTAGAGGACAGTGCCAGGTGAAGCAGTCCCCCAGGGGCACCAGGTCCAAGGAGCAGGGCACAGGAGCCCAAGAGGCACCAGGGATGTTCTCAGCAGCTGGCCTGCCCTCAGTGGCGCCAGTTTCTGACAACAAAGCCCCTAGCAGCCATTACCACTGCAATTTAGCCTTCATGAAAAAGCAAAACAAAAAAAATCTAATAGCAATACCTAGTATCAGAAAGAATCGGGAACTGGGATTTTGGTGAATTGCTGTTGGCAGTGTAAATTCATAAAGGCACTTGGGAGAGCAATTAGTACCCAGCATCTTCCTAGTCTAGAGATTCTTCCACACCCAAAAGCTCACCTGACCCTCACAATGACCTTTACCTGGACAGGATAATTATTGTCTTCCTTTAACAAATGAGGAAACTAAGGCAGGGCAGGGAGGAAACCCTTCCTCCAGCAGAAGAACCCCCTGTGCAATATTCTTTGCAATATTCTTTTCAACCCAGCCTTCAGAAACAGGGAAAAGAAAAAGAAGGCTGTCACAACAAGAAATTGAACTGTCCCGGTAGTCATCCACGGGCTCTGCACCAGGGCCAGAGCTGTGCTGTTTTCTCCAGCTTCCATCCCTGCTTCTGGCTGCTCTGTAAAACAGTTAGCTAAGCTTATAGTCAGCGCTCAAGTCTGGAAGAGCCTGGAGGGTTGTGGAAGGTTTTAGGCGCTATAGGATAAAGGGAGACAATCAACCATCTTTCTGCTAGGCAGAGCCCACACTGTGACTTGATCTCTTTGGCTCCCCACGCCCTGGTGCTTCTGCATGGCTGGGACTTGCATTCACTCAGTCTTGTGCTGTGAGGTATGAGCGGTTTTAAGGTGACATCCACGTCCTCTTATAACATGAGATGGGCGGATTATTTTATCCTAGGTCATGAAGATTCCTATCAGGGTAAATGCTTTTGTTTTTAGAATGTTCTTAAGGAATAATACAATAGTGACAATTTCAGGAGGGGTGAGGAAGATGTAAATCCCTTGAGTCACATAAGGTACCAGGGTCTGGTCCAGGCAGAAGCGGGTCAGTGGGCCCTGACTCGAGGCTGGGCACTCGGCTAGTGGAGGAGAGCATGTGTGGGGGGTGGCGGGGGCACCAGCACCCCTCCCAGGAATATCGGCAGAAGCCATTTTAATAACCGTAATGACTCACTAGGGACTTTCCTCTATGGTATCCACATGGGGAAATTAAGGAATCGGTTGAAAACATTTTCAAGGACTGCATTGGGTTACTAAATTAAAGGTCAAGATGTCAGGAAACCACCTGCGGGTCATCCTCCCCCAGCAGCACCTCCGGTGGCTTGCTCTTTCCTTAGGTGGCAGGGACCAGCTGGCAGCTTGTTTCCCTTTCCTTCCTTCAACACCGTCGCCCACCCATCCCTCCCCACGCCACGGTCAGTCTCCAGCAGACAGACCTGCCCTTGCTTCTGAGTAGAACTGGGGACTTTTCCTTTTTTTTTTTTTTTTAATGGGTAATCACTTTTGCTAATTTAAAGTGATTTTGCTAATCACTTTTTTAACAAGACAAAAGCAAGACAGGAAGATTAGTAAGATTCTAGAATCTTCATGTTCTTTGTATTTGAGATCCCCGGTCCATGGTGCTTTCTCTCTTTCTGAAGGGAGCTATCAACTGATTTGAAGCTCAGTCTTCCATTTCAATTTCATGCCATTCAGGAAATAGGTATTAAGGACTTAATATGGGCTGGGCACTGTCCTACTTCCTACGTTCGAGGGATACAGTAATGATGGAGAGAGAGAGAGAGAGACAGAGATCCATCTGTGACACTGCTCAGCAGAACATGGAGCATCAGCCAGAAGTATTTAATATTTTCAGAGCAGTCTCCTCTATCTGCTTAAGGGGCTCACCAAGAGCTCCCCTCCAGAGCAGAGCGGGGGCAGCTGGAAAGACAATCGTTGGTTTCCACACTTAAAGCCCACAGAAGCAAATCTCTGGCATGTTTCTAATTACAAGAGTATATGAATAGGGGGATGCAGTCTCAGGCACGCCTCTCCACAGTCAGGATTTTTTTAAAAATCTCTCTCTTTCACGATTAGAAAAAGAAGTAACATTTACTTGTCTGGTTTTTAAATTGTTTCATTTGGAGGTGACGGGAAATCCTGTGAGGGTAAATGCTTTTCTTTCTAGAATGTTCTTAAGGAATAAATACAATAGTGGCAATTTCAGGAAGGGTGAGGAAGATATAAATCCCTTGAGTCACACCAGGTACCAGGGCCCGGTCCAGCCAGGAGCCGGTCAGTGGCTGGGCACTCGGCCAGAGGAGGAGAGCATGGCAAGGCCACCAGCACCCCTCCCAGGAAGATCAGCAGAAGCCATTTTAATAACTCGCTAGGGACTCACTAGGGACTTTCCTCTATGGTACCCACATGGGGAAATTCAGAAATCAGTTGAAAACATTTTCAAGACTAGACACCTGGATCCTCCCGGGCCTGCCTGCAGGGGACAGAAGCTCCTGTCCTAACATGGGAAACAGCTTTGGAAAGGGAAGTGAACAGCACTGGAGAAGCCAGTGCACAGAGGCATCCAGGGGGTGGCTGGTGCCTCCCCACCTCGGGCGAGAGAGGTGGAACCCAGCAAGGACCAGTGTGTTATTTCCTGGAGCTGGACAGCTTCACAACAGAAATGTGTTGTCCTGCAGTCCCGCAGGCTGGAAGGCCCAGATGGAGGTGTCAGGGCTGTGAGAGAAGGATCTGCTCCAGGCCTCTCCATGGCTTCTCGTGATTTGCCGTCGTCTTTGGGATTCCTTGGCTTGTAGAAGCATCACCCCCATCTCTGCCTCCATCTTCACGTGGTCGTCTTCCCCTGTGTCTGTGTTCAACTGTCCCTTTATTTTTATTTTTTATTTTTTTTGAGACAGAGTTTTGTTCTTGTGGCCCAGGCTGGAGTGCAGTGGTGCGATCTCAGCTCACCGCAACCTCTGCCTCCCGGGTTCAAACAATTCTCCTGCCCCAGCCTTCCGAGTACCTGGGATTACAGGCATGTGCCAGCACACCAGGCTAATTTTGTATTTTTTTTTTTTTTTCAGTAGAGACGGGGTTTCTCCATGCTGGTCAGGCTGGTCTCAAACTCGCGACCTCAGGTGATATGCCCACCTCGGCCTCCCAAAGTGCTGGGATTACAGGCATGACAAATGTCGCCTTTTTATAAGGACACCAGTTATATGGGATTGGGGGCCCACCCTACTTCAGTGTGACCTCATGTCAACTAGTTATATCTGCAATGACCCTATTTCCAAATAAGGCCACATTCTTAGTTCTGGGGGTTAGGACTTCACATGAATTTGGGGGGGACACAATTCAACCCAGATCAGAAGGAGTGGACTCTGGGACAGGGCAGGGAGCAGCCTTCAAGGCAGAGGTAGCCCCAGTGTCAAGGACATGCTCTGGACAGCCCTGGGCAGTGACATAACAAGAAGTCCAAAGACAGGCAGTCGGCCCTGGCTGTAAGGACATTACCCAGCCAAGGGTCTGATCTTGGACTTTGCTTGCTGGGAGCATTTTCCCAGGTGTGGTCTGAAAACCTCGAATGGCAGGAGCCAATTTGGAAGGTTTATAGATCAAACTCTATTTTGATATCTATTTGTTTAAATGGGTAGGGAGAGAATGTAACCAGCACCACAAACTCACTAATGGTTTATTAATGAGAGGATGTGAATGAAGTGGCTAAGTTTAAAAAAGTGAACCAGTTTTAAGAAAAAAATATCAATCCTATGTAGATATAAAAGTCCACATATGGCCAGGAGCCATGGCTCACACCTGTAATCCCAGTGCTTTGGGCTTTCGGAGGCCAAAGCAGGAGGATCCCTTGAGCCCAGGAGGTCAAGGGTGCAGTGAGCCATGACTGTACCACTGTACTCCAGCCTGGGTGACAAGAGTGAGATCCTGTCTAAAAAAAAAAAAATCCACATGCAGGTGGTATCTGAATGACAAGTTTTGGAAACTGTTCCTACATCAATTTTTAAGCAGATTTGCCCTCTCAAAAGATGGATTTGCCAGCGTAGTGGATGTGGATAGGAATGGAGAAGGGGCCGAGGAGAAAACAGCAAGGCTTGCAGGCCCACGTTGAGTCCTGAAGGTGTTGTCACAGTGGGCTCCCTGATCTCCATCCTCATAGCCAAGCTGCAAGTCTGACCCGGGTCCCCCCACCCCTCCATCCCAAGTCATCACTCCCTCCCTTAAATGGCACAACAAAACCCCTCATTGGTTCCCAAACTTTTTGAAAGTAAAAAGCCACTCCTTAGCATGGCATGCTTAATATGGAACATCAACTGGGGCCTACCTTGCTCTCCAACCCCACGTCCCTCAGGGCGCACTGCTCCTGGTGTAATAACGACACTCAAGAGATGCCCATCAATGTCTGTCACACGTATGGACACTGAATCACTGTGCCATTCACACAACTGAGCCCTACCCCACTTCCACAATTTCTCATACAATGCAATCCTTTTTTGAAAAAAAAAAAAATTCCAGTCTAAAGGCAATCTTAATATGTTAAGTTTTGAGTTTTCCTGTTTTCTTTCATGGATTTGGATTGTATCTTCAAATGCCTAAGTTGGCTTGTGTATGGTTGCTTCATCAGATGAAAAAGATGTTATGAATCTACTCTTCTTCTCTTTGGAGCTTTTAAAAAATGAGAGTCTCAAAGGAAATCTGAGATTGGTAATGATTGTTACAGGAAAGGGGTCCCAATCCAGACCACAGGAGAGGCAGGGTTCTTGGATCTCACTCAAGAAAGAATTGAGGGTGAGGCCACAGAGTAAAGTGAAAGCAAGTTTATTAGGAAAGTAAAGGAATAAAACAATGGCTACTCCTTAGGCAGAGCAGCCCCGAGGGCTGCTGGTTGCCCATTTTTATGGTTATTTCTTGATTATATGCTAAACAAGGGGTGGATTATTCATGTCTACCATTTTTAGACCACATAGGGTAACTTCCTGATGTTGCCATGGCATTTATAAACTGTCATGGCGCTGGTGGGAGTGTAGCAGTGAGGATGACCAGAGGTCACTCTCGTCACCATCTTGGTTTTGGTGGGTTTTAGCTGGCTTCTTTACTGCAACCTGTTTATCAGCAAGGTCTTCATGACCTGTATCTTGTGCTGACCTCCTATCTCATCCTGTGACTTAGAATGCCTTAACTATCTGGGAATGCAGCCCAATAGGTCTCAGCCTCATCTTACCCAGCCCCATTTAAGATGGAGTAGTTCTAGTTGGAATGCATCTGACAATTATCAGAGTTGAGCAAAATCTGGGTGACCAACCAATTAGATCACTGGCATTGGGAATAGTCAGTAGACACCATCCTATCCACAATCCTCCTGCCACAGTTACAGGATCTGTCTTGGGGATCCATCACCACGTATATATGTCAGTCTACTCCTGTACAGCTAAATAAATATGTATATAGTCTAAATAATCCTTTAAAAAACCCAGTCATCTGAAGTGAGGAAAGACGTACACGAAGTACCCTATCACTATAACCTATTTTATCTTCCTAGCCCTTAATACTCTATGCAAAATAAATTCCAAAGTTAAAAAAAATCTAACAGTGGGTTGGAACCTAGGTCTGGATATTATTCTAAGCTCTGCCACAGGCATGCAGTTTGCCCTTGGACAAATTCCTTGACTTACCACCATCTCTGTTTCACCATTCCCAGAATGCAGCCTAGCAAGTAATCCCTCCCTTTCATTACATGGAGGACAAGATACACTCACGTCCTTTCGCAAAATGGGACACCTCTCTCCTAAGAAAGATGGAAATCAGGGGGATATATTTTAAAGAGATTAGATTAAAATCAACATGGCATGTGAGAAGAAAAATGATTACGTTCTAGAGTAAACAAAACCTGAAATGAGTTTATAGTCTATTCTCACCCTTTTGGTCCAAACAAAAAAGTATTGCTTGATTATTCTTTCCTGCTTCACTAACAGATTACAAACTCCCTGGGAGAAGATAGATTCTATGTGTCATATTTTCCATTCATTAGCAATTGCTCACTGAATTGAAATATTTGCTACTTCCCCACTATAGAGTGTTTCTCAATGTGTTTCATTCAGCATTGTACTCAACAAATGTTTGCTGTATGAAGACATGTCTGTGTTGAGTGTTTACACCACTAGTTAACAACTTCCCTTTGTTAAATCTTAGGTTTCTATTTTTTCGTTTTATTAACCAATGCTGCAATATGCTTTCTCGTGCATCAGTACTTCCCTAGACATCTAATTGCCTTGTTCAATTTGTGACGTAGAATTTTGCAAAAAGGAAGTTTACACAGCGAAAAACTATATATACAAATGAAATAAAATACATGATTTAAAAAGACCGCATATTTAGAAGCAAAGGAAATATTCATAAACATTGTGGTTATTCCTCAATAGTGAAATTACTGATGCTTTCATAATCAGAATAAAATTACATATGTAATAAAGTCCGTGATACTGTCATTCAAAATAGGGGATTTGGTACTCCCTTACATTTATACAGTTCTCAACAAAAAGCCTTTTATTGTTTGCTCTGTCTGGTCTTCTCGCTTATCTCTTAAACTTGCAAACGTATAGTCCTAGCCCACCGCACTCGGTTCCGAAGAAGGCGTCCCTCGGACAAAACCGAGGAATCTGTCCTGCTCTGTAAGGAACTAGGGCTTGCTGATTCCCAGATTTTAACGAGAATCCCTGCTCCCCGTAGGCGCTCCATAAATTTTTACTGGACAACTTCACCGCGCGCTACTGGGCCTCCGGGAGACCCGTGACTCCCACCCGCTCTGGGCGCGGGCCCGCAGAGCCTCAACCCGCGCCCCCGGCAGCCGGGATTCCCCGCCCGGACCGGCTCCCAGGCTGGAAACATCATGGTCCGCACCCGGGGCGCAGCCGAGACCCACCGCGCCGGAGGCCCCGGGACCCGCTCAGACCGCTGCTTGGCCACTCTACGCCCCTGAGCCCCCCACACAGCCAGCCCCGTGACCTCCGAGCCCCGTGACCTCCGAGCCCCGTGACCTCCAAGCCCCGGAAGCCGCTGTAGGCAGCGGCCCAGCCAGGCCCCGCCCCCTCCACCGGAGCTCCACGCGTCAATTCCAGCCAGGCCCCGCCCCCGGCCGCCCCAGGCGTGGACCCAAGCCAGGCCCCGCCCTCTGCCTGGCTACTCCAGGCGCCCACCGCCCCAGGCGTCCTCTAGCCCAAGCCCAATGCCCGGCTGCTCCAGACGTCGACAGCCCCATGCCCCGCCTCCTAATCGGCTGCTGCTGGCGTCCTCTGGTCCAGGCTCCGCTCCCTACCCGGCTGCTCCAGGCATCCTCTAGGCTAGACCCCGCCACCTACCGGCCGCTCCAGGCGTCCGCAGCTCCAAGCCCCGCCCTCCGCCCGGCTGCTCCAGGCGGCCTCCGGCTCAAGCCCCGCCCCCTGCCCGGCGGCTCCAGAGGTCCGCGGCTCCAGGCCCCGACCCCTGCCCGGCTGCACAAGGCGTCCTCTGGGCCAGGCCCCGCCCCCAGCCCGGCCGCTCCAGGCCCCGCCCCGCCCCCTCTGTGCGCGCTCCGCTCGGCAGCCTGTGGGACGCGACCGCGGCGCTAGTCTCGTTCCTTTGTGCTGCGGCGGCGGCTTCTCGAGTCCTCCCCGACGCGTCCTCTAGGCCAGCGAGCCCCGCGCTCTCCGGTGACGGACCATGTCGGCGGCGGGAGCGGGCGCGGGCGTAGAGGCGGGCTTCTCCAGCGAGGAGCTGCTCTCGCTCCGTTTCCCGCTGCACCGCGCCTGCCGCGACGGGGACCTGGCCACGCTCTGCTCGCTGCTGCAGCAGACACCCCACGCCCACCTGGCCTCTGAGGACTCCTTCTATGGCTGGACGCCCGTGCACTGGGCCGCGCATTTCGGCAAGGTGGGTGCGAACGCTTTAAGGCGCCATTTTCCCCGGCTGTCCAGTGGGAGTCGGGGAAAGCGGGTCTGAGGTGCGGGGGACGTGGGGCGTGCCGGGATCGCGGGGCGGAAGCGGGATCGACGGCGCCTGTGCCCCGAGGGGCCTAGGGCGCCTGTGCGGCAGCGCTCGCGGCCCGGAGTCGCGGCGGGGCAGCCGGGGGGCGCGGGGCGGAAGCGAGGTCGGTGGCGCCTGCGTCCGGAGGGGCCTAGGGCGCATGTGCGGCGGCGCGCGTAGCAAGTTTCTAACAAGGCGGGCTCCAAGGGTCCCGGCGCCTGTTGGCCGGATCCTGTGCGAGCGCGCGCGCGCGCGGATGGTGCGGGGCCCTCCAGGCCGGGCCGGAGGCGCGAGCGATTTCGCAGAGCCGGGTATTAGGCCGCGAAGTCGCCCAGGCGGCTTCCGGGGAGCCGAGCTGGGGTCAGAGGCGCGCGGGGAATGCCCGGGCGCGGTCGACCTTCTGGTTCCGCACAGCCTCGCCAGTAGCCGAGGGCCGCGCTGCGGACGAGCTCAGCCGAGGAGCAAGCGCCCCGGCGGGACTGGAAGGCCCCGGCAGCTGTGTGGGATGGAGGCCGGCTCTCCAGCTTCTGGGTTTGCTTTAAGGCTTGTAGCTGGCCCCGCTTCAGCAAAATTAGTGACGGCTGTGTTTATCTTGGATCTAAATTACTGCAGAAGTGGTTAAATTAAGCAGAATTCTCTTCCCGTGGAGGCTTTACGTTCCCCTCTTTTTTCTTAAACTGAAAATTCTGGGGGAACACAGTGCTGCTTTAAGGTTTTAAAAGGTTGGATAGCTACCGTTTCCTCATCTGTGAAGTCGTTGGGGTACTTGCTCTCAGAAATCTTAAATAAGATTTCACCGTGCATTTCAGAAGTGACTGGTTTTAATTAATATTTCTTAATTCACTGAAATTCAGGGATGTGTATAGTGTTTTTCTCGTAAGTGATGAGATGGGGTTAAATGGTTTTGCAGAAATATGTGAGAGGTAATGTGAAATAAGTTACTTTAAGAAGGCCTGGCCCTGGTAATGTCGTTACCAGCTGATGAAGTTGCGGTTTACCTTGCTGCCCCTGGTGCTACATTCACAAAGCAGCTGTGTCTTTTGGAAAGCAGTTTCTGATTCTTTTAAAGTGGAAAAGTCACTTTTCTTTCAATAAAAGAAATGAAAAGGAGTTTTGACGATCGGGGTGGGACAAGCAAGTTAATCAGTCCTCAAGGGCTGTTAGGTTCCTGTGGCACTGTCTCTGAAGTTGTGCAACCGTAGTACCTGCTGGAGAAAACAGGTGCCCAGGGGAAATGAGTTTCTTAACAAACAAAAGTAATAAAGCCTCCTCCCTGCGCTTCTGCGTGCAGCCTTAAATAGATTTCCCGAGGCAGTCAGTAATCTGAGGATTTCCTCCCTCCAGAGTGTCTCTTGCTGTGGTTTATTTTTACACTAAACTTTAGGATTCTGTCCTTTCTACCCTGGTTGAGAACGACACAATACTGGGTGATAGTCAGTGAACAACGATCTGTAGAATGCTTAAAGCCTCATTACAGATGGTCACTTAGAAAATTTAATCCAGTGGTGCCTCCACTTGTCTCTGGGGATTAAAATAGTTACTTTAAAATGGTAATTTTTAATGTGTATTTTATCACAGTTTTTTAAAAAACACCGACTGAAATCACTTTTCAAAAGTCTACTTCCATGGGACTTTGAGTAGTAGCTTTACCTTGGTCATCAAATGTTGTAACAAGAAGCAGTTACTTCATTGTTTCCAGCTGTCTGAATCATAGGGCTCTTTGGTCTTAGATACGGAAGGGGCCTTAGAAAGCCCCTGTCCAGTGTCCAAACATTCCCTTCTGAGAAGAAGCCGTTAGGACAGAAATCAGGCCAGGACTCAGGGCTACCGCTTGCGAAGTCCAGGCTTTCTCCCCAGCCCTGCTAACGGCTGCCCTCTTACACAGGTTTCAGGCTCGTGTTCTTAGAAATGTGCTAGTGGTGCACAAGATCCCCTAACCGTTGGTAAGACTCGTTTGTTGCCAGAGGACTAAACGAGTTGTTTAAAATCTCTGTTGTAGCTTTTATACCATATTGAACAGTATCTTTCCAGAATTCCAAATCCAAGTTTCTAAATTGAACCCAAGGGTAACAGGTTTAAAGCCAGCGAGCCCTGAATAGCTGATTTTTGGTACGCCAAGTGATTTTCATCCGTTTTATTTTTATTGGATTTGCAACCTGTTCATCTTATCGCTAATTAATACTTTCATTTTCACCCAGTGAATTAATAAAGGCAATAAATAGACATCAGCCTTTACTCCCAGGTCCAAGTTGGTTGAAGAGGGTGTTTTGAATCTGTGTACTCTTCATCTCACAGGAGTGTTTACTGAAAGCCTGAAAGTGCTAAGAGAAATGGAAAAAGAAACCTTGAGTTGAGATGGTAGTGTCAGGTGTTTTGTCTTCAGGTGAGGTCTCTCCTCTTGAAGAGAATTGCTTGCAGTCAGGCATAGCTTGTTCCCTAACTGCATTGTGATTGGAGTGAGGGAAAATGAGCAGTCCAGGATCAGAGAACGTGGGTTGAACAGTTGCTTGGCACATGGTAGGCACTTGGTAAATTTGTTGAATGCGCTAAATTATTTTAGCCAGAGGCTATCATGGTATTGGTGCTTGGCCACAAAGTCTTAACTTGCCATGTTAGTCACCCACTAGGTGCATTGCTCAGTTATGCTGTAGGCTTTTTTCCCCCATAGGGTTTTGAAAAGAGTAAAAAAATGTGGAGAATGGGGCCTCTATTGATTATTCAATGAGTATTCAGTGCTGGCTTGTGTAAAAGTGCACAGTTGTGCACACTATAGAAAATAGTCTTTGACTATGACGAGTTTACTATGGCTACACAAAGTTTGTGGGGTTTTTTGTTGTTGTTTTTTGTTTTTTTGAGACAGGGTCTTGCTCTGTTGCCCACGCTGGAGTGCAGCGGCGTGATCTCTGCTCACTGCAACCTCCACCTCCTAGGTTCAAGTGATTCTCCTGTCTCAGCCTTCTGAGTAGCTGGGATTCTAGGTATGCACTACCACACCCAGGTAATTTTTGTAATTTTGTATTTTTGAAACCCCAGTATGGGGTTTCGCCGTGTTGGCCAGGCTGGTCTTGAACCCCTGACCTCAGGTGATCCACCCGCCTTGGCCTCCCAAAGTGCTGGAATTACAGGCATGAGGCACTGCGCCTGGCATTACACAAAGTGGTGGTGGTGGTGTTGGTGTTTGAGATGGAGACTTGCTCTGTTGCCCAGGTTGGAGTGCAGTGGCGTGATCTCAGCCCTCTGCAACCTCCGCCTTCTGGGTTCAAGCAATTCTCCTGCCTCAGCCTCCCAAGTAGCTGGGATTACAGGTGCCCGCCACCACGCCCGGCTAATTTTTTTGTATTTTTAGTAGAGATGGGGTTTCACCATGTTGGCCAGGCTGGTTTCGAATTCCTGACCTCAAGTGATCCACCCGCCTTGGCCTCCCAAAGTGCTAGGATTACAGGCATGAGCCACTGCGCCCGGCCTACACAAAGTTTTTTAACCCACCAATCCCTTTAACGTTTTTGTTTAGAATAGTCTGTGCAACAAACAGTTTTGATAGAAGTCTTGGAACAGCGCAGTCCAATATTTTCTGATTTTGGCTTATTCAATTGTAGGGAAACAAATATTTAAATCTGTATAGTGTTAGTCGTCTTTTTGCATTTTTCTATTTCTATCTACCGTCTTTTTCATAAGGACAAGGGAATATGTTATCTTAAATGTCCTTTAAAATTTGCATGGCATTGGGAAAGAGTGACTTAATCTGTTAAAAAACTGGTAACAATGCCATTTGTCACCATTATAGAATTTCGATTATTCATGTAATATTGAATAGTGTACTGACATGTCTGCGTGTTTTCATTACCCCTCTTGTTTTCGAAGTTGGAGTGCTTAGTGCAGTTGGTGAGAGCGGGAGCCACACTCAACGTCTCCACCACACGGTACGCGCAGACGCCAGCCCACATTGCAGCCTTTGGGGGACATCCTCAGTGCCTGGTCTGGCTGATTCAAGCAGGAGCCAACATTAACAAACCGGTAAGAGTGCTGGTGATGGACTTGGTTTGCTTTTGCTTTTTCTTTTTGCAGTTATAATTATACACGGTATTGCTTTAAATCGAGGCCTTAATTAGAGTTTGATATCTTTACCTGAGGGCAGACTGGAATTTATGTTTCTTCAGTTGTTTGTGGAGGATAGTAGGCCCTTTCCATAGGAATGCTTTCTGTTCATAGAGTGCTTTCACCTGTTGTGTGATAAACTGATCCAGGGTGATGTGCCCAAGGTTATAGCTGGTAATTAAAGGAGCCTGGCCTTGAGCCCAGGTTTCCTGGCTTTCTACTCATAGCTGCCTTAGCCTCATTTCCACAGATAATTATGAAAACATTTTCATCCTGGGAAAAGCATGGCTATTAAGTCAGCTCCAAAGTGAGCTTCAGATACAAGTTGATGCCTTGATGCAGATAAGTGCTAAGTATCATTTACTAAGTGGGAAGAGTAAGTGACTTGAGGACTTGGTATTTAAACATACTGACAGGAACATAATCGTGCCAGATTTTTCTTCATGGTGTGTTTTCAGTATCATTTCACCTAAACCAAACACACACGCATTCAGATTGTTAGGTACTTAGTTGTGTGAGACAAGCAGCATCTAATAACCATTAGGTTGTCTGACTGGGAGCAGTCCCTAGACTCAGCGTCCTTTGCTGCAGATGGATTAGTCCTTAGACTAATTGATAATTTTCATCTCTTAAGACCTGGGCATGGGCTCTGGGAGCTGGTTTTTATGCCTTTTTTACTCCTATCTTTAAATGCTTTATAGTCATCAAGGTCTTGGATGCAAAGTCGTCTTTCTACTTTTCTTTCCCAAGATTCAGTCCTTCATGATAACCAGGCATAAGGTTGTTGCTAGTCCCTCTTCTAAAAACCCAGCTACCCACCTGAGCAGTAAGTAATTGAGAAAGAAGGTGTTTTTAGCCATGATTTAAAACAAGGATCAATGGGAAAGTGGGGTAAGTTATAAGGCAGTTTGTCCCCTTAAAAGATGTGAAGTAGAAAAGAAAATGGAAGGTGGCCAAGAGTTGAGGCCTGTTTGTTACTAAACTGAAATGTGGGATATGGGACAAGTTTTAAGGTTGTGCTGCCACTTCTCTCCTTCCATCTCCACACGTGTGCCTTTACATAATGTATATTTCTCTGCTGCTCTGTTGCTTGTCTTCATAAATTCGAGAGTTATGAATTACCTACTCAATACCCTTATGTGCTGGGCAGCGCCTTGTGTTTTTCCTTCTTCCCTACCCCTGTCCCCTGGTAGAAAGGGCAGTGTGGGCTTGATTCCTTGGGCAAGTCATTAACTTTGTGGCTCAATCTCTTTATCAGTAAAATACAGTTAATAATTCCATGAATGGCAGTAATTAATAGTATGGAATTTAAGTATATCATTTTTGTAGGTTAATTTTCATCAAATTGTTACATAGCATCTTATTTAGAGAGGACTAGAGAAATTGTCTAACACTGCTTTCCAGACCTTTTTAAATCAAGAAGCCCCCTTTTCAAAGTGTCTTATGGCAGTTCAGTATTTTCAGTAGATAAAGGGAGTGAGGCAGAAAGTGTGCTGCTGGGTCTCCCACCTTCCTCTCAGATGCCTCTAGATAACACCTCCTGGAAACTTCTACCGCACTCTGCTTCTTCCCAGGCAGGATCCTAAAATCTTTTTCTTTTCAGCCCTCCCTGTATTTGAAGTATCCGGGTAGACATTTCCAAGTCCTCACATGTGCCTAGTGCATATCATTTGGCATTGTAAAGCATCCTGGAATTTCTCCTTAGTGTATCTTAGGTAGTTGTGGTCTGCTGGCATGTGGAGTTTACATCCGAATCTGAGGCATCATCTCACTCTATTATGTAGTGGGTGAATTTCAACACCTCTTGTTATGGGCACCCAGTGACTCTAGAGGACACAATAGCCCTTTTGTTAGCTCCCCACCCCGCCTACCTGCTGACTCATCTCCAGGTAGACAGTTTCTCTCATTTCTCATATAAACTCAGGATGCCAAATCCAATCCAGGTTTTTCTCCTTTGTTGTGTCCATTTAATTTTTTGAACCTGTTGATGCAGTGTTTTAAGCCAATTTCTAGTCTGTTAATCTTTTGGCATGTTAGCTACTAACAGTTCTAAGTTCATTTTCCTCAAAGTTAATACCACAGACTTTTTTGGCAGTCTCTGAGGTGAGATTACCAAAGCTCGTATGCTGCCTAGAGGCCTGTGTTCTCGATTTCCCCAAGAGGAAATGAAGCCAGCTTTCCTGTGATTTGTTTTTAGTGAATCTATATTGACTAGCCTTGGTGCGTAATTAGCAAACCTTCTCTTTCATATGCCTCTTCTAGAATTTTGGCATTTGATGTTGTCTTTAATTTTTCATATCTAGATTGGAAATGAAATTTTTCTTTATGAAAACCCAGGGTGCCCAGCCTGTCTTGAGCATTCTGGCACTGCTCCCAGTTCCCTGTAGATCACTCAATTTGCTGTGGCTGCGATGTGACTGGGCTGAGCTGGAGGCCCGGGCACCTTCACCTGGCTCTTTAGTCTTACGTATCTTTTCTCTTGGCTACCTTCTCTCAGGATGTCCGGGCCTTTCTCTAGTGTTTGCTCTGCCCCTAAAGATTGTCCCTGCAGAGCTTGGTAGTTTTGCTTTTTCATTGTCATCTGTTAATATCCCACCGTGACAGACCCTTACTTTTTTGTCTTGTTCCAAGGATAGCTTTAAAGACCTTTTTTCCTTTTTAGCCTTTTTCTTTTTTGGCAAAACTTTATCTAAATCTCAGCTCCAGTTTTCCTGGGAATGTTTTTATGTAATTTTTATTTGTCTTTATTTTGTACTACTTCTCTCCCCTCCTCACCTCTCTTTTGGGGAGGATAGGGCTAGGTTTTCGCTTTTTAAAAAATCCGAGTTGACTGGATAGTTTATAGCCGCATGGTTTTCTGTGTTTCTGTCTTCAAAAATGGATTTTTCTGTTTAGAACTTTACATTGCTTTATAGTCTCTTTAGACCTTTGTTTAAATAAATGTGCACACTTTTCCCTCTACCAAGCACTCGAGCCTTTCATACTCTTATTTTTCTGTAAATTAATCTACCACTGTTTTTTTTAACTTTGGGTGGCCCTCACCTCATGTTTATTCCTGTGAGTATGAGTTGGTGAAGGAGCTTAGCTATTTAGTGAGTTTAGGAATGAACTGTTTTCTAAGTGACCCACAGTTGCTGCACTCCTTTTTATCTTGGTCTCTTAATTGTGTGGTAGTCTGCGCAGTTCAGCTTCCAGTGAGGTTGCAGTGTGAGTATTCAAGAAGTGTTGCTGATCGAGACCATCCTGGCTAAAACGGTGAAACCCCGTCTCTACTAAAAATACAAAAAATTAGCCGGGCGTAGTGGCGGGCGCCTGTAGTCCCAGCTACTTGGGAGGCTGAGGCAGGAGAATGGCGTGAACCCGGGAGGCGGAGCTTGCAGTGAGCCGAGATCCCGCCACTGCACTCCAGCCTGGGCGACAGAGCGAGACTCCGTCTCAAAAAAAAAAAAAAAAAAAAGAAGTGTTGCTGTGGAGCCCCCAGGATTTCCCAGTCTTCATTTTCCACCGGAAAGCACTTTCTTCTCTTGATTGCTGTGTCTGATTGCCTTTCCCCTCTCTTGCTTAGCTGATAGCCTATGAAGATGGTCTTTCAGGTTGTTTCATTCATGCAGTGTAGACCTGGGTTGACTGCTGATGTTCACAGTGGCTTTCCTGGGTCTGCTCACTTTTCTCTGCCTCTGTGTGTGCTTCACCTCCCCACCGCCGCCACCCCACCCCCTCTGCACTTTCTGAACCAGGAATTTCATTCTTATGAAGCTTGGTTTGCTTTACCTTTGTGTTCTTCTCCCTTTCCTCTAATAAATACTGAAAATAGATTGGGAATATTTAGTAAATATTCCCTCTAGTAAATACTGAAAAATAGATCAACTGTTGAACCTCAAGCCATCTTGTCTAAGTTGTGGTCCCACTTCAAGTTCAAAGCAGAAGATTCAAGATCGGCATTGATGATGTTGACTCGGGTTAGCATTGGGGTAGGCACAGAGGAAAGTGGGTAGCTGAGACCATATGTCAGCTATTATGTGCTATTTCTTGGCCTTGATGACCGTTTTAATGTGTGTGTGTGGTTGGTTGGTTGGCTTGTTTGTTTGGTTACTTATTCTGGGTTTATATAAAACACACGTGCTAAGATCCAGTGTAAAGTGATTTATAAATCACTGTTGAGAGCAATCACGCTGTCACTACTGGAGAGGCCCCAAGATATTTGGTCAACGACCAAATATCTTGGCCCCTCCTGGTTCGTTCTCATCCTCCATTCACGTATAGATTTCTTTGTGTTCTGCTTCAGATCTTGCTCAACATGTTTTACTTCAAAAAAGGATGAGAAGGTCTCTGATCTGTGTTAATGACATTACTTCCAAAATGTCAGAAGTTTTGTTCTAAGTATGTGTATATTTTGCTTTTTGTTGTTTCAGGATTGTGAGGGTGAAACTCCCATTCACAAGGCAGCTCGCTCTGGGAGCCTAGAATGCATCAGTGCCCTTGTGGCGAATGGGGCTCACGTCGAGTAAGTGTCTTTCGTTTATTCTTTCCAGCTAAAGATGTAGTTGAGGATGTTTTGTTTAAAGGCAGTACATAAGCAGGCAAAAGTCCTAAAACTTTGTTTTCAAAATTAGTAATGTAATTTTGCCTTTTAGAACAGTTGGTGTTAGTGAGGAAAATTGTGTGGATTAAATTGATCTCTAGAGGAGGGGGTTTAATTTCACAGCAGCCTCAATATTCTTGTCGAGAGAGTGTATTTGAACTGAAAGAACAGTTAACTAATTAGATTTGGAACTTGGCATCATTACTTTGCCACCATTACTTTGCCACTAACTAGTTGTGTCACTGTGGTCTTTAAACTTTTCTTTGCCTAATTTTGATTTCAAAACAAGAAGCTTGGATTGGATTAAAATATCTTTTCAGACCTCTCTGGCTCAGAAGGTTTCTGAAGAAAATTCACTTTTCTAGGTTTTGATTTCCACGTCTTAGCAGATGTGAGAAAGTTATGTTTTAAAGCCCATTGTAACTTAATGGTTGATAGTTCCTTGTAAAATATGACTATTTACATTAAAGACCTCAAGCTTGCTGTAAGCTTCTGGTACTGGTGGCATTATTTTTAAATATCTTTCGTTTTAGCCCAGCTTACATCAGTTAGCTTATTTATGCTTTGATAGGACAATCTTAATGTTTACGTGTAGTCTTTTAGAAATGAGATCTTATATGCAAATCATTAGCCATGGCATTATACATTTATTTTAGTTGTTACATTTATTTGTATTAACTTTTTCTTAAAAATTTATATTATAAAAATTTTTCTTCTGCAGTTCACAGCATTAACAAAATGGATGCGGTTTTCACCCTTAAATGTTGAGTGTAAGCTATAGAGCTATAATAACCAAAATAACCAATATCAGCTTTTTTGTTTTACCTTAAGTGTTATGAATAATTCATGAAAATTAATTATAAACCACATTATTCTAATCAGAAATGTGAACATTTAGACTTCGGAGGAAATAAAACCCACAAAACTAGTTTAACCCTTTGGTTTCCATTTCATTGCTTTGACTCTGTATTATATTGAAAATAGATCCTAGACAGCAAAACCATACAGGCTAATGCACGACGTGTGTAGGTACCGGAGGCTGTCAATCATCTGTGAATAGCTTAGCTTCTGTTTTGTTAAGTTTATTGGCAAGATTCGCCATTAGTTTGGGCTGTGATCCTTATATAGTGATCTGGTATTATAAACATGGCCTCTGTTTACTGTTACATTGCAGGGACTCTCGCGACTTCATGTATAGTTGTGACTAAAGGTAATGTAGAAACAATTGATAGTATGTTTTATATACTAGTAGAACATTGAGATGATTCTCAGTGGATTGCTTTAAAGCAAAGTTATTTGTGCATTTTTCTTAGCTGTAGTTAGATTTAAAACTCTAATTTTTATAACAAACTTTCATTATAAAATACGGAGTCATAACATGATTAAATTGCTTGTCATTTATTCAAACAGTGGATAATTAGAAGTTGATATTTTTAATGACTTTCTAAATAATACTCTAATTGGTCCTGAACATTTTATTACAAAGATGTTTTATTCATTTTATGGATAGCTTAATCTTTTCAGCCAATAAATATCACGATGTCCTTTTTTTTTAGTAGGTGTCTTTTAAAAAATGAGAATCTTTTATTTACAATTCTGTCCTTGGTTACAGGGCCCTCAAGTGTCTCTTTTCCACCAGGTGTGGCTGAGATGGGCTCAGGTGCCAGTCTGTTTTTCCTTCTCAGTATAAGAGCCACCACTCAAGACCCTGCATTATGGTGACTTCCCTGGACTGAGCTTTCATATTTTTTTTAGAAGAAGTATTTAGCCTGAGCTACCTAGCCAAAAACAATTATAAGCCTTTGGCCTGGAGATAGAGCACAAGTAATCATTATTCATTGCTATTGTATATGTGGTTATTTAGTTTTAACATCGAGATAAAATGTCAGTTTTGTCAGTAAGTTAATTTGTAAGTTGCTTCTTGATTTCTGCACATTTTAATAATTTACCCCATTTAGTCCACCAACGTGTAACAGTTTGAATCTCCAAAATAATGGTACTAGGTCTATTTTATTCCCTGTAACGCTGCTCATATGGTAAAGTGTAGTCCTAGCAAATCATAACCGTTTCTTTTTTTTAAGACGTTCAAGGAGCATAGAATTAACTTATTTAAAGTTAGTTTTTTTCATTCAGAATGGACGAGATTATTAACTCTTCATATTACATGCTATAATATTTAGGAGATAATATAAATTTTTCCTTTTCCTGTGAATAGATTAAAAGCTGCCTTATATCAGTATTATTAAATTCATTTGCTCTTAATTCCTGCTTTGCTTTTTATATATCTGCTACATAAAGTGCCCAAAGTCTTAAATTGTTGTGCTTTTTTGGACATCAGGTACATAATAATAAGGGCAAGTACACTAAGTGTCTGTGGCTAGAATGGTTTGTTATATAACTTACTTGTTAATGTAGGTTGCATCTGTAAGATAACGCATTTCAGCTGCTGTGCATCGTATTAAATTTTCTAGCACCACACGTGAGTATGTTAATGGACTTTCTTTTTCTTTTCTTATTTTAAATCTTGAGTTTTGGTGCCAAGTTTTCTGTGTGTGAGGCTCTGTTTCTGGCTTATATGTTGGTCATTATTATTTGCCATTGTTTACATCTAAAAATTAAAACGCACAGGATTAAATCTAACTTGTGACCAAACTAAATGTTTGTGTACTTTAAAGGACCTAAATCTCTGTGTATGGAGTTTTCAGCAAGCACGTGAAGTTGTCACCATCCTTAATCTTGCTTATATGGTAGTTCCATTTTTCCACTGCCCCCAATATTTGAGTGCTGCTTGCTTGGTACTCAGGTATTGACTGGAAGAAGAGGATATACTATTACAAAAAGATTGTCATCTCATTTTTCTTTTGAACGATGGAACAAATAACAGCATAACATTAAGTCTTAATGTGATTTTGGAAAAAGACTTGAAAACTTGCTGTCTGCTGATAATTAAGAAGACCTTTTCACTACTAGCATTGTAAATAGAATTCGGGCCTTGGAATAGCTGTACTTTCAGTAATTTGGTACCAATTACTTTTGGCTGATTTGTGTTTATTTTCTTGAGAGATAAGTGGAGGATGTTTCCATATCAACCAGCTAGTAAAATAGCTTTTTGCCACTGAGTAGAAATAAAAAGATTTAGAATGAAACCAGCATGACTTGCATCTCAGGCAGATTTGTAGGTCCGTTTTAATACTGCATTATACGGATGCCAGTGTTTAATGGCAGAGTCTCAGAACTTTTCTACAGGAGAGGATTTCTTGAGAAGCCATTTATTCTGTGGTAACCAGATTTTCAGCTGGGCTACATGTATTTTAACTTAATTATTTTTATCTTAACTGGGATCATCAGATAGCTTGAGAAGCATCGATAGCCTTATATAAGCAAATTCAGTGACTCACTCTAGAAAAGTCTCTCTTGCCTAGTTTAGGAAGTAGGCACAGTTGGCTATAACAAAGCCTAGAATGTGATGTTAGTAGACTATTCTAATGCCACAAAGAATACTGCTTCACTTTAATTAAAAGAAATTTTAATTAAAATGGAATTGTCTTAGTTTGGATCATAATTGACCATTTATGACCCACCTTTGTTTACCATAGAGCCCTGTCTAGAAACCAGATTTTCATTAGGTCAAATACAGGTGATGAGCATATTTAATATTAGTGTTAAATTCATTTGTGACTTTTGCCCTTAGCAAAATGTAACCTAGATTTACTTTTAGCTATTCATTTTGAAATTCGTGGTTTCTTTATATTTGTTCATTTTTTTGCCCATCAGAATAATATTTCAGTTACAAAATCTACCAGAATTATGACTCTGAATTCATATTTTCTGATTTTAGGTCCTCTGAATTCTAGTCATCCTCACATCCTACTTTTGCCTCCTCTTTTTTTTTTTTTTTTTTTTTTCTAAAAAGAGACAGAGTCTCCCTTTGTCGTCCAGGCTAAAGTACAGTGGCATGATTATAGTTCACTGCAACTTCAAACTCCTGGGCTCCAGTGATCCTCCTGCCTCAGATTCTTGAGTAGCCAGGACTATAGGCACATACCACCATGCCCAACTAATTTTTAAAAATGTTTAGTAGAGATGGGGTCTTGCTGTGTTACCCAGGCTGGTCTCAAACTCCTGGGCTCAAGCAGTCCTTCCACCTTGGCCTCCCAGAGCACTGGGTTTACAGGTGTGAGCCACTGTGCAGCCTCCTTTTATCTAATTGTCCCCACAGCAGACTTGTCTGGTCTTGGCTATTTTCCGGTTGTTAAGGTGTTTCAGGATGGAGGAATCAGTTCCTGAGATAGTTATTAAGTTCTGCCTGCTAGAAAGGGACAGTAAGTGGGTTGATATCATTCTAGACTTGTTAAGAAATTGTTCAGAATTTTGATTGTTTTTCATAGCAGCTTGATTAAAATACAGATTTTAATAATTTCCTTACTACTTTTATAGGTAGTGCTTTCAAATAAAACCAGTGTTTGCTAAATCCAAATGTCTTTCTCCCTTGCTAAATTATAGCAGGAGCATGCTAAATATTTCATCAGACTACTGGAATGATGGTTTTACATTTTAATGTTTGAAAACATAATTTTGGTTCAATTGCAGTGTAAAACTATTCTCAGTAACTTTAAACTTGAAAACTTGGCACCAAATTTATTTAGGTAGAAACTCTTTAAAAATAGTTTCTTCCTATTATTAACTGAAGAATATATTTAAGAAAGTCTTCATAATTAAATAAGAGTTTGGATACCAAAGGGTTAAAAATACACATGTATTTCTTTTGCTGAAGATATCTTAGATGTTTGCTAATGTTTTATCTTTACAAATGGACAATTTAGTAATGTTTTTTATCTTTTTTTAATGATTCCATGTATTTGCTTATTTCCATCTAGGAATAGTTACTAATGTATTTGAGATACAGCATACCAAATTTTAAAGTAACCAGAATCGTGAGTTGATGGTTTTTAGTCCATACTGTTAAACTTATGTTGAAATATTGACATATTTAAATTGGCTTCATGCTAAAAAATTACCAAAGGTAATTTAAAAGGCAGTGTTTTAGAGCAGTAGCTCATGGTCAAGGTGGTCACATGACAATGGCTTAAGCTCAGTGTGCTTCTGCACCTTATGTTGTCTATGTATTTTTAATCCAAATGTTGCCTGCAAATATGTGATCCCTTATTATTTAAGTTTCCTGTATTATGAACCATTGCCCGTTTTAAATCACACAGAAGATTCTGAATCTGTAAAAACTACACATGTCAATGTTTTACAGCTACGTAATTCGAATTGACTTGATTTTTTCAAGTAATCCTAGAAAGGGGGAGCATTCCATATAGAAACTGCTGAAACTGCCACAGGTGCTTCTCCGAAAACCTTACAGTTGTGGCATTGAATGTTCAGTATCGCTTCCTTTCTGCACACGAGGCATACTGTTGAGGTATTTGTTGCGGTGATTGGTTTTAACGCTAATCTAGGAATTCAGATAGAGATGCTTTAGATTTGCATGCTTTGCTTACCTAATTTATGATATCTACCTTTCTATTTGTAAACTAACAATAGCTAAGTTGAGATCAGAATTTTAACAGAAATATTATTTATATAAAAATTGTTATCTTTTATTGTCACATGGCATTAACAATAAGAAAACATCCTGAAGGTGATGTGACAACTCGGATTCTAAAAATTATACTTCAGGTATTTCCTGATCCGTGGTTTTTCAAAATTGAAACAAAGTCGTTCTCATCAGAATGGCTTCTCCTTTGTTCTGGAATTGTGGCACTATAAGTGGAAACTGGTGGGACCCTGGCTGGCTTCAGAGTGGAGCCTAATTTTTAAAGTTCTTTAGGGGAGAATTCTTAGATATAAATTTTAGTGAAAGTTCTTTGGGGGAGAATTCTTAGATATAAATTTGAGTGTTTGAAGAGACAGGGTCTTCCTGTGTTGCCTAGGCTGGTCTCAAACTTCTGGCCTCAAGTGATCCTCCTGCTTCTGCCTCCCAAAGCGCCAGGATTATAGGGTTGAGCCACTGTGCTTGGCTTAGAGGTAATAAATTTTAATATTCTATTCAGAATAAGAAAATATAGCATATAAGCATTTGTATCTTTAGTAAAGTTACTGCCAGTTTGATTTTTTTTTTTTGCAAGTTACTTAGCAGAACATGTAATTCACAGTAAAGATGATTCTGTGTTGTACCACATTTTAATATTCCTGTTTTGAAAGAATAGTAGAGAGAAAATGGGTGGCCTGCTCAGTGATTGCTTTTCGTAGTCTTGGTGAATGTTACAGGAGATTGAATTTATAGATAAAAGCACAGTCATCGTAGTTTCCACAGTACATTGCAGCACATTTAGCTTGCTAGCCTAAAAATCTGATCATGCTGAGTTTCTTTTAAAGAAAGTTAATTTTAGAACTTCAAACTAGAACCAGTTTGAACCTCAAGTTGACCGTTGTCTGAGTTTTAAAAATCTCTTCCCATTTTCAAAGATTTTTCAAATGGATGTAGGAGAGGACCAAGGAGGTAGGCTATAGCTGTAGAACAACACAGTCCTATTTTCAGAAACGAACAGACACACGTTTTAGGTCAGGCACAGCCCATGTATCCAGGTGCATCAAACTGGGGATGCTAAGTTCAAAAGTGCGTCTGTTTTGAAGATTTCATCTGAAAATAATGTGTACACTTTCATTACTACCAGTTTGCATTCAAAATAGTTTTTGAGACTCTTTAAACTCTTCTGGATACTTTAATTTTCCCTTTGGAATAGTGTGTAAACACAGTCCGGATGAACTTTACTACTGATACCTCACTTGAGGTTGACAGGAGTGGCCAGCAGTTAGTGCCTATGGTCATGTAATACACTAAGTCAATACCTGTGGAGTGAAATCCGGTCTCTATAAAAAATACAAAAAAAATGGCTGGACGCAGTGGCTCTCGCCTGTAATCCCAGCACTTTGGGAGGCTGAGGTGGGTGGGTCATCTGAGGTCAGGAGTTCAAGACCAGCCTGGCCAACATGGTGAAACCCCGTCTCTACTAAAAATACAAAAAATTAGCTGGGTGTGGTGGTGGGCGCTTGTAATACCAGCTACTCGGGAGGCTGAAGCAGGAGAATCTCTTGAACCTGGGAGGCAGAGGTTGCGGTGAGCCGAGATCACGCCATTGCACTCCAGCCTAGGCAACAAGAGTGAAACTCCGTCTCAAAAAAAAAAAAAAAAAAAAAAGAAAAGAAAAACTAGTTGGGTATGGTGTTGTGTACCTGTGGTCCCAGCTACTCAGGAGGCTGAAGTGGGAGGAGCACCTGAGCCCAGGAGGTAGACGAGGCTACAGTGAGCTGTGATTGCACCACTGCACTCCAGCCTGGGTGATGGGAGTGAGACCCTGTTTAAAACAAACAGACAAAAAAACCTGTGGATTGAAGGGTAAAGGATGGAGTATTTAAAAAGTACTGTGACAGAACAAAGTACTGTAAGTACTAGAGTTGAGTGTGGATGGAAACACAGAACCTGTAAATCAAGTGTTTCATTTACGTGCTCAACTCCTACTGAATTTTAGCAATTAAAACATGAAAACTGAAATATTGGTTAACAAATGAAAATAGAATTTAAAGACCTGAACTTCTTTTATGATCTTTAATGATTATTTGTTCTAATCTTTGACTTGGAAACCCAAATTATTTTCAGTCTAACGTACTTGAAATTTAACTATTAAAAAAGTTGGAGGAACTCAAACTTTGAAGTTAGGGCTCCCTTTCTCCAGATAAAGCACATTGCCTGGTTTATTGTAAGGCACTTAGAACATGTAACCAAAAACACTCAATTTAGGAATAGGAATGATTGTTTTACAGCTAAGTGCGCTCTCAGAGTCTTTTGTTTTACACCCCTCTCAAGTTTACCTTTAGATATTTTTCTTGTTGTTTAATATTTTGTGACAGATTTGGCAACTTTTAAAAAGTTGTTTGAATTGAATAGTGCATAAAATTAATAGATGTTTTTCAGAAAATCCATTATTAAGAGTAGAGGAATGAGGAGAAATATTCGTTCTAAAGAGAATCAAAACCACAATGAGAGATTGTCTTACCCCCGTTAGAATGACAGTTACCAAAAGACAGTAACAAATGCTGACGAGAATGCAGAGGCAAAGGAACGTTTAAACACTGTTAGTGGGAATGTAGACTTGTACAACCGTTATGGAGAAGAGTATGGAGGTTCCTGAACAAACTAAAAATAGAACTACCATATGATTCAGCAGTCCCACTACTGGGTATATATCCAAAAGAAAATCCATATATGGAGACATCTGCACCTGCCATGCTCGTTCCAGCACTATTCACAGTACCCAAGATTGGAATCAACCTGTGTCTATCAGCAAATGAACAGATAAAATGTGGTATATATACCCCGTGGAATACTATTTGGCCATTAAAAAAACAAAATTCTGTTATTCTCAGCAACATGTATGATCTTAGAAGACATTATGTTAAGTAAGCCAGGCACAGAAAGATAAATACTCCATGTACTGTACTTATGTGGAAGGTAAAAAAGATCTCATAGAAGTAGAGAGTGGCTCATGCCTCTAATCTCGGTGCTTTAGGAGTCTGAGGTGGGAGGATCACTTGAGGCCTGGAGTTTGAGACCAGCCTGAGCAACATCTCTCAAAATTAAAAAAAAAAAAAAAAAAGTAGCCAGGCATGGTAGCACATGCCTGTATACCTAGCTACTTGGGAGGCTGAGGCTAAGGAGGATCCCTTAGCCCAGGAGTTCCAGGGTGTGGTGAACTATGATTGTGCCACTGCACTCCAGCTGGGGCAACAGGGAGATACTCTGTCTCTTTAAAAAACAGTGGTTACTAGATGGAAAGATAAATTCTAGTGTTACCTTGCACTGTAGGGTGACTAACAGTAATTTTTTATTTTTTTTGTATGGCTAATTCAGTACAAATGGAAAGTGTTTGAGGTGATGCATATGCAATTATGCTGGTTTTTTTTAATCCCTATACATTGTATTGGAATTTACAATGTACCCCATAATAAAGGATAGAGGAATATTTACAGTATCATCTATTTGGTTAAATGTTATTCAGCAGTTCTGGCCTGCTGCCTTTTTTTGTATAACCTATGGCCCAAGAATGGTTTCTACATTTTTTAATAGTTGAGCAAAAATCAATAGAATAATATTTTCTAATACATAAAATTAGATGAAATTTCAGTTTCAGTGTTCATAAATAAAGCTTTATGAGAGCCATGCTCAATTGCCTTGAGGCTGCTTTCAGCCTACAACAAAAGAATTGAGTAGTTAGGACTGAGAATGTATGGTCTCCAAAGTCTAAAATAATTACTACATAGTCCTTTTTAGAAAAGTGCCTTCTGGATTAGATGATCCTTAATGATCATTTCAGGCCAATTTCTATAATGTGCACTACACAGTTGAGTGACCACTTGCAAGATTTTTAATGTGAGCAGGGATAGTAGAGATGATGAATGTAGGTAAGGAGAGGAAATGAGAATGAGGACTTTCAGGGGCAAGAGATGGTGGTGTCATTTTGTGTTGTGTTCCTGAGTCAGGTACCAACAGATTTCCTCTGAGTAGAATATAAATGCTAACAAATTAAACTGTATGTTGTATACATTCAGCCCTTGGTAACAAGGAAAATGATAGAATTGAAATGTTCTTGTACCTCACTAGAAGCAGAGAAAGGGTGCTGGATATTTCTGTTTCCGATAATGCTGCATAGATAGTGCCACTTAAATGTAGAGCAAAATTACAGTCTCCTCTAAGTAATTCCTCCAGTTACCATGTGTCCTAGATTCCGATACCTGTCCAATACAATTTCTAGAACTTTTTCACCTCCCCATCATGTCTGCCTTCTAGTGCCCCAAAATTATGTGAGATGCTAGAAGTTGTTTGACCTGTGATTGTTCTTGCTTCCTTGGTCCTTACGTACGAGTACATAGCATGATTGGGCCAGAATCCGTCTTTTGAGCTCTTCTAGTAAAGTAAGTTTTGAGATAATACCTAAGACCACATGGAAATTTGGTTGGTCTAAGTAGAGGACAAGCACGTATTTAACTACCTTTGGCAGGGGAAAAAGTGAAGTGGGAGAGCTTACCAGTGCTACCTATGTGTAGGCTGACACTCTGAAACTTCAGTCTCCAGGAATCTCCATATGTTGGCACTATTTTGTTGATTATTTTTCTATAAGGTTATATTTCTTTGGAAGATCAGTAAACTTGCTGTTCTAACCCAAATTCAGTGTAGTCTTCAGCTTCTGAATAAGGAATAAAGGAATCGAATGTGCTTTGGATGTTCTTTTAACAATTTCAGAATGTTGGCATGCCCTTTGAGCATCTAAACTTCCCTCAGCGAATTGGTATTTATTTATTTATTTAGAGATAGAATCTTGCTCTGTTGCCCAGGCTGGAGTGCAGTGGTGTGATCTCGGCTCACTGCAGCCTCTGCCTCCCAGGTTCAAGCGATTCTCCTGCCTCAGCCTCCCAAGTAGCAGGGACTATAGGCATGTGCCACCACCACACTCCGCTAATTTTTTGTATTTTTAGTAGAGCCAGGGTTTCATCATGTAAGCCAAGCTGGTCTCAAAGCTCCTGACCTCAGGTGATCCACCCGCTTTGGCCTCCCAAAGTGCTGGGATTACAGGCGTGAGCCACCGTGCCCAGCATGGTATTTATGATTCTAAGTGCCATTTCAAAAATCTGTTTGCTCTTTTTTATTCTCTGGTCCACTAAAGAGTAATCTTTACTGTGGGCTTTATTTCATATTTTTATTTGTCCTAATACTAAGTGGTAGCTTCTCATTTCTCTGTTTCTTGATTTTGGAGAGCAAGTCTATGCTTATCTATAGAAATAATCAGTTTGTAAACTTATGTTCTCCTTGAAGAGTTTTTGAATTTTCATGTGGCAACTTATTTTTCTGTTCACATTCTTGACAGAATAGACCCTCCCAGGTCATCTGCACTTCTGATATCTTTTGAAAGTGAAATATACCATTAAAAAAAAGTCCAGCTATATGATGAAGCTGTCACGTAATATTAGTATATTTTCTATTTCAATAACAAGGTGATCTGATTTTGTACAAAGTATAATTAATGTAATACAATCTGCCCAAACTTTGGTGCTTCCTTTTCATTTAATTCATATATCAAAATAAAAATATTATGCAATACTAGAAAATACTCATGGCCATTCATAGCCATGCAGTCTTAATAAGGCTAATAAAAATAGTGACTTTAGTCTGTAATAGTCCTGCACATAGCCGCCTTATATTTTTAAGAATTTTGTTGGTTTCTGAGATTCTCAATTCTCTTTTATCTCTGATCAGATAGGATTTGGGTCTTTTTTCAAAAGGTGTAATGCATTTATCTTATGCTTTAAAAAGTAGAGACGCTTAGCTAGTGTCCATGCACACTTCTCATTTCCAAGGTCAGAGCTCTATGATGTCTGCAAATAACGAATACAAGGCTATTGTCAGTCCTTATAAATAAGAAAATATTATTTGTCCCTAATTCTGTAGTTTTCACTCTCAAATGCGGGGTTTTTTTTTTTTTTTTTTTTTTTTGCATTAACAGTAACCCCAAGAAAGGCATCAGGGTTCTGGAGTGGTTGTTTGAGTGACACAGCACAAGGCCTTGATTTCATCATGCTTTTGCTGTGGATGTAGTGTAGCTTGCTGAACAGGTATGGAAGCTGTCTTTGCTGTTAAGTACTTCTCCCGTTTGTTTATCAACCTGCAGCTAACAGGATGTCTGCTTTTTTACAGGTTTATTTCACAGAGCAGTGTACATTCTTGTCTTCCAGGGGAACTTCAACATGGAGTTACTTTTGATCCCTCAGTTTTAATTCAGTGTCTAAAGGTTTACAAGTTCAACTTACTCTATTTTATTCAGCTCTTTCACTTACTCTGCCATCACTTCCTACTTGAATCTGAGTTTTAGCTACTGTAGAGGTCTCAGACCTTTCCTTTTTAGTACTATTAGCCAGGTAAAACTTTGGTTCTTGTGAGTGGTAGGGATGAGTTTTTAGGACAGTATTCAAAGCCTTTTTAAAGGAACCAACTACTCAAATGCTCTACAATGCCAAAAATACAATACTCCTGCAGGTTTTCCCAAGCAAGGCCAAAACAATCAAAATCTGACAGAAAAACACAGCTGTTCAGCTCTGGAATCTGATGATAGGCTACTTTTTAATGTCAGGACATCCTTCTAAACTTCCACTTACAGTGTCACATGTAAGCATGAAGGCTGGCTCGTTGGTGAGCCATTGCTTTGTTTTTAGGAAGACAGTTATGAATGCCATGGACAATCTCAGTACATGTTGTTTGTTATGATTTTATTCACGCTAAAGGAATGGGTATTAAAATTAAGTGCATATAATATAGAATTCAGTTTCAAGTCTGAAGTTAGCGTAAATTTAGATTCTTCAGACTAACATAAAACATGATTTTGAGAAGTTAAATAGGAAGATGCCTTTTTTAGAAGTTTAGCATATTTAGTTTATCTCCCAAATCTTGCTTAGAAATCAAATGTATATAAGAGAAGTTAGTTACAGAGCTAGATTGATTAACTACTTCTTTAATGAAGATTTGCTATGAATTTGTTTACTCTTTCATACCACCTTCAGATAGCTAGTCAGTTCAGCAGGAGCAGAGACCAGGTTAGCACGCGGATGGGGTGTAATTCAGTGTTTTTGTGTTGTACAGCCTGAGAAATGCCAGTGGCCTGACAGCAGCAGACATTGCACAAACCCAGGGTTTCCAAGAGTGTGCCCAGTTTCTCTTGAACCTCCAGAATTGTCATCTGAACCATTTCTATAACAATGGCATCTTAAATGGGGGTCATCAGAATGTATTTCCTAATCATATTAGTGTGGGAACAAATCGAAAGAGATGCTTGGAAGACTCAGAAGACTTTGGAGTAAAGAAAGCTAGAACTGAAGGTGAGACCGCTTTGCGGGTGGGAAGAGCACACTTATTTTTCCTTTCTGTAATATGTTTTCTTTTTATGGCTGAGCGCACCTTCGAGATGAGACCTTCACTTCAGGTGGTAATGCGCCTGGTGGATTGTGCGGTGACGGTGGAGATTTCTCCTGTACTGCCACTGCGAAGATGGGACTTAACAAAAGGGAATGTGAGGGAAATACTGATGGCCCAAGTGTAAATGTCTATGTGGAACTTTTTGAGCACCCATGTTTACCTGCCATGAATTAGATTTTTTAATTTGTTGTATCTGTTTGAAATATATCTATTAAAGAAAATCTGCCACTGTGCCTGAATTTTTTTTTTTTTTTAATTTGCTTCTTGTAAATGTTCCTGGGCTTATAAAAATTGCTGATGGTCTGGCAGTAAAACATTTTCACATTCGGGAAGGTGAATGTTTTCTGTACTATTTCTGTACTATGATTTGACCTCAGTGGTCTCTGTACCTCACATGTGTGTTGACTTATCACAGCAAGATCTGGTGTATAATTTGATCTTGAGGATTTAAGTCCCTAAGGTAAGTTATTTTCGTTGTAAGTATTCTCCCACCATTTTTTTTTTTTTTTTTTTTGCTCTGTCACCCAGGCTGGAGTGCAATGCTGTGATCTCGGCTCACTGCAACCTCCGGCTCCCAAGTTAAAGCAATTCTCCTGTCTCAGCCTCCCAAGTAGCTGGGATTACAGGTGCATGCTATCACACTGGGCTAATTTGTATTTTTAGTAGAGAAGGGGCTTCACCATGTTGGCCAGGCTGGTCTTGAACTCCTGGCCTCCAGTAAGCCACCTGCCTCGGCCTCCCAAAGTGCTGGGATTACAGGCATGAGCCACTGTGCCTAGCCGTTTTTTGGGTTTTTTGTTTTTTGTTTTTAAGGTAGGTTTGAGTTTGCAAATAAGCAGTCAGCCAGTCACTCTTGAAGTTGAAAACATCTCCCTTTCCTATAGGAAAATCATCTATATCTATATATAAGATGTCTTAGGCCAGTTGTCATGGCTCATACCTGTAATCCCAGCACTTTGGGAGGCTGAGGCAGGAGGATTACTTGAGCTCAGGAGTTCGAGACCAGCCTGGGCAACATAGTGAGACCTTGTCTCTATTTAAAAAAAAAAAAAAAAAAAAGTCTTAATAAGAAGGTAAATGTGATAGCTTGGCAGGCATATTTAGTGAACTTAGGGGGAGAGGTGGGAGTGTGAAGTAATGAAGCAGATTATGAGCTCAGATTTGCTGAGTATAAGCACAAAGTTTTGCCCGTTGGTTTAAAAAAATCAACCGTGCAAGTTACAGCATAAGGAAAACTGAGTGACTATCAGTTAATCACTTAAAAATCTAGAGATTTTGGTTAAATTTCATGAACCAACATCATCTTTTCTACCTTATTTAATGAGTGTGTCCAAGTGAAACATTTTTTCCCTATAAAGTTGATAAAATGTCAGTATTATGTACTTCACAACTATATCTTGTCACCATAAAAATTCCTGTGATAAGACTTTTTATAGTAATGTATGAACTTAACAGTTTTATCAAATTCAAGATTTTTATGAGTTAAGCATTTCTGGAAAGATGCTAAAATCATAAGCATGACATGAAGATCTGCATAAAATTCAAAATGGTCTTTTTTAATGGTGATGTATTCAGCATTGTCATTTATTTGTACCATGTTTTAATATATTTTTTCTAATGTAGTTTCAA
Source organism: Homo sapiens (assembly GCF_000001405.40). Lineage (NCBI taxonomy): Eukaryota > Metazoa > Chordata > Mammalia > Primates > Hominidae > Homo > Homo sapiens. Next base: position 110,891,301 of record NC_000013.11, on the reverse strand, counting down.
CGCCTTTTTAAGAGCATCCACTTTTTAAAAAAATCCTTTGTCATTTCCTTTAATTAAAGCCTGGTTAGTATTGTAGAGTGGCCTCATGCCCTCATGCACGAATTGTACATGTCTGTCCCTGTATGTCACTGTATAGTCTAAATGTCCTTGAAAAATGATTTATGCTTCATTTTCTCTTATTGCTGATAAATCTTAAATTCTGTTTAGTATTTTTAAAAAGAGATCACTTAACATGCTAATTGGACTCAAAATGCACCTAGAAGAGTTCGTAAAACTAGTCTCAGAGTTTCTAAGGTCAGTTGAATTGGCCAATACCACATTGCTTAATTACCCTGAAAAGCATTTCTGAGGATTCCTTGTTTCCTAATCCTCGTTAACTACATAAATTTGGTTTAAAGAGTCCTGCTGACTTTGGGGGTTTTATTTTCTTCCTTTAGAAGGAGGATTTGTTTTGGTTGACCAGTGATTAGAAGTTCACATTTTGCACATTAAACTCACCATGCAGCCTTCCCAAACTATACATTCCTGGTCCCAAGCCCGAGGGTGCTAATTTAGACAAAAATATGGTTGGAGCCGGCACTTCTGCTTAAGTGTTGCAGGTAATACGTAGACCTAACAGGTTGAGCCACTGTTGCAGGTACACAGTACATGACTGATGTTTCTGTGATTATCACAGTTGAAATATTTCAGCCAAGATGCACATTACTTCAAAGCTGCTCATCCTTGGTTTTCCTAATTTGTATACTGACCATGACTTTACTAATTTCCTGGAACTTCTGATGGTTCTGTCTTTTATGTAGTTGACAGTCCTTAGATTTGCCACACTCGTCACAAGAGTGTGTTTATATTTTTTTGTGTCTGTGTGAGCATAGATGGGCATCTTTAGCTCACCTGCACTCCCACCACTCGTTTCCCTATGGGAAAAGGTGATTTTTTGCCCCCCTTTTACCATTACATACTGAGAGTGCTGATGTCGGGTATTGGGAGTCATTCTTGGTCATTAAAACAGGATTTTTTTTTCTGCCAATTACCTGAATGTTCTACATGAAATTGTTCTTGGTTTCAATAGATATATAATTATTTCCATATTAACTGACCAGTTTTTTAGTTTTGAATTAAAGATATGTTGCTTTAGTTTTCGTTGTAATTTCTGGCATCTTGTTTTGATTTTGTTTAAATGTGTGTTTTAAGTTTTGCTTAATCTGAATTATTTTATTAGGTTTTTGGTTCTCATGCCAGAGTAAAAGAAATGATAAATTCTTTTTTCCTCATTTAACACATGTATATAAAATACTTTGAGTAACTTCACATATAAAAATATTTAGAAGAGTTTAAGCTGGGTTTTTTGTTTTGTTTGGCTTTAAAAACAAAAAAAGTTACAGGTGCCAGGGATAATATCTTGGCTGCGTAACTTGTATCTTACCAATAAAACTTAGTGCGTTCTGTTTTCCTAGAATTTAAGAGTTACAAATATTGATGCTTTTAGTGTGGAATTTATATTTACAAAAGTAATTACTTCCAGAAAGTTTTCTGGCTAAGTCACCTCTTAAGGAGATCCCTGTAAAATTCACCCTTTAAAAAAGAAAAAGAAAAAGCCAAAACACTTTGGAATCCTGAGTCTGAATGTTAACCATTCTTCCCCACAAAAAGTAGTGTCTGCTTTTAGTAAACTACTTTCAAGTATTTTAAATTGGAGGAATTTTCTTTTGGAAGCTGTTGATGTAAAAGATCTTAAGTGAAGAAGAAAGACTTGGCCTTTTGTATTGCTTGAATATTAACTGTCTTGGAAGGAAGTTATGCTACAAGAAGTCATACTTTCATAAAATTATTTGCATCTGTGTCAAATGCAGTTTAGTCAGAACGTAAGACATAATAGGTGTGGACATGAACTCTGGAGTGTGAAATAAAATCCACAGTTACTTAAGCAGTCTGTTTTGATGGAAAGTATCTTGGGATAATACTTTCCTCAGTGTGGGATTTTGTTCATTTTAGATGGTGCAAGGAAGTATCAGTCTTTAATTTTTTTGTTGTTGTTTTTATCAATCATTTGCTCTGATGGTATGATGCATGGGCTTCAGGACTCCAGCTGCACCACTGTATAAAACTCAGTTCAGGTTTGCTAGCGTTCTTGGTTAATCTTCAGGAATAACCCAATACAATTATTTTTATATGTACTCCTTGGAAACTGTGGTCGTTTTTCAATGATCTTGGTTAGAAAAGAATGCCAGTCCCTTCCATGAGTGAAAACTTGATTTTGCTGATTGATAATTGTTTTGGATGGAGCTCTAGAGTCGTGGGGAAGAAGCAGGGGAACACAGTGAGTTTAAAAACTGACCCAATAACTTCAATTTCACAATTGGGACATTTGCCCCAGAAGTAGGCTGTGGTGACAGCAGATCTCAAGTGTCAAACTGACTTCACAGCTCGGTCTTAATCACATAGGCATATTACTGATCTTAGAATCTCATTCATACTGTGAAGGTATTGAATATAAAAACACCTTACAGAAAAAAGTATCTACAACATGATGATTTAAAGGTAAAATTACCGGTGGAAAGTTTTAACACTTTCCCAGAGTGGATTTAACCTGGATAAAGGATCTCTGCCTTTTGTCCTTAGCTGTTCGTGTTGAGCAGGGTTAAAGACTTGGTAAAGGAGGGCAGATATGACCAGCTGGTTTGTTAAATGATAGATGTTTATTGCTTGAAACTTGAGAGGAAATAAAATGCCTCCCAGGAGTAAATTTGTAATTTAGTTCCTTCTAGTTTAGTTACATATTATAGCACTTTAACTCCTGACGTCCTCACTGTTTTCAAATTTGCAGTATATTTGTTTATAAAAATGTGGCCAGGATGATAGAACACACCTACCTAATTGTGTTCAAATAAGGAGTGATTGTTTTTTCTTGATCCCTGAAGATGTGACGTCTTGAAATACAGTCTGAATTACACTTCCAGTCCAGACAGTGTCTGCGTTTTCCACTGTTAAAAGTCTCCATTTGAGCAAACCTCATGGGCCTGAGTTGTCCTCAGCACAGTTGTGGACACTCCAGTGGGAAGCAAAACGAAGACTGGCACACTTGATCACAAGCCGCTTTTGTATTATTTGAGCCAAACCCCCAGTCCCCCCCGGTCTTTCCAGAGCACTCAGTTCCCTTCTCTGTCCTTTGTCGCTGCTGCTTCCTGCTGCCTGGAGTCATCCCAACCCTCTGCACTGCTGGAATCTGGGCCCTGGCGGGTCCCGCGAAAGGTCACCTCATAATAGAAAAACAATTTGGTTTTAACAGGACCTTAAAAAGTTGAGTAAAATGTGCTCTACAGCAGAACAAAGAATAGTTCCAGGTAATGGCTGGTGGGAAACCAGGAAGGCAGAGTGTCTTTCCTTGCTGCCTTAATGAGAGGACATTGAGGCTTCCCCAGTGGAAGCAGCAGCAGGATGCACTCAGTTCAGTGGAAAGGCCACAGGCGGGAGGGGTCCTGGGCCATTTGGCCACCTCTCAAGGGTTATGGGTCAACACCTGGGACCCTTCCACACAGCACCTAGAGGCACAGTAAAAGGTAGATGACTAATCTAGGTCAGGATCTCAAGCTTTGCCTAAGTTCATTGGGTGAAACTACTTGGCAGTTTCTGACTTGTAAAATGTCTCCTGATTTAGTCTTGGGGAATATAACCAGTATGGCTTGGGTCTTGGGAGTAATGTCCTGCTGGCTGATTGGAGCACTTCATATCCCAAAGTATGACTTTATAGAGTGCTTTTTGGTTTTTTATGTAAAGATTAAAGTTGTGATCAGGCATTTTTCCTAAGCCTTACATGTATCTGCAGGCATGCCTGGCAATTACAGTCCTGTTTTCCTGTGTGTCAGTATGAGTGGTGCACTGGAGTGTCTTCACTCCACCTGGTCAGCACTCCCATAAGCCTCTGTAGTGGCACGACCTTGGTGTCCAATTGCATTACTTCTGTAATGCAGCAGACCTTCCCGGACTTGAAACTAAGACTTTTTTCATGGTTTCAAGCTGCTTGATCCTGAATAGCTCATACAGTTACAGAGTTACTGGGAACTGGCTTTAGGGGTTTTGTGCAACCCCCAAATTTCAGATGAAAATACAAATGCAGACCGTTTAGTTGCCCTGGGCATCAGCCCCAAGTGGAGCATCTCTGTGTGTCCCCCAGGGTCAGGAATGTGGGTTTCTCAGCCAGAGGCGTGCTCTACTGGCTCTAGTTCTCACTTAGGAGGGCAGGCAGTGACCACACCTGGCTTGTGGCTGTATCTCTGAGCAGGGAGGCTGGAGGTTTTGAGCTAGTCCTAGATAGGTTTCCATCCTGAACGTTGTGTCTCAGGTGTACTAGAAGCCTGTCTTCCCAACAGACACCTGACACCTGCTTTTACAGTCAGCAGGTGAAGACCCTTTGAAAAAAGTGGTCATACTAACATTTTCAGAAGCATTCAATCATTGTGTAACTTTAAGAATCAATATTAAGATAGGAAAGTATAGTGCTTCCTTTCCCAAACTGAGTAAACTGATGACCTTGGAAGACATGTTTTTCTGAAATGTCTGTACAGGCCACCCTTCTCAAATGCAAGGTGTAATTAAATGATTCCTTCAGCAATGGCAACAGGTGTGGGGGAAAATGCCACAGGTGGTAGGGTCTTACAGGTCCAAATCCAATGTTCTTAAAATTTTGAGAGGCCAGTTTTAATTTCATGGCTTACAACATAATTAAAAGAGATAATTGCGGGCTTAATATCTCTACCAGCCAATTAACTTATGTATAGCTACTAGGAATGAAGAAGGTGGCACTCGTGAAACAGCATTATCCAAGGCTCTGTGACAGCTGGTTGTGGGAACTACACCGTATAGAGAGGCTGTATCTATGGAGATGGAATGAAATTCTAAGGTTCTGTTGGAATGATTCCCACAATAGAATCTTGATTGGTAAAATATGGAAGCCTTTCATTCTTATCCTGCTTTATTAGAGAAACCATCTGCATTAACAAAAGATGCATCTACTCAATGGAGCAGTTTCTGAGAGGTCCCTGGTCACTGTGAGCCTTATAGTTACAGGATTAATTGTTGCTGGGAGACTAGTGTGTTTCCCGCTGCCTCTTCCCTGGGCTGCCCTTAACGCGGCTCTTCCGGCCCCTAGTGGCACCTCTGCCTTCAGGGTGCATGTCCCTGCACCTCGCATGGCCAGGCCTGCCTGGATGGTTGTGACTCCTCAGGTTGTATTACAGGCTATGCCAGCTACTGATCATTTGTTTTTGTTTACCTTGTGTTTTTGTTTCTCCTGGCTAGTGGGTGGGCTTCATCTGCTGATGTGAGTACTATTCTAGGTACTGGGCCTAGTGAAGGAGAAGACAAACACCCCAGCTTTCGTGAAGCTCTTCTCTGTTGCGGTTTTCTAACCTGCTTTTCAGAGGTGTGAAATTGCAGGTAACCCCTAGTTGCCACTTTATCCGGGGAACATTGGCATCTGAACGCCAATTGAGTGTGTAGGTATTTTAAGCTGTCTGCATTGTATTCCCATCAAAGTCCACTCTTTTGTACAAACCGTGTTCGTGTGTGGCTTTGCAGGATTGCAGCCTGTGGGAGGAGCAAACGTTGACCCGCTCTTGGCTGCAGGTTCTCTGTGTCTGCGTGCCATGAAGGCTCCTGGAGGTTGAGACGACTTTGGCACACTTGGGGGATCTGCTCTTCCACCACCCCCCTCTCCCATTCTTTTTTCTTTTTCTTTCTTTCTTTTTTTCTTTTTTTTTAGATGGAGTCTCGCTCTGTCACCAGGCTGGAGGGCAGTGGCGCAATCTCTGTTCAATGCAACCTCCGCCTCCTGGGTTCTAGTGATTCTCCTGCCTCAGCCTCCCCAGTAGCTGGGACTACAGGCACTCGCCACCACGCCTGGCTAATGTTTGTATTTTTAGTAGTATTTATTCAGCATGTTGGCCAGGACGGTCTCGATCTCTTGACCTCGTGATCCACCCGCCTCGGCCTCCCAAAGTGCTGGGATTACAGGCATGAGCCACCATGCCCAGCCCTTTTTTTTTTCTCTCTCTTTTTTTCAAAAGATGCCCTGCTTACACACTGATCTCTTAAAAGTGCATGCCTGAGTCATAGTGAAAGTGGAGCCTGGCCTGTGGAAGATTTTTTAAAGCTTTGAATGGATAAGACTAAAATCCACCATTGAATGCCTCTGGTCTTAAAGCACTTGTATTTGAAGAATGCTTTTGGCCTCCTACCTAATCAGACTTCTGACTACCCCCCATCCCCCCAACTACACAAATCACACTGTTCTGTTTCTCTCCCCCATACTAATTTCAGAAATCGGGTTTCTCATTCTGTACATTAGCATCTTTGTAGAATAATCCAGATATCATATATACAGTATAATCAAAAATGACTCGTGGGCCTCTAAAACTAGAGCTAATTCAAGCTGCAAAGTTCCATTCTCCCTATTTTTAAATGTTTATATGAAGGAGGTATTTAGCACTGAAAGTTGCTATTTGTGGTGTATATTCTTTGGCCCAGAAATAATTCTAAGTATCTGAGTTAACCAGAAATACACATAAAAATGCATTTATGAGTATGTTAATTGTGGTATTCATGATAGGAAGGAAAAGGGAAGCAGCCCAGACAGCTGCAGGGAATTTGGTTAGGCGAATCGTAATACAGCCATAGGGCAGAGGAAAGATTGTTTTGAAATTAACTGATAGGACATTTATGCCATGGTAAATGAATAAAGCAAGGTGTAACAGTGATTTGTTAGAATCCTTTTTGGTAAAAACATTCTTAAACACGAGAAGCCGTTCAGACACATGGAGCTGCTTGTTGTAAGAAGTGAGTCTTGCTAGGATTCAGAGGCGGAGGTGCTTGTGCAGCGTGGGTATGACATGGGGCATTCGCATCTCCACAGTACAGAGAATGGTCATCTTGGAAGTGAAGTGCCCGTGTAGCTTTAGCTTCACATTTCTAACGCTTTCTGTATTTTGGTGTAATTATTTTACTGTATTTTGGTGCTCAGATCAAATGCCACTCTGGGACAGTGCTGACAGACTAGTCTTGAGTCTCTTAGCCTTTACATTATTTTTTTTGTTAATGGAAATAGTGGATTTTTTTAAAAAATCAGGATTGTTTTAATTGTATGTAAATTTAAGAATTGTCTTAGTATTAAAAAAAAATCTGCTGAATTTGAAAATGGAGTTTGGAATTGTTTCCAGGTTATATAACCACTTCATGTCTTCTAAATGTCCAGAAAATTAGAATTTTTGCCATCAAGTAAATCTATAATAGGCATCTGAAATTCCATGACCTTAAAATCTGCACATGTCAAGAAATCTTTTTGATTGTGGAAAAGTTTTTCAGTTGTGTGCTAAGCTCATTAGTGACCTGTCGATTTTTTTTTATGTGATTGTTTAAAGTGTTCAGTGCTCACACAAAATAATGTAAACTGTGTGTCTGAACACTTATCTTGTTACAGACAAAGGAATCTGAAATAGTCTTTGTTTTCTGTGCAGCTCAAAGCTTGGATTCTGCCGTGCCACTCACGAATGGCGACACAGAAGACGATGCTGACAAAATGCACGTTGATAGGGAGTTTGCTGTTGTAACAGGTGGGAGTGGACAGTTTCCTGTTAGCTGCAACAACAATCCAATGGTTGAAGACACCAAACAGCAGGAGAGTGGTTCTGTTGGACCAAAAGAAATAGAAATATATACTGTGTCAGCAATGCAGACCCCCTGTCGTTGCAGGAATCAGTATGCATATTATTTCTAACATAAGTTTTTCTCAGATGTTTTGCACTTTGTTGTCCAGTGTCTTTTTAAAAATGTTATACTATAATTTGCATATCTTGGGCAAGTTTGTAGATACAAGAAGTGTTTTGGGTATATTCTGTGGACATGAAAAATGTAAGTGCAATCTTTATTCTGATTTGAAGCTATTGCTTAATGTGCCTTGCTTATTTTTAATGAGGTTTGCATTTTTAATTTTCTGACATATGGCCTTTGGGTGAATATACCGAACATGCTACAGTTAATATTTTCAAACCAATATACCACAAAGAGGACGACTAGCAGTAAACACTGAGAAACTAGTAAATGTGGTTCTGACTCAGCCCAGTCACTCCAGCATGGAATCTTTTACCCAGGACTTGGTTGCTCTGGTTTCTGTGGTCTTCATTCTGAGTCTGTTAAAATGGTAAACACTGTGTTTCACAACACACATTTTATACATTAATGTTTTTAGTATATTAAAACAGTATTCCTGTTTCCAATTTTTAAGAAGCAGAAGCAGCTCAGTTCTTATAGCATTTAGAATATCTAAAATGATTTGTCCATTTAGCTATTGCTTTTTTATTCAGGTGACTACAAAAACATTTTTAGCCATTCTCTTAACATGTATGAATATTTAGAAGTAGATTTTTTTTAAGTTTATTATGTCTTTATGCAAATTCTTCACTGGGGATGAAAAAAAGAAGAGTATGTATATTGTTTCCCAAACCCACATGAAAAAAATCATTTGTGTTCACTAAACTTAAAAGAAAATGTGTTCATCTTTCTGGAAGCTACAGAATTGCTGTGGTCACCTTCTTCCCAGTAGAGAAATTCAGATCAGTTAGTATATTTAAAATAATAGGTTTTCTGTAGTCAGGGGCTATTTGACCTTAGCTAAAGATCCATAACAAAACTCAAATCCTGCTTTTTTTAAAAGTGACCTTGCTACCTTCTTTTGAATAGGCAGAAGTGGCCACCTTTTATTCCTCAGACATTAGTTATTTGTTAAACTTTATCCAAGCTGGAACATACTTTTGAAAAACCCAGCCCATCCCGTCTACCAGATGCCGAGTCCATACACCCTGTGTTTCCCATCATTTGATTTATGACACTCTGACTGAGTAAGCAATGTGTTAAATCACTAGAGATTACTCGAGGCTTTCCTTGTGGGACATGGCACTCCACGTCCACTGGAAGCTTGAGGGAGCTGCCTTCACAGTCCTTTGAGAATCAGACCAAAAGTCAGGCTGCTCTCCTTTAAACACTTGAGTAACTTCAAATTTTTGTTCTGCCAAAATTATTTCCAAGAATTCTACATTTTTGAACAACTGTGTACAGCTATCTTTGCATTTTAAATGCCCCTAGTTTGAGACTCGGGAGGGTCAAGTGTCCCCACCCCTGGAAAGGGCTCGGATAGGAGGGTGCTTGCTTCTAAATCCTGATCTTCTCTATGGGGTTGGCTGGAAGAGAAGTAGGATCTTGTCTGAAACCTCATCCCCAGCATTGTGTTTGGATGTTCGTGGGATCCGAGGGCTGGCCGGGCAGACAGAAGGGAAGTGCGGGTCTTGGCTGGCAGCTGGGAGCAGAGGAAGGGAGAGCGTTGGAGGTCGTGATGTGCGTGCTCTGCCTCAGTAGGTCTGAGGTGCCCACTGTTGTTATGCTTAGTTTTATTAGATTCTCTGTAACAACATGAGCTTACCAACCAGCCTTGATTTTGAGATTAAATAATTGAACAGATTAACTGGGCACTGAAGTAAAATTCTACCTACTTTATTCTCTTAGTAAAAACTATACACACAATAAACAACTGTCAAGGTTGCCATCATATTTGAGTTTTGTCACCTAGGAAAACATTGTTTATACTTTGTTTTTGAAAAAATTCATATGAATTTCCCCTGGGAATAACTTGTTTTATTTCAGTTTTTATTTTCTATTGAAACACTTGTTTTCTAGTCTAGGATTTTAGCCAAATAGAAAAGCTATCATTTAATTTGGGGGAAAAAAAATCTATTGTCCTGTGAAGAATTTATAGCAATTATTAAACTATGTTGCTTAAATATAAAAAAAAAGGATGATTAATGGAATATTTAGATAATGTTTCCATTCACTGAAGAAGCCGTGATCCTTTATTGGCAGGAAGACTTGCAGGACATATCAGAAGCCTCTGTCAGAGGTTTACAGGAGGTGAGATGGAGGGGAAGCCCTCTATGGGAAGAGTCCCATGGTGTGTGACATGTTAGGGTAATCGGATGTATTTAAGCTGCGTCCTCATTCTAAAAGTTATTAGAACTGAGCTCTTCTAGATTTAATAACATGCTTTGCTTTGGTAGTGAAGAACATTGAGATAAAATCTAGTATTACCGAGTTAGAGATAATTTTAGATCATCCCTTATACTGTTACGTGAATTCCTGTGAACATGAATATTACTGATTCTCAAGTTCCAGTATACAGAAGAATAACTTGTCATTGCCTGTCCTGGTGTACCCAGATGTTCCATGATGGACGTTTTATCCCATAAGACGTCTCCCTCCTGATAGATGTCTGTATATGCAGATTAAACTACCAACATTTTTTCCAGCAAAGGTGGTTTTTGAAAGTAACCTAATGAAACCCTGGCTGCCATGGTCATTTTAATTGCTGGACTGAGAAGAAGCGACTCTGCGTTGTGCTGTTGGCCCAGGCCTGCATGCCTGAGGACTGTTGGCCGTTACAGTTCCTTGCTGTGGTCGCCGGTCTCTCTGTATTCTGCCACTGCTCTCATGTGGCATTTGGCAGAAGTACTACGTAGATTTCTGTGCTACTGAAAAAAATAAAAACAGTGGTTCCTTTTAATAGCCCTGATTTGAGACTTAGGAGAGGGTCAAGAGTCCCTACCTGATTTATGAGGAGAGAAGATTTTTTAAAAACCTCATGTGATGCTGTCATACATAGTTCAAAGAGCTTCCTTAATTCACTTCATTTACCTTTTTTTCCATTTTCGCTTGAGAACTAGAGAAGTTTGTGTTCTGTTGGAACCCTCTGTAGAACACTTTACACTCAGTTCTGATGGACCTTTTCAGGGGCGATTTTTTAAAAACCGCTCTCGAAAGTAGTCTTAAAATGAGAGCACTTTATTGATGGCTTTTCAGGACTGTGTTGGTATTTTTCATGCAGTGTATTTGTCAGCTTACATTTTTCAGTTGAGCTACCTGATGCTACTGACACACACATGATTTTCCTATCTTACCAGGCAAATACTACTGTTAACGTTTTAATAGTAAGTCTACTTATGCACATTGATTTTACTTTGAAAAAAGAACTGGTTTAAAAGGAAAAAAAAGAAACTAAAATTCTTTAAAATTGTAATGGCAGTGAAGCATTTTATAGTTTCTCCTCCCTCATTGGTTCTGAATTTTGGTGACAGGTGTATTTCTTAATGCAGATATGAAAAACAGTAGCTCCGTATCGAATACATTGACAAATGGATGTGTCATCAATGGACATTTGGACTTCCCCTCCACGACCCCGCTCAGTGGGATGGAAAGCAGGAATGGCCAGTGCTTGACAGGAACTAACGGAATTAGCAGTGGATTAGCCCCAGGACAGCCGTTTCCGAGTAGCCAGGGTTCTCTCTGCATTAGTGGGACTGAGGAGCCAGAGAAGACCCTGAGAGCTAACCCTGAGTTGTGCGGTTCTCTGCACCTGAACGGGAGTCCAAGTAGCTGCATAGCCAGTAGGCCTTCCTGGGTGGAAGACATTGGGGATAACCTGTACTATGGACACTACCACGGGTTTGGGGACACTGCTGAAAGCATCCCAGAACTGAACAGTGTGGTCGAGCATTCCAAGTCCGTGAAGGTGCAGGAGCGGTACGACAGTGCCGTGCTGGGCACCATGCACCTGCACCACGGCTCCTAGAGACGCTGACCTGGCTCTCGGAAACGCAGGAGTCCTTCCTGGTAGCCAGCTCAGAATACCCATGTAGCAGCAACTTGAACGAATGTCACAACTTGTACGTTTTTTATATACTTCAACTTTCTGAAAAAGTAAACTTCGACAAGTTCCCAGCAACTGCTTGTTTGTGCATGAGTAGGGCTTACTAAGTGCATAGATGTTTCTACAGTGAGGTGTCCTTTTTATAAGGTGCACTTTTGGAGTTTTTCTGATGCCAATCTCAACATTGTCTTTTTAATACTGTCACCAGATATTGCCATTTTTCTTTTTGTTAAAAGATTATATGATCAAGATAAATTGGGGTGGTAAATCAGGTGCCTGGTAATTTATCTCTTTGCACATGGGCATCATTTTAAAAAGCTTGCTTCCACTCTTTTCTGTAGAATTTGACGGAACACAGCTATTTCCCTATGCAAGGTACAGCCTTACAAAGATTTCTGCAGTGATTTGTGTGAAGAAGAGAACGTTTGTCTTTTTCAATGAAGCTTTGCAGATCACCATGTGGTTGAAGGTTTTAGTTGTGGACACAGTGGTCCCTCCTTAATGATGAAGATCACTGCCTTGGGCTTCATGGAAAACAGGCCCAGCCTGGGGCTGCGTTTGGATTTATTGTTTTTATTCCACACTTCCTACTTGGTCTCTGGAAGTTTTACCACATGTAACAGATTCCTTTATATGTAGTGGAAATCACTATTTGTAGAAACTGTCAGGTCAAAATATTTAACTGACTGTTGACATGTATTTTCTTTTTTCCTTGTTTTTGTTTTTTGGGGTTTTCTGCTTTAAGATATATACCACTATGTATATCCAGTTAACTGAGAGAATTTTGACTCTCTTAATAAAACTGCATTAAGTTTTTGATTTTGTAGAAATTAGCTTTTGTCTAGGCAACTAGTGGTTATACTCTGCAAATATTGTAATGAATTTTTACTTTTTTGATTTTTGTAATAAAAATTGGTGCAGATAAAATGTCAAATGAACAAACCAGTGTTCTAAGAGTGTTACTAACATTTTGTTCTAAAACTGTCCTTCACAAATTGAATAAAAAACTCTCACACTCAGTGTGTCCCTGGGGTTTCTCTCTGGGCTTGGGGGCCGGCGGGGTGTGGATATCTGTGGAAGGAATGGGAAGGGAAGAGAAGTTTACTATTGTTTCATTTTGCTTATAAGATTTTACTTGACTCTTCTGACACTCTTCATACGGTGTTTTTTCTATTTTTGAGTTTCTACTCTAGTTTTATGGGCACCGTTGGTACTGAACCTCTGTGGAGGAAGGATGAATTGCATGTCAGTTCAGTATTGTGCCTGGGTGCTTATTTTCATAAAAGACAGCAACCATAATGTTCTAAACTTCTTTGGTTTTAGCAACTGTTAATTAATGTAAGCCTTTTAGGAATATGAATTACAGTTATAAATAGCACCAATATAGCCATTCTGGCATGCCTACATATGCAATTTAAAACATTCACTGCATCATGCATATTCTTGTAAAAACTTAATAGACCACAATGAGGGAGCATTATGCTTTGGAAGTTTTGCAAAAATTACAGTGAGAACAGGAAGAGAATGCATGGCGCTGTCCAGGCCACCGCCTCCCATCCTATGGCAGACACTAGTAATCAAGCTTAGAACTGAGATTTGGCCTCAGACTGATCCAAGAAGCCACCCACACTACTGAGTTTTTAAGAGAGATGAAACTTGATGCCATCCCGTTTGGACTGTTTTCTAAGGTATTCCAGATGTTCTATAGTGACTTAATTATTTGCTGAAAAACGTTGTGAATCTCTGAAAACACAGTAAACATACTTTTGATTAGTCTTGAATTTTTGGACAGAAGATGACTGCTTAGGAACAAAAATGTTGCATAGAACCTAGAGTAGGGCAACATCCACACTTGAGTGGATGATTGAAGTAGTTTGTCATATTCTAGTTTAGAGTCATTTACACCAGTATATTCAGTTCTTATTTAGTGATACATAAGGAAATGGTGATGATGGAATTGCTTTCATGCCTGGAATTTGCTTCAAACCATAAAAATATGAGTGGAGCCCATGATCCCTGGTGAGTGGAGACAAGGATCAAACACAACTGGTGCAGGCCGATGTTAAATCTGGGTGGTGGGTATGTGAAGGTGCGTTAGTCTGTGTATTTTGTATTTATTTGAGACAAGTTTTTTGGGGTTTTTTTTTTCAGGACTTGAAGAAAAAATGCTCTATTAAAAAATATGGTTGTCATTTTAACATTGAGAATAAGCTTAGGTATTTCTGTGTCCACCAGAATTGACGTTTATACTGACTGCAAGAATAGCTCACTGAGTCTTAGCCTTTTTGGCCTGCAGATACTTTCCCATGCATGCATTCTCTTGTACTAGTAGAAACAATTGGAAAATGAAATAAAGCCCATTTACAGTGACACCCAAACCATGGCATACCTATGAAAATATCTTAACAAAAGATGTTCAAGACCTCTACACTGAAAACTATAAAACATTACTCAGAGATAGAATACCTAAATAAATTTTTGGTTGAAGTATGTGGAGAAAATCTGGCCTTACACAGATAGGTAATTGGAAAAAGGGATATTTGAATCGTCTTTGCAGTTAATTGTGAGTACTTGATACCATGCCCAAACTCTGTAGTGGTCGTGGGGCAGGAGAATAGGAAGTTAGGGTAACCAAGGGCTAAGGCATAAGCAAAAGAACAGCAGGTACAGCCAGTTCTAGGCAAGATTAGGCAGCACTCAGACCACAGCCTCCTACCTGTGATAACAAGACAGTCTCCACTTCAGCCTCTGATTGGTTGCAGGCTAATCTTTCATAGGGTGCAGCCAATTGGAGGCCTCTAAAGGTCACCTAGGGGTGTTACCAAATTCTTTTAGCTTAGTAAAAACCCTAGAGGGGGCACTCTTGACCCTGGCTCAAGTTGGCTCCCACTCTGGAGGGTACTTTTGCTACAATAAATCTGCGCTTTTTTTGCTTCTTTCGTTGTTTACTTCTTTTGTTGCTTTGTGTGTTTGGTTCCATTCTTTATTCAGCTGCACCAGGAACCTGGACAACTCGCAGTCAAGACCTTCCATTCAGTAACAGTAGTTTCTTAAAGGCTAGTTGCAATGTTGAATCAGGATCCACATCAGTGAGCTTCTTGTATCGTTCCTGTAGAGTCCATCTTTCACTTAGAATGGACCTTTAACCCATGCATAATTTTTTATGCATTACTTGGGAAATATTTTTTAATTGAGTTCTGCAAGTCTTTCAAATGTTGAAACTTTTCATTAATATTAAAACATTGATAACCAGCCAGGTGCGGTGGCTCACGCCCGTAATCCCAGCACTTTGGGAGGCCGAGGCAGGTGGATCATGAGGTCAGGAGATAGAGACCATGCTGGCTAACAAGGTGAAACCCCATCTCTACTAAAAATACAAAAAAAAAAAAATAGCTGGGTGTGGTGGCACGCACCTGTAATCCCAGCTACTTGGGAGGCTGAGGCAGGAGAATCGCTTGAACCTGGGAGGCAGAGGTTGCAGTGAGCCGAGATCACGCCACTGCATTCCAACCTGGGCAACAGAGCAAGACTCTGTCTCAAAAAAATAAAACATTGATCACCAATAATCTCATGAAAGTCAAAAGTTGGAAGTTGTCAAGCTCATGGTACTGGATACAAGTTTTACAACATCCTGATTTTTGCTGAAAAACTCAAATTTTATCATTGGACACAAATACTGTCAGTTTTCCTTGAAGTAGAAGACTCACTTGGTTAATTTTTTGGTTTTTTTAAATTGAGACGGGGTCTCACTCTGTCGCACAAGCTGGAGTGCAGTGATGCGATTTTGGCTCCTTACAGCCTTGACTTCCTGGGCTCAAGGGATCCTCCTGACTCAGCCTTGGAGGTAGCTGGGACTCCAGTCGTGCACCACCATGCCCGGCAATTTTTTTTTTTTTTGGGGGGATGGGGTCTCACTATTTTACCCAGGTTGTCTCAAACTCCTGACCTCAAGCAATCCGCCCACTTTGGCCTCCTAAAGTGCGGGGATTACAGGCTTGAGCCACTGCATTACAACCTGGTTATTTTTTTTTTAATCACATAGCTTGTCAATCATTATTTCAAATGAAAATGACGTTTCTGAAAAAGTCACTGGATACACTTATCGCACAATCAGCCAGAGCCGTGCTTTTCCTGGAGACAGCTGTACACAACAAATCCTTCATGCACACTTCCCTTTACATCACAGAGAACGTGTGCTGTCAAAATTTACTCATGTTTACAGCATTGAGGGCATTCTTAAGTGAAATTGGGTTTTTTTCTTTTTTTTGACTGCACGGCAGTGAAGAATATGAAGGTGATCAGGCCGGGGCAGTTTTTGCTAAGGTGCTAGTAGCTTTACCCACCATTTCTTTTGAACCCTCAGTGCCGAAGTCAACACTGAAAAAGGCAAATCACATCTCGGTAATGAGACCGTTTTGATTTTGGGGACCCCCTGAAATGGGGTCCTGGGGACCCTGGGGTTCTGCAGGCCACAGTGAGAGAACTGCTGGAATGTTTTGAATGATGAGATCTAAGCAACTAGTGATAAATACTGGAAAATGTAGACTGGGTATTCATTGAATTACCCTTTTTGACTTTTCCATAGGTTGGATTTTCGGGGTTTTATTAAGGAGAAGAAAACGGGAGAATAATTTGGAGACAGAACATGGGAAACATTGAAGAGTTTCCCGGAAAGGGGGAGCCAAGAAACAGGCAGCGGGTGGAAGGGAGGAGCCCTCGGGAGGGCGGGAACCGGGGGCGGGGCGCCGGCGCGGGTGCAGGGACGAACCATCAGGAGGGCGGGAACCGGGAGAGAGGCGCAGGGGCGGGGAGAGGGGGGTGAGCCGGGCGGTTCTGGCGCGGCTCTGCTTGGGGAACCGCAGCCAAGGTTGGGGCGAGGCCGTGGTTGGGATGGGCCGGGGCGGGTGAGGGGTCCCGGGGCGGTGGGAGGGTAGCGGGGGCTGCGGCAGGGCACGGCTGGAGCTGGGGGCTGGAGGTGGACACCACCCCAAGAGTCTGCACTGAGCAACGGTAACAGTGAGCCCGGGCACAGCTGCAGCCAGGGAGACCCTGAGTGTGCGAGTGTGCGTGTGAGGATGTGTATCAGTGTTTGCAAATGCATGTGAGTGAGCGAGCATGAGGATGTGTGTCCATGTATGGATGTGAGTGTGCAAATGTGTGCGAGGACTGGGAGTGTGTGAGAGCGTGTCAGTGTGGGAATGTAGGGGGAATGTGGAGGGAAGTGTGTCGTTGGCAATGTGTGAGTGTGCAAATGTGTGAGAATGTGAAGGGAAGCGTTGAGTATTGGATGTGAGTGGTAATCTGGTGTGTGTGAATGTGTGAATGTTTATGTGTGAATGTACGTGATGTGTGTGGATGTGTATGATGTGTGCGCACGTATGAATGTTGATTTGTGTGACGTGTGTGCAGATGTGTATGAATGTGTGATGCATGTGGATGTGTGTAAATGTGGCTGCTGTGCATGTGTGAATGCTATATGTGTGTGACGTTTGTGACTGTGTGTGTGCAGGTGTGACTGTTTTATATGTGTGGCTGATGTGCATGGGTGGTAGTGTATGTGAAACATGTTATATGTGTGCATGTGTGAACGTGTGTGGCTATTGTGCACGTGTGGATGTGTGTGAATGTTGCATGTGGGTGTTGTGTCGAGGTGTGGGCATGTGTGTGAATGTGACTTGTGTATCTGGATGTGTGTGAATGCAGGTGTGTGAATGTGTCACTTGTACATGTGTGGATGAATGTGCGTGTGTGAATGTTATGTGTGTGTGACTTGTGTGGGTGTGGATGTGTGTGAATGTATGCATGTGTGTGAATGTCGTGTGACGTGTGTGTGTGAATATATGTGTGACTTGTGTGGGTGTGAATATATGCATGTGTGTGAATGTCTTGTGTGTGATGTGCGATGTGGAGAATGGATGGAAGAGCAGGCGCTTGGCGAGGGGGGAGGGAGGAGGATCAGAGGCCATGGGAGAGGGCGGAGGGAGCGTAGGAGAGGCCATGGGGGAGGGGAGGGGCGGAGAGGCCACTGGGGAGGAGAGGCCGGGGTCGGGGGCGCCTGCCCACCGTGAAGAGGCCCCTGAGGGCAGCTCGGCCTCCTGTTGGGGGCCAGGGTCGGCTCTGGCGGGAAGGCCCAGGCAGTGCAGAATCATGGAGCTCAGGGGCCCTGCTGGGGTCCGCTCAGGAGCCTAGGGTCCTTAGAGAGGTCTCAGGAAATGGGCAGGGGGAGATGGGGCTGGAAAGGGGACATGTGGACAGAATGGGGTCGGAATCGGAGTCTCCCGGGCAGGAATCGCTGGGAAGGTGGACATCTCAAGCCCTGGAGAAGCTTCCAGTCCGCGGAAAGGGGAGAGGACTGGAGCTCCTGGGTGTCTGGGGCAGGACGTGGATGGGGTCACATTTTTCTCTGTTGGGAATAGCACGTGCGAGGCGTGGGCTCGGGCTTTGAAGGTTTGCAGGGTGGGGAAGGGAGGCCGGTGAAGCTCTGAAACCATCCCCGAGGGGACTCTGAGTGACCACTTTGTGGTCAATCCGCAGGGAGAGCTGAGGACGAGGCGGAGGCCCCACAGGTGAGGGCCAGGTGAAAAGCCCTACAGCTGCTGTGTTGTCGAGCCCCGTGGCCAGGCGGGGCGGGGGGCCATGGGTCCCCCAATTCTCTGGGCATTCAGCAGAAAAACCGGCAGGGCTCAGCCAGGGAAGCTGAACTAGAAGTTTCTAACCTGTGCAAGCAGAGCCACACAGGTCAAGAGGACTCTGGGAGGTCCCAGGGCTCAGGGAGGGGCTGCGGGAAGTGCAGGCTTGGGAAAGGGGTCTCCACCTGGAGTTCAGGCCTCATCCCAGTAATGGTCACAGCCACCAGATGACCAAGTGCCCCAGTACCTGGGCAGGCAGGTCCACAGTGCAGCAAAGAGGGATGTGCCTCTTGGGCAAAGTCTGGCAGAGGCTGAGGGGTGGGTACTCGCCCAGTACCTGTGCTGGAAGGTCACCTTGAAGGGGTCCCCAGGCCATGACCAGGGCTGCAGTGTCCCCAGGGTTAGAGCTGGTCAGTGCAGAACTGGGCATCCCCCTCAAAACACAGCACTGACAGCAGCAGCAGAGCGTTGAGCTGTGAGGCAGGACGTCCCACCCGGGGAGGGGCCCCTTCCTTGGGCTCACGTTCTCAGGAGATCACAGTGCAGTGTCAGCCAGGGCTGCAGTCTCATCTGAAAGCTCCCCTGGAGCCTCTGCATCCAAGCTCACGCACATGGCTGGTGACTGGACCCAGTTCCCCCCGGGTCGCTGAACTAAGGGCCTGAGTTCTTTGATGGTTGTTGGCCTAAGGCCACCCCAGCTCCGTGCAGGGGAGGGCAGGGGCCTCTCCACCAGGCACTCTGAGGAGTGCTCACCCCCCGCAGGGAGAGGCGGGAGGGACGGGGAAGGGCAGAGGACACATCAGGTTTTTCATCTTACTGCGTTTTTTTTAAAACAGGAAGATCTGAAGCCAACTACATTCAGCAAGTTTTCTTAAGAACAAAGTAAGAAAGATAAACCAGAACAGCCCTGCTTGGCTTATCCCGGCCTCGCCTTAACCCTCCCTTCCCTGCCGTCTTTCTGTGGCTCCCCTCTGCCAGGTGCCCCCTGAACTTTAAGATTCCAGGATGGTTTGAGAACAACTTCGATGTTTCTGTTTTCCCATTTATGAAGGCTACTGTGCTCTCACCAGTGAATTTAATTACAAGATTTTTAGAAGCAGCTAAAAAAATTGCAACTCAGATGCATCAGTGAATCAGTCCTATTCCCTGTCTGCTAAAGGATGTCTTTTCGTTACCATCATCTGCCGCAGGGCTTTTCTGACAGTTCATATAATTCAAGATAATTGAAGCCAATTTTGCAAGCAAAACGACAGGAACCACTACATGAAATAGCACATCAAGTCTCTGATTCACAACAATGGCACTATTTCCTCAATGGTTTTAAAATTCTCTTGGCTAGGCGTAGTGGCTCACGCCTGTAATCCCAGCACTTTGGGAGGCCGGGGCGGGCAGGTTGTTTGAGCTCAGGGGTTCAAGACCAGCCTGGGCAACAACGTGAGACCCTGTCTCTACAAAAAATACAAAAATTAGCTGGGCTTGGTGGCGCATGCCTGTAGTCCCAGCTACTTGGGAGACTGAGGTGTATCAATTGAGAAAAATGACAAGACAAGTCTCAATCATTTTAGGAGGTTTACTCGCCAAAGTTAAGGACGAACACTCGGGAGACAGTCTGTACCTTTCTCCGAAGATGATTTTGAGGGCTCCAAATTTAAAGGGGAAAGGGTGAGATAATGACAAGTACACAATTTTCATCTAAGAGGCGGGTAGAGAAAAATAGTCATGCGTTTGGCTCATTGAATCTGCATTATTTTTACACAAGATGACTTAGACAAAGGGGGCAGGGGAACAATCAGGTTTGCATTTGTGTCTGGCGGGCAGGGGTTGACTGCACCTGTAAAGATGAGCTATCGATTTGCATTGCTGTGGTGAAATCTTAACAGAAACACCTTACAGTAAAGATTGCGGAGCTCACTAGGAATTTCCTTGTGGACAAAATATAGGGGAGGTGTGCAGTTTTTCATCTTGCAGCATCTTATTTAGGGACCAAAAGGGGAGGCAGGTTTGCATGACCCAGTTCCCAGCTTGACTTTTCCCTTTGGCTTGAGTTTGGGGGCCCAAGATTTATTTTCCCTTCACAGGTGGGACGATGGGTTGCAGGGAGGATGGGAGCCTGGGAGGCAGGGTTGCAGGGAGCCAAGATCATGCCACTGCACTCCAGCCTAGGTGACAGAGTGAGATCCTGTCTCAAACAAAACAAAACAAAACAAAACCTCTCTCTGGAAGAGAAAGGAGGGACTGTGAAAACAACCGAGGGAACAGGCAGCTTTCATTACCAGCAGCATGGGATCCTCGCCCAAGGCCGAGAAAACACAGGAGTGAAATGACAGCTATAGAGGTACACTCCGCAGGCTGCATGAAAAGGACAAAAACAGTAATATACACACCAGTAAGGAACGGCATTGGCATGCTCCGCCTCCTGTGGGCAGCCTGGGGATGAGGTCATTTTCCAAAACAGGGAGCTGGTCAGCATTTTCCATGCCCAGGGCAAGTTCCCCTTGATGGACAGCACCTAATGACCAGCGCTGAGTCAGTCTAGGAGCAGAAAGACTGGAAACCCTGGAGTAGGGGCCACGTCAGCATGACTCACTCAAGCAACGGCAAATTCTCACAGCAACAACATGAAACGCCCTCCAGGGTGATGACTGTGGGAGCAAAACTGACCGGAACCTGGGCGGTGCATGCACTGTGCACCCTCCTGGTTAACAGCCCCACGGCCCGAGAGCTGTGCTTTACATGAATGTCTTCTGTTAAAGCAGCTCGTGTGGCTTCTGCACCCTGGTGGAGCCAACACACGTGCCTGTCACGGAGGTGAGGAGTGAGTGAGTTCTCACCAGCATTTGACGCTGACCTTCCGGAGACATGGCGTCCCTGAGAGCCTGCAGCCTGCCAGAGCAGAGAGCCACCCGCTGGCCGTTCTGTTGGAATTTCGGAGTTCCTGTCTTTCAGGCAACATCTGCCAAGCGCGGTTTGTGTAAGGAAACCCATTCTGTCGTGTCTGCCGGGGCCCAGGGCGGCTGCTGTGCGGGAACCAGCTTTTGTGGCCCATGGAGCAACGACTCAGTCTGGGGCTCGGCTACTCTCCGGCCCGGGGTACTGGCATTTCCCTGGGGCCCATGGGGCGAGTGCCCCTATTTTTCCCATGAGGCCTCAGCCAAGAGGAGGTTCGGGAAGAAAGGAAAACACAGGTGAGGAGAGAGAAGGGCGGGCAGAGAGGTACCACGCCATTAGTGCTGATGGGGAGAGGCGGCTCCAGCCCGGCACTGCTGTCCTTACGAGGCATGTTTCCTTTTTATTCGGAGGAAGAGAAGCAGAGGAACACGTCATGGAGACGGACCGAGTTGAAGGAGCCAGGGATGGTGACAAGCGGAAGGAAGTGTGTTTTGTCCCCATCCAGGGAAGCTTTTGTTTCATGAGACTTACTTGCGCACGTCTGGTAGCTGCCCTGGACATTCATGGACTTTCGTTTTCACTCAGATTTTGTGGTTCACGTGACACAAAGCATGAGGACATCACTGGGCGAGAGGGCCAGGTCACCCCACTGCCGAGGGGCACGCCCCAGCTGTGCACCGCTAGAGTGGGCTTGTCCAGTCCTCGGACACGGGGACAGGGTGTGCCCATCTCATGTAAGACATGAATAATAGTAGAAATTTCTGTTGCATGAGAACTCTCTGCATTATCCTCACCATTTTCCTGTAAGCGTAAAACGTCTAAAACTTTTTTATGAGCACACTAATTCCTCACTTAAGGTCGTCATTAGGTTCTTGGAAATGGCAACTTTAAACAAAAGGACAGACAGCAGGTCCTCAAATAACATTCTTTCCTTCAACATCATTTCATCCTAAGGAGAAAAAAATGGATTTTGTTACATATCCTGGTTCATTTCCAAGAACCAGGTGGGCATAGAATTGACCAAAGGTGGAGGAGAACAGATGTGCGGCTCCGTCCTGGCTGTGTGGCTCCGTCCTGTGGACTAATGCGTGTGGACAGTCAGGAACACTTTCAGGACAATGTGGGTGGCCTGCCAATGGGACCTATTCCAGAGGTCTGAGAAGAAACCGTTGTTTAACCTAGAATCCTGCTAGGAATCAAACTAGCTTTGACAGGAAAAGGAAAAAGAATGAGGACTCTGAACAGGGACAGACTCAGAACAATTCTTATCCACTCATAGTTTAGGAAATAATCTTACAGCATGTGCTCCACCAGGGTCACCAACTGTCCCAATTTGCTTGGGACTGAAGGTTTGTTTGTTTTTGTTTCTTTGTTTTGAGACAGAGCGTCTCTCTCTGTTACCCAGGCTAGAGTGCAATGGCGTGATTTTAGCTCACTACAACCTCCACTTTCCAGGTTCAAGCAATTCTCCTGTCTCAGCCTCCCTGAGTGGCAGGGATTACAGGAACCCACCACCATGCTGGCTAATTTTTCAATATTTAGTAGAGATGGGGTTTCACCATGTTGGCCAGGCTGGTCTCGAACTCCTGACCTCAAGTGATCCACTTGCCTCAGCTCCCAAAGTGCTGGGATTACAGGCATGAGCCACCGTGCCCAGCCTACTGAGGGGTTTTTATGGACATGGGACTTTTAATGCTAACACTAGGACAGTCTCTGTCAGACTGAGATGATGGTCACTCTTTGGCCAAACACCTCCACCACTGCCCCGCAACATCCATAATAGCAACAGTTTGAGTAAAGACACAAGTACCATTTGCGGTCCAAATACTTGAGTGTGTAAACGGTGCATTGGGTGTGCACAGCGGTACCCAGAATCTCCAACTAGCTCCTCATGAGCTGGGTGGGGCATGCAGGGAAGGAGGCAAAGCTTCCCACCTGTCTGGGGAGGCTGTGGGCTCCACCTCTGCAGACTTTGGTAGGAGACCAGTGTTCATGCAGTTGTAGTAATGCACGTGTAGCTTAGGGTTTTTTTGGGACTAAACTATGGACAAAGCACAGAACTCAGTTGTCTCTGTAGAAAAGGGTGGCCTGTCACCCGGTACCAGGTGAGGGGAGTGTGGCAGTGGCAAGAGCACCTGGTGGTGGCCGAGAGGAGGCACGGAGGAGAGTCAGGGTACCGTGCCCTCATGGAGTGAGTGCGGAAGACAAAACAACAGACACAGTTGTAATGACATTACTTTATTTGGGGTTAAATTAGGGTGCACATCACAGAAAATCCTCAAACCACAGGGAATGAAATGGAAGTTGTTTCTCTCTGGTAAAACAAGTCTGAAAGCTGCAGTGTCATCAGATCCACGGCCCTGCATCTCTGCCACACCCCACCATGCACCTCCAGTCCTCCCGGCCTGTGGCTTCCAGGGCTCCAGGAACTAGGGAGGGACAGACACTGGGATCTTCTGCCATGAAGCAGAGAGGGATGCTGGGGAAACACATGGGCACTCGCTGCCACAAGTGCCTCCTGGAAAAGCAAAACCCAATGCCATGGCTGCCTCCCTCCGGCAGCACCAGCACGAGTGAGCCAGATCCTCACCTTTGATCATCAAGGCTGAGAGGTAATATCTGAGGTCGACAGATCAAGAAGTAGAGACAAAAGCAAACCAGGCTGGTGGTAAAGAGGAGGAATGACCGTAAGATGCCTCTGAAAAGTGGGAATATGGGGAATCTCCTCTTGGTTTCTGGTTGCACATGTGAATTTATTGAAAACTGAATATATTAAGATGTGAGCTTAGGAGTTGGCAGCCTGTGGCATGGGGAGGTGTGGGAAGTGGACAGTCTCAGGTCAGGGTGGGCTGGAAAGTGGTGCCACCTCGAGAACAGTAGGTTAACATCTACCCCCAGTGACGACATTCAAACCTTCATCCAGCATCCACTTCCAGGGGACATTTTCACAAAATATTCACGAGAGCACACAAAATATACAAAGGATGACGAGGGTTGAACATTGTTGTGACAAAACATGGGAAGCAACTTAAGTGCCATCTGTGGGAAACGGTCTAGTGGTGGAGCTGTGGGGCTGTGGGATACTGTGGGCGGGTGAGAAACGGAGAGGCGTCTCCAAGCATCAGTGGGATAAAATTGCTCTATCTGTATTTTCAAAGGAGAAAAAGAACAAGCCCCAAGCTGTGCATTTACACGGGGACATGAGTACATCCATCTGTAATGCGTCTGTCACCCCACAACAGGAGGGGTTAGCTGTGCGTGGGGAGAGGGTGAAGAAGGGCTTTTGCCTGGTGCTAGACTGCCTGGGTTCAAATCCTGCTCCTACTTAGTGCTGTGCAATTTGGGCAAAATACCTAAACCTCTCTGTGCCTTCATTTCCACCTCTCTAAAGCGGGGTCTGTGACAATGCCCACTCCTCATTCATAAGGTGGTGGTGAGGATTAAATGAGCTGATGCCCTCACAAGGTGTTTGTCCATCAGTGATAGGGTTTGGCTGTGGCCCCTGTGTCCCCACCCAAATCTCATCTTGAATTGTAATCCTCATAATCCCCACGTGTCGAGGGAGGGATCCCGTGGGAGGTGATCAGATCATGGGGGTGGTTCCCCCATGCTGTCCTCATGATAATGAGTGAGTTCTCACGAGATCTGATGGTTTTATAAGGCAGTTTCCCTGCTCTTACACGCTCTCTTTTGCCTGCCGCCATATAAGACATGGCTTTTCCCTTTCCACCATGATTGTAAGTTTCCTGAGGCCTCCCCAGTCATACAGAACTGTGAATCAATTTAACCTCTTTCCTTTATAAATTGCTCAGTCTGAGGTAGTTCTTTATAGCAGTATGAGAATGAACTAACACAGTAAATTGGTACTGCGGAGAGTAGAGTATTGCTATAAAGATACCCAAAATGTGGAAGCAACTATGGAACTGGGTAACAGACAGAGATTGGAACAGTTTGGAGGGCTCAGAAAAAAGACAGGAAGATGTGGGGAAGATTGGAACATCCTAGAGACTTGTTGAATGGTTTTGACCAAAATGCTGATAGTGATGTGGACAATAAAGTCCAGGCTGCGGTGGTCTCAGATGGAGATGAGGAACTTCTTGGGAACTGGAGTAAAGGTCACTCTTGCTACGCTTTAGCAGAGACTGGTGGCATTTTGCCCCTGCCCTGAGATCTGTGGAACTTTGAACGTGAGAGAGATAACCTGAAATTGGAACACATGTTTACGAAGAAGCAGAGCATTAACATTTGGAAAATTTGCAGCCTGACAATATGATAGAAAAGAAAAACCCATTTTCTGGGGAGAAATTCAAGCTGGCTGCAGAAGTTTGCATAAGTAACGAGGAGCCAAAGGTTAGTCACCAAGACAATGGGGAAAATGTCTCCAGGGCATGTCAGAGGCTTCGCAGCAGCCCCTCTTAGCACAGGTCTAGGAGGGAAAAATGGCTTCATGGGCCAAGTCTAGGGCCCCACTGCTCTGTGCAGCCTCTGGACTGGATGCCTTCTGTCCTAGCTGCTGCCACTCAAACTCCAGTCGTGGCTAAAAGGGGCCACATACAGCTCAGGCTGCTGCTTCAGCGGGTGCAAGCCGGAAGCCTGCACAGAATTCAAGAATTGAGGTTTGGGAACTTCTGCCTAGATGTCAGAGGAAGTATGGAAACAGCTGGCTGTCTAGGCAAAAGTTTGCTGCAAGGGTGGAACCCTCATGGAGAACGTTAGGGCAGTGAGGAAGGGAAATATGGGGCTGTAGCCCCCATAACAGAGTACCCACTGGGTCACTGCCTAGTGGAGCTGTAAGAAGAGGGCCACCATCCTCCAGATCCCAGAATGTAGTCCCACTGACAGCTTGCACTGTGGCCTGGAAAAGCTGCAGACACTCAATGCCAGCCCACGAAAGCAGCCAGGAGGGGGGCTGTACCTTACAAAGCCACAGGAGCAGAGCTGCCCAAGACCATGGGAACCCACCTCTTTCATAAGCGTGACCTGGATGTGAGACATGGAGTCAAAGGAGATCATTTGGGAGCTTTAAGATTTAATGATTGCCTCACTGGATTTTGGACTTACATGGGGCCTATAGCCCCTTTGTTTTGGCCAATTTCTCCCATTTGAAATGGAATCATTTACCTAATGCCTGTACGCCCATTGTATCTTGGAAGTAACTAACTTGGTTTTGATTTTACAGGCTCATAGGTGGAAGGGACTTGCCTTGTCTCAGATGAGACTTTGGACTTGGACTTTTGAGTTAAGACTTTGGGGGACAGTTGGAAGGGCATTATTGTGTTTTGAAATGGGAGGACATGAGATTGGGGAGGGGCCAGGGGCAGAATGATAATGGTTTGGCTGTTTCTCCACCCAAATCTCATCTTGAATTGTAATCCCCATAATCCCCATATATCGAGGGAGGGACATGTTGGGAGGTGACTGGATCTTAGGGGTGGTTTCCCCCAGTTGTTCTCATAGTAATGAGTTCTCACAAGATCTGATGGTTTTATAAGGCAGTTTTCCCTGCTCTTGCTCGCTCTGTCTTGCCTGCCGCCCTGTAAGACGTGCCTCTTCCCCTTCTGCCATAATGGTAAGTTCCTTGAGGCCTCCCCAGCCATGCAGAGCCATGAGTCAATTAAACCTCTTTTCTTTATAAATTACCCAGTCTCGGGTAGTATCTTTACAGCAGTGAGAGAACAGACTAAGACAATCAGCTTCTATGTTGTTGGCAGTTTTACCATGAGCATGGATTCCTATATTCCTTCTGAAATTTTCTTTAAAAGTGTAAGCTTATATAGAAAGTATATTCGACACTCACAACCCTTCCCAGCCATAAAAGACAGTGGGGTGTGAGTGTGTGGGATGGGATGCAGCAATGGCAGCCCAGTAACAACAGCAGTGCGTGCCGGGAACAGCTCAGCAGCAGGGCAGGTCAGGGCTAACCCAGTTAACTCAATGCAGGCTCCCTACACCAAGTGATTTGGTTTGCAAATAAATATTATTTGTTTCTGTTTTAATGTGTAAACAGAGCACCTGAATTACACAGTAATGTAACTCTGAAAATTGCTAAATTTCTACCTGACTTTATGCTTGGGAGAAACAGTCTGGGAGCTGAGGACCACTCACCCCACAGGGGTCGCAGCAGAAGGAAGAGCAGGCACGGACCTCGTAGGGCCCCACTGAACAATGGGGCTCTGGCCACAGCACTGCCCGGTGACGAAAGTAGGAGGGAGGTTTTGACAAGCATTGCTCAGAGTGTTATTGGATCCTGATGCTTTCTATCAAAGATGAACTTTGTCAAAAGTATTTTAGCTTCCTATCATTATATGGAGTACTCCACATTAAAGAAAAAAAGCCAGGTATGTGATACTCCCGCTGCTATGGCCACCTGGAGAGGAGAGGCCGCTCACCAGGCCTGCATGTGTGAAGGGTGACCTCAGGTCACAGCAGGAAATGAGAGTGGGCCTGTGGGGTTAGACTGGATCTGGAGGCACAGGCATGAGCTCAGGGTTTCCAATACATAAAAATAGGCATCATAATGAATGTAAATGTGCAGACACAAACATTCACCTACACGATGGAGCACATGGAGATGTGCCTTCCAGAACATTCCTTCCGGAGGCACAGACCTTGACCCTGACTCAGAGCAAATACCAGAGAAACCCAAGCTGCGACCTTGACCCAGGAACTGGGGGCCTGTGCCAGGGTCAGAAAGGTTAAAAGCGCCCGGGGAGCGTCCCAGCGGCAGGAGACCGAAGAGACCTGAGCATGGTGCTCCCTGACTTCTGAACCAGGTTCTTTCTTTCATTTTTATTTTTATTAATTTTATTTTAGGTTCAGGGGTGCATGTGCAGGTTTGTTACGTAGGTAAACTCATGTCACAGGGGTTTGTTGTACGTGTTATTTCATCACCCAGGTATTAAGCGCAGTACCCAATAGTTCTCTTTTCTGCTTCTCTCCCTCCTCCTACCCTCCTTCCTCAACTAGACCGCAGTGCCTGTTCTTCCCTTCTTTGTGTTCATGAGTTCTCATTGTTTAGCTCCCACTTATAAGTGAGAACTTGTGGTATTTGGTTTTCTGTTCCTGCATTCATTTGCCAAGGATAATGGCCTGCAGCTCCATCCGTGTTCCCACAAAAGACAGGATCTCGTTCTTTTTTATGGCTGCAATAATGTCCTTTACAGTGAACCGGATTCTTCACTGTAGGGGACATTATTGTGACACCTGGAGACATGTGAATAAAGCCTGAGGGTGGGTGGGATGGTGGTCAGCACAGCTGTCATGCATGGTGGCTAGGGGTGACCATGGAGGAGTGTGTCCTTGTTTCTCAGAATCACACACCAAAGTTTTGCAGCATGATAGGGCAGGAACTTCAGATAGTTTGGAATAGAAAAATGTGTAAAGCCAGATCAAAGTAAATAAACCAGAAGCCGACCAATGAAAAGGGGAAATTTATATATAGTGTTATCAGAAATCAGTACAGAAAGGATTAAATATGATTTAGCATTGGGGGAAATAAGTTTTAAATCACCACCTCACACCATGCTCCAAGGTATATTCCACATGGAACAAAAAAATGAATGTCACAAGCTACACCAAGGGCTAATGTCCTTCCACATATAGAGAATACTTCAAAAGTGAATCAGAAAGCCTATCAAATCCCAATGGCATTTTTGCAGAAATAGAAAAATCCATCCTAAAATTCATATGAAATCTCAAGGGGCATTGAATTGCCAGAACAATCTTGAGGAAGAACAAAGTTGGAGGCCTCACACTTTCGGACTTCAAAACATTTCGAAGCTAAAGTAATTTTTAAAATATGGTATTGGCATAAAGATATGCCTATAGATTAATGGAATAAAATACACAGCCCAGAAATAAACCCTTGCATATATGGACAAATGATTTTCAACAAGGGTGCCAAGATCATTCAATGAGGGAAAAGACAGTCTTGCCATCAAGTGATGTTGAGAAAATTGGACATTCACGTGCAAAAGAATGAAGTTGGACCCTTACCTTCCACCACATACAAATATTACTTAATATTAATTACCATATATGGATACACTTAATTAATTATAGTTTTAGCTCTTATTAAGTATTATTTTGTAAGATTTAGCTCTTACTAAATGTAAGACTAAAACTATAAAACTCTTAGAAGAAAACACACGGCAACACCTTCATGACATTGCAGTTGGCAGTAATTTATTGGATATGACACTGAAAGCACAGGCAACAGAGGAAATAAGACATAAATTTGATCACATCAAAATTTAAGCCTGTGCAACAAGGGACACAGCCATCAAAGGCAACCCATGGGGTGTGAGAAAATATGTGCGAATCAGATACTTGATAAAGGGTTGATATCTAGAATATATAAAGAATTCCCACAACTCAACAACAACAACAACAACAAACATTCAAAAATGGGCAAAGCAATTAAATAGACATTTCTCCAAAGACCTACAAATGGCCAAGAAGCACATGAAAAGATGCTCAACGTCACTAATCATTAGGGAAATGCAAATCAAAACCACAGTGAGACACCATCTCACACCCACTAGGATGCCCACGATGAAAGATGATTCGAGTTGAAGGACATGGATATTTTCTCTCACCACAATGAATTAAACTAGAAATAAGTAATAAAAAGACACTCGGAAAATCCTCATGTATGGCAAGTAAGATATACACATCTAAATAACCCATGAGCCACAGAAGATACCATGGTGGAAACTTAAAAGTATTTTGAACTAAATGATAATAAAAGTACTACATTTCAGTAGCTTTCAGGTTATAGCTAAAGCCTTGCATGAAGAGAAGTATGAATTTAGAAACATATATTATAGGGGAAAAAAGCCAAAATAAGCTGAGTATGCATTTTAAGAAGTTAGAAAAACAGCAGCATTTTAAACCCAAAGAAACTATAAAAATAAAAGAAGAAATTAATGAAATAGGAAATAAATGTATAATAGAGAAGATCAATTAAAACCATTACTTGGTTCTTTGAAATAACTAAAAAAATTAAACATCCATTGGTGAGACTGATCAAAGAAAAGAGGGAAGATTAAAAATTTCAAGACTGTAAAAGGTCATATAGAATCTTCCTCATTAAAATGATAAGAGGATATTATAAGCAACTTTTTAATCAATAAACTTGAAATTTTAGATAAAATAGACAAATTCCTTTAAGAAGTGCAAATTTTCAAAATATACACCAGAAAGAAATCTGTATAGTCCTAATTCTAAATTTATTGTCTGAAGGTACAATTTAAAATCTTCCCACAAAGAACTCTTTAATCCCAAATGAATTCGCCAGTAAATTCTTATAAACGTCTAACAATGAAATGGCAAACACAAATTCTTACAGAGAATAAGTAAAGAAGGAGCACTGCATATTTATTTTATGACACGAAAACAGCACTGATGCCAAAACCTGACATTTCAGGAGAGGAAAACTGCAAGCCAACTGTGTTAGGCCGGTTTTGCATCACTATAAAGAAATACCTAAGACTGGGTAATTTGTAGAGAAAAGAGGTTTCACTGGCTCCTGGTTCTGCGGGCTGTAAGGAAGCTTGGCTCCAGCGTCTGCTCGGCTTCTGGGAGGCCTCAGGGAGCTTTCGCTCATGGCGGAAGGTGAAGCGGGAGCAGGCACGTCACCCACTGAGAGCAGGAGCGAGAAAGAGAGGGAGACGGAAGGTGCCACACACTTTTAAACAACCAGATCTCGGGCGAACTGATTCACTATCTTAAGGATGCACCAAGAGGATGATGCTAAACTACTCATGAGAAATCCACCCTGTGATCCCATCGCCTCCCACCGAGCCCCACCCCTAATACTGGGATTACATCTCAACATGAGATTTGGCAGGACGAATATCCAAACCACATCACTAACCACTCACGAGCCTAGATGGAAACCGTGAGCACGTCAGGTTTATTCCAGGAATACAAGATGGGTTAACGTTTGGAAATTAACCAGTATAATTCATCACGTTAACAAGAAAGAAAAAAGAAAAATCATCTGATTATCTTAATCTGTGCAGAAAAGTGTTCAATAAATACACATTTGTAATATAAGAAAATGGAACTTTCTTATCCAAATTAAGGGAAACAACAAAAACCTTACAGCAGGCATCACACTGAATATAGCAAAATGTTGATAGTGTTCTGAGATTAGGAACAAACAAGAATGCTCACCTACCCACATATGTTCACCTTTTACTGGAGGTTTTTCCTGGTGCAATAAGGTGAGGAAATAAAAATGATTGGGTAGGAAAAAAAATTCTATTAGTGGATGATATGATTTTGTATGTAGAAAGCTTAAAAGACTTCAAATATAATTAGAATTAATAAGTGAGTTTAAATCATTTATGGGTGCAGGGTCAACATTTTTTTTTTGCGATAGGGCCTCACTCTGTCACCCAGGCTGGAGTGCAATGGTGTGACCAGAGCTCACTGCAGCCTTGACCTCCGGGGCTCAAGCAATTCTCCTACCTCAGCCTCTGGAGTAGCTGGGACTACAGATGCACACCACAACGCCCAGCTATAGGGTCAACTTTTTTTTTTTTTAGTTGTATTTCTATACACCAGTAACAAACAGAAACCTCAGTTTAATCAGGAACGCCAGTTTTAAAAACATCGACTATCAAATATATTTAACATAAGGTATGCAATAGTTCTGTGCAGAAACAGCATTATTGTGAGAAATAAATACTAAATAAATGGAGGAGATACTGAATTGAAAAGATGATGTCATAAAGAAGTTAGTTCTCCCTGAATGATGCTCAGGTAGCTGAAATTGCAATGGAAATAAATATCAATGGATTTTTACAGGCAGTTGTGTGGGGAATGATCTCCATGCAAGCATGCTCTCAAGGTCACTCTCAGATAGGTGATCCCAGAGGCCACAAAACACACAGCCTCAGAGCAAATGAAGACAAATGAACCCTTCACTTTATTACTCCCATTTAAAGCATGTAGTGAGAAGAAGGGGATGCTCTGGGCTCAGCACAAGCAGCATGCGGGCAGGGGATACAGAGGCCCCACCTGGAGTCTCTGCTGCCTCAACCAGACAGTCCCCTGACTGCCTGGGTGTGAGTCCAGGGCTTGAGGTTGGTCCTGGGTTGATGAAAACACTTGCTCTTGGACAGCACAGATCCAACCTAGAGTAACTTATGGAACAAGTGACCTAGTTCCTTCAGCAAATAAATTGCTGAGGAAAATGAGTAAAATATAGGGGTGAACTGATATTAAAAGAGCCTTAGGAGATGTGTCAGCCAACGGCAATGCAGGGAGCTTTTCTGGACCTCACTTCAAACAAACTAAAATCAAAGCATTTGTGAGACAAGTGGGGAAATTTGAACCCTAGATACTTAATGATATTAATAAATTATTGTTAATATTGATCTGTATTTTAGGAGTCCTTATCTTTCCATGATATGTACTGAAATACTTATAAATGGTGTTTGAAATTTTTGTAAAATTTTTTAACTTGAATTTTTAAAAAATAAGAGCTTTTGATCATCAAAATGCAATATTAAGAGAATAGAAGGGCAAGCCAGGAAATGGAAGAAACATATGTAACTGACAAGAAGATTGCATCAGGAGTTTATATTACAATCTCATATGTCAATTAGAAAAAGACAAACAATCCATAATAAAATATGTAAGAGGCTTGAACAGGCACTTCACAAAAAATGAACAAATAAATAGAAGTATCCAGTTGGCCAATAATCATATTGATGGATGATCCATTTCATCATTAAGTAGTGAGAGAAATGCAGATTAAACCACACCAAGGTATCACTTTACACCCACCAGAGCAGCTAAAATTAAAAACACTGACATTATCAAATGCTGATAAGGATATAGCAATGGGAACTCTAATACACCCTTGGTCAGAGTGTAAATTGTAAAGCCATTTTGGGAAACAGTTGAACATTATTTCCTGACATTTAACATACACTTCCCTGTGACCTAGCAATTCTCCTCCTAAACATTTATTTAACAGAGAAATATGCAGATCTGCAACAGCAGACATGTCCAAGAACGTTCATAGTTCCATTAGTCCCAACACCCTAAAACTGGAAACAGCCCCAATGTCCGTCAAAAGTAAAATGAATAGAGAAATTGTAGCATGTGCATACAATGGAATACGGAACTATAATGGAGTTATCTTTTAAGAAAAATGGAAGAAGTCCAACTATACCCAGTAATAAATATAGTCTTATAAGCATAAGGTTAAGCAAAAGAAGCTTAACACAAAATAATTTATGCAGTTCCATTTTCATAAAGACAAGTACAGGAAAGGTTAGGATATGCTGTAGTGTTCCCCCAACATAGGCTAAATGTCATCTGCCTTTTCAATGGTTTCTTAGGTTTCACAGGCTCCATTTCTTCACCATCTGATCTCTTCCCCCTGCACAAGCACCCCATGTGTCTGACCTCCTCACAGAAAACACCATTTCCTGAGTGTGGTCTGACCAGAGAAAAGCATGTGGTGACAGAAAAAAGCAGGTTTTCACACTGCTGATAACAACCTACCTAAGACTGGGCAATTTACAAAAGGAAGAGTTTTAATTGGACTTACCGTTCCATATGGCTGGGGAAGCCTTACAATCACGGTGGAAGGCAAGGAGGAGCAAGTCACATCTTACATGGATGGCAGCAGGCAAAGAGCCAGAACTTGTGCAAGGAAACTCCGCCTTATAAAGCCATCATATCTCATGAGACTCATTCACTATCATGAGAACAGCACAGGAAAGACCTGCCCCCATGATTCAATTACTTCCCATCAGGTCCCTCCCACAACATGTGGGAATTCAAGATGAGATTTGGGTGGGGACACAGCCAAACCATATCATGGTGGCTTTAAAAGGTGGAGTTTAATTCTCCTCCTCTTGGATGGTGGTTGGACTTCATGACTCATGTCTAATGAATAGATAGTGACAGAAGAGAAACTGTGTGGCTTCCACTAGGAAGGCTAGGTTATTCAAAATTTTTTTAAAAAATAAAGCTTCCACCTAGTTTTCTCTCTTTCTTGCCTTGCATACTCTGGAGAACCCAGCCACCATGTTGTAAGGGCACTCAAGCAGCCCTGGGAGAGGTCTACATGGAAAGCAATGGAAGCTTCCCACCAGAAGCCAATACCAACCCATCAGCCATGGAATATCCTCCAGCCCCCATCAAGCCCTCAAATGACTGCTCCTGGCTCTCATCTTGACTGCAATCTCACAAGACCCCCAAGCCAGAACAACTTAGGCAAGCTGCTACCAAATTCCCAAGTCACAGGAATCAGGAGAGCAAGTGTGCGCTTGTGGTTTGCATCTGCTGAGTTTTAGGGTAATTTGTTATCCAGCAGACTAATGCAGGTTTGGTCTGACCCAAGAGGGCAGAATGGCACCACACTGTACGGTGCTCTAAACGCTGAACGTTGAATGGCTGTTTTGGAGTCTATTTTACTGCCTCTCTTGTCTCCAGTCAAGGTCCCTGTCACCCAAAAGCCAATGTCAACATAAACATATCTTGTATTATGAAGATGAGCTTGATGGACCCACCACAGTACTTTAAAATCATCCCCTTCAAATTGCGTGTGGTCCACTTTAGTCCATTATTCTTCTGTCAGCGCAACTTCTGACCAGGACCTAGTTATTGGCAGCCCTCACCAGGAAGTAGTGCTGCAGAGTGTAGACAGGCACCGTCCTACTCCAGAAGGCGGGCTGTGCAGGCATTCTGTCCATCATCTTTCCTTGAGCACTGCTGCACGAGATCGGTAGGCTCAAAGTCAACTTTATTCTTGTTGTCATTTCTAAAGTGCATTCATCACAACGGGCAATCTATTCCCTGTGAAGCCTCCCAAAATTCACACTTCACCATCCATTCCACAGCCAAGTGCAACGACTCTTGGAACAAAGAGGGCAGGGAGAGCCAGGGAGGCCCAGTGCCTTTCATCCCATCTCTCCCCACAACGTGCTGGGCACACACACCAGACCGAACATTTGTGGGTGATGATCACCAAACGAAAACCTGAGCTCTCCGCATAAAAGGCAGTGGCCCTAATACCTGGCACACACATTTACTGGAGAGAAAGGAAA
Source organism: Homo sapiens (assembly GCF_000001405.40). Classification (NCBI taxonomy): domain Eukaryota; kingdom Metazoa; phylum Chordata; class Mammalia; order Primates; family Hominidae; genus Homo; species Homo sapiens. The sequence goes on along the minus strand of NC_000013.11, from coordinate 110,855,965 downwards.
CAGGAAATGAAGTTCCTGCTGAAAGAAAAGTGTTGACGTGAATGCAAGTTGTAAAATGGAAGGGCTTGCAGGGAATTTATTTACTATCAGGGAAGACCTATAATCGAAAAGAAAAATTTTATATCTCCTGTAAGTAGGACTTTCAGTAGATGAGGGGATGCAGAGACAGAAGAGCGAATGACAGAAAAAGAAATTCCCAGGTGGAAACATCTGGGAAGACAGGACGGGTGTGGTTCCTCAGAAGCTCACCATTCCTCGGGAGAGAGAACCCACAGCGAGGTGTGACAAGAGGCCTCAAATGGCCCAGCTGTGAGCCTGGGGGACCTTCTCTGCAGAGCCAGCAAGGAGGATGTGCAACCCCCAGCTGTCTCTCTGTTCCTGGCAGTCATGACTCCAGCTGCCTGGCCGACAGCCTCTGTCAGTTGCAAGGCCAGTGGTTGGGTTGTTGGTCAGTGGTGCTGTGTCCTTAGGCCAGAGGAACCAGACTTTCTGGGTAGAACTTACCTCACTGCTCACCCCGTGGAGCTCCCAATGAAACACCGGTAAATCCCACAAGGCACACAGAGTTTTGGACAAGGTGAGTTGAACTTTTTTTTTTCCTTTCAGAAACAGTGTCTCGCTCTGTCACCCAGGCTGGAGTGCAGTGGCGTGGTCACAGCTCACTGCAGCCTCAACCCCCTGGGCTCAAGCGATCCTCCCACTTCAGCCTCCTGAGTAGCTGGGATCACAGGTACTCTTTCCCCTGCTCAAGGTGGCCTGCTCAGGGCTTTCCTGCCTCCAAGGCACTGTGGCAAGACAACCAAGCTTTGGTGTTCAGCAGTCTAAGCTCACTGAGGGAACCAGGGTGGGGAGGGCCTGCCCCTGCGGAAAGTGCGGGGAGTAAGGCTGTGCGCCAAGGCAGTGGTGCCCCAGGGAGTGGGATTCTGGACTGGAGTTTCCAGCCTCTCGCAAGGTTGCTGGGCCCCGGCTGGAAGCAGAGGGGAGACCTGAAGGACCCCAGTGCCAGTGCACGGTGGGCATCTCAGCAGCACCTGGTGTGGAACCAAGAAAGACCCAGACCCAGCAGGGGGTGGAGGCTCAAGAACAGCAGCGGCTGCATTTCCCGCCTCCCGGTGAGACTGATGTGCGAAGCCAGAGTAAAGTGGATTTCCAGAAAATCTCCAAAAATACTTCTGACGCCCAGGAGATAATAGACTGAGATTCATACTAAAAATACACAGAGATCATGCCATGTGAAAGAAGCCAAATTCAAAAGGCTACACACGACATGATTTCCTTTAATGACATTCCAGAAAAGACAAAGTGTGGCGGCCCCATAAACAGAGCAGGCTTAGCCAGGTCAGGGAGGAATCGTCTACCAAGAGGCACAAGGGAATTGGGGGGCTGGAATTTTTCCATCTTGAGTGTAAAGGTGGTTTCATGACCCTATGTGTTTGTCAACACTGAACTCAGACCTACACATTAAAAGGGTGAATTTTAATATACGCAAATTGTGCCTCAGGAAACCTGTCTTTAAAAAACTCGATTGAACAAAAGGATTTTATGGAAAAATGTATTTATTGTGCAGGCATTTTACAAACCTTCCCATCTCATTTGAACAGCAACCATGTAAAAATGTGTGGCAAAAATATAGAAATTATTTGTAATTGTGTGGAAAACACAGTTTAACTTGCATTATTACCTCTGATGAGGGGCAGGTGTGTGGGGAGGGACTTTCCATTTTTATTAAGTGTCTTTCTACATTTGACTTTGGACAAAGAGCTGAGGTTGCTTTCAATTATGAAAACAAATAAAACAAGGCCGGGCATGGTGGCTCAGGCCTGTAATCCCAGCACTTTCGGAGGCCGAGGCACACGGGTCACTTGAGGCCAGGAGTTTGAGACCAGCCTGGGCAACATGGCAGAACCTCCTCTCTACTAAAAAATACAAAAAGTAGCCGGGTGTGGTGGCGCGGGCCTGTAATCGCCAGCTACTCCGGACGCTGAGGCAGGAGAATCGCTTGAATCTGGGAGGCAGAGGGTGCAGTGAGCCGAGATCGCGCCACTGCACTCCAGCCTGGGCGACAGAGCGAGACTCTGTCTCACAAAAGCAAAAAACAAAAACCCACAGTTCCCAGGCGCCCTCCTTACCCCCTGGCTCCTTTCCCGAGCCTCCCCAGTGTCTCCTGTAGCCAGAATAACGCCCCCGACCCATGTCCACATCCCAATCCCCAAATCCTCGCCTGGCAGCAGGGACTTGGTAGACTGAGGGGAGCTGGGGACCTGGGGGTGGGAGATTCTCCTGGGTGACGGGGCGGGCTTCCTGGAATCACACGGGTGGGAGGCGGGAGGGTCGGAGGTCAGAGTGACTGAGGCCGGGTCCCAGGGGTGCGGCACCCGCTTAGAAGCTGCAAGAGGCGGGGACAAGGATTCTCTCCAGGAGCCCTGCTGACACGGCTCTGACCTCTGACCCCTAGAGCCGTAAGATGATAAATCTGTGCTGCTTTAAGCCTGCACAGCTGTGTCATAGCGACCCAGGAAACCAGCGCAGCCTGGAGCCTCCCTGGGGCTTCGCTCCGTAGCTGCCAGGCACTGAGCCCCACTGGAATGCAGCCTGGTTTGGACGCGGTTTTCTGGGCTGAACTTAGCGCCGTCTCTAGAAGTCAACTGTATTTGCATTGCCTCTGAGTCCCCAGCACTCCTCCCCAGCACTGGTGTCTCACCCCTATGTGTGGGCGACAGGACAGCAGATACGACCTATTTTTTAAACCATTTTCTCCCATCCCCCATGCAAATCTGGCCTCACGGACCCTTTCTCTGAGGTACACCATGGCAATCCTTAAATGAGGCCTGGTTGCTGGTTTGAACACTCTACTGTAAGACATTCTTTTTGAATGGAGCTGTTTTCTTACTTTCATATTCAGATTGTTCATTGCCTGTTTGTGGAAAGACAACCGAGTTTTGTATACCGACCTCGTATCCTGCAATCCAGCTACACTCACGCATTCTAGGCGCTTTTTGTGGATTTCTTAGGGTTTTCTACATATGGGATCAAATCATCGGAAAATAAAGAACATTTTATTTATTCTTCTTTTGAAATTTGGTTACATTTATTTCTTTATTTAGCCTTATTGCACCGGCTAGACCGTCCAGTACAGTGTTAATTAGGAGTGTCGAGAGAGAACATCCGACTCGTGTTCCTGGTCTTAGGGAGCACACACTCAGTCTCTAATCATTAAGGATGAAGTCAGCTGCAAGCTTTTCACAGTTGTCCTTTACCGTTTATTTTTATTTGGTTAAGGATGTTCTTTTTCACTCCGAGTTTTTGAGAGGTTTTTTTTTTCTTTTATCATGAATAGTTCTTTAGTTTGTCCAAAAATGCTCTTTCTCTACCTATTGAGATGAATGTAAATAGAATGCGTTTTTTTTTTGCCTTTATTCTGTAAATATGGTATACAAGGAGAATTGAAGTTTGCATGTTAATTCAGTCTTGTAGTCCTGGAATGAATAACATTAGATCATGTTAATCTTTTTTATGTTTTCTGGATTTGGTTTCTAACATTTTGTTAAGAATTTCTGTATCTATGTTCAAGAGGGATAGTAGTCTATAGTTTTCTTTTCTTGTATATTTTTTGTCTGGTTTGATATCAGGATAATACTAGCTTCATAGAATGAATTGGGACATATTCCCTCCTCTTCTATTTTCTGGAAGATGCTGTGTAGAATTTGTGTTGATTTTTCTTTAAATATTTGGTAGAATTGTCCAGAGAAGCCATCTTGACCTGGAGACTTCTTTAAGTTTGATTGTAACGGTGTGGGGATAAAATTAAAATTTAATTTTCTTAATATTTATAGGGCTATTCAAAACATACATTTTATATGGTGTGAGTTTTGGCAGTTTGCATCTTTTTAGGAACATTTTTGACCCATTTCTTCTAAGTTGTCACATTTATGTATGTAGAGTTGATCACACACTTCCCTAATGTCCCTTTGATGTCCTTATGGCCTGTGGTAATGTCTGTTTTATTCCTGATCCTGGTCATTTGTGTCTTCTCTCTTCTTTTTCTGTGTCAGTCTTGCTAGAAGTTTGTCAGTTGCATTGATCTTTTCAAAGAACAAGCTCTTTCTTTCATTGCTTGTATTGATTGTTCTTCTGTTTTCAATTTCTCAGATTTCTCTTTTCTTCATATTTTCTTTTTTCTCTTTGCTTTGAGTTTATTTTGTTCTTCTTTGTCTGGGTTCTCGAGGCGGCAGCTTAGATTAATGATTTCAGATCTTTTCTAATGTGTACATTTGGTGACTTCAATTTACCTCTCATCATGCTGTGTCCCATAAATTTGGATATGCTATATTTTCATTTTTATAAGGTTTATTATATGACTTTTGATGATTTCCAGAGCATTAAAATGGTTGTTTGTCACAGTTTTGTCCAATTTTATAGTAGCTTTTTGGAGGAACAATCTGTTAACCCTCATCTGTCATTTCAGAAGTGAATCTCCCAACTTTTATTTGGCTTTAACATAACTGTAATCACAGTATACCAGTAACCTGGAATACGGATGAATTTTTAAAATTTATTTTATAAACATTTTCTTGTGTTATAGTGTTATCTTCATTAAATTATGTTAATGGCTGATTAATGTTTTATCCACTAGGTAGATGGTTGGCTTACCATTTGGACATACAGCTAATTTCACACTTTTGCTTTTATCACTGTACTCATTTCCTTCTCCAGCTTCAGCACTGCTTGGCTTCCCTCTGCAGTGCCGGCCTCCCGGCTGCTCCTCCAGCTCCAGAGCCACGGTCACTGCACAGGGTGCCAGTCCTGCTCCCGGCCCCACATGGCTGAATGTCTAGTTGCTGTTTCTTATTCTTCCCATCCTGCTGAGTGCGCACCTGAGTTCCAAGCAGTCTCAAGGGACAGAAAGGCAGGTGGTGCAGCCAGGAGAGGCAAGCACTGAGCAATGGGAAACAGAGATCAGAGGGTGGCCAGCAGCTGGCCCCCTCCATTTTCGGGGTCTGTGGTGCTCCGGGGCGTGGCTTCTTGCAGCCCTCACACCAAGTGGATGCAGGCATGGTGTGAGCTGCAGGGTGCGCAGGGCTGCGTCACTCCACATGGTCTCCTCCTCTCCCTGCCTCCAGCCCCGCACCCTCACCCTTGCTGTCCCAGGTCTGCACCTCCCAAATAAGGCACAACCACTTTCATCCTTGCCTCTGTCTCTGTTTTCAAGGGAACCCAAGCAAGGAGGTCCAGTACAAAAGAAAATATTTCTACTGAACGAATAGGCATGTACAGAGTTGAAAGGACTCAGAAAATCCTTTGCTGCTTTCCCCCTTGAGGCACCAGCCCACTGGGGCATCTGGTCTACCTTCCTCTTCTCCCATGCTTTTCAATCCCTGTGGTTCCCCGCCCCCCAACCTTTTCTTTTTGTCTTGTCCCAGGGTCTTTTGTGCTCTTCTCATACTTGGTTCATGACAGAGACTCTCAGCCAACAGTTTTCTTTCTTGAAGAAGGAGGGCTTCAAGTTCTCCAGTATATGGCAGAGGAGGGGAAGAAGAACACACTCCCACAGGAATGAGATAGCCAGGAAAGCAGTGAATCTTATTGTCATCTGCAGTGTGTTGTTTTGCTAGTACAGTCTCTGTTGTTTTCTCTCTTTTACAAAAGATCCCATTGTATTATACTCTTTGGAATGGCCCAGATCCCTTGTAGAGGGGTGGATAAGTGTTCTACCTCAAAGGCAAGGGAGGGCAGATGATCCTATCTTAGTGCATGAACAATGAAACAATTTATATCTTTGAACGTGTGGCTTTTTCCATATTTGGTATTAGCTCCTTAAGATAGAACCCCAGAAGTAAAATGATCGCATTATAACGTAGGAATATTTCCAAGCCCTTTGACACACACAACGGATTTAATCTCCAGAAGAAAGATGACATTTAAATTCTGGCACACTCATTTTTTTTTAAATGTTTGTGTCAGGAGGAGGGATTGGGAACAGAGGAGTGGGGGAGGCAATCTGGGTGGAAATTGTAGAAGGCTGTGATCAGCTAAGGCTACTTTTGTTCTCACAGGCTCTCTAAAAAGGTGACAACAAATTCTTCCTTTCTCAGAGACCTGTGGCATGAATATCCTGCCATGCACCTGGTTGGTGTTTGTTGTTGGAAATTAAGTGATCCAGGTAATGTGCATATTGCAAATATTTTAAGTCTTAAAAAGAGACTGAGAGCTCCTCATGCCTCCCCAAACACAGAAGTTCACCTGTCATCTATCTATCTATCTATCTATCTATCTATCTATCTATCTATCTATATCTCCAAGTCATAAAATAAATCTCTTTTAAAAGACTCTAAAAACTGGCAGAGATGGGGGGAAACAAGATGACAGAAAAATTAGTATATCATAGGAAGTCCAGGACCAGATGGGAGCCAAGAGTAATTTTGTTCCAGGAGGACAGAGTCAAGGACAAGAACCATGAGCAGAGGTGTCACTTTCATGATCAAGGATGCTGCCCAGAAAGCCTCGGGGAAACTGCGGTTTCTTTGATTTACCCAAAATGCCCACCATGATCTGGTCCATCCTTAATTTAATCATTTTATTCAAATTGCCTCAGATCTCAATCCTGGAAACCAATGTTAATTAAATTGGCCCATGGAATGTGTGAGGATTTTTAAGGCTGGAATGGTGATTTTTAAAGTATTAGTGGCTATTTTTGAAACTGCCAAGGGATCAACTCATTTAACCTTGGAAGAGACAGCTCATGGAAAAGAAATTAGAAACACACTAAAAGTGAAATTAAAATGCAATTGATGTCCAACCAGCAGCTTTCCTGATGTGACACATGCTGTCCTACAGTAAGTCGCACGCTCTGCTCCCCCATCCAGCTTTTAATTTCTGTGCTTAAAGAATAGAAACATTTTTTCAACCTTACTTAACTTATGAAATGTGACAAGAATGCGTTTCTGCCAAAATCAGGAGAGTGCCCTTAACATAATGAGACAACTTGATTGATCACTCTACATAATGAATAAAAATTTGCAAATTAAGAAAAAAAAAGAATTGTCATTTGTACCTGTCAGACTTGATCAAAATTAAAAGATCAGGTAACAGATCAGGTAACTGCCTCAAATACAGACTTTCCAGAATCAGTCTTAAACTTTAATACTTCTAATGGAGCAAAATGTTTTCAACAGAACTGAAACAAGGGCTTGAACAGAATTTTAAGCCAGCCTCAGTACAGGGAAGCTTCACTGGCAGTATTTTTATATGCTTATTGGCCATCTGAATTATTTTTATGTGACTTGCTTGTATGGTCTGTCTAGCTTTATGTCAGACTGTCTTTATTGATCTCTGGTTGCTTTCCTAAGCTACTGATATGGTTAGGCTTTGTGTCCCCACCCAAATCTCATCTTGAATTGTAATCCTCATAATCCCCTCATGTCAAGGGAGAGACCAGGTGGAGGTGACTGAATCATGGGGGCGGTTCCCCATGCTGTTGTTGTGATAGTGAGTTAGCTCTTAACGAGATCTGATGGTTTTATAAGGAGGTCTTCCCCCTTTGCTCGCACTTCTCCTTCCTGCCGCCCTCTGAAGAAGGGGCCTTGCCTCCCCTTCCTCTTCTGCCGTGATTGCAAGTTTCCTGAGGCCTCCTCAGCCATGCTTAACTGTAAGTCAATTAAACCTCTTTGCTTCATAAATCACCCAGTCCCAGGCAGTTCTTTGTAGACTGATACAGCTCCAATCATGGCTTATATGTGGCACGTATTCTCATCTTTCTGTCCCTTGCTTTTAACTTTGTTCTAGTATCCTTAACCTGTACATTTTTGTCTTCAAGTAGTCAAATCTGTCCCCATCTTCTTTATGGTTTCTGAATTTAATTTCCTATATAAAATTGCTTTCCTGACCACAAAATTTCAAAAATATGCTGCTACGTATTCTTTATTCATTTGTGACTTTGTTTTATGTCAAGTTTTTTTTTTTTTTTTTTTTTTTGAGACAGAGTTTCACTCTTTCACCCAAGCTAGATTGCAGTGGCATGATCTCGGCTCACTGCAACCTCCGCCTTCTGGTTTCAAGTGATTCTCCCGTCTCAGCCTCCTGAGTAGCTGGGATTACAGGCGTGCGCCACCACACCCAACTCATTTTTGTGTATTTAGTAGAGATGGGGGTTTCACCATATTGGCCAGGCTGGTCTCGAACTCCTGACCTCGTGATCCACCCGCCTCAGCCTCCCAAAAGGCTGGGATTACAGGCATGAGCCACAGCACCTGGCCATATCAAGTTCTTTATCCATTTAGAATTTATTTTTGCATGTGGTATGAAGGAAGCATTCACTTTTATTTTCTTCTACATGTATAGGCACTGCCCCAGAAACATTTATTGAATGACTTCTTCACACTCTTGAAACACCGCCTTTAACCATGTACTGAATTCTGTGTGTGCTTGGGCAGGCCACTGGGTTCTGCTTTGTTCCTCTGGGCATTTGACTATGTTTGTGCCAGCTTCCTACTCTTTTTTTGTCTACAACGCTTATTTATTTATTTTATACATTTATTTTTCCTGCTGAACATTGGAACTGAGTGATCATGTTACCCAAAAGCTCTCCTTGGAGCTTCTGACTAGAACTGATCCCAGCACTTTGGGAGGCTGAAGCAGGAGGATCGCTTGAGTCCAGGAGTTCGAGACCAACGTAGGGAGATCCCCATCTCTACAAATGATTTTTAAAAAAGTAGCCAGGCATTGTGATGTGTACCTGTAGTCCTAGCTACTTGGGAGGCTGAGGCTGGAGGATGGCTTGAGCCTGGGAGGTCAAGGCTGCAGTGAGCTGTGATTGTGCCACTGCACTCCAGCCTGGGCAACAGAGCAAGACCCTGCCTCAAAAAAAACCTGCATCATATCTCTATATTAATTTAAGAAGAACTGTTAATTTTTATGAAAAACGTCTTTGATATTAAGAACTTGAAATTTTGGAAAATGTCTATTATAAGAAAAGAAAGTACCCCTCCCCACATGCGTGCATGTGCACACACACACACACACACACACACATACCATCCTATTTAAACCCTGAGTGTTTGTGCATTTCTTTCCTGATTAGTCAAATTCTGAGGGAGGGATATTAAAGCTTCCCACTGGGATTGTATTTTAACACGTTCTCTTTGCATTTTTGGTGTTTTTGCCTTGTGTATGTGGTTTGGTGCATAAAGGTTCTTGGTGGTTTACCTTTTTAGTTGATTATTCTTTTTAACTTGGCAAAACATCCCTTCCCTAGTGATGCCTGTGGATGTCACATTGGTCCCTCCGGATCCCTGCCCCTGCTGTCTGTCTGAATAGGCTGACCTGCACCCTGGGGGGCTTTGCGCCTTGGCCCACAGATTGCAGAGAGGCCGCTCCTTTCCCAAGGGCTCAGCTCAGGTTGGTGCCAATGTTTCCCCAACAGCTTCAGGGTCCTTCCCACCGACTCTTCCCTCTGGTCCTGGTAGCCACTCCCTTCCCCACCCTGTCAAGCCTTGGCAGAAGACAGTCCCACAATTGCCACTACAGAATGTCACCTGCGGGAGCCTCAACACTGCCCCACCCTTGAAAACCCTCCTCAGACCATCCGAATTCGAGGATGCTGTCTGCTTCCTGGGAACTTTCCCTTTGGCCTTAAATTCCACTTTGCCTGCTGTTCTGCTATTTCACACGTGCATGTTCCTCTTTTTAGCTCTATAATATTTTTAGGCTGCCTCATAAAAATAATATAGCTCAGTGTTTTGCTTTCAATGATCTGAGTTTTTGTCTTCTTATAAAGGAATTTGCTCACTTCCGATGTACTGTTACCAACTCATTATATACTTCAATTTTAGTCTTTTTTTCTCTTTCCTGATATTTATCAAATTATTCAAAAGAATTTTCATTTAGGTTTTGATATTGGTAGTTGATGTTTTATTAATATAATGTCTCTGGACCAAGAGTGATTACCTTTCTGAGAGTCATATCATACCTCTACCTCAATGTCAATGCACCAAAATAAACAATACTTCTGCCTCCTGCCTTCCACTGGAGATAAGCTCCGTAGCCAGCTTTGACTTGTCGTTCCTTCAGCACCAAACTCCCAGGTTTGTTTGAAATAATTTTGAATTTTAATTTCACTTTCCTTATTATTTTTCTTATCGTACAATTCTTCTATTTTAGGAATCCTTTGTTAACCTCTGTTGTAGTTCATGATCACACAGTAAATATCCATTAGGTTCAGGCTCATATTTAACTGGATTTGTTATTCCCCACTCTCTCCTACACATTGCATCATCCTCGGTCTTTGATTTTCCTGAAGTACTTTATTGAATAATTTCTTTGAGTGTTCAGAAATGCCTTTCTTTGTCTCTCATATATAAATAATACTGGATTGATTCTAGGATTACAGTGCTTTTCATCTAAAAAATCTGTCAGTATTATCCACTGCCTTCTGCAGATAAGAAAGTCAGTGCCAACCTGATTCTCGCTCCGCTGTGAATAACGTAAATTTATCTGGGAACCTGTGATGTTTTCTCCTGGAGTTCAAACATTCATCAGGATGTGTCTTGACGAGTGACTTTTTAGGGGCTTCCTACCAATCAGTAAGATTGTTCTGAAATTCACCTTTGTTCTGTTTCAGGAAGATTTTTTCTCTCCATTTCCATGCCTCTTTCTCTCCTGCATCTGTTCTGTTCCATCCTTCTAGAATCCCTGTTACTCAGGCACTAGGTCTCTTGTTCTAGTCTTACTTATAATTCCCACTCACCTATATTTTTTATCTGTATTGTGAGATGATTCCTCCATTTAATTTTCTAGATCACTCAATTTGCTTTTGAAAGTGGCCATTTTAATGTTTACTTCTTCTATCTGTGTATTAAATTCTAGAAATTCTCTGAGCCCTCTTATGTCCTTAAAAGTCTATACTATATATTTACATTTTTACTTCTCACCTCCTTTTTCTCCTGGAGTTCCCTCAATACAAATCACTTGTTCTGTCACCTTGGATTTGTTCCTTCAAGCAACAAGAGGTTCTCAACCCTGGTGGACCATTAAGATCACAGCAACCCCCACCCTCCACCAAAAAAGGCTCCACCCCTACAGGTTTGATTTAGTTGATCTGTGATGGGTTGAGGGGCATTGCCTTAAACCATCAATGTTCCTTCTTTATCTGTGAAGGGAAACTCAATAAAAAATTTAATCAGAACCAATACCATCTCCTAGGAAATAGAGCAGCTCCTGAGAGCAGATGGAAACCTTCTCTATGCCCTGGAGCCATATGCACACATGTCTACCAGGTATAATCTTCTGAGGGCCATTGCTGTGTCGTAGAGCATCTACCAGTTCAACCTTAGAATGCATGTCATGAAGTGTGACAAGGACCAACATAGTATCATCAGCAGGTATGAGAATTCCTTCCACCCCACATACTTGCCCATCTTTTCCATTTCCGTCCTTCCGGTGGCTTTGAGGATGCCTCTCGGGCTACTCATTTCCCCGACTACTACTGAAGTGAAGGCTTGTTTTCTCACAGATTTATCGGCCATTTGGATGTCATTATTGGTAAGTGAGTGCTCAAGTCTCATGCCTACTTTTCTATTGAGTTTTCTGTCCTGTTTTTGTTGATTTACGGGAGTTCTTTAGCTATTCTAGATATGAACTCTTTGTGAGTTATATGTTCACAGCAGCATTATTCATAATATGGAAACACTGAAAACAATATGAGTCTCCATCACTAATAGAATGAGTAAATAACTGTGGTATAGTGGTACAATGGAAGACTATACAGCAATGAAAACACATGAGCTATAGCAACATGCGAGAATATAGGGGAACTGCACTGACATACTAACTGAAAAAAGGCAGATACAAAAAATCTATTCATATAAAGTTCAAAACCAGGTGTATTAGTCTGTTCTCCTGCCACAATAAAGGACTGCCCGAGGCTGGGCAATTTGTAAAGGAAAGAGGTTTAATCGACTCACAGTTCAGCATGGCTGGGGAGGAGGCCTCAGGAAACTTACAATCATGGTAGAAAGCGAAGCAAACACGTCCTTCACATGGCAATAGGAAGGAGAAGTGCTAAGTAAAAGGGGGAAAAGCCCCTTATAAAACCGTTAGATCTCATAAGAACTCACTCACTCTAATGGGAACAGCAGCATGGGGGGTAACCGCCCCCATGATTCAATTACCTCTCACTGGGTCCCTCCCACAACATGTGGGAATTATGGGAACTACAATTCAAGGTGAGATTTGGGTGGGGACACAACCAAACCATATCACCAGGCAAAACTAAACTGTAGTGTTAGAAGTCGAGATAACAGTCGCCCCTCGGAGAGGTAGGTTGGTTAGTGCTGGGAGAGCACAGAGTGCTTCTGGGCTGATGTTGATTTCTGGACCAGGATAACGGTTTTCCAAGTTTGTTCCCTTTGCAGTCATTCTTCAAGCCATACACTAGTGATTTGTGCATTTTACTGGATATGTGTTATAATCCATGAAAATGTGATAGCAGAACAAAGCTGATGTCACTCTTCTGTGATGTGGCCAGGTCTCCAGACACATCAGCAAAGAGCCCAGTGCGACACATTGGGGCCCACTCTTTCCTCAGGAGAGGATGGAATGCTGCTTGTGGAAGAGATACTGTTTCTTCAGTAAAGGCATAAACGGTGTCTGGGAAATATATTTACTAATCACCTAGTAGAGGAAGCCGTGAGCCCTCACGGCTTCCCTGATGTGGAGCCTGGACAGTGGAACTGGCAGGCCCACATGCACCTTGCTCATGACACTGGGCCCAGCTCCCACCCCACCCTACCATGCCTGTTGGATGTGTCCACCAAGGTGCATCCAAGAGAAGCCAACAGGGACATCTGTGTCCCACAGGCCCTTTGTGAAAAGTTCTGGGTCCCATATGGTCCACATTAGCTCTCTCAGCACCTTTCAGATAATCTCCAGAGCTGACCACTGGGATGTGGAGACATAAAGTAGTATAGGTCACAACGGCTGGGGAGGAGTTTGAGGGTGAGAGTCTAATGGGGACAGATTTCAGTTGGGGAAGATGAAACAGTTCTGGAGAAGGATGGTGGTGAAGGTTGCACAACAACGTAATGTCCTTAATGCCACAGAACTTTACACTGAAAAATAGTTCAAATGGTAAATTTCATGTTTTGTATTTTTTACCATAACTTTTAAATAACTTTTAAAATGAATAACTTTTAAAATGAATAAAGGTGAGGGATGACATCAGCGAACATGGTGGAGTAAGAACATCCGAAAATTCTCTTTCATAAAAATAAATAACTGGCAAAAATGGTTAGAATCAACTTTTTCAGAACTCTGGAAGTTAACTAAATGATTGCAGCAATTGAGGGGGGTATCAAGAAGAACTGCTGAGTTTCAGGAAGAGCAGTGATCTTGGTGTGTTCTAGCATTTCCTGTTCCCATCTCCCACTCCCCAGTTCTGCTGCAGCATTGGAACCCAGAGGCCCCCATCAGCCTGGCCATCAGCAAAGGGACAGGATGGGATCGGTGCTCATCCAAAGCCTCATTTCCACAAAATTGTCATTATCTGACCTGTTGAGTGGCTGCCTGGAAGTCCTCACTTGCAGCGTGGTCTTTATTTGACCAGTTTCAGAGTTTGCTGAAAGAATTAGAGATAATTGTTTAACTTTGCAGCTGTCAGCCAGCTGGGCAGACAGTAAGCTCACCAACAAGTGTAAGAGGAGAAGCTGACGAATTAGATGTCCAAAGGTGCTTTGCAAAGCTCAGACAGAGCATCGAGCCACAGAGAATTATTGAAATCAAATACAATTTTCCTGCTAGATTTTGGACTTGCTTGGGACCTATGATCCTTCTTTTCCTTCGAGTTTCTCCCTTTTGGAATGGGACTGTGAATCATATGCCAGTCATGCTATTGTCATTTGGAAGCAGATAGCTTATGTGGTTTCACAGATTCACAGGTGGAGAGGAATTTTGCCCCAGGATAAACCATGCCCCAAGTCTCTGATTATGTGATTTAGATAATGGGACTTGAGACTTTGAGTTGTGCTGCTTAGACGAGATTTTGGCCTTAGAGTTGCTGTGGGAATGGTTAAAACTTTAGTCAATGTTGAGATGGGGAATGTATTTTGCTTGTGGGAAAGAGATGAATATGGGGGAGGCAGAGGGTGACGTGTTATAGGTAGAATTGTGTCTCCCAAAAAGACATGCTGGAGTCCTAACTCTGAATACTTCAGAATGTGACCTAACTTGAAGTAGGGTCATTGCAGACATAATTAGTTAAGATGGAGTCATACTAGTATAGGGTGGGCCCCTAGCCCGATAGGACTGATGTCCTTGTAAAAAGAGGAGAATGCCATGTGAACACAGAGACACACAGGGAAGATGGTCACAAGAAGACAGAGGCAGAGACTGTGGGGATGCTGCCACAAGCCAAGGGGTGCCTGGGGCTACCAGAAGCTGGAAGAGACAGGAAGGATCCTCCCCTAGAAGCTGCAGAGGGAAGATGGCCCTGCAGACACCTTGATTGTGAACTTCGAGCCTCCAGAACTATGAGAGAATGAGTATCAGTTGTTTTAAGTTACCCATTTAGTGACACGTTGTTATGACAACCCTAGAAAACTGATTCAGAAGGGAAATTCTTCAACCTGAAAGGGATCAGCAAAAAAAACAAAAAACAAAAAAAAAAAAAACAAAACCCACAGCTAACATTGTACTTAGTGGTGAAAGACTGAAAAGTTTTCCCCTAAGATCAGGAACAAGAAAAGGATGTTCACTTTTGCCACTTCTAATCAGCAATTTGCTGAAGTTTCTAGCTAAGGCAATTAGGCAAGAAAAAGAAATAAGCAGTGATGAAATTGGAAGGAAAGAGAAAAGCTATCTCTGTATGCAGATGACAAGATTTTGTATATAAAAATCCTAACGAATCTTCAAATATCTTATGAGAAGTAATAAACAAGTTTGGAGAGATTGCAGAATACAAGATCAAGAAAAAAATCAATTTTATTTTATACACTAGAAAATGAAATTAAGAAACCAATTCCATTCACAATATTATCAAAAAGCATAAATTGTTTAGGAATAAATTTAACCACAGAGGTGCAAGACTCCTACACTGAAAACTGTAAAGCATCATTGAAAGAAATTAAAGGCCTAAATATAAATGGAAGGACATCCCAAACACACGGAGTGGACAGCTTCGTACTGAGAACAGGCAATCTCACCCAAGTTAATCTACAGGTGCAGCACATTCTCTACCAGAACCCAACTGCCTTTTATTGCAGAAATTGATAAGCTGAACCTAAAATTCATGTGGAAATGCAAGGAACCCAGAATAGTCACAATTATTTGAACTAGAAGAACAGTTGAACACACACTTTCTGATTTTAAAATTTACCACAAAGCTACCTTTTCCAAGACTGTGTTGTGCTGGCCTAGGGATTGAAATACAGATCAATGGAAACGGACGGAGAGTCCAGAAATAAACCAATACACTTATGGGGAATTGATTTTTGACCAGGATTTCAAGATAATTCAATGGAGGAAATAATCGTCCTTTCAACAAATGGTGCTGAGACAACTGGATATTTATATGCAAAATAAAGAACATGACCCCTACTCACCCCACATGAAATTAACTCAAAATAGATTAAAGGGCTAATCTGTAAATTCTTAGAAAAAAGACATAGGTGTAAATCTTTGCAATCTTGAGTTAGCCAATGGTTTCTTCATTGTGACACCACAAGCACTCATAACCGACAGCAACTAAAAAATAGACATGTTGGACTTCATCAAAATTAAAAATTCTTGTGCTTCAAAGTATATTGGCAGGAAAGTGAAAACATAACCCACAGAAGGGGAGAAAATATTCAAAAAACAGATGTCTGACAATGGTCTAGTGTGCAGAATTTATAATGAATTCCTACAACTCAACAATAAAATGATAAATAGCAGAATTAAAAATTGGGCAAAGGATTTCAATCCAAATTTTTTGTTTGTACACACACTATATACAAATTGTCAGCAAACACAAGAAAGATGAGCTACATCATTAGCCATGAGGGAAGTGCAAATCAAAACCCCCATGAGAGACAATGTCACACCCACTGAGATGACTATATTCAAGAAGATGGACAAAATCATGTGCTGGAAAGAGAGGGTGGAAGAGATAGAATATGGCACCATCTCAACTTGGGTGGAGTCTGGGTGAAGAGTAGGGGAAGAAATACACAGCTGCAATTATTCTCTAAGTCTGAAATTATACCAAAAGTAAAAAGTAAAGAAGAAATGATATTCATTCCCTTATCCTTCTTCAACCTGTGTGCCAGCCATTTTGCTCATTATCTTTGAAATAATTTTGAAAAATAGTTCTCTGTACACAATTTTAAGTTATATATATATTTACATAATCCAATGAATTTTTTTTTTGGTTATCATGCATTCTATACATGCTTTAAATTGTATTTTTGTCAAAATCTTGGAATTCAGACTTGACTCACTTAGTTCATGCAAAATATCTGCCATATGACCTAATTGGCAAGGCCAGCCCCCACTGTCAAGTCAGGATGCCAAAACCCAGACACTAATTGGTGTTTTTCTAACCTTGTTTTTCTAATTCAAATAAACACATTACTATTATATATTTCTGTGGCAACCTTTTTACTTCTGAATTCCAATTTCAAGATAGGGGAGGGGAGGGGAGGAAAGGGGAGGGGCGGGGAGGGAAAGAAAGGGGAGGGGTGGGGAAGGGAGGGGAAGAGAGGAAAGGGGAGGGGAGGAGAGGGGAGGGGAGGGGAGAGGGGAGGGGAGAGGGGAGGGGAGAGGAGGGGAGAGGAGAGGAGAGGAGAGGAGAGGAGAGGAGAGGAGAGGAGAGGAGAGGAGAGGAGAGGAGAGGAGGAGAGGAGAGGTAGAAGTAGATAGTTAGCCAGGGTGAACACAGAACCCATCATGGTTTGTGAACTGAATGAGATACGCTTCCTGCACATTCAGTTTTTCTTATGGGAATTCAAGGTTCTCCCTCACAGGAGTGATGAACTTGGTCTGTACGGTTCGTGTCCAGGAGTTTCTTATTTCATATTTTCTATCTATCCATCCATCTATTGATCTACCTACCATGTCTCTGTCATCTGTTCATCATCCGTACTATCTTCTGAATCATTGGAGAGAGTGAGTGGCAGGCATAATTTATCGCTAAATTTGGGCCTTCTTTTACATTTCCTGGTACAAATATCAATGTCGGAAAATTTAACATTGACATAAAATGAATACCTAACATATAGCCCATATTCAAATTTCACCACTTGTTCCACTGTTATTTTCAGCAATTTTGAGAAGGCTCCAATCCAAGGTTGTGCATCGTAGTTGGTTGCTGGTTGTTTTTTGTTTGTTTTCGTCACTTTCAACCTGTGGGACATCCTCAGCCTTTCATGGTCCCTCATGACATTGATTCTTTGTTATGAGTACAGACCAGTTATTCTGTAGAATGTCCTTCAGTTTGGGTTTGTCTGAAGTTCCCTCATGATTGGATCAGGTTATCTATTTTTGGCTGGAATCGCCAACGGATAAACATTTGATTTATGGTGTAAATGATGTTGGGCTCCCATCAGCGCGTTGTTGTCAGAAGACACGTGGTGTTGATTTTCTCCTTACTGTTGACGTTAACTTTGATTATGTGGCTAAAATGATGTCCGCCAGCTTTTTCCACTGTAAAGTTACTGTTGTTCTATTTATAACTAATGAACAATTTGTGTCTGTGGAAGGGGTTACTTTGAAACTATTGCAAACTGTGGGGGAAAGAAAAAGAGATCAGACTGTTACTGAGTCTACGTAGAAAAAGGA
Organism: Homo sapiens; assembly: GCF_000001405.40. NCBI lineage: Eukaryota > Metazoa > Chordata > Mammalia > Primates > Hominidae > Homo > Homo sapiens. The sequence goes on along the minus strand of NC_000013.11, from coordinate 110,838,160 downwards.
AGGCATAAGAAACTACATTTTGATCTGTACTAAGAGAAATTCTTCTGCCTTGAGATGCTGTTAATCTGTGACCCTAGCCCCAACTCTGTGCTCGCAGAAACAGGTGCTGTATTGACTCAGGTTTAATGGATTTAGGGCTGTGCAGGATGTGCCTTGGTAAACATGTGTTTGTAGGCAGTATGCTTGGTAAAAGTCATCGCCATTCTCCTTTCTTGACTACCCAGGGACACAGTGTACTGTGGAAGGTCGCAGGGACCTGTGCCCAAGAAAGCCTGGGTATTGTCCAAGTTTTCCCCCAACTGAGACAGCCTGAGATATGGCCTTGTGGGAAGGGAAAGATCTTACCATCCCACAGCCCGACACCCATAAAGGGTCTGTGCTGAGAAGGATTAGTGAAAGAGGAAGGCCTCTTTGCAGTTGAGATAAGAGGAAGGCATCTGTCTCCTGCTCATCCCTGGGAATGGAATGTCTTGGTGTAAAACCCGATCATACATTCTATTTACTGAGATAGGAGAAAACTGCCTTGTGGCTGGAGGTGAGACATGCTGGCAGCAATACTGCTCTTTACTGCACTGAAATGTTTGTGTAAAGTCAAACATAAATCTGGCCTATGTGCACATCCAGGCACAGCACCGTTCCTTAAACTTATTTATGACACAGACTCCTTTGCTCACATGTTGTCCTGCTGACCCTCTCCCCACCATTACCCTACAGTCCTGCCACATCCCCTCATCAAGATAGTAGAGATAGTGATCAATAAATACTGAGGAACTCAGAGACCAGTGCTGGTGCAGGTCCTCACTTGCTGAGCGCCAGTCCCCACTTTTCTTCCTCTGTACTTTGTCTCTGTGTCTTATTTCTTTTTTCGGTCCCTCGTCTCCACCTTGCGAGAAATACCCACAGGTGTGGAGGGGCAGGCCCCCTTCAGTAAACTACAAATAACATCCTAAACCCCCCAACTGACTGAACGGACCCCTTTTTGGCCAATGGAACCCCAGAGAAACCTCAAAAACTGAGTTCCCAGCCATGATCAGGTGGGAGATTGGAGACGCCTCATTACACCCCCTTCTTTTTTCAGTTCAGACACAACTGACCAGCATTAACGTTAAAATAGAGATAGTAAAACTGATTGAATGAACTCTTTGTAACAATAAGATATCGAATTATAAACTAGACCTCAGGCCATGCCTGGCAAAGGTTAAGTCACCCACCCCTACACTTAAAGAGTAAGTCTATGTTCTACTCGCCACAAGGTATTTTTTTTAATTCCTTTTTCTCTAGCAGATAATCAAGCACTGGCCTTGAGTTAAGCAATGCTGAAGCAGCTGCAGCCCACCCACCACCAGACTCTGACTGACTGACTCCCAACTCCACCAGCTATAGCTACAGCTTTGATCGGACAAGAGACTGATTTCAGTAACTTTCTCCTGATCAGAGATCACTGACCATGGCCTGGTTCTGGCTGGTTTACAGAGGCTGCACACTCAGTGCCGTTAAGTCCCTGCCTCAAATTTTGACATACAGGTGAACATGTCATACATGGAACATATATGTTTGCTTATCATACATGCACAGAACTCCCCTTCATGAATATTCATAACCCCCTCTATATCTTGTTGAATATGTATACTCGGCCAGCCTACCCCACCCCTCCCTCCCTAGAAGTGCTTGCTTTCATTCTTTTAGCCTGAGACTGCACTTCCTGCTTGCAGGTTGTAATTCCCTTCTTAAGAAATACGGCTCTCCTTTCTAAATTTATAAAGTGTGTGATTTTAAGTTAACACCATGTAAATATGTTGCTTCTCATTACTCTTTGCAGAATAGTTTTAGTATGTATTGATGATTCTTGCTCAAGTTAAATATTAACGTGGTGTTTGCAAAATGTTGATTTTCTAACTCCGTCAGTCCTTCCAAATTTATTAATTGGCATTCTACTTTAAGTAATGTTCCCTCTTTCCCTCCTCCTTTACCTTCCTTCTTCTCTCCCTCCCTCCCTTCCTTCCTTCTTTCCTCTCTTTTTAAGGTGGATCATTAATTCTTATTTTGTTTAATGGTTTATACTCTATTACTGTTAGCATTCATTTTTATGTGCTTAATTGCCCCAGCTTTGGCCAGTAGAAAACGTCTCCAAGCTGACTTCTATGCCATTCTGACACATCCCTTTCATTTTTTGAGCATTTCCTACTTTATAGACCAAGACATTCCAGGCTTATCTTGTACTTGGCCCGTCTTTTCTCTAGAATCAGCCATTTCTCCAAAATGCCACAGTTCCTTTCACTATAGAATGGTGTTTAGAAATCAAGATCTGCATGCAAAATGTGCTCATTGCCGGGCTGCCAGTGTTTCTAGGCCCTTCCATTGGGAAATGCCACTTCTGACTCTTATTCCAAAAGTTCTTAATGATACCCATGGATCCTTCCTTGCCTTTTCCCATCCTGTAGTTCTCTCTCTTCAACACTGAGAATGCTGGCTTCTAATACCATCAATATGGTTGCTCATTTTTCTCAATTCTACAACATAGCCAAGAGTTTCAGAATCACTACACTGTACGGCAAAACATAAACCTGCTGAGATTTCAAGGTTTGCTTACAGTTTTTTTTTTCCCATCAAACTGAAGATATATAGTAAACTACTGTGTTCAGAAGTTGCTTAGATTAGTTGTTTTCCATCACTGTGGTTATGTTATTCACCTGAAATACAGTAAGTTTTATTTGTTTCTGGCTGTATTCAATTTAGAGTATTTCTCCCTATCTTTAATTATTTCATTTTATTTTCATAAGCATATGAATCATTAACCGCAATTCCAAAATTCAAAACTACAAACAAGATATATTCCCCATCCCTTTCACCCCATTCCCATCCACCTTTACACGAAAATCATTTCATTCATTTTGGGTTATCCTCCCTGTGTTGCTTTTTGCAAATATAGCAGGTATTTCAAACTCCAAAGCAAAGCACCATAGGGAGAAGTGGGATGGGTGTGAGTGGTGGCTGCCTTATGAATGGTGGCAGGGGCTCAAAAGTGAAAGGAGAGGAAGTGTGGCAGAAGAGAGGTGTTCTCAGGTAGACCAGTTTTAAGAAATAATACATATGTGTGTAGGGTTCCCCTAAAGCTCTCCATGCCTGTGAGGCCCAAGAAAACATGTTTCCCCAGAAGTTGGTGGGTGCTCAGCCTAAGGACCCACAAATTAGCAAGAGAGTTGTCAGCGACCAGGGCCCACGATACAGAGGCTTTCTTCCCCTCTATTTGAGACTGTCCTGGCCATAGGGAATTGATTCCACACATTTGGCCTCCCAAGTGCCACACAGGGGCAGAGCAATGCCTCCATGCCTAAGCTTCTCAACCTTTAACGTGCACAGCAGTCCCGAGGAATCCTGTTAAAATGCAGGCTGGAATTCAGCAGGTTTGGAGCGCCCCTGACAGTCTGCGGTGCTAACAAGCTCCCAGGTGGCACTGATAACACTCATCCAAGAACCACAGTTCACATAGCAAAGTAGAGCCCTGGGTCTCAGGTTTGGCTGCACATTGGAAACATCTGGAAGCTTAAAAAAATACACTGGTCTCCACAGCCCGTGATTCTGACAGAGGTGGTGTAGGGTGCAGCTTGAATATCAGAACGTTGTCGTGATTCCCCCGGTGAGACCAAGGGGCAGCCAGGTGAAGAACCCTGCTCTGGAAACCAAATTTGGGAATTATTTTATTATGTGTAACTTTCCATCAAATGTTGACCTTTGGTGAAGGGAGATAACGTGTCAACAATTTCTGCTGAACTGCATTGCTCCCTGAAATTCCTCCTTCCACCCAAATGAGGCTGTAATAGGAGCTTCAGGATGGAGAACATCAATTCTAATAAAGGAACATGTTTGGCCTCAAATTGACACATTTTGCAGCATATTGCTATTAGGATGTGTTTACTGACTCATTTGCCATAGATAACACTTCTTTTACAATGATGAAAAATCTTAAGCGTCTGCCTTTTTGTCTAACAATGAGTAAATTAAACATTTTCATAAGGAGGAAGGGCAAGTGTTCAGTGACGATTCTGACATGGTTTATGGAAATAATTCTTGGCTCATCTTCCTAAAGGTGCTCTACCAGGTGTCCCGTGTGCCTGGATAACCTACCTGCATTGAGATTGTGCACACACACACACACACACACACACACCGCGGCACAGAAACATACATAAGACACACACATACACACAACACACAAAAGCAATTGTGTTCTAGCCTGGTGGAACAACCCATGTCCACCAGCCTGGTGGCCTCCCGCAAACCACATTTACGGCAATGATTTGTTGAAATGGCGCCACCAGTATCTTGAATTCCCTTGCCCTTAAAGAAAAATGTCCCAGTAAGCTTTTGATCCACCGTGGAGGATCTGTAATTTGGAACCATTAAATGTATCTGTCTTTTTCTCCAAACTATTTCATGTTCTTCATCATGAGACTAACAACATGACTGAGCCGTCATGGTTCTAACTCCAGTCATAGATATTTCTGGAAAAATGCTTACAACTTGAAATGGAAGGTAACCTTGAGCACAGTTATCGTACTGTGCTCGGTGCTGGAACGTGGTGTTGCCGGGGCTATTTGTGCTTGGACCTTAGATGAAAATTCCTGTTTAAATAAATATTCTTAACTTTTTTACATTATTTCAGTCCTTGACTCTTCATCAAAAGCAAACAAGACTCTTAACCAAAAGTGGAGCAAAACTGTGCATTTGTTAAATAGCAATATCTTTGCATCTGTTATTTCTCATTTTGGCCAAAAGACCCAATTTATGCTACATCCATTCTCCAGACATGTAGAATTACCTTGCTTGTACATAACATTACCATGTGGGATGTTTTTTAATGCTTTTGAAGTCTGTGCCAATAAAATGCCCTCAGCTTACAAGCAGGTGTGGGCACAGGGCAGAGACAGCCTGTGCTCAGCCTCCTGTCTGGAGCCTCAGTTTGCTGTGCCCGTTGGGGCCAGAGAGGAGAGAGGGCTGCCTGGCCTGGTGAGCCATGGTCTCCTTTCCTGGCAAGGTTCTGCTCACTGCCCTCAGCCCAAGCTGGACCACGCAGTTCCTCGCATTCTCCTGAAGGACTCTGCTTGCAATGCAACTTAGAGTGCTGAATTAGCTTCCTGGGGCTGCTGTAACAACGAACTGGGGGGCCTTAAAACAACAGGGATTATCATCCCCCGGTTCTGGAGGCTGGAAAGTCTGAAGTCAGGATGTCAGCAGGGCCGCCTCCCTGAGACTTGGAGAGTCCTCCACAGCCCCTCCCCAGCTCCCGGGGCTGCCGTGAGGCTCAGGGTTCCTTGGCTTTAGATGTGCCGTGTCTATCTCTGCCTCCATCTCAGGCCTTGTCCCGTGGGAGTCTTCACACAGGGTTCTCGCCTCCCCATAAGGACATCATGCTGGACTAGGGCCCACCCTCATGATCCCCATGACTTCATCATGTTTGCAAGACCCAATTTCCAAATAAGCTCTCATTCACAGGTACCAGGGTTTCGGGCTCCAGAACCCTGGTTTTCACGGGACACAACTCAACCCATAACAAATACCAAGTCTGGGCTTTTCCAAGCTGTGAAAACCCCACTGCCTCGGCTCCAAGTTCATGCAGCATCCTCCGCATGTCAATCAAAGGGGACCCTCTTCATAGCAACCAACAGACCAGCGCCTCTGTGAGGGTCTCTCCAGGGAACACCAGGGTGGTGCCGCCTCTCATGTGCTCTTTCTCCCCTGCCTTCCCACAGCCCTGGGAGGACACTCTTCTTCCCCATGCTCCTCCCCAAGCCCAGCATCATCCTTGATCCTCGTCACCCTTCCTCCCCCCAAGGCACCTTTACCTCCTCCCACAGAGCCCCTTGGGTGATATGAATCTCTCCTCTCCCAGCTCCCAGGCCCCCACCTCTGGCTGCTGTGAGGTGGGGAAGGAGCCTGATCTCCCGCTTGGGCAGTGAGGGAGGGAGGAAGCCGTGATTCCTGGGCACTGATTTTTGTCCCTGCCACCCACGCCACAGAGACAAACCCTGGTTATTTAATGAGGCTGAGGACTCCTCAGTGGGAGGACAGCCCCTCAGGGAGACTGAAGCCCATCACTGCCCACTCGGCCTCCCAGCTCCCTCCCTGGATGGCCCATCCTGCCTGCTGCCTCCCGCCGCCTCGCCTGGGGCCTGCTGGTGTCCACCGTGGTCATCGCCATGGACAGGAGGGGCAGAGGCATGGTGAGCCCCTTGTGGCCTGGTTTCCCTCTTGGTTTTCCTCTGCCCTCATCCCCTGGGTGAGAAGAGCCTCCTGGCTGCCATCCACCCACTCCACATGCACCTCTGGGTGGTTCCCTCGCTGTGTCTGCAGGGACCAGGCACCATGGCCTGGGGGTTCACACAGCAGAAAGCTCCTGCACAGTCTAGAGGTGGGGAGGTGAGATAAGGGTGTGAGGAGGGCTGCGCTCCCTCTGGCTAGGCTTGGGAGGTGAGCTCACCCCAGGGCTGAGAGCTGGGCAGAGGCCTCCATGGGGGGCTGTGGGGGGCAACTGCATGGCAGGGGCAGGGGCTGGGCCACAGGCTGGGGAGAACCTGTGTGGGGCTGCAGTGGGGTAGATGGGGATACACAAGGGGGCCCTGCTTGACCGAGGAGAGCAGGGAGGCTGCCCACAGGGGTGTGCCATGCACAGTATCTCTTGGTGCTTTATTCAGTGCTCGACCCGGCATTAGGTACGTGGAGTGAGGGCCTGGGTTAGGGAGAGGAACAGGAAACACTCTTGTTCCATTACAGCCCCTGCTCAGGACCTGTCCTTGACTGCGGGCAGGGCCTGAGTATTTCCTGCTCGCCCTCATCCCTTCATTTTTTGGTCCCTTGCTCTGGCAGGAGATACTCAATGACTAACCCTAGATTGATGGATTTTGCCGACAGTGAGATGAATTCTCCTTAAGCAATTTGTCCTGTCAATGGATCAGCTTTACTCTGTGAAAACTTGATTTGCTTAACCTTTGTTTGAGAGATAGGAAACTGTCTGGCATCTCAGGGTTTGATGAATGACAGAGCTGCCAGTCACAGAGGAGAGGGAAACCGTTCTGAAGCCTAACCACCTCTGTATCCACCCACTCCCCCGCCAGGTGACAGCCCACACAGGACAGGAGTGAGCCGCGCATTTGGGACAGCAGAGACCGGCAGCAAAGCCTGAGGCTCACGGGATGGGAGTGTTGCTGGGGGCGGAGAACAAGGGCCCCTCCCGGAAAGGGCAGAGGTGACACGAGGGGGAAGGCAGCTCCGCCAGGGCAAATAAGATCAAGTCAGGATGGGCAGACGGCAGCAAAAGGAGCCACGCAGGAGCCACCCCCCGGGAAGGGAAAAAGAAAACCCCACTGGGGAACTGGGCTTCTGAGCCCACCTCCTCGTTTCCCTCTGGCCTCATCCCACCCCAGTGAGAAGTGATTCCGCTGCTGCCCACCTCGCATTTATTCTTGGCTGGACCCGCTTGCCGCATCTGCGAGGACGAAGCACCATAGACCAGGTGTTTGCACAACGGAATCTCTTCTCTCCCAGCTCTGGAGGCTGGAAGTCCGAGATCAAGGTGTGGGCCAGCAGCACTTCCTCCGGGGGCTCCTTCCCTGTCCCTTCAGCTCCCGGTGGCCGGCCATCCCAGCTGTGCCTCGGCTTGTAGATGTCCATGCCTCGCTGCAGCCTCTGCTTCCACTGTCTCGCCACCCTCTTCCCTGGTGTCCCTCTGCGTGTCCTCTCCTCTGCTTATGGAGACACCAGTCATTTGATTTAGGGCCCACCCTACTCCAGGAAGACCTCATCTTCACTCACGACATCTACAAAAACCCCATTTTCTTTTTTTTTTTTTTTTAGATGAAGTCTTACTCTGCCGCCCAGGCTGGAGTGCAATGGCATGACCTTGGCTCACTGCAACCTTCGCTTCCCGGGTTCAAGCGATTCTCTTGCCTCAGCCTCCCAAGTAGCTGCCAAGTAGCACCTGCCATCATGCCCGGCTAATTTTTGTATTTTTAGTAGAGATGGGGTTTCACCATGTTGGCCACGTTGGTCTTGAACTCCTGACCTCAGGTGATCCCGCTCACCTTGGCCTCCCAAAGTGCCTGGGATTACAGGCATGAGCCACCACACCCGGCCAAAAAACCCTATTTTCAAATAAGTGCAGATTCTGAGGCTCTGGGTAGAGATGGATTTGGCAGGGACACAATTCAAACACACTACAATAAGTGATGTCATCAAGGTAGAGAAACAGAAAAATAGAAAGAGAAAACCTCTGTCTCTGTTCTGTGTCTCTGTGATCTTATGAGAACATCCCAGAACAATGTATTCATCCTTAAATGATGTTAGGTCCAGGCAATTCAGCCCAACTCCATGTCTAAGCATCAGAAGACCCAGCTGGACCCATCGCCTTGTGTGCTAAAGACTCCAGTGAAAGCAACTGCCCTACCCTGCTGCCACTGGCCCCACCACCGCCGCTGGCTCGATACACACCAGGGCTGGGGCTGGTGGCGTCAGAGCCACATCAGTGGAGATGTCCACTGGGGAGTGTGCGGGAGACCTTGGGGTCTAACCAAGCCTGTGATCAGTAAATAGGTGAAGACAGAGTTAGCTCTAAGTCCTCTCTCTGCCGCGTACTAGCTCTGCAGCCTTGGGCAAATCTCTGAACCTCTCAGAGCCTCAGTTTCCTCCTCTGGGAAATGGAGGCATCAATGGCTACTGTTTACTGGGCGCTGTGATGTGCAGCAATGCTGTAAGGATTTCCTGCATTAACTCACTTAGTCCCTGCAATGACTGTAGGAAGAGCTTTTCATTATTACAGTCATTTCAGAGACAGGAAAGAGCTTAAGTGACCTGCCGAAGGTCACACTGCCTTAAGAAGTGGGTCTGGGTTTTGGACCAGAAGCCTGAGTCCTGACACTGAGCAACTACTCCTGTGGCTTCTCAGGCATGGCCATCAAAAGGGGACAACTGAAACATCGTGGCGCCAGGCAGCCCGAATGAGGCACTGCCATCAAATAGACACTGATGGCAGACAGCAGATGGCCCTGTGGGTGTGCTCGCAGCAAGACCTGGTGAAATCGCGAAGGCAAAGGTCTGATCGAGTTTGAATGTGTGTCCCCACCCAAATCTCATGTGGAAATGTGGTCCTGAGTGTTGGGGGTGGGGCCTGATGGGAGGTGATTGGATCACGGCGGCAGATCCCTTGTGAATGGCTTAGTACCATCCCCTTGGTCATGAGTGAGATCTGCTTGTTTAAAAGCGTGTGGCACCTCCTGCTGTCTCTTGTTCCCAATCTCGCCATGAGACAGGCCTGCTTCCGCTTTACCTTCCACCATGAGTAACAACTCCCTGAGGCCTCCCCAGAAGCTGAGCAGATGCCGGTGCCATGCCTCCTATACAGCCTGCACAACCATGAGCCAATCAAACCTCTTTTCTTATCAATTACCCAGTCTCAGGTATTTCTTTATAGCAGTGCAAGAATGGCTGAACACAAGGTCCCATATAAAGTTGCTAATTTTTTTTCTTTCTTTCCCTAGAAGCTCTACCTTCCTCACCAGGAGTTTTTGTCTCCCGTAAAGGCTTCCAGGTCTAAGTGGTGAGCAGTTTGGACTCTTTGGGAGGTGTGAATGGAATCCTCCCTCTAACTTGTGATAAATATATGAAGAAAAGTTGAACCATTCATGTACCCCGGCAACCATCCATCCATTAACACTGCTAAGGACCAGTGCTAGGAGATCCAGAGTCTAGGGGCTTCTGTGGGCCCAGTCCCTGAGGAGCCTGAAATTTATCAGGGAGGCCAAAAAGACAAACACCTATGGTAACAGGTGGAATGTGGTGAGGAGAAAAGTATTCTCCGATTGGAGGAGCACTCACGGTACAGAAAGAAGGATGAGGGGACTCCACAGGCTGGGGAGCTTGTCCCCAACATGGCCGAGGTATTCCTGGCTCTTCACAGACCCATGGACAAATGCCCCACCATCAGAGGACATTGGGTAGGCTGCCCATACACCCTCAGCAGACACTGGGCATGGTACTTGTCCACTGCGTTAGACCTTTCTTGCATTGCTATTAATAAGTACCTGAGGCCGGGCACCAGTGGCTCACACCTGTAATCCCAGCACTTTGGGAGGCCGAGGTGGGTGGATCACGAGGTCAAGAGATGGAGACCATCCTGGCCAACATTGTGAAACCTCGTCTCCATTAAAAATAAAAAAATTAGCTGGGCATGATGAGGTGCACCTGTAGTCCCAGCTACTCGGGAGGCTGAGGCATGAGAATTGCTTGAACCCAGGAGGTGGAGGTTGCAGTGAGCCGAGATCATGCCACCGCACTCCAGCCTGGGCAACAGTGTGAGATTCTGTCTCAAAAAAAAAAAAAAAAAAAAAAAAAAAAAAAAAAAAGTACCTGAGACTGTGTAATTTATAAGAAAAGAGTTTTAATTGGCCCAGAGTTCCACAGGCTCTACAGGAAGCATTGTAGCTTCTGCTTCTGGGGAGGCCTCAGGAAGCTTCCTGAGGCAAATGGGAACCAGGCACATCACATGGTAAAAGGAGAAGTAAGAGAGGTGAGGGGCAGGTGCCACATATTTTTAAATGACCAGATTTTGCAAGAACTCACTCACTGTCTCGAAGACAATACCAAGCCATGAGGGATCCACTGCCATGATCCAATCCCCTCCCACCAGGCCACACCTCTGGTATTGGGGATTACAATTCAGCATGAGATTTGGGTGGGGACAACATCCAAACTCTATTATTCCCCATCATTAGACACTGGGCATGGTGCCTGTCCATAATCATTGGACACAGGGCATGGTGCCCGTCCATAATCATTGGACACTGGGCATGGTGCCCATCTACCATCACTGAACACTGGGCATGGTGCCTGTCCATAATCATTGGACACCGGGCATGGTGCCCATCTACCATCACTGAACACTGGGCATGGTGCCTGTCCATAATCATTGGACACTGGGCATAGGGCCCGTCCATAATCATTGGACACAGGGCATGAGGCCCATCTACCATCACTGAACACTGGGCATGGTGCCTGTCCATAATCACTGGACACTGGGCATGGTGCCTGTCCATAATCACTGGACACTGGGCATGGGGCCCATCCATTATCACTGGACAATGAGCTGGACACTGGGCATGGTGCCCATACACCCTCATTAGACAATGGGCATTGTACCCATCCATTACCAATGGACACTGAGCATGGTGCCCATCCACCATCATTGGACCCTGGGCATTGCACCATCCACCATCACTGGACACTTGGCATAGCACCTGTTCATAATCACTGAACAATGGCTATGATGCCTGTCCACCATTATTGGGCATGGCACCCATACACCCTCATCAGACACTGGGCATGGTCCACCATCATTGGACACTTGGCATGTCCAATGACCATAATTACTGAACAATGGGCATGGTGCCTGTCCACCATCACTGGACACTGGGCAAGGCACTTGTACACTCTCATCAGACATTGAGCACGGTACACCATTATTGGACACTGGACATGGCGCCCATCCACTATCAATTGACCCTGAACATACCTGTCCATCATCATTAGACACTGGACATGGCGTCCATCCACCATCAATTGAATCATCATTAGACACTGGGCATGGTGCCCATCCACCATCAATTGACCCTGAACATACCTGTCCATCATCATTAGACATTGGACATGGCACCCATCGATAATCATAGCACACTTGGCACGGTGCCTGTCCATAATCACTGGACACTGGGCATGGCCCATCCAGCATCACTGGACACAGGGCATGGCACAGTCCCCACCATTGGACATGGGACACAGTGTCCATCTACCATCAGGAGACTCATAGCACTGGACATGGCACTCATCCATTCAGGCCTTTGAGAACGCCCAGAGGAACAGTTTCCTTGGGCAGCAGAGCAGCCATGGGACTCTGAGGGAGCCATGCTTGGTGGGAGTGAAGGGCAGGCGGTGGGCAATGTGGCCAGAGAGTTGCCTCACTGGGCTGACCCGTGTTCCCCAGCAGCTGGCAGCTTTGTGGGTCAGTTTCCACCCTCTCCATGGGCTCAGGTGGCCTCAAGTGTTGGGAACCACCCCACTTTAAAAAGATTAATCAATAAGTCACATTAGCAAATTCACCAACAGCAAATTGAACCCTCACTGTCTATAGGGGACATACTATGAGGAGGAATCAGTTAATTTATGCAGATAGCTAATTACCCCTACAAGTAACCAATTACGAAGCTGCTATTTCTTTGGATGAATGCTGAGCCTGCCCACTGACATCTGACCCAAAACACTGGACCTGCACTTGACCGTGGTCTGACGGAGGAAGCACCCGGAGACAATTCCAGCTGGTACAAGAGTTCACTCGGAAAGCAGGGCTTGGAGCAGGGGCCAGCGCCTGCTGCTCAGGGTCAGTTCCCCCGCTGCCAGTGTGGCTAACGTTAGCCTGGGCATGTGGATGAGAAGGAGCTTGAGGGGTGGGTAGGAACAGGAGCCCTGCCCCGGAGGCTGTGGCCATGGGTGGAGTTGGGAGAGTCTGAAGGAGCCCTCACCTCGAGGGTTGTTGTAAAAGAGTGTGAGCTCCCTTGAAAGATAAGCCGCGCTCGGGGAGCTCCATTCCTCACCCCGGAGCTGTGGGCTCAGCCTCTCAGCACCCTGGGCTCAGCCTCTGAGTCCTGGCGTGGGGAAGACGATGCCTGTGTGCCACAATTGTTGGTGGATTAAATCATTCACTAGGTGTCCATCTCCATCCGCAACAGTCACAACTGGCTTGGTGGAAGAGGTTGTTCTGTACTAGCCACAATATTTGTGATTCTCCTCCCTTTAAATGAATTAATCAATAACATCATTGTCAAATTCACCATCAGCAAATTGAACCCCAAAATTAAACATCCAAAACACAGACTGACTCAGTGGTGGTGCCAAGGGGGGCTTAGGTGGAGATGTTCACATTTGTCGAGCACCTTCACCAGGGCGTGGCCATGCCTGGCGCAGGGCTTCCAGCCCACCTGACCTTCTCTGCAGGCGCTGAACACTCCCAGCCTCCCGCATTGGGGTGGGGCCGTGTGATTCCTTTCAGGCCAATGGAGTGCAGCCAGAAGTGACAAACCCACTTCCAGGATTGTCCTAAAAACTCTCACAAAATCATCTCCACTCACCGCACCCGTCGGTCCGCTGGGAGGTGGTAAACTGAGGTCCCAAATCGTCTTGTAGAAAGTAATCTGCAGAAAATCAGACTGGACTGTGATGTAAGCCAGAAATCAGCCTGCATTGGATTCACCCTTTTCCTGTTTAGGAAAAAACAAAAAGTGCAGCTCACTCCCAGCGCTCATTTAATTTTACATAAACACGCTCTTTGAGGCTGAAGCAAATCAGATTTTCAATGTGAAAATAAAATATAAAAGCTGTTCTTGGAGTTATTTCTAAACAGAACTAGCATCAGAATTGTCTGAATCATCAGAATTGTCTATTTTTGAAAAATCAGATTCATCAAATGAATCTTCAGCCAAAAACTGTTTGAGAATGATGTTAACATCACGCGGAGGAATGCTACGTTTTCTAGGATTTGACATTTTCAGCGATTGAGAATGACTGTATTTTGTAAATGGAAGTACCTCTACTAAAAACAGAGTGCTATAAATAGAATGATGTGTTTTGTTTCCAAAGTCGATATACTCGAGCACTGTGAAAATAATAAAAACAAGATATTGTGTGGCAAAGTTATCTCGGGGTAAACGCTGCAGCCACAAGCACCACCAGTGAGTATTCTTGGAGCAAATAGGAAAGGGTTAAACTGCTGGGATTGGGGGGTTATCTGTTACCAGGCTAACGTTTGCTCAATTCGAATACAGAGCATGTATTTCCAAGAAGTTGCTGCCTGCATGGAACAAGCGACAAGTCACCTGTGGCCAGAAGCCACCCCCATTAGATTCCACAAAGCCTTAGTGCGAAGGATTGGTCAGCAGGGGAAGCTTAGAGATTGGACCAGCCTGGCCAACATGGCGAAACCTCATCTCTACTAAAAATACAAAAATTAGCGCAATCTCGGCTCACGGCAACCTCCACCTCCTAAGTTCAAGCGATTCTCCTGCCTCAGCCTCCCGAGTAGCTGGGATTACAGGCACCCACCACCATGCCTGGCTACTTTTTCTATTTTTAGTAGAGATCGGGTTTCGCCATGTTGGCCAGGCTGGTCTCAAACTTCTGACCTCAGGTGATCCACCCACCTTGGCCTCCGAAAGTGCTGGGATTACAGGTGTGAGCTACCACACCCAGCCTGAATCTCCAATTTCTAAGCCTCCCTGCTGACCAATCCTTCTTCAGAATGAAACCATACTCCTTCGGCTATTTTAATGTCAGTTCTCTTGTGTCAAAATAAAATACAAACACCCCAAGTGACACCACTCTATTAATACTGGATTCAGTTCACTGTAGCTTGGATGTTTAACTTTTCAAATTACGAGAAATGAGCCAGGCACAGTAGAGCATGCCTCTAGTCTCAGCTACTCAGGAGGCTGAGGCAGGAGGATCACTTGAGGCCAGGAGTTCAAGGCTGCAATGCACTAAAATCATACCACTGCACTCCAGCCTGGGCAACAAACCAAGAAATAAAATTATAAGAAATGATCATTCGTTATAAAATTAACCTGATATCCAATATTAAGAGTTAAGCCGGGTGTGGTGGCTCACATCTTTAATCCCAGCACTCTGGGAGGCTGAGGTGGGCGAATCACTTGAGGTCAGGAGTTCGAGACCAGCCTGGCCAAGAGAGTGAAATCCCATCTCTACTAAAAATACAAAAATTAGCATGACATAGTGGTGGTGCGCCTGTAATCCCAGCTACTTGGGAGGCTGAGGCAGGAGAGTCTTTGAACCCGGGAGGCAGAGGTTGCAGTGAGCTGAGATTGTGCCACTGCACTCCAGCCTAGGTGACAGAGGGAGACTGTCACAAAAAAAAAAATAAAGAAAGAAAGAAAAAGAAAAAAAAACTATTAAGAATTAAAGAGGCCAGGCGCGGTGGCTCATGCCTGTAATCCCAGCACTTTGGGAGGCTGAGGCAGGCAGATCACGAGGTCAGGAGATCGAGACCATCCTGGCAACACGGTGAAACCCCGTCTCTACTAAAAATACAAAAAATTAGCCGGGCGTGGTGGCGGGCGCCTGTCGTCCCAGCTACTCGGGAGGCTGAGGCAGGAGAATGGCGTGAACCCGCGAGGCAGAGGTTGCAGTGAGCTGAGATTGCGCCACTGCACTCCAACCTGGGCGACAGAGCGAGGCTCCGTCCCAAAAAAAAAAAAAAAAAAAGAAAGACGTTTGAACTTCCTGACTTCTTACACAGGCCTAGTTCTTATAACATCAGACAGACGAGCACCACCTGCGGTGTTCATTCACATACTTGGGTTGAAAAAGACAGACGCAAGCTCAGGCTGGAGTGAGGAAAGGACACAGAGAGGTTTCATATGTGGGCTGTCTCAGGATCCCGAGCCTCAGGAAGTGGCTACAACCCAAACTGCAAAGACCCCAGCACTCTTTTTCTCAGCGTTCAGCCTCCACCTGTGTATTCGCTTTGCTCCTCCATCTCTAGACGGCTTTCACTACTTACCTGGGCTCCAGGCTCCATGAAATTCTGTGTCCGGAATTGGTGGGTTCTTGGTCTCACTGACTTCAAGAATGAAGCCGCGGACCCTCGCGGTGAGTGTTACAGCTCTTAAGGTGGCGCGTCTGGAGTCTGTTCCTTCTGATGTTCAGATGTGTTCAGAGTTTCTTTCTTCTGGTGGGTTCGTGGTCTCACTGGCTCAGGAGTGAAACGGCAGACCTTCGCGGTGAGTGTTACAGCTCTTAAGGCAGCATGTCTGGAGTTGTTCTTTCCTCCCGGTGGGCTCGTGGTCTCGCTCGGTTCGGGAGTGAAGCTGCAGATTTTCCCTGTGAGTGTTACAGCTCATAAAAGCAGCATGGACCCAAAGAGTGAACAGTAGCAAGATTTATTGCAAAGAGCAAAAGAGCAAAGCTTCCATAGCGTTGAAGGAGACCCGAGTGGGTTGCCAATGCTGGCTCGGGCAGCCTGCTTTTATTCTCTTATCTGGCCCCACCCACATCCTGCTGATTGGCAGAGCCCAGTGGCCTGTTTTTGTCAGGGCACTGATTGGTGCGTTTACAATCCCTGAGCTAGATGCAAAGGTTCTCCACGTCCCCATCAGATTAGTTAGATACAGAGTTTCCACACACAGGTTCTCCAAGGCCTCACCAGAGCAGCTAGATAGAGTGTCGATTGGTGCATTCACAAACCTTGAGCTAAACACAGGGTGCTGATTGGTGTGTTTACAAATCTTGAGCTAGATACAGAGTGCTGATTGGTGTATTTACAATCCCTGAGCTAGACATAAAGGGTCTCCAAGGCCCCACCAGAGCAGCTAGATACAGTGTCGATTGGTGCACTCACAAACCTTGAGCTAAACACAGGGTGCTGATTGGTGTATTTACAATCCCTGAGCTACATATAAAGACTCTCCACGTCCCCACCAGACTCAGGAGCCCAGCTGGCTTCACCTAGTGGATCCCACACCGAGGCTGCAGGTGGAGCTGCCTGCCAGTCCTGCGCCGTGCGCTCGCATTCCTCAGCCCTTGGGTGGTCGTTGGGACTGGGTGCCGTGGAGCAGGGGGTAGTGCTCGTCGGGGAGGCTCGGGCTGCACAGGAGCCCATGGAGTGGGTGGGAGGCTCAGGCATGGCGGGCTGCAGGTCCCAAGCCCTGCCTCGCGGGAAGGCAGCTAAGGCCTGGCGAGAAATCGAGCACAGCGCCGGTGGGCTGGCACTGCTGGGGGACCCAGTACACCCTCCGCAGCCACTGGCCCAGGTGCTAAGTCCCTCATTGCCCCGGGCCAGCAGGGCTGACTGGCTGCTCCGAGTGCGGGGCCCGCCAAGCCCACGCCCACCCGGAACTCCAGCTGGCCCGCAAGCGCCGCACGCAGCCCCGGTTCCCGCTCGCGCCTCTCCCTCCACACCTCCCTGCAAGCTGAGGGAGTGGGCTCCTGCCTTGGCCAGCCCAGAAAGGGGCTCCCACAGTGCAGTGGGGGGGCTGAAGGGCTCCTCAAATGCCACCAAAGTGGGAGCCCAGGCAGGGGAGGTGCCAAGAGCAAGCGAGGGCTCCGAGGACTGCCAGCATGCTGTCACCTCTCAGTTCCACCAAGGCAGAAGGCAAACCTTATTCCAGATTTGCAGAGGGTCTAGCCTGAACCAGTCCACTATGGATGGGAAGTGGGCCCCAGAGAGCACACGGGGCATGGGGCTGGGCCTTCCCAGATCAGGGACCCTGAACCCGTAAGTCATTCCCTGCAGGAGCCACCACCCTCAGAGGACACTCAGCTCCCCACGAAGCCCTTGCTGTCCAGTTCCGCTGCTGCTTGTGTTCCCTGGACGCCACGTGCCCATTTCACAACTAAACAGTTAAATCCTCGAGGGACTCACCCCTTATTTCTAAGGGTTTTCTTAGGTGGGCAGGATGGACAGGCTGGAAGCAGAGTCCTCGGTGGAAACATTAACTGCAGAGATAACCACTTCAGAGCGAGGCAGTCCTTAAGTTCCCTGTGTCCACAGAGTCTGCTTGACAACGCCATCAGACACCTGAAAGTCATCCCCACGGTAACAGTCAGCCGGCAGCAGCTGGATTAGCGGCCCATCACCAACAGCCAACACACCTGCTGGCACTGGGGACACATCAGTGCCTCCCAACCCACAGGACGCTTTTTGAAAAAAAAAAACCTTAAGCATTTATGTACTGAAAGCTATTTTCAAGAGATATTATAGGAAAACACGGGCATAAATAAAGTTATATTGTATATTGGAATCTGGTTGAGATAATAAGTTTTAGATATGTGGTAATTTTCTACTAAACCCAAAAAAGAAAAATGGAAAGCCACGTAGCTAACAAGAAATATGTTGTGTTTATAAATACAAGTATATAGGCTGCAAGTAAACACAATAAATTTACTTGTAAATTTACAAGTACTTCACATATCATATAAAAGCAAATATAGACATTGTATTTCAGGAAATGCCAGTAAATAGAAAGCAAGCCACAATATGAAATGAATTAGAATAAATTTATATAAGATTCATACTGACAAGGCAAATGCATTACTAAAAATTCTTACAAAATATGGAGCAAAAAAATAAATTTGGATGAGTCTTTACAAAGGTATCCACAATACATGTAAAGAAAAACATAGTCCAATAAAAACGAAACAATATAGAACACAAGAATTCATTTGAAATAATTACAATGCCAGGTAACAGAAATGTCACTAAATATTTAATACCTGGTGAGCAGTAGGGAAAAAGTAAGTTCTGCTTGAACCTAGTAGCAATGTCGCCATTGCTTTAGGATCACACCTCTGGATGGTATTCAGTTCAAATCTTAAACTTTGTAGGAAAATCTCAGGTTCTGTGTCCAATCGGCTGTGACCTACGGCCGAGGCTGAGGCTGGAGCCTTTGCCCGGGTGCCTGATGATGCTGCCCAACACCAGCAGGGGGCAGTGTTGCCACCCACATGCCAGGGAACTCATGTCCCCAAAGAAAGCCATCGGAGGCAGGGACGTTCCAGGACATATTTTTGAGAAAATAACACGTATGGTACCTAAAACAACATCAAACCTCAGTTCATTTGTGAACTATGCTTGGGGGAGCCACCAATAACTCCACAGCAGCATTCAAGTCAAACCACAGCGCCTCCCAAGCATTGGGGAGCATGGGGGTCTCTGGAACCTGCACCTGCCTCCAACCGGTCAATCCGCAGAGCAGCCCTCTCCTCCCTGCGTCAGCGGCGGCACCAGTGCCATTGGTGAAGGCTTGCAGTGGACTGTGCCAACCCACCCACCAGCAATGCGTCTGGCCCTTCATAGAATCGAAGACTCCCATTCAGCTAAGAGAGATCAAGATTGTCCCCCAAACTAGAAAGCTGCTCTCAACACAGAGTTTTCATTTCGTACCTGTCAAAAGAGCAGTTTTTACTTATTTAGACATAGGTTTTTATTGATATCACTCCTTTGTATACTTAACTAGGAAAATAAGGCAAAAACAATTGGTCTCGATTCCTCTGTGCTTCTTCAGGGTACGTCTGTCTTCCCAGTCACCGCTCCAAGCAGGACTGCATGGTTGGCCTCCTTGTGCCACATCCTTTCCTGTGGCCTCAGGGGCCTGAATTGGGGGCGTTGTGAGGGTCCCCACCAACGTCTGCCAGCGGCTTCTGTCCCACAAGTTTCTATGCAGACAAGGAGACAATGCAGCCAGGCGTGTCCTGAATCCAGAGGTGGTAAAATGGGGACAAACAGGCCTCTTAGAGCTGGGAACACGTGGTGTGTGGCATCTGTAAATACATGGGTATGCAAATGTACACTATGTATGCATATATTTATTAGATATTTTATATATAATAAAATATATATTAAAGATAAAAGACATTAAAATGCTAGCAGTGTTGTCTGGTGGGGGCAGTCGAGGTGATGTAGTAACTGCTTCTTTTTTCCTTTATTTCCCCGTGTTTCACTGTTTTCTACGCAGAGCTTACATTTCTTTTTGAGTAAGATTACTTTAAGGAAACAACAATAACAAAGTAAAAACACCTACTGTAGAGTCAATACAATTTCATCTAAATCACAGATTTCTTTTCTTATGGACCTTGAAAAGCTGATTCTGAAATTTATATGGAAATAAATGAAGGACCAGGTACAGCCAGGACCCTTGTTCTTCAGGAAGGACATGGTTGGGGCTGTGCCCTCTCAAAGCTCAAGACAACTCCAAAAGCGAAGTCTTTAGAACAAGCAGCTTGGCAAGACCACGAACACACGGGCAGTGCCGCAGAGCAGGCCAAGCCCACTCTCACCCAGAAAACAGACCTCCGTTAAAACAGGTCTGCCGTGTTTAATAATGGCATATGCATAAGTGTGTAAACAGCAAATAAACACTACTCAATAAGCAGTACTGAGGCAATGCACTAAACAAAGGAAAATGAGATTCGATCCCTACTTCACATTATATTTTAAAAAATCAATTCCACATGGATTAAAGACTTCGATGTGAAAAAAAAAAGCCATTATGAACCTCTTACACGATGAGGTAGAGGTTATCTCCTAAACCTCAGAGCAGGGAGGGCTCTTAATACACTCATACATACACACAATCATGAAAATAACCAATAAGCTAAGCTATGTTAAAATTGAGAACTTCTACTCATCAAAGGACACCATCCCACCAAGAGATTAAAAAGACGAGCCAGGAAGTAGAAAAGAATGCCTGGGCATGTACCTGACAAAACATTCATATCCAGCAGATGTGGAGAATTCATATCAGTCAACAAGGTAAAAGACAAACAACCTAATAGAAAAGTGCTCAAAAATCCCCACCAGACAATTCACAGAAAAGGAAACAATAAGCTACCATTTTATACTTAAAAATCAGGCGACAGCGAATGCTGGCAGAAATGTGAATGTAGCAAAAAAGGGACTCGTTTTCAATTCTGGGGAAGGTGGAAACTCGGGTGACCACTTTGGAAAGAACTGGGTGTCATCTGGTAGATGTGAGCATGTCCGTTCCATGGCCCATAATAGCCCTTCTTTGTTGTATGCCTGGAAAAATTCTGGCCCTTATGTAATAGGGATGTTTAGAAGAATGTTCACACCAGCATTGTTTGTAATAGTAAAAATATGTAAGCAACACAAACATCTCCATCAGTAGTAAGCTGGATAAATAGATTGTGGTCTGTTCTGTGTTAGAACACTCTATAGCAGTGACACAGAATGAAACAAAGCCACTTGAATTCACATGATGTATCTTGAGCAAAGAGAAGTCATAGAAGACTACGTAATGTAAGATGCCATTTGTGTAAGGTTCACAAACAACAAAACCGAGCAGGACGTTTCTCCACTGAGACACACATAGTGGAAAACACACAGGAAAAGCACAGGAATTGTTGCATACCCTGCAGGTGGTGCCTCCTGTGCAGGGGCAGGTCAGGGTGCCCACAGGTAGGGGCATGTCACCCGGGGGTGCATATGCAGGTGTTTGTCCTTATTCTTTTTCCTTAAACAGATATGCAAATTTTATGTACTCTTTTATATGTATAATCTATTTCCAACATAAGGGGAACAATAATAAAACATTTAGTAAGAATTATGTATTATTTTTCTTTAGTGTTGATCCTTGAGGAAACATTTGCTGTACAAGAAGAGGAAGAAGAGGCTGATGAAGACTACTTTTAAGGGGATTAATTGGTATCCTTGAGGGCTTTTGGGTCTGGTGTCACTGGTTGCTATTTTTATCTTTTCCAAGCCTATGGTCTTATTTTCCTTGCTACACCTTAGTAATGACTGTGGACTTTGGGGCATGTGGTTGTGGGAAGCAGCAAGAGGGGGAGCTGCCAGCCAGGCCACTGGCAGGGACTCTCATGGGACCTGCCAAGCCTGTAAGGGCCTCCTCACAGTGCCACAGAAGCCTCGGTTCTTGTAGAGGGACCACTGCCATCAGTGTTGTCCAGCCTCAGCCCCACCTCCACCCAACTCACACCCAGCAAGCAAACTCCAATCCCACGGCAATGATCATTTGGCCCTGCGTATAGCTTTGCCTTTAAAGAAGGAGCAGGGGAGCCCCGGCCGCTTCTGTCCTGTCCAGTTGGTTACAGTTCTTGCTGTAAATTAATACTCACTTCAGATTCTTGTGAGTTCTTTTAGCAGCCATTCTTAGGTGCTTGATCAATTATTCTATATTATCTACTGACTTCCTGGGCCTACAAAATTGAAGCCAGACCCTGAAATGTGGCAATACCACCCTGTCAAGGCAAACATCACAGTGGGAACATCACAGTGGGAACAGTTGTCGCAGGTGACAACTGGCCTTCCTCCCTGCCTTTCCAAGGGGTTGTTGGAAGGAGCTGCTGCAACATTTCCATTCTGCAGATGAGAGAACTGAGGCGGCAGGGAGGTTGGGTAAATTGATCAAGGCCTTTCAAGCTGGAAGTGGCCACACAGACTGGTTTCAAAGTCAACATCAGAGTGAATGGCAGATGATGGGGCCCCTGCTGTTCGTGTACCAGGAGTGTCTGTGAATCAGAGCTTTGTGGCTTGGGGAGTGAGCCTGCCACACATTTTTGGTGAATTTGACGGTGGAAATGTTCCAGCATAGACCCATCTTGTTTTTGCATCATTCCCCCTCCTGCCTTGATTAGAAGATGCCCAGCTGGTCCAAAGGCCCCATGACCGCTGCTTCTGGGAAGCTATTTAGTCACTTCCCACAGCAATATTTGTTCCTTAAGCAAATAGAAATGTATCCATTTACACGTTTGTGACCACAGGGAAAGGCACCTGGCGCTCAGGAATAAAGCTCCACCCTCTCTTTTCACCAACAAGGACACAGAAGGGTTACGAGGCCATGAAATGCACTTGCCATTCCTTCCTTCACACTGTTCTGAAAAGCCTTCTTAACCGTAACCTACCCTACAGGCCTCTCAAAAGGAATCGATGGAAAGTCCCTTGCAGGACGTGAGATATTGACTAATGTTGCAAAAACACACCTACTTCTGAAAGAATTATCTGGTTACCAGAAGACTTTCCCTTCTGGAAATTCTCCAAGGCTGTCCGGCCCCAGGGCGGGGGTGAATCGTAAAGTACCAAGGAGCCCAAAGCCTTAGAGCACCTGGCTCAGTGGTTAAAGAAGGAAAGATGCAGATGACAGGTTTGAGGCTGGGAAAAAGAGGGAAAAATTAAAAAAAAAAAAAAAAAAACCGCAGAGGCCGGAAAGATCAGATACCTAGGAGCAGCTGACAGAAAAGAAAGCTTCAGATGTGAGCAGCAGGAGGGCAGATGCTACGGCAAGGAAGCCCCTTCTCAGACACAAAGCCCTCCACAAAACGATCCTCTAGGTGGACTTTCTTCTGCAAACATTACCCCATCCCCAATTAGAAGGATTCAGAGAATTGAATTAAGGGTTTTGAGCATATTAACACATTGAATATTTGGAAGGAAAACTAATAAAAGCTGTCTCTTACTATATTACCCATCATGGAATGGAATGCATATACACCACTGTAATAGCAGGTTCTCTAGAAGGAAACACAAACAAAAAACCAGAACCAACAGGATATGTGTATATGTATATATAGAGAGATTACTTTTAAGGAATTGGCTCAGGTGACTATGGAGGCTGGTAAATTTGAAATCTGCAGGGTGGGCCAGCAGGCTGGAGACCCCAGGAAGACCGTGTCTGCAGCCCCTGCTTGCTCAGGGAGGTCAGTCTCTGTTCCATTCAGGTCTTCAGCTGACCCGGGGAGGCCCACCTACTAGCAAGGGCCATCTGCTTTACTCAAAGTGCACGGGTTTAAATGTTCATCTCATCCAAAAACATCCTCACAGGGACATCCAGAATGAGGTTTGACTTCACGTCTGGGCCCAGCCACATGGACACATAAAATTAAGCATCGCAACCATGTAGACGCTACAGCTGTGACCGCTGTTGGTGGATTTAGTGTGCGCCAGCGTCATCTAAGCTTCATGAGGACGGGGATTTTTCTTTTTCTTCACTGCTATGTTTCCAGTGCCTAGCACTTAATAAATAAAATAAAATAAAATAATAAAATAAAAACACTGTTGACCACATGACTGTGTTGCTGTTGTTTGGGATTAGTGTGTGCGGCTGTGCATGCATTCATTTGGGAATTGGTCCCTCTGCTGGACAGACACTAAGGTGGCACCAGGGTCCCCACCTCCTAGTGTGTTCATATCTTGCTGAAATCCTCTCTCCTTGATGTGGGGGGATCTGTGACTTGCTTCTGATCCACAGAATATGGTAGAGGGATAGCACGTCTCTCCCATGATCCAGGTACATTCCCTGGCCTCCACCCACAGCTCACTTGCTCTAGAGCCTCCCTGCTGGCTGATGACGTAAGTGGCCGCACTGGAAACTTCCGCGTGGAGAGAAACTGAGGGCAGCCACGGACCTGGACCTGGGGCCCTCAGAGAGAAAGTGAACTCGGCCAACAGCCTGTGGGAACTTCCGAAGAGGTGGATTCTTTTCCAGGCCGTCCTCGGATCCTCCGCGTAAGAATACAGCGCGGCCAACACTTGATCCCGCCTAGTGAGGGCCCGGGCAGCGCCCCCAGCACGCGTGTCCCGGAACCCTGAGATAAC
Source organism: Homo sapiens (assembly GCF_000001405.40). Lineage (NCBI taxonomy): Eukaryota > Metazoa > Chordata > Mammalia > Primates > Hominidae > Homo > Homo sapiens. Next base: position 110,813,979 of record NC_000013.11, on the reverse strand, counting down.
GCACGTGTGTGGCTCCAAGCTGCTCAGCTCCGAACACAGCTGCTGAAAAGGGACGCAGCCCCCATGCAGCCGTGCGTGTCGGAGTGGGAAGACGGCCGGCTGGGGGAAGAGCCTGAGGAAGAAGATCCGTGTCTGAGGCCTGGGTCTGCCAGTCCGCGTCGCCTTGGGCAGTTCCCCGGCGGATTTCTCTGAGCCTGTTTCCTCACCTGCAAAACAGCCCATCCCTGAAGCCTTTCTCTGTTCTGCGACTCTTTTATTCCAGAGGCGGGAAAGTTTGGAAGGAAAGCAAAGGTCAAAAAGAAACCCTGGAGGGTTGAAGGTCAAGCTGCCAAGAGGGGCGGTAGTGTGAGGGGGACGTCGTGAGGGGGACGTCGTGAGAGGGGTGTCCTGAGGGGGACGTCGTGAGGGGGGAGCGTGGTGACGGGGACGTCGTGAGGGGGGCGTCGTGAGAAGGACGTTGTCAGTGGAGGCGTGGTGAGGGGGGGTCAGGAGAGGGACGTCGTGAGGGGGGCGCATTGTGAGGGGGCCGCGTCATGAGGGGGATGTGTCGTGAGGGAGGCGCGACGTGAGGAGGGCACGTAGTGAGGAAGGCGTCGTGAGGGGGACTTTGTGAGGGGGAGCATCGTGAGGGGGACTTCCTGAAGGAGGTGCATCGTGACGGGGGCGTCGTGACGGGGATGTCGTGAGGAGGGCGCGTGGTAACGGGGGCATCGTGAGGGGAGCGCGTCGTGTGGAGGGCGTCGTGACGGGGACGTCGTGAGGAGGGCACGTCGTGAGGAAGGCGTCGTGAGGGGGAGGTCGTGAGGGGGACGTGACGAAGGGGGCGCGTCGTGACGGGGGCGTCGTGAGGGGGATGTCGTGAGGAGGGCGCGTGGTAACGGGGGCATCGTGAGGGGAGCGCGTCGTGTGGAGGGCGTCGTGACGGGGACGTCGTGAGGGGCGCGCTGTGAGGCGAGTCTCTGCCCCCTCCCCCTGGAGCTCCCGCTCCTCAGCTGCCCCCCGCCGTCAGGGGCTCTTCCTGTCAGTGCCTCATGGGCCCTGCATTCGCCTCCCCCAGGCAGCGCGGTCCTCCTGGGGGAGTCAGCCTGTCTCGCCTGAGCCCGAAGGCCGCCTCCCCTTCTGCCACAGCCCCCTTTGGCTCCCGGCTCTGGAGATCTGCCCTCCAGTGGATCTGTCTGAAACCGCCCTCCCTTAGCCGGGCGGGAGGCAGCAAGCGCGCGCGCTGCGGGCAGGAGCGGTTTCTGCAGGAGGGACCCTGCCCGAGCTAAACACCGAGAAGACGGCAGGAGGCAGAAGGCGAGATGGGGGAAAGGAAGATAATCTGGAAAGTTCCACTGCAGGAAAGACAGTCCCGGTGGCCAGCTGGCCTCTCAGAGGCCCCTTAGTAAGCCGAGGACCCGAACCCTTACGGAAATGTAATTGAGACAAGCCCGAAGCAGAGCGGAACGAAACAGAACAGAGGAGACGCGGGCACAGGAGAGCGCAGAGGGAGCTCTGGGCGCTTAAGGAATGGAGACTGCAGCGGGCCAGCGGGGGCTAAGTCCCGGGGTCGCAGATGCCTGTGTGCGGGGGCAGGTGCTTGCGTGCGGGGCCTGCCCCAGCCCCTGCCTGGCAGAAAGCCCCAGAATCCAGGGGCCTCTGCCCAGAGGAGGTCTCGTCATGTGTCAAAGGACCAGGGCGAGGGCGCTGGGCTTCCCTGGGCTTCGCCGAAGGCCCTGGCACTCACACTGCGGGCCTGGCCGTGGAGGGAAGGGCTCGGGGAGTAAGTGCACGCTCCTGGCACTGTCATGCGTGCAGTGGCCCCGGCACCCGTGAGTGTGTCGGCCAGGCAGTGGGGCGGCAGGGAGCACGTTTGCGGCCCTGGCTTCAACCGACCTGGGCTTCAATTCCGAGTTCCACCGCTTTGGAGCTCTGTGGCCATGGATAATGGCTCAACCTTCCCGAATGATTTTTTTTTTCATCTGCAACCATGGAGAAAATTATAACAGCCACATGAAAGGATTGTTGAGGGGATGCAGTGAGTTCTTTCAAAGCACTAAGTAAACATCCTACACAGTTCTCAGGCCCCGGCTAAATGGGGAAAGCCCCTTGAGGATGGGGCCGTGTTAGCAGGTTACTCTCAGTCCTCAGCACTTCCGCATCCATTATTTCTCTTAATGAATTAATATCTGTGAGGCGTGTGTTATAAATAATATTCCCTAACTGGATTTAAAAGGGGAGCTTCCTGGGAATTTCAGGCTCTTTAAGGAGTGTGGCCCTTGTCACCCTGGGGACCAGGGCCACTGCGGCCAGAGGTGTCAGCCAGGGTGAGGACCTCTTCCTTTTCTTTGAGAGCAGGACTAAATTAACAAGCTGAAGCCAGCTTACCTTGGATGTGGATCATTCTGGCAGTGTTCAACTTTGAGACAAGGAAGTGTGTGACATTATTGTCAGCGGAGAGAGGCCCCAGGCAGAAGGTCACTTCCTGAGGTGTCTGGGGAGCACTGCGGCAAGAGACCCCCATTTCCCAGCAAATGCTTCCTTACTCAATCTTTCGGCTACCTGGACTTTACTACCACATCTACAGAGCCATCATTGGCTTCTAATGATGAGCCTGAGGCACCGGGGCGCCTTCTGAATCATCAGAGCCAGATGAAATTGTGTGTTATTGAGACGTGCTGTTCCCATCTTTGCAAAGAGGCCATGGATGCATGCAATGAAAGCTTTTGCTGAGCCGAATACGCTGTTAGCACGACCGTCTCCCCACTGACGTATTGCACCAGACAAACACCAGACGTCAAGGTCATTGGGAAAGCACCAACATATTCAGCCAGGCAGTGTGGGGATGCACCCCCAGTCCCGAGATGAAAACCTCCAGCCAGCCCAGCGCTTCCCAGCAGGGAGCACAGAACACCATGAAGCCTCAAGATGTTGCTTTCCTAAAACAGACCAGCGTGGTTCATGGATTTGGGGCTCTAAGTGCCCCCCATTTCCCTTCTCCTAGACCTCGTCCCCAGCATCGCGACGCTATTGGGGCTGGAGCACCCAGCTGGGAGGTTAAACTTTCCTAACCTGGGCTCAACCTTGGTTTCGTCTCTCAGTCTTAATTTTGCTTCAGCCTGGTCTGTCTTGCTGGTTTATGCTGTCATCTAACACAGGGCCAGCAATGAAGATGCTTAGTAAAAGCTGTTGAAAGGATAAATTTAAAGGTTTTAATTGTTTTATTTTACTATTTTATTTATTTTTTTCATTTCTTGAATATATAACATGCACTGGCATGCCCCTCTATTCCTCCAGCACTTACTTCTACCATTCAGAGATGAGCACGCTTACCAGTTTCTTGGCAATGCAAGTATTATATAATGCATTATCTGCATAAATATATGTCATATATACACATACATACGTGTATACACATATACAATATATTATATGAGTGACAGTATCCTAAACATACCTCACATTGTTTTTGTTTGTTGTTCTTTTTTTTTTCTTTTTACTTCTTCACATTAGTTTTTTTAACTTTCTATATTGGAAATTGTTTCATTTCAGCACATATAGCGCATCCTCACTCTTTGAAATGGCTTCATAGCATTTTATTGTATGGCAGTACAAATATTTGTTGAACCATCCCCACTAACAGACATTAAATTATTTCCGTTATCTTGCTTTGACAAATACCACCGTGCTCAGTGCACTTGTGCAGGAGTCGTTCTGCACCCTTGGGGTAGATCCATAGGCTAAACACCTAGAGTTGCTGGGTTGAAGACGTCATGCGTATTAAATTTTGTTAGCTGTCGTCAAAGAACCTTCCATGGAAATTTTACCTGTTTACAGTTCCAGCAGCAAAGATAAACTGCGCATTTCCCCCCACCCCCCCGCCCCAACCATCTTTACAAATACAGTGTGGGAACAAACTTTATTTGTACTATTCCTTGCCAATCTGATAAGCAAACAAAATTGTATTTCAGTGTTGTTTTAGTTTGCGTTCTTATTGTAAGGAGTTTGAGCACCAAGGAACTGGTTATGTATGTGTGTACAGTTTTCAGGTACTTTTTAAATTAAGTTACTGTCCTTTTTAAATATTGATTTTTAGGAATCAATATTTAAAACACACAACACAATTAACTGTTTTGGCCGTTTTCCTTTGATGTGAAGTACATGAATTTTTCCTAATTTATTATCATTTAATTTTGTTTCTGGTGATGTTTGCCATTCAGGAATATCTTAGTTTGAGGGGTGGGGAGTTGATCAAATTTCTCAATCTTTTCTTTTCTGGCTTAAAGATTTTGTGTCAGAATTAAAAAGGTCCTTTCTGAATCAGAGATTATTTAATAATTCTCCCAGTTTTTTCTGTTACTTTTAAGGTTTCATTTTTTTCATGTGTAAATTTTCCATCCATACGAAATTTACTTTGTAAATGTGAGTGGTTGGAATCCAGCTTTCTCTTTCAGATGATAATACACTTCTCCCACTGATTTCAAATGCCACTTTATTACGTAATAATATGGCATCTATTTTCTGGACTTCCTAGGTAGTTCCATCCCTCTATTCATGAACTAATGCCACATTATAATATGTTTTAATACATGGGAAACTTTATTGTTTTATTTTTCAGTATTTTCCTGGGTTTTCTTGATTGCTTAATATCTATACTACTATTTTAAATAATTTTCTATTTTCAAAAATTATATACTCACATAGTTCAAAATAAAAATAAATCAAAATGAGAGCCAATGAAATAAATCTCCCAGTCATTCCCCCAGTCATCCTATTTCCTTCCCAGGGAGCAGCCAATGGACTCCATTTCTCCTGCATCTTTCCAGAGACAGTTCATGTAAATCTCATATGTATGTGTCTTATAAAGTTTATAATTGGTTTTTCTCATTTTAAAAAATCCTCAACACTTCTCGTATTTTAAATGGGATCAAGCTTAACTTATAAATAAACTACAGAGAAGTGATTTCTGTATGATGAGGTAGATTCCTACCCGTGAACATACTATGGTTTTCCACTTGTTTTATCCTCTTCTTTATCTTGAAGTACTTTGAAGTAGTAGTAATATCCTGCAGTATTCCGAGTAGTTGTTGTTATTATAAAAGTTGTCCTTTATTCCATCAGATCTTCTGTTTGTAGTTGGCATAAATGGTTGTTAATTTTTGCCTATTAATTACACATATAATACATGAGATCCTACCCACCTTATTAAATTCTCTCAATTGCATGAAATTCTAATTAAAACAAGCTGCCGTTCTAGGACTCTGATGCCTTCTGTGTAGGGTGGCAGGAACGAATAAACAAGGAATGATTACATCTTGGAAAATACAGCACTTTACTGGCAGTCATATTCTGAGAACAACATACCACACAAACCAGGAGACCCCCAGGGACCCCCTGAGATCAAGCCCTCTCTGGCACACATAGCCCACTGCCCACTGTATCATAAGATTTGGTTTTTGCAGTTTGACCATGGTGTGTTTAGATTTCTTCTTATTGAGGCTGCTTAGGTTTTGTGGAGTTTCTTCAGACCTGCAGTGATTATATATAGCAAGGTTTGAGAAGAAACAGAAATGGATACTCTGAGTCATTTTGGAAAAGCTTACCAGGATCCTCAAGTTCTTTCCCTAGAAAGGTCTTGAAAAATCAATATAAATTCTTGACCACGTTTTTGGGTTACTTCCAACTGGAAAATCAGGTACTTTTTCTGGGCTCTACCAATGCTTCGCTTATTTTATGGCAATTTTTTTTTTTTTGTCTCTCCATCTGAACCTGTGCCAAGCCACCAGGCACCACTGCTCTCCAATGTCCACTTAACGAATCCCCCGCAGCTTGGACAATATTCCACAACCATTTCTTGGAAAGTGTATCATGACTTCTGCCTAAAAGTAACTTTTTATGTGGTGAAAACTTAAGCATATGGTTTGTCATTGGCACAGCTTTCCTTGGTCATGGTCTAATGCAGACCAAACTGGAAATAACCAAAGTTAGTGATTCTATTTGGTCATCCTCAAATGCTCAAGTGAATGAGGTCTTTTAGTGACAAAACTGCCAATGGAGGTAACAGCTACTCGCACATCCTTGACCAACACAGGATCCTCTCTCCCTGGCACCATCATCCTCATTGGCTTGTTCTCAGCTTCAGGAGATACTTTAGTAGCAGAAGAGGAGGGGGACCAGTCAAGCCAGGGGCAGGGCATGGGTTGGCAAATGGAGTTGAACAACTTGGGCTGTCTGTGTATGGACAATGGCCTCTCCCAGCCACATGTTCACAGCCCCCACCTGCCTGGGCCTAGGTCTCAGGTTCCCCTCCAGGTCCTGGTGCAGCCACTGTCCAGCACCATATGGGGCAGCCTCCCCAGATCTGGAGGGGGCTCCACATGCATTTGGGAGCCACACACACTCTGTCCTCTTGGACAGTGTGAGGCTTGTGTGCAAAAGCACCAGGACAGGTATGCCTGTGCTTGTATTAGAGTTTCAAAGCAGTCTCAAACATACACCCTGAGCTGCTCAGAATGGTAGGCATTCATTTATTTATTTTTGTTTATTTTAATCTAGGACAGCTGCAGAAAAAAATATATTCTCAATGCTAAATATACTCTTCCTGTTTAAGTATGGGTTAAGTTACAGAAGCAAACTAAAGTCCTCCTTCATCAGAAAGAAGGGAGAAGAAGAAATGAAAGAATCAAATGGGAATAGGCCTATGTGCTTTAAACACACATGTGATCTCATTTAACTTTCTGGATGGCCAAATGAAAAGGGCATTTTACTCTATTTTACAAATAAAGAAACCAAGATCTAGAGTAGTTTAGTGACTTGCCCAAGAAAGTAGGAGAACCAAGATATGAGCTCAGGTGCATCCAATCACAAAAACTTCCCAAGACTCCATTACAGCTTTTTAATAAGTTCTTTTGCATATGAGCAGAGAGATAAAGAACAAATACTTCCAAAGCAGAGGCAGTCCCAAGGCACCACTGAGAGTTTGGAAAGGGACCTCCAGCCACTTCCCAGGGGAATTTTGGACCCTGGCACCACTTCATAGGGAAGGTCTGAACCCCGGTTGTGCACCTTGGACAGGGGGGCTCTGAGCGCCCTGCTGTTTTGTCTGTCGCTGAACCTGGGTGCAGCTTTACATTCTAGGCTCAAAAACTCACAAGCACTAGGTCAAGCCATTCCGCATGAATGTCCAGCTGGCCTTTAGGAAGCAGGGCTGGTGCAAAGCAATTCTTCCTGTGTGGGGATGCCTGGCACTTTCTAAAACCTCCATCACTCCTAGCCCTGCCCACCAGATACCCTACCTAGATACCAGCAGCACTGCCAATCATCAAGATGGCCAAAGTGTCTCCATAGACACCAAACAGCTCCAAGGAGGCAGAACTACCCCTAGTAAGAGCCACCCAAGTGAAGTATTAGCAACAGAAATGAAAAAGTAGACTGATGGCTGGACCCAGTAGCTCATGCCTATAATCCCAGCACTTTGGGAGGCTGAGGCTGGGGGATCACTTGAGACTAGGAGTTTGAGACCAACCTGGGCAACATACTGAGACCCTGTCTCTACAAAAAAAAAATACAAAAATTAGCTGGGTGTGTTGACAGGCACCTGTGATCCCAGGTACCCAGGAGGCTGAAGCAGGAAGATGCCCTGAGCCCAGGAGGTCAAGGCTCCAATGACCTGTTGATCACACCGCTGCACTCCAGCCTGGGTGACAGAGCAAGACCCTGTTTCCAAAAGATAAAAAGGAAAAAAAAAGTAGACTCAATGTTTTGTAGGGACCTCTTAAGAGTTGTGTGACCTTAAGAAAGTTACATTAGTTTCCCTTCTGAGCCTCAGTTAATTTATCTGTGAAATGGGGGCTAAGAATCACCTCTTCTCCTCCTTCATTAGGTTAGTATAAATACCAAGAGTGACTTTTGAACTTTAAACCCTGCTGCACCCTCCAAATGCCTGCAAGGCCCCTGAGCCCTGACCCACTTTCCCTCTCTGCCCACAAGATCATAGGCATGGCTCCTGTCTCATTTTCTTTGGCACAAAATTCTATTCATTTGATGGTTTAGAAAGCAACCTAATAGGTTAAATAATACTTCAGCATAAATAGATAATAGCCACCATCTCTTCCAAAGCGTAACTGCATTCTAAGAAATGGCTCCCAGAGGCAAATCTACTACACCCAGAAGGAGATTCTCTGAAGTGGCTGTGCAGAAGTAACTGGGTGTCTGCCGCACCTTGGGTCAGGAGATACACCATCCAGTGGGCAGACTTGAGATCGGAGCAGCGAGCTCTAGGCTTGGCCCAGCTCAGCAGCAGTCAGCTTCTCTGTGCCTGGGTCTCCTTTTCCGTAAAATGAGGGTAAGCGCCGTTCCATCTAAGAGTACCTGTGATGAGATGAGCCAGCCATATGAAGGTGCTTTACAAATGTGAAGCAGTAATTAGGATTCATAATGCTCTCCTGCATGAGGAATAAACTACTTCACATGCTAGGAAGAACGGCCTTGCTACTCTAGGGAATGGCTCAGAGGAGGATTGTGTGCTGTTTATTTGTCGATGTAAATTTACAGGTCCAACTTCTATCTGTTGGACACCCAGCATGTGAAGGCACATTGGCAAGTATTCCTTTAAGGGTCACTGCTGATTTTACGATTTCAGGCTGCATGTCAAGTGGAAAGTCCATTTTAGAACACACCGTGAAGCCCTGAGGACAGTCTCCATTCTTAGTCACAACCATGACATGAAAAGAGCCAAAAGCTTTGGTTTCCAGTCCCGGCGAATCCCTCACTGCTTTGAAAACACAAATACATTTTTTAACTTCTCTAGATTTCGGGTTTTCTGAACTAAAAACTAGGCACAACTATTGCCTGAAAAATAATACCTGCATCTCATTGTTGTGAGAATTAAATGAGATAACGCATGTAAAAATTCACTCTGCAGTACAGTCAGATAGTATTTGGTTTACCACCTTCAGTGCAGTCATTTATAACATTTTTTTAATCTTACACCCCTATCTGTGAAATGTTTGAGCAAACCCACCCAATGCATACATAGGTATCTATAAACTATACGTACCACCATGCTGGCATATTATGTATATTATAAAACAATAAAATGTCTAAAGTATGATTTAAAGATTAAACTAATAGTACTCTAAAATAATTTTATATTATTTGTCATATTAAAACCTTTTATGCTCACTAAAATATTACTGTTCTTCATGATATTTTTAGTGGAGAGCAGTGCGATTGAACACACCTCACTATTTTTGAGAATCTTACTTTAACATTTTCTGATACAGCATCTGAAGGTCTGACTCTCAGTTCGGTTAATTTCAGTACTTGATTTTAATGGCTGTCAAACTGATCTAAAGTACTTCTCAAAGAAGCACAGATCCAGATAGTAATGAATAATTGACTTATTGAATCGTGTTACTTATGTTTCAATTTCATCTTCCAATTATGTAAACATTTTTTGTTGAAACTCAGCTGGTAATATCTTCCCTGATATCAATTAGCTGTTCTGGCAAACTAATCAGAAGGTTTACATTTTAATACGGTCATGTACCACCTAATGATGTTCTGGTCAACAACAGACCACATATACCACAGTGGTCCCGTAAGATTATTATACTGTATTTTTCCTGTTCCTTTTTCTATGTTTAGGTGTGCCTAGATACACACTTACCATTGTGTTACAGTTGTCTACAGCATTCAATACAGTCACATGCTAAACAGGTTTGTAGCCTCGGAGCCATAGGCTGTACCATCCATACTATGTGTGGTACATACATAGTGCAGTGACACACAGCCTACTGCACACCTGTTCAGGTTCGTGGCCTAGGAGCCATAGGCATACTAGGTGTGCAGTAAGCTGTATCACTAGGTTTGTGTAAGTGTACTCTGTCATTTGCACAGTGACAAAATCACCTAAGGACACATTTCCCAGAAAGTATTTCCATCATTAAGCAATGCATGCTTGTGTTTTTTAACAAATGGACTTAAACTCACCGTTGTTGGGAGGATTGTTAGATAAGATAGAAAATGATATCGCTATTTTTTCAAGTATGCAGACAGGAACATTTTCACAGGTGACATCCATTACTTTTAGCATCAATAAAAATTTTAGCCCATCTGCTTTCAAGTGGTTCTCTCAAGTTTTTTTTCCAAAAGATGTTACTTTCTTACTCATTATTTTTTTAAATCACATATTTTGAAGGAACAAATTAACAGTGTTTATTCTGGTTTTTTTTTTTTTTTTTTGCATTTGCCAAGAAACATACTTTTAACAAACATTTGTTTTCCCAATGATAGGTCACAAATTTTGAACAACTGGGTTTTTTGTAAAAGAAAACTGTGTAATTCATCTTTAAGTTCAACTCCTTTCTAACTACCCTGCTACTATTTATCCAGAATAATTTTGTGTGGTACAAAATATTTTCATGGTCATTTCCACCTCATTACAAAGTATTATAAATATTCTTTTATATTTTAATGTCTGTTTGTTATCTTTAAATCAATACATTGGTGATCTGTGGCACCTGGCTGACTTCTGCTTGTTGTAACTTCATGCAGCACACAACGGGTGAGTTTCACGTGTCTTGCAGCAACTGTGACCTCACCCCAGATTCATTGTTTTGTTAACTTCAGTCCATAAGGCTAATAGTTTTTCCATCAAAAATTTTTTATTGTAATAAATACTGGTAAGAACATATGTTCTATGGCACATCTTTCTTCGGATACACAGGGACAGATATATCTTTTTAAAATTTTATTTTTTAAACAGAATACAGCAAATATCATGAGTCAAGACACATTGGAGATAAATATATATATATATATATATATATATATATGCCTTGATTAGAAACAAGATATTTGCAGTATCAAAGTGTTTCCCCACAAGATACTTATTAATTACAAAAGGAAAAATATTAACTTTATAGGAGAAATCTGCCAGACAGGCCCTTACCTCAGAGATCAAGTTCAACATCACCAGGAGATCATATCAACCTCATGTACCCGCCACCTCCAAGAGAGGAGCTGAGAATGACCCAACATGTCCCCCACGTGTTCCTGCACCACCTCAGTCTATCCCTGAGAAAGAAATCAGACAAGCTCAAAGGGAGAGACATCCTAAAAACACCTGCTCAGTGCTCTTTAGAAGTGCCAACACCACGAAGGACCAGGAGAACCTGAAGAACTGTCCAAGTTGGAGAAGTCAAAGGAAACCCACAACCAAACACCATGTGGGATCCGGAATGGGGTCCGACTGGAAAAGGACTTGAGTGGGAACCTGTTGAAATTCAGATAAAGCTTGAAAATTTGTTCATAGTGTGGTGTCAGTGTTAATTTCCTGGTTTCAATTGCTGTACTGTGGTTATGTAAGTGTTAACATTAGGGGGACTGGCTGAAGGGTATGTGGGAACTCTCTGTACTCCTTCTGCAATTTTCCTGTAAATCTGAAATTATTTTTAAAATAAGAAGTTAAAAAGGGAACATCTATACTTTGCTCCAAGCGTGTGGCAAATCTCCCACACGATGTAGCCTGTTCTATCCTATTTCCTTCTGTCTTCAGTGACGTTTCCCACATGCGTTCCGAGAGTATTTTATGACAAGGAAATACATTTTGGTTTGCCACTGTGTTATTTTCTTTGTATCAGCAATTTGAACCACAGCTGGAAGTGTTTCCTCAATAGTATTTGACTAAAATTGCTACTAAGTCAGAAAACTCAAAAGAGGCTTCTGGAAATTTATCACATGCTTCTTGAATTTTTATAATGTACTGTAGTGAGGATCTTACAAATGATAAGAGTTCATCTCCATCTCCAAGTGTCTAGTACTTGACTGTCTTGTTTATCTTGATTTGAGACGGTTTAGTTAATATTTCAAGACACAGCATATAATTACGGTGTGGGTCACCCTTGGCGACTGGGCATGTAAATCCAGACCTCAAATAGTCTTGGTCATTGTGATCTGTGCAGCCTTCTTGTCAGACGTGATGAGATTGTCACTGTTGAAACCTGTAGAGCGGCCAACACCAGCTCGTGGGAGGGGTAGAAAGGCCATCTTTATCGTCCAACATTGTTTGCTTAAGTTTGCATCTTCACAAACAGTGTCAAGCTGATTGTATGCAGGTTTCTGTTTAGGTCAATGCCTCCCTTAGCAAGGATTAGTTTTCTTTAAAAACAGATAGTTTGTAAATCCAGTAAAACAAGTACACCTCAGCTATTTATGAGATTCCGATAAAAGCCACTAAGGCACCACTGCCCCTCTCTGGCTGGGGACCTTCCCCAGGACCCCTGCACATCCACATGGCAGTGACCACTGAGAAACAAATGCAGCAAGGGTCCCAGTGTTGCTCTGAACATCACATATTGGTAAAGTTAATTTCTCCATTTCTTAGATGAAAATAAATGTAAATAGTTCAGATTATTTTCTTCCCATTCTCCAAAGCTGTACTGTCCAATAAAGTAGCCATCAGACACATGTGGCTATTTAAATGTGACTGTAAGTTAATTGAAAATAAATACAATTAGCATTCAGTTCTGCATCTGCACAGGCCACATCTTGAGTGCCCAACAGCACAGTCCCAACCTGAGGACCACCATGTTGCACAGAGCAGATGCAGAACCTCTCCATCGCTGCAGAAGATCCTGCTGGAAACTGAAGCTCCAAAGCTTGTCCCGTGCATTGCCCTCTGTAGCTGGTGACTTCAGAGTAGCATCCCCTCAGTCGAACACTGGGGTGAGCTAGTGACTGCCAAGCGCTAGTGCACAGGCTATACCCAAAAGCCCCGGGCTGGGGAGTCTGCCATGGCGGAGGCACTCCTGTCAGCCTCCCTGGGCAGGGTTTTTCACGACTTTGCTTCTCCCAGCTGCTGGAGAACCCAGACAGACCCTAGGATGCTCTTGTCACCCTCTGCTGTGCTTAGCAACATCTGAGAAAACCATTACCTCAGGTCTAATTCCCCATAAATCAAGGCAAATAATAGCTCAAACTGTCAAAACAGATAGAGCATTATTATTTGCCCTGTGTTGTCTTCTGGGGCAGCTTATAAGAATGTCAAAGAAATACAATTCTGGGTGAAAATCCTTTAGAAGGTGTAACTATGTCCACAAAATGGGAGAGAGAGAGAGTGCGTGAACACCTTGAAGGAGAGGGGAGGGGCATCCTGGCAGGTGGGAGGAGGGCTGCCATTGCAGGGGACCGAGAGGCGAGGAGTGAGCAAAGCACTGCAGACAGACACTGCCCACTGCACAGGGAGCCGCCCGGGTGCCTGAAAGCATCGCCTTGGCATCTGCACATCTGTATTTCCAGCAGCAACTCTTGTTAGCCTGGGCAAAGAAGCAAATGCCACTTTCCAACACTGGACAAATTAGATGGGTGGGAGCTGAGATACAATCAGTCAATCAATCAGCCAGCAGCCCTGACCCCCTCACACCTAATGACAAAGAAAGTCCTTCCATGAGGTTGGGCGCGGTGGCTTAAGCCTATAATCCCAGCACTTTCGGAGGCTGAGGCGGGTGGATCACGAGGTCAGAAGTTTGAGACCAGCCTGATCAATATGGTGAAACCTTGTCTCTACTAAAACAAAACACAAAAATTAGCCGGGTGTGGTGGCGCACGCCTGTGATCCCAGCTACTCAGGAGGCTGAGGCAGGAGAATCACTTGAACCCGGGAGGCAGAGGTTGCAGTGAGCTGAGATCGTGCCACTGCACTCCAGCCTGGGTGACAGAGCCAGACTCCATATCAAAAAAGAAAAAGAAAAGAAAAAGAAAGTCCTTCCGTGAACAGCCGCTGCGCTCTCTGAACGCTCGGTGGAGAGGAGTCTGGGAGGGCACTGACATTACATTTCCAGCTGCTGTGGTGAAGGGAAGGGAAACGATGATGAAATATAGTTCAGTAGGAAAAACATCTTTTCTGCCCACTTCTCACAAGACGAATGACAGAGAAGATGAAGTTGGAATTCTTTCCATTTGCTTTTGCCTCATGGATCGGATCCTGGAGGGAGAACGAAATGCGTGGGCTGCCAGTGTGTGTGTGTGGAAGAGCTACAGCTCATTTCTGTAACAGGAAACAACATCTGTTTCTACTCAGGGACCAAATAATATTTTTCAAAGTCTGAGCTGAGCAACTAGGTTTCCTTTTACTGGAAAACCCAGTGTGGCGCCTCATACACTGGAAGCTCAGCCCTTTTTCCTAACTTGCCCTTTCTCCTGACCTGCCAGGAAACAGGAAGGCTTCTACCCTTCCATCCACGCATGGTCCTGCGGTTTCCTCAGCCCTGGCCGGGATTGCAGTCAGCGCTGGGAGGGAGGACCGGGTGCTGTGCCCAGACTGTCAGTCTTTCGTGCTGAGCCCGACAGTGTGATCCACTCTCTGTTCTGACGCTACGCTTCCCTTCCTCGGTGCCCAAGCTGAAAGAGGTCTTTGTCCATCCAACAGGGAGAGAAAAGTGCGCTAAGTTAGTTTTTCTAAACGGAGGGCCAGCACACATACCACACAGTAGAGGAAGTGCGCGAATCTTAAGCGCACAGCTCTGTGACCTTCCCATGTGTGCCTCAGGTCCAGACCCAGGACATGCCCAGGGCCAAGAGTTTCCTCTCATGCATCTCCCCAGCCCATGACCCATCCACCCAGGGATTGAGGCAACGCAATTGCGATTCCCAGAAGAATCCATTCTTCCTACGCAACGTTTTGCATCTGGCCTCTCTATGGACCTTCCAGGCAGCCTGTGGTGTAGGGGACTTGTGAGGCTAGGGAAACTGCCCAATAGACCTCCAGGTGACCCCTGCCAGAGCTGCCTAGAAAAATGCCACCAGCTGTCACTTACTGAGTGTCTCTATGCACCGGAAACCGCACCGAGGGCTCTAATCTTTATAGCAGCCCCCCAGGTGGACACTGGTTATTTCTCGTTGCCAGGCCGTGCAGCTAGTGCGTGATGGATTCTGACTTTACCCAGGTCTGTGGCTCTTTACTCTGCCCCACCAGCTCCTGCACTTGCTTCCTCCTTCCCGCCTTCTCCCCGTGCCAGGGCTGACTTGTCCACTGCACTTTGGTGGGTGCAGAGTGTTCCCAGGGAAGTGAGAGGTGGACTTGGTGATACCCACAGGCCTGAGAACCCAGACTCCGCCAGGGCACGCCAACCACAGTTCCCAGGATGGCCAGAGCTGTTAGCCCCGCCTCCCTACTCCAAGTTCAGTGCCAGCCGTTTGGCAGCTTGAAATCGACAAACACTATCCAACAAGGGTTTTGTTTATCTCAGGACAAAGGTGAACCTGAGGCTATGGGATCCCGATGGCCACAAGGGAATGCCCAAGCATTATCTGAGGATTTGCAGCAGGACTGCCCGATCGCAGATTCTTCTCTCTTCCATTTTAAGCCTCTGTTCTATGCTGGGCCACATCCATACAAATGCTTTTCTTCCCTCCACCGTGAAACGTACTAGTATTTGTTCCAGTGCAATCTGATCTCAAGACACGGCCCAGCGCTGCATCTTTCTCCAATCTCCTAGGCTGGCTCTGACGTCCCCACCCAAGTCCCAGCCTCAACGCTCCTAGTGTGGCTCTGGGTCCATCGAATCCACTTTGGGCCCCTTCAGTTTTGCAACCACTCTGGACTCACTTTCAAATGTTTTTCCATCTCAGCACCCACCTCACTCTTATCCGAGAGGTTCCCTAGTCCTTAGAAGAGGACTTGGCAGAAGCTCTAGTGTGACCCCCAAGCCAGTCTCTGAATCCCCGCCATGGCAAGAGGCCATAGGGCTTGGAAGAGCAGAAAGGAAAGTGAGTTTGGGAGGCTGGCAAGTGAAGAGAACAGGCTTGGGAGGCAAGTGCAGGTGGGCTGGGATCCAGCCTCTGCCACTTTCCAGCTGTGAGACCATTGGCAACTTATGTAACCTCTCTGAGCTCCAGGGATTTTTTTTTTAATTTGTTAAAAAAAAATTAGAATAACTGTTTCATTGGATTGTTGAGATTATTAAGATCATCAATAGGATATGTTTAATATATTCAGTATTTTTATTAAAAGATAGCAATTTTTTTTTCTACCGTTGACTTCCCTAAATATATGTATTTCCTTTTCTATAAGGCAGGAATAATACCCTACAAAGAAATCCCAGATAAGGAGTAAAGTAAGTCTGCAGTGGGTAGACTGGGTTCTGTGGTGTAAAAAGGCGTTCTTCCTCACCATGTGTGGCTTTCACCAGCATGAGTTTAAACACTTGATCACAGCAACCCACTAGGAGCCAGCTAATCTCTCAGGACGAGCACATGTTAACTAAGTTCATGAGGCAGGTGTATGAAACTGTGATGCCAGTTTATTCATTTGCATTACAAATGCAGTTTTCACGGGAACTTGCTCCCTGCTGGCAGAGCCTCTCTCCTGCCTGGAGGACAAGAAATACTCAAAGCCAATTTCCTAAGCCGATTACCCTGAGCAAGGTCAAGGTGAGCATCACTCACGTTTCTTCAATGATTCTCGTTGTTGTAAGCTTCCCTACCCCAACAGCTCTAACAATGCAATAAACCCTAAACTAACATGAAAAAGACTGACAGTGCCAAGTGCTGGTGAGGAAGTGAATCAGCTGGAGCTGGCACACGCTGCTGGGGGAGTGCAGATTGGCAAAAGGACTTCGAGAAACTGTGTGGCAGTATCTATAAAGCTGAACAAATGCCTATCTATGACAAGCAAACCAGTTCCTACATTTCTGGCTAACAAAAATGTCACATGTTCACCAAAGAACATGGACTAGAACGTTCACAGCAGCTTCATTTGTGATAGCCAAATGCTGGGAATTGCCAAAAGCCCATCAGCAGGAGAATGGAAAAATATAACAAAATACTATTCATCAGCGAAGCACCAAAATGATAGTGACACATCTAGCGAGTGGCAGGGCCAGGGTTTGAACCCAGGCACAGCGGTGCCAGAACCTTGCTCTTATCTGTGAGATGACCCCCGCCTCTGGTGCAATGTGCCAGTCACAGTACTTACAGCCATGAGCAACAGAAACTGAAGCTGGCTCTAATGAGAGTAGAATTTATTCAGAAGATAAAAAGATATAAAAAGAAGAGAAAAGAAAGAAGAAAATGTAAAAAAAAAAAAAAAAAAAGAACAGAAAGAAAAGAAAAGAAGAAAAGGAAAGAAAAGAAAAAAAGAGAAAAGAAAAGAAAGCAGGCTGGACCTACTGGGAACCTGGATGTGGAAAACCATCCCAGGGACCGAGGAGGTTACTCTGACCACACTAGCCCCTTAGTTCTTCCTCCCTGGCCACTGCTCCCTTTGCCTCTCTATAGATTCTGTCCCTCCGCGGTCATATTTCCTGCTCCCTGCTCACAGGCTCCCAGCTATGGTGGCCCTGGCTCTGAACCTCCATTCATACAACTAATGGCAGTGCTTAGGACTGACTGGTCTCAGTTATATATATATAAATATTAATTTACCCACCTAAATAGTTCATACATGCACATGATTTTCTTTAAGTCAGAAAGTGACACATTAAAAAGTTTCCTGTCTGACCCCAAGACACACCTCCCTCCTCCAAGGTCACCCTATGTTAATGTTTGTTATACCTTTCTACAGGCATTCTGTGTATAAAGAGTAATTTTTTTAAGCATCCAGGTTGGTGGAAAGAAAAAAAACCAGAATAGCCAATGAAAATCCAAAGACTTGCCCAATCTCACCAGTAATCAGGGAATGGTAAATTTAAAATTTAAGAAACCAGGCTGAGCATGATGGCTTACACCCATAATCCCAGCACTTTGGGAGGCCAAGGTAGGAGGATCACTTGAGGCCAGGAGTTCAAGACCAGCCTGGGCAACATAGCAAGACTTCGTCTCTATAAAACATTTAAAAATTAGTTAAGTGTGGTGGTACGCACATTCCTGGCTCAAGTGATGCTCCCATACTCAGCTTGGAGGCTGCGTATGGGACTCTGGGAGGATCACTTGAGCCCAAGAGGTTAAGGCTTCAGCGAGGTGTGATCATATCACTGCACTCCTGAGTGACAGAGCAAAACCTTGTCTCTCCATATATACATACACATATACATATACATATACATATACATATACATATACATATACATACACATACACATATACATACACATACACATACATATACACATATACATACACATACACATATACATATACATATACATACACATACACTTATACATATACATATAATGTCTTGCATGAGATTTTTTTAATGTCATGCATTTTTAATGCATTTTTCATAAAACCTAGCAGTTTGTCCACTAAGATATACTCTGACCAACACTCACAGTTTACACAAGAAATGTGTGCAAGCACAGTTGCAATAGAAAAAGGGGATAAACTATCACATAATTATAAGATAGAATGCCATACAGCCATTTTAAAAATAGGTCTACAAGTATCTATTCAAAATATAAACAGGTTTCTTGCTTGATCTACGGATTCTACTCAAAAGCACGAGTAGATTTTAAAATCCGAATGCCATCTCAGTTTCTACTTGTGGATGTCAAAAGCTGGAAAGAATATTTATTGCTTTCACCCTTATAACAAGAAGAAAGGCAAGCTAAAAATTCATGACTTTTCTTGAACCCATAAGAACACTGAGGTCAAAGGACATGGCTTCACTAGGAATTAGAGGAGAAACAGGGGCCCAAGGCAGACACCTGCTTACCTGGGGCAGATGCAGCCAGACACCATGAGGAGAAGCTGGTGGGAGAGCACAAGCCCTTGGGGGCCACAGATGTAGGCTGTTCCTACCATTTTGTAGTTTTTCCTACATCAGACCAATCAGGCACTCAGGGAGAACACGGGGAGTCTTGAACAAGCTTCCCTCATGTCATAAGCCTAGAAAACTTGTACTGAAGCATAATATAGAACATCAGTGAACACATGCTCTTGGCCAGCGAACATAGGCTAAAAAGCGCTAAGTAAAGGCAGCACTGGAATACTGCTGGGCAGCGGGGGAGCAGCCTCTGCAGGAGGAACACAAAACTCCGCCCAGACCTTTCCTGTCTCCTTTGGAACAAAAGCCTTAATCTGGGGAGGGGAGCACCAAAATAATTACATTTTAAAGCATTTGTCAAACCCACTGCACCTGGGGTTAGAGGGAGGGAAGAGAAACAAAACAATCTACCTTTGGGAGGACATGTGTACATTCTGGGTCCAGGACAACACCTGCAGAAGGGCAGAAGCATGTCTGAAAGCCATACCCATGAAACCCAGGGATGCAGGGTCTGGATTCGGTCCAGCCTAACACTGAGCATGATGAGAACATTGTGGAGCACATTTTTTCCCTTTCACGAGGTAGCAGGCATCAAGTCAAAGTCACAGTGAGACACTTCCGAGAGAGCTGCAAAGACAGACTCTCACTGAGACCCAGGGTCAAGAAGCCCCGCAGCTGAAGGTAGAGCAGACACAGAGAAAAACCCTCTGGAAAACCAGCCCCACCCTAAAGACAAGCTAATGTCACAAGATCTTTTGGGTGTCACTTTGCCAGCTGGAAACCTCTGTGGCCAGCGGCACCTCTGCTTGGGTTTTGCTCACACCAGCTGGGCTTGTTTCACCCACTCAGCCTGGCAGTCTGCACTCAGCTCATGCTACCAGCCCAGATTCCACACCTGCCAAGGGTGAGCCAGACGCAGAGTGGCGAGGGATATGTGGGCGAGCAAGCGCAGGGTCCAGCCACTGTACACAGCCAGGCATACTGGCTGCTGTGGCAGAACAGGCAGCCCCAGGTGCCGGCACAGGTGCCAGCTCTGTGAGAGGCTGAAACTGGACCAGACGTACCACAGGCAGCTTCCATTGCAGGCGCCAGCATCTGGACAAGGGGAATGCAATGGCACATTAGCAGGGGCACCAGGAACCCCAGAGCCCCAAAGAGGGTGTTACAGCATATCACAGACCTAGGTCAGGGAACCCCGAGGGCTGGGCTCCCAGAAGGGCCACAGCTCTTCTCACCTTCTCATTGCCTGCAACATGGCAAGCGGGGGGCATGTTTCAGCCCTGCTTGTGTTACAGCCCATTCAGTCCCGACATTTGGTTGGTGCGGAGTTCTTGTCTTACATTCAGGAAGAATGAGGTATGAGGATAACTGGAGGGTGAACAAGGGGGAGAGGAGCTTCATTGAGCAACAGGACAGCTCTTAGGAGACCTGGAGTGGGTAGCTCCTATCTGCAGGCAGCTCATCTTGATGAGTGTCCAGCTCTCAGTGGAGAGGAGACCCAGAGTGGATAGCTCCTTTCTGCAAGTGAGTCATCCCAACGAGTGTGCAGCCCTCAGCAGAGAGGAGGCCCACAGAGGGTAGCTCCTTTCCACAGGCTGGTTGTCCTGACTAGTCAAGGAGACCTGAAGTGGTTAGCTCTGTCCCACAGCTGGTAGTCCCAAAGTCTCTGAGTCTGGCTGAGTCCAGGGTTTTTATGGGCTTCAGAAGGGAGGAAGTGCATGCTGATTGGTCTATGGGTGGCCATGGTGGGCCAGAGAAAGCACTGTAAGTTCTCACTCCGGGCTGTGGACTCCACTCCTAACTGACAGCCAGCCCCCATGCTTCAGGCTATCCCTGGCTTGAAGGTGGAGCTTCACCAGGGACCCACCCCTTTCTGCCAAGGAGCCTGTCTGCCTCCTGCCACCATCAACATGTTGTCCACGTGCTCAGGCTGTTTGTGCTGAAAGGATGCCCACAGGTCCATATTGAGGTGCCCTCAGCACCTCCTCGACCTCCCTCCCATACTTGTTGGCACCCAAAGCTCGGAGGAGGCTAAGACAGCAGGGGGCTGGCATGACAGCACAGCTCTGAGTGTGCGCAAACCCAGCCAGGTTGTGATAGCACCCAGGCTTGGCCACAACTATGCTTCAGCCCTGAGTGGGTACTGGGAGCAGGGAGAGGCCAGGTGGCAGGAGCAGGCACTTTGGAGCCTGTGAAGGAAGGTGGCTTCCTGGGCCCTCAAGAGCTCAGGGATACCTGGGTCTGGAGCCATGGCTGGGCAGGTGCAGTTGCACCCAGGAGTGCAGGCCTCCCACCCTGCCAACTTGGGAGGGAGAAGGGCTCCCACCTGTTCCCAGCTCCCACCAACTTCACAGAGCATGCAACCCTGGCCATGCCTCCTCTGCTTCAGGTGGCATCTTTGCAGCAGCCACTCCAAATGGGCCACCGCTGCCCTCACTAACACTAGACCAATTTGAAGCATGCAGCACACCATGGATAACCATAGCAATGACAAACCTCAACTCCAGCTGAACTACTGACTAGACTAACCCAAACCACCACCCTAAACACCTAGCCAAAGTAAAGACATTGTCATTTTCTAACTTTAAAGTACTTTCCTTAGTTTCTGACCTCCCATTCAAGATGTCTAGCATTCAGCACAAAATTATGAGGAATACAAAAATGCAAGAAAACAATACACACCTAAAAGACAAAGCAGTGAGCAAAACCAAATAATTCAGATATGACACAGATGTTGGAACTAAATGATGGGGAATTTAAAATAACTGTGATTAACATGTTAAAGGCCCTGATGAAATAGGAAGACAATGCAAGTTCAGAGGGGTAATGTTATAGGCTGGGTGTTTTCATTCCTCCCAAATTTATATGTTGAAGCCCTAACCTTCGATGTGACGACATTTGGAGGGAAGTCTTTGGGAGATAATTAGGGTTAGATTAGGTAATGAGAGTGGGGCCCTTGTGAGGGATTACTGTCCTTGTATGAGGAGAGCAAGATCCGTCCCTCATTTCCTTCCTCTCTCTCCATGTGCATGCACCAAGGAAGGCCACGTGAGAGTGCAGTGAGAAGATGGCCACAGGCAGCCAGAAACGGAGCCTTCACCAGGAGCAGAACAAGCTGGCATCTTAATCCTTGACTTCCTAGCCTCCTAAAGTGTGAGAAATAAATTTCTGTTGTTCAAGTCATCTAGTCTATGATTTTTGCTATGGCACCCTGAGATGACTAAGACAGGTAATTTTAGCAGAAATAAAGAGTGCTGAAAATTGAATAAATGAAGATAAAATAAAATTCATTTTTTCTTGTTTTTGAATCCTCCAAAAGATAGCTGATTATCTAAACCAAAAGTAGTAGTAGCGTATTGTGTGCTTATTTATAAAATATAATAGCACCAATGATGGGAGAGAGGAATTAGGAACAAAGAATTATAAGATTCTTACACTACACGTGAAGTTGTAGACACTATAAGAAAGGACCAATTGGAAATGCTAGATATAAAAAGTGTCATAATAGAGATGAAGAATGCCTTTGAGGACCTCAGTAGCAGAACTGACACAGCCAGGGAAAGAATCAGTGAGCTTAAAGACAGGTAGAATTACCCAAACTGAAACACAAAAGAAAAATGAGTAAAAGAAAAAATGGAACAGACAATCTAAGAGCTGTAGGAAAATGTCTAACAAATGTATTATTGAAATAGCAGAGGGCAAACAGAGAAAGAAAATGAGACAGAAGAAAATTCAAACAAATAATGCTGAATATTCTAAAATTACTGACTGACAGTAAAGCATATTTCCAAGAAGCTCAAAGATCACCAAAAAAGATTTAAAACAACAATAACTAGGTATATGCTATCTAAACTGCTGAAAACAAAAGGCAAAGAGAAATTTGCAAAGGCAGTGAGAGAAAAAAAAGAGATCTAACATACAGAAGAACAAGCAAAAACTGCAACAGACTTCTCATCAACAGCCATGTAAGTCAGAAGACAATGGGTGATATTTTTAAGTGCTAAAAGAAAGAAAACTGTAAACCCAGAATTCTATACCCAGCAAAAAATATCTTTCAAAATGCAGAAGAAAAACAAAAACTGAGAGAATTCATTGACAGTGATATATACCACAAGAAATGTTAAAGGAAGTTCTTGAGACAGAAGGACTATGATATCTGCGATTGACAGAATGTCCCCCCACCCAAGATGTCCAGGTCTTAATTCCTGAATCCGTGAAGAGGGTATGTTATGTGGTAAAAGGGAATTTGCAGATATAGTTAAGATTATGAATTAAATAGGAAGATTATACTGCATTATCAGTGTGGCCCAACTCTAATTACAAAACCCTTTAAAAACAGAGAACTTGGCCAGACATGGTGGCTCACATCTGTAATCCCAGCACTTTGGGAGGTTGAAGTGGGCCTACTGCTTGAGCTCAGGAGTTCCAAACCAGCCTTGGCAACATGGTGAAACCCTGTCTCTACAAACAATACAAAAAATCAGCCAGACATGATGGTGCATGTCTGTAGTCCCAGCTACTGGGAGGGCTAAGGTGGGAGGATCGCTTGAGCCCGGGAGGCAGAGGTTGCAGTGAGCTGAGATGGGGCCACTGCACTGCACTCCAGCCTGGGTGACAGAGCAAGACTCTGTCAAAAAAAAAAAAAAACAACAAAAAACAGAGAACTCTCTTTAGCTGAAGGCAAAGAGATATGGCAAAAAGAGGGAAGTCAGAAATTCAAAGCATGGGAGGAGCTTGATCTTTCATTGCTGGACGGAAACTCATGGCAAGCAGGAGAGAGAATGTGAGCAGCCTCCAGGAGCAAAGTCCAGCCCCTGCCTGACAGCCCACTGGGATCTGGAACCTCAGTCCTACAACCACAGAAATTACATTTGGCCAGCTACCTGAATGAGCTCAGAAGTGGATTCATGCAAATGACAGCCTTCTGAACCTGCATGGAAAGCTGTGAAATATTACATGAAGCCACACTCTGAGTAACTAGGGATGTGTATTGTAAGCCCTAGGGCAACCAACCACTAAAGATTTTCTTGAAGGTTTATAAATAATAAGTCAACAGTGGAGATATATTGAAATTATAAAAGTGTTAACTAAGACAAAAAGGGAAAAGAAGCAAAGACAGATGGAATGAGTGAGTAGAAAATAGCTAACAAGATGGCAGATTTTAATTCAAACACATCAATAATGATATTCAACATGCATGGTCTAAGCGCACCAATTAAAAGACAGAGACTGCCAGCTTGGCTAAGAAGCAAACCACAACTATATGCTGTTTTCAAGGCCCATTTTAAGTATAAGAATGTAATGTTGAGGAGGAGAAAAGCTATTGGCAGAGACAAGATACGCTTGTTGTAAATTTTTGTGAACACAAAAAGAAGACATATTGTGTGTAAGGCTATATGGGCCTGTCTGTTTTTATGCAGCAAAATTATAATAATATTGACTGAACAGAGATACACAGTGATCCCTCTGTGGAGAGGAGGAGACTGAGCTTGGAAAAAGTCACCAAGGAGGTTTCAACTATATAATTACCAGTAATGTTTTATGTATTTTATTTTTAAACTAAAGTAAATATGATTCATCATTAACATTTTTTAATATTCAGGGTAGGGAGCACAATAATATTTATTATATTTATTGTAGGTTAAGTTGTATTGATATCTTTTATTCATACACATTTTAGTGTATATTACAAAAAAGTAAGAACTCCTAAAAATAAAAATATGATCATCAAACAAAGTTAACAATTGTTCCTTAGAATCATCAAATATCTAATCAGTGTTTGAATTTTCAGTTGCATCATAAATGTTATAACTTCTTTTAACAGTGTGTTGTTTGTTGGTATTGGGATCTTAATCAAGTCCAGATATTCTGAATGGTTCTTAGTCTTTCAATATATACATCTTTCAATTTTACAATTTATTTTTTCCAGGAAACTAAGTTACGAGTTATAGTTTCGATGTATGTTCACTGCTGACTTATGATTTATAAACCTTCAAAAAAAGTTTTTTAGTAGTTGCCCTAGGGCTTATAAAACACATGTGAGCTTCTAACTCTTGGTACCTCAGAATGTGTCCTTATTTGGCAATAGGTCATTGCAGATAAAATTAGTTAAGTAAAAATAAGGTCATACTGGAGTAGGGCTGTGCCCAACCCAATATGACTGGTGCCCTTACGAGAAGAAACACGGAGACAGGCAGAACAGAGCGAAGGTTATACGAAGAGACAAGGGAGGAAGCCAAGTGACGGCAGAGGCAGAGACCGGAGCGATGCATTTAAAGCCAAGGAACGCCAAGAGGGGCCACAGCCACAGAAGGTAAAATAGGCGAGGACGGGGCCTCCCTAGAGCCTTCAGAGGGAGCACAGCCCCGCGACGCCTTGACTTCAGACTCATGGCTTCTAGAGCTGGGAGACAACCCACGTCTGCTGTTTTAATGTTTTTTTATCCAAAATAAGAAAACAAAGAAAAGCAAATGGTTCTTACTATACATGCTCTTTAGCACTTGTTAATATTTAAGAATATATGTTGGAAATATTTCCAAGTAAGTGTGGCTAGAGCTGCATCATGTCCCACTATATGGAAGCACCATAGTGATTTAGTCAGTTCTCTATTGGTGGACACATTATTGCTCCCTAGTTGTTGCCATGTGAAGTATTTGTACCTCTGGATGGAAGAATGGCCTACTCTTTTTTTGTTGTTGTTGTTGTTGAGACGGAGTCTCGCTCTGTCCCCCAGGCTGGAGTGCAGTGGCGCGGTCTCAGCTCACTGCAAGCTCCGCCTCCCGGGTTCATGCCTTTCTCCTGCCTCGGCCTCCAGAATAGCTGGAACTACAGGCGCCCGCCACCACGCCCGGCTAATTTTTTGTATTTTTAGTAGGGACGGGGTTTCACCGTGTTAGCCAGGATGGTCTCCATCTCCTGACCTCATGATCCGCCTGCCTTGGCCTCCCAAAGTGCTGGGATTACAGACGTGAGCCACCGCGCCCGAAAGAATGGCCTACTCTTATGTAGCCTTGTCAAAAAACAAAAACGTGCATCTGAATCCAACTATCAATTTACAGAAAATCCCAGGGACAAAAGAATACATCAAATGGAAAGTGAAGATGCAACAAGCAAAATCCAAAGTGTGAGAAACTCCATAGGGCAAATAACTTAGTTTCTTGAAAAAAAGTAAAGATTTATGGATTGAAAGACTAAGAACCATTCAAAATATCTGGAATTGATTAGGACCCTGACACAAACAAACAACTGTTAAAACAAGTTACATTTATGATGCAATTGAAAATTCAGAATCTGATTAGATATTTGATGATACTAAGGAATAACTGTTACTTTAAGTTTGATGATTGTATTGTTGTTTTTAGGAGTTCTTACTTTTTTGAAATATATACAAAAATGTATACGGATAAAAGATGTGAAGTCTGTGATTTGTTTCAAAATATTACGATGGACTAAAAGTAGTGAGGAAATCGACAAACTGAGATTGCTTGCAAGTTGATAATTGCTAAAGTTGGGATACAGACACTCACAAATTCATTATTATTTTTTCTATTTTTGAATAAGGTTAGCATTTTCCATAATAAACAGGTTTTAATGTTGTTTCAGTGAACATACTTGTGTTCATACATCTGTTGCCATTTGTGTGATTAAGCCTGTAACATAAATTTCTGAAAGTGAAAATGACAAGTCACATTAATTTCAACGTTTATAGATTTTGTCAAATTGCCCTCCACAAGAATATACAAATATATATTCCCACAAGGCAGGAGCATGGGTGAGAATGGTAGGGCATGCAGGAAATCTTTATATATTAGAGACACTAAGCGTTTGTCTGTGACACTACCTTTCTTGTATAAGGGTAAATGCAAAACAAAAACTATTTAAAAATTAATTTTTCCTACTACAAAAAGGGGTAAGAGATTCCCCTCTCCCTTTTCTTAAAGCATTTACTTTAGACAATTTGTTATTTTACATTCTCTCTCTGTCTGTTTCAGAAGTGTGTAGCTATTTTTTAAACCTGTGTTAGTCATTTTGCGTTGCTATAAAGGAATACCTGAGGCTGGGTAATTTATAAAGAGGCTTATTTGGCTCACAGTTCTCCAGGCTGTACAGGAAGCATGGCTCCAGCATCTGCCTCTGGAGAGGCCTCAGGGAGCTTCCGATCATGGCGGAAGGCAAAAGGGAAGCAGGCTCATTACCTGGTGAGAGCGAGGGCAAGAGAGAGATGCCAGGCTCTTTTAAACAACCGGCTTTCATGTGAGCTACCGGAGTGAGAACTCATTCATTACCATGGGGAGAGCACCAAGCCATTCCTGAGGGCTCTGCCCCTAAGACCCAAATACCTCCCACTAAACCCCACCCCCAACATGGGGGACCATGTTTCAACATGAGATTTGGTGGGGACAGACATCCAAACTATATCAAACCTAAATAAGCTTCTTGCCAGCATTACAACCCAGGAATGTCTTTCCCAAGAACCTAGAAGCCATCTCTTTGAAATGCATCAAGGAAGAGAGCAGTCCCTCTCCCAGTTTCCATGGGAGAGCAGGAGCTGACTTGTGGGTGCCTGGCTCCCAGCTGCAAGCCTCTCTCCTGTCATGAAGATAGGAGAAGTTTTCTTTTTCCTTTGGATAACTACAATTAGCAAACACAGATGGCCACCCAGTTACCAGGTGAGCTGAAGATGAGCTAAGTGTGGCAAGTGGTGCTGTCAAGTCCTCCTACCTTGTTTCTACTGAGAACATGAATGTGCAGGTTGTATCGCCTAGAAGGAAAGGGGGAGATTTCTTTCCATCTTTGCCATCTCTTGGCGAAAGCCTGTGATGCACATCACATTCTGGTTTCATGCTTATTCAATTAAAAACACTGTTTTTCTTCTCTACTTTCTACTTTTGTGGCACGATCTTCTGGGTTGGCAAGACACTTTGTTTTTCATTACATTTTCCCATAAGTTGGTGATATTTTTCCATGAAGATCTTTTTAATTTTTTATGAAGTTGACTTATCAGTCTATCACAGCTCCTGCTATCAAATCTTATTTTTAAAGAGAAGTTTTTTTCTTTCTCCCCTCAACAATTTTTTTCTAGTTACAAAAGTAATACATACTCATGGAAAGTGCAATCAACACAGACATGATGTATTGATAAATGATACAATGTATGAGGATAGAGGGCATCTGCCTCATGTCTCAACTCTAGAACAACAATGACCAGCTGGGGGAAAGGCTTCCCATCCTCTGTCATACACATTTTTCAAAAAAAATTGACTGTATTCTCTGTATTATTTAATAACAGCTTTATTGCAATATTATTCACATATGATAACACTCATTTTAAAGTTTGAAATTCAGTAGCTTTTAGTATATCCAGAGAGTTGCATGATATCCCACTATCTAACTTCAGCACATTTTCACCCCACAAAGAATCCCCTTACCCTGTAGCAGGAATGCCCACTCTCCCTTACCCCCATCCCAAGTCCTAGGCAGCCCCTAATCTGCTTTCTGTGTCTATGGATTTGCCTATTCTGGACATTTCATACAAATGGAGTCATAACAACACGTGGGCTTTTGCCACCGGCATCCCTCCCTGAATACTATGTTTTCCAAGCTCCTCCATGCCATGGCATGGGTCGGTGCTCCATCCCTCTTTATGGCAGGTAATATTCACCAGATGGACAGACCACACTTCATTTATCCACTCACCAGTTGATATGGTTTGGCACTGTGTCCCCACCCAAATCTCATCTTGAATTGTAACCATGTGTCAAGGGAGGGAGGTGATGGGATCATGGGGGTGGTTTCCCCCATGCTGTTCTCATGATAATGAGTAAATTATCACAAGAACTGATGGTTTTATAAATGGCAGTTTTTCCTGCGCTGACACCAACTCACTTTCTTGCCTGCCGCCATGTAAGATGTACCTACTTCTCCTTCCATCATAATTATAAGTTTCATGAGGCCTCCCCAGCCATGGAGAACTGTGAATTAATTAAACCTCTTTCCTTTATAAATTACCCAGTCTGGGGAAGTTCTTTATAGCAGTGTGAGAATGGGCTAATACACCAGTTAATGGGCATTTGGGTTGTTTCCACTGTTATGAATAAGGTTGCTATAAACATTCATGTGCAGGCTTTTGTGGGGATATATGTTTTCAATCCTTGTGGGTATGCACCTAGGATTGGAAATGCTGGGTCATATGCACTGTGTGTGTAGCTGTCTGAAAGCTGCCAGCCAGCTTCCACAGTGGCTGCACACATATTCATCTGTAGCTTTTTCTTTTCTCGCAAATGTTCATGTCAGAGCAGTAGATTCTCCTCACTCTTTTTGACAGCTGCACTGTATGCCATAGTGTGAATATGCTGTACATTTCGTCAACAGTCCTTGAGTCATAGATAGATTGCTTTTTAATTGCTTACTGCTATAAATGATGCCTCAGTGATTTGAACACACATTCTTGGACAGTGGTGCAATGGTTTCAGCAGGACAGAAACCTAGAATGACTGAGTTAAGGGTGCATTTACAATTTTGATAGCTACTGACAAATAGTTTTCAAGTTCTTTATGACTTAAAGTTTCAGATGGCTTGAAAATTCTCTCACTATGAAGCCCAGGCTTTAATCCTGAAAGTGAATTGAGATTAATCAATTGTCATGATCTGACCATGGTTATTCAGAAACTTTGAATAAGTTCATGAGAAGATCATTCTGATCTGAATACAGGTTTCAAGAAACTCAACTGGAAGCTAAAATGTTATGCAATTCTAATATTCTGATATTAGGCTGTACATTAGGTGAGAAAATACTTGTTCTTGAAGGGAAGTTACAGTGTTTTGATTCTGAGTTAAAAAGCTAGAGAAACGGTGAGCCCATGATCATGAGCCTCTCAGGCATGGAGCGTGTGCACCAACAAAACCCGGCTTGCAGAACAATGCTGCTTGTTGTCACATATCATCTGCCTGACAAGCAAGACACAGTCACACAGCACTCTGCACTTACACACCCAACCTGTCTGAAGCACATTTGGGATTTTCCACCAGGGACTGTATTTTGGACCCATGAGGTATTCTAATAGTTGTAAAGCTTCTTTCTTTGAAATTAAGTTTTAATTTTTCAGTGACTCAAAATAACTAAAAACAAAGACTAATAAATAAAGTGATTTATTATACAGAATGAGGCACTTTCTTTGGGACAGGAGAGGGACTTTGATAATAGGGGAGGCTGTGCACATGTGTGGGGAGCAAATATGGGAACTCTCATATACCCCTAAATACACCTCAATTTTGCTGTAAACCTAAAGTGCTCTAAGAAACTAAACATTTTTTAGAAGAATGGTGTTTTGAACGCTG
Source organism: Homo sapiens (assembly GCF_000001405.40). Classification (NCBI taxonomy): domain Eukaryota; kingdom Metazoa; phylum Chordata; class Mammalia; order Primates; family Hominidae; genus Homo; species Homo sapiens. The sequence continues at coordinate 110,783,954 of NC_000013.11, read as the reverse complement.
GCCTGAAGAAATTTTCCGAGAAAGAACTCCAAAAGCATTGATCCTGGCAGCACCATGAGGTAAATATGCACCTTGCAAGCCAACCATCTGGACAAGAACACGGTGACTTGGATGGGTCTGTACCAGCACATTTGTTCAAAACCACCTTTACTTTTTGATACGGTTTGACTCTCTGTCCCCATCCAAATCTCATCTTGAATTGTAATCCCCATGTGTCAAGGGAGGGACCTGGTGGGAGGCAATTGAATCATGGGGGTGGTTTCCTTATCATAGTGAGTGAGTTCTCATGAAATCTGATTAAAGTGTGGTATTTTCCCCTATTCTCTCTCTCCCTCTTTCTCTCCTGCAACCATGTGAAGAAGGTCCTTGCTTCTCCTTTGCCTTCCGCCATGATTGTAAGTTTCCCAAGGCCTCCCCAACCATGTGGAACTGTGAGTCAATTAAACCTCTTTTCTTAAATTACCCATTCTCTTGTAGTTCTTCACAGCAGTGTGAAAACAGACTAATACAGGAAATTGATACTGGGAGCTTGGGGAGCTGCTACAAAGATATTTGAAAATGTGGAAGTCACTCTGGAATTGGGTAACAGAGGTTGGAACAGTTTGGAGGGCTCAGAAGAAGACAGGAAGATGTGGGGAAGTTTGGAATTTCCTAGAGACTTGTTGATTGGTTTTGACCAAACTGACCATAGTGATATGAACAATGAAGTCCAGGGAAGTGGTCTCAGATGGAGATGAGGACCTTCTTGGGAACTGGAGCATACGTTACTCTTGCCATGCTTCAGTAAAGAGACTGGCAGCATTTTGCCCCTGCCCTAGAGATCTGTGGAACTTTGAACTTGAGAGAGATTATTTAGGGTATCTGGCTGATATGGTTTGACTGTGTCTCCACCCAAATCTTATCTTGAATTCCCATGTGTTGTGGGAGGGACCCAGTGGGGGGTAATTGAATCATGGGGGCAAGTCTTTCCCATGCTGTTCTCATGATAGTGAATAAGCCTCATGAGATCTGATGGTTTTTAAAGAGGAGTTCCCCTGCATAAGCTCTCTCTCTTTGCCTGCTGCCATCCATGTAAGATGTAACTTGCTCCTCCTTGCCTTCTGCCATGACTGTGAAGCCTCCCAGCCATGTAGAACTGTAAGTCTATTAAACCTGTTTCTTTTGTAAATTGCCCAGTCTCAGGTCTGTCTTTATCAGCAGCATGAAAATGGACTAATACACTGGTAGAAGAAACTTCTAAGCAGCAAAGCCCTCAAGATGTGACCTGGCTTTTTCTGAAGGCATACAGTCATATGGGTTCACAAAGAGATGATCTGAAATTGGAACTTATGTTTAAAAGGGAAGAAGAGGATAAAAGTTTGAAAAATTTGTAGCCTGACCCTGTGGTAAAAAAGAAAAACCCATTTTCTGAGGAAAAAGTCAAGTCACCAGCTGCAGAAATTTGCATAAGTAAAGGGAAGCCAAATGTTAATAGCCAAGACAATGGGAAAAATGTGTCTAGGGCATTTCAAAAATTTTCAAGGCAGTCCCTCCTATCACAGGCCCAGAGGCCTAGGAGGTAAAAATGGTTTCATGGGCCAGGTCCAGGGCTCTACTGCTGATCTGTGCAGCCTCAGGATTTGGTGCCCTGTGTCCCAGCTATTCCAGCTACAGCCATGGCTAAAAGGGGCCAAGATACAGCTTGGGCCATTGCTTTGGAGGGGGCAAGTCCCAAGCCTTAGCAGCTTCCACATGATGTTGGGCCTGCAGGTGCACAGAAGGCAAGAGTTGAGGTTTGGGAGCCTCCGCCTAGATTTCAGAGGATGTATGGAAACACCTGGATTTCCAGGGAGACTTCTGCTGTAGGGGGTGGAGCCCTCATGGAGGACCTCTACTAGGTTAGAGCAGAGGGGAAACATGGGGTTGGAGCCCCCACACAGAGTCCCCACTGTGGCACTGCCTAGTGGAGCTGTGAGAAGACAGTCACCATCCTCCAGACCCCAGAATGGTAGATCAACCAACAGCTTGCAATGTGCACCTGAGAAAGCCACAGAAGCTCAACACCAGCTCATGAAAGCAGCTGTGGGGGTTGTACCCTGCAGAGCCACAGATGTGGAGCTGCCCAAAGTCTTGGGAGCCCACCCCTTGCATCAGCATACCTTGGATGTGAGACATGGAGTCAAAGGAGATCATTTCAGAGCTTTAAGATTTAATGACTGCCCCACTGGGTTTTGGACTTGGATGGGGCCCGCAGCCCCTTTGTTTTGGTCAATTTCTCACTTTTGGAATGGAAGCATTTATCCAATGCCTGTACCCTCATTGTATCTTAGAAGTAACTAACTTGTTTTTGATTTTACAGGCTCATAGGCAGAAGAGACTTGCCTTGTCTCAGATGAGACTTTGGACTTGAAGTTTTGAGTTAATGCTGGAGTGAGTTAAGGCTCTGGGGGACTGTTGGGAAAGCATGATTGGTTTTGCAATGTGAGAAAGACATGAAATTTGGAAGGGGCCAGGGGTGAAATGATATGGTTTGGCTCTGTGTCCCCACCCAAATTTCATCTTGAATTGTAATCCCCAGCCAGGCTTAGTGGCTCACACCTGTAATCCTAGCACTTTGGGAGGCCAAGGCAGGTAGATTGCCTGAGCTGAGGAGTTCGAGACCAGCCTGGGGAACATGGTGAAACCCCATCTCTACTAAAAATACAAAAAATTAGCTAGGTGTGGTGGTGTGTGCCTGTAATCTCAGCTACTCGGGAGGCTGAGACAGGAGAATCACTTGAATCCAGGAGGTGGAGGTTGCAGTGAGCTGAGATTGTGCCACTGCACTCCATCCTGGGCAACAAGAGCGAGATTCTGTCTCAAAAAAAAAATAGAATTGTAATCCCCATATGTCAAGGGAGGGACCCGGTCGGAGGCAATTGCATCACGGGGGCAGTTTCCCCCATGCCGTTCTCATGATAGTAAGTGAATTCGCATGAGATCTGATGGTTTAAAAGTGTGGCACTTTCCCCTTCATCCTCTCTCTCTCCTGCCACCATGTGAAGAAGGTCCTCACTTCCCCTTTGCCTTCCACTATGATTGTAAATTTCCTGAGGCCTCCCCAGCCATGTGGAACTGTGAATCAATTAAACCTTTTTTTCTTCATAAATTACCCGGTCTTAGGTAGTTCTTTATAGCAGTATAAAAATGGACACTTTGTTCCTTTTTTTATATTGAATATGGTCAGTAGACTCCTAAGTAATGGGGATTAAAAATGTGTAAATGAGAAATTTCTGCTTCCAGTAATGACTGAATGGGTAATTTGGACCAGACTCTCTGTGGAGCACTACTAGAAAAGCTGGCAAAACATGCAAACATCTGCTCTGTGGTACGGGTGTGTAAAATGGTCAGGCCAATGAGTAGGCCTAGGGAGGGGAATCTGGTGCTCAGGAAGTTGAAAAAACGTAAAATAAACACAGAGAAGCTAGATGGAAGAACATAATAAAGACAATAATAGAAATTTAAAAATATTAACACTCAGTAAAGAGAATCAAGAAAACTAAAACTTGGTTCTTGCAGAAGTCTAGCAAAATAAATAATCCTCTGGCAAAAGTGACCAAGAAACAAGTGGCAGGGAAGTGGGGGTGGGGGACACAAAATAATATTCAACATCAAAAATGAAAAGGGAGCATATCTACAAAGCCTGCAGAATTAAACATGGCAACAAGAGGATGTCATGCGTAATTTTATAATTATTTGAAAATTAAATGAAGTAGACAAGTTCCCATAAAGTTACAACCTACTGTTGGTAGAACTTAACCCTTTACTGTTCGCCTGAGCATACTCGCTGGCTATGTTTGTGGCTGCAGCATTTACCCCGAGATAATTCTCCACAAAATATCTCACTTTTATTATTATCTTTGCATAGCTCGAATGTATCAACTTTGGAAACAAAATACATCATTCTATTTATAGCATTCTGCTTTTAGTAGTGGTATTTTCCATTTACAAAATACAATAATCCTCAATTGCTGAAAATGTCAAATCCTAGAAAATGTAGAATTCCTACACGTGATGTTAACGTGGTTCTCACAGTTGTTGCTGAAGATTCATTTGATAAATCCGATTTTTCTAAAATAGATGATTCTGATGATGCAGATGATTCTGATGTTAGTTCTGTTTCGAAATAACTCCAAGAACAGTTTTTATATTTTATTTTCACATTGAAAATCATTTAGATTTGCTCCAGCCTCAAAGAGCGTGTTTATGTAAAAGCAAATGAGCGCTGGCAGTGAGCTGGACTTTATTTTTCTAAATGGAAAAGGGGTTAACTTACTTATGACTTCTACCAAACATTTAAGGAAGAAGCTAAAGCCAGTGCTGGGAAAAGAGGGGCCTGATCTCCGCTCGTCTTATGAAGCCGCAAGAGCTTTGATACTTAGTTCTTACCGTAAACTAAATGTTTGTGTCCACCCAAAATTCATACATTAAACCTAATCACCAATGTGATAGATAATGTTCAGAGGTAGGGCCTTTGGGAGGTCTTGAGCTCATGGGGCAGATTCCTTGTGAATGGGATGAATGTCCTTATAAAAGAGACCCCAGAGAGCTCCCTTGCCCCTTCCACCATGTGAGCACACAGCAGGAAGGCTCCATCTATGAACCAAGAAGCCCTCACCAGACACAGACTCTGCCAAAATAATTAAACCTCAGTCTGGGATTTCCCAGCCTCCAGAACTGTGAGAAATAAGTTTCTGTTGTAAAAAGACACCCAGTCCATGGTATTTTGTTATAGCATCTGGAAGACATTTAGACAGTTCTATACACAGTATTAACCAATTTAACTCAGCAGTAAATAAAAAGCGTAACACATTGTGATCAACCGTTGCTTATAGCAGAAATGCAAGGTTGTTTTACTATCCAGCAATCCGGCTGGGCATAGTGGCTCATGCCTGTAATCCCAAAACCCTGGGAGGCCAAAGTGGGAGCATCACTTGAGGTCAGGAGTTCGAGACCAGCCTGGGCAACATAGCAAGATCTCATCTCTACAAAATGTTTTTAAAGTTAGCCAGGTTCAGACCCGGTGCAATGGCTCAGGCCTGTAATCCCAGTGTTTTGAAAGGTCGAGGTGCAAAGATCACCTGAGGTCAGGAGTTCAAGACCAGCCTGACCAACATGGTGAAACCCCGTCTCTACTAAAAATATAAAAATTAGCCAGGCATAGTGGCAGGCACCTGTAATCCCAGCTACTCTGGAGCCTGAGGCAGGAGAATCGCTTGAGTGTGGGAGGCGGAGTTTGCAGTGAGCTGAGATCGTGCCATTGCACTTCAGCCTGGGCAACAAAAGCAAAACTTCATTTCAAAAAATAATAATACTGATAATAATAGTGATAAAATAAAATTAGCCAGGTTCAATGGCATGTACCTGTAGTCCTAGCTACTCAGGAGGCTGAGGTGGGAGGATTGCTCGAGCCCACGAGTTCAAGGCTGCAGTGAGCCAGGGAGCTATGACTGTACCATTGCACTACAGCCTGGGTGACGGAGTGAGACTCTGTCTCCAAAAGTAAAAAGACAATCAATATAATTGCATACATTAACAGAATAAAGGAGAAATATCATATGATTAGCTTAATAGATGTAGATATAAATAGATGCCTTCATTAAAAGTCAACATTTATTAATGATTTCTAGAAAATCTCATAGTAAACTTAAAATGGAAAGAAACTTTTATAATATGACAATAAGTATTTACAGAAAAAAAGTCTACCACAAACGTACTCAATTATGAAATGCTGAGAGCTTTCCCTTGAAGACTGTGAGAAGATAAGAATGCCTTCTCTCTCTTTCTCTTTTCAGCCTTGTTCTGAATGTCCTGCCAGTGCAGAAAGGTGTGAAAAAGATGCTAAATGTTTAAGTATCAAAAAGGAAGAAATAAAACTGCCATTTTCTCAGGAAATATAATTGCGTGTGTAGACCATCCAAAATAATCTACGAATAAATTATCAGAACCAGTAAATTGGTTTATTAGACATAAGACCAACAGGCAAAAATCAACTATATTTCCATATATCAATAATAAACAGTAAGAAAATCAGTTTTAGAAGAGCTAAAACAAGTTAAAATAGTATTGAAAGAACATCAAAAAGTTAGGAATAAATCTGATTGACACACAGTATCTCTAGATGGAAAACCATAAACTACAAGAGTGACAAATTGAAGAAAACCTCATAAAATGGAGAGTTTAACAAGAGGAAGCCTCGTTTTTGTAAAACTATCAACACTCCCTAAAGTATTCTACAGGTCACTGAAATCCCACCACAATTCAAACAGATCTGTTTGTGAAAAATGACAAGCTGTTTCAGAAAGCTTACGTGACTCACAGATCTTGGTTTTTGAACATCATTCTTCACTCTCAGGAACCTGGACTCTGTGGGAAAGAGGCTGACTTCAGGCCAGGCATGGAGAGAGAACAAAGTGGGCCTGTCACACCCTGGACAAAAACAATGATGAGGCAGGTCCAGAGGACATGGCACCAGTGTGTGGGACTCTCCTGCCTCATCTAGGACAATGCAAGCAGCAAAGTCCCCTAAGTTCACACTGATCAAAGTAACTAAACCAATAAGGGAGGGCCAAAGAACTCTTCCTTATCATAGAGAACTGTTTCCTAGGGCTGCTGTAAAAAACACCACAAACCCAGTGGCTTCAACAACAAAAACGTATTGTCTCACAGCTCTGGAGGCTGGAAGTCCCAGATCAAGGTGTCCGTAGGGTTGACTCCTTCTGAGGCTGGGGGATTATCTGTTCAAGCCTCTCTCCTTGGCTTGTAGATGGCTGCCTTCTCCTGGGCCTTCCTATCATCCTCCTTGTGTGTGTCTTTCCACCTAAATCTTCCCTTATTATAAGGACCCCTGTCTTGTTGGATTGGGGCCCACCCTAATAACCTTATTTTATCTTGATCACCTCTGTAAAGACCAAACTCCAAATAAGGGCACATGTTGAGGTGCTAAGAGTTATGAATTTGGGTGCTAGAGGTTATGAACACACAATTAACCCATAACACCAAGGAATAAATGTAGGAACAATGGGGTTAGAAAAATCATCATTTGAAAACCACCATGTTAACAATCAACTCAGATTAGAATCATCAACAAATGCTAAAACTAATGGATTAAAGAATGATGTGTAACAGTATATTTACATAGTATCAAAGTATCTCCCTCTCAGAATAAATACTAATTACAAAAGCAAAAAAAATATTACCTGTACAGAAAAGAGGACTGTCAGACATCTCCTTAACTGTGTGGCGCTGGGAAGCATGTGTTCCTGACGTTGCTCTGAAAAGGGCATCATCTCACTTCTGTGGTTCTCCTGCCAGAAATTCACAACCTCAGTTTAATCAGGAAGAAACATGAGACAACCCCTAGGTGAGGAAATGCTACAAAATCGTGGTCAAAATGTCAAGGTCTCAAAAGAGAAAGCCAGACTAAAGAATCCCCCAGATTAAAGAAAACTGAAGAGACCTAGGAAATAAGTACAACATGTGACCCTGGACTGGATCCTGGAGCAGAATGTTTTTGCATAAAAACATGTTATTGGAACAATTGATTGGTAAAACAATAAATAAAGTCTGAGGAATAGAAAACAGTATTGTACATGTATTATTTTTACATTCTTTTTCTGATTTTGATAACTGTGCCTGTAGTTACTAAGAGGATGTCTTTACTCTTAGTGCATACTTACTGGAATCTTTAGGGATAAAGGAACATCATGACTGTGACTTACTCTGAAATTGTCAGAAAAATAATGTGTATATTACATACATATGGAAGGAGAGAGACCATAAAGCAAGTATCAGCAATTGGCGAATCTAGGTGAAGTATCTACAGAAATTCTTTGTGCTATTCTTGCAAATTTTCTGTAAGATTCAAATTATTTCAACGTAAAAACTTACCAAATTTTTTTAAGTGAGTTATACAAAAATGCAAAGGCCTGGAAGAGCCTTGCAGGATCCAGGCAGGAGCTTGCTCTGCTGGGCAGTCGCACTGCCCAGAGCTGAAGGTCAGAGATGCCGTGGTGGAGGTGGAAGACCGTCTCAGCATGTCCTAGCTGTTATGACACAACACCACAAACCAGGTGGCTTCTAACCACGGAAATGTATTTATCGCAGTTCTGGGGACTGGGAAGTGGAAGATCAAGGTGCTAGCAGATTTGGTGTTGGTGAAGCCTGGTTCCTGGTTCAGGGAAGCCATCTCTTTGCTGTGACCTCACATGGCAAAAGGGATGTGGGAGCTCTCTGGGGCCTCATTTACAAGGGCACTAATCTCATTCCTGAGGATCTGCCCCCATGAACTCCTCCCTCCCAAAGGCCCCAGCTCCTCATTCTATCACATTGGGAATTAGATTTCAGCATATGAAATGTGGGAGGACACAAACGTTCAGACCATAGTGCAGACAAATAAAACACTGAAACAGAACAGACTCCAGAAACACACTGCATGGATGGCCTCCAGGGTTGTGACAGAGGTGGCCCCGCAGAGTGCAGGGAAAGGCAGGACTTCTAATACATGTGATGGGACAATTAAGTATTTATATGAGGTGAAAGAAAAGAGAAAGAGGGAAGAAAGGAGAGAAAGAAAGAGAAGGAAGGAAGGAAGGAAAAGAAGAGGGAGAAAGAAAGATTTAACCTCCACTTGCCTCCATACATAAAAATCAATACCAGCTTACCAAAATGTGAAAAGTGAAACAGTAATGTTTTGGTAAGAAAACACAGCAAAATACCTTCATGACCTCAGAGTAGGGAAGGACACTTTAAGCAGACACAAAAAACTCTACCATAAATGAAAAAGTGCAATTTTGGATGACATTTTAATGAAGAACTCTGTCCTTTATAAGAAGCCTTAAATGAGCAAAAAATCCAAGCCATAGAGTGGGAGAAGATATTTAACTGACAAAGAGATTGTATCTCAATGATACGAAGAACTCCCACAGATATGAAAATAACAGACAACCCCATAGAAAACCAGGAAAGACCTTCACAGGTGCTTTGCCAAAGAGAGTATTAAAGTTGCCAATCGCATATAAAAAAATTCTCACCCTCATTAAGATGAAAATGATTACTTTGAGATTCTACAACACACAGAGAATGGATAACATTAAAAAGAATGACGGTAATACATTGCTGTGGTCCAAATGTGTATTTCCCACCAAGTTCATTTGTTGAAATCCTAACCACCAATTTGACGGCATCTGGAGGTAGGGCCTTTGGAAGGTGGCTAGGTCATGAGGGTGGAATCCTCGTAAGTGAGATTAGTGTCCTTATATAAGGGTTGAGGGCCAGGCACAGTGGCTCACGCCTGCAATCCCAGCATTTTGGGAGGCCAAGGCGGATGGATTGCCTGAGCTCAGGAGTTCGAGGCCAGCCTGGGCAACATGGTGAAACCCTGTCTCTGCTAAAAGTACAAAAATCATCCAGGTATGGTGCCACATGCCTATAATCCCAGCTACTCAGGAGGCTGAGGCGGGAGAATCACTTGAACCCAAGAGGCAGAGGTTTCAGTGAGCAAAGATCATGCCACTGCACTCCAGCTTGGGCAACAGAGCGAGACCCTATCTCAAACAAAAAAAGAAGTGGAGGGGCTTGAGGGAGCCTGTTTGGTCCTTTATCCCTCATGCCATGTGAGGACACAGCAGTGAGGCACCATCTATGGAGCAGAGAGCAGCCCTCACCAAATGGCCTGCTGGTGCCCTGATTTTAGACTTCCCAACCTCCAGAACTGTGAGCAATGTTTCCATGGTTATAAATTACCCAGTCTAAGATCCTTTGTGATAGTAGCTTGAATGAACTATGACACACCTGTGGTGAGGTTGTAGGAAAACAGAAGCTTTCAGACACTGCTGGTGGCCTGTAAATTGGACTACCACCTTGGAAACTGTTTGACTCTACCTACAGAGGTTAAAGATACACACACCCACTTTCACAGCAATTTCCCTGCTAGGTAAATGCACAGCCAAGATTCATGAACATGTGTACCAGAGAAGGGCACTTCACCTCTATTGTGTTATTTCCAAGAGCCCAGAACCCCACTTCAATCGTGAGAAAACAGACAAACCCAGATTGAGGGACATCCTACAAAATACTGACCTGTTCTCCTCAAAACTGTCAAGGTCACTAAAAAGCAAAGAACATCTAGAAAACCGTCACAGACCAGAGGAGGCCAGGGAGACACGGTGACTATACATGAGGTTTCTGAATGGGACTGTGACACAGATAAAGGACATTTGTGAGAAGCTGACAAAACCCACATGACGTGCAGAGTGCATGGTCCATAGCAAGGTGGCATCACTGGTTTCTCGATGCACGATGATAACATAAGATGTTGCCAACAGGGGAAATGGGGTGTGGGCTCTCTATGCGAGAGCGCTCTGTACTATCTTTGCATCCTCTTTGTAAATCTAAATTCATTCAAAACTTAAAAATTTATTTTAATAACAGGTTAGTGGGCATCCACCTGTGTATAATTGGCTGTTCTCTTTGGGTCTAACTTAAGGAGACATTTTCTTTTCTCTCTCCACCTCCACCAATGTTGTGGATTATCTATTCAACGAAATTTCATGGAAATGTATTCCTCATCTCACATTGAGATCCATCCTAAAAGGATGAATCTATAGAAGGGATTTCCTACCGGCTTACATTGAGATGCCATTTCTGTTTCTCTCACCCTGGTGAACCTTCATGGCTTGAAGGAAAGGGGCAGAAACATTTATGGTGAGACTAGTGGAGCGTGTGGGGATTAGAGAAAGAGTTTTCCAAATGGAAAAGGTCTAAGAATTCTGATCAGTAAGAAAAACAGTAGAATTAAGGACATGGACTTTAAAGAAATACATAGCAACCTGAAGGTTTAAGCCATCTAAATAATTATAATTATTTCCCAGAGCAAAAATGTAATAGACAGGCCCATCTGTCTGAATCAACTTTTACAAAACCCAGGGAAGGATTTCTGGTCTGTTTTTTCTGTATGGAAACTCAGCCACAGAGCTCAAATAATTGCAGCTCCCAATACTGTAATCCTGCAGGGGCCCATTTGGGAAGTCCCTTCCAGTCACGGAAACAACAAATCAGGCTTTATACTGAATCCGATTTCCTTTAATGTGTGGTCATTTCCCAAAGGGATCAATCAGGCTCAGAAATGGCCACAGCTGACTGGGCCATGCTGAAGTCTGACCGGTCATCAGCACAAGAAAGGCTCCGTGTGCTCAATCCCCGACCTTGAGTCCCAATCCTCCTGTCTTGTCCAGCAGTCCCTGTTGGGGGTTTAATGATCAAATCTGACAGATACCACACCTGAGCACGCTGGGCAAAGGCGCCATCCCCAGATCACTTCAGAATGAGGAAACTGAGCTCAATTTTCAGTTCGGGGCCAGACAGAGCAAAGCATAGCCAAGAGAGGCAGAATTCTCTTTCCACTGTTACTTGGACTTTTTCACCCAAAAAGGAAGATCTGGCAAATTAATTTGCATCACGTGCCCTTGCAGGGATGCAGAGGTGAAGGATTTTCCTTGACTTCTGTTGCCATTGAGATACCTTCCATTAAGTGCTGCTTACAGATTCACAAATCTTTTACAGTCACATGACAGTGGATGAGGAGCCTTCTGTGGCTGATGTTTCATCTGTACATTCCCCGAGAGGGCAGCTGCAAACTTGAAACTGGACTTGCTCCAGTGGTTCCCAACTGTGTGCTAAGGAACACTGGTGAGACCATGGACTCCCAGGAGTGCCACAGGACAGTTTCTGCTTTCAGAACACACAATCACATTCCCGGAAACTAGTAGGCGATGCCATATCTTTGTGGAGCTGGGTTTTCCTCAGCTGCTACAAAAAAAACGAGAATCAAACAAAAGTCAAGGTGGACCAGGAAATGAGGGTGACTGTGTCCAGCGATTCCAGAGACGGGGGAATTGTGTGTGACCAGCAGGTGTGCTCACTCATGAGCCAGTGGCCCTGGCTATTTAAGGATGAAATGAAATATTTTCTTTTAGTTTGATTTACGTGTGTTATTTTTGTATATTATACCTGGTTGTGAGGACATGGATATTTATTAAGTTGTCTGAGCATTATTACTTAGTAAACAAAACTGTTAGGTATTACTTTTATCCAAGGGGTGCCACGAGAAAAGCTGCCATGCCCTAAAAGGGTGCCCTGACTTAAGTAACCTTGGGAACCTCTGGAGCAGGCAATGTTGTCCTCAAACAAAGGAGGTGAAACGACTTGCTTATTTCTTTTTGAAATTCTTCCTATTATTTTCTACAAGTTGAACGGCTCATTGAGCTTTAGCCATCTGTATCAAAACCTCAAAAACATACTTTAAAATGTTATTAAAGAAAAACATCTTTTTAAAATGGAAAACATTCCCCGTGACTAAAGAACGATATTCAGTATCAGATTTGCAATTTCAATTTCCCAGTCCTCTATTAACTGATGGTTGCGTTGGCTGGCCACTTAACCGGAAGTTCCTTTTGCCATAGATCAGCACATCCTTCCTTGTCACATTAACACTCCCTTAGACGTCAGGGGCAGCAGGAAACTCCCCTGTAAGGGCAAGGTTATAAATGAAAAGCAAGCGCACACACACACAAAAGCAGCCCAGTGGCTGGGCACAGTGACTCACGCCTGTGATCCCAGCACTTTGGGAGGTCAAGGTGGGTGGATCACTTAAGGCCAGGAGTTCAAGACCAGCCTGGGCAACACGGCAAAACCCATGTCTACCAAAAATACAAAAATTAGCCATGCGTGGTATTGTGCACCTGTAGTCCCAGCTGCTTAGTAGGCTGAGGAGGGAGGATCGCTTGGGACCAGGAGTTTGAGGCTGCAATGAGCCGAGATTGTGCCACTGCACTCCAGCCTGGGCAACAGAGAAAGATACCGTCCAAAAAAAAAAAAAAAGCAGCCAGAAACCATTTAGTGACAACTCAATTAGTGAATTGTTTGGGGACAAAAATCTACGTGAAAACATTGTCTCTGATTGAACAGAAAGAACCAGAGAGGGCAGCAGACACCTCATGTCATGTCCACAGTCCTGCAAGTCATGAGAGCTGGGGCTGACCGGGGACTGAGAGCTCCTCTCCCACCTCCAGCCTCCACACACCCCAAACATGAATGCGAGCAAGACTGTTGCCTCACCTGCTGAGCCCGTCCCCGTCAAACTCACACACACATCTGCGCCAATGACGAGAACCTCAATTTCCAGTACATTCTACTCTACACTACTACTGCCGACTAAAAACGCTCAAAGCCATCTGAATTCAGTCACAGAGGCTGATAGATTCTTTCCAATTTTCTAGGCTCTGGCTTATGTCCCTGACAAGAAAAACACAAACTTCTAAACACCTGAGCAGCTCCTCAAACCATCCTGGTAAGGGATGAGAAGCTTCCACAGCCCACCCCTTACTCCTGAGCAGCTCCCCTAACCACCCCTTATGCCTGAGCAGCTTCCCTAACCACCCCTTATTCCTGAACAGCTCCCCTAACCACCCCCTTACCCCTGAGCAGCTCCCCTAACCGCCCCCATTCCTGAACAGCTCCCCTAACCACCCCCTATTCCTGAGCAGCTCCCCAACCACCCCCTTACGTCTGAGCAGCTCCCTAACCACCCCCTACCCCTGATCAGCTCCCCTAATCCAACCCTTACCTCCTGAGCAGCTCCCCTAACCTACTCTCTTAACCCTTGTGTGGGAGTGGCACCTCTTTAATTGTGAAAGGTAAGCAATCTCCCAAAATGAGATTTTCTTTTCCCTAGGGAGATAGACTCTTAGGAAGTTTGCAAAGACAGGCATGAAAGATAGAAGTCAACTACAGAGCAAGGAAAACGTTAAAGAAGCAAGATCAGAAAAAAAAAAAAGTGATTTGGTAGGCCGGGTATAGTGGCTTAAGGCTTTAATCCGAGTGGTTTGGGAGGCTTGAAAAAGAGTTCAAGGCTGCAGTGAGCTATGGTCACACCACTGCACTCCAGCCTGGGTGAGAGAGACAGACCCTGTTTCTATTTTTAAAAAAAGAAGTATGGGGGCTAAGCTATGAGGATGCAAAGACATAAGAATGACATAATGGACTTTGGGTAATCGGGTAGAAGGGTGGGAGCAAGGTGAGGGCTAAAAGACTACACATTGGGTGTAGTCTACACTGCTCGGGTGATGGATGCACCAAAATCTCAGAAATCACCACTAAAGAACTTTTCCATGCAACCAAACACCACCTGTTCCCGAAAACCATTGAAATAAAAATAATAATCATAATAATAAATGTTTTGTTTTAAGCAAAAAAAATTTCAAAGATGAAAAGTTATTAGTCCTTCCCAAGTATAATAGTTCATTTCCAAGGGGAAATGAACAACTATGTTCATACAAAAAGTTTTACATGACTGTTCATAGCAGTTTTGTAATACTCATCTCAAATAAATATTAGAAAACAACCCAAATATCCAACACCAGGTGGTAGATTCATACAATGGAATACTATTCCACTATAAAAAAAAAAAGAAATGGACTAAAATGCATGCAATAACATCGATGGATATCCGGAGAATCATAATCAGTGAAAACAGCAAAAACAAAAGGCTATGTACTGTATGATTCCATTGATGAGAACACCTAGGTAGGCAGAATTGTAGTGACAAAGTGGATGAGTGATTGCCCAGGGCCAGGTGTTGGGGAGAGGGACTCTACCACGGAGGAGTTAACAGGAATTACTCAGAGGCATAGAACCATTCTTTATCTTCACTGTGATGATGGGGACATGACTGTATCCAGCTACCAAAATTCATTAAACTATTCACCTAAAATAAGTCAATTTTAATGTGTTTAAATTATGCCTCCAAAAATTATTTTTAAAGTAATTGGCTAACATTTGTTAAAAGAAAAATGTTTTTATTCAAGATGCTATTTATTTATGATTTTAATTAATGAGCTTTATTTTTAGATTGGCTTTAGGTTCAAGGGTGAATTGCGTGGAAAGTACAGAGTTCCCATATGCCTGCTGTCTCCGCACACACGCCACCTCCCTGGCACTGTCAAGATCTCGCGTCTCCGTGGCATATTTGTTACGTTCCATAAATCCACACATCATTAGCACCTAAGGTCCATGACTTACATTAGGTTTCACTCTTGATGTTGTACATCTATAGGTTTGGACAAATGTATAACGACATGTACCCACCATTGTGTATCATGCAGAACAGTTTCACTGCCCTAAAAGGCATCTGTGCTCAGTCCGCTCGCCCCTCTCTCCCCTGTAACACCTGGTAACCACTGATCTCTTTATTATCTCCATATTTTTCTTTTGCAGAATGTCGTATAATTGGCGTCATACAGTCTGCAGCCTCTTCAGATTGGCTTCCTTCTCTTAGTATGCATTTAACTTTCTTCCATGTCTTTTCAGGCTTGTCGACTCATTTCCCTTTAGTGCTGAATAGCATCCCATTGCCTAGATGTACCACAGTTCATTCACTCACCTACTGAAGGACATCTTGGTAGCTTCCAAGTTTTGGCAATTATAGATAAAGCTCTATAAGCATTGTGTGTAGGTTTTTGTTTGGACATAAGCTTCCAATTCATTTGAGTAAATACCAGTGAGCATGACTACTGGATCCCGTGGTAAGAAATGTTTAGTTTTGTAAAAAACTGCCAAAGTGTCTTCCAAAGTGGCGGTACCATTGTGCATTTCCACCAGCAATAAATAAGAGTTCCTGTGGCTCCATGTCCTTGCCAGTAAAAAAAAAATAAATATATATATATAAATTTAAAAATTAAAAAACAAAATTAAAAAAAGAGGTAGAAAGCTAACCTGGCCATTTTAGACAGAGAAAAAATGTATCTTAGAGGAGAGGAAGATATCAAATTTACTTAAAATTAAAAGGAGAAAGTCAAGATAAAACAGAAATATGTCATGAAATTTATATAAATAGAAAATGGGCCCCTTTGTGTAAGCATTTAAAAAGAATTACATGTAATGGATGAAGAAATGTTGGCATGCAAAGTGAAAAAAAAATAAAGTCACTTATAAAGTATTTTAACATTTTATCCCAGATGGTGTTACAGAAATAAGCTGAGGGAAAACAGGCTTAACCTAAAGAACAAAATCAAAACATACAAGGATTGAGTGAAAACAACCAGTGTCCGGGAGGTGCAACGGACGCTCACCATCGGCTAGCATTTTGTTGAGGGTTTTCATGTCCCTATTCATAAGAGATATTGGTTTGGAATTTTCTCTTTTTGCAAAATATTTGTGTGGGTTTGGTATCAGGGTAATGCTGGCCTCAGAAAATGCGTGGCGAGGCATGCCTCTCTTCTATTTTCTGGAAGTGAGTGAGGAATTCATACTAATTCTTCTTTGAATAGTAGTACAAGTAAAGGGTGAGCCATCTGAGCTTTTCTTGGGAAGTTTTTAGATTCCTGCTTCTATCTCTTCCTTTGTCCCCTGCAAGTCCCCGGACCTTGCCCTCCCCAACCCTCCCAGCCTCTATCAGCCAGCCCTGTGCCAGCTCTTCATCCCAGCTTGGGCTATGTCCTTCTCCATTTGTGATGGAAAGCCAATAATCTGAGCACTCACGTGAGCAGGATTCCGTGCCTTGCTGTCACTCACATTTACATGCTGCTGTTTCTGGACCCCATACACATAGGGAAGAATTTAGACATTAATGCAGTCCCCAGGGGCATATGGTCCCTGGTTTTTAGCAATGTGCTCATCTGTCAGTGGGCCCTGGAGATGCCTCTTTTTGGTTTGAAAAAGCCAGATGGGCCTTTTCACAAGAACCTTCAAGAAATGAGAACATCCCTGAGGCTGAAACCATAGTGGAGAAACTCGGAATCTGTTCCCATTGTCATCCCTCAAAAACTGATTAGTCAAAGAGACAAAAGACTGCAGTCAACAGAGATGAATCTGTCTCTCCCTGTAGACACAAAGTAGACAATATCTGGAAGGACTGCTCTGGTCTCGTTCTGAACATCCAGATGGCTCCTACTTTGGTCACTAGGTTCATAAATGGCTTACACCAGTAATTAGGATGTTAGCCAAAAACACTATGTAAATTAGCAAAATGCTCCTCTCTTTGAAATGCATGTACTAGGCCAAAAACATGAGGACTCCATTGCAGAAAAAGTCAAGTAAACACAGTGCAAACTAATGGTTTCACAACTTAAACACTTCAGAGAAAACAAGCCAAGGCAATCTGTTCCCTCCAAACCCCCACAGATTGGGATTCTTGAAGATACTGTAAAGAAGTGTAGATATTATAAATAAAGACTCTGGATTGTCTAGCCTTAAGATGCAAAAAGGAGTAAGTGTCCATCTCCCCAGTTCATTTTTTCCATGGGAACTTCCCCTGTGTGCCCACACTAACCAGATGCATGAAGAGAATTCATCAGCCCATCGATGGCCACACACCACCTTCCTCGTGGACTCAGGGGCAATGTTCCACCACGAGCGCCTCTTACTTTCTGACCATGCTTAGAGCACGAAAACCATACTTGGTCATCTCCTACATGACTTGACTTTACCTAAACCTCTTCCTTTCTCACTAGGACCTCTGAGTGCCCAGCACAGCTTCCTACTCAGCTTCACAACCCTGAGCAAACCTTCTGGGAGGAGAGCTCCTCCCCAACCTGAATTCCAGTATTCTTGGCGCTGCCAAGGGCCTGCCCCTGAAGTCCCCGACTCCATGTCTGTGAACCTTTGTCCTTGTGTAACTCTCATTGACCACTTACATTTTCTTGCTCCTGTTCAAAGCCCCTGAACCCCCTTTAAACTCTCAAGTACATAGTACCTGTAGTGTATATTCACTGCAACACCTGACTTCCTTTGGGCTGCTTACTCACCTGATGTAGACCAAATTTGAGAGGCTGAAATAGATCTTTCCATGCCCTCCCAACATGGTTGCATAATTCAAGGCTTCCTTGACCAGGGGCTCTTTGTCCCCATGCCCAATCCCTGTAATAACACCATCTTCCCCAAAAAGCAGACTAATGGTGAGGGAAACTACCTAGTCCCAGACAGAAACAATAAACAAAATAGTCAAACCCAGAACTCCTCCAGTTCCTAACTTCAGCAACACCCTGGCCTCTAGCTCCCCTGGCCTCTAGCTCACCTGGCCACTCACTTCAGTGATACTCTTCTGAGTTTTCAGTATACTTCTTCACCTCAGCTTACAAGACTTATTGCCTTCACATGGAAAAATCAACAATGCAGATGGACTTTTGTGTCTCAGGGGCTTACTGAGCCCTACTTATTTCTCTTGAACCCTAAATGCAAACCTGAGGGATTTAACTTTTCTCTAAAGCCCTGTCCTCATCCAGTGTGTACATGTCTTAGTCCGTTTTGCATTGCTGTAGAGGAATATCTGAGCCTGGGTAACTGATAAAGAAAAGAGGTTTATTTGGCTCACAGTCCTGCAGACTGCACAAGAAGTGTGGCACCAGCATCTGCTGCTGGGGAAGCCTTGGGAAGCTTCCACTCAAGGTGGAAGGTAAAGGGGAGCAAGTGTCACATGACAAGAGGAAGGGAGCAAGAGAGAGGGGGAAGAAAGGGCCAGGCTCTTTTCAATAGCCAGATGTCATGTGAACTAAGAGTGAGCATCCACTCACTACCGGGAGAATGCAACTAGCCATTCATGAGGCATCCACCTTCATGACCCAAACACCTCCCACAGGCCCTGCCTCCAACACTGGGGATCACATTTTAACATGAGATTTGGAAGAGATAAACATCCAAACTATATCAGTAGATGACTATCTTCTCTGCTTTTCTGATTTTGGCAGCTTGCAGTTGACATCCAGCATTTACTCCAAGCTCTCACCTACAAGGACCACAAGGTCTCTAAAGAAAAAATGCAATTATGCAGCCCCCACTGCATTACCTGGGACACAATATCTTCCCTTCAGGGGAGAGTTTATTCCCTAAAGAAATTAACACTACCACCCACTCCCCTCTCCCTGAGACCAAACAATGACACAGGGGGTTTCTAAAATTGGCTACTGACAGAACTGGATCCCTAACTTTCCCCCATCTTATCTTCCTTGGATGCTATGACTAAGGAGACTGTCACTGAATCCTATGCCTGGGATTCTCCTTCCATGTCTACATTTCAAACCTCAAATCCTCTCTGTATTAGTCCGTTCTTGCATTACTATAAAGAAATACCTAAGACTGGATAATTTATAAAGACAAGAGGTTTAATTGCCTCATGGTTTCACAGGCTGTACAGGAAGCATGATGCTGGCATCTGCTCAGCTTCTGGCGGAGACTTCAGGCAACACAATCATGGCGGAAGATGAAGGGGGGAGCAGGCACATGACAGGGCCAGAGTAGGAGCAAAAGAAAGAGAGCAGAGAGGAACTATACACTTTGAAATGACCAGATCTCACAAGAACTCACTTACTATCACAAGAACAAAGCCAAGAGGATGATGCTAAACCACTCATGAGAAACCCACCCCCGTCATCCAATCACCTTCCACCAGGCCCTACTCCAACATCGGGGATTACAATTGAATGTGAGATTTGGTGGGGACACAGATCCAAACCATGTCATTCTCCAGACTTTCTTCCCCCACTTAGACTCCCCATTACCCATGGCCAATCTGCCTTTCTACACATGAAAGGGCAGGACCTGCCTCAGTTGTCCTCATTGAAGAATACAATGGCGGCCAAAGGCCGATTAATCAGGCACTTCAGCCTTGGACTCTGTGGCTCTGGCATCAGCCTCTTGGCTGTGTGCAGTTACCACTGCCCCCAAGTCAGTCCAGCCCACTGCTGACCGAGTTCTGAGCCATCCACTTGACCTCAGTGTTCCCCATGTGGTTCAGACCTGGGAACACCCAACACTTTTCTGTTTCCAGACTCACTTGCTATGAAATCCCAGTATGCCCCGCTCCTATTGCTGTTCGCCACCTTCCCAACCTCAGTGCAGCCCCTCCCTGCCCCCTCTGAGGGACGACTTCCCCATGCCTCGCCATCTGTCTTCTACTCATCCTCACCCCAGCCTTGCCAAACTCCTCTCAAACACCGCAAGTCACCTTCTTAGCAGAAGACTCCTACCTTTGGAGCACAAAGGGGGAGTTTCAGACAGGACACACCCCACAGCTCCCCACACCCATGGAGGGCCAGTTCCTGAGGCTACATTAGCCTGAGTGGCCACACAGACACAAGCTCACCCCCAGGCATAAGGTGATAGGGCCAACAGTTACTCAGAGGGCAAGCAGACGCCTGGGCTCCAACGTGATTTGGGTACGCTATGGAAACAAAGAGAGTTCAGGACAGTGCCGGGGAGCCCTCAACACGGAACCCAAAAGGAACCGGGAGCAGGACTCAAGCAGATACCTGCACCCCCACGTCCACAGCAGCGTTGTTCACAAGAGCCAAGAGGTGGGAACAACCAGTGTTCATCAACAGATGAATGGATCAACAAAACACAGTGTGTATGTCAATGGAATATTACTCAGCCTTAAAAAGGAAGAAAATGCTAGTTCCTGCTACAACCTGGGTGAAGCTTGAGGACATTATGCTATGTGAAATAAGCCAGTCACAAAAGAACAAATACTGTCTGATCCCACTTATTTGACGTCCCTTATGTAGTCAAATTCGTAAGAGAGGAAGTAGAATGGCGCTGGGGTCAGGGGAGGGGGACAGGAAGTGAGTGTTTAATGGGCACAGAGTTTCACTTTGGAAAGATGAAAAAGTTCTAGACATGAATGTTGGTGCTGGTGGCACAGCAATGCGAATGCGTTTAATGCCCCTGAACTATACACTTAAAAATGGTTAAAATAATCAATTTTGGCCTTTTCAGCCAGAACCGCCATATTCCAGTAATTCGCCAAAATGACAAAAGCAAAGGGAGAGAGGAGAGTCACTTTAGACCTTTTAGAAAACATGGAGTTGTTCCTTTGGCTACGTATATGCGAATCTATAAGAGAGGTGACATTGTAGACATCAAGGGAATGGGAACTGTTCAAAAAGGAAGCCCAACAAGTGTTACCATGGCAAAGCTGGAAGAGTCTACAGTGTTCCCCAGCATGCCGTTGGCTTTGTTGTAAACCAACAAGTTAAGGGCAAGATTCCTGCCAAGAGAACTGATATGTGTATTGAGCACATGAAGCACTCTAAGAGCCAAGAGAGCTTCCTGACACGCGTGAAGGACAATGATCAGAAAAAGAAACAAGCCAAAGAGAAAGGTACCTGGGTGCAACTGAAGTGCCAGCCTGCTCCACCCAGAGAAGCACACTTTGTGAGAACCAGTGGGAAGGGCCAGTGCTTCTGGGACCTTTTCCCTGTGAATTCATGGCATAATAGGTGTTAAAAAAAGACCTCTGGACTGTAAAAATGTTTCTTTTCATTGAATAGAAGTGTGGAGTCCTCTCCCCCAAAGAAATATTTAAAGCAAATTTTAATTGTGTCCTGATTCATATGTAATGTCTTTACTATTCAAATTTCATGTATTTCTTGCTGAAAGATGTGATGTAGCTTATTGTGCCACAAATTACTCCGTTGGTTAGAAAACAGCCAGATATTATTTATGAAATATTTGTACTGATTTGAAGATAATCCCCTAAATCATCATGGAAGAAATAAAACAATTTACAAAAATTAAAAAGAATAATAAATTTTTTTGTTATATATATTTTGCCACAATAAAAAACAATTTTAAAAATGGAACCCAAGAGGCTAATTTACAAGAGGCTTTACTGTCACTCAAGAAATTAGCTATTCTCAAATGAAAGTTCACGTTAACACCCTGAAGCGCAAGGAAAGTCCTTGGCTGACAAATATGCTAAGATAGCCAATTCCTAAGACGACTCTTCCTCAACCACTGCCTGCCTCCACTGCCCAGTCTCCTCTAGGGATGGAAGCCTGACTTAGGAGACTCAAGGCATAGTGGCTGCTGGCACAGAGGCTGAAAGGGCTCCTGGGAACCAGACTGGGTATTTTATCCACTCAGCTGGGGCTTGGAGATACCCAGGCGACTGCTCGGTCTCTCCCATGTCCCTCCCCTGAAATACAGTTGTATCAGGTCATTCTCGCATTGCTATAAATAAATACCTGGGATTGGGTAATTTATCAAGAAAAGAAGTTTAGTCCAGGTGTGGTGGCTTATGCCTCTAATCCCACCACTTTGGGAGGCTGAGGCAGGCAGATCACTTGAGGTCAGGAGTTTGAGACCAGCCTGGCCAACATGGTGAAACCCTGTCTCTACTAAAAATACAAAAATTAGACGAGTGTGGTGGCACATGCCTGTAGTTCCAGCTACTCGGGAGGCCGAGGCACAAGAATCACTTGAACCCAGGAGGCAGAGGCTGCAGTGAGCCAAGATCATGCCACTGCACTCCAGCCTGGGCGACAGAGTGAGACTCTGTCTCAAAAAAATAAATAAACAAAAACCAAAAAGAAAAGAGGTTTCATTGGCTCATGGTTCCACAGGCTTTGCAGGAAGCATGATGCTGGCATCTGCTTGGCTTCTGAGGAGGCCTCAGGAATCGTACAATCATGGCAGAAGGCTAAGGGGGAGCAGGCTCGTCACATGGCCAGAACAGGAGCAAGATGGTGGGTTGGGGAGGTGCAGGAAGTGCCACAGACTTAAACGAGCAGAGCTTGCAAGAAGTCATGATCACACAGACAGCACCAAGCCATGAGGGATCCACCTCCAGGATCCAAACACGCCCCACCAGACCCAACCTCCAGCATCGGGGATGAAAATTCAACAAGAAATCTGGGTGGGGACAACATCCAAACTGTATCAGCAGTCCAACGACCTCCACAACGTTACACATCGCAGCAAAGGAAATCCACAAGTACTGGTGGTCCAGGCAACCTCAACTTGCCCTGACTGCCAGAAACAGTCCTGGTCACAAGCAGAGATGGAGCAAGGGCAAGGGGGACGATAGCCAGTTCTCCGGTCCCTCTCCACTGGCAAATGGATTTGTTCACCTCCCAAAGTTTCCTGGGAATGAACACATTCCAATCTCAGCCTGCACATTTTCAGATGAGAGGAGCTTTTCCCTGCAAACAAGCCACTGCCATCACTGAAGCCAAGCTGTTGCTGGAAAGAATTCTCCCCACCGGAGGAATCTCTGTTTCTCTCCAGCAAGAGAGAGACTCGCTTCTCCAATACGATCATTTGAGTGCTACCACTCACAAGAGCAGCACTGTCCTCACCCCCTCAATCCTCTGGAAGTACAGAATGAGCCAAGGGAGCTCTTCAGCTCCAAACAGCCAAACTCCCAGGACCTTAGCCTGCCTTAGTCCTCGGTCTTGCCTCTAGTCCGGAAGATCCCTCAATCCTCCCCTCAGTCAACACTGACTATCCTCTTATGAAATAATTGCCACCCGCCAGTGCAAGTCTGACTCCTCCTGGACCTTAGGAGACCTGAATCTGAGCCAGTCCCACCCTCAGTACCGCCAGGTTCTCATACAGCGCACTCATGTTTGTCCCCCGACGGTCCAGGCTGCCTCTCCCCAGACGTCCCACCACAGCCTTCATACAATCTTCAGGTTCGAGACCTGGCCTTCCGGAAAAGACACCAATGAAAGTCAAACCTTGAACCCAGATGGAAGGGACCCAATTCTGTCCTCCTGTACTGGCTTCTTGTGGCTGCTCTCACACGGTCCCACATGCTCTGGCTTAGAACAACTCAAGTTTATTTTCGGACACTTCTGGAGGGCAGAAGACTGAGTCCGTTTCATTGGGTGAATTTCAAGGTGTTGGTTCCTCCTGGCAGTTCTGGGAGAGCAGCCTCTCCTTGCCTCCCTCCAACCATCACTTCTCCTGCCTGCTGCTTCCTCCTCTGACCTCCTCGTGTCCTTCCCATGAGGACCCTGATGACTAGGGCCCACCCAGATAATTCAGGACAGCCTCCCCATCTCAAGACCCTTAATTTAATCATATCTGCAAGGTCTTTGGTAACGAGTATGGAAACATCCACAGTTAAAGGGGATTTGAACTCCTAAGGTCTCCTGGGAATGCATATATTTCAATCCCAGTCTGCACATTTTCAGAATGGGAGGAGCTTTTCCCTGCCATTGGTGGGACGCATTATTCAGCCTACTGAGTCACTAATGACACAGCAAAGCTACCAGAAGTACAACCTTGGGTTCACGTTTCACAATATTAAAAATGCAAGTCTTACTCCAAGTGGAAATCCACCCCCAGCAGAAAACCTTAAACTGAGGTTCTTGCAGGAGCCCCCAGACACACATGACAATATGAAATAAACTGACCTCCAAAGACCGGCAGAAGCCTCAGATGACATGAAGCAGTCAGCTTCCACCCGAGACACTGAAACAAGGCCCTCCAAGATTCCCTACTTAATCCCCACGTCTCCCTTCCAGTCCTTCAGCCTCTGACCCTACCTTCCCTCAACACCCTGCACCCTAAGATGATGTTGCCCTGTACCATCCTCAGTGTCCTATCTCCCAGGCAGCCCCACCACACAAAGAGGAAACAGGCTGGGTGCAGTGGCTCATGCCTGTAATCCCAGCACTTTGGGAGGCCGAGGCAGGCAGATCTCCTGAGGTCAGGAGTTTGAGATCAACCTGGCCAACTTGGTGAAACCCCGTCTCTACTAAAAATACAAAAATTAGCCAAGCGTGGTGGCAGGTGCCTGTAACCCCAGCTACATGGGAGGCTGAGGCAGGAGAATTCCTTGAACCCAAGAAGTAGAGGTTGCAGTGAGCCGAGATGGTCCCACCGCACTCCAGGCAGGGAAACAAGAGTGAAACTGTGCCATTATTTAAAATAATGATCAATAGTAGTATAAATTATAAATAAAACTTCAATGTAAACATCTCTGATTATTTTCCTATGAAAAACTTTCGGAAGTGATATTGTAGGGACAAACAGGAAGTGCATCCTAAGTTTGAAACAACGGCAAATCGTCTTCTCCATTGATTACATCAATTTACAGCCCACCCCTCCCCATCAGAGCAGAAGAAGGTGGAACTTAGAAGTTTCTCTAAGTTTGTTAAAATAGGATTCTAGGAAAAGATTTGGCTAACCATGGGTCCTGGTGATCCAGAGGGGCTTCTTGGAGTCCAAGGTCTAAAGAAGCTGATGCAGAGCCACTGAAAGGCCAATGAAAAGTCACACCCTCTCCCTCACACTCATCTCTCTTTTCTGATCTAGAAATCTATTGCATTTAAGCTACGCTTTGGGTGAAAAATCTGAAAATAAGACTAGAAGGGAAAGATATTGAGAATGACAAGTTTCTCGGGGTCGGGAGGTGCTAGTTGGGAGGAGGAAGAGGGTCTGTGGGGTGGACCTTGCTACTTGGAGAGGGCAGATTTGGGTGAACAACACAGTGACCCAGGAACTTGGAATTCCCTGCTGAGGGAATTCCCTGGGAAAACTAGGAGACAGTGAGGAAATGAGAGCTCTGAGGCTGGGCAGCTTCATGAAACTGCCTGAGGTTAGGTGCCACCCAAGCAACTGAGCAATAGAATTTTTTTTTTTAATGATCTCAATGTTTTAGAATTATTTGTGTTTGGTTGTGATCCAGAACACAATTGATTTTCATAAACATTTCACACGTACTTGGAAAGAATTCAAAGCCAGGCATGATGACTCATGCCTGTAATCTCACTATTTTGGGAGGCCA
Organism: Homo sapiens; assembly: GCF_000001405.40. Classification (NCBI taxonomy): domain Eukaryota; kingdom Metazoa; phylum Chordata; class Mammalia; order Primates; family Hominidae; genus Homo; species Homo sapiens. The sequence goes on along the minus strand of NC_000013.11, from coordinate 110,758,369 downwards.
AGGTGGATGAATTGCTTGAAACCAGCAGTTCGAGACCAGCCTGGGCAACATAGCAAGACCCTTGTCTTTACAAAAAAGTGAAAATATTAGCCCAACATTGCAGCATGTGGCTGTGGTCCTATCTACTCAGGAGGCTGAGGTGAGAAGATCATTTGAGACCAGGAGGTCTAGGCTGCAGTGAGCTGTGATTGTGCCACTGCACTCCAGCCTGGGTGACAAAGACCCTATCTTTAAAAAAAATCTATATATCTATATATCTATATATGTGTGTATGAATTTGTCATTGTTGAGTATAGTTTCCTATGTATGTCAGTTAGGTCAAATTAGTTAATTATAATATTATGATCTTTTTTTTAGATTTTAGGGGTACATGTGCACGTTTGTTACATGAATATATTGCATGATGCTGAATTTGGGGCCAAGTATTAGAATTTAACAAAAAATTAGCTGGGAAAAGGCATCTAACTTGAAGTATAATAAATAGCAACTTGAGATTATAAACTTTATAACTTACAAAGTATGTTTGTTCACACCTTTGTCATTTAGTTTTCATAATAACCCCATTAGATTAAGCGTGCTGGGTATTCTTAGTCATTATTTAACCCATTCTCAGGTTAAAACATGAAGTCTTGGGCAAGAAGCCCCGCTGGGAAGTGGCAGAGACCCAACCCCGTCAGCTGGTTTCAGACTTCACACTGCAATTCTTCACAGAAGGGCGACTGCTTCAGAAAACCATTCCGAGTGGATCTGACGGAGACTCGCAGCCTGACTAGTCACAGCGACTGGCGGCCAGCGTCTCCAGGCTCCTGCATCCCACTGTCAGGACCAGCCACTCCTACCCAAAGGTCAGGCCTCATGGCCGAGCCATGAAGAGACACTCATGGGGTGGCTGGAAAACTGCTCTGACTTCACTGAAGGACCTAGCAATGGTGAAACGAGAGCGGAGAGATTCACGGGCGGTGAAAGACAAGGAGCTCCTTCCTGGAGGCGCACTGGCACCTGCAGGTGTTAGCAAGGAGTTGGGGATCAGGCAAGAAGATGAAGGGGCACGGGGCAGAGGAACAGGCAGTCACAGGGCCCGTAGAGTTTGCCGCGTCCTTGGGTGGCCACACTTTGTTACTTGTAAAATAAAAAATGTGGAAACATTCAAGCTACTTTTGAAAGATCAAAAGCCTTATTTAGGAATGACTTGTGTTAGAAAGGCACCTGAACCTAGCTAACTTTTCTTCATTTGATGCAGATTCCAAACCATAAATTATCAAAGGGCCAAGATTCCAAGACGTCTTTTCCTCGGAAAGGCAGTGCGATGGGCTTCAGCAGACGTTTCAGTGTTGAGCCCATTTTAAAATGTGATGAAGAGAACTTCACAAGAAACACAAGAGACCTGGGACTCTTTGGATGAAGTGAGCCTCCATCACCCGTGCTGCAATGTATAAGGAGCCACAAAACTCATTCTGAATTCTGAATCAGGTACATGTAATAAAAAAATTAAACTTGATATTAAACTTGTAAAATGTTGTTCATTTCCCACTGAATTGGCAAAGAAAAGCAAACTAGGCTTTAAAATTGTTCAAATTTTGTTTTAAAGTAGAGGTGGGATTTTAAAACTTCTAAGCCCGTGAAATGATGGTGCAGGCATTTGTGAGGTTTTCAAAGGGGCACTTGATTAACTAGAACTAATTATCAGGGCAGAAAAAGGCTTCACCCCTGAGGTCTGTTAGTCAGGAAAGACCCTTCAGTTCCAGGGCCACAAGGAGTCCACGTCAGTAAATGCTCAGATGACGTGATTTGAGGGAGGAACTGCCAATTTATGCTTTTCTCAAAGTATCTCCCCCACCACCTCCCAGGAACCTCCATCCTTACTAAGCAGCTCAGGAATTCTTGGCATTAGAAAACAAATTCAGAAAGACAACAAAATTCTTATCACTGAACAAAACATTAGCAAGATAAGGCTATGTTTATGATTCAGATTTTTCACCCCTTTAAGTCTTATGTTAGGCAGAGCTGCTGAGAGGATTAGGAAATGGGGGCAGTTGCCTGGTAAAACCAGAAGCATTTGGCTTGAGAACAGGATTAAACAAACCAGTCCACCCCACAGCAAGTAATGTCTGAGCATGCACCCTAGCTTAGCATATTCGCTTATAAATTATGCCCATGAAATATACTAACATATATTAGAAAACATGCACAATAGCCATTCTAGAAGGATAAGATTTAAAAAATACATTATAAATATTAGTTCTAATATTTTCTTCCTGCATGCAAATGTATAATTTTGGAGAGTCTACTAAAATACTATAGGAAGTAATGGAAAAATATATGCAAACTGCATTTTAATTCAGAATATAAGAAATGCGAGTTGAAGAGAGGATGGATAAGTGAAAACAGGAAGCATGCTCTTGAGGGACTAGAAACATGTTTCTAGTTGGAGACCCTGTAGACTGGACATTTGTATTGTGTTTTCTCTTGGTTTGTATTAAATTTTATCACTTATGTTTCTAAATTGAGATAGGGCAATTTGAATTTATATTTATTTAAGATATTAAATTTCAACTTAGCTCTCATAAGAAGAGAGCTATAGCAAAGAATAAATTAAAATTCTATGTGATATTAAGAGAGAAAGGGAGGGAGGAAGAAGTAGGAGAAGAAAGGACACTGAGGCCAGAGGTATGTGAAAATGCACACTGTCTAGGAAGAGCAAAGACAGGCGGCAGGCCATCTGTTAAGCAACTGTCACCTCAGAAGGGCCAATGAACATAGTCCTAGGAAGTGGTCAAGAAAAATTAGGACTTCTTGAGTGGTCAAGAACATTGGAGCACTGGCCGGGCACGGTCACACCTGTAATCCCAGCACTTTGGGAGGCTGAGGTGAACCAATCACTAGAGCTCAGGAGTTCAAGACCAGCATGGGCAACATAGTGAAACCCCATCTCTACTAAAAATACAAAAATTTGGTGAGTGTGGTGGCATGCACCTGTGGTCCCAGCTACTTCAGAGGCTGAGATGGGAACATTGCTTGAGCCTGGGAGGTGGAGGGTGCAGTGAGCTGAGATGGCACCACTGCACTCCAGCCTCGGTGACAGAGTGAGACTCCCATCTCAAATAAATTTTTAAAAAGAACATCTGGGCATGCATGAGCATTGAGCAGCCTTGTCCATCACAGGAAGGCAACCTGGGACCCCTAATGGGGAGACTGGGCCAGACACTGCTTCCTGCCTCCCTGGTTTCACATCTCTCCAGCTTCAACAAAGGACTCTCTTCTCCAGGGAAACCTTCCCAGCTGTTCCTAAATACAGTAGCCCACCCTCTCCTTTGTGCCACTGTTGTGCCCAATACATACTTCTACTGTTGTTTTTTTAATGGTATTGCGATTATGAATGTGAGCCTCTGACTGGGAGAACACTGAAGGCAGGGAATATGCATGACCTTTGCAGGCCCAGTGTTTAGCACAGTACATGTGATGCACACTCCATAAAAGCTGATTGAAGAAATGAACACTGAATTATGAAGGAATGGACCAATGGGAGAATCCAATGATCATGGCAAATATCAACACCAAGGATGAAATGTAAAATATCATTGGAAAGTAGAAGGAATAAAAAAAATTTTTTAAATTATGCCACGAATACTTTTCTAACCTTTGCAATCTGATTCATGTAATTGGGCAATTTAGCTACAACATAAACTTTTCTACTGTCCTATTGGAGTGAACCCATGTGATTCAAATTAAAGTACAAAGTGGGCATATTGCCAGTTAATTTAACTAAAACAGATAGCTCATAAGGATAACCAACTTCCCAGGGAATTCTCTAATCTAAATTATGGTGTTGAGTTAAAGCCTTGAGAGTTTTTAGAAAGGAAATTGCTTTGATTGTGTTTAGAATTTCAAACCAATGGCCGAGTGTGGTGGCTCACACCTGTAATCTCAGCACTTTGGGAGGCCAGGGTGGGTGGATCACCTGAGGTCAGGAGTTCGAGACCAGCCTGACCAACATGGTGAAACCCAGTCTCTACTAAAAATGCAAAAATTAGCCGGGAGTGGTGGCACATGCCTGTAATCCTAGCTACTTGGGAGGCTGAGGCAGGAGAATTGCCTGAACCCAGGAGGCAGACGTTGCAGTGAGCCAAGATCGTGCCATTGTACTCCAGCCTGGGCAAAAAGAGCGAAACTCTGTCTCAGGAAAAAAAAAAAAATTCAAACCAATTTCTTGAACTTGAAATGATTGGTTTTGGCATTTATTCAAATAATACCTGTGCGTCCACTAATGTATGTCAGGTCCTAGGGTATAAAGATGAATCAATCACAGTCCCTTGTCTCTAGAAAGTCAATGTTTATTGGGCAGGAGGGAGTTGATAAAAGACTTCTATATCCAGCAATATAGCGGGCTACATATCCTAAACAACTCTCAGACTGAAGTGCTGAATATGCTAAAATGTGTTTTTTCATGCATTGCTGAGATGGCAGGAGGTTAAAAAAAATCCATAGAGGCTGAAACTTTAATGAAAACAGAAATCCTTGTTAGTACCAAAAGTATCTTTTATCATAGGCCAAAGCCAGAGCTCCTGGGCTCCTTCTTGGATGGCTATGTGGGGCCCAAGGTGCCAAGGGGAATGAAGAAGAGGTCAAGCCCCAGGCAGAGCTTCCCACCTTTTCTCATGGCTCACAAAGACTGAGGAACATCACTTGCAAGGATCTGGCCCAGATCCTGCATCAGTTGGAAAGTCTATGGTAGCCCATGCTCACAAAGCTAAAACTTTACTTCAATATAAAGAAAATGAGAATAAATTTGCCATGCAGAAAAGAACAATAAGGAAGCTTTGTCTTTCTCAACCTCGTCACAACATACTGTGTGATGTGGGAAATTTTAAGACACAGCCAGCTTTTATGAGTGTTTACAGTCTGCATTTATACCACTTATTGAAAAACCCCAAGCTGAGATTTTAACTTGGTTTCCAGATTGTTAGTGACCTCGGTCAGTTGGTAGAATAAAAGCAAATCCCCAGTGAAGAAATTCACTTTCAACTGAGGCATTAAGAATTCCTACAGGTGAAATTCCAAAGATATTAGCTTCTCACAATAAAAAGAAATAAGTAAATACATTTTAAAAATTGCAAAGCATACAAGGGAACAAGGTACTACAGCTGAGAACCAGATAGAGAGTAACGTAAAATCCTCAAAGACTTCAGAAATTAGAACTAGCAAGGATTATAGAATAACTATGTTTAATAGGATTTTTAAATATTAGAAGCTCAACGATATGATCAAAGAAGCAGGAAGTCTTAAAAATAACCAAGCATGCTTTAGAAATAAAAAACATAATTGAAAATTTTAAATTGGCTGGGTCCAGTGGCTCACACCTATAATCTCAGCACTTTGGGAGGCTGAGGCGGGTGGACGAGTATTTTCTAATACTGTTGACAGCTTCCAGTCTTCAGATCAATGAAGCTCAGTGGATCCTTAGAAAAATTTAAAAACAAAATAGACCAATCAAAGTAAAACTACAGAATTCAGAAGGTAAATAGTTCTTAAAAGCTGGCAGAAAGAAAAAATAGATCAGCATAAAGGAAGGGCAGTTGAATGAACTATTGACTTCTGTACTGTGGCAATGGAAGTCAAAAGTCAGTGGAAGAGTCTCTCAAAGTGTTGAAAGAAATAAAATATGTCACTCTGGAAATCTTTGCCTCAAGCAACTGCCTTATAAAAATGAAGGTAAAATATATATATATATATATATATATATATATATATATATATATATATATATATATATTTTAGACTGAATCTTAAAGGGTAAACTGATAGATTTTCATTAAAGAAAATCCTGAAGTCAGTACTTAAGGCAAAAAAAGCACTTCTGAGATGCAAGAAGGCATGGTAAGCAAAGATATTATTATAATAAGTTTTAATGAAAGCCAAAAAATTGACTCTATAAAACAATGTCTAATTTGTGAGAAAAAAATATCAAAATACTGGATAACAACGCATATAAATTGCTCTTTATATTATTGGGGAGGGCAAAGATATTAACTTCAGGTCTTGCAAAGTCAATGGCTACAGTAACTACTAGAAAAACAAAGAGTATGTATAACTTCTAAACAATAAAAATTGAATAATAAAATATCTTTAATTTTTTGAAAGAAAGCAAGAGTGATAGATAATATTTGTTTAGCAACATTTTTTCTTCTATACTCCTCTCTGAGTATAGAAGTGGGAAGCCAGGCTCCTTGCTGTCTGGCTTTCTGCTACATTTTGCCAGTGGAAAGCACCTGTGGGGATTGAAGAGTAGGAGGGAGAATTCATTTTTCCCCTAGTGTTTGGTGGCAACAAGAGTGGCAACTGTCAGCTAGGTGGCTCATGCCTATAATTCCAGCACTTTGGGAGGCCAAGGTGGGTGGATCACCAGAGGTCAGGAGTTCGAGACCAGCCTGGCCAACATGGAGAAACCCCATCTCTACTAAAAACACAAAAATTAGCCAGCTATGATGGTGCATGCCTGTAGTTCCAGCTACTTGGGAGACTGAGGCAGGAGAATCACTTGAACCCAAGAGGAGAAGGTTGGAGTGAGGAGATCACACCACTGTACTCCAGCCTGGGTAACAGAACAAGACTCCATCTGAAAAAAAAAAAAAAAAAGAGTGGCAACTGTCAAGTGTAGCAGGCAGCATGGTTTCAACTTCATTTTCTCTTTGGCCTCTTTAGCTCTAGGAATAACAATAATCATTTTTAGTTACTAATTTTTGGGTAACATCATACTCCCTTTCTGCTCCAGTACTTCTAATACTTTTATAATAATTTCCCTTTATGTGAAATATGTACGGTATTTTCTGTTTTCCTGACTGGGCATTTAAATGATATAGTAAGAAAGAAAGAAACAAAACAGAAAGGGCAGGATAAATAGCACATAAGCAGATGGCATAGATAAATACAAATAAGAAATCACAACAAATATAAGTGGACTAAACTCTCAAGTTAAAAGACAATGCTAGACTGGATTTTAAAAAAATAAAGAAAGAACATGTAGCTATATGCTGTTAAGCAGAGACATACCTAAAACAAGAAAAGTCTGGGTGTGGTGGCACACTCCTGTAATCCCAGCTACTCAGGAGGATGAGGTAGGAGAATCGCTTGAACCCCGGAGGCGGAGGTTGCAGTGAGCCAAGATCACGCCACTGCACTCCAGCCTGGGTGACAGAGTGAGTCTCCATCTCAAAAAAAAAAAAAATGTAAAAAGCATAATTTAAAAACAAAATAGAAATAAACAAATCCACAAACATAGTGAGGAATTTTTATATCTCTTAGTAAATGATAAGCCCCCTCAAAAAATCGTAATGATATAAAATAATTGAACAGCTTAAATAACAAATTTAACCCAGTGGATATATGAGAAAGTTGCACACTTGCTGGTTATTCTCTGTTCTTCAATCTCAGATCCGTTTCCTGCCCTTCCTTCCATGCTCTGTGTCCTGGGCGTGCTAACTCCACAGATGGCATCACCCAGATTTCATGACGCTCTGCTTCCCTATTGAAATCAGCCAAGGGGAGTCACTAGTAGATGGTCAGAGAATGGAGAAATAGAAAGGTCAGAATACATCCTCCATTTCCAGCCTGCTTCAGCAACACAATTCTGGCAATGTAATGTCTCTATAACAATGTCTCTATAACTATGGCTCCATCCTCTGACCTCAGCCTTGCAAGTAGCTGGGACCACGGGCGTGTGCCACCATACCTGGCTAATTTTTTTTTTTTTTGTGGAGATGGGTTTTTGCCATGTTTCCCAGGCTGGTCTTGAACTCCTGAGCTCAAGCGATCCACCCGTCTCGGCCTCCCAAAGTGCTGGGATTACAGGCATGAGTCACCACTCCCGGCCAAATATGTTAATTTTGAAAAGGTAAAACATAAGACTCTAGGAACAAAGCTAACAAAATATGTACTAGTCTATTGCGGGGGCAGGAGGGATCTAGAAAATTAATAGAAGACCAAAGTAAATTAACAGACATTATGTGTTAAGAATGTTTGTCCAATTTATGTGTACATTGAATGCAATTGCAGGTAAAATCTCGACAGGGCTTTTCATGGACTATGATAAGAGATTCAAAAATGTATATAAAACAGTCAATAACCAGGTGACATAGCAAGCCCTGAAAGAAAGAAAAGAAAAGAGAGGAATAGAGGAAAGAAAGAAACGAAGGAAGGAAGGAAAGAAAGAAAAGACGGCAAAATATCTAAATATCAAGATTTTTTTTTTGAATGTGGAAAAAAACATTTCTCATGTAAGACAAAAGAGCACAAACTATAAATAAATTTGACCACATTAAATCTGTAAACTTGTATTTCTGAGTTAGGTGGAAGACATATGCTGTTTAACACATTACTTCCTCTACCTCTGATATGTTTCAATTAATTCATAGAAAAAAGTGAGCCACCTGTATGCGGAGACTCATAGTGCGGGTGCAGCATCTTAACAGAGAACAAATAAAGCATGTTAACTTCAAACACCTACAAAGGAACATAGCCAAGGCAAGATTAGAAAGACACCAGATTTCTCCCCAAAACTCCTCGAATACATCTCTCATTACATTTATAATGCAATATATAATAATAAATCCTTCATTACATTTACATCATTAAAAATGTAAAAGCTGGCCAGGTGCAGCCATTTTACATTTTACATTAAAAATGTAAAAGCTGCCGGGCATGGTGGCTCATGCCTGTAATCCCAGCACTTTGGGAGGCAGAGGCTGGCAGATCACTTGAGGTTAGGGGTTCGAGACCAGCCTGGTCAACATGGCGAAACCCTGTCTACTAAAAATACAAAAATTAGTGGGCGTGGTGGCACATGCCTGTAGTCCCAGCTACTTGGGAGGCTGAGGCAGGAAAATTGCTTGGACCCAGAGGGCAAAGGTTGCAGTGAGCCAAGACTGGCCACTGCATTCCAGCCTGAGTGACAGAGCAAGACTCCATTTAAAAAATAAAATAAAATAAAAGTAAAAGTTGGCCAGGTGCAGTGGCTCATGCCTGTAATACCAGCATTTTGGGAGGCCAAGGTGGAAAGATGACTTGAGACCAAGAGTTTGATACCAGCCTGGGCAACACGGTGAAACCCTGTCTCTACAAAAAATTTTAAAATAAAATATTGGCCGAGCATGGTGGCGTATGCCAGCTACTTGGGAGGCTGAGGTGGAAGGATTGCTTAAGCCCAGGAGTTCAAGGCTGCAATGAGCTATGATCACACCATTGCACTCCAGCCTGGGCAAAAGCGCGAGATCCTGTCTCTATTTGTTGTTTTAAAAAATTTCTTCAAGTTATAATATTACAGTAGGTAACGGTGAAGAACAAGTAGGGGATATGGAAAATATAATTGGAGAAATCTTCCGGAATATATAGAGCAGTAATAAGAGAAGATATAAAAGATAAGTTAAACAAAAAAGAATTATCATTATTATTATTATTATTATTGGCTTCTGCTAACAGTGGCTTAGGTAATGCAGCTCAGGTCTCCAACTCCCAGGCTGGATGAAATATGAAACAGCATCCACTCGAAGGCTTGAGAGAGGCCCGAAGAATTATGGGACAAACCTGGAAGAAGAAAAAAACATACAATGTATATGAAACAGTAAATAACTGGGTAACATAGCAAGCCCTGAAAGAAAGAAAATAGGAATTAAACAAGAAAATAGGAAGAGGAATTCCAGAAGGAATATATTTTTTAATGGAGGAGAATAAGTTCAGACATGCAAGAAATTGAACCACCCAGCAATCATCTATTCTGAATTAATATATGCAACTGGGAAAGTGGTTCTTATGAATTGGGTCATTCCTGTCATGCCCAACTAACCCAGAGTCAAGAAGCCCGGGGGGCAGCTCTAAGCCCACACAGCATTGCTCCGAGAATTGAACCCTTCGCATGCCTGGCTGCTGAACTTCTGCTGTAACCTGAAACCAGTTTTACCTGATAACTTCTGAAACAACGTGCTGCACCTCTAAGACTAGTTTTACCCACTGCTGTCACTCACCATCAGAACTTGCCAGCTCCCCAAAACTTAACAAGTGCCAATGATCAAAGAGTAATACATAGCATTTCTCCTTTTTATAAAATCTCCAACCTCAACTTTATTCTTTGGACATCCCAAAGACCACCTGGTCTGTGTGTATATGCCCCAAATGGCAATTCTCATATCCCAAATAAAATGTTAAATTTAGAGATTTTTCTCTACAGATTTTATTTGACTTTATCATACACAGCGTCATTAGTAAAATCCAAAGCTGACTCACCTCGGGAAGAATTACTGGTTCTTGGAACAGCGGTGTGAGGTGCCCACAGTGGAGCCTTTTGAACCCCGCTGCATCTGCAAGTGGCCTCTTCTCCCCCTCCATTTTGTTCGAGTTCCATTTTATTCGTGATTTGGTTGGGAGGGTTTGTCCCACTCCTGTTGGAAAGATCTCCTCTTGGGGAAAGTTATTTTCCTCCTGTTGACCTCAGCTCCAAGGTTTGGATGAGGGGATTTTGTCCTTCATTTGGAGAAGGCCTATCGTCCTTCCTGGGAGGTACACACTTTATTTTCCATCTGCACTTGCATTCAGTTGGCCTCTGCATATTCAGTGCTACATTTAATTGGCTTTGTGTATTTGGCATTAAACTAGAGCACCCATAAAATGTAACTGTTAAAAACAAAGAAATTAGATGATTGTAAATAAAAATAAATGTTTATAAATAAACTTTTCATGTAAATGTTAAAATTATGTTATGTAAAATTAAATAATGCACATTAAATATCTGGATTGTAGCTAAATAAGATTTCTTAAAACTGAAACAAATTGCTAAATAAACAAAACGTCATTTTTGGCTTCTTAAATTTTATAAAAAGTAAATATATTTAGATCTATTAATTAAAATATGAATTTAGGAAAAAATAATTTTGCATGAGAATTTTATGTGGTAAATCTTTGTCCTATGACAAAATAATTTGTTGTTTAAAAATAAAATTATGGGACTAAGACTGGAAGTTTTAAGAAAGTGATAAAAGGTCTAAACAAGTCAAAGAGGATTTATAAAAGATGGGCCTAATGAAGTAAGTTACATGTGTAATCAGATTGTCTGGGATTGGAAATAAATTATGTATTTTTCTAAAAGTTCCACATTGGTGTCCACGGCACCGTGACACAGGACCAGAGTCTATACCTCTATATTTCAAATGAAAGTTTTCTGAAAGTATTGATCTGCTGTGAATTAAATTGCAAGAGGTTTTGATTTTTAATTTTAAAAATCTGTTTCTTTAACAGCCATCTGCTTTTTGAGATTCATTTCCCTAGTTTTAGATTTAAAATGCTGTCCTCTTCATTTAACATAATTTTTTCTTGAGCTAGAGTTTTGTTTTAGAGATTTTTCAAATGTGTATCTCAGAAGTCTAACTTTTGCTGTATTTGCTGCACATAATTTGCAGTCATATATCATTGCCTCCAACTTACTCTCCCCTTGAAAAGTCCTAGGATTATAACTCTTTCCTTCAACTTTCTTGCACACTCCTGTAACTTTATCCCCCTCTGTTCTAACTCTGCTGCCTGACACTGAAATGTTTACCCTGAAGACCTAGAAAAGCAATGTTTTGTTTAGCATAACTTGATTCTGTACTCCTGGCTTTTCTTAATATGTCTGAATTGTTCCATGTAACCAAGAAACTTCCCATGCTGTTACTAAAAGCCATATATTCCTCTGCTTAAGCTGCTAGTTTTCTTGTTTACATTCCTTTATGATGTAGTGTACACTCATAATCTTGAACACATTTTTCCTCTGTCTAATTAAATTCAAGCACCCTTTTTTTTTTATCAGGTTTGACCTCCAGGTTATCTAAATGAACTTTCTGTAACGAGAAATCATCACACTGTGCAAGGTTCTTTGCCTTTTTGGTAGCTGACCTAAGAAACAAAGATTTTATGCTTTACCAAGATAATTTCCTGTGTTGCCTTTTGTAGGTTTTTGATTACTTAGGAAAAGTGAGCTTGGAAGGGTTAATATTTTTACAATCGTGTAACTTTCCATATTGCTTTTGAAGTCTTTCAGTTGTCACTCTGGTTAAATGAATGACTATTATTTTATAGTGACCTCTGATTCTGTTTTGATCAAGTGTTTTGGGCCTTTTTTTTTTTTTCCTTTTTGAGACAGGGTCCCACTTTGTCACCCAGGCCAGAGTGCGGTGGCACAATCATGGCTCAATGTAGCCTCAAATTCCTGGGCTCAGGTGACCTTCCCACCTCGGCCTCCCTAGTAGCTGGGACCACAGATATGTACCACCACACCAGGCTAATTTTTTGGTTATTTGTAGAGACAGGGTTTCATTATGTTGCCCAAGCTGGTCTCAAACTCCCAGGCTCAAGTGATCTGCCCGCCTTTGCCTCCAAAAATGCTGGGATTGCAGGCGTGAGCCACTATGCATGACCTGTTTTGCACCTTTTGACATCTTTGACAAATGTCCCTAATATCAACTCCTAACTTAAGTTTTTTTCACCTTGAATTAACTCTGAGATTTTCCAGTCAGACCTGTGGAAAGCTTTGAAAGATATATTTCTCATCTTGTAGAGATATTAAATGATTAGGCTTATTTGGTAAATTGTGTGAAAAACATTGTCAAATAATACATGATACTAGATCTTTTAGTTACATTTACAGGTATGCTGTTTATATGTTTCTAAAATTACATAGTCATAGAAATCTAATATGCTATCAGTCATAATTCTGGTTATCTTGAAATACTATACGTAATAGAAATAACTAAATTTCCTTGTTGATTATGTTTATCAGATTTTTAACCATGACTACTCTAAGTTTTTGTCATCCACAGTTATTCTTTAAAATTCTTCTCGGCTGGGTGTGGTGGCTCACACCTGTAATCCCAGCACTTTGGGAGGCCAAGGTGGGTGGATCACCCAAGGTCAGGAGTTCAAGACCAACCTGGCCAACATGACAAAACCCCATCTCTACTAAAAATAGAAAAATTAGCCAGGTGTAGTGGCACACACCTGCAATCCCAGCTACTCAAGAGGCTAAGGCTGGAGAATCGCTTGAACCCAGGAGGCAAAGGTTGCAGTGAACTGATATCATGCCACCGCACTCTAGCCTGGGAGACAGAGCAAGATTCTGTCTCAAAAAAAAAATAAAAAAAGAAAATTCTTCTCAAAAAATTTTATAATCAGATTTGTGGAAAAGACTCCAGCAAGTACTGTTAAATACAGGTTTCTGCCACACCTAAGATAAATAAAGATTTCCAGAATTTTAATAAAGAGGCGAAGAACTCATGAAACTAATGGAGATCAAGCAGAACAAAAGTTGACTACATGAGATTGAATAACTGATGAAGATAATGCTTTTATGAGTGTTATTTGAAACATTGTTCTCTACTGAAATGCTTTCTTTCACGGATTTAAGAAAATTTTCTCTCTTAAACTATCTATAATTTATAGCAATTTGGTGAAGTATTGATATGATTTGGCTGTGTCCCCACTCAAATTTCATCTTGAATTTTAGTTTCCATAATCCCCACATGTCATGGGAGGGACCCAGAGGAAGGTAATTGAATCAAGGGGGCAGTTACCCTCATGCTGTTCTCATGATAATGAGTTATCACAAGATCTGATGGTTTTATAAGGGGCTTTTCCCCCTCTTGGCTCTGCACTTCTCCTTCTTGCCGCAATGTAAAGAAAGGTGTGTTTGCTTCCCCTTCTGCCATGATTGTATTTTCTGAGGCCTCCCCAGCCATGCTGAACTGTGAGTCAATTAAACCTCTTTCTTTTATAAATTACCCAGTCTCAGGAATGTCTTTATTAGCAGCATGAAAATGGACTAATAGAGTAAATTGGTTCTGGGTAGTGGGGCAATACTATAAAGATACCCAAAAATGTGGAAATGACTTTGAAACTGGGTAACAGGCAGAGGCTGGAACAGTTTTGAGGGCTCAGAAGAAGAAAAGAAGATATGGGAAAGTTTGGAACTTCCTAGAGACCTGATGGATGGCTTTGACCAAAATGCTGATAGTGATACGGACAATAAAGTCCAGACTAAGGTGGTCTCTAATGGAGATGAGGAACTTTTTGGGAACTGAAATAAAGGTGACTCTTGCTATGTTTGAGCTAAGAGACTGGCAGCATTTTGCCCCTGCCATAGAGATCTGTGGAACTTTGAACTTGAGAGAGATGATTTAGGGTGTCTGGCAGAAGAAATTCCTAAGCAGTAAAGCACACAAAAGGAAGCAGAGCAAAAAAGTTTGGAAAATTTGCAGCCTGATGATGTGCTGGAAAAGAAAAAACAATTTTCTGGGAGGAAATTCAAGCCAGCTGCAGAAATTTGCATAAGTAATGAGGAGTTGAATGTTAATCACCAAGACAATGTGGAAAATGCTTCCATGGCATGTCAGAGACTTCACAGCAGTCCCTCTCATCACAGGCCTCGAGGCCTAGGAGGCAAAAATGGTTTCATGGGCTGGGCCCAGGGCCCCTCTGCTCTGTGCAGCCTAGGGACTTGGTGCCCTAAGTCCCAACTGCTTCAGTGCCAGCTGTGGCTAAAAGGGGACAATGTACAGCTTGGGCCATTGCTTCAGAGGATGTAAGCCCCAAGCCTGGGTGGCTTACATATGGTGTTGGGCCTGTGGGTACACAAAAGTCAAGAACTGAGGTTTGGGAACCTCCACCTAGATTTCAGAGGATGTATGGAAACACCTGAATGTCCAGGCAGAAGTTTGCTGCAGGAGTGGAGCCCTAATAGAGAACCTCTGCTAGAGCAGTGCAGAAGGGAAATGTGGGATTGGAGCCCCCACACAGAGTCCGCACTGGGGCACTGCCTAATGGAGCTGTGAGAAGAGGGCCACTCTCCTCCATACCCCAGAATAGTAGATCCACCAGCAGCTTGCACCATGCACCTGGAAAAGCCGCAGACACTCAACATCAGGTCATGAAAGCAGCTAGGAGGGGGCTGTGCAAAGCCACCAAGGCAGAGCTGCCCAAGGCCATGGGAGCCTACCTCTTGCATCAGCAGGGTCTGGATGTGAGACATGGAATCAAAGGAGATCATTTTGGGACTTTAAGGTTTAATGACTGCCCAATTGGATTTCGGACTTGCGTGGGGCCTGTAGCCCCTTTGTTTTGGCCAGTTTCTCTCTTTGGAATGGGTGTATCTACCTAATGCCTATACCCTGATTGTGTCTAGGAAGTAACTAAATTGCTTTGATTTTACAAGCTCATAGGTAGAAGGGACATGCCTTGTCTTAGTTGAGACTTTGGACTTGGACTTTTGGGTGAATGCTGGAATTAGCTAAGACTTTGGGGGACTGTTGGGAAGGCATGATTGTGCTTTGAAATGTGAGGACATGAGATTTGGGAGGGGCAAGGGGCAGAATGATATGGTTTGGCTATGTCCCCACCCAAATCTCATCTTGTAGTTCCCATAATTCCCATGTGTAGTGGGAGGGAGCTGGTGAGAGGTAATTGAATCATGAGGGCTGTTACCCTCATGCTGTTCTTGTGAAAGTGAGTTCTCATGAGCTCTGATGGTTTTTATAAGAGGCTTTCCCCCAACCTTTGCTCTGCATTTCTCCATCCTGCTAGAAGGGCATGTTTGCTTCCCCTTCTGCCATGATTGTAAGTTTCCTGAGGCCTTCCCAGCAATGTGGAACTGTGAGTCAATAAAACCCTTTCCTTTATAAATCACCCAGTCTCAGGTATGTCTTTATTAGCAGTGTGAGAATGGACTAATACATGTGTACTTTTGTGAACACAGATAAAAGCATTTGTTTTTGTTTCCTTCTTACTTGAGTCCCAGAATTCAAAAACTATTTCTGGGTATTTTTATGGCAATATGATTATTTACCTAAGTCCAAGAAAAATCTACTCTCTCTTTATAGCAGAATACAATACAAAATATTTGTTATATTGCCAAGGCTTCAACTGAAATGTCATATTTGAAAATATAGGTCAGTTGTGGTGGCTTATACCTGGAATCCCAGCATTTTGGGAAACTGAAGTGGGAGGATAACTTGAGGCCAGGAGTTCAAGACCAACCTGAGCAACATAGCTAGATGCTGTCTCTAAAAAATAATAATAATAATTAGCCAGGCATGGTGGCACACACCAATAGTCTTATCTACTTCAGATTCTGAGGTGGGAGGATCACTTGAGCACAGGAATTCAAGGCTTCAGTGAGCTGTGATTGTGTCACTGTACTCCATCCTAGGTGACAGAGTGAGCTCTGTCTCTAAAAAAATAAATAAAAACAAAACATGCATACACCATCTGACTTCAATGGTTCTCAGCCTTACAGTGAGTAAAGAAAAACGATCATTCACTTCCCAGCAGGCCCAGGAACCTTAAGACTATAAGTAAAATCTAAAGTTTGCCTCTGTTTGGCTTCCTAATTTCAAGAGGTTTTTAAATCTGAGATTCCTATAAGATCAATGTGGGGGGAAAAAGTCATGCCTCTAAAGGAGAGCTATAATACAACTGTTATTAAATTGTAGCTCTGTACATTTTCCAAATTCTGTTATGTTCCTCTATTCCAACTTTCTTCTATAAAGGTAGTAAAGTGGGAACTTCTCTGTTCCCAAAGCCCTATTAGCTAAAACAAGATGAATTTTAAGGAACAAGTCTCATGCTTGATGTATGAGCCACAAAGAAAGTTCACCAAACTGCCAATGCTATACCAAGAGACATTGAAACTGCAAATCAGAGTGAGAAGCTGACATTTTCCACACTGTAAACAGCTTTTCCTAAGATTTCAGAACAAGACTCTGTTTCATAATGAGATTTTATCCACCTTAATACTATCTTTTTCATTCGACAGTATAATGGTATAATTAAAATTTCACAATCAGTAGCTTCTGCTGGTAACTTGAGAAAATCTGACCTAAAAAATTATTATGCTGGGCATGGTGACTCATGCCTGTAATCCCAGCACTTTAGGAGGCCAAGGCAGACAGATCACTTGAGGCCAGGAGTTAGAGACCAGCCTGCCCAACATGGCGAAACCCCGTCTCTACCAAAACACAACAGTTAGCTGGGTGTGGTATCACACACCTGTAATCCCAGCTACTTGGGAGGCTGAGGCACAAGAGTCACTTGAACCCAGGAGGTAGAGGTTGCAGTGAGCCAAGCTTGCACCACTGCACCCTAGTCTGGGTGACTGAGCAAGACTAAGACTCTATCTCCAAAAAAAAAAAATTATTTTAGTCCATATAGTGGGAAACTTTAAAAATATCCCTAACACAACTTTTTGTTCTAATTGTACTGATGGTCTTTTTTGTAATATTGGCATTCTCTGCATTGATTCAACCCAGTCATAAAATGCTACTCAGTAGCTACAGCAAGTCTCACCAGATATGCCTGGACTTTTTAATGTTTACAGTTGGTTGCCTTCAAAATTAGATTCATGACTTTGAACTATTATACAAACTGGATTTATTATATAGTTGCTGATTATTTTTTGTAGCATAGTTCTTTAAGCTTTGCTCTTACAGCCTGTCTAATCCTTGTAAAGCAAACTCTCTTAATAGAATAATATTAGCCCAGTGCTTCAAGATGATTGCTGATGCCTATGGAACTGACCATATGGAACTTGATGCTGGATTCCAAACAAACCTGTCCTGAGAGTTTTCCTTCTGGCCTCTTTGTTATTCAAATGTGTCCTGGGACCCTTATATAGACCAACCTATATTCCCCCCAACATGGGACAGACACAATTGTGACAGGTCCATCCTGGCACTGAAGGAAAATTAAGCCTAACTTCAAAATGGTTGATCAGTGCTGCTTTCAGAGAAAGATTTTGATCAAAAGGGGTAAGTGTGAAAGTTGATCATATGAATTGGGTCACTCTTGCCATAACCAACTAAAATAAATCAAGAAGCCAGAGGAAAAGAGACTCAGGAAACATAACACTGCTCCAAGAATGTAATTTTCTGCAAGCTTTCCTGCTAAAGCTGCCTGCTATAGCCTGAGACCAGTTTTATCTAACCGCTACTGAAACAACCTGCTACAACTGTAAGGCTAATGACTACCATTTTCACTCACCGATCAGAGCTTGCCAGCTGCCCCAAACTTTGCTAGTGCCAATGAACTTTCTCAAAGAGGAATACACAACATTTCTCCTTTTTATAAAACCTCCAATCTCCTTTTTATTCTTCAGACATGCGGAGGACCACCCACCTGTGTGTATGCCCCAAATTGCAATGCTTGTATCCCAAGTAAAGCATTAAATAAGTTTTGTCACTACATATTTTATTTAACTTCAACAGAACCCAGAACAGAATGACCATTTAGAATGAAGTCTAAATAATTTTTATGGATATTTGCCTATGGAGAAAAAGTTACAATCTCCCAAAAACATAAAACAATAATGAACAGTTAAGCACCTTGTGCGCGCGCACACACACACACACACACACATTTTACATTCTATAAATATATGTGTGCATGTACATGATATACATATATACACCATTGTGTTAGTCCATTTTCACACTGCTATAGAGAACTACCTGAGACTGCGTAATTTATGAAGAAAAGAGGTTTAATTGACTCACAGTTCCACAGGCTTAACAGAAAGCATGGCTAGGAGGCCTCAGGAAACTTACAATCATGGCAGAAGGCAAAGAGGAGGCAGGCACATCTTACCATGGTGGAGCAAGAGAGAGGGAGAGAACAAAGGGGAAAGTGCCACACACTTTCAAACAACCAAATCTTGTGAGAACTCAGTCACTATCATGAGAACAGCAAGGAGGAAATCTACCCCCATGATCCAGTCTCCTCCCACCAGACCCCTCCCCTGACACATGGAGATTAAAATTCAAGATGAGATTTGGGTGGTGACACAGAGCCAAACCATATCATTCTGCCCCTTGCCCCTCCCAAATCTCCTGTCCTTGTCACATTTCAAAACCAATTATGCTTCCCCAACAGTCTCCTAAAAAGTCTTAATTCATTCCAACATTAACTTAAAAGTTCAAGTCCAAAGTCTCATCTGAGACAAGGCAAGTCCCTTCTGTCTATGAGCCTGTGAAATCAAAAGCAAGTTAGTACTTCCAAGATAGAATGGGGGTACAGATATTGGGTAAATGCTCCTATTCCAAAATGGAGAAATTGGCCAAAACAAAGGGGCTATAGGCCCCATACAAGTCTGAAATCCAGCAGGGTAGTCATTAAATCTCAAAGCTCCAAAATAATCTCCTTTGACTCCATGTCTCAGATTCAGGGACCGCTGATGCAAGGGATGGGCTCCCAAGACCTTAGGCAGATCCTCCCCTGTGGCTCTGCAGGATACAGTCCCCTTGGCAGCCTTCACAGGCTGGTGTGGAGTGCCTGTGACTTTTCCAGGCACATGATGCAAACTGTTGGTGGATCTACCATTCTGGGGTCTGGAGGACAGTGTCCTTCTTCTCACAGCTCCACTAGCCAGTGCCCCAGTGGGGACTTTTTGTGAGGGTTCCAGCCCCACGTTTCCCTTCAAAGTTCTCCATGAGGCTCTGTCCCTGCAGCAGACTTCTGCCTGGACATCCAGACATTTCCATACATCCTCTGAAATCTGCACAGAGATTCCCAAGCCTCAATTCTTGTCTTCCTCTCACCCGCAGGCCCAGCATCACATAGAAACCACCAAGGCTTGGGACTTACACCCTCTGAAGCCACAGCCTGAGCTGTACCTCGGCCCCTTTTAGCCACAGATGGAGCTGGAGTGGCTGGGACACAGGGTGCCATGCCCCAAGGCTGCACAGAGCAATAGGATCCTGGTCTGAGCCCATGAAATCATTTTTTCCTTCTGGGCCTCTGGACCTGTGATGGGAGGGGCTGCCATGAAGCTCTCTGAAATCCCCTGCAGACATTTTCCCCATTGTCTTGGCTATTAACATTTGGCTTCTCTTTACTTATGTAAATTTCTGCAGCTGGCTTGAATTTCTTCCCAAAAAATGGATTTTTCTTTTCTACCATTGTACAGGCTGCAAATTTTCCAAATGTTTTATGCTTTGCTTTCCTTTTAAATAAAAGTTCCAATTTCAGACCATCTCTTTGTGAACACATACGACTGCTGTCAGGAGCAGCCAGGTTATTTCTTGAATGCTTTGCTGCTTAGGAATTTCTTCTGCCAGATACCCTAAATCATCTCTCTGAAGTTCAAAGTTCTATAGATCTCTAAGGCAGAGGCACAATGCCACCAGTCTCTACTAAAGCATAGCAAGAGTGAGCTGTACTCCAGTTCCCAATAAGTTCCTCGTCTCCATCTGAGACCACCTCAACCTGGACTTCATTATCCATATCATTGTCAGCATTTTGGTCAAAACCATTCAACGAGTCTCTGGGAAGTTCCAAACTTTCCCACATCTTTCTGTCTTCTTCTGAGCCCTCCAAACTATTCAAACTGCCCATTACCCAGTTCCAAAGTAGCCTCCACATTTTCAAGTTTCTTTATAGCAGTATCCCACTCCAGATACCATAATCCATATTAGTCCATTTTCATAGGATTATAAAGAACTACCTGAGGCTGGGTAAGTTATGAAGAAAAGAGGTTTAATTGACTCACAGGTCAGCACAGCTGAGGAGGCCTCAGGAAACTTACAATCATAGCAGAAGGAGAAGGGGAACCAAGCATGTATTACATGGTGGAGCAGGAGAGAGAGTGAGCAATGGGGGAAGTACCCCACATTTTCAAACAACCTGATCTTGTGAGAACTCACTATCATGAGAAGAGTAAGGGGGAAGTCTGCCCCCATGATTCAATCACCTCCCACCAGGCCCCTTCCCAAACACATGGGGATTACAATTGGAGAAGAGATTTGGGTGGGGACACAGAGCCAAAGTATATCCACCATATACATATAGCATATACATATATACACATATATACACACCATATACCATAAATATACACAGACGCATATACGTACATACATGTATAAAATGTGGGTATATATGTACATATACATATATGTATATGCATATAGCACATATATACACATAGAGTAATATATATGTACATGTATATACATAGGACACACACAAAAGTGAAAACTTGTAGAAATAAAAGAAACTAACAAATCCACAACCATATAAATTACATGAATACACTTTTCTTAGAAATTGACAGATTAAATAATTGTGGCTACACAATGTCTAAATAATAGGAGATTGACCACATGCAAGAATATCAGAGGGACAAAAAGATTTCTAAAAAGCAGAAATCAGGCCAGGTGTGGTGACTTATGCCTGTAATCCCAGCACTGTGGGACGCTGAGGTGGGCAGATCATGGTCAAGAGCTCGAGACCATCCTGGCCAACATGGTGAAACCCCATCTCTACTAAAAATACAAAAATTAGCTGGGCGTGGTGGCACGCGCCTGTAGTCCCAGCTACACTGGAGGCTGAGGTAGAAGAATCACTTGAACCCGGGAGGCAGAGGTTGCAGTGAGCTGAGATTGTGCCACTGCACTCCAGCCT
Source organism: Homo sapiens (assembly GCF_000001405.40). Lineage (NCBI taxonomy): Eukaryota > Metazoa > Chordata > Mammalia > Primates > Hominidae > Homo > Homo sapiens. The sequence goes on along the minus strand of NC_000013.11, from coordinate 110,736,907 downwards.
GGTGACAGAGTGAGACTCCATCTCAAAAAAAAAAAAAAAAAAAAAGCAGAAATCATGAGGACCAGAGAATGCCTGGCCACAGCATCATAAAATCAGTGATAAAATTAATAGGATAGCTGAAGGAGAGTATTATACCTATGAAAAATTTAAAATGTGCTTCTAAGTAACTACTCACAGAAAATATAAAATTAAAAATACAGTCTATTAGAAATGAATGACATTATAAATATGCAGGATGCAAACAAAGGAGTATTTGGATGAAATTTTACGGTGTTAAATTCATGTATTGGAAAACCAGAAAGACTGAAAATACAAGAGGCTTTTAACTCAAGAAGCTATGAGAAAAAAAACTGAAAGAAATGTAAAAATCAGGCTGATAATATAATAAATCAATAAAAGAAAAATAATAACAGGCCGGGCATAGTGGCTCATGCCTGTAATCCCAGCACTGTGGAGGCCAAGGCAGGTGGATTACCTCAGGTCAGGAGTTCGAGACCAGCCTGGCCAACATGGTGAAACCCCATCTCTACTAAAAACACAAAAATTAGCCAGGGGTGGTGGTGTGTGCCTGTAATCTCAGCTGCTTGGGAGGCTGAGGCAGGAGAATTGCTTAAGCCTGGAAGGAAGAGGCTGCAGTGAGCCAAGATATCACCATCACACTCCAGCCTGGGCAACAGAGCAAGATTCCATCTCAAATAAAAAAAATAAAAAAAAGAATAGATTTAATCAATAAAACCAAATACTGGTTTATTGTAAAGATCAATTAAATGGACTAGTATGTGACAAGCCAATTTAAGAAATAAGAGAGAAGATACAATCGATAATATTAGAAATGAGAAAGGTGATACAACCAGAGTCATCAAGGTGATGAAAAAGTAAGTGCTATGTTCAACAGTATGCCAATGCATTTTAAGACCTAGATGAAATAGAACATTTTCATGGAAAATATAATATGGGATAAAGAAAATAGAAAGTGATAACACTGAGTCAAGAAGAGATAGAGGCCAGGCACAGTGGCTCATGCCTGTAATCCCAGCACTTTGGGAGGCTGAGGCGGGCAGATCATCTGAGGCCAGGAGTTCAAGACCAGCCTGGTCAACATGGTGAAACTGTGTCTCTACTAAAAATACAAACATTAGCCAGGCGCAGTGGCATACCCCTGTAATCCCACCTACAGGGGAGGCTGAGGCAGGAGAATCGTTTGAACCCAGGTGGTGGAGGTTGCAGTGAGCCGAGATCGTGCCACTGCACGCCAGCCTGGGCGACAGAGCAAGACTCTGTCTCAACAACAACAACAAAAAAAAGAGATAGAGACCCTGAAGAGAAGAAATTGAAAAGGTAGTCAAAGACTTACTGCAAAGATTATTGTTTGCCTATTATTTCTAACAAATATTCAAGGGACAAATAATTCCTTGAAGAGGAATTTGCCCTCGAAGGATAAATAAATGCTTCCAGGGCATTAAAAAAAAAAAAAAAAGGTAAACCTCCTAAATTCATTCCATAAGGTTAATATACTCCACACACACACACACACACACACACACACACACACACACACACACACACTACAAGAATAGCTTTTTTAAAAGCCCCATCTCAGAGACACAAACTTACTAATAGAATATTATCAAATCAGGCCTGTCATACCAGCACTTTGGGAGGCCCAGGGAGCCGGATCACTTGAGGTCAGGAGCTCGAGACCAGCCTGGCCAACATGGCGAAACCTTGTCTCTACTAAAAATACAAAAATTAGCCGGGTGTGGTGGCGGGTGACTATAATCCCAGTTACTCGGGAGGCTGAGGCAGGAGAATCACTTGAACCCGGCAGGTGGAGGTTGCAGTGAGTCAAGATTGTGTCACTACACTCCAGTCTGGGTGACAGAGCAAGACTCTGTCTCAAAAAATTATCAAATCAAATACAGTGGTGACTAAAAGAATAATCCATCACAGCCAGGAAGAGTCCATCCCAATAATGCCAAGATTTTTCGAAATTCATTTATTATTATTATTGTTTTTTAAGCTACATATGCTGGAATGGGATCAAAATTTACTGAATTGAAAAAAAAAAGGCCAGTATGGTGTCTCACATCTATAATCCCAACTGCTCAGGAGGCTGAGGCAGGAGGATTGCTTAAGTCCAGGAGTTCAAGGCTGCCGTGAGCTTTGATCGTAGCACTGCACTCCAGCCTGGGTGACACAATGAGACCGTGTCCCTAAAATAAATAAATAAATGGAGAAGATCCACACGTAGCTCACATAGCTATCCTCAGCCTCAACCCCAAAAAAGTATTTGACAGAATTCAGCATTAACTTCTGGCAATACTCTAAAAATACCAAAAATCATAAAAGAAACTTGCCTGTACCTGACAAAACAATATTTTTTGGAAATACCTGGCACATCAGAATAATGGTGACATATTCAAAGCATTTCCATTTGAATCAGAACAAGACTCTGATGCCTGCTATTGCCAACTGTACTTAACCTTTCATTGAAGTCCCAGCTCATTCAGTAAGAGGGAATTAAAGGACGAAAGGAAAGGAAGCAGAGATGCCCACTATCAGTCACGGGCATGGCACTGGCAATGTTGTACTGACAGTCCTCTACCTAGAAAGTCTACGAGAGTCAACTGACAAACTTCTAGAACAAATGAGAAATATCAGCAAGGTGGCCAGATCTGAGATCAACCTACAAACATTAACTTGTTATTACATGTAAATAGGAACCAATGGAGCAAAGTCATGGAAAAAAGATCCATGTGTGGTAGCAACTAAAACACAACACACCAGAAAGAAATGTGAAGAAAACTGTAAAATATAACTGAAGGCTATCATAGATAGCGTGAATAAATGGAAATACTTCATATTCTGCATGAGAAGATTCATGTTCCAAACGTATAGGTGTTCTCCAAGTTAATCTATAATCATTAACGGAAGTGATATGGTTAGGATCTGTGTCCCTGCCCAAATCGCAGGTCAAATTGTAATCTCCCTTGTTGGAGGAGGGGCCTGGTGGGAAGTGACTATGTCATGGGGGTGGATTTCCCCCCTTGCTGTTCTTGTGATAGTGAGTTCTCACAAGATCTGGTTGTTTAAAAGTGTGTAGCACCTCCCCCTTCACTCTCTTTCTCCTTCTCCGGCCATGAAGGACATACCTGCTTCCCCTTTGCCTTTCACCATGATTGTAAGTTTCCCGAGGCCTCCCCAGCCATGCTTCCTGTACAGCCTGCAGAACCATAGGCCAATTAAACCTCTTTTCACAAATTACCCAGTCTCGTGCAGTTCTTTATAGCAATGCAAAAATGAACTATACAGGAAGCAAACAGAGCGCTTGCCTTATTAAATATTAAAAAGTACTATAAAGCTAGTGAAATGAAAACAGTGAAGATTTTTCACTGACATAAATGAATAAATCAGTGGAAACTAACTGAGACACCCACGTGTCTATGAAAATTTAATATATCATAGAGCTGACATTTCATGAATGAGAAGGTAATGGAGTATTCAATACTGGCTTGAGACAATGACCATCTATTTGAGGAAATACTTAGAGGGGTTAATACACATCATTAAGTTATGGCCACTTTTACATATATTATCTGATATGGTTTGGCTCTGTGTCCCCACCCAAATCTCATCTCGAATTGTAATCCCCACATGTCAAGGGAGGGACCTGGGTGAGTCATGGGGGTGGATTTTCCCCATGCTGTTCTTGTTACAGTGAGTTCGTTCTGACAAGCTCTGATGGTTTAAAAGTGCGGCACTTACCCTTTGCTCTCTCTCTCTTCTTCCACCATTAAGACGTGCCTTGCTTCCCCTTCACCTTCCGCCATGATTGTAAGTTTCCTGAGGCCTCCCCGGCCATGCCGAACTGTGAGTCAACTAAATGTCTTTTCTTCATGAATTACCCAGTCTCAGGCAGTTCTTTATAGCAGTGTGAAAATGGACTAATACATTATCTCATTTGAACGTCGTATGAATTAACACTCTGAGGGGTAGGCATCATTACTCATTTTATAAATGAGGAACGAAGGGTCAAGGAAATGAAGAAATTCCACCCAGATCACACAGCTGGTACGTGCCAGAGACTGAAACCAGGTCCTCTGGCTTCAGGGCCAGCACTCTTTCCCTATACCACATGGCATCCCTCACATTCTTCCATTTTGTCAAAGAATTTCAGTGACTCCCCACCCTAAAAACCAAAATAAATTCCAGATGGATAAAAGAGATATTTGAAAAACATGTAAAGACTGTAAGAGAATATTTTATAATTTTGGGGGTGGGAACAACTTTCTTAAGCAAAATATAATATAAATTCTGTAAAGAAGAGAGCTCAGACATGATGATCTCAAAAATTTAAAGCTTTGTTATGACAAAGATGCCATAAACAAATATAAGATAACAGACTTGGAGAAAATTTTTGTCTGTAATAAATAGAAAAATTAATCATTTTAGAATAAATACAAATGGCCAATACCATCTGAAAAGTTGTACAAAGGCAACAGAAACAAGGGAAGCGCAAATTATATATTCTTAATACATATGTTTATATACCTAAAATATACAATATGAGCCAGGTGTGGTGGCTCACGCCTGCAATCCAGCACTTTGGGAGGCTGAGGCGGGTGGATCACCTGAGGTCAGGAGTTTGAGACCAGCCTGGCCAACATGGCGAAACCCTGTTTCTACTAAAAAAAAAAAATACTAAATTTAGCAGGGCATGGTGGCAGGCAACCATAGTCCCAGCTACTTGGGAGGCTGAGGCAAGGGAATTGCTTGAACCTGGGAGGTGGAGGTTGCAGTGAGCCAAGGTTGTGCCACTGCACTCCAGCCTGGGTGACAGAGCGAGACTCTGTCTCAAATAATAATAATAATAAAATATACAATATGGATATATTATATATGTATGTACTATATATGTAATATTTTAATTATAAATATAATGTATTACATAACTATGTATAAATGTTTTTTCTCAAGACAGGAAAAATTCTATTTGGTTAATATCCAATGACAGCAAAGGTAAGGAGAAGTAAGTACTCACAGATGCTGGTGGGATATATCTTAAAGTAGATAACATAGAAATCTTAGAGGCCTTCCTGGAACTGGGCTTAATCAGATGTCAGCATGGTGGATTAGCATGTAAGAATGGAGTTGCCTTAGCCTCTACAGATGGTGTGAAAACCTTTTTTGCTAAAATTTTATTTCTGTGTATCAATCATAGAGAAATATTCATATGCAGGATGAAAACAATACACAGATATTTATCTCGGAATGGTTTGCCATAAAGAAAAATTTGAAACACTCTAATCATTGATCATTAAAGGAATGTTTCAATTATAGCATATCCATAGGACATAATTGTTTGTGATAGTTAATAACATGTCAATTAATTTTTATGTATTGATATGGAATGACCAACAGGGCAAAGTATTACACAGGGGAAAAAAATTGCTTATTGCAAATCAATACATAGGGTATGATCGCATTTCTGTAAAAGAAAAAGTAAAGCAAAACTGTATCTTTACATAGGTATTGTTCTGGTTATCTACTGCAATATAACAATTCACCCCACAGTGTAATGGCTTAACACAGTGACATTTAATTTGCTCATGAATCTGCCATTTGGGCAGGGCTGGGAAGGGACAGTTTGTTTCTGCTCCACTGGGTGTCAGCTGGAAGCTGGGGCTGGTAGCGCCTTCAAGCGATCTTGCCCATGTATCTGATGGTTGGCACTAGCTACCAGTTGGGACCTCAGCTGAAGAAATGGCTGGAACACCTGTGTGCAGCCCTTCCAGGAGGCAGACTCCCAAGTGTGAGCATCCACAGACAGGAAGGGATCAGTCAGAAACTGTGATTGTTGCGCTGCCTTGGAAGTCTCATGGTGTCACGTCCCATGCATTCTCCACGTTAACCCAGGCATACAGGCTCCTCTGCAGTTAAGGGAGGGAAACCAGGCTCCACTCGGATGGGAGGAGTGTGAGGTTTGTGCACATTTCAAAACCACCCTAAAAGTGTGTGTATCATCTCATAGAAAAAGAGCTGTGGGCTGGTCATGGTGGCTCAAGCCTGCAATCCCAGCATTTTGGGAGGCCAAGGCGGGCAGATCGCCTGAGGTCAGGAGTTCGAGACCAGACTGGCCAATATGGTGAAACCCCGTTTCTACTAAAAATACAAAAATTAGACAGGCGTGGTGGTGCACACCCATAATCCCAGCTACTAAGGAGGCTGAGGGAGTAGAAGTGCTTGAACCTGGGAGGTGGAGGTTGCAGCGAGCCGAGATCCAGCCTGGGCAACAGAGTGAGACTCTGCCTCAAAAAAAAAAAAAAAAAAAAAAAAAAAAAGAAAGAAAGAAAGAAAAAAGAAAAAGAGCTGGAGAGATAGATGCCCACCAACCGCTGATGACTGTTGACTTGGGGAAGTTGGGAGGATTGGGAAATAGAGGTGGTGGGTGAATTGGTTAGTATGCAAACCCAGCTTGAACTAGCTTAAGAACAAAAGGATTTATTGACCTCCATAACTGACAGTTCCAGGGTTCATGTGGCTTCAGGGGTTTCAACAATGCCATCAGGACACTGTATTTCTCTCCATTTTCCAGGCTGACTCTCTGTGTGCTGGGTAAGATACCACCAGGTGTCCAGGCATACATCCTCATGGTTTAGCAGCAACAATGAAAAGACAAAAGGTATTTTTGCTGGTGGCTCCAGAAGAAAAGTCCCAGGAAAGATAGGTAGTGATGGATGTGGGGTACCTGCCCATTCATACCCTGGTCACTGTGGCCAGCAGGGTGGGGCACCTTAATGGACAGACCTTGGTCACATGCCTACCTCTTCAGCAACTGCTTGCCATTTTTGCTCTGATTTCTTTTGTGTTGACACACGGAGAATTCTCTTGTGTTTCCTCTTGGGTATGTATTTAAAACCTTTCCCTTCCCCCATATTTCATACAAAATTTGTATGTGTTTAGGGACTAGCCTAGTCCACCATGTTGAAACGATGCTCTTCATGGCTTCTATAAGATTGAGCAGACCAGCCTGGGCAACATGGTAAAACACTGTCCCTCCAGAAAATACAAAAAACTAATTAGCTTGGCAGGGTGGCGCACGCCTGTGGTCCCAGCTACCAGGGAAGCTGAGGTGAGAGGATCATCTGAGCCTGGGAAGTGGAAGCTGCAGTGAGCCAAAATCTTGCCACTGTTCCATAGCTTGGGCGACAGAGCGAGACCCTGTCTCCAAAAAAGAAAAAAAAGATTGATAGTACCAACTGACTTCCTGCTGTCTGGTTGATAGCCATTAGTTTCCAGATCTTTGTTTCTAGGTTTGACCCTCTGCTTTCCCTGCACTAGAGGAATGTTGGCCTGGCACCCTATAAAAAGATTTCAAGTCGCCCCATCATTGAAGAGAGGAACACAACGCCTTTGGTAATAGAACAATATTTTATCCCATGAACACACTGCAGTGACATAATTTCACAGTAAAGCCAGAAATGTCATTCATTAGCTTCTCCCCTATGCTGGATATTAAGAATATAAATAAAACTGTCATAAGAGTCATTCTACAAAATAACATTATAGAAATATAAGAGGAAATAAAATTAGTAAATCTGTCCATGTATTTTGGTTCCTCAAGAAACAGTATTCCTGGTATTATTAAATTTGTTCTTCTATGGTCTATTTATGTCTTATATTTTTCAAAATTTAGGTTGCACTGCATCCTCAGTGGCAGGAGTTGTAACCTCATGTAAGATCTGCCTCACACCAGTGTCCTGTGAGAGCTTATCACAGTCCTCCCGTGCTGCTTTCCTTTGACCTTTCTAGATCATTCCTGAAGTATGGAGCCACATGCAGTAAGCCTCACAAGCTGTTTCCTAATTGTCCTCACACATTCTATTCCCATTCCTCCCCTGCAGTGCAATCTAGCTGTTACTTCTGTAGACTGGGTTCTTAGCTGCTCATCTTTTTATTCTCCACATCCGACTTGGCACTTTCTAAAGAATTAACGTCTTGACTGGGCGCAGTGGCTCACACCTGTAATCCCAGCACTTTGGGAGGCTGAGGTGGGTGGATCACCTGAGGTCAGGAGTTCGAGGCCAACTTGACCAACATGGCAAAACGCCGTCTCTACTAAAAATACAAAAATTAGCCAGGCGGGTGGCTGTAATTACACGTGGCGGGTGCCTGTAACCCAGCTACTCAGGAGGCTAAGACATGAGAATCGTTTGAACCCAGGAGGCGGAGGTTGCAGTGAGCTGAGATCGTGCCATTGCACTCCAGCCTGGGAGACAGAGCAAGACTCCATCTCAAAAAAAAAAAAAAAGAAAGAAAAAAAAAAGAATTAAACTTCTTGGTCGAGTGTAGTTTTCAAAATTTGCAAAGTGAAATGGTTCTTACCAGCCTTCCAAGATGCCAAGGAAGGTCATCCTTGTATATCTTGACTTTCAACTACCTCATATTATTGAAGATCTTTGTGTCATAAAAGTATTTCATTGTTAGTTGACTTCTAATTTCTCATGTTTATGGAACAGATTGATGGTGCAAAGAGTCATAAATATTTTGAAAATTGTGTATATTGGCCATGGAAAACTATAATTTCCCCTCTTCCATCTAACTTTTACTTACTTTAAAATACAAAAATTAATTTCCATTCCCTGAACACATCCCAATTAAAGGGAAAAGAATTAAGCCAGAGCCAGTAGCTGTCAGGGTGGCACAAGCGTCTATTCAAACACAGCACCTATCAGGGCAAGTGTTTGTTTTTGGTTTTGGTTTTGTTTTTGAGACGGAGACTCGCTCTGTCGCCCAGGTTGGAGTGCAGTGGCATGATCTCGACTCACTGCAACCTCTGACTCCCGGGTTCAAGTGATTCTCCTGCCTCAGCCTCCCGAGTAGCTGGGACTACAGGCAAGTGCCACCACGCCTGGCTAATTTTTTGTATTTTTAGTAGAAACGGGGTTTCACCATGTCGGCCAGGATGGTCTCAACCTTCTGACCTTGTGATCCACCCGGCTCAGCCTCCCTAAATGCTGGGATTACAGGCTTGAGCCACCACACCTGGCCGGGGAAGTGTTTTTAAAATGGAAAGATTTGCTCTAACATAGCACCTGACTGTCCACAACAGACTCCAGCAGCTCAGTGTCCACCACACCATCTACCCCTTGGCCACGGTGAGCCTCGTGGATGGGTCTCCACCTGGTCCGCACTGTGTCTGAACACATCTGTGCTGCAGAGAAAAATCCTTGCTGCGGTGTCCTCATTGCTCTTCCGATTCCTGAATTTTCTGACACTTCTCTTATCTTTCCTGTCTTTGCTTGAGACATAGTCAATTATTGTTACTTGCAACCAAAAGATGCTCAAATAATAGAGAAAATAAGTATTTATCTAACAATTTCTTATGTTAAATAAACACTTTGGGAGACAGCAAACTGTTTCCAGGCATCTTTGTAAATGGATACATTGTTAAACTCTGTGATTGATCATTACATTTGTTTTTATAAAATTTTATAATAAAAATTTTATAATAAAAATAAAATTTATTAAATGTAATAAAAATATTACATTAATGTCTCAAATATTACATGTCTCAAATATGTAATGACATTACATGTCATTACATGTCTCGTTACATTACATGACATTACATGTCTCATTACATTAATGTCTCAAATATTAATCATTTAGAAATATTGCATTTCCAATGGCATACAGATTTATCCAAAAATATTCCCTTCACACAAATCAAACTGAAATTCCCTTTTAGGTGTGTTTTTAGAACTGGTTTCCAAGTTAGAAAAGAAAATGTTTCATGTTTAAATGTCAATTCTTGGATTCAGGCTTTACTCTACACGTCTTTATTAAAGGCCTATGGCTTAACACGAGAGACCCACGGTTCCTAACGTCCACATAAATGAGAACAGGTGCACCCATGAAACAGCATGGCTGATGAAGCGGGGGAGTGGCTCTGGCCTGGAGTAACAGCACTTCATCCTGCCGGCAGCCCCACCACCAACTCACGGAGTGCCTTTGAGGAAGTGGCTTCATCACCCTTGGGCCTCGGTTTCCTCACCCACACAGTGAAGAGATTGAATGAGATTTTCTGCCTACTCTGAATTCAATCAAGAGGTGAGTCAAAAGGAAGTTTAGTAGGCTCTGATTGCTACTAAAAATAAAAATTCGATGTATTTACTTCTGTGTTCTACAACGAGAAATGGAATTGTTTATAGAAAAGCAGCCATGGAGGACTTCCTCCTCGTGCAGCAGGAACCTGGCAGTGACCGCTAACATGCTAAGGGTGGACTTGATTCTCTTTAGCTGTAAGGAATCACAAGTCCATTTTTTAAGAATACATGTGTTAAACTAGAATAATTTGACCAAAAATATTACTCAAATTGTTATCTGTACAGTGCTCTAGCATTTCTGAAGTATTTTCAGACATTAACAAGTCTGGGCCTCCACTCCTGGGATGGGCATTATCACTGTCCTTATTTTGCTTCTGAGAACATTGGGTACAGAAGAGTGACTTCCTTGAGGTTAACCTGTGATAAACTAGTCCTGATTCAAATCTGACTTTGACTCTCATGCTGATTCTAGCACCGTGCATGGCTCCTAGTGAATTGCTTAAAACCTTGCAGGTAGGCTGGGCACGGTGGCTCATGCCTGTAATCCCAGTACTTTGGGAGGCCGAGGCGGGCGGATCACCTGAGGTCAGGAGTTCAAGACCAGCCTCACCAACATGGAGAAACCCCGTCTCTACTAAAAATACAAAATTAGCCAGGTGTGGTGGCGCGTGCCTGTAATCCCAGCTACTCGGGTGGCTAACGCAGGAGAATTGCTTGAACCCGGGAGGCGAAGGTTGCAGTGAGCAGAGATTGCGCCATTGCACTCCAGCTTGGGCGAAACTCCATCTCGAAAAAACAAAACAAAACAAACAAACAAAAACCTTGCAGGTAAATTACAATCCTAAAATTCACTGTAGGGCAAAACAAGAAACTTGAAGTAAGCATCCTGGTTTACCTGGAGGAAAATCAGAAGCATGAGAACTTGGTAGTGCAAATACCCGTGGCTCCTGCAGATCCCTTCATTCAGGCAAAGAAGCCCAGCAATTAAGACTTTTTCGCTCTCTCCTCCCGTGAGACCATGAGCGTTTCTTTCACCTTCTATGGCTTTCTCAGTTGTAAGACCCCCACAGAGCTGGGAGGACAGCACACTCCTGGCATGTTAGGCGTTCAGGGAAGACCAGCAGCAACGCCAGGTCCTGACCATGAGGAGGCCTCCGGGTGCCAGGCGGTGGTCAAGGATGCTGGTTTTGGAGCCAGATGCAGGGCGTTGGCCTTGTGCAAGTCAGGTCCCTGGCTGGAGTCTCAGCACCTTCATCAGGAAAAGCAGCCATTTTTTGGCAGGGTTGTCATAAAATATGAAGTATGCAGTGCTAGCAATGTCTAGCATATAGGAGGCAATAAATGGTGGCTATATTGATATACATACACCACGACACTGAGTACCTTTATTTAAAGTTGCCTGCTGAAACAAGCATTTTCTTGTTTCGTAGAAAATTCTACTTTAATATAAAATATTATACCATTGAAGAGTTTGGATGTGTAACTTGTGATGCCTTAGAAAAATATCCTAAGGGGCTAGGTGCTGTAGCTCATGCCTGTAATCCCAGCACTTTGGGAGGCTGAGGCGGGTGGATCACCTGAGGTCAGGAGTTCGAGACCAGCCTCACCAACATGGAGAAACCCCGTCTCTACTAAAAATACAAAATTAGCTGGGTGTGGCGTGGTGGCGCCTGCCTGTAATCCCAGCTACTTGGGAGGCTGAGGCAGGAAAATCTCTTGAACCCAGGAGACGGAGGCTGCAGTGAGCCAAGATTGCGCCATTACACTCCAGCCTGGGCAACAAGAGCAAAAATCCGTCTCAAAAAAAAAAAAGGAAAAAAGAAAAAGAAAAAAATCCTAAGCACAAAATAAATTTTTCTAACCACTTCAAAAAAAAAAAAAGAAAAAAAGAAAATTTCTACTTTAGCCAGGCACGGTGGCTCACACCTGTAGTCCCAGCACTTTGGGAAGCTGAGGCAGGTGGATCACCAGAGGTCAGGAGTTCAAGACCAGCCTGGCCAACATGGTAAAACCCTGTCTCTACTAAAAATACAAAAATTAGCCGGGTTTGGTGGCACACGCCTGTAATCCCAGCTACTCGGGAGGCTGCAGCAGGTGAATAGCTTGAACCCAGGAGGCGAAGGTTGCAGTGAGCCGAGATCGTGCCATTGCACTCCAGCCTGGGCAACAAGAGCAAGACTCTGTCTCAAAAAAAAAAAAAAAAGAAAAGAAAAAAGAAAAAGAAAAATTTTACTTTAATGGAGTTTACTGGCTCCAGTCAAGATTTAACCTGGGCTGGGCGTGGCGGCTCACACCTGTAATCCCAGCACTTTAGGAGGCTGAGGCGGGCGGATCACGAGATCGGGAGTTTGTGACCGTCTGGCCAACATGGTGCGACTCTATCTCTACCAAAAATACAAAAAAATTAGCTGGGCGTAGTGGTGCATGCCTCTAATCCCAGCAACTCGGGAGGCTGAGGCAGGAGAATCGCTGAACCCAGGAGGCAGAGGTTGCAGTGAGTTAAGATCAGGCCACTACACCCCAGCCTGGGTGACAGAGCAAGACACCGTCTCAGGGGAAACAAAAAAAAAAAAAAAAAAGATTTAACCTGTTACTCAGTTTGTAGTAGCTTCTTTTCAGATTGGGGTTTTTAATTGGAAAAATACCAACCCCATCTTTATGAACAGTCAAGTAATACAGAGTATTTGAGGTAAGGAAAGAGAACTGGCCTAATGATTTTCTTCATTCCAGTTATAGAATTCCTCTCATTCTTTTGGTGGCACAGGGGGCACAGCTCACTAATGTTTGGTTTGTTAGAAAAAAATGTAATAGTTGGATTCTCACTGATGAGCTGCTTAAAAAACAAAGACGGAATAGTTAAAATAAATACTCTGAAACAAAGCCCCTCATAAAAAGCCTCAGGAGGCAATTTTGACTTAGTAACACAACACACATTTGCTCTCCCACCTCCTTCCCATTAGCGGTGTCTTCCTAAGCCCTCCACGAGTTCACAATGAGAGCCTGTGCAGAGAACACGAGTGCCTCAAGAAATGCAGTCACGGACTAGCAATTTTTCCAGATTAAAAAAACCCCGGAAATCTAGCCCCCAAGGTGCTGAGAACTGCCTGGACTCTGCGATGAAAGAGGCACATTCTACACGCTAAAATGGAGAGGGAGGCAGACAGTATCAATAAAACCTCTCTCCATATATGCCAAGGATTCTAGAGCCATAAATTACATTAGATAGAAGGAAAAAAGCTAGATGTCCTCGAGAGCACATCATGTCTTTAGAAGTGCACAGATGAAGCTCTTAATCATTTTGCCTAAGAAAAAGATTTAATACTTTAATGAAATATTGAAGTGTTCAGGTAAGTTCCAGGTAACTTATTACCTGGAACACTACATAAATGTGAACTACAAAAGGATATCACAACTAAATGTGTACTCTTTCTAAAATAATATATAATAAGAGGAAATGGCTTTTACTTTGATAAATGCTTTATTCAGCATTGGCAACCACCGACAGTCTCAAGTATTGAGACAACTCACATAGCTCTAATCACACCAAAAGAGAACCACCAGCCAACGTCCCAGTCACTGGCAAGTGCGTGCCTGCAGGTCTGTGACTCCTGCAGCACCTCTCTCAGCACCTGGGGAGCCTGTCCCAGGAACACCATGGCTGCTCAACACTTCCTTGAACATACAACGTTTCTTTAGTCCAGTTTACAATAGAAAGTATTATATCATAACGAAAACACTTTGGACCCTTTATCTGAACTGTAATAACTTGGTTATTATACAACAAATATGCATTGAACATCTAAGTAAAAGCAACTGTTCTATATTAGATCGCTTTTCAGTAATCTATTTTTCAAAAAGAATTCAGTACCATTTTTGTCCTCATGTCGGGATTCCAGGATCTTTCTATTGTATCTAATCATGATCTAAATCCCAAATCTTGAGTGTTTTAAGTACTTATCTGTGATTTTTTTTTAATGTCCACTGGAAATAACAAGAGTGATTTAAGACTGCCAGTCCAACACGACTCTGTATTGTATCTATTTTTTTTTAAAGAATAAGTGGCTACCCACCTGTCCTTATGAGAAACTTGAAGAAAGCTAGAGAAAAATTATCCAACATTTGAATATGCCAGTGCATTTATTTATTGGAACCACCCTCTGTGAAACATACTTTAAAAGTGTAGAACTATAGACCAACTGTTAAGCAATTTATTCAAGATCAAGCCCTTAAAGGACAGGGCTGGGCTCCTAGATTGCAAGGCTTGGCCTCTGAGCCATCTCTCTTCACCAGTTGTCTACACCAAAACTGAATATGAAGAAATCCAGGATGAGCAACTGCATTTCATTGAATCTTCATTTCTATAACTTAATTTGCATTATTACCTCCAATTAATATAGAAGTGAAAAATTAGCATGAAATTTTATATAAGCAAAGACTCAAGCTATTTTTATTGTCACTGGATGTTTATTAAGTATTTTAGTTTCATAACTTATTTTCATAAACCTTTTGTTCACTATTTGTTTGGGTAAATCTCATCAAATTTAAACACCCGAGACTCTTAAATGTTCTGGAGTTTTGTGGGAAAATAAACACCTATTTGTAAGTATTGATATGTAAAAAGTTCAAATTTTAGTATATGACCAACTACAATTTGCATTTCTCTACCAAGTAACCCTCTATAATGGAATTTCACTGTAAAACAGACACTTATGTCCAGCACAAATAAAGTTCACAATAATTGTTTATCACAAGTAAACAATCAGCAAACTTAATGTTTTACTTATAATAAATACATGCCATATACTTAGATTCTAGAAAGTCATCACTCACTACTTCTTTGTGGTAGGTAGCTTCACAGAGACTGTGAAACAGATCATGGAAAGAAACTGATTTTACCATGTGCGAAGTTAAAGGGAACCACGTATCACTCAGCGCACGGTGGCTCACGCCTGTAATCCCAGCACTGTGGGAGGCCGAGGTGGGCGGATCATGGTCAAGAGCTCGAGACCATACTGGCCAACATGGTGAAAACCCATCTCTACTAAAAATACAAAAATTAGCTGGGCATGGTGGCACGCACCTGTAGTCCCAGCTACTCGGGAGGCTGAGGCAAGAGAATCGCTTGAACCCGAGAGGCAGAGGTTGCAGTGAGCCAAGACTGGGCCACTGCACTCTAGCCTGGAGACAGAGTGAGACTCCATCTCAGAAAAAAAAAAAAAAAAAAAAATGAAAACTCCAGCCGGGCACGGTGGCTCACACCTGTAATCCCAGCACTTTGGAAGGCTGAGGCAGGTGGATCACCTGAGGTCGGGAGTGCGAGACCAGCCATGACCAACATGGAGAAACCGCGTCTCTACTGAAAATACAAAATTAGCCAGGCGTGGTGGTGCATGCCTGTAATCCTAGCTACTGGGGAGGCTGAGGCAGGACAATCGCTTGAACCTGGGAGGCGGAGGTTGCGGTGAGCCAAGATTGCGCTATTGCACTCCAGCCTGGAACTCAATCTCAAAAAAATAAAAAATAATAAATGAAAACTCCACTGACCCTTTCAATATGTGGGCAAATCAATGTTAGATGCTAGTCTAAATCAGAGGTCAGCAAACCCTTTCTGCAGAGGGCCAGAAAATAGTTTTGGCTTGTCAAGTCAAATGGTTTCAGGTGCAACTATTGAACTCTGCCGTTTTGCAAAAGCAGTCAGACAATACATACGCACATAAGCACGGCTGTGTTCCGCTGAAACTTTATTTATGGACACTAGAATTTAAACTTCATATAATCTTCAAACAGATGGTGGGCTGAACTTGACAAGTGGGCAGTAATTTCCTGACCCAGGGTCTGAATACAGATTCTTTTTTGACACGTATTTATTTGCTGGCAATTAAGTAACTTCTACTTCATTATTAATAATAAGTGAGAACAATAATACAAAATTTGCTTAAGGCTTTGTCTAAATTGCTGGTGTATAAATTTTTAAGACAAATTTTAAAAGTTACTTATGTCAAAATTAAATATACTACTAGAGGAACAAACTGGCCAAGTTTCATTTATTTCTTCACGTAACATTTTTACAGCTCACATACAGCAGGAAGCACACCTTTGCACATAATTGTGACATTAGCTTCACAACAGCATCTGCTGACTGCACTTCCAATTATAATATAACAAGTGCAAGTTCATTTGGAAATGTACATTTATACACCTGATATAAATTAAAGATGGGTACACTATGATTGGTGATAGCAAAAGCATGACTTGAGGTTCCTTGACTAGACCACTTAAGAGAAGTGTACCCAAGCATTTTAAAATGGCCATTTGGGGAACAGGCCAATAGATAAAATATCTGTCATGTAAAATTTAACCATTTACCTTTTTAAAAAATAATCTTCAAACTTTAAACCTTTGTTACTGAATTGTTATATGGATATACATCATGGCAGCAAGAAACACATTTACTATAGGCTGTATTTTTGGCGACATGGCCAATTAAAAAAAATTGTTCATAAAGTAATAATATTACTTGTATTAAAATAAAAAAGCTAAATGAAATATTTTCCTTCCACATTTAATGTGTTAGGTTGAGTTTAGTCCCCCTCCTCCCGCAAGAAATCAGTCTGAGACTTAAGTGTTGAATCAAACCTATATTTGTAGTTTCTAAAATGCTGATCCACAGACCACTTTCTTGTTACACGTGTACCAATGAAAACAAAAGGCAAACAGAATCACTGCCATCCCTATGAAAGGAATGGTTCCTTTACTAACATTCTTTAAAAATATACATTTTACACTCCTTGCACCTCAACAAAGGCAGCAATGTAATAAATACACGGTTTATTTTGTCCTCCTCACACCAGGCGCCTGTCCACAAACTACCTGTTGTAAGCCCTCTCTTTTTTGGATTTCTCCAGGGCTTTGTCCATGGTCTTCTCGTTCTCCCCCCGGCACTTGGGACAGTACCACTTGCCCTTGGGTTTATGATTGAGCCCCACGCACGAGAAGTGGAACCACTCGATGGGGCACTCGTCGTTGTCGCAGCCGATCATCTCCCCATAGGAGACCTGGTTGCACAGACAGTACGTGGGTTCGTTGGGGTCGATGGGGAGGTCGGCAGGGGACGCCTCTCGCTCCGCCTTGGCCTTGGAGCGCTTCTTCTTCTTGGAGGTCTTGGCCTTCTTCTCCTTGGGTGTGCCCGAGGCGCCGTCGTCGTGGTCGTGGTTGCTGGACGCGTTCTCACGGTTCTCGTTGTTGCGCTGCCGCCGTGAGCGCTTGCTGTTGGGCTTGTCAGCCTGCGCTGCCGCCTCGCCTTTGGGCCTGTCCGCGCCAGCCTTGCCGCTGTTGCCCGCTGTGTCGCCCAGCTCCTGCTGCGCCTCGAACAGCTCCACGTGGCTGTCCACCTGCCGCGTGCGGTTCTCCACCAGCTCCACCATCTGGCTCACGATCTGGATCTTCTCGTCGCCCAGCTCCTGGCTGCGGATCAGCGCGCGCTGCACACAGTGCAGCATCCGCCGCTTCTGCGCCCCGTCTGTCTCGCGACTGAAGCGCTCGTAGCACTCGTCTAGCTCCTTCAGGATCTCTGGGGGCAAGAAGGACAGGCGTCACTCGCGAGCAGGACACCGGGACAACCCACACGGCCCCGGACGGGTCTACGGAGAGGGCTGGCAGGGAGCCTAGGGGCCAGCGCACGGCTTGCCCAGAACAAAGCCCACCAGCCACAGGCTCTCCCGGGCCTATCTGTTCCTGTGCTAACCACAACACAACACAACACAACACAACACAACACAAATGCCGGCCCAGCTTCCACAGCGGCAGGAGCCGCTCCAGCCACCCCAGGGAACCTGAGAACAGTTCCCAGGCACGCACGGGTGACAACGCCCGAAGCCATTAAGAGGAAACGTTTAAATGAGGTGCAGTGCTCGGGACCCAACATTTATTAATACTTTCTATTAATGACTATGTCTATACTGCCATCATTTTTACTCAAATGTTTCTATTTGAATACAATTATTAATATACATATAACATTATATAAACATGGTATTTATTACATTTATACACAATATACAAACATTAATAAAATATATTATAAATTATTTGAATATTTCAAATAAAAAAGGTCTTTATTTTCTTTATTTTAATATACCAACATCTAGAATACCCTGTTAAATGAGAGAATGTGTATAAATTTATATAATAGCTCTCTATGATTTAAAGAACCGGGTTAACAGTAAAGGTCCAGGATACTTTGTGACTTAGGTCCTCAGTTTCAGTCCCCACATTTATTCTAGCATGTTATCCCTCTGTATTAGTGACAGCAAGAACAGTTCTGCCACAATAATCCAGAAAACCTAGCTTTGCTTTATTATTATTACGACTTGTTATTATTTTGGAGACAAGGTCCGTCTCTGTCGCCCAGGCTGGAGTGCAGTGGTGCAATCTCGGCTCACTGCAGCCTCGACCTCCCAGGTTCAAGGGACCCTCCCACCTCAGCCTCCTGAGTAGCTGGGACTACAGAAGCACCACTGTGATGGGCTATTATTATTATTTTTTAACTGCAGTGAATGCACTAGCCTTGCTTTAAAGCGAAGCTGGTAGGTTTTACTTTTGCATCTACTGCTTAAACAAAAACATCTTCACATCTGTTAAAGTCAATGGACTTTAAAATGTTATCAAAAACAAAAGAAAACCTCTTCAGTATTTAAATGTAAACCTTCCTGGGCATGTTAGAGGACAGTGTATATGATTTTAAAGTGTAATTTGGCAAGTGTAATTAGGCAATTTCTCAAGAAACAAAAGCTATTAAAAAATCTAGTTGAAGTAAACAGCCTTGCTAAAAAGGCTACTTAAATACACAGAAATTCCAGAGTTCTTTTTCCTCAAACAGTAACCATTAAATTAAACAGTACCAGATTATTCTCCTAAAACCTTTTTGCAGTCTCTTTAAACAAGGCAACAATACTACCTTTTTTTGTTGTTGTTGAAACGGAGTTTCACTCTTGTTGCCCAGGCTGGAGTGCAATGGCGCGATCTCAGCTCACTGCAACCTGCCTCCCAGGTTCAAGCGATTCTCCTGCCTCAGCCTCCCGAGTAGCTGGGATTACAGGCATGTAATACCACGCCCGGCTAATTCTGTATTTTCAGTAGAGACAGGGTGTCTCCATGTTGGACAGGCTGGTCTCCCAACTCTCGACCTCAGGTGATCCGCCCGCCTCGGTCTCCCATGGTGCTGGGATTACAGGAGTGAGCCACCGTGCCTGGCCAACAATACTACTTGTAAACTAGGGGAGGGGCTGAGAGTGGGAGGGATTGTCTAAAATGTTACCCCCTTCCTTTCCAGATCTTATCTCCAAATAGTTATAAGACATATACCTAACACTAGAGTAAACATAAGAACTCAGGCCAACGCTGAAGCTTCTCTAAATGGTAATATTTTCCAGAGTATATTCTCAAACTAAAGACAGCTTTGAAGACTCCTAGAGGAACAATGCAGGCTGCCTGCCACCAGGAGGAAAGCCCTAGTCTCATATAGTAATTAATTATAAAAATAAATAGCTGTGTTCAACGTATCCAAGTAATACCAATTTATTCAACTTATTTATCATAATGTTAAAATATGTGTACCATTTATTTTTAAATGGATTTAGGGTTACAAAATGGTATCACTTCTTTTCATCAGTAATCAAAGTTCTAAAGACAATATTGTCATTTCACAGAAAACTGTATCATATAAATTTAAAATTTAATAACACAGAAGTTATTTTACATCACAAGCAAGCTTCCATCCAGGTGAAGCCTAATTTGTGGGCAAGAGAAACAGATATCCCATCGCAAAATTACCAAGAAGTATTTCTGTTACCTAATATTTCTTTGATACTCCAAGCAAAGTATTTTATCAACAAAGCCACTAAGTACAAATATTTATAAACAGGAACAACACCACTGCTAAATAGGAAGCCATCCTTCCAGACACTCTGCTTTTTCAATGCCAGCAACTCAGCTTCAGACACTACTGCCTTTTTTCCAAACATATTCCACACCAACATTACCATGGAAAGCAGCAGCACATGCAATTTACAGATTAAATGGGGTTGTAGCAACATTTAAATTGGTTTGTCCAATTATTTTAAATGTATTTTAATTTTACATACGGGTTGCACTGAAGTTCTTTATGAAGCGAACTTCCCAGGGGGTGGGTGGGTATTTTTATGATAATGTTTGAAAAATAATTCAAGCAACCTCAAACACCATTTTAAATCGACAAACTAATTATAATCCAAGTTTATGAATTAACATACAACTGATGCCTACTAAGCAAAAGACGTTTGACTTCCTACAGAGTAGGTCTGTGGAAGTCTTTCAGAACTACGCGGCAGAGCTCAGCATTTACACCGAAGTCCAAGGAGCTGTGACCCTTGCGACAGATTCGCTCGCTTCTCGGCGCTCCCAGCTGCGCCGCTCCAGTACTCCCGGGGGGGCAGGACTGTGATCTTTCCTGAAGCCAAAAAGTTCATCACCCTAGGTGAACATGAAGCAAGCAGCAAGCCAGGCTCTCCCCAGCAACGACAGGAGGACAAAGTGGCTCCATGAACTTTGCTGTCTGGACAGCTGGAACCCTGCACCCCGCCCCGCGCTACTTTTTTCTATCGTCGAACGATCAAAGTGGTCTCAGCCCCTGCCTTCCTTCCGTCCGGAGCCCCAGGGTCACCCCACGGGGCCCGTCCGGCCCGAGGACAGCACCTTCCAGAAAAGTTTCTGCGCCGAGGGTCCCCCTCGTGGACGCAGCCCCAGTCACTCACGTTTCCACGGCCACGCGCGGCCCCACCCTCGGGTCAGCAGAGATGCGGCCTGAAACTGTCTCCGAGCCGGCCCCGCGGGTCGCGGGAGGCGGTCCGAACTGCAGCCCCGGCCCCGAGCCCACAGGCCCGGGATCACTGCTACTGCTATAAATCCGCGCCCGAAAGTGGCCGGGCTGAGCGGGGAGAGGGGCCGGGGCGACACCCGCCAGGCCTCCAGCCAATGGGGAGGAGGCCAGCGGGAGACTCGCCCCGCACCCCGAGAGCCGCCGCCTATGGGAATCGCCGATTTGGAGGGCGGAGGCCAGGAGGAGAACCAACCACACCGCAGGGCGGAAGAGCACGGCCCGCCCCAGCAGCGAGAAGAACCAATCCAAGGCTGGAGGCCGAGCGACCCGAAGACGTTCAAATCAACTCGTCCACCCTCCACCCCGCTCCTCCCCGAAAAAGAAAAAAGAAGACAGCGGAAACACAGACCCATACCAGTTATTGCGCTAGGCCCGCCTTCATCCGCCTCAGCGACCAATCGTTCCGCAGGGGAATGATAAGGACATTCCACGAAGGACATCACAGCCAACTACTGGGGGGCTGAGGCGGGACGTTCCATAATATGCTAATGAAGTTCCTATAAAATTCGCTGCGAAGCTACGTCTCGGATAGAACGCGCAGGGGCGCCTTCCCGGCAGAGGCGTCTAGTACTTTCGGGGATAGCGGTCAATTTTTTTTTTTGCCCCCACCCAACTCTTCCGTTTCCCTACTGCGCAGCCTTGTAAACATTAGTAAACTCCGAGTGGTGATCCACATTCAAAACAGAGCCCCCAAAGCCTTGACTGACCTCGCAGGAAAGTTTCCCCAACAGCCAACAATTCCCGGCGGACACGAACTCGCCACCTCTCTCTGACACCCGGGGCGGCCAGGTCTGCAGAGAACGACGCACAGGTCCTCTCACCTGCCACAGTCCTCTCCAAGCCAGCGATCTGCCCGCGCCCCCCCGAGCGCAGCGCAGATGGGCGCCTTCCCCGCCTCCGCTCCTCCCCTTCCCTTCCCTTCCCTACGGCACACAGAGAAAAGCCCTCGTCCTCCGCAAACTACAACCGGCGGCGTCGCCCCTCGCAGTCGGCCCCTACTCGGTGTCCAGCTCCAAGTGAGGGCCGGAGGGGGCTGGGCGGGGGCGGCCGACCTACCCCGAGCGGAGTACTACCCGGTACTTTATGTAACACTCAGATTCGGGACTGAGTGGGGGGCGACGAAGAAGGGCCAGAGGAACGGCGTTGCCCGGGACCGAGGCACCGGGTCCGCGGGAACCCCGGCCCACAGCCGCCCTCCTCCTGCAGCCCCGTCTCGGCGCCCTATAGCCCCAGGCGCCGGCACATCCCTCCATCTCGCGCCGTAATCTGCACCCCCTCCTAGAGGACGCGGCTTGGACCCGCCGCCCCCTCCCCCGCAGCACCCGCCTCATCACTTCACTACAAAGAGCGCTTTGGTCGCGCAGCCTTGCAGCGAGACCTCTCGCGCCTCCTTCCTCCTCCGTGTCCCGGGCTTTGCACACAAGGACCTTGGCGAATCAAAGGCGCTCCAGACCTTTTGTTCCTGCCCCTGCCGAGGGCCGCCGCTGCGGAGCCGGCCGCTTCCTCCGGTCCACGGCAGGACCGGCCCGGCTCCGCGGCGCGCCCGGACCCGCCGGGAAGGAGGCGGCCGCCCCCGCCCATCCATCACCCGGCCGTACCTTGGTATTTCGCGTCGATCTCCCGCATCAGCGAGACATTTCTCTGCAAGTCGAAAGGCAGGGACTCGATGGAGTCCAGGTAGTCCTCCACATAGTTCACCAGGTGGAGCTGCTCCCCGTTGGCAGGACTCAACATGGTTCACCCCGGAGGTCCCCGGCGACTCGGCGCGGCTTTCCGCTTCCTCCACCCCCCGCCCCCCTCAAAAAATAGCACTGCAAAATGCAAAGCCCTCGCTCTCCCGGCGCCCCCCCGCCGGCTCCTGCTTCGGCCCGGCGGCTACATCTGCCGAGCCCGTCCGCCGCCTCCGGGTCCGCGGGGACCCCAGCGCCTGAGGGCGCGGGCCGCGGTGGCGGTGGCTCCCGGGCGCACGCCCCGGCCGGCGGCGCAGGCCCCCTCTCAGGCGGCGGGGCTGGCGCCGGGGGCCGCGCGTACGAGCGCGCACACACCGGCGGGAGAGGGCCCAGCGCCGCGGCCGCCGCTGCCCACTCGCCCACTGGGCTGGGTAGAAGAGAGGAGCGGAGCGGGCAGCGGGAAGGGGCGCGCTCCGCTGGCCGCCGAGCCGCACTTGTCCAACGTGGAAAACCCAAATACCAGTTTCAAACACTTGGGAAACATTCAGCCCCGCTGCGCAGCGCGCATGCGCCCCGGCCCCCTCCCCCGGCAACGGCCCCGCCCCCCGCCGCATTCACGCCCCTCACCGTCCCAGGCCCTGGGGGCTGCGGGCTCCAGGCCGGCCCTCGCGGGGGCGTGGCCTTGCCTGTCACTTTTTCCAGAGGCGAGGGTCGCGGAGGGGACAGCGTCAGGGCCGCTGGGGTGTGGACGGCGGGCGAGGCGCAAACTTTACTAGGAGTTTTTGGCACTTGGAGGCAGAGCCTGTTGGGCGGCACAGCACGCCCGCTGGGAAACGCAGGGGAGCGGCCTGCTTCGCTGAAAACCCGACCAGGACCTAACGGGCCGCGGGACAGAAACCTCCGAGACCATGGTACACAGCAACTACCGCAACTCGCTCCTCAGCCCCTGACTCTTCGTCCCCGCCCCACAGAGCAGTATAAGTAGGGCCCGAAACAGAACTGGCAACCGCAGTAGCCAATCTACTTGCCAACATCACTTTGACAGCCCAATCACGATGAAGAGGAGGCGGGGAGACCGTGAGTAATGCCCCCCGGACTCTTACTACTAGAAACCCAAGTCCTCCGGGAGGCGGAAGGAAGGGGAGGGCCGGGCACGGGCGGAAGTGGCGGCGCATGCGCACTGGCACCCTCTCGGTGTCCTTTGAGCTGCGGCCGCAGAGTGCGCGGGAGACCTACCCATTCCGCGGCCGGACCACCACTCCCAGCAGCCTAGGCGGCTCCCGCGCCTGCGCCATCCGTCACCGCCCTCCCTTTGTGTCGTCTCCCGGTACTCAGTTTGGAACGGCTTGGAGACAAAGGGGCCTGAGAGGGAAGCTGCTTCCTAGTGCCGAGCCCCAGAAGAGGTGGATAGGCCCGAGGGGCGCCTTCCCTAGGCCTTATCTCTTCCCGCCCTGTGTCATGGACACCGTTCTCGGAGGCCGCTCCCCACACTTGGAAAGGCCGCCCACAGTATGCAGACACCCGGTCGGCCGGCGTCCTGAGGCCATTCAGCTCCCCGGACCGCCCTCCCCCGCGTCGCCCCTCTACCCTCCCAAAGCTCCCGGATTTTGGGCTTTCTGAGAAGCCTGGACGCCACGCGAGCCCGTTGCCTAGGCGACCGGCCCCGCGCGCCGGCCCCCCCCCTTCCGGCCAAAGGGCCCGCCCCTCCTGGGCGTGGCCTCGTGCCTTTGTGCACTTCCCGCCTGGCTCTCTGGTTCCGGGGCGGCCTCGGCTTCGGCCTCCGCCCCGCTGCGGCCGCCGCGGGTCCCCTCCGGGGTGGCCCCGAGAGCTGTGTTCGCCACGCTTGGCTGCCTGCTTTTCTCTGATTTTCTTCCGCCTTGGACCCTGCTCTATTTGCATTGTCTTTTTTTCAGCAAGTCGGAGAACGGTGCCTTGTCAGTTTTCACCTTTCTCACTGGACTTTCTCTTTTCCGGAGAGCCGGGTTGGTGGTGCTGCCTGTGTATTCCACGAACTAAGCCCTGTCCCCAGCCCTTGCAGTGTTTCTGTATCAACTCCACGCCAGCGCGGTTCTCCATTTTTCTTAGCCTCTTAATTAGGACAGGGTCGGATTTCAGCTTTTATCCACCGGGTTTATCCTGTTGCAAAGCAGAGTACACAGTTTTAGACACAAAATAATTGCAGTTGAAATGGATACACATTCTGGTGGTAAGATTTGGAAACGTGGTATTTGATGGAACCCTGTTGTAACATCTAAAACTCTTTGGATTTTTTAAAAACGTATTCTGTGTAATCCAGTAAAAATTTGGATTCGTCCAGTATTTATAGAGTAGATTATTAACCGCAGTGGTGCTCATTCCAGGGCCCTGCCGGGTATTTTGTGCTATGGATGTGAGTACGGCAAAGAGACTGAATTAAGCTGTTTTGTATTTGGAATCGGATTGTTCACGTTGCAACGTTGCTGCAATGATAAATGGATGGATACTCTTTACACTTTGAAGTGGATTTAATCTTCACTTTTAAGCCCCTTCATCTCACCTACACAGCAGGAGAGCTTTGGCTTTGATATTTGGGGAAATGGCTGTTATTTTACTTACAGATCACGCTATTCTAGTCTTGGCCTAGTTAAAAGCAAATGAGTACTTTAGTTTCTACAAGATTTATTGGCCACTACTTGGTCTGCACAAAAGACTATAACACTTGGCCGGACGCGGTGGCTCACGCCTGTAATCCTACCACTTTGGGAGGCCGAGGCGGGCGAATTGCCTGAGATCAGGAGTTCGGGACCAGCTTGGGCAACATGGTGAAACCCTGTCTCTACTAAAAATACAAAAAATTAGCAGGGCATGGTGGCGCGTGCCTGTAGTCCCAGCTATTGGGGAGGCTGAGACAGAATCACTTGAACCTAGGAGGGGAGGTTGCAGTGAGCCGAGATTGTGCCACTGCACTCCAGCCTGGGCGACAGAGCAAGACTATCTCCGGAAAAAAAGAGAAAAAAAGACTACGACAAGATAACATTATGTGGAAACAAACATTATGTCGAATACAGAGTATAGAGGGAGTACAAAGTTGAATAAGGAAAATTACGCCTTTCCCTCAAAAAGCATATAAGTAATTTAAAAGTACAATAGTAAGAAATAGACCGGTTCTTCTATTCCTAGCATTCATTGGCTCTAGAATGAATAGTGTTTATCTGAACTCAAGAATAAAATTGGAAGTAATTTACCCTTTACAAAGATAAGATGGAGTTTAACCTAGGTTTTCTTTTTAAAAAAAAAAATCACAACACAGTACAATCTGAGTAATGATTTTGTTCCTCTAGTTATGTACTCTCTTCACATACACATAAACCAAAAAGGCATCTTAAGCATTCAACAAGGAATATTGACGAGTGTCTACCATGTGCCAACTACTGGTCCGTGCGCTGGGGATACAGTAGTGAAAAGTTTTTTGGAGCTTTACATTCCATAAAACTTTTAGCCCACCCCTTGGGATAAAAAGTCAAAAAAGATTTTATCTTTTTTGGAACAAACTTAGAAGATCAAGCAATAAAACATAATTACCTTTGATAACGAATTTTAAATGTCATTGAAGAAAGGTGCTTAATTTTGAAGATACGTTGAAGAATCTTGTCTCTTTCAGTTTTGTTTCCTGTGGCGTGTTGCAAAAATGGATGTTAAAACTTTTCCGTAGAACAGAAATTTCAAATGGATTAAAAAGAAACATTTAAAATTAAACTTTTTTCTAAAATTATATTTCCAGTCTAACTGAAAATGCTCAAACCTATGAGAGTCAGATATAAGAGATGAACATATAATTCTTTTTCTTTTTTTGAGACGGAGTCTTGCTCTTGTCACCCAGACTGGAGTGCAGTGGCGTGATCTCAGCTCACTGCAACCTCCGCCTCCCGGGTTCAAGCGATTCTCCTGCCTCAGCCTCCTGAGTAGCTGGGATTACGGGTGCCGGACGCCATGCCCAACTAATTTTTGTATTTTTAGTAGAGACGGAGTTTTGTCATGTTGGCCCAGGCTGGTCTCGAACTCCTGACCTCAGGTGATCCGCCTGTCTTGGCCTCCCAAAGTGCTGGGATTACAGGCGTGAACCACCGCGCCTGGCCAAGCATAGAATTGTTTAAGTTTCAAAGTGCTTAAAAAATAAATGCAAACTCATTCATCTTAAACTTGAAAACCCCTAAACCATATGCTACCGTAATCAACTCTACTTCTGATTTACAAGATTTTGCCTTGAAAGAAAATGTAATACTGAGAACTTGATTTTGTTATTGTTGTCATTAAGGACTGAGAAATGGCATTAGTGATATTTTGGAATCATTAACTTTAACACACTTCCTCGTTCTGACCTAGATTGGAGAGGGAGGTGACTTCAATTAAATGGATCCTCTTTTTATGTATATATGGTGTATTAGTCAGGGTTCTCTAGAGGGACAGAACTAATAGGATGGAGATATAGATATATATAATGTATATACATATATATGTTTATTAAGTACTAACTTACATAATCACAAGGTCCCACAATAGACTGTCCGCAAGCTGAGGAGCAAGGAGAGCCAGTCTGAGTCCCAAAACTGAAGAACTTGGAGTCTGATGTTCGAGGGCAGGAAGCACCCAGCACAGGAGAAAGATGTAGGCTGGGAGGTATAGTAATGAAGAGCATTAGCAGTCTATTTTACTTTACCTTAATATTCAACCTGCAGATATTCAATATGCAAAAAGATCACATTTCTAACCATCATTAGGTAATGAGCTATGTTTCTCCTTGTTTTGATGATCCGCAAAAGCCTTAAGAAAACAGAATTAGCTGCCGGGCACGGTGGCTCATGCCTGTAATCCCAGCACTTTCAGAGACCGAGGTGGGCGGATCACCTGGGGTCGGGAGTTCAAGACCAGCCTGACTAACATGGAGAAACCCCATCTGTACTAAAAATACAAAATTAGCTGGGCATGGTGGCACATGCCTGTAATCCCAGCTACTCAGGAGACAAGCAGGAGAATTGCTTGAACCCGGGAGACGTGAGAAAGAGGCAGGAGAATCGCTTGAACCCAGGAGATCACGCCATTGCACTCCAGCCTGGGCAACAAGAGTGAAACTCCATCTCAAAAAAAAAAAAAAGAAAAAAGAGAAAAGAGAATTGGCCAGGTGTGGTGGCTTAGGCCGGTATTCCCACCGCTTTGGGAGGCTGAGGTGGCTGGATCACTTGAGGTCAGGAGTTCCAGAGTCCCAGACCAGCCTGGCCAACATGATGAAACCCCATCTCTACTAAAAATACAAAAATTAGCTGAGCGTGGTGGCACGCACCTGTAATCCCAGCTACTCGGGAGGCTGAGGCAGAAGAATCACTTGAATCTGGGAGGTGGAGGTTGCAGTGAGCCGAGATCGTGCCACTGCACTCCAGCCTGGGTGATAGAGTGAGACTCTGTCTCAAAAATAAATACATAAAAATAAAAATAAAAATGCAAAAATTAGCTGGGCACGGTGGTGTGCACTTGTAATCTCAGCTACTGTGGAGGCTGAAGCAGGAGGATTGCTTGAACCAGGAGGCAGAGGCTGCAGTGAACCCAGATCAGGCCACTGCACTCCAGCCTGGGTGACAGAGCAAGACTGCCTCAAAAAAAAAAAAGAAAACATAATAGAATCACTGCCAGTGAGGGGCTAAAAACATTACATGAATTTTCTGAAGACAGAAGATACTATTGTTAATTTAAAAGTTGTGATGTTCTATGAACAATTCAAATATACCGCATGTCCAGATTCATGTGCAGATTTGATCTTCAGTGTTACTAAGCTGCTTTCAGAATCTCTGCTCCAGTTATTTCCTTGAATTCGTGTGTTCTCACAGATTGCAACTGAGCTTTTTGTTAATTTGCTTTATTTACTGGCACATCTAATATCTGAATCAGCTTTATCAGGTATTTTACTACCCAGATTTCTTCCCACCTGCACAATTAATCCCTTTCGTAAGGGATTAATTCATCAACATTCAACAAGCCCTTTTATTTCTTCTAAATTTTTTTTTTCCAGCCACAGCAAAACAAAACAAACAAAACCCAAGTCCTTTTCTGAATTTAGTGCAGGGCACAGTGAGAAGTTCAAAATAATGTACAATTTAAGATACTCAGGGAGATAAATATACACACAGCACTGGAAAGTTACAAAATAACATAAGGCAGGCAAGAAGTGATAATATTCAGGAGAATTTAGAGTAGTTAGGTAACATGAGTGGTTAGCATTGATGTAGGCTATAGGGTCTCCTAATTCTAACATTTTAACCTTATTAAATTAGACAATAGATTACATTAGACTACAGTTAGCTTGAAACAGAATTGCAGAGTTGGACTCCAGGATATTGAGAAACTACTCTAGGTACACACTTGTTTGTCTCTACTTAAACCTTTGCTTTTTAATAAAACACCAAAGCAAACTAAAAACAACAACAAAAAACCAGAGGAACGTCTCCTGTTTTGAGAACTGGAAAAGCAAAGGGGACTTTTTCTTTTTTTTGAGACATCGTATTGCAAGACACCAATAGAGGCACTTTTTTTTTTTTTCAGGCGGAGTCTCCCTCTGTTGCCCAGGCTGCAGTGCAGTGGTGTGACCTCAGCTCACTGTGAGCTCTGCCTCCTGGGTTCAAGCGATTCTCTTGTCTCAGCCTCCCCAGTAGCTGGGACTACAGATGCACGCCACCACGCCCGGCTAATTTGTGTATTTTTAGTAGAGACGGGGTTTCACCATATTGGTCAGGCTGGTCTCGAACTCCTGACCTCAGGTGATCCATCCGCCTCAGCCTCCCAAAGTGCTGGGATTACAGGTGTGAGCCACTGCGCCTGGCCCAATAGAGGCACGTTTGTCAAGCTATTGTGAGTAACTTTCAGAATGTTTTTGTTCTCAAGATACGGGATCATGGTGGGGGAGGCATGCTGTGTATTGGAGTGCAGACATGGTGTGTGTTGGGTTGCACACTGTGTATTGGGGTGCACACTGTATTGGGGTGTAGATGTGTGGGGGCGCACACTCTATTGAGGTGCACATTGCATTGGAATGCAGACAGTGTTTGCTGGGATGCACATGTGCTGTGTTGGGGTGCACACTGTACTGGGGTGCAGACATGGTGTGTGTTAGAGTGCACAGTGTATTAGGGGTGCACACTGTATTGGGGTGTACACTGTACTGGGGTGCAGACATGGTGTGTGCTGGGGTGCACACTGTATTGGAGTGCACACTGTATTGGGATGCTGATGTGGTGTGTGCTAGGGTGCATACTGTGTATTGGGGTGCAGACTGTATGCTGGGTTGCACACTGTGTATCGGGGTGCACTGTGTTGGGATGCTGATGGTGTGCTGCAGTGCACACTATTGGGGTGCAGATGTGTGTGCTGGGGTGCACACTGTATTGGGGTGCACACTGTATTGGGATGCTGATGTGTGTGCTGGGGTGCATACTGTGTATTGGGGTGCACACTTCTTGGGGTGCAGACTGTGTGTTGGGTTGCACATTGTGTATCGGGGTGCACTGTGTTGGGATGCTAACGGTGTGCTGCAGTGCACACTGTATTGGGGCGCAGATGTGTGTTTGGGGTGCACACTGTATTGGGGTGCACACTGTATTGGGGTGCTGACGTGTGTTCTGGGGTGGACACTGTGTATTAGCGTGCTGACGTGGGCTGTGCTGGGATGCACACGTGCTTCGCTAACAGGCCAGGGCCCGGCAACAGAAGCTTGCACTGTAAACGCTCCTCCCGCGCGGCGGACACAGCTCCAGGCTGGTACCGCGCGCACACGGACGCCTCGCAGGACCTGGGCTAATAAGGAGAGGAGATCGGCACGGTACCGCCTCTTCCCACGGCCTCCCGGCGCGGCACCGCCCTCCTCCCTCCACCCCGGGCCTTCCCCGCCCCAACCTCTTCGGGCCCTGGTTCTCCACCCTTGCCGCGGGCGACTCGAGCCAGGCCAAAGGGAGGCGCTACCTGAGGACTGCTTCCGGGAGTGGGCGTGGCCCCAAGGGCGTGGGCGGGGCGGGGCGGGGCCGTGCTGCTCTTGAGCGACCGGCAGCGTACCCGGCGTGGCTCCCGTCTCCGCCCAGTCGTAGGCGCTGGCCGCTGACATGTTGAGGACTACGCGCGGCCCAGGCCTGGGCCCCCCGCTGCTCCAGGCCGCGCTGGGCCTTGGGCGGGCTGGGTGGCACTGGCCTGCGGGCCGGGCGGCGAGCGGGGGGCGCGGGCGGGCCTGGCTGCAGCCCACGGGCCGGGAGACGGGTGTGCAGGTGTACAACAGCCTCACCGGGAGGAAGGAACCCCTAATCGTGGCGCACGCCGAAGCCGCCTCCTGGTGGGCCGCGCGGGACTGGGGCACGGGCGGGGGCCGATCGTGGCGGAGACTTCCCACGGCTGAACGGGATCTGGGCTCGGGGAGGGCGTTTAGGAAGCTGCATGGAGGGCGCCGTTCTAGAAGCTGGGGGTGCGCGGTGCTTTTGCAGGTTTGGGTGTGAATTGAGCAAGTATGAAAACCCCGGCTATTCATCCCCCAGAAGTGATTACTTTAAAAATTATATGATCATTATAACTCAGAATCGAATGTCCTTTCTTGCAAATATGTTCCACACGATGGATTTTAACTTTGTTTCCAGGTATAGCTGTGGACCAACTGTATATGATCATGCGCACCTTGGCCATGCTTGGTGAGTTTCCTGGATTTGAATTTTCATACTTCAAAGGACCATTTATTTTTGAAAGCCTTTTGCTGATTTCTTTTATCTCTTAAGTGGCAACTTAGGGATGCAGAATAATTCCTACATTCCAGGCATTGTGGGAAATGTTACAACCTCATTTGGTTCTTATAGGGATTCTGAGCACTTACACCCGTTTTACAGGTGAGGAAACTCAGGGAGACAATGGAGCACTGAAAAATGACCCGTTTTGGAACTAGATGTTTTTTGCTGGGTTTAGTGACATCAAGAGGCCTTTGCGGGGTCCCGGGGTCCTGCTGATCAGTCATTCCTGGGCCCCACCACTTCTTAGCTTCACAGCACTGAGCAGGTCACTTTATTGCTTTGAGTCCTGGTTTCTTCATCTTTGAGATGGGAATGATAACTTGGATCTTATAACAATTTTAGTAAATAATGCCCATAAAATGCTGCTTAACACTGTACCTCACATGTGAGATGTCACGGGGCTCAATAGTGATTGAGTAACTTTCCTAAGATGACACATTGAAGAGGTATTGGAACTGGGGTGAGGCTTGGTTTCTCTGACTGCGAAGTGGTTGCTCTCTTGACCTCTTTAACTGTAAGATGTACTGCCTCCTACATTTGCCAAAATTACCACTTTTCCTAATATTTTGTACATTTCCAAAATATAATGTACAAAAATGACATATTATAGATTTTTTAAAACTTAGTATTGTTCAGTCCTAGACTAAAAGTAAAAAGTTACATTTACTCTGTATACTTTTTTTTTTTCTTGAGACGGAGTCGCTCTGTCGCCCAGGCTGGAGTGCAGTGGTGCAATCTCGGCTCACTGCAACCTCTGCCTCCCAGGTCCAGTTGCCGCCTCCTGGCAGCAATTCTCCTGCCTCAGCCTCCGGAGTAGCTGGGATTACAGGCATGTACCACCACGCCCGGCTAATTTTTGTATTTTTAGTAGAGACGGAGTTTCACCATGTCAGCCAGGCTGGTCTCGAACTCCTGACCTCAAATGATCCACCTGCCTTGGCCTCCCAAAGTGTTGGGATTACAGGCATGAACCACCATGCCCGGCATACTCTGTATACTTTAAATATACATTTTTCCCCTTTACTTTGGGCTAACATACTTTTAATTATCAAAAGCATATTTCGACATCTTTCTTGAATTATAAAATATGTTGGGGAAATATTAAAAACAAAACCCCCACCCTGGAAAACCTTTCCACAAAGGTAGAAGAGAAAGAAAACAGTTCTGTTACTGAATAAGCCTTAAACCAGAAGGGGATGAGCTAAAATAACTGCAAAGACAGAAAGAAATCTCATCCTTCTATGGAGCTTTGGGGATACAGCCTGTCTCAGTCTATGAGTCTGCTGTAACAAAATATCCTAAAATGGATGACTTATAAACAACAGAAATTTCTTTCTTTCTGGGGCTAGGAAGTCCAAGATGAAGGCACCAGCAAATTTGGTGTCTGTTGAGGGTCTGCCTGCTGTGTCCTCACATGGTAGAAGGTAGAGGGAATTCTCTGAGGTCTCTTCTATGAGGGCATTAACCCCAGTCATGAGCTCTCTGCCTCCATGACTTTGTCACTCCCAGAGGCTCCACCTCCTAAAACCGTCACCTTGGGAGT
The DNA here is from genome assembly GCF_000001405.40 of Homo sapiens. Lineage (NCBI taxonomy): Eukaryota > Metazoa > Chordata > Mammalia > Primates > Hominidae > Homo > Homo sapiens. The sequence continues at coordinate 110,703,884 of NC_000013.11, read as the reverse complement.
TAGGGTTTCAACCATGAATTTGGAGGGAAGACAAACATTCAGACCATAGCATAACCCATTGCTTCAGGTGAGTTACAGTGTGGAGTCAGATGACAAGGTAGGCCCATCTCCTCCCAGGACACTGGGAAACGGGGCGTTATTTTCCTTGATTACATTTCAGAGGTGGGTCCCAGGTTTTGAAATTTTCTTGAGTTGTAAAACTGCCAAGAGGTTTATTTAGCCATTTAAAAGATTGACATGCATTTGAAGAGGACTGAGGAAGAAATCCTAAAAGTTGTTGGGGAGAGAATCTCTTCTCATTTCCAACTAGGAGAGTCAAGTCTTGCAGTTTAAATTTGTATAATATTTACCTTTATGACTACAGAAAAGAATACACATCTTAAGTGCGCAGCTGAATGCATGTTATAAGCTGTGTCCACACAGGGCCTTCCCAGGGGCTGGTGGGAGCTTGGGACTCTCCTGTTGACCACCTTCCTGTCAGCCTGGCCAACCCCTCCAGGCCTTTGCTGGGCTGGCCTGCCCCACCTCCCTCTCCCCATCTCAGCTCTCCTAGCATTGTACTCCTTCAGTGGTTATTTATGCAACCATCTGATGTCGTTAGCATGATGTAATTATTTCAGCTCCAGCAGGACAGGGATGCACACAGTGCCTGCTGCAGAAAGGTAGAATTTGAGCAATGGGTAGCACTCAGTTCACTGGAAAGAGACACCCTGAAAAATAGCCTCCACCATTTCCAGAAGAGGTCAGAGGGATGGAAACCCTGTTTGGGGAAAACAAATAGATCAGTTTGGTGCTAGGGGGGAGGAGCAGGGGAAGGGATGGGGCGTCAGTTGCAGCCAGACTGGGGAGGGTGCTGCGTGGTCTGGCCCAGAGAGTTTGGATTTCATGCCATGGTAGACGGAGTCACACTGGAGCGTTTTGAGGGAAGACTCTTAGCAAATGAATCATTTCAGCGATCACCCAGATGAGCACACTCACCCAGTGGATGGAGAAAATGGGGCAGAAAGAGCCGGGCTGACGGTAGCATGGTTCATGGTGGAGTCACAGAAGCAAGCTGAGGTCTCCTGATGCCATGTTCTTCAGACTTGGCTGCCCGGCACTTGCAAGGCGTGTGTGTGCGTGTTTGTGTATAGAGTGGCCCCTGTGGTCACAGCCTGCCTGCAGCGTCTCAGGGTCTCAAATTGCTCATGACCCTGCATTCCGCCAGCTCTGCCAAGCTGTGGAGCCTCTGCTGTCTCCAAGGGCAGTTCCGGGACTCAGCCTGGGCTCCTCTGGGCCAAGCAAGGGACTTGACTCTTGTTTTCATTTGCTTTAGGTTCCTGTAATTTTTTTCTTGTAAATCTCACATCTTTTAGACTCTTTCCCAACTTGAGGTGAATGAAGGAGCATGGTGATGAGAATGGTAATAATAGCTTGTGTTTTTAGAATTCATGCTGCACAGGCGGTAAGGCTGGACAGCAGTCCTGTTAGGTGGTGGGATTTTGCCAAATTTATAAGCAAGCCGACTGAGCTGTAAGAGGTTAATTATCTTGTTGAGTTTTGGAGATAGTTTTGTCCCTGGAATCAAGATTTGGTCTCAGCTGTGTTTGGAGAGGGAGGGGGTGTGTGGGAGGTTAAAGTGATACAATAACATGGCTAGGATTCCCCCACACCACCCTAAGAGAAAACAATTTTACGAACTGAAATTTAGGCCACATGGATAGCAGAGGTGAGTGTGACATTAGATAACCTTGAGTTTTAAGGTAACTTTTATGGGAAAACAGATTCTTGAGATGCTAAGTAGATTTTAAACCCTTTTAGTTTTACAAGTCTGAATTACCCCAGTGTAGTATATAAATAAGCTGGCATTTTTAAATATTCTACACTAGTGTGTGCATTCTTAGGAGTAATCTTATATGGCTTTAATGGGATCGTACTTGTTTTGATTTGGTATTTGCTTCTGTTTTGTCATAGTGAAAAATTAGAATTACTCTAGAACATGAACAAGAATGGTGAAAACACGATCTTAACTGAGAGATTGTATTATGAGTGAATTTTTATACAATTAAATAGACTTCAACTCACTTAAGCAACAACTCCAAAATTAAAAATGCTAATATTGTGTCCTGAAATTGATGCAATACCTTTGTCAGTTTCTCCTGAGAACCCTTGTGGCGCAGGCCCTGGTGCCATCAGTGAGAGGGAGTTTCCTTGTACCTGCTCCGCTGACCTGTCCATTGTGCTACACAGTAGAAGTTATGGAGCAGCATGTTAAAATGTAATGGATTTTTTACAAAGATAACTGATGACTTTGTGTAATAAAGACATCCTGACACTTTTTTTCTTTCAGCTCATATGTTAGATTTGATATCATTCGAAGGATCCTAACCAAGGTTTTTGGATGCAGCATAGTCATGGTGATGGGTATTACAGATGTAGATGATAAAATCATCAAAAGAGCCAATGAGGTAAGTGGAGAAGAGTTACATCTATTGATAATGCCATTGATTAGTGTTCTGAGCCCTTCCTGAAAGTGGTTCTTGGCCGGGCGTGGTAGCTTACGCCTGTAATCCCAGCACTTTGGGAGGCCAAGACAGGTGGATCACTTGAGGTCAGGAGTTTGAGGCCAGCCTGACAAACATGGTGAAACCTTGTCTGTACTAAAAATACAAAAATTAGTCAGGTGTGGTGGCGGGCTCCTGTAATCCCAGCTCCTCAGGAGGCTCAGGCAGGAGAATCGCTTGACCCTGGGGGGGCGAAGGTTGCAATGAGCGGAGATTGTGCCACTGCACTCCAACCTGGGTCATGGAGACTCTGTCTCAAAAAAAAAAAGAAAAAAGAAAGTGGTTCTTGTTTGCATTTTACAAGTAGTTCTCACATCTTATTGTCCATGTGTGGCCAGTGGGTGTAATCTGAGACATGAAACAGTGCTGGGTTAGCAGGGTTTCTTTGGTGCCCTAGTAAAGGAAGTTAACATCTATCGTATTGTGATCGCTGAAGGCTTTTCTGTGGCCTCGTGTCGTTACCTCCTTCTGTGGTCGTCTCCTGGCTCCAATCTTACTCCCTCCCCTGGCCCCTCGGCCTCCAAGGGAAATGACTTGACTTTCTCTTTACTGAGGGAACCAGACCCACTGATTGGACGTATTCATATTTGTGCTAATGATGCCTTTCATGTCTGTGTCTTGATAGTTTAAAAAGTACTTTTTGTATCTATTAGTATTTCAGTCTCAGAACAACCCTGTGTGCTGCGCAGAGCAGACCTTATTGTGCTTTTTTTAACACATTTTATTCCATATTAAAAAATTATTTGAAGCGATTTGAGATCTACAGAAAAATGACAAGAATAGTACAAAGATCTCCTGCAGCCACCCTGGGTTTCCTCGTGGCCATTGTTGGCTGCGTTGGGCCATCATCTTCTCTCTGTTCTAGACTTTTCCCACCAGGCCGCCTCCCCTCTCTGCACACGCCACGCGTGCCTTCAGAGCAAGGTCACTGGCTCTCGAGGCCCGCACAGCCCTCCCAGTCAGGAACCGGACATTGATGCAGTGCGCTGGTGTGGGTGACATGGACGTCAACCCCAGGTGTTGTCCCTGTCCCCGAGCGCCTCTTTCTTTTCTGTTCTAGAACCCCTTCCAGAGTCCTGTTGTCTCCTCGGTCTCCTTCAGTCTTCAGTAGTTCCCTGTCTCATGTCCTTGACACTGTCAAGGATTGTAGGACTTTGATTTTGTAAGGTGGCCCTCCACTCAGGTTCATTGGATGTGTCCCCATCTTGCAGAAGAGTCAAGAGGTTAAGGTGATCACATCTTGAGGTTGCACAGACCTTCAGGGGCAGGGCCACTCCCACAGCTCTGACTTCAGCTATCTCTGGGCAAGTACCCCTGCCAGGTGGGAATGGCCTGCGCACTTGTGGCGGGTAGCAGAAGTCTCTTTCCCGTGCAGGCTGAGGGCCCCACTGGAGTCTGGCCCACACCTGGAGTGTGGTGCCTGGCAAGCTTTGGGAAGACACAGTGGATGAGGTTGTACAGGCAGGTGGGACATTGGAGGCGCCTCCTCGGGCTCTCCCTGTTGGCTGGGGGCCAGTGCCCCGCACATCACTTCTACCGGAAGGGCTTTGGTGGGTCCTTTGACTTTAACTGCTGGTGAGGAAGACTTTTCCTAAAGAAGCCATTCTGATGAAACGCTGTCACTCTTTGCCCCACATGCTGTCTTGTGTCGGCTTTCTCCATTGCGGGTGCTTCCTCTAATCACCATTCTCTCTGGACATTTTTGCCCATTTTCACAATTCACTGTGGTTTAGCATACAAGACAGTCTATTCATTTGTGTGTTAGTTAGGATGACTGGCTATTTCCTTTTCCTGAATCTGATGAAGGAATTTAAGTAAAGCTGACCTAATTTTGATGTAGACGAGATGTAGTCTTGTGATACTTTGCCAGTTACCACTGCTTTTACCAGCATGTGTTACAGTGGAAATGTTCTAACATACATGAAGTAGAGAGAAGAGCATATGAACCCATGCACCTGTCACCGGCGTCCATGGTCAGCACCTGTTCCACCCCTGTTCTCTCTGCTTTTTGTGGAGACCACCTGTGGATTGTCCAGTGGTGGGCTGCTGTTTGGCAGTTTGACCCTCCAAGAGCATTAGACGGTGTTTGTCTTAGTCTGTTTTGTGCTGCTGTAACAGAACACCACAGGTTGGGTAATTTATAATGAATAGAAACGTATTTGCTCACTATGCTGGAGGCTGGAAACCAAGATCAAGGTGCCAGCATCTGGCAAGGGCCCTCTTACTGCATCATCCCATGGTGGAGGGCAAGAGGTCAAGGGGAGAGAAAGAAGCCCTGCCAAAAGCCCCCTGCCCCCACCCCTCCTTGGGTTTTTTTTTCTTTTTTTTTGGAGACAGGGTCACACTGTGTCGCCTAGGCTGGAGTGCAGTGGTGTGGTCATAGTTCAGTGCAGCCTTGATCTCCTGGGCTCAAGCTGTTCTCCCACCTCAGCCCTCCTGGTAGCTGGGACTCAGCTGTGCACCACCACACATGACTAATTTTTTTCTTTTTTCTATTTTTAGTAGAGATGCGGTTTCACTATGTTGCCCAGGCTGGTCTCAAACTCCTGAGCTCAAGCAATCCTCCTGCCTCGGCCTCCCAAAGTGCTAGGATTACAGGTGTGAGCCACTGCACCTGGCCGGAAAGCCCTTTTAAGAAGGCATGAAGCCCATCCAAGAGGGTGGGGCCCTCACGGCCTAATCACTTCTTCAAGTTCTCACCTCTTAATACTGTTACAAGGGCAAATAAATTTCAACATGAGTTTTGGAGGGGACAAACATTCAAACCATAGCAGTGTTTCTGGTGCTTTTTAAAAAAAACTTGCTGGATTTTTTTTTTTTTGAGACAGAATTTCACTCTTGTTGCACAGGCTGGAGTGCAATGGTGCTATCTCCGCTCACTGCAACCTCCACATCCCGGGGTCAGGCGATTCTCCTGCCTCAGCCTCCCGAGTAGCTGGGATTACAGACACCCACCACCATGCCTGGCTAATTTTTGTATTTTTAGTAGAGACGGGGTTTCACCACGTTGGCCAGGCTGGTCTCGAACTCCTGATCTCAGGTGATCCGCCCTCCTCGGCCTCCCAAAGTGCTAGGATTACAGGTGTGAGCCACCACGCCTGGCCTGGATTTCTTTTTTTGAAAAAAAAATATACATATACATACTTTTTAAGTCAGTGAGATTTGAATTATAGCATTTGTCTGTCATTGTGGCTTCCCTTCCTCTTTAACCTCCCGTCACACCCATGCATCTTCCTTTTGTGAAATGGGGTGGAACTAGTGACTAAAGATTTGGATTGGAAGTCAGAGGCCGCCTTTGGGCTGGGGCGTTTATCTGAAAAGAGGCTGAACTTTGTCATTTGTTGAGTGAACAGAGCTCTTCTCTTGTCTCTTAGGCATGAGTCAAAGGAATGGTGTGAGGTCCTTGAGGAACATTTTCACTGAGGTCTCTGTCTTCCTATTTTCTATTGATTTGTCTTTCTCATAACTGGGTAGTCTCCCACCGCATGGGGCTGTTTAGCAGTTCTAGCCTTTTCCCAATTGCTGTTTGTATTGCTTCTGGCTGTTAAAAAGAGTGCTGCTATGAACATATATGCTTTTGTTTTGTTTACTTATAAATATATTTCCTGTGGCTGGGTGCAGTGGCTCACGCCTGTAATCCTATACTTTGGAAGGCTGGATCACTTAAGCCCAGGAGTTAGAGACCAGTCTGGCCAACATGGCAAAACGCTGTCTCTACTAAAACACAAAAAATTAGCTGGGTGTGGAGGTGTGCACCTGTAATCCCAGCTACTCGAGAGGCTGAGACACGAGAAGTACTTGAACCCGGGAGGTGGAGGTTGCAGTGAGCTGAGATCGTGCCACTGCACTCCAGCCTGGGCCACAGGGTGAGACTCTGTCTCTAAATAAAAAGTTAATTAATTTCCAAAGCGGAATTGCTAGGTCAAAGGGGGAACAGTTTATTTGATATCTTGCAACTGAGAGTCAGATCATTGAGAGACTGGCAGTGCTGGAAATCGGCTCCCACTTTAAATGTATTTCTTCACATCCTTACCCCCAGCCTATAAGAGGCAGGATTTAGAAGGCAGGTGCGTGATGTCTAAGGCTGTGCGTGAATGTCTAGTCACCAGGTAACCCTCAGCAGAGGTGGTGTTTGGAAATGCCCCACTGGTAAAGAAGGAAGGTCAGTGGTTCGGGGCTTTCACCTGCCGTCGGGGCAGCCAGAGCCTGAAATGAAAGCACTTGGTAGCTTCGTGCCTCTCATGAATCTTCAAGATCAGAAAGAATTGTGTCAGTCCCCATGTCCTGGTGGCAGGGAGCTGGTAGAGGCTGAGACACTGGCTGAGTTCTGGAGGGAGCCCCATGGGACAGAGAAAGGGCCCCGCAGGGGATGGGAGGAGAGGTGAGGACACAGTGTACTTGGAGGGTGTCATGGGGGCGATGGGGAAGGTGGGGCAGGAACGTTGCCATCAGAGAAGCGGGACAAGAGCCCCGAATCCAGGGAGCAGAGAACTGCAGGAAGGAGGAGGTGGCCAGCGTGGTAAAGGGAGGAAGAAGCAAGAGTTAATTTCACAGATGCCACAAGGAGGGATTGGTTGTTAACTTTTTTAAAAATGTTATGATTAGAATATGAAAAACTTGGTAGAATTGGTTAAACATTCTAACTGTAGAGAGTAGTTAATTTTTGAACCAGAGAATTTCCATACTTGGTACACAGCAAGATCCTAAGATGGTATTGAATAGTTTCTTTCCTCAAAATAATGTCTGACTTCAATGTAATAAAACATGTATCTGAAACCCATAGTTATGAAAACATCTGTTTTTTAGTATTTAGTGAAAAGGTAATTCTTTAAGAAATGCAAATCAAAACCACAGTGAGATAACATCTCATGCCAGTTAGAATGGCGATCATTAAAAAGTCAGGAAACAACAGATGCTGGCGAGGATGTGGAGAAATAGGAACGCTTTTACACTGTTGGTGGGAGTGTAAATTAGTTCAACCATTGTGGAAGACAGTGTTGCGATTCCTCAAGGATCTAGAACCAGAAATACCATTTAACCCAGCAATCCCATTACTGGGTATATACCCAAAGGATTATAAATCATTCTACTATAAAGACACATACACACGTATGTTTATTGCAGCACTGTCCACAATAGCAAAGACTTGGAACCAACCCAGATGCCCATCAGTGATAGACTGGATGAAGAAAATGTGGCACATGGAATACTGTGCAGCCATAGAAAAGGATGGGTTCATGTCTTCTGCAGGGACACGGGTGAAGCTGGAAACCATCATTTTCAGCAAACTAACACAGGAACAGAAAACCGAACACCGCATGGTTCTCACTCATAAGTGGGAGTTGAACAATGAGAGCACATGGACACAGGGAGGGGAACATCACACACCCGGCGCCTGTCAGGGGTTGGGGGGCTAGGGGAGGGATAGTATTAGGAGAAATACCTAATGTAGATGACGGGTTGATGGGTGCAGCAAACCACCATGGCACGTGTATACCTGTGTAACAAACCTGCACTTTCTGTACATGTGTCCCAGAACTTAAAGTATAATTTAAAAAAAAAAAAAGGTAATTCTTTTTATCCAATGTAAACTTTTTTGAAGGTAAAATTAAAACTTTTATTTTTCTTCTTTACCTTTTTTATAATATAAAATTTACGATTTTAAACATTTTTAAATGTGCAATTCAGTGGCATTAAGTACATTTACAGCATTAAATGGTGCATAATTCCTCAAGGTTCATCCACCTGCAGCCTGTGCCGGAAGTTCCTTCCTTTTTATGGCTGAATAATGTCACATTGCATGTACACTCTCCTTGCTGTCTATCTTCTGAATATATATGCTTTTGTTTTGGTTCCAGGACCCCCTCCCCACATACCAAAATCCTTGGATGCTCGAGTCCCTGATATAAAATATATTTGCACTTAATCTATGCACATCTTCCCATATACTTTAAATCATATCTAGATTACTTTTAATAACTAATACAATGTAAATGCTCTATAAATAGTAGTACTATATTTTTTAAAAATTTGTATTATTTTTTATTATTTATTTAGTTTTAAGATAGGGTCTCACTCTGTTACCCAGGCTGGGGTGCAGTGGCATAATCACGGCTCACTACAGCCTCACCCTCCCAGGCTCAGGGATCCTCCCACTTCAGCCTCCAGAGTAGCGGGGACCACAGGCATGTGTCACCATGCCCAGTTAATTTTTGTATTTTTTGAAGAGACAGGGCCTTCTAAGTTGCTCAGGCTGGTCTCTAATTCCTGGGCTCAAGCAACCCTCCTGCCTTGGCCTCGCAAAGTGCTGGGATTACAGGCATGAGTCACTGTGCCTGGCATTATTTCTTAATATTTTCTATATGAGATCGATTGAACCCACAGATGCAGAACCCTAGGATACAGAGAGCCGACTGTGCTGCGTTTTCTTTACCCATATTCTTCCACCGTTGGACATTGGGTTTCTTCTCATGCAAGCTTTTAAAATGATAACAATATCTTTCGTGCCATCTGCTCCAAGACTTGTTTTTAAAATATTTTAAATTATAATAATACACTTTCCTGAGTCACTCCCTTGACTTTAATTTTTGGCACCATTTTATAGGTTGTCAGAGATGGAAAGCACAGGTTTTAAACAAATCTGGGGTAAGAATTAAAAGAGGTAGGATATATTCACATAGTAACATTTTGTTTTGTTTTTGTTTTGAGACAGGGTCTCACTTTGTCATCCAGGCTGGAGTGCAATGGTGGGATCTCAGCCCAGCGCAACCTCCGCCTCCCAGGCTCAAGCGATTTTCCTGCCTCAGCCTCCCGAGTACCTGGGACTACAGGCGTACACCACTACGCCCAGCTAATTTTTGTATTTTTAGTAGAGATGGGGTTTCACCATATTGGCCAGGCTGGTCTCAAACTCCTGACCTCAGGTGATCCAGCTGCCTCAGCCTCCCAAGTGCTGGGATTACAGGCGTGAGCTACCACGGCCAGCCAGTAACATTTTATATTAAGAAAAATCATTAAGCCAGGCACGGTGGCTCACGCCTGTAATCCCAGCACTTTGGGAGGCCGAGGTGGGAGGATCACCTGAGGTCAGGAGTTTGAGACCAGCCTAACCACCGTGGAGAAACCTTGTCTCTACTAAAAATACAGAATTAGCTGGGCATGGTGGTGCATGCCTGTAATCCCAGCTACTCAGGAGCTGAGGCAAGAAAATCACTTAAACCTGGGAGGCAGAGGTTGCGGTGAGCTGAGATCGCACCATTGCACTCCAGCCTGGGCAACAAGAGCAAAACTACATCTCAAAAAATAAAAAACAAAACAAAAAAACCGAAAAATTATTATATATGTCTCCAAGTAATTCAAGCCAAAGTTTCTCTTTTTGTGTGCCGGGACACTGGCCTGCATCACCCTGGCTTTCTGGAAGAAGGTGAAATGTTGAGGAAGGGCTGGACACAGGGCCCAGCCAGCGGGCTCCTGTCCTGGAGAGATAGCTAACTTAAAATGATTTACGATCGTTAGAGCTACCTGAGAGAATCCGAAATAGGACTAGGACCCCATTTTAGCGCCTTTCTACCTCGTCTATTTGTTTTATGGCAGTGAGAAAGCAGCACTACCCCGGTATGAGGAATGATCATATGTTTCAGGTTAAATGTAGCAAGCAGTTTGACTTTTAGAATATGAGTTTCCAGCCGGACACGGTGGCTCACGCCTGTAATCCCAGCATTTTGGGAGGCTAAGGCAGGTGGATCACGAGGTCAGGAGATCGAGACCATTCTGGCTAACACGGTAAAACCCCGTGTCTACTAAAAATACAAAAAATTAGCCGGGCGTGGTGGCGGGCACCTGTAGTCCCAGCTACTCGGGAGGCTGAGGCAGGAGAATGGCGTGAACCTGGGTGGCAGAGCTTACAGTGAGCCGAGATTGCGCCACTGCACTCCAGCCTGGGCGACAGAGCGAGACTGCCTCAAAAAAAAAGAATGTAAGTTTTCTCTCCCCAGCACCAGCAGCAGTAGGTGGGTATTCCACTTACAACTCCTTGTCATTGTAGCATTTGTGAGCCATGTCCTCCAGGACTGGGCCGTTGGTGCTGGTGCAGCCACGTGCAGAGAAGGGAGTATTGGGTGTTTGGGGTGTATTCTACCTGATGAGCCTTTAAAGTGTGTGTGCTTGTGTGTTTATATGTTGTCTCTTTCTGAACTAGATAAATTAATTCTTTTTTTTTTTTTTTTTTTTTTTGAGACAGAGTCTCGCTCTGTCACCCAGGCTGGAGTGCAGTGGTGCAATCTCTGCCCACTGCAACCTCCGCCTCCCGAGTTCAAGCGATTCTCCTGCCTCAGCCTCCCAAATGGCTGGGATTACAGGCGCCCACCACCACACCCAGCTAATTTTTGTATTTTTAGTAGAGATGGGGTTTCACCATGTTGGTCAGACTGGTCTCGAACTCCTGACCTCATGATCTGCCCACCTTGTCCTCCCAAAGTGCTGGCATTACAGATGTGAGCCACAGCGCCCAGCCAATTAATTCCTTTTTTGAGACAGAGTTTCACGCTGTTGCCCAAGCTGGAGTGTGGTGGCACAGTCTTGGACATTGCAGCCTCCATCTCCCAGGCTTAAGTGATCCTCCTGCCTCAGCCTCCCAAGTAGTTGGGACTACAGGTATATGCCACCACGCCTGGCTAATTGTTTTGTATTTTTTGTAGAGACAGGGTTTTGCCAGGTTGCTCAGGCCGGCCTAGATAAATTAATTCTAAAGTTCATATAGAACAGCAAAAAAAAAAAAAAAAGGAAGAATAGGAAAAGTCTATAAAAGATGAATATTGAGAGGGACTAGCCCTATCAAATATGAAAACTTTTATTTATTAATTTTTTTTTTTGAGACGGAGTTTTGCTCTTGATGTCCAGGCTGGAGTGCAATGGCACAATCTCAGCTCACCGCAACCTCCGCCTCCCGGGTTCAGGCGATTCTCCTGCCTCAGCCTCCCGAGTAGCCAGGATTACAGACATGTGCCACCACGCCCATCTAATTTTCTGTATTTTTAGTAGAGACGGGGTTTCTCCATGTTGGCCAGGCTGGTCTTGAACTCCCGGCCTCAGGTGATCCACCCACCTCAGCCTCCCAAAGTGCTGGGATTACAGGTGTGAGCCACTGCGCCCGGCCACCAAATATGAAAACATTTTAAAAGCTATAGAAGGTTTTTGTTTTCTCATATATATGTATATATATGTGTGTGTATATATATATATGTATATATGTGTGTGTATATATATGTATGTGTGTATATATATATGTATATGTGTATATATATATATGTGTGTGTGTGTATATATATATATATATATATTTTTTTTTTTTTTTTTCTGCACAGCTTTATGTGGTAGGATTGACCTACAATAGATTGCATGTATTATTCAGGAAGGTGCAGTTTGCCAAATGTTGACCTAGGGATGCCCCTGTGGATGCATCCGTCACCCCTGTGTCTGTGCCCCTCGGGACTCCTCCCTGCACCCCCTAACCCTCTGGTGTCCAAGCATCTGCTGATCTGTTATCTGTGGCTTTAAAGCCTGCAGAAATTAAACACCTGTACAAAGCACGCATAAACAGATGATGGAATACACCAAAAAGTCCAGAAACAGCCCTGATAATCAATGGGAGTTTGTTTTATGATAAAAGATGGCATTTCAAATCAGTAGGGGTGGGAGGTAGAGTGTTGGCAGCTAGGGGTCATCTGGAGAAAAACATAAGCCAGAGGTAGATAGAGGCGTCATAGCCGCATTCAAGGCAGGTCAGAGATTTAAATATAAAAGAGACCCCAAGGCAAATTTGATAGCCTCATACTGGGGAGGCTTTGTAAGTTTGTTTCCAAATCCAGAAGCCATTTATGAGAAAAGATTCAGAAATATGAAAGATTGCTAAGTATAAAAATGACAGTTTTTACATTTCATGAAACAACCATAAAGTTGAAAAACTGTGGAAAAATGGAAATTATATCAGCGATAAAAGGTTAATTTCTTTAATATAAAAATACTTCCGGCCTGGCACGGTGACTCACATCTGTAATCCCAGCACTTCAGGAGGCCGAGGAAGGTGGATCACCTGAGGTCAGGAGTTCGAGACCAGCCTGGCCAACAAGGAAAAACCCCATCTTTACTAAAAATACAAAAATTAGCCATGCATGGTGGCGTGTGCCTGTAGTCCCAGCTACTTGGGAGGCTGAGACAGGAGCATCGCTTGAGCCCGGGAGGCGGAGGTTGCAGTGAGCTGAGATTGTGCCATTGCACTCCAGCGTGGACAACAAGAACAAAACTCTGTCTCAAAAGAAAAAAAAGAAAAGAATTCCTAACATCCAATAAGAAAAAGACCTATACCACTCAATAGAAACACAGGTGTGGATAACTACAGGTCATTTAATGCAGATAGTTCCTAAACATGGGAGATGTTCAGATTTACTCAAAAGAGGTAAAAGCTTAAAGAGCAAAGCACTTGTCAGCTGTCACACTGACACCATGTGAAAGTTGGCTGACCCTGCAGGTGAGGGCAGAGGAAGACAGACACCTCCAGGTGTTGCTGGTCGGGTGTAGCTGGCACAGCTTTCCTGGAAGGCAGCTTGCAGGAGCGGCCAAGTCCATGAGCCTGTGCCCTCTGTCTCCTGCCTACGAGTGTAGCTCACAGGCACACTTGGGCTGCTGCAAAGTGACCTGTGCACAGTTGTGTTTGTAGTGGTGAGGATGGGATGTGCATCGGGACAGGACCGGGTAAGCACGTAGCGACACATCTGGAAGGGGGAGTAGAGGCCACCTTGAAAGGAGCGAGGCAGCTCAGTGTGTCCAGCATGATGGACCCCCAGGATTCTGTGTGCTGCGAGGGAGAGAAGCTAGCAGCACAGAGCAGAGTGTGGAATGGGCTGCATTTGGGGATTCCAAGAAAAAGATGCAAATGTATATATATAACCACGTTCATGCTTGTGGGAAAACTGGTCGCTGTATTTTCCTTCTGGGAGGAAAGCCAAGTCTGGGCACCCCTTCATGCCATTTGACTTCTCCTGGCAATAAATTACCTCTGCAGAAAAATATAGATTAAGCAACCTGCTGATCTTTATTATTTTATTTTTTATTTTTTTGAGACAGGATCTCGCTCTGTCGCCCAGTCTAGAGTGCAGTAGGGCAGTGTTGGCTCACTGCAACCTCCAGTTCCTGGGTTCAAGCGATTCTCCTGCCTCAGCCTCCTGAGTAGCTGGGATTACAGGCGCCTGCCACCACGCTCAGCTGATTTTTTGTATTTTCAGTAGCAACGGGGTTTCACCATGTTAGCCAGGATGGTCTAGATCTCCTGACCTCATGATCTGCCCACGTCGGCCTCCCAAAGTGTGAGGATTACAGGCGTGAGCCACCGCGCCCGGCCACCCCACTGATCTTTAGGCCCAAAATTGCATGGAATTTGAGACTTCCGGGGGAGTCTGAAGCGGCAAGAAGACACAGTACTTTTGGGTTTTTTCCTTTGGTCTTTTGTCCCCTGGATAGACATACATTAACTGATTTATTGTTGTAAAGGTCTGCTTTGCCACAAAACTGTACCGCAGGAGAGGGGCTGAAGTGTATTGGAGTACCAGCTATGTGCTAGGTGCTGTGTATTTTCTCTCTTTAATGTGATATTTATGTAATGTTTTCTTTTACAAAGCTGTCCTGCCCGTATATACACAGTGGTTCTTCTAGCAGTCTAAGGGATTACTAGGTAGAATATCTCCATGCTGTAAAGTAACTGAAGGCCAAGAGGTTTGATTATTGATTTGCCCAAGACCCCAAAGCTTAAACAACACCTGGGTAGCAACGCATAGTTCACCAGCTTGCTTTCTTCAGTGGGTATTCTTTGGTGGGGCTTTCTGGGTTGACTATGCCATTCAGAGCCCTGGGTCTCAGGGTCACATGGTTGGGACCTGGCCCCACGTGTGGCGTTGCGCTTGAGAAAGTTTCTCAGTATTCTAGAGTGGTAATTCCTTCACCTGTGAAATGGGGAGACTTGGTTCCCGAGGCTGCGTGGAGCAGCTCGGAGAGACTAGCAGGTGGCAGGTGCTGTGCTTGGGAGGCCCAAAGGCCATTTGAGCAGGACCAGCAGTTATGATGCCCGGCTCCATTCCAGAGCTTCACAGTGTCTTGTGCATCTGTTCATGTAGAGTTTTTCATTGAAATTATGAAATAACATGAGCGAACCTAGTCTTGTGTCTCAGCCTCCTTGGATAATGTGGCAGGGGCTGCAGATGCGTGCCCCCAAGGCCCCCACATTTGGAATTGATTGGACTGTTTTGATGGTCTATCTCCAGAAACCCAGCCATGGGACCCGAGGGAATGAGTACTCCATTAAATCCCAGTTGTAGTGTGTTAAATTACTTTCAAAATATTTCTTTAGAAGTTCCTTTTTGATCTTTCTTTTTTGTTTGTTTTGGAAGAGAGTCTTGCTCTGTCGCCCAGGCTGGAGTGCAGTGGCACCTTCTTGGCTGACTGCAACCTCCGCCTCCTGAGTTCAAGTGATTCTCCTGCCTCAGCCACCTGAGTCTCTGGGATTACAGGTGTGCACCACCATGCCTGGCTAACTTTTGTATTTTAAGTAGAGACGGGGTTTCACCGTGTTGGCCAGGCTGGTCTCAAACTCCCGGCCTCATGTCATCCACCTGCCTTAGTCTCCCAAAGTGCTGGGATTTATAGCTATGACCCACAACACCCAGCCTCCTCTTTAGTATATTTTTGACTATTTTTTTTTTCTCCTGAGGATTAAGGGATAAGATAGGAACCTAGTTTCTTATCATACAGACTGGACTAGGGTGATTTTGCCCTTGTCTTAGAAAAGTGGAGGATCCTTGGTATGTTTTGTTTTCTATTTTACTTTATTTTTATTTTTGTTTCGGAGATGGTGTCTCGTCCTGTTGCCAAGGATGGGATTGCAGTGGCACGATCATGGCTGTTCGCAGCTTCAACCTCATGGTCTCAAACGATCCACTCATCTTGGCCTCCCAAAGTGTTGGGATTACAGGCGTGAGCCGCTGCACCCAGCTGGTTTGTTTTTTACTATATAATGGAAATTGTGACATTATTTCTTCTCTAACCAGAAGACAAGGTCAATAAGCCTTTTTTTCTAGCTAAGCTACTAGTAAAAGTTCAGTACCTAAAATGAGTGCCCCCGCTTTGGTGAGTGGGTGGGGGCAAACTGAGGCCGAGGCACCGGAGGTGGCCGGGGTATGTTTGCTGTCGTGTTGTGCACGTGGGCTTTCTTGTGGCTGGGTGGTTCTGTTGCGAATGCCCCAGACTCATTAACGTGCACATCTAATCCTTCTGCAGATGAATATTTCCCCCGCTTCCCTCGCCAGTCTTTATGAGGAAGACTTCAAGCAGGACATGGCAGCCCTGAAGGTAAAGTGTGGGGCTGGTTGTTCCTGCCATGAGGGTGACAGGCGTGAGCAATGACAGCTGGTGCTGGCTGACCTGTGCTTCTCACGAGGGAAACACGGTCACGTCTCCACTTCCTTGCAGGTTCTCCCACCCACGGTGTACCTGAGGGTAACCGAAAATATTCCTCAGATAATTTCTTTCATTGAAGGAATCATTGCTCGTGGGAACGCTTATTCAACGGCAAAAGGTAGGGTTTATGTTCTTTTTTTTTTTTTCTTTTTTTTTTTTTGAGACAGAGTTTTACTCTGTCACCCAGGCTGGAGTGCAGTGGTGCTATCTCAGCTCACTGCAACCTCTGCCTCCCTGGTTCAAGCGATTCTCCCGTCTCAGCCTCCTGAATAGCTGGGACTACAAGGTGCGTGCCACCATGCCCGGCTACATTTTTTTTGTTTTGGTATTTTTAGTAGAGATAAGGTTTCACCATGTTGGCCAAGCTGGTCTCAAACTCCTGACCTTGTGATCCACCTGCCTCAGCCTCCCAAAGTGCTGGGATTACAGGCGTGAGCCACTGTGCCCAGCCGGTTTATGTTCTTAAAACTAAAACATTACTGGGATTTGGAGAAACTGGATGTATTTATCAGCTGTAGGAACATACTAAAATTTACTTCTGTCTTGCTAGGATTCCAACAGCAAAGCTGTTGTGGGG
Organism: Homo sapiens; assembly: GCF_000001405.40. NCBI lineage: Eukaryota > Metazoa > Chordata > Mammalia > Primates > Hominidae > Homo > Homo sapiens. The sequence goes on along the minus strand of NC_000013.11, from coordinate 110,687,261 downwards.
TTTTCTACAATATTGTGTCTCTTTGCGAAATGGTTGAATTAGTTCTAAATATCTTTTCCAGGGAGAGGGGAACGTCTGGACAGCTAGTCTTGGTAACAGTCGTGGAATCTAGGTGGTAGGTGTACAGGTGTTCATTGTGGTGTTATTTCATCTTTGTTTAGGTATTTTCCTAACAAAAAGTTGGGGACAAACACAGTACCTCCAGAGACCTGCTCTCTTCTTATTAAAAGTCAGCCCAGGTCACCCCCGTCTGTTTGGCTATCGTTTTTTCACAGGCCATTACGAGTGAGTTGCGGGAGTCAGAGGTTGCAGTGAGCCGAGATCACACCATTGCACTCCAGCCTGGTGACAGAGCAAGACTCCGTCCACCCACCCTCCCCTGCACAAAAAACAAAAAGTTGCAGGGCCAGGCATGGTGGCTGATGCCTGTAATCCCAGTACTTTGGGAGGTGGAAGCGGGTGGATCACTTGAGGCCAAGAATTTGAGACCAGCCTGGGTAACATGTTAAAACCTTCTTTCTACTAAGATGACAAAAAATCAGCCAGGCCTGGTATCGCGCGCCTGTGGTCCCAGCTATTCTGGAGGCTGAGGCATGAGAATTGCTTGCACCCAGGAGGCATAGTTTGCAGTGAGCCGAGATCACACCATTGTACTCCAGCCTGGGTGACATTGCCAGACTGTCTCAAAAAATAAAAATAAAAAAGTGAGTTGCAGGGCTGGGCGTGGTGGCTGATACCTATAATCCCAGCACTTTGGGAGGCAGAGGCAGGTGGATCACTTGAGTCCAGGAGTTCAGGACCAGCCTGGGCAACATGGAGAGACCCCTTCTCTACAAAAATAAAATATAAAAATTAGCTAGGCATGGTGGCGTGCTCCTGTAGTCTCAGCTACTCAGGAGGCCGAGGTGAGAGGATAGATTGAGCCCAGGAAATTCGAGGCTGCAGTGAACCATGATTGTCCCACTGCACACCAGCCTGGGAGACAGAGCGAGACCTTGTCTCAAAAAAAAAAAAAAAAAGCGTGAGTTGCAGATGTTCTGTCGCATCAGCCATGACACTTCAACATGCATCTCTGCATAAAAGGAGTCCAGATGTCATGGTCAGACCTCAGACAATGAAGAATTTCTGGCTAGCTTCGCGTGTCCTCTCTGTATTAAATATACTCACTTGTCCCCAGGGCATGTGCTGCGTGTGCATTTGTTGGTTTAGTCTCCTCACTTTTTCCCCTCCTCTTTCTTTTTTTCTTTTTTTCTCTTTTTTTTTTTTTTTCATTTTTTCTGGGTAAGCACATGTAGATTCAAGACTCTGACAGGTCAGTTTTCCTGTGGAGCAGTCTGTGTTTAGATTTGCATGTTGCTTACTGCAGGTGGTTTCATTGGTTTGCGGATGCTAATCTTTGTCTGGTGGACCCCAGGCAAGGCTGGCGTCTTGCTGTTTTGCTGCTTTGGTGATGAAGCATCGCCATAAATCCGAACTAAATCCCACCCATCCTGGCTGCAAACCCTGACCACAGCCTCATCTCTCCATGAAGTTCTCCTTCACCCAGCACAGTTGAAAGTGAACTTACTTTCTCAGCCTTGATATCTCTGCTGTACCATTTGGCAGCCAGTTCTGCACTGCCATAGTTTGCTGTTTAATGTATTCATATTTTGTCCCCATCTAGATCATAAATTCTCAGACCATAAAAACCTTTTGCTTTACTGAATGACGCCTTAAAGTATCCAGCCGACGGCTGAAGATACGTAGGTATTGAATGTTTGTTGCAATGAGTCAGAAAGCATGAAGCACTGCCCTGGACGTTCCTGTCCTTCCTGGGTCCTACTTGGAGCGTAAGATGAGCACGTGAGGCCCTGAGGATCTGCTCAGTAGGCTCTGTGTATGGAAGTAGCTTTTTACTTGTTCTAATGTGGTATATTTAGATTTTGTTTCAAAGAAAAACTTTTTTTTTTTTTGAGACAGAGTCTTGCTCTGTCGCCTAGGCTGGAGTGCAGTGGCACAATCTTGGCTCACAGCAACCTCCGCCTCCCGGGTTCAAGCAATTCTCCTGCCTCAGCCTCCCAGGAAAAACTTTTTTTAAAGGACTTAGGTGGTTGAATTAGAGTTTGCACCAGAAAACACAGGAATTAATTTTTTGCTGTCGTGTAACTTGAAATAAGATATGTGGGCCTGTGCTTCCATTTTAGGAATAAAGTGATAAATGTTCACGAGTCTTTAGGGATTCTCGTCTTCACAGGCTTGAGGATTGAATGCTGTTTGTTGTTTTGTTACTGTGTTTTATTATAAACAATTTAATGATAGTATAAATATAATTAATTCAAAATACACTTACATTCAATCAAACCCCAGTAATTTGGACTTTGTTACAATTCCACAAGGGCTTGGTTGTAATTTGATCTTTGAACTCTTGGTGAAAAACAATTTCTTCAGCAAATTGATAACATAAAGCAAAGTGAAGGGGGAATGTTTCCACCATTTAAGGGAGTGGTTTCTCTCCAGTGAAGCGCTTTTAAAGCACTGTTTATATTCTGACTTCATAGAAAGCAGCTCCCAGGGCCTGGATGTCCCCCTCCTGTCCTCTGGTTCATCCCCAGCACCGAGTGCCAGCTTAATGGTCAACCCTGAATGACCAGAGAGGACGCTGCAGGGACAGGGCAGGGTTTTCTGAGCACAATGGTCACTGGTGGGAGGAAAGGCCAGTGTGGCTTGGGCAAACAAAGCCGGGTGACATTTCAACAGAAAACCCTGCCCTGTCCCTTCAGCGTCCTCCCTGGTCATTCGGGGTTGACCACTAAGCTGGCACTCGGTGCTGGGGATGAACCAGAGGACAGGAGGGGGACATCCAGGCTGAGGACATGAGGCAGGTCCTGGGTGCAGCTTGTGTTTGCCAGTTGCAAAGTTTCCTTGATCTTACCAACACCAGTGTCCGCAGTAAGGACAGTACTGATGCAAATCAGTAACTGCATTAGTAAAAAAGAATGTGAAGACTCAAACTTTGTAAAGGCTAAAAGTTGCACCCACGCCTGGGGCCTGAGGACAGCTACATGCTGCTGTGTGGTTGGAGGGTGCTGGATGGTGGCTGCGGATCTGTGGTACTGAGAATGGCCATGGTCACAGCCCGGATGAGCATTGCCTCCTTCCTAGGGAGACACATGGCCTGGAACACACAGCGGCTGCAGCCGGGCAGCCTTGGAGCATAGGTTGGTAGTGCTTTCTTCTTGACAAAGCTCCCACTCTGAGTGCCTCCTCCCCAGCTCTGCTTTCTTAGGCTTTGTGGTGGAAGGGGCAAGGGCAGCCCAGGCTTGCAGGAGGCTCTGGAGAAGGTTCTGACCTCAGACTGCAAAGCGGACCTTGGCACTCAGCCTCACAGACACTTCAATATGCAGATGATTTTTTTGTGTGTTTTTTTTGGTAGAGATGGGGTCTCACTATGTTGCCCAGGCTGGTCTCGAACTCTTCAGCTCAAACAATCCTCCTGCCTCGGACTCCCAAAGTGCTGGGATTGGAGGCGTGAGCCACTGCACCCAGCCAGATGATGTTTTCAATCTGAGTAAAAAGGTAGTTTTAGAAGATGACTGGGCAAAGAAAGAGTGTCTTTGCTAGCTGGTGTGTAACATAAAGTAAAGAAAGAGTGTCTTTGTTAGCTGTTGTGTAACACAAGGCACAAGATCTAAATGAAGGTCAGTGATAACACTTTTCTTTTTTCTGATTAAATAATTGTCTCAGTAGTTTACAGAGAACTTACATTTGTGTTTTCACTTTCACGTCTGTGTACTCATGATATGTCCAAATCATGCATTTATCTTATAGTATTGTTTTTAATTCTGGTTAACAAATATATTAAGCCAGGCATGGTGTCACTCCTATAGCCCCACCTACTGGGAAGGTTGAGGTGGGAAGACTGCCTGAGCCAAGGAGTTCAAGGCTATCGTGAGCTGTGATTGTACCACTGCACTCCAGCCTGAGCAACAGCAAGACCCTGTCTATAAAAATATAAATACTATATATGTATATGGGGCCAAATGCTATGTTCTGTATTTAAATTCTAATTACTTGTTAGATGTTAAGGTTGTCAATATGCTGATATTCAGACTGAGAAGTGATGAATTCATAATTGTCTTTATAAACAGGCAATGTCTACTTCGATCTGAAGTCTAGAGGAGACAAGTATGGCAAATTGGTCGGCGTGGTCCCTGGTCCAGTCGGAGAGCCAGGTGGGTTGGCCGGGCTCAGCCCTGTGGGTCCCTGACCTCTGCCTCGGGTCTCAGCTCTGGGGAGATGAGATCTGGAGCGCAGACCCCTCCACTTGCTCAGACACTGGCCTTACCCAGGTCACAGCTGTGTTTTAAATTTAGTGTGGTTTCTGTGGATGGCTCCAGCTTGTGAGGCATATAGTTCAAACGGCAAGTGGGGCATCGTCCACCCCCGCCCCCAGCGTGCCTGGCTCCATTCCCTGGAGACAGTGCTGGTCACTGTCTCCTTTTTCCTCCCCAGGGTTTTCAGCGCACATGAAAACCTCATACACGTACATCATATTTTCGCGTTCTTCTGTGTTACCGTACATTTAATTCCCATACGTGTCTTACTATGTGTTAAACTTCCAATCTGTTTGAATCTCTTCCTTGCTCTATTCTGTTCCAGGGAGTTATTAGGTCAAAACATTTTTATGGAGAAGAAATAGTAAGCGCAGTATATGGAACTAAATTTAAAATAATTTGAAAAGGATACTGTCTAAGGGAATCAAACAAGAATAACAGGGACAGACCCCAAAGACTGTTCAAGGTATTTCTGGTTTTAGGCACTGTCTTTCTGCGCCATAAACTGTGCCAATGAATCCTAACCATCCATAGCACTGACCCCTCAGGTTCTTTCCTTCCCCCGCCGTGGTGCCCTGTCCCGCTCCCCGCACAGGCCGGAACACAGACGCCCACATCAGCCACGTGTGAGGCGTGGCTACCAGCAGGCCGTGTGGGCTTTGCTTACACATGTGGAGGAGAAGTTTCTGAGAGTTGTACATTCTGGCATCAGGAAGGTTTTTTAAAATTATTTATTTAATAGATTTGCTTTTTAGAGCCATTTTAGCTTCATAGCAAATTTGAGAGTAAGGTACAGAGAATTCCTGTCTACCTGCTACCCTCCACACCGCCCCCCACACTGTCAGCATCCCCCACCATTGACGCATCAGCTTTGCCCAGAGACCAGAGTTGGCATCAGGGTTCACTCTCGGCACTGTGTGCTCTGGGTTTGGGTGAATGTATAGCGACATGTTTCCACCATTCCAGCATCACGCAGGATACTTGCACTGCCCTGAAAAATCCTGTGTGGTCTGTCTGCTCATCCTTCCCTCTTTCCCATCCCTGGAAATCACTGGTCTTTCTACAGTCTCTAGTTTTGCCTTTTCTAGAATGTCATATAGTTGGAGTCATACACTGTGCACCCTTCTCAGAATGGCTTCTCTCACTTAGGAATACACAGTAATTTTCCTCCGTGTCTTTTCATGGCTGAGAGCTCGTTTCTCTTTAACACTGAGTCACGTCCCAGTGTCTGAATTTACAGCAGCTTAAGCACTCACCTACTGAAGGGCATCTTCGCTGCTTCTGAGTTTTGGCAATTATGAATAAAGCTGCTGTAAACATCCACGTGCAGGTTTTCAGCTCATTTGGGCAGATACCAAGGAGCACAATGCTGGGTCCTCTGGGAAGAGGCTTATTTGTGTCAGAAACTGCCCAGCTTCTGCCAGAGTGGCTGCACCATTTTGCATCCCCACCAGTGAGGAATAAGTCCCTGTCGTTCCACATCTTCACAGCAGTGCTTTTTAAAATAAAAAATATTTTCTTATACAAAAGCAACATATTTATATAATTTATAATGGTACAAAATTAGGAAATAGAATTACACAAAACAAAGATAATAAAACCACCATTTTTACATATGGTGAAAAAAAATTTTAATGCCTTAGTGTATGTTATTTCCAAAGCAATGGTGTTGTCTTTTTAATTTTCAATTTAAATTGTTGTAATAACACAACAATAGAAAACACCATTAAAAAATGTCCAACTTGGTTGAGCATGGTGGCTCACACCTGTAATTCCAGCACTTTAGGAGGCCAAGGTTGGAGGATCACTTGAGGCCAGGAGTTCAAGACCAGCCTGGGCAATGTAGTGAGACCCCTTGCTGTCTCTACCAAACAAACAAAAATGCCCAGCTCAGTGAATTTGTGTTCAGTGGAGACCCTGCGGTCACCCCCTAGTGGAAGGAGACAACAATGGCAAGGGAGCGAAGGCACCTGAGTCCTCCGGGTCCCACGCCCTGGCCGATAACCTCCCGGGCCCTGCCTGCCAGCCTCTCTGCCCTGCCCTGGGGGCAACTACTGCCCTAACTCTGACAGCGGCCACCTCCTCATTTTTCTGAATGGGTTTATTGCCCAAACACGTGTCCCTTAACACGACACTTAGCCTTAGCTGTTCTATATTTGTGTCTTGTTTTTAGTCCACATGTTCCTCCCCTGGCTTCTTCCCCTTGCTGCTCATTTGAGGGAGAAACGTCATGTGTCTCACGGTTCCCCCAGTGGGATTTCGCTTGCTCTGAGTTTTGGAGTGTCTGTAACATTTCCCTCTGTCCTGTGTGTTTTTTTGCAAACTGGTAGTTGAATGTAGAGGCTTAATCCAGTTCTAAATTTCTGGAGAAGGCTACTTTGTAGATGGTGTATTCCTCACCAGGAGACACGTAAGGGCTCTGCCTCTGTGTGTCAGCAGCCCTGGCCGCTCTAGGCTTAGATCCTTCACTGCAAAAAGAGGTGGCATGGTGGTGCAACTCCCATTCTGCTTTATTTGCTGGAATACCTTTTTTGTTTGTTTGTTTGTTTGTTTTTTGAGACGGAATCTCACTCTTTTGCCCAGGCTGGAGTGCAGTGGCATGATCTCGGTTCACTGCAACCTCCACCTCCCAGGTTCAAGCAGTTCTCCCTGCCTCAGCCTCCAGAGTAGCTGGGATTACAGGGGCATGCCACCACACCCAGCTAATTTTTGTAGTTTTAGTAGAGATGGGGTTTTGCCGTGTTGGCCAGGCTGGTCTTGAACTCCTGACCTCAGGTGATCCACCCCCCCCCCCCCCCCCCTCGGCCTCCCAAAGTACTGGGGTTATCGGTGTGAGCCACCGTGCCTGGCCCATTTGCTGGAATACTTTTATACAGGCAGACTGTCATCTGGTTACTCAGTGGTACAGTTTGTATAAGAAAGGCAGGACCTTTTCCTTAACTTACCAGTTTTCAGAACAAGGAGTTGGCTTCCATATTTTCCTCTGGCAGTGACCAGTTCATGTTCTTCCGTTGCTGAGAGCTCGTGGGCTTCAGTGCACATGCCGTTTTAACCCATTGCTGCCATCACCTTATTGAGCCTCGGCGTGCCCCCTCTTTTGCTGGTAGCAGCTACTCCCGAGTCCCTTACACTCAGCCCTGTTGTAGTTAATAGTTTTGTGGCTGTCTATCTGATATGGTAAGATATTCCTGGCTCATCTTAAAATAAGCTGTTTCTCCTGGAAGTCCCATTTTTCTCTTTTCTTTCTTCCCTTTTCTTCCCTTTCCCTCCCTCCCTCCCTCCCTCCCTCCCTCCCTCCGGTCACGCCCGGTGTCCCTCCCTCCCTCTCTCTCTCTCTCTCTCTCTCTCTCTTTCTTTCTTTCTTTCTTTCTTTCTCTCTCTTTCTTTCTTTCTTTCTTTTCTTTTCTTTTGTTTTTTTGAGATAGAATGTCACTCTTGTTGTTCAGGCTGGAGTGCAATGGCGCGATCTCGGCTCACTGTAACCTCCGCCTCCCGAGCTCAAGCGATTCTCCTGCCTCAGCCTCCACAGTAGCTGGGATTACAGGCACCTGCCACCACACCCGGCTGATTTTTGTATTTTTAGTAGAGACGAGGTTTCGTCATATTGGTCAGGCTGGTCTCGAACTCCTGACCTCAGGTGATCCGCCCGCCTCGGCCTCCCAAAGTGCTGGGATTCTAGGTGTGAGCCACCGCGCCCAGCTCCCATTTTACTTTTAATGGGAAATGGTGTTTTGAGAACACAGCATGGGCACCATGGATACTCATTGTTGCCATCTGTCATTGCCGTCTGTCATTGTTTCCTGGCCTCTCCCATAGACTGAGGTAATGAACGCATCTGCTCCGTAGGTCACACTGATACTCAAATTCAGGGCCACGGGGTTTCATTAACCCCTCTGTCTGTTCACATGTGTGGTAAGGACAACGGGCGTGACCGGATGACCAGTGGGCATCCACCTGCTTTAGTCCATCACGGACCAGCCCTGCCCGAGGCTTGACCACGGTTAGAAGGTTCCCATGCACGTGCCTCCTCCCCGCCCCGCGTGTCCATATGTTGGAGTGCCCAGCCTCCGCCTGCGCTGCCTTCTGTAGCCCCGTCCACTCTTCCCCCCTCCCACCGTCTCCAGGTCCGCTTTTTCCCTGTTGTTTTTGAAGCTCATTCCCCAGCAGTTTCTGAAGGAAGAGCCCTTTCTCGGGAACAGTATTCTCTGCATTTGTGCCTGTGGATGACAGTGTGCTGCCTTCTACTTCAAAGTCAGTTTGGCTGGAAATACAGTCCTTGGCCGCATTTTCTGTCCTTAAGTATTTTCCTTCGGCATAAGGTGTTATTGATGCTCTCGTTTGCCATGCACTATGTAGGAATTGTTCTGTTTGCTTGGGTGCCCAGAGGATGTTATTCTTAGTAAAGTGACTAGTAATGAAAACGTAGCCTGTCCAGTCTGACCCAGAAAAAGTATCTGTGTCTGCACTCTTTAAATTCATCAAAGGTGATGGACGCCTGTGTCAGTGCTCCCGGGTGGAAAGGGTGATATTGGGACGTTGTGCACATGGGGTGTGCCTGTCCTGGGCAGATGGGACAGCAGGTTTTGGTGAGCATGCGCCACTGGCAGCCTCACCGCACGGTGATGGGCACCTTGCTCAGAGTCTCGGGTCCATAAGCCGCGTTACCTGACACGATCACGCGCCTTTCACTCTGTGTGATTAGTATCTTTTTGGAAAAAACAACCCTGAAACTCAGTTACTGATAAGCAGAGTATTTCTCGTAAGACAGAATAAGGAAAAATGGGAAAACCCCACCTGGTCCACAGTACATTCCTGAGAAATGAGCCTCTGTGGGTTCCCGGCCGCCCAGCTCTCCCTGTGCGCTGGTGCATCTGAGGTGAAAGCGTTGCCGGTGCTCCTGTCCCTCACGTGGGTGAAACAGGAGTGAACGAGAAGCCAAGGCTCCTTCGAAGAGACACAGCCTGGGGCGTGCTGCCCACTGGCGGCTGGAGGGGCTTCCACCGGGGTGGCCGGCTGGATTTCCCTGGTGGGGGTGACCAGCTGAGTTTCTGTGGTGGGGGGTGACTATCTGGGCTTCTGTGGTGGGGGTGAGGTGGTGGTGACAGCCTGGGCTTCCCTGGTGGGGTGACAGTCTGGGCTTTCATGGTAGGGGTGACTGTCTGCGTGTCCGTGGTGGGGTGATTGTGTTTCCATGGTGGGGGTGACTGTCTGGGTTTCCGTGGCGGGGTGGCTGTCTGGGTTTCCGTGGCGGGGTGGCTGTCTGAGTTTCTGTGGTGTGATTGTCTGGGTCTCCCTGGTGGGGGTGACTGAGTTTCTGTGGTGGGGTGACTGTCTGCGTGTCCGTGGTGGGGTGATTGTGTTTCCATGGTGGGGGTGACTGTCTGGGTTTCCGTGGCGGGGTGGCTGTCTGAGTTTCTGTGGTGTGATTGTCTGGGTCTCCCTGGTGGGGGTGACTGAGTTTCTGTGGTGGGGTGACTGTCTGCGTGTCCGTGGTGGGGTGATTGTGTTTCCATGGTGGGGGTGATTGGGTTTCCGTGGTAAGGGTGACTGTCTGGGTTTCCATGGTGGGGTGATTTTCTGTGTTTCCGTGGTGGGGGTGACTGGGTCCCCGTGGTGGGGGTGACTGTCTGAGTTTCCATGTTGGGGTGATTTTCTGTGTTTCCGTGGTGGGGGTGACTGGGTCTCTGTGGTGGGGGTGACTGTCTGGGTTTCCATGTTGGGGTGATTTTCTGTGTTTCCATGGTGGGGGTGACTGTCTGGGTTTCTGTGGTGGGGGTGAATGTCTGAGCATCCGTGGTGGGGTGACTGAGCTTCTTCCCACTGATGTACCGTTTGTCATCTGCAGCGGACTCTGACAAGCGTCATGCCAGTGACTTCGCCCTGTGGAAGGCGGCCAAACCCCAGGAGGTGTTCTGGGCCTCTCCCTGGGGACCCGGGAGGCCGGGCTGGCACATCGAGTGCTCTGCCATCGCTAGGTAAGGTGCCTGCCGCTTCCTGGGGGTTGGGGCTCAAGTTCCCCTGGTGCCTGCTCAGGGCAGCAGAGGATGTGCATGGGAGCAGGTGCAGCCTGGCACGTGTGCCCATGGGTGATTTTTTGGGAAGAGATTTTTGCCGGAGTGTGACGGGCCATGGAACGGGGTGAACGAAACCCATGACACATCAAGCTTTCCTGACCTCAGCACTTCCTCTGTTTAGTGGAGAGGCTGCTTTTTGGTTCACACTTGCAGCTGCCCTGTTCCCTCACCCTTCTCTGTAGTGGCTGGTGCTTGGGGCCCTGGAGGAGAGTGCTTGCACCTACATCCCTCCTCGCTTCGCACTTCTCTAGCCCCCAAATCCCTCTCCGCCTTCCCGCCAGCTCTTCTAGCTCAGGCAACTCGCATGCCAGGGTGCTCTGTGGCGGAAATCTCCAGCTCCTCCCAGATCTTCCTGGAGTCCCCCAGCCACCCTCATGTGGGTCCTCTGTCACCAAAGCTCCTCTTCCCACTGTCTGCCTGGGACCGCAGCTGCCTGCCGCCCCCACTCAGTCACACGACACTGCTCTCCTGGCCCACTGCGGCATCCCCTACTCTGGAAACACCCTCTCTGTCCTGGTTTCTGCCTCTCAGTAGAGCTTTCTCCGCCTTCTCCCTGGTCCCCTTGGACGCACCTGAGGTGTCCACACCCTGTGGCTCTGCCCACAGCCAGGGGCACCTTGGGTGGGGTGTGTGAAAGACAGCATACCGCCCGTGCCCCGTGCTGCACAGCTGCCCATGGGGCTCGCCACAGTTAGTTTCATGTTCCTGTTTTTTTGTTTTGAGACGGAGGTTCACTCTTCTTGCCCAGGTTGGAGTGCAATGGTGCGATCTCGGCTCACCGCAACCTCCGCCTCCCAGGTTCAAGCGATTCTCCTGCCTCATCCTCCTGAGTAGCTGGGATTACTGGCATGCGCCACCACCCCGGCTAATTTTGTATTTTTAGTAGAGACGGGATTTCTCCCTGCTGGTCAGGCTGGTCTCGATCTCCTGACCTCAGGTAATCCGCCCGCCTTGGCCTCCCAAAGTGCTGGGATTACAGGTGTGAGCCACTGCGCCTGGCCCACGGTTAGTTTGTTACCGTGGTGCTGGTTTGTGTGGCCTGACCCTCTGCAGGCAGCAGGGTACCCAGCCGCGCGTTTAGACTGTTCCTAGCGTTTCAGTGTTACAGATCTCCTTAGTGAATAACCACGCGTATGTTTCCTATTTGTAGAAATGGGTTTTTTTTTTCATTATATTTTAACTTCTAGGGTACATGTGCACAATGTGCAGGTTTGTTACATCTGTATACATGTGCCATGTTGGTGTGCTGCACCCATTAACTCCTCATCTACGTTAGGTATATCTCCTAATGCTATCCCTCCCCACTCCCCCACCCCATGACAGGCCCTGGTGTGTGATGTTCCCCACCCTGTGTCCAAGTGTTCTCATTGTTCAATTCCTACCTATGAGTGAGAACATGCAGTGTTTGGTTTTCTGTCCTTGTGATAGTTTGCTCAGAATGATGGTTTCCAGCTTCATCCATGTGCCTACAAAGGACATGAACTCATCCTTTTTTATGGCTACATAGTATTCCATGGTGTATATATGCCACATTTTCTTAATCCAGTCTATCATTGGTGGACATTTGGGTTGGTTCCAAGTCTTTGCTATTGTGAATAGTGCCACAATAAACATACGTGTGCATGTGTCTTTATAGCAGCATGATTTATAATCCTTTGGGTATATATCCAGTAATGGGATGGCTGGGTCAAATGGTATTTCTAGTTCTAGATCCCTGAGGAATCGCCACACTGTCTTGCACAATGGTTGAACTAGTTTACAGTCCCACCAACAGTGTAAAAGTGTTCCTATTTCTCCACATCCTCTCCAGCACCTGTTGTTTCCTGAGTTTTAATGATTGCCATTCAAACTGGTGTGAGATGGTATTTCATTGTGGTTTTGATTTGCATTTCTCTGATGGCCAGTGATGATGAGCATTTTTTCATGTGTCTGTTGGCTGCATAAATGTCTTCTTTTGAGAAGTGTCTGTTCATATCCTTCGCCCACTTTTTGATGGGGTTGTTTGATTTTTTCTTGTAAATTTGTTTAAGTTCTTTGTAGATTCTGGATATTAGCCCTTTGTCAGATGGGTAGATGGTGAAAATTTTCTCCCATTCTGTAGGTTGCCTGTTCACTCTGATGGTTGTTTCTTTTGCTATGCAGAAGCTCTTTAGTTTAATTAGATCCCATTTGTCAATTCTGGCTTTTGTTGCCATTGCTTTTGGTGTTTTAGTCATGAAGTCCTTGCCCATGCCTATGGCCTGAATGGTATTGCCTGCGTTTTCTTCTAGGGTTTTTATGGTTTTAGGTCTAACATTTCAGTCTTTAATCCATCTTGAATTAATTTTGTGTAAGGATAGGGATCCAGTTTCAGCTTTCTACATATGGCTAGCTAGTTTTCCCAGCATTGTTTATTAAATAGGGAATCCTTTCCCCATTTCTTTTTTTGTCAGGTTTGTCAAGATCAGATGGTTGTAGATGTGTGGTATTATTTCTGAGGGCTCTGTTCTGTTCCATTGGTCTATATCTCTGTTTTGGTACCAGTACCATGCTGTTTTGGTTACTGTAGCCTTGTAGTATAGTTTGAAGTCAGGTAGCATGATGCCTCCAGCTTTGTTCTTTTGGCTTAGGATTGTCTTGGCAGTGCAGGCTCTTTTTTGAACTTTAAACCATATGAACTTTAAAGTAGTTTTTTCCAATTCTGTGAGAAAAGTCATTGGTAGCTTGATAGGGATGGCATTGAATCTATAAGTTACCTTGGGCAGTATGGCCATTTTCACGATATTGATTCTTCCTATCCATGAGCATGGAATGTTCTTCCATTTGTTTGTGTCCTCTTATATTTCATTGAGCAGTGGTTTGTAGTTCTCCTTGAAGAGGTCCTTCACATCCCTTGTAAGTTGGATTCCTAGGTATTTTATTCTCTTTGAAGCAATTGTGAATGGGAGTTCACTCATGATTTGGCTCCCTGTCTGTTATTGGTGTACAGGAATGCTTGTGATTTTTGCACATTGATTTTGTATCCTGAGACTTTGCTGAAGTTGCTTATCAGCTTAAGGAGATTTTGGGCTGAGATGATGGGGTTTTCTAAATATACAATCATGTCATCTGCAAACAGGGACAATTTGACTTCTTCTTTTCCTAATTGAATACCCTTTATTTCTTTCTCCTGCCTGATTGCCCTGGCCAGAACTTCCAACACTATGTTAAATAGGAGTGGTGAGAGAGGGCATCCCTGTCTTGTGCCAGTTTTCAAAGGGAATGCTTCCAGTTTTTGCCCATTCAGTATGATATTGGCTGTGGGTTTGTCATAAATAGCTCTTATTATTTTGAGATACGCCCCATCAATACCTAGTTTATTGAGACTTTTTAGCATGAAGGGCTGTTGAATTTTGTCAAAAGGCCTTTTCTGCATCTATTGAGATAATCATGTGGTTTTTGTCTTTGGTTCTGTTTATGTGATGGATTACGTTTATTGATTTGTGTATGTTGAACCAGCCTTGCATCCCAGGGATGAAGCCCACTTGATCGTGGTGGATAAGCTTTTTGATGTGCTGCTGGATTCGGTTTGCCAGTATTTTATTGAGGATTTTTGCATCGATGTTCATCAGGGCTATTGGTCTAAAATTCTCCTTTTTTGTTGTGTCTCTGCCAGGTTTTGGTATCAGGATGATGCTGGCCTCTTAAAATGAGGGAGGATTCCCTTGTTTTCTGTTGATTGTAATAATTTCAGAAGGAATGGTACCAGCTCCTCCTTGTACCTCTGGTAGAATTTGGCTGTGAATCCTTCTGGTCCTGGACTTTTTCTGGTTGGTAGGCTATTAATTATTGCCTTAATTTCAGAGCCTGTTATTGGTCTATTCAGGGACTCAACTTCTTCCTGGTTTAGTCTTGGGAGGGTGTATGTGTCCAGGAATTTATCCATTTCTTCTAGATTTTCTAGTTTATTTGCATAGAGGTGTTTATAGTATTCTCTGATGGTAGTTTGTATTTCTGTGGGATCGGTGGTGATATCCCCTTTATCATTTTTTGTTGTGTCTATTTGATTCTTCTCCCTTGTCTTCTTTATTAGTCTTGCTAGCGGTCTATCAATTTTGTTGATCTTTTCAAAAAACCAGCTCCTGGATTCATTGATTTTTTGAAGGGTTTTTTGTGTCTCTATCTCCTTCAGTTCTGCTCTGATCTTAGTTATTTCTTGCCTTCTGCTAGCTTTTGAATGTGTTTGCTCTTGCTTCTCTAGTTCTTTTAATTGTGATGTTAGGGTGTTAGTTTTAGATCTTTCCTGCTTTCTCTTGTGGGCATTTAGTGCTATAAATTTCCCTCTACACACTGCTTTAAATGTGTCCCAGAGATTCTGGTATGTTGTGTCTTTGTTCTTATTGGTTTCAAAGAACGTCTTTACTGCTGCCTTCATTTCATTATGTACCCAGTAGTCATTCAGGAGCAGGTTGTTCAGTTTCCATGTAGTTGAGAGGTTTTGAGTGAGTTTCTTAATCCTGAGTTCTAGTTTGATTGCACTGTGGTCTGAGAGACAGTTTGTTACAATTTCTGTTCTTTTACATTTGCTGAGGAGTGCTTTACTTCCAAATATGTGGTCCATTTTGGAATAAGTGCGATGTGGTGCTGAGAAGAATGTATATTCTGTTGATTTGGGGTGGAGAGTTCTGTAGATGTCTATTAGGTCCGCTTGGTGCAGATCTGAGTTCAATTCCTGGATATCCTCGTTAACTTTCTGTCTCATTGATCTGTCTAATGTTGACAGTGGGGTGTTAAAGTCTCCCATTATTATTGTGTGGGAGTCTAAGTCTCTTTGTAGGTCTCTAAGGACTTGCTTTATGAATCTGGGTGCTCCTGTATTAGGTGCATATATATTTAGGATAGTTAGTTCTTCTTGTTGAATTGATCCCTTTACCATTATGTAATGGCCTTCTTTGTCTCTTTTGATCTTTGTTGGTTTAAAGTCTGTTTTATCAGACACTAGGTTTGCAACCCCTGCTTTTTTTTGTTTTCCTTTTGTTTGGTAGATCTCCCTTCATCCCTTTATTTTGAGCCTGTGTGTGTCTCTGCACGTGAGATGGGTCTCCTGAATACAGCACACTGATGGGTCTTGACTCTTCATCCAATTTGCCAGTCTGTATCTTTTAAGTGGAGCATTTAGCCCATTTACATTTAAGGTTAATATTGTTATGCGTGAATTTGATCCTGTCATTATGATGTTAGCTGGTTATTTTGCTCGTTAGTTGATGCAGTTTCTTCCTAGCCTTGACGGTCTTTACAATTCGGCATGTTTTTGCAGTGGCTGGTACTGGTTGTTCCTTTCCATGTTTAGTGCTTCCTTCAGGAGCTCTTGTAAGGCAGGCCTGGTGGTGACAACATCTCTCAGCATTTGCTTGTCTGTAAAGGATTTTATTTCTCCTTCACCTATGAATCTTAGTTTGGCTGGATATGAAATTCTGGGTTAAAAATTCTTTTCTTTAAGAACGTTGAATATTGGCCCCCACTCTCTTCTGGCTTATAGAGGTTCTGCCAGGAGATCTGCTGTTAGTCTGATGGGCTTCCCTTTGTGGGTAACCCGACCTTTCTCTCTGGCTGCCCTTAACATTTTTTCCTTCATTTCAACTTTGGTGAATCTGACAATTATGTGTCATGGAGTTGCTCTTCTCGAGGAGTATCTCTGTGGCGTTCTCTGTATTTTCTGAATGTGAATGTTGGCCTGCCTTGTCAGGTTGGGGAAGTTCTCCTGGATAATATCCTGAAGAGTGTTTTCCAACTTGGTTCCATTCTCCCTGTCACTTTCAGGTACACCAATCAGACGCAGATTTGGTCTTTTCACATAGTCCCATATTTCTCGGAGGCTTTGTTCATTTCTTTTTACTCTTTTTTCTCTAAACTTCTCTTCCTGCTTCATTTCATTCATTTGATCTTCAATCACTGATACCCTTTCTTCCACTTGATCAAATCGGCTACTGAAGCTTGTGCATGCATCACATAGTTGTTGTGCCATGGTTTTCAGCTCCATCAGGTCATTTAAGGTCTTGTCTATGCTGTTTATTCTGGTTAGCCATTCGTCTAATCTTTTTTGAAGGTTTTTAGCTTCTTTATGATGGGTTCAAACATCCTCCTTTAGCTCGGAGAAGTTTGTTATTACCGATCGTCTGAAGCCTTCTTCTCTCAACTCATCAAAGTCATTCTCTGTCCAGCTTTGTTCCATTGCTGGTGAGGAGCTGCGTTTCTTTGGAGGAGAAGAGGCGCTCTGATTTTTAGAATTTTCAGCTTTTCTGCTCTGGTTTCTCCCCATCTTTGTGGTTTTTGTCTACCTTTGGTCTTTGATGGTGGTGACATACAGATGGGGTTTTGGTGTGGATGTCCTTTCTGTTTGTTAGTTTTCCTTCTAACAGTCAGGACCCTCAGCTGCAGGTCTGTTGAGTTTGCTGGAGGTCCACTCCAGACCCTGTTTGCCTGGGTATCACCAGCAGAGGCTGCAGAACAGCAAATATTGCAGAACGGCAAATGTTGCTGCATGATCCTTCCTCTGGAAGCTTCGTCTCAGAGGGCACCTGGCTGTATGAGGTGTCAGTCAGCCCCTACTGGGAGGTGTCTCCCAGTTGGTCTACTCGGGGATCAGGGACCCACTTGAGGAGGCAGTCTGTCCGTTCTCAGATCTCAAACTCCGTGCTGGGAGAACCACTACTCTTCAAAGCTGTCAGTCAGGAACGTTTAAGTCTGCAGAAGTTTCTGCTGCCTTTTGTTCAGCTATGCCCTGTCCCCAGAGGTGGAGTCTACAGAGGTGGGCAGGCCTCCTTGAGCTGTAGTGGGCTCCACCCAGTTCGAGCTTCCTGGACACTTTGTTTACCTACTCAAGCCTCAGCAATGGCAGATGCCCCTCCCCCAGCCTCGCTGCCGCCTTGCAGTTCATCTCAGACTGCTGTGCTAGCAGTGAGCGAGGCTCCGTGGGCGTGGGACCCTCCGAGCCAGGCGCAGGATATAATCTCCTGGTGTGCCGTTTGCTAAGACCATTGGAAAAGCACAGTATTAGGGTGGGAGTGTCCTGATTTTCCAGGTACCGTCTGTCACAGCTTCCCTTGGCTAGGAAAGGGAATTCCCCGACCCCTCACACTTCACAGGTGAGGCGATGCCCCACCCTGCTTCGGCTCACACTCCGTGAGCTGCACCCACTGTCTGACGAGCCCCAGTGAGATGAAGCCAGTACCTCAGTTGGAAATGCAGAAATCACCCGTCTTCTGCGTCGCTCATGCTGGGAGCTGTAGACTGGAGCTGTTCCTATTCGGCCATCTTGGAAACGGCACCAGAAATGGGTTTTAAAAAAATCACTGTTAACTCATGGATTTTAGTATACTTGATAGCAAATATTTATTTTAATAAACAGTTTTAAAAAATTAGAAACACAGGAAAGGATGATTAAGGTAAACATTTTAAGCTAGTAGCTACATCAGAGATTTTCAGATGGATAAATCCAGTCACCTCGAAACCTGTGGGCTTTGTATCCAGGATGTGTTTCCTGGCTGGGTGTAGAGGGGGTTTGGGTGGAGATAATTATCTCCCACACGAGGACTCTGCTCCATTCATGGACTCCCAGACAGCTTGAGTATTCAGCGCCGAGTAGGGTCGCCCCATTCCACCAGGAGGGAAGGCCTTGTCCCCCACGACCTGCCTATCTAAATTTTGGTGGATCTTCTTCAAGACCCAGAAAGAGATTCCCTTTTCTGCTAAGCCCCCACCACTTGCACTGTGGTTATGCGGCTCATCTGGAAACGCTTCCGTCATTCCTCAGACCTCAAACCCTGTTGTTAGTAGGAAGCATGGGCCTGACTTTTGATGAAAAAAAAGTAAAAATGTCCAGTCACCAGTCACACTTTACTTCTATGTGTTTATCAATACTTAATAGCAGACTATGGCATATAAACTGGGTTGTAGATTCATTTTTTAGATTCAAATAATTTCTCTAAAGCAGGTAGAAAACATTTAGTGAGTTTCAAATGTAATGTTATGTGAAATTCTTATTTTTGTTGAAAGATTAAATAATGAAGAGACCATTATTGTTGTTCCTTCTGAGCCTTCTCTGATTTTAAAATAGGTGTAACGTAGAGATCAGGAGCGAAACTAACATAGTGAAGGTTGTGGCCCCATAGTTCAGCTTGTGAAACTTTCACGTCGTTGTGTTGGCTTCAGATCTTCGGAAGGGAGAATTGCCCATCCAAATACAAATGAGGCCCCTCCCATCCCCTCCCCACTCCTGGTCCCACAGTCTCCTTCACAGCATTTGAACTGCAGGGAATGTTAGAGTTACCCTAAGACGACCCGTCACTAAGATGTAAAAATCTTTTTTTTTTTTTGAGACGGAGTCTCGCTCTGTCACCCAGGCTGGAGTGCAGTGGCGCGATCTCGGCTCACTGCAAGCTCCGCCTCCCGGGTTCATGCCATTCTCTTGCCTCAGCCTCCCAAGCAGCTGGGACTACAGGCACCCGCCACCACGCCCGGCTGATTTTTTGTATTTTAGTGGAGACGGGGTTTCACCATGTTAGCCAGGATGGTCTCGATCTCCTGACCTTGTGATCCGCCTGCCTCAGCCTCCCAAAGTGCTGTGTTTACAGGCGTGAGCCACCGCGCCCGGCTAAGATGTAAAAGTCTTAGAACGTCACACTACAGCGTGTGTTTCTGTGATGCCTGTTTCCCCAGGCTCGAGACCTCCGTGTGCAGTGCTTCCCCGAGCACAGGGAACCAGACCAGTGGGAGCAGGAAGGACCTCTGCGAGGTGTTGGCACCTTAGAAATTTCTCTATCTATCATTTTAAGAAAATCCACCGGCCTGCTGCGTCGCCATGCTTCTGCAGCTGGTCCAGGGACAGAGCTTCGAGTGGGCTGGCCCAGCCTCATTTCCCCCATCAACCCCATTAATTTTTTTGTATGGGTTTGCAGAAACGCGGTTTTTATGGAGGCATGGCACAGCACTGTAGGAGAAATGGCAACCTGTGTTGCTTTGAACTCTCTTACCTTGTTATTCGTAGGTGACTGTTAGTTACACTTGCAAAAGCCAAATGAAACACTGTCATGATTTTATAGTTCCATCTCTTGTTAAAATTGGAAAACCACTAAACTCTACCTATTGAAAGTAAGTAAAGGTAATTTTTTGAGTTGAAAAAGAAAGAAAGAAAAAGAGAAAAAAAGAACCTGGAGCAAAAAGAATTAAGTGCCTTTACTAGGATGAAAAGTCATGAATTACGGGCTTGTGATGACAGGATTTCAGTTTTCATTTGAATCAGTTAAATTATCATGCAAATTGATGCAAAACTGAGATCCATTTATTCATTGAATTAAAAAGGCTGGAAGGAATAAATAGACGAGGTTAGAAGAAAATATGTTGCTTGATTGAATGAATTCACTACTTTGCACTGTGTCTTGCAGTATGGTATTTGGAAGTCAACTGGATATCCATTCAGGTGGGATAGATTTAGCTTTTCCACATCATGAAAACGAAATTGCACAGTGCGAAGTCTTTCATCAGTGCGAGCAGTGGGGAAATTATTTTCTGCATTCTGGTAAGTAATAACTTCAGATTAATTTGTTCTGTTTCAATTCTAGCAGTTCTGTCTTTGTCGGCGGAACAGCTACATTTGGAAATACATAGTAGATCAGCTAATAGGTCAAGAAATGGATTTGCCTCTTAAATTATTTTTGAGTTTCAATCATTTGAACATGAGCTTCCTTGGATTGCAGCAATGATTATACCTTTTTGGAACTGACTAGAATATGGAAAATGTTTGGCAATGCTGTTCTATATAAGGTTTCTTTCAAGTAAAACTATTAAGAAGGAACTTGAAGTAGTACAATGTAACGATAATTATGAACATCCTTTCTGAAGCTATAATGTTGTCACTAGACATCTCTGCCATCTTCTAATAACATTGCCCTTTCTTCCACTGTTCAAACACCTAACTGATGAACCCCAGCTGTCTGCTCTCAGAAGTGGATGCAACACCATGAGTTAAGCAACACCTCGAACCCAGCAGTTTTGGAATTCACTTGGATGCACTGGAAGAGTCGTATTTCCAAGTTTACAGGGTCACGATTAACTAGTCTTATTACCTTTTGGGGATGGACAGCTAAGGTATTTGAGATGAAGAAAGATAAAGAGTGTTTGGTAGTGATAGGATTTGGAGATGCAAACTTCGACATCTAAAATACAGAAAATTAACAAATACTATCTTTTGAAGTCCTTGAATTGGGAAATTAGGATGTCACAGTAAAGTGACATTAAGTGCAGAAGTGCTCTGGTTTTCTGGTCCGCAGCAGAGTTCACTTGGGTTTCTTCGTGAAAGTACATGAGGCTGATTGCCCCGAAGTCACTTCCTGCAGCATGTCCTTCACCCCGGGCTTACCCTGTTGAGTCGGGGAACCCAGCAGGCGGCTCTGCCCCTACCATTACCTACTATGTCTGCCTCTCACAGTGCCCCAGTTTTTGTCTAAAAATGAAGCAGAAACAAAGCTGGCTGCGTGGCTGTTTGAGGACTTAGGAGCTGTTGTCCAGCACCCCATACCATTTCCCTGGGGAGGGCTCAGCACTAGCTGAAATCCACTTTATTCCGGTGTCGGTGGAGTTTCTAATCAGAACAAACGCCTGCCGCCCTCACTTCCGTTTCAGCTGGCGCTCACATGGGAAGGGGGTGCACGCTGCCCAGTGGTGGAATATTTAAGGCATCGCCCCTCAGGGAGCCGAGCACTGATTTCCACAGCCGGGGGCCTGCACTCCACTTTTGACCATGGGGAAGGAGGTCTCTCTTCCGTGGCCCAAGGACTTCTGAATTGTGTTCTTGGAGAGGAAGCGTGCTGGGAGCCCAGATAGTGGGGCTGAGACACTGTGTCTCAGGCACAGAGGTAGTCGTGTCCCTTGTCCCAGATGAAGAAAGATAAAGAGTGTTTGGTAGTGATAGATTTGGAGATGCAAACTTTGACATCTGAAATACAGGAAATTAACAAATACTAGTTTTTGAAACCCTTGAATTGGGAAATTAAGATGTCACAGTAAGGTGACATTAAATGCAGAAGTGCTCCGGTTTTCTGGTCCGCAGCAGGGTTCACTTGGGTTTCTTCATGAAAGTAAATAGATGAGGCTGATTGCCCCGAAGTCACTTCCTCGTTGACTTCGTTCAGGGCTCAGTTCAGCGCTCCCTGAACTGTCTGAGGAGCTGGAGTTGCTCCCTCCGCAGGCACGTTTCTGTCTGCAGGTTTATCCTGTTCAGTAGGTCAGGGTTTGTTACTGACAACCATGACCTGCTGTGAGCCCTTCTGCGAGTGTGGAGCTGGGGGGCAAGAAGGGCAGCCTTAGCTGTGCCAACGCTTCGTCCTGTCAGGTAATGAGGAGGGGCCGGGTCTAGAAACGGAGGTCGTGTTCACCTTCCGATGTGGGAATGGGAAAGCATTTGCTGTTGTTGTTGAAACAATTTCGCTCCGTCCCCCAGCCTGGGAGTGCAGTGGCACTATCTGAGCTCACCGCAACCTCTGCCTCCTGGGTTCAAGCAATTCTCCTGCCTCAGCTGTTCTAGTAGCTGCGACTACAGGTGCATACCACCATACCCAGCTAATTTTTGTATTTTTAGTAGAAGCAGGGTTTCACCATGTTGGCCAGGCTGGGCTCAAACCCCTGACCTCAAGTGATCTGCCACCTCTGCCTCCCAAAGTGCTGGGATTATAGGCGTGAGCCACTGCACGTGGTGGGAAAGTTTTGTGGCTATTTTTCAGTGATTTTTTACTACCTGTTAAGATACCAGCGATCTTTTTCATACTAGTTTGGCCCCAAACAAAACATCAGTGTCTCCTGACGCAGGAGAAGTGACACCTGTTCTCCTGTACCCAGTGGATGGAAGAGCTAAGTGGGCAGACACTATCCCAGCCTGTTAGGGCTGCTATAGCCAAACTGAAAGCGGGCGTGTTATGAACAACAGCAATGAATTCCTCACAGTTCTGCTGGCTGGGAGTCCTGCGTCAGCGCACTGGCAGACTCGGTGTCTCGGGAGGGCCTGCTTCCCATTTGTAGACGGCCGTCAGCTCTCGAGGGGCCTCTGTTATGAGAGCACTGATTCCATTCACACTGGCTCTGCCCCTGTGACCTCATCACCTCCCACAGGCCCTGCCTTCAGTTACCGTCACCTGAGGGCTGAGGATTTTGACAGGAATTTGGGAGGACATAAACATTCAGGCCTTAGCAAATGTGTTTTATTTTCCAACTATCATCAATTTTAAAAAATCAGAATCGTGCTTGGTGTAATCACATTATATAGAATTACATGTTCAAAGTTATATATGTTTTTTGGAAATCACATTCTAATTGGTTGGTTGGTTGGTGTATTTATTTATTTATTTTTGAGGCAGAGTCTCGCTCTGTGGCCCAGGCTGGAGTGCAGTGACATGAACATAGCTCACTCTAGGCCCAACCTCCTGGGCTCAAGCGATCCTCCCACCTCAGTCTCCTGAGTTGTTGGGATGTTGGGACTGCAGGTGTGCCCCACCACGCCCAGCTAATTTTTAATTTTTTTTGTAGAGACCGGGTGTTGCCATGTTGCCCAGACTGGTCTCCAAACTCCTGGGCTCAAGCGGTCCTTCCACCTTAGCCTCCCAAAGGGCTGGTATTACGGGTGTGAGCCACTGCGTCCGGCCTGGAGGACTCCTGTTTGAAGTTGTGTCAGAAAAAGAGGAAGAGTCTTCTGTTAGAAACAGAAAGCCCTTCTCTTGGAGATAAGCCTTGTAAAAAGCTACAGGCCAGGGAGAATTTCAGGGTCAGATTCAGGAGTTCCTTAAATGAGTTTGGTTTTCCTCCTGTCTTTCACATACATAGGGGATGAAATAATACCCAGGTCATCAAAGTCTGTGAAACCAACTGCAACAGGACCTCTGATTCTTCCCACTCAGAGACCCACAAGTGCCACTCTGTTTTTGGACAACGGTCAACAAGCTTCACCGCCAAGTGCCTGATTTGTCAAATGAGAGCTTTGTCGTTTCTTCAGATGCTGACCAGTATCTGAATTCAGTATCTCTGAATTACAGGAGAGGAGAAAATAGATGAAATACTGCTGTCAGTACCACGGTTGCTGGCTCTTGTTTAGCTTCTGAGTCAGCTGGGGCACCCCTGCCATCTGCTCTCAGTGTGGGGCTGGGTGTCCCTGCACCGTGGAACAAGGGCAGGTCCTGTCTTCCCGGAAGGCCCAGCACGGGTGAAGATTTGGGGGCAGATTTATACCAACATACACTGGTCTATACATTGGATATGTGCAGGTTCCCATTCGTTTCCTGGGGAGCCATGTGTCCCTGAGGCCAGAGAGTCTCCTCACCCAGCTCAGACTGAATGCTTTTGTTTTTGTTTCAGGGCATTTGCACGCCAAAGGCAAAGAAGAAAAAATGTCCAAATCATTAAAGAACTACATTACTATTAAGGTAACGTGCTTTTTGTATTGTATCTCTGAGGTGCCGATAGCTTGTGGAACCCATCTTAAAGGCTTCTGTGTCATTTGAGAACCACGGAATCCCATTCCCAGTGCCCTCTGGCCCCTTTCTTATGACGAGACCTGCCTCACCTCCCTCCCACTTTAAGTGGCTCTCCGCCTAATCGCGCCCTCAGCTGTGCGCCTCCCGCAGGTTTCCGCAGTCCCTTTCTTGGTGGAGCTTCCCTTTCTCTTTCCGTGTTTCAAGGCCGGCGCCCTCTTCCTTGCCTTTTCCTTTTATAATTGTTGTCTCCCTCTTGGTGCATCTGCTGACTTCCTTCCCGCCCTCACCCACCACCTCTTACTGGTGTGGCTTTGGGATTTGTTTAGGTTTTGCTGTTTGCCCTTAATAGGCTCAGAGCTGGCTGGATCCTTAACCAACCTGAAAAATGGCATCATGCTATGCTGCTGACACATGGAATGTGAATTTTCGTGTGAATGGAAAACAGGCACACCCACGGAGGGCTCTGGCTGACATAGTTTGAACTCCTCCTTTGTCTTCTGGCCTGTCTTTAAAGCCAGATTTAATTTAATTGCAAAATAAATGGAGAAGAATAGTATCCAGATCTCACCGCCTAAATAGCAAACCAGTGAAAGCTGTACCCATCAGATTTAGGATACACCAACAGGGACTGCTCCTCACAAAATAATTTGTATATAGTTTCCTTAAGTAGAATTTTTCCGTTTTATCCTAGGCAAAATTTCAAACCGATAGAAAAGTTGAAAGAAACATCACTATGGCTCCACCCAGATTCAGTAGTTGTGATGATTTTGCTGTATTTGCTGTGTAGGATCTTTTTCGCCTACCCAGCTTAGATTCTCCCACCGGGGAGCCTCAATTAAATTGGTAAATTAGACTCTGGCCAAAGACAGATTAGCAAGAGAAAAACAAAGAGAAATGTGTTAGAGCGTGCACGGCACACGTGGAGGTGGAGCACAGGGTTGCATGACACAGAGGAAGGTTGGAGCCCGGGGCCACGGGGTTGCATGACGCAGAGGGGGTCCAAACCCAGCCACGGGGTTGCATGGTATGCAGTGGGGTCGGAGCCTGGCCATGGGGTTGCATGACGCAGAAGGGGGTCCGAAGCCGGCCATGGGGTTGCATGACGCAGAGGGGGGTCGGAGCCCGGCCACGGGGTTGCATGACGCAGAGAGAGGTCCGAACCCGGCCGTGGGGTTGCATGACGCAGAGGGGGTCCGAACCCGACCATGGGGTTGCATGGTGCAGAGTGGGTCGGAGCCCGGCCACTGCAGGGACCTTGCTTTATTGAGCTTCACTTGACCGCACTTCGCAGATGCTGTGTCTTTACAGATTGAAGGTTTGTGGCAGCCCTGCACCAAGCAAATCTGTTGGCACAATTTTGCCAACAGCATGTTCTCACTTCCTTTCTGTGTGTCATGTTTGGGTAATTCTTGCAATATTTCAAAGTTTCTCATTATTAAATCTGTTATGGTGATCTGTGGTCAGTGATCTCTGATGTTACTGTTGTAATTGTTTTCGGGCTCCATGAACCACATCCATGGAAGACAGAACTTAGTATGTGTTGTGCATGTTCTGACTGCTCCACCAACTGTCCATTCCTTTAAATCTGCCCCTCCTTGGACTCCCCTATTCCCTGAGACACAACATTATTGAAATTAGGCCAGTTACTAGCCCTACAGTGGCCTCTAAGTGTTCAAGTGAAAGGAAGAGTCACACATCTCTCACTTTCCATCAAAAGCTAGAAATGCTTAAGCTTAATGAGGAGGGTATGTCAAAAGCTGAGACAGGCTGAAAGCTAAGCCTCTTGCACCAAATATTTAGCTAAGTTGTGAATGCAAAGGAAAAGTTCTTGAAGGAAATCAAAAGTGCTATTCCAGCGAACACACGAATGATTAGCAAGCAAAACAACCTTATTGCTGATAATGGAGAAAGTTTGAGTGGTCTGGATAGAGAAGATCAAACCAGCCACAACATTCCTGTAAGCCACAGCCTAATCTGGAACAAGGCCCTAACTTTCTTCAGTTCTATGAAGGCTGAGAGAGATGAGAAAGCTGCAAAGAAAAGTTGGAAGCTAGCAGGGGTTGGTTTGTGAGGTTGAAGGAAAGAAGACCTAGCTAAAATAAGTGATGAAGGTGGCCACACTAAACAGCAGATCTTTCGAATGTAGATGAAATTGCCTTCTATTGGAAGAAGATGCTGTCTAGGACTTTTGTAGCTAGAAAGAAGTCAATGGCTGGCTTCAGAGCTTCAAAGGACAGGCTGACTATTGTTAGGGGCTAATGTAGCTGGTGACTTTAAGTTGAAACCAGCGCTCATTGACAATTCAAAAAATCCTAGGGCCCTTGAGAATTACCCTAAATCGGCTGGGTGCAGTGGCTCACGTTTGTAATCCCAGCACTTTGGGAGGCCCAGGTGGGCAGATCATGAGGTCAGGAGTTCGAGACCAGCCTGGTCAACACAGTGAAACCCTATCTCTACTAAAAATACAAAAATTAGCTGGGCGTGGTGGTGGACACCTGTAATCTCAGCTACTTGGGAGGCTGAGGCAGGAGAATCACTTGAACCTGGGAGGCGGAGGTTGCAGTGAGCTGAGATTGTGCCACTGCACTCCAGCCTGGGCGACAGCTAGACTCCATCTCAAAAAAAAAAAAAAAAAAGAATTATGCTAAGTGTACTCTCCCTGTGCTGTATACGTGGAATATCAAAGCGTGTATGACAGCACATCCATTTACAGCATGGTTTACTGAATATTTTAAGCCCACTGTTGAGACCTACTGCTCAGAAAAAAGGATTCCTTTCCAAATATTGACAGTGCACCTGGTCATCCAGGAGCTTTGATGGAGACATACAATGAGAGTAATATTGTTTTTATGCTGCTAACAGAACATTCTGCAGCCCATTGATCAAGGAATAATTTCAACTTTTAAGTCTTATTATTTAAGAAAAATATTTCATAAGGCTATAGCTGCCATAGATAGTGATTCCTCTGATGGAGCTGGGCAAAGTAAATTGGAAACCTTCTGGAAAGGATTCACCATTCTAGATGCCAGTAAGAACATGTATGATTGATGGGAATAGGTCAAAATATTAACATTAACAGGAGTTTGAAAGAAGTTAAGTCCAACTCTCATGGTTGACTTTGAGGGGTTCAGGACATCATTGGAGGAAGTCACTGCATATATGGTGGGAATAGCAAGAGAACTATTGGAATTGGAAATGGATCCTGGAGATGTGACTGAACTGCTGCAACCTCATGATAAAAGTTGAACAAACGAGGAGTTGCTTCTTATGGATGAGCAAAGAAAGTGGTTTCTTGAGATGGAATCTACTCCTGGTGAAGATGCTGTGGACATTGTTGAAATGACAACAAAGGATTTAGACTATTGCATAAATTTAGTTGATAAAGCAATGGCAGGGTTTGAGAGGATTGGCTCCAATTTTGAAAGACATTCTGCCGTGGGTAAAATGCTATCAAACATTGGATGCTACAGAGAAATCTTTCATGAAAGGAAGAGTCAATTGATGGCACAGACTTCATTATTGTCTTGTTTTAAGAAATTGCCACAGTAACTCAGCCTTCATCAACCACTACCTTGATCAGTCAGCAGCCATAATATTGAATCAAAACCTTCCACCAGCAAAAAGATGACTCACTGAAGGCTCATATGATTATCATTTTTGTTAGCAATAAAATATTTTTTCATTAAGGTACGTACATTGTTCTTTCAGACATAATGCTATTATATACTTAATAGACTGCAGTATAATAGTGTAAACATAACTTTTATATGCACTGGGAAACCAGAAAATATGTGTGCCTTGCTTTATTGTGATATTCGCTTTATTGTGGTGGTCTGGAACCAACCCTTCAGTATGTCTGAGGTCTGCCTGTGAACCATGCTAGGCCAAACAAAAAAAAAAAAGGAGATCTGGGCTTGAGGAGGGGCAGGCAAGTTTTGGGAGGGTGACTAGGAAAAGTGATAAACAAGGATTGTTGAGTAAAATTTGTTTTGCAGATTGAGCCTCTCTATTGAGAGTTGTTAGGGAGTCCTCACCCTGCTACAGCAGGATACATCTTTTACAACTGGGAGCTTTGTTTACAAGGAAAACTTGCACCCTGTTTTTAGAGCATTTCCTGCATCTGCTTGTTCTCAGTGGTCTTTAGCTCAAAATAATCTGTATGCCAGGGAGGCATATTCAGGGCTGGCAGGCTGTGGTACCCTTCAGGGGCTTTATCTGTGTTTATGGGAGTGGTGAGCGTGTGTGTGCATGTGCACATTTGTGTGAGCATGTATGCACATGGACACCTGTATATAATGCTTGTTATTGACCATTAGGAAATACATTGAAGACATCATCACACTTCTCTATTCTGTAACCAACTCCTAAAAATAAGGATGCTTTCCTACATAATCCAAACACCTAAAAAGTTAGCAGTAATTTCTTAATATTATCTAGTCTGTAGTCTGTTTTTCTTTTTTTGTTTGTTTGTTTTTTTGTTAGTCTCACTATCACCCAGGCTGGAGTACAGTGGCGTGATCTCAGCTCACTGCAACCTCCACCTCCCAGGTTCAAATGATTCTCCTGCCTCAGCCTACCGAGTAGCTGGGATTATAGGTGCACACCACCATGCCTGGCTAATTTTTGTTTTGTTTTGTTTAGTAGAGACAGGGTTTCACCATGTTGGCCAGGCTGGTCTGGAACTCCTGACCTCAGGTGATCCACCTGCCTCAGCCTCCCAAAGTGCTGGGATCACAGGCATGAGTCACTGCGCCTGGCCTGTTTTCTCCAGTTATCCCCAAAATGTGTTTTATACTTTTATTTTTAAACGAGGAGTTGATCAAGGTTCATATGTTGCATTTGTATGTTGTGTCTTTTTAGGGTTTTTTTTAATGTGGTTAAAAAAACCACGTAACATAAAAGTTATCATCTTAACCATACAGTTCAGTAGTGTTAATATGTTCACATTGTTATGCAACAGATCTCTAGAATTTTTTCATCTTGTAAAACCAAAACTGTGGACTCACTGAACAACTTCCCATTTCCCCTTTCCCCAGGCCTTGGCAACAACCCTTCTACTTTCTGTTTCTATGATTTTGGCTGCTCTAGATCTCGTGTAAGTGGACTCACATAGTAATTGTCCTTTTGTGACTGGCTTATTTCACTTAGCATGGTGTTCTCAAGATTCACCTGTGCTCCTTTATTCCATGTCAAAATTTCCTTCCTTTAGGCTGAATTATATTTCATTGTTCTTTCTAGGTTTCTAATCTAATCTACAGCAGTCTTTCTACTTTTATTTTTCCTGTGGTGTTGACTTTTTGAAGAGATTGAGCCACTTGTCTTGTTGAACATCCCACATTTTGGATTTGTCTGTTTCATTGTGTTGTCATTTAGCTTGTTCTTCTATCTCCTGTAGTTCGTTTCACGGGAAGTGAGGGTTAAAGGGTCAGTTTGATCCAGGTAGAAGCTTTTTGGCAGGAATACCTTGTAGTTGATGCTGTGAACTCACAGTGCATTCCCTGGGGGCTGCAAGGTCAGGTTGTCCTACGATTCATGATGGTGAGTTTTACCATTTGTTAAGGAATGACTACCAGATCCCTCTACTGCAGAGTTTATTTTCTTCTTATGAATATTAAGCATCTGAGAGGTGGCATGCTGCATGGTAATTTGTTTCCTAATAAGCTTCCACCCTATGGTTTTAGAGGCTTCACTTTGATCAGGTATTTCATTGGTTATTGCAAAGTCATGGTTGTCTAATTGTTCCCTCTTTTACATTTATTAGTTGGCATTCTTCTTAAAGAAAAGTGTTTTTGTCTTTCTTTTTTTAGTAGACAGAGTCAGTGATTTATATTTATTTAGTGTATTGTCAATTCAGTCATTATCTTTTGGGTGTTGAAATCATCCCGGATTTAGCCAGGGAGGGCTCTTCTGACTGGCTCCGGTCCCCCAGGGACAGACCCCTCGGCCTCTGTTGTGCCCTCCTGCACCTGCCTGCCTTTTGCTTTCCTACCCAGACCTGCCGTTTCTCCAAGCAGCCACCCTGCCTTTGAGGGGAAATGGGATTTTGAAGGCAAGATTTGGGCACTGCGATGTTGATTGCTACCAGAGTGACACTGCGTCTACGCTTTTTCAGGGGTCAGAGCTAGGGGAGAGGGAGATAAACCTGCACATACAAAATAGATTCCTTATTTGGGTTAATTTTGATATATCCAAATAAAATTTAATATCACAGGGCTTTTTAGTTTTAGCTCTTTATTTTCCTCTCTTACTAAACATAAGAGCATATCAACTTTTTGTTTTATCTTAAAATACACACAAAATAAATTTAAAAACTTAATACCAATATTACCATTAACAGTAAAACTATTGAGTAAAACTTAAGGCTTCTCTTATTTCTTTTTAAACTAATAGCTTTATTGAAATGTAATGCACATACTATATAAGTATACTATTTAAATGGTACTGCTTAGTGGTTTGTAAGATATTCGCAGTTGTGAAACGACCACTATCTAAGAACGTTTTTTTTTTTTTCTTTTTGAGACAGAGTCTCACTCTGTCGCCCAGGCTGGAGTGCAGTGGCACAATCTTGGCTCACTGCAAGCTCCGCCTTCCGGGTTCACGCCATTCTCCTGCCTCAGCCTCCTGAGTAGCTGGGACTACAGGCGCCCACCACCACGCCTGGCTAATTTTTTGTATTTTTAGTAGAGACGGGGTTTCACCATGTTAGCCAGGATGGTCTTGATCTCCTGACCTTGTGATCCACCTGCCTCGGCCTCCCAAAGTGCTGGGCTTACAGGCGTGAGCCACCACGCCCGGCCTCTAAGAACGTTTTTATCACCCCAAAAAGAAACGCCACATCCATGGGCCATCACTTCTCACTCCCACCTCCTCCCAGCCCCGACAGCCGCTCATCTACTTTCTGTTTCTGTGATTCACCTATTCTGGACTGAAATTTCTTTTTCTCGTGGACTGCACCCCACTAAAGCTCTGTGGTCTGAACATACACTCGCGGCATGTAATGATCTCCTTTCATTAACACAAGAGGTTCATTTGTTCTGTTTGTTTCCAGTGTGGTGGTCTCTCTCTTCCCCTTTTCAATTTACTTTTTGTTTTGTCTTTTTTGAGAGTCTTGCTCTGTCACCCAGGCTGTAGTGCATTAGTGTGATCTCAACTCACTGCAACCTCTGCCTCCCAGGTTCAAGTGATTCTCATGCCTCAGCCTCCCAGGTAGCTGGGATTACAGGCCTACACCACCACACCCAGCTAATTTTTGTATTTTTAGTGGAGATGGGGTTTCACCATGTTGGCCAGGCTGGTCTTGAACTCCTAACCTCAGGTCCACCTGCCTCGGCCTCCCAAAGTGCTGGGATTACAGGCGTGAGCCACTGCATCCAGTCCCAATTTACTTTTATTTGTCATATCTGTGAAACATTTGCAGGGTTCAGCATTAACACTAAAGAGAGCATGGAGAAGGCTGGCCTGGAGCCCGCCTGCACCCATTCCTTCCCCAGCAGCCACAGTTGTGTTCTCTGTTTTGGATTCATCTTCCTGTGTTCCGTTACACACGATAGGCCAATACACATAAACCTTTCTCCTCTGTCTCATTCATGAGGCAGTGTCGTATGCATGCCGCCTCTTCCCTAACAATTTAAGTGAGGTTTTAATTTGATTATAGACATGATGGGTTTAATTTCAGAAAGTTTGAAAACTGCAGACAAGACAGAGAACCACACGGTAGAAAAATTCAAAGGTACTAAGTCTGGAAAGCAGGCCTCCTGCCCGACCACGTTCACTGTTGCCCGGCTTCTCTCCTGAAGCAGCGGTTAGTTTTCTCGGAGCAGGTGTGTGTGTGCACACATCTCCCTATAGCTGTGCTTCTCACTTTCCCTTCACACACAGTCGTGTAGTTTTGCGCTTGCTTGATTAATCTCTTGGCCTCAGTCGGTTTTCTACCATATGGAGTTGGTTCATTCTCTCGAATGGCTGTGTAGTCCAGTGTGTGGGTGCAGCTTAATTAAAGAATCCCCTATTGATGGTCATTTAAATCCTACTGTATTTTCCACTAGGGTATGTGCATTTTCAATTTTCACAGACATTGCCATGTCTGCATTATTTTTAGCAGCCTCTTAGTGGCTCATGGCAGGGAGGCACCGTGATTTTATTTCCCTGTTGTTGGGCTTGTTTGTGAGACCTGTACTCTGCAGGCTGCAGTGCTGTGATGAATATCCTTTAGCTAAATATCTGTGCACATCTAATGATTAGTGACTTGAGAAAAGTGCCTTGAGGTAGAATCGCACATCAGAAGATACGGGCACATTCGGAATGTTTTGGATAGAGCCCCTGGTGACTTTATCAACGAGTGTGATTTACATTCCTACTGGCAGTAGATTAAAATGTCTGTTTCCCAGGTCTCTCCAGCATCAAATTAGAATTTTAATCAGGTTACCTTTTTTCCTTTTTTTCTTTTTCTTTTTTTTTCTTTTTCTTTTTTTTTTTTTTGAGAGAGGGTTTTGCTGTCACCTGGGTACCTGGTGCAGTGGCACCTGGTGCAGTCCTAGCTCACTGCAGCCTGGAACTTGTGGGCTCCGGCAAACCTCCCATTTCAGCCTCCTGAGGAGCTGGGACCACAGGCATGCACTACCACACCTGCTGATTTTGTATTTTTTCTAGAGACGAAGTCTCACTATGTTGCCCAGGCTGGTCTCAAACTCCTGGGCTCAAGCAATCCTCCTGCCTTAGCCTCACAAAGCGCTGGGATTACAGGTGTGACCCACGGCACCTGGCCCATTTTTCTTGTTAATTTGTGAAGAATGGCAACTAGATTTTAAATTTCCATGCGTTTGTCTATTTGCTGTGTTGATTTGTCTATATGTATTTACTGGTGATTTTTCATTTATATTTTTGGTAGCTCGCACCTACCCTAGCCCATAGT
Source organism: Homo sapiens (assembly GCF_000001405.40). NCBI lineage: Eukaryota > Metazoa > Chordata > Mammalia > Primates > Hominidae > Homo > Homo sapiens. The sequence goes on along the minus strand of NC_000013.11, from coordinate 110,654,488 downwards.
TCCTTGGAGATGTTAAGTTATTGCCCTACATCTTAAAAATACTTGCCACATTCCTGGTTTCTAGCATAAGACCCTTTCCCGCCAGTCCTCTTTGTCTTGGAGACCACTGATAGACCTTTATGATAGCCTGGGTGAAAACCCAATGCTTTCTGCGTAATGGAGGCCACAGTCCACGTAGAAAGAGCTCAACCCTGGAGCTCAGATAATGGTTTAAAACCTGCTTTCTAGTTACTGTACGTCTCAAAGCAAGCTAGGGCCTGGCCCAGTAGAGAGGCTCTGGTGCCTGCTTCTGCCCAGGGGCTCCAGGGGTGTGTGCAGCGCTGGCATCATAGGAAGTCCCTCGGCAACTGGCATGTGTACCCAGCGGGCTCCCTGTGAGTGTGCACCCTGTTACCTCGTGAGCTCACTGGGGCTCACATGGCTTGTTACCATCCCCACCTGAAGGCCAATCCGGTCCTCCGGCCTGGGCTCTGGGAGATTGCTTACCTCCTGGAGAGTTCCAGCACGAGCTTACACTGCCGTCGCCACATTTTGCCTCTCAGGGAGCCGTGGCAGGTTGCACGGTGGAACCGGAGTAGTATAGAAACTTGCTGATATCAGCCGGCACAGAGCAGGAACACGCTAAAAAATTAATGTCCGTGTGCACCCACAGTATTCAAGAGTTTTCACATCATTGTCAGAATACTGTGTAATGAAGAAGTTATAATATGTTTCTCCTTTAGTCCGTATAAACTCAATGCTCTAGAAAGATTAGATTCCAGATTTCTATTAGAACTACTACTATAGCTCGCTGCAGTAGCGCCCGCCCCCGCAAGAGCAGGGAAGATAAGCCTTTAATGTTGTTGGGGTTTCAGAGAACTATGAGATGCGTGAAAACACATTGAGGCTAATTCTGCATGCGTTTACATTCTGAGAGGAAAACCCCTTTGAGAGAAAGCCAGGTGAAATCGTTTTTGGAATGAAGTGGGGAGCGTGGAGGCTGCTTGTGGAGTGGTGTTTCCACACCGAAACCCGGAGACCTAAATAGGGCGCAACCTGAACTGAAACCGGCAGGACATGGCTGTGTGCGTTAATTGGAACCACAGCACCTCGGGTGAGGGAGGGTGTCAAGTAAGCCTGCGAGTTGCGAATTAGAGGACCCAGGAGTAATATTCCTTTTTTCACAATTTGGGAAGGAGCACCCGGGAGATGGACAGACGGAAATGGAATTCCAGTGTGATTACTGATGAACTACTGTTGGATTGGACAGGGGCTCTTCACACACACACACACAAACACACACACACACATACCCCAGCCCCCCTCCCCACCCCAGGCCCCTGTGGCAGCCTGGTGAAGTCTGTGGACCCAGCCTTACAATTTGCTTTAAATACGTAAAATAAAATACATAGGATCCCAAAGGCCGTTGATGATACTGAAGTAGAGGAGCGGGGGCTCTGCTTGACTCAGCGGTTAGCTCAGCGTGGGTGGGGTCTGATGGCTGCCATCCTCTCGTGTGAGTTGTGGTGTGTGATGTCATCCCTGTGGGGTCACCTGTGGCAGCTGTGGCCACCATGCCAGGCTCTGTGCTTCCAGATGCGTTTGCTGCCTACACTGACCATCGAAGGAAATACCCATTTCGGTGCAAGGCTGGCAGAAATAAACACATAACTGTTGAACCATCCCAGTTCACAGATCTCCCCGCCCTCCCACCTTCTCTCTGTGGGCCCCTAGGAGGTCTGTGGACCCCAGGTTGAGCACCCCTGTGTTAGGGCATTGGCCCAGCAGCTTTCTGATTAACGCCACCCCACATGAGAATGCCCCTCACTGCCTCAGGCACAGGCAGACAGGAGTTGGGCTGTGGGGTGGGGGCTGAGCTCCTTCCTGGTAGAAGACAGACCAGACCTGCTCCATCCTCTGAAGGGACTGAGCCCTGGAGGCAGGTGGAGCAGTGTCCTCCTCCTTCCAGCTCAGCAGTCCAGGGAGCCCCCTCCTTTCTACTGGGTGGGCGAGGCCGCTGAAGCCTGAAGCAGGGACAGCCCCTTCTACCCCAAGACGCTCTTCAGTTGTGTGTGTTTTGCTCTCAGTAGGGTTGTTGAGCAGCACGGCCTTAGACTGGTCTTTTATGCCTCATAAAATACCATGTGTTGTGATGCAGTATTTTGAGCTGGACTCCGCCGTTTCCGGCTCACTCTCCCTGGCAGCTCTGTGCTCCCACGACCACCCTGCAGAGGAAGTGGGTATCTGAGCTCTGATGAGCGGGTGCAGACTGTGGGTTGGTGTCAGCCCCTGTGCTCTGGGCTTGTGTTGCTGCCCATCAGCCTAGAGAAGAGGGTATCGGGTTTACCCGAGGGAGACGGAAACGCAATTCTCACTCCAGCAAGGTCAGCGACAGCTTCCTGCGCAGTGGACAGGCATGGGGTGAGCCAGTTCTGTCTTCTGAGGTGGTGGCAGGAAAGGGGGCTTTGGTCAGAGCCGGCACCATGTGCTGCAGATCCAGGCAAGGAGCCACTCGGGCTCCCGTCGGAGCGCGTCCCTGGCCAGGGGTGCAGTCGGAGCTCGGCTTTCTTTCTTGGGGCCACAGTGGAAGCCCAAGCTGGGCAGAGCCCTCTTCCTTCTCTCCCCCACTCATCTCATCTCTTAAAAGTAGCTGCCAGAGCTGAACCCTGAGCGCCCCACAGGAGGTTTTGCTGAGGGCTGAGCTGCTTTTGCAGTGCCTCTAATGACCTCTTCTAAGCTTCCTCATGTAGAAAGCTCCACTTCTTTCTGGACAGACGTTTTCTAATTGATCTATAGGAGGATACCGGTTGGGTTCTGAGTTTTACTTAGGTTTAACCAGAAGCTGGGTGGTTTAGTCTTCAAGAGACAGACTTAGCGCATGCTTTAGCCCAGTGTTTACAAGAACTGTGCCACCAAATAGGATGAGTGAGGCTGTCGCCCCTTGGCTGGGCTGAGCTGGAGGTCAGCCGGGTCTGACGTTCACCGCAAGCTTCTCCTGGGGGTTGCAGGCAGGCCAGAGCTGGTGTGCCTCCCGCCACCTACCTGGTCTCTTCCTGAGCACAGCATCGCTCCATGCTGTCTGTCCCACGTCCCTGTCGTGCAGAAAGAGAGCCCAGGCTGAGCACAGGACACACTCCTCCTGGAGCCTGCGCAGGTGCGGATTTTCAGTGCAAACCGGCTTTCTCTTCTTGCTCTTTCCACAAATACTGAGATCGAACGTGGAAAGTTCAGTGAGGAAATCACCAGGAAACAGGTGGTAATTGTGAGTTTGGAGGGCTCATTTTCATCAAGGTTCCTGATTTCTTGATAGGTAGAGATAACTTATGTAATTGTAGAAAGTAACATATTCTCTGAACAGTGCGAAGCGTAAAAGCAAAGCCTCGTGACTGCCTGTCTCTCGCTTTACCAGGACTTTCTGAAGACCTTTTCCCCCGATGTCTTCCGGTTCTTCTGCCTGCGGAGCAGCTACCGCTCAGGTGAGCCGAGCACACGTGGAGTGGACTCCCCCCCCAGCTCGGAGACAGTCATTCTGACAGGACTGAAAACAGCAAAATGCAGGCCAGAGAATAAGCAGAACCTTGTTGAGTGAGGCTGCTGTGTGCCTTACGGTTCGGGTTGAGAGTGAACCCAGAGGACGAGGGATCCCAGTGCTGGTCTGGGCCCGGCCCACAGTGGATGTGGGCTTCCTCGTCAAGCTCGAGTCCTCTCCACTCCTTCTCTCTGGGTCTGGACAAGTCGTGAACCCGCAGCACCTCGGCTTCCTGCTGTGTGAACTGGGAGATTGGAAGGGGCCAGCCTGGCACGGCCCCTGAACATGGGAGCCCTCAAACGTGACCCTGCCTGTCCTGCCCAGGGGCAGCACTTCCCCGAACGGTGTGTAGCAGAGCAAGGTCTCCTGGATGGGTGATGACGGTTCCTCCCATGCTGCACAGTTACCTGCTGCCCCGGGCTAGGCTCTTGGCCAGGAGTTGTCTAGCACTGGCCTGGCATGGTGGCTCACGTGTATGATCCCAGCACTTTGGGAGGCCGAGGCTGGCAGATGTTTTGAGTCCAGGAGTTTGAGACCCGCCTGGGCAACATAGTGAGATCTTATCTCTACAAAAAATACAAAAGGCCTGGCACGATGGCTCACACCTGTAATCTCAACACTTTGGGAGGCTGAGGCAGGTGGATCACTTGAGGTCAGGAGTTCGAGACCAGTTTGGCCAACGTGGTAAAACCCCATCTCTCCTAAAAATACAAAAATTAGCCAGGCATGGCGATGTGTGCCTGTAATCCCAGCTACTCAGGAGGGTGAAGCAGGAGAATTGCTTGAACCTGGGAGGCAGAGGCTGCAGTGAGCCATGATCATGCCACTGCTCTCTAGCCTGGGTGGCTGAGCAAGACTCCATCTGAAAAAAATACAAAAAAATTGGCTTGGTGGCATGCACCTGTAATCTCAGCTACTCAGGAGGCTGAGGCAGGAGAATCACTTCAACCCAGGAGGCGGAGGTGCAGTGAGCTGAGATCGCACCACTGCACTCCAGCCTGGGTAACAGAGCAAGACCCTGTCTCAAAAAAAAAAAAAAAAAAAAAAAAGTCGTTATCCAGAGCTGCATCCCTGGTGGCAAGTGAGGGCTGGGGACAGTGATACTGCCCTGCCTGGCTTGACCACCTAACTGGCAATAAGGTCCCAGTGTATGGCTAGTGCTGCAGGAGCAGGGCCAGTGTCCTCTGGAGATGGTGACAGTTCCTTCCTGGTGAGCGAGGGTTGCTGTCCTTCTGGCCTCTGGTGTCCCCTCTGCTCCATTGACACTGCCGAGGCCCTGGGTCGCTGCTGTTGTCATGCCACCTCCCTCTCCCCCTTCTTGTCCCTCCTACGTAGCTCTCTTGCTCCAAATTGATGATTTCACCTTTTTAATGAAGACGATGGGAGTGGGGACATGCAGCCGAAACATAGTTTATTCTCATTCCCCCATGGGGTGAATCTATCTGGCCAGCACACTTTATGTCACACACAAAGCTTTGGTGGGTTTGGGTGAGCCCCTGGGCTGGTCCCCTATCCATCTCCCTCCCCTGTGCTGTGCCTGCAGAATTTCACCCGGCCTGCAGCTCCTGTCAGCGTGAGAGGGGCACACAGACACCTGCACCTTTGACCACCGAAAGGCTACCTTGGGCCATGTCTTTATCCTGGCTCTGACGCCACGTCGTTGGCTTTCTACTGCAAACTCAGGTTTTCTGAGACGTGGTCTGAACCTCTCCCCTGGGTGGAACTGCAGTGCATCGGCCCAGGGGACCTGCGCTCACGGGCGCACGAGCTTGAGAAAGAAGTGTGGCCAGCCTCGTGCTCGCCTGGCCTCGTGCAGCATCTGTGTGTGGTGTGCACTTACGCGTGATGAAAGCAGCCCAGCCGTGCCGTGAGAGGAAGAGTCGGGGAGGCGAATGGGCTGGAGAAACTGTTTCCGCCTGGCTCCGTGTTGCTGGAAACGGGCAGAGGCGGCGGAGATGAATCCCGTGTGCGAGCGCAGAGCTCTCTTCCCGGCTCGTGCTTGCTCCCCTCGTGGCTGGGGGCTGTGGTCCTTTCAAAGCTGTTCCCTGCGGATCCCTTCCCAGGGGCACTTTGCCCTCGGAAGCCCCGCCTCCCTTCTCGCAGATTGTGGCAGGATTAGGGGCAGCATCTTGTATGACTGTCCTAATTGTGTGCAGTTCTTTTTGAGCTTTGAATACGAAGTTTGGTCTGAAAAGAGGCTTTCTCAAGCCTGGGCAGCTCTTTCAGGAACACATTCCCAGTGGGAATTTTGGGTGGGATTCAGGAGGCACCGATCTGCCAGTGAGGGATTTCTAGGAACACAAGGTTAGTCAGGACGTGGATCCCCACAGTGGACACGACTGCCCCACCCCGCCGAGGTCGGAGGTGGCCTTGAGGAGCTGGGCCGTCGCTTGCTGTCTGAGCTTCCATCCACGAATGGTGTGGGAGTTCGGGATCTTCCCAGACATTCTTTCTTCACCTTTGGGAAGATGGAGGGGGACGGTGGTGGCATCCCTTGCAGTCTGTGCTGCGCTGACACTTTGGAGAAGTGTCTCCCATCTGTAGAGCAGAATCCTCTTTGGAGAAATGCAGCTGTCCTTGACCTTGAGGCAGAAGGCGTCTCCATCCTGGGCATCTGTCTGCCCCTCCCCATCTGGATGCCTCATCTTGCTGTGTCATTAATGGTAATCTTATTCTAACAGCCTCCCATGCATCAACTCTATCAGTCCCCGAATATTATCTTTAAATTTTGTCAGATCGCTTTGTGGGTTTCTGGCTTTTTCTCTTTTCTATCAAGCTATTCAAAGCAAAAACTGAAAGTGAATTTAGAAAAAAAGGAAAAATGTTAAGTAAGATATTAGACAGCCCTGGGGGAGGTTTTCACTGTGTTGCTTCCAGCTTGAAGCCATGTCTGATTTTGGAATTCTCGTTTTGAAGTCAGGACTTGGAGGCATGTTGAGATGTAATTTTCAGCATATGTGTCCAGATAGGCTCTTTTTATTCTTGTGGTTTTCAAAGAGCTGTTTAAAGCAGCACTCCTCAAAAGCATGGACTGTGGACTCAGACAGCCTGGGAAACAGAGTAGGCACGAGAAGGTTCTAGAAATATGTGGCTGGCTTTGCTGATATCCAAGGATATGTGATCATTGCAAAGCGATTCACTCCTGTTGTCTTACCCATCAGAATGCAGTAGACTAGAAACCACAAGAAATGAACAGATGTAAACAGAAACACTGGCCCCTCATCCAGGTGGCCTAAGAAACACCCACAGACTCTAAAGCCAGGTCTGGGGACTGCTCCTCCCTCCCTCTTTGGGCTGTCCCATCACACACAGGCACTTTCCCTCGGGAGGGCCTTCCCTAGAGGTGCCTCTGACCCCAGGGCGGGGCTCCCTCTTTCCAGAGCTAGCCATTCATCCGCACCTCCATCCATCCAGGGCGGGGCTCCTTCTTTCCAGAGCCAGCCATTCATCCGCACCTCCATCCAGTCAGTGGAAATGCACCTCTTGGCTGGAAGCACTGGGAGCATGTCTCCACCGCCACCTTGTTCTCCCACGGCAGGTGCCACTGAGCTGGGACAGACCCTGTGGTCTGTGTCCAGTGGGCCTAGGGACTCGCGGTCACTGGAGGGCGTGAGAGCCACATGTCCCGCTCTCCGTGTGGTCCCTGGGTGGCAGTGCCCTCAGAAAACACTGATTCTGCTGGACCAGGGCAGGGGCACAGCATGGTGGGCACCGCCTCAGTGACCATCTCTTCCTCCTCAGCCATCGACTACAGTGACAGCGCCATGCTCCAAGCTCAGCAGCTGCTCCTGGGGCTGGGCTCTTTCCTGGAGGACGCACGTGCCTACATGAAGGGGCAGCTGGCCTGCGGCTCCGTCAGGGAAGCGATGCTGTGGGAGAGGTAAGAGGCCCGCCTAGCACCCGGCGTGGCACCCCTCCTGTGGCCTGCTGGGTGCTGCTGGTGGGCTCTTGAAGGGGAAGAGGGGCCCCCAGGAGACAGGGCGCTGGACAGGAGGTTTGGGGTCAGGGACTGCCCAGAGAGGCCCCAGGAGACAGGGTGCTGGGCAGGAGGTGCAGGTGTGGGGTCAGGGGCTCCCCAGAGGCCACAGGGGACTGGGAGCTGGACAGGAGGTGTGGGGTCAGGGGCTCCCCAGAGGCCACAGGACACTGGGTGCTGGACAGGAGGTGTGGGGTCAGGGGCTCCCGAGACATCCCAGGGAGACGGCGCTGGCAGGAAGTGTGCCTGGGGCCCTCGGGCTCTGAGCCCCCTGCTCAGAGTGGCTTTGGGCTCGGGTTCCCTGTGCGAGGAGCGGAGCTGCTCATCCCTCCCAGTCCTGACTGTGAGGAGCCAAAATCTATAAAACACACAGGCCTGGGCCCACAGCATCGCCTCCACTCCCCACCCACGGGTGTCCTGGGCAGCGCTGCACATTCATCCCGGCATGCAGAGTCTTCCGGATGGTCTTGGTGATAACCCACCCCTGCCACTTCAGCAGGGTAGGCAGCCAGTGGCCACGGGAGGCTGAGATCCGGGAGCCCCGGGCTGGGCCTCCCCAGCCTCTCTTTGTGAGTGGTCAGCCGTGCCGTCTCTCCCCCACCGAGTCTTCCTTGCCACTCCCCTCAATATCTATTGATTTTTAAAACCATCATGAAAATGCCCACGTGTGTCTTGTATTTTAAGTGTCACAGGTGACCTCTGCTCTGGGACTTTTTCTTGGGGTAACATGACAGTTTGCAGTTGATGTTACATAATTTTCTGCTACTCAGGAACTCAAGTCTTTGGGAATATGACCTAGAGAAAGTCCCCAGATTAGAGCCCCCAGCGTCTCTCCCTGGGGAAGGACTGGTGTGGGGGCCGCCTGGGGAGAGTGGAGCTCCCTCTGCTGTGACTGTTCTCTCCTCTTCCCTCAGGCTCTCCAGCACCAAGAGGGCCGTGAAGGCGGCCTTGGCAGATGATTTTGACACACCCAGGGTGGTTGATGCCATCCTGGGCCTTGCACACCACGGGAATGGACAGCTCAGGGCGTCCCTGAAGGTAGCTCAACGAACAGGTGGCCTTGCGGTCCTGCTGCCAGGGGCATGGGTCGGGTCCTCTGGTGGGTTTTTCTCATGTCGGCTGGGTGGCATCTCTGCTGATTTCGCCTCCCGCAGCTTCTGTGGAGGAACTCATGGAGCCCGAGTCTGCCGCTGACACACGGGATGGCACCCAGCCTGGGGCTTGACCCTCCCGGGCCTCAGGGCCACCTGGGGAACAAGCTCTCAGGAGCCCCTGAGGCTGAGAAATTCTGTGTGCTTGATCCTCAGGGGACACATCTCATGTCCCCACTGCATTCATGGCCCTTTCACAGAGAGAGCTTTTGTGGGGAACTTTTTAAGGAAAGACCCATTTACCCCAAGGCACTGTTATGCAATCTGCACCCCAGTGTGATGACCACACCAAGCACCCAGGGGTCTGAGCCTGGACTCGTGGGTCACTGCAAGTGTTTGGCAGGTGGGACAAAGACCGTGAAGGCGGCGGCAGGCTTTGGTTCCTGCACGTCTGAGGGTCCCCTGCCAGGCCCTGGGAGGCGCTGCGTCAGGAGCCCCGTGACCTTTGATGACCCGGGAAGCCGAGGCTGTTTGTGCCTCTCCCACCTCTGGAAACACCTGGGGGTTCTGGCCACATGCTCTGTTAGTTGAGCATCTCTGTGGAGGTCTCCATCCCTGGCTGCGTGCAGTGTTGGGTTTCAGAGCACCAGCAGGTGGGGCAGGGTGCCATGTGCCCTTGCCGGGTGCCTTCGGTCCAAATACTGCAGACGCGCAGGGCTCGCCTCTGAGGGGGGCGGGCATTTGAGTCACAGCCGGCTGCAGGAACAGGCTGCCCCGCACTGAAGGCAGCCAGGCCGGGCTGGGGCAGGTCCCGCAGCCAGGCTGCTCCTGCACGGGAGCTCCTCCTCCTCAGCCCGTCCGCGGCCTCCTGCCTTCACCGCAGCTGCTGCCGGCACTACCAGGCTGGCCCAGCTCTAGGGCAACAGGGGCCTCTTGTGGCAAGGGGCGGGACAAGTAAAGAGGCTGGCTTTTGTCCTGCGCTTTTCCTTCCCAAGCTTTGCAATTCTGGGGCACCTGCAAACTAAGGCTAGTGTCACCCAAGGGTCTCTGTGCTTGGTAACTGATGTGAGCCACGTACCAGGATTTCCCCGTTTTCTGAGAAACCCAGCCCAGTGCCCACTCAGCCTCCACCTACCATGCGCCACCTGCCATACTCCACGGTCATGCTTCACCCGCGAAGCCTGATGAGCTAGTCACCACCCACATGACTGATGGGTAAACTGAGGCACAAGAGATTCCTCATGCACCTATAGTTGTATGGTCTGCAGTGAGGTAGCCGATGCCAGAGCTGTGTCCTCCCTCCATAGAAGCCAGGAGAAAGGCCAGACTGAAGTGACCTGCTGAAGCCTTTGTCTTTTGACATTGAATTCCGTTTGCCCACTGCCATCAAGACTGCTTTTAAGGAGCTTCTGCGACATGATCTCTTACAGGAACCTGAAGGGCCGAGAAGTCCTGCTGTGTTTGGTGCCATCATCTCTTACTTTGAACAGTTTTTTGAAACTGTTGGAATTTCTCTGGCAAATCAACAGGTAGGTCCTATTATTTTAAATGCTTAATTCTGGAATTTTCTCCATGTTGGGACAATAACCTTTACCCTTTTAACTTGGAATAGAGCATTATGATGCCACACTAATGTATTTACCTGTTTAAAAACATGTTACTTTCCTGGAAAAATAAACACACTCAGAGCCAATACTTATTAATTGGAATTGCACAATTCTACTTCTGCAGTTGGCAAACTCTCGTGCGCAGAACCAGAGATGAGTCCATCTCAGCAACAGAATGTCGCCAGCTCTGCACACACGTTTATGTTCAAAGACTCTCAGAATGTGCAGAAGTCACAGGCACAGTAAGAGAACATTTTTTCCTGACCCATTTGAGGGCAAGTTGGCGACCTGAGCCCCCTTGCCTGGCACATGTTTTGTACGGACAGGACGGGCTCCCCGACAGGCACGAGTCACCTGCACCTTCCCAGCGAGGCTCACCCTGGCTGTGCAGTGAAGGTGGACGCTGCCAGGCTTCTCCACATTCCTTCTCTTCCGTTGTAACTCAAGAGCATTTTTGCAAAGAGACTTGGATCCTATGAAAATGTCCTCTTCCTTATCAGGCTCACCTGAAACTCGTTTATTCTATCAATACAGATTTGAGGTTTCCTGCCTTATTCTTAAAGTCCCCACCATCACTTTGTATGTGGCTGACAGAGGCCCCTTGGGGCTGGCGCTGTGTCCCTGAACATCCCTGTCATTCTTTGGACACCCTTGTAGAATTCTCAGCACAAGGCGCTCTGGCTCTTTTGGGGTGTGGCTCGGCTGCTGCTGCCTGGACGGGGGCTGCCACTCTAGACCAGCTGCCCAGCACCCCGAGGGTCCCGCCGCTTGGGACTGGGGCCCAAGCAGGTGTGCTGAAGGCCTGGCTCTGGGCCAAACATGTCTCGCTGGCTCTCAACAGAGAACTATAGTGTCTTTTCCAAGTTTGGCTCATTTGTATACCTGTTGATCACCTGGTAGACTTAGTTCCCCTTTCCAGCAGTCCGGCGTCTGTTGCCAATCACATAAAAGTCGACTGGTGTGAGATGACCCAAGTTTTTGCAATGTACATGTTCATTTTTAGGGGTGGCTTTCCGGAGTCTGTTTTGAGTAAGAAAAGTGGGATCTGGCCAAGCTCTGCCTAGCCCTTGTCAAAGATATCTCATTCACCTTCCTCTGGCCGCAAGGCCCAATGTCTGGGCCCACTCTGGGCTCATATTTCTGTAATAACAAAAACTGTCTTTTATCATGGAAGCAATAACTGAGGGGTGTGTGAGGTTTAAGTAGTTTGACACCAAGGTCAAATGTTGTGTCTGTTTCTTATTTTACACACATGGATTTAACAAATAGGTACAGCTGCCCCTTCCACACCGCCCCAGGATCTGTTCTCAGTGGGAGGACAGCGCGAGGCCTTCTGCGCAAATCCCGTCCTCAGCACCTGAGGCTGTGAATCTCAGACCATTTGCCGAAACACACGTGTGCAAGCGCTCAGTCGCTGCCCCCCAGCCTCATCCTCAGGTTGCTCCTGATACCTCGGCCACAATTGCGTGAGGTCTGGAAGCCAGGGAGCGTTTGTGTTCAGGGCGGGGCGGCATGCAGCCCCCAGCCCTTTCTTCCAACTCCCGAGTGAGGATCACTCAGCCTTGCTTGGACGACAGATGCTCAGAGTTGAGTGGAGCCTTGCCCAGAGCCCAGCGCTCGCGGGCTGTACCCATCCCTGCCAGACCCAGAAAGAGGCCCAGCTGCAGGGAATCAGGGAAGCCCAGGGCTGGGTGGGTGTCGGCCCAGAGCCCAACCACGGGGTGGGGAGGGGGCATCCACAATCCACAGTCTCCGGGGGACGTAACCGCGCCCTGCTGGCTTCAGTACGTTTCAGGAGACGGCAGCGAGGCTACCTTGCATGGTGTGGTGGACGAGCTGGTGCGGTTCCGGCAGAAGGTCCGGCAGTTTGCGCTGGCCATGCCCGAGGCCACGGGGGACGCCCGGCGGCAGCAGCTCCTAGAAAGGCAGCCCCTGCTGGAAGCATGCGACACCCTGCGCCGGGGCCTGACTGCCCACGGCATCAACATCAAGGTGAGTGCCGCACCAAGGTCAGGGACATCACCCCAGGAGCCGGGTAGGTCAACAGGACGTGGGGCCATCAGAGGCCCAGACATCCCCCGTGACCATGCTTTTTTTTTGAGACGGAGTTTCACTCTTGTCACCCAGGCTGGAGTGCAATGGCGTGATCTCGGCTCACCACAACCTCTGCCTCTGCCTCCCAGGTTCAAGCGATTCTCCTGCCTCAGCCTCCTGAGTAGCTAGGATTACAGGCATGCACTCCCATGCTCGGCTGATTTTTTATTTTTAGTAGAGACAGGTTTTCTCCACGTGGGTCAGGCTGGTCTCAAACTCCCGACCTCAGGTGATCCTCCCACCTCAGCCTCCCAAAGTGCCAGGATTACAGGCGTGAGCCACTGCGCCCTGCCCATGCTTCTGAGTAGAGAAACCCACCCCCATAAAAAATGAGGTGGGAGGGCCGTGAGGGAGGGGCCAAGTTGGCTGCAGGGGACGCTGAGCACGGGGACGTGGGTCCTGCTCAGCCCCCGCCACCTCCTGCAGGTGCCTTGAAGCTCCTGGCCTTCTGCTGGAGGTAGTGGGGCCCTTTCTAAGCGCCTGGCAAGCTTTTTAGGACAGGCCGGTGAGGGAACAGGCACCCTGAACCTGATTACGCCTGTCAGCCCCCTGTGCCACATGACGTGGTGTCTGCTCAGAGTTGGACCTCACTCTTCTTCTCCAGGACAGAAGCAGTACAACATCCACGTGGGAACTGCTGGATCAAAGGACAAAAGACCAAAAATCAGCGGGCTGAGGATGGAGCACAGCCATGAACCTGCTCACGACAAGACGCACCCATGCTTCTCAGGGTCAAGGCTTTATGTTAAAGCTTCCTGTCGGGGCTGCTAGGTCAGCATTAAAGTAAGGCAACCAACAGTGTCCCACTGGCGTCTGTTTGTTAGTAACTGAGCCTAAACACTCACTGCGTTCTGTGGCTACAGACTCACCGTCGATTGAGTGAAGTAGTGTCAGACATTCAGTAGCATCCAGCAGCACACGTGCCTGTGCGTGAGACCTGCTGGCCCTGTGCCCAGGGAACAGACAACACAGCCAACAGAAGAGCAGGGACCCCGGGAGGCGGCAGAATGCAGCCTGTTTCCTCCTGAGGGAGGGGCTGGGGATGGGTGAGGTGGGTGGGCCACGCAGCATAGTCTGAAGCAGAGGTGGGACGCCAGCAATGCTAACCCCGGGACACCTCCCCCAGCAAGAACACAATCTTACGTTTTCTCTCTGGTTACAAAAGTAACGTATTCAGCATAGGAAAAATGCAGCTGAGAACCCGTCTGCAGTCCCGCTGCAGTTAACATCCTGGCAGCTGCAGGCCATCTTGGTGGTCATGGTCTGTGCAGAGCAGTGATGGGGTCGAGCTGGGCCTGGGAAAGGTTGGTTCCGGAGGAGTCAGGGCAGCCAGGCTGAAAGCCAGCTGGCGAGCTGTGACAGACAGGATTCCTGAGCGGGAGGTGGCGGCCAGCACACGGCAGGCTGCCTGGGCTACAGGACCGGTGGCCTCCTGAAGCACCCACCTTGCTCCTGATCTCACCCTTCTGTGGTAAGCCCAGCGCCACAGCTGTCAGTGACTCAGCAGGGTGACCCCTCTCCACTCTTCCTGCTCGCAGACCCTGGGCCAGGCCTCTCCCTGTCACACTGGCATCTCTGAATCCCAAGGGCACAGGCAGCAGCGGGACCCGTGACTGGGGATACGGGCTTGCTCATCATTTAACCGTGACCCTGAGGTACAGGTCTCCTGTCTACAGTTCAGAAGTCACTCACCTAGAAAATCACCCTAGTAAAGCTACCCACATAGAAAAAGTCCCCAGAGGGCTCCTTACAATGAGGCATCTCGACAGGGCTGCTCAGTACTGGGGCATTACGGGCCGCCCACCCCCCCACACTTTCCCGTTGCTCTCCTGGTCCAGGGAAGCTCCTGGGAGCGTGTCCGGCTGGAGCGAGTGCGTGAAATACGTGGGTTTGAGAAAGAACATGGAAGCAATGAGCTGCTTGTAAAAAAACCCATTCTCTCCTTTAAGCAAAGGGATGTTTTACTTAGAACAAAAACCAGACGAATAGTTCCTGTGACTGCTGAATTCTATTTCCTAAGGAAAGAAGGGGCTGCCTTGGGCTTATCCTTCAAGGTGCTTTATTGCAGCCACCACGGGAGAGGCGCTGGCGAGGAGGCCAATCTCACACAGACAGGCTTAGATATTCTTATCTCCCTGGCATCTCACACAATGTCCTCACCTAAGAAAGTTGAAAGGTGAGCTTTAGCTGTTTAAGGAAAAAAATACAATACTCAATTTAAATTAACCAGATCTGTCTTTTAATAGTTACCAGAATTTAGATGTTAATTCCCCAGAGGAAAAATGTCCATGGCACAGTTTTTCTGGAAAAGTTCACATGTAGACAGTGAAGCTTCTGAAGTTAGGCGTCAAATTAGTAGTGACAATCTTTTTTTTAATCTTGAAAGTCCCTAGTTTTAAAGAAAGTAGAATCCATCTGGGGCATGTCTGCATCACAGGGTATCACTCAAGAGTCATCATCAGGCCAAAAAGACTCTGAAGGGAACCAGGAGGGTTTGGCCCTTGCTGTGGAAAGATGCTACTGAAAGTATAAGAGAACACCCTAATGCACGCGTCAGGCACGAAACCGTACCATGCCCCGCTAAGACATGGGACCAGAGAACACGTCAACGTCAGGCCGCTCCAGGAAAACCATCCACAAAGACAACAGAAGCTAACCCGAGGTCGACACTGCCATGAAGAGTGTTGGCTGAAACCGCAGTTACCAGTGTCTTTACTGGACGCGAACATCCCTAAGGACACGGCTGTGCTGCTTCCTAAGCATACGTGACCACGATACTGTCTTTCCCCGGGTCTCCTTAGCGCCATCACTGCACCAGGCCCAGCATGCCTCAAGTCCTCCAGAGCCTTCTCCTGAGACAGCACTAGGGGCCACGTCAGACCCCAGGCTGCAGCCCTTCACCGTGCCCGTCCCCGGTCCGGTCTGCCCTGCTGGGGCCGGTGGGTATCATGGGGACCCCTGTGTAGACACGGACACCGGAGAGCGTGGGACAGGAGGCGTCTCAGAGCTCCCCACCCACACACTCAAGGGTCAGCGTCACTCATGTTTCCTTCTGTTCCCATGGTGCCTCCAAAAGGGTTTCCAAACAAAGTCATCATTGATTACCCTGGAGTATGTCAATAAGCCAAACACCAGCAGCCAGATACCACCAAGCTAGTCACCACTTTAAAAGAAGATGAGCTGGAGAACGAAGCAGCCCTCTGATGGACCCAGTCAGTGCAGTCGGGACTCAGGGAGACACCCGGGGACCCCTGCCCAGCTCCCTGCCGGAGGAAAGACTAGGGAAGGGAAGCAGAGGAGGAACGAAGGGCGCCGGCAGAGAGAGTAACAAGTAGAAACTTCGCCGATCTGGGAGCAGGCCGAGAAACTCTGTTGAGCTGCTAAAGAATTCTTCATTCTCATGTGATTTTCTTCATTTCTGTCTTCCCAGTTACTACCAAGGAGCTAAGGAAAGTTCAGGAATACTTTGTTTAGTGTCGCCATAACATCTCCAACCATGCATTAAGTTTAACCAAAAGCTGCAATATTCCAGATTCTTAAATTCTCAATGGCAACCAATTTATGCTCAAGTTGAAAATCTGGCAAGCACCGTACGCCTTCAGCACACGCGTGGGTCCGGATTTTCCCATCACACACACGCTCTCCCCCGTCCAAGGTGCCTGTTTACTTCTGGTCTGCGCGGGCTCAGGTTTCAAAGAGCTTGCTGAAGGCGGCCCCCACCTCGGCGATCATGTCGGAGGTGGTGGTGGAGCGACCGTGCTTCTGGAAGGCTTGGTGGTTGCACTGCCTGGTGAGAGAGCAGGCGCCAAACGCGGCCACCAGGAGAGGGCTGGACCTGCGGAGAGGGGGACAGCAGGAGGTGTGGGGAAGTGGGCGTCGTGGTCCGGGGGCCGCAGCTACCCTGGGCTCTGGTTTTGACTCCTGTTTCAATCTCAGGACCCCAAATTGTCAATTTCAAGTCTGATATGCCCCTGAGGAGAAAGCAGGTTTATCACAGCGAAAACCACCATTAACCCTCCACTACTCCCTGGCAGGAGGCACACAGGAAACGTCTATGTACTCGGAGACAGGTCCAGGGCTAGGGCACACAGTGGGCCAGGTGTTCCCGGGGAAAGCCAGGCGGCACAAGCTGCTTAGCCCTGTTTGACTGTGCTCTCAGTGCCCAGGTGCAGAGGGCATCTGAGGTCTGAGAATGGGGATTCCTGCTACCAGGGCTCCATCTCCTGGGGGAGGGGTGGAGGCAACTCGAGTGAACACAGCAGAATGAACAGTAAGACTCCTGCCCACACCCCTACCTCCTCGGCTCTCAAATTCATGTGGACACACCTAGTTTGGGGGATGGTCCCAGACTCTGCCATCCCGGCAATGAGGACACATGAGGCCACTGGATGACAGCCCTGCCCACCCTCCAGAAGCCCGGGTCTGCCACACCTAGCACCTGCAGCCACCACCTTGATGGGCTCACAGAAGAGAAATGGAGATGCTTAGAGGTATGGGAACTGCTTGCATTCATAAAGTTCTCTGACTACAGAACTGGGCCAAGGGCCCTGGTCCTAGAATTCTGCTGTCTCTTAAAGAAAATTCACATCTTTAAGAACAAGTGTCTAAGTAAGCCTTGACCCTGTCTGTTTTCTATCTTAGTATTCTGTGTTACACAGAATAAACCACTCAACTTCCCAGAACAGCGTGCTGCTGGGCCTTGGTTGCACCTCGGAACTCTCTGGAGAGCTCTGAAGACCACCCCTGCCCCAGGCCCCATCCACAGTGAATGATGGACAGGCCCAGGCCCAAGTGTGGGGTGGAAGCTTCTGCCAAGAGGGTTCGTCTGTGCCGAGATCTCTCCAGTGAAGCCTAGAGTTCATTGTCAGTGTTTCCAGGGCTACTTATTCAACGCATGAGCTACTGAAACAGCTTAGAAAAATCAGACGGTTTCAAAGTAGAATAAATGAAGACGTGGCCTTACCCATTTGTTTTCTGTGGTCCAGCAAGGAGCGCCCAGTGTACCAGGACGCCCAGGGAGCCCGACAGGAGGTCCCCTTGCCCTCCACACCTGCGGCTGCTGC
This sequence comes from Homo sapiens, assembly GCF_000001405.40. NCBI lineage: Eukaryota > Metazoa > Chordata > Mammalia > Primates > Hominidae > Homo > Homo sapiens. Next base: position 110,637,149 of record NC_000013.11, on the reverse strand, counting down.
CTTCCTGGCTGCACACAAGCACTGCACAGGGCAGAAGTGAGAGCAGGTGTCAGCATGGCCATGTGTGTGAATGTGACAGTAGCCACGGGTGTGGAAGGCCGCACGGCAGGCAGAGCCACACCCTCCAGGAGCAGCCTGAGGCTCCACTCACATCCTGCCTGCTACGGCTCTTCCCTGTTTGTTCCAAGGGTTGGAGGCAGCCTCTGTTTTACAGAAGAGGAAACCAAGACACGCAGTGGTGAGGCTGCCCCAGACCCCGCTGTGTAGCACAGCAGGTTGGTGGAGACACCTGCAGCTCGGAACCGCCTCAGACGAGCCCAAGCAGGCAGCTCTGAGCAGGGCGGCGCCAGCCTCCAGCTCCTCCCACCAGCTCCCAGGGACGGAGCCCTCACCTGCAGCCCACACTCCAGAGTTCACCTTAAACCACAGCTCAACCATACAGGGCAACACCGAGCGAGGCCTCCACCGGCCTCATAACGTCACGTATGCCTGTGTATGGGAATTCTCTATTTCTTTGAAAAATGTTTTGAAAACCAGGTGTTACATTCTCTGAACCTGTTAGACCCAAGAGAGCCTTCCAGTGATTAAAAAACCCTCATCTCAAAGGTGTCAGAGTCCCTCTGAGAACATCTGCTCTGTGTTCCTTGTGCACAGCTGTGTGTGGATGAGTGTGCGAGGGCGTGTGCGAGGCTGTGAGCATGACCATGCATGTGTATAAGTGCGAGTGTGCAAGGGCGTGCGAGGCTGTGAGCACAACTGTGCATGTGTATGAATTGCATGCGTGTGCACATATGTGCATGTGAATGTGAGTGTACAAGTGTGGATGTGCACACACCCGCCCACAGACGCCTCAGTGTTCTACCCTGATTTTGGTACCTAGTCCAGCCCCACAGCTCAGCAGGTGAGCACATTCGCTGCCCATCATCTGTCCAGGCCTGAATGGAGGGGCTTCCATTTTCAGCGCTAACAAGGGCACGGCTCCCCAGATGCCTCGCTGGCGCTGGGCCCGGCCTCTGCCCTGCTCTCACTTGGCTCTTGCTGAAGCCTCCCCAGGCTCCGTGGGAGTGGCCAGTTGAGACTCGCCACACTCAGTGCCTGAGATTCCACTACCAGCATCAGCTTCGGGGCTTTCTGCACTTTCCAGTCATTTTGATAAAAGAGAATGAAATGCAATAAAATACCCAAATAACTGCATGGATGGTGGATGCCACAGGTGAGATGAAGGTGGCAGCTGGAGACGCGGGACCCTGCACTGTGCCCTGCTGTTGCAGGCACCCTCCCGCCAGACTGCTTCTCATAACTGAGGCAAGGGAATTCAACCAACGGGTAAGGCCCACGGCTCGAAAGCCTGCCCTCACCACTGTCACCTCCCCTGGCAAAACAGTGAAAAGTCAAAACATGGACTCTGAAGAAAGTGTGGTTGACGAGCTCATCAGGAATCCCTGTGTGAATGTGTGTGAACACGGGTGTGCACGGGAGAGGTCTTCCAGGGCTCATGCTCGGTGTGGCCATGCTGACTGACCTGGCACTGGCCCATGCACAGAGGGCAGCCGCCACTCACCCTGCTGGCCGTTGGAGAGGATGTCGCGCTCTCCTTTCTGGACCACCGTCACGTTGCCCAGGGCTTGGCTGAGTCTTAGCACAGATCCATGGCTGTCATCGCTGTCCATAGGGCCTCTGAGCTATGACAACACAGGAAGACAGAGAAAAAGCAAAGTCTTCCTCAGACACACGACGACAGATAGCCCTGTCCCATCCGCCATGAGACTCATGCTCTCGTGTCTAAAGGGATCACCCAGGCACCTGTTAAAGGCCATGTAGGTGGGAGGATGCCCAGGATATCACCTGCAGTGAGTCCTCCGAGCAGGTGCTGACACGGTGCCTGCTCCAGTGCCCATCCTCTACCTCATCAGAGCAGGCTGAAGGAGGACCACCCAAGACTGGGTTCTGAGAGCTTTGCAGGAGTAATACAAATTCCAGTCGTACTGGGCACTAACATTGATGGGACACTTACCATGTGGGGACTCACGGCTTTACATAGGTTTCCTCATCTCATCCTCACAACCCCGTGAAGCTGATGCCATCATCACATTACAGATGAGGCACTCAGGACACAGACAAAGTGACCTGTCCAGAGTGCACTGCAGGAGGGGCTGACTGACCCGAGTCCCTGCCTGTCCCAAGCCCACTACACCATCGTTCATCCAATCCAAGCGCATTAATGGGAAGACGCGCCATCCGCTGGGAGAGGCACAGCGATTACTTGCAGGTGTGTCCACAGGGACAGGCTGGGCAGAAGCATGGAGCTCGTCCTTCACCCTCTTCAGGACGAACAGGGCTTGCATCTACCCTCCAGGGGGTCCACTGACTCACCACAGCGTCATACAGTCTGCTGAACTCCACGTGGTTGGGAGTGAGCACAGCCTTCCGGTAGCCATGGATGAGGGCCGGCTGCTGAGCGACCAGCCACAGGCCATCCTGCACAGAACAAGGAGCCGTGCTCACTGCACAGGCCTTCCGGGAGTCCGAGCCAGGAGGAGAGAAGTCAACTCACCGCGTCGATGACAACAGGGATGTCCCTGGCCTTTGACACTTCCAAAATGCCCTGCCAGAAGAGAAAACCAGACTGAGCACCATGCCTGCTGCTATGGTGTGGGTATGTGTCTTCTCAAAACTCATGGTGAAACTTAATTGCCAAGGGAAGGGTCCTGGGAGGTGGGGCCTTTAAAAGGTGATGTGGCAGTGTCCTCATGGGTTGGTTTAATGACCTTTAAAAGAGGCATAAGGGTCTCTCTCCTGCCCTTCTGCCCTCGCCAGATGCCGGCACCTTGATGTTGGACATCCACCTTCAGAACTGTGAGCCAGTAAACGCCTGTTCATTATCAATTACCCAGTCTGTGGTACGGCTACAGCAGCGCAAAACCGACTAAGACACTTTTCCCAAGAGTGACAGAAAATTGAGCAGACTCTTAATAAAATGCAACATCAGGCCATCAAACAATAAATGGAAAATAATCAAGTAAATGAATAAAATAGAGAAGCAGAAAGACCCAATGAACTCGCAGAGCCCGTAAACAAGGCAGGACACTGGGAACTCTGAAAGGCGAAGCCCACTGGAAACGCTATGAACAACAGCTGGGCTCCTAGGCTAACCCATGAAGACAGCCCCCGCCCCAGCAAGGGCATCCAGTTCTCCAACAGATACTAATACGCAGCATTCGGAGGCAGGAAATCTGAATTCCTGAGAATTCCCCAAATCATTAGTCATTATGTATTTTTCATATCACTTTACTTACACGTTTTAAAATAACAACAATAATAAACAGGGAATCATTTTTCCCTGATAGGATTACAGTGAAGGTTTCAAAGGTTTTCTATTAAAAAAAAAAAACTACATGTATAGATACACACACATATATGTAATATTTGGTGGTTTTTATTATTATGAGCCAATACATTGTGACAAGATTATACACTGCAGTAGCATGTAAAGTGATCCTGACTTGACAGACACCTGATAATACAAAACATTAAAATAGAAAACATTAAACAAAATGAGAGGTGACAGCATGCTGGCAGTCCTCAGAGCCCTCGCTTGCTCTCAGCACCTCCTCTGCCTGGGCTCCCACTTTGGCGGCATTTGAGGAGCCCTTCAGCCCACCACTGCACTGTGGGAGCCCCTTTCTGGGCTGGCCAAGGCTGGAGCCCACTCCCTCAGCTTGCAGGGAGGTGTGGAGGGAGAGGCGCGAGCGGGAACTGGGGCTGCCTGCAGCGCTTGCGGGCCAGCTGGAGTTCCGGGTGGGCGTGGGCTTGGCGGGCCCCGCACTCGGAGCAGCCGGCCAGCCCTGCTGGCCCGGGGCAATGAGGGACTTAGCACCCGGGCCAGCGGCTGCAGAGGGTGTACTGGGTCCTGCAGCAGTGCCAGCCCACCGGCACTGTGCTCAATTTCTCACCGGGCCTTAGCTGCCTTCCCGCCGGGCAGGGCTCGGGACCTGCAGCCCGCCATGCCTGAGCCTCCCACCCCCTCCATGGGCTCCTGTGCGGCCCGAGCCTCCCCGACGAGCACCACCCCCTGCTCCACGGCACCCAGTCCCATCGACCACCCAAGGGCTGAGGAATGCGAACGCACGGCGCAGGACTGGCAGGCAGCTCCACCTGCAGCCCTGGTGCGGGATCCACTGGGTGAAGCCAGCTGGGCTCCTGAGTCTGGTGGGGATGTGGAGAGTCTTTATATCTAGCTCAGGGATTGTAAACACACCAATCAGCACCCTGTGTCTAGCTCAGGGTTTGTGAGTGCACCAATCAGCACCCTGTGTTTAGCTCAGGGTTTGTGAATGCACCAATCGACACTCTGTATCTAGCTGCTCTGGTGGGGCCTTGGAGAACCTTTATGTCTAGGTCAGGGATTGTAAATACACCAATCGGCACTCTGTATCTAGCTCAAGGTTTGTAAATACACCAATCAGCACTCTGTGTCTAACTCAGGGTTTGTGAGTGCACCTATCGACACTCTGTATCTAGATGCTCTGGTGGGGCCTTGGAGAACCTGTGTGTCGAAACTCTGTATCTAACTAATCTGATGGGGACGTGGAGAACCTTTGTGTCTAGCTCAGGGATTGTAAACACACCAATCAGTGCCCTGACAAAACAGGCCACTCGGCTCTACCAATCAGCAGGATGTGGGCGGGGCCGGATAAGAGAATAAAAGCAGGCTGCCCGAGCCAGCATTGGTAACCCGCTCGGGTCCCCTTCCACGCTGTGGAAACTTTGTTCTTTCGCTCTTTGCAATAAATCTTGCTACTGCTCACTCTTTGGGTCCACACTGCTTTTATGAGCTGTAACAGTCACCGCGAAGATCTGCAGCTTCACTCCTGAAGCCAGCGAGACCACGAGCCCACCGGGAGGAACGAACAACTCCAGACGCGCTGCCTTAAGAGCTGTAACACTCACCGCGAAGGTCTGTAGCCTCACTCCTGAGACAGAGACCACGAACCCACCAGAAGGAAGAAACTCCGAACACATCTGAACATCAGAAGGAACAGACTCCAGACGCGCCACCTTAAGAGCTGTAACACTCACCGCGAGGGTCCACGGCTTCATTCTTGAAGTCAGTGAGACCAAGAACCCACCAATTCTGGACATAAAAATACATGCTAAGAATAATTTAAAGTATTGAAAACTAAAGCCGTGTATATTAAATGAAATTTGAAAGCTGACAAAGCATTAGCTGCTCGCCTAACAAAGTGCTCATTTCAGCCTGTTTATGACGCACATTCCAGCCATAGGAAAGTGTGTATTTGGCTCTGACACTGGTCCGAGCATTAGCAGTGTGTCCTGAAGCCCCTTCCAGGGAGGCAGGTACCTGAGACTTCATGGAAGTTTATTATTCCCTTTATTAACAATAAAAATTCTTTGTCTGCTTGCCCTGAGTTTGGCTTTACTGTTAAAACTGGCAGGCTTTTGCTAATTCAGATTTTAGATCAGTTTCTGATTTCATGTTGCAGTATTTGGCAACAATCTGACATTTTCATCTGTTTCTGTGTTTTCTTTTAATGTATTTGCAAATAGTACTCAAAAGTGAATATTCAAACCCTGGAAAATGCAATGTTACATGGGTCTCCTAGAAAGGTTTGCAGCATCAGAGCACCCAGCGCAGAAGGGTGTCCCCACCCATGGGAAAGCAAACCTTGGTACACTAGGGAGAAATCTGGGGGCATCTCTCAAAAATTTAAACGTCCTTACTCTGATTCAGCAATGGAACTTCACCCAAAAGAGTGCACAAAACACATAGATTCAGGACACCACTGATGTTAACATGAAGAAAAAGCTGAAAACAGTGTAAATGAACTAAATACACTGTAGTAGATCCATAAATTCTGATGTGGCTGTTAAAAATAATGAGTATCCACATATCCTTCCATGAAAAAGTCTCCAGGACACACTGTTAACGAGTGTGCAAAGAGCACAGTGTGAGGACAGGTGCATTGGTCAAGAGCCTGCGCTCCAGATTCAGACAACGTGGGTTCAAAGCCAGCCCAGGAACCAGAAGACTTAATGTTGTTAGACATTCCCCCAACTGATCTTCAGTTTCAACATCATCCCTACCAAAGTTGCGGCTGCCTATTCCACAAATCAGCAAGCTGATCCAAAACTGGAATGCATGGGACCCAGGAGAGCCAAAACAACCTTAAAAAGAGCGAATTTGGAGGACTCGGGCTTTCGACGTCAAGGCTTCCTACACAGCCACAGCAGTCAAGACCGGGCAGTTGCAGGACAGCTGTACAGATCAACAAAACAGAAACAACAGTCCAGAAATAAGCCTTCACATTTAGGGTCAACGGATTGTCAGGGAGGATGACAAGTTGGGAGGAAAAAGGAGTCTCTCCAGCACATGGTGCTGCAACAGCTGGACACCCACAAGCAAAAGACTGACGCTGGAGCCTCCTCCTACCACACCAGCATCAGCTCGACATGCACCGCAGAGCTAAAGTAACAACCAAAACAATAAGGCTCTTAACATGTAGGAGTAAACCTTGGGTTAGGCAGAAGCTTCTGAGATAAGACACCAACAGCACAAGGGACAAAAGAAAAAACAGCTAAATTGGACTTCAAAATTAAAAACTGTGCTGTAAACAAAACCATCGAAGTGAAAAGACAACCTACAGAATGAGAGGATATCGGCAAATCGTCTCTCTGATAAGGAACCTGTGTCTAGAACGTATATGAAGAACTCCTAAAAGTCAATAAAAAAAAGGCAAAAAACAGTTTTCAAAGTGGGGAAAGGGTATGAATAGACACTTCTCCAAAGAAGATACCCAAAGAGGCCAGGCATGGTAGCTCACGCCTGTAACCCCAGCACTTTGGGAGGCTGAGGCGGGCGGATACCTAAGGTCAGGAGTTCGAGACCAGCCTGGCCAACATGGTGAAACCCCATCTCTACTAAAAATACAAAAATTAGCTGGGTGTGATGGTGGGCGCCTGTAGTCCAAGCTACTTGGAGGCCAAGGCAAAGGAATCACTTAAACCCAGGAGGTGGAGATTGCAGTGAGCCAAGATCACGCCATTATACTCCAGCCTGGGTGACAGAGTGAGAATATGTCTCAAAAACAAAACAAAACAAAAACAAAAAAAAAGATACCCAAACAGCCAATGAGCACATGCAAAGATGCTCAACAGCATCAGCTGCCAGGAAAACGCAAACCAAACCACAGTGAGGTCGCTCCACGCCCACTAGAGTGGCTGCTAAGTAGACAACAACAGTAACAAGTGCTGGGAACGATGTGGAGAATCAGAGCCCTCGCACACTGCTAGAGGGAATGGAAAATAGTGCAGCCGCTATGGGAAACAGTGGCAGGGCCTCAAAATGTGAAACACTTAACACCCAGGAGAGTGAAAACACATCCACACAAAAAGTGGAAACCAATTTTCCATAAATTAATCAACAGATAAACCAAAGGTGGTGTATGCATACAGTGAAATATTAGATATAAAAAGGAATGGAATACTGATACATGCTACAACACAGGTAACTCTAAATATAAAATTATGCAGAGTGACATAACTAATCACTAAATAGCACACGTTGCATAATTCCATTCATATGAAATGTCCTGAACAGGCGAATCCAGAGAGACAGAAAGCATACTAGCTGAGTGGCTGCCAGGAACTGGGGAGACTGGGGAACAGGGAGCAGATGCTAACGGGGATGGGCTGCTTCTGGAGGCAATAAACATATTCTAAGGTTGATCATGGTGATGGTTGCACAACTATGAATATACTTGAAGCCACCGCATAGTTCACTTTAAATGGGTGAGGGGTATGGTAGGTAAATCATCTAAATAAAGTCGTTTTTAAAAAACCATCTCTGCAGTTTCTTTGCTACCAGATCCCACGGGCGTCTTGAATCCTTGCCAGGACTCAATCTGTCATCAGAAGAATGGGGCTATGAATAGGAATCTACCTAATCGGGTTGTTTTCAGGCCTACACCAGATGATGACCTCATTCAGGAACGTCGACGAAGTAGGAAGCCTCTGCTCCGCACCAGACACGAGCTGGAAGCTGACGAGGAGGCGGCAGCCCACGCTAGATGACCTGAGGGCTCTCAAGACCACGGCAACAGTGTACAGGAACCAGAATGCAAGGTCCAGAGTCTGGGCTGCAGGGGCAGCGACGCACACCCTCACTTCCCACCTTTCACACTTCCACGCAGTACAGTGGTTTTTTAAGATACCAGTTTTTAAATTGTGAACTTAAATTCACAAAGAAAATAACCTGAAGCAGAGCACTCTGGCTCGTTCACCTCTAATTCATCCGCACCCCCAGGATGCAGAGCTGGACAGGAAGCAGCAGCCGTGCACCGCAGACCCGCAGCCTGCAGATGGGACTCCCCATTGAGAGCCTCTCCCCGGGGATGACAGAGGGTTCTACTGCTCCTAAACATGGCCACCTCCTCCTTCCCGGTGAGCGGGTAAGACCTTAAAGCTCAAAGACGGGCTCCCGTGCTGACTCCACGCCGCTTTTCCTGGTCTGTGCAGTGTCAGCCTGCGTCTGCCTGCCCCTCAGATGACTCATCCTGCACTGCTGGCTCCATCACTCGCCGCCTTCAAGCCCCGCAGCCTCAGAGACCCCTCCATTAACTAAGCACCCAACAGAGTGCCATGCAGATGGCTGGCATTTTCAGGGTGACTGCTGATCTGGGGAACACAAAATGGCCAGGCACCTTCTAAGGGCTTCAAGCGTAGTCCCTCACTAATGCCCGGCCTCTGATCCCCATGCAGTCACCACGCCTTGCACATGTGAGCACCCTGTGGCACCAAGCCATCTGGCACACTGTGTCTTCCCCCAGGAGCTCTAACAGGGGTCCCCCGGAACTTGAGAAAGGGTCTCAGAGGGCAGCCCCACAGGAGCACAACCCCCAGCAGAGACACACCAGCCCAGGGAGCGTCAGAGGACGCAGGGAACACAGAGCTGGCAGCCATCCCCATCTTTTTATCGCCCCTGATCCCAGGTGGTATTTATTTACAGCAGGCACAAAGTGATCAGAATAACTTTCATCTTTTGGATTTAGGTGGGCATAAGATGAACTTTAAGAAAGAAATACCAGCATAAATGAGAGTCCATGCGCATATGCATGTGGGCACGGACAAGCAGGCCCGTGTCACCTCACAGCCTGATGTCAGCAGAGCATGGCGCCAGGGCTGTGTGGGAACAACGGCCCAGGAGGCTGAGGGAACCCCAGGATCCCCCAGCAAGAAGGGGGTGGCCTGGGAGATACACCCAGGCCTGACCCCAAACCTCTGTCACCTCCTCAGTCCTGCTCACCCTCTCCTCACATCAGACATAAAACAACTGAGCAACTCCACACACACACCTCCTGCAGCTGCTCCATGAGAAAACAGTCGGGCCCGGAGAGAAGCACATCTCAGCACAGTTCCTCCCCACCTTTGCACTCAGTTTCTCCTCCGTCCCTCAAATCTTATCTCAATCATGCCACAAAGAGGCACACGGAACACTACACAAAATGCAAGAGAAATGCCTCTGTTCCAACTTCACGCCTAAGGCTAAGCCTGTCATGAGGGAAGTGAGTGAGTATACACATTACCTGGACATTTCTGAGAAGCGCATCATCTCTACCCAAGCCAGGTCCTACGACAAGAGCATGCAGCCGGGGCAGCCACTTCTCCACCTCATGAACAGCATTGGGGCTGTCACTAAAGAAGGAAAGGAAGGCCAGGATGGTTACCCACAATTCCTCATTTACTTACTGTCATGTATTTGTTTACATTTTATTTTGAAAAAATAACTTATAAATAGTAATGACTTTTAAATAATTTCTGTAATTTAGATTTATTATTTAATCAGTACAGAAGGCTCCCATGTACCCTTCGCCTAGCCTCCCCGAGGTTAACGCCTCACACACCCACATTCCGGATCAGCATGACCAAGTTCACATTGGTTAATACTATTCATTAAACCACAGCATTTTCCAAATTTCCCATTTCCTCTTGATGTCCTCTTCCCATGTCAGGACCCAAACCAGGCCCCACACTGCATGTGGCCATTGCCTCTCCCTGATCTCTCTTTTAATGCCCAGATTTACATGCCTAGCTTTCAACAGTTACGACAAGTTAGAAAAAGAACGATGGCTATTTTCAAAATCATCTTTGCCCTCTAAAGTTAGCCCGTTTGTTTCCATCACATACATGTGTGGCTGTAAAGCCTACTTTGTGTGCTTATAGACCAGGCCCCACACAACGCACTGACCCTGCTGCAGTTTCTCATTCAGAACAGGGCAGGGGTTTGCTTTTTCAGAACTCCTTCCTGTTCGGTGTGACCTCTCCTAGAGCCCACTGTTAAGGCTTCTGTCCCCTTTCCTCCCCGACAAGCTCCCTTGTCAGGGTCACCCCGCACTGTGAGATGCACCAACTGTTCTCAGGCCTCATCTCCAACTGACCCAGAGTCGCACACACAGGCCCTTCTGGAGCTGTCTGGAAACAGCGGCTTCACTGACTCCTGGAGGCCCCTGCTGCCTCCTCCCCAGCCCGTGCTCCCAGCATCTGAGTGCCAAGTCCCCCCTGCCCCCAACCCCAGCCCCCCTCCGCCTCTTACTCCCTCGTCTTCCAGCTTTAAGCACCGTCCACATGTGCATGACTCCCAAGCCCGTGTCCCCACTGTCCAATGCCCTCTAGCCACGTCCCTTGGATGTCTAACTGGCAGCCAAACTGCGCCCTACACCCAACGCCTCATCTTCATCCCACCCAAGCCCGTTTCCACCACATGGAGTGACCACTCGCTCAGACCAAAACCCTTGGTGGAGTCTGTGCCCCTTGCCTTTTCCAATCCAATCTGTCGGCAAATTCCACCCCCAAACTTTCCAAACATACCCAGAATCCGGCCCCTCTCACCATCTGACTGCACCCTTCCCTCCCACAGGTCCTTACCACAGCCTCCGGCCCAGCCCCACAGCCGCGTAGGAGCCTTTATGACCCACACTGGCCCTGCCCTGCTTACTCAGGGCCAGAGCCACAGCCCTGACAGCAGCCCCACACCCTGTGGGGCCCAGCCCTGCACCTCTTGGTCACCCGACACATCACAGCACCGCACCTGGAGCTCCGCGCCGGCTCCTCTCTGGTGTGGAGAGGCCGGGCTCGACCCAGGCGTCATCACACTGTGCTGCCGCCCCAACTGCCCCTCTGCCCACTCTCACAGCCCCCTCCCTGCTGCCGCTCTCTACGGTTCCTTCACCACCTGACATCCTCCTCTCCCTTGTCTCCAGAGCAGCACAGCCCAATCCAGTCGGTGCAAACACACACAATGAAAAGTAAACAAGAGCAAACGCTCTGCTCCCGCACCTCCCAGCCACATTTCAAGCCCTCAGTGGCCACAATCCTGGACGGCAGAGAGAACACCTCCACACAGCAAGCTCTATAGCATAGGCGGTCTGGGGGAGCCCCACGGGGGCAGGTTTTTGCCTGCCCAGTTCCACGCTGACCCATGGAACACAGGCTAGGGCCTGGCACCAGACATATGTGCCGAGTGCAGGAAGGGTCTTGTTATTGCTCAGAGGCCCTTCGTTTCCACCTTCTGCAAACCTGTCACACACAGCCCACAGGGCCTCCCTGCCTCTGGAGCTGGGCCCCGGCCATTTCCAACAGGCCCAAGCTCCCCCACCCACCTCTCCACCCCGCCGTCTCTGTCTTATTCTGACCCCAGAAGAACGGGCTCCTTCATTTCCCTACTTCCTCTACAGCACCTGCTGAGAAACTCTGAGGATGGAAAATCCATCAGGACGCTTTCGGTGTCAGTGCCAAAACCCCAAATGATGCAGGAGGGAAAGAGAACCTACGAGAAGCCGGCGCAGAGCGACTCACAGAACTGGGTGGACGATCAGCTCCGGGCTGTAGGCCTTAATCACAGGTGCGGCCGCACTGGCACAGAACACGTGGGACAAGTCTGCGCCCTGATGAAGGAGCACAAGAGGCCGACTCAGGGATCGCTCCGGCATCGCTGCCCACCCGCCAGACACAGGCGTCCAGCGCTCATTACTCAGCCCTGGTGACGTGCATGAGAAACGTACTAGCTCGGATTACACCCAGCCAGGTGGCTTAGCAAAGGGCCAGGGCGCAGAGCACAATACCTAAAAAGAAAGACTTTTGCCGCCACTGCAGAGGCAGGGTCAGAGCCACACACACCAGCACGGCCCAGCTCGGTCTGGTCACCCTCCAGGAGGAAGGGTCACAGGAAGAGGCCGGCCGTTAGCACTTGCTCAGCTCATGGGAAACTGCAGGATCAGCGGCTTCAGCTGCGACCTACAAAGGCATCCCAGGTGCACTTTGGTGGAGTACAATACAAATCACGCTTTAGGTTTTAAAAATGGGCTTCAATTGAGGCCAGGTGCAGTGGCTCACGCCTGTAATCCCAGCACTTCGGGAGGCCGAGGCGCATGGATCACGTGAGGTCAGGAGTTCGAGACCAGCCTGACCAACAGAGAGAAAACCTGACTCTACTAAAAATACAAACAAAATTAGCCAGGCGTGGTGGCAGGTGCCTGTAATCCCAGCTACTCGGGAGGCTGAGGCAGGAGAATCGCTTGAACCCAGGCGGCGGAGGTTGCTGTGAGCCGAGATCCCGCCATTGCACTCCAGCCTGGGCAAAAAGAGCGAAACTCTGTCTCAAAAAAAAATGAGCTTCAACTGAAGTGATCTTGTTTATGCACAGATGTCAGGATAGACTTAACGGTGTTTCTATTAGCTATGATTACCCTAAGATATTATTTAGATTTCTATCAGAAAACATTTGCTTTAATCATATTTAAATAATCAAACTCTCTACCAGAAAAATCCCAATAAAGAAATTTTAAGTAAACATACCACTTTGAGAGCTGAGATTGCTGCAAAATATGGGGCTCCAGTGTACCTAAAAAGAAGGTATTTAGAGTCAAAAACTTCTGAGAATAAGGTAAGCATACCTTGATCAATAAATAGGTTATCAATAAAAAATAGACATAAATAATATAGACATGGTTTATCAATAAATAACAGAGACATGAAGCACACAGCACAAACCCAACACCTAAAAGATGCTCAGCAAATGTTCAATGAACATGAACCAGGTTCGACTAGAAATGTCTTTTTTTTTTTTTTTTTTGAGACAGAGTTTCACTCTTGTTGCCCAGGCTGGAGTGCAATGGCACGATCTTGGCTCATTGCAACCTCCGCCTCCTGGGTTCAAGCGATTCTCCTGCCTCAGCCTCCTGAGTAGCTGGGATTACAGGCATGCGCCACCACACCCGGCTAATTTTGTAGTTTTAGTAGGGACAGGGTTTCTGCATGTTGGTCAGGCTGGTCTCAAACTCCCAACCTCAGGTGATCCGCCCGCCTCGGCCTCTCAAAATGCTAAGATGACGGGCATGAGCCACCGCGCCCAGCCAGAAATGTCGATCTTTTACATAAAACCTTCATGCATTTCAGGAGAGTGAATCTCTGGCAGTAATGCCTGCAGTCTCCCTGCAATGTGAATGTTCAAGGTAAGGAGCTGACCGCAGGCTTCTGCCTGGAGAGAAGAAAGTGACAACCACATGTTCGGAGCAGTCGGGCATGGACAGGGTCCCAGAGTGGGCAGACCCCGTCCTCCAAGAGTCACAGTCAGCAGAGGCCAGATGGGGGCCACCTGGGACAAACAAGAAACGGCACCCACCACCCAGCTGCTTCCGCCTGGCTGTTCTGGAATCCCTGGCTCTCCAGGTCTAAGGGCACTTCAGGCACAGAAAGGAAGAGCCCTGCCCTCCGTCAGATGGGCAAATGCAACCTTTATGTCCATTCCGAGCAGTGAAATGTTTTGCTAACCCAAGAAAGAGAGACCTGGGCAAATGCTGATACCCATCACCTTACATGGCCTTCTCCTGCAAAGCGGTGTCAATAGCGTTGTAAATGCAAAAGACAGTACAGAACAGGCAACATACATGCACACACTCTTCCATCATGTGAAAACAAGCCTCACTAATAAGAGAAATGCATTAAAACAACAAGAAAGCTTGTCGACTTCACTAGCAAAGGTTGTCCTCCAAGGGCTGCAGGGAACAGGTGCTCTTGGGAGGCAACACACACTAACGCAATGGGGGGACAATTCGGCAGCGTCACCAGCATGTAAAATGCACACATACCTGATCCAGTAACAACTCTAACACACCCTATGGCACGATCAACAGCTGCAAATGGAGGGATGGGCAAAGAGAGATACCACATCCATGCAAACAGAAAGCAAGCAGAAACAGAGGAGCCACGGCAGGCTTTCCGTCAGAGGCAGAAGGTATCCTTCACACCCAAGGACAACTTACAAACAGCTACGTACCAAACACAGCAGCAAAACAGAACAGAAGCAAGCTAGGGATTTGTCAAATTTCATAAATGACTTTCAGTAACATCTTTAAATTGACAAAGTAAACCAAGAGGTTGCTGAGTGTTTCTATCCTAAATACAAAAAACATGCTTGTGGTATGAAGTCCAGTTAAATACAGAAAAGCAGAAAGTGGAAAAAACAGGCTCATTTCCCCACTACGACAAAACTTAACACTGACACACATGAGGGAGTAATTCAGTCAGGGCTCCTCAGAGTTATTTCCTAGTTAATCAAAAAGTGGATCACTGAAAAATACTGAGTGTCCTATCAGGCTGCATTTGGAAATGATTACTGAGGTCAAACTAGACAGCGTGAATGACAGTCAGGTAAGCAGCCAGCCAGCAACTGACTTTTTAAACACCAACACTGCACATCAGCTACTTACTCCTGACAGCCTCCAACTACGCCTATTCTTCCATCTTGCCCTTTGTGCTTTGTGGAAGACAGAGGAGGTATGATATTTCTCACCAGCTGCAAAGTATTTTCCATATCCTTTATCGAATGTGCTTTACGTAGCGAAAACGCTCTTTCTAAAACTGAAAGACAAGAAAAATGAATAATTCAGAAAGGTAAACAGATATTGTTAGTACACATAATAGCCCATTAACCAAAACCCTCTCCAAAGTTATTACGAATGCTATAGATTTTTACCCAATGGATTTCTGTAAGCAAATATGATGTTCAAAATTACATTAACACATGCAATTTTTTTTTTCTTTTTTGAGACGAACTCTGACTCTGTCACCCAGGCTGGAGTGCAGTGGCGTGATCTCAGCTCACTGCAACCTCTGCCTCCCAGGTTCAAGCAATTCTCCTGCCTCAGCCTCCTGAGCAGCTGGGATTATAGGTGTCTACTACCACACCTGGCTAATTTTTGTATTTTCAGTAGAGATAGGGTTTCATCATGTTGGCCATGCTGGTCTAGAACTCCTGACCTCAAGTGATCTGCCAGCTGCAGCCTCTCAAAGTGCTGGGATTACAGGCGTGAACCACCATGCCCAGCCTGAACACATGTAATTAACACATATAGTAACACATGCTATTTATTTATTTATTTGAGACAGAGTCTAGCTCTGTCACCCAAGCTGGAGTGCAGTGGCACGATCCTGCTCACTGCAACCTCCACCTCCTGGGTTCAAGCGATTCTCCTGCCTCAGCCTCCGGAGTATCTGGGATTACAGGCACCTGCCACCCTGCCCTGCTAATTTTTGTATTCTTAGTAGAGACAGGGTTTCACCATGTTGGCCAGGCTGGTCTCCAACTCCTTACCTCAAGTGATCTGCCCGCCTCAGCCTCCCAAAGTGCTGGGATTACAGGCATGAGCCACCCCACCAGGACAACATATGCTATTTCTATCAGGTTTATTTTTGAAATGTATCTGAAATTTTGGAAGACCATTTAATTTTCCAGAAAGTTTTATCAAGTAAAAAAATGCATTATTACTTAATAAACTATCACTTCATTTCAATTTCCCTTTAGGATTATTAGGTCTTTTCTCTCCTCACAAACTGGAAAGCAAGCTCCCACCTGTAATCCGCTGGGGTGCTCAGAAGTCTGACAGATTCATCATATTACTCCCAACTGTATTCCAACACTCAACTGGGTATTAATTAAATAACCTAGAAATGGCATTCTAAATATGGCACACCTCTTAAATTGGGTTCAAAGTGGCATTTAATGTATTTTCATCATCTTGAGTTGTCTCTAAACAGCTACACTTCAATTGGCCTTTCTTGAAGAGCTTCCTGTGTTATATATTTTACCTTAATATTTAAAACAGCTCGGCTATGAGAGAAATGCTGGTATGTTCTATAGAGCTCAATGAATAAAGCATACATTCTCCCTAGAATGAAAGGATCTTTGCAAATATAAACAGTATTTTTTCAAACAAGGCACTCAATATTTTTATCCTTCCAATTATCTCAGCAGCAGAGAAAAACCAGTGTCACAAGTTCCACTGACTGCAGTCCAAAGCTCACTGAGCGTTTCACAGCAAAAGAGCTTTGTCTTTTAACTCTTACAGTTTTACTTTTTACTCAACAAAACTTTTGAAGGAATTTTCTTTATGAGTAGATGTAACTGCCTTAGCTGATAGAGCAGATGCTGGGATTCCCCAAGATAAAAAGATCCTATGAATCCCCATCAACCCAAATTCTTTTTTTTTTTTTTTTTTGAGACAGAGTCTCACTCTGTCGCCAGGCTGGAGTGCAGTGGTACAATCTCGGCTCACTGCAACCTACGACCCCCTGGTCCAAGCAATTCTCCTGCGTCAGCCTCCTGAGTAGCTGGGACTACAGGCGCATGCCACCACGCCCAGCTAATTTTTGTATTTTTAGCAGAGACGGGGTTTCACCATGTTGGCCAGGGTGGTCTCGATCTCCTGACCTTGTGATCTGCCCACCTCGGCCTCCCAAAGTGCTAGGATTACAGGTGTGAGCCACCGCGCTCAGCCCAACCCCAAATCTTTTCACCTTCTTCCAGACCAACACACAAGACCCGGCACAGAATCACTATAAACTGTGGGCCAAGGAGAGACACAATGAAGCTTGCTGAGCTACCTGCAGGGGACCAATGCACCCATCCTTGAAATCCCTCCAGGAGGGCTAAATTATGGTTTTAAAACAATACACTTGTCTAGAAGAGACATTTATGGGGCCAGGCGCAGTGGCTCCCCGCTGTAATCTCAGCACTTTGGGAGGCCAAGGTGGGTGGATCACTTGAGGTCAGGAGTTCGAGACCAGCCTGGCCAACATAGTGAAACCCCATCTCTACTAAAAATACAAAAATTAGTTGGGCACGGTGGTGCA
Organism: Homo sapiens; assembly: GCF_000001405.40. Taxonomy (NCBI): domain Eukaryota; kingdom Metazoa; phylum Chordata; class Mammalia; order Primates; family Hominidae; genus Homo; species Homo sapiens. Next base: position 110,619,944 of record NC_000013.11, on the reverse strand, counting down.
TGCCTGTAATTCCAGCTACTCGGGAGGCTGAGGCAGAAGAACTGTTTGAACCCAGAAGGTGGAGGCTGCAGTGAGCCAAGATTATGCCACTGCACTCCAGCCTGGGTGACACAGCGAGACTCTTGTCTCAAAAAAAAAGACATTTATGGGTATCGATCAGCATCCTGTCTTTGTCGTGGGGAGCTGTTCTATGCACTGAAGGATGCTGAGCAGCATCCCCGGCTTCTACCCAGTCAGCAGTGCATGTACACGCACCCAGTGGTGACAACCAGCAATATCTCAACACTCCCAAATGTCTTCTGGATGGGGCAAAATGAGCCTGGGTTAAGAACCACTAGTAGAGATGCATGCGTGTAGTTTTAGCACCTTTAAATATACCAGTACTTCAAATTAAATATTTAAGGTCATATAAAATATAAATTGTGACTTATGAAATCACAGAGAAAAACAATTTAGTCAGACTTCAACTTACGGATGTTAAAAATCAACATTTATATCAATGTACCCTGCCTGATGAAAACAACTCCTAAATGGTAATACTTCATAAATGTGTATTTCTCACAATAAGAAAAGGAATAAAATGGTTCCACCAGATAATACTGTATATTTTCCAGGAGGCTTCTTTCTCCCAATATCCAAGATTCATATCTTACAAACATCTGTATCTTAAATTTCAGATTTAAGTCTTAAAAAAAGTACTATAGGTGAGGTATGAAATATTTAATGTTTATATCAAAAAGGGCAAATACCATAAACCCACACTGAACTACCCATTTGCACTTTGCCTCATAGTTGAAATAACCTATACATTACCGGAAAGGATCTGACACAAAATTAAGCTGCAGCCACGAGTCCAGGTGGAGCACCTGTCAGGTGGAGGGGAGCACCAATGCCCCTCTGCAACCAGTGTCGCCCAGCACTCCCAGGAGGGCACAGCAGGGCCGCCTCGGGGTCACAACTGCAGCACCAGAGCTCCCAGGGATGCTGTGTTCCAAGTGCTTGTCCTCTCCGCATCTGCTCCCCAGAGCGGAAAAGCTTCCCTTCTGCGTCACACTCTGCTGAAAGTCCTCCCAGTACTTTTGGTACTGGGATAGCACCTTTCTGATCTTTTTGGTTGAGAAAGAGGAGATATGCTAGTCCAGGCAAGGATACGCTTAAAACCTACAGGCTTTAAAGCTAATACTGATTTTTGTTGTTATTCAAATAATGACAAGAACACATACAATTTTTCCTGCACTTCAAGGTAAGCTTTGTTAAAATGATAAGATATCAGGGGGCTCAAACATCGAATACAATATACGAATAAGGGCCACTTTCTAAGGCGGATTTTTCTACAGCAGGTTAAGCATTAAAGTCCCATTTACCACAAGCCAAAAATATCAATTCTGAGTGTGTAAAACCCACTGCATTCACACGGCAATCTTTATCATAGCTAGGAAGAAAACACGGGGGGAATCCTGTTCTGAGCTATTCCTTTATCTTATACAGAAGGTAGTGTTTTGAAGCCCAAAATGTGCAAACCACCTTCACAGCAACTTGATCAACCCACCAGCGGGAGTCGCCTCCTCCTGCTCCTGTTCCGTTGTGAAATCTTAAGACTTTGTGAGATTCCCAGTTCCCTGGCCATGATGCTACCGTAAGGGCTGGGTCTAAGAACCCTGGAGAACAAGAAGCGCCATCCAGAAACTGAATATTTCAAGATTTACACATGAGAACAACGGCTCTCAAATGGAAGCTAGCTTAAAATTATGTTAAACTCATAATATAATTAATAGTAACTTTTTTGCTACATAATTTTAAAAATTCAAAGTGATACCAAAAGTAACTATTATTACATGTGGGGTTCTGAAACCTTTCGAGCACACAGACAACCTACATGGTAGGGGCTGACCTGGACATAAGAAGGAAGTTCTTATGTCTGGACTGGCAGAGAATCAGCACCCTACTACTGCCTGCCCACGAGGAATGTGGCACCATCCGCAAGCTGCAGCACTGACTGCTTCCATGTGGGACTCAATCACCTCGAACACAGCCTGGCACAGAACAAGACACTTGATACATGTTCGATGAAGTCAAGACATCGTGATTCACTCTCCTCACTAGCACTTTATCTTTCTTTTACAGATAAGGAAACTGGGGCCCAGAGAGAAACCTGTGCAGATGCTGTGGTTAGTAATGGACAAGCCAGGCCACAAGACACTATTTTACCAAAGTGCTGCCATGTTTTTGTTTTTATTTTTGTGGGCACACAGTAGGTGTAAAATGCTGCCATTTTAAGGCAAAATAAGAAGTATAGCATTTTCACTTGAATAGAATTGTATTAACACAAAGTAAAATCCAGGCTGCTCACCAGCATTCACCTAAGATAAACAGCTTCTGTTAGCAAAAGGGCCAAAGCAGGTCAACTAAACTTCCCAGCACTTGGCAGTGAAGCAAGTTCCAGCTGGCTTACTGACGTCACCATTTGAACTTAACATTTCAAATGTTAACACAGAAACATTTACATATAAAGATCAAAGTTCTGAAGGATAAAAAGGCCTTGACAATAGGCGACTTAAGATGTATCCCATTCGGTAACTCTTCAGACAATTCTGAGTCTGGAAGAACAGGTTAAATTTGTTTGGCTTTTGTTTTAAGGAAGCGTGTCTGGGGAAGACTATCACTGCTGCTTTGTGCTAAAAGTGCTTTTAGTACTGGAAAATTCTACTTAAAAAAACAAAAATACTTTAAGTTAATGTGAGTTATAACTAATTTAGAGCATTTAACCACAATCCCTAAGTTAACTGAAATATTTCCTAAAGCCTCAGTAATATACAACTCTACCTGGCTTTTCGTAAAAGTTTAGGCAGTCTGATAATAAATCCTCAACCAAGCGCAATGAAAAATCTTGCTACTAATCACGGTGTGTGAATTTAAGGTAAAGAGCTACAAATAAATCTCTAAATAAAGTGTTAAGAAGCCTCCCTGCTGGTGTGAGTGAGGTGCAGTGTAGAGTACCCTCTCAGCGCCACCCAGTGCATTCTCAGTGTGTGCTGATGAAAACAAAAAGCCAAACTCTCTGACGATGCCCAACATACACACAAGGTAAAATCTATCTAATGACTACAGCAACAAATGGTGCGTTTAACCATTTCGGCCACTCACTGGCTGGAGAATCCTGGCTAAGTCACTTTCTCTGAGCTTCTATTTATCTTCTATACCAAGGTGGATAACAGCAATCTCTCCTTATGAGAAATGAGATATACACGAACTACTTCCTGTATAAAATATGTTAGATACACCAATACCAACAAGGCAAACAGAAAGACAAAAAAACCCTATGAAGAGATGGGGCTCCAAGCACTTGCTCAGCTCCTGTTTAAATTCTTTCTACCTTATCCGTTCTATTTGAAAAGGCATCTCAGCGTGCAAGGACCAGCCAAGGCCAGGGCAGGGCCCTCGGGGACATCTGGCCAGCACTTCAGGTTCTGGGGATGACTCAGGTGAGCCTCCCTCCCCAAGGGACCTCCTACACGCACACACACACCCCGAACCGGGGGCGGGCGAAGGAGGCCTGGCTGGTGGAGTCCTTTTCTGCGGCCCAGGCGTCGCAATATCCAGTCCCTCTCGTCCAAGGACGTGCAGGGTCTGTACTTGCCCAGTCGCACTGGGACTTCAAATTGGGGATGCAGACACGGCCCTGCTCCTGGTGTGCGCGAAGCCCGCTCAGCCGGCCAGCTCGCCTGCACGCCCGCCGCGTCCCTGGGCCCCAGGAGGGCCCCCGTATCCAGCTCCGACCAAACAGCAAGCCCGCAGTTGGCGAGCATCTTTCCCAGACCGGGAGCGGGGACAGAGCAGAGCAGACGGATCCGACCAGCGCACCACGGCGCCCCAGGGCCCTCCTACCGTCCTCGGCCCTCGGCCCCCCGTTCCCCGGCCACCGCGCGGGCTCCGCCGCTCCTGGGACGCGCACTGGCTCCGGCCCGGCGCCACCCTCTGCCCCTCTGTCACCCCGCACGGAGGCTCCCATCACCCAAGCCGCGCCCAGCCGTCGCCGCGCCGTTCCAGGAGGCCTCCGTCCTCTCCCTACTCCGCCCCGCAGGCCACACGGCGCCCCGGCCCCGCGCGCGGGCTGCCCCTCGGCGGCGCTTCCCCCCCGCGAGCCAGCAGAGGCGGTCAGCGGTCGGGTACCTGCGTCCAGTGGCGGCCCGTACAGCGCGAGTGCGGCCGAGAGCAATGCGACAACGACCGCGCCGGCGACGGCAGTTCCGGCCCCCGCGCGTGTGACCATCCCCGGGCCAAATGGAATCGACCTTACCTCGTCTGCAAGCCCGGATTGCCCCACAGCGAGGACCCAGGGCCATCGGGCAGCATTCCGGATTCCCAGCTGCCCCCGCGCCGTCGCCGGAAACACAGCCATTGGAAGCGTTTTCCGGTTTCCCGACCGCCTCCGCGCGGCTGTCGGCAGTGGGATCCCAACTCGCTCAATCACACCCGGTTCTAGATGATTGACAAGCGCGACGCCCAACCCGGCCTGGTCCCAGCTCTGGCCTAAGAGGTTCGGCTGGAAGGCAGGTTGAAGAGTTAACAACGATCTGGTTCAGGGTCTGGTTTGTGTTTATCGGCCCATTTTTAGGCTTGCGGCGTTATAGAAAATGATTTTGCTGGCAGGTGGAGTGCCGAGGCCCACTATGTGCCCCCAGTATAGCAGTCAGGTGCCTTTCTGCTCCAGGCGCAACCTCTGCCCTGAACCCCAAACCAGCTCGCTGCGAGGCCCCTTCGCTTTCCACCGTCTCAGGTCAGGGCAGCTCCATCACTCCAACGCTGAGGCCCAAACCCCTGGAAGGCATTCTGACCTCTCCTGCCCTCCCACCCACGCTCCTCCTGTGGCTGATGGCCTCTTACCTCCACTGCCGCCCTATTTGAAGCCACCGTCATGGTGCTAAAAGAAACTTGTGGGGCCAGGTGCGGTGGCTCGCGCGTGTGATCCCAATGCTTTGGGAGGCCAAGATGGAAGGATCGTTTGAGCCCAGGAGTTTGAGACCAGCCTGGACAACATAAGGAGACCCCCTTCTCTACCAAAATTTTTTTGGAAAATTAGCAGGGGATGGTGTGGCACACCTGTAGTCCAGCTACTTGAGAGGCTGAGGTGAAAGGATGGCTCAACATGTCAGAGGCCTTTTAACCAGAGCGATTCCATCTTGAATAGGGACTGGGTAAAATGAGGGTGAGACCTACTGGGCTGCATTCCCAGGGGGTTAGACATTCTTGGCCACAGGATGAGGTGGTGGGCACAAGATACAGGTCACAAAGACCGCACTGATAAGATGACACAGTAAAGAAACTGGCCCAAAGCCTACCAAAACCAAGATGGCCACAAAAGTGACCTCTGTGTCCTCATTGCTCATTATTTGCTGATTATAACGTATTAGCATGCTAAAGGACACTCCTACCAGCGCCATGAGAGTTTACAAATGCTATGGCAACATCAGGAAATTACTCTATATGGTCTAAAAAGGGGAGGAACCCTCAGTTCCAGCAATTGCCAACCTCTTTCCCAGAAAACTCATGAATAATCCCCTCCTTATTTAGCCTATAATCAAGAGATAACTATAACTATGTGTGGAGTTAGTTCCTGCCGGTGGGTTCATGGTCTCACTGACTTCAAGAATGAAGCTGCGGACCTTCACAGTGTTACAGCTCTTAAAGGTGGCATAGACCCAAAGAGTGAGCAGCAGCAAGATTTATTATGAAGAGGCCGGGCGTGGTGGCTCATGCCTGTAAGCCCAGCACTTTGGGAGGCCGAGGCGGGTGGATCACAAGGTCAGGAGATCGAGACCATCTTGGCTAACACGGTGAAACCCTGTCTCTACTAAAAATACAAAAAATTAGCCGGACATGGTGGCGGGCGCCTGTAATCCCAGCTACCCAGGAGGCTGAGGCAGGAGAATGGCGTGAACCTGGGAGGCAGAGCTTCCAGTGAGCCGAGATCGGGCCACTGCACTCCAGCCTGGGCCACAGAGCGAGACTCCACCTCAAAAAAAAAAAAAAAAAGATTCATTATGAAGAGCAAAAGAACAAAGCTTCCACAGCATGGAAGGGGACCCAAGTGGATTGCTGCTGCTGGCTGGCGGGGGTGGGGGGGTGGGGCAGCTTTTATTCCCTTATTTCTCCCCTCCCATGTTCTGTTTCTGCCCTATCGGAATGCCCTTTTTTCAATCTTTCCTGCAATTGGCTACTTTTAGGATCCTGCTGATTGGTGCGTTTTACAGAGCACTGATTGGTGCATTTTACAATCCTCTTGCTAGCTACAGAGCGCTCATTGGTGCATTTTACAATCCTAGCTACAGAGTGCTGATTGGTGCATTTTACAATCCTCTTGTAAGACAGAAAAGTTCTCCAAGTCCCCACTCGACCCAGGAAGTCCAGCTGGCTTCAAGTCTCATAAGTATATTCAGTCAAGCAGCCAGTGCCACTGCTCTGCCTATGGAGTAGCCATTCTTTTATTCCCTTTCTTAATAAGTTTGCTTTCAATTTATGGACTCGCCCAGAATTCTTTCTTGCACAAGGTCCAAGAACCCTCTTGAGGTCTGGATTGGAACCCCTTTCTGATAACAGAGTGAAACCCTGAACTACACCTACCAGACCAAACCAGTAAGGAGTTTAACTACAGTAACTGAGCTTTACTTCATGGCAGGAAACTCTGTAACCAGTTAAGCAATGAAGTTATAATCAAATTAGCTGTCTCCATCACACACTTCTGTTTCCTATAGGTGCTGTCAGATCAGGTTCCTGATTGGAGTTCTCTTATCTGCTCTGGTTTGGAGGGCTGCCCCATTCGGGAATCTGTTTTGTTTTGCTCAAATACACTCAGTTAAAACATACACGTGTCTAAGGTTTTTCCATTTAACAGTGTGTGGCCTGGATGATGGCAATAGTCTGCTGCATGAGTGTCAATGAAAAGAGTCAAACTCTAAAATATTCGAGATTTATTCTGATCCAAAGATGAGTGACCATGGCTTGTAACATAGCCCCTGCAGATCCTGAGAACATGTGCCCAGGGTAGTCGGGCTAAGCTTGGTTTTATACATGGTAGGGATACGGAAGACATCAATCAGTACATGTAAGAAGTACGTTGGTTCAGCCCAGAAAGGTGGGACAACTCCAAGAGAGGAGCTTCCAGTCATAGGTGGATTCAAAGATTTTCTGATTGGCAATTGGTAGAAAGTTTACTTAAAGACTTGGAATCAGTAGAAGGAAGTGTCTGGGTTAAGATAAGGGGTTGTGCAGATGAGGCCTCCAGGTAGCAGGCTTCAAAGAGAATGAATTGTAGATGTTTCTTTTTGTTGTTGTTGTTGTTTGAGACAGAGTCTCACTCTGTTGCCCAGGCTGGAGTCCAATGGCACAATCTTGGCCCACTGCAACCTCTGCCCCCCAGGTTCAAGCGATCCACCCTACTCAGCCTCCCAAGTAGCTGGAACTACAGGCGTGCACCACCACACCCGGCCAATTTTTGTATTTTTAGTAAAGACAGGGTTTCACTGTGTTGGCCAGGCTGGTCTCCAACTCCTGACCTCAAGTGATCCTCTGCCTTAGACTCCCAAAGTGCTGGCATTACAGGTGTGGCCCACCTCACCTGGACTTTGTAAATGTTTCTTATCAAACTTCAGGTGCCGGACTCTTAGTAAATTATCTCCTGGATCAAGAAAAAGACCTGGAAAAGGAAGGGGAGTCTCCTCAGAATGTAGATGTTTTTCCCCAAAGAGACAGTTTTGCAAGGCTATTTCAAAATATGCCAAATGAATATATTTGGGGTAAAATACTCCAGTTTCTTTCAGGGCTTGCAATCTGTCACATTGGTATCTTATTGCTACAAAAATTCTGCTTTGTCAGTCTTAAGGTCTCTGTTTTAACGTTAATGCTGGTCAACTGTGCCTGAATTCCAAAGGGAGGAGGGTATAATGAGGCATCCATCCCCCCTTTCCATCTCGGCCTGAACGAGTGTTTCAGGTTTACTGTAAAATGCCCTTGGCACCCTCCCCAGCCTCTGCCTCTGTCATCACATGATGGTCTCCTTGTCCTCACGTGGGATTTTCCTCTCCTTTAAGGACACCAGTCATATTGGAGTAGGGCCCACCCTAATGATCTCATCTCATCTTAATTCAATAATCTATAAAGACCTCACTTCCAGTTACGGTTATAGTCACAGGTACTAGGGGTTAGGATTTAACATATTCTGAGGAGACACAACTCAACCCATAATACCTTCTGTTAATAAATTAACCTCCCTGCTTTCCTACAGCAATAGAATGATCTTTCCTATAAGTCAGATCATGTCACTCCTCTGCATAGAACCATCCAACTGTTTTCCATGACACTCAGATTAAAATTAAGGTGCATTCCATCACTCTCCGACCCCTATGTGATTGGCGCCCCCAATCACCTACAGCTGTCGGAGGTCTCCGGAGGGTCTCTGGATGCCACTGAGACCCCAGCCCCAGCCAGTTTCCAAGTTCTTGACACCAGCATGAGAAAGAATTCAGGGACACGTCAGAATGAAACGAAAGGCAAGAAGCTTTTACTGCAAAGCGAAAGCACACACGTAAAAGAGAATTGCGGGCGTGCTCAGCAGAGTGAGTCACATCAGAGTTTGAGTTTCTAATTTTATGGATTTTTTTTTAATTAGGGGGTGGAATAATCATAAGGTATTCTGGAAAAGGAGTGATTTCAGGGACTCCCTCCCCCCATTACCACAGACTTTTACCCTTATTCAAGTTTTCCCAGGATCATGGACATATCACCCTGACCAGGATTTGACCATTTTCTCTTCCTTATTTTGGGTTTTCTGTTAACCTGCGGTTTCTTTGCCTCGTTCTTATTCTAGCTGTTGTTTGGGTTTTTCCATCCTCCTGTGACCACCCAGTGCTATTCCCATTTCATTTTCCCCCTTGGAGATTTCCATCCCTTCTTCTTTTATTTATTTTCTTTCTTTCTTTTTTTGAGACAGGGTCTCACTCTGTTACCCAGGCTGGGATGCAGTGGCATAATCATGGCTCACTGCAGCCTCCCCTTCCCAGGCTCCAGCGATCCTCAGACTTCAGCTTCCTGAGTATCTGGGACCACAGGTGTGTGCTACCACGCCCGGCTAATTTTTGTATTTTTGGTAGAGATGGGTTTTTGCCATGTTGTGCAGGGTGGTCTCAAACTCTTGAGCTCAAGCGATCTGCCTACCTTGGCCTCCCAAAGTGCTGGGATTACAGGCATGAGCCACCTACCGTGCTCAGCCATTCCATCCCTTATTCTTGAGGGAGATGAGGGAGGAGGTCAGTCTTCCGTGTCATCTTCCTGCTGATTTAAGAGCACTGGCCCTGCCTACCGAGGGCATGGGAATCTCCAGCTGCTTGATCTAAGGGTCCCCAGGGGACAGCAGGAGCGTCTGATTCCAAGACAGGAAGCAGCTGGAACCCTAGCTTGAAGATCACCTTTACCTAGATCTGCTGTAACCAGAGACAGGCACTTTACAAGCAAGTTGAATATGCATGGGCCAAATATTAACGATGAGCTCACCCTTAACGGGCCCAAAAGTGGTAAAAACCAGGTACTAGAAGGTACAGCAGCTTTAACAGCATCCCACATAAAATCAGCAGGAGGGTTTTTCTTTTCGAGGGTGCAAAGGCATTTTGCCTGGTCATTTGTGCCTGAATTCCAAGGCATGGGGGAAAGTGGAGTGAGGCGTGTCTGACCCCCAGCTTTCCATCATGGCCTGAACTAGTTTTTCAGGTTTTTTTTTTTTTTTTAATTGGATCCCCTTTGGGCAAGAGGCGTGTCCATTCTACTAGGGAGGATGCAGATTTTTTTTAGTTTATAGTCCGCTTTTTGTAAAGGTATGCCAGAGGCAGTGTCAATGGCCAAGCTTTTATTTTGTCCCATATTGATGCCGGGGGGGGGGGGGGGGGGGGGGGGTGCTACCTGTGCCAGGTCTATCATGTCCCTCAGTGGGACCCCTACGGCTAAGGGACTTAGAGTCAAAAGACTTATAACCAATTAATTATTCTAAGCCAAATGGAATGGAAGTGCGCAGGCACTCATTAACCTTCGAATCTCTTTTAAGCAACATAAGAACCAAAAACCAAAAGCCAAAAGACAAGGTAACATAATTGACTTATTTATAAATTATGTGCATTGAGCCACCATAATCTGGTTTGTAGCAATTAGCTATACAAAACACAAGCATTTTGTTAAGCTGCTGAGGCATCTCTGTGACCATTAATGACTGAATCCATTAATTCAGTTGGAGGATCTGAATTAATTTTATTCCTCAGAATTGGCCCTTACAATCTTATGCTGGGCCTGGAGGGATTGTATAGTTCAAATTCTGGAGGCACAACAAACGCAAGGAGCTAAAAACATTTTAAACAAAAAGGTCACAAGCCCTGCCTAGTTTTGCAAATGATAGAAAAAAAATTAAACCTTTAAATTATTTAGTATCTAGGCATAGAATAAATATTACATTATTTCAAATAAAGGCAAAATTATTAAATGAACCTTTTTTTTTGAGACGGAGTCTCGCTCTGTCGCCCAGGCTGGAGTGCAGTGGCGCGATCTCGGCTCACTGCAAGCTCCGCCTCCCGGGTTCACGCCATTCTCCTGCCTCAGCCTCCCGAGTAGCGCCCGCCACCACGCCCGGCTAATTTTTTGTATTTTTAGTAGAGACGGGGTTTCACCTTGTTAGCCAGGATGGTCTCGATCTCCTGACCTCGTGGATCCACCCACCTCGGCCTCCCAAAGTGCTGGGATTACAGGCGTGAGCCACTGCGCCCAGCCTAAATGAACCTTAATGTATTTGAATACAGGCCTGTCCCTGTGTTTCATGAAAGCAGTTTACTTTGAGTGTCACCTTTGCCCAGGTCTAAAGATGAGGCTTTGGTCATCTTGAGTTTGGTGTCAGTTTCTGGTAGGAGTCAGTGCGTTCTTCAGATGCGACATGTGTACCCAGGAGTCAAGGCCCTGCAACTTAACAGCACGAAAATTAGTTAATAGACCCCGATAAGGACTCCCTCAAGGGGCTAAGGGAGTTCTTCAGCTGATTTGCTTCCAGTAAATGTAATTATCAGGCCAGAGGTGGTGATAGTGGAGTTCATGGTCTGACTGGAAGCTGTAAAAATGTTCACAGCCGGACGAGGTGGCTCGCGCCTGTAATCCCAGCACTTTGGGAGGCCGAGGCGGACGGATCTCTAGGTCAGGAGTTCGAGACCAGCCCGGCCAACATGGTGAAACCCCGTCTCTACTAAAAATACAAAAAATTAGCTGGAACGTGGTGGCACGTGTCTGTAATCCCAGCTACTCGGGAGGCTGAGGCAGGAGAATCACTTGAACCCGGGAGCCGGAGGTTGCAATGAGCCGGGATCTCGCCATTGCACTCCAGGCTGGGTGACAGGGCGAGACTCCGTCTCAAAAAAAAAAAAAAGTTCTACAACCTTGCAGCAATTAATTTTTATAGATTTAATAAGCCCCAGCAATAAGACACCTCAGAGACTTAATTTAGGATTTTGATTTTGAGGACGTTTATTAAAGATGTTAAAAGGCTCAAAACATCTGATCCAAACAGAAGCACAGGTCATTGTAAAATAATAGTTACTTACTTAACAAAAGTGATAATCAAAAGACTTTAAAGGCAATACAGAAGGTAATACGGATGTAAAAACCTTGACCCTTTTACATTTCAGATTTTGCAATCAAAAACCTAATAAAGACAGCATGAGAATTATAAAATCTTGTCTCTTAAGCCAGTTACCAAAAAAGCAAAGAAAAATCTGCAGTGACTGCTTCTCCTTATGAGAAGCCCACTTAGATAACCTGGAAGTCAAGTTTGATGAAAAAGTACTGGAATTTAATCAGACACAGGAAGAGTGTGTTCAAGGTTATGAGCATACCACGGGAATACATGACTCTTAGGAACAGCATGAGAAGTTTCTTGATTACACTGAAAATTTAGACATATCAAAAAAAGCCTAGAGTACAGAACGGAGGAAAACAATGTTTTCTGTTTTGACCTTCAAGATAAAACATTTCAGCCTTAGGCCGTAACAGTAAAATTGAAACCAGAAGAAAAAAGTTACAAGAGCTGACAAAAAGGCTGAGTTACCATCTCAGGCCTTCTCAACAGAGAAAAGGCAGAAACAGATTATAGAATTATTATGAAAAGCAGAAGTTCAATTAATTTTATTGAGAGCAAATCAATACTTTAAAGAAGCTTTGTTTTAACATACAGGACTATTATAAATGATTTCCTTTTTTAAAAAGTCCATTAAAACATTTTTTTTTAAATTTTTTTCTAAGAGAGCCTGGCTTTGTCACCTAGGCTGGAATGCAATGGCACGATCTTGGCTCACTGCAACCTTCGTCTCCCAGGTTCAAGCGATTCTCTTGCCTCAGCCTCCTGTGTAACTGGAATTACAGGAATGAGCCACCATGCCTGGCTATTTTTTGTATTTTTAGTAGAGACGGGGTTTCACCATGTTGGTCAGGCTGGACTTGAACTCCTGACCTCATATGATCCGCCCACCTCAGCCTCCCAAAGTGCTGGGATTACAGGCATGAGCCACCGTGCCTAGCCAATTTCCTTTTAATTATAACCAAGTTGCCTCTCCCCTCTCCCCTCTCCCCACGGTCTCCCTCTCCCTCTCTTTCCACAGTCTCCCTCTGATGCCGAGCCGAAGCTGGACTGTACTGCTGCCATCTCGGCTCACTGCAACCTCCCTGCCTGATTCTTCTGCCTCAGCCTGCCGAGTGCCTGCGATTGCAGGCGCGCGCCGCCACGCCTGACTGGTTTTCGTATTTTTTTGGTGGAGATGGGGTTTCACTGTGTTGGCCGGGCTGGTCTCCAGCTCCTAACCGCGAGTGATCCGCCAGCCTCAGCCTCTCGAGGTGCCGGGATTGCAGACGGAGTCTCGTTCACTCAGTGCTCAGTGGTGCCCAGGCTGGAGTGCAGTGGCGTGATCTCGGCTCGCTACAACCTCCACCTCCCAGCCGCCTGCCTTGGCCTCCCAAAGTGCCGAGATTGCAGCCTCTGCCCAGCCGCCACCCCGTCTGGGAAGTGAGGAGTGTCTCTGCCTGGCCGCCCATCGTCTGGGATGTGAGGAGCCCCTCTGCCTGGCTGCCCAGTCTGGAAAGTGAGGAGCGTCTCTGCCCGGCCGCCATCCCATCTAGGAAGTGAGGAGCACCTCTTCCCGGCCGCCATCCCATCTAGGAAGTGAGGAGCGTCTCTGCCTGGCCGCCCATCATCTGACATGTGGGGAGCGCCTCTGCCCTGCCACCCCGTCTGGGATGTGAGGAGCATCTCTGCCCGGCCGCCCCGTCTGAGAAGTGAGGAGCCCCTCCGCCCGGCAGCCGCCCCGTCTGAGAAGTGAGGAGCCCCTCCGCCCGGCAGCCACCCCGTCTGGGAAGTGAGGAGCGTCTCCGCCTGGCAGCCGCCCCGTCCGGGAGGGAGGTGGGGGGGTCAGCTCCCGGCCCGGCCAGCCGCCTCGTCCAGGAGGTGAGGGGCGCCTCTGCCCGGCCGCCCCTACTGGGAAGTGAGGAGCCCCTCTGCCCGGCCAGCCGCCCCGTCCGGGAGGGAGGTGGGGGGGTCAGCCCCCCTCCCAGCGAGTCGCCCCGTCCGGGAGGGAGGTGGAGGGGTCAGCCCCCCGCCCGGCCAGCCGCCCCGTCCGGGAGGTGAGGGGCGCCTCTGCCCGGCCACCCCTACTGGGAAGTGAGGAGCCCCTCTGCCTGGCCACCACCCCATCTGGGAGGTGTACCCAACAGCTCATTGAGAACGGGCCATGATGACAATGGCGGTTTTGTGGAATAGAAAGCGGGGAAAGGTGGGGAAAAGATTGAGAAATCGGATGGTTGCCGTGTCTGTGTAGAAAGAGGTAGACATGGGAAACTTTTCATTTTGTTCTGTACTAAGAAAAATTCTTCTGCCTTGGGATCCTGTTGATCTGTGACCTTACCCCCAACCCTGTGCTCTCTGAAACATGTGCTGTGTCCACTCAGGGTTGAATGGATTAAGGGCCGTGCAAGATGTGCTTTGTTAAACAGATGCTTGAAGGCAGCATGCTCGTTAAGAGTCATCACCACTCCCTAATCTCAAGTACCCAGGGACACAAACACTGAGGAAGGCCGCAGGGTCCTCTGCCTAGGAAAACCAGAGACCTTTGTTCACTTGTTTATTGGCTGACCTTCCCTCCACTATTGTCCTGTGACCCTGCCAAATCCCCCTCTGCGAGAAACACCCAAGAATGATCAATAAAAATAAATAAATAAATAAATAAATAATAAAAAAAAATTTGAAAACCAATCAACATAGTCTACCAAATTAACAGAATAAATTTAAAAATAATCATTTAAAAAAAAAAGAAACACACACAAAAAAAATAATAATTATTATAACCAAGTTAATCGCAGACAAAATTTCTTTCCTAAATTCCCATTTGCAAACCTTATGACAACTTACACAGACCATCTACGAAATGGCTCAAGCAATCCTCCTGCCTCAGCCTCCCAAAGTGCTGGGATTCTGGGTGTGAGGCACTGCATTCGGGCAATGCTTGGACTTTCTGACTTGTCCTAAACTTCCCTCTTTTGTAAATATTAGGTTGGTGCAAAAGTAATTGCGGTTTTTGCATTGTTGAAATTTGCCGTTTGATAATATATTCTTAAATACATGCAGTCATGCTATACGTCATTTTAATGCACATTTCTCACTTTTTTTTGCTAATGACTTATTACTTGCTGCTTTATTATATATTTATTTAAGACTATGGAAATAATGTTAGACAAAAAGGAAATTCAAGCAATTTTCTTTTCTTTTTTTTTTTTTTTTTTGAGACAGAGTCTTGCTCTGTTGCCCAGGCTGCAGTGCAGTGGTGAGATCTCGGCTCACTACAAGCTCAGCCTCCCGAGTTCATGCCATTCTCCTGCCTCAGCCTCCTGAGTAGCTGGAACTACAGGCGCTCACCACCACGCCCGGCTAGTTTTTTGTATTTTTAGTAGAGACGGGCTTTCACAGTGTTAGCCAGGATGGTCTCGATCTCCTGACCTTGTGATCCGCCCACCTCAGCCTCCCAAGGTGCTGGGATTACAGTCATGAGCCACCACGCCCGGCCTCAAACAATTTTCTTATTTGAGTTCAAAATGGATAGTAAAGCAGCGGAGAAAACCTGCAACATCAACAATGCATTTGACCCAGGAACTGCTAATGAACACACAGTGCAGTGGTGAGTCAAGAAGTTTTGAAGAGGAGACAAAAGCCTTGAAGATGAGGAGCGTAGTGGCCGGCCATCGGAAGTTGACAACAACCGAGAGCAATCATTGAAGCCGATCCTCTTACAACTACCCGAGAAGCTGCTAAAGAACTCAACGTCAACCATTCTACAGTCAATCAACATTTGACACAAATTGAAAAGGTGAAAAAGCTCAATAAGTGGGTGCCTCATGAGCTGAGCGAGAATCAAAAAAATTGTAATTTTGAAGAGTCATCTTCTCTTATTCTCCACAACAACAGTGAACCATTTCTTGATCTGATTGTGATGTAAGATGAAAAGTGGATCTTACACAACTGGCAACAACCAGCTCAGTGGTTGGACCGAGAAGCTCCAAAGCACTTCCCAAAGCCAAACTTGCACGAAAAACAGGTCCTGGTCACTGTCTGGTGGTCTGTGCCAGTCTGATCCACCACAGCTTTCCGAATCCCAGTGAAACCATTACATCTGAGAAGTATGCTCAGCAAATCGAAGAGATGCATCGAAAACTGCAACGCCTGCAGCCGGCATTGGTCAACAGGAAGGGCCCAATTCTTCTCCACCGCAGCGCCCCCACCGCACGTCACACAACCAACACTTCAAAAGTGGAACAAATTGGGCTGTGAAGTTTTGCCTCATCCGCCATATTCACCTGACCTCTCACCAACCAACTACCATTTCTTCAAGCATCTCGACAACTTTTTGCAGGGAAAACGCTTCCACAACCAGCAGCATGCAGAAAGTGCTTTCCAAGAGTTCGTCAAATCCCAAAGCATGGATTTTTATGCTACAGGAATAAACAAATTTATTTTTCGTTGGCAAAAATGTGTTGATTGTAATGGTTCCTATTTTGATTAATAAAGATGTATTTGAGCCTTGTTATAATGATTTAAAATTTACGGTCCAAAACTGCAATTACTTTTGCACCAACGTAGGACAATAATTTACCATACAAGATCCTTTTTCTTTTACTTTTTCTTTTCTTTTTTTTTTGAGATGGAGTCTTGCTCTGTCGCCCAGGCTGCAGTGCAGTGTCACCATCTCGACTCACTGCAACCTCCGCTTCCAGGGTTCAAGTGATCCTCTTGCCTTAGCCTCCCAAGTAGCTGGGACTACAGGCATGAACCACCACACCCTGCTAATTTTTGTAATTTTTTGCATAGACAGGGTTTCACCATGTTGCTCAGGCTGGTCTCAAACTCCTCAAGCAATCTGGCCACCTCAGTCTCCCAAAGTGCTGGGACTACAGGCATGAGCCATGGTGCCTGGCCCACATCCATAACTTTCATCACATCTTTCTCTTCCCTACTTACTGGCTCCTTTCTTCCTTATTTCAGGTGAGCAGCACCATGCTCAGCTAATTTTTTTTTTTTTTTTGTATTTTTAGTAGAGACAGGGTTTCACCATGTTGGCCAGGCTGGTCTTGAACTCCTGACCACAGGTGATCCACCCCCCTCAGCCTCCCAAAGTGCTGGGATTACAGGCCTGAGCCACTGCGCCTGGACCATTCCACAATTTTAGAGATATGTTTTCCGGTATCCTAAACTTTCCTTAATTGAAAATGACCCAGACATCCAATCAGTAATCCAAGGAGAGCTGTGGACCAAAATTTTGGGTAAAGTAATCTTTATGGAAATTTGGTTTTTAAAAAGCTTTTTTTTTTTTCTTATCACTTCCTTCAGTTTTGTGAACCCCAAAAATTTGAGACAGGTCTTAGTTAATTTAGAAAGTTTATTTTGCCAAGATTGAGGACATGCACCCATGAGTCAGCCTCAGGAGGTCCTGACGACAGGTGCCCAAGATGGTCAGAGCACAGTTTGGTTTTATACATTTTAGGGGACATGAGACATCAATCAGCATATGTAAGATGAACATTGGTTGGGACTGGAAAGGCAAGACAACTCGAAGTGGGGAGGGGTCTTCCAGGTCATAGGTAGATAAGAGACAAATGGTTGCATTCCTTTATTTGTTTTTATGAGATGGAGTTTCGCTCTTGTTGCCCAGGCTGGAGTGCAATGGCGTGATCTTTGCTCGCCGCAACCTCCACCTCCCAGGTTCAAGTGATTCTCCTGCCTCAGCCTCCCAAGTAGCTGGGATTACAGGCATGCGCCACCATGCCCGGCTGATTTTGTATTTTTTTAGTAGAGATGGGGTTTCTCCATGTTGGTCAGGCTGGTCTCAAACTCCTGGCGTCAGGTGATCCGCCTGTCTTGGCCTCCCAGAGTGCTGGGATTACAGGCGTGAGCCACTGCGCCCCGGCCAAATGGTTGCATTCTTTTGAGTTCCTGGTTAGCCTCTCCCAAGGAAGCAATCAGATAAGCATTTATCTCAGTCAGCAGAGGGGTGACTTTGAATAGAATGGGAGGCAGCCTTGTTCTAAGCAGTTCCCAGCTTGACTTTTCCCTTTAGCTTTAGTCATTTTGGGTCCCAAGATATTTTCCTTTCACAGTTTCAAGTGAGTTTCTAAGGTTTACATTTTAGCCAGAACAAATTCTACAAGTAACCTTGAGAAGTAAGTTTTATCTCAACATGGGTAGCCTAATAATAGCAGATTCAAAGCAGGCAGAAGAGAAAAGAGAGAAATAAATAGAGAGCTTCAGAATTTTCTATTTAATTTTATACTTGCAGGGCAAAAATAACCACTGGAATGCCAACAGGCTGACACTTCAGACAAGGGAATGGGACTCTGGGTTTAACACATTTTATGTCTTTCTTACCTTTTTTTTTTTTTTTTAATTTTTGAGACAAGAGTCTTGCTCTGTCACCAGGCTGGAGTGCAGTGGCACGATCTCGGCTCACTGCAACCTCTGCCTTCCGGGTTCAAGTGATTTCCCTGCCTCAGCCTCCCAAGTAGCTGGGACTACAGGCGTGCGCCACCATGCCTGGCTAATTTTGTATTTTAGTAGAGACGGGGTTTCACCATGTTGGCCAGGATGGTCTTGAACTCCTGACCTCGTGATCCACCCACCTTGGCCTCCCAAAGTGCTGGGATTACAGGCATAAGCCACCACACCCAGCCATTTCTTACCATTTAAGAAACCAGAGCTGCAAAGACAGGGACATGGGTCTTTGAAAACATTTCTCTAAAACTGTGGAATGGTTGTATCTCTAGAATGCTAACATCTGACAAACAGTTCAGGATTTCTTCCTTCCAGTGAGTCTGTCTAGTCAAGAGGCTGCTTCCAGAGAGGTGAGTTCTTGTCGAAGGTGCTGAACCTTTGGTGAGGATGATTTGGAGAGTAGATGCAACAAATCTCCGTGCCTGGTGACATGGAGAACCTAGGAATTTCGAACCTAGTTCAACTCTAAAAACACACCTGGGAAGGCAGGCATCCTGGGCATGCTGACACCCATTACGGCTCGAGGCTAGTTTTTACAGCAGCTATTTATGGAAGTTTGGTTTTTTAAAAAAAATTTTGAGAGACAGGATCTCACTCTGTCTCCTAGGCTGGAGTACAGTGGCATGATCCTAGCTCACTGCAGCCTTGAACTCCTGTGCTCAGGCGATCCTCCTGCCTCAGCCTCCTGAGTAGCTGGAACTGCAGGTGTGTCACCATGCCTGGTTAATTTTTAACTGTTTTATTTATTATTTATTTATTTATTTACTTATCTATCTATCTTAGAGACAAGGGGCTTGCTATGTTGCCCAGGCTGGTCTCAAACTCTTGGCCTCAAAGGATCGTCCTGCCTCAGCCTCCCAAAATGCTAGGATTTCAGGCATGAGCCACCACTCGCGGCTGCAAGTTTGATTTAGAAGTAAAAACAAAACAAACCCAAAGCAACAAAGCAACAAGTCAACAAAGCAACAGGGAAATACTTGCACTCGCTACAGTTTCTTAGCGACTGTTTCCGAAGCTATATTTTAAAATCTTGCTCTTCTCTCAAAGTGCACTGACTCCTGGGAGGGGAGCGCTCTTCCCCTTTGCAAAGCCAGCTATTGCTGGGGCAAAGGACACGGGAGGGTAAAAGCTCTGGGGCTGGCTGGGCGGGAGGGAAGGAAGGCTTCCTGCTGTAATGGTTAATCCTAGTGTCAATTTGTCTGGGACACAGCAACCAGATATTTGGTCAGACACATATGAAAATTGCTGTGAAGGCATTTTAAAGATGAGATTAACATTTAAATCAGTCGACTTTGAGTAAAGCAGATTATCCTTCACGATGGGGTGGGCCTCATCCAATCCGCTGAAGGTCTTAAGAGAAAAGAACCACCTTTCCTTAGAAGCAGGGAGCTCTGACTACAGACTGCCTCAGGCTCCCTTGTCCCCAGCCTGGCCCCTGCCCTGCAGACTGTGCACTTGCCAGCCTGCATGATTGCATGAGCCAATTCCTTAAATCTTTCTCAACACATACACACACACACACGCAAGCGCACGCACACACACTTGCGTGCACACACATCCTATTGGTTCTGTTTTTCTGGAGAAGCCTCTCCAACACAGCCACCAAGGGTAAAAAAAGGGATAAAAAGGCAGAAGGCTGGGTACAGTGGCTCACGCCTGTAAGCCCAGCACTTTGGGAGGCCGAGGTGGGTGGATCACCTGAGGTCAGGAGTTTGAAACCAGCCTGGCCAACATGCTTAAATCCCATATCTACTAAAAATACAAAAATTAGCCAGGCACGGTGGCGGGCGCCTGTAGTCCCAGCTACTCAGGAGGCTGAGGCGGGAAAATCGCTTGAGCCTGGGAGGTGGAGGCTGCAGTGAGCTGAGATCGTGCCACTGCACTCCAACCTGGTCAACCGAGTGAGACTCTGTCTCAAAAAAAAAAAAAAAAAAAGAAAAGAAAAAGTAGACAGGCAGATAGCACCCCAAATAAAAATCCAACAGGTGAGGCCTGGGGTAGAGGAAAGAAGGTTGAACTAGGAATTGGGGGCTGTGGGTTTCAGTTTACGCTCTGCTGACAAAAGGGATATGTGATTGTTTTTCTTATTTTTTCTTTCTTTTTTGAGACAGGGTCTCACTCTGTCACCCTGGCTGGAGTCCAGAGGGGGAATCAAAGCTCACTATAACCTCAAACTCCTGGGCTCAAGCAATCCTCCCCTCTCAGCCTCCCTCTGCTTTCTCGTGTGTAAAGTTAGGAGGCGGGGTTTGGTATGCGTGGCCTTTCTTGCTCTGAATGTTGTGGCTCAGGGTCTCATTGTTCCTCCCGTGGCCAGTCCTGTGTGTGGCTTCTGCCTGCTCCGGGCAGCGGGGTAGGTCTGGTGCTGGTTGGCCCCCTCAGCTTCAGTCTCCATGTGAAAGGCCTGGCACCTCATTCTTCAGGAACAATATTCAGAAACAAGTGGCAGAACTTACATTTTCTTTGTGATTGAAACTTGATTTTGCTACATCCAAGTGGAGGTCACATAGACTAAAGATTAGCCATTCGATCACAAATAAGAGAGGACATGTGTGACCAGGCAAAACACAAAATTAAAAGCAAAACTAACTAGCATCTTCTCATCCCAGGGAGAGGGTAGCTGGTGGTAAGGTCCGGGGATTCATGATGGAAGTCCAGCTCTGTCTCCAGAACCTTCTCCTAATCCCAGCCCAGTCTCCCACGAGTTGTGCTCTGTGTACCCGGCCTGAGGCCACATTCTCAAAGTTCTTGAGCACTCTGGCCCTAAAACCCTGGCCCCTCTGGGGACCCTGCTCACATTTCCTGCGGTGCTCAGGAGTTTGTCTCTATACTTTCCCACAGCCTGTGGGAAGATGTCCTCCACAGAAATGATTCAGTCCAAGTTCCCAAAATTGATCTCTGTGGCCGAATTTATGCTGAGACATGGCATGCCAGGAGCCTGCTCAGGAAGGGAGACACTGAGCGACCTCTTTCTGGCCTTGCTTTGCTCCTTTTGTCTAAGCCAGGGGTGTCTGATCTTTTGGCTTCTGGGGGCCCCATTGGAAGAAGAATTGTCTTGGGCCACACATAAAATACACTAACACAAACGACAGCTGATGAACTAAAAAACTCACAATGTTTTAAGAAAGTTTACGAATTTGTGTTGGGCCTCATTCAAAGCCCTCCTGGGCCACATGTGGCCCGTGGGCCTCGGGTTGGACAAGCTTGGTCTAGGCGTTTTGGTTCTCGACAGAATTTCTCTGCGTTTTCCCTTTCCACGTTTCTGCCAGGCCACCTCTCCTGTCACATGGGACGCCTCTTATGTATTTATTTGCGGGCCCATGATCTCCAGGTTTCTCATAGTTTTAGACAAGGACAAACCCGGAGAAATGCTTGGCTGAAGCTTGATTCAGCAGAACCGTGGAGCATGCGCCCTGGCAGGTGTCAGCTTCCCGGGTGGAGAGCCGCAAACCAGATCCGCCCCACCTGGTTCTCAGGGCCTGGCGGGGAAGGCACCCGGACCTGCTCAATTTCTTTTGGTGAAACTTACATATTTTTTTAAAGCACATTTTCTTGTACAAAATAGCCTTTCGGTCTATTTAGTGCAGTTTTGTTTTTTGTTTTTTTATTCATTTTAGAGATGAGGTCTTGCTATGTTGGCCGGATTGGTCTTCAACTCTTGGCCTTAAGCAACCCTCCCACCTTGGCCTCCCAAAGTGCTAGGATTACAGGCATGAGCCACTGCACCCAGACTGATTTTTAAAAATTATTTTATTATTGTGGTAAAATATACATAACATAAATGTTAGCATTTTAATCAGTTTTAAGTGTACAGTTCAGTGGCATGAACTGCATTCACACCATTGTGCAGCTATCACCACCGTCCACCTCTAGAACTTTTCATTATTTTAATCAGAAACTCTACCCATAAAACACTGACTCCCTGGTTCTTCCCTCCCCCAGTCCCTGGTACCTACCATTTCACTCTCTGTCTCTGTGAGTGTGACTGTAATTTTTCAGAATTAAGGGGAGTTACTGAAGAAAAGAAACCAAACGTTGAGTAAGCATGAAGGGACTGGAATTAACATAACACTAACAAATAATTACATTCTTATTAATTTAATTATGTTCGTAGGAGGTGCTGTTCTTCCTGCCTAGTGGAAACGGGGAGATGAGGTCTTCGTTGTCACACTTTACCCATTATTTTCAGCTTTATGATGAAGAGGAATATGGTTATGGGATACAGCCAGAGGAAAAAATAAAATTTATCTCCAGGATCAGGCAAACTTTATCTTTCAGACTTAAGGAAGAACCGGTCAGGCTTGGGTAGACTTAGTTCCCCTGGGGGCTTTTTTGAAAGGCAGAAGCACAAAGGTACATGTTGTTACCCATAAAAATTAAGTCATCTATTTTCTAAGTGATTGCCATGATTCAGCATATTTTTCAAAAGCACAAATGATCAGCGAAAATGTTGATGCAGTTATTGATCTGCTTGACCATGGCTGGGACGCTTCTCTCCTCAGCCTTCTCTCTCAGCTGCCGGTTGCAGCAGCGGCAGCACCCTCAGGGGCGGTGGGGGAGATACAGGCAGGACCCCTGGAGGAGCACAGAGCTGCCTCTGCAACTTCACTCCCACTGCAGCTCCGCAGGTCAGCGTGGGGGGCCGGGGAGCAAGCTCGTTATCAGCATCTCAGACGACCCCGGCCCTTCCCATGTTCCTCACACGTGCATGTGGTGCTGTCGGGGTATTCTTGTTCATTTTCTCCTACATCAAACTCACATTTGGATGGAGACATGTATTTCTCCATCGATTTTTTCCCATCCATTCTCCCTGCATTTACCAAAACAAGCCACATTGAACCAGAGGATCTGAGAGCATGGAATTCACCTTTCTGATCCCTATGCAGTTCAGAAAGTCAGACTGAGAGGGAGCGAAACACAGCTGTGTGTGTGCACTTCTGTATTACATATCAATCATAATACATGAAGTGACAGGCTTTTCTTCAGAGCTCCAATCTCAAAGAATCTAGAAGGCCCACATTTTCAATAAAAACCTCTAATAGAATCATAACCTAAAGGAAAAAGCACCAGGTTGAGTTTGGATTTAAAGTTCCAATTCCTAAGCTTTAAGAATTTAAGAGAGTTACTTAAACTTTTTGGTTCACAGAGTTTTTTTATCATCAAAAAATGAAATATTTGGATTAGATAAACTTCAATGTTTCTCTAAGCTCTAGAGACGTGTGTTTGGTATAGTAATATATTTGCTTATATTTAACCTTTATTTAGTTTGTAGCTTTTTTGTTTGTTTGTTTGAGATGGGGTCTTGCTCTATCACCTGTCTGGACTGCAGTGGTGTGAACATGGCTCACTGCAACCTCCACCTCCCAGGCCCAAGTGATCTTCCCACCTCAGCCTCCCGAGTGGCTCATGCCTATAATCCTAGCACCACAAGCCTCAACCACCATGCCCGGCTAATTTTTGTTCTTTTTTAGTAGAGACTAGGTTTCACTATGTTGCTCAGGCTGGTCTCAAACTCCTGGACTGAAGCAATCCATCCACCTCAGCCTCCCAAAGTGCTGGGATTATAGTCATGAGCCACCATACCCAGCCAGTTTGTAGCTTTTAAAATATTGTTTTAAAGCTTTCTAAGATGAGAGCCAGGGCCAGAACTTTGAGAGCCTGAGGCAGTAGGATTGTTTGAGGTCAGGAGTTCAAGACCAGCCTGGACAACATAGCAAGACTGCATCTGTACAAAAAATGTAAAAATTAGCCTGGCATGGTGGCAACGTGCCTGTAGTCCTGGTTCCTCAGGAGGTTGAGATAGATAACAGGATCACTTGAATCCAGGAGTTTATATTTACAGTGAGCTAGGAATATGCCACTGCACTCCAGCCTGGGCAACCGAGCTAAACCCTGTTCCTAAAAAATAATAAATAATTAAAAAGCTCTCTTAAGATGCATAGTAATGTTCTCGAGGATTCTCAGTAGTCTGTAATTTGTATACAGCAAGTTGTAAATGATACAGAGACAAATATCTCCCCTGTACCTTTTGTTAAGTTTTTCTCCAAAGTGAAAATTAGAGAAGGGTGGCTAGGTGACTTCACCTGATTAGAAGCCAGGTGACTTCATTTCCACAGATGTCATTGGTATACATGACAGTCTCCATAAGCTGAGGAGTGCAGCCTCCATGCTAGAATAGTTCCTATTTCTCAGTTACTCTTAGTGAATTGTGTAGGGCAGGAAAAAAAATGGTTTCCTCTGTCTTCTTAGGTACTGTAGCTGGGGCCTGTGAATCACACTGATAAAAGATAGATTCTTTTTTTCTCTTTTTTTGAGGTGGAGTCTTGCTCTATTGCCCAGGCTGTAGTGCAGTCACGCAATCTCAGCTCACTGCAACCTCTGCCTCCCGGGTTCAAGTGATTCTCCTGCCTCAGCCTCCTGAGTAGCTGGGATTACAGGCATATGCCACCACACCTGGCTGATTTTTGTATTTTCAGTAGAGACGGGGATTTCACCATGTTGGCCAGGCTGGTCTCAAACTCCTGACATTAGGTGATCTGCCCGCCTCAGCCACCCAAAGGGCTGGGATTACAGGCGTGAGCCACTGCGCCCGGCCAAAAGACAGATTAATAGGAGGAAAGGCATATAAATTATATTTTATGTTAATTTTTTTTTTTGAGACAGAGTCTTGTTCTGTCACCCAGGCTGCAGTACAGTGGCATGATCTTGGCCCACTACAACCTCTGCCTCCTGGGTTCAAGCGATTCTCCTGCCTCGGCCTCCCAAGTAGCTGGGATTACAGGCATGCGCCACCACGCCTACCTAATTTTTGTATTTTTAGTAGAGATGGGGTTTCACCATGTTGGCCAGGCTGGTCTCAAACTCCTGACCTCAAGTGATCCGCTGGCCTTGGCCTCCCAAACTGTTGGAATTACGGGCGTGAGCCACTGCACCTGGCCTTCATGTTAATATTTTAATAAGTTTTAATTTTTTGTGTGCATGGAGGACTTCACAGGAAAGAAATGAAGACCCACAGGAGCAGTTAAACATGGGGCTGGGGGCCAGCCGCGGTGGCTCATGCCTGTAATCCCAGCGCTTTGGGAGTCTGAGGTGGACAGATCACCTGAGGTCAGGAGTTCGAGACCAGCCTGGCCAACATGGTGAAACCCCATCTTCTAAAAATACAAAAATCAGCCAGGCATGTGGCATGCACCTGTAATCCCAGCTACTCAGGAGACTGAGGCAGGAGAATTGCTTGAACTCAGGAGGCAGAGGTTGCAATGAGCCAAGATTATGCCACTGCACTCCAGCCTGGTGACAGAGCAAGACTCTGTCTCAAAAAAAAAAAAAACAAAAAATGAAAAACAAACAAAAAACAACCCACAAAAAACCAAACAACAAAAACCGTGGGGCTGGGGTTCTATGCCCTTTTAACAAAGGGCTATAAATTGTGGAGACAGGACAAGACCAAGGAAAAAGAGTTTGGGCTTCTAGAGGTGGTAAACTGTGGAAAGGAGCATATGAGGAAAATGAACAGAAGGGAAGGGTTATAGGGTTATTTAGTAAAGCTAGTTTACGCAGACGCATCCTGGTGCCATCTCCATTGTCAGTGATGATGTTGTTCTTCCCTTCCCGGTATGAGAGATGGGGACACCCCCATGACAGAAATTTATGCCCGGCTTTTAGGCAGAGAGGGGAGGGCAGAGAGCCTTTCCTGTGTCTACTTTTTCTCAATTGCCTTCCAGTTCAAAATAATCTTTATGCCAAAGTGGCATATCTTGAGGCGGCATATTCTAATCCCCTTCTATTGTAATATATAATGGAAACTGAGACTTCAGCAGTGCTGTCTACTAGAACTTTCTGTGATGAAGGAAATGTTCTGTGCCCGCACTGTCCTATATAGTAGCCACTAGCCACATATCTGTTGAGCACAAGAAATGTGGCTGGTACAACTGAAGAGCTGAATTTTAAATTTTATTACATTTTCATTAATTTAAATTTAAATACGCATGTGTGGTTGGTGTCTGCCATATTGAATAGTAGAGCTCTAGAACATTAAGAACTTAAACAGAAAACACTCATTTAGCTTTGAGCATGAGAAATTTTACATTGTTGTATTACGTACGACACCTAATACTCCAAGTTGTTTCCTGACGGGACATTTACTTTTTAGTTTAATATTTGCCTGTAGTGCCCTCTACTGTCTCTAGGATGACTGTGTTGGGAAATGTCCCCAACTTGAGTTCCTTCAGATGACATTCTGTTCCAGGGGCCCTGCAGTTTAGCCCAGAGCTGTCATTATCAGATGGTTTGTATTTAGGTCTGATCCTTCAAGTAGAACTTCTGATGAAGATAAAACTTAAACCAATAAAGAATTATGTAATTCTATCTTATTAATGAAAGGATCATAGACCTTTGGGAATTTTTTTTTTTTTTTTTTTTTTTTGAGAAGGAGTTTTGCTCTGTCACCCAGGCTGGAGTGCAGGGATGCGATCTTGGCTCACTGCAACCTCCACCTCCCGGGTTCAAGCAATTCTCCTGTCTCAGCCTCCTGAGTAGCTGGGATTACAGGCACATGCCACCACACCCAGCTAGTTTTTGTATTTTTTAATAGAGGTGGGGTTTCGCCTTGTTGGCCAGGCTGGTCTCGAACTCCTGACCTCAGGTGATCTGCCCGCTTCGGCCTCCCAGAGTGGTGGGATTACAGGCGTGAGCCACCGCGCCCAGCCTGGGATTGTTGATTCTCCATTGTTTCGTTCAATCTTTCCTTCTTGACGGAAGTAATATCGCTGGGCGTTGTTAAAGGCTTATGTCTAACATTTATATTCTGTGTTAGAGTAAAAATAGCCAGAAAATCCAGGACTTGATTTGCATGGGTCTGAGGCATATGTGGGGCAAAGCCGCAGGAGGCCCTGAAAATGACACCAAGGAATTCAAGTCCAATCCAGAAAGTGTGGAAACCCAAAGAGTCATCTTCAGGAGGGGCCACAACTGCCATTTGTTCTATAGATACATCAATTTTATGAGTCAGAATCATTTCTCATAGTAGACTCAGAGGCAGGGAAAAAAAAAAAGAGAGAGAAGTCAGACTGGGTTCTGCTTAGGGGATGTGGAAATATTAAATTCAAAACAGTATTTGGCATAAATGTTCATGGGGAGAAAAAACGATGGCCTTTAGGGAGGAAGATGATTTTCATACTCAGTATGCCACATGAATCACGAAGTAAAAATTCAAATATCAAAGTTATATTAACTTCCCTCTAGAAGATGGGAGGACAATTAGAAACATGAATAAACCGAGCATGATGGCTCATGCCTATGATCCCAGCACTTTGGGAAGCCAAGGCAGGAGGATTGCTTGAGCCCAGGATTTAGAGACCAGCCTGGGCAATATAGCGAGACCCCATCACTACAAAAAAAATCTTAAAAAGTTAGCTGGGTGTGGTGGCGTGCGCCTTAGTCCCAGCTACTCCGGAGGTTGAAATTGTAGGATTGCTTAGACCCAGGAGTCTGAAGCTGCAG
Source organism: Homo sapiens (assembly GCF_000001405.40). NCBI lineage: Eukaryota > Metazoa > Chordata > Mammalia > Primates > Hominidae > Homo > Homo sapiens. The sequence goes on along the minus strand of NC_000013.11, from coordinate 110,592,346 downwards.
TGACTGCACTCCAGCCTGGGCGACAGAATGAGGCCCCCTGTTTTTAAAAATAAATAAATAAGTACATAAAAATAAAAACAAAAGAAAACATAAATAAGAGTACAGAAATTCATATAGGTTTAGATGGATCACAAATAAATATTTTTATTTTATCTGTTTTTTTGAAATGGGATCTTATTATGTCACCCAGGCTGGAGTGCAGTGGTGTGATCTTGGCTCACCACAGCCTTGAACTCCAGGGCGCAGGTGATCCTCCCATTGAGCCTCCCAAGTAGCTGGGACCACAGATGGCACCCCACCACGCCTGGCTATTTTATTTTACTTGTCTTTTTTCATTTTATTTATTTATTTTTTTTGAGACAGAGTATTGCTCTTGTTGCCCAGGCTGGGGTGCAATGGCGTGATCTCGGCTCACCACAGCTTCTGCCTCCCAGGTTCAAGCGATTCTCCTGCCTCAGCCTCCCAAGTAGCTGGGATTACAGGCATGCACCACCACACCTGGCTAATTTTTGTATTTTTAGTAGAGACAGGGTTTCTCCATGTTGGTCAGGCTGGTCTTGAACTCCCGACCTCGGGTGATCCGCCTGCCTCGGCCTCCCAAGGTGCTGGGATTACAGGCGTGAGCCATGGCGCCTGACCTATTTTATTTGATTTGTAGAGATAGGGTCTCAGTATGTTGCCCAGACTGGTCTTGAACGCCTGGCCTCAGGTAATCCTTCCTCAGCCTTCCAAAGTGCTGTGATGACAGGCATGAACCGCCACCCCCAGCCAGCAAAGAAACATTTTAAAGAAAAGCACGGAGTTAACAATAACACTGTCTTGCCTTCACTTCAAAATGCCAAATGAATAAATCAAATGTAGGAGTGCTCAGAAGAGCAAGAAACATTTGCAGCTCTGCATCTGCGGAAATTAAGAGACACTCTAGGTAGCCAGCTTGGCGCCTGATGAAGTTTCTAATGTGGACCATCGTGATATGGTTGTGGGTATAGATTTAATTAGACATTTGAGAGGCAGAATCAATAGGTTGAAGGCTACTGAATTCATTTAAGCAAATATGTGACTATGCTTTACATGCACGGGGCACCTGCAAGATGCTGGAGGATAACCACATGAACACGCGCAGTTTCTGGTGTTGACCCGCTTAGATCTGGCGGGTCCAGGAAACACAACTCAGGTGCCCAGAGCCACGCATGTTAGGCCATTGGAGTCCTGAGAAAGGAGGAAGAACAGCTCTGGGGGGCCACCCAAAACCTTCATACTGGCTGGCATAGATAGAATTCTGCCACTTGACGCAGGAAGGCTGGTTCTCCTCCGGGTCTGGAGGTAAATCCAGACGGGCCCAACCTCAGCACTGCGGTCCCATTTCCCTTGCTGATTGTGATGAACGAGTGGCTTTTTATCATCACTGTAGCAACCATAGCCACCAAGCTGTGAGGGAGGGAAGCCTCCAGGAGTGGTTTCTTTGCTCTTAGAGAGAGGTGAGAGACATGGGGACCAGTGTGCACATGAAGCCTGGAACTGGAAAAGCTGCCCCGTAACCCTGAGGGCATCCGACTTGAACATGAGCCAGCATTCCAAGGAGGGCAGGGCGGGAAGGTGGAAAACCTGAGTCCTTGGCGACACTGAGTGAGCGAATTCTGGACCTGCCCTGTGGGTGACCAGCTGTCCTGGCTTGCCCAGGACTTTTCAGTGATAGCACTAAAGTCCCTCCTACCTGCCAGGCATTGTGCTGAGGAATTTACATACATCATTCTCTTTGCCTCTCACCACGACTTTTTTCTAAAACTACTGGAGATAATTATAGAATCACATGCAGTTAAAAGAAATAATACAGAAACAGCTCAAATGCTCTTCACCTAGTTTCCTCCAATGATAGCATCTTGCAAAACTACAGTACAAGATGGCAACCAGAATGGTGACATTGTTACAGGCCAAATTTACAAACTTTCTGTCAGCACAAGGATCCTTGATATTGACCTTCTGTAGCCATACTCACTTCCCTTTCACCCCAACCCTCTCCTTAACCCCTGGCAACCATGGAACTGTTTTCCATTGCTATAATTTTGTCATTTCCAGAATGTTATAGAAATGGAATCTACAGTATGTAACCTTTGGAATTGCTTTATTTTCCCTCCAGCTCAGTGTGATTCTCTGGAGGTTCATCCGGGTTGCTGCCTGTGTCAACAGTTTGATTCCCTTCTCTGCTGAGCAGTAAGTATTCCATGGTATGGATAGGCCAGAATTTGTTTAACCATTCAGTCATTGAAGAGCATCTGTGTTATCTCTAGCATTGGGCTAGTATGATTAAAGCTGATGCAAGCATGTATGTGTAGTTATCATGTGAACATGTCTTCAGTTCTCTAGGATCACGCCCAGGAGTGCAATGGCTGGTCATGTGGTGGTTGCATATTTAGTTTTTGGTTTTGTTTTTAAGAAACTGCCAAACTGTTTTTTAAAGTAGCTGCACCGTTTTACATTCCTGCCAGAAATGTATGAGAGATCCAGTTACTCAAAATCCTCATCAGCATTTGATATTGTCACTTTTAATTTTAGCGATTCTGGTTGGTAGATATGTAGTTATATCACATTGTGGTTTTAATTTGTGTCTCCCTAATGGCTAGTGATGTTGAATATTCTTTCATGTCTTTGTCATCCATATATCCTCTTTGGTGAAATATATGCTCATTTTTTTTTTTTGCCCATCATCTAATTGGATTGTGTGGTTTTTTTTAACTGTTAAATTTTGAGAGTTCTTTATATATTCTAAGCACTAGTCAGTTGCCAGCTATGTGGTTGGTAAATATTTCTCCCACTCTACAGCTTATATTTTCATTCAATAGGGTGTTTCACAGAGCAAAAAGTTTTAGTTCTGATAAAGTTCAATTTAAAAATTTTTTTATTGACTATGCTTTTGATGTAAAGTCTGTGAACTCTTTGCCTAGCCATAGATCCTGAAGATTTTCTCCTATTTGTTTTTCTAAAAGTTTTATAGGCCAGGCACAGTAGTTCATGTCTGTAATCTTAGAACTTTGGGAGGCTGAGGTGGGAGAATCACTTGAGGCCAGGAGTTCTAGACCAGTGTGGGCAAAATAGTGACATCCTGTCTCTACAAAAATTTTTAAAATTAGCCAGGCATGGTGCCGTACACCTGTAGTTCTAGCTACTTGGGAGGATTGCTTGAGCCCAGGAGTTCGAGGCTGCAGTGAGCTATGATCACGCCATTGCACTGTAGCCTGGGCAGTAGAGTGAGACCCTGTCTCAAAAAAAAAAATTTTATAGTTTTACATTTTACATTTAGGGCTGTGATTCACTTTGAGTTCCTTTTTTTGTATAAGGTGTAGGTATATTTTTTTCGCTACGGATGACCAATTTCTCTAGCACTATTTGATGAAAAGGCTCTTTCCTCCATTAAGTTGCTTTTGAATCTTTGTCAACAATCCACTGGGCATATCTGAGTGGATCCATTTCTGGGTTCTTTATTCTGTCCCATGGAGCTGTGAGTCTATTCCACTGCCAACACCACGCTGTTGTGATTACTGTAACTATATAATAAGTTGTGGAATCAGGTAGAATATTTCTTTCACTTCATTCTTTTTCCAAATTGTATTAGTTCTCTCATTCCTTTGCCTTTTCATATACATTTTAGAATAATCTTATCTATACCTATAGAAACATTTTGCTGGGGTCTTGAGAGGAATTGTGGTAAACCTGTGAATCAGTTTGAAGAGATCTGACATCTTTATGATGCTGAGTTTTCCAATCCATGAACATAATATAGCTCTCCATTTATTTAGGTCTTCTTTGATTTCTTTCATGAGGATTGTGTAATTTTCAATCTAGAAGTTCTATAACTGCTTTGTTATATTTACACCTAAGTACTTCATTTTTTTCTGAGCAATTATAAATACCACTGTACTTCAAATTTTTGTGTCTGTGTGTTCAGTTCTCTATGGATGTCCAATTTCTGGTTAACAGATACAAAACTGATGTTTGCACCTTTCTCTTGTATTCTGTCACCTTGTGGAACTCACTTATCAGTTCTAAAAGATAGTTTTATATCCCTTGGGATTGTTTATATAGATAATTATGTCCTCTGAAAACAGAAACAGTTTTATTTCTTCCATTTCAATCTCTATGCTTCTTATTTACTTTTCTTGCCTTATAATGTTATCTAGAACTTCTAGCACTCTGTTGCTAGACATAGCAGACATATTTGCTTTGTTGCCAGTCTTAGGAGAAAGGTACTCAGCCTTTCACCACTAAGTATCATGTAAGCAGTGGGGGTTTTTAAATAAATAAAGGTTTTGTAGATGTTCTTTATCAAGTTGAGGAAGTTTTTCTCTGTTCCTATTTTTCTGAGAATCATATTTTTCTCTATTCCTATTTTTCAAAAATCGTGTATAGGCATTGAATTTTGTTAAATGCTTTCTGCATCAATTGATATCATCATGTGATTTTTCTTCTTTAGCCCGTTAATATGTAGATTACATTAATTAATTTTCCAGCATTGACGGAGTCTTTCATCCTTGAAATAAACCTCAACTATGGTATATAATCTTTTTTATATAGTACTGAATTCTATTTGCTAATATTTTGTTAATGACTTTGCATCTATATTCATTAGCACATTGGCTTGTAGTTTTTTTTTTTTTTTTTTTTTTTTTTTTGAGACGGAGTCTCGCTCTGTCGCCCAGGCCGGACTGCGGACTGCAGTGGCGCAATCTCGGCTCACTGCAAGCTCCGCTTCCCGGGTTCACGCCATTCTCCTGCCTCAGCCTCCCGAGTAGCTGGGACTACAGGCGCCCGCCACCGCGCCCGGCTAATTTTTTGTATTTTTAGTAGAGACGGGGTTTCACCTTGTTAGCCAGGATGGTCTCGATCTCCTGACCTCATGATCCACCCGCCTCGGCCTCCCAAAGTGCTGGGATTACAGGCGTGAGCCACCGCGCCCGGCCGGCTTGTAGTTTTTTTGTTTTGTTTTGTTTTGTTTAGACAGAGTCTCACTCTGTCACCCAGGGTGGAATGCAGTGGCGTGATCTCGGCTCACCGCAACCTCTGCCTCCCAGGTTCAAGTGATTCTCATGCCTCAGCCTCCTGAGTAGCTGGGACTACAGGCGCCCACCACCACTGCTGGCTAATTTTTGTATTTTTAGTAGAAGCGTGGTTTCATCATGATGAACAGGCTGGTCTAGAACTCCTGACCTCAAGGGATTTGCCCACCTCGGCCTCCCAAAGTGCTGGGATTACAGGCGTGAGAGCCACCGCACCTGGCCTTGCAGTGTATATATATATTTTTGGTACTACTTTTGTGTGATTTTATATCAGGGTAATACTAGCTTCATAAAAATAATTGTGAAGTATTCCCTTTTCTTCTATTTTCAGAACAGATTGTGTAGAATAGGTATCAAATATTTTTTATATATTTGGTAGAATTAAACAATGAAGCCATCTAGACCCAGAGATTTCTTTTTGGGGATTTTAAAAAAATTATTAATTCAATTTCCTTAATAGTCATAGGGCTATTCAAATGATCTATTTCATATTGGGTGAGTTGAGATAGTTTATATTTTCTGAGGAATTGATGCATTTCATCCAAGTTTTTGAATTTATGTGTGTACCTGGCTGTTTGTAGTATTGCTTTACTGTTCTTTTGATGTTTGCAGGGTCTGTAGTGTTTCATTCCTGGCATTGGTAATTTGTGTCTTCTCCCCTTTTCCCTTGTCAGTCTTGACAGAAGTTTGTCAATTTTATTGATCTTTTCAAACAACCAGTTCTTTGCTTCATTGACTTCCTCTATTGTTTTTCTTTTTTCTATCTCACTGATTTCTGTTTTTTATTATTTTCTTCCTTCTGCCTGCCTTGGGTTTACCTTACTCTTCTCTTTCTAGGCTCTTGAAGTAGGAATACAGAGTATTGCTTTCAGGGTTTTGTTTGTTTGTTGTTGTTGTTGTTGTTTTTGAGATGGAGTCTTGCTCTGTCGCCCAGTCTGGAGTGCAGTGGCATAATCTCGGCTCACTGCAACCTCCGTCTCCCGGGTTCAGGTGATTCTCCTGCCTCAGCCTCCCAAGTAGCTGGGATTACAGGCGTGCACCACCACGCGTGGCTAATTTTTGTATTTTTAGTAGACAGGGTTTCACCATGTTGGCCAGGCTGGTCTTGAACTCCTGACCTCAAGTGATCCGCCCACCTTGGCATCCCAATGTGCTGGGATTACAGGTGTGCACCACCACATCTGGCTAATTTTTGTATTTTTAGTAGAGATGGGGTTTCACCATGTTGGCCAGGCTGGTCTCGAACTCCTGACCTCAAGTGATCCGCCCGCCTCGGCCTCCCAATGTGCTGGGATTACAGGTGTGAGCCATCATGCCTGGCTGATTTCAGTTTTTTTAACATATGCATTTGGTACTAGAAATTTCTCCCTCAATATTGCATTAACTGTGTCCCACAATTTTTGATATGTTGTCTTTTCATTTTCATTTCATTCATTTAATGTCTTTGTTGTTTTTGTTTTTGAGACAGTGTCTTGTTCTGTCTCCCAAGCTGGAGTGTAGTGGCGCGCGCGATGTCGGCTCACTGCAACCTCTGCCTTCCGGTTTCAAGTGATTCTCATGCCTTGGCCTCCCGAGTAGCTGGGATTATAGCCACCCACCACACCTTCCAGCTAATTTTTGTATGGAACTTCCAGTTTAGTATGGAACTAAACTGGAAACCATGGACATGTCTACTCTTCTCAAGACAATCTATCAAGTCAATGAAATTCCAATCAAAATCTCAACAGGTTTTGCTTGTTTGTTTTCAGACAGTCTTGCTCTGTTGCCCAGGCTGGAGGGCAGTGGCGCCATCTCCGCTCACTGCAACCTCTGCCTCCTGGGTTCAAGCGTTTCTCATGCCTCAGGCTCCAGAATAACTGGGACTACAGGCACACGCAACCACTCCTGGCTAATTTTTGTATTTTTAGTAGGGACGGGGTTTCACCAGGTTGGCCAGGCTGGTCTTGAACTCCTGGCCTCAAGTCATTGTCCTCCTTGGCTTCCGAAAGTGCTGGGATTACAGGCCTGAGCCACCATGCCCCACCAAAACATAAACCAAAAGTTACCAAAAAAACCCCAAAAAACCATAAGATATGTGAGACTTTTGTGCAGTAAAATGAAATCACTGGAAAAGACATTTTTTAAGACTCAAATAAATGGAGGGTTGTGCTATGGTTTCTGTACGGAACTAAAATGGAAACCATGGGCATGTCTGCTCTCTTCAAGTCAATCTATACAGTTAATGTGATTTCAATTGAAATCTCAACAGATGTTTTGTGGAAATTGACAAGTATGGCCAAAAATTTACATAAAAGCATAAAGAACCACTATACAATTCAATAATTCTACTCCAAGGTATACACCCAAGAGAACTGAAGACATATATACAAGTACAAAAGCCTCGGTATGAATGTTTATAGCATCATTATTCGTAACAGCTAAAAAGTTGAAACAATCACAATGTTTATCAGCTGGTGAATGGATAAATAATACATAGTATCTCCCTACAGCGGAATATTTTTCAGCCATGAAAAAGTACTTTTGGGCCAGGTGCGGTGGCTCACACCTATAATCCCAGCACTTTGGGAGGCTGAGGCAGATGGATCCCTTGAGCTCAGGAGTTTGAGACCAGCCTGTGCAACATGGTGAAACCCCATCTTTGCAAAGAATACAAAAACTAGCTGAGCATGGTAGCGCATGCCTGTGGTCCCAGCTACTAGGGAGGCTGAGGTGGGAGGATCACTTGAGCCCTGGAGGTAGAGGTTGCAGTGAGCCGAGATTGTGCCACTGCACTCAAGCCTGTGCAACAGAGCAAAATCCTGTCTCAAAAACAACAACAACAAAGCAGTACTTTCATATGCTACAACATGGATGAACCCTGGAAGCATTATGCTACACGGAAGAAGTCTGACACAAAGGTCATATATTGGTTCAATTTTTGTGAAGTATCCAGAATAGGCAAATGTATAGAAACAAAGCAGACTAGTTGTTGCCTGGGGCTGGGAGGCAGTCGCTGCTCATGGTTTCTTTTAGGAGTGATGAAAATGTTCTAAAATTAAGAAAACAGTATGAGTGGACTTGCCCTACTTGCTGCTGAGAGCTGTTATCAAGCTATAGCCATTAAAAAAGTGTGTCGTTGCTGAGAAGACAGGTATACAAACTGAATTGAATAGAGAGCCCTACACAGACCCATACACCTACAGAAACTCAGTGTCTTCCCTTTCACTCCACGACTTATTTCTTACCTTTCTAACTGCCTGCCTAAACACGTCTAGGGGCTTCTCAGACATTTTCCAAGTGGTACCATGATGATGAATTTGCCCCTTATGAAAGCTGTATTAGGCTGTTCTTACATTGCTATAAAGAAATACCTGAGGCTAGATAATTTATAAGAAAAGAGGTTTAATTGGCTTATGGTTCTGCAAGCTGTACAAAGAGCATAGAGCCCACATCTGCTTCTAGGGAGGGCTCAGGAAGCTTCCAATCATGGTGGAAGGTGAACAGAAAGCCGGCATGTCACATGTGAAAAAGCAGGAGGGAGAGAGAGAGAGAGAGAGAGAGAGCAGGGGTCGGGGGCGGCGGGGTGGGGTGGCACTCACACAGTTTGCAACAGCCAGATATTGAGAGCACGCTATGAGGACAGCACCAAGCGATGAGCGCTCTGCTCTATAACCCAAACACCTCCCACCAGGCCCCACCTCCCACACTGGGGATTACATCTCAACATGAGATTTGCAGGGACATCCAAACCATATCAGAGGCATTTTATTTTTGCAAGGAGAATCAACACTTTGTTCCAGCCACAGATTCTGTAGCTAGCTCACAAATTCGTACTTTTGTCGTCTCTACAGAAGAGAGTGTGCTAACACTTTTGAAACCTTTCACTGCAACTGCAAACATAATTTGAGAGCCTGGAAGATGTGTGAATTGCATTGTTCTCATACTTGAGAAAGGTGCCAGATGCCTCTGTGTGTGTGTGTGTGTGTGTGTGTGCGTGTACACGTTTTTCTTTACAAATTTAGGAGGCACAGGCCATAAGACAATGGTGCGATGAGAGGTGGATGGAGAAGCTCTCATCATGATGAATCTTCCCACCTGGTCCACGAGTGTGCTGTGGCTTTGGGTTTGCAAACTCCTTTAGTGAAATGTTGATCCTTGACCTAATTAAATCGCTATGGTAAATCGGCTCTGATGGGCATACAAAAACGGAGTTAACCAAAAGAAAGAAAAATCGGCCTGTAATACTCATCTGTTGGTGTGGCCTCCAAGACCTCCCTTCGCTTAATTAATTAATATTTTAAAAAATTATTTGGTTGAGGAAGATGAGTCCCAGAGGTGTTAAGTGGGATAAACTAACTGTAGCAGGAGCAGGGAAGGTCTGCCCTCAGATCCCAGCTCTGCCACTTTTTAGCATGATGTGTGATATCCAAGCCTCTAGGACCTCCGAATGTGGCCTTGTTTGGAGATTGGCTCGTTGCGGATGTGATTGGTTAAGCTGAGGTCATGCTGGGGTGGGTGAGCCCCTGACCCCACATGTCCTTACAGGAGGAGGCCGTGAGAGGGTGCAGATGGGGGAGAAGCAAGCGTGGAGAACGTGCGAGAAGGCAGATGTGAAGGTGGACAGCGGAGGAATGTGCTACAGGCTGGGAGCATGACCAGGAGCCACCAGGACTAGAAAGAGGCGTGGCATTCCCCTGCAGGCTTCGGAGGGAGCATGGCCCTGCTGATGCCTTGATTTCAGACCTGCAGGACAATAGATTTCTTGGTTTTAAGTCACGCAGCCTATGGGACTTTGTCACAGTGGCCCCAGCACACATAGAGATAATAGTATCTACCTCAAAAAGTCACTGTGGCCGAAGATGAAGTGGTTCCACCGAGTCTGCCTGCAAGCCCCCTCTGCAAGGCATTCCACAGAAAACCAGCCTGAGGAGGCCCTGGAAGCTGGAGAGGAGAAGGCAGTTGCCAGCACCTCGGGGCAGGTCCAGGGTGTGCTGGCGACCGCTCTGGGTTTTCTCTTTGCTCCTTGAATCCCAGACTTGGTGTTGAAGAAGCAGCAATCCAGAGAGGCCAAGGGACACAGTGAATAAGAGCCCCCGAAAGCCAGCTCTGAAACCAAAGCCCCAGGAAACGGGCACTAGCGGGACAGAAAACGCAGACAATTGTTCTGTCGCAGCCAAACACCATGAAAATTGCGTGGTCGCACCTCCACCTGCGCCAGAGAAGGCCAAGAGGTGAGCCTAGACTTTGAGACCTCCACCCTCACCAGGCTGCGGTGAGGCACCCAGGCCCCCACCCCCACCCCTGACCTGCTGGGGTGGTGTCAGAGAAGGCTGAGTGGGGAGCCAGGACTGTCACCTCTGCTACGCAGTCATGAGCCACCCCACTGCAGTGTCAGTGGAGACCAGGTTGGGGGCCGCCACCCACTGGGCAGTAACAGGGAGCCATTTCTTGGGTGTCAGTAGAGCACAGGTGAGGACCCTGGATTTGTAACCCCTGCCTTGGGAGGCACCTGTGTGCCCTCCCTTCCCCCTGAGGGAGCAGCATCAGGGGAAGCCACAAGACAAGGCCTCATTAACATCTAGACTCTCGTAACATGATGTGCAAGCATACAGCATTCGCCAGACAGCCACGTATCACACCCAGACCAGGAAACACAGCACGTGAATGAAGAAAACCATGAACAGGTGCCTGCTCTGGAAGGACAGAGGTTGGACTCCGTGAAAAGGATTTTTTGAAATAAATGAAACATTCAGCTCAGCAAAGAAACAGAAGTTATAAAGAAGGAGCAGACAGAAATTTTAGAACTGAAAAATCCAATAACCAAAATTCAAAATGTAACTTATGAACTCAATAGCAGAACAGAGGGGCTGGCGGTAGAGGAAAGGATCAGTGAACTTAAAGACAGAAAAATAGAAATTACCCAATCTGAAAAAAGGAGAAAACCTACTGGAAAAAAAAAAAAAGGAGAGAGAGAGAGAAATGAACAGCACCTTGGAGACCTGTGGGACTATAACAAAAGATGACATTTCAGTGATCAGAGACCTGGGAAGAGACAGCGGGGTGAGGCTTTAAAACTACTTGAAAATAGTGACTGAAAACATCCCAAATTTGGCTAAAAACATAAATCTACACACCCAGAGGTTGACTGAACCCAAACGCGATAAATTCAAAGAAACCTGTGCCAAGACACATTATAATTAGACTTCTGGAAACTTAAGACAAGGGAACAATCTTGAAATCAATGAGAGAAATGAGAAAGACAGTTCCAATGACAGCAGAATTCTCACCAGAAGCCATGAAGGCCAGAAGGAAGTGATGCAACAGGTTTCAAGTGCTGGAAGAAAAAAATCCAGTGTCCTAGACCCAGTAAAAATATCCTCCAGGAATGAAAGAGAAATCAAAACATTCTCACATGAAGGAAGGCAGGAGAGTTTGTTACTGGCCAAGCTACCTTAAGTAATTGCTAAAGGAAGTTCTCTCCACAGAAATAATTGTTTTTTTTTTTTTTTTTTTTTTTTGAGACGGAGTCTCGCTCTGTCGCCCAGGCTGGAGTGCAGTGGCGCGATCTCGGCTCACTGCAAGCTCCGCCTCCCGGGTTCACGCCATTCTCCTGCCTCAGCCTCCCGAGTAGCTGGGACTACAGGCGCCCACTACCACGCCCGGCTAATTTTTTGTATTTTTAGTAGAGACGGGGTTTCACCGTGTTAGCCAGGATGGTCTCGATCTCCTGACCTCGTGATCCGCCCGCCTCGGCCTCCCAAAGTGCTGGGATTACAGGCGTGAGCCACCGCGCCCGGCCATAATTGTTTAATAAAAGGAATCCTGGAACACCCACAAGAAAACAAGAACACACTGAGCAAAAATCAAGGCAAATGTAACAGACCTCCCTTCCCTTTTTGAGTTTTCTAAACTACATTGGAGGTTTGAAGCAAAAATTGTAACACAGTCTGATGTGGTTCTAATTGTATACGTAATTTTAAAGGGAATTACTGGCTGGGCTTGGTGGCTCATGCCTATAATCCCAGCTCTTTGGGAGGCTAAGGTGGGAGGATTGCTTGAGCCCAGGAGTTGGAGACCAGCCTAGGAAGCGTAGTGAGATCCCATCTCTACAAAAAATAAAAAAATTTAGCTGGGCATGGTGGCACATGCCTGTAGTCCCAGCTACTTGTGAGGCTGACGCAGGGAATTGTTTGAGCCTAGGAGTTTGAGGCTTCAGTGAGCTGTGATCGTACCACTGCACCCTAGCCTGGGTGATAGAGCAAGACCCTCTCTCAAAAAAAAAAAAAAAAAAAAAAAAAGAAGAAAATTACTAAAGGTCTAAAGGTGGATAGGAGGACATTATGTAATAATAAGAGGGTCAATAAATCAAGAAGACATAGTAATTCTAAATGTATATGCAGCAAACCACAGAGTTGCAAAATATAGGAAGCAATGCCTGAAGGAGCTGAAAGGAGAAATAGACAAATCCATAATTATAGTAGACTTCAATACCCCTCTCTCAACAATTGATAGGACAATTATACAGAAATAAGCAAGGATACAATAAAAGAATTCAACAACACCATCAACCAACAGGATCTGACGGACATTTACAGAAAAACAACAGCAGAATACACATTCTTTTCAATTGTCCATGGATAGACTATATCCTGGGCCATAAAAGAAGCTGCAACAATTTAAAAGAATCTAAAACATACAGGGTATATTTCTTTGACCATAATGAAATCAAACTAGAAATCAAAAGCAAAAAGATAATAGGAACATCTCCAAACACTTGGAAACTAAACAGCTAAACAGCACACTTCTAAATAACGCATGGGTCAAGCAGCGGGTCTCAAAGGAAACTAAAAAGCACATTAAATGGCCGGGCGCTGGGTCTCCTGCCTGTAATTCCAGCACTTTGGGAGGCCGAGGCGGGTGGATCACTTGAGGTCAGGAGTTGGAGACCAGCCTGGACAACATGGCAAAACCTGACTCTACAAAAAATGCAAAAATTAGTTGGGCATGGTGGTGTGCATCTGTACTCCCAGCTACTCGGGAAGCTGAGGCAGAGAATTATTTGAGCCTGGGAGGTCAAGGCTGTAGTGAGCCAAGATTATGCCACTGTACTCCAGCCTGGGTGACAGGGTTAGAGCAAGACCCTGTCTCAAAAAAACACAAAAAATAAATTTCCTCTTTTATACCAGGCATATTGGACTTAGGGCCCATACTACTCAAGTATCTTAACTATCACATCTGTAATCCTAGCACTTTGGGAGGGCGAGGCGGGCGGATCACTTGAGATCAGGAGTTCCAGACCAGCCTGGACAACATGGCAAAATCACATCTCTACTAAAAATACAAAAATTAGCCGAGTATGCTGGCACATGCCTGTAATCCCAGCTACTCAGGAGGCTGAGGCAGGAGAATCGCTTGAACCCGGAAGGTGGAGGTTGCAGTGAGCTGAGATGGCACCACTGCACTCCAGCCTGGACGACAGAGCGACACTACATCTCAAAAACAAAACAAAACAAACTAGTTATGTCTGCAACAACTCTCTTTCCAAATGAGGTCACAATCTGAGGCACTAGGGTTAGGACATCATTGTATCTTCTGAGGGACGTGAGCCATCCCATGGCAGGTGGCCTGGGGATGTGTCCCGCTCTCACTTCTGCCGGCGCAGGGATGAGCAGCTGCCCACATTGCTCTTCCTTCTTTCACCCTACTGGCCCCATCTCCATGTGCTCCAAACTCCCAGTGTCTATTTCCATGGTTGGTCTGCAGCAGCGGGCTGAGGTCATCATGAACTCACGCCCACGAGTGGCTGTAACTCAGACCCAGAGGACCCGGAGTACACAGCGCTCAAACACCCATGCTGGAAGAAGAGGTTGGAATCTTCACCGCAGAGTGACCTGAAGGAATCCCCTCCCATTCATTCCTTCAGAGATGATGGTTGCTGACAGTTTAGTATTCACATCCCATACTTTTTCTGTGCATATCCAAATATACGCCGCATAGACTTAAGAAAAGATTTTACTGAATCACATTGCACAACTTTAGAGAAAATAAAGAATTCAAAAGTTTTTTTTTTTTTTTCTTTTGAGACAGAGTCTTGCTCCGTCCAGGCTGGAGTGCAGTGGTGCGATCTCGGCTCACTGCAAGCTCTGCCTCCCGGGTTCACACCATTCTCCTGCCTCAGCCACCCGAGTAGCTGGGACTACAGGCACCCGTCACCACACCCAGCTAACTTTTTGTATTTTTAGTAGAGACAGGGTTTCACTGTGTTAGCCAGGATGCTCTCGATCTCCTGACCTCATGATCAGCCCGCCTCGGCCTCCCAATGTGCTGGGATTACAGGCATGAGCCACTGCGCCTGGCCCAAAAGTTTTCTTTTAAGTGAAAGAAGCCAATCAGAAAAGGCTACATACTGTATGATTCCAACCATATGACATTCTAGAAAAGGCAAAACGATGGAGACAGTAAAAGGATCGGGGTTGCCAGGGGTTGCCAGGGGTTGGGGGAGGGAAGGATGGATAGGAAGAGCACAGAGGATTTTTAGAGCAGTCAAACTATCCTTCATGAGGGCCGGGTCTGGTGGCTCATGCCTGTAATCCCAGTACTTTGGGAAGTCGAGGCAGTTGGATCGCTTGAGCTCAGGAGTTTGAGACCAGCCTGGACAACACAGAAGCCCCATGTCTACAAGAAACAAAAAAAATTGGTTGGGTGTGATGGCTCACACCTGTAATCCCAGCACTTTGGGAAGCCGAGGTAGTTGGATCACGAGGTCAGGAGATCGAGGCCATCTGGGCCAACATGGTGAAACCGGTCTCTACTAAAAATGCAAAAATTAGCTGGGTGTGATGGCACACGCCTGTAGTCCCAGCTACTCGGGAGGCTGACGCAAGAGAATTACTTGAACCCAGGAGGCAGAGGTTGCAGTGAGCCAAGATCGTGACACTGCACTGCAGCCTGGTGACAGAGTGAGACTCTGTCTAAAAAAAAAAAAAAAAATTAGCCAGGTGTGGTGGCACATGCCTCTGGTCCTAGCTACTTGGGCAGCTGAGGTGGGAGGATCGCTTGAGCCCAGGAGGCAGAGATTGCAGTGAGCCGAGATGTCACCACTGCACTTCAGCCTGTGCAGCAGAGTGAGACTCTGCCTTGAAAGAAAAAAAAAAAGGAAAAAAAGAAAAGAAAAAACCAAACTATCTTGGGTGAGACTATAATGGTGGATACATGTCATTATACATTTGTCCAAACTCATAGAAGGTACAACATGAAGAATGAACCCTAACTTAAACTGTGGACTTTAGTTAATAATTATGTATCAATATCAATGCTTCCATTGTAATACTTGTGCCAATACTAATGCAATATTGACTCCTCCATTGTAACAACTGTACCACACGAATGCCAAGCTGTTAGTCATAGGGAAAACCGGAACAGAGGGAGTGTGAGCGGGGCATGGGAACGCTGTATTTTCCACTCGTTTTTGCACACCTAAAACTGCTAAAAAAATCTATTTATTTAAAAAATTTTTTATTGGCTGTGCATGGTGGCTCATACCTGTAATCCCAGCACTTTGGGAGGCTGAGGTGGGAGGATCACATGAGGTCAAAAGTTCAAGACCAGCCTGACCAACATGGTGAAACCCAGTCTCTACTAAAAATACAAAAAAATTAGCTGGGCGTGGTGGTGCACGCCTGTAGTCCCAGCTACTTGGGAGGCTGAGGCAAGAGAATTGCTTGAACCCAGGAGGCAGAGGTTGCAGTGAGCCGAGATCACAACATCGCAGTGGTGTGTTCTTGGCTCACTGCAGCCTCAAACTCAAGGGCTCAAGTGACCCTCCTGCCTCAGCCTCTGGAGTAGCTGGGACCACAGGCAGATGCTCCCATGCCTGGCTAGTTTTTACATTTTTTGTGAAGACTGCATCTTGCTATGTTGCCCAGGCTAGTTTCAAGTGATTCTCCCCCTTCAGCCTCCTGAATCACTGGGGGAAATGTGGACAATTTTCTACGTAACCAGCACAGAGATGAAAACTGGCAAGGCACCTGGCAGGTGTTTGTGGAGTTTATTTAAAGAGCAAACCCACTTGATCAAAGGGAGATCCCTGGGGAGGTAAAGGGCCCTGTGGTCAGGTGGGTTGGGAAGGTCCAGGATCGATTTTCAAAAAGAAGGAAGTGGGGAACAGGGTGCAAGACAAGTAGATTGAAAGGCTAAAGCGACTGCGAGATTGGGCCACGACGAAGTCGCAGGTGATGTTGGTTTCAGGGTCTGCTGTGTAGGAGCAGGTCCCCCAGAGCGGGTGGGGGATGGACAAATGGGCTGCGGGACGCCCAGCTGCTGTGATGACCTCTGGGGTGTGTGGGAGGGAGGGAAGGAGAGAGGTGGTTGTGTTGGGGAAGCGGGGCCTCTGTCTGTGAGCCCACAAGTCGCCCTGTGGTGGTTTTGTCCCCACTGCTTCCTTCCAGGTGAACTTTTCTATTTGACGTTTGGTGACATTGGGGAAGTGACATTGGCCTCCCTGCTCTCATCTGACTCAGCTCTTCCCTGCGGTGAGGGGAGGGCTCAGCTTGGCCGTCTCTGCAGAAGTTCTCCATCCAGCGGGAGAAACTGACCTGCTAACCAATGAAGGATGAAAAAGGAGCCAGGGCCAGATGATCCTGCCAGCGGAGGTCACCACGGAGCTTCCCCAGAGGCTGCACAGAATGAAGTGGCTTGCTGGGCAACAAGGCTCTGAGGTCAGGGCTGACATGGGGGGTGGAAGGGTGAGGATCAGAATCAGCATCTGGTGACGTCAGCCTGCGTTTGGGAGCCACCCAGAAGTTCCATGTGTGTCAGGGAGAGGCTGGAAGGGCAGATGGTAGCCCCTGGGGAAGGCATCCTGTCCAGCGAAGAAATGCGTTCCTTCTCCTGCAGGTTGTGAAGAGCAGCAGCAGATTTAAATTTAGTAGCAGCAGATACATTGCTTCAAATTCTGGTTTTGAGTCATGTTGAAGCCAGATACACTTTTTGCTCAAAAGTAGAAAAAATGCCCCTAAGTCCAGCATAATGGATTTGCTGAGTGCACTGTAGCCATCTGAAAATACACGGATGTGTGCAGCACAACCACACTGCACACCTTAGAATGTGGAATGATTTTGCACACCAATTCCTGGTGATTCCACTGAGGAAGTAAAGATAAAGGACTGTGCTGTCTCTTTCCTCTCTGGACTGCTGGGGTCCTTGTCCAGGTACTGGTGGGCAGCTTGGACCCGTGGAGCCTGTGGGAACCGTGGCTCAGCTCTGTGGCTCCTGCCTGGTGTACTTGGTGGGGGACATCACCTCTCACGATCGGTTTCTTCTGTAAAGCTGGAGGACAAAGCTTACTTCCCAAGGCTATTGTGAGGATTAGGTCTGATGAATGTATCTTCCAATGCTATTGTTGGGTCTTTTTTTTTTTTTTTTTCCTAATGTGTAAGTAGTCACTTCAGATCTTAATTAAGGAGTGGTTCCTGTCTGCAGATTTTGGGGGGGTCTCTGTGCCGTGTGAGCTAGTCTGTGACACCTGCGTGGCTCTATCTAGGAGATGGGAGTAGATCCCCTCTGCTAAAATTGATTGAAAAATTACAGTGGCTGATTGGTTAGCGTCCTTGAAATTTGTAAAATCTGCAACAAACCTAACTCTGATGTGTCTTACTTCACATTGTGAATATGCTCTTCTATTGCCTTCTCAGAATCCACGTACAGTTAGTGAGGGATTTTGGCTTTTTTAACAGGTAAGACTAATTTTGGTGCACATTGAGTATGTGCCACAATGCTTTACTAAATCCTCTGGATCTTTAAAGGTATGTTAGTTCTCAGAGGCTGCAGAAACACAGTACCACCAATCGGGTGGCTTAGAACAATGTCAACGCCTTGTCTCCCAGCCCTGGAGGACAGAAGTCTGAGGTGTCAGCAGCGTTGGCTCCTCCTGAGGCTGCGTGGGAGCCTCTGTCCAGCCTCTCTTCCGCTCCCGGCACCTCCAGTGTGCTGGGGCTGGTAGATGGCATCTTCGTCTCAGTGTGGCTGTGTCCAAATCCCTCCCTTTAATAAGGGCACCCGCCTATTGGATTGAAGCCCACCCTAATGACCTCATTTTAACTTGATTGCCCTGTAAAAACCTTATTTCCAAGTAAGTTCACACTCTGAAGTACGGTGGGTAGGATTTCAAAGTATCTTTTTTTGGGGGGGCGGGCACAATTTAACCCATAACAAAGGGCATCTTTGCTTCTGAACTATTAGCTGATTTAGTCTTCCTACCATTTAATGAAAATTCATTTGCAATTACAGTTGTGCTATCATTTCATTTTAGTGTTTATCTCTAAAGAAACTAAATTTAGTTCTTTATTTTCTTTCCTTACTCTTTTGTGTTGTGAACATATCATAAT
The DNA here is from genome assembly GCF_000001405.40 of Homo sapiens. NCBI lineage: Eukaryota > Metazoa > Chordata > Mammalia > Primates > Hominidae > Homo > Homo sapiens. The sequence continues at coordinate 110,573,931 of NC_000013.11, read as the reverse complement.
TTAATTTTTATATGGCTTTTTAAGTGGATGTGACTCTTGTTTCTTTTCTTCCAGCACTTTAGATCCACTCTAGAAAATGACATACGGTGCATCGCATAGAAGTGGGTAAAATCCTAATTGCAGAGGAAATTTTTCTTAGTCAAGTGCTGTATTTTAAAAATAAATGATTAGATCTCTCACAGAGTAATCCTCCCTTACATTCTGAAAAGAGCTTGCAGTCTATCCAATTGAACTGACCTTCACTGATGAAATTAAAGTGGAATTCAGCTGGAGAGCAAGTACCCAAATGGAGAAGAAGAAAGGCAATCCCTCTGGGTGGGTTTGTGGTTTTCAGCTGAGTGTGGGGATTGTGAACAACGGATATGTCCTCATGCAGAACATAGGGCCTCTGTTTCTTAGGAGTTACAGACGTGGGGAGAATTCATCCATCTTTCACCCAATTATCTATTGTTTGTCTTCAGAAGGTTTCTCTTTTCTCTTTTCCTTTTGTTAACTTGAGGGAAAAGTGCCTCGTCGGCCAGGCACGGTGGCTCACACCTGTAATCCCAGAACTTTGGGAGACCGAGGTGGATGGATTACTTAAGGTCAGGGTTCGAGACCAGCCTGGCCAATGTGATGGAGCCCCGTCTCTACTAAAAATACAAAAATTAGCTGGGCATGGTGGCGTGTGCCTGTAACCCCAGCTACTCTGGAGGCTGAGGCAGGAGAATCACTTGAACCTGGGAGGTGGAGGTTGCAGTGAGCCGAGATGCGCCCCTGCACTCCAGCCTGGGCTACAGAGCCAGACTCTGTGTCAACAACAACAAAAGGCGCCTCTTGTCGATGATTAGGGTCATAAAATAAGACCTGTTTTAATAATTTAGTATTCAACTGCCTTAGACTAAAAAAGACAGGATCCCTTAAGACCTGGGTTAAGGTCCTGGACAGCTAATAGGAAGTTGTTTCGGATGTCTCAGCATTGCTGTGTTACCCTCTTGGGTTTACATCTGACATCAATCACCTTTTCACTTCTTCTTTTTTTTTTTTTTTTGGATGGCTCTTAAGTTAGCTTAGCCCTTACTATAGCATGGTCCAGACAGTTAGAGTTCTCAGAAGCTACTTTGAATTCTTCAGCTGCTCTGGTAACAAAACCATGAGTGTGCCTTTGAGTGAAGGGCTTCCCACAGAGCCTACCTCCCCGCACTTGGGAGAACTTCCTCCGTCTCTGCTGTCCACACTGCAGGAGTAGACCCTGCAACGGAGGGACACCCGGAGGCTTTGCCATCAGCACCCTGATGCAGACGACGTGGACTCACAGAACACGGGCAGGGGGTCGGCTCTGGTGGGCATTGCCGGGTGCTGCGGCTGGGTAGGGACCCTCTTGCCATCTGCCCTGCCTTTGCCTGCAGCATCCCTCACTGGCGCAGAAGGTCTGGTGCAGACACATGGACATCTTCCTGCCCTCTTTTGTACAATGTCTTTGGTGCCGTCTCTTTAACTACAGTGATCAGCTCACTCCTTGCCTGCTTCTTGACTGATTTTCAAGTCTTGAGACCCTCCAGGGTGTGCCTTGGGAGGGGATGTGTCTCAGGAAGGACTTTGAGGGGCTTCAAGGGACAAAGAAAGAAGGATGCAGGGGTCAGCATGGTGGCCGGGCATGCTCCTCGTCAGAGGCAGGGTCCGGCCTCGGGCTCCGGTTTGGGGGCTGCCCTGGCCCCTCCCTGCTCCTTGCTCTCTGCTCTCCTGGTATAAACACTTCTTTTCTTTCTAAGCCCCAGGCTTCACCGGGGTGCCCCTGAACTCACAGGACACCTCTTCAGCTTTCCTTTAAGACTTTGGATCCTGAGGGTGTGGCCCATTTCTTTCAGAACTCTTCAGGTGTTTATAACCCAGTAATCAGGACGCTTTTCCACTGGGTCCCTCAGTCTGAGAACATCTTAGAAATGCGAGTTCTCTGACCCCCAGCCCAGGCCTGCTGAAGAAGTGCTGGGTGGAGCTGGGCTGCCTCTGTTTTAAGGTCAGCTGGGAGCCTCTGCCCTGGGCTAATACCTGGGTTTATCTCACAAATGGTCCCTGGTCCCATCCCCCAGGCTGGGGGCCCTGTCTATCCATCCATCTCACATCGGCTCCCCCACCAGACATCTTTGCTCTTGTTCCAAGCAGGGCAGGTGTGCTCAGCAGGGGAACCAGCAATTTTGCTCCCGCAGCCTCATTTATTTCCAGTGTTTGAGATGCCCATCATCCGCACGATGTTTGCCCCAGGCTGTGTTCCTGTTTCTGCTTCTCTATCCACAGGCCCTCAGCAAACTTCTTCCAGGAGGCCTGGCCTCCCCCAGTTCTAAGCATCACCGTGTCTACAGTGCTTTTGAAAACATTCAGAAAGTATAACAGAGTGAGAGAAGGGTCCTCCCCTCACACAAGTCCCAAGTTTCTAGGATTTGAAAGACTTATGTTAAAAAGGTTTTAAAATAGTTATATATTTTCCTCTTTTTGTTCTTCTACCTCCCTCTAAATGTAGGCAATTCCTTCTTTATTCTTCCCCATAGTTTATTATTATTTTCATTTTTTTTTTAGTCGGAGTCTTGCTCTGCCACCCAGCCTGGAGTGCAGTGGCACGATCTCGGCTCTGAATGAAGGAAATGAATGAAGGAAAGGAAAAGCATGAAGGGAAGATTATGCTTATCTACATGGATATCTGTGTTTAATAAGGAGAATAACAGCTACCAGATGTGATTTGCTGGATAGTGGAAAGTCACAGGACTCAAATACCTTTCCTAACGGCCTGCTAACTGCAACCTCTGCCTCCCGGATCCAAGCGATTCTCCTGCCGCAGCCTGCAGAGTAGCTGGGATTATAGGCACACCTTGGTAATCCGCCCGCCTCGGCCTCCCAAAGTTCTAGGATTACAGGTGTGAGCCACTGCACCTGGCCCTTCCCCATAGTTTAATACTTTAGGCTTAGGTTTTTCCTTTAACAGTTCAAATTCCCCTTGCTAAGCCCTAGGAACCGTCCTTTGCAGACGGAATAAGGAACTATTCCAAAGTACTTGCTGGCCGGACACAGTGGTGCAAACCTGTAATCCCAGCACTTTGGGAGACGGAGGCAGGAAGATCTCTCGAGCCCAGGAGTTCAAGACCAGCCTGGGCAACATGAAGAAATCCCGTCTCTACAAAACAAAAACCAAAAAACAAAAAACAAAAATTAGCCAGGTGTGGTGTACACCTGTAGTCCACACTACTTGTGAGGCTGAGGTGGGGGATGGTTTCAGCCTGGGAGGCAGAGGTTTCAGTGAGCAGAGATCATGCCTCTGCACTCCAGCCTGGGCAATAGAGCCAGACCTTGTCTCCAAAAAAAAAAAAAAAAAAGTTTAAAAAAAACTATTTAGAGCTGCAGTCTCACTATGTTGCCCAGGCTGGAGTGCAGTGGCTATTCATTGGCATGATCATAACTCACTGCAGCTGAACTCCTGGGCTCAAGCAATCCTTTCACCTCAGCCTCCAGAGTAGCTCAGGCCGCCACGCCGGGCTGAATGTTTTTAACATTATACCTACAGGTCTTTTCTAAGTTGTGCAAATTCGTCCATGTTACCTCCTTGACTTGCCTGTCTTGCCAGTACTGCAGCCACTGTCTAGAGCATCAGATGGTCTCTGACCGAGGAGAGAAAAGAAGATGGTTTGTCTTCTCTGTGAAAGCATTGCCTTTTCTGGTGTTTTGTGGATGTGCCCGCCTTGAAATATTTCACTTCTTACTTTTTTTTTTGAGACGGAGTCTAACTCTGCCTCACCCAGGCTGGAATGCAGTAGCGCGATCTCAGCTTACTCAGTCTCCGCCTCCCTGGTTCAAGCGATTCTCCTGTCTCAGCCTCCTGAGTAGCTGGGACTACAGGCACCCACAACCATGCCCAGCTAATTTTTGTACTTTTAGTAGAGAGAGGGTTTCACCATGTTGGCCAGGCTGGTCTTGATCTCCTGACATCAGATGATCCACCAGCCTCGGCCTTCCCAAGTACTGGGATTACAGGCGTGAGCCAAGGTGCTCGAACACTTCTTCCTCTTTACATCTCTTGATTTTGTATTCCTCACTGACTCCAGCTCAAGTTTTCAGACTCATTCAGGCTACAGATATTTATTGAGCATAACTGGGTGCTGAGAACGTTGTCCACCCCCTCTCCCTTTTCCCTGACTCCAGCCCTTGGCAGTGTGGACCACACGCAATGCCTATTATGTCTCGAGGCTTGTCCACACATCTGTCTCATGATGCATGTGGGTCTTTATGTTTGATTCCCCACAAACGGATGGCCATTCCATCCATTCTTGTTCCTTGGGAACAAGAACAGAGGCCTCTTTTCCCCCTAGTCCTCCTGTGCTGCCACAACAAAGCATCCAGACCTGGTGGCTTTGAAGCAGCTACGTTGTCGGGGTATATACCCTGGGGTTCGTTGTCGCGCACCAGGAAAGTTTAGGACACGGACGCACACGAGGAGTTTAGGAGGGGAGGTTTAATAGGCAGAAGAGAAGAGAAAGAGAAACAGCTCTCTCCATAGAGAAAGGGGTCTCCAATCGGAAAAGACTGGCTGGTGGTGAATGCGCCCGGTTTTATAGTCCAGTTTGAGGAGGCAGTGTCTGATTTACATAGGACTCACAAATTGGTTTGATCACGTATGGCGTTTACATAGCATACCAGGAAGGCTGGTCACCCCACCCTAATCTTATTATGCAAATGGGCTTTTGAGTTGATGGGCCATCGGTGCCATTTTTTCTGCTCCTTACATTACACGTGGCTGGCAGAGAAGGGAAGATGCAGCCGCCATCTTGAACGTTTCTAGACCCTAGTTCCCGCTGGCATTCACCCGTGCAAGCTCCCAGCCTGCTTGTCCATGTCTGCAGCTCCACTTTACAGGATGCTCTTTGTTAGAAAATGATCTGGGGCTGCTTTTCATGAAAAATAAAAGCCTTATTGAGGACACTCACACCCTTACTATCTGCCTAAGTGATTTCTTCTTAACTCTTATATCAGCTTCAACAACAGATGTTTGTTTTCTCACCGTTCTGGAGGCTGGAAGTCCAAGATCAAGGTGTCGGCCGGGCTGGGTTCACCTTCCCACCCATGTGAGGCCTCACATGGCTGCCCCTTGGTCCATGTGTCTGTGTCCTAATTACTTCTTATAAAGACACCAGTCACATTAGATTAGGACTCTCTCCAGTGACCTAATTTTAACTTAATCACCCTTTCAAGGCCCCCTCTTCAAGCTCAGGCTCAGTGTGTGGTGCTGAGGGTTAGAGATTCAGCATGAATCTCAGGGGGACTCACTTCAGCCCTAAACACCTGTATTCTCTAAGACACTCGTGCCGTGAATAATAACATGGGCATTTGATTATGTTCTCTCCGTTTTTCACTATTTTTAAAAGATGTGTTTATTTCTTATAGTATTCCAAGCCCTGTGCTCAGTGCCGGGGTCGTAAAGAAAAGACAGACGCGCTTCCTCTCACAGAGGGGCTCAGAATTCCTTCAGGCACCACTCACTTTTGGGATGGGCAGAGCAGGCTAGTGCTGCAGAAGAACAGATTTTCTAAAACTGTTAAGCAATATATGAACATACAATTAAACATTATTCACGTCCCATTGAAATACTGAGGGTCACTGCTGTCTCACTGTCCATCATTACGGCTTTGGTGATTTTTAAGCAGGGGAAGTGGTTTCCACACGGTCTCCATTGACTTTCTCCCGCTTGTGAGTGGATGTTTATGGCTCATCATCTCTCTGCGAGTCAGTTTGCCCAGCAGCCCCATAAAGAGGACAGAGTCCTGGATCCCCCATTTTGATGATTTAAGTTCTTATATAAAATTATAGTTAAAATGTCAGTGAACCCAAAAATATTTTCTACGCTCCAAGCTGTCCTCGAGGCCATTATCAAGTCCCAGTTCCTAGTGCAGGATCCTCTCTCAGACCCCAGATGTGGGCTCAAGCCTCTAGCACTCGACCGGAGATAATAGCAGATGCTCTCCCCCCACCCCATTCCACCACCCCTTTGAATAAGATGGAATGTGCAGGCGACCTCCATGAACGAATGTCAGGGTGGGCAATGGCGTCAGGACCGTGCGAGTGCTTTCCTTATCTGTGGTTGTCATGCGTTCTACAGTTTGCTGTGCCTCATTATTGAATAGAGGTACAGAGAGGAATGTCTCTGTTGTCAGTTCGGTTTAACCTTTCTTGGGGGTGAAATATACATACGGAGGCTAAAGCAGCTCCACCTGGGACGCGATCTGCCGGGTTCACTTCTGACTAACCCCAGTTCTGGGAAGGCCTCTAGGATTTCCAGTTTATTGTTCCTTGAGTAAGAGCAGGTCCTCATTGTAAATCCTGTCCTTAGGTTGAAACAACCTTGATGTTATCGTCCTTCAATTCCCTTGCACATCCCCTCTGAGTCACCCTTTTGCTGTAGTACAGAAGGCCTGCGTCTGGCAGGTAAGGGTGCCCAAGACACAGACACGGCTTCTGTTCGCCAATCTTTATTAAATGTTTCTTTTCTTTTCTTTCTTGTTTGTTTTTTTTTTGAGATGGAGTTTCACTCTTGTTGCCCAGGCTGAAGTGCAATGGTGCAATCTGGGCTCACTGCAACCTCCACCTCCCAGGTTCAAGCGATTCTCCTGCCTCAGCCTCCTGAGTAGCTGGGATTACAGGTGTGCACCACCAGGCCCAGCTAATTTTTGTATTTTTAGTAGAGATGGGGTTTCACCATGTTGGCCAGGCTGGTCTCGAACTCCTGACTTCAGGTGATCCACCCACCTCAGCCTCCCAAAGTGCTGGGATACAGGCGTGAGTCTTCCCGCCTGGCCCTAAATGTTTCTTTCTAGGAAACTGGGTATGTCAGCCTCTTTATTCAGCCTGTCAGTTTCCTTGGCCTTTGGGGATAGGTTTGCACAGACCTAGCCACTGCAAAACCACACTAATATAAAATTCACCACTTTGGCCAGGCATGGTGGCTCACGCCTGTAATCCCAGCACTTTGGGAGGCCAAGACAGGTGTATCACTTGGGGCCAGGAGTTTGAGACCAGCTTGGCCAACATGGCAAAACCCCATCTCTACTAAAAATACAAAAATTAGCCAGGCGTGGTGGTGCACGCTCGTGGTCCCAGCTACTCAGGAGGCTGACACACAAGAATCGCTTGAATCGGGGAGGCAGAAGTTGCAGTGAGCCTAGATCGTGCCACTACACTCTAACCTGGATGACAACGTGAGACTTTGTCTTGAAAAAGAAAAAAATATATAAGATTGTCTTTATACCCAAAATCTACCTTTTTGAAGCTTGTAGTCACTTTTATTTCCATTTCTATACAATTCCATTAAATTAGTTTTGAAGACCTAGGATAATTTTTATGATAAACAGAAAATGAACCGAAGGAAGGCACCAGTATTGAATCAAACGAAAACAGTTTCTGAAATCTAAGAAGAAATGGTGCGGGCAGATTGTTGATGTAAGTCCTTACCTCATTCTAGCACTCGCTGAAATTCTATCTTTGTCGACATCCTGTTTAAAATGGAGCCCCCTGCCACCGCCTCAGCCTGCATTCCTCCCGTCTCCTCCTCCCTTTTCTTCATCTAGCGTTTAATCAACACCAAGGGTGCTATATCCTGTGTGTTGCTGTGTATTTTGTTGGCTCTTTCTCCCAGCAGGTGCTGAGGCCCAGGATGCTGTCAGTTTCCCTCACTGCTCTATTTCTGGGTTGGGACTTAAGAGTAGAATGGGCGCTTTTGCTCCTATCTGCTGAATGAGTACATAATAAATGGATAATACATTTTTTTTTTTTTTGAGCCAAAGTCTCGCTCTGACCACCAGGCTGGAGTGCAGTGGCATGACCTCGGCTCACTGTAACCTCTGCCTCCTGGATTCAAGCGATTCTCGTGCCTCAGCCTCCCAAGTAGCTGGGATTACAGGTGCCTACCATCACGCCCAGCTAATTTTTGTACTTTTAGTAGAGATGGGGTTTCACCATGTTGGCCAGGCTGGTCTCGAACTCCTGACCTCAGGTGATCCATCTGCCTCAGCCTCCCAAAGTGCTGGGATTGCAAGTGTGAGCCACCACACCCGGCCTATATTTTGTTTTTAAGAAAGGAGGAAAGTAGCTTAAAAGAGAGTTGTTCTACAACAAAGTGTCTAAAAATGCTCCTTAGCCATTTTGCAAAATCTAAGAGAAACAATCATATTTTCTTATTTCTTTAATGAGACTGTTAATGGTCACAGAATTTCTCAGTTTGCATCTCTTTTAAAAAAATGAACTACATAATTTTCTTGGCCTCACAGCACATTTCTTTGATGAAACTGGAAAATTAAGTACCCTGTTAAGCCAGTGGTTTAAACTAGACAGAATAAACATCTAACTTGGCCCTAAGCAGCTGGTTTAAATAGACCCTTAACCCTATACTACCTCCTTCCTCAACACTGCTTCCTGCAGGTGAATACGGTGATTTACAGCCTTTAAGACATTTTTATAAGGAGTGGCTGAAATTTGATATGGAGACATTCTCTTGGTTTAGTTTTCAAAGTGCTGGAAAATTCCTTTAACTTTTTCAACCAACTTGCTCGGTGAATTCCAGGTGCCAGTCACTGGGGTAGGTGCAGGGAACAGTCCCTCCCTCCACAAACTCTAAAAGCAGCAGTGTTTCAGGTGGTGTTTCAGTTCACTAGCGAATTTATTAAAATGTGTATTGATTGAGCATCAATTGCCTTCCAGGGCCAGGTACTTGGGAGACATAAGAGAAACAAAACACAAAGATTCCTGCCCTCATGAGGCTTCTTCAAACATTTACTGAGTAGAAGAATGTGCTGAGAAAGGGACAAGGCACTGGGTGAGGTGTTGAATGAGGTTAGGACCTGCTCCCTGACCCTAGGGAATTTTTAAATTACTAGAGATGATGAGAGTCAAATGAGTCCGTTAGTCATTGTCAGGGGCTAAACTGCATCGAAGAGGCCAGCAGGGTGGTAGAAACTCATATGAAGGAGCAGGAAAGGTCTCCCCAGAGGGAGAGGATTAGAAGGGGGTGTGCCTGGGCTGCACCTCATGGAATCCCTGAGTCCTGCACAGAATTCCAAACCTGCACAGATGAGGGGTTGGAGGGCTTTTCAAGTGGGCAAACTCAGTGAGCAATGAAGTGGAGAATAGCTGGTCATGATATGCTTACAGGATGTTGCTTCTGGCCTCACCAGGGAGGGGAATTCATTCATTCTTCTGCGACTCAGTGCCTTCTTCAGTGCCCATTGTGTGCTAGGTGCAGTGGTGTTCACCAGGCACAGTGGTGAACAACACAGAAGAAGCTGCTTCCCCATGGAGCTAACACCCTAGAGAAGGAAACTGCACCATCAAACCTGTAAATAAGCCACACACAGGGCAACAGGAGCTAAAGGAGGCGGGAGAGCTACTGTAAAAAGGGTGGTAAGTGTGTGTGTGTGTGTGTGGCGGGGGGCAGGATTTGGACTTGTGGAGATAGAAAGTAGGGAGCCGTGGCAGGTCTCTGGGTAGAGAAAGCAGTGGTTATGAAAGGTTAGTCTGACAGTGATTGGGACGGCAGGAGCTTGGAGTTAAGGAGACCAAATAGGAGTGGATTCTAACTATTTAGGTGTAAGAAGGTTCCAGACAAGTGGGCGTCTGTGGGAAAAGAGAGAGAAGATGTTAGAGGGATTTATTTAGAAGGGAAAATCCATTGGGCTTGGTGATGAATTGGATATGGTTATAAAGAAGGTGAAAGAATGAATGACTCTGCATTTACAGAAGGGCAGATGAACGATGTGGTGGGTTGCCATATTGAGACATCCATGTAGAAAGGCTTAGTAGGTGGATGAAGAAATGGACAAAGAGCTCAGGTGAGAGAAGCAGACAGGGGGTAAAATTTGGAGAATCAAAAAGCATGCTCCAGGAAGTGATTAAACTTCCTGATGGTAAAAAAGTAGAAAGAAGTGTAAAAATTCTAGGTGAGCCTTGAACACCCGCTGAATAAATGGAGAGGTATACCATGTTCATAAATGGGACATTTTAATATTATAAAGATATCCACTCTTCCTAAATTTAACTATATATGTCATTAATGTGTTTCCTGAGGTTAGATACATTGATTCCAGAATTCATATGGAAGTGTAAATGTTCCAGAATAGTCAAAGCAACTTTGGACTAGGACTACAGGTGCACACCACCATGCATGGCAAATTTTTTCTGTAATTTTCATAGAGACGGGGGTCTCCCTATGTTGCCAGGCTAATCTTGAACTCCTGGGCTCAAAGGATCCATCTGCCTCGGCCTCTCAGAGTGGTGGGATTACAGGTGTGTGCCACTGCGCCTGGCCAACAGGCACCAAACCTGACTCATGTTTGTGTCGTCCCAGGCCAGGCACTGTAGCTTGTGTGAAAATTGTCAGAATCGAAATGGAGCCGCTAATGTTAAGAAAACCCTGACAAACAGAGCCGGGGAAGGCCATGAAGAGAGGGTTCTTGCGCGTGCATGCCTGATAACAAAAAGGACTCTCTGGAAAAACCGCAACCTTGCACAAAGGCCACTGCAATCTCCCACAAAAAACTAGTCCTGCAAGGACATGGCCCAGCCACTGGCTGTCCTACTTTGAACTGGCATCGCCTTCGTTATGGATCTTTGTAGCCACAGATAATTATTTTCAAACAATTGTGCAATCCGCCTCATTTTTTTTAAAGCCTTTGCTTTCCTTGCCTCTCTGAATATGCACAAGTTTACCATGGCATGCATATTTCTACTGCAAAGCTCTATTGCAAAATAAATATCTGTTTCTTTTAGAGATCCTCTCTGTTATTTAGGTTGTCACTTGCATGCAACAGGCATTGAATAAATGCTGAATTGACTTAAATTTGTTCTGAGGATGAGGCAGTGCTGGCTGAGAAGGAGCCGGGGTCTCCTGGTGCGCTTTCCACGCCCCAGAAGGTCCGCTTCCACCTCAGCCCCACACTGCTCGGTCTCAGCAACCTGACATGCCAGGGCTGAGCAGGTACGAAATACCTTGGCATTCCTGCCTTGTCGGAGTCTCAGGGCACCTACGAAGGAGGCAACGGGCCTATTTCCCTTTACAGGACACCTTCAGGACACGGGTTTTAACCTGCTCAGGGTCTCATCGCCTTTCCCAGCCAGGCCAGCGGCCAGAGTGACACTGTCCCCCAGGGTTTAACTTAGAGTCCATTCTACCTCTCATTTTCTCTAAAAAACCCCAACCAACCAACTAACCAAATTCTACACGCTGCATATTTTAAAAGCATTTCAAGGTTTATCCTTTAAAACGGAAGGAGGACCTGGGAGGCCGAAGCGGGTGGATCACGAGGTCAGGAGTTCGAGACCAGCCTGGCCAACATGGTGAAACCCCGTGTCTACTAAAAATACAAAAATTAGCCGGGCATGGTGGCACATACCTGTAATCCCGCCTACTCGGGAGGCTGAGGCAGGAGAATCGCTTGAAACCGGAAGGCGGAGGTTGCAGTGAGCCGAGATCGCGCACTGCTCTCCAGCTTGGGCAACAACAGCAAAACTCCGTGTCAAAAATAAAAAAAAAAAAAAAAAAAGAAGGAGGAAATATTTCTCAAGTAGCGACTGCAACTTCCATAGTCAAATTTTCATTCCAAGCTATAAATGGAGATGACTGTCCACTTTTCAGGACAAAAAGCTTCTTGCAAAAGTAGAAGAGCAAAAGCAAAATCCTCCACTAGAAAGCGCCCCCATCTCTAATCTGTAACAGTGAGAGCCTCAGGACGAGTTCCGCAGACGCTCATTTAAAGCAAACTTTTTCAATGACCTTGAGGGTGGCTGTACTTACACGCGGAGAAGCAAATCGACCGCAGCTGGAAAGGCGCTGGGTCGAGCGTGAGAGGAACACGGGTTTTACCTAAGGGAGAGTGGAAGAGAGAAGGGGGTTCCCCAAGGGCCCCGGCCCCTTCGCCTCGTTCGGGCCCCGCGGCCAAGCTCCTCGCACCGCAGCCCCGGCTGTGCAGAAGCGGAGGGGCGGAAGGTGCTCTCAGAACTTTCATTTTCCACCCTGCAGCAGTCCCGAGCCTCGGCTGGAGAACTCGGATGCTTGCGAAACGGCGAGGTCCAGCAGGGGCGGGACGGGGGCGGTGGGCGGAGGAGGATAGGGCGGGGCCGCGGCGGTGAAAGGGCCCGGGGGCGGGGGCGGGGGCGGGGCGAGGCGAGGCCGCCGCGGTCCGGGCCCCCGACGTGGGCTCCGTGCTCTGCACCCAGCTCCTTCCCGGGCGCGCACACGCGCTTCCTCTCTTGAGCTCCCGGGCGTCCGGAGGCGAAGGTCCCGGAGCGTTCACGAGAATCCGGGTCCCGGCGAGTCCGGGGTCCGCTCCTCCAGCTGCGCCCAGGGCGCACGAGCCGGCCAGCCTCGGGGAGAGGGCGCGGGGGCGCTGGGGGTTCTTACGGGAAGATGAGGAAGCCCGACAGCAAGATCGTGCTCCTGGGGGACATGAACGTGGGGAAGACGTCGCTGCTGCAGCGGTATATGGAGCGGCGCTTCCCGGACACGGTCAGCACGGTGGGCGGCGCCTTCTACCTGAAGCAGTGGCGCTCCTACAACATCTCCATCTGGGACACCGCAGGTGAGGCCGGCGCCGCATGAGCCACACCGCCCTGGGGCTCCGCCGGGGACGGGGGGCGCGGGGCTTCCAGCAGGGCACCCGGCCGCGCACAGGGTCCCGGCCTCGGACAGCAAATGCCTCCTTCTCGGGGTTTCCCACTCGTCCTCCCTTGCTGGTTGGGCTGAGCGCTGCCTCTCAGCCACTCAGTGACCTCAGGGACAACCCAAGTTGCAGAGAACCCGCTGGTCATTTGTGTACCTAAGCTGCCTTTGCTCCCGAGCCCCGCGTTCCTGCTCTGCCGCCCTGGGAACCAGAGACGCTCCTCTGTGGCTGCTTTGTTAGGTATTTTCAGTTTTCACGTACCCGTAGGAACATGATATCCTTTGAGATTCACTTGAGGGGTGAGCAGAGCTGGTGTTATTAGCCCCTTTCTAAGAAAAAGTAAAATGAGGCACAGAGTGTTCCCCCCTGTTGGGTTTAGTCAGGAGAGAGGAAATAAAACTGGAGCCTCCGGACCTCTTAGCCCGGAGCATATCTGCCTTTTACAGTTAATCTTCTGCTTGATCTTGGCTCAGATACGTCATATGGGTTTGGGTTGGAGTGACTTCCGGTGGAAGCATTTTTAAGATAGGTAATGAGTTATTTTTATTGTGTAGTATTTGTGACTTTTCAAAAGTACAACTTAGAGGATCTCAATTCAGGCTTTCTGTTTAACTTTGGAAAATAACACTGGTGATTGTAGCATTGCAATGGAATATATTTCCTTCTCCTTACAAAAGAATAAGATATTGTAAGTGAATGAAGAAACTGGAAATAGTGTGACACATTTTCAATGAGTGTGAGTTTTTAGAAGCCTGAAACTCTGAAAGTTCTGACTTCTTTTATGTTAGCATCTTAAAAAGTCATATACCCAAAGGCCCCGTCCAGAATTCTTAAATTGCCATCTTGGGTGTATCAGTATGCTGAATAAACAAGATGATAATGAATTCTCTCTTTAAAACTGAATTAACGAAGCTCACAGAGGTACTTCCAGTTCTCCCCCTCCCTTTTGCCTTCTTTGATGCTTTTTTATTATTATCCCAGTTAACATCGTGACTAATTTATTGGCAATCATCTTGTGAAAACAATGTCCCCCAGGTAAAGAGGTGCATTTCCCTGATCTTTGCTCCAACTCTGTCTTCTGCCTCAGGCTGCAGGATGAGGTTTACTGAGCTGACTCCCTCACACTGAGCATTTGGTAACGATGGAACACACGCTCTAGAAGTCAAATCGAACCCAATTCACGAACCCAATTTGCTTCTGTACAAAGTCAAATTGAACCCAATTTGGTTTTGTACAAAGCTTTGCCCCTCTGCTGCTTTTGCTGGTTGGCTGGGATTTACTGCTGCCCTTGGTTTACAAGTAGCAAGGTTAATGCAGGAGTGTTATTGGGGGACCCTAACCGAAACCCCTGTAGTGGCCACCGTTGGAGGCAGACTCTTAACACACGGTGTGTTTCTGGAACAAGAGCTGCCCTGCAGTGCTGGAACGGCCCCTGCATCGGAGGGAATGAAGCAGCAGTTTCGTTTCCACTGGCCTCTTGCTTCTTCAGCACCAAGGACGTGATGCAGCCGGAATCCTGATCACCAGAGATTTTGCAGTTGTGCTGATGTGACGCCCCAGATGTCTTGAAGCGTTACTGGGGGGCAGCAGCTCATTTCCTGGCATCCGAGGCTGCTGCTGCTTGTTCGAAAGATCCTAAGGGTGAATTACTAGAGCTCCTCAGAACAGAGAGTGGCCAGGCCCCTTCTCCACATTCCTGACTTCCTGTGTACACACTCAGGCGGCCCTTGCCCAGAGTTGGCAGGGACACAGGGCACCCTTGCCTGCCTCCTCGGTGGCCTGTGGCCTGACCGGGTACTTGAAGGGAAAAGAGAGGTAGGAACAGATACCTTTTCTATAATTGTTGGAAATTCAGAATTTAACATTTAGGGGACCCTGTTCTTTTCCTTCTTTTGCTGAGCTCCTAAACTTTCTCTCCACCCCACAGACATTGCTTTTCAAGTTGTTTTTGTTGTAATTGTCATAACCGAGGCAGAATGGTAAGGACCAGCCGGAGGAGGAACCATTTTGAAAGTTGCTTTTAGCCACACAAGGCAGGGTGGGCTGGGGTGGGGGTGCAGGTGTGCAGAGGGCGACAGGATGTTTAATAGTAAAAACGATTGCATGGGGGTCAGTGTACACCCAATGCCTGGCTGCTTGTAGCCTGCAAGGCAGGCAGTGGATGGAGCTGAAGAGGGGGAAGAGAGTTGGCAGGGCAGAAGTACATTACCCTATTCCATTGACACAACAGTCCTCCAGAGGGAGGTGTGATTATTTGCATGTTAAAGATGGGGCCAGGCGTGGTGGCTCATGCCTGTAATCCCAGCACTTTGGGAGGCTGAGGTGGGTGGATCACGAGGTCAAGAGATCAAGACCATCCTGGCTAACATGGTGAAACCCCATCTCTACTAAACATACAAAAGTTAGCAGGGCGTGGTGGCGCACACCTGTAGTCCCAGCTACTCGGGAGGCTGAGGCAGGAGAATCGCTTGAACCAGGAGGCAGAGGTTGCAGTGAGCCAAGATTGTGCCACTGCACTCCAACCCGGTGACAGAGCGAGACTCTGTCTCAAAAAAAAAAAAAAAAAAAAAAACAGATGGGAAGACAGGGCTGCGCGGTGGCTCATGCCTGTAATCCCAGCACTTTAGGAGGGTGAGGCGGGCAGATCACCTAAGGTCAGGAGTTCAAGACCAGCCTGGTTAATGTGGTGAACCCGTGTCTACTAAAAATACAAAAATTAGCTGGGTGTGGTGGCTGGCGCCTGTAATCCTAGCTACTTGGGAGGCTGTGGCAGGAGAATCGCTTGAACCCTGGAGGCGGAGGTTGCAGTGAGCCAAGATTGCGCCATTGCACTCCAGCCTGGGTGACAAGAGTAAGACTCTGTCTCAAAAAAAAAAAAAAAAAAAAGTGGGAAGACAGCAGAAGTTAAGTGGGATTTAGACCTTGGTTCATCCAACTCCAACTCACCTTGTCTCATTATGCCCTTTTAGGGGGCACTTGCCACTCCCAGCCCTTGTCTAATTGGGCACACAGATGTGGAGTGGTTGCTGTGCATGGGTGGGTACATCCAGGAAGCAAAAGGAGGTTGCCCAGCGAGGAGGCAGAGCCCTAGAAGACGTACTGCTGTGCTCCTCTGTGTTGCCCGGTTGCTCAGGACAGCCTAAAGTGGTGTTGCCTGTTGTTGGCAAATATAAACTGAGGCTCCCCGGTGCCGGGCACTGTTTGGGCCCTCGTTCTACAGCAGTGAGCAGGCCGGCTGGCCGCTGCCCCGCAGGCCCTGGATTCCAGAGGAGGGGGAAAGGCAGGCAAGAAGTGAATGGTACAGCTTCACATCTGATCGTTGCTCTGAAGAAAATACGACAGGCTGATGAGAAAGCGGCTGGTGTGCCCAGCACAGACCTGGTCCCCAGAGCCCTGGAGACAGAATGCTCTCCACATTTGTTTTCCTTCCCTTCTAAAGGCCGTGGCCTGGCGGCCGGGAGGCGGGGGGAGCAGGGGCATTACCTGACTCACGTTTGCATCCCCAGCACCTGGCCCTTGAAGAGCCAGCTTGGAAGGCGGCGGGGAGCCCAGACTTGCGCCACTTCCCTGTGCCGGCATCCAGCTCCAGCTGCGTCTCTGGGGACTGGGTGTTGGAGAGAGTGAGTGCATTTTGCATGTGGAATGGATGCACGTCTGTGGGAGCCTGAAGCCAGGCTGTGACAGACAGAATAGTGGCCACCGCAAAGATGAGACATCTTGGTCTCTTGAGAGTCCTCTGGCCTTTGGGTCCTTCTGAGGCACCAGCAGAAGGTTATGTGGCCACACCAGGGCCTCCTCTCCAGCACAGGCGTTCCGGATGGTGGGCCTCCTAGTGTGAGCCTCCCAGCAATCTGCCTGACTGAGGACTTCCCACATCACCAAGTCCTGCTCCTCTTTGTTCGACAATTCTTCCCTCATCCTATCTGTTCTTCCTCATCTTAATATAAACAGCAAGAAAAATCCACACCTTCAACACTTTGCTTGGAAATCTCCTCAGCTACATATCCAACTTCATCACACAGTGATGCTTCCCTCACAGCTGTGGGGCACGACTCAGCTGAGCTCTCTGGCACCACATCCTCCCTCCTCCAGCTTCTGATAACACAGTCCTCATTCAGACCCCAGGCTTCCACCTGTAATTGGCTCCTTCTGGTGGAGGTGTTCACTACGAGGATGCAGGTTTTCTCTGCTATGCTTCTCGCTTCCTTCTGATTCCTCACCAGCAGGGCTGTTCATGTGCACCTTCCTGCCAACCATCTGTTTAGGCCAATCCGGGCTGCCCTCTCATGATCCTCAGATCCTCCCAGATCTGCCATTGCCCAGTTCTAAAGCCACTTCCATATTCGTGACAGCCTCTCTCTGCTCCCAGTTCCAAAGTCTGTGTCAGTTTCCTATTGCTGCTATAACAAATTAGTTACTTAAAACAACACAAATTTGCTGGGCATGGTAGCTCCTGCCTGTAATCCCAGCATTTTAGGAGGCTGAAGTGAAAGGATCACCTGAACCTAGGAGTTCAAGACCAGCCTGGGCAACACAGGGAGACGGTTTCTACAAAGAATAAAGAAGTTAGCCAGGTGTAGTGGTGCGCACCTGTAGTCCCAGCTACTTGGGAGGCTGAGGTAAGAGGATTTCTTGAGCCTGGGAGGTTGAGGCTGCAGTGAGCCATGATCATACCACTGCACTCCAGCCTGGGCAACAGAGTAAGACCCTGTCTCAAATGAATAAATAAATAAAAATTAAAACCATAGATATATTGTCTTTAAGTAGTCTGGAGGTCAGAAGTCCCAAATGAGTCTCTCACTGGGCTAAAGTCAAAGCTTGCAGGATTGCATTCCTTTCTGGAGGCTGAAGGGAGGAACCTGTTTCTTAGACTTTCCTAGCTTCTGGAGCCTGCCTGATTTCCTGGTTTTATCCTCTCTCCGAAAAGGCAGTCAGGTCAGGTCTGTCCTACACAGCATCCCTCTGAACCAGCCCCTCTGCTTCCCTCTTCTAAGGGTTTAAAGGACCCCTGTGATTTTGTGGGATCCATCCTGGCCCTTGTTTTCAGGGTGGTTGACTGGCAGGCTCAGCGTCCCTCACCCATGTGATGAGGGCACAGGTTCTGGAGATCAGGGCATCTGCCGACCACAGCTGTGGCTGTGGCTGTGTCACCTCCTTTTGCATCAGGCTCCTCCTGTGTAATAAGGGAAGAAAGGGGCACCTGTCTGAGCTTTGTTAGGAGTCAGCCAGTTAACACTGGCAAGGTTCTCAGAACAGTGGCCAGAATGAGGAAGTACCATGTGAGTTTTGCTAAACAAACATTGTCTCCTGGCCTTGGGTGCCTGTCACTGAGGTTACACCAGCAGGCATGTTACAAAGGGAGGAGGGAGGCTCAGCTGGGCCCCTAGCAAACAAGTCTCTAATAAATGGGGAGGCCACGGCGAGAGGAGGGAAGGCTGGGGGCACTCGCGGTGGCCGTGGTAAAGAGTGAGAATAAAAGTCGCCATCTGCCACCCAAGGGCTCAGCAACCTGGGAGACCTGGCCATATTGAATTTCTTCCTTTGCTGTTTGGAGTCGAGCAGGGGGCCGGCTGATGACTGGTTTCACCCGCAGAAGGCACAGGCTGATTCACGTTTGCGCTTCCGTGGCGTCCTCTGCCCAAGCTGCGAGGAAACAGTTCCTCTGTCTGTCTCAACTAGAAGTCTGAGCTTTGGCATGAGCCTTGCAGACCCCAATGTTCTTGGTGCCAGAACCCAAGGACGGGTGGACGGCAAAGATGTGGAAGAGAGATGGGCCCAGCCTCTGGCCTCTTTAGAGGATGCTGATGGCTGAGCCACCTGAGAAGGGATCAGGGTGCAATGGCCCTGGAATCTGTGTGACAAAAGGCAGGACTGAGAAAATGGGGGACTCTGTGGTGTGGAATGGAGAGGACTGGAGCCCCAGTCCCAGGAAGTTTTTGAGTGTTGGAAGGTTGTCACGTGGAAGAGGAATTCAAGCCTCATTTGAGTTCTATTCCGGCGCGTTAGAGTAGTTGGAGGTTTGTGGTGGGAGAGCAGGTGTGGCCTGTGTGTAACAGGACGGGCTGCCTCCGAAACTCGTGCTTCCAACACTTACAGTAATTGCCACTGTATGTGGGTCCCTGCCACGTGCCAGGCTCTGTGCAGGCTCCATACTCCCGGGCTACATCCTTTTCACAAGGCTCCTCCTGGGAGGCGTCAACGTTGCCGTCCTACAGACTGGGAAGCAGCATCTTACAGAGGGGAGGCGGCTCCCACAGTCGCTCCCTGACACGGTGCCAGGGCCGCTCAGCTTCACAGCTTGGTCTTCCTGCCCTTGGGAACCCAAGGTCTGGATGCTGCTTGGCTCAGGACCTAGAGTACGGGTTTCTCAGTGGATCAGGTCCCTCCCTCCCAAGCCGAAATGCAAGGATTTTTCAAGGAAAGGCTCGTGATGGGTTTAGGATCTCAGGTTCTCCAGGCCCTCTCTGGCCTCAGAGGTGCTGTGAACCCAGGCTGGGCTCTGCAGCAAATGAAGATGCTGCTTCGCTCATGCAGGCTCTTTCCTAAGCCCCAGGCAAGATTCTGAGCAATTGGTTTAAGAGCTTTCTCTTTACCTGAACAACTGCAGTGCAGCCCAGGAGAGGATGCTGGAGTTTCTGGTTATGAAATCTTGGGCCTGGAGGAGGGAGAATGTAAGTGCTCGTTCCCGTGAAGTTAGCTAAGAGATTGGCCTGCATGCTGTGAACTGCTGTCTGTCTGAGGCAGAGCCCAGGTGGCTTTTGTGAAGGACAAAGGTGGCTTGTGGGTGAAGGTGCCGAATGAGAGGGAGAGTTCAGCTCAGAGGACCGCGAGCCCCCACCTCTCTCCTTCCAGTCCACACACAAACCTCAGCCCCCAGCCACATGACAGCTGCTCCTAACGGAATGGGGTGGAGGCTGTGTCATATGTGTTGCTGCTTCAGGTTGGAATTGTGATGATGCTGTGGGTGGGCCTGGAGAGCAGCTCTCTTTGGCAGGGACCCCATGGCTGGCTGACATTCGGCACTTTTGACTTGTGTGAGGACTGCACATTTTTTAAAAGCCTTGAGAGATTGGTGCAAAAGTGAATGCACAGCCTGCAAAACACGTGGAGCCAGGGGGATTTTATTTATTTATATAATTATTTAATTTTTTTGAGACAAGGTCTTGGTCTGTTGTCCAGGCTGGAGTGCAGTGGGGTAACCACAGCTCACTGTAACTTCAAACTCCCAGGCTCAAGCAATCCTCCCACCTCAGCCTCCTGAGTAGCTGGGACCACAGGTGTGCACCCTTATTTAAAAAAACAATTTTTGTTTTTGTAGAGACGGGGTCTTGCTACATTGCCCAAGCTGGCCTTGAACTCCTGGGCTAAAGTGATCTTCCTACCTTGGCCTCCCAAAGTGCTGGCATTACAGGCATGAGCCACTGCGCCCAGCCAGGAGTCAGATTTTAGCTGGCTTTCCTATTACATTAGTTTCTATTTTAGCCTCAGTCGGGAGAGGCTTCTGAGTGGTTTTTGAGGCCTTAATATGGTGACCCTCAGCCTGACAATTAGTGTTTGTGTGACTGGAGACCATTTGGTCAATCACATGGTCTTTCTACAGATCTGGGGCCTGACGCAGGCCTGCTGCTGGTTGTTGTAAATAAAGTTTTATTGGCACAGCCACATGCACATGCATGCACTTAAATGCATTGTCTATGGCTGCTTTCACCTTGTAATGGCAGAGTTGAGTCATTGCAACAGAGACCAGACAGCACCGAAAGCCAAACATATTTACTATCTGGCCCTTTGCGGAAAACATTTGCTGATCCCTGGTTGGGTTGTGTAAAGGAGACAATGCTTCTCTAAAAGTCTGTTCCCATAGGTATAGACGCTTCTAAAAAGGTTTAATATTCAGCAGTTGTAGGACACCAAGATTCAGTTCAACTCAACAAGCAGCTCTCAAGTTTCTACTGTGTGTGTGTACTGAGCTAGAGTGGAGTGAGGGTGGATTTAAGATGAACACCAGCTCCTACTGAACAAAAGATCTTGGAAGAAATGCCAGTTAAGGTTTGTATCTGGAAGGTCAACCTGCAAAACCCCAGGCACATGTGGGTCCACATGGTCACCTCTACTGAGGACTTCGAACAGGTGCCTTCTGGGTGCAAGGCCTCATTTGTAGAGTCCCTCTGCTTTATTGACCAGCAACAGTGGCCTGAATATGAATGTGGGTATTAAGATGGGGGAAAGAGAATTAATTGGTTGTCCTGGCCTCAGCAGGAGTGGACAAAGCGACATTATACTCGGAGATTGCAGAGCACAGTGGCCGCTTGCGAGCAGTGTGCGCTGGGAGGCTCGGCCCACAGCCTCCTGGAGTGGCGCCTGGGAATCCTGGGGTGCCAGGGGACCTTGCAGGCTCTTTAGTGCACTGTGGTTCAGGAGAAACTTAATTAAGGTCAACTGTGTTTGTTAACGAGCACCTGAGTCACACTGAATGCCTTTGGGAGACAATTTCATGCTTTGTTATCTTTAAGCTCTCTGGAGAAATAGAAATTTTTATTTATTTATTTATTTATTTATTTATTTATTTATTTATTTGAGATGGAGTCTCACTCTGTCCCCCAGGCTGGAGTGCAGTGGCATGGTCTTGGCTCACTGCAAGCTCCGCCTCCTGGGTTCACGCCATTCTCCTGCCTCAGCCTCCTGAGTAGCTGGGACTACAGGCGCCCGCCACCGCGCCCAGCTAATTTTTTGTATTTTTAGTAGAGACGGGGTTTCACTATATTAGCCAGGATGGTCTCGATCTCCTGACCTTGTGATCCACCCGCCTCAGCCTCCCAAAGTGCTGGGATTACAGGCGTGAGCCACTGCGCCTGGCCCTATTTATTTATTTTTAATTTTTTTTTTTTTTTGAGACAGAGTCTCACTCTGTTGCCCAGGCTGGAGTGCACTGGCACGA
Organism: Homo sapiens; assembly: GCF_000001405.40. Lineage (NCBI taxonomy): Eukaryota > Metazoa > Chordata > Mammalia > Primates > Hominidae > Homo > Homo sapiens. The sequence goes on along the minus strand of NC_000013.11, from coordinate 110,552,331 downwards.
TCTCGGCTCACTGCAACCTCTGCCTCCTGGGTTCAAGTGATTCTCCTGCCTCAGCTTCCCGAGTAGCTGGGATTATGGGTGCCCACCACCATGCCCGGCTAATTTTTGTATTTTTAGTAGAGACAGGGTTTCACCATGTTGGTCAGGCGAGTCTTGAACTCCTGACCTCAAGCAATCCACCCACCGTGGCCTCCCAAAGTGTTGGGATTACAGGCGTGAGCTACCGCGCCCGTCTTATTTATTTATTTATTTTTTGAGACAGGGTCGTCTTCTGTCACCCAGACTAGAATGCAATGCTGTGATCTTGGCTCACTGCAGCTTTGACCTCGTGGGCTCAAGCAGTCCTCCCACCTCTCAGCTGGGACTACAGCACCACCACACCCAGCTAATTTTTGTATTTTTTTTTTTTTTTTGTAGAGACAGGGGTCTCAGTATGTTGCCCAGGCTGGTCTTGAACTCCTGGGCTCAAGATATCGTCCCTGCTTGTTCTCTTCAAGTGCCGAGATTACAGGCATGAGCTACCATGCCTGGCTGAAAATTTATGATGCCAGATCAAATTGCCCTTCTTTCTGTATTGAGACTTCATATAACATCCCTCTCCAAGAAAAATAAATTTTGTACAAACATACACACACGTACAAACACACACGCCTAAACAGCTGTTGATTCTTAGGATAATGGATTCATCACTGCGACGACAGAGTTCCATGGTCCAGCTGGCCGCGAACGCTGGCCCAGGCAGGTTCCAGCTTCGTTTCAACCCTGGCTTCCCTGGTGCTGTCTCTTCTGCACCTCACTGAGGGGTCTTTCTGCCAGGCCTCCTGGATCTGGTCACCTTCCCTGCTCAGAGCCCCTCCAGCACTCCCCAGCTTATCACTCCTCTTATCTGCCTGCTGGCACTTGAGCCCTGATGTACGATTTGCAGTTCGTCCTGTGTGCCCTGTCTTTGCTCGGTTCTCACAGGTGCTTACAGCGTCTCTGGCCATGCCCAGCTTGAATTTTATCCCATCTTTCAGTGAAGCATTTCTTGGTCTTTGTAGCAGAGGGAAGAATTCCTCCTTCCACCAAACTGCTACAAAGTGACCTTGCACCCCATAGTACATACTGCTGGTTGTCTGTTTTTCTGATCTCTTTTTCTTTCCTTGGATTTATAAACTCCTTGGGTTTTACTCACTTGGAGTTTTCCATAGAATGTAATGTTTTGCTCTGTGATATTTTTGAAACTAAGTTTTTGCTGAAGGAAACTTTTGAAAGCAGTGGGGAAAATTCACAGACTGACATTAGCAGTTTCATTTTCTTAGCGATGTATTGACCCTGAATGATAAAATTAGTGTGGAAATATCATTGTCCTGAGTGCTGTGATACAATAGGCCATTGTGTGCGTGGTAGGGAACTGTGGGTCTGGGACATTAATTATATGGTATCCTAAAAAACTTCTTTAGTAGCTCTTGATTTCTTTTGAGTTCAATATCATTGCAAATCTATTAAAAAGACTAACATACCAGGACTGTGTTTCTGGGAAGTTGGAAAAGATGTATTTTCCCCTACTCTTCCCTCTAATTACAGCCCAAAACCTTGGATTTTATCTTAAAAGCAAACATAAGACTCTGGAAGGTGGCAAGGAGAAGGCAGATCCACTAGATACCTCGGGAATGTGTTTCAGGAAAAAACTCTAAACCCGAGTTTTTCCTCTGCTCTCACAGCGCCACAGCCATCATTGACACAGGAAACTCCTGTGAGCAAAGGTGTAGGGTTTTTCCCACACAGCGAGCAGTGGATACCAGCTGGGTGTCCTCCAGTTTAATTCTGCCACTATCTACCCGGAGGTAGCGTCTCATACCACAGGGTGAGGGCTCAGTCTCACAAGACCACCCCTTCCTTCCCCCTAGTTGCAATTCCAGGCATCTGGAATTTCTGATCCACCGGCTTCAGGTGGGGGTTCCCACGACCCCCTCTTTGGGTTCAATTAATTTGCTGGGAAACGGTTGCTTATGTTTGTTTACTAGTTATTAGACAGGATATTGCAAAGGATACAAATGAACAACCGCATGAAGAGACACATGGAGCAAGGTCTGGAAGGGGTGCCACGGAATTGGGGTGCCACAGAGTTGGGGTCCATGGAGTTGGGGTGCCACAGAGTTGGGGTGCCCTTGTGGCATGGGGGTGAGTTCTTCTTCACCTTCCTGTTGGCCTCCATGTGCTCGGCTTTCTGGGAGCTCCCTGAACCCTGTTTTCTGGGCTTCTTATGGAGACTTCATTGGTTGTCTGTGGTTGAGGCATGGGCATCATGTCAAAATGTGATTGGAAAGGCCGGGTGTGGTGGCTCAGGCCTGTCATCCCAGCAGTGTGGGAGGCCGAGGAGGGTAGATCACTTGAGGGCAGAAGTTCAAGACCAGCCCGGCCAACATGGCGAGACTCTGTCTCTACTAAAAATACAAAAATTAGCTGCGCTTGGTGGCGCGTGCCTGTAGTCCCAGCTACTCAGGAAGCTAAGGCAAGAGGGTCGTTCGAACCCAGGAGGCGGCAGAGGTTGCAGTGAGCTGAGATTGTGCCACTGCACTCCAGCCCGGGCAACAGAGCAAGACTCCATCTCAATTAAAAAAAAAAAAAATTTAAAAAAGTGTGATTGGATAAAAAGGGTGCAGTCTAAGCCCAGCAAGGCCTGTCTGTTCAGATTCCCCAGGCCTCTCTGCAGCATTCCTTCCTCTAGGGTATGGGGCAGGACCCTCTCTGGAAGGAGGGTCTAATGACCCACAATCAGATTAGAGTCCGGCCTGGGCCAGGTGAAAGGAGGACAGGAGAAGGTCAGAGAGAAAGATTTTGTTCCTGAGGCCTAAGGCACCCAACATTATAACAATAGATTGTAACAATGGCTGTAAGAATCATGAGCTAGGAACCGTGGATGAAAAGACACAGTGGTGAGTTCCCTGGATTCCAGATTCAGGGCTGAAGAAGCTAGAAATTCGGAAATGCCAAAGGGCACAGGCAAAATGAATCTGCATTCAAGAATTCAGCTTTTGTCTGAAATATTCCTTCCTGCTTAACCCAAGCTGATACAAATCAACACACTTAACTTTTAGTAGCTTATATTCTAACACAGACCAAGCTAAGCTTGTAGCTCCAAGCAAAGCATTTTGTAAATATTTGCTGATTTGTTTTGTGGACTCACAAGATGTTGATGGCAACGGATGTCTTTCCTCCCTCTGGCCTAACCGCTCTCCGCACACTGGTCTTAAGCCTCTGAAATAGCTCAGCTACCTACTGCTAGGGTTCTGCAAGGAAGTCAGGGTAGTGTCCTATGAAAAACTGGCCTGGGAAGTTTGGAATCATCACACACATGTTCAGGCCTCTGGGTTCTGTAGGGACCCAGCCCTTACCTGGCTGGAGCCCTGGGCTGTGAGAGCAGCAGGCATTTATCATGCTTCTGGGTGCCAGACATCACACTCAGTGCCTTCTGGCATTGTCCATTGTTCCGGCATCCACTTTGTGTGCTTGGTGTTATCCTCACCTCTCGGTGCAGATGAGGAAGCTGAGGCCCAGAGAGCCTAGGGAGCTTGCCACAGGTTGCACTCCAGGTTGGGGAGTGCAGATTTGAGGTGGGTTTTTGTCAAAGTCCACCCTTCCTGGCACTGAGCTGGTTAAGAGGCTACGATGGAGCCTGGACCCCTCACATTGGAGCAGTGCCCACCGACAGACCCCGCATAAAAAAGGAACAGAACAGACCTAACCAAGAAATCAGGTGAGCCCACCGCGCTCCCCTGGTGCCTTCATGAGGATGGAGGCAGGTGAGACTGAATTGTGGACATTTCCAGAATGACAAGAGTTTTTTTTTGTTTTTATTTTTGTTTTTGAGACAGTTTCATTCTCTTGCCCAGGCTGGAGTACAGTGGTGTGATCTCGGCTCACTGCAACCTCCACCTCCCAGCTTCAAGCAATTCTCCTGCCTCAGCCTCCCGAGAAGCTGGGACTACAGGTGCACACCACCACACCTGGCTAATTTTTGTATTTTTTGTAGAATTGGGGTTTCACCATGTTGGCCAGGCTGGTCTCGAACTCATGACCTCAAGTGATCTGCCCACCTGGGCCTCCCAAAGTGCTGGAATGACAGGTGTGAGCCACCGTGCCCGGCCGAATTATGGTGTTTTCTAATCCATAAAAGAAAAATTGTTGGATCAAAAAGATGTAGCATTCTAACTGAAGTTGCCTTGAGGATAACAGTGTCTTTTATTTTTGTAGTCTGTTGACCAGGTTTCCTATTTGTATTTTGGAAATTCTCAATTTTATTACTAAGAGCCTTGACGGCATAAGGAGTTGCTCTGGTGGTAGCTTCACAGTTATAGAATACCTGCTATGGGAAACTTTTTGCTCCAGGTTATATCTGAAATGCTTACCTATATTTTAAAGTAAGTGTTTAGATACAAAGAATAAATGGGACGGCCTATTTGCAATACTGTTGTGTAGGCTGATTAGCATTAGCTTGTGGGGTCATGCAGGCTTCCCAAGACTGAGGTTCCAGTCTACAGACTTTGGCCTTATAGCTTTGGCCTTAAATTATAGCCGATGCTTCCACAACACTTAATATGTGCCAGAGGCTCTGCAAAACGCTTCCCCATTTTAGCTCCTTTAATCCTCTCTGGCACCGTAGCAGGTAGCAAGGTTATTTTCCAGGAGTGGTGGAGTGGGGATCTGATCTGGGCAGACCTGTCCGAGGATTTATGCACTTAATCTCACCAGCCTGCTGTGTCCTTCGTAGAAGTGACTTGGATCCTAAAGTGAGAGTGGAACTGGAAAGGAATTGCTCCAAGTATGCATTCACTCACACAAGGTAATAAATGTACATCGGGCTACGTTCTATTTCGTGCATGGGGTGCCTGTGAACTAGAAAAGTCCTGCTGCACCCAACGATAGTAAATGAAAAACAGTTTCAACCTGTGGCCTGTCTCATCACTAACGAGATCAATGTGTTAAGATTCCTGTTAACGCTTTCCCCGTGTAGAATTAAGCGCACTTCATTCACATAGGAAGCTTGTTGCGCCTCGTGTCTGAGCTGCGCTTTCTCATTTATGCAGAGCCAGCTGATTCAGTGTGTTTGGGGCAGGGGTCCGTTCCCTTCCCTGACCTTGGCTGCTCTAGTTCAGGACAGTCTGGTTAGAGGAGGCGCCGTGTAGACCGCTGTGATTTGGCGCAACAGTCAGCTTCCTGGCCTTGACTGGCGGCATTCCAGGCTTCTGACATATGAGTCCTTGAGAAGGAGGAACACTTTCTATTGTTTGTGGTACAGAAGTTCAGCTTGGCCAGGCGTGGTGACTCACGCCTGTAATCCCAGCACTTCGGGAGACTCAGACGGGAGGATCCCTTGAAGTCAGAAGATAGGTACCAGCCAAGGCAACATAGCGAGACCCTGTCTCTACTAAGAATTGAAAAAAAATTGCCAGGCATGGTGGTGCACACCTGTAGGTTCAGCTACTGGGGAGGCTGAGGTGGGAGGATCACTTGAGTCTGGGAGTTTGAAGCTGCAGTGAGCTGTGACTGCACCACTGCACTCCAGCCTGGGCAACAGAGTGAGACCCTGTCTCAAAAACAAACAAACAAACAAACAAACAAACAAAAAACCCAAAAAACAAAAAAAAACAGAAGTTCAGCTTGTACTGTTCACAGATGCTCCAGGTCAGTTAAGATTTGTGAGCCTGGGTGTCACCCAGCACCATGCCATGACACACGCTTAGTGGCCCTGTCACACAGACCAAGGGTGGCCTGCAGAGCCGCTGAGTGCATCAATAAAAAATGAGGCATTTCTACTTAGAAATGGAAGACTCATGTGTGACTGTGCTTCCTTGTGGGTTGGAACTGCCTTTCGGGACGCTACCATCTCATGGCATAACTTGAAATGACTTATGTTGCCCAAATAGGTGAATTTAGGGTTGTACCTTTCCCTCACAGCTGTATTTGGGATCAGCAGGTTTTCTTTTTAGATGAATCAATTGGAACACTTTTAGAAAACAAAATGAAGATATGATCCTGTCTCTGAGTCTCAGTGATGTCTTCTTAAAACTGTAGTAATAAACCTTATTTCCAGGGACAGTTATGAAGCTTAAATAAGATGACAGATGTGCAGGGAGCCCAGCATGGTTCTCGACTCTCAGTAATGCAATGTCATCTTCTTTCTCCTGGCACATCATAGGTTCCCTTAGCTTTTGTAAAGGGTGATAAGGATTAAATGGCTGAGGCTTTTTTTTTGGTGCCTATCTCATGGGGTTTCTCTGCTATGTGAAGGAATCACTTTCAGAATTATGGATTGGAATGGCTCTGGTTGGACATTGACTTTTCATCTGCTTTGCTGTATGCTTGGTCCTGGCTTCTGGGTGAAGACTACAGGATCCACGGTGTTTCTGTGGAGTCAGATCATGAAACAGGAATGTAGAGCTCAGAAGTAAATGCAGCATTTTCCCCCACAGCAAGGCTCTAGTCATTAATTGCTTAATAATAGAGAACGAAGGACTGTAAAGAGGTCCTTAACATTACAGGGCATATTTTACAGACTCCTATTGTGCCCTTTTTATATGTTGCTTTGTATTTCCTTCTTTTTGAGGGGGAGTGCAGGAATTTTATCATCTTCCCAAGGTGGCACTGATGCACTTCTCTAGACTTGCCCAAGCTCTGGGGGCCCATGTGTCCACCTCAGTCACCACCTCAGCACAAGGATCTCCAAGCTCCTTCTAGTTTTAATATCCTGATGTGTGTAGAGTGAACACTCAGTGAGTGTGAACTTGCTCATTTATTCAGCACTTTTTGGAGGACTGCCTATAAATCAGATGCTCTGCTAAGCGTGGGCAAGTGGCAGTAGACAGAATACGCAGTCCAGTTGGGGAGACCGACCACAGACAAAGAGCATTCACAATACGATTTCTAACACTTGCTGTGAGGAAGAGAAGGGGGTGCTAGGATGGGCACTATTTTGGGAGACATAATACACTTATTTAATACTTTTTAAATTTTTATGAGTACATAGTAGGCGTATATATTTATGGGGTACATGAAATGTGTTGACATAGGCATGCAATGCATAATAATTGCATCGTGGAAAATGGGGTATCCATCCCTCAAACATTTATCCCTTGCGTTACAAACAACCCAGTTACACTCTTAGGTATTTTTTAATGGAGACTGTGTTAATCCGTGTTCATGCTGCTAATAAAGACATAACCGAGACTGGGAAGAAAAAGAGGTTTAATTGGACTTACAGTTCCACATGGCTGGGGAGACCTCAGAATCATGGTGGGAGGCAAAAGGCACTTCTTACATGGTGGCGGCAAGAGAAAATGAGGAAGAGGCAAAAGGCAGAAACCCCTGATAAAACCATCAGATCTCATGAGAGTTATTTACTACCACAAGAGTAGCACGGGAAAGACTATGCCCCCATGATTCAATTGCCTCCCTGTGGGTCCCTCCCACAACACGTGGGAATTCTGGGAGATACAATTCAAGTTGAGATTTGAACGGAGACACAGCCAAACCATATCAGAGACCTACTTGAGATTTGAGGGTGTGTGGTGCGTCACTTTCCCTCGGTGAGGCGCTTTACCTGTGTTTCCACACTCACTGTGGCACTCCTCTCTGGTTCTCCATGTGTCTTCCTAGATGTCACCCTCCACAGGCTCCAGTATTCCCGTCTGTCTGCGCCACACGTCTCTGTGCCTTGACTTCTTTGAGTTGGTTATGACCTAGGTCTGGCTCCTTCATTGCATGAGTTTAACGTGTCTTTATTTTTACATCTGTATTAGAGTCATGATTTTGCCCTTTTTGGAAAATTATTTTTTAACATGTGTCAAGGTAGAATTGCTTTAAAATCCCACTCATAGATTCAATGCAATCACTATCATAATTCCAATGGCATTTTTTACAGAAATAGAAAAAAATTCTAAAATTTATGTGGAACCACAGAAGACCCAAAATAGCCAGCAAAATTCTTGCTCAATTTTGAGCAATAATAAAGCTGGAAGCATCACACTGCCTGACTTCAAAATATGCTACAAAGCTATAGTAATCAAAACAGCATGACCTCAGCATGAAAACAGACACATTGACCAATGGAACAGGGTAGAGTGCCCAGAAACAAATCCACACGTTTACTGTTAGTTGATCTTTGACAAAGATGCCAAGAACCTTTGGGGGAAAGGACAGCCTCTTCAATAAATGGTACCAGGGAAACTGGATATCCATATGCACAACGAAACCAGACCCTTGTCTCACACCATATACAAAAATCAGGCTGGGTGCCTGTAATCCCAGCATTTTGGGAGGCTGACGTGGGTGGATCGCTTAAGTCAGGAGGAGTTTGAGACCAGCCTGGCCAACAAGGTGAAACCACATCTCTACTAAAAATACAAAAATTGGCCGGGTGTGGTGGCAGGTGCCTGTAATCCTGCTACTCAGGAGGCCAAGGCAGGAGAATCAGTTGAACCTGGGAGGCAGAGGTTGCAGTGAGCCGAGATCGCACCACTGTACTCCAGCCTGGGTGACAGAGTGAGACTCCGTCTCAAAAAAAAAAAAAAAAAAATAACCCACATTTGATTAAAGAGTCAAGCATAAGACCTGAAACTATAACTATTAGAAGAAAACATAAGAAAAAAGCTTTGCAGTATTGGTCTGGCTAATGATTCTTTTTTATGTGACTCCAGAAAGCACAGAGAACAAAAGCAAAAATAGACAAATGGGATTGCATCAAACCAAAAAGCTTCTGCAGAACAGAAGAAACAACCAACAGAATAAAGAGAGAACATCCAGAATGGGAGGAGATATTTGGAAAGCATACAGCTGATAAGGGATTAATATCCAAAATATATAAGGAACTCAAACAACTGAGTAACAAGAAAACAACCAGATTAAACAATGAGCAAAGGGCCAGGTGCCGTGGCTCTCACCTATAATCCCAGCACTTTGGGAGGCCGAGGTGTCAGAGGATCACTTGAGGCCAGAAGTTCAAGAACAGGCTGGGCAACATAGTGAGACCCTGTCTCTACAAAAAAATAAGAAAAATTAGCCAGGGGAGGTGGTGCACATCTGTAGTCCCACCTACGTGGGAGGCTGAGGCAGGAGGATCGCTTGAGTTTGAGGTTACAGTGAGCCAAGATCACACCACCGCACTCTAGCCTGGGTGACAGAGTGAGACTTTGTCTCTAAAATAAAAATAAAAAAAAATAAAATGAGCAAAGGTCCTGAACTGAATAGACATTTCTCAAAAGAAGACATACAAATGGCCAACAGGTATATGAAAAAATGTTCAATATGACTAATTGCAGAGACAGCCAAGTTAGCAGTACAGTGAGCTGTCAGGTCGCACCTGTTAGAATGGCTGTCATCAGAAAGACAAAGGGTAAGTGCTGGTGAGGATGTGGAGACAAGAGAACCCCGCACATTGCTGGTGGGAATGTGAACGGGTATGGCCGCGGTGGAAGACATGATGGTTCCTCAAAAAATTAAAACTAGAACAAATGATCCAGCAGTCCCACTGCTGGGTATCTGTCTAGAAGAAAGGAAATCAGTATTTCTCAGAGATGTCTGCACTCCCGTGTTCACAGTAGCCAAGATACAGAATCAACCTAAGCTTCCACTGATGTGCACGGATCAAGAAAATGTGGTAAATATACACCGTGGAGTATTATCCAAGCTTGGAAAAGGGAGAAATCCTGTTGTTTGTGAACCCGGAGGACATCATGGTAAGTGAAATAAACCAGATACCGAAAGACAAATACCACATAGTCTCACTGATGCCTGGCATCTGAACAAGTTGAACTCACTGAAGCAGAGTGGAATGGTGGTTACAAGGAGCTGGCAGGTGGGTGGGGAGAGGGAATTGGGGAGTTTTTAATCAAAGGCTACGAAGGTTCAGTTCTGCAGGCTGAATAAGTTCTGGAGGTCTAATGTAGAGCCCCAGGCAGGTGACTGTAGTTAACCAGTACCATGTGATAGGCTTGAAATTGGCTGAGAGGGTGGAGTTTCAATGTTCTGTCTGCACACCCATGGTAGCTATGTGCAGTGATAGATGTGTTAATTAGCTTAATAGGGTAATCATTTCATGATACATCAAAATATCATGTTGTACATCTGAAATATTTACAAATTTTGCTTGTCATTTATACCCCAGTAAAGCTGAGAATAAAATACAGCAAGCGTTCTGATTAAAAACAAAACAAAACTCGTCATCCTGCATGTTGTGCACATGTACCCTAAAACTTAAAGTATAATAATAATAAAATTAAAACAAAACAAAACAAAAACAAAACCAACAAACACCCTTATTATTTGGCAGTTCCTTCCCCAGGCTGTTTGCACCCCGTTCCTGCTGATGGTGGCCACTGGTTACTGTCTCCGTGTGTGAGCATCTGGGGTCTCTGATTCCAGATGTGTGAAATGTGGACACAGTGGGGAGAAAGAAATGCAACTGTGAGTATGTGTATGTGTGCATGGCATGTACGTGCATGTATGTGAGAGTGTGTGTGTGTGTGTGTGTGTGTGGCTGGACACTCCGCCTGGCACTTGAAGTAAACTCGCAGTCAGCTAGCCCTTAGGGAAGTCCCTGGAAGGAACACTGATTTGGTTAAAGGGATCAGATCCAGTTGGTGCAGGGACACTGAGGAAGCTGAGCCCCAGGCAGGCGAAGGGCTCTGGCCCAGAGAATTCCACTAATACCAAGATTAGGGCAGGCAGTTCCCTGCTAACTTGGCTGCTTTTCCTGAAAAATGAGAAGTCAGAAGGAATGGAGGAAGTTTTAAATACTTTCCAAATTGACATTGTCACTGGAAATCTTCTAGCGAATCTTGTGTTAATGAGAAGATAAGAACGAGGTGAGCTTTCATGTGGCAGTTGTATTGCTATTGTGCCTGGGCTGATAACAATTTCTGGATTGTTTGAAGACACTTCGTTCCCATGTGCTAAAGCTGGTGGCCTATTGTTTACTTAGCCAGGCACTTTTCTACAGCAGTTGCAAAAGCACATTCTAAACCTAACTAATTCCAAATCTGATTAACTCTGGCCTGTTACCCTGTGCCACAGACCCAGGCAGGAGTGATGTTCCTGAGGCCTGGGGGTCAGCTTTCACTGCTTGAGGAATCTGTTGCTGCGCCGTGACCGTGACCAGGTGGAGAGTATCAGAGGAAGGCAGGAGAGTGGTGAGGTGTGAAAAGATCAGCTGTCAGGTTTTACTTAGAGTGAGGGGTGGTCGGCTCTCACCTTGGGTTGATGAGAGGCTGAAGCGTGGCCGTCTCCTCCTCGGCAAGGTCCTCGGGCTGGCAGCAGCAGAACCCAGGACCCAGCCAGGCCTCCTGAGCCAGATTCTGTACTTTAACCCAACAGCCAGGTAACTCCCATTCCAGGGGCATGGGCAGCTGCGCGGGGCTTGCTGCAGCCCAGCAGAGACCAGCCGTGAGGGTCGGGGCAGTGGAGAGCATGCTCTTCCAGCTCCTCGCCTTCTTTGTAGACACTATTTTGCGTGAGAGAGATACGTATATATTCCATATATAATGTGGAGGTTTTTTATTGTGGTATAATATACATAACAAAATTTACTATTTTAACTTTTTTTTTTTTTTTGAGACGGAGTTTCACTCTCGTTGCCCAGGCTGGAGTGCAATGGCGCGATCGCAGCTCACTGCAACCTCCGCCTCCTGGGTTCAAGAGATTCTCCTGCCTCAGCCTCCCGAGTAGCTGGGATTAGAGGCACCCACCACTCCGCCTGGCTAATTTTGTATTTTTAGTAGAGACAGGGTTTCACCATGCTGGCCAGGCTGGTCTCGAACTCCTGACCTCAGGTGATCCACCTGCCTCGGCCTCCCAAAGTGCTGGGATTACAGGCATGAGCCACTGCGCCCGGCCTCCCTGTTTAGATTTAAAAAGTTTTCTTAATATGATATTTATAATTCAGTCTTGACTTTGAAACAGGTTAAAATGTGCTTTGAAAAGAGCTGAAATAATTTTAGTTTTACTTTATTTGGAGACATTAGCAAATACCTGCACTTTTATTTGATAATCTCATTCTAAACATTCGTTATTACAGGACAACAGAGTATCTCTTGAAGGTAAAGGAGATTGGATTACATATGCTGGCATGTGCCAGTGTGTGTTTTAAAGCTAAGTCTGTTATATACGTGTATTTTTTGGGACTTGCCTGTTTCTGTTAATATCGGAGTGTTAAAGAACATCTCTGAGTAATTTGGTTTTGTCATTGAACTATTTTTAGTACATTCATGTCTGAAGAGTGATGTGACTTGAGAACTAAGCTTCTTCCTGCTTTACATTCATCATTTTTCCAGAAGCCACGTAGTGGGCCACAGGTGGAACTACTCTACCTGCAGTTAGTGATGTGAGTGGTTCATGTGGCGTATGACACTTGCTTTATTTTTAGTTTATCCTTCAGATCATCAAGAAGAAACAACAGAAATGACACATGCAGATTTGGGTAAAAATGCATTGATGTGGCCGGGCGCGGTGGCTCATGCCTGTAATCCCAGCACCTTGGGAGGCTGAGGCGGGTGGATCACCTGAGGTCAGGAGTTCGAGACCAGCCTGGCCAACATGGTGATACCCCGTCTCTACTAAAAATACAAAAATTAGCCAGGCGTGGTGGCGGGTGCCTGTAATCCCGGTTACTTGGGAGGCAGAGGCAAGAGAATCGCTTGAGCCCGGGAAGCGGAGGTTGCAGTGAGCCGAGATTGCACCATTGCACTCCAGCCTGGGCAACAAGAGTGAGACTCCATCTCAAAAAAAAAAAACAAAAAACCCAAAAACAAAAACAAAAAACAAAAAATGCATTGATGTATATTTAAAGGTGAAAAATCCATTTTCCTGGAATAATTCTCCTCTGCCTCATATGTTGCAGTTCCGTTAACTGGAAATAGTTTTAGGTTTGGACTCTTTTTTTCAAAAAGGAAAAAAGCTTCATTTCGCGGGCAGGGGTTTGGATGGCTGTCGGTCAGTATTTGCCAAGCAGTCCTGGTAGTTGAGTCTCTGGATGTAGACAGTCATTAAGCAGGACTGCAATACTGATTTTTATTTTATTACCAATATAAACCCTTGGACTTGCTAGACTAGAAAAGTAATCATCCTCCTTTATGTCATAAAGCACAGCTATGTTTTTGAATGCCCTTTAATTGTCATAGACTATTCAGAACAAAATTAAAGCAACTATAAATGCAAGCAACTACATTGGATTACTGAATTTGAATTATTAGCTTATTTAAAAAATAAGGTCACCTAATCGCCTCCTTTCTTCCTGTGATTGATTAATTTGTCTTGAGGTTTTAGTTCTTTCTTCTGGCAGAAAAGCATTACTATTAGAGGGGTAGGGTTGTTGTCAACTCCCACAGTCATATCCGGCTGCTGGATGTTGGCTCAGAGTATTTTCTTGGTACAATTGAGCAGAGTTTTCATGAGATGTTTCCTGGATGGTGACAGGTGACCATTGTGGGGCTCTTGCCTGGCCAGGGACAGTGGAGGAAGCTTGGTCTCAGAGTAAGAACGTGAGGGAAGTGCACAGCTGAGAACACAGGATGGTTCTTTCACGGTCTCGCCCCTGCTGCCTTGCTGGGAGGAAACAGCCGTCCCCAGGGAGCTGGTTTTCTGGGAGTGGATTCAGGCATTTTGCTCTTGATGCATAGCTTGACTTTTGGGTTTGCTCAGCCTTTCTTTATTTCTTTTTCTTTTCTTTTCTTTTCTTTCTTTTTTTTTTTTTTTTTTTTTGAGAGAAGATCTCACCCAGGCTGGAGTGCAGTGGTGTGATCATAGCTCACTACAACCTCTGCCTCCTGGGCTCAGGTGATCCTCCCACCCCAACCTACCCAGTAGCTGGGACCACAGGGATGCACCACCACACCCTGCTAATTTTTGTATTTTTTGGAGAGACAAAGTCTCACCATGTTGCCCAGGCTGGTCTTGGACTCCTGAGCTCAAGCAATCCTCCCTCCTCTGCCTCCCAAAGTACTGGGATTACAGGCATGAGCCACCGTGCCTGGCCTATTTCTTTTAGATTAGGAAATACCAATAGTCTTTTTTCTTTTTCTTTTCTTTTCTTTCTTTCTTTCTTTTTTTTTTTTTTTTTTGAGACAAGGTCACGCTCTGTCACCCAGGCTGGAGTGCAGTGGCACAACCACGGCTCACTGCAGCCTTGACCTCCCAGGCTCAAGTGATCCTCCTGCCTCAGCCTCCCAAGTAGCTGGGCCTATAGGCGAACACCACCATGCCCACTGATTTTTGTATTTTCTGTAGAGATGTGGTTTTGCCATGTTGCCCAGACTGGTCTCAAACTCCTAGGCTGAAACGATCCGCCTGGCTTGGCCTTCATTCTTTTTTCTAACTCTTTTTTTCCTGATCCATCCTGGTGGAGGACCTGAAGCTGATAGTGTAGCATGGTTGTTGGGAATAGGAGCCCTGGGCTCTGCTTGCTGGAGTTCAAGGCCTGCCTCTTCCATTTGCTGCCCATGTGACCAGGGCCCCTGTGACTGGGGCCTGCATGCTTGTCTCATCTGGGCTGGGGGTGATGCACTGAGCCCCGCAGGGTCCTGGGAGCTGAACCGCTGAAGAGGCAATGCCTGCACATAGTGAGGGCTCAAGGGCGTCAGCTGTTTCTAAAAGCTGTTAATAGTGGCTGGACTCACTTTAGGAACCGGAATGTCATACATCCCAAGTCAGCGCCTGGCCCTGTTCTTCTGCTTGATTGAGGATGCAGCTCCTTATGTCTAGGAGATGGTGTTGGTCCCACCCTGAGGTTGGTCTGTTTATGATGAGACACTTTCCTCTTTATGAGTTTAGTGGCAGCTTCCTCTTCAAGGTGCGGACAATTGATGGCTTCTTTGGCTGGACAAATCATTCGTTTTTCTTTGATATCTTTTTCAGTGGTTACTGCCTCTTTCTTCTCACATATCTGAAGAAGGACAATGAACTGGACAACTTCTTGTTGTGTAAATTGGGTTAGAGGGCATTGCTTATTCCTTATACTGGTGGCATTAGGTTGATGTAAAAACAGTAAAGCGGCCGGGCGTGGTAGCTCATGCCTGTAATCCCAGCACCGTGGGAGGCCAATGTGGGAGGCCAATGTGGGAGGACTGCTTGAGCGCAGGAGTTCAAGACCAACCTGGGCAATAATAGTGAGACCCCATCTGTACCAAAAAAAAAATAAAAATAAAAATAAAAATTACCCAGGCGTAGTGGCGTGAGCCTGTAGTCCCAGCTACTTGGGAGTCTAAGGCAGAGGATTGTTTGAACCTGGGAGGTCACAGCTGCAATGAGCTACGATTGCACCACTGCACTCCAGCCTGGGTGACAGAGCGAGACCCTGTCTCACACAAAAAAAAACACTTGGACACAGGAAGGGGAACATCACATAGCGGGGCCTGTTGTGGGGTGGGGGGAGGGGGGAGGGAAAGCATTAGGAGATATACCTAATGTAAATGATGAGTTAATGGGTGCAGCACACCAACATGGCACATGTATACATATGTAGCAAACCTGCACGTTGTGCACATGTACCTAGAACTTAAAGTGTAATAAAAAAAAAATTCCCATTAAAAAAAAAAGTACAAGTAAAATAAACATAAAAACAACCCCCCCCCACCGCCCCAAAAAAAAGCCATTTTAGATATTCCTGTGCATGTGATTTCTGTGAGCTGTGACTTGTTTCAGGAAGCGAGCAGTTCTGCTGACGGGCTTGGAGGTGGCCCTGCCTCCTCCTCTCTGAACTCTGGTTGTCTGAGTTCAGTGTTCTCCGGCCCATCCTCACTGACTTCTCCTTTAGTGGGGTTCACTGAAGTTCATCATCATCTTGATTCTTCCCCGGCTTTCCTCGGGGAGAGGAAGTGGGGAGGCAACGGAAGCAGAAGCTTCTCTTGGCTGCCTGACTGTCACATGGACCTTGGTGAGAGGAGATATCATTCTTCCTGACTTTCGGTGCCTGTCTAGGGGGAGGCCATCCACCTGCCGCCCAGTCCATGCTTTAGTAGGGGTCTGAGTCACCAAGTTCCACAAAGTGGGAGGGCTTCAAACAGCAGAAGCTCATCCTCTCCCCATCCTGGAGGTAGGGTCTGAACTGGCGTCGGCAGGGCCGTGCACCTCAGGAGGCTCCAGGGAGAGGCTGTTCCCGCCACTGTCCAGCTCCTGACTGGTGCTGGCCGTCCTTGCCTGCGGAGCTGTGGCTCTCATCTCTGCCTCTGTTTCCCCATGGTCTCCTCCCCGGGGGTCTGCCTTCACATCGTCTTTGCCCCTGTGTCTCCGGGTGTCTTCTCTAATAAGGACACCAGTTAGATGTGATTAAGGGTCTGCCGTACTCCATGTGGTCACATTTTAGCTAA
Organism: Homo sapiens; assembly: GCF_000001405.40. Classification (NCBI taxonomy): domain Eukaryota; kingdom Metazoa; phylum Chordata; class Mammalia; order Primates; family Hominidae; genus Homo; species Homo sapiens. Next base: position 110,535,994 of record NC_000013.11, on the reverse strand, counting down.
TCACTTCTGCAGAGACCCTGTTTCCAAATGAGGCCACATTCATGGGTGCCAGAGATGAAGACTTGAATGTATATTTTTGAACCCATAATAATACATTTATGATTCCATTTTTAAACAGAAAGTGCTGTTTCCTGCCCTCTGGTTCACCTTCAAGGAGAGAAATGAAATCCATTTCTGTGTTGGAAGGCCTTGCGCGGCCGGAGCTTTGGGTACTGCTGCTGGGCTGAGAGCATGGTGTGGTCCAGTGGGCGCTCAGAGGCGCTGGGCCAGCCACTGCGTGGAAGGCCTGGGCCCAGCGTGCCGGGTGTGTGCGGTGCTTCACGGCTGCCTGTGAAAAGTTAGTCACTGCACAGGCATTTAATGGAAGGGCCCAAGCTGTGAGGCACTCAGAGCAGGCAGGAGGAGGAGAGGTGGAATCTAGGGAATGGGTTCCAATCTCGCCAGTAGAGTCTCTGAGCCTTGACTTGTAGATCTGCGAAAATGGAAAACAGAGACTTCCCAGAGTGGTTTAAGGATCCATGAAGACGTGACCCACGAAGTGGTTGTATGAATTAGCCTCATGTGTTATTTATTCGTTTCTGTAACTTCACGCCTCCTTCATGCCTGTTCCAAGCAGCCCGTGAGTGTCTGCTGTGGTCCAGGAACTGTACCTGGTGTTCAGGGTGGGTTCGGGTTGGGGGTCTCCGGCTCTGAGCAGAGTCTGCTCTGTGCCATCCAGCATGGTAGCCACTGGCCACACGTGGCTTGGACTTAGAGATGTGGCTAGTTCTAGGTGAGATGTGTGCTTTTCAAAATGAGGAAGAATTCTGAATTTAAATTTCTCACTACATTCTCCATCTCTGCCAGTAAAAGATGTTCCTGGGCTGGGCGTGGTGGCTCAGGCCTGTAATCCCAGCACTTTAGAAGGGCAAAGCGGGGGGATCACTTGAGCTCAGGAGTTTGAGACCAGGCTGGGCAACTTAGTGAGACCTCATCTCTACTAAAAATTAAAAAATTAGCCAGGCGTGGTGGTACACACCTGTAGTCCCACCTGCTTGGGAGGCTGAGGTGGGAGGATCGCTTGAGCCCAGGAGGATGAGGTTGCAGTGAGCCATGATTGAGCCACTGCACTCCAGCCTGGGTGACAGAGCGAGACCCTGTCTCTGTTTCCACAAAAAAATATTGCTGGATATGTCTTCTGCTCTTCGTTTTGGAAATCATATTTTTCCTATTTTACTGTTTAGTTGCTGAACAGCTGGCAGGAGAGGACTTGTGCATTTATGATGAGGTCCAGTTTTGTGGAGTTCACACTCTTTTGAAGCCTGCTAGGAAGCCCCCTGGGGTGCACAGTAGAGGGTGTTCATATTGGATCAGCATTTGGAAAGATAACTGCCCGGGCAAGGAACCCTCAATGAAGAAGTGACCAGTTTGGGTCAAAGTGATCCTTGCAGTTTTCTGAAAAGCCCCTGTCATGCCACTTCCCCTGCCCTGGACATTTGTTTGGCTGAGGGGCAAGGCAGGGGTCGGGGCGTGGTCGGCACCCTTGACCGGCACACTCGTACATCACGGTGGCAGCACCTCTTTGTAGGGGCTCGGCCTCAGGGGACAGCCTGAAAATGGGGGAGCTGTACAGGCCTCTCTGGAGAGCCTCAGCTTTGCAGACAGCCTCCATCCCAGGGAAGCAAGTGAGCAGTCCACGTGAATAAGGCAGCCAGGCTTCCCCAGAGAAACAGACCTGACAGAGGGTGTGTGAGCTCAGGCAAGGTTGCTTTGTTGCTGTCTGGGGGCTGAATTCCTTCGTGTCTGGAAGAGCTCAGTCTTTACTTCTCAGGCCATCAGCTGATTAGACGAGGCCTACCACATCACAGAGCACTGTCTGCTTTCTCACATCCACTGATGTAAATGCTGATCCCACCTAAAAAACACCTTCCCAGCCATGTCCAGGCTAGTGCAGGACCAAACTGCTGGGCACCGGGGCCCGACCAGATACAGTTCCCCATCACGGTGGGTGGAGGCTGGCAAGCCATTGGCTCTCTGGAGGCTTTGGTGCATGTGGGTTCTGGGGGGAGGGCCTGCCCACTGCGTGGGGCCCTTGCCTGCTAGCTCTCCACTTTCCACGTACTGGTGGGGGCAGGTGTGTCCAGCCAGGCCCTGTGCTGGCTCCAGGCAGCCCAGCTCCATTCATGCACCCAGGGACTCTTGTGGGCCTTCCTTACTGCACTAAAATCAACAAACAATTGAATACAGTGTTGGTTATAGTAGTCAATTATTTATTCTTTTCTAATGCTCCTGAGGGGATGGTTGCTTCCACATCCCATTCTCTCTTTTTGAGATAGGGTCTTGCTCTGCTGCCCGGGCTAGAGTGCAGTGGCAGTATCCCAGCTCACTGCAGCCCAACCTCCTGGGCTTAAGCGATCCTCCTGCCTCAGCCTCCTCAGAGTAGCTGGGACTACAGGCACATACCATCATACCCAGCTCATTTTTAAATTTTTTTTTGTAGAGATAGGGACTCACTGTGTCACCCAGGCTGGTCTCAAACTCAGGGGCTCAAGGGATCCTCCCACATCAGCCTTCTGAAGTGCTAGGATTACAGGTATGAACCACTGTGCCTGGCCTCCACGCACCATTATTTAACCAAGTTCACTATCGGTTTTAAAAAAACAAACCTAGAGGGAATGTAGATCATGCCTGTGGAGATGGTCCCATGACTCTCAACTTTAGCCAAAACTCATCAACTTTACAAAATAGAACTAAAATAACCTTTTGGCTCGTATTTGTGGATGCAACCTGCAAACACTGGAGAAAGCATGTCGTGGTGTTTTTGAACAATCTCTGATGGGAAGTGTGTCACAGCTCCTCTAGGCTGCGCTGCTGCTGGTGCCATTGCTGGAGTTGCTTATTTTGCTCCCATCTCTGGTCTGGGAATATGCACTTTTCCTTTCCTCAGGTTGTCACATCGATGTTTTGTGAGCTCCCTGCCAGGGGGCTGTCCGATCTGGCAAGGCAGAGAACTCATCTTAAAAGTTTCTGTTCTCCGCTGGGCACAGTGGCTCATGCCTGTGACCCCAGCACTTTGGGAGGCCAAGTTGGGAATATAGCATGAACCCAGGAGTTCAAGACCAGCCTGGGTAGCATAGTAAGTCCCCATCTCTACACAAACATAAAAGAAATTAGCTGGGTGTAGTGGTATGCACCTGTGGTCCCAGCTACTCGGGAGGCTGAGTTGGGAGGAACACTTAAGCCCAGAAGATGGAGGCTGCATTGAGCCATGATCGTACCACTGCACTTCAGCCTGGGTGACAGAGCAAGACTCTGTCTCAAAAAAATAATAATTAAATAGGCTGGGCGTGGTGCCTCGCGCCTGTAATCCCAGCATTTTGGGAGTCCAAGGTGGGTGGATCACTTGAGGTCAGGAGTTTGAGACCAGCCTGGCCAACATGGTGAAACCCTGTCCCTACTAATAGTACAAAAATTAGCTGGGCTTGGTGGTGTGTGCCTGTAATCCCAGCTACTAGGGAGGCTTAGGCAGGAGAATTGCTTGAACCCTGGACGTGGAGTTTGCAGTGAGCTGAGATTGCATCACTGCACTCCAGCCTGGGCAACAGAGCAAGACTCTGTCTCAAGAAAAAGTAAATAAATAAATAATGAAAGTTCCTGTTGTCTCAGTGTTTGCATTTCCTGGTAGGGCTCACTTTTCAATGAATTGAAATACCAAGCTTTCTAATTCTTACATTTCAATAGCTGCCCTTTTATTTCCCACTTTCACTGGGTAAATTGCTGATTTTCACTCCTGGTGCACCTGGTATTCACCTGGGGCGCTTTTAAAGCTGATACAAATGCCAGCCCCACTCTTGCCCTGGCAGCTGGGTCAGGGTCTGAGCATCAGTATTTTTTAAGTCTCCCCACCCCATGCTTAAGATGTGAGCCAAGGGTGTCCGTGGCTTCTGATGGCTATCTCAACCCACTCTTATTTAAACCAATAGTGAAAACGACACAACACTTGGGGTAGAAGCCTGGCTGTGTTTGGCTTTGGGAAGGCTGAAGAGTGAAATGGAAAGCACTTGGGCAGTTTTTGGTTCCGCAACAGTGAATCAGGATTACTGTGGGTGCTGACTTCCCTTCCCCTTCTGCCTGAACCCTGGGCCATGTCAGCTCCACTGATCTGGCAACATCCGGAGCACCCCCAGGACCAGGGAGAAGGTCATCATCTGAGAATAAGAAACGTAGAAGATTGGTCCACTGCAAAAGCGCCCAGTCGGCCCCAGGAGGTGGTGTGTAAATGGAGGGATGATGAGACCCGGGACATGGGCAGCCCTGGGACGGTGGCATCCATCCTTAGGTTTGGGAGGAATCTCACGATTTATGGAACAAGCACTTCTATTACAGGGCCTAATGTGCTGGGTGCAGCTCCAGCCAGTTCACCTGTGTGCAGATTCTGCTTTCTCAGCCACCCTTTGGCAGGTGTAACCCACATTTTAGTGACGGGGAAACTGAGGTACCGCATGTCTAAGTGACTTGCCCAAGGTCACACGGTGGGGATTTGAATGTAGTCTGTCTCTAGAGTGGGGGCTGTTTACCAGAACGCTCTGCAGTCCCTGCCCAGCGAATTAGCCGGCACTTCCAGGATAGTTCTCTGCGTAAAATTTGGAGCTCCTGGGAAGGTGGCTGCATTCTGCAAATGCCTGTGCTCTGTGGGATCACAGGGTGGAGGCAGGCTTTTCTCCTGCCCAGCAGCCCACCTCAAAGGGGCCCTAGGCCCCTTCCTCTGCCTCTGGGGGTGGTTAGACCAGACTCCCTGGGGTGCCTGTTGCCAGCGTGCTTCTCAGGGCTCCACCGCTCCTGTGTCTGTTGCCCACCTCCTTCTCCATCTGTGCCTCAGTTCCTCCTCCTGTAAAACATGGGAAAGGGAAGCCTGCACGAGCATAATAAACCCTGAGGACTCACACTGTGCTGGCCATGCTTCTTCCCATAGCTAATGCAGCGCTTCCTATCCTTGATACAGGACGGGATCGTGGAAGTTAACAGCTCATTCCCTGCTATAAATTACGAAGTCCTGTTCTGGCTTCCATTTCTCTTGTTTAGACAGAACTTAAACCTCATAAAGTGAGTGGAATTAGCTCTTTAGGTGAACAGACACAATTGTGTTTTTAGATCTGTAAATTCGAGAAACAAACCTGGTGGGACCTGCCTCCTGAGGGCCCTGTGTCTGTGTAGAGGTGGGGTGGGTGGGACCTACTTCCCCAGGGTCCTGTGTCTGTGTAGAGGTGGAGCGGGTGGGACCTACTTCCCTAGGGCCCTGTGTCTGCGTAGAGGTGGGGCGGGTGGGACCTACTTCCCCAGGGTCCTGTGTCTGTGTAGAGGTGGGGCGGGTGGGACCTACTTCCCCAGGGTCCTGTGTCTGTAGAGGTGGGGCGGGTGGGACCTACTTCCCCAGGGTCCTGTGTCTGTGTAGAGGTGGGGCGGGTGGGACCTACTTCCCCAGGGTCCTGTGTCTGTGTAGAGGTGGGGCGGGTGGGACCTACTTCCCCAGGGTCCTGTGTCTGTGTAGAGGTGGGGCGGGTGGGACCTACTTCCCTAGGGCCCTGTGTCTGCGTAGAGGTGGGGCGGGTGGGACCTGCCTCCCCGGGGCCCTGTGTCTGCGTAGAGGTGGGGCGGGTGGGACCTGCCTCCCCGGGGCCCTGTGTCTGCGTAGAGGTGGGGCGGGTGGGACCTGCCTCCCCGGGGCCCTGTGTCTGCGTAGAGGTGGGGCGGGTGGGACCTGCCTCCCCGGGGCCCTGTGTCTGCGTAGAGGTGGGGCGGGTGGGACCTGCCTCCCCGGGGCCCTGTGTCTGTGTAGAGGTGGGGTGGTGGGACCTGCCTCCCCGGGGCCCTGTGTCTGTGTAGAGGTGGGGTGGTGGGACCTGCCTCCCCAGGGCCCTGTCTGCAGTGAGCAGGGCGTCTTCATTTCTGGCTGCTCTGAACTCACGGTTAAAGTCCTGGTCAGTTTTGCTGCATTTCAGTAGTTTGTCCAACAGTGTGGCTGATCAGACATTGGAGGCGTTCTTACAGATTCAGGTTTCCCTCACCACCAGGGGTAATTGACCTCTTCGTCTGTATGTGTTGGTGACATAAAGCTGAGCAGATCACTTACGGATTTGCTACATAGACGAGTAATAATTCCTGGACAAGTCGAACCTAGAGCCCCAGGCTCCGGTCACTCACCCATCCTCCCGTCTGCTTGGCCTGGAGACAGCCCAGGCAAAAAGGCGGGAGAGTCTGGCGGAAGGCTGGGCTCCTTCCTCAGGCTTGAACCCGTGCCCCCAGCCCTGATGATGTCAGGCCCGTGTTGGTAGTGGCCACACAGGCTCGGCAGCCTGGCTCCGTTCACCAGACCAGGGTTGGCAGCTCACTGACCCTTGGCTGCATTGGTTGAATTTGAACCAATTTGTGATTTTTCTCTTTTGCCCTGTTTCTGGGGCAGCCTGGGGCTCTGGCATCCCCAGAATTGGACCTGAGGCTGTTTATTTCTCCAGGAAAGTCCAGGTAAACCACCAGAACTCTCAGTGCTTTGGCTTCACGATTGGTACTGACGGACTCCGGTCTGGGGGAGAAGGCAATAGAGATAGAGATGCCTGATCCTGTTTCCAGGGAGAGGGACTTTGAAGTACTCAGTTTAAGCCCATACTTGTAGACAGGAAATCAATATTCTGAGAGATACAGGGGCTGACATGTGTATGGGGTTGGCAGCAGGGGGCTGACGGCCCGGCTCAGAGCACATTCACAAACTTCCAGAAAACGCGTGAGGGTCCTTGGATTCAAATACACTGTGAATCTGTCAAAGCCAAGTGCAAAAGGTCAAGTTGTAGTGACACCATTTTATTTTCATTGTCTTATGTTCACTCTCATGCCTTACATACCAGAGCCCCTACTCAAATTCAATTAGGATTAAATTCAGAACTTCTGTTCCCTGCGGGACTGGCCCTTCTTGGTGTGGACAATGCGCTCATTGAGAGCAGCCTGACTCTTCCATTAGCAATCCTAAAAGCTATACATTATCTCCAAAGCAGTATTTTAGAATTTCAAATATGAAAACTGCTTGCTTGTAAATTCTTTAGCTGGGGCAACTGCATTTAATTGGTTTGCATTCATTAATGGGTAGATAACAGATTATAGGGTTCAAGCAACAATTCTTACTTTTTTCTGGCTAGCATTTGTGATTCTTCAGTTCCTGTTTCCTTTCATTACTAAGATCTTTCCTTTTATATTATTATTTCCTTTTTTAGTTTTTTAAAGGCAAATCAGGCATTTTTATCTGGAATGGAAAACTATTTTAGGCATAGGCATCAACACGGTTCTCCCTTTGGCCCTAGTGAACTATGTAACAGAGACTTGAAAACCATTCTTCCAGGGTAGCTGGAGTGCCCCTGACTCCGCATTCCCATAGTCACACTCTTGTGAAATCTGGTGGGTAGAAGCTGATGACGTTTTTAGCTCATGTAAAAACCTCATGATGCCTGGACTGTTATCTATGGGATTAGTGTCCCTGAAACAAAAGTCTTAGTACTGTGGTAATGACGAAGAAGCATTTTTCTTTCTTTTCTGTTTTTTGTTTTTTTTTTTTTTGAGATGGAGTTTCACTCTTGCCCAGGCTGGAGTGCAGTGGCGCTATCTCAGCTCACCGCAACCTCCGCCTCCCAGGTTCAAGCAGTTCTCCTGCCTCAGCCTCCCAAGTAGCTGGGATTATAGGCACATGCCACCATGCCTGGCTAATTTTGTATTTTTAGTAGAGATGGGTTTTCTCTGCGTTGGTCAGGCTGGTCTCGAACTCCCGAACTCAGGTGATCCGCCCACCCCGGCGTCCCAAAGTGCTGGGATTCCAGGCATGAGTCTCCGGCCTTTTTCTTTCCTTTATTATTACCATTTTAAATTTATTTTAGATATGGGGTCTCACTGTTGCTCAGGCTGGAGTGCAGTGGCATGATCATAGCTTATTGCAGCCTCGAACTCCTTGGCTCAAGCAGTCTTCCCTCCTCAGCCTCCCGAGTAGCTGGGACTACAGGCATGCGTCACCATGCCTGGCTAATTAAAGTGTATGTGTGTGTGTGTGTGTGTGTGTGTGTGTGTGTGTGTGTGTGTATTTGTAGAGATAGGAGCCTTGCTATGCTGCCCAAGCTGGGCTCCAACTCCTGGCCTCAAGCAATCCTCCTGCCCTAGCCTGTTCTTTTTGAAGCTAATGCCTGCTGTATTGGGTTTTAAAGGCTTTTGATCATCATCTTCTGTAGTGGGAGAATGACTGTGGATTCCGGGGACACTGTCTGATTTCTGCCTGCTGGGGTCCAGTCCAGCTTGACTGGAAACGGATTGACTTCTCAGTCTGAAGCTGACCCCTGGTAGGCGTGCGGAAGGGAGGAATGTTGCCCTTCAGGTGCTGAATTCCAGAGCACAAGCTGCTTGCCAACAGGGTGGCTCTGTCGCCCAAACAACAGCATTCCCAGGCTGGCTTTTCCCAGAAGAGGGAGGTGACCCGGGTAGCTCTCGCACTTTGACCCTCAGACTGGCAGCAGGGCACATTCTTCTGACTCCTACCGGAGCTGGTCTGGGCTCAGCTCCCAGCTCGCTTTCCCTCCACATCCCCAAAGGGCACACTGTCGGCTTTGCTGAAGGGGGAGCTGGAGTCCACGCTCGGGGCCTGGGAGACCACAGTGGTCAGTAGACAGGTCTGTCTGGCTCTTCTCACAGGACATGAGTGTGTGTCTCTGTGGGCGCCTCTCTCCAGGGTTGCCCAAGGGGTGACCAGCCTGCCTCAAAATCCAGGCAGCATCGCCCAGCAAGGTTTGAGGACTTGGCGTCATCAGAATGTGTGGCCATTTCAGAAAGATTGGGGATGGGAATGGGATGAAATTTGGTTGTGCTTCTTGGCTATTTGGCTCTAAACAGTGGTTTATTGGCAAAGGACAGTCTGCCTTAGAGAGCCACATGTGTGCAGGTGTCATGCGTTCAGTCCATGCTCCAAAGCCCCACAGACCAAGGGGCCTTAACTTCATTTGTGTCAAGACCCCTCGGCCCCCGAGGGGTACAAGCCCAGGACCCCTTCTCAGAACACTATGCCCAAGTGCGTGCAGTCACATACAAAGGTAACCAGCTGTCCTTAAGTACAGTCGTCTTGAGCCTTTTTAAATTATGATTGATATGTGGTTCATGGTCCACATATTAATGAATGAAGGCATGGCAGGTCTGAAGGGTCGTGGGCATCACGCTGGAGTGTCTGAGGCATCTGGCATGCGGATGGAAGCACCTGCTGGCCCTGTTGGTGATGAGTGCCCCTTACTGCCATTTCTGCAGTTTGCTGCCAATATTTGTGGTGAAAGGAAATGGTAAATTTCAGGTAGAGGGTGGTGAAAACAAAGATGATGTTTTCTCCCTCATTCAAGGTCATGGACCCTGTGAATTTGGTTTATGACCCCAGTGGTTAAGAGCCCTTGCTAGTGGTCGACACTGTCCACACACTCAGGGGAAGTTGCCCTCAGAGTGACATGGGACCATTTATAATTTAGAAGCTGCCAATGATGGGCCACTGTTGCATTTTGGTTTGCCTAAATGTGATCTTTAGAAAATTTTGAATTAGTTTTGAGTGCTTAAAACTTGGGAGATTAAAATCCACATTGTTAGCTTCTTTTTAAAAAATCAGAACCAGGCTTACTTCTCCCAGGCGAGGGATTGGAATGGGGCCTGGACACTCCCTGGGTGCCACCTCTCTCTGCGCCAGTGCCCCAGCAGCCTCATCCTTGTTCAGAGGCACTTGACCTTGGCGTTCTGAGCTCGAGAGTGGAGGCCAGTGCTGTCAGTCGTTCCCAGCTCTCCCTCCTCTTGGCCTAAGGGCATGGCCCGGGAGGCCACACATGCCCCAGGGAGGAGGGGATGAGCTGGCCTGCAGCAGGTGCTATGGGAGCTTCCAGGCCTGTCTGCAGAGGCTCCTTGGGATGGCGTCTGAGCACAGGTCTCAGTCTCATTCCTCTTCGAAAGCGTGCCCCCGGCAGGTGTGGTTGGGAGCAGGTGCTTTGTGGTTGGAAGATCTCACTTGGGGTTTGCTTGTTGGTGATTGAAACAAATGCATCACCAGGAGCGTCTGTGAAGCCCCTTCCTGCCAGCAGGGAGGGCCCATGCCATGCACAGCCTGCTCGGTCCTCGAGAGGCAGGTGGGGGCCAAGGTGCATGCTGCTGCCTCTCCCACAGCTGCTTCCTGAGAGCTCGTCCCCCCAGTGCGGCAGATGTGTCCAACGATGAAAAGCACGCCAAGGCTGGGAGGACATACCAGCAGGCGTGCTCGGCTCGGCCCTCCCTGCTGGGGGCTCTCACCTGCTGCGTGCACTGCACCTGTCCCAGGAACACCTGCCTTGGCCAGATCTGCTCCCCTTGTGGGAGTCTGTCCTCCACATCTGAGTATGCAGAAAGCTTGTGCTACAGACAGGGGTTCAGAATTCTGCCAGAAAGTTCCTAGGTAGCCCTTGAGTGGACTGGCAGGGAGCCGCCTGCTGGTGGGGAGGTGAGCGGGCCCCCTTGGGGATCTGTGCACTGTTGGTGGGATAGAAAGGTGGTCCTGGGGCAGACGTTGGGAACAGAACAGTACGGATGTGCAGGTGTTACCTGTGGGGAGTGTATTCTGACCCGGGTTGATTTGATTAGATGACTGCATTGTAAAAGTACACAGAGCTGGGGACCTTTTAATCTTCCTTTTTAGCCATCAGTTCGGGGGTCTCTGCGTTTAAATGTAGGACGGTGGCGGGTGTTCCAGTGCCCTGGCCCAGCCTCCCTCTAGCGCTGCTATGCCTGACTCCCCCACACTTCAGTTTCCTCATGGAAAGTGTGTGTGCCCACATCGACCTCGTGAGGCTGAAGTGCTGGGGGCACGGGGAGAGCAGATGCCCACACTCCAGGCACTGCAGGGGTGCATGCCAGCTGGCCCTGTTCCCCGCCAGACCCAGTGACAGACAGCACCTTGTCAGTAGCCAATGTGTTGACGTTGAGCTGTGTCCCGAGGGTTTGATCTCAACCTGGAAATGTTTTGGGAGCAGGTTCCCGGCTTGCCTGCAATTGCCCGCACCTCTGTCTGTTTTAAACCTGGAGGGCAGGCGGGGCTGCGGCACCCACAAGAAGTGCGAATGCTGGGGCCTGGCTCCTCAGGGATTCCGATTCCAGCGTGGGAGGGGAGATGTCCACTGTGTCCTAAAAATATCGTGAGCACCGCAGGGTGCTGTGTGATTCTGGGCAGATAAGGGCAGGTGTGGTTTACAACTGCTGTTATGAACTCAGAAGCCCTCCCCGCAGCACTTCCTGGGCAGGGCAGCACAGGGCAGCTGGGAGCACCCAGGGGGTGTAAAGGAGGAGGGTGAAGGGACATGGGCACACTTTGCTTCCGGAGTCTGCATTCCCGAGTCAGCTTCTATCTCAGCAAGGGCCTTGGCAGTCGCTGCTTTTTTCTGGACATCAGTTCTTGATTCCTTCCATCTCCAGCCATGGCTGGGGCCAGGACTCCTTTGGAGTTGGTGCTTGAAGGCAGGGAGGGCTGTGTGAATGCCTGAGGCCCGTTCTTCCTGAACATTCTTGGATTCTGTTTCCCATCTAGTCTGGGCACCCAACAGCTTGTTTTCTCGAGGGGCTGCCTGCTTTGGGGATGGTGCCCATGGGTGGCACATTCTCCATCAACTATGTTTAAGCATTTCATCCTGTGTGTGTTGCCCTAAAAATAAACATCCCTGTGGGACGTTCCCTTGCAGTGTGGCTGGTGGCTATGTTCTGAGATGAGAGATAACCACTCTTTCTGTCCCTCTCTTCCCACCAGGGCGGGAGCAGTTCCACGGCCTGGGCTCCATGTACTGCCGGGGGGCGGCCGCCATCATCCTCACCTATGATGTGAATCACCGGCAGAGCCTGGTGGAGCTGGAGGACCGGTTCCTGGGCCTGACAGACACAGCCAGCAAAGACTGCCTCTTTGCCATCGTGGGGAACAAAGTGGACCTCACTGAGGAGGGGGCCTTGGCGGGCCAGGAGAAGGAAGAGTGCAGTCCCAATATGGACGCTGGGGACCGTGTCTCCCCAAGGGCACCTAAGCAGGTGCAGCTGGAGGATGCGGTGGCCCTTTATAAAAAGATCCTCAAGTACAAGATGCTGGATGAGCAGGATGTGCCGGCCGCTGAGCAAATGTGCTTTGAGACCAGCGCCAAGACCGGCTACAATGTGGACCTCCTGTTTGAGACCCTCTTTGACCTGGTGGTGCCAATGATCTTACAGCAGAGAGCTGAGAGGCCGTCACACACAGTGGATATATCCAGTCATAAGCCACCCAAGAGGACCAGATCTGGGTGTTGTGCCTGACTTTCGAGGGCCTCCTGGACTCAGACTGTGCATGTTGGGAAGGGGTCTGACCAGGCAAGCTGTGATCTGAAAGGAGCAAGGAACAGCAAGGAATTATTTTCCAGAATGACACCCGCAGCAGAATGTTGGAGTGGAAATGATGGCTGGCTATGAAGAGGAGGTCAACGTGTGTGGTCTCCTCAGTCTCTGTCAGAGGGGTGGGGAGGTGGGAAACAGGAATCCTCTGCAAAGCCCAATCTGCAGAGTCGAGACCCCTGGTGCTCTCTGCCCCGCTGCCTGGCACTGGTCCTTTGCAGCCAGCCACCAACGGCCCCCTTGCCCTTGCAGAGGCAGAAGCCTGCGTCTGCACCTGCACCTCTGACCGTTTCAGCACCCTGGGTTGTTACCACGTCCTACAACTCTGACATTTCTTGTTCTCAAGCGTTTCTCTTCACTGTGAGTTGTCTTTGGTCCTCCCACTTGGTACTTGTATCTTGATGCTTTATAATCCTGACTCTCGACGTGTTCATTTATACAAAATCAGGAATAACTTTGTTTTTATACTGATTGCAGCAATGTTGGCTACATGTATTATTAAAGAGGATTTTTGGAACAACTTAGGTATTGAGACTGAACTGACTTCATTTGCACCCCCAGTCCCAGGGACTCTCTGTGGGGTAGGGTGGGGGGCGCTGGGGAGATGGCTGTGAACTTGAGATACGTCTCTCTTTGTGCGGAAGCTCTGTGAAATCCTTACCAATTGCAGAATATTTAGATTGGCCCATCTGTCTAGTTTTCTTGATGACTTGAATTCCAATAATAGTAGCAAAGCTTAAAGCTCTGGTTCTGCTGAAGTCTGGGGCATCTGAGCACCCAGGTCTCTGAGTCAGAAACCCCCTTCGGGTCTGCTGCTGCTGGCCGTGGGGTGGCTGCTTTATTGGAAGATGTCAGACAGAGGTGCCAGGAGACAGCAGATTTGTTTTCCCAGAAATGTGACTGAACGAAAGCAGGCTGGGGTCGGGGCTGTTTGTTGGGAGGCAATGTGGGGCAGATGGCACTGGGCAGTGGGTTTCATAAGTGCTGTTTTCTTTCTTTTTTTTTTTTTTTTTTGTGATAGGGTCTTGCTCTGTCACCAGGTTGGAGTGCAGTGGCGTGATCTTAGCTCACTGCAGACTGTACCTCCGGGTTCAAGCAATCCTCCCGACTCAGCCTCCCAACATGCTGGGATTACAGGCATGTGCCACCATGCCCCAATAATTTTTTTTTTTTTGGTAGAGTTGGGGTTTTGCCATGTTGCCCAGGCTGGTCTCAAACCCTTGAACTCAAGCAATCCTCCCTACTCAGCCTCCCAACATGCTGGGATTACAGGGTGCTCTGTTTTCTGGGGAGCTGTTCATAATTTGCTGAAGGCCTGTGCTCTCCGGTTTCTGGGCTGCTGCAGGCCTAACTTCTCCGCTCCTGTGGAGTGAGTGCTTTCAGGCAAGGAAGGGAGCTTGAACCCCAGGAGGAAGCACTGAGGCAACCCCTGCGATTGCAGGTCCTCAGCTCCCCTGAGATGTGGTTTCGGAGTTTAAAACTTCAGTTTCGCAACAGCAGCCCATTGAGAAGTGAACGCAAATCAGCCTGACTCGTGACTTTTTATTGACTTGGTTGAATATACCACTGTAGGGACAGAAGTTATATTTATTTTCTATAATGTGTATCTTTGCTAGTGACCCATCTAGGAAATAGGCTAATCAAAGAGACCTTGGAATCTTTTTTTTTTTTTTTTTTGAGACAGAGTCTCACTCTGTTGCCCAGGCTGGAGTGCAGTAGCACAATCTCAGCTCACTCACTGCAGCCTCGAACTCCTGAACACAAGTGATCCACCCACCTCAGTCACCCGAGTAGCTGGGACTACAGGGGTGTGTCAGTATGCCTAGCTAATTTTTTATTTTTATTTTTTGTAGAGATGAGGTCTTGCTGTGTTTCCCAGGCTGGTCTGGAACTCCTGGGCTCACGCAATCCTCCTGCCTCAGCCTCCCAAAGTGCGGGGATCATAAGCATGAGCTCTGGCCCTGGCCAGAGTCTTTCTTTGAAGGCTGTGAAGGGAGAGAAAGTATCATATGGCACTGTTTTTGCAGTTGGTGCTTGAAGGCAGGGAGGGCTGTATGAATGCCTGAGGCCCGTTCTTCCTGAACAGTCTTGGATTCGATTTCCCATCTGCTCCGGGCACCCAACAGCTTGTTTCCTCGAGTGGCCGCGTGCTCCGGGGATGGTGCCCATGGGTGGCACATTCTCCATCAACTCTGTTTAAGCATTTCATCCTATATGTGTTGTCCTAAAAATAAGCATCCCTGTGGGCTCCTTTTAAATGAGTTCCTCTGGGCAGTCGGCGCTGCAGTCTCTCCTATGCTAGCAACTTCCAGCTGCCCTTACAAGTGCTTTTGTAAGGGCATGAGGGGCTCATTAATTCAGCACATCTCACTGAGCACTCTCCACGGCCCTTCCTGGAGCTGAGCTATTGGGACAGTTTCAATGACAGTGCCGCCACAGGCCCCCTGGCACCCTGTGTCCTGGGCTGCATTCCAAGTGGACCTTGGATACCAGCCTGGCTCCTCGCTGGGGAGCCTGGTCTTGGGTCCTACTCCCCCACCCTCATCTCATGTGGCCTCTGTTTCCTTCCAGAAACCACGTCAGTTCTTGGAAAGCTTGAAATCCCTCGGTTGGGCAACTCAGCTGTTGGCGCAGATTTCCCCACTGGGTGTGGGTTTGAGCTCGTGACCTCGAGCATCCGTCTTTCCTTTGTACAAAGCGGCCACTCCAGGGAGGAGATGAGCAAGTGACGGTCCAGGGTTCATGGCTGTGTGTGGTCTTGGAGCTCCCTTCTGCACTTTCCAGCTGTCCATGTCCCCATGCAGATGAGAACCCTTTCCTCAATGACACCTCATAACCAGGTATTTCCTAGTGCCCTTAAAGCCTCGTGCCTGGCAGTGGTGTCAGGGAGTCCTGGGGTTGGGTATGTGGTAATCTGGGTGCTGTCAGTCAGAATGTCCCCTTCCCCAGGCTCCCAGGCCTAGTTTCTTAAAGAGTATGACGTTGCCATTTCTGGACCCAACTTCCTGGTTTAAACAGCCCTGCTGTGCCAGGAAAACAACCTCACATGAATGTTCCCAGCACATAGATCACCCCAGCACACGGGTGCCCCCCAGTACATGGGCCCCCCCCAGCACATGGATACCCCCAGCACACGGGCTCCCCCACCAGCACACGGATCTCCCCAGCACACGGGTTCCCTCCCCAGCACACGGGTTCCGCCAGCACATGGGTCCCCCCAGCACCCAGGTTCTCCCCAGCACACGGGTTCCCTCCCCAGCACACGGGTTCTCTCCCCAGCACGTGGATTCCCCCAGTACATGGATACCACCAGCACATGGATCCCCCCAGCACATAGGTCCCCCCAGCACACAGGTTCTCCCCAGCACACGGGTTCCCTCCCCGGCACACGGCTTCCCTCCCCAGCACACGGATCTCCCCAGCACACGGGTCTCCCCAGTACATGGATCCCCCCAGCACGTAGGTCCCTCCAGCACACAGGTCCCTCCAGCACACGGCTCCCCCCCAGCACACGGATCCCCCCAGCACACGGATACCACCAGCACACGGGTTCCCCCTCCCCCAGCACACAGATCTCCCTAGTATACGGGTCCCTCCAGCACACGGGTCCCCCTAGCACACGGATCCCCATAGCACACGGGTGCTCCCAGCACATGGATCCCTCCGGCAGAGGTGAGCTGCTGCTCAAGGCCCATGAGACAGACCCCATGAGACATGGAGATGGTGCCTGTCTTCCAGAGAGAAGGGGCAATGGCTCTGAGCTCGGCCTTCACTCCGTGCTCCTGGGAGACTCTAACCAGGCTGAGTCCCTCCTGAGCAATGACCACAAACCTCTGAAGAAGGAAGAAGAGTGGGACCCGGGCCCCAGAGACCCTGGTGGGAGTGCCGTGGTGTGGCCTCCAGGTGTTTGGAGGATTTCAAAGGCACAGATCCTCCCAGCCCTGGTTGGTGGAGTCCAGGTCGTATCTTCCCTTCTGTGGCCAGGCAGAGTGGCCGGTGCCCTCGTCCTCTTACATGCCCTTATTAGAAGCACAGACTCTTCTCCACAGTGTGCAGGGGTCTTCCATCCTCCCACTTCACAGAGCTGGATCTTTCGAGCCTCATTGTCGAAACAGGACAGAGAGGATGGGTGTGGTGGGTGGACGCACAGCTGAGACCCTGCTCACACAGCTGAGACCCTGCACACACGCACAGCTGAGACCTTGCTCACACAGCTGAGACCCTGCATGCACGCACAGCTGAGACCCTGCACGTGCGCACAGCCGAGACCCTGCATGCATAGCCAAGACCCTGCACGCACAGCAGAGACCCTGCACGCACAGCAGAGACCCTGCACACATGCACAGCTGAGACCCTGCTCACACAGCTGAGACCCTGCATACACAGTCGAGACCCTGCACACACGCACAGCTGAGACCCTGCTCACACAGCTGAGACCCTGCATGCACGCACAGCTGAGACCCTGCACGCACGCACAGCCGAGACCCTGCACGTGTGCACAGCCGAGACCCTGCATGCATAGCCAAGACCCTGCACGCACAGCAGAGACCCTGCACATACATGTGCCGCCTGCACTCAGCCTCCTCTGTGCCTGCTCTGGAAGCTCTTGGGCCCAGTCCTCCCTTGTGGTCCAGGCTGCCTCCTTCAGGGAGAGCTGACGCCTTCAGAGCAAGCGTCCTTGCGTGGTTATGAAGCTCTGTGTCCCTCCCCTTCACTTTGTGTTTGCCTTGAAGCCACTGGCCCAGCCCTCAGGTATCGGATCTGGAGGGCACCTTGCTGGAGGATATGTGGACCCAAGGCCCGAGAAGGTGCCTCCTGGGTCAGGGTGTCAGTGGCCGGAGTGAGACACGCCCAGGCCTTGGCTCCCAGCCCCACCCACTTCCTCACCAGGCCCTCCCAGCTCAGTCTACGTTGGCTGTTTTCTTGGGATGTCATTGTGGAAGGTCCTGCCTGGGGCATGGCGGCTTGGGAATCTGAGCCTCGGACTTTCAATGCCACGTTCCAGTTGCTGCCATGTGTTTCCTCCCCTAAAGGTGGGCTTGGTTGTTCGGGCTGCAAATGGTGGATACCCACGGATCCAGGACAAGCCTCAGCCCCTTTTTTTATCCTCCATCCAGATTTTCCCACCGGGAGAAGGCATGGGGGCCTGGAATGCTGTCTCTTGGGAGCTGGTCTCAGTTAAGTAACCAGGGTTGGCTCGTGCCTGCTCTTGGTCTGAAGGTGGCAGGCCTGGGACTGGCCACTGTCATCCCCAGTAGCACTTCCAAACCCCCTCCCTCAGCCTCACTGCGTGGCGACCTCATTCACCAGCCCCTGTGTGGCGGGCGGCTCCCATGGCCAGGGGCGAGCTCTCTCTGCTTTGAGGGAGGTGTGAGAGCCCCCTGGACAGAGTCCTCATAATCTGAATGCAAGAATTCCTTTCCCAGGAATCCTGCAGATAAAATGGATTATGTTTGTGAGTGTACAGTTAAGAATAAGCCAGCTCAAGGCAAAAGAATGGGTCCCACCCAGAGGAGAAGCGGGGTCCTGTCCCATGTGGGATGAAATGGCCTCTGCAGGAATGGCTCCAGCTTTAGGGCTGGTTTATGCCGTCACAGGACCCACATCTTCTAAGTGGCCTCCACCCCATCTGCCCTTTGTTCTTGTACTTTGGCCATAAATGCGAGGAGAAGGTCCCTGAGTCACCCTTGCATGTGGCAAGGTCCTCTCAAGTGTGAATCTGCAGGTGGGGTGGGGGAAGAGGGCTCCTGGGTGTATTTTAAACTCGGGAAGACAGCAGTCCCCTCCTGCCCCATCCCATGTGGCTTTGCAGCTGCAGCCTCTCATCTCTAAGTGTTCCTGGCCTCTGAGAAGAACCTAGTTAATTAAAATGGGCTTGTACAATGAAATTGTGAAATACCCCTCAGGTGCAGGGACTCTCGAGTATGTGGAAATGACCCCACCCTTTGAGGCTTCTGGACATGGCAGGTAATGTTATATGAAGTGCCTCGGGTGCCTGGCACATGGTTGATGCTCAGTGGTCACTGTTTTTAGGAAGTCAGCTCGGTTCCTGAAGGGAGTGTAGAGGTTTGGCTTGAATGCCCCCTGAGCACGTGGGTTGTGTTATCTTGGGCAAGTTGATTTGCCATCTTTGGGGAAAATCTCTTTATGAAATGGAGTATATTGTACCTACTTCACAGAGTAGTGGGAGGCAGGAAAAGCACCTGGGAGAGCACTTTGCAGAGGCTGGACCACAGGAGGAAGATGACCATCCTCTTCCACCTCCAACCCCAGCAAAGTAATGTCACCATGAAGCAGCCACTACAGAAAAATGGCCAGAAAGCAATGATTTTCCCTTTTTCTGTAATGCCAGAGAGACAGCCAGCTTCACTTTAAAGCACATTGCCTTGGGGCCAGGCGGGGTGGCTCATGCCTGTAATCCTAGCACTTTGGGAGGGGATCACTTGAGGTCAGGAGTTCAAGACCAGCCTGGCCAGCACGATGAAACCCCATCTTTGTTAAAAAATACAAAAAAATTTAGCCGGGTGTGCTGGTGCACACCTCTCCCAGCTACTCGGGAGGCTGAGGCAGGAGAATTGCTTGAACCCAGGAGGTGGAGGCTGCAGCGAGCCGAGATCCTGCCATTGCACTCCAGCCTCCAGCCTGGGCAACAGAGCCAGACTCCGTCTCAAAAAAAAAAAAAAAAAAAAAAAAGGCACATTGCCTTTGTGACATTTCGTTTTTCATCTCCCTTGGTTTTGGCAGAATTGTGAGAGGTGCCTGACGGGGAGGTGTAGGAGCAGGAAAGGTGCTTCTTTTCTGGGGAGGGTGTACGTGTGCCACACGTGCCACTGCACAGCTGCACACACACGTGCATCAACATCGGAGCTGTAGCCGCCCCACACAGCTGGGCACAGGCCGTGCAGGAGATGTGCCACCCATAAGTCACTCTCCCTCGGACACCGTTCAGCCTTGAGAACCTCGCTGAGTGCTGGGAACAGCAGTTTATCCTTAGAGAGGAAGGCTGAGGACTCAGAATGGACTCGTGGATATTTATTCTTTGGGTTGTTATCCAGTACTGTCTCACTTTCTTATTCAGATGGCTTCATCTTGGGAGCTCTTTCAGATGGCTCCCGTGTCCCTTCCACATGTCTCCATTTGGGGTTTTATTTGAGCACTTCCTTACTTTCTGGCACTACAAGATGTTCCAGTCTCATGGTCTATATTTCCTGCCCCCGTCTCGGAATCAGCCATCTCCCCGAGGAGCCTCGGGTCCTTTTATTGGAGAAGTGTTAGAATCCCAGATCTGGGGCCAGGTGTGCTCACTGCTCCTGCAGGGCTGCTTCTCTGAGGCCCTCTCAGCTGACAGAGTGAAGAAATACATGTGTCTGTACTAACCCCTACAGATATTTCTTTATGTGACTATAGGTGTCTATAATAGGTTAAACCCGAGTTCCTACTGATATCTCGGACTCTAACCATTGTGTCATTTCCCCACTTTGCTGTAAATTCTCCTTCAACAATGAGAAACATGGCTCCCACCATCGACCATCCGCTTAATTAATGGTTCTTTTTTTTTTTTTTTTTTTTTTTTTTGAGACAGAGTCTCGCTCTGTTGTGGGATTACAGGCGTGAGCCACCGCGCCCAACCAATGGTTCAGTTTTAGCATGAATATAGTGTCAGCACTGTTCACTGGTACTCCTGCAAGAAACAACTTTATCCACTAGAGTACAATGCTGTGTGCAGTTCTCTTTGCCTTTGTTCTTAGAGACGCCACTCATTTCCAAATTACTTATATTATTAATAGCACGTTTCCCCTACCGGCTTCAATGAGCTCCTGAAACTTCTGTGGTTTTTTCTTTTTAAATAAGTGGATGGCCCTTTTCCAGGAAGGCAGCCTCAAGGAAAAGCCACCTCCAGGTGTAACCAGAAGCACTGAGTATTTCTCAGGGGGAAGGACAGCCTTACATTTTATTGGCTGAGCTGAACTTATGCTGTATGAATACAAATAGCTCATAGATGTTTGTAGCTTGGTGCCTTCCTGAGTCTGCAGAGTGAGGCTCTTGCTGTACCACGTGTGGGAGGTGAGGATGCTGTTCCCTCGTTGCCTTCAAGACATCTGCTTGGGTTTGGTCTGTCACTTTAAGATCAGCTCAGTGTTACCCTTCCCTTCCTTGTCTAGCATGTCATGGAATTTACTTTCCAAATCATTCTCCTCCCTTCCCTGCACTGTGCATTTTAAATCACAGTCCTCAACCTCAACACATTTAGAACTCCCAGGTTGCAGCGATTCTCTACCTCCTTCCTCTTAGGTCCTGGACACGTACGAGTGCATACATACCTGCGGCTTTGGGCACGTTCACGTGTAGTGACTGATTTCATTCTCCTGATGTCACTCTGATGCACAGGTACTTTCATTCATTTTACCGGAGGCCCAGCCCACTGAAGCAACCCATCCAGGCCGTCCTTGCCAACGTGCTCTTCTTGGGTGGTTTAAAGGCTGATGTGCTCTCCAGGGCTTGTGAGTCTTCCTGGGCGCCCCTACCCAGTCAGGATGGCTGCAGACGCATCTTCATGCGCATTCCAGCAGCGTCTCTGCCAGGGGTGCTGAAAGTCACTGTCTGAAGCAGCTGGGAGATGGAAGTGATTCTGACTTTGGGGCACCCACCCTCTGGAAAATGTGGCACATCATTAGAGGGTGGTTCAAGCACACTCAGCTCTCAGGGAGCAGTTATTCCTGGCACCAAGAAACTAGCCTGGAAAAAATCTGTCTTTTGCAACATGCAGGATCCATGAAGGACAGAGCTCTGATTTTCAAGGTGCAGGATGTTCAGCGGTTCGATTCCAGATGAGGCATCTCCACTCACTATACTTCAGCGGGATCGTGGGCTCCCTGGCACAGATGTCAGGGTTATGAATTGTGATTGGTTTATATTTTATGATCCACATTTTGGAAACCAATTATTTGTTGAGGATCTTTGTCTTCTCATTTATTTTAGGTCTAGGGTGAAACATTTCTTTTATGTTTAACACTGGGCACTGACGCTGAGGTGTGATCCACACACAAGGTATCAAGCCTACCTCAAGTCGAGCAGGGGTCTTCAGGACTGCAGCACACTTTGCGGTTGCCTCCTTGGCAGTAGGGGTGGAGTCTAGAATGAATTGTTGCTTCCCAGCTTCTAGAGTTGCTGTGGTTGCGAGCTCTGGTCTCTTGATCCCCGTCTCACACGCTCTGGGCCCACTGTTTTGCTACAGCTATTGCTGTGGTGACTGGCCATGAGCAGGTGTGGCCTGACACACCGTGTCTCAGCTCTGCCTGGTTCTCTACCACCTCCACCTGGCATCTGGCAGGAGCCCACTCAGCCATGCTGGTGTGTGGTGCACCTGGGAGTGTGAGGGAATTAGCACCCTCAGGCAACCCCTGACCAGTCGAGACCGCAGCTGATGGAGAACACTTCCCTTTCCAAGCCATGGCTGGACCATCTGAGGATCCTTCCTTGGTGGATCCCCAGCAGGATCAAGCCTAAACAGCCCACAGTGGTAACCCCCTTAGTCCCATGTCCTTGAGTTGGCTTTTCTTCTTCCTGGTATCACCCCCTCCAGGTCCCACTCAGGCTTCCTGATATCGCCTTCCCATATAGCCGTGCTGTGTAGAGGTCGTGGCCTCAGCCAGCTTCTGGGGGAACACGCGCCAGGGCGGCTGCGTATCTATTTCAAATAACATTATAAGGTAGGATACTTATTTCATAATGTGAACCTTTTTCTTAGGAAAACTTCAATTTGAGATTGCATTTCAGAGGGTCAAAATAAACTGTGAGTTGAATCTCGGAGATTGTTTCTTTGAAATACTGAGCTTTGACTTGGGAAGTTATGTGGGATCTTTTTTTTTTTGTAGACATGGATCTCACTATATCGTCCAGGCTGGTCTCAAACTCCTAGGCTCAAGTGATCCTCCCACCTCAGCCTCCCAAAGTGTTGGGATTACAGATGTGAGACACTGCACCCAGCCTATGTTGGAACAAATTGAATGACTTACATTTGTGAAGTACCCTTTCTCCAAATTCCCACAAGTGCTGGTTCAGGTGTTTTCTTTTCTTTTTTTTTTTTTTTTTTTTAGATGGAGTTTCACTTTTGTTGCCCAGGCTGGAGTGCAGTGGCACGATCTCAGCTCACCGCAACCTCTGCCTCCCGGGTTCAAGTGATTCTCCTGCCTCAGCCTCCCGAGTAGCTGAGATTACAATCACCGGAAAATTTTTATGTTTTTAGTAGAGACGGGGTTTCACCATGTTGGCCAGGCTGGTCTCGAACTCCTGACCTCAGGTGATCCAGCTGCCTCGGCCTCCCAAAGTGTTGGGATTACAGGCGTGAGCCAGCACGCATGGCCTGGTTGGGGTGTTTTCTGTAAGCATTAGTGAGTTATAAACAAACACATTCCCCGAGAAATGGCTGTAATACCACGAATGGGTTCAACTCTACTGAGATGGATTAAAAACAGCAGCGTGGGCGGACGCTGTGCCTCGCATCCATCTGAGCAGACGTTTTGCTCTATGGACACGAGATTAAGGCGGTCAACAACTCGGGGTTTAAAAATATTCAGAACCAAGTTTTATTTTGTAGTCGTTACACAGGAGGGGGCAGTCAGAAGAGTACAGCTCACCCCCAGCAGTGGAGGGGTTAAATCTCAGGGACAACGTGGGGCAGTGGGGACAGCACCTCCGACCCTATGGGGTGTACCTTCAAGTAGCAAGGCTGACAATGATGTCTAGAAAGGTCTCCACTTCTGCCTGAGTTTTGCCAAACCCAGTGGTCTATAGGGATGTGGCAAAAGAATGACCTACCGCAGTGTGATTATCAGTGTTTTTTAAAATAAAGAGCACGGTTTTGCCTTTAAAATAATTCACATCAACGGTATTTGGGAGAACATGGAGCTGGCATAACATTGGCGTAGAAAGCAGGGCCAGGCCCACCCACGGGGCCCTCGTGTGGGGACGGGTGCCTGAGGCCCTGAGCCCCTCGAGCCTCTGGCCACGGCTGGCTGCCTGTGTGCTGTTGTCTCGTCTGTCCCACCCCGAGAAGGGAGTTGAACAATGTGAGTTGTCTGTGGCATTGGAAAGTGCAGTGGTTACATGGGTGTGTGCGAAGTGGTTAGCTGTGCCTTCAGGCGGTGCGTCTAGCAGGGCTGATGGGGGCCAGGGCTGCTCCTGGCTTTCTGTGGGCAGGGCTTGCCCTCCAGGGACCCCGAGTGCTTGCACCCGCTCGGTGACAGTGGCTGGCAGGTCTAAGTGCTGCTGCTGGATGCAAATTCCTTTGGTAGACTTTTTTTTTTTTAAGAAAAAAATAAAACCAATTTTTGGGTTGGCACCTGAGGTAATAAGTTAAGAATAAGCACCAAAATGGCCCTTCCTGGCACGCGCCGGCTCACAGGTTCTTCATGCACACCTGGCAGCGGCTGATGTGTGTGCGGATGAGGCCGGCCTTGAGCGTGTCGGCGGAGGGCGAGCCCTGGAAGCTCTGCTCGGGAATGGTGGTCAGCCAGAAGCTGTACTTGTTGGCGTAGTAGTGGCAGGTGCCGCGGCCTCCATTGCATTCGATGAATGGTGTGGCGCGGAAGTCCTCTAGACAGCTGCCCGGTGACACCAGTGATTGGCCACCGCCTTCGTCTCCCGCCGCCGTGTGCTGCACAGAGAGGGGGGCAGGACAGGGTTAGGAATCACAGCCTGCAGGTGGCACGGGGTCAGGGCATAGCCCTCTTCTGTGCATTTGTTTTTACTGAACAGCAAACCATGAGTGTCAATACGGACATGAGGCATCCTCGCGAATGCGCCTTCAGCAAGAGGGGGCTGGTGAAATACACATGGGCCCCCTGCAGGAGGCAGCCCCAGGCACCAGGACGTGCTGCAGAGGCAGCTGCATGGACACTAATTCACAGCCAGGCTGGCCGTTCGGTAAGAACTAGAGCCGTGACAGCAGATACGAGCGGTAGATATAATCCACTGCATTTCAGTAACAAAACAAAACATCTGCCTAATCATCCATTCAAAGAAAAATACCTGGCAGAAGAGATAACACAATGTTTACTCTTTTTAGAAGAAAAAAATAAAATTAAGATGTAGGCTGGCATCTGAGGCTAATAAGTTAAAAATAATCACCCAGCCAGGCCTCCCAGCTCCTTCTCTGAAAATGCTGATGATCAGGGAGGAAAGATGAGTGGTTTTATTTTTTTTTTTAAATCTGTACTTGCTGATTTTTCACAATAAATATGTATTACTTGTGTAATTAAATATATATTTTTTCAATCAGAGGTTGTTAAATAGTTGATTCTGAGGCTGGCTGGGAGATGGCTGAGGTCTTCAAGGAAGCCTTTTTTTTTTTTTCATTTTAAAGTTCTACTTTCTGTTGCATCAACATGTTTAGCCTTTATGGAAGCGCACGGCAGGCCTCCTGGATCCCAGAGTTGGTGTATAAGGGCCATTTGGCTTGGCTGAGCAGGCTTTGAGTGGTAAGTGGGCTTTGGAATCTGTTTACTTAGAATAGAAATATCTCAGTTCAGTTTGCAGGGAAAAAAGGGGCTGTTCTATGATATATTTGGGCAGGGGCCCCAGTTTAAGCTTTCCTTTAAATACAAAAAAAAACCCAAAAACCTTTAAAAAGTGTTCTGCTCACATAAGGCAGAAGCCTGTCCAGCCCTGAGCTGCCTGCTCTTGTCTGCTAATGAGCAGGTAATAAGAAGTGGAGACGTCCTCCAGGGCACCTCCGGCTTCACTTTGGTCTGAAGGAGCTGAGGCCATGCTGGGAGCTGCCCAAAGGAGACACCTGGGACTCCCAGAACGAGGTCAGAAGGGAGCACAATGTGAGAAGTCTTAGAGGCTGGCACCAGCCAGGTAAGAGCTGAGTTTGCTGCGCACACACACATGCATACATGCACACATGCACACACATGGTGTACACTCATGCACACACACAAATGCACGCATGTACACACACACACACACAGTGCATGCTTGTGTACACACCCCTATGCACACACGTGCATAAGTGCACACAGTCCAGGCACACGCACCCTTTCCAATGTGCTTCTCTCAGTGGACAAACCTCTGGCTTGGTACTCATAGCAGCTCATGTATCTTAAGAGAATTGCCTGGACGAGAGGCTGACCTGGAGAAGGGGCTGTGAGGGCTCCAGATAGTAGCCAGAATTGAAAAAAGAGGAACTAAAATAACGGCTGGCTAGATACTTGTAGCCTCTGCCAGAGCAGCTTTGAGAGAGGCCACCGAGGGGAGGGGAGGAAAATGACTTTTGCTGCTGCAGTCTGCATCCGGGGCTCTGCCCTTGTCCTCCCTCCCACGTGGCGCTCGCTTGTAGGGAATGCAGAAAATGCATCCTCTGGGGCCACCCATCCTCACGGACAAAAGAAGGGTGAGCCAGGCGCTAGCCTCAGCACTGCTCTCGCCTTCTGCGTACCCACTGGGGACGGTGGGGCAGTTGCTCTCAGCCAAGCTGTCCTCTCCTCTCCAAAGTCAGCTCTTATTATGCTGAGATGCCAGCAGCCCTAGTGGTACCATATGCTTGTCACCACACAGAAGGGATCAAAGAGTATTTAAAGTGCAGACGAGGCACACAGCTGTCTTGGTTTAGGTCCTGCCTCCTAGACGGCAGTCAGGGCACATCTGGAGGGGGCACATCTCCAGTACACAGATGTGTCTGCTCACTTATCCATTGTCAGGGACAATGGGGACTTTCTGTTCTCAGAAGTCAAGGTACTTCTGGCCCATCTGTCCTGACCCAGGAGCCGTCTCAACCCATGCCTTTTGGGGATGTCAAGTTCCAGGCTTGCTGGGGCTGTCAGCCATTTATGTAAGCAGAGAGTTACGTGTGCAGAGGATAATGTCTGCTTATCTCGTGACAGTCATTTGAAACCTGATGCTAATGGAACAGGGGATGCCTGACCTTTCTGGATACTGTGTAATCATGCCCTTCACAAGGGAGAGGCTCATTTATTTTGAATTTAACAACGGGAGTGAAAAAAACAGGAGCAACCAAAGCTTACTTCCTGACACAGGGGCACCCTGAAGGTCACTGTGAAACAAAAGAAGGTTGCTCCAAAGTCACCTTCCATGATAAGCTTCTGGAAAGGTAGAAATTGTGCCTGTCCCTGCCCAGGATTTAGCATCCTGTTGCTCCAACTTATCATAGCAACGATACCTATTAAAATGCCAATACTTGTTTATCTTTTCCTTCCTTTCCTAGAATCCGGATTTTTTTTCCTGTTGTTTTGAAAGATTAGCAATCACTATGTAATTTATATTTTATGTTGTGTGTGTGTGTGTGTGTGTGTGTGTATATATATATATATATATATATATAATTTATGAAATATTTAACATGCTGGGCATCCAATCCATATAGCTGGAGTTATGACAGTTATAATGCATATAAATAAACTCACTGGAAGACCCACTGTCCTCAGTGAGACTTTCTTTTCTCCCTACAATAGTATACAGATGGTCCCTGATTTACCATGGTTAGACTTAGGATTTTTGAGTTTTCGATGGTGCAAAAGCAATATGTATTCAATTCACTATTTGATTTTTGGTGGGGTTACATCCAGATAAACCCATCATAAATTGAAAACGCACTTTCAACTTATAGTATCTTCATCTTACAATGAATTTATCGGGACGGGACCCTATTCCAAGTTGAGGAGCCTCTGCTTTAATAGGCAATATTGCAAGAGACACTATGGTGCTGTGGTCTCTCCCCTGGAGGTTAAGCTAAACCTAATCTGGCCAAAGCTGAGGGTTCTCTATTTTATACCCAAAGGCGATCCGGAAGGGTGGGCGGTGCCTTCCCAGGTCCTGGTTGTGCACCTTCTCCTGGCTTTCAAAGTATCCACAGGCTCTCTATTTTATACCCAAAGGTATTCCAGAATTTTCCTCACGAATATATATCCATTTTAAGCCAGCCAGTTAATAGGTATTTCTTCAGGGTATTCTAGGTTCCAGATAGATTCTAAATAAGATCAGGATTCTAGAGAAAAGTCTCCCATATATTTAGACTTCTGGTAAACCCAAAGCAGCTGCACCTTTGGTGTTGGTGTTGTACCTAGTAAGACGGATAACAGGCAAGTTCGTCCTGGTTACACTCCTTACAAAGGCCTGGTGGCAAATTAATGAGCCCTTTCTGGGTGGAGGAAGCCCTGTGCCCAGCATGTGGCTCAGTTAGCCAAGTGTAAGCTGTGTTCCAGCTCTCGCTCGCTTCCTGGGCCAACTACCCTTGTGCAGTGCACACCCTGGACTGCCGTGTCTGATTCTTCTCACAAAGGCAGCTGTTCTTGCTGTGTCCCCAGCAGGGTGTGGTTGGGGAGGGGAACTGGGCAAATACCACATACCATGAGGAAGGAATATCCGATCCACAAACTCCGCCACCCAGCTGGGCAGTGTGGGATGGAGACATCCTGACTGTGGACCGCGATGGCGATGGCCGGGGCCTCACACACAGAACAGCGGCTGATGTAGGGCTTGATCTCGTCCTCGGCCACGGGCATCATGGGCAGCGGCGCAGTGGTAGAGAGCCAGTAGGACTTGTCGTTCCGGCTGGCATAGTAGCAGACATCACCAGGGTTGCAGTACAGGAAGGGCATGGTGCTGAACCGCGCCAGGCAGGAGCCCGCCAGCCCTGTGGAAGGAGGGGTCATGAGATCACAGTGCAGTGTGGCTAGAAGACGCACCTGCCAGCCCCAGCCAGGCCCAGGAGGCTGTGTGTCACGGACTCGCCCCAGGGCACCTGGTGGAGTTTAGCCACCTACTGGAGGGCCAGGCTAAGGCTTCCCAATTTCTTTCTTTTTCTCTTTTTGATCAGACTCCACTGGCATTTTGGAACAGCTCTGTTCTTCTACAAGTTCTCACACATACTGGGCCAAGTTGGATCACCAGGGAGTGGCGTCTTCATGGAATAGCATTTTGGGTGAGCCTTACCTTAGTGGGGTCTTAACAGCACTGGCCCCAAGAAAACTCTGATGGCCTCCAAGGGGTCGCTCTTTGACCCCAAGGAGCCACCCCAGAAGGAGTCCTGGCCCTTCTCCCTTCCATGTAGCTTTATTGCTTCTGGAGACTAAGATAGCCTTTATCTCCTGGCCACAACGAATGCTGCAGCTAAGCAGGTTTCCCTCTTCACATGGATTGCTGAAAAGCTCAGACCCAGAAGTGCAGCCACCTTTAGCAAACATGCCCGGTGCTAGGCTGCCTCCTTGGCCCTGTTCCTAGATCTATTTTTGGCCCTTATCCTTGGCGGCCTTTGCCCCGTTGTTCTTTAGAAACTCATTGTGGAGGCGGGGCGCACAGGCAGGAATGTGAAGGCACCATGAGCCAGCAACATGCTTCCCGGGGGCAGAACGCCTGATGTAACCTGCACCGAGGAGGCAGAACACAGCCAGTATCCCAGAGACCCTTCCCGTCACCCCCTCAAAGAGGACCTCAGACTAAGCTACCTCCACTTGTAATTTGTGTGTATTGCATTTTCTGTATTCGAAGTCGCGTTAATGCCTTTCAAAGGCTTCCTTAAATAAGAGCATGCACACGTGTCCATGGGTCCATTTTCCTCGGGGGGCTGTATGGGAGAGTCTTACATGAACCCCAGCCCCTCATGGCCCCTGCCTGACTCCAAGTCTACAGAACTTGGGTCAAAAACAAGAAGGAGGTGAAGTAATTGGTGGTCTCCACTGGAGAGGGGTCGGGGGTCAGACGGGTCACATGGGAGCCTGCGGAAGTCAATACCAGGTTAAAAGGCAGGTCCCTGTGTTAAGGTCCTGAGGTTTAAGGGCTTTGTAAGGCTTCTGCTTCAAAGGCCGTTTTAATCTTTCTGCACTCGAGGAATGTAGATGGACCCTTCCGTCAGGGGAACTTACCAGCCGTGGAGGGTTTGGGAGTCTCGCTGTGGCCCTTTGATCTTGGCCACTTCCGGGCCAGCCCTGAGCAGGCAACGGGGGCCGGGTGGGAGGTACCTACCCAGGTCCTGGTTGTGCGCCTTCTCCTGGCCCTCGAAGTACAGCAGGCTGTATCCACTCCAGAGTTTGTTCATGCCCACTGGGCACATGGGCTCCTGGTCCGTCTGGCTGTGCTTCACCAGGAGGTAGCCGATGCTGACGCTGCGGCCTGGCATACCCGGCAGGCCCGGGCTCCCTGGACGGCCTGGTGCACCTGCAGCCCGAGAAAGAGAGAGAGTGGACGGCCTGGTGCACCTGCAGCCCGAGAAAGAGAGAGAGTGGACGGCCTGGTGCACCTACAGCCTGAGAGAGAGAGAGAGAGTGGACGGCCTGGTGCACCTGCAGCCCGAGAGAGAGAGAGAGAGAGAGAGTGGACGGCCTGGTGTACCTGCAGCCCGAGAGAGAGAGTGAGTGGACGGCCTGGTGCACCTGCAGCCTGAGAGAGAGAGAGAGTGGACGGCCTAGTGCACCTGCAGCCTGAGAAAGAGAGAGAGAGCAGCCCCCTTGACAGCCGCCCCACAGAAACCTCGGGACCCAGGAGTGCAGGGCAGTTTCCAGGTGCGCCTAGAACCATCGCTCTCCTTCCCCAGATCTTGGGGCTCAGTCTGTTGAGATCAGGAGACTCTTGGGAAGGATTTGATCCACACTTTGTTCTCAGTAGCATGAAATGATGGCAGTGAGGGCACTGGGCACAGAGGAGGGGTCCTTTCCATAAAAGACTCAGTCAGCCATAGGTAGGCATGTGCCCCTCAGGATGTGCCCAACGTGCCTGGCGTTGGAAGTGTCCGGAGGAGTATCGCAGGCCAGCCCCCACCCCCAGCAGTGGCCTCCCTCCGCTGGACACTTCCAGGAGACATGGCTCATCGCAGGCCATGCTGACTGCGCACTTGACCACAGCCTGGGTTAGAATGTTCTTTCTGCGTGCAGCCTCCTGTAACTCCTACCCGAGGAGCACACGGGGGTGGCTCATCTGCCTCCAGCACAGCAGCTCTGTGAATATTTCTCAGCTATCCCCAGTGACCCTTTCTCCCATTGTCCCCTCCCCTTCCAAGGGACACCCATGGTCATGGCCCTTTCTCCCAGGACACTTCCCCTCCACCATCCCTAGCTTGTCTCCTACCCTGGGCGGGCTCCCATTTGCTGGCATTTGTTTTCAGGTGCACCCCACACTACCCATAATTTGCCGGCTGCGGATCTGTCCCCAGGGGCAGGGGACTGCTATTTCCTTTGACTTGGACACCAATAGTACTACCCATGTTTAATTTTCTTTTTTTTTTTTGAGACGGAGTCTCGCTCTGTCCCCCAGGCTGGAGTGCAGTGGCGCGATCTTGGCTCATTGCAACCTCCACCTCCTGGGTTGAGGCCATTCTCCTGCCTCAGCCTCCCGAGTAGCTGGGACTACTGGCGCCCGCCACCACGCCCGGCTAATTTTTTGTATTTTTAGTAGAGACGGGGTTTCACCGTGTTAGCCAGGATGGTCTCGATCTCCTGCCCTTGTGATCCGCCCACCTCAGCCTCCCAAAGTGCTGGGATTACAGGCGTGAGCCACCGCGCCCGGCCCCTATGTTTAATTTTAATTTTAATTTTAATGCTCAGACCATTGGCTCAAACTGAGCTCAGGTTGATTAAGACAAATTTTGAGGTTTTTTTTTTTCATGAATAGCTGTTATTCCTGGCCTATTTCATTCTGTATATGTGCAAATAATTTTAAAAAATAAGACGACCAGGCACGGTGACTTACACCTGTAATCCCAGCACTTTGGGAGGCCAAGGCTGGCGGATCGCTCGAGGTCAGGAGTTCGAGACCAGCCTGGCCAACATGGTGAAACCCCGTCTCTACTACAAATACAAAAAAGTTAGCTGGGTATGGGGGCACATGCCTGTAGTCCCAACTACTTGGGAGGCTAAGACAGGAGAATCGCTTGAACCCGGGAGGCAGAAGCTGCAGTGAGCTGAGATTGCGCCACTGCACTCCAGCCTGGGTGAGACAGAGCGAGACTCTGTCCAAAAAAGAAAAAAAAGTAAGACAGGGCTTCGCAGTGCGGCTCTTGTACATTTTAATAGTCGGTTTCTTTTGGCTCCTTGTCTAATCCTGACCCTTGAAGTCTACTGATCCCTGCCGCCCACTCCACAGCACCGCAGGTGTCCCAGGAAAAGGAGGGAGGCTGTCCCAGGACTCGGGGCCAGGTGTTCTGCTGGGCATAGGAGTGTAGCTGCTACGCCCAGATTAGGAGCAGGAGGGTGGGGCAGCGCCTCATTTCTGGCTTTTCTGGGCTCTCGTGTGTCCCCTTCCTGCAGACCACAGTCTGTGAGTCAGATCCAGAGCACTAGGACCTGGGAAGGTCCTTCCCCACTGTCACTCACCTTCTTGGCCAATCGGCCCCTGGTGGCCTATGGGTCCTTCATCTCCCCGGAAGCCGGGAACAGCAGACACACCACCTCTTCCTTGGGGCCCAGCTTTCCCTGGAGCCCCACGGAAACCTGCAAGCCACCAAAGAAGCGTTATGGCTGGAAACTGACCACGCCTGGCACGGCCGGCGATCCACAAAGAGAACACAAGAGGACGCAATGCCAGCAGGCCCTGGCCTTGCCCGGGCAGCCCCGAGGGGCTCCAGGCCCCAGCTCAGCACTCTACCTGGTTCTCCGGGGGGGCCCTGGGGCCCCATCTCCCCCGGTGCCCCAGGGGGGCCTCGCCTCCCCTGGGGACCCACTGTCCCTGGTTGGACGGCAATCTTCTGGGGGATTCCTGCAATCCCGGGGGCTCCCACAGTCCCGGGGGCACCTGGAAGGGAAACAGAGAGGCCCCAGTAAACACACAAGGTCGTTCCACTCTCTTGCTCCGAGTGCTACTGCGTTTCTCACCAGGGAGGCTTCTTTTGGAGCTTCCCAGACAACTGTGCTTTCTAGAGATGAGCCAGACACTAACGGGCCTGAGCCGTGACTCAGCGCCTGCCGTTTGAATATTAAGCTCTCCATTCCCCAAGGTCCTGTGACAACATCCGAGGCACAGCCTTGGTTTCCTCCCTGCTCTTTACAACATGTGACCCATGCCAGAGAGGATCCTGGCCGTTTGACCTCCAGGATGTCCCCAAGCCTGGAGAGGCTGGGCTGAGCCACTAGCTCTGAAGATACCAGACGGTCACTTACCAGGGAATCCTGGGTCTCCCTTGGGTCCCTTGGGGCCTCTGTCGCCCACCGCCCCAGTGGGTCCAGTGTTCCCCATGAAGCCTTGTTCACCCCTGGGCCCTGCAACACAAACAAGACGTTAGGGACACGAAAGTCTGTGGGGAGGGGGCTCCTCTCACTGTGGCCAGGGCTGCTGGCCCATGGCCATGGGCACTGTTACCTTTTTCTCCTGGGAGACCAAACACACCAGGCCTGCCCTGGGGCCCGGAGTCCCCGGCCCATCCTTTGGTCCCTGGGGTTCCTGGAGCTCCTGGGTTCCCTGTGTCACCTTTGCTTCCAGGAAGAGCAGCAGAACCTGGTGGCCCTGGTGGGCCCCGATAACCTGTTGGCATTAGGGACAAGAAAGGAGGGTTTAAACAGGGCCCCAAGGCCCCTGGGGGCAGTCAGGTGCACCGTCACCCATTCAGGCGACAGTCTCTGGCAAGTCTGTGGCATGGAATGACTTTGTCTATGTTTTTAAAAAATTGTCGTAAAATACGTAGAACATAAAAGTTACCATTTTAATCATTTTTAGGTGCACTGCTCAGTGGCATTCAATATATTCACCTTCACCGCCGACCAGCTCCAGAACTTTCTCATCCTAAACTGAAATCTGTCCCCGTTATACACGCACTCCCCGTGTCCCTCTCCCCCCAACCCTCAGCAACAGCCATTGTACTTTCTGTTTCTATGAATTTGATGACTTCAGGGGCCTCGTATGTGTGGAATCACAGAATCCGACCTTTTGTGACTGGCTTCTTTCACTCAGCAGAATGCCCTCAAGGGTCATCTAGGTGGTAGCAGGTGATAAGAGTTCCTTCTTTTTAAGACCGAATAAAGGCTGGGCAAGGTGGCTTACACCTGTCGTCTCAGCACTTTGGGAAGCCGAGGTGGGAGGATTGCTTGAGGTCAAGAGTTTGAGACCAGCCTGGCCAACATGGTGAAACCCTGTCTCTACTAAAAATACAAAAATCATCTGGGCTTGGTGGTGGACACCTGTAATCCCAGCTACTCAGGAGGCTGAGGCACAAAAATTCCTTGAACCCGGGAGGCGGAGATTGCAGCGAGCTAAGATCGTGCCACTGCACTCCAGCCTGGGCGACAGAGCAAGGCTGTCTCAAAAAACAAAAAACAAGAAAACAACCCAACAAAAAAGACGGACTCCTCTTGTACTGGGTGGATACTGACTGCATTTTGCTTCTTAATTCCTCTGTTGATGGACACTCGGGTTGCTTTCAGCACTCGGTGCTTGTGAGTAGTGCTGCTGTGAACCTTGACGCACAAACACTTGTTTGACGGGTGACTTCATCTTTACGCCATCTCTTTCCAATATTCAGCTCGTTCGTGATTAGGAAGTGCAAATTAAATTTAATACTTGTCTAAACACAATACAGTGAGGAAGAAGAAAGCCGTTCATACTGCACATTTCTGAGCCCCCTGCAGTTTGAATATCTGCTATTACAGCAAGTAAATGACATGGCCTGTGTCTCAGCTTCCCAGGGACCAGGTCGTGCAGGTGATGGAAATGACACAGGAGGAGCCATCATGGCTCCTGCCTCTTTGACCGGAGTCTGGGCACAGCGTGGAAATGAACGTCTGTTCTCCCCCTACATTAAGCGGGCCATTGCCAGCTCCTGCCCCTAGAGATGTCGAAGCACAGATGTATAAGTCCTGCTTACCTTTCAGGCCAAATATCCCTGGCGCCCCTTTGTCACCAGGTGCCCCAGAGATGTTGGAAGGGGGTGTGATACCAGGGAACCCCTGAAGTCCTGGGCTCCCAGGTGGGCCTCGTTCCCCTTAGGATGAAAACAGAAGAAATTATTTTCAGCGTTAGCACCCAACTTTTCAAATCTACTATTTTCCCTCCACACCATCACCTGTGGTGGACCAGAGCCTAGCGAGCGAGACAGTGATGGGAGGTGCCCTCAGGCCAAGGAACATCTCATGGTGGGGCTGGGGAGGCCCTCAGGGCGGGGTTGGGGGGGCAGGGGCTATGTGAACCCCTCCCCCACCCCAGCCTTTCTCCTGTGAGGAGCCCTCCACTGGGATCCTGTCTGCCTGTGCTCGACTTCCCCAAGGCGCTGCCCGATCATGCTTAGATGGAGCCTCAGCACCAGGCGAGGCACAGCTGGTCAGACTCTGATCCTGATATGTGTGGACAGTGGTCAGCACAGGTGATGGACAGAAGGTTGAAAAATTGCAAATGAGGCTTACAATTGACATCACTATTGTCAACCCTCCCTGCGGCTGTCCTCCAGTGCCTCGGATCCCAGCTTGGATAGAGTTGGTCTTCATTATTCACAGATTCTGTGTTTCCCAATTTGTCCACTCACTAAAACTCACTTGGAATCCCCCCCAAATCAACACTGGCATTCACAGATATACACAGAGGCAAAATGAGTCCCAGCTGAGATCCAGCAAGGTGACGCTCCTGCCTTCTTGCTGCAGCTCATACTGTACACACGTGTCCTTGTCTTGGTCTCTGTAGTGCCCTGTTTTCCACATTTTTGTGCTTTATGCTGGTGATTTTGCTGTTTCAAATGCCCCCCATGTATTGTGTTGAAGTGCATCCTACTGTTGGTAAGTGCAAGAAGGCTGTGAAGTCCCTTATGGAGAAACACATATGTAAGAGAAGCTGCATTCAGGCACGAGTGAGTGCATGTTGACTGTTCCTGAATCAGCAATCCACACTAAACAAGGTGCCGTTACACAGAAAACCAGCTTATATACTGATCATTGACAAACATCTTGTGAGCAGAGGCTTGCAGGAACTTAGCCTTGTATTTCCCCTAGGAGCAATGGTTCAGTATTCACTAAGTCAGTGTTCTTGGTGACTTCAGAACATAACTACTGCGAATAATGAGAACCAACAGTTTTTGGGTCAAAGGCTGGAGCTCTTTGGCACTAGTAGGAGAGTAAGAGGGAAATGGCCACATAAGGAAATCTGTGGAAATTCCACTCCTCCCTGTGCTGTCAGCCAACAAGACACTAATGGAGCTTTATGTGCTGTAGGGCAGTGGTGGGTAGAAATCAGTGTGGACTTGAGTGGGCGGATTAAGTCTACTTTCTCTCCTAAGCACCTTCAGCCTTTTGTTTTACCTCGGGCTGGGGACCAAGATTAGTATTAGAACCCTGCAAAATGTCAGAATGTCCAAGTGGGCAAGGAGGGCATCACTTCTGCTCTGCAGGAAATAGTGAGCTGGGCGAAACAGTGCAAATCTATAAAAATGAGAAAAGGTAGCAACAGTGGTTTTCTGTTTCCCCTCTGGCTTTATGACTAATCTACACGCATCAGCAGCAGGAAGAGATTTTCCCTTTGGAAGATCCTGGTATCCATTATCCATCCCAGGGGAAAGGATTCCATTCATGCGTGCTTCCAAGTAGGACAAAACAAACAGCAGGATAAATATTTAGAGAGGTGAGGCTTGTCTCACAAATCACAGACAACATGCAAGTGGGTTCATTAGCCCTGAGGGCATGAGTGAGCCACCATCTGTAGTTTGATATAAAATGACACCAATTGAACTGCTTCTAGCTATTGTCACAAAGTACCCGAAACAGATGGTGAGTGTCAGTAAATAATGGCAGACTCCTGAGTTAGATGATCCAGTGCAATCCGCAGACTGGCAGATTCCCACGAAAACATAATTAACTTAACTGCAGTGATGAGGACTGTTAATGAGAACACTTAGCAAACATGAGTCAGTTTGCTGGAATCTAGACGGAAACCGCTATGATTTCTCAGTAGCCCCCATGGATCGTCCTAAGTACTGACATAAAAGAGTCTCACTAACAGGGGTTCCGTGAAGGCCCATGTTGCATGACTCAAGGCCAAATCAGGAACTGATGCTCGAATGTCAGCTGCAGAAATAGGTGAGGTTGCAGACTCTAGCTTCAGTGAGCTGTGATACGGTTTGGCTGTGTCCCCACCCAAATCTCGACTTGTAGTTCCCAAAGTCCCTACATGTCGTAGGAGGGACCTGGTGGGAAGTAATTGAATCACGGGGGTGGCTATCCTCATGCTGTTCTCGTGATAGTGAGTTCCCAGGAGATCTGATAGTTTTATAAGGGGCCTCCCCCCACCCTTTACTCAGCACTTCTCTCTCCTGCCGCCAGTGAAGAAGGATGTGTTTGCTTCCCCTTCCGCCATGATTGTAAGTTTCCTGAGGCCTCCCCAGCCATGCAGAACTGTGAATCAATTAAACCTCTTTCCTTTATAAATTACCCAGTCTCTGGTATTTCTTCATAGCAGCATGAGAACGAACTAATACAAATGAGATGCAACTCATGCGAAGGAAGATGACGGATTCAAATTATTCCCATATTTTGAGAGAAGAGTGTGTGTCCTGAATGACATTATGATCAGTGTGTGAACGTCATCATGGAAGGTCGTCTTTCCCTCATCACTAGCCAGAGGCAGTGGCCTCATATGCCAAGGCCCAATGGCACTGGGCAGTGTCTGCCCTGGCCTCCAGGACCTGCTCTGAAGTCATCAGCTCATGGGCCCACTGTGACGTTCATGCAGGTCGAGGGTGGGGGCATGGCTTGCAAAAGTCAGCATGCCGCACGGTGGCTTGGAAGCCGGGGACACCGTCCAGGTCCCTGGGATGGAATGCAAGGAGGGCCACAGGAGGTCACGGAGAGTTTTGATAAATGGGTCCCACACAGATCAAATGTGTAATAAGGCCATCAATGTTACCTTAGGGGTGTTCTGAGCTACACGTAACTCTCCACTGATGTCAGAAAATTATCCTACAATTTCACAATATTCTTCTCCAGCAAGTATTTGTTGAGCACTTACTCAGGGACAAGCATTTTGCTGAGGTATTAAGTGGAAAATAAATGAGATAAATCTCTGTCCTTGGGGATGGAAATCTTAAATCTTTTTTGTGGTCAAGTACAGGGCCTGAACATCATGCTGTGTGAATCAAACGTTAACAATGCATGGTCATACAAAATGCTAGCAGCTGTGTTCTGTGACCCCCCTCTATGGGCCACTGTGTGCACCCTGTCGAAATCCCATCTCAGTTTCCTCCGCCCCTCCCTGTGCGGGATCTCCTCTCCACATCTCCTGGCCAAGTCTTCCCCGTTGCTGCATTCCCAGATGCCTTTCAGGTGACAGACTGGTAAACTGATCATCATGACACTCTGAAAACAACGCTATGTTTCAAGGCCTTTAAAGATAGCAAACATTTATTGCTGGCCTCCTGTGTGCAAGAGCTTTACCTGTAGTATCTCATTGTATCCTCCCAATACTCACAAGTGCATTTTTATTTTCATTTGACAGACAAAGCCAGAGACATTCAATACCATGGCCAAGGTCACATGGTGAAAATATGGTGCACGTGAGACGCAGAACAAGAACCCAACAGGTGTCTGATTTAAAGGTCACGGGCATGGTCAACTCTACTGCTGGGCTCCTGGGAGGATTATGCTGGTGGACTGACCCCAGATCCTCACCCCTGACTGAGGCTGTGCTGGTGGACTGACCCCAGATCCTCACCCCTGACTGAGGCTGTGCTGGTGGACTGACCCCAGATCCTCACCCCTGACTGAGGCTGTGCTGGTGGACTGACCCCAGATCCTCACCCCTGACTGAGGCTGTGCTGGTGGACTGACCCCAGATCCTCACCCCTGACTGAGGCTGTGCTGCTGGACTGACCCCAGATCCTCACCCCTGACTGAGGCTGTGCTGCTGGACTGACCCCAGATCCTCACCCCTGACTGAGGCTGTGCTGGTGGACTGACCTAGATCCTCAGCCCTGAGTGGAGGTTGTGCTAGTGGATTGACCTAAATCCTCAGTCCTGAGTGGAGGTTGTGCTGGTGGACTGACCTAGATCCTCAGCCCTGAGTGGAGGTTGTGCTGGTGGATTGACCTAAATCCTCAGCCCTGAGTGGAGGTTGTGCTGGTGGACTGACCTAAATCCTCAGTCCTGAGTGGAGGTTGTGCTGGTGGATTGACCTAAATCCTCAGTCCTGAGTGGAGGTTGTGCTGGTGGACTGACCTAGATCCTCAGTCCTGAGTGGAGGTTGTGCTGGTGGATTGACCTAAATCCTCAGTCCTGAGTGGAGGTTGTGCTGGTGGACTGACCCTAGACCCTCAATCCTGGCTGAAGCTGTGCTGGTGTACTGACCTAGATCCTCACCCCTGAGTGAGGCTGTGCTGGTGGATTGACCTAGATCCTCACCCCTGAGTGAGGCTGTGCTGGTGGATTGACCTAGATCTTCACCCCTGAGTGACGTTGTGCTGGTGGAGTCACCTTGGATCCTCACTCCTGGGTGGAGCTTCTGCTGGTGCGCTGACCCTAGATCCCTGGCTGAGGTTATGCTGGTAGACTGTCCTAGATCCTTACCCCTGACTGAGGCTGTGCTGGTGGGACTGACCTTAGATTCTCACTCCTCAGTGGAGCTTGTGCTGGTGTGCTGACCCTAGATCCTCACCCCTGACTGAGGCTGTGCTGGTGGAC
Organism: Homo sapiens; assembly: GCF_000001405.40. Taxonomy (NCBI): domain Eukaryota; kingdom Metazoa; phylum Chordata; class Mammalia; order Primates; family Hominidae; genus Homo; species Homo sapiens. The sequence continues at coordinate 110,496,995 of NC_000013.11, read as the reverse complement.
TGACCCTAGATCCTCACCCCAACTGAGGCTGTGCTGGTATGCTAACCCTAGATCTTCACCCCGACTGAGGCTGTGCTGGTGGACTGACCCTAGATCCTCACCCCTGACTGAGGCTGTGCTGGTGGACTGACCCTAGATCCTCACCCCTGACTGAGGCTGTGCTGGTGGACTGACCTTAGATCCTCATCCCTGGCTGAGGCTGTGCTGATGGACTGACCCTAGATCCTCATCCTTGACTGAGGCTGTGCTGGTGGACTGACCTTAGATCCTCACCGCTGGCTGAGGCTGTGCTGGTGGACTGACCCTAGATCCTCAACTCTGACTGAGGCTGTGCTGGTGGACTGACCCTAGATCCTCATCCTTGACTGAGGCTGTGCTCGTGGACTGACCCTAGATCCTCAACTCTGACTGAGGCTGTGCTGGTGGACTGACCCTAGATCCTCACCGCTGGCTGAGGCTGTGCTGGTGGACTGTCCTGGATCCTCACCCTGACTAGGGCTCTGGCAGCACCATGCAGCCTCCCAGGATAGTCTGGCTCCTGTTGGCAGAGCCCCTCCTCTTTCTCCTATCTTCAGATCAGTGCTGTGGAGCTCTGAGGCTAGGGGATTCTGGAGTTTCCAGCTGCTGGTGAGGGGAGAGGGCAGGCAGCAGATCCTGGAGAGTGAGATGTGATCTGCAAGCCTCGAGACATCCCTGCACCCCAGCAAAAGCCAGGGTTGCTGGCCTCCTTGGTCCTGACTTCCTCTCCTGTGGATGTCTGGTTCTAGCTTCATGGGGAATTGGCACTAGAAAAACTCAGGCCTTTGTGGATGGAAGCCAGAGTTTCTGTTGCCAGCATGGAGCCCAGGGTGCCCAGGCTGTCCATCCAGGTGTGCTGCCCAGCTCCCGTACCTGAGCCAGGAGATGCCCCTGGTCAGGCTGGTGAGGTGGGCGGGGTGGGGGAGGGGCCCATGGATCTCAGGAGCAGACTCTGGGGCTGTGGGCTCATGCACAATGAGACCGCAACACCCTTGGCAGACTGGCTCCCAGGAAGGTCCTGGTTTCTATCTAGGAATGTTTCTCACTGCCATTTAGACTTGAGCCCACCTTGGCTGGTGAGCAGGGAGGCTATGGGGTGGGAAGACAAGTTTCTGGGCATTTCCTACCCAAGTATGGGTCAGCGTGGCTCTGCTAGGAGGTTTAATGCATTTATTCGCACATTCACTACCCAGAGTGCTTGTTATGGCAAGGCCTGTGCCAGTGCCCCAGGCGCACAGAGGATCTGATGGGGTCTCTAGGCCAGGGAGCTTATCAGTTACTCCACGGGATGGGTGGTCAGTGCCTCACTAACACTGATGGGATAAAATAAATTGCCTAACAAACTAAGACTAGCTGAGAGGTCCTGCAACAGGTAGTCCTCCCCAGAAAAACCAGCTCTTTCCTGCACTTCTGCACAGCCTCTCCCACCCCATAGACACTCCATGGCCCCACCTCTGGGTGGGTTCTGGTTACTGGGACGGCAATGTTGGCTTGGAATGTGTGGCCTCACCTGGAGCTCCTTGGTCTCCTTTCTGTCCTGGGACTCCCACAGGGCCTGGAAGGGTGTTGGCCTCTCCTGGGTCACCTCTTTCCCCAGGAGGGCCTGGGAAGCCTGGGTCTCCGTGGATGTCAGAACCTGTGGAAGAGTTATAACAGCAGCTGATGTCGGTGTTTCCAACCATACAGTTGACTTTCCTAAGTGAAAGAACAGCTTGGGGTGCCTCAAAAGCAAAGAAACAGAGGCAGCCATGGTGATTTCAGCTTGCATTGCAATATATGGCCTCCAGGTCACAGGAGCTGAGATTTGGAAGGGATCTTACAGAGATCACAGTGGAAGCCCTTGGCTCTATGGATAAGAGGATCGAGGCCCATCAGAGGGTTCAAATTCACAGAAACAGTGGGTCAAGGAGCTGGGACCCCTCCCGGGCCTCTAGGCTCCTGGGGGCTTCTCTTCAGGCTATGCTTAATTAGGTTTTCAAAGTAAACACTATCTAAAGTCTTCCCCCTTCTCCTATCAGGTGCTCATCGCCATCATGGCAGGAAACAGCAAGACAACTTGACGAGGATTTCCCGCCACTCGCCCACTGGAACTGTAATGGAGTGTTAATGACGCAGGAGTGCGTGAATTTACGTGTAATATACACACATACAAATTCACCTGTAGACAGAGCAATATTTGGTTATATGAAATGTCTACAAACAGCACATTCTAAAAGCAGCTTTAGGATTATGGGTCTTTTTTTCCTCTTAAATGTGTTAATTTTTTTTTTTTTTAAGACGGAGTCTCGCTCTGTTGCCCAGGCTGGAGTGCAGTGGCGCGATCTCGGCTCACTGCAAGCTCCGCCTCCCGGGTTCACGCCATTCTTCTGCCTCAGCCTCCCGAGTTAAATGTGTTTAAATGTGTTAATTTTTTTTTCTCCACTGAACATAAATAATTTGTATAAATTGAAAAGAAAACAAGGTTATCTTTTGAAAAAAAGACATAATAATAAAATGATTCCCCACTTAGTGCCTGATGTCCTTCAAATGTTATTTTATTAGTCCTATAATAGATTTCAAAATTAAATGAAAAGACAAGGACATTAAAATTTAGGATGAAAATAGCTGAATTTAAAATAAAGAAGTTCCAAGAAGCTGCCAAGCCTTCCTGCACTATGCTATCTCAGCTTCTTGGGGAGGACAGGGTTAAAGGGAGGCCTTCTGTGGGAAAGTCTGATGATCCTTTTGAGGATCATCCAGTTGCTGTTATTATACCCTGGAAGGGCTCAGGATGGAAACCTTATTCTGCCATTGGCTTTTGGAAATAATGAGTCTTTATATCCCCATTCAGGGAAAAATGTGTGCTACAGTAGTTTATAAAATAAGCCAGAAAGTGCTATGAAAGTTGTTAGTTTCTTTTTCCTGTGGTAAGAAGCCCTTGGTTCACCTTGCTATGGACTGATTGTGTCATTCTCCCCAACCCCAAAGTTCCTAAGTGGAAGCCCTAACTCCAGTGTGATGGCATTTGGAGCAGGGGCCTTTGGGAGGTGATTAGGGTTAGGCCAGGTCATGAGGGTGGGGCCCCAAGATGGGGTTACTGCCCTTATAAGAAGTGACAGGGGAGAGCGGGTGCTCTCCCTCGTGAGGACACAGCGAGCAGCCAGGACGCGGCCCCCCCCAGAACCCGACCACGCTGGCATGCTGATCCCAGCCTCCAGAACTGGGAGGAAACCCATTTTGGTTGTTTTTGGCTCCCAGCCTGTGGGTGCCCAAGCGCTATCACTGTCTCCAGCATCAGAACTGCCCAGGGGCAGGTGGAAACCGCTGGCTTCCTTAGGCCAACAAAATGAAAGATCACAGACAGGCAATGGGCAGAGTGAACACTCCAGACACCTGAGGGGCGCAGGTGCATCCCACCCTCCCAACGGTGCTGCTGAAAAAGCAAGGACTCTATTTCTCTCTCCGTCTAAAAGCCTGATGAGTCCATTCAACCCAGCAACTGCCTTGAGAAACCGATTCTTAGGGATCACATCTTAGCAGCGTACAGGACCACAGGGCCCGGACCCGCCCCTCACGGCCGATCGCATAGCACTTCAGGAAGCCCACCCTGCTCTCTGAGACCCTCCATTCCCTGAAGTCTGGAGGGCAGACTCAGCACAGAGTCCCCACCCTCGACACCTCTGCGTGGGACTCGGGGCTGGGACGGCACAGAGTACCTGGGGATCCTGGAAAGCCCTTGGTGCCTGGCAAGCCGTGTAAGCCGCGGATCCCACGGAGTCCCGGAAAACCTGCGGGGGTGTCACTCATCGTTATTTATTTCACCTGCGGGGGTGTCACTCATCGTTATTTATTTCACCTGCGGGGGTGTCACTCATCGTTATTTCACCCATGGGGGTGTCACTCATCGTTATTTCACCCATGGGGGTGTCACTCATCGTTATTTCACCTGTGGGGGTGTCACTCATTGTTATTTCATGTGTGGGACAGCACAGGGGGTTCTGGGTGGGAGAAACCCTCAAGATAACTCAGATGTGTTTTGTTGGCTCTGAAACTGTCACCTGATACTGTCACCCATACAATCCTGCTAAAGCCCCACAAATAGGAAGCAGCTAAGCCACACGCTCAACTTACACGACATGTAAACTAAGCACTCTTATGTTACCTAGGAACACCATTGAACTGGAACACTGTCTTCATAGAATCTTTTTAACAGACTCACTAGGCCAGAAGGGGCCTGGGGAGTGACATGTCCCATGCCTCTTCTTGACGCCTCGCCACTGCTGTATGTTTGGTTTGTAAAAGCTGCTTGGAACAAATAGCCCGGTGTCATTTCCATTCCCTCTGGATTTCTGAGGGTAAATATTTCTAAAGCAGGACACAGCAAACAGGTGGCAATTCCTTCTGTTACATGGGCAGTGAGCATGGCAGGGTGGCCCGTCTCGGGGCTGTAAGGAGGCCCCGGGGGTGGCCCGTGCAGCACAGTGGTACACTGAGGCTGCTCCTGCACCCTGATCTTGCTGTGCGTCCCTGTGTGGCGATGACAAGTGGACCCTGAAGCCTCTCTGGGAGGCTTTCATTCATCCTTCTGGGAGGTGAAGCCCTGGGCAGATTTGTGCATCTGGCTTGATTCCCAGTTGCCTGGGGCGCCAGTATACCCTGTGCTGCTATGTTGGTGCAGACCACCGTAAGCCACAGCAGACCTGCCTTTGCTCTCGTATGGGCCTTAGAAGTCGCCCTGAGAGAGGCTGGCCTGCTCAGCGGTGCCTCCTGCACAGCCCACGACTCTGGGTCTGGGTGACCACGTGTTTTACGTGACCTTACCTGGTAAGCCCGGAGCTCCCGGCCAGCCATCATCTCCTTTGCCACCAGGCAGTCCAATCCGCCCCAGCTCTCCCTGCGACCCTGGAGGCCCAGTCAGCCCTGGAAAGCCTGGGGGTGAACACAGCATTAAGTCTGAGCACACAGGACACCTTGGGCGCTGTGTGGTGAGGTCCTGGCAGGAGGGGCAGCCGCTCTGGGAGGGGCCGAGGGCCGGAAGGGCCGCAGTGCCAGTTGGAGGAGAGATTAGAACTGTCCCTCAAGCTGGGGATGCAGGTGGTCTTAGACCCCACATACAAATTCAATAGGATTTGCTCAGCCTTGCCAGAGAGAAAATAGCGTGTAGTTTTAATTGTCGCCCTATTATCCAAATAGACGTCTGGAGAGGACCCTGAGGCAGTGCCTGGAGAGATGAGCCTCTTGGCATTCCCCGGTGCTGAGTAAACACAGAAAGCAGCAGCAGCAACAGCGTGGGAAGCCAGCCCACTGTCCGCTCTCCTTCTCTAACCTAGGATGTTCATAGGGGTTTCTGCATATTCAATGCAAGCAAAGGGATCCCTTACAAACCGTCGGCTTCTATATGAGAGACAGAGGCTCAACCGAAGAGGCACTTCTCATTCACCCCCATGCTTCTCTCCAATTCTCAGGTCTCCCCCCAGCCCAGGTGGTTGTTTCTCTCCATGCCATCAGCACTGAGGAAAGCTCCTAAGCTGGCAGCAGGCACGAGTGAGCTTCCAGGGTTGGGTGTGATTGGAGGAAATTGACAATGTTGACCGCCTTTGTTCTGGGGTCTCCGGAGGGCCTGCCTGAGGAAGGCTGTGTGGCTGCGGGAGATTTTACCTGTTTGTCCTTTAAGTCCAGGAGGGCCTTGGACTCCAGTCACGCCTGTTATCCCAGGGAAGCCGATGTCACCTTCTGTTCCCTTCTCTCCAAAGAATCCCTTCAGACCTGCAACCACAGACATGCTGCTTGGAACAAACAGACACCGCGCCCCTGTGGGTTCCCTGGAACCCCGGCTCTAGGATGTGCAGAACCACACTGCTGCTCCTTCAGGAATGGAGAGAGGCATCCAACCGTGCTCCTTCCTTAGCTGATTTTTAACCTACTTCCTCCCTCTGAGCCTGCACTAGCCAGCTTCCAAGGCAGCACCCATGTACCCATGCACCCCTCACTGTCTTAGGGAAAACAGGACACCCCCAGGGATGATGGGTACAGCTGGCCCCACCCTTCCATTGTGGGACCACAGCTCCGAAATACCGTCTTCTGGTGATGGATGCAGGGGAGGCTCCACTCCAAAGCCTTTCTGGGCCCAGAGTTTAACAAAAACCAAAATGTTCAAAGGTAACAGCAAAAATAATTCTTGGGTGGGGGTAGCGTCTCTTCCCTGACACATTTTCAGTTGAACAAGTGAAGGCATCATTAGAGACGCGTGGTAATGATGGTCCACGTTTCTGTGTTTATAAACCAAATGGCCGGACTAATGGCCTAGGGTGGCAGACACAGCCAGCCCAGCGCCGGATGGCTCAGCAGTACAGAGCTCCCGTCACTCAGGAGGAAGCCACCGGGAGCCCAGGTCACAGATAACAAAGGAGCCCGGGAGGGCTGGTAAACAGAGGCGCCTATTTCCCAGCGGCGGTTCTCTGATCCTGTGCTCAACTGAACACGTCTTTCCATTCCAGAGCAATTTCTAGATAAAGAACTGGCCCAGCAGTCTCCCCACTGGCCAACCCTGGACAGACTCCTTCCCTCCCACCAGGGCCAGCCCTGCAAGCCCCTGGGGCTCCAGCAACTTGAGCAGTGTGGGGTCCCCCCAAAAGAAAATCCCCAGAAAGAAGAAAACTATCACAGTCCCCTTGAGACGTCACTGCAGGCAGGAATTTAGGAGTGGAACCTCAGTGATGTGCAGAAGGGAAGGGAGGCACTGTGCCGCCCCAGGCCCCCACAACTCGCTCGGGCTGGTCAGCTGCCTCCATATCTCTCTCAAGCGATGGCCTGACTCCCACTCCCCCTTTCCTGGACCCTTCGCTGTTTCTGAGAAGCTCGGGTCAGCGACCACCTGCTGCACGCCCTCAGGTGTTCCGGGAGTCAGGGTGCTAGCTGGCTTTTCATCAGTTACACTTTATGGACTGCAGTGATTCTCATCCACCGAGGGTCCATTCTGGCTTTTTTCAGTATCAAAGAGAGAGACAGAGAGAGAGAAAGACTTCCTGATTTTATCTTCAGATTTAACTTAATTAAAAACGACGGTCTTTCTTGCACATTGGACTTGAAGACCTCATTCACTATCAAGTGCTTTCTGGTTGTTACTGAATTTGATCTGTTTGGCAAGTCGGGCTCCTAGACAAAGGCTCAGGGCTGTTGTTGAAGATGAAGACAAGGAAAATAACTTGCGTACCTGGTATTCCAGTGGTGCCCCGCTCCCCCTTCAGGCCTGGTCTTCCTGGTAAATTTATAGTGTCCCCGATGTCACCTGTTACATGCAAAAAAGACGGCTAAGAACAGGACTTTCCACTGGGACTTTGTGAGTTTTGCAACTTCTATTTTGTTATATTCCTAACAAGAATAATTTGTTTTAAAATACCTAACAGCACTTGCAGGTCTGAAATTGGCTCACATGCTCAGAGAGCTCTGAATTGTGGACTCCCTGTTTTCACTGGACGGGCAACACTCACCGAAATCACCAGTCGCGCCAATCTCGCCATACAGGCCTGCTCTCCCTGGGGCACCTTTGTCACCCTAAAGACAGACATGAACCATCTTAGAAGGCTGTTAGCGAAGTCAGTTGTAACTCTGAAGTTAGCTCACTTATTTAACTATCCAGTATGCTAACGACAATACTCAAGGTTTGTGATCTTGTCATTTTGTGGAAAACTCGTGTTTTTTAGTGTGTATCATAGGCGGTTTGCTTAGCTGTTCTTTTTGTTTATTTATTTATTTATTTCTTTGAGACAGGATCGCAGTCTGTCACCCTGGCTGGAGTGCAGAAGCACAATCATAGCTCAATGTTGCCTTGATTTCCTGGGCTCAAGTCATCCTTCCGTCTCAGCCTCCTGTGCAGCTGGGATTACAGGTGTGAGCCACTAAGCCTGGCTGCTAATAGTTTTTAAATTTTTAGTAGAGATGGGCTCTTGCTCTGTTGCCCAGGCTGGTCTTGAACTCCTGGGTTCAAGTGATTCTCTCTCCTCTGCTTCCCAAAGTGCTGGGATTACAGGCGTGAGCCACTGCACCTGGCCTTGCTGTTCTTATGGAACTGTGAAGTGATACAATGAAACAAGCTTGGCAACTGCATCATAATGAAGAGCATCAGTGGCCCAGGTCTCCATCACGACAGTGTGGTGATGTCAGCGGCGGCGGTGACTCTGACTACATCCTCGCTCCACCATGCTTTCCCGCGTGCACATGGTGGACCCCGTCTCAAGAGCGTATTCACGCCTCATGAAAACCCTGCCAGGCAGGCACCGTTACTTCCCAATGACAGGCAAAGGAACTGAAGCACAGAAAGGTTTTGCTTAAGGTCACTCAGCCAGCAAGTGGCAGAACCGGGATTTCAGTTTGGGCAGCCAGACTGCAGAGCTTGCTCTCTGCAGATTATAACACAGATATGGGGCTGTGCGCCTCCATCTGTGCACAGAGGGAGACTTCTCCAGAAAGACACAGGTGGCTGGTAAGGAAATTGAGAAGATGCCTGAGTTGCTCGGTGGCTTCCTGGAAGCCCTAGTTTTCCCCTCCAGAGTGGCTTCCTCCCCAGAGGGAGCATGAGAGTTCTGGTCTACCTGGGTGCCACTGGGACTTTAGTACTACAGCATCAATGTACAAGCATGGCCTAACATGAGTCGCTGCAGTATTAATATAGCTAGGCCGGGGGTGGTGGCTCAGGCCTAGAATCCCAGCACTTTGGGAGGCCGAGGTGGGTGGACTGCCTGAGGTCAGGAGTTCAAGACCAGCCTGGCCAACATGGTGAAACCCTGTCTCTACTAAAAATACAAAATTAGCTGGGCGTGGTGGCGTGCGCCTGTAATCCCAGCTACTTGGGAGGCTGTGGCAGGGGAATCGCTTGAACCAGGAGGCAGTGGTTGCAGTGAGCTAAGATCATGCCATTGCACTCCAGCCTGGGTGACAGAGTGAGACTCTGTCTCAAAAAACAAAACAAAACAAAACAAAAGCTCCTTTGTGGGAGGAAGGGGGAGGGTATCCACAGGCTGCACCTTTGTTTAGGTAATGCTCTATTTTTCTTTCTCAAAGCTTACTTTTCTGAAGCAAAACTTAAATACAGTAATGTCCACTCATCTTAAACGCACAGCTCAATGCATCTGAACTCGTGTGTCACTGAAAGACACAGAACACTGTCAGCACTCTATGACAACCCCACCTAAAGCAGCTGTGCTCCCGATACCCCATCTAACAGCCTTGTCAGTTCTTGAACTTCACATCGATGAAACTGAATCGTGTACTTTTCTGTTTCTGGTTTATTTTGTTCAACATAAAGTTTGGAAATGAAGTTAGGTTGTTGGATTTTACCAAGAATTCTCATTTATTGCTGTGTATGGAGATAAAATGCACAGATAATGCTGTGTCTGGTTAGAATATACCACGTTCATTTATTCTTTTCCCTGTTGATGGACATTTGGGCTGTTTCCTAGTTTCGAGCTGTTATGAATAAAGGTCCTTTGGATGTTGTAGGTGTCTTTGGCAGAAACAGGCATCTTTCTTTTTTCTTGTCTTTTTTTTGAGATGGAGTCTTGCTTTGTCACCCAAGCTGGAGTGCAACGGCGCAATCTCGGCTCACTGCAACCTCCGCCTCCTGGGTTCCAGCGATTCTTCCGCCTCGGCCTCCCCAGTAGCTGGGATTATGAGTGCGCAGCACCAAACCCGGTTAATTTTTTATATTTTTGGTAGAGACGGGGTTTCACCCTGTTGGCCAGGCTAGTCTCGATCTCCTGACCACAAGTGATCTGCCTGCCTTGGCCTCCCAAAGTGCTGGGATTATAGGCAAGAGCCACTGCACCTGGCTGGCATCTTTCTTTTTTAAAGTGACCTGAATAGCACACACAGACTGGCTAGAAGATACTCTCAGCTGCAGATTTTGGGAGTGAGGGGAGGAAGACCCCTGAAGAATTCTGTACACCAAGGTGGGCCAGACAGACACACAGGCAGGCCCTGGCCTGCTACTAAGGGTTCACACTGTCAGGCCTCTGAGCCCAAGCTAAGCAATCATATCCCCTGTGACCTGCACGTACACATCCAGATGGCCGGTTTCTGCCTTAACTGATGACATTCCACCACAAAAGAAGTGAAAATGGCCTGTTCCTGCCTTAACTGATGACATTATCTTGTGAAATTCCTTCTCCTGGCTCAGCCTGGCTCAAAAGCTCCCCTACTGAGCACCTTGTGACCCCCACTCCTGCCCGCCAGAGAACAACCCCCCTTTTTCCTTTACCTACCCAAATCCTATAAAACGGCCCCACCCCTATCTCCCTTCGCTGACTCTCTTTTCAGACTCAGCCTGCCTGCACCCAGGTGAAATTAACAGCTTGATTGCTCACACAAAGCCTGTTTGGTGGTCTTTTCACACGGACGCGACTGAAACACATCAAGGGGCCCAGACCTTCTGATCTGCTCCAAATGTGCCCATCCCCCTGGGAAGGCCAGCCGTGTGCTAGGGACTGTGAGAATACACTATCTTCATATGAACGAGGCTAGAAATGGAATTCTAGGAAACGGAATCTATGGGGAGCCACGCTGTGCTATGTTATACACACTGTCTATACAGCACTCAAGAAAACTGCAAGGTAGCTACTACCTTCATTCTGCAGCTGAGGGAGAAGGTGTGGAGAAGAGAGCCCTGCCCAGGGTCAGGGCTCACCATTGTTACCATCACAACAGCGTGTCTGGCCCATGTCAAGTGCTCAACAGACATCCGCTGAACAAAGGCTGAGTGAACGGTGGCCCGGATGGGAAGCCAGGCTGCCGGGCCCAGGTCTACGCTGTGATTCGGCCATGGGCTCTCAGGCCTGGTGTCACTGATGTGCTCAATTTTAGAGCTCTGATCCCTGAAAATTCAAGTTTTGTTCTCTCAAGGCCACCATGAAAAATGCAGACAACATGCTTCACCCAGCACAAGCCCACAGAAGGGCCACGGCAGCCGGTTGGACTCACATCACATCTGCATGGTGTCCAAGTGCAGCAGCTCCTTCCAGGGCTGTGTGGACCCCACCAAGCCTGAGGCTGCCCTGAACCTGCCACTGACACTCTCACCCTAGCAAATTCCAGACCAAAGCATGTCCATTCACAAGCAAAGGGGAGAGGAGCTCACAGAACAAGGGGAGTAAAAGACGCCCACTCACCCGGCTTCCTATGAATCCTGGGAATCCCGTAATTCCAGGGGGGCCAGCCACCCCAGGGAATCCTGGCAAACCGGGGATGCCGGGGACTCCGATGTCTCCCTTGACTCCTTTGATGTGGCCGGGCCTCCCAGGCAGCCCAGGGATTCCTGACAGCCCTGGGATGCCTGGCATTCCTTGGATACCTGCAGGAAGACCCTGGTGTGTAACACTCTGGTGAGGACGCAGCACCCGCCCTCCAGTTTTCAATTTTGCAGCCTGGATGCATTTTGCTGTCCTACGTGCTGTGAATCTTTTTTTTTTTTTTTTTTTTTTTTGAGACGGAGTCTCGCTCTGTCGCCCAGGCTGGAGTGCAGTGGCGCAATCTCGGCTCACTACAAGCTCTGCCTCCCCGGTTCACGCCATTCTCCTGCCTCAGCCTCCTAAGTAGTTGGGACTACAGGCGCCCACCACCATGCCGGCTAATTTTTTTGTATTTTTAGTAGAGACGGGGTTTCACCGTGTTAGCCAGGATGGTCTTGATCTCCTCACCTTGTGATCCACCCGCCTCGGCCTCCCAAAGTGCTGGGATTACAGGCGTGAGCCACCGCGCCCGGCCAGTGCTGCAAATCTTAAGATGGGAAACCGAGGTTACTCAGGCATCAGAGAACAACCCTGCGCCAGCTATGGACACACAGGGCGCCCAGAGATGAAAAGCACGAAGAAAGCCAGGTGGAGGGCACGGGCGTCTCTGGGGACGGAGAAGGGCACGAGCTGGTGCGGGCTGGGGCGGCAGGGACTAGGGGCCCCTGGCTGCAGGTCAGAAGCCTCACCTTTTGCGCCCAGGTATCCTTTCAGCCCCATAGGCCCTTCATCTCCTTTCTCTCCTTTAATGTCTTTCATTCCTGGCAGGATGACAGGAGGTGGTCCTGGGGGCCCAGGGTCCCCTCGGCTGCCTGGAAGGGAATAGAGTGCTGTCATTTTCTGGGGGCTCCAGACCACGCAGGAGAACACAGGTGAAGGCCTGGTCCCTGAGCCATAGGGCTGCACGTCTCCCCCAAGCAGGGAAGCCTTGGAGAGAGACCAAGGGCGCCGGAGAAGCCTCTCCTGTGTCCATCGGAGTAGTTGGAGTTGGGGGTGGCTCCAGGGTCCTGGGCCTGGGGCTGGTGTCACTGAGCACACAGCACCACAGTAGGGGGACGTGCCTGCCAGCAGATGCAGAGGGAGCGGTCAAAGCCAGTGTGACTCCCATAGGATGCTTTGTGAGAAGGTCATTTTGTTGTGTGTGCTCTGATGAGACCATGATGGACCTCGGTCACAAGCAGGAAGGCCCGTGAGGCAGGCGCCAGCTCCGTGCCCTCCTGTAGGCACCTTCACAGGGAGGAGAAGCATGGAAGGGAGGTCTCCGGGGGGTTCTGAGGAGCTGAGAAATTGCAGGAGGGGAGGGGCCCAGAGCTGCGGGCCGGGCGGGAAACTGTGCTAGTTCAGGCTGGGGATGCCCCGGAATCCATGCTCACTGGAGGAGTAAGTGAAATCTGGCTCAGTGAAAATAATTGAGCTTCAGTCTCTAAGCATTTACTGTGTATTCAGTACTAGGCTAGAGGCTGATGGGATCAAAATCATAAATTGGTCCTGACCCCACAGAGCGTGCCCACCAGTGGAGGGACAGACACCCCCATGGTTAACTTCACCCTAAGGAGGCTCGAGGAAATAATTACCATGGAGCTGAAAATTACTTAATCTTAAAATGTCATTTTTTTTTTTTGCCTGAAATAGCCTGAAATCTCTGCTAACAGGAAGACTATTTGAAAGCACAAGTGTGAGTAAAAATCTTAAAAAAAATGAGCACCCTAGATTGCAATTTTTATTTTGCTGAAAATTTGTAAAAGCTGTAAGTCTGAAGAGTAATTAAGGTTTTCCAAAACAGCTTATTGATGTATAATTTATATACCCTACAACTCGCTCCAGTAAACAGAACAATTACATAACTTTAGTGTACTCACAGAGCTGTGAGCAAGCAGCACCGTCTAACTTGAGAACACTTTATCCCAGAAAATGAAACCCTGGAGCCGCTGGCAGCCATGCCCTAATTCTCCCCTAACCCTTCAGCTTTAGGAAACTGCGAATCCATCGCTTCTCGGCCTTTTGGCTAAGATCAAGTGTAGGAAACTGCGAATCCACTTTTCATTTCTGTAAACTTGCTTACTGGGGACATCTCATATACATGCAGTCAGACGACACGTGGCATAGTGTTCTCAAGGCTCGCCCACGCGCCATGTCTGAGAGCCCCATCCTTCCTCAGCACTGAATGTGCCCTTGCACAGCTCTGCCATATTTTACTCATCCATTCATCAGTCGATGCATTTTCAGGCTGTTTCCAATTATGGCTGCTATAAAGGATGCTGCCATGAGATTTGTGTCCACATTTTTGTCTGTACCTATGTTTTCAATGATCTTCATCTAGGAGTAGAACTTCTGGGTAACTCTATGCTTAGTTTCTTAATGAACTGCCAAACTGTTTGGCACACTGGCCGCAGCGTTTTACACTCCTGCTGGCAGCCTGTGAAGGTTCCCATTTCTCCACCTCCTCACCAACACACACTCTTAGTCATTACGTTTTTAGAGACCACTGTGATTATTTCAGAACAAAAGCATCTGAACAGAAGTCATGAAAATGTGACTTGTTAGTAATAAACTCAATGAACGAGGGGCCTTACGTGGGGGGTCTTGAGATGCCTGTCCGCGTGAGGGTTTGAACCCACCTCATGTGTGGACCACGTTCTCTCTGGCACCGTGTTATGTCCTTCCACCTGGAAAGCTGTGTCCTCCTGTGCCTGGTGGTACTCCCTTCTCTGGGAACTCACCTGTCCCCTGCTTTTCACCGCCCCCTCTTCATGTTTACCACGGTATAATCATGGTGGAATATGTTTCATGACATATTTGGTTCTTAGCGATGCCATCATTTTGGTTCTCAAGAGTTTCCTTTGGTTAGGATTATTCCCTTATCACATGGTCAGTGTGTTGAGGCAGGGATAAAGCCTTTGAGTTTTTGTTAGCTCATTTTGTTTGTTTTGTCTAGCTTTAGGGTTCCTGGATGCATGGGTTTTCAAAAATTCATTCTGGGCAATGTTATGCCACCAAGAAAGGGTAAGGAGGATGCCACCATGACCAGGTAAGGAGGATGTTAAGAGAGGGACATACCTTTAAAACCTGGCTCACCAGCCAGACCCTTCAGACCGGGTATTCCGAAAAATCCAGCCTCGCCTTTGCTCCCTGGAAACCCGGGTCTCCCTTTGAGTCCAGGCATGCCTTGGAAACCATCCATCCCAGGTGAGCCTCTATCTCCTTCAGAGGAAAAGAGAAAAGTGCTGGGTTAGACATGAATAAAATGCATGGGACATTTCAGTCTCACGTCTCCGTAACATTTCGGCAATGTAACTCAAGTGAGAAGATTCTGAACCTAAAATAGGGATTTCCGGGGACACCATCTTCTAAGCAACTTCTCTCTGTTGACCTCTGCTGTTAACAGACAGCATTCCAGAATCAGCCTGTCTTCAGACCGGACATTGGCAACAAGGAAACACACAAAGATCAGGCAGGAAGGCTAGGAGGGAAATCTGAAGATGATGCAGGTTCACTGGCCCACAGGCCCATCAAGACAAAGGCAGAGGAGCACGCTGGAAAGGAAGGCAGCAGTAACACTGCACCTGGCATGGAGATGCGACACAGGACCGCAGAAAGTCAGACCAATGTCGCCAGCACCGGAAGGAGAGGTCAAGGTGTCTCCAGCAACAGAAAGACAGACTCATATGTCTCTAGTAATGGAAAGACCAACCCATGTGTCTCCAGCAATGGAAGGACCGACCAATGTGTCTCCAGCAACGGAAGGACAGAACAGTGTGTCTCCAGCACGGAGGGACAGAGCAGTGTGTCTCCAGCACGGAGGGACAGAGCAGTGTGTCTCCAGCACGGAGGGACAGAGCAGTGTGTCTCCAGCACGGAGGGACAGAGCAGTGTGTCTCCAGCAACGGAGGGACAGAGCAGTGTGTCTCCAGCAACGGAGGGACAGAGCAGTGTGTCTCCAGCAATGGAGGGACAGAACTGTGTGTCTCCAGCAACGGAGGGACAGAACAGTGTGTCTCCAGCAATGGAAGGACAGAACAGTGTGTCTCCAGCAATGGAAGGACAGAACTGTGTGTCTCCAGCAACGGAAGGACAGAACAGTGTGTCTCCAGCAACGGAGGGACAGAACAGTGTGTCTCCAGCAACGGAGGGACAGAACAGTGTGTCTCCAGCAATGGAAGGACAGAGCAGTGTGTCTCCAGCAACGGAGGGACAGAACAGTGTGTCTCCAGCAATGGAAGGACAGAACTGTGTGTCTCCAGCAACGGAGGGACACAGCAGTGTGTCTCCAGCAACGGAGGGACAGAACAGTGTGTCTCCAGCAATGGAGGGACAGAACAGTGTGTCTCCAGCAACGGAGGGACAGAACAGTGTGTCTCCAGCAACGGAGGGACAGAACAGTGTGTCTCCAGCAATGGAGGGACAGAACAGTGTGTCTCCAGCAACGGAAGGACAGAACAGTGTGTCTCCAGCAACGGAAGGACAGAACAGTGTGTCTCCAGCAACGGAAGGACAGAACTGTGTGTCTCCAGCAACGGAGGGACAGAACAGTGTGTCTCCAGCAACGGAGGGACAGAACAGTGTGTCTCCAGCAATGGAGGGACAGAACTGTGTGTCTCCAGCAACGGAAGGACAGAACAGTGTGTCTCCAGCAACGGAGGGACAGAACAGTGTGTCTCCAGCAATGGAGGGACAGAACTGTGTGTCTCCAGCAACGGAAGGACAGAACAGTGTGTCTCCAGCAATGGAAGGACAGAACTGTGTGTCTCCAGCAACGGAGGGACAGAACAGTGTGTCTCCAGCAACGGAGGGACAGAACAGTGTGTCTCCAGCAATGGAAGGACAGAACTGTGTGTCTCCAGCAATGGAAGAACAGTGTGTCTCCAGCAACGTTCATGGGCTGGAGGGCTCTGCTTCTAGATTGGCCTGCTTGTGCTGAAATAAACCTATCCCTGTAACCAACCACTTTGCTTTGCTTTGGTTTCAAATTCACCAAATAACCTCTGGATCTGAATCTAGGCCCCTGAGTGGACCTCTCCACAAATTTCCCTGTGCAGATGGTGATATTTACAATAAGACGATGTTTCCCAGGCAGGAGCAGTTTGTCTTGGTAAATTCATAAACTGGCTTTGTGAGGCACATTGGTCCCACCCGCGTCTAAGCAGCATTAACCAGCTGTCCTGAGGCTGCTGTCTCCTAGGTCAGGAGAGTCCCAAGGCCTCCAATCTGCAGAAGTGTGAGGCCAGCCCCACGGCCCACAGAGGCGCCCAGCAGAGCTGTCTCAGGTCAGAGTTGATTAGACCCAACCTCCCCGCCAAGGGATCCCTGGTCACAGTCACACAATTACCTTTTAGCCCGGGGGTCCCAGGCATTCCATCAATTCCTTTAAATCCAGGGCTTCCTGGATGGCCTTGCTCCCCTGTGAAGCCAGCATCTCCTCTGTCACCAGAGAGACCTTTCATGCCCACAGGGCCAGGAGCGCCTGTGTCCCCAGGGTCCCCTCTATCACCAGGCAGACCTGTCAGGAAGAGGAGCAAATCAAACAGGGTGGACAAACACACACAGGGGAAATTTCTCTTCTGCTTTTACGGCATTGAGTGTTCAGTAAGAAAAGCTCCTTAGAAGGAAAGTGGAAAACCACCATGTTGGGGTGAGTTTCCAAAGTGTGGCCGGAGCGGGACCCTGGGGCTGGCCTTTCTGGAGAGGTCTGTATCTGGAGGTTGAGGCTGTGCTGGCGGGGTGCCAGCCAGCATGGCTTTCCCACTGCAGTCTTCAGAAGCCAAGGGACAAAGCTGTGTGGATGCTGATGTGAGTGGGGGCCTTGCCAGCTCTGGCTGGGGCATGGTCACTGGGGTTAGTCAAGAGCTGGCCTGTTCCTCGCGAACATCACTGGCTCCAGCCCGGAGTTAGTCCCGGGGGACCCTCCAGCTGCCCATTTGCTGCTGCTGCCCTCTCTGGTCTCCGTGCTCCCATCTCATCACTGCTACTGTCGTGAGCTTGGCAGCTCCCGCCCACAGCTGTCCTCCCGCCTCCCCCGACTCCAAGCCGTCCAAGGGCTGCCTGCTGGGTCCCTAAAATCCCTTCTTAATGCATTTCTCTGTTAAAAACTCCCAAAGGCCCCCTCTGCCTCGGGGCTCCAACTCCTTAGCTCCAGCATTCACTGCTCCCAACCTTTGGCTCAATCTTCTTATCTAAACCCCCAGCCCCCTCAAATCAGGCTCTCTTCCCCAGCCGGTTTGGGGATCACAGGCTCCAAAGTGTTCCCTGGGCAATTCTGCCTCTGCTGGGGTGGTCCCCCTTTCCTAGAGAGCACCCCACATTCCAGTCCCAGCCTTCTCCCCGCTGGCACCAGGTACTTCTCCCCTTGGGCTTGCTCTGACCTGCCTGTCCCCGCCTCCTCTGGGTCACCGGGGACCGCGTGGCCTTGTCACTCTGCTGGCTTGCCCAGGCCAAGTGGGAGCCTTTTAATGTGTGTGTCTCTCTCCCCACCTAAAGTGTAGGCTTTAGTTCAGGACAGGCTTTCCCATGGGTCTCGTAAGCACCACACGACGCTGTGTTCAGCTGATTCTCAGTAGTTGAGAACCAGCACGGCCCTGTCGATACTGAGATAGGAGCCTGAACCTCCGGTCCAGGTTTGCTACCCCAGGAAGCCAGTGGCTAGTGCGGCAATAGGGGAGCGGGCCCTACCTGAGTCCAGCCCCCAGCTCTTGGACACAGGCGAGGCCCCACATGGGGGAAGCCAGTGTGTATCTTCAAGTGGAGTGGCAGTTCCCTACCAAGATCTGCTAAGGTCCTGGACAAAGCTGTTGCCTGACTGTGGCAAACCAGAGAACTATAGTAAGATTGAGAGTTTCCATGGAGACAACTCCTTATTAAGCAACTGCGTCTTTCCCACTTTACAGTTACGGTGTCCTTTGGTGACATACAACACTTCCTTAAAAAGCTGTTTTTCTGGACAAAACAAAAAGGGGGGAAAGTACATTGATTCCTCCAACCAGCACTGACAGTTTCCCTGGACCGTGAAGTGTAGGAGTCTGGGAACTGGCTGTACTGAGTGTGGGAGAGCGGCCTGGGCAGTGGTGGGCAATGCCCATGGATGCTGTGCCCTGCCTGCCTTCTGGGCCACCTCTGCCACCTGCCTTGGCCTGTGTGGTGGGCATGCAGCCGAGCCTCCCCTCCCCGCTCCTCTGCTCCAGCCCATCTACCCCAGGTTTCCCTGACGGAGCCACCTGCCTTTCCAACCCACACCCTGCACTTTCATAAAACCATTTCTCCTCTCCACATCAGAGCAGTGATTCTGAACTTTTGTAGGGGGAATTTCTTTCTTTTTCTTTTTTCCCGATGAGACCTTCCCTAGATCCTTAATATATACAACAGGTACAGAGGATGAGCCGATGTCTCAGGCTGTTTGTGTCTCCTTATTAGGTGAAATACATGTTCTGGTTTGGGAACCCCTGCACCTCTTAAGGGGTTCCATGGAACAGACTTTGAGAGCTCCACAAGAAGACAGTGCTCATTCTCTTGGCAGGACCAGTGAGGACCCCACTCGTTTATGGGAGGGCTGGGGTCTTACCTTCACGGCCTGGGATTCCTGGCAGCCCCAAGGGCCCCTCTTGGCCAGGAGCTCCTGGGAATCCATGCAGTCCTGGAGGCCCATACAGGCCTGGCTGGCCGGAAGGTCCTGGGAGGCCTGGCTGGCCCTTCAGCCCTGGCATCCCAGGCATCCCTTGGCTTCCTGCAGGAATCAGAGACAAGAGCTGTGGGGGCCAACTCTGGACTGTTCATCACAGACAGCATCTCCCTCCACACACTCATTCTGTAAAAAGAGCAATTCATGCTTTTCTGGACTCTAGAGAATCAGGAAAACACAAAGAAGTATAAAGGATAAAATCAGGTAAGGCACACCATCACCCAGCGGTAATGACTACCACTGGGAATTTCCTTCCTGCCCTTGTCTATTCCTATAAATAACTAGACATTTGCAGAGTTGACATGGCACTATAAGTATAGTTTTAACCTAGTTTTCTTCACTTGACATTATATTTTGAACATTTTGCCACATTTAAAAATAGTCTTTGCAAACATTTAAAATAACTACATGAATAAAACTCTATCATCTGGACACATTGAATGTATTCCATCGCATCCTCCCCATTTTTTTCACTTTTGCAAACAGCACTGTCAGGAATAGTTGGGGAGTTTTCTTTTTTTGCTATGTTTATCCATGTCCATGTCGTAGGTAATTTCTTTAGGAAACTGCCTGAGAAACTGACATCGTGTATCAAAGCAAACACTAATTTAATGTTGTTTAAAAGATACATCGCACTGATTCAGAAAGTCTAAACCCATTTATTCTACCAGTGTTTCCCCAGCACTGAGCGTTAGCACTGAAGCAAAATGGAACCCTGGCAGTCATGATGCAGTGAAACGTGGTGTCGGGGGATCCGCTTGCTTGTTCTTCATTATGATCTACGTTTCTTTCTCCTGGTTATTGATTTTGGTGAAGTTTTAGTTCTTTGCTCATATCTTTTCTTTCTTTCTTTCTTTTTTAAATGGAGACAGGGTTTTGCCATGTTGCCTAGGCTGGTTTCAAACTCCTGAGCTCATGCGATCTGCCCGCCTTGGCCTCCCAAAGTGCTGGGATTACAGGCATGAGCCACTGTGCCCGGCCTCTTTGCTCCTATTTTCCTCTGGGGAGTTTTATATTTTCCTGATAGATTTTAGTATTCCTCATATACACTGACGAATTTTCCTTCATATCTATTGTAAAGTTTATTCTGCTGCTCAAAGTTTAATTTTGCTTTCCACATGCAGGATACTAACCTTTGTATTCAAACTTCATATGGTGTGTGTGTGGGTGTGTGTGCACATGTGTGATTTCTTCTCTTCATTTTAAGTTTGGAATATCCTGTCCTGCCCAGTGGTCAGACACTAAGGGCATCTGTTTTCTTCTAGTTTTTAACACTAGCTCCCTGGACCTCCTTATATTCAGGCATTTCCCCCTCTCTTCGTGAGCCTGACGCTTGTCGCAGCTGCTCTCCGATTATTAACACCGGAGGTGCACACTCCTGCCACCACTTTACAGTCCACACACTCACGTAGCCTCACAGCCACCCTGCAGGTGTGCAGGGCTGGTCCAGGACAGGGAGGCAGACAAGCCAGGGGGGTGCACAGGAGGGGGCAGTGACAAAAGGGACCCGGTCAGTCTTGGACCAACCCAGAACCGAGAGTCAGGCTGCTGACTGCGCACTGTCTGACCACGTCAACCTGCAGCGAGGAAGAGGGCTGACTGAGCAGGAGGCGCACTCGAAGCCGAGGTCTGAAATGAGATTCTCTAAGATGCACGGATGCATCGGTTCTCACCTCCTCCTGTAGTACTGTGAGAAATGAGGACACTTCTATTTTTTGGTCTTCTATCTTTAGAGTGAAGAGCTCCAGGGGAAATGGATTGTTAGTGGGTGCTAATGGTTGTGAAGAGTTGGCAGGCAGCACTGCAGGCTGTAAAGGATTCGCAGCGATGGCAGGTCCACCCCACTCCTGCTCATTGACAAGAACAATGGGGTGGGGATCTGACAGACACCAGGTGACATTCATAACCCAGGGACATGGACTGTGGGGGAACTTGGGGGCTGAGCAGGCGAGATGGCCTCAGCAGGGGGCAGCAGGGCTGGAGACAGTCTGGGCGTGCTTCTGAGCGCTGCCCTTCCTCCCCTTCTGGAAGTGGACAGCACGGTCTCCGGGTGAATGTGCACGAATGCCCGATCCTCCGGCAAGGACTGCCTTGCAAAAATCAGGCACCGAGGTGCTTTGTGATTATTTCTTTAGAGCTGAATGTTTCAGGTCAGTTTCCACTTATAGACTATCTGTTAAAAAAGGAACAACTGCTAAAAATCAGCCTCCCTCAGTGAAATCACATCTCATTTGTGGACGTCTGCATTACTTCATTCCGAGAGTTCTGCTCAGAAGCGCAGGGTGCACCTGCGTGTGTTTGTGGCCGTCCTGCACAGCCAGTCGAATGGAAGCAGGACCCGCTGCACGCTGCTCCTGTAGCACTGGTGAGCGGAACTGAAACTGAAGTAGTTACTTGGAATGTTGATGCTTTGGGAGTCAGGATTTTTACCATCCAAAACATTCTGCCTAACAAGGCATATGAAGCTTGTCATAAAGGTAACATTGATCATGGTAAAGACCTTAATAAGACATCGAAAGTAAGCCTGCTTCCATTTGTTTTCATGCTCAAACATTCTGAAGCCTGCAGGAAGTAATTAAGTTTTAAAAAAATTCTACCAGAAGTACCCTTATGTCAAAGAGCTTGGGGCAGGATTTTGACAGCTGGGTTGCAGAACAGGTCGATGGTGGACACTCGAGTCACCTACGTATGTCCTTCACTTTGCCTTCTGTGAACTCATTTAAGTGCCTTCCAGGAAGGCTGACACACAGAGCCCCACCTCTCAGCGCCGAGTCCTCAGTTTCTGCAGACAGCGCTGATTTGCATCTTATCTTCCATAAATGACCTGGAGAGTCAGTAGGACTGGAAAGGGGAGATCTGGATGGCCGAGCACGAGGCCTCCCCATCCTCGTAATTTCACCCAACAACCTGCTCTAGCTGGCTTGGTTCAGGGTTGGATGTGTATGTGTGAGCATGCATAGGCACGTGTGTGTATGTGAGTGTGTGATCATGTGTGAGCGTGCATAGGCACGAGTGGGTATGTACGTGTGTGTATGAGTGTACGATCATGTGTGAGTGTGCACAGGCACGTGTGTGGGTATGTACGTGTGTGTGATCGTGTGTGCACAGGCACGTGTGTGGGTATGTGCATGTGTGTGATCGTGAGTGTGCATAGGCACGTGTGTGGGTACGTGTGTGTATGGAGTGTGTGATCATGTTTGAGCATGCACAGGCACGTGTGTGGGTACGTGCATGTGTGATCATGTGTGAGTGTACACAGGCACGTGTGTGGGTACGTGCGTGTGTGATGTGTGAGTGTGCACGGCACGTGTGTGGGTACGTGCGTGTGTGATCATGTGAGTGTACACAGGCACGTGTGTGGGTACGTGTGTAAGGAGTGTGATCATGTGTGAGCATGCATAGGCACGTGTGTAGGTATCTGCATGTGTGTATGTGATCATGTGTGAGCATGCATGTGCATGAGTGTGACCGTGAATGTGTGTGTGTGTGTGTGCATGCATGCACTCTGGCCATCTTAGGCTCTTCCTTGCTCTCTCAGTGAACTGTGGCACCCATGGGCGCTCCCTAGTATCAACAGCTGGGGGCACTGATCAGTCTCATCATCATCAAAACTCCCCTGTCCTGGGTCCCAACCCTTCCAGGCCTTGCTAGGAATCTCACAGGCTCATCCGAAAACCAATTCATGCTCCTGAGCTTCATGGGTTCGCCTGCCAGTGGAGGCCTAGCCTCCATCTCGCTTAGGATGCCTGATGTGGGCTGATGGCAGAATCAGGGGAGCGACACCTGCTTCCCACACCACAGAGAAGCCTCTTCGGGCTGGGGTTGGCAGCAGGGACTAACGACAATGCCATCAACAGATAAACAGTGAATGCACCGAGTCACAGTTTTAACCCACATTTTCTTTTCTTTTCTTTTCTTTTTGAGACAGAGTCTCACTCTGTCACGCAGGCTGGAGTGCAGTGGAATGATCATAGCTCACTGCAATCTACAATTCCTGGGCTCAAGCAATCCTCCCACCTCAGCTTCCCATGTAGTTGGGATTACAGGTGCACAGCACCATGCCCAGTTAATTATTATTTTTTTTTTGTAGAAATGGGGTCTCCCTATGTAGCCCAGGATGGTTTTGAACCCCTCGGCTCAATCAATCCTCTTACCTTGGCCTCCCAAAGTGTTGGGATTACAGGTGTAAGCCACTGTGCTCAGCCTCATTTTTGATTTGGAACACTGAATGGCAGGTTGCAATGATCTAGCAATCCCCAGCCTGGGGTTCACCCAGTGTGAACATTTGCTGTCCATGGCATCATCTTTCATTAAAGCTCGGGGCTCGGGTTCCCAAAGCCGATTTGGCATCAGTTGAACCCTTAAAGCCACCGGGTGCCTTGTCACTCATGAAACCAGGGATGCTCTGTCTACTTTGATAGAGATACATTGATAACACTGTAAACAACATTAAGACATTTTAAAAAATGTATTAATTTTTACACCAATAGAATTGCATTCCAGATTATTTCTATTTTCCTTCTTCACCTCTGACTAAGCATGGCCAGGGCCCATCTTTTCTTCATACCACCTGTACAGATTCTGCCAAGACAAACAGTGAGCCTGTCACGGCCCCTGTCACAGCCAGGCATATGCAACTTGACAACAGATTACATCAGTGAATCCACACCTGTCAAAGTTCTCAGATGGCCAGATCGCACTGGCTACCGTGGGTAGTCACAGTGTTGTGACAGACACATTCTAAAGGAGTGCTGGAAGGCCATGGGAGAAGGTACGCATGGCTAGCACTATAGGGCACCGCTGCTTCCTACCAAATCCCCCGGAAGGGATTGGGGTCGCCCTTGGAGGCCACTGTGCATCTGGGATGGGGCCCCCGGCTCCCCGATGGGGCACTCACCTCTGAATCCAGGGGGGCCTCTGTCTCCGGGAAGGCCTTTAAGCCCAGGCTGTCCAGGCACACCAGCATCTCCCCGTGGCCCGGGCTGAGCTCCCAGGACTTCTCCAGGGAGGCCCCTTTCCCCAGGGGGCCCATCTGGCCCTGGCAGGCCGATGGGACCTGGGGATCCATCTGGGCCAGGGAGGCCCACTGCACCTTTGGATCCTCGGGGTCCTATGAACCCTAAAAGGAAACATGGGTGGGCCCCAAACCACAAGTTAGCATGGTGACGTTCTAAGAGAAGAGTCAAAAAGAGGCTGGAAACAGCAAAAATTTGGCTATGGGGTCCTCAGAAGGCATTCCTCAGCTCGAGCCCTTGTCCCTGTCGCCCTTTTTGGAACCTACAACCTTCGCCATGTCGTTCTGTTGGTTATGTTTCTTCTGCTTGCCCCGCCATTCGGCCCCCCAGCCCTAAAACTGAGTGAAGGTGGACAAGCCAACAACGCCTCCTTGGACCTCGATTTGCATAATTCATGGGTTCCCCTGCTTTGCAAATAAGCCCCAAAGAATAGCTTTTTGTGGGACCTTCTAGGTTGTGCTGAGTGAGGAACAGCACTTCGGGATGGAAAATCCCAGGGAGGCAGGAACGAACAGGGCCGTCAGAGCCAAAACGCTGCCTGCCGTAACATCTCCCTGGTAGAAACCCGTCACTGTCGGTTGGGAAACGCTTCAAAGAGGAACGACACCCCTCTGTTGTATTGACCATGAAAATCATCAAGTCCCAATCCCAGCACTTTGGGAGGCCGAGGCGGGTGAATCACGAGGTCAGGAGATCGAGACCATCCTGGCTAACACGGTGAAACCTCGTCTCTACTAAAAATACAAAAAATTAGCCAGGTGTGGTGGCGGATGCCTGTAGTCCCAGCTACTCAGGAGGCTGAGGCGGGAGAATGGCGTGAACCCGGGAGGCGGAGCTTGCAGTGAGCCAAGATCGCACCACTGCACTCCAGCCTGGGCGACAGAGTGAGATTCCATCTCAAAAGAGAAAAAAATAAAAAGAAAAAAGAAAATCATCAAGTCCCATCTGCGGATGGAGGGAAGGCAGCTGTCCTGTGTCTTTTGTGGGTGCCACTGGATAAAATGATCTCATCAGGTCACTTCCTTTTTCGGTGCAGTCAGCCCTGACATGGCCTCAGAATGAACTCCCACAGCTGACAGTCACGCAGTGCTCAGAAGGAAAGGCTTCTGAGGTCACCACCACCCCCGCTGTGCATGCAGGAGAGAAGCCTGCAACGATGAGACTGGCAGGTGATTCTGTGGGACAAGATCAAGTACACGGCAGGCTCGGCACTCCTATGTATGGATACGGAAAAGGGAATGTTTTCTGTGTTCTGTGGGGTGTATCCCACCAAAAAGATCCAATGAGCAGGGCCCGGGGACCTCCTGGGCCGGTAAAGCCATCACTGCCTGGGAGCTGGGAGTAACTGGAATACAGAATAAAGGATCTGGATTAACCTGACGTTAATCAGCTAGACCGTACTCAGAGTTTTAACGGTGTGATTTACTCACAATGAAGAGACATGACTTTCACTGGCAATGTTACAAACTGTACCCAGGGAGCCATGCACTTGGGTTTGCATGTGTGGGTCTTAGATCTGGAATAGACTCTCTGATTTTTGCAATCCTTGAATTGGGCATTTTATCCTCTTCTGCATGTGGCGACAGAAGGGCAGTATATTTCAGCACCATAAAAAGTGACATGCGTTTCAGAAACTGATCAGTTCCTCAATCACCACCCACCCCCAGCCTGCCCCAGCCTCCCTGTTCATGACGTAAGGGCTCACATTTGATGGTGGAACAGGCTCCCAACTCACGTGGGCAACTGTCCAAATCACCTGATAATGGGTGCATCCCATCCATTCCCCCCTACAGGGGAGCCCCGTGTGGCGTTCACGCACACATGGCTGGGCACTCCAATCACAATTACCAGAGAACTTTCATACTCACAGCAAGAAGCTGTTCAGGAATTATTATCCTTCTCTCAAAATCATGAATGCTTAAACTTAGTATATATGAAATCATGAGAGTGGCAATGTTACACTTCTAAATATTTAGACACTTCCAGCAGGGCAACAAAACCACAGAGACCAACCCCTGGGGCAGAGGCATGGAGACTTCCTTTGCTTCATTCGAATGCAGAGTTGTTTTTACCAGGGCCTTGATACAGACACAGGAAGCCTGCTTCCCAATTTTGCAAAACATGGAGAAACGCATCATATGAAAGGAAACAGGGTCAGGGTTTGGAACAATCCCTACGGGCTGCAACACAAAATTCCGAAAGATACCATCTATCAGGGACGGACAGACACTTCTGCATTGAGGCTTAAATCAGCTATCTGAGTGGAGGTCAGGGGAGGGGCAGGGTTCAATTAGTCTTCACTGGGAACATTTGCAAGATGTTCAACCTAAGGGCGCAACAGTCCCGATGTTCTGTGTGATATTCCAGACATGGGGAGCGCTTTATTCAGTTTCTAGAGCCCAGTTGGAAAAGAATCCTGATAAGTGGGGGTCCTAGAAGGTTGCTCAGAATTCCAAGGGCATGGAACGATGTCATTAAAAGAAAGTATGTGTTCCCGGGGTCAGTTCTGCCTGTTCATGAGACGTCTGTGGGAGATGTGGCCGCCTCTCTCAGGGTGTGTGGTTATGAGGAAGTCAACTGTGTGGCTCAGGAACAGCCCGGTGAGAACTCCCTGGGAGGCAGGCTGTATTCCAGGGAGGAACTTTCTAGCAACAAGAGGGTTCCAATGTGCCACAGGTTCTAGGTGACAAGTGGGACTCCAGCAGAGGCTGCAGGAACCTGCCCAGGACCCTGTGGAAGGATGTTTCATCTCGGGTGGAAAGTTGTCCACAATGGCTTCCATGGTTTCATTAGACAAACACTATTGAAGATGTGTGCGGCCTGGCACAGTGGCTCACGCCTGTCATCCCAGCACTTTGGCAGGCTGAGGCGGGCAGATCACCTAATGTCAGGAGTTTGAGACCAGCCTGGCCAACATGGTGAAATCCCCGTCTCTACTGAAAATACAAAAATCAGCCAGGTGTGGTGGCACATGCCTGTAATCCCAGCTACTCAGGAGGCTGAGGCAGGAGAGTCGCTTGAACCCAGAAGGCGGAGGTTGCAGTGAGCTGAGATTGTGCCACTGCACTCCAGCCTGGGTGACAGAGCGAGATTCCATTTCATTAAAAAAAAAAAAAAAAAAAAAAAGACGTGTATGCCCCTGCAATCAAGGCAGTGCCATCACACTCATGCACATCGCCTGTGGCACAACTGCAAGACACCTATGTCTGCAGACGCCTGGCTGCATTCCAGAGCATGCTGACACGCAAGTGGGTACTCCTCACCAGAGCTGGTTAAGGGAAACCTCATTTTCCTCCACATACAGATTAATGCCTTAAGCTCTTGCAGCCACATTGTGAGAGGGCTATTTATGCCTTTAAGGGTTCTTTCAGGAGAGGATAACTTTGTGTTGCCCTTAGAATGTTTAATATTAATCATTATTAACACTGAGGACATACCTGGGAGACAGGTGTTGCGGAGGACAGCCATTCCGAAACACCTGTCTCCTTTTTCCTGCAAGATCTGTAGATAGCTTCTGCAAAAACCCAGTACAATATCAGTTATGAAAAATCAAGAATTTCTAATCTCCCAAGGACAAATGCAAAAGTTGTCAAGTATTTGTTAAAACAGCTTCTACAAAGTGGAAGATAATAGAGCTGGATGCTTATGAATCACACACAGGTTCCCGCTGGAACCCAGGGGCTGAATGGGGGTCTGATCTCAACTCACCTGGGGGTCCTGGGAACCCTTCACGACCTGCGTCTCCTGGCAAGCCCCTGGGCCCTGGTCCTCCATCAGCTCCTGCGAAGCCTGGGATTCCTCGGAGGCCTTTGGCACCTAAATAACCAAATAAACCACAAACCACATCAGGCTCCACGAGGATAAATGGGCATGGTCATGCTTGGCATCTGACTTAATGTGGATCTCATGAAACCGGGAAATGATGAGGCTGGGGGGAATATCAGCCTGAAACAGCACCTCCAGGCTTACAGAATGATTTTCAGTGTTTAAAATCCTGTTTACGGACTGGAACCATAAGAATGATAATATCCAATATTTAGATTCTACAGTGCTCTAAATGAGGGCTTTGGAGGTGGGGTCAGATGCTTGGCTATAAATTTTGGCCCTACCATTCTATCTGTGTGACCGTGGACAACTTTCTGTGCCTCAGTTTCCTCACCTGTAAAGTGGGGAGAAGGATCGCCTGCCTCATGAGGACGCCACGAGGACTATGAGGTGACTCTTTTCAAACACTTGAATCCTGCTTGGCCCAGTGTGTGGGCTCCAGAAGTGTTTTCTGATAATTGAAGGGCTGAGGTTCCTCAGCCATGTCACAAAACCCATCTGCCACACTTTTTTATCCCCGTTCCTGGCGCCTCTTGGGAAGGGGATGTGTGTGATCAAACCCACCCTCACTCTTAGAAAGTGGAGTGCGGACAGCAGGAGTGAGAGGGAGGAGCGGATGGGAGGCCAGCAAGGGGCTCCCAGTAATGGGGGCCTGGGCATGAAATGGAAATAACTGGGTATGGCTGGGGGAGCCCCGGAGCCTCAGAAACCCACACTCGCATCACTGGAGCTTTCCCGGAGACCGGCCTTGGCACACGGCTGTAGTCTGGGTGTGTGCTGAGCGTGCTGGCCTCTGGTTCTCCCTGACCACCTGAGACATGCAGAGTTGTCACCATTTTGGGGGTTGCTGTATGAGTGACGGTGTTGAAATCCATGGATGGAATTAGACCGGGGGCAGGTCTAATGGAACGCGGAAGATACAAGCTCAGTTCTCAGAAGACAACACAAGGAGCCTTTACCTCTGCTCACAGTGCAAATGATACCTCTGCATTTGTCCTGTGCTCCCCAGGCCCTGTGATCACGGTGCACTCCGAAGACCCCCTTAAGGTGCAGGGCACATAGAATGTGTCCGTCCACTTTCCTAACTCTCATTGCTGTTCATACTACACTGGTGTCGCTCTCTACAGTTTATCACGGGAAGCAGTGAGGGCATGATTTGTGCAGCAGGAAGCATCTAGAACACCTGTCTGCACTATTCATCTTGCATAGGTGGGGACTTAGTTCCAGAAGAAACAAGTGAGAACAGCTCTGGCTGTGTCTGGTGCTTGTGACACTGAGTTACCCAAGTGACATGCTTCCCCGGCCCCATCACAGGCCGAGTGGAAGAGACATCCAAAGGGGAATTCCTACTGCTCAGAGAACTTGCTTTTCTCAGGCTGATGGACACAGGCATAGAGCCACCTCTCAGGGTCCAGCCCTCCTCCTGCTTGAGTGGAAGCCCTGGCTCTGTGTTCCCCGATGCTCACAGGCCCACGGAGACCCTGGAGTGCAGGGCAGCAGAATCGCAGCGCAGGCGGGACGGCAGTGGTGGCCAGCCAGGCCTGCACCGCCAACACTGGACACGCAGGCGGCCTTAGGCATGGGCTCTGTGAAGGGCACCCAGACTCTTTCTCACATGGGCTGAGAGATGGCCTGGGCCAGCAGATAGAAGCCCAGGTCCTCCCAGGTGCTAGAGACAAAACACTCTAGCCTTGTTTATTCCCGTTTCCTGTTAATCAAAACCCAAATGAAAGCATCCTCTCCTGTAGGTTCTTCCCCTAGATCCTGGGATGGAAAGGCATAAAAAGAAAATACATAGAAGTGCAACCCCTTTCCAGTCCTAAACACGAGGCTTCCATCTCTGCCCCTGGGGGCGTTCCCCTGCAGCCATGGCTGAATTTTCTCTTCTAGCCTGGCCCCAACTAAGTGTCAGCTACCAGACTCCTTTTTCTATAGTGGCAAATGACAGTGGGCTCCCTGTAGGCGCAAGACCAGTTTGTGCTGAGATGCTGGACACGACCATGTCTGGGGTGGGGGATGCAGGACCAGAGGAAAGATGGGCGGGGGAGACACAGCAGTGTGAAGATGTGGGAGGAAGGCTGGGTGCACTCCAGGTTCCCTCCGTGCATTACCTGTGGGGCCTGGGGGTCCTGGCAGGCCTGGCAATCCCTTGGGCCCTCCTATGCAACCTGGGGACAGAAAGGAGAAAAGATGAGCCCAAGCAATCCTAAACACTGAGTCCCACGGCCTTGGGGATCCCCAAGGGCAAAAGCACGAGCTGTGCAAACCGGCTACCATTCTGGGATCAGAGTAACTTAATGATTTAATTCATCTTGGTTCTGATGTAAATAAAAGTTTAATTTCATTGTGTAATGAAATCAAAATATTCGTATAAAATGCAAACTAAGCCAGTCTAGTCAAATAAAAACTGGCACTGTGCTGGCAAACAATTGATTCCCTCCTGCAGGGCAGTAGCCTGGGTGCAAACCGAGTTAATCTGGCTGCTACCCTGCAAGTCAGTGTGGATGCTTTTCTTTTGTCTGGAAGCATCTGCCAGCAATGGAGATAGCCTGCGATTTCAAAATGAATTATTTGACTTCTCCTTTGTGACTTTGTTTACTTTCAGAGTGAACCACAGCAATCAGCCACCTTGCAAAATTAAATCAAGGCTGTGGGCACTTCTGGTTGGTGTGGCTGGGAGCAGTGACACTCCAGCTGGGGTATTGTGAGAGCCCTTTGTCTAAGAGGCTCTCTTGCAAGAACAGTCACTCTTGGAGCTTTCTTTTGTCTGTGTGCCTGGGAATCTGGACCAGGCTCCCATCTTGGCCTGACATCCTCGCCACCGTCTGGGCTGGGCTCAGCCTCCTCTGCCTGGACCCTCCTGGCAGCACACGTGCCTGTGGAGCTGAGTTGGAATGCACTGGTGCTTTCCAGTGAAAAAGGATTTCTGACAAGAGGGGTTTGGTTAAATGTCTCTCCGTCTCTACCAGGTTGTCATTCATGCAATGTATAGTGCTCACCAGGCCACTATGTTGTGCCATGGAAATCAAACGTGGCTTGCACATATTATTAATATTTCTTATCCCACGCATACTGCAAGAGCTTAACCAGCAGACCAAATGAGAGTTCTCTAGTGTCCTAAAGCCACCTGCACTTCCCAGAGTACCTGGCTGGATGGCCTCCTGTCTGTCACCTCCAACGGCCCTTTTCACATCTGTGTCACAATCTGGGGGGAAGACATAAGGACAGAGTGAGGCAATTTTGAAACAGATAAGAGTTACTGGCTCGTCTGGGGCGTGCACGTGTGTGAAGGTGTGTCGTATATGTTGCTGGTGGGGGCAGGAAGGCTTTGAAATGGGCAGGGAACGGGAAAGCCATCTCTGAACTTCCGGGCAAGGCCTCTGTCACTGTAGTCCTACAGGAGAGGCTGCATGTTTCAGCTGCTGAGGGGAGGCTGGTGGGGGCTCAGAAACCTCACAGTTGGGTCATCCCTTGTACGTGCGAGAACAGATGAGGCAAAACAGCATCCTCATCTGACTCTACTGGGAAACGTCTACACTGACAAAGGAAAGCGTGGAATGTCTCAGGACTGTGAAAGGTAAAAGGGAGGATTCCTTCATACCTATTTGTCCTGGGGTCCCTGCGGGGCCAGGAGGGCCCAGGAAGCCTGGTGGTCCAGGTAAGCCGGCGTCTCCAGGGAAACCACGTTGGCCTTTGAGGCCGGGAAGGCCCAGTCCTGGGGGGCCCATTTCTCCTGGAGTACCCTTCGTTCCAGGTATTCCTGGATAGCCTGGGTCCCCTGGAGGGCCCTTGATGCCATCACCCTGTGTGAAAATTCAGTTTATTTCTTAAAATATATACTAATGTTAAAGATCGCCTCGACTTCCCTGTTTCCTTTCCCATTTCCCGGAATTCTGAGCTATGGATCCAGAACAGAAAGACAACAGAGATGAACAGGAACCTAGTGCCATGGTCAGCCAGGTCACAGGAGCCAGTGACAGACTGTGTAGCAGTCTAAGCAATGCCACGGAAGCCGGTTCTGGAAGGCACATGTACATGCTTGAGCATTTCTCTCTTCCCACCCGCCAGCTCCCCTGCATCAGCCTGGGCCTTCATCTCCAGAACAGCGAAGGCACAGGCTTTTGTGTTCTACTGTGGGTGGAGAAAGAAACACATGATTTTGTTGTTATAATTTAGCATCGGTAAAATGGCTGTTATTTTAAGAGATGCTACGTTGTTAAAGGAAAGGAAGCTAATTTGGACAAGGAAAGAGCCGTGTGCGCCTCAGAAGTCAGGAGAGATTACAGGATTGGGAATGGAGAGGGGCTGCCCTGTGGATGAAAGCACCAGCTGCAGGGTGCGGGGGGGAGCTGGTGGGAGGTGCAGGGATGGGGTGGGGAGGCTGGCAGCAGTGATGCTGGTGTGATCTGCGCACACACCACGGCACGGCTCGGTGCTGTCCCCACGTGCTGGTGGAACAGCCATGCGCATAAGCTCCCGCTCATCTGCTGAGCCACGGGACGAGGCTGGGTGTTCTCATGACAATGAGGCAGCTGCTTATAAGAAATCAAACCCTGCTCTCCACTGACACCACAGCCCCTTCCTTGTCAAAGGCATGACGGAGCGGGGCAGGGACACCGGTCCAGCTCTATTTATGAGACCTTGATTAAGTGGTGTACCCCTGTGTTTTAGCTTTTTTTCACAGGGGAGGGGGACACAAGGCTGTTGCAGAGATCACAGGGCAGATGCCCCAAACTTAGTGGACAGCAGTGGGGATGATGCCACTGGAAGGTGGCACAGGCAGGATCACGAGTTTTCTAAAGGCAGAAGTTGACATTCTTGGTTTAGAGATGCCACCAAACAAGGAAGGCACACAAGCACTGGGAAAGTCCCTACACCCCGAGAATGGGAAGCTGAGGCTGCAAGGTTCTCCCTGACCCTAACCCTCACCCCTACCCCTAACCCTGCTCCGACCACCTGCCCCCAGCTGGGCTGGGACTGGCAGCCAGGCTTGGGAGCCGCAGGGGTGGGTGAACCCCATGGCTGGACAGGTGCACCTCCTGGTCACCAACTTCACAAGGCACCAACTCCAGGGAAGGCCACCACTACCGTAACAAATCCAGACTCAAACGGACCACACACATACACACATGAGCACACCACACACCACACATACACTCACCACCCCCACCCCACATGACACTGAACAGGCCAAAGACTGTTCCAACCACAGGAATCATCACTCATCCTCCTCTTCTGGCTAAAGTGACCAATTATGACTTTGCCTCTTATTTAACCCTGTTGCCTCCCAGATGAGATTTTTAAGATACCCAATCATAGAATTATCTGTGTTCTCTGGCCCCAAAAAACTGCACTTAAATTGTAAAAATGTGGGCCGGGTGTGGTGGCTGATGTCTATAAAACCAGTGCTTTGGGAAGCCAAGGCAGGAGAATCACTTGAGCCCAGGAGTTTGAGACCAGCATGGGCAACATAGAGAGATCTCATCTCTACAGAAAATTTTAAAAATATTAGGTGGGTGTGCTGGTGTGCACCTGTGGTCCCAGGTACTCGGGAGGTTGAGGCAGGAGGATGGCTTGAGTCCAGAAGTTCGAGGCTGCAGTGAGCTTTGATTGTACCACTGCACTCAAGAGTGTTATTACAGACATGACCCACGTTAAAACTAGAGAAGACATGGGTTATGGAATGAGGCAAATAAGCTGCGAATAGAATTCAGGCGTGAGGCTCTGAGGAGGAGAAAGAGGATTATGACTTCAATCGTCCTCCAATGATGCTGAAGTCTTAACCCCCAGGACCTAGACATGTGACCTTATTTGGAAATAAGGTCTTTGAGGGTGCTCAAGGTCAGATGAGGTCTTTAGGATGGGCCCATTCCAATATGACCGCTCTCCCTATAAAAAGGGGAAATTTGGGCCCAGAGACAGACACACAGAGAGGACAGATGATGAGAAGACAGAGAGAAGACAGCCGTCTATAAGCCAAGGAATGCCAGAGCTCCGGGAACCTGGGAGAGAGGCAGGGACAGATCCTCCCGCACTGTCTCAGAAGGAACCAGCCCTGCAGACACCTTGATGTCGGCTTTCAGCCTCCAGAGCTGTGAGACCATACATTTCTGATGTCTAAGCTGCCCAGTCTGTGGCAGTTTGTGACCTCAGCCCCAGGAAACCAGTACAAAGAGCTTAAGGAGGTACAGGCTTGGTGACTAGAGGGAGGAAAATGGAATCTAGAAAAAAAGACGTGAGAAATAAGGTTGCAAGGTCCTTCTGAGAAGAGAATGCTCCAGAGCTGGCAGTGGGAAAGGCGTGGTGGCAGGAGAGGCTCAGAGGCTGGAGGGTGCACAGGAAGGGGTCTTGTCTCCCTCCATGGCTGCCTCCCGCGCCTCTGACCCCAGCCTCCCCTGAGGAAATGATGCTGGGGTCTCTGCAGGCTACTAGGTAGCCCCTCCTTCAACACCAGTGTGTGTTTGTTGCAAAAATGAAATTGTATATTTCATGATTTACCTTGGAAAAATAGGGTTCCACCACCCATTTTAGAATAGTCTACTTTTTTTGGCGGGGGAGGGTTCTTAGTCTGTTACACCAGGAGGAATATTTCTTTGATTGTTGACTTTTAAATGTTCATTTGGAGCTTGGCTTCTAACTTAATTCACCGTTTCCTAAAAAGTCTGATTTCTGCTCATTAGAAATAGAATGAGCAGAATGAGCAGCCTGTCCTATGCACAGGTTGGTTTAGTGCTCATGTCAATACTGTTTGCTTCTGGGGTGTTTGGAGAACCTGAAGGATGAAGAAGAGAGGACGGAGCTGCCGCAGTTTGTGGCTACTCACGGGAGGGCCTGGGAGGCCGGGGAATCCATCGAGCCCATCGCGGCCTGGGCTGCCATCGTCACCTTTCATCCCGGGCACACCTGGGACGCCGGGCTGTCCCCGCTCACCTAGAAAGGGATTTGCATGTGAAGCTGCCCAGGCAGGTGCCCACAGGAAGGCTCAGTGCCCCAGGGGCCGCGTGGCCAGAGAGGAACTCACCTTTGGTTGTGATTGTTCTGGAATCTCCTTTTGCTCCTTTGGGTCCGGGAGCACCAATGTTGCCAGGCACTCCCTGTGGAAAACAGACAAAAAAATATCTTCCTTCTTTGTACTGTGAGGGCATCTGAGAAGATGGCTGGCAAGCTTTTTCATCTCACACAGCTGGCAGGCAGTCACCCGTCACCAAACCGAGCGCCACCCAAGGAGCACTTTCTGCGATGCTGGATACGCCCCCATCCAGCTGTCCAGTGTGGGGCCACTGGCCACAGTGGCTGTGGAGCACTGGAACTGCGGATGGTGGGACTGAGGAACTGGATGGTACCTTTTCTTTAATTTTAAATAATTACAATGTGGCCGGGCGCGGTGATTCACTTCTGTAATCGCAGCACTTTGGGAGGCTGAGGTGGGCGGATCACTTGAGGTCAGGAGTTCAAGACCAGCCTGGCCAACATGGTGAAACCTTGTCTCTACTAAAAATGCAAAAACTTAGCCGAGTGTGGCAGTGGAGTGTGGTGGTGCACGCCTGTAATCCCAGCTACTCGGGAGGCTGAGGCAGGAGAGTCACTTGAAACAGGGAGGTGGAGGTTGCAGTGAGCCGAGATCTTGCCACTGCATTCCAGCCTAAGTGACAAAGTGAGACTCTGTCTCCAAAAATAAATAAATAAATAAATAAGTAAATACAATGCAGTGGAAGTAGCCACAGGTGGTTGGACAGGGAAACCCAGGTCCTAGGCCCATCTTCAGTGTCCCTGGGCTCTGCCCAATGGTGCAGATGTGCAGGCCCCAGCCCGGGGCAGCTGAATCATTGCCTTCGTGTCCACAGAGGCCCCAGGGATCCACGGGCTCGGTGCCTTTTGAGAAGCACTGAATTAAAAGTCAAGGTGGCTTCCTCTAAAACACAGTCGTTTAGGAGCCAAGCAGGTTAATCCAGGTATGGAGGATAAAATTTTGTGATAATATTGAGAACAATAAATGGTATTTAATAGAAATTTGTTTCCTGCACTGAGGTTAAGGTTGAGAGAAAAAGATACTTTAGAGAGAAGCTGCCTGCAGGGACTCTCAAATCGCAGCCTGGAAAATCGCGTCTAGCTCTTTCCACGATGAGCAGGGTACCCATCAGCGTTGTGTTTTCAAACGTGAGCTGTGCTAGCTTTTGACATATCTTGGTTGACGCTATTTCCAAGAATATGGGAATGTGTGGAGTTGCTTTAATTAAATGCAATGTTGAAAGTAATTGGGAGTTTCCCTTCTAGAAAATTCCACAGATTCTTGATTTATTTAGTGCTTTGCAACATTACTTTAGAATCTAGGAGAGTTCCTCACACACAGACCAGACCCAATCGATCAATACACGTTGGGTATATGGATGGAGGGATGGGCTTATTGACCCACTCCCACACTTCAAGCGCCCTGCCACTCTACCAGTACAGATATTAAAAACCAAAAACAACAATAAAAACAAACAAACAAAAACTAACCAAAAAACTCCCAAATGGTCTCAGGTATTCCCACTTCAGTGTGGTTTCCATACACACAATCATAGAATTCAGTGCAGGACACCAGGCACAGCCAGAGGCGTGTGAACAAAAGTTCTGTGGACGTGTGTGCTTGGAAGGTTTTAGACATTTCAGGGGCACAGAATGGGGTCCATTTGGCTTCTGGGAAATATTCGGTCACGTTTTAAACAACTGAGGATCCTACTAGCTTTGCCATTGGTATATGTGCAGTTCTCACCCCACGCACTTTTTCTGAATACTAGAGCCACTTTTACTGCTAGACAGCCATGATTCAGAGATCGCATCCTTTTTAAGCTGGGATAAAATGAGCACCTGCTATTTTTTGTTGAATTTTCCTATCTGTTTTCTGAGAAAACCTAGGGCATGGATCAGCGAGGTGCCCGGGTCTCATTTTCACCTGCACAGCTCCGTGCCATGAAGCAGTTGGGAGTCATGGCCGTCAGCAACACAGCTCTGCGGGGCTGCGGTTCCTTCCATGCTGTGGGCTCAGATCCTTTAAGTTTCCTTGGCCAAGTGTCCTGACCAACTGTTTTTCCTCTATTGCTGAATATGTTAAATAATGAACTTTTTGCTTTATAAATTTCCCAGAGTTCTCTTTTTAAGTTAAAAAATCAACAAAAAGTATACTTTCTTTGTCTACATCTGAAATTCACTTTGAACTCTTTGGTCAGCTAAAATCTGCCACGGAAGAAAGGTCTGCTGCAGGTGACCTTTGCATAAGGCACAGAATAAAGGCCATGAGCTGATGTGTGTGGGGTCCACACCTCCACACAAGCACGTGCACAGTTTAAAAATCAAAAGGTCTTGCTTTTTATCAGGTGAAGGAAGCCTTCCAACAATGCTGAATCAGTTCTTGCTAAACTTCAGAAGGCGAATGTTCGATAAATAAATAATGTCCTTTACATTAAAAATGATAGGTTTTTTTGAGATATAATTCATATAGCACAAAGTTCACTGTTTTAAAGCATAAAATTCAGTGATTTTTAGTATTTTCACAAGGTTGTGCAACCATCACTCTTATCTAATTTCAGAACATCTTCATTATATCAAAAAGAAACCCCATTCCCATTAAGCAGGTACTCCCCACCCCCACCCCCACCTCCACCTGTGGCAGCCACCAATCGACTTCCTGTTTCTAGGTTGCCTGTGTGGACATTTCATAAGAATAGAATGAGAGACCATGTGATAGCATGTGTCCTTCTGTGTGGGTCTCAATCCCCATGGCATAACATGTTCCAGGTTCATCCACAGTGTGGTATGGCTCAGCACCTTGCTCCCACGTGAAGGTCAGGGCTATTCTGTGGTATAGATGCTGTATAGATTTAGCTGATCCATTCATCAGGTGACGCACATTTGGATAGTTTCACCTTCTGCCTATTTTGAAGAATGCTGCTGTGAACATTGGTGTATGTGTGTTTGTGTGGACACGTGCTTTCAAGTCTCTTGGGGATACACCAGGAGTGGCATTTCTGGGTCACGTGGTGACCCCCTATTGAACTCTTTCAAGAGCTGTCGGCTGCGGTTCCCACAGCAGCGCCCCTTCTCAGTCTCACCAGTGGACATGTAGAAAGTCCGCCTTGGGGTATGTGGGTTTTTAGAATGGTTTAGCCATGCCTTGGGTCCATGAGTGTTGCCGGTCTGAAGCTGTGTAAACTTAGGAGATAAAAGGCAAGAACGGGACACCTGGGGAGGCCTCAGAGTGTCTTGCCAGCTTCATGATGAAATTGCTCCTCACCTTGAGCCCTGGGAACCCAGGGAGGCCGTGTTGGCCGGGGTCTCCTCTGTCCCCTTTCCTCCCCGGCTCCCCGTTGATGCCTGCGAAGCCCTTGGGTCCTGGCAGTCCCGGAAGACCTTTGATAGCTTCGTCGCCTTCTGTACATCTGCATTCCCCAGCGTCACCTGCAGAGGAGGGAGAGGAGGGCCTCCTTGTTCCGCATTCCTCTTAGCGTGGCGGGGAGAGGGGTATCAGGCAGCGGGGAGAGCTGGGTGGCACACTTGGTGCTTTATGGACACTGCCTGTTCTGATGGGCACTATGACCCCCATTTCTTAGATGGGAAAACTGAGGCTCAGACTAAGTGACTCAAGTGTTCACTCATAGTCTCATGGGGTTCAGAATTTGACTCTGATGTTTACTAAAGATACTTAAAAACTGGGACCACATTCAGAGGCATAGGTTGAGTTGCGGGGAGTGTGAAGGAGGTTAAGGAATTCAGTGCTTAGAGCTGAAGATTGCCACCACTGGGCCTGCGGGCCAAGGGGAGGAGCCGGCTCCAGGGAGCCGTCAGGGAGGGCAAGAGCCCTGGCCTCAGAGGCCAAGGTCATGAAAGGTCATAGGTGAGCAGGGAAGACATGCCTGACCTCTCTTCCTCTGTTTTGCCACAGCTGAACCCAGGGAGTTGGGCAGCAAGGCAGCACCATGCTGGCGGCAGGGGTTGGCTCCCCCAGGGCACAGAGGATGCCCAGTGGGGAGGCCCCACTTCCTCCAGGTCCTGCGGTGCCTGCTCTCAGGTCATGCCCATCCACAGCGGGGTGCTGAATGCACTG
The DNA here is from genome assembly GCF_000001405.40 of Homo sapiens. Classification (NCBI taxonomy): domain Eukaryota; kingdom Metazoa; phylum Chordata; class Mammalia; order Primates; family Hominidae; genus Homo; species Homo sapiens. The sequence continues at coordinate 110,458,124 of NC_000013.11, read as the reverse complement.
CACATCCTACATACGCCAAAACGGCCAAGACGTGGTAAGTCCCAGGAAGTGCTCCCCATGTTCTGGGAGGGGAGAGGTGAGCAGGAGCACAGCCTGCACCACACCAGGGCCCACAGAGCCTCACAGAGGACGGCCTCGAGCTAGGGGCAGAGTCCCTGAGGTGACTGGAAAGGGTCAGGTGCAAAGACCACCTGTTCCAAGTTCGCCTCCTCATCAACGGGAAGGGAGACCCGGGCAAACCACGTCACTCTACCGAGTCTCAGTAGGACCAGGGATGGTGACTATACCAGCACCTTGCTATGGACAGAGCTCTCTACAGACCTCTGTTACAATGCCTTGGAGCTGAGCCCTTGAGACACTACCTGAGTGCAGCCTAAGAAATAACTGTTTTCCCTTTTAACCCAGCACAGGACTCAGCATCAGGCTCACTGCTGCTAGGAAGGTCAGTGACGAGGATGGCAGATGGAGAGCAGGGACGGTGAGCCTGGGGGCCGAGTGCTCAGACAGCACCACTGGCTCCATGCGCCTCCCTCTCAGTGCCACCGCCAAGGGGACAGGAGGCTGGGAGAGACATGCAGGCTCATTTTCATGTCCAAACACGTGAGTGGGGGATGGATTTCACCTTCTGTAAGGTGAGGGACTTGGAAAGGCCAGGCTGTCCTCATCCCGTCCCTCCCAGATGTTCTTACCTTTCCACCCCTTTGGTCCGCGGGCTCCAGGGGAGCCGGGAAGCCCAGGGAAGCCTGCTCTTCCTTTTGCTCCTTTCAGCCCAAACAGGAAGCCTAGAGAGACAACCACAGATGCAGGGCATGAGCCCCACGGACGCCTGGGGTCCCACGCAGACGCAGGGCATCAGCCCCACGGACGCCTGGGGTCCCACGCAGACGCAGGGCATCAGCCCCACGGACGCCTGGGGTCCCACGCAGACGCAGGGCATCAGCCCCACGGACGCCTGGGGTCCCACGCAGACGCACGGCATCAGCCCCACGACGCCTGGGGTCCCACGCAGATGCACGGCATCAGCCCCACGGACGCCTGGGGTCCCACGCAGACGCAGGGCATCAGCCCCACGGACGCCTGGGGTCCCACGCAGACGCAGGGCATCAGCCCCACGGACGCCTGGGGTCCCACGCAGACGCAGGGCATGAGCCCCACGGACGCCTGGGGTCCCACGCAGACGCAGGGCATCAGCCCCACGGACGCCTGGGGTCCCACGCAGACGCACGGCATCAGCCCCACGGACGCCTGGGGTCCCACGCAGACGCAGGGCATCAGCCCCACGGACGCCTGGGGTTCCACGCAGACGCAGGGCATCGGCACCATGGGTGCCCGGCATCCCACCCAGTTGTGAGGCACCAGCATCAAGGATGCCCAGGGTCCCCCCAGACACAGGGCATGGGCACCACAGAGACGCCTGGTGTCCCACCCAGCCCAGGGTGGCTTTCAGCCAAGCCTCCCCAAATGATCCATAAACCCAATTTCATAAACAAAAGCACATTTTTTCAAAAGAAAACTTAGACTATTTTGTGGCGATAGCCTTCAGGGTTGGAAAGAAATATAAGAGTCTGCAAATTTAGTTTTTCCATTAAACTATAGGGATAACAATTATTCCTTTTGAGAAACATTGAGTCCAAAGAAAAGTTTTGATTTTTTGATCATGTAACTTGGATTCCAAGACTGCTACACACTTCTGGTTCCCCCCCAAAAAACTAAAAAAAAGATGAACTCAGTTTCCCATTTTGATCTTTTTCTGATATGGGAATGGGGGCACACGTGTGCATCCCTCCAGAACACTGTTTCCTCTTTCATGCCTTACATGCACACACACGGAGTTAGGATAACTGTTATGCTAATTAAATGTTGTGGCCAATCTGGATTCAGCATGGTCAGCCATGTTGGATGACCTCGCCCACCACCTTCCCCTTGTAAACCTCTCCCCACTAGCTCCTGCAGGGCTCAATGATCCCGGCGGGGGCATCCCTGATGATGACGGTGCAAGAAACACGGTGCTCTTCACACCAGCAAAGAGCGCGCCATCGCACTGGAGAAGAAGAGTGCCATCTCGTGGCAGGAGGAGGGTGTGTGTCTGCAAGACACACAAGCTGCTGCTGGGGGCAGGCTCTGCAGGTGTGCCCTGCAGCTATCTGTCCTCCTCACTGTTAAATAATAGGGCCAGAGCTCCAATGGGCAAATGGCACTCCCCCAGCAAATTAAAAGGCATGTTGCTATACACACTACATGGAACCTGAGAGGAGCAGGGGATGAGGCCGTTACACACAGGAAGGTGAGAAAACTCCAACTTTAAAGAACCCAGCTATCTGCTTGGAAAAGAGCACGGGAGTTTGCAAGTCAGAGAACTGCCAGGTGAGGATAAATGTCTATGAGAATGAGGACATGGATACCGTCCCATGTAGTTTGCTCACTGCACGTTTACCATAGCTCATTCATTCATTCGCTCATCAAACACTTATCCCGTGCCTATGCTGTGCCAGGCTGTGTGCGAGGTGCTGTGTGTATACAACTGGAAATGAAACCGATGGACTCTCATGGAGCTTACAGCTTAGACGTGGAGACACACATTAAACACACAATGCAGGAAACACACTAATGCGGATTTTCAAATTATGGCCCGTGCTGGGGAACAGGGGAAAAGCAGCAGGGAGAGGCCCAGTGAAATGTTTTGGGGGTAGTCAGCTGAGTCCTTTCTGAGGAAGTGATGCTTCAATTAAAGCCCAAAGAATAAAAAGGAGCCCCTGAAGTGGGGAGCGGGAGGGAATGCTCCAGAGTGAGGACAGGGTTTCTAAAAGGCCCTGAAATAGGCAGAAGGCCAGCGCCCGCAGAGTGGTGAGTGAAGGGCAGATTTGCACAAAGGGAGGGGAAGAAACCGGACTTGGCTTTTACCCCGAGGGCAGTAGGAAGCCATTAAAGGGCATCAAGGAGGGAGGCTACGCGGTCTGCCATGTGAGTCTGCCGTGTGGACGACAGGCTGGAGAGGGAAGGAACAACGGGTGCCATCCTAGCAGGCTACGCGGGCGGTGGTGGTGGATAGCAAGGGCACACACAGCACTGGAGTGGAGGACCCGCCAGGATTGTGAGGGAGCCAGTACAGAATGGGTGAGGTAGGCAGAGTAGCCCAGGGCTCTGCTGGAGCTCCCGGGTTTGTGCAGGAGGGTGAGGACCAAGGGAGAGGTCTGTGGGGTGGCAGGGGGTGGGGACGGAGGAGGCCCAGAGCTCCATTTTGGACATGGAGAGCTTGAGGCATTTGTGAGACACGTGCATAGGGTTGACTCTGTGTCGAGTTAACGGTTTCTGTTAGTAGCTCAGCACACAGAACAGGGCCAGAGAGGAAACGAGCGAGTGACCAGCACACACTGCATGTACTTTCATGTGGAGGACGAGTTCATCCGGCGGGGAGTGCAGGGAGGGGCAGGGACTTCAGGGGAGAGATGTCGGGGGCCAGTGGGATTTCCCGGGAGTGGAGGGGAGAAGACAGCGTCTCAGGAGGAGAGGCGGCCGCACCCCGCACTGCTGGGGACAAAGGGTGACCGGTGACCAGGTCAGCTGCGTGTCCGGTCAGTTGTGGACTTTTGTGAGCTTTGTTCTCTGTCTCCAAGCTCTCCCTCTGTGTGATGAGACGTGCAGTGTCGCAGGTAGAGAGAAATTTAACCACACACACTTCAGAGATGTCACCATTGTCAATCTGAGACACGTCATTCATTCAGGACAAAGAGATTGTGGGCGCTCCTTACAATGGAAGCACTGGATGCTTTGCAAATTTAGTCCTAAAGGCACACAGTGGCTCTCTGAGGGTGACAGCCTTCCTCTGCCCCCTGCTGCTCTCCTTTTCTCTAATATATTAGTCATTTTAAATAAGTCCTATAGAATAGCAGTGTGCCTCTTAGATGTTTGCAACATGATTTCCACAAAGAGCCCCTGGCCAAACAAGCCAGGCCTATTTTGACTTTTTCTACGTGGAACAGAACTTCCCAGAACTCAATTCAGCTAACTGAACTAGAACAGGGGGAAGCAAAATATTTCACCCAGAAAGAAAACTGTCTTCGTGGTTTGATTTTACTGGAGCTGCAAAAGACTAAAAACTCTGGTTTTCATCAGTAGCAACCTATAAAACAGGATGAAATGTAGTTAACAAGAGAGGAATCTAACAATTTCATTCCAGGGGAAAAGTCAGAGAACTCCATGGGAATCAAGGTCATTCCTACTAAACTACAACCACACACACATTTTCTAAAGGCCATTATGGTGGACTACTTTTTGCATAAGAACTTGCTTTAAAAATGTTGATTTGGAAACCATGTGTCTCACAGGGGTAATATATATAATTAGAGGACTTAAGTTGTATGCTTTTAACATTTTTAGCTGCTAACATTGATCTGATGCCATTCATTTTATTACTTTCCTCATCAGCCCACACTACAGATCAGAAATTAAATTGTTCGCAGTTGACTTATGCTAGTAAACCACGGATTTACTAAGCAAGACTTGAAAAGCAAGATGGCATATGCTGTGACTTTATCAAAATGGAATTTAGTTACAGGAATAATGGCAACGTTAGCCTTTGATCACCGTTCTTTAAAGTGGATTTTTTTTTCCTTTTTTTAAATTGAGATGGAGTTTTGCTCTTGTTCCCCAGGCTGGAGTGCAAAGGTGCGGTCTTGGCTCACTGCAACCTCCGCCTCCCGGATTCAAGTGATTCTCCTGCCTCAGCCTCCCGAGTAACTGGGATTACAGGCATGCACCACCGCACTTGGCTAATTTTGTATTTTTGGTAGAGATGGGGTTTCACCATGTTGGTCAGGCTGGTCTCGAACTCCCGACCTCAGGTGATCGGCCCCCCTCGGCTTTCCCAAAGCGCTGGGATTACAGGTGTGAGCCACCATGCCTGGCCGTTAAAGTGGAATATTTGTATGCTTTTGTTTTTAACATGTCATGTTCTGCTCCAGAAAAAGAAAACTCAAAAGATACCATTTGCTTAGGAAATATAATGCTCATAGAAACCTAGCTCTTATCACAGCAGTCCAGGATAATGAAAAAAATTAAAGGCCAGGTGTGGTGATTCATACCTGTAATCCCAGCACTCTGGGAGGCCGAGGTGGGCAGATCACCTGAGCTCAGGAGTTCAAGACCAGCCTGGGCAACATAGTGAAACCCCCGTCTCTACCAAAATTACAAAATTAGCCAGGCATGGTGGTGGTGCATGCCTGTAATCCCAGCTGCTCAAGAGGCTGAGGTGGGAAGATCGCTTGATCCCACGAGGTGGAGGTTGCAGTGAGCAGAGATCATACCACTGCACTCCAGCCTGGGATACAGAGCGAGACCCTGTCTCAAAATAAAATAAAATAAAATAAAAAAATAAAGTTCACACTGCTCAGACTCTTTGGCAGGTTCATGATCCAGGGAAATATCTGCACCTAAAAATTTTCAGAATAATGTGAGAATATGTGGGTTTTCTAATTGAAGAAAAATTGAGAAAGTAGAAAGCATATTAAGTTAAAATTTTACTTTATAATATAAAACAGACACAGAGAAGTGACTACTACCTTTTAAATAGAAGACATTGCCTCTAATAACTCTAATGATTTTCCTTCTAGATATGTCAAAGAGAAGTAATCTTCCAAAAACAAACAATTAAAACAGAGACTTTGGGCCGGGCGCGTTGGCTCATGCCTGTAATCCCAGCACTTTGGGAGACCGAGGCGGGCGGATCATGAGGTCAGGAGATCGAGACCATCCTGGATAACATGGTGAAACCCCGTCTCTATTAAAAATACAAAAAATTAGCCGGGCGTGAGGGCGGGCGCCTGTGGTCCCAGCTGCGCGGTGGCGGGCGCCTGGGTCCCAGCTACTCGGGAGGCTGAGGCAGGAGAATGGAACGAACCCGGGAGGCGGAGCGTGCAGTGAGCCGAGGTCATGCCACTGCACTCCAGCCTGGGTGACAGGCGAGACTCCGTCTCAAAACAAACAAACAAACAAACAAACAAACAAAACAGAGACTTTGACCTGTTACTGAAACCAAACACTGTCCACTAGCAAACATGGTGTTTTTCCTCCCCGAAGGTAGGAGGCTGTAAGAGATTATTAGGGGCAATGTCAGGGAATTTAAAGTAAACTACTTTGGAAAGAAGAGGCTGTTAACTTTTGGTCAACGTCACACAGAAAGAGACTATGACCTCTTATTTTCTCCCAATGTCTCCTATATTCACTCTTGTGAGAGAATGAAATATTCCTATTAGGCATTTCACAACATCGAAAGCAGGAGTGTCCAATTTTTTGCCTTCTCTGGGCCACATTGGAAGAAGAATTGTCTTGGGCCACACATAAAATACACTAACACTAATGTTAGCTGGTGATACGGTTAGGTTTTGTGTCCCCACTGAAATCTCATCTTGAGTTGTAGTTCCCATAATCCCCAGATGTCATGGTGGGGACCTGGTTCACAGGAGGTAATGGAATCATGGAGGCAGTTTCCACCATGCTGTTCTCACGATAGTGAGTGAGTTTCTCATGAGATCTGATAGTTTTATAAGGGGCTTTTCCCCTCTTCACTCCTTACTTCTCCTTCCTGATGCCACGAAGAAGGACATGTTTGCTTCCCCTTCTGCCATGATTGTAAATTTCCCGAGGCCTCCCAAGCCCTGCAGAACTGTGAGTCAATTAAACCTCTTTCCTTTAATAAGTTACCCAGTCTTGGGTATGTTCTTATAGCAGCGTGAGAACGAACTAATACAGCTGATTAGCTACAAAAAATTGTAAAAATGTTTTTAAAAAGCTTATGAATTTTGTTGGGCTGTATTTGAAGCCGTCCTGGGCCGCATGTGGCCCGTGGGTTGGACAAGCTTGGTCTTTAAAGCATAACTCTCTGAATGCTGAAGCTGAAAGAACAGCCTTTTCTGACAGCAAGCTCCAGGCGGGACTGCATGTTTCCCTGCTGCCTGAGACAGGTCATTCTCAACTCAAGTTGAGTCACCTAACGTTATAACCTGAAAGAGCATCTTTGCTGACTCAGGGATGCACTACTGGGTGGCAGGTGGGTCCACACTCCTGTGCCTGCCGGCTTTATTGACTTTCATGGGCATTTGTCTGGGCCTTGGGGGACGGCTGTCACTTATTTTTGCAGATAATGCAGCCATCTCTTTTTGTCACCAGCTACTCTCACCTGTTCAGTTGTAGCTTTGGCTGTGCACGGGCTGAGAAGGCAGATTATCAAGGTGGCTTAAACGTGATGGAGTAACACAGGAGAGAGGCTGCCAGTCAAGGGTGAGCCCTCACCCTGGATTAGGTTTGTGGAATGTATCACCCCGACACAGAGGCAGCAATGTCAGCTCACATCTGTTTCCAGACTGCGCAGCTCAGATGTTTCGCTGAAGGATGGATTTCACCGAAGCTGCAGCAACTAAACCTCACTGTGTGGCATCCACGGGGCTGTGATACTCACAGGCTTACAGGGCTTCAGCTTCCATCCCCAGCTCCTGCGTGGACCCCAGAGAGCACCCACTACACCCTAATCTACCTGGATCCACTGCACCCTAATCACTGGCCTACTGGATTCGTTCCCAGAGTCATTTAGCAGAGAATCCCAAATAACATCCGGCTGGGACCGGGCTTCATCTGAACATTAGGCTACACCCTCCCTTTTGTTTCCCTCCACTCACCATCAGGTCCAGGTGGTCCAGGGAGCCCGGGGGGTCCTGGAGGCCCTCGCTTTCCATCAGGTCCAGGTGGGCCCCCGTAGAGCGCAGGGATGCCGGGGTCTCCGATGAAGCCCTTGGGTCCCATCTCACCCGGCAGGCCTCTCCTCTGATCTGAAACCAAACAGCATTCACCTGCAGCGTGAGTCTCCCATACCACACCGCTGCCTTTGTGTTCGTGTCCAGAGGGGCCCACTGGGGCACTAGCGGGCTTCATGGCCCCGTCAATAACTCCGATGGGTAGAAGCCATTGGTATAGTTCATTATCCTTTTTCAACATTAAAAACACCCCTCTCCTTGCCCCTCAAATAATGGCTTGATAGTTGTGATCAACACTGGGCAACAACACCTGATGATTCTCCGTTCTCTTCCCAACCCACAGGTGGAAGCATGCCAGTTACCCATCGTGGCACCATCTAACCTAGTTGGGGAGTTACTGTCATATGTGCGAGGGTTCTGTGAAGGTGTCCAAAGCATGTGTGCGGGGCTCCTTAGAGCTGCTAAGACTAGTCAGTGGGGAAAAGTAACAACGACATAGCTACGTCGTCAACGAAGTCTCCCTTGTGTGTGCTAGGACCTGAGTGCAGGTGCTTTGGGTCTCCGGTGTTGATATTATGAAGCCACATTACCTCCATCTCCGATGGAGAGGCCAGGGGGACCTGGGAGGCCCGGGTCTCCTGGCTCACCCTGGCTTCCTGGCTCCCCTTGGGCCCCTGGGAATCCCGGGTCACCTCTGGCACCTGGAAGGGAAACAAGTCCCACAGTAAGAACAAGACCGTGGTCTACGGATCGCAGCTGGCGTTCACTTTTTCATTGACTACATATTTACCAAATGCTCCATATGCTGTATGCGGCCTGATGAGGAGTTAAGATGATTAATACATGGGGTGGTCTCTCTTTTTAAGGGGCTCATTCTCCAGCAGGGGAACAGGATTAGTGAAAACCGGGTGAGGAAGTAGGTGAGTCCAAAGCTCGAATAAAGAAGGAACTAATGTGGTTGCCAATTCTGCTGGTGGCCTGGGAGCGAGGAGGCCTCACTTCCCTGCACCCCACTCTGCCCCTCAGCCCCAGCTTTAACCCTATTAGGCTCTTCTCATCCCTGTCTGCTGGATGCATAACAAAATTTGGCTTTTAAAAACTTTCACCCCTGAACAAACAAAGACAAAGTGGCATGGCTATGTTCCTTTGCTGTGTAAATAGCAACGCTTTACTGTAGAACACACTTTTTTCTAGACTATAATTGGGAAAGATGAGAAGAATGAGAAGAAAATAGGACTTTTTATCATGTAGGCATTAGGAATTTCTAGGAAAGCTTTCACTCTGCATGTCGTCTTACGAAGTTCCTTAAAATAAGGAGAGGGCTTTGCTGGGCGTCACACTGAAGTCCCACGTGCAAGGGACAGAAGGCCTGACTTCCGTGTATGGCGTCTCCTGCTCGGGCAGCTTCGTGCCGAGTGTGCAGGGGGCTGCGCTCCGCAGCCAGAGGCCCTGGGCCTGAACCTGGCTCCTCCACTTAAAGGCAACCCTGGGCAAGGAACTCAACGCCCTGCGCTTCCATCTCTCCCTCAGTAAAAGCAGCCAAGTCCATCTCCACCTCACAGGGTCACCCAGAGGGGTAAACACACTGAAAAGTACAACTAGGACAACTTGGAGCATCGCCTGGCACACAGTGTGACCTACACTCCTGTTAGCCATTGTTGATTCCATAAAAAGACACAAAATTGAAAGCCACAGACCTTCTCACTTGTTTGGAAGAATAGCAAGATTACTTTTATTTCTAGGTACCTTGGAATCATTTCTTTTAATACAAACCCCTCTATCCTTTTTGTCTTTTGACAAGTTCATGCAATGTTACCTTGAAAAAGATACATTTACTGCCTCTTTTCCCTGAGGGAATCTGCTGGTTAGTCAACCTTTGACTTTAAGAAACCCTGGAATGCAAGTCAGTCACATTCCAGCTCACCAATAACTCGGGAATGTTGTCCGGTAGAAAAGGCGGCAGGCAACCTCCGCATTTCTGAATCCGCTTGTGGGAAAAAGTGAATTTTGAAAGCACCCGCCTTTGCAGTGTGAATTCCAGGAATATAGTACGGTGAGAAGGGAGGGGTTGGTGAGAGTTGGGTTCTCAGTCAGCAACATTTTTAAAAAATGCAAAAGAAACATCGCCAGCATTAACTTAAAAATTATGTTCTTAAAATCTCAAACAGCATATTTCCTTTTTACCAAAATTATTAATAATGAGTCAAGTCAAAGTGGGCTCATGGCTCTTTTTAGTGGGTCTCAGGTTTGGTAGCCAGGTGTGCGCCATGGATGAGGCAGGAAATGCCAGCTTCGTAGTTACGGGCATCATGGAAGCTGAGCATGGATTTCAAAATATCCCCATTCACGGCTCCACGCCTCCCCAGACAGACATCTCAGGGGCTCCTGGAGGCACTGCCCATGGCCCTGTTCTGTCCTGCGTTTTGATCAGCATTGGATGAAGACATGCAAAGCCATTATTAAACTGACAGAGGGCTCGCTTCGAAGCAGGGAGGTGAATTCTTGACACCTAGGCTTAGAGGACAGGGAGACCAGGTGACCTGCTGAGTTCAAGAGGTAAACACCAGAGCGTCTGTATTTAAAAAACCCTACCCTTCACAATGCCTGTCTGATATGTTTCTGCACGTCGTCACTCAGTCAGGCGTTTGCTGAGCTCCAACTCTGTGCCTGTCCTGTTCCAGGCATTGGGAATACAGCAGTGAACAAGATGGGCTGAAATGTCTGTCCTCACAGAGCTGACTATAACATGGGCCAATGATCCGCAAAGATATATACGCACGATTATCAGGAGGAGGTTCTCGAAACATTTTTTTTTTAACCTAGAAGGATGCGCATTCTACAAGGTTCAGAGCCAAGTGCTCTAGTTGCAGGACTAGGATCAGATTTCCATATGATCTCGCCAATTTGGAAGCCGAGCCTTAATAACAAGATGAGCATTAGTGACGACATGCGCAAAGTCCTTCGTTTACACTCCAAGGTCAACTGTGACAGTGGGGAGTGGTTGTTATGTGTAAATATCTGGGAATTTAGTTGCCTTGAAGCCTGAAAGCATGTGACTGTTCACTGGTTATGAGTTATGATCAATTCCAGGTGTCGGGCTGGCAAGCAGAGGGCTTAAGAACCTTGGTGCATTTGGAGAAAAAATCCGAAGGCGGCTGGGGCTGCTGCCCTGGATATCTTCAGCGATAGTCCAGACGGCAGAACTAGAACTCTACAAGTTAAGCAGAAGTGAAAGAATTCCCCAACGGAGGGGATTTCTCACGTGTAGGTGGTGAGGACTGTCTCAGGCACAGGCAACATGAAGGTCTCCCTGTGACACATTTAAGCATGAGGGAAATTGTACATGAAGTTATGTTCTAAATTTCGTGGTTTATTTTTTATTTTTTTTATTATTATTATACTTTAAGTTTTAGGGTTGCTTAGAATATCTGTCTTGAAAGTTCATAGCTCTGTGTCCCTAACAGGAGAGAATGTGTATGCGATGCTGAACTATGCAGGTGAAATTGTTCACACACCTTTTGCTAGGGAAGGGTGAGGGGAGTAGGCAGGTAGTCCAGGGGGCCCTGGGTCTCCGGCTTCTCCCTAGAGAAAGAAAAGAGAAAAACAGGATGTGAGAATAGCCTTTTGGAGTTTTTGACAGTACACATATTTCCAAAGAAGAAACCCGAGCGTGGACCGTCAGGCTGGCAGAGCAGCTATTTCAACCAGTGGAACCACAGACAGTGCCTGGGGCAGCATCCCCATGCTAGGGTGGCAGAGCCTGGCATCCCAGCCACCAGCCACAGGTGCCCAAAGAGAACAAGACAGGCAGGGGCTCATCTCATTTTGAAATCCTTGTCGAATGCCAGGAGACTGTGCTTTCTGTAGTTCAGACTATTACATTTTGGGTAGTGATAGCCGAGCCGCCTGGCGAGGGTGGGCTGGGAGATGATGCGGCCGCAGGACCCCCGTGGAGCGCCATCTGTGTCGTAAGGCAGCATTTGTCATAAGGCAGCATCCCGCGCACCACCTTCACCTCTTTGAGCCTCACCCGGCTCAGAAGTCCTCTCCAGATGTGCCCCCACCCAGGTTCCCCACGGGTGCGTTCCCCTCTCAGCTAGACCAGCAGCACCCACCTGGTCTTCCACCTAATGGTCTCCCCTCCCTGCAAGCCCAGGAATTACTCACACAAGCCACATCCTCCCTTGGAAACCAGGGGCACCGCACCCTCTTGTTACTACAAGGCCTGCCTTCCCCAGGGCTGCTGGCTTCCTCTGTGCCTGAGCGCACCCCTACGTGGCCCTGAGTGGCAGGTGGCACCCTTCTCCCTGGCAGGGAGCACACGTGGCTCGTAGGTCACCATCCACCTCGTCTGTCCAGTGTCAGAGGCCGTGTATTTGGGGATCTTGTACTTTTTAGGGCAGGGGATGCCTCCACAGGACACCATCAAGAGGGGAGTAAGGCCAGCCAGGGTGGGCGAGACACCATAAGTGGCAAAGACATGAGAAACGGGCTCACCTTGGGTCCCCGGGGTCCATCAGGCCCTTGATAGCCATCCAGGCCTCGGCTTCCCTGCAAGAAAGATATTTGCTTTTAATTTTTGTCTCTGATGTATAACTCCAAAAAGGGACTGCAATGGCATTATTATATCTCACAAAATGAACAACAGTTTATTAAAGTCATGTATTAACCCAGTCTGTGCTCAATTTTCCCTGACTTGGGTCTCAAAAATGTCTTTTTAAGGTTGCTTTGCTAGAACCAGGAGCCAAAAAAGTCCAAATATAACACTTGGATGCTATGCCTCTGAATTCTCACTTAATTCACAATAGTCCCTTCTTCCTTTCTATGTTTTTAGTATCATTTTGTGGTTGTTGAAGACACTGGGTCATCTGTGCTGCAGATGTTCTTTGTGGTGGGCTGCAGTCAGTCTCACCCCCGTGGTGTTGTACAATCTGTTCTTCTAACCCCACGTTTCCTCCACGTGAGTCATTAGGGCTGGAGGCTGCCCTAGGTGCAGGTTCCCCTTTTCAGCAGGGATCATTTGCGGAGGATGCTGGGCACCTCTTCTCCTACAGAAGATATGAGTGTCGGGTTGCTTTTATGATTGATCGTGGGGTCAGGTGTTGACAACCTGAACCAACTGTTGAAACTCTCTCCCAGGGTAGGTTTTGAAAATCTTCATTTAGTACCAAAATAGACGCATTAAGGTTTCTTAAGTTAGAGTTTTTTCTCTTCATTAAAAAAAATCTCTGCTGGGTATGGTGGCTCATGCCTGTAATCCCAGCACTTCGGGAAGCCAAGGTGGGAGGATCACTTGAGCCCAGAAGTCTGAGACCAGCTTGGGAAACATAGTGAAACCCTGCCTCTACAAAAAATACATAATGTAACCGGGCATGGTGGCAGGCACCTGCAGTCCCAGCTACTTGGGAGGCTGAGGTGGGAGGATCGCTTGAACCCAGGAGTTTGAGGTTGCAGTGAGCTGTGATGGTACCACCATACTCCAGCCTGGGCAACACAGCAAGACCCTGTTTCAAAAATAGAAAACAACTATAACACTAAGTTTTGTTTTCTCATTCCCTTGAACATTTTTTGAAAGAAAAAGTTTATCATTGAGTCATATCATGAGGTATCTGGACAGAAGAGTAAAGCTCTCTAAAAATCTAGCAATGTATTCCCTCTTTTAAAGAACATGCATGGTTCAGCTCTCAAAATTCAGAATGCCAGATGCCACAGGTATAAGAAAGGTCCATTCTCTGATTACTTTCGAGGTTATCTTGACACCCAGGAGCAGGTGTGCTGAAAGTCATGTTGTTTAGACTGAATTGAGACGGGCTTCACTTTGTGTGTGTTGTTGTGGTCCTGTGGTTTGGACCCGGACTTTCTCTCACGCTAGGTGGAGCTGAAGACTCAAAAGTAAAGACAAACTTCTGTGATTTTAAAAATGAGGTCCTGTTTAGAGGCCACGTCATAAGCTAAGCTAGGAATCCTCAAGTACCTGGCATGACAGGAGCTGGCAGCTGGACACTCAGTGGGAGCTGTGAGCACAGCCACAGACTGGCCAGCTCAGAGGGTGCCCTGGAATTTGTCAAATCTGAGCTTCACTCTGGGCCACGAGCATCACACACCTATGCTGTGGCATCCTCAGCAAACAAAACAAGCACCCCAGACACCACGTGTTGCCATCTCTGCTGAAGGGTCCAAGACAGCATGGGCACTTTGAACCATCTGAAATGCACTGGGCATTATAGAAAACCCATTGGGGAAGGGGGACAACTTAAGAAGCACTCAGGATTCCTCTGAGGCAGCTGGAACCCCAAGAGCCAAAGCAATGAGCTAAAACTTTCCAGGGGAGTTCCCAGCGGCAGGTCAACAGGTCAACTGACTCGGGGGAGGCTGAGGGTTATGCACGACTTAAGGAGAAAATGCACCCTCAGGGTTCATCTGAGACCACTGGCAGTGAAACCCAGATAGGCGGGAACCCTAAGTCAAAATGACGATCAAAACTTTTTCCTCTCTGTTTCTCAGTGGCAAACACAACAGGGTCGGGGAGGCGCAGGGATGGCCAAGGAGGAATCACCCAGGCGCTCCCAGAGTCAGGCTGGCAACCACCCCGGGAAGGACCCAGTGGAGGCTCCGCCGGGCTCCCTGAGACCCCGCTTCCAGGCAAGGTCTGTACTCCTGCTAGCAAGCTCACCACAGAGCCCACCCTTAGGGAAAGCTGAGGTCAGGAGACTGACATGCAGATCACTATTTTAGAATGGATAACTGTGAAGGGCTTTGAAACTGCAACCTCCTTTCTCCCCGGCCCTCCCCCAAATCTAATAACTTATCACTCATTTGAATTCAGTGAGGTCATATATATGATTCATAGGAAGTTCTGATTATGCAATTTTAGAAGTACAAGGTTGATTTTATGTTTTTCAAGGGTGGAAATAACTGGAGTAAGGAAAGTCCTTGGGCAGAAGTCCTCAGGGACTAGCTGACACAAACAGATGAAAAGAATGTATGGCTAGGCTTTTTTAGGGAGATGCATGTTTCTAAAGCTTAAAAGCAGTCTGCTGTCTCTCGTGGTGTGAACTGGCCTGTTATCTTTCTGTTCTTCATTTGCCTGTTGTACCCTTTTCATTGCAGTGGCCGAGGGAGCACCTGTTAGGCTAAATAGAACGCATGTGCCTCTTGAAAGAGGCGCCTCTGCAAAGAAACCCTGCCAGCCTGCAAATGAGATGCGATTTAGTATAAAAGACTAAAGACAGTGAGAGTTCCATAAAAGAACTCAATCTGAGGTCATGTCTGCCACTTCAAGCTTTGCAGAGGAAACCTACACACAGCCACAGGGAACACTGAGGCTGCATCTGGTGAGTCCAAGTCATCGACACTGCAGCCTGTGCAAATGCAACATCCCTGAAGTCCTGGACAGTCCTCATAGAGGACAATGGTCCTATTGAGGGGGGACTTCCCACAACACGACGCGTGTTGGTGTGGCATGTATTCCTCAAAGGAGACTAGGTCTCAACGAACACTTTTTAAAATAACTCTGTGGAGTTATTTCAAAATTATAAAATAACTCTGTGGAGTTATTTCAAAATTATAAAATAACACTGTGGACAGCATTTGCTCAGTTACTAAAGATATGTTTCCCCTAGAAAGAGGAGACGAAACCATCTCTAATTTATCAGAAAATTGAATATAACCAAATTCATAAATGCTACGTCTCCATTCCTTTTTAGAAAAGGCTGGAACTAATAGAAGTTCTGACAATCTCAGTGGGGATGACAGGCAACCAATTCTGTGTTTATGTAGAGGAGGGCAAGTTCCTACCCAGGATATCTTTTCTTTTCTGGTTCCTCCCATTTTGATGCACTGTTTATGTCACCGAGCAGTTGCTCCTTGGAGGGGCTTTTGGTGTCTAGGGGGAGGTGTTGGGTGGGGAACAAATGAAAGTCATGGAGTGATGGCCACCTGGCCAGTGGGATGGCAGAGGGCGGACATAGCTGTGGTGCAGATCGGTGCTCACAAGCACGGCGGCTGCGTCATTTGTGTATGTCTGCCTATTTCCCATTTCTATAGTTGAGTAAACTGCCTCCCTGTAACCCACTTAACTGGAAATATCTGCATCTTCGCAAGTTGTTGCAACTGCAGAAAGTAAGCTGGGAAATGAAAGCCTGACGCCTCACCATCCTCACATCTGGGCCCCAGCCCTGGAGCTGCCAGGTGGCCACTGTTTACACAGCATCTTGTCTTTCATTAACTTTGGAGTTCCAGGGAGCAGCTCTGTGGAACTGCCCTTTTTTTTTTTTTTTTTTTTTTTTTTTTGAGACAGAGAGTCTCACTGTCTCTCCCAGGCTGGAGTGCAGTGGTGCGATCTTGGCTCACTGCAACCTCTGCCTCCCAGGTTCAAGCAATTCTCGTGCCTCAGCCTCCTGAGTAGCTGGAATTATAGGCATGAACCACACCCAGGTAATTTTTTTTTTTTTTGTATTTTTAGTAGAGACAGGGTTTCACCATGTTGGCCAGGTTGGTCTTGAACTCCTGACCTCTATGATCCACTCACCTTGGCCTCCCAAACTGCTGGGATTACAGGCACCTGGAAATGCACTTTTAAATACTACAAGTCCCTTGTGTTGAAGATGGAAAACTAAAGATAATTATAATTTTACCAGCACATGGTAGGAAATTAACAGCAGCACTTTAATCACATGGGGTAGGTGGAAACGGGTTACTTTTGAACGATAATGTCTGCTTTAGCCTCTGTCCCTTTACAATATTTGCTTTTCCTAAGCCATGAACTAGAATGTGGCCTCTGGGTGGGGTGCATTTGGATAGCTCTTGTTCTAGGTGTGCCGCCTTTGGGAGTACTCCGATCAGTAACTGATGTTATGAAAGGCTGGGTGTGATTACGGCAAAGCCTGGCATTGGCTCCCTGGGCTGAGTTTAGCATAAAATAACAGAAATGGGAACAGTATGATCATTGGAGGTTGCAGGAAGTCATCAAGATTGGTGTTAAGTTTGAATGGTCAAAAGCAGAATGCTGGGTCAAGACGGCCCGTGTCTAGAGCCAGTGGAGGTCAGAAAGCGAGTCTGGGAGGCAGGTCCATCTGTGGTCCTGGAACAAGCATGGCGGAACCCCCACCAGGCCTGCCGAGCTTCTGTACCAGCTAACTGAAGCCCATGGGCCTCCAGACGCCACACTACTCTCTGTGCAGCCCTGAGCAGGATTCAACGGAGTTGTGATTCTGAGGCTAGTGATTTTGATAAAACTCTATCTCTGTGCACCTACTAGGACTGAGTGATGGACATACTAGCCCATGGGCAGGCAGCCAAGCCCTGTGTACCACCGAGGTGACTGCATGTTTGCTGGAAATATGAAAACCACCTCGAGGGCGTAAGGAAATATGGCGCACCTATTGACTGCCATTCTCTGCAGCTTTAAAGAACGAGGCAGATGTGTACCTGCCGACTTGGAACATTCTCTAAGGGGCACTGGGCAGAGCAGCACAGACACATTTCTTTTGTTGCTCCGTTACATGCATGTGAAGCTACACGTCTTTGTGTGTATGTTGGCATGAGTGTGATGTGAGACCCAAGGGGCTGTCAGTGGTGGTGTCTGGGGAGCCTGCCGGGCCTGCCGTAGGAGGCGTGTGCTGTGTGCTGTGGGGTGGGACCCGCAGGCACAGTGAACAGTGAAAAGGCATCAACCACTGAACTATAACATTGTGTATGACCTAGAGTTCAGACGGTTCTAAATCTGACCTAGATTCATAATACATTTCTTTTTAAAAATTTTATCATTATTATTATTATTTTATGATGGAGTTTCACTCTTGTTGCCCAGGCTGGAGTGCAATGGCGCGATCTCGGCTCACTGTAGCCTCTGCCTCCCAGGTTCAAGTGATTCTCCTGCCTCAGCCTCCTGAGTAGCTGGGATTACAGGTACCCACACCATGCCTGGCAAATTTTGTATTTTTAGTAGAGACAGGGTTTCACCATGTTGGTCAGGCTGGCCTCATACTCCTGACCTCAGGTGATCCACCCTCCTCAGGCCTCCCAAAGTCCTGGGATTACAGGCATGAGCCACTGCACCTGGCCCATAATACATTTCTTACATAACATTTTTCTCCTAAAAAAAAGCCAAAAATCTGTCCACAGAACTCATGATAAAAATAATTGGGTTGTCATTAAACATAAATGAAGTGTCACAGTATGGGTCAATCTATAAAAAAATTTAGGTGGACCCTGGGTCACCAAGTCCAGGAGCTTCCTATGAGTGACAAGGACATGGAGGAGGGGTGTGAGGTTGGACGATATAGAAACCATGGCTGGTGGGGTCGAGTGACGGACACTTTGAAAGGGAGGAAGCAAAAGATAGTTTGCAAAAATGAGAGCCAAGGTAATGACCCGGTTCAAGTATTGTGAGGCAGGATTATCTTTGTGACTGCAAATACAAGAACCATTTTCAATGTTTTTTTCTGGAGACAATTTTCTTTCCTGAGATGCCAAGGCCTATTTATTTAACCTCTGTGGGATGTCGTGGGCCCAGAGCAGACTGCAGTTCATGCATCCAACTTACCTTCTGTCCTGGTGATCCTTTTTCACCACTCAAGCCAGGGTAACCCTGGAATGAACAAAAAACAGAAGCAAACAGCTCAGAATATGCAGTAGACATTTCCAGAGGGCTTGACTACGGCACCTGGCTGTGATCACAGCAAAATGCCGATGGACAGATTGAACAAGTCTCAGGTCCAGATTTTGAAGAATAGCAACAAATTGCCAAATTCAATACCAACTATTAATACAATTCTTTCCCCTTTACAAAGTTGTGGGGAGGTGGGGATGGGAAATAATGACTATGATAAAAAGGCTCGAAGAAAGCAGAATCCATCCTAATCTCAAAGCTGCTTCCCTGTGGAAGACGTCAGAGCCACCCCAAGACTCTCATTTCCTGAGGGAGACACATCATTTTAGCAATACTTTCATAACGTGCATCATTTCTACCACGTAAAGAAATACAGAGAAACTCACAAAGATAGTACAATGAAAAACTAAAAATGTAAAAAGGCTTGTACTCTAATGTTCTACTGTGTCTCTCTATTCTTATTTTTGGAGAATGTAAAATACGGTCTTTTGAGTGGTAGCAACTGCCAGATAGCCACCAAAATTCTGCTTTCTCTTCCTGGGCCCAGGGCTCTGACCACCCGTCCCAGCCCTCAGCTAGGTGTGGTCGTGGAGTGAGTGGGGTCAGTCCAGGCTGGGGCTCTGAAGGTGAGGTCTGTCTCCCAGGTGGCTGAATCACCGTGGACGGTGACCCCTTCCCGACCCTTACGACTAGGGACATTTTTGTTGGGCTCTTGGGACAGTCGGAAATCAATGTGTGTTTGAGATATTCTACATTTCTGGTTACTACAGACTAACTGAGCTGAACACACACAACCAGAAAGGTTTTGTGCGGTACTCGCGCCTCCTCCACGGGGAGGGCCGCGTCTGCACACCTGCTGCTGGGTGAAGACGGTGTGTCAAGATGGTTCACGGATTGTAGCCAGCGCAGCCCCCAGTGCTAGATGTTCGTGCTGGGGGGCTGCTGTGTGTGTGTGTGGGGGGGGGTGGGGAGTAATAACGGGAAATCTCTATACTTTCTGCTAAATTTTGCTGTGAATCTGAAACAGCTCTAAAAAGGAAAGCCTACTGAAAAAAACCAAACCAAACCGACAACTGCAGTTATAAAAGGCGTGGTTTACCCTCAGTCCAGGAAAGCCCATGATTCCTTCTTCTCCCTTCAAGGAAATGCCCTAGGAGAGAGCAGAGGGGGCGTAAGGAGCAACCCAGGGGCGGCCCCTCCAGCCAACAGGGCCCACGTGTCATCCTCTGCTCCAGGACTCTGTGTTCTCAGCCCCGATGGTGTCCAGACCGCCTGGCGATGCTCAACTCAGGCGCAGTGCAGGGCACGGTCCTAGGAGACCCGCCAGCCTTCCCGGGCTGTCACCCATCCAGGACTGCATGTGTCATGTCACGTGGTAAGCGACCGCGAGGGAGAGCTGGAGCTCTGAGGACAGGCAGTGACAGAGGGGACGGAGGGCAGAACCCGGTGGCGCCTGAGTGGAAGCCACGCCCCTCCGCCATCTCCATGCTCCCTTCCCAAACCTCAGAAGATGATTAGCCAGTGTTTATGATGCCAAGAGGAAGAAATTCTAGAACTGACTTCTTAAAATACAGTGTAAAAATGCATGCTAATACTGTTCTGCTATGGACAAGGGGATGAGAGACTGGCGGTGTGCGGGCCCCGAGCGCATGGTGCACCCCGTCATGCCTGGCAGAGCGCCGACAGCCCAGGAGCCACAGGGGAGGGGGCATGCTCATTACTCGACTTACTCTTATTCCTGGTTCCCCCTCACTGCCTTTTTCACCCTGTGAAGAATATGAAAAATAAGAAACGCTTATTAATTTGAGGATGGTAATGGGTAAAAATCAATCAGGGTTCATGACATGAGCTGAAAGTACTGAATCAATCCTCACACAATCATCATAAATTGATTACAACACATGACTCTTAAATTTTGCAGCTTCAAAATTCAAGAGAAAAGAGGTGTCATTTCTTCTAGATTTTCACAAGATAAATTAATTCCTGTATTCCTCTTGGTACAAGTGAAAGTCTGTCTTTCCTTCTCTCTGTTTTCCTTTATCCCCCACACCGTTCCAGGCAGATGTTTACATCCGTATGGTGGGAGAACGTGCCCAAGGAAAAGCCTTAATGAAAATACTCTTCGGAAGAAAACATTACTAGGAGGCCCTCTGAGAAAAAGATACACATGGAACATATTGAAACTTGAAGCAAAAGTGGCTGTTGAAAGCCATGTCAATATCATAGATCAAAAACATGATCTACGTTTTTCCCATTTCTCTTCGTCTAAAATGGTGAAAGAAACAGCAATTGGCGGGTCCTTTGTCCCCGTCATTTCTGAGGGTACCTTGGATTCCTGCAGGACACAACTGCCCCTGCGGGTTGGCCATTCCCAGCCCCGGATCCCACCCTGGCCTGGGTTGTAGAAAAGGTGGGAAACTTGACTCGGAAGATTGAGCACCTCCACGTGGATCAAACCTGCTCTGGGCTCCAGTCCAGAAGCTGGACAGAGGCCCTCCCTGCCGTCTCCCAGGACATTTTTGTCAACGGTCACTCATAACTCGAGCCTCAGCCACCTGGGTTGATTTCCCCCACAAGGCAGTGGTCCTGCCTGCCAAATCCGCCCCAGGATGCAGGACCCAGGACACAGGACCCAAGCCCCACCCTGCTCAAGAGTTGGGAACCAGATTCTATTTGGAAAGTTAAGATCTCCCCGTTTGGGGTTTCTATTTTAGTTCCCAGATATTCTGCGTGCCCGACATGGTACTGAGTGTTTCACAGTCGCCTGCAACCTCCTCGTCAGCTCCAGGAGGTCAGTGTCGCCATCCCCATTTGACAGGGGGAACAGGAAGCCCTAGAAAGGCTGTGGGACCTCCGAGTGGGTGGGTGGCACAGCAGCCTCCAAACGTAGAGAGAGTGGACGCGGCAATTCCTATTTCAGACTAAGAGCATGATTTCAATTAAGCAAAATGTTAATTGAATGATTCAGAAACTGTCAAAAACTGACTTTGAACCTCCAAAAAGGTGCTTCATGTCAGCAAAGAAGTAGGTTTTATTTTGCTGAACACATTTTGCTAGACAGTTCCATGATTCTGGCTTTGAATTACGGTATGACCATTAGCCTCCACCTACACTGAATGTAAGGATAGATATAAGTTTTTTTTTAAATGAATTCTCTTGTTGCTTCAGATTCATCAGAATTGAGATGATGGACTGACGACGGGATCGCACTGTGAATCTAGTAACCGTCTGGAAGAGTTGAAAACATTCTGGGAGGACCCGGTTATGTTTTCATGGGTAATGTGCCAAGTTGGTGGTGAGGCTTTTTCTACTTGGAATGTGGTTGAATACAATTGAAGAAATGTACTTTTACTCTCCTTTTTTTATTTCAACTATGAAAAGAGTCAATTTTGCTCTTTACCTTGTACTGATCTGGGTGGAAGGTGACTCCTGTGGGCGCGATGATGGGGTGGAGGGTGTCTGATGGAATCCCGTTGGGTCCCGGCTGCCCTACGTCACCCTGCATATTGTTAAGCAAAAGCAGTTGTCTTTAAATCGAAAGGAAACTACAAAACTCGAATACAAATACAACCTGGCCAAAATACTGCAGTTTTAATGTTTGCATATTACTTACCATATGTATACCTATTTACAGTATAATAACCACAAAATAGAGTAATCCTAATGTAAGTTTTTTATATCCTCCTTTCATTAGCAATCATTTAGAATTTATGCATAAAAGCCATGTAGGTTGTTTACAATTCTGGACTGCATTTGTTTCTGTGGGGTTGTTTCCTTACAATGAATTTCTATATATGGGAATTATTAGGTATGAGGGCTGAATGTCTTTATGGTTTTTGACAGGTATTACTCTACTGGTTGCCAAGATGGGCACCGAGATAAACGAAATGCTGAAGAAATGAAAGACTACTTCCCCAGCTAAAGATGTTTTTATATAATAAAAAAAATCTTAAGTAACTATAATATCCCAAGATTGCTTTAATTTGCATTTTTATCATTAGCAGAAAACACTTTTTGATGTGGTGCACAGATGGTGAAACCGATCTATCTAGAACATTACTGGACCGTTATCCTTGCATAATATTCTGGGTTTACCTCCCAGAAACTGATTGACACAAAAGAACATCATTGTCTTTTCCTTTCTTTCCACATTAAACTGTATCATACAAGTCTGAGCCCAGATATCACATAACACGGACAGCAGTAAATGGAGATGATGGGTCAGCTGCAGAAAGTGATACTCCATAGTGTACGCTGAGTGTCCACTAATAGAATATCTTAAAATACCCAAACTGTTTGTTCTCCTCCCTTGTACCTGTTGGGCCCCTGATGTTTTTTATTCATTATTTGCATAAGTCCTTTGTAGACTGTAGACTCTAACTTCATCTCCATTATATCTAACGGGACTATTCTCTTCTCCCACCAATGATTTCTTCCCAGATTTTTCTTGTTTTTATTATTTTGTTATATTTCATTGTATGGGGCTATAAATTTTTATGTGTTTGGATCTTCAATGTTTTTCTTTCTTTTTTTTCCCAGAAGCCCACTGCTTGCTAATTGTCCTTTTTTGACTTCTTCTATGGCATTAATGTAAAGAAGGAAGAGTTTCTTCTTCACACATGAGCAGGACTTGATTCAACTTACTGTGCTGTTCCATCAAAAAGCAGAAGGGAAAACAAAATAGAAATGTTCCAATCATGAGGCCAAGGGTCAGGTCTACTTTACAGTGGGCTCATGGCTTTTGTGGTGAACGCAATGGGACTGTGTTGGTGAGGTTTTGCTTGCGGGGTGTGGCGCTGCGTTAAGCCTGTCATGCACGTGATCTCACACGTTCCTCTCAAAGGCCATGAGGTCTTTGGATCTTAGCACTCTAAGGAAGGAGAAAAGCCACATGGTCCTTACGGCTGCCTTTGTGCCCTACCAGGGCTGGTCCCTGAGATCCCCTGGTCCCTGAGATGGCTCCATGTCAGCCTCTGGCTGTAGTCTCAGTCCCCTCCATCACCTCTGGGCTCCACACAGGAGAAGATGCACTCAGTGACATGTCCTCACCTCCACCTTCTGAAGATGAGCTGAGCTTATGTCTCTGTGTCAGAGTCTCGGCTAGCCTAGATGGTCTATGTTTACCGTCTTGTTGATGCAGAATTATCACTGGTATGTAGGTGACAACCTAGCACTTTGCAATGATTATTTCCCTATGCAAATGGTCTGTCTGCAGATCAACTCAAGGTAAAAGTTTTACAGCACAGAACTTAGTAATTAAAATGATTTATTTCCTGGCTGAGAAATGCTGCATGCCTCTGCTGGAATTGACCAGGCTTCCTTTACCTTTTCACCCTTAACTCCGTAGAAACCAAGTCCTCTGTTGCCCTGAAAAGATAAATAATTTCTGTAAGTTTTAAAAAGCCAATAATCAGAGAGAAATAAAATTATTTTTCTTAGAAAAAGAAACCCAAGGCCTATTTATCGGCAACTTTACTGAGCAACTATATTTGCATAATATTCTTGCTTTGCATTGTAGAAACTAATTGACAGTTTGTCATGTCAGTTGACCAAGGCCTCAGAGTGAATGAGTGGGAGCTGAGATTGGACCCCAGGTGGTGCTGGCCCTCGATCGTGAGTATATGGTCTCTGCAGACTGTAGTCTAAGAGCATGTCCCTGGGTTCTGGCCCCTGCAGATGGAAGAAGCAGCCCCATTTCACTCCCTGGACTCTGCATTTGAAGATCATGATTCGTCTTTTCTTCTGGCTCAGTCTTCTCTCATTTTGGCAAAATAATCCTCATTTCATATAAACTTTACCTATCTTTTTAATAATCTTTGGAAATTTAAAATCAATCAGAATGTAATGATTTTACGTGATTCTCTGGGCTTTATCCAAACTTTTTGTCTTCCTTTTTTACCTAAGAAGCAAAGCTAGGCCCAGTATCATAGTAAGGATTTAATAATTTCACGAACGTAGTAGCCACGTG
Source organism: Homo sapiens (assembly GCF_000001405.40). Lineage (NCBI taxonomy): Eukaryota > Metazoa > Chordata > Mammalia > Primates > Hominidae > Homo > Homo sapiens. The sequence goes on along the minus strand of NC_000013.11, from coordinate 110,433,799 downwards.
TGGGAGGACTGACAACGCTGACCTCTAAGATTCGTGCATAGAAAAAGCAAGATGACAAATTTGTGCACATCACGGGCACTGTCCTCTTCTACTCCCAACAGCTTTGCTTCTTTCCCAGGGTTTCTGTGTGTTCCCACAGTGACAGCGGGGTCACATAAGCCCTATCTGATCTCTCTTTCTCTGCAGTCTACCGTCCGCCCCCTCCAATGTCCAGATATTTTCTGAAAATAAAAACAAAGCCTTCAATGAATTTTTGCCTTTTGCTTCTTCCCCACCTGGTGGGGAGCTGAAATCAAAGCACAGAAACGCGGCCAGGCTGGATTAGAATGCAATTTGTGTGAGTCCCCCACAGTCCCTCTCTGCCTCCTGAGCTGGTCGTCAAAGTCACCAGGAAGTGACTTGGTCAGGGGTGAGGAGGGCTGTTGATGTTTGCCGCAGCAAGGGGAGATCTGAGGCTCACGCCTGGGCTCAGGGCTTGGCTGCTGCCTCCTCAGCCCGGCCGCCTGGTCCTATTTCTGCTGCTCTTGGCCTGGGGCCCATCTCATCCTGCTCCAGGCTGCCAGGCGGTGGGGCGTCCAGCGCAAGCCCTCCAGCCAACCGGAAGCTGTGTCAGAGGGGACAGGAGCCTGGGGGCATGGGCGGTGGCAGCTGTAGTCACCAGGGGTCACAGCAATGGGCAGGCATGGCAACGTGTGGGCTTGGCACGTCCTCCATCGGGACACAGGGCAAAGGAAACGTTCCTAGATGCTTCCCGCTGGCAGCCCAGCATTTCTGAATTATGTTGCATTTTGATCAAATACTTCCCTTGTCAACTGCATTCGTTTGTCTTGGACATTTATCCAGCTTTCTCAGATAATAAGGAACCCTAGTTCTGTCCTCCGAGTTTCTAACAAACCACCTACTTTGCTGTGTTCCAATCAACTTAATAACCTTTCTGGGATGAAAACAGTATACAGCTTTGGGCTCTAGCCTAACTTGATTATCACTGAATATATCCCTAGAGGCTGACATTAGACTCCTGTAGAACCTAATTCTAGCCAGATAAGAAGAATGACATTGGCCTCCCTACAACAGATAGAGTTACATTTTGTCCATTCTCGTAAATCAATGCATGTGAATAAATGTGAACTGTCCCTAAATTGTTCTAATCTTCGTTTCAATCAAATGTTCCTCAGTGTGGTTTTCATATACCAACAGGCATGTGGTAATTAATTTGCAAACAACAAATCATTCCACCTGTTTACTTTTTTAATGTCCAGAGGCACCATGGATCTATCCTTGGAGTTTAACATTAAGTCTTAAAAACCTCCAAAACTGTTTTCATCATAATATAAACAATAAATAGTTGCCAACCAAGAAGTTTTATGGTAAAAAACAAACAAACCCACAAACACCTAAGTACCCCCTTCCCTCATCCTCACCCCCCAAAACCAACTTACTTGCTGTCCTTTTGGTCCAGGGGGTCCAGGTGGTCCCTGTACAAATACAAAGAAATGTGTAAATGGTTTTCTTTACCCCAGGACCCAGATAACATCTGGTGGAAAGCTCTGGGAAAGCCATTGACTGTATATTTAGGACACAGTGTAGGATGCATGGAGGTTTCTGATGCATTTGGCTTGGCAGAGATGACATGCTGGGGGAGAGGGACTCGGGTCAGCTCCAGTTCTCAGAATCTGCCGGCTGTCTACGGACAGCTGTTTCTGCTTTGCTTTTGTGTGTTTGGGCTTTTGACTTCACCCATGTCCTCTCTGTGTTTGTTCTGATCCCTTTGCAAGGTCCCAGGCCCTGTGACTGCAGCGACAGCTTCCCTGACTTCCTCTGGGAGTCCCCACGAGACTCCATGCAGGACTTCTTCCTGGTAGCTTGGCCAACTTTCATGGACAGAATGAATCTACAAGCTGGCACTGCAGAGCGGAAAGTCCATCTGCAGTATCATGGTGTGTCTTTCTGCAGAGCATTCAGTGTCAACACTGTGCTTAGGATTAAAGCATTTCAGATGCAGGGGAAGAGTGTTTAAGTACAAATAAGTGGATACAAAGGAGTGGATAGGGAGGGGGTTGTGGATGATTGCATGGCTCATGTGAAGAACCAAAAGCTGTCAGAGCAGCTGAGGACCTAGCAAGTACAATCTGTTGTGCCGGACTTCTCCGAGTGGTGCATTTAAAGTATGAAATCCAACCATGTGGCATGTGTGCCGTGACTAAGCCAATAACCCTATGGAGTGAAACAGCAACAGCGCCTCGTATGACCCTGATTTCAGCCACCTTGACCAGGTCTTTCACAGACGGGGCTACTTGCAAGAATGACTTTCACAGCACCGGGGAAATTTGCTTTGTAGAAACAAAATCTATTATTATTATTGTCATTTATTATAATCTGAAGAGAATTATGAGTACCCCCCAACTGTTAGTTTGACTGAGTCTCCCCAGACATATATGACTTCATTTTTTTCTCAGTATCTGTCAAGGAACTGGTGTTAGTGTCCCTTGATAGCTTGTCTCAGTCTTGAGCAATGGCTTCCTGTGAGAAGATCTCTCTCACCTGCAGCCCAAATCGCTCCTTGTGTAAGTTAAGGCCTATTTATCTGATTACTAACATATGTGGGGAATGAGCGAGTCAGGAGCTCTCGCAGTGGCCAATCCACCTTCCAGCTCATTGTGCAGTGGTGGGAGTGGCCAGAGAGCTACACAAGCCTCAGCAAGTGCCTTTTTCTGCTCTTCCCTACTTGCAATGAGCCCTCTAGGGCCATTGTGTTAAACAGTGGCCAGTATCTCACCTGCTGTAATGAGCCCAGGTGTGATATGCCTGCTAGCATGGGTGTGGCACAGGCAGACCTCCATTTCCTCCTTATGAACCTGTGGGACTTTGGTTTGCCTTGCCCAGGGATGATGGGCTGTCTGTCACTGGGTAGGTATGGGGTGGGGATGGAAGGGCACCCTGCCGGAACCAAGTCAAAATTTGACATAACTGGCAGAGAGCTGGTGACCATAATTTTAAGCCCTTATTCTTCAACCTTAACAGCAGCAAAGTGTGCAAGGAATGGTCCGTTTTGTCTTGATGTTCTCTGCTACGCCTATAAGCATCATAGTTGTTCTTAAAGCTCTCATCTGGAGTCAACCATTGAAGAAGTGGCATCTGGAAGGGATGACCGGACGATGGTCCCAGAGTGGGCACCTGTGTCCAGGTACTTACTGGTCTCCCTGGAGCTCCAACTGGACCCATCTGTCCCACATGCCCAGGGCGGCCGGGAGGTCCCTATGGATAGGCAGCGGGAGAATGTTTTTAAGAGAGGTAAACTGGTACTTGGAGTTCTGAAGCTCTTAAACTTTTGTTTGGAATATCGTCCAATAAAAATAAACTTACCTGGAAACCGACCAATCCAGGCTCTCCAGGTTCACCCTAATGGAGAAGAAATAATTTTAAGAGTGATAGCTTTTAACCATCTTTAGATTTACTTACCTTTTATTGCAGAGTTGGAAATAAGCATATCAAACAGATCAGCCCTATCAGGACCTAGTAATGTTAATTTACTAATATTAATTTTTACTAATATTGTTATTTAGTCAGAATATATTTTAGTAATATTAATATTTACTAATATTAACTACAAGTACTAATTTGGCTTGGAGTATTGTGAATATGGGAAAGAGATAAACACACAATTAAAAATAAGATTGAAAACATCCTGATCGGAAGTAAGATGACTTTTAGATTATGCCGCCATTCTAGGCATGCCTTCAGTACATTCATTCTTACATGCAAAGTTCACTTGGCAATTAACTTTGTTAGTTGAGAATTTACACTGGGTCCCTTCATTACCCCTCCCATCTCTTGCAAACGTACCCGATATCTGTCGCGCTCCTCTTTAGGCAGTGCATAAGGCTCACCTTTCTGCCCTTTTGGTCCTTGGGGCCCCTAATTAGCAGATATATTGTAAAAAGAAAAAACAACAAAAAGAGTCCATTAACATTCGGTGCAGCTATGGTAATGTGGATGACTGAACATTGACTTTTGTGGGCAAGGTCTAATTGTTCTTATGGCTGATGGGGGTTATTCTGAACACCAACCCTATATTCAGCAACAAGGGTAAGACCTTTAATTTCCTATTGACCCAATCATATCTTTCCTAGAGTTAAAACAGAAATACTTTAGGATTTAAATTATTTTCAAAACCCAAATGAATGCTCTGTCAACCAACCCTCTAGTATGCCAATGTTATTTTTATTTCTGATAATACTATTACGTGCTTTCTTTGGCATTAGTGTACTGAACATATTAACACAAGCACCCATTTGCAGAATAGATACTGGGTCATTCTTTAAAATTGGAATTGTGTCAAATATAAACAGTAGGCATATACATAATACATATGTGCATGTGTAAATATCTTTCAACATCTACTATAAGAATCACTTAAAGTAATAGATATGTTTCTTGATAATGAAATTGATGATATATAGAGTAGAAGATGACGTAGTTTATTGAAAAATTGAACCACATAAAACAGAAACAGCCGAGGAAAGGTGAACTAGCAGGTGGAGGTGGAACTGAGTAGGAGAACTCCATTTGCTTCAGGTGAAAACGTGATGAAGGTGATTAATGACTGTTCTTCCCTCCCCACTTTAAAGTTTTTGTTTTTAAATAAAAAGTCTCACCAAACAAAATTTTAGTCTAAACCTGAATTTGCAAGATTTCCTTGGAAATAAGGTAGCAACGTACTACTGAAGACACATTTCAGGATGTTTTACCAAGACCTTAAAAAATAAATGAGGCCACAAAACAGATGATTATATAAAAGTTCCTCCATTAAAAAACAAACTCCTGCATCGTATCTGCTGGAGAATAACTGCACTCCCACGTCACAAAGTATTTCATAATCTGATAAAGATGGTGATGGACAGAATTTTGTCAAGGTTTCAGCTTTTTAATTTGCGTTTACGATTCCACTATTACGCATGAGAATTTGGGAGAAAATGAAGTGACACTTGGGAGACTGAGAGTGAACAACATCAACCACAACAATGATTTTCTATCTAACATTTAAAGAATACGAAAAATGAAGTTACTTGAATCCAGAAACGTCATGTCTTGGGCGTCAACATACAGTTATGCTTCCGTTCTGGCCACAGTGAGCGGGAGGCTCCCCCAGGTTATAAAGGCAGGGCTTAGCAGGGGTCTGCCCGTCCCTGGAGCACAGGCGCTGTGGGGATACTCACGGGAGGCCCGGTGAACCCCTCAGAGCCGGGGGGCCCCTGTGGACCTGAGTCTCCCTGGGTTCCGTTGCAGCCATCGTAGCCCGGCCTTCCCCTGGGCCCACCTTGCCCCGGGTGTCCCTGGGAAAGAGAGCAGTGAGAGAATCAGCCAACCAGCAGGCTTCTAGTTGTCATGTAACTGTGAGATAAAACAGTCTTATATTCTCATAAGCCATGTTCCCGGCATGAATCCAAGGAAAAGACACCTCAAAAGTGAACAAATGAATGAATGAAAGATTAAATAAGTGAAGGCATAAGGTATCGTTCTAAGCAGGGAAAAGATTTCGAAGCAAAGTTCTGCTTCACCTGGGCTTGGGTAAGAAGTACACTGTCGGGGTTTCTTCTGTCTTACTAGTTGAGTGACTGTCTATCAGCAGGGACAAGTAAAATTACATTTCAAAAATTCTAGGAAAGATTTTAGAAGCAGCTACCTCCTTCTCAGGGATAACAGGAAGGTCCTTATCCCTGTAGAAAACAAGTAAAGGTACATTTTAAAAATTCTAGGAAAGATTTTAGAAGCAGCTACCTCCTTCTCAGGGAAAACAGGGAGGTCCTTATCAGTTGTACCCAACTGCATTTTAGATAGTGAGTTTCACAGATCCACATCCTAAACAGAGAAGACACACCCGCAACGTGATTTTATCAATGGCCTTGTCATGTTTAGAAGAGCTGATTGCCTCTTGTTTGCTTTCTTAGGAAACATGACCTTTTAGATTTTAAACATGAATATAAAGCAAGTCAGGTTTTCTGAAATGTCTGGGGGTGGGGAAAGGCAACACAGCCAAGTGTCTGCAATGACTAGAGGGACTCAGGCTAAATTTGTGGGCATCTTCACTGCATTAAGCTGGTTCCAGGAGACACACAGGGGCTGGGTTAATAATCTATAATTTATGCAGTACCTGGCCACAGCCTGTTTTGCTGTTTCTTTAAACAATAGATATTTAGCTATATGCTTTGTTATTGTGTAGTTACTTTTAAACTTTAGTTTTCTTGATAATAAACCAAACATATATTCCAGAGTGATTTTTGAGAGCATTGGGATGTCTTTTACAGTTACTTTGAGAAATTTGGAAAATTTCAAGATAAAGAAACAAACTTGGCTGGGCGCAGTGGCTCATACCTGTAATCCCAGCACTTTGGGAGGCTGAGGCAGGTGGATCACTTGAGGCCAGGAGTTCGAGACCAGCCTGGCCAACATGGTGAAACCCTGTCTCTACTAAAAATACAAAAATTAGCCAGACATGGTGGCAGGCACCTGTAATCCCAGCTACTCGGGAGGATAAGCCATGAGAATTGCTTGAGCACAGGTGGCAGAGGTTGCAGTGAGCTAAGATCGCACCACTGCACTCCAGCCTGGGCGAACAAGACTCTGTCTCAAAACAAAACAACACAAAACAAACAAACCTCAAAACCCCCACACAACAAATCCTACATATAGTTCTCCGTAACCTGAATGATATTAAGAAATAAAATAAAAAAGTAGAACTTTTATTTGCACATTTCTTTGCTTCAGATGTCCACAGCCATTGGTTGAACTGGTGCCGTCAGATGAGAGATCCAACAGGCTCAGTCAAACTCTCTGGTGAGCCAGAGGAATCCCTGTTTGTTGGCAGCTTCTCGATCTGTTTGCAGAGCTGGCACTCTAGTGGCCTTTCAAATAAAGACATAAGGGGCCCTTGCACTTCAGCTTGAGAAAACAGCTCTCCACATGTTCTGCTCCAGATTTTTAGTATTCTGTGATGCTTTTGCTTAAAATGAACTGTAATGTTTAAATTTTTCTCTATTATTTGTCTGCCGTTGGTCTTTCTTACTTGCTTAGAACTGATCTATTTGAAATTGCATGTCAATCTAATCTGAGTCTGAAATTGTGCTTCAAAGAAAAATTTCAGTTATATTGAGCTAAATGTCTGTCTCTGCTCAGCATCAAATTAGATTCACTGCTATATGAGACCACTCCTCTAAGATTTTACTGCATATCGCTTCTTATATATAACTTCTAATCAGCTAAAATGATCCAGGTCCTTCAAACTCTACATTTGTTAACTGATTACTTATGGCAGGTGATATTTATGTTAACTTAATTTGTAGTATCAGAGTTCTGCGGTTAAGAGACTGGATCCTTTGAGCAGCAGGTTCAGTAGAAAATGGTCTTCACCTGCTCACCACAATCATTCCTCCAAATTATGATTACTTCTTCCCTAGTTTGTGAGACATCTGCCTCTGATATTAAGTGAGTGTAAAGTGGAAACATGAAGGAAACTTGGTACAGATGAGTTGCAATTGCTTTCCATAATGTCATTCCATTTTAACTCAGATTTCAGCTGGAGACAAAACTGAAAGACACTCCAAAGAGTTCAAAAGAGTAGTTTAAAAATGGGTGATTTAGATTCAGGCCATTAGTATGAAAATACTTTCCTAATTTGTTTAATCTTTGGGTTGTGCAGATTCTTCATTTCTGTCCATTTCTCAAGATTCTGACTGATGTGAACATTATTTCCTTATTTGTTCAGGGCCATGTGGTAAACCCAAGTGCCTGTTTGAGCCTACCATTCAGGTAGCCCCGAGATCACTGGCTTGCAGCTCTTGTCTTGGCAAATGTGACTTCCTTTATTTTGCCCTGACTGTCTCCTTCTGCTCTGCGGATGTCTCCTCGACGGTGGGACTAAAGATCTCATGGAAACGCATGAGTTCTCTGGCACTGCCCTCCACTCACTCATTCCCTCCTTCTCTTCTGCAAGGCATGGCCCTACTCGTGCAGCCTGGGAATGGAGTCTCTCTCCCTGTGCGTGTGCGTGTGTGGTGATACAGAACCTGCCTCTGCAGGACACGGGCACACACATCTGTGTATATGTGTGAGGTTTGTGAAGCAGATGTCTCAGAACCACAGCAGTAGCCGGATGGGAGGTGGGTCAGAACGTGCGATAAACACATTGATCCCTGAGGTCAGGTCTGGCCAGGAAGCCAACCCTGGGAAATCTGCTCGTGGGTCCCTGTGAAGAAGGCTGTGAGTCAGGCTGTTTTGTTTATTTTTTTATGCCACGAGAAGTAAAGTAAACTAGGTTATAAAAACACATTTTATTGCATTTTGAGATTTTTCTCATGAACAAACCATGCCTTTTGTTTTTCGTTTTATGTGAGGTTGCTGTAAAGAACTTGAGAAGCTGCACAAATGCTCAGCAGGGCTTCATTCTGCCCATGCTCTTGGCTGAACGACTTTATATGCAGGTTGCTCTATAGTTCGAACGAGATCACAAGACTGGCTCTTTAGGGCGAGTATCTGGACAGCACTCTAGCTTTTTATTACCAAACAATGTGCAGTTTAGCAAAATCGTCTCAATTCTGAAGCCAAGTCTATAAGGACGTTTACAAAGCAAACAATTTGTTCACTGTCTGACTGAATTCCGCGGGGAGAATACGCACGTATAGTCCCCACGTGTTTTATGTCATAAACAAAAAAGGAGGTCTCATTCAAAATGTTTCTTTAAGTCACAAAATGTATTGCCTAGGATGCACGCAATGTTTTAAAATTCCAGTCTTCCATAAAACTTACAGGAATTCCATCGGCACCAGGGAATCCAGAAACGCCTCTTGCTCCCTATGAAGAAAGCAAATGCAATTAACCAAGGCTGAGATACCCGCCACCCTCATGAGGCCAGGGGAATACACCAGCGGTGCGTACCACGTCGCCCTTGGGTCCCGTTACTCCGGGGGCTCCCCTTTCACCCTTGTCTCCTTTACGTCCCTGCAGTCCCGGGAATCCTTGTAATCCTGGTGGCCCATTGTACCCCTGGGGGCCCACTGGCCCAGGCTGACCCTGTGGGAACAACAAAGGTTCAATTTCCACGATTAATCACAATACATACTCATGATCAGTTACGGTTACTTTCAAAACTACATTTTTTTTTTTGTTTTTAAAGAGCTATAATCTACAGGGAACATTATATGTAAACTATCATCTACTGCCATGATAGCTAACAAAAGAAGTCATAGAGTTTAAGAAGAGAAAATATGGAATGTGAGAAAAAAATTATCCTAAATTACTAAAGTCATGTCATTGTGAAATGATAATACTGGGTTGGGATGAAAGAATTAACTTATTTGGGTTCTTTTTAAGGTCATTTCAGTATAAAAAATTTTCCAAATGAATTTCTACAATTTTATCTCTATTTTCCTCAATATAATGCATCCAGTAACTGTGGAAATGTGTATTGCATTCAAATATCAAAAAGACCCTCAGATGTTTAAGTGGTTAATCTCTCCTTTTGTTCACATAGAGGGAAAAAAAAGAGCTTCTGAAACATATAAAAATGTTTGTCCACACTAAATAGGATGGCTGTTATTAAAAAAAGTTATAAGTATTGGTGAGGATGTGGAGAAATCAGAATCTCCGTGCGCTGCTGGTGGGCATGTGAAATGGTGCAGGTGCTTTGGAAAACACTCTGGCGGCTCCTTAACACATTAAAAAAAGAGAATCACTACGGGATCCCACGATTCCACTTCTGGGCATACAGAAAGCAGGGGCTAGCTTTGGTACACTTACACGCACAGCAGCGTGATTCACAACAGCCAAAAGGTGGAAACCACTCAAGTGTCCAACAATGGGTAGACACCCACACAATGGAATAGGACTCAGCCTTTAAAGAGGAAGGAAGCAGTCACCTAGGCTGTGACACGGAAGAACCTTGAGGACTCTGTGCTGAGTGAAATGAGCCAGTCACAAAACGACAACTCCTGTATAGAGGCCCCTTATATGCAGTCCCTAGCACGCTCAAATCCATGGAGACAGACAGTAGAATGAGGGCTGCCAGGGGCCGGGCAGAGAGGGACAGGGGGAGGCAGTGTTTTCATGGGGACAGAGCTTCGGTTTGGGAAGATGAGAAAGTTCTGGAGATGGATTGGTGGTGAAGGTTGCACAACAACGTGAAAGAACTTAATGCCACTGAATCAGACACGCCAATATGACTCAAAAGGTAATTTCGATGTTATGCATTTATTTTATTTTATTAGTACCCTGGAACTTAATACAATAAAGTATCAACCCATCACCTAGGTGTTAAGCCCAGCACGTATTTGCTATTTGTCCTGATGCTCTCCCTCCCCCCGACCCACCCACAGGCCCCGGGTGTGTTGTTTCCCTCCCTGTGTCCATGTGTTCACATTGTTCAGCTCCCACTCATAAGCGAGGACATATGCATATTTCTAATACAAGAAAAATTTTAAAATGTTACATTAAAAAAATTAAAAATAAATTTACCACAATAAAAATGTTTTAAAAATGAGAAAGGAGGGGAGGGGAAGTTCTATCTCTCCTATGGCTGGAACTAACTATTGTATTATAGTTATATTTTAACATTTCACAGGCTAGCCCAAACTTAAAAAAACGTATGTCCTAATTTCCTCTTGAGACGAATGAGTCTGCTGTTGATTCATCACACGGCACCTTTACTTGCCAAGCCCCATTTGCTGTGAAATGTCAAATTCCTGTCTTGCCCTGAGATTGAGGGGGGAACTTGAGCCATTTTTCTAGGCTTTTCTTCTGTTGCCTCTAGGTAACTTCCTAGGTAAACTGTTCAGCTGAGACGTGTCTGTCTTCACAGAATGTTCATAATGCCATTCTCAGCAATCCACACAGTTGAAGTGAAATGGGAATTTAAAAACGCAGCCCAGGGTACAGTGTTAATGTCATTGAGGCAGTAGCATGGAGGGGTGTGGGAAGATCTCACCTCCAAATTCATTACTGTTCCTAACTGGCAATTCCTTGAGATGTTAGGCCCCAGGCATCACGGGAAGTAGTTAAGATGATTTTTTGGGGTGGAAGCTATCCATGCAGATTAAGGCTGTGGATGGAAGATGATGTATCCCGAATCTTGGGACCCCTGTCCCCTCAAACCAAGGGGAGCTGGGAAATCTCCCTCAGGGTAACCTGGTCTGGACCGAAGTCAGAGTTTTAGAGACAGTGGGTTCTCCTCTGCCCTCCACGTGTCCCAGAGGGGTCCTGTCAATGCCACATCAGTACTCACCTCGGGCAGCCTAATTTCAGGCCTCCTAAGTCGTGGTGAAGCTTGTGCACTTTAGTGTCTTTGGAGAACATTCTACAATAGAAGCTATTGCCACTGTGTTTCTACCTAGGCGAGGAGACTCATGGAAGATGGGTGGCCCTGGCCCTGGACGCACGATATCCCAGACTCATTCTATCTCCAATGCTTAGTGGTTTCCTACACGACATTTGTTGTTAAGTTTGGGAACAAACTATGTTTTGATTCCGACTTTTGTGGATCCTTCCCAGTGGTGCTCAATTTTGTTTAGTTTGTGGCTATGCTAGACTATAACCTTCTTAAGATTACATACCATGCCACGAAGCTCTACGCTCCCCTCACTATGTTGAGGCCTGCGGTTTGTTAGTGTCTGCCGGCTGTCTTCTGGGGGATAAAATGTTTCTTATCAGGACTGTCGCTTTATTGCCCATAAACTACATATCTATCCAGTGGGATTATTATTATTTTTTAGCCAACCAAACAAGCAGCAGTGACCAGGGGGATTATTTCATACAGTCAACTCAAAGGGAACATCTGCTACTAACCAAAATGGAAATATGCACGTCTTATTGATGAAAACCACATTCTTATCTGCATTCGTCAACCCTTCCTCAATTCCCTTTGATGGGGGAAAGTGGCTAACCACATCATGAACTCATTTTCCTTTCACTGTCAGTAAACCCCTTTCTCATCTTTATTTCTTGGTTAGGGAGTCTGACTTTGGAATGAAAAACTCTAGTCTTTCCTTTCCTGGAGTATGCTGTAAACTTTTCTTTTTACTGAAGTGAAATTCACATAGCATAAAGCTAACCATTTTAAAGGATACAACTCGGTGCCTTTCAGTGCATTCACCATGTTGTGTGACCACCACCTCTATCTAGTTCCCAAACATTTTCCTCACCCCAAAAGGAAGCCCCAAACCCATTAATCAATCACTCCCCATTCCCTTTCCTCCCAGCCCCTGGCAACCATCACTCTGCTTTCTGTCTCTACGGATTTACCAATAAATAGAATCAGTCATACGATGTGTGACTTTTTGTGTCTGGCTTCTTTTAGTGATCATGTTTTTGGGGTTCATTACCTCATTCACTGATGGCTGAATAATATTCCACTGTACGGATAGACCACAATGGGTTCATTCATTTGTTCGTGGACATCTGGGGTGTCTCTACCTTTTGGCTACTGTGGATAGCGCTGCTGTGAATATGTGTGTGTGAGTGACTACTTGAGTCTCTGTTCTGAATTCTTTTGGGTGTGTTCCTAGGAGTGGAATTGCTAAATAGTGCTGCTGTAAATATGTGTGCACGAGTATCACATATTTGAGGTATTGCTAAATTTCTTTTTCCACACTGACTGCACCCTTTTACATTCCCACCAGCAATGCACAAAGGTTCCAATTCCTCTGTATCCTCACCAATACCTGTGATTTTCCATTTTTTGGGCTATAGCCATTCTAGTAAGTGTCAAGATGGCATCACTTCTAAACAGTCCATCCTGAGCTTCTGATGAGATGGAACATTTCACAGAATTCCATCCAGCTTCCCCGCTGAGAGAGGGCCAGGAAGAGCCTGGGCAGAATGTGAGTTAGACCTTAGTCCTCCCAGATGGATCCCTCTCCGCTGTGCACAATGTAAAGCCTGCCTTGCTGGGATTAAATGGACATTTACAGCATGGCCCGAGGAGGCCACGCTTTGGTCATCAGGATGGAGCTTCTCCCCAGGATTTCCTGCCCACTAAGGAAGTGTGGTGCATCTATAAAGAGCAGCTGGGAGGACCAGGTACATGCCAAGGGTTTTCCTCTGTGCTAATCATCGTCCTTATCAACTTCCATCCTCAGTCAAAAAGTCCCGACAGGAAAAGTTATTTTCATCTCTTTCTTTCCTTTTGTGATAAGTGACATTAAAAATAAAAATTACTCCCAGAAAGTGAAAAGAGTCTAGTTTAAATGTCTTTGCATAAATCTCAAAAGCTCCTAAATTTCTAAAGCTCCTAATATTCCTCCAACATCCTTGAGAAAAATATTTCCACAAAGTACTCAGAAGCCAGGAGACGCTGTGGACAGGAGTGGTAATGTCATGTCCCCTGCCCCCCGCCCTGCTCCCACCACCAGACCATGTAGAGGTACTATTTCCTAAGAAACAGGATAATGAACAGTATCGTTGAACTGCTTCTATCTTTTGAGATGATGCGTTGTTACAAGTTTTAAATATGGTTTCTCTCATTTTGTCCCCACGGCAACTGCATGTAGTGACACGAACTCCAGTGGAGAGGAGAGAGGACAGGGGCTCAGATGGGACCAGTGTCAGGGCTGGCCGGGGTGCACTCAGATCTGGGGAGCTGGCTGACTCCACCAGGCCCTTACTGCTCCAAGGGAGGTCTGTGTCGGCGTCACCTGGGGGCTTGCTATAAATGCAGAGTCTCAGGCCTGGCCCCAGAACTCCTGAATCTGCATTTGAACTGATCCCCAGGATACTCCTTGGTACATAACAGTTTGAGAACCAATGCACGAGACCACCATAACCCCCATCCTGGCATTCCTGAGGGAAGAGATAGGTGACTTTCAATAAGAAAAACCTCTTAAGCATGGAGTTGGGGCTCAGTAGAAAGGTCTGGCTTACTGGGTCATGCAGAGGAACATAAGAGTATTTATGTGGGTTAAATATTATCTCTAATTCAATCAGTCTTGGCCTTATACTTCAGTGATATCTACAAGACAGACTCCATTTTGACTATCGTGAGGACGGGGCGCGGGGGCTGCCCATTGTTTTCCCTCTCTGAAGTCATGGCTGGTGCGCACATGGGCCATCCGGGCTGGTTTTGGAAGCTGCAGTCTGAAAAGGCAACAAATCCAGACTTGAACCCACATTACTCAAATACCACGACCGTGGAGAGAATGCGCTCAGGGTCCCGACACTCCCGCATTCATCAATTGGGGAATTTCACTTCTGAGAAAAGAGGCAAAAGATGATCAGATACGGGCACACGCAGTGTAGCCCTACAGCTTCAGACTTAAACAAAGGTGGACAGATGGATGACGCATCAGGGCCCCACATCACACAACCCTGTGGTTTCCATTCATTGTTCATTAACCTTAAAATATTCCCTGGGTAAGGGAGTAGAAAGAGTTTCATTTATCAGAGAAGGATAAAAACAGTGTTGCCCAGGATAAAACTGGCTTCACTACACATCAGGATTTTTAATCTACAGTACAGTATTTTACTGGTAGAATAAGAATGAGCTTTTCATGACTTACCAGCCGAAATCTGAATAGTAGGAAATCCCTTCTCCTTCCTAAGCGGACTCTTCCTGTCTCACCTTTTATGGGCACTGGCGCCCAGCAGACGCCCATATCCTCTCCATTCCCCAGGGCGGACCCTCCCTCCCTTCCGCAGTGTGTTCCAGACCTTCAAGGCCTGTCCAAGGCTGCAATTCCTGGTGATCCTCCGGGGATTCCAACCTAAGACCTAGTTAATTTCTGTGAGCTCTTTGCCACACATTTCAAATACGTAAAATGTCCCAAAAGGTGGAAAGGACTACTTTTTAGGCTCTAGAAAAATAATTCCACCGGCCAAAATTTAGAAATATTCGTTGATTTTGAGGATGGTCAGTTAGCATTTCTGAGCAATTTTTAGACTACCCTGGCAAGATGAAATTAGTAGCATGTTCCAAGGTAACAATAATGTAAAGGCTAGTATTTGTACAGTATATTACACAGATAACTATCAGCAGCCTATTCCATGCAACACAGAGCTGAGGTTAAGTTGGACACTTTCTATCTCTGTCTCCTTATTTAGTATATAAAACATTTGTCCCACCCCTGGGTACTATTCTTTATTAAGAATTTCAGTTATATGAGGTAGAACTATATGGACCCTTGGAATTTCTGCCCTCCAAAATTATGTGATGCAGACTGTAGCACTAATGTCAATACAAAGTAAGTAACATCCACATGTAAAGAAACACACCTTCACCTTTATGTCACTTGATATACAGACATTTACTCCAAATGGACCTAAATGTAAGAGCTAAAGCTGTATCGCTTCTAGAAGAAAACACAGGGGAAAATCTTTGTGACTTTGGATTAGGCAAAGCTTTCTTAGATAAGACACAAAGATTACAACCTATAAAAGAAAAAGTTAGCTAGATTTAAAAAGTTTGATTGTCAAAAGATACAGTTAAAAATAAAAAGGCAGGGGACAGACTGGGAGACATATTTGCAAAACACATATCTGATAAACAACTTCTTCCGGAACATATAAAGAACTCTCAAAACTCAATACTAAAGATATGAACAATCCAACTGCAAAATTTGGCAAAAGATTTGAGCAGACACTGCACCAAATAAGTTGTACACATGAAAAGATGCTAAACTTCAGTGGTCATTAGGGAAAAGCAAATTAAATCCACAGAGAGATATAACTGTGATGGACTCAAATGGTGAACATACACAGAAAAAGGTGGCCACGCCAAGAGCTGGGAAGGATGGCACCTCGAATTCCATGGGCTGCCGGCAGGAACGCAAAAGGGTGCAGCCTCTTTGGAAGACAGTTTGGCAATTTCTTCTAAAGTTCACAGGACCCAACAATCCCACTCCTAGGTATATACCTAAGAGAAACGAAGGCCTATATCCACACCGAGACCTGTATGAGAATGTTCATCCTGGTTTTATTAAATTAGCTCACTCCTGGGATTGCTATTTGGCAATAAAAATGAACAAAATGCCCGATGTGTGCAGCAGTTGAGGCTGAATCTCAAAGGCATTCTGCTATGTGAAGGAAGCCAGACACAAAATGCTACTTACTGTCTGATGCTATTTTTATGACATTCTAGAAAAGGCGAAACTAAAGACAGAAAACAGATGAGTGGCTGCCAGGACTGGAGGTGGAGGGGAGGGACTAACTGAGAGGGCACAAGGAAAGTTTCTGGGGTAATGGACCTTCTCCATAGCATGATTCTGGTGGTTCTATCGCTGTATACATTTGTCAATATTCAATGACTTGCATGTCAATTATGCCTCAATAACCTTGACCTAAAAACAAACAAACAAAAGAGGAGCTGAGTAAAGGCAAAGATGAAGAAGACAAGCTGTGACATCACAGGCATGTTGCCCGGCGACCGAGATTATGTCCCTTCCAGGTTTTCCTGCAAATGAGCTTATGTGATAGAGAACAGTTCGAAAAGGAAGGAGAGTCTACACCTTTAAAGTGACATTTGGAAAAAAACACTTAGCCGAATGCTTTTTAAAAATGTCTGCCAGGGGCTGGGCGGGATGGCTCATGCCTGTAATCCCAGCACTTTGGGAGGCTGAGGCAGGCGGATCACTGGCCAACATGGTGAAACCTTGCCTCTACTAAAAATACAAAAATGAGCCAGGCGTGGTGGTGGGCTCCTGTAGCCCCAGCTACTCGGGAGGTTGAGGCAGAAGAATGGCGTGAACCCAGGAGGCGGAGCTTGCAGTGAGCCAAGATCGTGCCACTGCACTCCAGCCTGGCAACAGAGTGAGACTCTGTCTCAAAAAAAAAAAAAAGAAAAGTCTGCCAGGGAAATAATCTGAAGAAACCAAGACCTAGCTTTCCTTGTATGGAATCTGGTCTGTCTGATGGTGATACTGACAGAAATTTCGAAAACTGTCTGGGACACAGCCCACAGGGCAGCAGAACTGAAAGTGGGTCAGGACCGAATTAGATTCAGGAGTGAAGGCGAAGTCTGGGAAGCCACTGGTTTCTGTCATGCTTTATCTCTATAGACAAATTTTCAAATCCCAGAAGGTACCACCTATAATTCTAAGATGCTATTATATAGTTTTATCTGAAATGATTTGACTGGGGTAGATGTACATTTTAAAGCAGAGAAAAAGTGGATGATCTCCTCTTCCCCACCCATAGTATCAGTGTCTGAAAACCCCTGCTCCTTATTCTAAAAATAGGCAGCACATGGGTGGTTGTGCTCAATGGCTTTTAGCCCAAACTTTTTATATTCTGGATATGATTTTGCCTGGCATGTGTTGGAAAAGTTGATTTTCTGGGAAAGCCTTTTATTACCTCTGTGCTTTTAGCAATAAATGCATTTCATTTGTCTAAATGTGAATCATTGTGTAATAGACTGATGTGATTTCCTAAGCCTGCTTGTCCTCTAAGAAGACTTGGAGTCTGATTGTGGATGAGTTCAGGGCCCTGAGAGCCCAGACTGCACCTGAGGAAAGGGCCAGGAGGAAGCAGATTCTGGAGCTGCAGGCAGCATGCAGAGAGCTTTGGCTGTCAGGCCGCGAATGGGTATGAAACGCTCTTTCTAATTTAGCACTGCTGACATGCAATGTGTCAATGCTCAGAGCATCACCCTCATGCAGCCTGGATGTCATGAAGAGGTTACGGATGCTGTGCTGGTGGCCTCCACTTACACGGTTAGAGAGTGACAATTAGCATAGGCGGCAACTACTGAGCTACCAGGATCACACGATGATTGGCAATTAAAAGAGCTAATTGTCTATACTTACGACCTCACTCACAGGCGCAGGTTACTAATTTTCATGTGCCAATGGCACGTGCCAATATTTTCCTGGTATTCTTAGGTCATCTTCACACCCAAGAGCATGGCATGACTCATGGCTGAGATGGTGTGTTCCCATTGTGCCATGTGACTGTCATTACCCCATGGGGCCTCTGCAGGTAGTAAGCAGCTAACAGCCCTGCAGAGTCTGCCCCAGGTGGAAGCAGAGAGGAAAGGCGTGTGGGTGGCCTTCCAAAGGCGGGCTCCCGGTGAGTTGAGCAAGCAGGCCGCCTGTCTTCCAGGGTGACTGCTCAGGATCTGTGGCACAGCCCAGGGACAGGACCAAGAGTTATATCTATTTTGCATTTAGACTGAAAAGCGGTCTATATATATGAGAGAAAAAAAAATTCTTTAAGTTAGCATTATATTGAGTTGGTTCCGCTACGATAATACAAACACACACCACATTGGCCAAGTAAGAAAAAAGGTTACGAGCCAAAAGTGGGGCAGTGGGCATGGGGAGGGGGTTTGAACTGGCTGTGATGCACAGCTTTTTTCCCCTCTTATCTTTATTTGAAATGTTCCTGAATAGGACATGCTTTAAATAGAACTCCACCTTTTCTGTTGTTACAAAATGCTTGATAACCACCATTGTCCTTCTCCTCCTTTGGCTACTGCCTAGTTAACTGTTAATTTTATTTTGACTTCATTTTCTTACTCCTTTAAAAAAATTTTATCTTTTAATTTACATACAATAAAATTCACTTTTTTTGGTGTGTTATTTGGTGTGTCATTAACAGACACAACAAATAACAGAGTTGTGTAACCACCACTATCAGCAAGAGACAGCAAAGCTCCATATCACCCAACATTCTGGGTGTTGCCCCTTTGTTATCAAATGCTCCCTTCTCCAAACCTCGGTCCAACCCTCATGTTTCTCCCTCCATGTAGTTTGCCTTTTCTAGACACTCACAGAAATAGAACCACGCAGTGTGGAGTCTTGAGCCTGGCTCCTTTCACTTAGCACAATGCATCTGAGATTCCCCCAGAGTGCTGCTGCTACAGAAAGACAGGGGAAAAAGATAATTAACAAAAAAAATTCTACCATACAGAAACTAAAGAGAAACACGGCTCCAAAGTTCTTACCTAGAGTATGGATTCATTTTATTTTGGATAAAAGAATATTTCCTTCTCATACATTATGATACAAAAACAACCTTTGTCTTGCTTAATACGCAAACACAAGCCTCATTCCCTAGCAAGAGTCTTACAGATTATAGACAGTGATAGCCATTTGAAATTAGACCAATATAATATCACTTTTCACATTTACATCTCTGCTTTTTGCCATTGGTAACTGATTATTTTCCCAAAGGCTTCATAAGATGTTGGACTTGGAAGGGACCTCAGAGAGCATCTGGGGCATCTGAGAGAGATCGGGGGGGTCGGCAGCGTGAGAGTCACCTGGGGGCTCATTAGCAATCAGGCAGGGCACTTGGGCCCTCTCCTGTCCTGGATTTTAACAGGGTTCCGGGTGATCGTTCTGAAGTGGTCCCTGTCCCAGGACTGGCCTGGGCTGGCCGCCAAAGTACCAACAACGGGGAGTCTCAGACCTTGTGAATTTTCTGGTCTAGCAGTTTGGGAGTCAAGGGAAGGAGCCTGGGAAGAATTTATATATGTATTTTTCTTTTTCCTTGTTTTTTTCTTTTTAATTTTTTCATGTGAGATGGGTCATGTGCTGACATCTTAACAAGGTTTGAGAGAGGCATGTCTCACACGAGTGTGAACGCCCCAGCATCATGCTGATGACCCACAAAAGGACAGGGAATTTATATATATGGAATACATATCTTTTGAGTCAGGGTTTTGCTGTTGCCCGGCTGGACTGCAGTGGCACAGTCATAGCTCACTGCAGCCTCAAACTCCCGGGCTCAAGTCATCCTCCTGCCTCAGCCTCCCAAAGTGCTGGGGTTACAGGCATGAGCCACTGCCCAGTCAGGAGTTGATGTTTTCAGCAAGGCCCCCAAGCACTTAAGATTCACAGGCAGGTTTGGGAGCCATGGAGTGTGTCTAATTCTCACGTAGACAGGTGAGGGGGCAGCCCAGAGAGATGAGCCTCTCACCCACAGCACCTGGACCCAGTGGTGCTCTGCATGCAGCAATACCGTTCCCCAAGCCCTGAGGGTCCCACATGCTGAGGGTCCCACATCACAGTCCCGGCTGCTCACCACCGCCAAGCACTGCTGGCTCATGTCTCATTTGTGAAGCAAAGGTAAGGGGGCCTCTGAGAGACCTGTCTGCCTTGCCCCCAAGCCACTGTGTCAGCTCTGCAGGCTCTGCGAGCCACCCCGCCATAGCCTTTGCGTTTTTTTGTCCCCCACTGCCCTGGCACACCCCTTCCCACGCTGGCACAGTGCACTGCACTCTCCAGTCTAACTGAGTGCCTAGCGGTTGGGCCAGTTTCTCTGGAACCTCAGGGCCATGGCACACGCAGCCCTCGCTGCCTGAGGCTCTCAGGGTCACTAGAGGATGTGACTCAAGCATGGGCTCTCTGGGGGCATCTTCCCCTCCTCACAACTGGAGGAGGCGGCCGGGGCTTCTTCCCCATGGCACACTGCAGGGCACTGCCATACTACATCTCTGTACCCACATTTCACGTGAGACCGCGAGGCCCTTGGAGGTAGGGACCATGCCTCATTCACACTCTGTCCCCGGCATCTCTTGCAGGATTTGACACACAGAACACACTCCATGTGCTGTCTGTTAAACACATGCGTTATGGCACTGCTATTTACCCCCTCTGCCTGGCTCCGAAATTCATGTTCTTCCCACATGGAATCTTCTATTTTTAGACCACGTTTCTGACCATTATAATGACTTCCCAATTTCTGATGCCGAGCAGCAGTGGGTCATGCTGTGGAGGACTTCACCCTCTCCTTTAGTCCCCTCCACCCTCCATTCAATTCCTTCAGTCACCTTCATCTACCGGAAAACATCATCCGCAATCTCAACTCTTCTCCAAGCCCTGTGCCCGCCCAGTGGAATTTCTGATTGTTCGTTCCACCAGATGATCTGGTTTTATCACCTGCATTATCAGGGAGAATGTTTCCCAGGCCTCTCAAGTGGAGTCATAAAAAAGGAGACCACCAGACTTGTGGAAAGGAGGGCTGGGCCAGTGAGGCCCGCGCTCAGCATCTGATGAGATACATCAGACCATCTGCTGGGATCGCGCTAGAAAATGAGGCAAGGGCTCTGGAATGCCAGGACTCCCTCCTCCAAATTTAGTTCTGGTAACATTTGAACCAAGTGTTTTGAGGACAACTGTCGGTGATAAGCCAGACCTGCGTAAGCAATTCAGGGCAACTACTGTGACTCAGGGGCGTAAAGGTTATGGAGGGAAGGGGTGAGTTTGTCAATGTAGGTCTGTGAGAAAGCTATAAAAGGAAGATGTTTAATGCTTACTGAATGTCTCTGTTTTAAAATCAGATTTCAACCTTGGGTCCAAAAAAGACACGTTTTTGTTTGGTCTTTTTACTGTTTCTATGCCAGGGTATGAGGTCAGCAGATTCGGAGTGACGTGCAGTTCTGGTGGTGAACACGAGGTGGCAGGCAGTAGCATCCACCGGCCCTTGGCTGGAGGCACAGATTTGCAAGCGGCAGTGATGTCAAAGATTTTGAGATTGTTTTGGGTTACAATGACTCATCTCAGTGGGAGAGAGGGCAGCTCCCTCATTTGTCACGGGGAGCTCACCTCCCATGGGGAAAGTCCTGACTGCAGAGTTCCAAAGATGTCGAAAGAGCACATCGAATTCCATTTTCCTTTCTACAGGGTGGTGGAACAAACTCAATCACTGATTGGTTGGACAATTCCCTTCCCTTTGACTTGCTTAAAGGAAAGTGTTCCAAATTTGTGTATTGGCGGACCTGTTAGGCCCAGCCCATTGCAGAGGGTCCACAAGAGAGTGTTTCAGGTTATTAGCTTTGACCCCTGGTTGGGACTAAGCTAGAACAGCAGCTGACATTTTTACTCTAGACTGTTCACTGTTCGGAGCACTTTCCAACAGTCAGCCTATGTAGTCCTCACAAACCTCTACGAGGTAGGTACTGTCATTGTACCCATTTTATGGTGAGGAAACTGAGGCACAGAGAGGTTTGGGCCATTTGGCTGGTATATGAAAGAGAAGAGTCATATGGGGCTTTTCAAAAGAGTTCCATAGGGCATTGTCATCCACACAGACTTCCCTTGAGGAACAGACATGACCTTGGACTCTGAATACATCTTTTCCACTGATCTTCCTGAAGCGATAATTAAGCCAAAAGCAGATGGACAAATTGTCTACAAAAATAAACAATGTATGCCTGGGGTTCATGGAAATCCGTACAAAACCAAGCCAGCCACAGTCCTGCAGAGGTGATTTAAGAACATGGCTTCTCTGCTTTAACCCTACCCTGCTCAAATGTAGCCATTTCACGGCTCATTAATCCCCCTCCCTGCTAAAGAGTGATGGGTAGAAAAAGAAGGTGAAACCCAAACAAGCCATTTCTGTTACTTTTTAGCAATGCTGGTCAAAAGGTATGCAGAGGAGGCCCCTGGAGCTGCAGGCTAATACTCTGAAGTAGTAACACACTCCAGGGAAATATTTAGACATAACCTATGCTTTCTCTACCTTCTCTGAACAGATTCGTTGTTGAAAACAGGCTGCATTAGGAAGATTTTCTAAACAGCTGTGGAGTTCTGCATGCTAAAAAGGTTGGCTGTTTAAGCATATTCTGAAGCAGGGTTTAGCTGGACCTTGGAGAAGACGAGCTTTGTGTTCCAGGGGAGTTGTGGGGAATCAGGAGGCCGCTTCGCAGAGGCCCAGGTTCCTTGGGAGAAGGCTGTCGTGGCTGAGAAGACCTGTAGGGAGGCCTGGGTGCTGACCACAGATAGGAGCTGAGATGGGACGTGGGAGACGGTGGTAGAAGTCCCTGCAGTAACCCCACAGGCCGTGAGTGAGGGCTTAAGAGCATCGAGAAGAAGGCAGCTGAGAGGAGAAAAGGGCAGAATGGTGGCCATTTGGTTTGTGAACAAACCGAAGTGATTTAACACTGATCAGTTAAACACAGATTCACGTGATTTGGAGCCCCGTGCAGTCAAGAAGGAAGAGTACCAGATTTGAAGTGCTACCGGGGTTGAATCCCAGCTCTGCCAGTTCTATGACCACAGGCAAGTCACTGCCCTTCCCTGAGCCTCAGTTTCTTTATTTGGGAAATGGAAATATTCACTGATACCACCTAGCTGGGTTCTGATGATCTTTCCACCAGATGGAAGAAAGATGTCACTGTTTTGATTTCTGAACAAACCAAGCTGATATAACAGTAACATCAGTAACATATTTTGTCGTGAAGAAAACAAAAGGGTATGAAAGTGGCTTCGAATTTGACGCCAAGAAGAAAAGGAAAGCTACGGGAGAAAAAGAACAGGTGCTGGGGGTCATGTACGAATGGGAAGGTTTTAGGAAGGTGCCAGATGACAGCACCAGTGGCAGAAGCCCATACATCAGATGGTGAACTTGGAGTCCATGTCACTGAACCCCAAGGGGCTGTCCAAGAACAGAATGAGTCTCACAGTGATCAGAATTATGTTTGTTTACAGCCAGAAGCTACCCTCAGGATGTTAGCAGCAACTTAAGGTATCTAAACATACATTTGACCGTGAACATGTGGAATTATGAGCTTGGCAACAACGCCTAGAGAACAACCTGGGCTAACTTTGAGTGTGATAACTGCAAGCCCTGCGAGGGGACAGGGGACGTGGCCCACGAGTGGCTGAGCAGCCTGGCTTCTTGCTCACGGATGTCTCACGCTCCCTGTTGCCTTGAAGCTTGGTGTGAGGAAGGTTAAATGGCGGACAGTAAAAGCCAGATCCCAATTCAGTCTTCCTCATCTCTGTCTTTAAAGGTATCTAATATTTTGGAAATCACCTCGCTAGGAACTTGTACAAAGCTACTGTCCACAGTAACACCGAGTGTCTGATGCTGGTCCTGGAACCACTGGCTACCAGGGCCACCTGATGGCCCTAGCATTGGCTCTGGGGCGGGCGGGACGTGTGGGCCGGGTTTCACCACGCCGGGGTTATTGTCTGTCGTCTCTCCAGTTAACAAAGGGCTGGTGCTATCTGGACATCCTGCACTCCCCCAAGACTCCCCGGTTTGGAATGATTATTTGGGCGAATGCTGAACACACATCCGCAATTAAAAAAAGAACAACAAACCACAAGAAACTGATCTTTCTTTAGTCTGGTGGAAAGATAATGCATGGCTCATTTGTCCAGACATGAAGCCCGGGTCCTGGGTGAGAGGAAACCAAGTGACATTAAAGTCCATTCCAGAGAAGTGACTCAGCTGGCGCCCTGTTCTCATGACATGGGCGAAAACAGCCTCCAGAACACTGGTTCTTCCCAACAGCACTTGTTAAAAGAGAAATCAATAGCAGTTTTCATCCACGAAATAGAAGGCAACAACTGAGTGCAGCCGTGCTGCTCCCGATACGCTTCCTGCGCATTTGGTGTTCACAAAGGTGTAGCGGCAGCAGCGCAGACACCAAAGATGCACGCGGTTCATTAGGAACAAGGAGCATTACTGGGAGAGGGAAACTAGAGACCCGGGGTGGGTCTGCGCTGATCACGGTACATTCTTGCTTTCTTTGCGGTTGGAATATCCATATTGCGATTTACCCGTCACAGCCTGGGTGGTCAGCTTCGTAATATTAGTAAGATTATTCCTAGAAAGCTTCACCCGTGATGTTCTTGTGAGATTTTTGTGCAAGAATGTGTGTATATGTGTGCATGTGTATATGTGCGTGTATGTGTGTACATGTGTATATGTGCATGTGTGTACATGTGTGCGTGTGTGCATGTGCATGTGTATATGTGTGTTATGTGTATGTGTCCGTGTGTATATATGTGCATGTGTGTACGTGTGTGTGCATGTGTATATCTGCATGTGTGTAAACGTGTGCGCGTGTCCATGTGTATGTGTGTGTGTATGTGTGCGTGTGTGCATGTGTGTGTATATGTGCGTTATGTGTATGTGTCCGTGTATATATGTGTGCGTGTGTACGTGTGTGTGCATGTGTATATCTGCATGTGTGTAAACGTGTGCGCGTGTCCATGTGTATATGTGCGTGTATGTGTGTATATGTGTGCGTGTATGTGTGTGTGCATGTGTGTGTGTATATATATGTGTGCGTGTGTGTGTACGCGTGTCATGTGGCTGTTGTGGTCTTCTGCTCTCATTATGACCTGTGTTTGTCTCACTGTGAATGTGCTGTTCCACCAGGCAGGAGCAATGCCGCAAGGATGTTTGGCGCTTTCTCTCTGTGTCCACGCCCGACCATATGAAAGGCCTTCCACACCAGCGCATCCCGCTTCCTCACTCCTAAAGGATCCATGACCCCGACGATGGCCAGAGGGCGGCTCTGCATGTCTGGAACTTTGGATACACTGCAGTGGCAACACCTCTCACATCAGACAGGAGCGGGAGAAGGGGCAGGACTTGGGGACGGCCAGCCGACGGTGAAGCCAACTCTCCTGGCCTCACATCCCAGAGTGTGGGTTCATTCTCTTTTCAGGAAGCATGGTCATGGAGGAAATTTTTCTCTATTCAAAAAGAACCTGGACACATTCCAAAGCCACTTCCTGTCCCCCATTCACACCTTGAACCATGGTGAGCTGGTTTCTGGCCTGACACTCTTCTTCAAGGGCCTGCAATGCCACTATCCCCAGCTGTGAGGGCCCCTCCCCGCCCTGGGGACCCTTGTGGCCCCAGCACAGCTGCCCCCTCCCTCCTGGAATGGGCTCTTCTGGTGGCCACGGACCCGCCTGCGTTTCCCCTCACTCCTCTGGCCCCTTCCTGATTCCTGTTCTGCTCAACATTGGAGTTTTGCTGCTCTCTTCCCCTCCAAACTCATGAGGTGGGATACTTCATTCACACCAAACGGCTTCAGTGAACGCTCAGAGGTGGATGGCTCCTACCTCCCTCCTGGACGCCTCTGTCTAGAGGGTCTAGAGATACTTTAAACTCAGCAGGCTTCAAGTTGAACTTCTTACCTCATTTCCTCCAACCTTGCTCCCAGCAAAACTCCAAAAAACAGAAACAACCCCCCTTTCCTTCTCTGCTCCTTAACTCGGTGAATTGCAAGGCCCACAAGCCAGGCTTCAGAACCTGAAATGGGGGAGACACTGCTGTCCCCCGTCCTCACACTGCACTGGGAGGGCACTGATTCCACTGGGCTTTCCGCCAAGCATCTCCGGAGTCTGCCGTTTCCTCTGCATTCCCAGCACCTCCTTCCTGGATCGGACTTCCTCCTTGCTTGCTTGCATTAACTCTGGAACTGCCTCTGTGCACCCCATCCCACTGCACCCTCATGCATCTCCTCTCTTAGCTGCCTTCATTCAAATTCTGAAATCCAACGTGTTCTCCGACTCCTTTCTAATGTAAAAACGTGAAGGCCCCTCTGCTCCCTGCAGAGTGAAACTCGGGTCGGTGGATGTGATGCCCAGGCCTCCTGGTGCTGCGTGTGCCACGGCTTTCTAGGTGCAGCTCCTCTCTACCCTGCACTCTGGTGGCTGGAGCCCCGCATCCATGGTCCCTCACTGTGTCTGCTGACATCTCCACAACTGTGTGACGCTCTCCTCGCTACACTGGCCTTTCCACGTTTCTCCTGGTGAACTGAACTGACGCATCATTCCTCCTCGCTCACTTCTTCAGTGTCCCAGGCGGGAGCTTCTCCAAGCCGTTTCCTGCAGGGTTGGACTCTCCCACACCGGCTTTCCCACCCGAGGGGCGCAGTGCTGCCCTGGGCCAGAGAGGGTGCTCGTGAAGGGTTGGTTTCATGGTCAATGCAAGTAAATATCAATTATTTGAAATAATCTCCTCCATCCCACCGGGTTTATATCACAGAGATTCCCAGCACCATGGAGAAGCATTGCCTCCTAACTGCCCTGCCCTCTTCCCTGAGGAGGCGATCGGGGTGGGCTGCTTGGATACCAGCCGCCTCTTGCAGGATGAGCCCCAGGAGCAGGAGACCCTGCCGGGCCCCTGAAGGCATAAGGGGAACAAGGCAGACTCTGGTCCTCTACCTTTCAGCCAGCAAGGTTCAATTCCTCACAGTTTACCAGTCCTCAAATGTTTAGTAATCACCAAAGGAATGAGGACTGCTGCCAAGGATACATATACACACACGCACAGATGTATACATACATGCTTCTTAAATTTAAAAGGTGTGAAGAATAGGTGACGGAGAAAAAACATGAGAGAGAACAAAATGTATGAACTCTATTAGAAGTTAACTTCTGGCAGTGTAGTAGGAAAAGCGTCTCGGCTAATGTATAAATTACCAAGAAAAAAAAAAGAGTCCCACTAAAAAAACCAGGTACTCACATCTAAATTTCTAATTAAATTACAATTACTTTTGAAGCTCATCCCCCATAGAGAAACTTCTCCTGGGATGTGCTCTAGGATGGACCTGAGTTTTGCTTCTATTGGAGCCAGTCATGCAAGAGTGAGAGGGTCCATTTGCAAATAGAATTGCATGCAGGGTCTTGCTGTGAATTTACTGACATGCTCCTGCTTATGCTGTCACTTCCTTAAGACCAGACAGCCTGTGAACCCTGATGAGTATTTCCAGTCCTGTGCCGGGCTCTCAGCCTGGGACTGCTTGGGGCCTACACCTCGCCCACTTCTCCCCAGTCTGCATCGATGAAGGAAGCCATCAGTGTCCGTAGGGGCAGCAGATCAGCTTCTGCAGGCCACTCCCACATTTCTCTGATTTCTGACAGTCCGCTGGTTATGAACGACACTTTACTATCTGGTTTACATTTGGGAATTATGGTGAATGCTGTCATAGAATTTACTGGCTGCTCAGTTTGGCAGTGTTTTCTTTGAGCCAAATATTACTTTGTCATGCAAGACAGTAGCACTTTCTCGGAAGCTGCAAATCTGACATGCCAGGAAAGAATCCAGGCGGCAGACACTTGATCACTGCAAGAGCAGCCATGGCTTCCCCCGATCGGGATTCATCAGAACATGACCTCCAGCCACAAATGCGCTTCATTGTTTTCAGTTGTTCTTCACTCACCTTCCCAAGCTCATTCCCAGAGACCCCAAAAATGTGCTGGGCTGATACCAGCAGGTTCCTGGGATGCTCTCTTAGAATCCATTGAGCAGCATTAAAACCAAGGCCACCTACTAGTGGGAAAGACATGAGTCACTCTCCCCTCTTAGAAAACCCCAGAAACCAAAAACCAAGGGAAAAAGTGAGGTGGCTTCAAATAGTATATAAATTGCTCAATGTGTAAGTTGTCCATGCCTGCAGCTACCACGTCTTCACAAAAAGGGCAACTCAAACACATTCACCTCCACAGAGCTGAGATCAGGTGACTGGGCCCTGACTGCGGGGCCATTCATGTCCTCCAGCTTCTCCCCCTGTCTAACGTGGAGGTCCCCTCATGGTGTAAGTTTTATGCCCTTCTAGGAAAACGTCGGGTGATGGAGAAGACGGGTCTGGGAGTGGAGCAGAAAGCCAGAAGGGGCAGGAAGGGGTGGGGGCCGGGGGTGGGTCCCACACCGGGACCCACTAGTGGGCCTTTCCTGGGACACAGACTCAACCCAGGCTTCCATACAGCCTTGTTGAACACATCATGAGTCCCACCCTTCCCGAACCTCCACAATATACACCAGCATCTTTTTTGTGTTAGTCCATTTCCCAGCCATAATTCACCCTGGTGACCTCTGAAATAATCTGCTGCATTTGGATTTTACATGGATTTTCTAAAACGTTTCTCTGTAGCCCAGATCTCCCTCCAGGTACCACCCTCTTCTTCCTCTCTTCCTAACGTTTTTAAATTTTATTTATTTCTTTGTTTAATTTTGAGACAGTGTCTGACTCTGTCACCCAGGCTGGAACGCAGTGGCATGATCACAACTCACTGCAGCCTCAACCTCCTAGGCTAAAGCAATCCTCACTTCTCAACTTTCTGAGTAGCTGAGACTACAGGCATGCACCATCATGCCTGGCTAATTTTTTTGGATTATGTTGCTTACTTAGGCTGGTCTTGAGCTCCTGAGCTCAAGTGATCCACCTGCTTCAGCCTCCCAAAGTGCTGGCATTACAGGCATGAGCCACCGTGCCCAGCCCCAACTCATTTTAGAAATGGTGTGGTTTCTACCCTTGTCTCCCAGAGGCGCTAGGTCCTGTGGACCACTCCCTCCTCCTAACCTCCTCTTTCTCTGGGAGAACTGTCTGTGGCTCCTTTCCTGTCTCTCTATCCACTTGGTCTTCATTTTCTTTTCAGGGATTCCTTCCTGGACTCCTTCTTAATCAGTACTGTTTCTCAGACCCACCTCCCTGGTCCTGCTCTTCTTCTTACACACACTCAGCAATGGTGGGTCCATATGGGGACCCTCCTGTGAGCCTTGGCGGCTCCTCCTTGTTGTATTACACTCCCGGCACCTCCCTGTTGGCCTAGCACAAGCCATGCCTTGTGTCTTAGCTGGGGACAGCCTCCTGGCCTCCCCCTGCCAGGCAGTGAATTCTGAGAGAGTAGCTGCCTGATACAAGTCTGCACCCCCTGCCCATATCACAGAACCCTTCACGCAGTAGGTGTCAGCATGTTCGCTGAGTATATGAATGATTGCAATATATTGATTTTTATAAGTCTGGTATTGTAGAGGAGTAGCAGAACCTTCAAATATGAGTCGGCATCTAAACAGCTCAATTGACCCAGAAAGTTTACCTTAAAAAGGCAATGAGCAATACTAAAATAAATCTAAATACATCATACTTATATTATTTGCTAGCTTTTACTTCTTTGTTTTGAGCAGTAACTGTTATGGTCTGAATGTCTGTGTCCCTCCAAAATTCATGAGTAGAAATCTGATCCCCAGTGTGTTGGCATTAAGAGGTGGGGACTCTGGAAGGTGAGTAGGTCCTGGGGGTACAGCCCTGGTGAGTGGAATTAGTGCATCTCTCAAAGAGGCCCAGGGGAGCCTGTTGTCCCTTCCGTCATGTGAAGACATAGCAGCAAGGCACTGTCTATGAAGCAGAGAGCTCTTACCAGACACCACATCTGCTGGTCACTTGCTCTTCAACTTCCCAGCCTGCAGAACTATGAGCAATAACATTCTGTTGTACATAAATCACCTACTCTTAAGGTATTTTTGTTATAGCATGGACTACGAATGGACTGAGACAGAAACTGGTATTAAAAGTGGGATGCTGGGGTAACAAATACTTAAAAATGTAAAATTAGCTTTAGAACTGGGTAATGGGTAGGGTCTGAAAGAATCTGGAGGTGCATGCTAGAAAAAAACCTACATGGCCATGAACAGAACCTTAAGGGTGATTCTGACGAGGGCTCATAAGAAGAGGGGGGCTGTAGAGAAAGCCTCAACCATCTTAGAGATTCCCTAAGTGGTCATGATCAGAATGTTGGTAGAAATGTGTACAGGAAAGGCCATTCTGATGAGGTCTCAGACAGAAATGAGAAGCATGTTATTGAAACTAAAGGGAAGGCCATCCTTGTCACAAAGCAGCAAAGAATTTGGCTGAATCATGCTCATCTACTTGTGTTTTGTGGAAGGTAGACTTCTGAGCCATAAAATAGGATATTTGGCAGAAGAAATATCTAAGCAAAGTGAAGGTGTGGCATGACTTTTCTTGACTGCCTATAGTAAAGTGTAAACAGAGAGAAACAAATTAAAGATGGAATTTATCAAGAAACAGAGAGCAGAACTGAAAGATTTAGAAAATTCTTAGACTGTCCAGGTAGTAGAAGAGTAGAAAACATGTTCAGCAGAGAACATCGAGATTGTAGCCAAGCAAACATTTGATAAAGAGATGAGTATGGTAGAGGGAAGCCAGATGCTGCTAATCAAGACAACTGAGGAAGGACCTCCGGAGGCAATCTTTGGGGCTGCCCCACCCATCTTAGGCCCAGAATGCCAGGACCCTGGGGCCAGAACAATTTCAAGTCTCTGCTCCCTGCAATCGGATGCAGTGCTCCTCGGCTGCCCCAGCTGTGGCTCCAGTGGGTCCAGGTGTAGCTCAGATGGTCTCTCTGGAGGACACAAGCAGGAAGCCTTCGTGACCTCCACGTGGTGCCAACTCTGCAGGCACACAGAGTGCAAGAGCTGTGAGAATGTGGCCACCTCCACCCAGCTTCCAAGGGATGCCCTGGAGAACTTCTGTGACCAGGCACAGACCTGACACAGGAGCAGGGCCAACAACAGAGGCCCCACAAGGGCAGTGTTGTGGGAGAGGGGCTCCTCACTCCGTAAGGTGAGGGCTCATAAGAAGAAGAGAGTTGCAGAAAAAGCCTCAGTCTGTCAGAACACCATGAATAATATTCTGTTCATGGCAGTGTAGGTTTCTTCTAGGTGGGGAGGTGTGGGAGTGGGGCTGCCCCCAGCACCCAGAACAGTGGAGTGACCAGTTTGCCCAGCCTGGAGAGCTGCAATGAAGGCTGTGCCCAGTGAAGCCATGGGAGGCGGGGCTGCCCCGAGACTCAAGGAACCAATCCCCACCCCAGTGTGTCCAGAAGGCGGATATGGAGTCAGAGATGACTCTCAAGACTTAAAATCGAATGTTCTTTGCCCTGTTGGGTTTTGGACTCACCTGGCATCACTTACTCCTTTAGTCTTTCCTGTTTCTCCCTTTTAGAATAGAAATGTCTGTCTTATGCCTGTCCCACCATTGTATTTTGGAAGCACACAATTTATTTGATTTCATAGGCTCATACTGGGAGAGAAATGTGCCTCAGGATCAATCATACCTGGACTCTCACTTGATTTAGATGATATTTAGATGAGACTGTGGACTTTAGACTTTTTAGGTTGATTTTGGAAAGAGTTAAGACTTTTGGGGGCTATTAGAATGGAATGAATGTATTTTGCATGTGAGAAGGATATAAATTTTGGGAGGTTAGGGGTGAAATGTTACGGACTGAATGTGTCCCTCCAAAATTCATAAGCTGAAATCTAATCCCCAATCTGCTGGTATTGAGAGGTGGTGCCTTTGGGAAGTGATTAGGTCATTAGAGTGATGTCCTCATGAGTGGGATTAGTGCCCTTATAAAGGAGGGAGCATCTGTCCTTTCTGCTGCGTGAGGACACAGCAGCAGGGCACCATCTATGAATCCTGGATCTCATCAGACACCAAATCTACTAGTACTTTGATCTTGGACTTACCAGCCTCTAGAACAGTGAGAAATAAATTTCTGTCATTTATAAATTATCCAGCCTAAGGTATTTTTGTTATAATAGCCCAAGTGGACTAAGACAGTAACTGATTCACAGAAATTTGGTTTTCAAGACGTTTTAGACCAAGAGAACCCCTAAACATATAGGTGGATGTAAGCTGGTTAACTTATCTTGCGCTGACTGTGCTGAGCATTATCAGTTTCTAATGATATCAAGCTACTTAGAAAGCAATGAAGCTGAAAGTTCTTCTAAAACAAAATGAGAACTTTGAAGAAGCTTTTTAAAAGTAAGTTTTGTTTGTTTTAGTTCCCCTGGGTAGGCAAACATATAAACAGAGCTCCATTGTCTCTTCAAAACCCACTTAATTAGGTTTTCTCAAGTTTATATGGAAAACACCTTTGTGGAGTTTGACACATGCCATACTTCATATTGTTTTAACTACTCTTCTTCATTTTGAAAGATACAGATGGTACTAAAATGAGTTGGATTGATTCTCTTGAGCAAAGGCAATGCTAACAATACAAGGAACCAATCCTCATCTACAAAACAGGTTTTAGTTTTGACAAGGTTTGTACCTATGAGCTTGTTCTCTGGTCCTCCTCCCCACCTCCCAATTAACAGAAGGTAACCAATACTATGCAATAAACAAATGGGAATGAATTTATGATAAAGGGCAAAGCTGAACAACTGTTTGGATGGGACAGTCAGCTATAAAACTGAAAACTGCTGAAGCCAACTCACTGGTTAGGAAAAAAGTTGGAAATGCGTGGGTGTGTTCTCAAGGTCTTAGGAAAATTCCGGAAGTCCAGCAGATGTTTTCTGTTAGGAGGCAATGGAAGCCCCAAGAGCTACATCTTCTTCTTCATTCTCTTAATTATAAGTTTACTTATGAAATCATTTTTTTTCTTAAGTATCTCTCTGCCAATACTTACAAAATAGAAGGCTGGCCAAAGTAGTCAACTCATGAGCCTTCCTGTGTAACCAGAATATGTGTACGTGGGCAGGAAATCTCTATAGGAAGCAGAAATCTAGGTCCATCATTATAAATGCTTTATCTTCTGAATAACTCTTTTAGTTACTGAAGTGGAATTACAACTTTTTTAATCTTATCAATTATAAAAGTATATTCAGGTTTCATTGATTACAATATTTTTCCCCCTTTTGGAAAATGATGTAATTAATAGTCATCATAGTAATTTTTCTGTTTTTTTGGTTCTCTATATAAACATTAATAAATGGGGATAGATTCAAGGAATCAGAAGTTAATGAAGCATATTTTAAACATTTAGACTTTCTGCTGTCTTAATTTTGAATACGTGTTTGAATACCTATGGGAGGCTACTTTTCTTACTGCATTTGCTTTACTAGCTTCTGTGTTATGAAATCTAACCATCAACTCTTTCAGGGAGAAGGAATGAACATTTCCGTCTGACCAAAGTTTCAAAAGTCAAGAGGTGAATTAATGTTCAGAAAATACTTAAAATCTTATTTAAATTTCTCATCTGCTTAAGAACTTTTTCACTTTTTTTTCTGTAGTAGGTATCTGAAGACCAACTTTTTCACTTTTATCACATATGCAAATTGATCTCCAAAAGGTTTATTAGAGATTGGGTCTATATATCAAAAGGTACTTTATGAATGAATTAAGAAGGGAGTTTCCTATCTAGGCTGGCTAGTTAGTGAGGTTGCAGAAGCAGTCAGCATAAAAACTTTGTTAAAGTTCAGGAATCCAGCTGGCTGTATGTTTTGGAGAATTTGTCTGATTACTACACATGGTTACTAGATCTATCGTGAATATGGAACAAATTCAAGAACATTAGATTCTCTTGGCCTTGTGGAGATTACTCAATTCATCTAGAATTTTAATCGAGCATCTTACAGATGGAACTTCTGCAATTATCAAGCTTCAGAAGCCATGACCAAAGCAAACCTCACTCAAATCTTCTCTTACCCTCAAAACAGAATGTTTTCCCCTAAAAGAAGCAGGTGGCCTATCATATTCCTGCCAGGAAGATCCTGCAGGGCAGGCATAATCAGATTAAAATCAATTAGATGAACTGTGTGGGAATTTGCATTTTAAACATTCTCATGGCACATCCCCCCAAATTTAGACAATTTTTGAAAAGTTCCAATATTTTCATATATTTCACAAAACTGGATTGTGTCACCAAGGGAATGCTATGCATCTGGAGAATAAAAGGTTTCACAGGACCTAGGCTCAGTTCCACACATTTATTTTTGTCCTCTGTGGGAAAGAAAATAGGTAAAGTGGTTCAGAGATGCAAGACTTTAGGTCTGGGGCCAACCAAACTCAAAGAGCTGCTTTAAAGCCCATTATGGGTAAAGCTAGACTTCTTCATTCTCAGACCAAGTCAATACGGGAGCTCACTTATGCCCCACATGCCAGCATGAATATGTCACTAATATATGATGGCCATCAAGGTTCTCTGGTTGTTTTGTGAATGTTATCTCTCAACAAGGTGTCTGACATCACAGGCTCTGAGGGCTTACGGGAGGAACAAGATTTTATCTTTGCTCTCCTTGGTGATCTAGACAAGTGGTTTAACCTTGGGCTCCTGTGCGGATGTGTGAGTTAAGTAGCTAGTGAGGGAAAAATGTGATAGGTGTTCAATAAATTTTCTTCACCTTTCTCCCCAATGCCCTTTCATTCCTTTGACCTGCTTCTTAAACATCCTTCACAATAGTTACCAGAATACTGGGCACAGAGTGGCCTGGCTGCTTAACAACTTACACATTCTCCCAGTTTTCCTGCCAATAAAAAAAGCTTCTTACAACTAAAAACCGGCAGGAATTTGTGGTTGATCTCCTTTGATAAAATGGTCTAAGTGAGCCAAAAAAGATACAGTTATATATAAGTAAGGCTAAAAATACTTTTTTTGACTTGGCTAAAAAAAAAAATTGTTAAAAAAAAATCAACCTAAATTGATTTGGTTGATGGACTAGATGATCTCCAACTCCACCCTGCCTCTGGGCTGGGTATGTCTGATATCTTATAATGCTGACTGTGCTTTTTGTTATTTGATTCTTTCTTCCTTTCTTTCCCTTTCTTTCTTTCTTTTTCTTTCTTTCTTTTTTGACAGAGTCTCACTCTGTCACCTAGACTGGAGGGCAGTGACACGGTCTCGGCTCACTGCAACCTCCACCTCCTGGGTTCAAGCGATTCTCCTGCTTCAGCCTCCCAAGTAGCTGTGATTATAGGCATTTGCCACCACTAAAATCTAAAACCACTAAACTAAAAACAAAACACTAAAAACACCATTTGTGTTTTTAGTAGAGTCGGGGTTTCACCATGTTGACCGGGCTGGTCTTGAACTCCCGACCTCAACTGATCCACCCACCTTGGCCTCCCAAAGTGTTGGAATTACAAGTGTGAGCCACTGCGCCCAGCTCATTATTTGATTGCTAAAGGAAGTGATGGCTATACACTTATATCTCTGATCTTTTGCTTATTTACATTTACCGTTGTCATTTCTATAGGCAGTTGAGTTTTCCTCATAATAAACATGTATTTTATTATTTTGAAAAAGTTGCACTTGAATACATTTCACACCTTATCTTCCCCCCACCTAAAGGAACATGTAAAAATAGCAATAGAAACAACCAAAAAGGAGAAGGGACAAGAGAAGAAGAAAAAGGAAAAGGAAGCAGTAGGAAAAAAAAAAAGAAAAAATCTGATTTTTGATTTAGATTTTTGAGTTTTTCTAAAAATAACTTCAAAGCCCTTCAAAATGTAATGGTGTGGAGAGTTGATCTTTCGCTTTAGCCTGCATCTGTTCGCGAGTTTTCCCAGCAGAGATGACTTCTTCTCCATACGATACAGCTGCTCTTAAAGCAAGGATTTGCCCATCTTTTCCAATCATTAGGGGGTTGCTAAAGTTTAACGTTTGTGACTCTTTCTGTTGGACTCAAAATAACATAAATAAACTTGTGAATATAAAATATGGTGTAAAAGCCTTCTTCTGAGTGTCCTCTCACAGCCCCCAAACACAGAGCTGATTCTTTCTCCTGCCCTCATACCCACCCACTCCCTCTCCTTCCTGCCCACAAAGGACTATTCATCCACATGCGGCTGACACGCCCGTCTCAGATCGCTTTCTGCGTGGTCCACATGATCCATTATTCCTTCTGCTACATCGATTTGCAAGTGGTAGTTCAGTTCAGAGCCAGTACTTCTGGCCTCCAGTTTCGATTTACTCCAAAAACGTCTGCCTTGCCAAGATTGTGAAATATGCCACCTACGATGTTCTTAAAAACTGAAAAAAGTTCAAATGTTTATTAGTGGAAAAATGTGCATCCATCACTAAGTGGAAATGAGAAATAAAAATTCATTTAAAAAGTGCTCATACGGCTTACTTCCCTCCAATCAAGCCTATAAATACTGACAACCTGAAGCCTGAATCCCTATTTAAATGACAGGGACCCAGAGTGATGGCTTGTGATGCTCTGAGGGGTTCTTCGGTTCCGGGGCTGCCCAAACCACTTCCCTGTTAGACTTGTATTTGGCAGAACCTCCGTGCAGAAGTCCAAGACTGTTCTGACGCATTTGTAAGTAAACAGACTGTATAACTTATCTTCAGACAAATATCAATGGGGGCGGATAAACAGTCGGCCAGAGGAGGTTTTCCAAAAACTCTCCGACGGTCATGTGATATTAACAGGGCTACACTGTGGTCTTGGCAGGCCTGCTCGGGCCTTGAGCAACGTTATGACCAAGGATGGTAGCAGGCTGTGAATAAACTCCTATTAGTCATGTCCGTGAAGCCTGGGTGCTCAGGAGGGAGAGTGAGGCTCAAGCCTTGTGGAATTCAGTGCTCTGACTTCAAACTCAAAATAAAACCACAAAACATTTGCACATTGACTAGACCTCTGAAATCTCTCTATGCATACCATCTGACACGTTCAACAGTTTAAAAAATGAAAGGAGACAAAAATTTGCTGTTTGTAAGAAAGAAATTGCAATTCTCTACAATTTGATGCTGGTTTTATCATTAGGGATTGGAAACGCCTTTAATTCTCTCCTCACAAGAAAAAACGGTCCGCTTAGTCATTTCTAGTAAGATTCTGAATGGCTTAATCTTAGACTGCCATGGGGTTTAATGACGGGGTGGTCAGTCCCCATCATTAGCAATGTTAAAGGAGGGCGTGGTGAGATGTCTCATGATCAAAGGGCCAAGAAGGCATGTTCTCCAGAAAAGACAAGAGCCCCATTTCACAGAACATCTTGATGGCCAGATTCTACCACTCCTGGAGCTTTCTTGAGCATAAAACAATCCCCCTGCCTCAGCTGAAGTCCAGGGTGATTCAACCCAGAGGGCTACTCAAGAAAAACACGGGGCATGGAGTTAGACTGTGCACGCTCCCCCATTTCCAACGCAAGCCTGCATGGGAACCATCTTGTCCCTCTTATTTCAGAGTCAGAGAAACTTCCACATGTTTTTACAAGCATGGCTGGTTGTTAAAAATCGTTCTCAATCTGCGAGATTCAGTCACACAAATCCCCAGAGTCAGATTCACATTTAAAAGAATAATGGAAGGCCAACACTGGTATCAGTTGTAACAAATGCAGCACGCTAATACAAGATGTTAATAATCGGAGGAACTAGGGGTGAGAGGTAGCGGGAGGGGATATGGGTACACTCTGAATAATTTTTTTGTTTTTGTAAATCCAGAACTGCTTTAAAGATTAAGTCTATTACAAACAATAGAAGGGGGAGAAGAGTACATTCATTTTCACTAAAACCTTTTCTTTCTTTTGACTCGTTACTTTTTATGTACTTTATTCCATATCCCTCAAATGGAATTAGAAATGGACTTTTATTTTGAGACAGAATCTTGCTCCGTTGCCCAGACTAAAGTGCTGTGGCGCGATCTTGGCTCACTGCAACCTCCGCCTCCTGAGTTCAAGCAATTCTTGTGCCTCAAACTTCCGAGTAGCTGGGATTACAGGCATGCGCCACCAAACCTGGCTAATTTTTATATTTTTAGCAGAGACGGAGTTTCGTCATATTGGCCAGGCTGGTCTCGAACTCCTGACCTCAAGTTACCCGCCCTCCTCGGCCTCCTAAAGTGTTGGGATTACAGGCATGAGCCACTGCGCCCTGCCAGAAATGGACTTTCGCATTTGCTTCAAAAGCACAAAAACTTTTGGGGAAAAAGTTTTCAATTAGAAACAAAATGTTATATCCAGTTGAATATAATGACCACATCTAAAAATGTAAAATGAAAATCACAGGAAAAATGTGTCACGTTCTCATTTAACTTTGCAACATGAGGAGTGGGGCAGGGAGTGGAGAGAGAGACACAGACAGGATGAACAAGCACTGAGATCGTGGGACACCTCCCCTGCCATCCTCCCCATCAGGA
This sequence comes from Homo sapiens, assembly GCF_000001405.40. Lineage (NCBI taxonomy): Eukaryota > Metazoa > Chordata > Mammalia > Primates > Hominidae > Homo > Homo sapiens. Next base: position 110,395,402 of record NC_000013.11, on the reverse strand, counting down.
AATCCCTTATGTGCCTTCATATAGTATCTGTCCACAATGAATGAAACCCCTTTAAAGACTGTCCTCTGTCACACAACATGGCAGTGGCAGTCACTTCCCAGGCAGTGCTCCGTAGAAGGAAGAGTGACTTGTTCTAATGTTGAAGGGAACTGGCTTTGCTGGACCTCCTAAGACACAACCACTGTGCTCCAAAGTTGCCCTGCCTGAAGGATTTGTAAGGGGAATGCTGGCAATACCTAATTATCATCTTACGCATTGATATGAGATCCAGTCCTCCCAGGAGGAGACAGGTCTCCACTGTTGACCTCTGGGCACTAGGGCCAACCCTGTGGAGGACCCGTGGCTTTGTAGAAAATGGAGGCTGCTAGGAGTTCTCCAGCTCTGGGTCCCCGGAGACGTGCTGCACCCTATCTTTCCATGTGTCTCCAGCAAGAAGCTGTGGATAATTTGACATGTGTCTGCTAATTCCATCAGATCTTTTTTACTTGTTTTGAATTTGTTCTGAATTGAAAATCAAATCTATGTCAGCAAGTTGTGGGAGTGGAGAAAATTAGGGAGTGGCCAGGGGATCTGAGCAAAGAGCACCAGATGGGCCAGAACTCTGGTGTATGTTTTGATGTATTACATGATGGAATGCATCTCACTCTAGCAAAGGCAAAGGCAAGTAATTCATCGGCCCACCCGCGGAGGAGCCCACCTCTCCAGCAGCAGTGTGGGAAACAAGACTGACTGAAGCGTGGCAAATGGCAAGGCGAGAACAAGGAACTGAATATTGGCCAGAAAATGGACCGAGAGGTCGTGTGCACCAAGACCATCCTTGTGTAATTGCACGAGTTAGGAAATGAACATAGGTCAACACAACTGGGGTACGGGTCATGCAGTCTGGGACGCATGTTTGGATTTGTGGCTGTGAAACATCCCCAAGGTATGATGGCGCTACCAGGAGAAGACCTGTGACTCAGAAGTCAACGTTCCTCTCTCTACTTGTGCGAATGTCATGTGACTGTCCTATCCTCCATGTTCAAATGCTGACCAGCCTAACCAGGTTAGAAACAGTGGACAAGTGGCAAACTACTGAGCCTCTCTGCTCCTCATGTTAAAGGGGGAAAATAGTAATAAGTGAGTTAATTACACACAGACACACACACGCACACACAGAGCAAAACAGTGTCTGGCAGAAAGTAAGCACTACATCAATGTTTTCTCTTGTTTTACGATTATAAAATACCTATTTGCCAAATTATCAAGGGAGTTAAAAGATCCTTAACCTAAAGACCTGTGAGAAAAATTTTTTACAAAGTCAAGCACAGGTGGTTCCAGCATGGATTTTCTCTCATGCTTCTACTGTCCCATCTGACTCTTCAGCACACAGATATGGTGGAGAAAGTCATCATATAGTGGCAGGGGGTATGGCCAACACCTCATTCTGCTGGAAGGTTTTTACTATGAGTCCTACAGTAATGTTTTGGGCAAAGATACTTTGACCCTCATTGTATCTGAGTCATGTAAAAAAGAATTTTTTTTTTGACAGCATCTCACTCCCTTGCCCAGGCTGGAGTGCAGTGGTGCGATCTCGGCTCCCTGTAACCTCTGCCTCCCAGATTCAAGTGATTCTCTTGCTTCCGCCTCCTGAGTAGCCGGGATTATAGGTGTGTGCCACCACGCCCGTCTATTTTTTATATTTTTAGTAGAGTTGGGGTTTCACCATGTTGGCCAGGTTGGTCTCGAACTCCTGACCTCAAGTGATCCATCCACCTTGGCCTCCAAAAATGGTGGGATTACAGGTGTGAGCCACCGGGCCTGGCCTTTTTTTTTTTTCCCTCTTTATAGTGGGATTCTCTTAAAATGGCCTAGAATTTCAGCACTAAATATAGCTGAAACTTGAGTAACTAAAATCCAATAATAAAATCCTCACTACTCAGACAAAGAATTGAAATACATTTCAACAGAAATATTTCATTTTATATAGCCTTACATTATACTGGATTGTATTCATAAAAATAGGAGTCCTAACATAATTTCCACATCCAAGTATTGCCATTTATAAATTCCAAACTTTTGAAATTATTCTTGGATGGGAGAGCAATTTAGCATTAAGAAATTGAGCCAGCGAAAGGTTCAGTTTTATATTTTAATTTTATGTTTCCCTTAAATAGCCTTTAAAATGAGCTTGTTAGAGAAAAGAAAGAGCTCAATTTTACCTTACAAAAGAAAAGCACATGAGATGAACTGTATTCAGCATTTCTCATGAATTTACACTGCCAGAAGGGATTTGAAGCCAACCTCCATACTGTTGCCTTCAGCACCACCGTGGGCCAATCCTCCCAGGTGGGCGACACCAGGGGGAGATCAACAATACTTCGCAGCTGTTCGTGTGGATATTTGCTGAATCACTGTGAGTTCTCGCTCCAGGCTAGTCAGAATCCTCCATGTAAGTTTTTCCCTTCTTATTCTCTACATGGTGAGGATGAAAATCAACCACCTGCCCCATGGCTATCAGCCCTTTCTAAACTTACAGACTTAATACAATTATTTCTTAACTTTACTTTCTTGGTCCTAAATTGTCTCAGTTCTTCTACTTCTTTCTTTTAGGACTTAATTTATAGTTAAAGAGGAGGGAGGATAGAGGGCACCACAGCAGACCAGATGGTTTCCAGAGCAGGAAATGGCCAACAATTATTCTTGACCACAGTTAGATAAGGGTCGGGAGAGGATTTTAAAGCAAGGGATTCTCAGGCATCCCCTGAGGAAACAGGAATGAGACAGGCGTTGTACTAATATGGTCTTTTTTTCTGCATGGGGTAGGGGACATCTGCTGCTGCACAATACATTTTTGGGTGAACAATTCACAGGCATTTTTCACATACTGAGTGGACACACAGGCAGAGGGGCCGGAAGAGCCCCGCGGACTCACAGCACTGCTGTGACCGTCTCTCCTCCCACTGCCCTCGAGGGTCCCAGCTCCTGGTTCCTGCAGACTTCGGGTATTCTGTCCTGGCTTCCTCCTCTTCAAAACCCACCTTTCTCCCTGCATCTTGGAGATAAATACCCAGTCCTCCTCCATTTACGTTTCAACTATAGCATCATTCTTTGAGTTTACTTAAATTGCTTTGGAACGTGAATGCAAGAATAAATCAGTTCTTTAGACTCTTCATATTGGTTCTTTTAAATCAGTCAAGTTGTTGACTGACTGACTTGTTTTCTTGATGATTCTTTATTTTACTCTTAAGTTCTCACCATATTCAACCGTGACTTTCAGTATTTCAGTATTTCTTTCAAACTCCTCTTTTTTCCTAGAATCTCAAATTTGAAGTTCTTCACCTCCTGCCATTTGTTGTTGAAAACTTGGGTCTTTGTTACCACTCCCCTCCAAATCCACCCTGGGAGCAAACAGAATGTGTGGGGCCAAGAGGAGAGAAGGCCCCAGAGGAGACACCTGCTGGGATGTGCAAGACACGTGGGGGCAGAAAGAGCCCAAGAAACCTGGGTAAATATCCAGCAAGGGCAAAGCAAAGTGAGATTTTCAGAGCAAACTGAAGAGAACCAGCAGTCCACACCTGCCAGCCGGGAACACTGAAGAATGCAGTGGTTCACTCTCAGGACGGGTGGAGGCTGCCTTTTAGCGAGCACCTGGGGACCAATGATCATGTGACTAGATACTAAAGATTACTTTGTCTACCTCGAATCCCAATGACGACCCTGAAAGAAAGGTGTTGCTCTTCTGTTTTGCAGAACTAAACACTGAGGCTTACAGAGATTAGAGAATTACTCAAGGGCATCGCGCTAGTAAGCGGTAGAGCCAATTTTCAGAGGAAGATCTGCCGGGCTCTGAATCTGTGCTTTTCACTACTCAATTTCTTCTTCATAAACATTCTTAATGACTCAGACAAAGAATGCATTGTTATATCTCTGGATATTCTTTTAACTCAACAGATCCTGACTATGATAAAACATTTACACTGGCAACAGCAGGGAAGCAACAGAGATGCTGGAACCCCGGCTGCCGGACTCCTCACAAATGACCAAGTCTGGCTACTCCTATTGGGTAAGGTTTTCTGATAGTCACCATTTTGCTTCTAGTTCTTTTGTGACCTAAAGTCACATCCCTGCTAATAGCAGAAGGGGCTCTGTAGAGGCCCTGTAGATACTGCAACTATTTAATATTTTCTTGAAGTATGAGTTTGATACAGGCAGTGGGTTATGGACCCCACCACAGCCAATCCAGCATTCTGGAAACAGAGCTTCCAACAAGACTCTTCTAGAAACAAAACCAAAGAACAAACAAAACACAGAATCCAAAGCACTACTAAAAATAAACGCATTTTTTCATGAATGAGGGAGTATCGTAAAAAGAAGTCTTAACCTCCAAGTTTCTTCCTTAAGTTGATGAATTCGTAATTCACTTGGGACCCAAATGATTGGATAAACAGTTTGAAAAGATAGTGTCAGATACAAATGAAATAGCTTCCACTTGACATATGTCTTTTTAAAAAAGGAATTTCAATATAAAAGATGAGGGTTGAATTCAGATTTGGTAATAACTGCAAACGTTTAGGATACCATGGGAACAGGGACTCATCGGCCACAGCCCTAAACAAGCGGATTACTCAGTCAAGTGTAACCGCAGGCTGCCCTGTCGCTTCTCAGGCCTGTACACAGCCCTGCCATATAGGATTCCTCTGGGGAAAACATCCTGAGAATGTGTCATTTAGAATTAACATCAAGGAAGTCAAAGGGCATGAGAATGGACTTTCCAGTCCCTAAAGAATGGTTTCCAGCTGCCCTATGGAATAACTACTGCTGAGTTCAGTGAAGTTCCCAATACACAAGTTTTAAAACATGGTTTAATGGGGTGTCAGTTTACCAGAGTGAGTGTGGACCAGGTTCTGCTCCTCACCCATGGCATGGCGTTGAGTGCAACACATCACCACTCGGGGTCCCACCCACAGACTCCCAGCGCTGGGCTAGAAGGTGTGTGGAGTCCCTCTGGCTCCAACTGCAAAGGTTTCAAGGCTCCCTGTGCAGGGTCACTGCGTGACCTTTGGGAATCTGTGGAGACAGAGACTCCAGCCACCTTCCATGGAAGTCTTCCTGGAATTCCCAACGAGCTCAAGAGCCCTGGTCCTCCTGTGATGGGACATGACCTAGAAACCCACTTTGGAGGGGAGTGGGTCTCTCCAAACTTTCCTCTTCACAGGACAATAAAAGTAGACAGCAAAAAATCCTGAGTGGGGTGATTGTGTCTTACGAATATTTACATCCTTGCACCTAGCATAGTAGCTGGCACCCAGAGCAGGCTCAATACATGCTTTTTGAATAAATGAATTGAGGCCGTTAACACTGAGAGTCTTCATCTTAAATCATCCCATGCCAATAAAATAGGCATTTAATAAAACTGAGTTAATTTCATCAAGTGTGTACTATACTTGGTCAAATGCTATTATCGAACTTAGGAAACACTGATATTTTTGAGAAGGGAGTAAAAGTCATAAAAGAAGTAGGGTAGTTTTAAAAATTTTTAAACTTTTTTTTTTTTTGCTTTAGAAAGAAAAGCACCCACTAACACAATAAACACGAAAGGCTGCTTAAACCAAATGCAGTGAATGCTTATCTTGGTCAGCTGGAGTTCACCTAAGCAAGGACTGGACCAGGCAAGGAGGCCCTGAACAGCAGCCTGCTTCTGGGGCCAGCTTTCCTCTTGGAGCCGCAGTCCTGGAGAATCATGCTGGGAGGTGTTAGTGCTCGTGAGAGTGCACAGAGGAGCACAGCCTACAGTCGATTTGATGTCCATCATCTTCCCTTGCATGGGGAGATTAATAGACCATAGGGAAGACAGAGGGGTCTGAGAAGGACTCCCTGAGCCGGGCCCTCCTGCAGGGAGGCAATGCTGACCACATCAAGCATGGGCTCCCCAGCTGTGAGGGTCATCTTCGCTGCTGCTGATCACTGCTCTGTGATTTCAATTAAATCATGAAGGGTGGATTCTCGCACACGCACACTTCTACAGATACACACATGCACAGATTAGGGAGAAGGGTGATGGTGCTTTACAGATACGAAATGTCCTCCACATGATGCACTACTTTATAGAAAAGGGTGATGGTACTTTACAGACACGAAATGTCCTCCACATGATGCACTACTTTATAGGAAAGGGAAGCGATGTGATCTTTGGCCGGGGTGAGAGCAGGTTTCAACTCCTGTTCTCATGCTGCCAGCGCTGCCACCACTCATTCACGGGCTGGGCTAGGTCTCCTTGAAGAAGCTGATCTGTGAGGACGTCCTGCATGGGTTGGGAGAAGTGTCTTGCCTTTATAAACCCAACCAAAGACATCAGACACAAAGGAAGGATGGGTCTGAGTGTCAGCTGCTTAAAGAAAGGGTGAGGTGGAAAATCTGTCACAAGGAGACAGGATGGAGATCGCAGGGCCACAGCCATGATCACAGAGGGTGAGGGCAGACCGTGAGGAGTGGAGACAGGGGAGCCAATGGGTCAGAAGGGGCCCAAGGAAAGACACAGCTTTGAAGCAGCTGGCCTGTGGGATCACACGAGGAATCTGTCCCCTGGGAGGCAGGGGGAGGTCCCGGAAGCAGTGGAGACCAGACCTTTGAAGTTTGAGCAACACAGTTTATCATGCACAAATTCTGATGTCAGAGTTTTCCCTCAAGCTATATTTAAATTTGAGTCTGTGCTGCACACTAGTAAAACTGCAATCAGTGAGCTAATCAAACCCTCGTATATGTGAGGGGTGAAATAATTTTTTTTGCTGACTCATCACAGGGACACTTTTTCACCATATGCCATATTTAAAGTCGCAAGTATTGCTCTCTGATGGATTAAAAACTGTCTCTCTCATAAACACATTCCTTCCAACAGCATTCATCTTGCTCTGTGGTCTAAAAATGGGGCAGCAGTTTGGAGCATGACAGAGTACAGGGCTCATTCTCTTTTTCGTTCAACGAGTAAAAATAAATCTTGAAATTTGGGCAGAGGAGAGGCCGCGGTGCCAGGAGTCCCAGAAACCTTCCCTTTTCAAGTAGTGTCTGGAGCACCGAGCCACGCCCACACCTACTGGCCAAGAGAAGTCACCAGCGTGCTCCCAGTGCCTCCCAAGGTGCCGGCAGCTGCCTGGCTGCGGCTGGGGAAATGCAGACTGCGCTTGAGGGCTCGCTTGCCGCCGTCCTGGAGGGGCTGTTATTAAGCCTTGTTCTCAGGTTTCATATTGCATAGAAATGTTACCTTACAGCTTAGGAATTCTGTTCCCGTGAAGCTTACATAGGCCCCTGTCCCTCAGCCTTCTGGGCCACTTTTGGCGTTTCCCTCTAAAGGTGGCACTGTCAAGTCTTCTTAACATAATCATCATTTAGTCCATTTTCAGTCATGCAGTCCACGGGGAAGCTTTAGAAACAACCGAGGCACACGTGTTTGGACTGCAGGTAAGAAGAGCAGGCAGGAGGGAAAACACACCCTCAACGCAGTTAAAGCTCTGCTTCTTTAACACACACCGAACTGTCCCAAACCCAGGCACAGCCAAGCCAGGGCAGGTCAGAGCTCCGCAGAGGTGGAGGCCGAGGTGGCTCTGAGCAGCTGCAGCAGCTGGGCGGGAGGGGCCTGGGGAGAAGGAAGCCTCAGAATCGCCTTAAAAGAGGAAACCGTGATGTCACTCCCAAGGCTGCCTACTTGGCCCCATTGCCTGCCTCCGAGTCTCCGGGCTGAGGTGTATTTAGAAAAACCGAACTCCAGATCCCGGAAGCCACCTATTCTTAGAAACAAGCGCAGGGCTCCCTCGGGGCTGCAGCCGCCTGCGTTCCTCCCCAGCTCGGGGCCCCCGACTGCTGGGCTGCCTCCTCGGGCAGGTGTGAGACTGCAGGGGACGGGTGGTGAATGCGGCCGACACTTGGCTTCCCTGGAATGGGTCCTTGTCCCTACACATTTCAGAATCCCTCTGGCCACGGAAACACCCACATGGAAGCGCCCGTGATGTCCGGGCATCACAATTCTCTCCGTGGGGACGTGAGATGCCATTCTCAAGGCCTCCAGCAGCTCAGGGTCTGGCCCTCGGCAAGGCTATTTCCTTCCAGCCTTTGGAAATAGTGATTGTGCTAATGCACCTGGTATATGTGGGTATCAGTCGCTCCTTTTTTTTATTATTATTACTTATTTGAGATGGAGTCTAACTCTGTCTCCTGGGCTGGAGTGCAGTGGTGCGATTTCGGCTCACTGCAACCTCCACCTCCCGGGTTCAAATGATTCTCTTGCCTTAGCCTCCTGAGTAGCTGGGATAACAGGCGCCCGCCACCACGGCCAGCTAACTTTTTGTATTTTTAGTAGAGACGGGGTTTCACCATGTTGGCCAGGCTGGTCTTGAACTCCTGACCTCGTAATTCACCCGCCTCGGCCTCCCAAAGTAATGGGATTACAGGTATGAGCCACCGTGCCCGGCCTCAGTCGCTCCATTTAAGTGAGTTTTCTGGATAATGTTTCCTCATTTAGCACCCAACTGTGGGCCATTTTCAGTAGACCCTTCTAGCAGCCCTTCATGGGGATGGCCAGCAGCCTGGGTTTCGCACGTCCTTTCACAATCAGTAGAAGATCCCATGCTTCCGTCTCTGTCCCACATCATGGTCTTCTAGAGCGTAAGCATCTCACTTTTCTTTTTTATCTGAGTACTCTCTACATAGAAGTGGCTGAATTCAGGTTTGTGGGCCAAAGTGGAGAAATAATAACAATGCTATTATTATTATAATTGCATATTAATATATTACATATCAATGTATTACATACTATTACACAATTATAATAGCAATAGCACTTCTCCACTCCATATGGTGCACTAGTTGCCTTATAAACTCCACATAAAACCTATGAGTATTTTCATTTCCATTTTTTACAGACAAGGAGGGATCAAAGATACTAAGGGATACACCCAATTGCATGGCTAGAAATGATGGCTGAGATTGGAGTGGGGTTGGTGATCCCCAGGAGCCATCCTACTTTTCCAGCACTGTGGCTTACACAAGAAACACACCTGAGTCTCTCTTCTTACAAAGTGAATCCTGCAGTTGTTTTGTTCTGTAACTTGAGCATGTGTCCGAAAACCTTGGAGGATTTTTTACACCAAAGGTTGCTCGGTGCAGTCAGGGAGGCTGAAAGCTACTTAGCGTTTCTCAACACTCTACACACTTTAACCAGTGTATCCGCAACTGCAACGACAATCTAGTCACACAATGTAACCACGGTCTACCCATAACTGCAACCACAGTCTATCCATATGCTGTAGCCATGGCCTATCCACATGCTGTAACCATGGTTTATCTAAACACTGTAACCATGCTTTATCCACAAAACGTAACCACGGTCTATCCACACACTGTAACCACGGCCCATCCACACGCTGTGACCACGGCCCATCCACACGCTGTGACCACGGCCCATCCACACGCTGTGACCACGGCCCATCCACACGCTGTAACCACGGCCCATCCACACGCTGTAACCACGGCCTATCCACACGCTGTAACCACGGCCCATCCACACGCTGCAACCACGGCCTATCCACACACTGTAACCACGGCCTATCCACACACTGTAACCACGGCCTATCCACACACTGCAACCACGGCCTATCCACGCACTGCAACCACGGCCTATCCACGCACTGCAACCACGGCCTATCCACACACTGTAACCACGGCCTATCCACACACTGTAACCACGGCCTATCCACACACTGCAGCCACGGTCTATCCACACACTGTAGCCACGGCCTATCCACACACTGTAGCCACGGCCTATCCACACACTGTAACCACGGCCTATCCACACACTGCAGCCACGGTCTATCCACACACTGCAACCACGGCCTATCCACGCACTGTAACCACGGCCTATCCACACACTGTAACCACGGCCTATCCACACACTGTAACCACGGCCTATCCACACACTGCAGCCACGGTCTATCCAGGCACTGTAACCACAGTCTATCCACACACTGTAACCTCCAACTATCATAATCACTGTGCCTCCCTTAGCAGACACAGAAGTCCAGGATGAGGATTTTCTTCATGGGAACAGCCTCAGATTTCTAAGCCCTTTTAGTTCATACTGTGGTTTTTGTGTTTAACTTTTTTTTTTTTTCAGACGGAGTCTCACTCTGTTGCCCAGGCTGGAGTGCAGTGGTGTGATCTTGGCTCACTGCAAGCTCCACCTCCCGGATTCACGCCATTCTTCTGCCTCAGCCTCCCAAGTGGCTGGGACTACAGGCACCCGCCACTGCGCCTGGCTAATTTTTTCTATTTTTAGTAGACAGTGTTTTACCGTGTTAGCCAAGACGGTCTCGATCTCCTGACCTCGTGATCCGCCTGCCTCAGCCTCCCAAAGTGCTAGGATTACAGGCGTGAGCCACCGCGCCCGGCCTCTGTTTAACTTTTTTGTTCCTTGCTGTCAGTTGTGAATATCACTTCTTCCCTACAGTGTACCCTCATCTCCTCTTTTCTCAGCTCCTTCTAAACCCCTATTTGCAGGGAAACTGGACCACAGAGCTTGCCTCAGCCTTCCTCACTAAGTGCTGCTACATGTCTGCTCTATGCCAGGGAAGGAGCATCCTCCAGAAGCTCGCAGTCCACTGGGGGATGGAGAGGGAAGACAGTGGCTTTGGAGGGTGCTAAGGACACAGGGCTCAGCTGTGACTTGGCTTGGGAAGGCAGGTGTTTGGGACCAGCGTCCCCCAGAAGGTGACATTGGGTGTGGGCTTTGAGCATGAGCAGGAGACAGTCAGATAGAGAATGAAGGCGGCAGCCAGGCACTCCACACGCCAGAGGACATAGCAAGTCCAGGGAATTGGGAGTAATATTAATAGCTGGACGGTGGCCTTGTTGGAGGAGCAGGGGGACTCAAGCCACTACCTGAGAGCATGGCCCGCAAGAGTCCATCTGACGTGTGACTCCCCACTGAAGCGTTGAAATTACTGGTTAAGTTCCCTTGGGACAAGTGTGATAATGCTTCACACCGAATCATAGAATTGGATACTTAAGGAGGGTTTTAGAGTTCACCTTGGACTTCCTCTGTTTTAATAAGGTGTCGAAATTCCCTTAAGTAATTAAGAAGAGATGAACCATCAAGATGGTAGCTATTTCTAGAATATCCTTCCAGGTCTTCCATGTACTTCTCTGTCATTGATGTATGATTACGACCTAATTTGCAGCTTTTAGGGCAATTTTGCTACTTTATAGATGGCTTTGGTATTTAATTTTCCTTCTCACACAGAGTGAGCCACAAGTCTAAACACACTACCACTCTTTTGATCATATTTCCTGTATGCGGCAGTGAACAGGGTAGGAACCTTCATCTGTGCAGTCTGGCAGATGCCATTTACCGCCTGCACAGCAGTCCTTCTTCCATCCTCTGTACATCATCTGCCAATGGCTCACCTCTCAGTGGCCAAGTGCATCAGTGTGAGTGTTGCTGCAGCTTGAAAAGGGCTGACACAGCCAGGCGCAGTGGCTCATGCCTGTAATGTCAACACTTCGGGAGGCCGAGGTGGTCAGATAGCTTGAGACCAGGCGTTCGAGACCAGCCTAGCCAACAGGCTGAAACTCATCTCTACTAAAAATATAATTAGTTTGGTGTGGTGGCATGCGCCTGTAATCCCAGCTACTCAGGAGGCTGAGGCACGAGAATCGCTTGAACCCGGGAGGTAGAGGTTGCAGTGAGCTGAGATCGTGCCACTGCACTCAAACCTGGGTGACAGAGCGAGACTGTCTCAGAAAAAAAAAAAAAAAAAAAAAAAAAAAGAAAAGGGCTGACACAAAATAACCACTGATTGCATCCTCCTGTTAGCATCTTGGTTTATTATGTGTATAAAACCTCCTACAATCTAAAAATCACCCCCCAACAAAATCTATTCTTGATCTGACATAAACCTATGAATGTAACTCTCAAAACCACAACTGCACTGCAGTACAGTATTAGCATTTATCAGATAAAAATACAGTTGATTAATTTCTGAATCCATCAACCCTTAAAGGGTAAAATTTATAAAAGATTAGCTTGCAATATTCAGATACAATTGTTTTTTCCCTCTCTTCCTTTTGTCCCCCAAGAGTATTGTAAATGGTACATATGGCTAATCAAATCAACAAGAAAATAACGAGTGTCCTATTTGTTTTTTCCGGACCCTGTTCTGACAGCATCTTCCATGGCTCAAAAAGGCCACATCCTAGCGTGGATACGCAGAACATGGCACTATCCCCATAAGTTTGAGCAAACATTAAAAAAATAAACAAGAGTCACTTAAAAAATGTGGTACATTAAAAGTGATGCTTAAAAGAGCTAGTTGAGTTGATTCTCTGTCAGAATCTTATGGTTGAAATTAGATAAAATCATCAGTGGAATTTTGTGTACATGTTTTATACAATAATATCCATAACTCATAATGAAATGGCCAAACTCCATTCTGAACACTCTTTCTTAAGGTTAATATAAACAGAAATCTATTACCACTAAGCTGAGTAAAAATCTTTAAAAAATTATCTGCGGATTATTTTTCTGTTATTCAAAGTGTATATTTTCAATAGGAAAAATGTGATGCAACTATTTTTGACTTTCTTAAAATGTGGTTTGGGAAATAAGTTATTCACTCATTAAAATAGATAGCTAGCGTTCCTTAAAGTTTGAATACAGGAGGAATTTTTGTTGTTGTTGATCTCTCCTATTCAAATTCCTCTTTCAAAATTGGATCAATTTAAGGAAACAATTTAATATAATTGTTAAAGTGATATTTAATAGATTCTTCAATTTTATTTACTTTGTGTGACATTGTATTTATTTTATATAATTCATTGTAAATAGAAGTTTACGCACAGAGTTACCATAAATACATCCTGTTTTATTTACAAAGTATCTAAGGAAGAAGATGATTCATGCTCCCTAGTCTCCAGCACCTGTTTTGATACTTTACTCATTTACTGCTATGTGATTCATATATTTCTCTCTGGGGAAGTGGGCGGAAGACGGGTGCACATTGTTCTATGAAAACTTCAAGTCTTGCAAGTCTTGTTTTTTCCCCTAAGTCTTTTAAAATGTGCTGTGGAAAGAATTTATTCTAATTGGCTAATCAACAAGGATGCTATAGCACTATGCAGCTGTTTATGAGAAAAAACTGTCCTCAAATACTTGTCCACCATAATTGCTTTGTTTGAAGACATTTGGAATGGAGAGGTTTAGTAATGGATAGAAGGGATTGTTTTTTTCTCTATTTATGATTCGATGAATGGAAATCCTTTTAGACTGGCTAAACTACTTCTATTTTCTGATCTTAAAGTAGTTGTTCAACAGCAGTAGGACACAAATGATGCTGGATATATATATGGCAACCGTGAAAAATTCAGTGATAACAAATACTGTAGTTCTAGTGCAAATTTGTCCCATTGAAATAAGTAATAATCAAGGCATAGCATCAAGCTTCTAGAGAAAAAATGAAATCCAGCAGAAAAAGGGAGAGCATAAAATCTCAGTATGGGTACTGAGACCTAGGGAGTGGGGTTATCATCACCACCACCATTTTAGACTAATAATAACGATGATATGAAGATGATGATGCGTTGGGTGCTTGGCTGTGTGGTTTACACACTTCCTTTCATTTGTTTCTGAAAGGGAGTGAAAAAGGAGTGAGGCAGATTCAATCCCAGACTGCGTCCAGGGTCAACCTTTCTACTAACAGGAGGATTCCCAGATGCAAATTCAAGCAGGTCGAGAACACATTGTTGACCTGAGGCTCCTTTTCTGACCTGTCCTTGAGGCTGAGAGTTCAATCACGTGTTCACTGGTATCTCCAGTTGTGCGAGACAGTCACTAATAGGGTCATAAGGACCCACCTGGCAGAAAGATGCACAGCCTAAGTTGATATCTGGTGGCTCCTGATGAAGAGGTTTAATAACTGTTATTTCCCAATAGGATTTACAGTATTTTAGATTTTTAAAGAATCATTTTTTTCCTAAAGAAATCTGGCTACGGTAGAGGAGCAGGCGGATGTCAAGGAAAGGGGACGCCAGAGTGCTGGGCGTGAGAGCCCCGTGGGTGTGAGATAGAGCCGGTGGGTGTGACATAGAGCCGGTGGGCGTGAGATAGAGTCCGTGGGTGTGAGATAGAGCCCATGGGTGTGAGACAGAGTCCATGGGTGTGAGATAGAACCTGTGGGTATGAGATAGAGACCGAGGATGTGAGATAGAGCCCGTGGATGTGAGATAGAGCCCATGGGTGTGAGATAGAGCCTCTGGTTGTGACATAGAGCCCGTGGGTGTGAGATAGAGACCCATGGGTGTGAGATAGAGCCCGTGGGTGTGAGACAGAGCCCGTAGGTGTGAGACAGAGCCCGTGGGTGTGAGATAGAGCCTGTGGTTGTGACATAGAGCCTGTGGGTGTGACATAGAGCCCGTGGGTGTGAGATAGAGCCCATGGGTGTGAGATAGAGCCTGTGGTTGTGAGATAGAGCATGTGGGTGTGACATAGAGCTCGTGGGTGTGAGACAGAGCCCGTGGGTGTGAGATAGAGCTCTGTGGTTGTGAGATAGAGCACGTGGGTGTGAGTTAGAGCCCATGGGTGTGACATAGAGCCCGTGGGTGTGACACAGAGCCCATGGGTGTGAGACAGAGCACGTGGGTATGAGATAGAGCACGTGGGTGTGAGATAGAGCTTGTGGGTGTGACATAGAGCTCATGGGTGTGAAATAGAGCCCGTGGGTGTGAGATAGAGCTTGTGGGTGTGACGTAGAGCCCTGTGGGTGTTCGATGAGCCTCCTAGTGCCCTCTTGCCCGAATATTGATGGAAAAAATCCCTACATTCTTCTAATGTGAGTGTGTGCATAGAAAACCATCTTATCTCTAAGTGAGTGTGAGAATCCGATGAGTCAGCACGTATACAAATAGAGACTTATTTAAAATATTAATATTTAAATTTTAACAGTTAACACATTAAAGCTGTATAAACAAGTGACTTATAGTTACTATGCATTAGGCAAAGGCACAGGAAAAGTTCCTCTTGTGAAAATCTCCTCTATAAAATCATAAACAATACTGATAACTCATGTCCATGCTGGTGGGAGAAAAGTCTAAATAAAATTCTCTGTTCGACCCTCCCCTCAGAAGAAAAGCCTCTCAGAAGACTTCCTTCAAGACCCACCTCTTAAGAGGCTCCTGGGGGTTAAAAAGCTGTTATCAAATGCAAATCACTCCCAGCTGGGTTGAGGCCATGACTAATGTGCTCTTTGGTGAAGTTTCTTTTCATCTGCAATCCACAGATGCTTTGCTCAAACATGGAAGGTGTGGGGACGGTTTGAGTGGAGCAGATCCTCTCAGAACAGGACTAGCTGGCAACACAGGCCATTGCAAGGGAAGGCTGGCCTGCGGAGGGCTCACTGGGACACGGGAGAGAGCTGCCTGGTGACACAGAGGGGCTGGAGAAGGTGGAGGAGAGGAGGCAGGTGGAGGAGGGTCAGCTTTCCAAGGCGGAGCGGGTTGCTAAGTAAGTCCTTCTACCAGGAAGCTCAGCTGCACCTCCCAAATAATGACAAGGGACCCAGACACCATCCTAACGTGGCTCTCATGTGTTAGGGGTGCACAGGCATAGCCACCTAGGGAGTGGGGGGCTCATCAACACTGCCATTTTAGAGATAAAACACGGTGGTGCCAAGAGATTAACTAATGTGCCCAGCAGCCCGCACTTCCGAATGGGGGTCCATGGGG
The DNA here is from genome assembly GCF_000001405.40 of Homo sapiens. Lineage (NCBI taxonomy): Eukaryota > Metazoa > Chordata > Mammalia > Primates > Hominidae > Homo > Homo sapiens. Next base: position 110,379,658 of record NC_000013.11, on the reverse strand, counting down.
AGTACTCCGACCCCAGCACCCCAGCTCCATGGTCTGTGCACCCGCCTGACACGGCACCTCCAGAGTTGGATTTGGGGGTGCATGAGAAGGGAGGAGCCTTGCAGCTTCTGCTGCAGCCAAAAGTCTGTGAGCCCCACTGCTGCCCGGCGCCCCTGGCTCCTCAATTTGAGGTATACACAGAGCCTGACACACAGTAGGAACTCAGGTATTTGCTGAGTACATGAAAGAAATGAGCTGCAAGATGGAAGGTCATGCCAAGGAATTTTGCAGGGGCTTTCTGAGGGCAAGGCTTTCCCTCGGGTGCACCTGCACGCGTACTCGCCTCTTAGCTTAGGGTGCTGAGCACTGCTCTAGCCCAGGGTCTCCCACCTTCAGCACTTCAGATAATCTGCACCAGATAATTCTTCTTCACGGGGCTGTCCTGTGCATATAGGATGTGTAGCAGCGTCCCTGTGCCCCACCAGATGCCAGAAACACCCTCTCCACAGTATGACAACCAAAAGTGCCTTCAGATTTTGTCTGATGTCCCTGAGAGGAAGCTGCCCCTTTTCAAGAAGCCCTGGTGCAGCCACCTAAGAGCAGAAGGTGCAGTCTTCTCCGTGCCTGCGGAACTAGGCAGGTGCTGATGGGTCAGGGCCAGGCAAGACTACAAACGGGGCCCAAATGCCCCCGGCTCCATGATCTCCCCTTTACAGGAGCCGGAGAGTGCGTGAGGTGGGACACGGAGGCTCTGCCTCATATGAAGCAGCTTCCATTCATGACTGTGTCCACCGACACCAATGTGGAGCTCTCCACCATGATCACATTGTGGAGAAGGAAATACACCGCGGGACCGAATTCCTTGTCTAAGGACTGTCTAGGTCAGACTGGGAACATTCTTCCCAGTGGTTCGAAGGGTTTGCTTCCTAAGTATCGTTCAAATGCTGTCTGCAGGGAATACTGCATTCAGGAAGTGCCCACTGGGGTGGGTTTTAATGCGACTTTTCATGCAGAGGGCATTTGCTTCAATTATTTCCTTGTAAAAGAAATTTCACTGATTATTTCTGTTTCTTGGAAACAACTCCATTTAGTATTTTCTCTTAGCTCTTCCTAAATCAATCTTAAAAGGCCTCCTGATTTGGCTGTAATTCCAGAATCTTTCTCCATCTCAGAGAATCTCCTGAGGCGAGGGACCCGGAGGAAAGGGCCTGGTTCTGTCTCATGAGGCCGCAGGCGCACCTCTGGACCATGGAGGGCCTCAGTTTCCTCAACTGGGAAAGGAGACTTGCTAGTGTATCAGGTCCTTCCTATATCTACAATTCTCTGAATTTGTTCCATATCTATTTTTTTGGACAAAACTTTTGTCCTCCCTTGTCTGTATTTCCTTACATCTGAGTTTTATTTACAAATGATTTGAGCAGCAAATCCTTGATACTTAAGGTTGCCAGTGAAGACCTTGAATAAAGGGAGATACAATTAAAGCTGCATGCATCTTATTTTAGCCAAGAAAGCAGAAAACTCTGCTCAGATAGAACAAAAGCCTAATGAGCCCTGTTGAAATTCTTCATTTCACATTACATCTCGATTCGAGACGCCTGGGCTATTCCTTTTGCCAAAACTGTGTAAAATGTGACCGTGGTTTTAATATTCTTACAAGCCGTGGGTTATTCTTCTGTTGAATTCCCACAAGCCCTGTTTGTTGTTTTTCAGAGCAAACCACTCACTTTTCCAAACTGGGTTTTGATTGCTAATAAGAGAAACATTTTGACAGTATACTTTTTTTTCCAGAAAAGTTCTGTGAAGAAGAAAGTTCTGTTGAAATATACTTGTGATATGTTCAAATTAGGTCTGAATAAAGCCATTAAGTATTAGGCTGAATTTTATAAAGTACGTATTCAGATGATTTTACCTTCTTTAACATGTTTTTCTATTATCTCTATTTTTAGTATTGTTTCACCAAGGTTAGCTCAACATAATGAATTTCCCCATAGTCAAAGCCAAAAATATGAAGGCGGGGGAGGAGTTTCTGTAAAGAGTTGGTCCTTGGGGATTATTTCGAAAAGCTTTTCCTGAGTCAAATGATTTTAACGGAATCACAATTCCCACCCTCCTGATTCCCCATGGAAAGCCCATTAGTTGAGGGGAGCTCAAATCCCAGTGGGGGTGGGGTGGGCACACCCAGGAGCAGCTGCAGGGATGTGCGGGGTCCTGGGATGGAGATGGATACAGGGAGAGTGTGTGCCCTTGCTCAGTGCACCTCCAGAGCCAGAAAGTAAACTGGAGGGTCAGGAGAGTGACCAGGCAGGAGTGAGGGGTAGGCTCACCACACAGGAAGGACAGCTGCAGATGAGCCGATAATGACAGATGCAACCAATACTGCATCTGGATTAAAGCACTCTGACCCCAAGCAAGGGCAGAGATGGCACCTGTTGCATGTAGAATGCAGATGTCCTAACCAAGAAACATCTGACAATGCACTCTGGTGACCATGAGCAGAATGCTACAGCTGGCATGGTGGTATAAGCAAGTCTCCCCACCCCCACCCTAGCTTTCAGGTGTATAAGACACTCACCACCCAAGTCTAAGCTGGTGGGATAATCAATAACTGAACATAGTGACATTCAACGTAATAAGTAAAATTAAAGTTTTCCCCTTAATAAGATGAACCACACTGGCCATTCTAAAGATCAACGATCACTGAGTGAAGACAGGTCTAGTTCCATATCTCAGCAAGAAAGATAACTTTTAGGATATGTCTTCTAGGCACACAATGAATTATCTATCTGCTTAATAACCTGGCCTCACCAAGGCAAGCAGGATGCGTCAGTCTCAGGAGAACACCTGAGGCTGCACTCGGCCTGGCCTCGACTCTCCAAGGGGGTTTCAGGAAGGTCCTCGGGGGCCTTGAATTACAAGTAGGGCCCCTGGGCCAGCAGCTACCATGTCACTGGGGAGCTTGAGGCAACTGCAGAACTTCAGGCCCTCCTGGGCCTGCAGAACTAGCATCTGTGCTTTACCAAGGGGCCCAGGCTGCTTGCAGGCACATTACAGCGTGAGAGGCATTCCTTCCGATAATTTGCAACATGAAACAAATATGTAATGTAAAAACGATGATTTTTATAAAAAAGTAAAGTTTCCAAAACTAATATAAAAATTTGCTAAAACCATCAAAACTATCAGAAAAATAGTGATTTTTTTTTGGGTGGGGGGGCTAATGATTATGGAATAATGAATCACAATTCATCTACCAAGAATACAAATCAAGGCAGGATGATTAAAATGTAGTTAAGCAGGTCAGAGGCTCATGTGATATCAAGCAGCAACCAGAAGAGTCACTGCAATAAAAACAGGCTCCGACCTTCTGACGCTCACAGTTCCAGACTGTTGCTCTGCCAGGAACAGTGAAGCGGGTGGAGATAAGAGACTATTTCCTTACTTATACCTTACCTAGTTCTTCTCAGTCAGATCAGAAGTGATACATAAGAGATTTAGGAATGCATTTCGTACTGTCATGAACAAGCAGGAGGCCACTCTGCACTGCAAGCTATCGTGTCTCCCCAAATATCCCTAAGCCAGTGAATGTCAGATAGTTCTTTCCTTAGCAAAAATTTTGTTCAGCTGAAATAGACACTGTGATTCTACTGGTGCTTACTCTGCATAATGATGTATAAATCACCCAAATCAGAACAGAGGCTGACAAAGCCTTAATTTACTCAGGGAATGTCAAAAGCCCAGGAAATGCTTCTGCAGCACAGAAGAAAAATTAAATGAATAAAAACTTGTACGGACCACTCCTGTATAAAGATGTAGCATAATCACGATGATTTTCTCTGTCAATTTTTTTTTTTTTGAGACAGAGTCTCACTCTGTCATCCAGGCTGGAGTGCAGCGGCGTGATCTTGGCTCACTGCAGCCTCCGACTCCCGGGTTCAAGTGATTCTCCTGCCTTCAGCTCCCAAATAGTTGGGATTACAGGTGTGCGTCACAACACTAAGCTAATTTTTGTATTTTCAGTCGAGAAGAGGTTTCGCCATGTTGGCTAGGCTGGTCTCGAACTCCTGACCACAAGTGATCTGCCCACCTTGGTCTCCCAAAGTGCCGGGATTACAGGTATGAGACACTGCACCGGCTCTGTCAAAAATTTAAAAAGACTCAAGGTCCAAAATACCTCCTTTATGAGACTTTAATGGGAGCCCTATTTGCAGGGATGCTCGCCCACAAACCCAACAGTCCCTGCAATGCCCAACTGACTGGCATTTTCTGTCATTTTGCGGATGACTGTTGCGGAAGTTCCACAGAAAGAGAAAACGTGGTAGTATCCACCATCTGTTGAGCCTCTGCACTGTGACAGGCACTGCGCTGATCTCTCAATACCATCGCCACATTGGAGCTGCTGGAGGCAGTAACTATGATTCCATTTTCAGAGGCAGAATTCGACGGCAAAGGGGAACATGGCTCACCCAGGGGCTGGGACAGAGGTGTAAGGGCTGGAATGTGATGCCAAAGTCAAGATGCTTACCCGGTGAGCCATCCTCACACCTGAATGGCGAGAAGTATCGCATCTCAGAGTCCAATTGGGCAACAGCTCTAACCCCACACATCTTATAGTGAGGAATGTCTTCTATGTGCCTTATTGGAGTAGATAAGGACTAAAGTAAAAGGGCCCCAGTAAAGAAAGGGCTTAAAACCAGGAGCTATAAGAATTTCTTTTAGGATTAAATAATCCTCTAAGGAGATTAATTGGCAGATCTACACAGTATCTCACCTTGACTTAGAGGGTAAGACTTGAACAACTTCCAGTGCATTCAGGGTGTTCTTGACTCAGGAATGCTTCTGAAGAGGGGAAAACTATCCACTTAATGAAACTACAGAAGTATAATCGGCATGAGGTTAGCAGAGTCAGGGGTGGAGCAGTGGGACAGAGCAGGAGAGTGGGAGGAGAGGAGGAGAGGGGTAACTAGGATGGATGGAGATGAGGAAAGCATTTGCTATATTTGGAGAACCTTTCTGGTTTTCAAAGAGGAGATTCCCTGTGAGCAAAGAGGAAAGCAAAAAGAGCCAAATCGATTTGCCAGTTCCTGGAACAGAGCTGCTTCCAAAAGAGGAAAGAGAGTAGGATAAACGCAAACAGATGGGGAAAAGGATGGATATTTAATTCACAAAACTGTGGCCTTATAGACTTTTGCTTCTTTGGTTTAGTGATTTTGTTTAGGGAGAGAAAGAGTTGATGTGGAAGTTAAAGGTTGAGAAAGAAAGAATAATTTTGAACAACTGAGTTTCAAGGTGCAACATCATACCCAGATTTTAAAGGATGCCCCTCAGGGAAAGTTAAGTGTTGGCTCCAGATCTCGGGTCAGAGTTTGGTTCCTTAACTCTCTAATGATGTGATTTTGGGCAGCTCACATCATTGTTCTTCAATTAATTTCCTCCTTGTAAAAGTGGGTTACATCACGGAGCTGCCCTAAGGAGGAAGTGTGAATGGATGTAAAGTGCTCCCATCGCCCCGGGACCACCGTAAGCTGTCAATCAATGCTGGGTATCATGACAATGCATGCTGACCCAACGGGCCATCGTTTTCTCCTTTTTCCTCTAATTCATACCAAGTACTAAAATTGGACGTGACACGATTATGATGAACATTAATAAAACTTCAGTTCAGTTGAAAACTCTCAAGCTGGATAATTGCTGGAGATATTCCAGGGTGCCAAGTCTCTACTGCGGCCGTGCAAAAACTGGCCACGGCTGCACAGGGCTGCATTATATCCTTGAAGAGCCTTAGCATCCAAAAGGGGGTAAAAAGAAAACGGATGCTGCCCCTTGGCATGTGCCCGATTAACTTACACTCAACAAGGGATAAGGAAAACACAGAGGCGGAAAGGAGCCAACTCCACAGATGCTGGAGGACGGAGGCATTAGGATGTCATAGATTCTCAGGCAGTTTGGCAGAGTTTGATATAATTTTAGGGATGCCCTGGATTTCTACGTCCTCACACCCTGCGGCTTGGGTATTTATCTCTCATGTGCACAACCAAGCATGTGTAAGCAGTGGCTGTAGCTGGAGGCCACTTTATTCAACACAGGAGACACCCCTGAGTGTGAATAAGCCACACATGAGGACAGGAGAGAGCAGCTTTTTGCTTAAATCCTAAGTTTTACCTAAGTCTAATGGCTGCTTCAAATTTCTTTTTAGCTGATCACATCAGGAGGACTGTTCTATAAGTTGTTCTGATTTTTGCTTTTTTAAGAAAAGTAGTCAAATATTTCACTACCCAAAGCCCTCTACCATAGATGCCCTCTGAAGGCAAGATTTAAAACGTTCTTAAGATTTGTACTTGCTACTAATGGTCCAATTAAATATCAACTCTGTGAAGGTAAAGAAGGCTAACATTTGTAAATCATTTCCCTACCTAAAAAATGCGTTCACAACACAGTTGGTACTGGTTGGGTGGCAGGTAGAATGGAAATCCTAAAGTTTGGGTTGTTCCATCAATATGAATATTCTGCAGCCCACATGTGCTATTCAAGTGGATCAGACACCCCAAATGATTCATAGTGCTGGCAGAAAAAACTTACAACTAAATCATTATGCTTCCTTTTAAACTGTGAAAACAGGTAACAGACATCCCAACTCAGAGAAATATTATGTATAAAGAAATAAACTGTTTAGTCACTAAACCACATGGCTAGTAAGAAATGGGTACACAGCTACACAGCAGCCAACATACATTAGAACCTATACCACAGTTTGGAAATAAAATCATGTGAACCAGAACAATGACCTTCCATGACATGCAGTGTGCACATCCCAGACAATGGGAAATTTAGACACACAAACAAAAGACAAACAACAAAACCTGCCCAAAGGCATAGGAAACACCTGCAATTTTTAAAATGGAACAAGCTACTAATGATTATTTCATATGAAGCTTTTAAAATAATATTTGCTTCACTGTAGTGGCCACAAAATAAGATTTAAAGCTCTGTAAATAAATCAATGGAATGATATCTACAGTTTAAGTTGGCAATTTTCTGTCTTTTCAGGTTATCTCTCTTGGCAACAGGAGAAGAGATCTTTACAAACAAGAAAAAAGCTTGCCTGCCTTCCAGAAATAACACACATTAAAAAAGAAAGGCAATGATACACAAAGAGTAAAATGTCTCCAGATTTGAAACAATAGCATAACACTGATTATTTTTATTAAAAAATAACACAAGACAAATTCCAGAGAAGAGAAACTCTACAGGATGACACTTCTCATTTCCCCATTCCTGACCTGTCAGAGAGACTTACGAGGTTCTGAAATAGCTCACAAATCACATGAAGGAAAAACGGGTCACCTGACTTGGTGTTCAGAGACGGAAACATTATTATTTTCTTAAACAAAAAAGTCTGTTGAAGGGTTTTGGGAAAGTTTTCTCTTTGTGCTTGATCCCACCCCCGCACAGGGTCCTCTGCCCCCTCTCTCAAGGAACCACCTCAACAGTGGAATGACCGGCCCGGTGTGCTGGGCTCTGAAGACAATGGGATGTTGTCAATCATTCATCAAAATACCCAGTTGTTCATGCTTCAGTTATGTTTTAAGTTCCTGCCAACTAGAGTAAGGACAATTGGAAACCCCCTGAGTGGGATGTAGCATTCTTACAGAGAGAGAGAGAGGTGAGCGGAATCTCCCAGCTCCTCAGGGTGCAAATGTGGTTCCGGCCTTGTCCACCCACTCCTGCCTCCTTTCCCCTCCATGAGCCAATTCCCTGTCTGTTCATTTCTGGAGTTCCTATTGTCTCAAAGCCAACAGCATATAGAGATCAGTAGGATAAGAACTGGGGGAGACGGAAAGACAATGAGCTCCCGGCACGGCCAACGTCAGACCCCAGGCAGAACAGTCTTTGCAGCGCCCAGGCCCCAGGCTTTCCCATATCCCAGACGGCCCGCCGCCCGCCCTACACTATGCTCAGAGAGCAGGGAGTATCGATGCTCACAGCAGAGCTACGTGGAGAGCGCCTGATGGTTTCAAAACCAGCTATTGTTCAAAACACTTAGGAACATCTGGCACAGGCTTGATATAAAAACATGATAAATTTTAAAAAGCAACAGTGTCTTCTAATAAAGTTGCAGGACATTAAAAAAACACACACTGGGTTTCATTTTAAGTTCTCAGATAAGATTAAGTGCTAAAAATAACTAAAATCCTATGTTGAGCACTGGAGGTTGAAAAGATTTTCTAGGATAGTACATTGTTATTCCCCTGGAAATACACGCATACAGAAAATATATAAATACTTGGTAAATATAAGATGTATACAATTTCAGAACATAAATGTAAATAGGTCTAGGTACATGCACACACACATACAACGCACATCATGTACACTTTAAGATCCTGAGCTTCTTTGTTGTATCATAAGTATCTTAATTGTAGGAATAATTAATAACTAATTCTATGCAATAAGATAATTCCAGAGGCTTCTCTTACTATGTCAGCGGCTGCTAGGAAAGGATGCAGAGTGCTGGTGAAGAACCCTTGTCCTCCATAAATGCCAGTTTTAAAGGACGCATCTTATTCATCTTTGTGATCAACCGGGATTTCCATTACTCATCTTTCCTTCCAAGATAACTGACATTTTTGAAGGGCACCCTTTTTGTTAAACTTTATTTCCTTCTACTAAAGAAGTCTTTTTAATCTTCTGGAATTAAGGAGTTCATTTCCACCCACAAAGTTCTTTTTGTTAACTTCCTCAGTCTGATTATTCAACTTGAGGGTATGCAGATGGCTGCATAGCTATCCCTTTTCATCCATGCTATCCTCAAAATAAAGTCCCAAAAATACTAGTAGGAATTAGCATTTAGAAATCTCCTCTTTGGTCAATAGCCATCTTCATGGACTGTCTATGTCTGAATTAGATCAGTATTAGACAAGTAGGAGAGAGGGAGAGAGGAAAATCAAGGGCAGAAGAACACCTTCAATTTCTCCATCTCCACATCAGCAACTGTAGCTGCACCTTTCCACAATTTAACAGGAATCAAAACAAAATCCTGAATCAAGTTCAAAAATTAACTGCACAAGTGGAAATCCAAGAGTGAAGAAGCAGAAAAACAACAACAACACAACAACAACAACAAAATACAAAGCTGTGCACGGTGGCTCACACCTGTAATCCCAGCACTTTGGGAGGCCAAGGTGGGCGGACCACGAGGTCAGGAGTTCAAGACCAGCCTGGCCAACACAGTGAAACCCCGTTTCTACTAAAAATACAAAAAATTAGCTGGACATGGTGGCGGGCTCCCAGCTACTCGGGAGGCTGAGGCAGGAGAATTGCTTGAACCCGGGAGACGGAGGTTGCATTGAGTCGAGATTGCTACATTGCACTCCAGCCTGGGAGACAGAGTGAGACTTTGTCTCAAAAAACAAAACAAAACAAAACAAAACAAAAAACTTGTCAAAAGTAAAAAAAACCCTTGTTTTTTTTTTCTTTTTTTTGGTAGAAATACATTACTAGTGAGCCAATGCAATGCAATAATCTGGTTGGTAAAAGAGAGTGATGTGATTCTAGGACAGAGTTTTAGAAGTACAGCTTCCAAATACAGGGGGAAATCATTTCACTTCACTCCACGTTGATCAGGCAGCGGCTAGAAAGTAAAGTTGAAATCTTAAGGTCAAGACCTAAGAAGGAAAGTGAGACGCTCAGAACAAGGTGATTAGAATGAGGTGCAGGTTTTCCTATGAAGTCAGGGTATATTGCAGCTATTGATAATTAATACTTTAGGATGGAAAAGATTCAATAAATCATGTTCTTCCCTATGCTGTGCTGCGATCAATGAATTGAAGAAAGTGGGGCTGGACAGGGGGCTGGTGGGTGGATGATGGGAGAGAAGGCTCATCTGTGCAATGGGGAGCTTTGGGGTGAGGCTGGCTGGAGTCACCTGAGTATCATTGAGGTATCTGAGTTAGTGCGTATTTGTAAGCTGAGGCGGGAAGGGTGGGATTGCTGCAGAGAAGTCGGCACGTGTTAAAGCTAAAATTTTCCTTTGTTGCAGTTTTATTAACCATAGCCTATGCCATAGTGCCACCTGTTGAGTGCTACCGATGGGCATTCTGGCTGGAAGAACCACTTGTCCATAGTGTTAATAGTGCTCTCTATTAATGGTGTTAGATTTTAAAGGTCTCACAATGATTGAAGCTCATCAGAGGGTGAGTGCTCCTTATCTGACATGCTTGGGACCAGAAGTGTTTTGGATTTGGGAGTTTTTTGAATTTTCAAATATCTGCACATACTTACTGGTTGAGCAACCCTAAACTGAAAAATCTGAAATCCAAAATGCTCCAACGAGATGACCTTTGAGTGCCAGGTCGGTGCTCAAAAGGGTTCTGATTTTGGAGCCCTTCAGATTTTGGATTTTTGGATTAGGAATGGTCAACCTGAATAGCCATACTGTAACTCTAATTGCTTTATTTATTTATTTATTTATTTACTGAGACAGAGTCTCGCTCTATTACCAGGCTGGAGTGCAGTGGTGTGATCTCGGCTCACTGCAACCTCCAACTCCCGAGTTCAAGTGATTCTCCTGCCTCAACCTCTCAAGTAGCTGGGACTACAGGTGGCGTGCCACCACGCCCAGCTAAATTGTTTTGTATTTTTAGTAGAGACCTGGTTTCACCATGTTGGCCAGGATGGTCTCCATCTCTTGACCTCGTGATCCGCCCTCCTCGGCCTCCCAAAGTGCTGGGATTACAGGTGCGAGCCACCGCGCCTGGCCTAATTGTATTATTTTAGTCTTCTTGGATTTCACATTAAACATCCTAATGCTATTATTGAGCTCAACCCCCCCCCCCCCTTTTCTTTGGCCTTAGTTGATTGTGAATTAGAAAAATAGCTTAAATATAACAAATTATGGCACTAATGTAACTATTCTACCATTTGTAGAGATTAATTACATGTTCTCAGGATGCTTCTTGACAATACTGGCTTTCTGCAGTGAAACCTCTACAGCTCAACTCCTACGCAATCCTTGAAGATGAGCAGATGGGTATCACTCCCTGGTCATCTCTCCCCTTCATGCTTTAAAGTGAAAACAAACTCATGACAAATGCTGTCCAGACGAGCAATCATTTCTAAGAAAGAGGTGAAGCTGATAAGGAAATAGAAAGAAACCTCTCTTTCTATTTATTTTCTCTAGAAAGAATGCTTACTTTATGTCTAGTCAAAGGCATGTCTACCATTAGGTTTCATTTAGTGAAGCTGTGAAATGAAGCTTATTGCTTTGAAGTTTTAAGTGGGACTGAAAGTCTCTAAGTAAAACCTTATTTGGAAGAAGAGGAACTTTCTTAGTTCAACTTTTGGGAGTTGGATTATTTTCTTTTGCAATAGTATGTAATACCTTTAATGACTTGAGGCCTTTGTGAATTTTACTCTGGATATATATAAACCTACGCCTTTTTGTCTTTCCTTAAGTTACCAGTAAAGTCTATCCAATTTCTCTCCCTGGAGTCCTTAGAACAGAGTGGATATTCATCAGTCTCCAATGCATTCTTCTGTCCTTCCTGAATACGGGGCTGGGAGAAGACTAGTCGATGTTCTAGACCAATAATTCTATCATTCTTCGAAGAGAAGTCCAAATATTTGCAAAATTTCAGGTGTTAAATGATGAGGAATTTACCCCAAGGCCTTCAAGTGCAGGAAGCCTGGCTTCCTGTTTCAGAGTTTTGCTTGAATTTTCTGGACTGCTTATTCAATCCTCTCTTTCTTTTAGGTTGCAATGGTATGGCCGGTTGGGGCTGTGAACGTGTACAGTAAAATCTGTTAAAGATTATGGATCTTGCCCTCTGTGGCTGGCATATCCCAGCTGCCTGAGGGTATAAGATCTGCCACTTCTCTAAGCAGGGTTGAAATGAGCAGTATGCTAAAAGCAACACAAACAAAAGTGAACTGCTTCCTCCAGGCTCATAGGATTCTGTTAATTTTGCTCTAAATTAGTGGAAACTCATCAGTCCTCAAAGGCCACGGCAATATTCCTTTCACCAAACCTGAGAAAGCCTGCTTTTGCTGACAGATGCGAAGCATGGGTGCAATGCACAAAACTGATTTTGATAGTAAGGTTCTCTTGACATACATCTCATTTTCATAAGACTTTTACAATGCCATAATCACCACCCTAAGTGCATTTTTTTAAAAGTAATTATTGCCATGCAGAGCTAAGACATGCCAGAACTTTAATCTTCATTAGAGAGAGACCAACCTAACTATAGAATTCATCCAACCTTCGGTTTCTTTATTCAAAACAGACTTTAAGAGGGAAGAACTGTAATAATGCCTCACAAAGACAACAATTTAATAGAAAACACGGATGCTGACAATGGAGCCAAGAACTTGTTAGGCCAAAGATATTATTTACCCAACATTAATTACTTCCATTTTATTTTGTTCTTTTTCTTTATTTCTGGTTCCAAACCTCTAAGAGTTATTCACCCCAACAGTGTTTTAGATACAAAAACTTTTGTTCCTACGGTGGGGATTTTTCACACGCTCACAGTGGCTTCGCAGGAAGCTGCCATCGATACAGGGCTTACATTGGGTTCCTGGGAGGTGTCTGGCTGCTGCCATTCTCCTAGAATGCAAACCTCTAGGCTGGACACAGAGAGGAAAGGGACAGGGGTGTTTTGATCTTTCTAATCAGTGGGGACATATGGCCTTTGGAAGGCCTGCTTTGTGCTTCCCAGGTGAGTCAGACCTCTGACACCTTGAGCGCTTCAGTGGTCTACACCACAATGAACTCATTTGGGTGAGATGCCAGAGGGCTCAGAAGTGCAGGCAGCTCAGGGCCTCAGGTTGACCAGCTTCCTAAGGACATTTTGAAATGACTGTTTCATTTAAAAATACATTTATTATATGTTTACCCTAATGTCAATGATAGTAACAGACAATGTATGCAGCCATCTTCACCCTTCGAAGATGAAGGACACTAACCATGTCCTTCTGATTTAATGATGGACAAAATAAAGCAGAGATGAAGGGACCCCATTTCCTCCTTCCTGGGGTACCCACTGCATGCAGCATTTAGGTGGCAAATTCAAAGGCCCCTCAGGGAGGAAAATGTGCATACGGTTGCTTGGTTTGATCATTTGTGCCATTTTCTCCCCTTGGCTATTATTTTACTGTCTCCAGAAGAAAACAACAACAGTAATTTCAAAACTTTGCAAAACAATCTAGTAGTTTTCTCTTTATTATTGAAGTAGTCTAGTAGAAGACCGCTCACAGGCAGGAACATTTAGAGTCTTGTGTAGACCACCTCTAAAGGACCGCTGAGATAAACCCAACTGGGAAGACTGACTGTGGACGCTGTTTCTATATGAAGGTAGCATAGCTTCAGACATTCTTCCTGCTGCATGAGGGAAGACAGATTCAGAGAAAACATTTCTATTCAAAGTAGCTTTTAGAAAGCATCTCATGTCTGGTAACTACTATGGTCTGGTCTTTTTAGAAATCCTGCAATTGTTTACTAAGAATGAATTGGAAGCGAATAAAACAAAACAATGGTCTTTGAAGATTGCCATTTCTCCTCTAGCAGAGAGGGGGAAATGCTTCAGTGCTACACTTGTCAAAACTTTCCATCAGGAGGTCGGAAAAAAGGATTTCGAAAGTCAGCATTTTAGTTTGGTTTATAAGAAGAATGGAACTGTGAATTCCTTTTGCTCTAGTTTATCAACAGTTCTGTGGAGTCTGTGTGAGGTTTTTAATCAAGACATGAAATGGCTATTATTATCTGATCCCAGCTAACTTGTCAATCTGATGGAGTGTGGAGCTTTGGAAGTGGCATTTTCTTTCATGTCCTCCATCCTAAGAAAGGCCCTAGCTTCGTTTTAGCAATGGAGTTTTACATTCCTTCAACGCTCAAATATGTATTTTCTATCAGCAACTGCATGTAAGGCACTGGTGTAAGAGAAGGAAGGAGTCAATGAACCGGGGAGGATGCCCCAGCAGCAGGGGCTGCAATGGGGCCAGGGTGACTCTTGGAGAGCCAAGGCCATTGCGTGGAGAAAGGGCAGGTTCAGAGAGAAGGGTAGGGGGAGGGGTGTGCAAAGCTCTGGAAGGCCCATTTGAGCAAGGTGTGAAGCCCTCAGGAGACTCCTTTAAAGAAGTCATGTGCCCTACCCAAGGTCACAGAGCCCTTTGTGACAAAGTCTCGAGGTTCATACTTTGGTGCGCCATTCAATGAGACATCTAGTTCTAATTAAAGAAAATGCCAGGCCGGGAACAGTGGCTCACACCTGTAATCCCAGCACTTTGGGAGGCCGAGGCAGGTGAATCACCTGAGGTCAGGAGTTCGAGACCATCCTGGCCAACATGGAGAAACCCCATCTCTACTAAAAATACAAAATTAGCAGGGTGTGGTGGCGCATGCCTGTAATCCCAGCTACTCGGGAGGCTGAGGCAGGAGAATGACTTGAACCCAGGAGGTGGAGGTTGCAGTGACCCGAGGTGGCGCCACTGCGGTCCAGCCCAGGCAACAAGAGCGAAACTCCGCCTCGAAAAAAAAAAGCAAGAGAGAAAATGCCTTGAAAAACAGGAAACTTGGCCCCTAACACAGGCAGTGGATTATGCATAGCCACAGTTGGCTACTAAAATTTAAAAACAATATGTATTCATTCAACAAATACTTAGTATATATCCACCATGTGTCAGGCCCTGCATAGGCCCCAGGAATACAGAAGTAAACAGAGCAGTCATCTTCTGGAGTTGTGGCTATGCGAGTACTTCAGGTGTGGCTAGTGAACAGGATAACTGAATTTTAAATTTTATTTCATTTTAATTAATTAAAACTGAAATTGAAATAGCTGCATGTGCCTAGCAGTTACCATACTGAACATCCAATCTCCGTTGAGTTTGGAGCCAGGGGTAGAGGGAGGATCTGGGGAGAGTGGAGAGACAGGAAACTCATAGCAAATGTGTAAGACTATTCTAGATAGTAAATCCTAGATGAAAAGAAAGCACAATATAAAGTCAGGGTTTCATGAAAGTAAGACCAAGATGGGTGACCTATTGGGCTTATATATTCACAAAAAGAATATTTTCTGAAACTTGGAGCTTCAGAGCATAATGTGGCTCTTTCTTTCCAGCGAGATTTAACCATTCTCTTGAAGTGGGACTTTTAATAAATTGTGGTAGAATTGAGTTAATTATGCAGCTGACAAAGAGAGAAGCAATTACGAATTTCTGGCCCCTCCTCCACTCGCCATCCCACCCATATGATAAATATTTTATGTCAAAAGAACCACTATAACACCATTGAGGATTTGATAGATAATGGGCCAGTTTGGAGCTCACCCACAGAAAATAATCACGGGACCCAGTTGCCACAGCCCCTGCAGCGCTGGATGAGCCAGACCACCTTTGCTCCAAAGCCACACTAAAAATAACTGCATGGTTTTGAAAGTGAGTGAGAGCTATGTGTAGACAGGGCTATAAAAGCCTGGAAGCCAGGTGGTGTTTTTGCTATTTCTGACTAATTCCTTGCCCTTTCTGTGCAGCATGTAAAAAGCTGGAGATTTCTTTTTCTAAGTATGCTGGGCACACCGTTTAAAAGTATCTGTCTGGAAAAATTGCAGTTGGTTTGCAAAGAGGTCCGACCAGCAGCACTGATGTTTTTATTCCACACATGCCCACATCTTCAAAGAACTAAGACAGAGGCCGGGTGCAGTGGCTCACGCCTATAATCTCAGCACTTTGGGAGGCCGAGGCGGGCGGCTCACCTGAGGTCAGAAGTTCGAGACCAGCCTGGCCAACATGGTGAAACCCCATCTCTACTACAAATACAAAAATTTCAGAACCCCTCTAGCCACGGAAACACCCACACAAAAGTGCCCATGCTGCCAGGGCATCGCAATTCTCTCCTTGGGGAAGATTTAGTTTTATTTTAAAATCCTGGCTATCTACATGGAAGGGTAGGGTTTATGACGGCAATACACAATAGAAGATGCCTTTGGCAAGACCGCTGCTCTCCTTAGAGAGAATATCTTGCCAATGGCTTTGCTTCATATCTGCGTGGGGCACCCTCTCCTTTCCTTCCCCAAGGCTGGGGACTTTTCTTTTTCATCTCAAGATGACCCCTCTGAGCTGACAGCAGGAGCCAAAGACAAAGAATTTTCTTGCCTTCTCGTTATCTGCCTCCAACCCGCCCCGAGCACTCGTTCCCTCTTCTCTTGGCAGCTATTTTTGCTCAGTTTCTCTCTGGTTTCTTTTACTTTGATTTATAGTGTTGAATTTAAGAAATCTGGTGAGGCTAAGGACTATTTGACCCAAGTCCAGGGACCCATAGACTGTGGGAAACTCTTAGCTACATGAAAAAATGCAGTCGCTAAACACAACTTGTTGCCCTAAGCACTCAGCCACTGCTTACTTGAGCGAGCTTGTCAATCGCAACCTTCCAGAAGCATAGTCTCCAGGCTCTCAGCTGCAGCTGCCAGGCCACAGGGGGCACTGTGGGTACCGCCTGGATGCATGCTGAGTGATGCAGAGGCCTCCACTCACTCGTTCAGGGGCTGATGACGTGGGTTCTCTTTTCCCTGTTGTCGTGTGACAGGGCCATTTGACCATCTCACTAATTCCCAACACGGAGTTATCCAACCAGTCTTCATATTTACCAGTTTCTGGAATACCCAAGTGCCTTAGGACATAGGAGGTGCCCTGTGAAGGTTGATGTCATTAAAAAATTTGAAACAACCTATCTGATCAGAGTTTATGGTCAAAAATCAGATGTTTGGGGGAGAACAGGAACCTGGCTAAGTTACTGAAATAATGAACTAAAATTGACCTTACTTGGAAAAATCCAAGACTTTCACCATCTGCTAGGTGAGTTAACAAGCAAAGCAAAGCTGTCTTATTTGTTGACTCCGATTTCCTATCTGCCCCTCTACTGCTTTCTATATTATTAACCTTTACATTGCGTGGTGCTGATAACTCTGACAGAAATTCTGTAACTGAAACTCACTTTGATGCTTCCCATTCAACTGCCTTCCATCTCCATGGTGTATAAAGAAAGAAAACTGAAAAGAGAATAGAAAAAGAAGGCTGGGTGTGGTGGCTCACACCTGTAATCCCAGAAGTTTGGGAGGCTGAGGTGGGCAGACTGCCTGAGCTTAGGAGTTCAAGACCAGACTGGGCAATATGGCAAAATCCCATCTCCACAAAAAAAAAAAAATACAAAAATCAGCCAGGTGTGGTGGTGCATGCCTATAGTTCCAGCTACTTGAGGGCCTAAGGCAGGAGAACTGCTTGAGCCTGGGAGGGCTGCAGTGAAAGGTGCTAGGGGCGGGCACCTTGTTTGGTGCTGATGATTGCCTGGTATTCAGTGGAGGGGTAAATCTGAGAACATGCAGTATCAATGAATCGAACTTATCATTTATAATTATTCCAATATGCTTACTAGAGATTATTTGAAATACAGACCCTCAAATAACAACAGAGCCCTGAATCATTTGTTAAAGTTATTTTTTAATCCACAAAACAACTGAAGAAGTGGTTAGAGAGTTAACTAGGGAACCATAACTCTTGCATAACGAGGGGAAACTCTCTTCTCACGCTGCCTATGTTCTTCCCTGCATCCCGGAGAGCCTCACTCTTCTAGGCTGACATATGGGAAGAGGAGTACGGACACAGAAGATGATTATGCTGGAAAAAGAATTTGTCTAAGTCCCCAGACTTGAGTTTTGTTTTGGACTCTGCCACAATCTGGGTGTGAGATTTGCAGAGGCCATTTCCCTCCTGAAGTCAGTGTGCTCGTACGTGAACTACAGGACATGGGCTGGCTCCTGGCTCAGCTCCTCCCAGCTCTGCCCAGGGAGGGGAAGTGGGCAGTGCCAAGCAGCCGGTACACAGCTCCTGCCTTGCCTCTTCAGGCCTCAACTCTGTGGCTTGCTGGAATTATCTATGGGACTGGGTGGTTCTGTCTGGGTGAAGCAATTCTCTCCCTGCTGGGAGAGTCTACCACTCACCGCCCAAGGATGAACAAAGCTCTGCAAATTGACCCAAAGCTCATTCACTGGTCACATGAGAATCCATTTGGAACTGGAATCCATAGTATGCTTGTGATTTCTGCTTCGTGTCCAAAAGTTATCCAGTGACGTACAACTTCCGATGTTGGCTGTCACCATGGTGACGCACAGATGAACTGGGGTACCATGCCCATAAAAGGCTGAGCTAGCCAAGTGCTGGGGTGTGGCGAGTCTGCAGCCAGGCATTTCCAGGGCTGTTACAGTAGCACCACAGGGAAGAGAGACGGGAGCCACCCCAGGGGAAGCTGTGGGAAAGAACAAACTATGCACACAGCCCTTTCGACAGCAAGCTCTGTCCAGCTGCTATTTTTATGTATTATCTTACTTTAAAAAAATACTATCAGTCCAAAAGTAGGGCAGACAGAGCAATGCTTCTGCAAGAGCACATTTGGGAAAATCTGTTAATTAATAAATAGTTAAGCCACATGCACCGGATTTGTAGTATTGAAACAGATGCTCTATCTTAAAAATGTTTTAATACAGTAGATGCAGCAGTCCTGAGAGTAATTGTCTCCTGTAACACACAGAAGAATATCTCCAGGAATAAGAAAATGGTAAATGGCATCACTGATCTCTTTCTTACCTTTTATCATCAGCTATTTCTATCACTTTATCAGTGAATGTTCAGGGTCTCACCTGAATTAACAGAGCAGCCCTGTGTGCTGATTGTTAACACACTCCAGTGACTGGCTGTGTGGTCCCTTGGCAGCACGGGCCTCGGCCCAGGTGAAATGACAGTGTCAAGCATCACGCAGCACCCAGAGGTACAGGTACAGCCAGATTTCAGGCCACATGAGTGCTGCGCGTGCACAGTGGATCCCACAGTCCAGGCCCCGGGGTGGGGGGCGGGTATCGTTTGCCTCTGTCTTTTGTACAACCCTTCAGACAGCTGCCAATCACAGCTTAATTGGATCAGTGTTGATAACCCGTCTGGATAACTAGAGGACAGCCAAGCCCACACGGAGTTTTGGATTACTCAAGTTAATCAGATTAACCAGAAGGTGTCGATTTTTCATTTTACTTGGCAAAGTATAGAAAGAGACTCAAGGTGTTTCCTTCACTAGGGACGCTGGGAAATAAAAAGGTCTCAATGCCTGTGCTGTGAATTCGTGAAATCACAGAGTCTTGGGGATCCTTAGAAATCCCCTCCTAATAACCTCACTGAAAAGACCTCTGGCATCGTGTAACAGTACACTGCTATGCAGATGCCATTATATACTGAAATAATCTGAACTAGCTATGTTTACTGAAGAATCAAATTCTCCTAAAGGCATTATGGAAAATGTTACTATGTTGATTCTGCATTAAATAATCATAGAAAGTGAAAAGAACAGATCCGGTCACCTCTACTCAGTTTGTTTGGGTTCTGTTTATCTGATGACATGGAGAAGAA
Organism: Homo sapiens; assembly: GCF_000001405.40. Taxonomy (NCBI): domain Eukaryota; kingdom Metazoa; phylum Chordata; class Mammalia; order Primates; family Hominidae; genus Homo; species Homo sapiens. Next base: position 110,360,242 of record NC_000013.11, on the reverse strand, counting down.
TGCAGAGTCGCTCTAGACACGAACTCCGTCCCACACAGCTAGTCTCACAGATATGTGTATACCACCAATTCTATCCATGCCCATATAAGGCTGAGCCAGTCAAGGGCTGCGGGGTGGAGAGTCTGCAGTCAGGCATTCTCATCACTGCCACAGAAGTGTCGTTGGGAAAATCCATAGCATGAGACCCAGGGGAATTTTACATCTTGTGAAATGGCTTCCATAAACTTAAAAATTATTTAGCCTTGTTAAGTGCTGATAAATGATCTTCAACCAGCAATTTCTAAACCATAAAGTCCCCACAGCAGGCAGAGGAATGCTTAACCGAAACAAAAATAACTGTTTTGAGAAGTGCAACTAATGATGAATGCAGCAGGTGGAGAGATGGGAGCTTTGATCAAAGGGGCAGGAAGCCTCCTCAGTTGTGATTTTTGACAGTGAAATAATGATCAGTCACAGGTCAGGAAATAGGAAGACAGTATTTATAAAGAGGTTCCCTATCACGAACTGTGCCCATTTGATTTTGTGGAGGGGACACAGGAGAGGAGGCAGCGGCATCGCACCTCAGCCCTGGAGGCCAAGCTCCAGCAGAGGGTCGTTCTTCCTGGCAGGTAGGGATGGGAAATGGCTACGGTAGAAACTGACTTCAGGATTCAACTTGGGGAAACTCATTTGGACACCCAAGGGCTGTTATAATTTCTGATTCCAACAACATCAGGGCAATTCAGGGAAGAGTTTCCAGTTGCCTTGACAACCTGGCATTTGCCAAACGAAGGTGTAGACAAGCATGTGTCCTAGGGTAGATACATGAGTCCAGGGAATAAAGGCAAGGAGGCTGTGTCATAAAACAAAATACTACTCCCCACACCTTCACACATGCAAGATGGACTTAAAGGTGCACATATAAATAATACTTTTAAACCAAGTAACACCAAGACTCAGTTTTAAAGATATCAGTTTTAAAGGCAACAGAATCAGAGATCAATCACTTTGATTGAACATATTAAATCCAATATCAGGGCAATATTTCAAATTCTGCCAGATGTAATGGTGATGATTTGGGGTACCCTTTTTTCCTCTTACTTATCTATCAGACGGACCACATCAAAGACATTCAGGGAGTAAATATTTTCAAAGTGAGAATTGTTAGCAATGATACAACTGCCAGTGCTCCCTAGTTTGTATAACTATATTGCAGTATAAATGCAACTACTTTTTTCTTTACAGAATATTTTTATGACATTTCTGCTTATTATAACTATAAAACATCATTGCTTTATATATGCACATATATACACACATGCAAACACACGTACGTACTTATAATGAACAATGAATGAAAGAAAAGATGCTTATGAAAATTAAAATTGCTCTCAATTTTGTAGGAAAGTGGTATACATTGACCCAATTTTGCATTATATTATTGTTTGTTCTAGTGGAACAGAATACAATTGATTAAATTTCTTAGCAAAGTATGCAATGACTTACTCAGAAAATTTAAGACACTCTCATTTCAAATGGAAGTACAATCAGGCACCGCATCATGACTTTTTGGTCAACAACAGACTGCACTGAAGATAGTGGTGCCCTAAGATGACACCGGATCTGCCCAGCGCATAACCCACATGTTTGTGGTGGTGCTGGTGGGGACAAACCTGCTGTGTTGCTGGTTGCATCAAAGTGTGGACATGCAGTTACATGCAGTGTATGACACTTGGTGACAAGCAACTGCGTCACTGTTTTCTGCATTTACTATACTCTACTTTTTATTGTTATTTTGGAGTGTACTCCTATTTATATGTGTACATATGTTAACTGTAAAATAGCCTCAGGCAGGTGCTTCAGGAAGAATCCAGAAGCAGGCATTGTTCCCAGAGGGGATGACGGCTCCATGCGTGTTATTGCCCCGAAGACCTTCTGGTGGGACAAGATGTGGAGGTGAAAGACAGTGATATTGATTATCCTGAGCCCGTGTAGGCCCAGGCTCCCATGTCTGTTTGTTTCTTTGTTTTTAACAAAAAAGTTTAAAAAGTAAAAAAAAATTTTTTTAATAGAAAAAAACATCGAATAAAAACGTAGAAAAAGAAAATATGTTTGTACAGCTGTACAATGTGTGTTTTAAGCTAAGTGTTATTGCAAAAACAGTCAAAAAGTTTAAAAAGTTTAACAGTTTATAAAGTAAAAAAGTTATAGTAAACTAAGGTTAATTTATTACTGAAGAAAGAAAAATATTGAAAACGTAAGTTTAGGGCCGCCTAAGACCCAGTGTTGATGGATCTACAGTGGTGCGCGGTCACGCCCCAGGCCTTCACATCCACGCACCCCGCACTCCCCAACGCAGACAGAGCAACTTCCAAGTCCCGCAAGCTCCGTTCATGGTAAATGCCCTACACAGGAGTCCCATTTTACATCTTTTTACTTTCTTTTTACTGTACCTTTTCTGTATTTAGATATACAAATAGTACTGTGTCGCAACTGCCTACGTACAGGTTTGTAGCCTAGTAGCAACAGGCTTTATCACACAGCCGGGTGTGTAGTAGGCCCGGCCATCTAGGTTTGTGTGAGTACTCTCCAGTATGTTCAAGCAATGATGAAACTGCCCAGCCACACGTGTCCCAGAAGGTACCCCGTTGTTAAGCGAGGCATGACTGTATGAGGAAGATAATATTATTTATTGCAATGCTGTGACTTACACGTCCACCTTTCTCAGGGTAGCACTGGCAGCCCCCACTGCAATCTCTTCCTCCACACGGCACATCAAACTTCTTCACACCCTGCAACAATAAAACACAAGGCAAAGAAAAGTTACCTAAACATTGCCAACTACAACATGTATTAAAATATCATCTGTTGAGAATCCTTCCAACTCTAGAAACGATTCATTCAAAACATTCAATAAGGCTTTTTTAAAAAAATAGACTAATTTTTAGAGCAGTTTTTGGTGCACAGCAAAATCGAGTGTAAGGTCCAGAGATTTCCAATATACCCCTGTCTCTCCCACCCCTGAAATCCCCCACCATCGACATCCTGCACCAGGATGTACAGGTTGGAACCAACCTGTATGCTGGTTACAATCGCTGAGTCTGCCCGCATCACCATCACCAGAGTCCACAGTTGAGACCAGGGTTCACCCTTGGTGCTGTATGTTCTATGGTCAAGGAGTCTTTAAATAGTTCTCACTAGGCTGGGCGCGGTCGCTCACGCCTGGAATCCCAGCACTTTGGGAGGCCGAGGCGGGTGGATCACAAGGTCAGGAGATCAAGACCATCCTGGCCAACATGGTGAAACCCCGTCTCTACTAAAAATACAAAAATTAGCCAGGCGTGGTGGCAGGCACCGGTATTCCCAGCTACTTAGGAGGCTGAGGCAGGAAAATCGCTTGAACCGGGAGGTGGAGGTTGCAGTGAGCTGAGATCACACCACTGCACTCCAGCCTGGGCCACAGAGTAAGACTGTCTCAAAAAAAAAAAAAAAAGTGCCTATAAACTGCCCGATGCCAAGCAAAGTCCTGGACCTTCAGCGTCAGGAGAACATTCCGAGAATCTGGATTCCATGTGAAGTGAGGAATCAGGAAGGAGCAGGCCTGTGGCATGCATGAGAAACTCCGGGGCATGGGCAGCAGCCCTGCCTTCTGCCTGGACATGTGGAGCATGTGCCTGGAGAAAATGCTGGCGGGGAACCCAGAGAGGTGGGCAGGAGTGGGCCACCACGGAGGGGAGGAGGAGGTGTCGGTGCAAACGGTGGCTCCCTCATGGGACACCCATCATGGTGATCAAAGGGAGGGCCATGTGAGGAGGAGGGACTGGCAGGTGCATCTGGCGGGATGCCAAACCCTCATCTGCACCACCGATATCACTTGCGACTTCATTTGAGGGGTGTCGGCAGAGGAAGTCCACTTTCTTTCCCCTTCGCCCTACGGGACACACTTATGCTCAGTAAGGAGGAGGAATGCCGGGAAGAGGCTTTCCTCAGGACCTATTCAGGCAAGTGGGTGACCCCATTGAGTGTTTCATCAGAGAAGGAGATACAACCTTAAGTGAGTCAGTGGGAAATGGAGGGAGTTCCCTGGATGGGCAATCCCGATGGGGCAAAAAGGTGTTTCTCATCCTTGATCTCAACATTCAGATCAAAGATGGACTTGGAGATTGGGCTACTGGACAAGTACCTTAGCTCTTCCTTTCAAATCGTGACAGTATTAAACGTTTTGAGATGATGGCAATCAGAGTGACCCTCTTTTCTCCCCTTTCTGATCAGCCGAGTCTCAGCGCAGGCCTCCTCTCCCCTGACAGGTAAGCTAGTACAACCTTCATTCCACAGGTGAGCCAGTGCTGCCCTCCGCCCTATACAGGTGACCTAGTGCAGCCCTCAGCCCCCACACAGGTGAGCTAGTACAGCCCTCCCCCCCACACACAGGTGAGCTAGTGCAGCCCTCCCCACTCACACAGGTGAGCTGTACAGCCCTCCACCCCCACACACAGGTGAGCTAGTGCAGCCCTCCCCCACACACACAGGTGAGCTAGTGCAGCCCTCCCCACTCACACAGGTGAGCTGTACAGCCCTCCACCCCCACACACAGGTGAGCTACTGCAGCCCTCCCCCACACACACAGGTGAGCTAGTGCAGCCCTCCCCCACACACACAGGTGAGCTGGTACTGCCCTCCCCCCACACAGGTGAGCTAGTACAGCCCTCCCCCACACACACAGGTGAGCTAGTGCAGCCCTCCCCCACACACACAGGTGAGCTAGTGCAGCCCTCCCCCACACACACAGGTGAGCTAGTGCAGCCCTCCCCCACACACACAGGTGAGCTAGTACAGCCCTCCCCCACACACACAGGTGAGCTAGTGCAGCCCTCCCCCCACACAGGTGAGCTAGTGCAGCCCTCCCCCACACACACAGGTGAGCTAGTGCAGCCCTCTCCCACACACAGTTGAGCTACTGCAGCCCTCCCCACACAAACAGGTGAGCAGTGGCTCACAGGTGAATCTTAATCTAGCTTTTCACCCTCAGCCAGCCTCTGCCAGCCTGCCTGGAGCCTCCCTATTATCACACAGTTACACCTAAGGGACCCTGGACAAGGCTGGCTTCTGGTGTTCACTGATTGAAACCTTATCATGCAAGTAAAACTTACCAGATGACAGAACCCTTTCCAATGTTAAGCAAATTGTATTTTACCACAGCCTTTTCACTCTCTTCTGAGTTACGTGTCAATGACTAAACAGGACTATCACTTGGGGACTCCCTCTGTAAGTTGTTTTGTGATAGCGGGTCTGCTGGAACCTTCCCCTTTCCTGTCACCAGCTGCATGTCCACGTGGAGGTGCAAGTGGCATGGCCAGGCCCACTCTGCCACTGCCGCCCAGCAGGGTCTTCCAGATAGTCCAGGGCAGAAGGGCAGGACACGCAGGCTTCTGACCCAAAACCTCCTGGCAAGAGTTGGCCTTGGGTTCCAGCAATGACTCCATGTTCCTTTTGTATGGGTGATTTTTTTTTTCTTTCAGCTAACAATTTTCTACTAGAGAACTCTCATCTGAGAGTTTCACGTTTTTTATGTTCTTCTTATAATTCTTTACCTAATATAGTATCTGATGCATCAGTTACTACTATAAAAAAAAAAAACTCCAAAAAGTGGAAAGTCCCAAACCCTTCAGAGAAAACAGTACCTTGAAAGCTTTTACATTTCTTTCCAGTGATCTTTTTGTCTTGAGTGAGGTAATGAGGCAGCTGGAGTTTATGGTGTAAAAGTAAACATATATAAAATCCTCTCACGCCCTGAAAACACGATCCTAGGTATTTGCCAATTTTTCAATGGCTCCAATGTTTATCTGCAATGGGGCTCATAAATCCCATGATTTGAATATGTGATTTCTAGAAATCCAACTCCATACTAAGCCAGAAAGTTTAGCACCAAAGCTCAAGACTAGATGGGCTGGCGCATTCATGCCTTTTACTACACGTGAGGGAGGCATGAACAGGCGCTTGGCAGAGGTCCTCAGTTGACCCAATAATTCATTGGCCAGTTGTCTGGGAAGGGCAGGCGGGCCTCCTGGGTCTATAGGGTAAAGCATCAACTCATATCCTCCATCTGCTGTTTCCCAAGCTATTTTTAATTTTGATTTTAAAGCCACTTGCCAAATCCCTCCATATAAATCAAAGGTTGAAATGATTTGAATGGTTTCAAATTGATCTAACAGACTCCTTATTCTAGGTTTACGATATTCACTGTATTTAGTTGTAGTGAGTTATTCATAACCCACTCAAAAATGAATGATGCATTCTTACTTTTGGAACTAGGACTTGTAGGCTGATTAAGATACCTCCCAGTAACACTTTTCTACATGTACCGATGGCTCCAGTGCTATATTGTGAGGGAAGGAATACCTCATTGAGAGGCAGCCCTGCTCATTCCACGCCAAGGCAGTTTCCATGGACATGCCAGCCGTGCGTGCACACACGCACGTGCATGTGTGTATGTGTGTTCCCACTGACATCTTACCTGTCCTCCAGAGAGAGTCTTAGGAATTCCAACATTTACAAGAGCCCGAAGTACCACACTTTGGAATGTGAGGTCTCCAGGAGGAACAGAAATATTGACTTATTAGGGCAGGGTGTGTGCTTCAGACAGTCTCTTAAAAACTCAACAAGTCTCTGACCTGAGCCTTGGCATCTCCTGAGAAGACATGGGTCTCTGAAACAGTCTCGAGACACAAATGCCTCCCTGAGGACCTCAGAGGAGGAGTGTGAGGACTGCTATGTGGTGTCCCATGTCTGTGGCCTGGCCACTCCCTCCAGCAGAGGCATACCGACTGCACGCACCTGCTGCCACCCTGCTCTCAGCCCTCCAGCCTATCCCTTCATTTTACTGCTTAACGCAAATCAAAGACAAGCCGCGATCCTATTCTTGTCAACTCCTTAATAAAAATGATGAGTTTCCTCCCACCCTGCAGCCTCCTCAAATCTCTGCTCACCCCCTTCATGAAGAAACACTGGCCCTGGTCCATATTTTAACTTCAGTCTCCGTGAGGCCTGTTTTTCCCTATAAGGTCTGGTTTGCCTCAGTGTTCTTTAAAGAATCCTGCATGGGTCTCACCAAGCATTTGACACACCTCTTTTTACAACAATCACAGGCTCATGAAAGAAACATCAATTCAATCCTCCATTAATTTCTCATTTCAAGTCTGAATTTCCAAGGCAGCAACTGTGTAGGGCAATTCCAATGCCCAGCTCTCACTGACGCCCCCTGCAGGTGTGCCTGGCTGCTGACCCCACTGAAGCTCGCAGGGCCAGGAGGTTCCTGCAGCTCCTACTGCAGGTGTGGAACGTGATCCAGGCTCGTGGGGCGTGCTGTAGCCGTTCAGCCCGGCTGGCCAAACTCCTGTGGTTGTCTGGGTGTCCTTCACCCCAAGGCAGGAAAGGACTCAAGGCCTGGCGGGACCAGTTTTACAGAAGGCCTGTGAAAGCTGGTGGGGGCACCCTACTCCCTGGAGAATGCCTGACTCTCACCTCCTCATAGGCACACAGAACCTCCCCACCCAGGGAACTCGGGACCACCGAGGAATCTGAACCGTATCCGGCACCTTCCTTCAACTGCACCAGTGAGAGGACACCTCACATCCCCAATTCCAAACTAACATGACAAAGGGCAAGGGGCTGGGAGGTCCTTCATCCACGCTTTCACTTTACAAATTCATTCACTCATGATCACTGATGTGAATTTCCTCTGAGCCATGCACTGTGCTGGGCTCTGGGTATAGAGTAGGGGGCAGATTAGACATTGCTCCTGCCCTGTGGCAGGTGACCAAGTAGACAAGAAGGTGAAATAAGTAAACAAACAACTAAACCCACATAATTTAAATTCTGGTAAGAGCTGCGAAGAAGAGGATGGTTAGAGAGCAAATTAGGAACAGTGGGTCCTTAAGTATTGCATTATCCTGTTCACAGAGAGGACTGGCTGTGTTCAGGCCTGCGCCCTAGGGCTCTGCTATGCTCCACTATTCCTTCTATGCCTACCTCCCAAGGCCAACCTCCCTGCCTGACAGCCTGAGGCTCTCACTGCTAGAAAGCAGAGACAGACTGGCTACCCCTAACCTCCAGGCCTAGGAGGGCACCACCTTCATGCCATCATCATCGTCATCATCATCATCATCATGATCATTATCAGGGAATCAGGAACATCCTGAGTTGGAGTGACTCGAAGCCCATTCTTCCTATGACTTTCAGGATGCTCCAACACTGCTGTGCTCCCCAACTTGCAGCTCAGGACTCCATTTCAATCTAGTGCCGCTTTTCAGTACCCACAGTTGAACATCCTTAGTCCCTACTCAGCTGACAGCCAGCTCAGTGGCTTCCCAGGCGCATTGGCCAGGAAACTTCAGACCTAAATTCCAAATCATGGAAGGAGTTTGCCTAGGGGGATGAATCATTACTTCCCTCAGCAAATGAATGAACATTTACTGAGGACCTGCAGGCAGTCCTACCTTGCCAACTATCTCATCACACACCAACCTGGAGGCCAGACCCCATTGGACTTATCTGCTCCTTCAAGAAAGGCAGAGGAATTAAAGAAGCTGGCAGAGGCACTGTGGACAAAGGGAAGGGGTGCTAAGTCTGATTATTGTAAGCTCTTGACATCTTTAGTGTTGTGGAACCAAAAGGAATAGTTCTGAAAAATAAATGTGAATTATACATTTTAGGAAATAAGTGTCCAAAGCAGCATAAACCTAAGAAGCAAGGTAGACTTGAAAGTCTCTGAGCTGCAAGGAAGAGATGAAGGACCGGTCATTCTTGCACCAGTTCTTAGGGACAAAACCCACGCCGGCAAGGGAGGAGCAGGGTAGAGAAAGCCACAGGCAGCAAAGAAGCAGGAGAGAAGGCTGGGTGCGGGGGCTCATGCCTGTAATCCCAGCACTTTGGGAGACCCAGGCAGGCAGATCGCTTGAGCTCAGGGGTTCAAGACCAGCCTGGGTAACAAAGCAAAACCCTGTCTGTACAAAACAAACGAACAAACAAACAAACAAACAAACAAAAAGAATAGCTGGGTGTGGTGGTGCACGCCTGTGGTCCCAGCTGCTTGGAGGGCTGGGGTGGGAAGATGGCTTGAGCCCGGGAGGTGGAGGTTGCAGTGAGCCGAGATTACGCCACTGTACTCCAGCCTGGGCAACAGAGCAAGACCCTATCTCAAAAAGAAAAAATAAAAATAAAGAAAGAAAGAAACAAGAGAGAGAGCAGGTAGCAAAGAAGACACTGGACAGAGAGTTTGAGGAAGATTTACCTGGAAGTTGTACCACAAATAAAATGGGAGGGAATAAGAGGGAAACAGAGAGGAAAACTGATCAGAGGCAGGGACTTAGACACAAAGTCAAAGAGGTCATGAGTGCTTGTCTGAAGGGCAGCTGCTCTCCCAGCTGGCCCCCGCCATGGCAAGTGTGCTGTGTGGACAGGGCCCATCAGCATCACCCTGGAGCTAGTGAGGAATGCAGGCCCCACCCCACCTTTCTTGGAGCAGAACCTGCTTTCTAGCATGACTTCCAGGTTAGCACACCGAGGTTTGCAAAGCCCTACACTAGGTGGTCGGATGGGCATTGTGAAAACAGGCTTTGTTTAGAGATAGTGAGAAAGCTGGAAACCACTGAACCATCACCCTGGGTGCAACAGAAGGTAGGAGTTATTACAGGTTCAGCATGTTCCATGACTCAGTGGGTGCCTGGCATGTCTGTCCTAGAAAAGTGATGGCCCTTGGACCTTGCTTTGACCTCTGTGACCTGTGCTGCATCTGGGGCGGCTCTGAGCCCTAAGGACTCAGTGGCTGAGCCTCTAATCCCTCCAAGTGCTAAAAAAAATTGTAGTTCTCTCTTTTAATTTTTTTAAAATTCAAAATATCCTTCTAGAGCTCTTCTTTTTCCTGTTCTGAAACTGGTAGCCAGCATTGCTGTGCCAATTCAAAACTGTAGGAATTGGAAATGTTTAGGAGCCAGTTGGCAGTGTATGTAAAGGCATAAGATGTGTTTTCCAGAAACCTTAGATTACATTCTACTCAATTGGAATGCAACAGACATTTTTTCCAGGTGCAGAACGGGAATCTTTGAGTGAGGGATTTCTTGGTTGACTTCATATATGGAAATTCTTTTCCTTGGAGTCTTATTTAAATCTTGGCATCATTACATTTAGAAAGATGTGGAAATTGGGCTGGGTGTGGTGGCTCACGCCTGTAAGCCTAGCACTTTGGGAGGCCTAGGCGGTGGATCACTTGAAGTTAGGAGTTCAAGACCAGCCTGGCCAACATGGTGAAACCCTGTCTCTACTAAGAATGTAAAAATTAGCTGGACATGGTGGCTCACGCTTGTAATACCAACTACTCACGAGGTTGAGACACAAGAATCACTTCAACCCGAGAAGTGGAGGTTTTAGTGAGCCACGACTGTGCTACTGCACTCCAGCCTGGGTGACGGAGTGAGACTGTGTCTCAATAAAAAAAAAAAAGAAGATATGAAAATCCATCTGTTTGCATGGATAGATTTACCATAGACATCAAATCACTCCAGATGCACAATCTAGATTCCTTGGTGAGTCTTTTACCTCTGGAAGAATAAAAGTCATGGAACCCTTTAAGGAAAACCAGGTTCTAGTTTCTTGAACCAGGCTCCTATCAGGATCAAATGCAGAATTTCTTGCTTGGAGTCACTAGCTGCCTGGCTGCCAGCAGAGACTCTGTCATTTATCAATGGGATACAGTGGAGTTGGAGCAGAGATCAAGAGTGGCAGCTGCAGGATTAAGAGGACATCCGGTCCTCCTGGTTGCTGCCCTGGCTCTTCTGTGAGTGACCCAATGACAGTGAGAAGAGAGTATCGTGTTGCCTTCACTAGGATCCTGTGCCACCAGGCAGAGGGAGAGTCCCTCCTTTGCCACCGGGGAAAAGGGTGTCCTCCTTGGTAGATGTCTGAGGAATCGCCCATCTCAAAACGTGGAGAAAACTGCCCAATGTCACTTCTCTCCATGGCAGATTGGTCCTTATATTTAGGACACTAAAAAAATAGGTTTAAATGACAACCTGAATGCCAGGAAACAAAACACATAAACAATTTAAACTCTTTGAGACTACTATTTCTCTACTACCACTGCAAATTGTCAACATATAGCAAGGGAACAAACCATGGAAATGCACCCAGCCCTCTTCAGACATGAGTATCATTTAAAGTGGATGCCATGTAGACGAATGAAAAAAAATGCTGGTCATTGTTCTCAACTTGCACATAGAAAATGAGCAGTAATCGAGTTATATGAATCGCAAGAACAAAACTCATCTGTCCCAAAACAAAGAATATTTTGTCCTCTACATGTTCCAAGAAACTTCTTGTCCAAGGAAGTCTTTTTAAGCCAATTTACCTCCAGCCAACAAGAGCCATCCTCTGAAGGGAATTTACAGATAGCTGACGATTGGATTGTGCCTAGCATCTAACCCAAATTCCCTCCACAGAGGAATACTGAAAAACCTACGCCAAGTGACAAACAAGATCAACATTACCTATTGTTAAAAAGTTATCATCCTTTTGAAAGCTAAAAAGTTATCTTTTCAAGGCAAAAAAAAAAAATCTATACAATTCTTTGTCTTTGACACAAGTCCAGTCAAGCTGGACTTTTAGAATTACTATTTTAATCAAAAAAGAGGCCAAAAGAGAAGAAAGCCAACTCGGGAACAAGGTTCTCAGTAAAGTTCTATTAGTTTATCAAAACAGGAAATATAAGCCATTTCCGCACATGCAGCTTTAGAAATTAAGGAAATAATTCCAACATGGTATTAGCAGGGCAAGGTATATGGAAGAGGAAGTGCAGGTCACAGTTGTACCACCCAGCACAAATCCTTCTTCTATATGCCGGGCAGCAAAGCCAGCCAATTCAGCTTCCTTTGTTTAACAGTACTTCAAGGGCATCCTAAATAAATGTGTTCACTCTACAGAATGGTCTTGAACTAGTCACCAGCTCAAGATGGTGAAATGCCTGAAGGACAGGGGCGCTCCCCCACGTACAATGAATAAGCCCCATGGGCTTTTCTGGAATGCCAGTGAGTGCCAGCAGTTATGACTGCGTCGATGCCTGTCCTCATGGAACTGAGAGACTCAGAGAAGGAGGGAGGAGCTCAGGCTGTGTATTTGGAACAGGAGAACCAGAAAGAAATGACAGTAGTTCAACGAGTTGGGCTAGACACTCTTTAGGAAGACAGACGTCCTTCCTGTCTGGAAGCAATCCTTTACGGTCTCCCAGACGAATACCTGAGGAATGGGATCATTCCCCATCCTGGTTCAACACGGCGGCAAGACATAACCAGGAGGCATGACGTTCGGTGCCCTCCCCTGAGTCATCGGCAACAAGCCCCGTGTTTTCATATCTGCACACCTTTACATTTTAACGAGCAATGACCGGCCAAGTGGGCCACCTTCCATTTCTCCTCAGGCAGCTCAATGTCTGGGTGTTTTCCACACACAGTGTGCTATTGGCAGGGCCACCTCTGACAGCCGTACTTTAGTGCTGGAGCTTGGGTCCTGACGGGCAGGACTGGCTCCAGAAAAAATTCAGGAATTTGACTGCCAGGGCATGCAGTGTGTGGTGGGCCAAAGGCCAGGGCCAGAACACATCCCAGTGACATTAGTCATCCTGAGACATTTAAAGCAGGCTGAATGACAGTGGAGGGATGGCAGGCAGGGCCCCAGGTAGGAACTGCTGAGAACCCAGGATGCTGAAGAGCAGGTGTGAGGGGCCAACTGGGAACATGAATGATGTAGCAAAGGGCAAGAGTTCAGGCAGAGAAGTGACTGGTCCTTTGAAGCCACAGCATCTTCTGCACAAAGGGAGGATGATGGCACCCTTGCACAGGGCTGCTGTGAGGGTTTGGTGATGTAACTCAGCCCCCCGAGCCTTCCCAGCTAAAGGGTCTCCAATGCCTGGCTCCCCGGCCTAGAGCTCCTGACACATGAATGAGAGGTGAAGCCCAGCCAACATAGTCTAAGCCAACGCTGCCTTGGAAATGCCTTGTCCTGGGCTAGAGATGATCTCAGAGCATGGGTGGGCCTGGTTTCAGGTGAGGACAGGTAGGCCATCTGGCTGAGTGAGGAAAGGGGGCTTGGCATTTCCTGACACACATCCTCTGCCCTGGCCACTTCTTCACAGTTCACACTCAGTGCCTTTCTAGAGGCGAAAAGCAGGCTGAGATGCGCCCTCTCACCAGCGAGGAAGGCAGGTGTGCACACGGGCCCGGCATGCGGAGGCGTGGACCCAGGTGTTCGCACTTGGCAGTGAGCCACGATAAGCGCAGGGGATGAGGCTCTGTCCAGAGCCAGTCTTCCCCGTTCTTTCATGGCCTCCCCTTAGTCAACAGAGCACCCTGGCCTTCACCCCGGGAGGAGCTGAGCCCTCATTTGTTGGGTGGTTTTATTAGGTGCTGGGTGGAGACTCACATGTGCCTCATCTTGAGTCATCTGGTCTAGAAGCCTGGAACCTACACAGCAAACACCCAGGGTGTAGACATGGGTGTGGGGCCGTCGTCAGCCGTCAGGCAGGCAGGACAGCGACCAAAGGGGCCGGGTTGAGCTGGGCAGCACAGGTGACAAGCAGCCTTCACAGTGGGCATACAGCAGAGCACTGGAGCCACAGAACAGGGCACTGAAATGCAGGCAATTTCCATCTCGGAGCACTGGAGGGTGCCCCGTCGAAATATGAGTTGCCTGCATTTGAAGGTTTCCTTGCCTGTCTTCGAATGTCTTGGTCACTAGAGTTCTGGGGCCCCTGCTTCTCTCACTCAAAGTTACTTCCTGAAATCTGTTCCATCACTCCTGCCATAGACACTGCTCCTTATATTGTCTATGGTGACCACGGGATCAACGGCTAAGACCGCTGAAGATTTTCATTGCAATTTAGATATATTTATTAACCCATGGCTAAATTCTCCTTTGAATCAGGTCTTACTCACTTGATTTCAAAAGTTAATCTTAAATGACTTTCTGTCTGGGATTCCCAAGGCTTTGAGTTACGCAGGAAACAACGCCCCAAAAGCCTCAAACAAGAAAGAGTTCTCTTTCTTTTCAAGTATTTTGATACTGTTCCTTCAGTACCCCAGGAAAGCTCCTCATTTCCAAATTCACCTCTCACTGGCCTTCATTGCTGGCTCCTGGCCCCCAGGTTGTGAGGGTGATAGAGGCAGCCCAGGATCCTGGCTGGGGTTGCCCAGATACATCAGCAGCGCCCCGGAGCTGGGTGTGGGCAGGATCCCAAAGCCCATCTTCTTGATGTCATCATGAAGTGGACACACAGCTGGCACTATTCTGAGAACTAACACGCACCCCAGCTACCTTGCAGAAGGTGGTCCCCCTGTGCACAGGTACACATGCCCAGGCACAGATGAGATGGAACAAGATGAGAGCCTGGGTGTTGCTATCTGACTCACGTGACTTCTGTCCCACACAGCAGCTGGGGGTGTGTCAGTGGACCAATTGCCAGAAACCACCTTCCCTTGCCCCCTGTCCTTCTCCACCCCTAATATAGATGGCCACCCTTCATGTTTTTGTAAATCACTAATGGCTGTCTAGGTCGGTACTTAGCTAGGTGGGTGCTTCTGGTATTAACCCTTTAGTTGAGAGCCCATATCAGGTTAAAAAGAACGGGTGAGGACGAGATGTGCATCAATGTGAGTCTGACTTTCTTCTTTCCCAGGTGAGTGGCTGGTGTGTTTGAGGAGGCCTCGACTGTACCCATAGGGAAGGTGAGGGTGTGAAGCCAGCATCTGCTGTCCTCTGATTCCTGCACCCCACTGCTTCCCAGGAACAGCAGGCTTCGCTTCTCCTGAGACCCGCCGACTGGGGTTCTGCTCCCCTGCATCCACTGTTCCCTCCACTTTCAAAGTCTCTTTTTCTTTCAACTACAGCGGAATGCTTAATCACTTATTTTACATGCTGAGGGAATGTGAGGATTTTCAATGCATTGAGTATGAACACCTCTGAAGTTCCATCCTCGCAAAGAACTTGCGTTTGTACACACTGTTCCTTCAGCTTGGAATGTCCTCCATACCCTCACCTTCCTTGTCAGTGTAGTCAAGACCAACTCAAACACACCAGCCACTCACCTTGGGAAGAAGAAAGTCAAATCACATTGATTCACATCTAGTCCCCACTCATTCTTTTTAAGAACAGGCTTTTCTGCTGTAACACAGTATATGACTGTTTCTGAAAAATTCTCACACTCTGCAAAACCACACAGCAAACCACCGAGGTCCATGGGAAAAACAGAGCTGGGGCAGACCACTCAATACCGATGCAACTTTGTAACTAGGGCCTTAATAAAATTGGTAGCAATCCTAATACAAATAATAGCACAGTTTAATGGACATGTTAACTTCTCAAGTAAAGAAATATTGCAGTAAATAAAACAGTTTATCTTGAAGAAAAGTGATGGCATAGTTTCATAGAAGGGGGTGTAAGGAAGTGCTGAGACTGCTACACTGCAGAGAGCAAGGACAGGATGACCAAAGATTGGGAAGAGCTGTGGAGAAAGCATTTCTAAGGAGAGTATGTGGCCTGAGCGAGGCAAGAGAGAGAATACTGCGGCCCTGGGGTCTCGTATAGAGTTCCATTCCTTGACAGTTTGCTGTGCTGATGTGTATTCTTCTACTTACCCTCAGCTATCCTGTTACTCAGTGGTACAAACACCATGCTGGGAAAAATGTCACGCATGAACTAACATGACTTCCATCTCATACTGACATCATTCTCTTCTGTTCCAATTACCTATCAGCAAGTATGAGTTAGAGGAGATGTGCTGTAACAAACAGCCTACTTCAATATTCTCTCATTGGCTACTCATTTAAACCTCAATGTTGTCGTCAAATAACTAATAAGAAAATTGGCTGCATAAAAGACCATCTTTTATGAAGGCTATTTGTCATGTCATCCTTTTAATAGCCTGAGGGATTTTGTTCTGTCTCCGTGTTGAGAAGAACAAGTTACAAGGAGCTTTTAACTCTTGTTCAAGAGGCCATCAATGTAATCATAGTTAGAAGTGAGTTTTCAGACTCATAGGTACACATGCAGTGAAGAGTTTCACATGTTACATTTAGAATAAATACCCTTACATATTTATGAGCTATGTTGTTTTTCTTCTGTTTCGTTAGGGAGAGAGTTCACCGAGACATCATCTAATATAAGCATTACCTCACACATTATCTACACTAAATTTTAATTATTTATACGGCATGCCAGTTCTTGGTATTCTTTGGCAATGAATGAAAATGTGTATGTGGTTAGTATTGGCATATAGGTCTAAGGTAAATATTTAGCCCTGTTGGTAATAAACAAAGTGGGTCCATCTCTTGAAGCTATTTATTCCAGAGAAGTACCTTCAGTTTAAGAGTTCTGTTCAAAACCTGCCCTCTGTGCTAAATTTGGGAGAAAAAAATCTGAAAAGCATGGAATGAAAGAGATCCAGGAATCCTTTTTCAGAATACAATAAGATTTCTGTTCTGGTTGGTGAAGACTGGTCTAGGCAAGGAAGGTCCCCGTTTGCATTGGCACACAGCAGCGCTGCGCTGCCCGGGCAGGCTCAGCCTCAGGTGCCTGCAGCTTTATCTTTGCAAACTTGACCATCAAAGTCCCAGGGGCTTTGGGGCCATGGACAACACCACACCCATGCGACAGCCACTTTACCTACCTGCTGGCCTGGCTTCTGGGTTAGAATTTCTGAATTTCTGCCCCGCCCTTTCTCCTGGAGGTACGCTGCCAAGTGAATCACGCCTGGCAGCTTTCAGACGGCGTGTACCTATGCCTTCCCACATCAGCAGGGATCGAGGATGCCTTTGCTGTGAACTCACACTCGGTAGTTTTTTCTCTGCCTGGAAGAAGGTCTGTGCATAAAATCTGCTCTAAGTCACAGCAGACGCCTACTCCTGGGGCCAGCAGAGGAGAGCACCCACTGGGTACGGACAGGCGCAGGCAGCACTCCGTTATTTGGGAGTGGATTATCTACCTGGATATTTCAACAGTGGATTTTCAATCCCACTCCTCTCTGCCCCTCACTAGGTTGTTGGGATTTTAATTCTTGTGTTCGATGGACAATCAGAGACCACACACACAGTCACTGCAGTATGAAGTTGCAAAGATTGCATGTTCCCTGGACTAGGTTAGACCAAGTTTTGGACGCTAACCTCTGTCGATAAGGCTAATTTGGAATTAGCATGCACACATTTTTAGGTTTGAGCACGATTTTTAGAGTCTCCTGAGTGTGAAATTTTAGGAGCCAGCTCTACCCTGCTCTCCTATACCAGTGCATGAAGACAGTTGATTTTTCTAGTCTTTTTACGCTTAATCTGGAGTGTTTGCAAGAAGATGGGTTCTTCCTGGGCTCCAGAGTGCTATGATGCTGTCTTGTGCCTTTGCCCTGCCCTAAGCTTCCAGTCGGGTGTGCGGGTCTCCAGTGCTGCAGATTTGGTTTGCTCTGAATGGCACTGTGTTTGGGAGAAACTTGATTTGCTTTGGACCAAGGGTGCCCGGGCTCCAGGCCATGTTTCGTGGGGGCGGTCTTGTGAGGAATGCTCATCCCACATGCCCTGCAGGGTCCTCATTTAAAAAATGGGTAGAACCTACTGTTCCTGCCTCCTGGGGTTGCCGTTAGGATGAAAGGAGATTAACCCACGGGAAGAGGTGAGGATAGTGCCCGGCTCCCGGCAGGAAGTACCCAGCATCCATGGTCCATGTTCTTAACCTGCATTTTATCATCTTCCCCTAGTGGGGGAAGATGCTGGTGTATTTCCATCTCACGATACAGACCTGGGGAACAGCAGGTGTCAACACTGTTATTGTTCAAGGAGATTGCTCTTTATGGAGACACTTGCATGCTTTAGGATTTTCACTGAGTAAGCATGCATATAATGCTGACTCTATATGGCTTCCAGAATTCACCTTAAAAGGGTCTTACTTGATTTAATGTTAAGTTCTAGGTACCATCAATTTCTCTGAAGTAAGATTTCAAAAGGAAAAAATTTAGTAAGCTAATTCATCTCTAATAAGTCAAATTCTTAGCTTTCTTTATTCTATCTCTCTCTTTCTTTTAAAAAATTCAATGAGTAGCTGGCTTAGGCACAATTTAAATGGCTCATCTATGCCGAATCTTGTACCCGAGGTCAACCAATGAGCCAGGGTCACTTGGGATCCAGGCCAAGATCCCCATTCTCTGTTCGTCACTATGAGCCTAAGATAAAAATTCGTGAGTCCTGTCTAAGCAACAAGGCTTGTAGTCCTCCTATGTATCAAAAGTGCTCTTATCATATTACAAACAACTAACATGCTGAGATTATAAACATCCACAAACGCGGACTTCCTCCAGTATTCTATGTGATGTCATCTGGCCCTTCTTTCATATCCGCTTTTATTATGCTCCTGTCCTTTCAAAACAGACTGTGTGCCACAGTACAACAAAAGCCAGGAAACGTCGGCCCTCTGGCAGCGAGACAGAGCTGGAAACAAGGAGAAACTGATAAAGCAGAAACACCTCCAGATGGAGAAGTAAAGAATCAATCCTGACACAGCAACTCAGCCTGGCGTCTTTAAAGCCGGTATCCCCTTACGCACACCTAAGGAAGGCTCCTGCTCTGCTCCTCTCAAAGTGGAGTTGTTACTGAGTTGTTTTCATCAGTGCAGGTGGACATTCCCCAGAAAACGTCCTCTAGCAAACACTTCTGAGAGTCTGCTAAGTGCTAAGATCTAAAAGCCAATAGGCAGGCCCCTTGTCCTTGGGAGAAGACAAGCCAGTGGCAGAAATCAACAGCCCTGAACAGTAAATCCTTAACAACACCTAATCAGCCACAAACTATGTACACCCAACCTAAGGCTCGTGAGTGAGTCCCACAGCCACCCTTAGTCACTGCTCCATAGGGGCTGGACGGCCAGCAGCTGGGATTTCTGGCTATGGGTGGGAACATGACAGAAAGCAGGGAACACAGAGCTTTGTGCAGGGCGGTGTTGGTCTGACACTCTACTGGGGAGAAGCCCGTCGTCCCGATGACGCCACGCGCTTGGATGTGTTTTAAAATGGGGTTCTGATGCGAAGGCAGCGCTGGCCACCGACCTGCTCAGTGAACACCGGAAGTGGCGGGCGGGCTTCTTTCCCTTCTCTGTCGTGATTCAGTGCTTCCTGTCACCCCCAGCACACCCCTCCCCACCCCTGGGGAAGCCACTGCCAGGAACCAGCTCCCTGACATACCATAAACAGTCAAACACTGACGACGCTCCCTGCTGCCAGGTCACTGAAATCTTTTCCCTTAATAGACAATACTCCTCCTCCTGTTGGGAGCAATCCACAGACGCCGGAACACGAGTCAGAAAGGAACAGAGTCCTCTGAAGTCCCCAGAATCGCATGGCTGAAAACGCCCCGAGAGTACCCAAGGGTCACACTCACACATGCAGAGCCTGAAGCAAGCGAGAAGCTGGGGTTTGCTCTCGGGGAACTTAACAGCCAAGGACATAGAGTGAGCTCGAGACCCTAAAGACTCTCTGTCCCTGTGCAGTTCTTTGTGCTTCGTAATGTCTTCATGAGCTACAGGACTGCTCTCCTTTCTTCCGCAGCTGCCCCAAAAGACTGGATCTTTCTGCCCCTGGGCTAGGAGAAGTACCCTTCAGAAGATGCTGCCAAAGGAACTCCCCAAGGTGGGGAGGGGATGAACCTTAAACATTTTCTTTCTACACTTCCACTCTTCTCAAGTCTTCTCATCCTCTTCCTTTATCTCTTTTTGTTCTTTTACATCTTTAGAATGAAGTCTTTGGAAAGGTGGATTTGCTGTATTTGTAGTCAGCTTACATGAGGACCATGGCCATATCTGTGGCTAGAGTAAATTGTCCTTGGCTGGGCGCGGTGGCTCACGAGGTCAGGACGTCAACACCAGCCTGGCCAAGATGGTGAAACCGCATCTCTACTAAAAATACAAAAATTAGCCGGGTGTGGTGGCGTGCACCTATAATCTCAGCTACCAGGGAGGCTGAGGCAGGGAACTGCTTGAACCCAGGAGGCGGAGGCTGCAGTGAGCTGAGATCAGGCACTCCAACCTGGGCAACAGAACAAGACTACATCTGAAAAAAAAAATTGTCCTCTTAGACTGGACTCTGCAGGGGCACCAGGTGCCCATTGGGTGAGAGGTTCTCAGGCTCTGTGAACCAGGAGGCCCATTTATTATCCACTCTACCTGTCACCCACCCTCAAGGATTCAAGCCATTCTGGCAATGTCATAAACCGCCAGGATGAACCTTCTTCCTTCCAATCAGTGTAAACAGTGTTACTGTTCTATACTGGGTTAGTTACAGGATACATTATGAGTTTATACAGCTTCATGGAGTGCCATTGTTCCATTTCTGGAATGCTTCTGAAGTGCCACAGACTGTCATTATTTGGATGGTCCAGGTTAGCAACTCCTCGGCACCGAGCACCTCTATTTTGACTCCTTCTTTGATTTTTTCCTCCCACCAAGTTTACTGAGCATCTATTATGGTCCCAGGTATTGTGCTAAGACTGAGGATACCAGGTTCAAAGATCAGATTTCCAGAACTGGAAAAGATGAGCAAGATGATTAATTCTGGGAGATCCCAGTCTTTTATTAATGAAGACCTACTTTTGACTCTGTTTTTGTTTTTTTTCCCCTATATCTGAGGCTTGTAGAGAAAGGGGCTGTGCTGCTGGAGGCTGAGGCTGACATGCACTCCCTCTGGCTCAGTCCTCACAATTGGGTCGGAGGCAGTAAACTCGTTTGAGACTGACCGGCCAGGCTTCCAAGGTCAGGGAAGCCCCTGCTCCCACGACATTCTTCCCACGAAAACTGGGTGCTACAGAGATTTTAGGGAACTTCCCTAAGATGAAGCCCCAAATATGCAAGCACCAGTGATTCCCTCCATCCAGGAATCTCATCACGATGCTATTGTGATAACATGCTGCCCCTCCCACACCTACTGTCCATCAGAATTCAGTCCTCTTTTCTCTAAACGAAGGCTTTCTGCACAAAAGGTAAAAGAAATCCAACTGTTTGGCCCATTTAAAATCAAGTCACTGAAGTTTCTCTGAGCTCAATCACACTCTTCATCTCTGAGGTTCATCTCTGTTCTTACCACATGATAACGTGAAAAAATAGTTTCTTAAAGAGCTGGCCCCATCATCTCCAGAAATGATGTTAGGGAAGGTCCGTGGAAGGCACAGGCCTGCAGTACTGAAGGCAGAGGCATAACTGCCAACCACAAGTCACTGATTACAATCCAAGAGCACCATTTTCTTCCTTTTATGGGGCATACGACTCTTCCAAACATTGTCCTGCAGATACTTAAGAAAACAAAACAAAGCCCCAAACAAAAACCCGAGCTCCTTACTCCACAAGCGTTGTGACCTCCCGGCTCAGGGCAGCAGCCAGTCGTTCTTGGCTGTGGGAGAGAACCTGGGAGGGCGGCGAAGAGCAGCCAGACATTTTTTCAGCTTGCGTCTTCAGGGGACAGAAACAAGGCATTCTTTCCTTCTGCAAATCCAGGCTAGCAGCTCAGGAAAACAATCACTCCTTTTCCCAGCTGCAGAGATGGCTGGATTGCCTTGGCTGCCTTGCACGTTTCTCCCCTAATCTTCCAGATAAACCATCCCTGGGGTCCCAGGTTTAGCTTCTCGGCAGAGGCCCGTTGTTTTCAGTGAGTGCTAACTGGGAAGGCCCAGGCCAGCTCCCTCCTGCTCTAGTAGAATTATCTGGGTTTAACGGGCTCCCTAGAGCCTCAGTGCTCTTCAGGGGGAGCATTTTACCCCCACCCCCCCCCACACACAACATTTTCTGTGTCTTTTCTCCTAGTTTTAATAGTTGGCCACATGGCTCAGTAACTGTGCCTCTCTCCTCTCTCTCTCTTTCTCTCTCTCTCTCCCTCACTGTTTTCCATTGCATTTTTGCTCTTTTTTGCCAGCTAATGGTAGAAGCTCACCATTGGAGCCTTCATATGCAGTAACTGCTCAGCCTTAACAGACTATTCCCTTCTCTCTTAAATTGATGAAAGACACTTTTTCTCTAATTATTAGAAACAACTAGTGAAATATTTATAGAATATAATAAAATGCACATGAAACAGACTCAACAAGGGATCACGGAAAGATCTAATTTAAAAATCAGCTTAGGATCCAAGTGAGCAATACGCAGTTCCTATCACGGTGGCATAAATGGTTCCTTTGGAGAGTTTTGTGTGATTCCAGAATACTGTTAATCCACACCCCTGGCCTCATTAACCTACAAAGCAACAAGAAAAGGAACTTCAAGCCCTTGGCATCATGCTGTTTACTTTCAATGCATGTTCATTTAGTGAATATATGCTCACTGCATATATTTTAGTGAGTACATATATCTTCACAAGTATCAATGCTCTCTCTATTTTTAACAGTTAAAAAGTGCTTTTCCCAAAGCTGTCCTGAAAAATGTCTTGGGGACACAGACACACACAGCAGAACCTGCTGCAGGGACTTCCCTGGGACAGGCAGACTTCAGATTCTTAGAGCCTCCAGCACTGTGTCAGAGGGCTGCTTGCGGTCAGAT
This sequence comes from Homo sapiens, assembly GCF_000001405.40. Classification (NCBI taxonomy): domain Eukaryota; kingdom Metazoa; phylum Chordata; class Mammalia; order Primates; family Hominidae; genus Homo; species Homo sapiens. The sequence goes on along the minus strand of NC_000013.11, from coordinate 110,337,673 downwards.
GTGGAGCAGGACCTTTTGGATAGCAAGGGTGTGGCTAAGGGGGAACATCAGCCTAAGCCTTCAAAAGCCCCCAGTCTGGACACCATGGGCCATGCTTTGTGAATCCCAAGGCAACCCTCTCTGAGCCTGCCACCAGTACATCCGCCCTCTGACGCTGGTCCAATCTCACTTCCACTGCCCATCAGGAGCTTCCTGCCCATGCTGCTCTGGCTCGAGCCTGGCAACAGCTTCCAGCCTTGGCAGATGCCGCTGGAACGCTTGCTGGGACCATCACTCTGGACTCCACTGCCCATCAGCTGTTGAGCCCTCACTGGCACTTATTAGTTAGGAAAGCCCATTTTAAATCTTACGTTTATGATTCCAAACAGCAGGGTACAGTGTCCTTCACACGAGCCCAGTGGTTTCCAAACTTGGCTGTGATCAGCATCATGCCGGGTGCTTCTAAAACTTCCGGCGCCCATGCCCCATTCCAGAACCGCGGAATCAGAGCGCCAGGACTGCAACTGTCACTGGCCTACAGGCTTACGGATTGAATGCAGTGAGCATATATTATACGTCCTACGTGTACAAAACAGCATCAGCATCCATAGATAAACGCAGTCTGTTTTCCTCATTTCCCCTCATTTCTCCTTGGAACTTTGAAAACTGCATTGCTAACCAGTGCAGTACCCAGAGCAACATTTGGGAACTTCTGATGTAACCTGTATAGGAACTGGTGTGAGTGTCCCGTGAAGGAGCACAGAGGCAACCCAGGCCACGTGGGAATGGATGTTGTCCAGAGGATGCCAGCCCCAGGCTGAATGTGGTGACTCTTCCCATGAACTGCTTCAGAGGGAGCAGAGGAAGAACTGCCTTTGCTGGAGGCTTCCCAGAAGCTGATCAACGAAAGCTTCAGGAATAAGGCCCTGGGGTCAAGGCTCTGTATATAATATGTTCAAACATCCTCGGGAAGGAAGCTCCCAGATGAGCTGCTTGCAGATGAGATGCCACCCCCTGAGGTCCATGTCCTGCCTCCTATATTCCCCAAGCAAAACCCCTGATGCAGATAAAAAGGGACCCCCTTTCCCCAGGAAAGGGAACAACAGTATGTTTAACTCTTTCCTCCACAACATAGTCCTTTACAGATGAAATGAGGCCTACTAGGCCAGGTCGTCGTAAGGATCAGAAAGAAAGCCCAGCCCTGGGCAGCGCGCAGGAGCCCTCCTCCAGCGGCCGCTATTGTTATCCCACCTCCCAGGCCTCTTCTAAGATGCATTTTGTTTTATGGAGCCTATAAAAACCTACTTGTCCAACTTCATTTTGATATTCGCTTCCCATTTTTTTGAATTCATCTATTTTCATGAATAGCACCATTATACTCAACTTTCCGAGTGCAGCGCCATTATGATTCCCTGCGTGTTCATGAAAGATCAGTTATGCTTGAGACAATCAGACAAATTATCAAAGAGAGCCATCAGAATATTTTCCAGGAAAAGAGGAAATGGCCTACTCTCAATTCTCTACTTCAATGTATTAGAGCAGTGGAGAAAATAGTTCAAAATAGCCGAGACTAAAAAAGTTAAAAATCAAAAAACTCCAAGAAGATACATAGAGGCAAATTTTTGCAGTCTTCATTTTCACATATGTCAGCTCTGGGGGGAAAGGTGGGTTAGAAGTAATGAAGTGGCCATCCACAGGAGACTGGATGAGTCTACATTGCCAACAGAAGCCCACGAGAGTCTTCTTTTTGCAAAGCACACTACAGGGGAGCAGACTTCCAGGATCTTGTGGAAACTTTGAACAGTGTGTGCCACAACTATCTGTTTCCCACCCTTGTTTCAAAAACGTGGTGTGAGGATAGTGAAATAGTATATGTGAAGTAGTTTAAACTCCATAGAAGAAAGGCATCTAGTAATTTTGGATCCCAGAATTTTATCTTCTTCAGTTTGAGAGTAAAATGTCACCACCTTGGAGATGGGTGGCCAAGCCTTGTCATGTGATGGGTTTGGATCAGCCAGAGTGGACATCAGGGACAAGAAACTGGAGCTCAGTCACCACTTTGGGCACCAAGGGAGCTGTATTAGTCCATTTTCATGCTGCTGATAAAGACATAAGTGAGACTGGATAATTTATAAAGAAAAAGGGGTTTAAAGGACTCACAGTTCCATGTGGCTGGGGAGGCCTCACAATCATGGCAGAAGGCAAAAGGCACGTCTTACATGGTGGCAGACAAGAGAGAGTGATAACCAAGCAAAAGGGGTTTCCCCTTATTAAACCATCAGATCTCATGAGACTTACTCTACCGCAAGAATAGTATGGGGGAAACCGCCCTCATGATTCAGTTACCTCCCACTGGGTCCCTTTCAAAACATGTGGGAATTATGGGAGCTACAATTCAAGATGAGATTTGAGTGGGGACAGAGCCAAACCACAGCAGGAGCCATGGCTGAAGCATTACAAAGAGAACTCAGGAGTCGCCTGTGTTGGAGACACGGTTGCAGGCAGTGGAGGAGGTCAGCAGACTCCCAACCACAGGATCAATGAACAGGATCCATGAATGTCTGCACCTGAGCCCAGAGGGCCAAGGAGAAGCCCAGGGATGAGAAGTGTGACACAGGCTGGGGGCTCGGCCTCTGCAGAGGGAAGATGCCCAGGGATCAGGGCAGCAGCACAGGTGAGGGACAGAGAGATAGTTGAGGTCACCTGGAGCTGGGCCCCCAGCTCTTTATCTTCCTCCTCCCTGGACTGAAGACGGGCTGCGTGGATCTGACTGTGCTGAATCAGACCGAGGGCTGAAGCAGGCCTGCTCCGGGAGAACGTTCAGCATTTTCCCTGGTCTTTTCTCTTGCACTTCTTTCTACATAACTCGGATTATACTTTCTATACAATTTTGCATCTTTACTTTGTCTTCACATTAAGCATTTCTCCATATTCCTAAATGCTCTGCATAAACAAAGCATTGTTATATACTGGCTGCATAACATTTGTTCTTGGGGAATGGAATTTTCTTGACCTGTCTCACAATATCCTGCATGGAGGCTTTTCCAAGTTTCTTAGACTATAAATCCACACTGTAAGGAGCAAATATGTTCAGCTCATAAACATCTTGAATGAGTGTGCCATGACCACGACAGGTATGAAGGAAATGGAATGTGTTTCTACTTGGGAAGGGAAGCCGCTTCCAAGTGCGAAACCTGGATTTTAGTAGAAATGAGCATGAACACTCTTTCTGGAATGCGGCCATGGGTCTGCTCCCCAGGCAGACGGCTGCTCTGTGGTCTCATCTAAGGGAAGCCTCTGGAACAGAATCCTTAGGGCATCGTGCAGGCACTTCCAACATGCAGATGGTGGTGGTGCTCACAACAGGTTAGATGCGGGCCACATCTGCTGTGCTTGATAAACAAAGGAACGAACAAACAAACCAAGCAGAGTTCCAAAGCTGGGTCAGCCTTTCTGAATGTCAAGAAGGCCGATTTTACTGTCCAACCTAAGGGCATGCGCTATTCAGCCCCAAAGAGAGGCACTGACTGTGCGTCATATTGTACATTTTTTATCAAACGCCTCTGTGTTCAGGCCGTGTCTAGGCACCTGGGGACACAGGCCACACCTGGGTGTGACCCTCGCCCTCAAAGCAAGCATGGTCACTGCCATCCAGCCGAACTCAGCAGGAGCATGGGGCCAGCACCCAAGTCCAGCTCCATGGGCGGTGCCGGCCCCACCATGACCTGACTTTCTAGACTCGGTTTCTTTGTCTGTGAGATGAGGATGACATTAGTTCCTATCTCAGAGGGTTAATCTAAAGGTCACTTGAGGTCATTCGTGTAAAGCACCTTGCCCAGGACCTAGATCGTGATAAGAACTTATCACACAAGGTAAGAGCTCTTATTATTTATAATCATAACTATACAACAAAACAGATGGGACTGCCCAAGGCCCAGAATAAAAGCACACAGAAATATGGCAACGAGTTCAGACTCGCAGAGGCAGTGGCTGTGTCCCGATATGAAAAGTTGTACATTATTGGGGTGTGGGAGCAGGACCACGGTTCGTGAGCGGTCCTCTTCCCATCTCAGGTGCAGTAGGTCGTAGCCAGGGGACACCTCAATCATAACCCATCTTAGGTAAGTTAGAAAATGTTTGGAGAAGAAAAAGTGCTACAAGAAATCGCCCCCATGAAGAGAATTAAAGAAGAGATCAGTGAGGAAAGACAGTGCTCACGGAGCCTGTAGGTACCAGAACACACCTCACAGATAGCAAAGCTGCCTCTGAATGTCACAGCAAACAGCTCAGAGGACCTGGCTTGGACGAAGTAGGCTGGATGTGGGATGGACACTGGGTCCCAGGACATCAGGGCTGCAAGAGGTGTGGGACTCCTAATGTTTTCCAAGAATAGGAAGGTGGAAGCATCTCAGATTTCATTAACAAAGAGTAAGCGGTGGTCCTTCTGTGATGATGAGAGGTACACCTCGAGGCAGGCAGCATTCAAAGAGGTACATTTCTGAGTAACCGGGCCAGTGGCCTTCAGGTGGTCACTACACCCCTGGAGGGGTCATAAGTCAAGGTCAGAAAGTAGGGTGGAGCAGTGCTTTTCTTGGACACTCAGGAATATCTCCTTAGGATGATGGGGCTGACCACATGCACAGCTGCAGCCCTTCACCCTCTGCCCTCTCCAGAAGCAAGCCTGGCTGCCTGCAAGGACCTGGTGGGTTGGGAAGCCTCATGCACCCACTTCTTGCTGACTCAGAGATACAACTTACATAGCTACCATGGGAATTTGGGCTTCTGGAAATAGCACCGTGTGTTCAGATTGTGAAGGACTTTGAGCTCAGCAGTGAGCTTCACCATTGCTGAAAGTAAGCGTGCATTTGAGAATACTGTTGATGCAGAAATATGTGACAAGTCAATTACTAAGGAAACCAGGTACTACTGGAAGGACTCATTGGTCACCTTTCAACACAGAGTTTTTAAGGATGGCAACACATGGTACAAACATAGAAGGGGATTCCTCTATTAAAAGTTAACACAGTAGAAATCTGGATGAATTCATATTTCCGTGGGCCCAACGTTTCTCTCTATCTGCCTGTGCTTGTCTTTTTAGGAACATCATGTACCACCATCAATGTTCAAACTCAAGAGGACAAAAGGAGAGAAGAGGAGGAAAAGTGCTCTAGAAGAAGGTGCTGTGTGTGGGAGCCGTCCTGTCTATCATTGCGACAGGAGAACGAACTTGTGTTGCTGCCACTATCACTTCATCCCTGGTTTACATCCCTCTTGCATTTGAATCTCTGACCGAAACCTAACTAAAGATGAGGAGGACTTGGAAAATTGTTTGCCATGGCCCTTTCCATTCAAAGGTAGTCCAGAAAGCTATTTTGGAGATCCCGCGGTTTTAAATGTGAGCTTGGGTTCTGCAAATAGCCCTTATGTAGGTTTCAATATGCATTTCAAAGCTTTTTGGTGAAGTCTACTTAATGTATACTTGGCTAATAAGCCTTTCTTGACTTAACATTGCTAATATATTCTAGACAGTATAATAAGGTTGAAAAAAGAAAAAAGTATAATGACTAAAAGGATGTAAAACCATCATTATTTGCAGATCACATGATTTTACATACAGAAAACACAACAGAATCTATTGTAAAATTTAGAATTAATGAATGAGCTTGGGAAAACACTAACCATAAAAAATTGATAAATTGGATGACAATAAAACGTAGGCATCAGCTTATTGGACATCATTAAGACAGAAAAGACAGAGTGAAAAAAGGTCTTTGCAACACAGGTAACCAAATGGGCGACTGTATTTAGGATACAAAGAGTTCCCAAGTGGGTATGGAAAATGACACCCAACAGGAAAATGGGCACAAGGCTGGAAGTGGCAGATCACAGAGAGAATAACCAAATGGCCAGTAGATCTATACAAAAGTGCTTGAACTCATTAGGAATCAGAGAAAGGCAAACATTGTGAGAGTAAATACTAGATAGCACATTCTTTTGTTGGTGGTTTTGAGTCGGTGTTTGGAATATTGCCTCCATTCCTCCTACTGCCCTTGGTCTTAGAAACTTGGCTTTGTGGTTGTGAATGATTTGAATCAAGAGCTGCCGGCGGTCTGTGAACACATCACCCTCCCCACCTCCCATGGGCTGTGGGTGCACCTCCTTTCCCACCTCTCAGCACCGTGGAAGTCAGCGGCCCAGTAACGAGGGTCAGGCGTGAGTCTGCATGGGCCAAGGCAGCCACGGCCGGCTGCTCTCCTGGCTCCAGGACTTCATCACTGTTGACGTTAATAAGCCAGAAAAATTAGGATTCGTCCCCTCTTTCCAACAGCCTGGACATCTGAGATGAGTAAAAGGAAAACTACTGCAGAAAAATTATTATGGAGATTTGGGGTAGGTTTTCTATCTCTCAAATAACCCTGTTCTTACCTCCTCTTTTAGGATGATTCTCAAATAATTGGGAACTGTAATATATGACTTTCTCTGTCCTTTGCAATGGCCTGGCACTATCACACGATTTTATTGGCATATTTTAAGACCAGTATAAAATGTTCAAGCTGATTTTTGGAGGATGGTAAGACCATTGTGATCTTTCTAGAAGAAAATTATATCAGTAAATTTCCTTTAAAAAAAAAGCTGCATGGAAAGAAAAAAATATTACTGATCCTAAGAGAATCTGAACACCCAGGGTTTATTTAAACAGCAATTTCATGAGTAGTGATGGCACGGCGAGATCGGGTAGATGGAAGACACACCATAGAGGAATGTGGTGGGGAAGGCTCCCCAGCAGCCTAATAGTCTGATTACCAAACCATTTAGAGAGGAACCACTCAGCCAAAATAGGTCAAAACAGGCAACTCTGCTGGCAGTTACTGCTAGCAAACTCTTCTTAATTGCTGTTTTGGAAACTAATTGCTCTCAGCAAAAAGTATCTAGTAGGAGGTCTTTCATTTAAAGGAGAAGGCCCAAGTCAGCCCTGCTGCATGTAGATACAGCCTGGGAAGGCACCGCAGGCCGCGGGGACCCCATCGTGCCCTGCGGATCGGAGAAGCGTTTCCAAGAGGAGAGGTAGACAGACATCGGACACTTGGAAAAACAAAGATATGCACTCTGCTTTGAACCATAACAGAATCCCAGAAATACTGGCCTGAGGAGGTTTATCCTCTTTTCAGAGTTGCTTAGATGAATTGTGAACAGGCAGATGGGGAGTTTCAATAGACTTCAGGGGATTTGCCCCAATCAGACTGACATTCTGGCTGGGAAGAGCTCTGGAGTTGGGGCTGCCCCCCCGCCTCCACCCCGCGCCTCCCAGCTTCATTCCGACTCGCCACCCACCTACACAATGAAGCCACCGAGTAAAACATCGTGTTACAGCAGTATCTTTCCACACTCGCCCCGAAACCTTACCCCTTCTAATCGCTGACACGTCAGTTGTCTGCTTAGTGACCGTTATAATACCGAAAATTCCTTTATTTAGCTTGCTTGAGATGAAGTCATGCAGCTGTAAGAGTGACTCGCAAAACAAAATCAAGGTCCATTCTCAGTTAAAGGGGCCGTGGAAAGCCTTGAGTCCTTAATGGTAAAACTCATTCTCCGTCTAATTTCATTAGAAAACTGTCACAGTGCTTCCAAATTTTCAGAAGAGTAATTTGTATTTACCAAAAAGCAAAATACACACAGTGTTCATTTGGCAACTTAAAGACATATACTTGAATCTGTCACACTTGGTCTTGTCCTTTAAACAGATGAAAAGTTGGCCTCGTCATATCGTATTTCACTGCACGCACCAACTCACCCTTCACCCTCTGGAATTATGCACTTTGCTGGGTGTGCTGAGCCATCACTGGGCGTTTTTCTCTCCTCCTGCCAGTGCCGTGGTGGTCATAACCTTCCTCTGTCTCTTTCATGGGGTGGTTGAGAATACCAGATGGATGCATCCACCGAAGTACTTCAAACAGAGCCGTGTGGACCTGGAATAATTCGCTTGGGACAAACCCTTTGAGTAAAAGAAAGTCAGGGTTCCAGCACCAGCTCTTCACAAACCAGAGGCCTCAGGCATGTTATTGACTTCCACTGGCATTTTTCCTTTGTCTGTATTTGGTATGACTGCACCTGTGCCCTCTATTTCCAAGGATGCCATGAGGATAAAGTGAGATAACACCTATGAAACTTGGCTTTGACAACCACAAAGAAACCACAACAAATATGTGGCACCCGCAGTGAGGGAAGAGGGTGGGAATGCTCTGTGGTACGGAGGGACCACTAGACGCCTTCCCCTGCAGGGCACGCCCACCTGTGGCTGGCTCTATCTTCCTTCTCCAGCTCCAGAACCACTGCAGCAAGTATGTTTTTTCTTAAAGCGTTGATTCAAGATGATGTTAGTGGGGTGGTGGAGGGTGGTTGCTGCTCTCAGAGGTCTACCGGGAATGTAAGAGTGATTGCAGTGGTGTCTTACATTATTTCAAAATTAGTGTATCTTTGAAAACATTTGCATTAAAAAATCGAATACCCCAAGTATTGAAGTAACAAGCAACTTGCTTAAAGGTCTAAACTTCTCCATTTACTTCTTCATTTTATTCAGATTAGCATGTTTTCTATTTCTGTATCTGATTATGGGCTTTAAACACATTGTGCTAAAATAGAAGAAGAATTTATTTTTCGCCAGAATACAGGACCTCAAAGAAGTATAAAATTTGTTCCATAATGTTGTTCTACAAAGCTCAATGGGTTTTGGACTACTAGAAGGTTCTGTTCATCATTTCCAAAGCAGGCTTTTAAAAACAGTGAGTCATGTAATTTTCTCAAAAAGTGATCTAATATATGAAGTGATTTAGCTAGTGAATTAGATGACAGCATGAGTTTATCAAGACTGCAGTGGACTAGGGCTCCATGGTAGCTTTGGATCCGCTAGGATCTCAGATCTGCTAGGAGACGCTGCTGGGTGACGGAGCCCGCCCGTCTCTCTGGGCGTCATCTCTCTGTCTGCTCTGGGCCCCTGGATCACCTTCACAGCAGTCTGGGCAAGCTGGTCTAGAACGAGCCCTTCAGAGAACAATGTCCTTATCTACCATCCTTACCACCGCACAGTCGTTGAATTAAACGTGCCCAGCAGCCCATTAAGGTAAATGTGTCTGAGCCATCGATTTCTTCTGAAAAGTGCGCTGTTCTATTTTCATATTTCATGAAACCAAGGGATGAGACAGAGAAAGACAGTAAAATGCTCGATGGACACAAATCTCAGCTTGCACCGCATTTGCTTCAGATAGCAGTGAACTTGCCTGCCAGGGGTTGTCTCTTCTCCCATGCCAAGCCAGAGTGGAAAATATTCCTAATTTTATTTAATGGTGGAACAGAAAAAATATCTGAATTGGAAAATTTTGAAAACAGAAACAATGTTTAACTGATTTTTAAACAATCCAACAACTGAGCAAGGAACTCATGGTCCTCCGACAGAGGCTCTTCAGGACGAATTAAACAAATTCGTAATATTTATCAAGAACGTTTGATTTTTGCCCACAAGTAAGTGTCCCAGAAGTTCCTTAAGAAGATTTTTTTCTTAAACAGATTATATTCCTGATCAACTTTTCCAGACTATTAATTTAACTGAAGACTCCTTCTTGCCTACAGTTTACTGCAAAGTCAGAGTGATTAGTCTAGGTTGATGAGGTTTGTGGTGTATGATTTTGAGTTAACAGTTCTATACATCACTTCATCATTTAAAAAACCTTTCATAAAAAAGATTTTAGGAAAATATGATAAAAACTTATTTAGACTTTACTAAGACTATGAGAAATGAATCATTTTGTGTGTGTGACCGAAGAGTTGCAAAGCTGTTTACAGTCACAACTTTGCTTCAAGCGTTAAGTTTTAAAAGATGATGGACAAGTGCTAAGACTTCACCCAGGACAACTGCCTTAACTAATGACGAAAACAGAATTAGCTGGGGTGTGGGCCACAGCAGGGAACTATTTCTCTGGAGCTGTTGGGGGGATTTTAATGCTTCACTGACACCCACAGAATGAATTCCTCTCCTAAAACAACACAAGCTGACTACTTCAAGCTGAATTTCTTTGTTTTCCAACCCAACACCCCACCCCCAATCTCTTCACTATAGAAAGACACACACTTAAAAACCATCTGGGACTATTTAAGAGAATCACTCTAAAGCACATTCAATTGCTTGTCTTTTGATGACAAGAGTCAAATGTAAAATGCAGAGTTATATTTCTGAGACTGACCTGCTGGGACGGCTGGTTGGGTGGTGGAGGTGATATCACAGATTGTGTTTTGGATGGAATCAAATGTGGTCTGTGACGCGAGGAGAAGTTTGTCTGAAATACCCGGAGTGGGTGATTGTGTGTGCTGAGCTCTTGGGGGTTGGTGAGGACCCCCCGGGAAGGGCAGGAAGCAAGCCAGTGGAGGGGTAAACAACCCAACCAGAGTAACTGGGGACGCCCAAATTCCATGGGTGGGGGCCCCCTGGGAATCATAAACCAGGGAGGGAGCAGATGTAAGAGTGTGTGTGCTGGGGACAGGCCAGCCTGGGTTAGCACCTTAGAGTTGGAGCAGGAGGGGTGTGTGTGTGCTGGGGACAGGCTAGCCCAGGTTAGCAACCACAGGGCTGGGGTGGGAGCGGTGTCTGCTGGAGACAGGCAGAGGTATCTGGGTTGTGACTCTGAGTCGCTAATTGAATATTTCTTAAAACTTCTGGGAATAAGAGGAGGGGATACATTAAACAGGCTTATCACGAAGCCAAGCTTATTGTCTATCTTTGATCAGGTCACAAAGTGGTCACGCTCTTGAGCGGGCGGGTGACTGCCATCTGAGACTGTGTGAACTGCTCTGATGTTGGGAACCAACCCACACTCAAGGGAAGGCAGTGCTGTCCACAGGTGGCCGAGCAGAGGGCCAGGTTGACCACCAGGAAATAGATTAGGAATCGGATGGGATGTAGGGGGTTCCACTGGGCACCTCCCAGCAGACCAGGAGTCACTGATGAGGCAGCCAGACAGGCGCGGGGCAGCAGGAAGGGCCCAGCGTGTCCCCTCTGTGTGACCTCGCCCTGAAGGCTGCAGGGCCCAAGAAGGGCCCCAGCATGCTGGGGTGAGTGAAAGCTCAAATGACAGATGTCCTCAAACAGCCTGTTTCCACAATTCCTGGGGCCTGCAATGTGCTAAGGGAAAGAGAGGCTGAAGAGCTATCTCTGTATTGAAACACTTTGGGCAGTACTTGCCAAGACGCCGTGACTCAGGGGAGCAGAAGGCTGGCAGCTGCCACTAGGGAGACAGACAGAGGAGGCTGAGGTTTAGGTGCACGAGGATAGAGAGGAAAGTGCAGGAATTGCACCTTTTGGGTGTTTATTCTATGCCAGACACTGTGGTTAAGTACCTTATGTACACTGTAGAATTTAATTCTACCAGCAACTTGCTGAGGGAGGATTATAAATTCATCTCACAGGGGATGCATTTTCCAATAAAAAAATTCAGATCTCCTCCCAGGTTCCACAGGGACTGATGGAGATGAATTTGAACTCCGAGGTGGAAGCTCCTCACCCCTGGGCGAAGGGCAGGTGCCATCTGGGTTCTGAGCAAATGACTTAAAATGAAATTCGGGGCTGGGCTTGGTGGCTCATGCCCGTAATCCCACTACTTTGGGAGGCCAAGGAGGGAGGATCACTTGAGGTCAGGAGTTCAAGACCAGCCTGGCCAACGTGGCGAAACCCTGTATCTACTAAAAATACCAAAAAATTAGCCCGGCCTGGTGACGCACGCCTGTAGTCCCAGCTACTTGGGAGGCTGAGGCAGGAGAATCGCTTGAACCCAGGAGGTGGAGGTTTCAGTGAGCTGAGATCTCAACACTGCACTCCAGCCTGGGCGACAGAGTGAGACTCCGTCTAAAAAAAAAAAAAAGAAATTCAGGAACAGGACACATTCATAAGGCAGGAAGTGCCTGTTTCTCCTCCTTGACAATGCACAAAGCAAAGTGTAGCTTCCGTGTCCCGAAGGGAAGGGCAGCACCTACCGGGGTAAGCAATCTGAGAAGACAGAAAGGCTGAAGCGACACGGGGATTAGAAGCCTCCAGGAGGAAGCCTCCAGTGATCAGGCAGCCTTAGTTAAGTGTTCAAGCCCAGCGTCCTTTACCTCAGCCACTGATCTTCCAATACGATTTCCCTGGGAGACACTTCTATGATCTATCTGGTTACTTAACCTTTGCTTTTATCTCTAATAGGCGGTTTCTTTCATGGAATTTTCCAAAGGACTCTGTCTGAGAGATGTTTTAACTAGAGCCCATCAATGCATGGCAGACCATCACCAGGGAGAATCAAGTATCACTCCAGGAGAAACAGGGCTGCCTTTAACAACTTAGGGAGGTAACAGGTGGGGAGGAATGTGCTTTTGACTTCATTTCAAAGAGAAAAAAATCTTCGGGTAAACTCTCCACAAAGCATTAGTGTCACTTTCTGTTTCTGATCATTGGTTCTAAATGCTTATTAAAAATGCGTTGATTTCCGATTATTATTATGGACACATGTGGCTTAAACTTTGGTAAAAGGCTGAGCTAAGGTGGATGGTGTAAGAAAGTCCATCTTTGTGGGGACGCAGACGTTTTCATACAGTCAGTTACGATGCCTCTTCTCCCCATCCTCCTTGTGCATGTGAAGGCTGCTTTTGCCATGCTAAGGGTCGAACGTGCTCTCAGGCATGACATGATCCTGGAAGGCTCAGTCCCACACGTCAAAAGATAAAGAGCTTTGTAAATGAGAAATTCCTTAACCCTTCCAAAGAACCAACAGATGAAAATTATCTTTCCCTCACCCAATTCCTAAAGCTGTATCAATCAGCAGGCAAGCGTAGGGTGGTCCTCACCACGTTTTAAAGATTGGCGGGAGATTCCAGGGGCCGGGAGGCCCCACCTACACATTTTTCTATTGCTAGAAAGCAACCACTCAAGGCAGAAACAATCCCGAGGCCAGAAGAGCCCTCCAGAGGCTGTCTTCTAGGACCTGCTGCTCACTGTGGCACCCTGGGCAGCAGCACCACCATCACCTGGGAGCATTAGGAATGCAGAGTCCCAGGAGCCCCAGACCTGCCTGATCCAAATCGGCTGAGTCAAACGTGCATCCGTTCGGGCAGTGCTGCTCCGGCCCATCTCTTCTGACCCCCAGCCAGGACTGGGGCTTCATGTCCAGTATGCTTTCTCATGCATTCAGGCGAAGAGACCTCCCCTCCCCTGTGGACTCAGATCCCTCTCCTTGTGGAAGTGCCTTCTCAGGCAAGCTCCTTCCTCCAGTAGCCTCAATATCAAGAGCCCAGCAGGACAGGTGTCAAGAAGGAGCGAGTCCAGTTATCGCCCACCAGTGGACATTGGTGGATGGTGACCACCACATCCAGGGACTGTGTGATTTTGGCCACCAGACCACCTTCCACATTCTTACCCTTGACGCCCATGAAGCTGAGTTTCTGGGAGTGCCAAGAAGGCCACTGGCCAACCTCTGCCTGCCCTGAAGAAAAGCACAGCTCAGCTCATAGACTGCTCACTGGCCAGATGCCTGGCTTCCCTTTGCATTGAAGCTCAAGAAAAAAAAAAACCATGCTATTAAATTGAAATAGTTTGGCACTCTGTCTTGCAGTTGAAGCATATTTTGCATTAGTTTGACTTTGCAGATAAGCCAATGTCTGTCTACCCAATAATTTTTTCGACTGTAATTCAAATCAAGTGAAACCAATGAGAGAGGAACCTTCAGTTGACCCAAGGTGCACATTTTTGAGGGCCATGCCTTTCGCACTCAGCATAATGATTTGTGTTGTGATTCTGAACAAAAAGTCCCCAAACTACTTAGCTTCGGTCCTGGCCAGGAATCTCGACTTTCCCTCTCTCTTTCCTCCCACCAGCTCTGTCTATTGTGTGGCTTAGACTCCAGCTGCTACAGCAGATGCCCAGCTGGGCGCTGGGGGCAGCGTGCCCATGGCTTGGTCCCTGTCCTCAGGGAGCCACCTGGGGCCTGTGCTTAGATTTGGTGTGGAGGAGGAAGCCCCTTTCCTTTGGAATTTTCTGACTTCAACTCCACCTGCCCTTATTGTATGCAATACTGCAGGTAGCAGGTAGGGGAAGCTGGCACTGGGCATCCTGCATGCTCTGTCTGTCTAGGAGAGGAGCCTGTGGGCTGGCCCCCAGCTTCCCAGACACTCATTCTCTTCAGCTCCAGGTTTTACAGCTGCAGAGACATTATATTTAGCATGACTAACTCAAAAAATATAAAAGCAAACAGCAAGACGGCTGTCCAGCTTCCACAGGGGGGGCCCTCATCCCGATGCCTGACATCATCTCAGGCAAGGAACTGCCTGTGGATGCGCTCCTCCTCCCAGGCATCGGGGCATCACCTGGTTAGAGCTCCCTGACCACAGAGGGTGCAACAGAAATTCCAGAGTCACCAGTGGGCCTCTGATGTCCAGTCATAGGAATCTAAGGCAGTGGGGCAGCAACAGGCCCTTGAACTCTGGGGAATGTAGCTCCCAACCCCTGTGGTATGGACTTCCCATGGACTGACACCTCCCCTCAATCAGCTGCAAGTTTTCATAGAATCAGTGGATCCCTATCTTTGTCTACTTGCTCCTCCTAGACTGTGCAACAGTGCCCAGGCTGGGTTGGTTGTAACAGCTGGTATTGGGGGTCATGCCAAAGCCTTCAAAATGTAAAAAGGAGATGGCAACACGCCCTTTGTTAGCCTCCTCTGGGCATCCGCCCTCCCGCTCCAGCTGACCTGACTCGGGCGGCCTCAGTAGCCTCTGATCATGCTGCCAGCTGCGCCTGCAGAGAAACCTTAACTATCTTAGGGTCCCCGTGGAAGAGTTAAATAACACACTGATTTAATAAAATTACTCCAGCATCTATGTGAAGGTCCTGTGCTGTGGGAGGACCTGGTGATGAATAAACCAAGTTCCCAGCCCTTAGCAACCTGAAGTCTAGCAGGGAAGAAGGGCAGTGACCAGAGGTGGACATCGGCTCCCTGTCTCCACTCTCCATCTTCTGACCCCAGTACCACAGGAAGAGGGGAGGCTGGTGACCGTCAGTTTGGTGAAGCCATGGGGAAGATCTAGGCCTGCACCCGATCACAGCCTCCTCTCACAGCCCCTCCCGGGGTTCCCCATATGTCTTCTCCCCTTGTCTTGACGCGTCCATCCCCTGTCCTCCTCCTGAGGAATCTCACGCAGTTCTGGGGCTTCAGGAACTGCTCCAGGAGAACTGCTTTAGGTCTGGTGCCTGCACCTGTGTGGGCAACCCAGACCTCGCTCACTGGCTTCCCACCCAGACACCCGGTTCCCTCCTGGACAGCTTCCCATGCCTGTCCCAGAGGAAACCAACTCAGTGCGGCCCAAGCCAACCTCCTTCGGGAGAGTGGTGAACGTTTACCAGAAAGCAAAACAAACATCAAGAACAGAGGCACGGGCAGGCCGCCTCCGAGAGACAGGCAGGCAGGCCAGCCCCAGGCTTCCTTGCCCCCTGCTCCTTCATCTGGAGCTGGGTCTCACATCGCCATTTCCTAAACCTCTCTGATTTGCAATACCTGACATTAACCATTTGAAACCTGTCAACCAAAGAAACAAAACTGAGTTTAAAAATAAGAACTTTAAAAAGCATAGCACTGTTACTGGGGCTTAAAAAGGAAGGAAATTCTGCCACTCACTACAACATGGATGCATCTTCAGGACTGATATGGTTTGGCTCTGTGTCCCCACCTAAATCTCACCTTGAATTGTAATCATCCCCACATGTCAAGGGTGGGGCCAGGTGGAGCTAACTGAATTATGGGGATGGTTTCCCCCATACTGTTCTCATGATAGTGAGTTCTCCTGAGATCTAGTTTTATAAGCATCTGACATTTCCCCTGCTGGTACATTCTCTCTTTGCCTGCTGCCATCCATGTAAGACGTGACTTGCTCCTCCTTGCCTTCTGCCATGATTGTGAGGTTTCTCCAGCCACGTGGAAATGTAAGTTGATTAAACCTCTTTCTTTTGTAAATTGCCCAGTCTTGGTTATGTCTTTATCAGTAGCATGAACATGGACTAATACAAGGACATTATACTAAACGAAGTAAGCCAGTCACAAAAGGACAAACACTGCCTGATTCCACTTCTGTGAGGTCCCTAGAGTAGTCACACTCAAAGTGACAGAAAGTAGAATAGATTAACAGAGGGTGGGGGAAGGATGGGATGCAGAGGTATTTAATGCACATGGAATTTCTGTTTAGGATGATGAGCAAGTTCTGGAGACGGACAATGGTGACAGTTGCACAAAAATGTGATATGTTTAATGCCACTGAACTGTCATTTAAACATGGGTACAATGGTAAATTTTATGTTACATATATTTTACCACAATTTAAAACAATGAAAAAAATATTAAAAATGGACACAGGTTTGCATTATGTGTATATATATATGTACACTCTCTATGTGTGTGTGTGTGTGTATATATATATATATATACACACAGACACATACACACACACACACACATGCACACTATATAAATACGCACATATATGAGACCTGATGTGACATTAGTAAGATTATCTTCAGATGGTTAGTTTATCAACACTGTGTTTGTAAGGTAGGTGCTATATTGATAATGTGCCAAGATTTTATTTTTTATTACAGGAAAGTTACCTAGTTTTTAAACACATGAAATATTTAGAAAGAATAAAGATCTAAGGTAATTTTTTTAAATGTGAAAGACTAAGAAAAGCCCATGAAACAGGCCTTTTTTCTATGTTTATTCTTAGACACTCTAGTTAATTAAACCCAATGAGGAAGAAAAATCAACATGAAGGCAAAAATGTTGCCTGAATCAACAGTTGTAGCCTTTTGTTCTCTCTCACTGATGAGCTAGAAGTGTTGAAAGAAGAGATGTTTTTGAAAGGTGCTATAAAAAGGAGAAAAAGGCAACTTTTAAAACGGATGAATTCTATCTACCTATGATCTTTCCTTTTAAATACACTTATTTTCTTTGAGACGCTGCTCTGTTTTGATATAAAAAGAAGCAGATGGCCTCAGAGTTAGACTTTGTTCAGAGGGAACTAAACTTTCCAGTTATTTGAAATATCTATCGGTGTCATCCCATTCCTTGTTCTGGAACTTCTAGGCAGGATTCAGTACTATTCTTAATTGCTTTTACTTCTTAAGTAAAGAATTCTTGGATTAAAAAAAAATCAAGCACCAGCATGACTAATCTGACTTCCTTCCCCCTCCTGAGTGAAATAACTCATTTGTTTCTAGACCATTAAATTCCAATCAGGTGAGAAGCAGATAACAAATCACTCTTGTTGGAGAGCAGAGAAATCGCCCAGAAATCACAGCACTGGGAGTCCAGGGGAGGTGCCAGTGGCACCCACGCGGCAGGGGGTCGCCGTAGGGGGCCAATGACTGGGTCACCCAGTGCCCGGAGGTGACCTGGCAGTGCCACCCGCCAGCCCCGCCTAGCCACCTTATGTAATGGGTTAGGACTGTTCCTGGGTTGTGCGGCTGCGCCTGGCAAAAGGAGAGCCCAGTATGCGAGAACCAGAACCTTCGGGTGGACAGAGACACATTCACAAAAGCCAAGGCAGACAGCTGAAAACTCACTGTGCGGTGTGCCTTAACTAGAAATGCGTTGACTTTTCCAACCTCTGGCGCCTTGATGTGGGTAACCACCACAAAACCTGATGTCTGCACTTACCGGCAGGAAATTGACATATCACTGAAGATACACAATTTTGGCCTACTTGCTGTTAAGATTCCTTGTTTTACAACAGGAAGGAGGAGGCCGGACAATAAGAGCTGATGACTAAGACTAAGGAAATCCTGTCTGAGCTAAGACTGTCTTGGGAGGAGAAGGGAAGAGGGCGCTGAAATCTGGCGGGAACAGCTAGGAAAGGAAGGTGGATTTCAGACAGGACAGGAGATCACCTCAGGTCCCTACTTGGTCTTGAATTGTAACTTGGATGCTTGTTACAATTAGGACAACTACCAAATAAGGAAGAAAGGGAAGGAGGTGAGGTTCTTCCCTGAAATTTCCAGCGGGAATCTTCCTCAGGGAACCCACGTCTTGGCCTGACTCACCTGGCTGTTGGAGGGTACGGGCTAGTCTGGGAGGCCTTTCCATGCTAATCTGAGAAGTAGTTGCGCTGCTAGGAAATGGTATGGAGGGAATCTTTCTGCTCTCTCAAGAAGGAAACTCTCTCCTAAGATTCTGTTCTGCATTTTTATGTCATGTTGCCAAACCAAAGCCTCTTGAGTTTTCTTGCTTTGCTAAATTATACTTGCATCTCATGGTTATTTGAACAAATTGTTCTTTGTTTATAAGTGTTTCCATTTGTTCTGGAAATAAGTTAGTTACACCTTGACTGAAATTTAATTAATATTAAAATGTTTCCTTTGGGTGACATTTCCTAAACTTAAGGAAAATGGAAATAACCGTCTCAAGGCATCAGGAAGGCGCATCTCCACCAGTTCTCACTCAGCGGCCATCTGCTCAGAGCCACCAGGGTCTCAGCACTCCAGGCACCAGAATCGTGAAGACTAAAACCTCCCCCCACAGGCCCCCGCACCCACCAGTCCTGCTGACCCACTTCCTCCTGTCCCAGTACCATGGCTAAGGTAACTCTAGGCTAAGATGACTGCACTCAGGAGAGGCCCTTCAAGGATGACCAAGAAATACGTGAGAATGGGCAAAGGGACAATTTCACCTGCAGAACCGAGAATCCTGCAGACACAACCCCCAACCTGCCCATAATGAAATATGGAATATTTCATTATTTCATACTGTTAACTAGAGTTAACAATAACTCTAGTTAACTTGAACTTCACTCTCTGTGGCTTCAAGTTCTTTAGGTATTGAGGATGAAGACCTAAAAAACAACAACCTAAAGCCAGGTAGATGTGAACTAGTGTTGATCAAGCACCGCAATGCTAAGATTGCTAAACTCTCTACAGCCAATTTCTTCTTGCTCCTCTGGGCACGTGCATAAGGTAAGAACTATTTTAACCCAGTTTTAGAAATGTAACTACAGTGTAAAGAGTTGAATACTCGCACCAACATCACCTGGCTGGGCAGCAGCAACAGCAGTTTCGAACCCAAGACCCCAGCTGGCCCTATTTCTGTGGGGCCCATGCCTGAGTCCTGACATTTCCTGTGAGCAGGGTGAGTGGGGGCTCTTATAGGTGCTTGCTGATGAGTACAACTGCATACAAAATCAATCGTACTGAACGTCTCATATAGAACAAATAAAGTGGCTCTCAAATAGTGAACGTCTGCAGGTTGCTTTCTTACCATGAATAATCCTAGATGACATATTTAAAGTAAAGTTGGGTCAGATATTTGGACAACCCAAACCATACCCGCGCGCACACACACACTGATCAGACTTCACGGTTCCTTGCTTGTCCTTGCTCTGACCCAGACACGAGTCCATGGTGTTCTAGAACTCGTGAGTGAATTATTCCTAGCAGCATCAGACATGTTCATTTAATGAACGAATGTCACATACATGAGACCCTGGGACATAGTTTTCAGTATTCCCGTTTACAGATGAAGACAAGCATTCTCAGAAAGGAAAAGTGACTTTTCCCAGTCGCTGGGCTCAAGCCCACAGGCTCCACTTCTTTTTAACAGACCACACCTATCCTCCTGTTGGCGCATGGGGACTTCCATGAAAAACAGCAGCACAAACACGGGGCGGTGAGAGAAGACCCAGCGTAAGGAAGCTGGCATTGGTCCAGGGAAAATGGAATCCCCTGTCTCTCTGTAGTGCCCACTGGGTTTCCTGTACGTCTAAGATAATTTTGGGAAGGTCTCTTTTGCCCATAGCGTTTCAGTAAGTCTTTCTCTAAATTAGGACTAGCAGAATTTTCCAACAGCCAAACATAAAGCCGTGTTTGCCCCTCCTTTTCCCCTTTACATAGCTGCAGCAGCATTTACCCCAGTGGCCCGGAGTTTCAAGCCAGACTTGGAGAGGGCCGGTTGGGGGTTGTGTCTGCAGGACTCTTGGTTCTGCAGGTGAAATTGTCCCTTTGCCCATTCTCATGTATTTCTTGGTCATCCTTTAAGGGCCTCTCCTGAGTGCAGTCATCTTAGCCTTTACTTTTCAGAGTTCATGAGGCTACTCAGTCACCCTCCCGCCTCTGTCCAGCCTCTCTGCAGAAGGGACCCTAAAGAAACAGGTCTGTTTGATGCTCCCCAGAGGCAGGTATAGTCTTTTTCTGCCTTGGCTGCTCCCATGAAGAAAGAAACCAGGAGCGTCCTCCGGCTAAGTGTGTGTGTGTGTACACGCATGAGCATGTGTGTTTATGTGTGTGTACATGTGTTTCTGTGTGTGTGTGGGTGCAAGTGTGTGTCTCTGTGTATTTGCATCTATGTGTATGTGCGTGTGTGTGTGCATCTGTGTGTATGTGTGAGTGTGGTGCAAGTGTGTCTATATGTACATGTGTGTGTCTGTGTGTGTGGGGTGCACGTGTGTGTCTATGTGTGCATCTCTGTGTCTATGTGCATGTGTGTGTGCATCTGTGTGTCTGTATGTGTGTGTGGGGTGCAAGTGTGTCTATATGTGCATGTGTGTGTCTGTATGTGTGTGCTGGGTGCATGTGTGTGTCTACGTGTGCCTGTGTGTCTATGTGCATGCATGTATGTGTGCATCTGTGTGTCTGTGTGTGTGTGAGTACAGGGTGCATATGTATGTGTGTGTTCTCTCTCTCTTTTATCTCTATCATCTATGTCTGTATATTCCATGTAGATTGATAACATATTTTCTACATATAATATACATATCTATGTTTTACATGTACCACAATTTCTGTATTTTGACGTGTATATATATTCTGTGGCTGGGGCTTATTCACCTAGCCAGTGGTTAAGAGCAGAGGTTTTAGAATCGGCAAGTTCTAGGTTTCACTCCCCACTTTGTTCCTATTGACCTACCAGGTGCCTTCCTGCACATGCCTCAGTTTACCCATCTGTGAACCATCCGTGGCTTAGAGCAGTTTGCAGCACCAGTGGCTCAGCAAACAGGATTTGCTATGTTTCTTCGCAGGGTGTTTTAGCTGCTCCGAGAGGTTCTGGAATGCTGGAAGCATCTTCAGGATGCTCTCTTAGGTTTGGTTCTGGTGATCCCACAAAGAATCTCCCAGGGGACCTCTTCCTTTCACCTAATCTGGAGCCAGTGTCACTGGAAGGCGGGGAGGACAGAGCGGGAAGGAGGGCCGGGCTGGTGGCTCCAGGGCCTGCATCGCTGCGATGCTCCTTCCCGACACAGTTTGCAATGATTGCATCACGGCTGCCAATCGGCATCTCCTTTCTCTCGTGGACAAACCATGGCTTTTGATGCAGTCCAGGGCACGTGTGTCTGACCCTGTGCACCAACAGAAGCCCTTTTCCTGGATCTCACAGGGTCCCATTACTCCACAGTCAGGGATCCAAAAACACTCAACATGTGGAAAAATATTGTTATATAATATTTACCACCAGGTACCAGATAATCAGTCCATGAAATTCAAAAACACACATTCTTCTCTAATTCCCACATGAGAGATCACTGAACTGGGTAAAAGCAACAAAACAGGAATTCTATGGGTGGGGTTGAAACAATCCCTAGGAAAAAATGCAAATCTTTCAGACTGATCCATGATTCCTTTATCATCATATACGGCTAGTTTTATCCAGTGGGAGAAAGCAGATAATTTGGGAAAAAAAAACCCACAGTAAGAATAAATACATTTTAATCTCCTCTTTTATTAATAGTTCCATGACTGTACTCCTCATCCAAAGGATCTGCTTGCATTGCTGCCAACTAACTGCAATCATTTATGTAACAAGCTCTGTTGAGGGCCCACTGTATTTCAGGCCTCGGGCAGATAAAGGTACCCATGAATCATTCCATGAGGGCCGATGCAAGATGCCCTGAACTTGGACTGTGGGAACAGCAATGTCAGCTAAAGAAGACATGTTACTGGGAGAAAAAGTGGATGATGGCAGGGCGTGGTGGCTCATGCCTGTAATCCCAGCACTTTGGGAGGCTGAGGTAGGCGGATCACCTGAGATCAGGAGTTTGAAACCAGCCTGGCCAACATGGTGAAACCCTGTCTCTACTAAAAATACGTAAGTTAGCTGAGAATGGTGACTCGTGCCTGTAATCCCAGCTACTTGGGAGGCTGAGGCAGGAGAATCACTTGAACTCAGGAGGCAGAGGTTGCAGGGAGCCAAGATCACGCCACTGCACTCCAGCCTGGGTGACAGAGTGAGACTCCACCTCTAAAACAAAAACGAAAACAAACAAACAAAAAAAGTGGATGATGGGTGAAGACAAATGTTTCAAGTCTATAGAGCTACAATCATGACTTATAATCCTCGATCCTAAAGAATTTAAAATCCTATCAGTGGAGAAGACACTTTAGCTAGACCCTGAAATGGGCCTCAGTTGCAAAGGACAGAGGCTCCAGCCATGTGCAGGTGTGTGATACCTGCTGCGGGTCACCTGATAGAAAGGGACAGGCCATCCTTATCCCCCCGGGGCTAAGGCCTGGAGTGCAGACAGGGTGTGCAGAGCAGAACTGGCAGGGGCCGGGCAGAGGCGGCTCTGCTCATGCTTCTCATTTCCAGTTATCAATGGCAGGGTGATGACAGGCAACTGTGCAAGGCAACAGCCACTGGCCATCCTGGCTCCAGGCCCCTTTCCCTTGGCCCCTAACTAACACAGAAGCTGAGGCCACTGAGAGGCTGGGACTCTGAATCCCACTGCCATGGCCTGTCCCTTTCTATCAGGTGACCCACGTGTGCAGGAGGCCTAAGTCCTCCACCAGCCACCAGCCACCTGCCACCTGCCCGTCCCTGTGGCCCATGGGGTTTCCTAGGCAGGCGGGAAGGGGGCTCCCATTCTGTGCAGCCCAGGAGGGCACGAGGGTACTGCCTGATGCGTTCCTAGGGGTGAGCGCGTATGGGCAGCACCGGGCTCCTCCACTGTCAGTTTTCTGTCCTTGCAGCGACACTGTGATACAAGCCTGCCCTTCCATCTTGGGCTCAGGAAACAACGGAGCGGCCACTTCCCTCCCCAGCGAAGAAGAGGCCCCATGACAGCTCCACCGGGCCTCCCATGTGGTGCTGCAGAAACTCCACAGGGAAACCTCCCCGTCTTCACAAATGACTCCACCCACGGCCAGGGGACAAAAATCCTTTTACTCAGGCTTCGCTTGGGTCTACCTCTGCTGTATTTTCCACTAAGTGGAAGAGACTTCTGTTCACTTACTCTATGAGAGAAAAGAATGGGAGCAACATTTCCCTCTTGCTGCCCACATCTGCTCATTCGAGACTGGCTGCTTTCAGCCTTCTCCATGCACTTGTCCATCTGACCCATGCACACCAAATGTGACTGGCTGCTGACTCCTGGGAGCATTTTAAAATTCTGAAGCAATTGAGATTTGCAGAAGAGTTGCAGAGATAGTACAGAGAGTCCCTGTATACCCTTCACCCAGACATCATGATGTCATATTGACATTTTATAAAACTATGGCACATTTCTGTGAAAACTAAGAAATCAACA
The DNA here is from genome assembly GCF_000001405.40 of Homo sapiens. Taxonomy (NCBI): domain Eukaryota; kingdom Metazoa; phylum Chordata; class Mammalia; order Primates; family Hominidae; genus Homo; species Homo sapiens. Next base: position 110,314,129 of record NC_000013.11, on the reverse strand, counting down.
TTGGTACAGAAATCAACATTATCACATTGAACTGCAGCCTCCGCTAGAATCTCACCAGTTTTTCCACTAGTGCAGCTTTTCTGTCCCAGGACCCGCCCCAGGATACCAGGCTGCACTTCAAAGGAGCCGGTTTTACAAAAAAGCATGTTGCTTCAAAAGGCAGCTTCATCCAAGGCAACAGAAGACAGTGAAGCAGAGTACTCAGGAGCCAGCCAGGAGCTCAGGAGACAGGGGAGGGGCTGGAACCCAGCACCGAGGTAGGAGCCTGCCGGGTGGACGCGGGGCACCGGGGTGGGAGCCTGCCGGGTGGACACGGGGCACTGGGGTGGGAGCCTGCCGGGTGGACGCGGGGCACCGGGGTGGGAGCCTGCCGGGTGGACACGGGGCACTGGGGTGGGAGCCTGCTGGGTGGACGCGGGGCACCGGGGTGGGAGCCTGCCGGGTGGACACGGGGCACTGGGGTGGGAGCCTGCCGGGTGGACGCGGGGCACCGGGGTGGGAGCCTGCCGGGTGGACACGGGGCACTGGGGTGGGAGCCTGCCGGGTGGACACGGGGCACTGGGGTGGGAGCCTGCCGGGTGGACGCGGGGCACCGGGGTGGGAGCCTGCCGGGTGGACGCGGGGCACCGGGGTGGGAGCCTGCCGGGTGGACGCGGGGCACCGGGGTGGGAGCCTGCCGGGTGGACGCCGGCTGCTCGCACGTCCTTTGAAATTCACTCTCTGGCCACATCAACAGGACTGGAGACACCTGTGAAGTCTCCCTAGAATTAGATGCCGCCTTCTCCTTTCAGGGGTAACCAAAATAAAAATTACCGTCCTCCGGAGCCACCAATGAAATCAAGAGCAGTGAGTCACTTAGGCCGTCACCTGTCCTGACAGGGTCTCATTAACTGAAGGGAGTGGGCACCAGAGGGAAACAGCAAGAGGGGACTATCCAGGAACTCTGCCCTTTTCCTCATCTCAACTGAGAAATGTCACATATTTACTGGATTCCAGAAGCTTCTCGACACCGTGAAGATAAAAAGTCCCATGTGGCATATTGATTTCTAAGCGATATCCTGGTGCAGGCTGGATAGATTCTATTCTGGAGCTTATCTGGAAGGGCTTTCTCATCCCCAGCATCACAGCGGAGACCCCGGCTCACCCTCACAGGTCTTAGCACACCTGCACAGGCCAGCCCTCACTGCTGACCTCTAACTTACTCATGGTATGTTGATCACCTGAGAGATCCATTCCACACAACATTCTCTTCCAGGCTCCAGAGCCAAAGCACGTAAAGTGTCTTGCCCTGAAGTCAGAACCCGGTTAGCAACAGGCTGGATTAGACTTTATGGCCTCTCAAGACTATTGTGTCATTCCTGGTCCCTGATTCACAAGCTCTATCAGCCAAGGCTGGGGGTTGCAGACATTGCCTCCTACCTTCAGCAGTGATCACACAGTAGACACCAGCAGACACAAAGCATGAGGCCAGTTTCAGAGCTTTCTCTAAAACCCTCTAATCAAAGACAAACATTCTTCTTCAGATAAAAAGAATGAGACATTCTCAAACCACTTTCTAGATGGTGATCTCTTCATTATATTATCAACACAGGGTTGAAAAGTTAAATCTCCATGGCACTCAGTTTTTCCCTTGAGTTTCTCTATTATTTAAACTACACATCCATTTTCTTTCCCTCTCCCCAGAAACACAATTAAACACAGTTCTTTGATTTTTATTATTTTAGCAAAATCTTTTTTCTATTCTAGAACCTTTTCCTCTTCACCTCTCTCTCTCTGGTTGTAAACATAGCCGCCTGGTCGTACAGAGCCTGTTTCCTCTCCTGCGCTTTTCGGTTTACCCTTCCTACCCACCTCTCCTTCTGGGATGCTGCTGACAAATCTCTGCTATTATTTATCGTGGCCAAGTCCTACAAGCCACCCATGGAGGAAGACTTTAACAGCCTCCAGAGAGCTGAGATATGCTTGTTTATCCACGAGCAGAGGAGGAACCCCGTGCTTTTCCCTTCTTCTCAGAGGGCCATGTTTTGAGCAATAGCGCTTCAGCTCCAGGAAATGCAGGAAAGAATTGTCCTTCCCGATCCTTACAGAAAGCTCTGGGCCTCGTGCGGCATGAACACCTCTCCTCCCTGTACCAAAGCCTGCGGAAAGGACTTGCCACCGCAGCTGCCGGCCTGGAGGGCAGGGAAGGCGGTGGCAGCCAACAGGAAGGTCAGGCGAATTTCCTGGGGCTGGAGCCCCGAGGACAGCCTGGAAACTAAGCGGCAGGGTGGCAGGCAGGGGCCCCGCACTGATGCCTACGTGAACCCACGTCTATTGTGGCCCCAGGTCCCGGCCAGAGGTCCTCAGGTGACCACCCAGCCGGCTGCATATTTGATCCCTCAGGCTGCTGCCAGCCTCTGGAGATAGGTGACAATGCTCAGAGCGGCTACAGTGAGTGCTTTCAAGCCTCCATGAAGGTTAGAATAGGCAGCCGAGGGGAAGTCCCTTAAACAGGCCCAGGGGATACCTCCTGGCACCCAGGCTGTGCCAGACCCTCCAAGGCGCTTCACATGCACCCACACACCTCACAGCACCCCCATCTATGAGGTGGGTGGGATGAGTAACACCTCCGTTTTGGGGGAGAGGAGAACTAGGACGCAGAGGCTTGGCGAATGTCCGCCCCAGGCGGCAGCCCCTCAGCTGCCCACCAGACTGAGAACTGCACCCCGTCACCTGCCTCAAGTCTGGGATGGGACCCCTGTGTCACACTGCCTTACACGAAGCCATTTTGTGCATCTTGGCACCACATTCAAACAAGGGCACCTTTAGAAAGGGCACCTTGGACAGCAGGGAGTGTGTCCTGAGGTGCCCACACAGATCACCTGGGTTCACACTGAGTCTAGAGCCCAGGCTGCCCCGTGGGATTTCGGCTTCCTTTCCTCCCTTTGGGAAGGGTCTTGCTTCTCTCCTTCACTTGCTGCCCCTGATCCTCACAGTGGGAGAAGCAGAGGAGGAAGGAGGGGGAGAGCCTCCTTCCTAGGAATCAGTGCCCGCTCCACTGTTAGTCCACGGTCAAGACCAAGAAGAAAGCACCCACACCCCAGGAGACTCAAAGACTGAAACTCAGGAGTGCCCTCCCGGCCACCTTTCAGGCCCTGGGAAGCTCGGTGTGGAGGAAGAGGCCTGGGTTCTAATCCGTCTCATTCAGTTACAAAGACAGGAACCTTGGGCGAGGGCTGCAAACCCTTTGTGGCTTTTCTCACCTGTAAAATGGGGGTAATAATAGTTACCTAGCTCATCAGTGTGCTTGCTTGTGAGGATTAGAAGCATTAGTACAGACAAATTGGCACACAGGAAGTGCCCAATAAGTAATCACCAAGGCTCTTCACTGCCCATCCTAGCTGCTTCCGAAACAAAACAAGCCAAAGGGCTCCCAGCGGCAGCCCTTTTTCCTGAACTGACCTACGCAGGAAAGAGTCCTTGCCACAATTAAGAAAAATCTTTAATCAATACAGTTGAAAATTGAAACATTATTTCACAAGGAACAGCCATTAAAGCCAGTGGTTACCAAGAAGTGAGTAAGTAGAAGACCAGCCCCTTGTTGAACGTAACAAACTACATGTCTCTTAACAACACATATTACTAGGTCCCTAGTAAAATGATTAAAAATATCTATTTTTTTTGGTTGAGTTAGAATCTAAAGCCCAGGAAAATAAAGTGAATTGGCAAGTAATCTCAACTGCCTCTCAACCCAATACTGTAGCTCAGTGGTTCCCAGATTCTGGTATCATGTGGGGAGGCGGAGTCCCGGACTCCACCCTGGAATGTCTGACCTGAAGGTCTGAGATGGGGCCTGACTTCTTAACAAGCCTTTCAGGGTTTAGGTCTGGGGGTCTAGGGGGCCTGCACTTTGAGAAGCTCTGCTGGGCAATCAATGTTCTTGGTGCCATCCAAAGATCAAAGAGTCAAAGAGACTGGGGGTGAGCTTGCAGCAATGATGAGGTTTTGGGGAGGCATAGAGGTGTCCTATCTGCCTTAGGGCACTTGGCCTCTGTGAAGCCGTAATTCTTCAGAGTACGGAAACTGGGGCTCTGGATTTAAGAGATTAGGGCAGAGCTATGTTTAGTAACTAGGTTTTTTTTGTTTGTTTGTTTTGTTTTTAGACAGAGTCTTGCTCCGTCGCCCAGACTGGAGAGCAGTGGTGCTATTTCGGCTTACTGCAACCTCGGCCTCCTGGGTTCAAGCAATTCTTGTGCCTCAGCCTCCTGAGTAGCTGGAATTACAGGCAAGCGCCACCAAGCCCGGCTGATTTTTTTGTATTTTAGTAGAGACAGGGTTTTACCGTGTTTCTCCCAGGGTGGTCTCGAACTCCTGAGCTCAGGCAATCCACAGGCCGCGGCCTCCCAAAGTGCTAAGATTACAGGCGTGAGCCGCCATGCCCAGGCTAATACCTAGATCTTTAGACCTAGGTGCTTGGTGGTCTTTCTACCAATTTTAGGATGAGTTCAGAAAAGAATACCTGGGACTCCCACCATCCTTAGGCATGAACATATGGAAATTATAAAAGTGGCTCTAAGGGACAAAGGGGTGCAGGTGGCAGCACAACCAAAGCACACACAGCCCGATGTGGTATTTTCTAGGGATCGCCCCCTTCTTTGAGTGTGCGTGCGTGCGCGTGCATGCATTGCTTCTGGTTCATAAATCTGAGCCAAGTCTTACATGCAGTACAGACCTGTGCATTAGAATTCACAGGGTCACTGGGCTAGTTCAAATATCTAGGTTCTGATCTTAAGTCGGGGCTGGGACGAAGAGACAGACCTGAACTGGAAGAAAACTTTGGCCTGGAGTGCTCTGGTCAAAGTCTCCGAGTCCTCCTCTTACTTCCCAAACCGAGCTTTGAACCGGAACCAACAGCAGCGGAAAAGTAAAGTTAGCAGCTCTTCCCCAAGTGGGAGTAGCTCCTCATCACTCACTGCCTTTAAAATCCTGGTTTGTTTTACATCAGGGCAGAACGATGTAAAAACAACAGAATTCAAATGAAATCATGAACACGTTTGCCCTTTGTACCTGTGTACTGCTCTGGCACAGTGCGCGCTGAGGAGGGAGGGGTCGTTCCCAGGAGGAATCCACCTGGGCCCCGGCTGCCACAGGGCAGGGCTACTCCATCGGCCACAGTAAGGAGAGGAGGGACAGCGGACATCTCGAAAGCTCCCTCCGCTTTCAGCTCCTGTCTAAACATTTGAGTCCTGCACCGAATTCACCTACCAAACCTCTTCATTTTAGCCATGGTTACATAAAGCTCAGTAAAAGTGGCTCCTACTCTTTAAACAAAACGTATAAAATGGACAAAGCCTCGCAGTGCAGTCGCCAGCTGCACCCACGGTATCGGCAGGGCTGTGCACGGCCGGCGTGGAGGGGCAGGCTCGGCGAACAGGATCCCAGTGTGGCGCCCGGAGCAGCTCTTCCAGGGCCGGAACAGGACTTGGGAGAAAACGCGGTTTTTCTGCCATTGTTCCCTCGCAATGCTTCAATTCAAACAATACTAAGGTTGTCTCGTTCGCCTCCTCGCCCCGCCCCTTTACCCAGAGACTCCCATTTAAAAACACAAAAAACCCTCAGTCCGTGACAGAGACTCCCCACCAGCTCCCGAGTTCCAGGAAAACTTTTTTCGCCCTAAGCCTGGCGTCTCACTGCCTAGTGACTGACACACTTTCCTGGCCTCTACGGCTGCAGCTTTGCCCAAAGCAACGAAAACGGTGCCTCAGGCTACATTTTAAGTTCCCAGTTCCCGTGAAAGGCCGACGCTTGCAAAACACAGGATTGACGCTGGGAACCCAAGGGGAAGGAAAGGTGGAAAGCATGATGAGGGAAGAGCAAGCTTTCTCAGAACCTTGGTGGGCAGCCTGGCGAACATCCACACGCACACACACACTCGGGAGCGCACGGACGAGCTGCCTTCTCCAAGGCCACTCAAACGTCCCAACCACTCTCGGGCGCGCAAGTCCAAGCGCGGGAGCCAGGACTTACCGCCAAGACGCTCTGGGCGAGGAACCCCACGGTCACTGTCCCCAGCAGCAGCCACCTGCATGGGAAAGGGAGGAAGAGAGACGTGAACGTGCGGGCCCGGCTTGTCAGTCCCCGAGAGTTACACCGAAGGGTCCATGCGCGCGTGACCCACGGGGACCAGGCAGAAAGTCGCTTACCGCCGTAGGGCAGGGCCGGCCACCGCGCGCTGGTCTCTCCCCATGCTGGCGGTTCGTCCACTCTGGGCCCCGGTCAGTCCCACTTAGCCTAGAGGCGACAGACAAAGCGAGTTTAGCGCAGGATGAGGGAGGCAGCCCATCCTCACCGCCGGTCTCGGTCCGCGAGACGCGGGGACAGCGCGGTGCGCGGCCCGCATGCAGGGGTGACCGGAGGGCCGTCCCCCCCACGACCCGGAAAGAAGGAGAGCCTCCCGTTAGGCCCCTGTGGGTGCTCCTTGGCCGAGGAGCTCGGTCTTCGCTCTCCCACCCTCCCCCTTTCTACTCCCAAGCAGGAGAGCGTGCAGCCCTAGCCTGCACAAGGCGCTCCAAGTCGGTGCTCTCGGGCCAGGGTCTGGGCGCCGCTCGGGGGTCGCTCTCACCTCGGGCTCGGCTTCAGGGGCTGCTGCCCGAACGCATTGGCCCTTCCAGAAGCACCCGCCGGCGGCACACCGGCAGGGCGGCCGGCCTTGCTGGGCTCTCTGGGCGCCGGCCCCGGGGGCTCGGGCGGCCCCTTTCGGTCCTCGGCCTGGATCCGCGAACGCGCGGGCGCGAGGGGTTGGGACGCGGGAGCCTCTTGAGTGCGGAGCGCGGAGCCCTGGTGTCCCGGCGCACTGCAGCCACACTCCCGGGCCGCGCGCTCCCGCCGCCTCTTACCCGCGCCGCAGGGTCCTCCCCTTTGAGGCGCCGCCCGCGCACCGCCGGGGGGGAGGGGGCAGCGCCAACAAATTGGGGAGCTCGGCCCGCCGCGCTCAGGTCTCCGCTTGGAGCCGCCGCACCCGGGACGGTGCGTAGCGCTGGAAGTCCGGCCTTCCGAGAGCTAGCTGTCCGCCGCGGCCCCCGCACGCCGGGCAGCCGTCCCTCGCCGCCTCGGGCGCGCCACCATGGGGCCCCGGCTCAGCGTCTGGCTGCTGCTGCTGCCCGCCGCCCTTCTGCTCCACGAGGAGCACAGCCGGGCCGCTGCGAAGGTGAGTTCCCGGCCAGCTCCGCTCCCGGCGTCCCGCCCCGAGCTTGGGCGCCCCGAGAGGCCCCTTTGTCCGCGCCTGGACCCGTCCGCCTGCCCCTCGGGGGTCGCGCGTGGCACGGCCAGGTGCATTCTCTGGGCCGGGGTTCGTTGGGGGTCCCTGTAGGCTACGATCGCGCATTGGTGGACCGAGCCTCCTTTGTTATGGTATGGGTACTGGAGAGTTAAGGAATTCCTCCGGGGAAGGGAGGAGAAACAGCCCGCGCTGTGGCGGGGTGAGGGTGCCTGGGAGCCGGCGGGATTTGAACCCGCGTCGCGGGTATGCTCGGCAGCTGGGCGCCTTCACCCGTCCCGGGTGCGCGAGGGAGTTGGGGGCTGGAGGGCCGGGAGCGCCCACCCCGCGCTGCTCAGAGACCCACACTGGGAGCTCCGAGCTCCTAGCCCCTGGGAGCAGCTTTGGGCGTATTTCTCCTTGTCTGGAGACCCTGGTGGCTGAGGCTGAAAAGCTCTGGGCCCTTTGCCTGGAAACAGCTGTATCTGAGCTTTCCCACGACTGCTGCCTAAGGCGCGCTCCAAGGCAGAAGTGGGGCTCTTCTGGACGCCCGGCTTGAAGAAGCCACCATCCTCAACTCGTTGCCTTCTATTAATATATATTTTAAAAAATTATAACCACATTCATATTTGAGCATGAAACCAAAGTGAAACTCCATGTCATTGTTCCATGCACAAATTGTTTTTCTAGTTTTCATTTCCTTTGGTTATGTGCTTGCCCAGAAAGGATCTGGGAGATCGGTTTGCAGGAGGTTTGCAGGAGTCGAGGCTTCCAGCCGTGGACAAGCCTGGACTGACTGTTGTTTCCTTTTTTCCTTCCCCTCCGAGAGAATAAAGACTTCAGCTGTTGCTCAGTGTCACAGCCATGCAGTCCCACAGGCCGGAAGGTGTGGCTTCTGAACAGATTTTGCAGTTTCTCCCTCAAATGCTTAAAAATGATTTTTGCTACTTACCAGATTTTCCATACTTATTCTTTTACTGTTCTTAATCTTGTTCTTTGTTTTCCTCTTTAAAAAAAAATTTTACTTCTCTCCTGGAAGAATGATACTCACTAAATCCACTTAACTGTATAGAAATTGTTAACTGTTACATGCCAGAGAGAACTGGTGATATACACACACGTCTCCTAATTGAGAGCTTATCTCCCTGGAGGCAGCTTCTCCACTGGGTATTGAAAGGACTAATGATTACATCAGCAATTAACTTCAGATTGTACCTCCCAGCCCAGTCTCCCCAAACTTCATAGCCAGTTATTTAAACACTCTTTGGTAATGATGACAAAATACTTTCCAAAGAACAGGCTTGAGAGCACTTTATTTTGGTCTAGAAATATTGACCAAAAGATTGAACGCTTCCAAGGTGAGATGGTGAAGCCTGATGATGGTAAGGTAAATCAGAGAAAGTTCTTCATTGGGAAATAGGAGCTGTTTGCATTTCGATTTTCTGATGGATAATGTTAGCAAAGCAAAGAAAGCTAACTGTAAGAGCTGGCTTTCCAAACATCCAGGACTGTAGAAAGAAAGAACCACTCAGTTACGCAAATCCTGTTCTCACCCGGGAAATCAAACGCATTAATGTTGAGTTGGAGATGATTTTACTTCCCTTTAATCATTTCCTAAAGCTCAATTACATTCCCGGCCACTGTCTTTGCAGTGTCCCTTGAGGTGCCATGGACTGTTTTTAAGAGATGCAGCCTGTGGGCACTTCTGATCACAGCTGACCTCACAGATATTATCATTACTCTGTATTTTCCCTGGCTTAATTAGAGAAAAGTGCTTAATGTGCAGATGATGTATGGGTATACAAGAAAATCACTTAAAAACTGAATCTGCCTAATTTTAAAATTTGTCTCACTTTTCATGCCATCAATAACATTTTGGCTTACCTCCTTCCAAAATCAGCTGTTAGATGTACCATAACACTGAAATAGCTTCAATACTGATCCAAGCAAAACATAATTTAAAAGCACATTTTGAATGATAAGATGCTGTGGATTTGATCAGATCCTCATTCAGAAGCCAGTGGAAGTGACTGTTGGCTTACCTCTCCTTTGCACTGTCTGAATCACACTTCACCTGCATTTGTACATCCAGACATCACCTGCTGTGTGCCAGGCATGAATTGCCCTTATTGTTTTTTCTTCATGAAAGGCTGTTTAATTTTGTATTTGCTGTATCTGCTATGGTCATATTGTTTACGTACTCATGGGTGGATTTTCTAAACCATTGATTTTATCCCACGCTGAACCTACCACTCTACTCCCCGCTCCTCCCTTCCTCCACTTTTCTTCAGCAAGAAAGGAGGAATAGCTTGCAGGCTCCAGACAAACACGTGCCAGCAGTGTTCTGATTGTGAGCACCCTCTACTCTTAGTCACTCAGTTGCACTGGGCGGAATGAACCCTTCCTGCAGCAGCTTTCACACTCCCCTCTAGCTGGTTCTGTGTGATGCTTCTTAACAGATTATTTCTCAGGATTAGAAACGTGAACTTTCCCCTCAGTGTGGTGATGCTTGTCCAGCAATACTGTCATCTCCTGACCATTAGTCACCACCTCTGGGACTGAATGACCTAGAGTTCAAACTAAGTGAGATTTCATTCCCATATAAGTATGGACCATGTTCTACTGGAAATGTAGTTTAGAAGAGAAGGCTGGTTTCTGAATCAGTCCCAACAAGAGCAGCATCGCCCAGGATCTCAGGAGTGATATTGGTGAAGCTATTCCTTATATCTGCAAGCTCTTTATATTAATAGATGGAATTGGACTAGGGTGAAGGGACATAACTTTAAGACCAACCAGAAGACACAATGTTCATGTACTCTGACTAGATTCACAGAATTATCAATGCTATATATTATTAATAGTCACGTGTACACAGGATGAGTGTGCTTTAGGCACCAGAGGACCTTACATTTTATACCTGCTTTTAAGCAGATGATTTGGGGGTACTCATCAAACTCTATACCTCAGTTTCCCTGGCAGGTCTGTCCCTTCCTCACACGGACCCGTTTGTGCCTTCCTTCATTCCACACACACATCGGGAACACCTCCTTCCTGCCATGACCTTGCCAGGTGCTGGCCATGCGGCAGGGACTCACCCCCACTCTCTGTCCTCAGGAAGGTCAGGTGAGAAATATTGGAAAAGAAACAGACGAATCCAAGTCAGGCTGGTAAATGTCACAATCAGGGGAATCGAAGGGCTATAGGAACACTGAATCCAGCTTTGGGGAACTCAGAGGAAACTTCTGGGAGGGGCTTCCGCCTCTGAAATATGAGGGAGAAATAGGAACTATACACCAGCATGTCATTTCCATGTGCACTGTGATGGTGTACTATACACAGAAGACATGGTCATTCTGCCTGTCTGCTCTCAAGTCTAAGGGTCTTTGCACTGAAAGATGACCTTCAAGTTTGCTCCTTTGAGATACCAAAATGTCATTGTTTCTGTGATTAACAATCTTGGTGGCTGAACTTTGCTCTCAGAGGGGTGGAAAGAATTGGAAGGGCAGGGTTTAGGAGACCAGTGTTAAAAAAGAGCTCCCAGCTCCAACTGAGGCCCCAGTATGTGGTCCTGTCCCTTTTCTCGGAGGTGGCAGGTAGGCAGGCAGGGGATGTTTGGAAAGTTGCGGCATGGATGACTGATTCTAGTCAGGAGTGCCTTTAGGAACTGACCCAGAAAACCTACCCTTACTTGGGCCAGGCCATGAGGGAATTCACAAAACCCTACATTATTCATTAACAAGGCTGTTGGCAAATTTCTGAGAACTGGCAAGGATGGTCATAACAAGTTCAGTTATTTAGTTAAGAGCTGGTAAAGATTTTGCAGACAAATGGAACCCACCAGTGATGATCTAAGACAAACCTTTGTAGACAGTGGAAGAACATCAAGAAGTGGCTAAATGACAACAGTGGTTTTGATGAATTCTATGATATTTGTTATAATAATTGTTCCCCAAATTGAAGAAGGATTAACCTCATTAAAATGTCTCACAAGGAGGTTTGGTATTTTGAGTTCTTGGGCTAGAGTCAGCTCAAGCAACAATAGAATGCCTAAAATAATGTTAGAGCATTGTTCTTCCTGCTATTATTAAGCAACCATGAAAAAATGTCAACTATAGAACAATACAAAAGACATATTCCTACCATTCTTATGCATACAATGAAAAGGGATGTCAACCAGAGCATGTTTTAATGGTGAATTTCTTCTGAGTCTTTTGACACTGTAGGAATGACTTTGGGGTGAAGACTTTGATAGTCTGGTACACAGTGAGCTGGTTCCAGCCTCGTTTCCCTCCATTGTTCTCCTGGTCCTAACTCTGGGACATGGGTCCCTCCTAGCGCTCTTTCCGTGTCTCTGCTTCTGTCTTCTTCCTCTTCCCATGCCCCTCAGTGTGGGTGAGCTGCAGGGGCAGCTCTGCGTGGTTCTCTTTGTTCTTTGCACTCTCTAACTTCCACTGGGGGTCTGCTCCATGATGCACCATTACTCCCTGAAGGGGACTCCAGAACTCCTTCTTGAACTCCAGTTCAACGTCTTCACATTTCCACGCGACGCCTCCCCTTGGCTGTCTTGCTTTGATCTCAAACTGAGCAAATATGTTCAGGACTGAACTCATTTTTTACCTGGACTGACAACCCTTCCCGACTCTGCCATTTTGGTCCTGGTGCCCTCTGATGTTTCTGGGTACAGAGCCCAGAGACTATGAGGCTTTAGCCTTTCCTCTTCTTTATCCTCTGCATCTGCTCAGTCACAAAGTCTCCTACTTCTTTCTGGATGCTTCCCAGAGGTGCCCGCAGCTTTCCCTTCCCACGGCTGGGACTCCCTTCCAGCTCTCTTTGCCTTGTGCCAGGATCACCACTGAACCCTCATGGCCCTGCCCCTCCTCCCAGCTCTCGTGCTCTCCAGCCCATTCCTCAGGCTGTGAGAGGCTAATTGCCCTCAATTCCCTAAGTTATGGTCATAGACTTGCTGGTTCAGGATCTGCCATGGCCACCTACTATCTCACTGGGGTTCCCCCTCTTTTTGGCTTGGCTGTGCATTCCCTTTGTGGTACGGATCTGTCAAATTTTTCTGGCCTCGTTCCTTGCTACTCCTCGACATACGGCTTTGGTAACTGTAAGGAAGGATAATCTCTGCATTCCACAGAAGCTGTTTCATCTTCTCCTGCTCCCCGGCCTGCAGTGTCCTCTCGTCTTCCCTCGGCTAGCACGCATTCCACTGAAGCTCCTGAAACAGTTCGCAGCCTGCCCCTTTTCCACGTGATCCCCTCTCGAGTCAGAGTGGTAATGTGAAATATTGTTGACTATCTGGATTTTAAAAAATCCAGCCTAAATTGCAATTCTTGCTCTGCCATTCAGTAGCATTGTAATCTCTTTGAGCTTGGAGTCTCTAATACATACAGTGAGGGTAGTCGCCATGTCTAGGGAGAGCATGTGCACATGAAGTAAGCACTCGAGCGGTGCTGGTTGTGGTTGCTGCCACATGGCTTGGAGTTACATTGTCATTTGTGTCTTGGTTCCAACACTTGCCAGGACATAACTTCTTTTTAAAGCATCCCACCATGTTTGGGAGAGTGCCCGACACAGAGGAGGAAATCAGGAATTAATTACTTGTAATTGGTTCCAATTTTCTAGCTGCCATTCTCTTGGGAGCCCCCTCCCCACCCCCGGAGTGTCCTAGAGGGAGCTGCCTGCTGGCTTACACTGTCCACCCCTGTGGTATTACTAGTGAACACAAAGATGAATCTGGGCAAACGAAGGTGTTTCCCCTTAATTTGGAATTTGGAGTAGATATTCCACCACAGACTAAACATGACTTGGAAATATGTACACTGCTGAACACTTTATGTAAATAGTTTATTCCGTGGTTTAGTAATTTTCTCTGTGGAAGCTTTGCTGGATTTGGTTTTTAATCTGCATACTATAAAAACATTTCATTTTATCTGAGTTTTAAAGCTCACTTGATCTTTAAGGTACAAGACAAATGCCAAGTGTCCAAATCAGATATTAAAGCAATCTTTTCCAGGCCACTTGGGCTTTTGTGTTTCTGTTGTTGTACCTCTTACCTGATAAAGGAGAGCTATTCAACCTCCTCATCTTCTGTTGCTTTTAGAATCAGTACATTGTTCAGTTGTAAAATTACCATTGTTTAGTAATACATACACATACACATCTTAGTGTACTGTGGCCACTGATTCCAGCAAGGACCACAGCCAGAGATACTGGCCGTGAGCTGGAAGCATCCAGTTTGATGTCAGTTGCTCTATTTTCATTTCACCAAATACACCAACAATTGGGGAAGCCATTTGTGTATTCACTCATAGAGAGTGCAGCTAACTTAAATAAACATTGCTCAATTCAGCAGAAGATCTGGAGGCACACTATTCCTGTATTGGACACAATTAAAATTGTTTAAAGATTTTATTAAGTTTCTGCTTTAGAAAACAAGGATATTCCTTTGTGAAGAACAAAACCCAGTGTGTTCCAGCTGTAATTCAATGTTTTGAAAGCTATTTCCACAAACTTTTCCCAGCAGCCACACTCATCCCTAGAGATGATCCACATTCAGAAGAAAATGACAGATGATGCACGTTCAGAGGAGAATACTATGTGTCTTCATTGCACAAAGATAAACCTTGCCTAATCCTCACATTCAGCACATGGGGCATTTTTGAAGGTACTAGGTCAGTATTTGTTCTCTGTTTCAGCGTTGTACAGATAAACTCAATGATAACCATTTTGGTATTGTTTCCTTCATATTTATTAAATAAACAATATTAATATCTAATCTAATTGGTGGAAGATTTGGCTATTACATCTCTAATAATGCTTTATTTATATGTATATTACTATGTAATATAAAACAATCAAAATTTATTTTCAGATCCGCAGTTCCCTTGTGTGCAAGTAATGCCTGATTTCTGAGCACAGTGGCATTTATTTTCATATCATCCAAGAGCACCAGCTTTGAAATGTCATTTTAAAATATAAGCAACTCTTTTTTATCATTAGCTTGAATTTTTGAGTTGCATTTTAGAGTTTTTTAAAGAATGCAATGCCATTTTAATGTTACAGAATTAATACTGAGTTGTGTGTGACGTATTTGCTACCACCAGACTAAGGACCCTACGATTAGTCTGGCAAAAGAAAAGTCTGTTTCTCAAAGAAGCTGGCATTAACGGGTCAGACGTGCACACGACTTTTTGGAAAGGCGATGGCAACGTCTCAACTACATCCAGAGAGGAGACAGTCCAGGGACACACTGGTTGTGCACCAGTCACAGGCCCTGCAGGGAAATGTGTGGGCCCTGGTCTTCCTCATGTGTATGATGGGGATGAGGGCAGTTGCTTTCCTTAGGGAGCAAATGTAAGGATTAAGTGAGTTAATGTCTGTGAAGCATTTATACCGAGCTTGCTTTGTGCCAGGCACTACTCTGTTAAATTAAAGACAAATTCAGAAGCATAAACAGCAAAGTAATGACATCAAGACCCCTTGGGGCTGGAAGGGCCCACACAAGGATCTCCTTCAGCCGTTGTCCAACATGAGCTCACAGCAGCATCAGCTGGAGGGCTCCACGAAACAGCTCCAGAGCTTCTGTTTTTGGAGGTGTGGGGTATGCCGAGAATCTGCATTTCTAGCAGGTGAGGGTGCGGCTACTGACAGCCCGACTTCTTTCACTGAGGCCGCCGCTTGAGCAGCCTTAGGTGCAGGCCTGCAGTGTCGGGACGTTAGTTTGCACTCACTTTGAGGCTGAACCCCTGCGTGTAACATGGCCCTCCCCGTTCTCTTTGTCTTCTTTTTCCGTTGATTTCTGCTCCTGCCCGCAATCCCGGTTCCAGCTGTGTGGTGCAGTTTGGAAGGTCAGATGGGCGGGGGAGGAAGGTTCCAGAAACATGCATGTGGCGTGTCAGGAAGTGGAGGCTCCTGAGTGGATCTGGAGAGGGCTGGGCTGATGGTAAATGAGCACAGCGGTGCCTGGAGCAGACTCTGCCCTCCGTGGCTTTCTCCCCTCTTCGGGAGCCTGGCGTGGGTGTCTCAGAACTGATCTGCTTTCAGTCTGAGTTTTGCCATCCTCTGCGGCGAGCCTGCGAGCTTGCACACTTGGGCAGGATGCGCTCAGCGCCCTAGCTCAGAGGCCGACCCAGGGCAGAGCCAGTCAGCGGGCGCTGGGACGCAGGACTCTGAACATGGGTCCTCTGCCTCCCTCCCACCTCCTCCAGGCCCGGCCACTCGGCTTCCTGGTGAGGAATTCTTAACGACCGCCAAATCCGGTTTCTAGAGATAAAAGACGGTTGAAGGTTAGTGGTTTAAAATAACTCCTAAATTTTGGTCCGGAAATGGCCTATACAATGAAGATAAACTTACCAAAGCAGGAAAATGGGTCAGTGATGGGGGAAAATACCATCCACGGAATGGTTAGTTCAGCCTCAGCATCCGATTTATTTCGGACACATACACAAACCCGGTCCAGAATCAATAATATTAACTGGAAAAGGGGATGACACGGTTTTTATTACGTAGGATATGTAGTGGGCGATCTTCTTGAAAGATTTCTCATTCCTAGCTTATCTTTAACAAACATGTTTTTCATGTAAACATTATGCTAGCGCCAGATGCTTTTTATCAATTGTTAAAGCCTGTCTAGTCTGACTAAATAGCCATTGGGCGCCTCCATAATAATTAGATTTTGTTTTCCCAAATACTTGAAAATAATAAGATTGTATTTCTTCAGGAATTTAGGCTTTTAAAACTTTTTTTAAAAAATTCTATAATTCATACTTCTTTATTATTTCATGTTGATCATAGATATTTTCTCTTTTTTCCATGGAGGTTATCATCAATTAATATATTATGATATATGGATTTTTTTTTCTCTTGACTAGATCATTTATTTAAAACATAAATAACTTTGGGTATTGTCCTAGGCGAGAAGCCAATTTGTAACCAAAGGCCCATTTCTCTCTCTCTTTTTTTTTTTTACATCAGCGAAAGTAAAACAAGAGTAAGAATTCACATGAAAACAAAGTAGGAAGTAATAGTTTGATAGCTCAGTATCTTGCTTTTGGCCTTTAAAATTTGTTCAGTAAGTGTGTGTTCAGCGCTTACTCTGAATTAGGAAATATGCAGGTGGTTGGAATTGTTCTTATACTTTGCATTCGGACATGTGCCTGAGTTAAAGTGAGAATAATTTTGGTAATGGTATGATAGATGTTACGTTGAAAATTTAGCACTTGCACTGTTCTCTTCTGGCTCCAAATCTTTTCATTTAAGTTCTGAGACTGCAAAAGGCATCAGTTTCAGACTCTGGAGTCAGATGAGATGGATTTGAATTCCTGATGACAGTTTTAGTGATGGATTTTAATAATAAAATTAATAAAAATAAATTTATTTGCCCAAACAGCAACTAGCTGTTTGACTTTGGGCAACCTTCTTAACTTCTTTGTGCCTCAGTTTCCCCATCTATCCATGAGGGATAATAACGTATTCCTTTATTGTGTTGTGAAGGTCGCAGACACGATACTGGTAAATGAGTGACTGCCATATCATAAGATTTCATGCTGTGAAGTAGATCTTTGGTCTTCCTCTTGTTTCCTGGCATACAATTCCTGAAATTCTTGGAATCCGAAGTGATAAGTGTCTTTGTATGTTAATGAGTTGACTGGTGGCTGGCCCCCCCACCCCGCAGCTTCAGAGTTAGGCTGGTCCCTGGGAAAGACCAAGGCAGGCTAAAGGATGGATTCAGCCCCACTCACAACCTCTGGGGAGAGGGGCCGTGTAGGAGGTTGAGTTAATTACCAATAGCCAATGATTTAATCAATCATGCCCTTATATAAGGAGGCTTCCATGAAATCCCAAAAAGACGGGCTTGAGGAGCTTCAGGATGGCTGAAGATGTGGAGCTGTTCCTAGAAGGTGGCATGCCCTGGTAGGGCTGGAAGCCCTGCCCCTTCCCCTACACCTTGCTCTGTGCCTCTCTTCCATGTTCTGGGTATTCATCTGTATCCTTTGTAATACAGTAGCCTTTATAATAAATCAGTAAACATAAGGGTTTCCCTGAGTTCTGTGAGCCTTCCTAGCAGGTTAATCAAACCCCAGGAGGGGTTCATGGAAATTCCAATTTATAACCAATGGACAGAAGAATAGGTGACAATTTATTCCTGGCAATGGGGTCTGAAGTGGGGCAATCTTGTGGGACTGAGCCTTCATCTGTGGGAGCTGATGCTGTCTTCAGATAGATGGAATCAGAATTGAGTGGAATTAAAGGAAGCCTAGCTGGTCTCCCCTGAAGAAATGATTGCTTGCTTGGTATGTGGGGAAACCTCCCACACAGCCGGTGTCAGAAGCTTGTTGTGAGAGCAGAGGAAAAACTGTTGTGCCTCTTTGTATCTTCAGATGAGCATTCATAAAATGTTAGCTTTTACTATTGATTTCGTGATTATACTATCGATATTCGTATGTACTTAAAACTATGAAGTATCTTTCTTTTACTACGACTTTATTTCTTATAAGAGATCAGCTTCTTGGATAATTTACAAAATATTGGGATTATAATGATATTCAAACAATCGAATACATCTTGAGTGCATAATTCTTGAGGGCACAATTCTATCCCTAATGTATTCCAAGATGGAGCCCTTGGCTTTGAGGTATAACAATTATGAGATGAACAAAAGCAAATTGAAACAAGGCACGTTGCCGTGGTTTCGCGTAGGTGGTGGCAGAATCTCCGTAGCTTCACTTCTCATGAGATCCATCATAGCCACTCAGAGAGGAGACTGTCATAGATTTCTTCCTGTAAGCGATTTATGGGAAGGTCCTAGTTTAATAGGGCAGAGTGCAAAATGGGAATCACTTTTGAGAACTTTCTCTGGTCTCTTAATCAAGTGGGAGAGGCGCAGGGCTGAAGTTAGCCAGCACTGCACATCTGAGTTTTGGCTTGAGCACAGTGGAGACAGCTGCCCACAGCAGCTCACTCCCCGCTAGAAAGCGCACCTGTCTCCCCGGAGAGCTGGAGCTGACTTTGGAGGGGTTGCATCTCTGGCTGCCTCAGCCTGACATTTTCCATGGTAGAAAATGTCTCTGGGGCTCCAGAGGTGGGGCTTCCAGCCATGTAAATATTTGCATGTAAATATTTTAGAATTCAGCATAGGTTGAGGTCAGAAAGCCATTTACCGTGAGGCTGGGTGCGGTGGCTCATGCCTGTAATCCCAGCACTTTAAGAGGACGAGGCGGGTGGATCACCTGAGGTCAGGAGTTCGAGACCAGCCTGACCAATGTGGTGAAACCTTGTCTCTACTAAAAATACAAAAATTGGCTAGGCGTGGTGGCGGGCGCCTGTAATCCCAGCTACTTGGGAGGCTGAGGCAGGAGAATCGCTTGAATGGGGGAGGTGGAGGTTGCAATGAGCTGAGATAGTGCCATTGCACT
Organism: Homo sapiens; assembly: GCF_000001405.40. Taxonomy (NCBI): domain Eukaryota; kingdom Metazoa; phylum Chordata; class Mammalia; order Primates; family Hominidae; genus Homo; species Homo sapiens. Next base: position 110,295,475 of record NC_000013.11, on the reverse strand, counting down.
TCAGCCTGGGCAACAAGAGCAACACTTTGTCAAAAAAAAAAAAAAAAAAAAAAGGAAGTGAACTACAAGAATATTTTGTCGTTGGCTGTTGTTTAATGGGACATTCAAAAGCTTTAATTGAATTCAAAAAGGAGTTATTTAAGATTTGGACTTAAAATCAGCCCATTCCTTTATTGTGTCTCTGTACAAACTCCGTCTCAAAAAAAAAAAAAAAAAAGAAAGAAAGAAAACCATGTAGTGTGAGAGCCTAAGAGAAAAATCTGAACATGCTGGCAGATTGAGGATGTTTATCCATTAAAGAGTCTAAAAGTGGGATCTTCACATACAACTTCATAAAGTCTTCTGAGCTCTGTACATGTCTTAAGGAAATGAGTCTGATTTGTACATTTTTACATTAAAATGATTATTTCTAGGACATTATGGCTTTTGTATATTAAGTGTGCTCAATGAACAGAACTGTAATCTAACTTCACAAAATTAGATTTTAAATACATATAAACATATGTACACATATACACTACATAAGTAGACCATGTGTGCATTTCCTATAAAATGAATGATATTCATTCATTCATGTAAGAAATATTTATTGTACACCCACTATGTGCCAGGCACTATTCTAGACTTGGAGACAAACAGAAAAGAATTGCTGCCCTCAGCATTTATTTATGGGATGAATACAGAGAAGCAAACAATTTCTGCCTTTTATCATGCTGAACTAGAAATTATTTAAAAGGATATCCCTCTCTGCTATTTTAGGGATGGTTCAACCTCCCAAATTCAACTTTGTTAAAATAGTTGTAAGGAAGAGACTGGAGTCCTTTATAGGAAATTGTGTCTACTTTGTGTCTCAGAAGTACATTCATGAGACTAACAGACATTGAGTTGTTCCAATTTTTGGAAATTTTGAAATATCTCTCCAGTAGGAAATGGGTTTGCAGAGCTCTTCTCTCTTCCCTGGGAATTAAGTACAGCTAGCCATGGGAAATACCACTTGGGTTTAGAGTGGATGAAACCATCAGATGTGGAAATACCAGATGGAGGAATGGGAGGGAGGCTGTGGACAGCAAATGTGTTTCTCCAGTGTGCAAGATTTCTTGGCACTTTGATGAGGATGTTGTGTGTCACAACTGTAATGATGCAAGAATATTGTCCTTTGTCTTAAAATTGTGTTGCTCTTTGGCCATGTCAGCCGGACCCTGTGTGAAGGGGCTGGAGGCAGGCAGAGAAAAGAGATGCTCTTGTAATCATCAGGGACACACCTCAGACCTCTAGTTCCACAGGACCCGAGTGGTCGTGCTACCATCTCTGCACAATGGCAACCCTCAGGGACAGACTGTCACAATGTATGGCAGCACCAAGAAATTGGGGGCTCGTCTCCTCCAGCTCAGCGCCTACTCAAACCTGGAGGAGTTCTGGTCACAATGAGCACTTGAGCCTTTTCTGAGAGTCAAAATTAAAATCTGGTTCCAAGGACCAAGGCTTACCAGGTTTCCTGGGCAAAAGAAACCTAATTTGTGAGTTAGGGATAAATGAATCAGAAACATGAAAACTATTGCTGTGAGAACACTCAGAGGCTTAAACAAGGAAACGCAGGTCAAAGTTCTTGGCAAAATATGTTGGCGAATTGTCCTGGACAATTGGCAGTGCATGTCCCACATTATCCTGCAACAGTGACACGCTGTTAATAAGGGAAAGGGTATAATGTGAAAAGCTCTGATGAAGTGTGCTAGGTTACAGAGCCTTTTTGGTGGAAAATAATTCTAGAAATGGTCCTTAATTTGATTCCTTAATTGGCAATTGTCTTCTTAAAGTGTCAGAGTGAGGAAGATCAGCTGGTGTTTCCAGTATGTTCAAACAGCATGTTCGAAAGTGCAGGCCTGAGTTTGGGTTGCTGTATCTGAGCCTATCTGCCATCTCTGAGCAGAGTCAATTGCCATCTCAAGTCAGATGATTGGCAGTAACTTCTAGAAGATAATGTCAAATTTTTAATACAACTTTTTCTAGTTCTATATGATGTGCACTTGTGCCATTTGAGAAACTGTAGCATTAACTTGAAAGCTATAGTTGGCAAAGCGAAGTAATTAGGTTGAGTTTCTTATCATTCATAGCCTTCTAGGTAGACGCAGCAGCCGCTACCTCTACAACATTTTACTGACTCTTCCCTGGGTCAGAGCAATGCCACAGGTGCGAGCCCCCAGCTTTGGCAGCCTGCAGACGTCCAGAAACACTTCTCTAGGTGCCACAGTCCTACACACCTTTGGTCATGTTTGCCTAAGCTTTGGGACTTTGCTAATTTGCATGGGAGGGCTAAACCTCCAGCCCCCAACGGTGGCACTGGGGAGTAGACTAAGTGTTCCTGCACGGTGACCTTGAATGGAATCCAGCATTTATCACTAGTTGAAAGAGAGTGACTGCACTTTTAGGGGGTGCTCTGGGTAAGTTGTGTAGGTGGGAATTGAGATTTTTTAAAAATAACAGCCAATTTATTTTCCCACAATTCTAGAATCTACTTATGAATTTGAGGCGTGATATCTTTGGCTGTTAAGTGACACAGATTACCTGGCAGTTGCCTTTGTATGCTAGTGAGAACCCTGGACATATCCTGTTTCTCCTGACCCTTTACATAGAGATAATTGACTTGATGACCCATTGATCCCATCTGCCTACCTGCCAGTCATCATCCTTTGAGTTCCTGTCCCTCCCTACATGTTGAGGGAGGGACCTGGTGGGAGATGATTAGATTATGGGGGCAGTTTCCCCCATGCTGTTCTCATGATAGTGAGTGAGTTCTCATGAGATTTGATGGTTTTAAAAATTGTGCTTTCTCCTTCGCTCTCTCTCCTGCTACCATGTAAGACATGCCTTGCCTCCCCTTTGCCTTCCACCATGATTGTAAGTTTCCTGAGGTCTTCCAGCTATGTAGAACTGTCAGTTAATTAAATCTCCTTACTTTATAAATTACCCAGTCTCAAGGAGTATCTTTATAGCAGTTATAGCAGTGTGAGAATGGACTAACAAAAATAACCACCTCCAGATTGGAAATATATGAAAAGTTGAGAGTCAAGAAACTATAGTCCAGTCTAGACCACAGCATGGCCTCTTTTGGGGGGCCCGTGAACCCCTTGAGATGATATGCAAATTTTTATGAATCTGTGCACAAGTGCATTTTTAAGAAGACAATGCCTGGAACTTTTATCACATTCTCAGAGATGTATGCCACAGACTGCTGGTCTAGAGGGCCTTGGTAGCAGATTTTTATAGTAAGAACTGTCAAAAAGATTTTCCAGGGAAGAAGACCCTGAATTTGGCAGTAGATAAGAATAGAGCTAAATTTGACAATGCTTCCAAAGCTTTGGCTCTCAGCGGCAGGCAGGATGCAGGCACTTCTGAGGGTGGTGGGAAAATCGGTCGGAAAGACAGTTTTGGCGAATGTTAATCTTATTGTTTGTATCAAATGTTTGGCATGAATCTCTCGAAAGACATGTGTGCAGACCCCATCTTCTCAGCTGCATTTTGGTTTCTTTCTCCATGCCCCTCCAGGGATGGCACAGTATCTGAGCATCGCCATGTAGAATCTATGCTCAGTAAGTGTGTCTCTTGATTGACTAATTGGTTGTCAAGGTCATGCTAGAAAATGGAAATTTGAAGGTGAATCTAGATTGGTTCATCTGCAGATGGTGGAACTGGCGATTATGATCCCTCTAGGAACCCAGCTCAGAGCTCTTGAAGAGGGAGACAAGAAGTAAATAACCCACTAAAGAAGCCGGGTCTGGTCACAGGAGAGGTGTTTCTGTGAACACTTTTATGAAAAGGTGCGATGTACTTGGGGGCAGTCAGGGCTCTGCACAATTAGTGAAGGCCATTGCATTTTCAGCACTTGACATGGGGTGGGTGATAAGGAAACTGACAAGTCTAGTCCCTGCCACGTGGCCAGCCTCGCAGGGCTGAGAAGGCGATGGGAGAGGGCTGACTTGTGGTCTGATTTGCCCAGGCCAGCGAGGTCCATGCTGTGACCTGGGTGAAATTACTAATGGCGCTCCCGTGCACCCCTAGCACATCCCGACATGGAAGATGAGTTCTGTGGACAGCCAGCTGTGAGGAGATGGCATGGTTAAAGCTCCCTCGCCATTGCCTCCTAGTTGCAGAAAAATATGGCAGATTCTTGGTTGCTGAGAAATGCTGAAGAAATGAAAAGACAAGATCAAGAGTTTAGATGAATTTAGTGCAAAACGTGAAGATGATCAAAGAGACAAGTGGGTGGCTAATGTGATGCCAGGCTACTTGGCATCGGTGTACTTTTTCTAGACACCAGGTCCTCGACACACCTTAAGGTCAGGAGGGGAAGCCCCAGTGTTCTCGGACAGGTGAGGTGGGAGCTGCAAGTGTCCTGAGGAGAGGGGCGGGCAGGACACTCACGTCTGTGCACGTGATTCAGGTCAGGACAGCCCCCCACCCGCCCTGTGAGCACCTCTGTGCTGGTCCAAGTGCAAAGAGGCCCACCCCTGGGGGACGTGCAATCGCCCTTGGCTTCTGCCACTGCACGGCGACCCCCCTGCCGAGTTTCACTGGCCACTGAAGGCAAAGAGAGTAGCAGAGTGCCCAGCGTCACCGGCAGGATAGACCCAAAAGTGACACCCACGTTTTAAAAAGTGGGCTGGTCCAAATGCAGTGATATTGACAGATCATTGATCACAACCAGTTATAGATTTCTTTGTTCCTTTTCCAGTCCCCACTTGCTCTCGTGCACCCAAGCTTCACTTGCTAAGCTTTAAAATGTAAAACAAAATAAAAACTAAAATAAAAGTGGGGTGGAGAGTGGGTCTGGTGGAGGTGTGGACAGGGATGATGAGCTGGAGGTGACTCCAGGGTGAGTGCCCAGAGATTTTGGTCACCTGGGGTGGTTGATGAGTAGTTTGCGAGTGAAGCTAGAGTCCAAAGGGAAGGAAGGATCGAGGAAGCCGGAGGAGCCTGTGGAAGGAATGCTATGGGTTTGTAACCTTTTAAGGGAATCTTGAGTGTAGTGTAAGCATGGTGGTCATTAGATGTACTGATTAAGAGGGTAAATCATAAAAGAAATTATGACTTGGACATAAAATTTAAACAGTGCAAGGACATGTTAATGATAAAACGAATGCTGCACAGATTGTGTTCCCTCTGGGGAGTCTGGAAATCAAAATCCCAGAAGCCGCCTGCCGAGCGCTTGTTAGCTTGCAACGCGCTCACGTGTGTCTGTGTAGCTTAGTGTGTTCGCACTTGTTGTCTAACCAGGAAAATGAACTTTAAAAGGCCTTCAACTAGGCTTTAATTAAGAGGAAAAGATGACAAAACCTACACAGCAGCATGTCAAAATTACCGAACATGAAACAGGACTCTTCTGTTTAGAATAGCACCGAGTCACCTTTGGAAGGAGTGACGCCCCTGCGAGGGTGCTGTGCCCCCCGGCAGCATCCTTTCAGCCAACCCTTCCCTTCACGCCCCTTTTCAGAAGCAGACCCTCTATTTTTACTTCCCAGGGGCCTTAAAACCCACCTGCTTGTCCTCCATGAGGATGTGGGTGAAGCGCTGACCCTCATTCCGTCTCTGGGATCTGTCCACTGGGGGCAGAACATGTTTCTGTTGGAAGACAGAGGAAGAAGCGGTGGTCCGTGCCAGCCACCTTGAGGAGCAGCCTGGGATCCGGAGCATCTCATGTTCCATTTCTTCTTGAGTTTTCCATGCATCAGGAACCTGAGATGTTGGTATTTAGCCCTGAAGGTGGCTGTGGGTATTCTCTATGCGCTTTTGGACTTTAACCCAAAATACAGATAGCGTAATTTGCAGTGTAACGTCTAACATGTTGAACTCTTTACATATTCTGTGAAGGACGAACCTGCAAGGGCACCGACTTGGAGTATCTCATCCGTTGTCTTGGGTGAGGAAACACTGACAACTGACCAAGAAATCGGTGAACTCAAGGCCTGCAAAGAGCTTCCTGAGAAGGTAGACAGGAATAGTAACAGGGCTGCCTGGAGCAGTGGGGGATGGGCAGGGGGTCAGGGTGGGTGCGCAGGGCCTTGTCCCCTCACAGGAACGAGTTGATTGCAAGGTGATGAGGAGCCAGAGATGCTGGAGAAGAGGGAAGCTGTTCTTTTGCCTTGGGAAGGGTCTCCTCTTGGTCGCGGCAGTGGATGGCACCCCGGCCTGGATCGTGCTAGAGCTGGAACTCATCACTCCAGCCCTCTACCTCCAGGCTTAGGTGCGGGGCCATTCAGACCCTGTTCTTTGAGATCAAAATCCCCTCTTCCATCCAGGAGAACTTAGGAATCCAGCACTCGCCAAAATGAGGAGATCTGGAATGGAAGCCATTGCTCTCCCCAGATACTCACTGACCTTAGTCCACTCTGTCCTCTCCTCTCCACTGAAGGGCTAGGCCTGTGACACGCATCTTTTTTTTTTGAGATGGGGTCTTGTTCTGTAGCCCAGGCTGGAGTGCAGTGGCACGATCTTGGCTCACTGCAACCTCCGCCTCCTGGGTCCCAGTTCAAGCAATTCTCCTGCCTCCACCTCCTGAGTAGCTGGGATTACAGGCGTGCGCCACCACACCCAGCTAATTTTTGTATTTTTAGTAGAGATAGGGTTTCACCATGTTGGCCAGGCTGGTCTGGAACTCCTGACCTCGTGATCTGCCCACCTCAGCCTCCCAAAGTGCTGGGATTACAGGCGTGAGCCACCGCGCCTGGCCTGACACCCATCATTTACAGGTAGCTCCCGAGGCTTGAGGCATTTCAACAACCTGTCCAGGGTTTTACACAAGGACATGGGAGGGATAAGAATGGAAAATCAGTCTGTTATGCTCAAATTGTCAGGGTTAATCAGTGTTCATTATTTCATTTCAAATGACATACATTTTTGTGATTTTTGATTTTTGTCTGTGCAAAGAAAATACATATACTAAATAAAAATAGATATAGTGAAGTGGGAACAATTCTGTCAGTTGCTCTACCCTGTGGTTAGATAATCCTTAAAATAGACATTTTGGTTGCAAGAGACAAAATTATGCTGATCTCCTGAGCCATGGATTTTTCTATAGTGGCAATAGGAGTCTCTCTTTTCACATTTTGCTATTTTACCAGCAAGATCAAAGCTGAGTTTCAAGGCTCATAGTAGCAGCGATTCAAGGCTGCGCTCAGGCTTAATTATTATTATTATTATTATTATTTTTTTTTTTTTTGAGAGGGAGTTTCGCTCTTGTTTCAGGCTGGAGTGCAATGGCACGATCTCGGCTCACTGCAACCTCTGCCTCCCGTGTTCAAGTTATTCTCCTGCCTTAGCCTCCCGAGTAACTGGGATTACAGGTGTCTGCCACCACTCCTGGGTAATTTTTTTTTTTTTTGTATTTTTAGTAGAGTTGGGGTTTCACCATGTTGGTCAGGCTGGTTTCAAACTCCTGACCTCGTGATCCACCTGCCTCAGCCTCCCAAAGTGCTGAGATTACAGGCGTGAGCCACCGCGCCCAGACCACTCAGGCTTCTTGAATTCACCAATTTCTTGGTCTGTTGTCAGCGTTTCCTCACCAAAGACAATTGATGAGATACTCCCTATTGGTGGCATTGCCACCACTTGAACGGCTCTCTTCTGAGTCTGAAAATAGTTTGTGCTTCCTGTGCTGCAGGTATTGTAGCGCCTGCATTAGCCCCTGAAAGGAAACGTTTCTCTTGGAAACACCAGTGTTGGGCTCTCATGTGCTTCCTCCTTGTATATAGATTGGAAGTGTGTGTGATTTTCAACTTCATGTCCTTGAGCCCCAGACAGCCGCCCAGGCAAGGCCATCCCACTGTACGGCGCTCAAGGACGTGCCGGCTTCTTTCTGGGTCTCACAGCAGGGTGAGCATTCTGCTCAAGTGACAGCTCATGATGCCCGGCCTTCTGACCTTTAGAGAAGAGTTCATCCGATACAATGAGAGCCCCAAATGTAAACTCACTTCATTTCATTCCATGTTCCAATGGAAAAACCGAGTCTTGGCTGTGGTGGTGCTTCTTGTTTAGAGAGGAACCGGGAACTTCACAAAGATAAGATATTAATAGGACTGGATCCTTTGTGGGCACGAAGTAGGGGAGTATTTAGATTTGCAGCTGTGTGCAGCCATTTAGACTAGATATCTGAGTGGCTGGCCTCGGGCTTTAGGGTGGGGACGGCAGGCTGTCTGGCTTGCCCCTGAGATGTCATGCGGCCTAAAGGAATTCTGTTACTATTGTTGAATGGCTGAATAAGAGCAAATGAGGGCGTTCCTTCCCTCTGACACATAGTGGGGAAAAGTGCGTCTCTGCATGTCCAGTGCCCTGTGGCTTGGCCTTGCAGCCCTCATGTCTACACCTGGGGTGCCCGGGGCCTCTCCTGCCTCTTCCTAGGTGGGTGGCCTCTGTGTGAAGAAAGACAAGACAAACAGCATCTCTGTGGGCCATTCTCCACCCTCAGCCTCAGGTTTTCCAAATGCCACTCCTGAATTTTCTGGAGTTTTGTGTCGTTTCCAAACTTGTTTCGAAGAAGAGCTTTGAACTAATGTAGCAGAATGCAAAGTGGAATTCTTCCCAGAAACGAATTCTGTTTAACTCTTTGGGTTTAGTGGAGGTGTCAAGTAGCTTGGGACACAGTCAGAAGCACACACTGTTTATCGTGTGGACTTGGGAAAAGTGAGCATTTGGGATCTTCTGCTGGTCTTGCCTGAGTCCAGGCATCCATGTAATGCAAGCTGCCTCTCTGCGAGGCCAGCAGGGCTGCAGAGCCGGGGCTCATGGTTTGTTCACCTTTGGGATCTGGGAATACAGCTTCAGCCAATCTCAGTGCCCCACGAAGTAACCCACCGCCTTTCTGGCACTCCGGGGTGCCTAGGATTTCTCTGTCCCTATAGGCGGCTCCTCTGTATCCCAGCTGGTGGTCTTACTGCCTCAGCCCCATTTTCCTGGGAACTGTTCCTCCTCTTCCAGGAATGGATTTCTTGGCATGATACTTCTGCCTCTCTCCCCCACACAATCTGAATGCCACACAAGGCTCTGGACCCTGAGGCTCCTGTCTGGGCCTGACCGGACAGCGGGCCCCTCCAGGCATGGCCATCTCTCCCTTTAGCCTGCTCAGCCCTCCTACTCTGCCTGCAGCCACCCTCAGGAGCTTCGAGTGTTCAGCACCCTCATGTGAATAAACCAGATGGTTATTGGCCTGGGTGTGATCCCAAGCCCCCATTTCCCCTCCAGTGTCAAGTGGCTGAGTCCCACTGGCTTCAGTGTACCCTGAATCTGCAGCTGCAGCCTTTGAGCCAATGCTGTCCTTGGTCGTTCTTGGTCTTGTCAGTATTGCCCCTCCATGGCAGTTTCTCCTTAGGGCATTCCCGTATCCAGTCCTTTCCCTCCTTCCAGGCCTCTCCAGACTCATAGCTCACTCATATCAGGGAGCCGATGTTGCACCTTTGCCCTCTGCACTATGAGAATCTGGGGCAAAAATTAAACGGGGTCCCATTTCCAGAGGGTCTAACCAAGGCTTTGGACAGGGGATGTGGTCATCGAGTAGTAGCTCTGAGTCAGTTTTCCCAGAGAAAAGGTACCAATACATCCAGATAGTTTATAGAGATATAAGGATTTATTATAAGGTCTTGACTCACACATGACCATGGGGGCTGAGAGGTCCCACAGTGTGCTGTCTACAAGCTGTGGAACTGGGAAAGCGATGGTATGGCCTGAAGTCCTGAGAACTGGGAGCACCAGGGGCAGGAGAAGGAAAATGTCAGGGAGCGCTAATACAACCTCCTTCTGCTTTTTGGTTTTGTTCAGGCTCTCAATGGCTTGAGTGAGACCAGCCTACTCTGGGGAGGATGGTTCTGCTTTACTCAGTGCACCAGTTCAAATGTTCATCTCATGCAGAAACACCTCACAGACCCACCCAGAAATACCGTTTCACCAGATATCTGGGCATCCCATGGCCCAGGCAAGGTGACACATAAAACTAACAATCACAGTAGCTTAGCTCAAGTGCTGATTTATTATGAGTGGTAGTATTTCCACTGCAGAAGACAGACGCTTACTAAGGGCTGCTGTTCCTAAATGTGTAAGGTACAAAGGCAGAGCCAAAACTCTGTATTCACGGATTCACGGAGACAGTCCCAGTGAGTGAGGCCCACAGGGTGAGGAAATATGCGTGGGATTCCGCAGCACACGTAAGAGCCCATCCTATTTCTTCACCATTGTAGATTCACGTTTTTGGAATGTGCATTTCCAATGGAAAATCGATGCTTCCTGGCTTCAACATTTTAATAAAAATACTTCTGGCTAGTGCCCTAGTCTTTCATTTTGAAAATAACTCATGTTAGAAAATTGATCTATTGGTTACATTTTAAACATGAAAAGATCCAAACACTGCTCAGAGTGTTCTTTCCCTGAAAGCCTCAGCCCAGACTGACGGCCATCCCCTGTGCTGCTGAGGGCATGTGCCTCGCTACAGAAAGGGCCATTGCCTTGTAATGGAATTATTCTGACATAGCCTTTAGACCACACCATCAGCTTTCCCAAGGGCAGGGACGGTGTCATCTCTAGGCTTATCTTCCTGGCCACAGCACATTGTCTGGCACTTGTCACTGTTCATTTCTCTTGGAGATGAAATAGGCAGAAAGTATTAGCTACAGTCAAGGGTTGCATCTTCTTTTCAGATGTTCAGGAGATGGTAATCTCCATCAGCATTTGCCTTACTGTTCTGATTAGGTGAATACTAAGCCCATTCGAGCCTCTCTTTTTCATATCATGAGGATGGAGCCATGTTTCTGCTCATTAAAAAGGCCTTTTACAAAAAGAAGACAGCTATGGGGAATATATTTTGCTTGCTCTATCTGTGTTAGGAAGTTAGTATTCATTAATCATGTGCTACTTCTCCATGTGTTTTGCACAAAAATCGGTGAAAAATGATGGCTTTCTACTTCTACATTCTTGAAGCGTGTGCATTAGATTTTTCTATTTCTTAAGGGACTGAAGGCTAATATTAGGATATCATGTTGACTTCTCAAGACGTTAAAACCAAAAGACCTCTGCAGCTTCCAAATCATGCTTACTGATTTCGGGATTATGCCTCCAGCCCCCAAAATCAACACCTATAATTTAAAAGCTGTGGGGGTCACATTAGTCAGATGTTAGAGAGATGCTTGTGGCTTGTGGGTTCCCAGATTCCAGAATTTGGGCTTTCCTCCCAGCTTAGCTCTGCTTGTGACAGATGTTTAAGTTAGAGAGACACTAAGAAAACTTCCAGGAGGAGAGGGGTGAAATTTAGCAGCCTCTTTTTAGATGATTCTACCTGGGGGAGCACATCCTGTCTGGGTGTGAAATTGAGAGCTGTGTGTTTCCACCTGCACCACAGCATCCAGGTGCACGCTCTGTGGGATCCCTGCCCGTTGGTGGCCTGACCTACAGACCCTTTGCTGAAGGACCCTTTGCTGAAGGCTCCTGGCCTGTGGCCATCACCGGACAGACCCTTTGCTGAAGGCTCCTGGCCTGTGGCCACCACTGTCATACAGCGCTGTTCCTTGGGCTGGAGGGAGAGCTTTTGCCACCTCATCTCCCATCCTGTCGACATGTGACAGCTTTGCCAGCCCAGCCACAGTGACTAAAGTCTTCAGGGTCATGAAAAATAACCCCCCAAATGCCACCCACTGCTGCTGTCCAAGCTCACCCCACCAGCATAAGGCCTGGCTTAGTATGGTGGGACCTGGGCATGGTGAGCCCCAGATGAGCTCACAGATGGCAGGCAGTCTTTGAGGGAAACTTTGATGTGCATGTGTGGGTGTGTGCATGAGTGTGAGAGCATGCACATGCCTGTGTGCATGTGCCTGAGTGTGCATTGTGTTCATATGTGTGCCTGTATGTGAGGGAGTGTATGCATGTGTCTGCATATGCAGATGTCTGTATACACAGAAAGGTGTGTGCAGGTGCACATGTGCGTGTGTGTGCGTGAGAGTGTGCGTGTGCCTATGGGGCGCCCAGACACCTTGGCCCTTCCCTTTGTATTCTTGCTGTTCTTAGTGAGTTTACATCATGGCTTGGGCACGGCTCACATTCTCATCTCCCTACATTAGTGACATCAACACATTTCACATTTGGCTTATTAGCCACTTCTATTCAATGTCAAAAAGCAAATGTATGATTTAAAAACTAGCTGCTGACATAAAATTTTCTAGTCTACATTATTCTTTATTTTCTTGAACCTCTCTTTTCCTGAAATCTCTGATTCGATGACTCGTCTTTTCTGAACATATTATATTATTTGATGACAGAGAGAATCAAGTAATTACTCTTCAGTCTCTGTCTTTCCTATGAAGAACTGAACATCCTTCAAACTGGGAACACTAAATAAAACATGGTAAGGAGAGAACTGAATCACAGGCAAGGCAAAGAGAGAGAAAGATACCATGCAATTGCTTAAAACTAACTGAAGCCTTTATGCTTGGAGGTGAGGCCCCAGGGCCTCAGGGGCACCTGGAAGCGACTGGGATCACTGGCTCATTTTGATTTTGAAATGTGGAGACATGCAGGAAGATTGGAGAGGGCAATGTTCCGATGGCCACGAAAGAACAAAATTGAATTCCAGAAATCACATATCAGTGAACTTAGCATGGACAATTATATTTCCAAATTGATTTTTTTTGACAGAAAGCTTGTGAATACTTAAATAAAGAGTTCATGATCCCTGGAAGCCAACACAGGTGCCCCAAAACAGGTCAGGAGAATCAGTAGGCACAGCAGGGATGCCATTCAGGGACATATACTTCAGGGTACAGACCCTGTGCTTGGAGAAGCCATGTCCCAGGGTAGGACACACAGTTATGTGAGAGCACTTCATCTCAATGACCTTGGCAGGGCCTCAAAATTCTCCCCAATTCAGAGCTCCTGCAGCCATCCTTGACTGGTAGGAATTGACACTTGAGTTGAAACCAGCTTGCCATTGCTAATCTAAAGGATGTGCATTGGAAGTGAGGACAGGGTGACTTGCGTGGATGCAGCCATGCCAGGGAAGGTACAGTAGGGATGAAGATGGCATTGAGGAGACACAATGAACAGCTTAGAATGCACAGCATGAGTAGGAAAGTGATAATACCTAAGAGTCACCACCAGCTTCCCTTGATGTGCCAGTACTCTACATGAGTCCCCCACAGTCTGCGCAATGACAGTGTGAGGTGGGTTGTCTTACTCCCATTTTATTGATGAGAAAACAAAAGGTCAAGGACTTTTCTCCACTAGTATTCAAACTCAGGTCTGTCTGAATCCAAGTTTACAATATTGACATTGATATGCCACCTCTCCAGCATTGGTAGGGAATTCTGACAAGGGGAGAGAGGTCAAATTGTAAAAGTTTTATACACTAGAAACTGGTGAGTAATTGGTGATTTGTGACCAAGGGTCTTTGCTGGGGAGAATCCTCTTAAGTAAGACTAGGTGGATAATGGTAAGCAGGCCCTAAGGTGAGGCGAGGACACGCAGCCAGGAAAACTGAAGGGAGCTGTTGTGTTTCAGGCATAAACTGATGGAGATCTGAGCAGGGAAGGTGGCCAGGGGAATGCGAAAGAAACTGTAGATGTCAGGGCCTTTTGCAGAAAACATCCACAGAACTGTGTGCCGACTCTCTGAAGGGCAGAGAAACAGATGGGTTGAGTAAGTTTACTAAAATGTGAGAGGGGAATTGATGTTCCTGCCAGATTGGTAAACGGCCATACCATTAGAAGAAGAGTCCCTTATTTTGTGAAAATTCATTGGCTGAGAGGTACTAATTATTTCAGATAGTGGAGGTAAAGTGGGTAAGACTTTACTCTTTGATCAAGGGTCTACCCAAATCTTGACTAGTCTTCTTAATTACTTAATTTATAGATTTTTGATGAAATTGAGTTTCTGTGTGAGCCCCCATAGTGGAAATCTAAGCTTCCTACTGTTTTTTTTAAACATTTTCTCTCTATATTGCAGCAGGTAACCACTTCCTCTTCTCTTTCCCTTCACTGCAGTTTGTGAATGATCTGGCTGTTTTTGGCTTATGGCACATCTGGGTTCTCCTTTGGTCCTTCTCAAGAATTAATTACTGTTCATAAAGTATTTTGAAATAATGTCAGAAAATGTCCTTCAAGGAGCACAGAGTACTTTTTGGAACATTAAAAAATTCTCAGTATTTCTGCTTCTCACGTTTTGTTTTGGGAAATAAGAATTCTGGCTGTAGGAGATGGCGGGGGGAGGTTAGTCTTCCCAGAGTCGTGTCATCACAGAACAGTGTTGCTCCTTACAGCTGTTATCCCAAGAGAAGAAAACGGGAGAGAGTGCCGGCCACGTTTTGTGGCTTACACAAGCCAGTTGATGGTGTCAAAGATGTTGTTGAGTTCTCTGGCCAAAGGATGTTCTGTTTTCTGAAAAAGTTTAGAGCTGCAGAATTGTTTTTATGCTCGAGTGGCTAAAAAAATGGGACACATGGTTGGGGTGAGGAGAAAAGCCATATTTTACTGATCCAAAGGAATTGGATCACTCCTGAAGCAAACAAAGTATAATACGGCGATCTAAGTAGATAGTTGCATATATTGAACACAAAGGCAGAGCATTAGAGTAAGAAACCTTCAGCCAGATCTCGGATGTATTTCATAACATGTGTTCGTTGAAAGAATATAAGAAAGGCTCTAGGTCTTGAAAAAAGAAAGAAAATTCTCCTTCACATTTATATTCATGTATTACTAGCAAGATTACAAGTTCTCAGAATAGCACCAAGATGAAAGAGGCTTACCAGAATTATTGAAAAGGGGATTTTTCGAGGCCACTTATAAAACCAACACACCAAATTTGGTGTTGCAGATGTAGGCGTGGGATTGTCCTCTGTCTTCAGAGGTGTAATACGTAAAGCCCATGCCATGCGGCGCTGCTAAGCCAAAGCAAACCATGATTTGTGAGCAAGAACTTGAAGATTCTATATAATTCATTTTTTGAATACTTTCTCTTGTAATACAAGCATAGAATTGTTTTCGTTTTCAATGGCATAATGGTGACTTTGTGATGTATTCATGAGAATTATGAAGTTTGGAATGTGACTTTTATTTTAAGATTTTGAGGGAACTCCTAAAGGCATTTCACTTTTGACCTTTATCTGAAACTTGTGGCTGACTATTGCTGGGTAATAGGCACCAAGTGTGCATTTTTGTTGTGTCTGAAAATCTGGATGTGCTGTTCGGCACAGATGGAGCAAACACGCAGCAAACTAAGGACCGTCAGTGGCTTCCCATTGGCTCATTGAACAAGTTAACACCACTGCAGTATTTTAGTTATTTTAAAAACTAACTTTAAAGAATCCCAAGTTCTTTATACGTGGCAAACTTCATCATTTGGTAATGGATTTAGAAATAAAAGTAAGCTCCAAATTAAAAGAAAATTGCCAATAGAAACAGAAAATATTCATAAGGAAGGGTAAGACAGGAAAGGAATATCAGGAAGGGAGAATCAAAGTGAATTCAGTAATGTGCAGACACTGGAGTTCACAGGACCTAAAGCAGGTGCAACGTGGACGCTCTCTGGAGGTGTCTGGCAGACCCAGGAGAAGACAGTGGCCACAGTAAGGAGGGCAGCCAGCCCTCTCGATGCAGGCCCACGGGAGACAGGCCAGCACTGCAGAAGGGACTCACTGAATAGTAGTGCCAAGAAAGTCAGTGTTGAGAATGAAAGAAAATACTGTGAAATGGGCACTGGTTAGAAAGTTGAACAACAACAGCAAAACTTAAAATATGAAGTCTTGGGGAGGGAAAAACTACCTGAAGCAAATCCTGTTAAACACTTCTGTGTGGCTGGTTTCTGATGCTAGGAGGTTTTCCCCTGCAAGAAAAGACACAAGTAATAAGAATTTGGCATATTTTGGTTTCCTCCTATAATCTATATGTGTGTGTGGTCCTCCAGCCCCCCAAAAGAATAGATTGAATGTGTCTAACACAGGTTCAGGATATGGGGAACTGAGCAAAAAAATACATTATATGGTTTGCACATTCAAGGAGCTTACAATCTTCCTGGAAACACTAGTCATTGAAATGATATCACAATGAAACCAACCTGAGCATTATGTACATGAGCTCAGAGAAGGAGCCCGTATTGTGGGGAGGAGCAGTACTGGGAAGCATCACTGAGAAGGGCCTCAGGTGTGGAACTGGACTCCAGAAAACCTCACCTTCCATGGGGAGCGATGATTATTGATATGTATGTGTCATAAGAAGCAAAAATAGATCAGATGTGCAGGGAGACATAGCTGGAAAAGGAAAGGGCGCTCCAGTGTATATGATAAAGATTGGTTAGGTAAGTGCCCCCCAAAAGTGCATGCAAAGCCAAGTAGGTAGAAACATAAAAAACAGTAGGACATTGAGAGCACCTGTGGCCGACTCGAAACACTTCATATGGAATTGGAAGACCCCGGGCAAAGCACTGAGTTGGGTTCCGCAGAGGAGCCAACCGTGACAGTGGGCAGATGAGATGAAGTTGGGCCTGAGGGTTTCATCATAGTCCTAGATTAAGGGAAGATATTTTACAGGAAAAAACATGATTTGTAGTTTGAGAAAAATGAAAAGGAGGTGTGGGACGCCTCTGAGCTGCTGAAACATCTAAGGTAGCATATATGTACCCAGCAATCCCACCCAACATTCCCACAGTCTAGGCAGATGGAGAAGGTGATCCTGTCAAGAGGCGTGGCTGGGAGAAGAGTGGCCATAGTTTGCAAGTCCAAAGAATACATAGAAAATAAAAGAGGAGGAAATGCCCATGAAGAAATCAGTTATGAAATCAATCAGGAGCATATTTGTTAAGCATTTACTATGTGTGGAAAATGGGTATCCTTGGGGAGGAAAGCCTTTTTAAAAAGGCTGTGAAGTCACTACATAGTACTTTGCAGATGTGTGTGTATATATGTGTATATATATATAATGATTAGAAGAATGAATGAATGGATGAATGAATGAGCACACCCAAAAGAAATGTCTAGGAAGTGCTTTCATAACCTCTCTAGTGAGTCCAGAGTATTGTATGAAATGCAATGCTTTCAAATTGTGGGAAAATACGCAGGTATTTCCAGAATCCAGGTCACAAAGACCAAAGAAGAATGATAAGGCTAGGAAGGCAGAATACATAAGATAGTGCAAAGGGAATAAAAATGTCAGATGGGCTCATAAAAATTCTGTGAATACATTGTGGAAAAAGCTAGGTGCAAAATAGCATTGGAAAGGAGGAGAAGAAAATATAAAACTCCTGTCAATGTAGGCAGTGTCTCCTTGAAACTCACTTCACCTTTTATGAGATTATCATTTATACCCATCTGCCACAATTCTAAGTGGCTCTATTGAAACTTACTAAGTTCTTCCGAGTTATTGGGAGAAAATATTATTCTAAATACGTTAACGTATGTACTTCTCAGTGAAGGGGGCTGGAAATAAGAAACTAGAGTTCCATTTGGGATCATTTTGAAAGGGGAGAAAAGGCTGGGGTAAATAGGAAAGAATTTTTTAGAAACTTTCATCAAAGGCAATAATGCTAGCATGGGTTACTTAATAATTATAAAAGATGATATGGGAATTAAGGGAAATGAAGCCAAGTGGAGATTGGGAAATCTGAAGAAAATGAAATTGCTTGTTTGAAGTGAGTGACCTTTAACTTACTCAACTTGCAAGACGTGGGTCAAAAGATAGAGGGAGGGGAGGACAAAATATGTCCAAGGGTCAGCTCTGCAAAGGATGGCCTGAGTCACCCAGAGTGAATCTGAAATGCCTGGTTCCAAGAGATTTCCATTTTATTTATGTTTACAGATTTAGGGGTTATGAGTGCAATTGTGTTACACGGACATACTGTGTGGTGGTGAGGTCTGGCTGGTGGATGCCCATCACCCGAACAGCAGTTCCGAGAGATTTGAGAGCAGAGTGCAGACCCTGGGAAGCTGGAGGTGGGTCCCACACACAGCTGAGGAAGAAAAGGGCCTTGTTGCCAGTACTCTGGCTACGAAGTTATCATAGTACCTTTGCAGGAGGGATTATTATATTAATTAGCTTAAAAACCTTGATAAAAAGATGTTCTGAAAAGATGACTCATCCTATCACAGGTTTCAGGCAAAGACAAATTGGGGAAAATAAAGAATGGCTTAGACAGAACATGTCAGCAGCCAGTTTTTAAATGACATGTTTGCCATGTGATATTTCACAGAAATGGCTACACAGAAATGAAATGTGTTAACATTGATGATACAGAAATATCCAATAAAAATAGCTTAAGAGAGTGCTTTTATGCCCTGGAATATAACTACAGAGGACCGTATTGATAAATTATATGGTAAGATTTATTGGGATGCAAATTTCAATCATTTAAGCTCGATTAACGTACTATACATTGGTTATCTAAACTGGAGTTCAAAAACCCAGATGTCTACTGAGGTCAGGCAGATAACTGGGAGCAGCCAGCTTTGTGAGAAAACGCACATCCCTGCAAAAGGATCCCAGTGGGTCCCTGCTTTTAAAGGTCTGGGAAGGAATCAGAAGCCTGGGGCCTCAATTTTAAAATATTCATTCAAAAACTTCTAGAATATGGTGCAGGCCAAACAGGGTACATCTGTGGCCCGAATCTGGCCTGCGGGTCACCAGTTTGCAATCTCTGTTCCAAAGTTAAGGCACCCGGTATCTTTATACTGCAGAGTTTTGAACTGTGTTGTATGGATTACGTAGCAGTCGTGGAATTAAAACTGGTCACAACAGCAGGAGAGCAGGTTCAAGGCCAGCATTTGTTCTGAGTGGCTGGTGTGGAGTACCACACTGAAAGTAGGGGTTTTTGAATGTTATTTTGCCTACAGTCAGAACATTTACATACTTAATGGAGTGCATAGAAATTGATACTGAGAAATTAATTATTGCCTGTAATATTTGGATTTAGTTTGTAGTAAATATCCTACAAAAATTTGGAACCCTCCCATGCAACCTGTATAAAAACGCTCCGGGTGTAGAGGAGCCTCAGCAGAGGAGATGGATTTGGCGGTACAACGAGAATCAGTCTTGAAGGCCAGGACGCATTCCCCAGGGGCCTAACAGGAGGCTCATGAACATCTGCAGTGATTTATTGAACCAGTGCTGGAAGGAAAATGACAAAATATTTGAGTCAACAATAAAACAATTATGCAGATGTTTTACGAAGCTCTGTTCCACTGTTTCGCAATCTGGGGTGGTACACATGCAGGTTTTTATTTTTTAATTGACTTGATTTTTAGAGCAAGTTTAGGTTCACAGCAAAATTGTACAGAAGGTACCAAGAGTTCCCACGTACCTCTTCTCGGGCACACGCATGGCCTCTCCCATGATCTCTACATCCCGCACCAGAGTGGGTCATTGGCTACAGTGCGTGAACCTGCACCGACACGTCACTATCCCCCGTCCATAGTTCATGCTGGGGTTCACTCTCGGTGCTGTACTTTGTATGCATTTGGACAAATAGATAATGACATCTATCCATCATTATAGTATAACATAGAGTTGTTTTACTGCCCACAAAATTCCTCCATCCTCTGCCTATTCATCCCTACCCCCTTACCTCTGACCCCTGGCAAACTATGGATCCTCTTGCTGTCTCCGTAGTTTTGCATTTTCCAGACTCTCTTATAGTTGTCTTATAGTTGGAATCGTATGGTATGTAGACTTTTCAGATTGGTTTCATTCCCTTAGTAATATGCATTTGAGGTTCCTCCATGTCTGTTCACGTCTTGATAGCTCATTTATTTTTAGTGTGAATATTCCATTGTCTGGATGTCCCACAGGTTGTTTGTTTGTTCACCTAGTGAAAGACGTGGTGGTTGCCCCCGAGCGTTGGCAGTTATGAATAAAGCTGCTGTAAACATCCATGTGCAGGGTTTCGTGTGGACATAAGTTTTCAGCTCATTTGGGTAAATAGCAAGGAGCATGATTGCTGGATTGTGTGGTGTGTTTGGTTTTATCAGAAACTGCCAAACTGCCTTCCCGAGTGGCTGCACCATCTTGTATCCCCACCCGCAATGACTGAGAATTTTTGTTGTTCCACACCCTCACCGGCACTTAGTATTGTCACTGTTCTGGGTTTCAGCCACTTTAATAGGTGTGTACTGGTATCTCATTGATTAAATTTGCATTTTCCCCATAACCTATGTGGAACGCATTTGCATATGGTTATTTTCAACCTGTTTATCTTCTTTAGTGAAGTGTCTGTTAAGGTCTTTGGCCCATTTTTTAATTGGGTTGTTTGTCTTTTTATTGTTGAGTTTAAGATGTCTTTGTATATTTTGGATAACAGTCCTCTATCAATCAAATATATCTTTTGCAAATATTTTCTGTGGCTTGTATTTCCATTCTCTTGAATGTCTTTCCCAGAGCAGAACATTTTGATGTTAATGAAGTCCAGCTTGTTAATTCTTTCTTTCATGGATCATGCCTTTGGTACTGTGTTTAAAATGTTTGGTCATCTTCCTTGGGGAATGAGCGGAAGGTGACGGCTGCGAGCAAGGATTTTTGGAAGAGAGAGAATGCATATTTTGCTTTTGCCTTTGAGGTGCTGCAACATTTAAGTAGAAAGTCCCTCAGTGCTGCCATCTGTTGCTGTGGCCACAGCTTCCCTCCTAGGGCCTGGCGTTGGCACAATCACTGCTTTATGGACATCAGTTCTCTGTTCTACATGACAGGGAGGTTCAATTAGTACATCCCTAAGCTCTTGCTACCTATACAATGTTATGATCTCATGAGCGGATACTGTGGCTATCAGTGCACAGCCAGGCCACTCTTGGTTTCTTTTCCTGACACTCCTCCCATTGCATTTCTGTCTAACAACGGTGACGAGGTTGGAGAGAGCTCCAGGGGTGGTGTGCCTGCCGCATCCTTTCACATATATTGTATATCATTTCAACTCAGCAGGATAGATGATGCTGACCCCACCTGACCAGGAGGAATTGAGAGGTGTAGGGAGTTAGTGACTTGCTCAAAGACACACCAAAGGCAAGGAATGCGGCCAGATCCAAGTTCAGACCAGCCTCCCGAGGGCTGTGTGCTTTGATTTGATCACCTGTTTCTCTTTGAATTATACGTGCATCAGATCAGAACATCTAATAACACTCATGGGAAAGGGGGCTTCCTAAAGGTGGAGTTACTGCAGGTATCCTGATGCCTGCTTTCCAACCTGCCTTGAATTTTCATTGACTTAAAGTTGAGCTACATACGACGTATTAGAGAAGAAAACCATGGACTTCTATCCCATTATAATAATTAGCTGATGATATTGTCATTATTCATACCACTGCTGTCTCCTCATTAGGTATTGTGTTCATTGGGAACAGGGCCTTAATATTTGCCCCTGTTTACCCCTAGTACTTAGCACATTTTATCTTTTATAGGCATTTAATAAATATTTATCAAAAATAAGCAAATGCACAATACAGTAGTAACGCTGTATTTTTAAATAAAAATTCATTTTTAATTTGATGAGGCCCTAGATCTTTTTGGTCTGTCTTCTGAAGTCAGGATTTTTGAAATGTAGTGAGAAAGGAAGGGAAATGGGATCATTTAGTGCTTTAAACTGCAGTGTAAGCACTCAGTGTGTCTCAGTTGTAATGCTCTTTTGGCAGATGCGCGTCTGCAACCCTGAACAAGTTTCAGCCTCACTTGACTGATTAGTTGCCCTCATTTAAAAGAGGAGCCACATCTGTGCAGCACTGATGGACACTGGGGTCAGTCTGAATGACCCTTCTAACCTCAGAATTAGAGGGTGAGTTTTCCAGACTTTATACCCATTCCCTGGTGCCTATGCTTTTGAAAGAAGAAAGAAGAAAAATTCTAGGTGTTTAGTTCTTTATTATTCAGTTGCCATAAACAATTTAAACCCCTTTTTTCCAACCAGACAGTTAACTGTAGGATCTGAGTTTGGAAACAGACTCTGTCCTAGGATCTGTGTGTTTAGGAGCGAGCTCGGCTGTCTGAAGACTTCTTCCCTGACTAGGTGAGATATATAGAGACGACACTGCTGGATGGAGTTGTCACAAGTGGAATGAGGTGATTTAGGTAAAAAAGCTTCTGCAAAATGCTGTGGATGGTGGTCTAAGATGCACTCAGCCACTAACAGAGCCTTTTTGACACAGGTAGGTCATTCCACTGATTCTCAAGACGAACCCATAATAGACCTTTAGGTCCTTCAAAATATACATCCCGCGTTAGCAGGGACCTTCTCCACTTTTCTCCATTTCGGTACCCACAACAGTGACCGACAGTTACAAGGGTTAAATGGACATTGCTGAATTCATGTGAGTGATTTGCCAGGCCCATAATGCCCCAAAGGCCCAGTAGGTAGTTGGATCTGAAAGCACTTGCTCTCTGAGACATGATCAGGCAGCCATTTACTGTCTAAAAACTCTCTGAAAATTTTAACCATGCTTATTTAAATTTTACCACACATGTGCACACACACCCCATTTATTTCCCTGGAAGGAAGGAGAAGGTGGAGGAGAACGTTCCCTTTGCTTTAGGATTCCCTTTGGGCATATCTGGCACAGAGGAGCGATGCCTGGGGTCCAGCATCCCTTATCAGTTTCCATGGGCACCTTATTGATGGTGACAGGTGAAGGGTCGGACGTTCTGACATCAGCCACATCATACTTCCATAGTAGAGGTGACATTCCAATGTGGCTTCCTTTTTACCTGCTCAGGGTGTAGCGAAAAGCAACTTCTGCCTTGTCTCACTGTTGACATCTTACCTTACTGTTGGCAAGAAAAGGATTAGGCAAATAGGAAGTGACTAGTGTTAGGTACTGGCCTTCCCGGCTTTCTTCTTCTTTTCATTTGTAGCGAAGTGTCACCATTGTGGAACATCCATGTGTGCAATGCTGAGAAGAGTTCCCCCCCTTTTCTTTTAGAGGGGACTTATGATGGAGGATGGAAGAAATGAGAATTCAGAGAGACAAGCATGGGCCACCTGCCACGCCCACAGGTGATCTGCGCTACATGCATGTGCTCAGAAGGGTTTAGGGGTTGCTCTGTGGGTTGAGGTGTTTCTTAGAAAGAAGTGTGCAATTTCGAGAGTGTTTCCACTTCAATTTTGAGTCCACTATATACTGTGAGATGCAGAAAAGGCAGAGTCAGCATTTGCCTTCTTCATGTGTTCACGTATCTACGGTCTATGTGAAATTACAGAATTATTACTTTCTCTGTCTATGGAAAAATGTGTGTAGGTATACTTCATTTTTTCTGAGTTACTGAAAAAGAAAAAGAGGTCTGACTTTTAGTTCAAAGCCATTTTTCACCTATGTGCTGTACATTACAGTTCTTAAAACAGTAAAACTTTAAAGGATATTTCTGGCGGAGAAACTTTTTTTGTTTTAAAGAGGCTATGACCAGAAATTTCTGGCCTAATTTATGTACTCCACTTTGATATTGAGTATTGACAAATATTACCTGATCTTACCCCTTGAATATGTCAATTCTTTGGGTAGTGTACCTGTAAAACTGGCTTTGAAGACCACAAATACGATGAGCTATTTAGGATTCATTTTTCAAGTAGTTAATAAAATTCTTAAATTTTGAAATAACTTCAGACTTAGAAAAAAGTTCCAAAGTATTCCCGTATATCTTTCATCCAAATTCCCCAAATGTTAATGTCTTACAAAACCACAGAACAATGATGAAAATGAGGAAAATAAAATTAAGATAATACTCTGATCTGATCTACTGACCTTTTTGGAATTTTGCCCTTTGTCCCATCGGTGTCTTTCTCTGATCTCGGCTCCAGCCCAGGATTCCATATTGCATTTAGCTGTCACATCGCCCTGGTCACCTCTAATCTAAACACATCCTCAGTCTTTCTGTGTGTATGTGGGTCAGGGCGGGGGCTGGCAGGGGTGACCTTGGCGAGTCCTGGCCAGTTATTTTATAGAAAGTGCTTCAACCTGGGTTATCTGATGTTTCATGACTAAATCCAGGTCATGTGTTCTTGACAGAAATAGCACAGAACTGACGTTGTCTCCTCCTTGGGAGGTGTGTGATGCCAGTTTCCCCAATGCCTGATGATGGGACTCTGAGGGTTGGCTCAGGTGGTGCCTACCAGGTCTCTCCATGAAGTTACTGTTTTTCTTTGGCTCCTAATATGTATCTTGTGGAAAGGGCCTTTGACACAGTATGAATATCTTGCTTCTCCTCTTACTTTGCACCGTAACGTGACTATCCCTGAGGATTCTTGCCTGAAACAGCTCTTGCTGCAACGTTCAGTGGTTGGCGCCGCTGTCTCCATCCCGTCTCATTTGTTAGTTGGGATTCTGCAGAAGGGAAGAGCTTTCCCTTTGCTCCCATTTGCTTACATGTATTCAGTTATTTACTTAGATCAGAATGGGCTTGATGATTGGTTTTATTCTATGAATTGTAATCCATTTCCATCATTGTTTTTCAAATCATCTCCAATTTGTTCTTTGGGAGCTCCTTCCAGCTGGCGCATGTGTCTTTGTGACACGTGCTGTCATTTTATGAACATGTCGTTGCTTTCCTGGAATCAGAAGTTCCAGGCTCACTTTGTTCTCTCCCTGCCCCACCCCTGAAATCAGCCTTTCTCTTAAGACTTCTGGACCCTTCTATGGAAAAACAAAAATCTAAGTTAGGGGGGCTAGGCATGCCCATTGCTACTGTGGTGTCTTTGCTTCTAGACCTAACTAAGGCTATATTCTCCGGTGACGCAGTAAATGGTCGCTGTTAGAGAAATGGACATCTCCACTAAGGGCACAGTTTCGGCCAGTGCCCCCAGCCATGGCACGTGTGTGGTGATGGTGGAGAGGCTGTGTGGAGTGGTGGAAACACTGGCCTGGGAGGTCAGAGACCTCGTTCCCATCTGCCCCACCCTAAGCCTCAGCACCTTCCAGTGTACAAAGGGGCCATGAAACGACCCTACAATGATTAACCCTACAATGGTTGTTGTGAGAACAAGTGAGATAATACAATACAAGCCTAAAACAGCAAGAGAAACTAGAAACTGATAGCTCTTCCTTTTATCTCCTTTTCTTACCCATTTGCATCAGAACCTTGGGTCCTTTATGGCAAATTACTTGCTTCTACCATTGTTTTGATCATTTGAATAATTCTCCTCTTAATTAGATGTAGATTTAGATTCTCCTTCCTTGTAGTCTGATTAGAAAACTTTAAGAGGAAGGTTGCACTGTTATGCACTAAAAACAATATTTATCAAGGAAATCGTTAATGTGCCCCTACTGGGTATGGTAGGATGAACACAGGTCAGTTTCAGGTAGATGAACTTTCCTGTTATTTCTCTGAAGAAGGTCGCAGCCTTCACAGCAGCTTCACAGTCTTGCCAGGTGATCTGCAGTGACATCTGGCTGATGCAGACCAAGTATTTCAAACTCAAACCAACAAGCAGCTGTTTGTGTTGGAGTGGAGTGCGGGGTGAAGGCTGGGGGTGCGTGGAGAAGAACGCTCTAGTCCGTTACCAGATCTGGTTTCATTCTGGCATCTCCCTAAATCAGGTCACAGCCATTTCGGCAGGTATGTGTTTCTGGTCTCGCAGTGCCAGCCTCCTGCTGACATTTCACCCTGTATGTGAGGCTTCAGACCCCTTCACCCAGCTGAGGAGGCTAACACGTTTCCTTCCTTCTGCTTGAGAGTTTTGGACCTGAAATATGATCTTTATGGTATAATCACTTCAGAATCTCATACAAAGGCCTCTTGAGGTTGATGGTGTCCAGGGCATGCAATCGGGATGCGCCCTGTGGTCAGCTGGCACCTACCCTGCCGGCAAGGGCCTGCCGTTTGTGTTGCGTCTTCCATCAGATGTCACCTGTGCTGGACACACGTGGAGACCTAGCCAGCCCCCAGAGACCCAGTTCCAGATGCAGCTTAACTTTTATATGCCTAGTGTGTTCCAGGTGCAGCTTAATTTTTATAATTTCTTGTTTCTGACACTGATCATCATAAATACATAAGATAAATGTAAAATAACACCACTATTTTCATAATTCCCAATGTACTTCATTACTTTGATTCTGTATTTCTTTTCTACATGCCTGTGAACTACAGGCCCAATCTTGCAGCATAATTCAAAAAGCGTTTTTATGACAATGTTCTCTCTATGTCGTAGGAAAAATATGTATGCTTCTGATTTTATAAAGGTTTTTAGTTTACTTATTCTACATTTTCCTATATTATTAAATTATATCATAAACAAGGGTGTTTTAACATATGCTTCGAGCCCTGGAGAATAGAAAAGTCTTATTTTACTGGCATCAGGAAATGGATTTTCTTCTAGGTATGAGTTAATTTTCTGGAACTTTCCTTAAAATGCTACAATTATTTTTCCATTGATGTCTTTACTGAAATAGGTTATGCACAGCCCTTTGTTAGTAGAGCATGCTGTCAATACAGCTGGCACTTTTCCAAGTGGCTCCGGGTCATCGTGGTGAGCCTGGATCAGTTCTCCGTGCGCCAAGAGGTGGGCCGTGGTGCTGCAAGGCGTGTGGAGGTGCGCGGAGGTTCGGCTTTTGCACGTTGGCCTCCTCTGCTGGGCTCTGGAAGGTGGTGTTCCCACTCCCTCCTCCTTGGGTTCCTTTCCACTTCTCACTGCTTCAAACAAGTCCCCTCCTCCTTGTGTCTCACCTGCCCTCGGCTGGAAGATGGGCGGATGACAGAGTCAGATTTGTTGAGCCTCCCACGTGCCAGGCGTGTGGTCCTGGAAGTCAGCTGATTTCCTTGTCCCAGTTGTGTTAAGAGGCAGGTGTCATTCCCACATGGGGTCATGGACAAGGCACCCGGGTTTGGAGAGGTAGAGCCCCTTGGCAAGCCATGCAGCCAATGGCCAGCAGAGCACAGTGGCACGGCCAGCATTTTAACTGAGGCTTGAAGCTCAAAAGCATTTTCCCTGCCACACCACCCTGAAGTCATCTGCAGAAGCCAAATGACCAAGTTTTTCTGGCACAGCAGTGAATGTTATCCTACTGTCATTCTTTTACTCGACACATTTTTGTTAAAAGCTCACTTGGACTGGCGAGGATGGTTGCCTTCTCTCTAAAGAGAGCAGAGAGCTGGCCATGCCGGCTTCTGCATACTCACCTCCCTTTCCCTCCCCTCCCCACCCAAGAAATCCCTGCCATCTTTTGCATTCAGGTCCAAGCTCCTGAGCCTGGCACGACAGGCATCAGAGTGCTCATCACAGGAGTGTGCAGAGCCATTCGTCATCCATATGCCTTTCCTGGTTTTGGACTGGCAGTGCCGGTGCTCTGAGGCAGGACACAGTTGGCATCGGCCCTGCTGAACCTGGCCCCTTGTCTTTATATGCTAGGGGTTGACTGAGGCCAGTGAATGTCTTGTATACTGTAGGTGCTTAACAGCAGTCTGTCAAACTTTCCTCCTGGAGTCAAATGTCATGAGCTTTGTGACCACTGCTTTCCAGAGAGTTTCTTTTTTCTGTATTTTTTTTTTGAGGGGGGCAGCTGTGTTCTAGGTGTTGATGATGTTTGGAGCATACCCTGTGAATAACAGATGTGCAGCTCTGTATAGGATCTTCATGGGGTTTAAAATCCTGACCTACATATTTTTTATGTATACATAAATACACATATACATATAAATATACATATAATAATAATTACCTATTGCCCTCAATGTTATACAGGACTGTGTTTTAAATTAAACATGTATTGTGTGTCTTATTTTGAAGCTATTCCAATGCCATTATTTGGGAACCATTGAATCTGAAAATCCTGAAATATTGCAAATTTTATCATAGCTATTATCTACTCCATGTTAATTTTCAGTTGTTTCCAGCTATAGATCAGTTTTCTTTGTCTAAGTGCTTCTTACACTCGTGTCACTGAAAACCTGAAGAGTACAGAGCCCAGCCCCTGTTTTGGGTGCTTGGATAAGGGGAGCTTACTGGTGGATAAGGAAAACTCCAGAGACTGAGAGCTCTTTGGAGTTTTCTGGGTGCTCCAGCACAGGGATGCTTTGCAAAGATTCCTCAAGCCCTTCTGCTTGTACAACCACCAGAAGGTGCTTTAGAGAAGGGGAGGCACTGAGATGACAGCTGTGCAACTCAGGATGCACCCAAGACAGAAAAAACACGTTCATCTTTGTGAGCTTGAGTTGGGCATCCTTTCCGCCGTTCTCCCTCTGTCCTTCTTGGAGGTGCTGAAAGTGTGCGTAGCTCCGTCTCCCTGCCCCTCCTCCCTCCACTGGGTCATGCAGGGGCTCCCTGGACACCAGATAGTGCGAGGTCCTTCCCCTCGCCTGTGTGGATGGTGGGGAGGCTCAGGGCCCACTGGGTGACCGGAAATCCTTTCTCCAGTGGGCTCATTGTGCTCTTTGTGCTCTGCTCAGCAGCCGCTGCCCTCGCTGTGGGTTTCCTTTGTGATTAATCCTTATCTGCTCAAAAAGGCTTGCTTCACATTTGCCCTTGGCTGCTGGTCCCTGGCAGAGTGCAACTCTGCTGCCTTATGCCTTTTTTAAGTTTTTGGATTCCTTTCAAATTTTCTCAAATCTCATTACCCTGATTAAACATTTTTTCGATTAAAAATTAAATTTCTAGAAAAGTGTCAGGAAGTATGCAAATAAACGCTGGCATGCTTTCCACTTGAGAGTCATCAATTGCTTACATTTTGCCACATTCGTGGTTTTACTGCCTCTCCATATTACTCTTGTTTTTTGCTGTGCCATTTGAGATTAAGTTGTAAAGGTCATCTCCCTTAGCCCCTGAACATGTCAGCGTTAGACCCAAGGACAAGGATTTTCTTTTACGTAAGCATGATACCTTTATTAAGTTCAGGAATTGTAACATTGTTGCAATTTTATATCCCATGTCCAGTGCACGCTCACTGTGCCAGTTAGCCTAGCACTGCCCTGTGTGTTTCCCCAAGTCAGCATCTGGTCTCCGCGACGTATACTGAGGCCCCACATTGCCCTGCCTTTCTTTGGGCTGCTGTTCTTTTGCTAGATGAGTTTTGAGTTTTAAGGTTTTCTTACCCCCATCCAGCTCCGTGGCCACATTTCTGCTAGCGTGACTCCAGGGCTGGAGGACCGGGGGTTGGCAGCCTTCTCTTGCTTTTCCTGAGCTAGGATTCGTGGCGACAGAGTTGGAACTACTCCAGGCGGGTTGTGACACGTCCGTCTCCCCACATGGAGAACGGTGGCTTGCCAGTTCCCCTTGCGTCCCTTCGGCTGGCCCGGAGCTTGGTGCGTGTGGATGCTGCCGTCTGTGAGCCCATTGTGAGACCGCACGGCTGAAACAGCTGAATTGGGGAATAGCTTTCAGCTCTTTATCTCAGTGGCGATCTTTCGCTGTGTGCAGTTTCCCGGGTGCAGGCCGGGGCATGACTTCATTCTTTAGGTTATGCGGCACCCCCCGCGCGGGCTGCTGGCTCAGTCCCCCTGCTTGCTGTATCTGCGTCTGGGGACCGCCACCACCCGCATCTGTCTCCACGTGGTGGCCATCCAGGACTCTCAGTGACGACACCGCAGACGGTTGAGCTGGGAGCCCTCACACACTTGCAGGCATCATCATCCCAGCAGGCATGGTGGAGTCTGGGGAGATGCGCAGGAATTCCCGCGGGCTCTTAGAGTCTAGTGTTCAGTGGAAATTCGTGCTGGGGATAAAGAATGGCCCTGGCTGGAGTGGAATTTCGATGACTGCCACATCATCTTCAGGAACTCCATTGTATTCTACGGGCAGCTCCCAAACCCAAGACTGCTGGCAGCAGAAAGGCCTCCAGGAAGGCACCTAGTGACGTAGATAACAAATCCGTTTTACGTGCCACATTTCCTCATAGGATGTGCATAGGATCTCCTTTCCTGAAAGCCAGGACTGGCATGCAGCTCCCTGGTTTGGGGTTGCAGCCACCTGTGTGGAGTCAGTTGGCTGGGCTGTGTCCTTGTCACCAGAATCAGCTCCCCTGACTCTCAGCGTCACACACTTCCTGATCCCAGGCTCACGCGCTGTGAAGCCTGGTGAAAGCACATGTGTCGTCTCTCCTGGGTTCACAGCCTGAGCTGTGCGCTATGAATGCGACTGCACACAGCTGTAGTTTAGGGTGCCTCAGGCTCAACACTGTGTGAGACTTGTTTTTGACTACTTTAATACTTTTCTTTATTTAGAATGTACCCCACACCTTTTCTGGCTTTGTGATGTACTCAAATTGCCTTCGTAGAATTAGGAAATCTGCATATGGAAAATAAACCAAAATCGTATTGCAGTCGGCGCTTTCCTCTTTCCTCTTTCTGTGATTTTCTACCTCCCTACCTTTCTTTATCCTTTCTTTCATCTGTCTGAAAGGAAGTGAGGTCACACTCCACTCATTCCCAGATCACTTGAAACATTTGGAGCCTAAGGGAGAATGGAGAAGGCAGCGAGAAGGTCTCTAGCAGTCAAGGCCGATCGATGATGGTGGGACGGCGCCCACAGCCCAGCATCTTGCAGAGCCGAGGTGGGCTGAGCTGCAGCAGCACTTGGCGATCCAGCAACAGGGAAGGAGGGGAAGAAAGCCCTCTTAAGACACAGTGAGAGACAATGGGGAAAGTGTAAAAAGCATGTCCCAGATCTCAGAGCCTAATGCCCTGGGATCACGTGGTGCAGGGGCCATTGGCCCTGTCAGCTCAGGAGCTCCAGTGGCCTTCAATCCCCCCATCAACCCCTGAGTAAGGGGAGAGGAAGGCAAGGAAGGAGAGATGGAAGGAAAGAGGAGAAAAAGAGAGGGAGAAAGAAAGAGACGGGGAAGGAGGAGACAGAGAGAGAGGAGAGGGAGAGAATATTATTTAATACTTTTGATTCACTGGGCCAAAGTAGCATGTCAAAACAATTTCCTTCTTTAAAACCTTTTGGATTTAATTAAAGTATGGAACTAGAGTTGGCATTCTTTGGTAGATTCTGAAGCATGAGGCCTGAATGTGCATCCATTGAAATACATTATTTTAACCTTTTACTTCTTTCTCCTCCTCTCCTTCCCTCCTTTTTTCCCTTATCTTTCTACCGTCCTCCCTCTGTTGTTCTTAGGAATTATTGGGAATTTGGATTTGGTTTTGGGCGCAGGTAGGGGTTAGGAGGGTGGTTGCCAAGTTTGAGTTTTAAGAGGGAACCTGCAGCCAGGTTAGTTGACTCAGCTAACTCCAGAGGACAGAATGAATGATTCTACTGGGAATGGCAAACAGGGTTCTGAGAGCTGAAAATACACATTTTATGAGGTCTGCAACTCCTTAAAGTCTATGTCTTTCCCTCCCATGAAGAAGG
Source organism: Homo sapiens (assembly GCF_000001405.40). Classification (NCBI taxonomy): domain Eukaryota; kingdom Metazoa; phylum Chordata; class Mammalia; order Primates; family Hominidae; genus Homo; species Homo sapiens. The sequence continues at coordinate 110,264,218 of NC_000013.11, read as the reverse complement.
ACCAGAGTCTGCGGTCCTTTGACCTCAGAAATAATTAACCTGGACTCCTGAGGGGTGGGTGTGGAATGCCTCCTCCCCGTTCAGCCTTCATTCCTGGCTGGGAGGGGTTGGGGACGCAGTCTGGGGTGTGTGTTGGAAAGCAGTGTCTCAGAGCAGGCTGGGAGCACAGCTGCCGCAGCAGCCCTCTCCTGCCAAGCAGTGCGAGGGATGAGGATGTCCTGAACTTTTTCTTTTGATACAGTTTTTACAGATGTGTTGGCTCTGAAAAAATGCTGGCCTACTTTTTTCTTTTTTAAATAATAGTAAACATTCAGCTGTTTAATTTTAGGTTTTCCTTTATTTACAATGAGGAATTCATTTTTACTTGGCCCTAATGTTGATAGCCTAAACTTACATTTCTTTAAAGTTTATTTGAGAGCCCTAATAAGTGTTTGTAAGAAATGATCTATAAAATAATATGCCATTTAATGATTAAATTTACATTTTCATTTAATATATAATTGGTGAACTGTTACTATCCATACAAGAGGCAAAATCTACTTTTTCATTCGTCTAGAAGATAGCATCAAATTCCATTTTGATGATAAAAATAAACACAGGAGCTGGGCATGGTGGTACACGCCTGTGGTCCCAGCTTCTTGGGAGGCTGGGGCAGGAGGATCGCATGAGTCCAGGAGTTTGAGGTTGCACTGAGCTACAACTACAGCACTGCACTCCAGCCTGGGCAACAGAGCGAGATCCCATATGCCAAAATTTTAAAATAATAATAAGAATAATACGCAGCTTGCTCATTTTAATGCATCTTTCAAAGTGGGTCTGTAAGGGCGTGGTGGGGCTCAGTTTATCTTAGTAATCTGTTTTGTGCTTGACATGGTAAAGGGTTGGGTGGTTTTCCCAATACTTCTTGATTACATGCTGTATTCTGTCTTATCTGAACCTCCGTTCCTGATTTTGAAGTATTTCATGAGGGGTGTGACATCATTCCTGGAGGCCAAGGCCGTCGTGAATTCACTGCAGACAGCTGTCTCTCCTTGGTCTGGGGTGGTTTGTCTCTGGCTTGGACTGGAGAGGATACACTGTGTATTCTTGGCTTTGAGTTCCTTGACTGCTTTCTGCTGCGTGGGAGTTTTCCAGGCATGTTTGGAGAGCGGACAGGGTTCAGCCAGCTAGACCTACCTGCCTGCTCTGGAGAAATTTGGTTCACTTGATCCAAGTTCAGATGCACAATTTATGGTGTCCAACTCTGGTCCACACACTCAGGAGCTCCTCTAAGCTCACGAGGTCCTTGGGGGATCAGTGCTAGCAGCCGCCTTTAGGGCACAAGTGTTGATGGACTCCTTGCAGCCCTTGAAATGAAATACTGGTTTTAAAATACAGCCGTAAACTGGAAGGTTATCATGAAGGAGACTTAGACCCATTGGGGAACACATCGAAGTGAAGCAGATCAGGACAGCTGGAAATTCCAGGCAGGGAGGATTAATCAGTGCAGCAGAATCAGGAGATGCGTGTTTCCCTGAAACATGTATTGTTTCACTTTCCTTCCCATTGTATGAACTCTGGACCCTGGGGGTTAAAAGCCTGGGCCATGCTTCCTCTTCTTGTACAGTAGCAGGAATGTGGGATGAAAAGCACTCCGAGATTGTTGATCTTTGTGAGATTTTTGCCTAAATAAAAAGTAGAATTAAGAGGGAGGAGGAAGATCAGTAAGATTTAAAATCCCATACTTAAGTTACGCACATGAAAGGAACTTCTGAAAAATGCTTTTGCCTTCTGATTTGCTCTAAATATGTGTCAGCTTCCAGTTGGACAGTTTAATTACCACCACTCTGGGAGGGCAGACGCATTTTGAAGTAGTAGCTGCATTTTTCATGTTGTATACTGGGAAGGCTGATGGTGGAGGGTGAGGGCGCTGGGTCCTGCCCTGGGCGGTCTCAGCCCCCCACTTGCTGGCGGGCAGGTGCAGGGCAAGCTCTTGGCCTTGCAGACCTCGCGGTCCTTGCCTGTGGGACTCAGGCAGTGACCCCCACCTCTCGGGGTGCGGTGACCGTTAAGCAGGAATCTGTTTCTGAAGCTCCTACTGCACACGGGGTACTCAAAAACACTGGTCCTCTTTCCATTCCTCCCCTAATGTGGCGTTGAAGAAACCACACTCCACCCAGTTAAACCCTCAGATGGAAGCATGGGCCTCCTGCATGTTTCTAAATTCCCTTTAAATAGGACCCAGTGTTTCCCAGCTTCCCGCCCGGTCACAGCTGGGACCCACCTGCCCTGTGCCCACCTGCCCTGTGCAGCCACTGTGTGCTGGCCTCGAAATGAGTCACTCACTGTCACCGGGGGACAGCCGGTGTCCCGGCTCTGCTCTGGCCTTGCAGAAGCTCTGAATGAACAAGTGGCAGGCACTGCACCAGGCCCGGGGTGGCAGAGGACGCAGAGTGTCCTTAGGAGACAATGTCTGGCAGAGCCCCTGCCCCTGCGCGGCTTCCCTCACTGTCTCCACCTGGGCAGCTCACAGGAAGCGCCCTCAGCTCTGATGCAAATCCCCAGATGGCTTGAGGAATTCCCCTTGGGTGCGGTTCCCTGGGCACAGCAGGATGTGAGTTCTCTCTAGGAGGGATGGAACCTGGGCAGTCCATCGCTTCTGTGTCTTCCTTCTTATCTTCAGTAATTTGAATCTTAAATTTTGAGGAACTCCACTTGATCTAAAAGCTAGGGAGCCCTTGGGCTGCTGGGAAGCCACAGAAGCAGCACTGGGGTTTTTGCTCTCCAAATCTAAACAGCGGTAGCACTTCAGGAGAACGCAGCAGCAAACCAGTGAGTTAGCAGGCTCCCAAATCCGAGAGGTGGAAAGGAAGCAACTTCAAATGTTGTTTTGAGAGAATCCAAAATTGCCCAAGAGCTAATAGCTTGGCTGTGGAATTCCATCAGAGGCAGTCCCTTCTGGGTGAAGTTGTGATGGGTCGGGGGGCTTCCTGCGCCAGGGCGGTGTGTGGGGGCTCCATTCCCCCTTCCTGGGGAGCAGGCTGCCTCTTGTCCTCTCCTGTGGTGAGCTCTGCTGTGACCACATTGGGGCTGTAAGGGGAGTTCATGGAATTGGTGAACAAATCTTTTTCACATTTTTAAAATTGTGGTAAAATACACATAACAGAAAATGTACTATTTTGGCCTTTTTTTTTTTTTTTTTTGAGACGGAGTCTCGCTCTGTCACCCAGGCTGGAGCGCAGTGGCGCGATCTCAGCTCACTGCAAGCTCCACTTCTCGGGTTCACGCCATTCTCCTGCCTCAGCCTCCCGAGTAGCTGGGACTACAGGTGCCCTCCACCGCACCCAGCTAATTTTTTGTATTTTTAGTAGAGACGAGGTTTCACCGTGGTCTCCATCTCCTGACCTCGTGATCTGCCTGCCTCGGCCTCCCAAAGTGCTGGGATTACAGGCGTGAGCCACCGCGCCCGGCCCACTTTGACCATTTTTAAGTGTAGAGTTCACCGGCTGTGAGTACAGTCATACTGTTGTGTGACCGTCCCCACCATCCACTCCAGAACTCTTTTCCTCTTGCAAAACTGAGACTCAGTACCCATTAAACAGAAAAAAAATGTCATACTGTATGTCAGCACGAGAGGCATGCATTCCGTCTTCATCTCTAGAAAGCTTGGGCCGGAGATGGCCTTTTGTACCACCCTTGCCGTGGTGACACTTGGTTTTAGTTGGCTGTGACTACTAGGGATCTATGAGTTCAGTAAGTCACAAGCCTGTCCTGTGTGGAGAGGTTACCTGTAATGGTGTGATGTGGTTTCACTGTATCCCCACCCACATCCCACCTTAAATTGTAATAATCCCCACGTGCTAAGGGTGCAGCCAGGTGGAGGTAATTGAATCATGGGGGCAGTCTACCCCATACTGTTCTCCTGGTAGCGAATAAGTCTCAAGAGTTGCGACGGTTTTATAAATGGGAGTTCCCCTGCTCAAGCTCTCTAGCCTGCCGCCATGTAAGATGTGGCTTTGCTCTTCCTTTGTCTTCTGCCATGATTATGAGGTCTCCCCAGCCATGTGGAACTGTGAGTTCATTAAACCTTTTTTCTTTATAAATTACCCAGTCTTGGGTATGTCTTTATTAGCAGTGTGAGAACAGACTAATACAGGTGGCACGGAGCAGAGATGGCACGAGATAGAAGAATGGCTCCTGACTTCAGAGTGAATGAGAGAGATGTAAGATTAGGTTGCCTGGTAGCATGATCCATGTACAGCAGCCTTCAGAGTAACGGGGATGCAGCTTTACATCCATTACGTAAAGAAGGAAGAGCGTCTGGGAAGCTGATATTTTGGCTGTGGCCCTACTATGCCATGCATGTCAGCCGACTAGTCCACCTACAGATTCAACTATTGCACAAGAACAGATGCAGAGCCCGGAGGAGAAGGCAGCACTTAGCTCCCACTTCCTTTCTTGGTCTGATTTCTGTGACCATTAAATTAATATAATTAAATTAGGTTGACTGACCTATTTCTATTTTAAATTAGAATATTTTACCATGTTGCAAACACGTTCTTAAAAATACACTTTTAGTTTCACTTGTTTTTATGAACCAGAAAGTCCAAAAACTGGACAATAAGCTCAGCATAGTGAATTGTTCCAGTAAAGATTCGCTCTGGTTTTTGAAAAGGAAAATTCATGTTAAGCCAGTTTCCTGTCTAGTCAGCAGAGTGCAACAGAAGAGGAAAGATGGACAATGTTGATTCCTTCACCTCCTTAGGCTAAAATAAGATTTCCCATCTTGTGTTTTGCTCCACCTAGATTTTGTAGACACGCTTAAAAATTTTTTTTAAGTAGTATTGTTAATGAAATACTTTCAGTTTGTTTCAGATTTGCACAAAGTTTAGAATAAATATGTCCTGACTGGAGAGTGAATCATGCAATTAGTCACTGGACTGAGTGAGTTAGAACCACCTAATTAGGGTCAATGAGCTAAAAAATAAAAATAAAACAATTAAGGCTAGACGGAAGAGGAGGAAATGGTGACTTTTTGAAAAGAAAACAAGGTCTGGAGAGTATTGCCTTAAAAAGGTAAAATGTGCAAATTAACAAGATGGAAAAAACCATTGAGTGTGGTTCTGAAAACTGAGCAAAGGGCGCACGCGTCAGAAATGGCTTTGGAAGCCAAGGGCCTCACTCCAGGGACCGGGCGGCCCCGTGTCATCTGAAGTCTTTGCATCCGCAAAGGATCCCATAGGTTGCTCAGGATCGCCGGTGAATGAGATCCTCAGGTTAAATAAATATTTTGGTGACAGATCAAGGCTGCATATATCTATCATACATGTATTTTCCACTTTTAATGCTATGAAATGCAATGAAAGACATCTAATATTAAAACTATGCTGAACTTATTTTTTGAAGATATTTAATGATTTAAGGATTTAAAATATATATATTGTGGGAACTACAGTGTATCAGCTTCTTTGCATAGTAAGACTACCAAGAGCTCTAGTTAAACCGAAATTGAAGTCAAAGCAACAACCAAAAAGTTAACATTGTTTATTACCTTATTTATTAAATTATCATTTATATCACCTGGCAATTTCAGATTGACTATTTTTTAATAAAGAGGCACATAGTTGGTGTAAATAGATGGAAATACATTTTCAAATTCAAAATATTTATTACCATTTAAATTTTCTTTTCTTTTTTTTTGAGATGAAGTCTCACTCTGTCACCCAGGCTGGTGTGCAGTGGCATGATCTTGGCTCACTGCAACCTCTGGCTCCTGGGTTCAAGCGATTCTCCTGCCTTAGCCGCCCGAGTATCTGGGACTACAGGCGTGCGCCACCACGCCTGGCTAATTTTTGTATTTTTTTAGTAGAGATGGGATTTTACCATATTGGCCAGGCTGGTCTCGAACTCCTGAGCTCATGCGATCTGCCCGCCTTGGCCTCCCAAAGTGCTGGGATTACAGGCATGAGCCACTGCGCCGGCTTAAATTTTATTTTCTTGAGTGCTGCCCGGTTCACTTTGGCTCCACGTGACTTCTGCTCATTTAAGCTTCACAGTATGTGGTAGCAAAAGGTTTTCTAGAATTTTCTGGATGTTAACATGCTTAATACAAGTTCTTTGTCTTTAGGAACCATATTTCTATTTCTACAAATCTCATAGCCTTGTTGTATTGTATGCACTGTAGGCAATGGGAAAATAAGTATTCAATGAATGTCAGTGAGAAAAGAAAGAAACGAGGGCTATTTGTGTATTACTCATTCAAATGGAAGGACCAGGGACATGGAATGAATTATATTTTCCATATTTTATGTATTTCTTATTTATTTTTATAATAAATTATGAATGGTTTAAGGCTGCTAAATATTCTTCTTAGGTTCCTTTGGAAAAGGCAAGAGTTCCTGAAGTTGTAGCACATTTCAATAGCTACATAGCATTACGCTTGTCAATTAATTAGACCATTTGGCTTCAAGAGTTGCTGGTAAACTCTATTTATGTATTCTCTTTTTTCATGTCTTAAGAGTGAGACTCCCCTCTCAGGGTTATAGTGGGGAAGTGTGGTTTGGAAAGGAGGCCTCAACATGCACTGACCTTGTACAGTTAACCACAGTGTCTCACAGGGTCCTGGAGAGATAGCTCTTGGCACCCTCTGCCACTGTTCAAATACCAGTGTATGTCATTGAGAGACCATGGCTTTGACCAGCAAAAGTTCAACTTTTCTCTGTGGTATACCTCAGTTTTTCTTCTTTAACCACAAATGTACTTGTGCTTTTAGGTAGGTCCTTTGGAAGTAGCACTTACGGTTTGCAGAGTAGCATTTTTGGTTTACCAGCCGTTATCTTCCATATTCTTATGGAGAGTTTTAGTTGCTGTTGTGCTCACATTTGCTCATGGCCTTGGAAGGATGTCGCATGGAAGTCTCCCAGATGGATCTCTGACCACTTGTCAAATGCAGAGAAGGTTTGCCGCAGGATCTCTTCCACATGTTCGTTATTCTGTAGGGTTTGTTATGTGCAGTTTCTATTTACATTATGTTTGAGTTTTCAAACCTGGTTTTAAAGATACAAATCAGATAATATTATCCTTAGAAGGTGATGTTTTCAAGAGTGATTTCTTTGGGTTTTGGGAACTGTGCAGCAGCATTTCAGAATCTATCTTTTATAAGTAGTATAAATTCTTCCATTTATTTTTGAAAAGTGGCTTTGCAAGTGAGTGCAGTTATGAAAACTACACTTTAGTTTCATTCTGGCTGGCTGGGATTAGTCTAAACATGAAGATTTTTTTAAAGACATGTCTGGTGTCTGACAAAAGAGATGAACAGCTATGATTGCTATCATAGAGACTATTTAATAGTCCCTCTGTGAAATGGAAGTAATATTAAATTAATCAATAGAATGCATTTGTTGAATGCATAGTGAGTGCGTGGTTAGATCCTATCCCACAGGAAAGAATATCTATTTGCTATCCTTGTTGCTGAAAGTATCGGATAGACCCCCCCGCCGCCGGTCTGGGGCATGAATAGAGTGTAGCTGGGTTAAAGTGGATGCAAACCCCTCACCCCATGGCCGACCTCCGCATTTCCAGTTGCACCTGTAAATACACCAGGGCTTCAACCCTCTTTAAACTTCCCAATGTTCTTCAAACTCCCTGTGCACGTTCTCATTTCCATATTTGGTTCCCTTGCTTTCTCTTTCTGGAATTTCCTCCTTTGCTTTCCCGGGCACTGACATCCTCCCTGTGGTTCTGGGCTCTGAGGTCCAGTTCACCTGCTCCCTCGAGGATGCACGTTCACAGTGCCTGCTGGTTCCTGACAGGGCAGCACCACTCAGCAAGTGGCCATCCTCCTCTGCTGTCTTCACCTCTTCCTCCCGAGTATCATCCTCGTCCAAAACCATTTTTCCTTCTCCAGCATCTTGTAGGTTTGTTGCAATCATCCTGTGGAGTCATTTAGTTTTTTTGATGTGTTTTTCCCCCCGGACTAGAATATGCCCGAAGGTAGAAACCACGCCCTATTCACCCTGTCGCTTGGGGCCCAGGACAACTCTTGAACATCTTAAACATTATATAGGTGTCTTGTCTCTAGCCGGAGATTTCATGGGGAGGAGGCTGAAATGTTAGGCAAGATTTTAAAACAGTTAGGTATGATTTAATAGATAAGAAGAACATGAGATATACAGCGTGATTTGTAGAATAAAAATCTTCACATAAAATTTGTCTAATTGACAGTAGAATTACCAGCTAAGAAAATGAGACCTATTACCTTCTCCTGTCATAAGATAAGGTCAGTCACAGTCTTTTCTTTCCTCTGCCTCCTTCCCCCTCCCTTCCTGCCTTCCCCCTCCCTTCCTGCCTTCCCCCTCCCTTCCTGCCTTCCCCCTCCCTTCCTGCCTTCCCCCTCCCTTCCTGCCTTCCCCCTTCCCTTCCTGCCTTCCCCCTTCCCTTCCTGCCTTCCCCCTTCCCTTCCTGCCTTCCCCCTTCCCTTCCTGCCTTCCCCCTTCCCTTCCTGCCTTCCCCCTCCCTTCCTGCCTTCCCCCTTCCCCCTCCCTTCCTGCCTTCCCCCTTCCCTTCCTGCCTGCCTGCCCCCTCCCTTCCTGCCTGCCCCCTTCCCTTCCTGCCTGCCTGCCCCCTCCCTTCCTGCCTGCCCCCTTCCCTTCCTGCCTGCCTGCCCCCTCCCTTCCTGCCTGCCCCCTTCCCTTCCTTTCCCTCCTTTCCCCCTGTTCCTGGTGGAATCACCGTTCTTTCATTGGGAAACCTCCTGTCTTCCCCTCATGACACTGAATTGGTCCTTGAGCCATGACCTGCCTCCCTCCCTTGCACTCTTCTCCCGCCTTCTTGCGGCTGCCCTGCTCTAGCTCCCATCCCCAAGGGCAAGGACGTCCTTGCAAGTCTCCTCATTTCCCTTCCCTCCTCATGCTAATACACTTGACACAAGTCTCACAGATGAATGCCACCAAAATCCAGCGAATGGGATAGGTCTCCCTCATCTCTAAACTTTTAGACCCTACCCAAGGCCTGCTAGAAAATGAGGTGGAAAACACTTGGCCTTTTGTGGGCACAGGCAGCTGCCCCACCAGTGTCCTTGCAGCACTCTGGCCTTCAGGCAGCCCTGTGCAGGGCTGAAGCCGACACCTGGGCTGTTCTGCTGGCACACAGACCTCCTCCGCGGGAAGTGTGCTCCTGCTGGCTTGTCCAGCCACCTTCCTTGTAATGGGCTTAGCGTGGTAGGGGCCACAGCTTCTCTCCTCTTAACCAGCAAGCTCCTTGAGAACACAGCTCATGTCTAAGTCATCCTTCACCCTCCAGATTGCAAGTACAGTGGCAAGCACATAGTAAGTGCTCATTAAATTGCTACCAAGTGAGTAAGAGTAGCAGGCCTGTTCAGTTGCATATTCCCCAGTTCTGTGGAAAAGGAGGGCTTACCTAAGTCTGCTTTTTAGAAGAGGAATTTATCTTTTTAGGATGGGGACACACAGAGAATGGCAGGAGGTCATATAATTTGGGTTACATTCCAAATCTCCACTGGAAGAGATTAGTGATGTCGCTATTCTGGGGGAGAAGATGAGCACAAAATCAGCAATGATTTAAAATATTTAATTGTTTAAGGAAAAAAAGTGGTCCTACTGCCACCACTGGTTTTACTAAACTCTGTTTTTGAGTTGCATGTCCGTCATGCTTGAAATATTTCACTAGTCACTTAGGCTTTTCATGTTTCCTTTTAAAGTATGTTACAAACTGTAGGGCTCCTTAAAGGGTCAGCTGGTGGAACGCAGTGGGATAAATAGAACATGGGCGCTGCTGTGTCTTCCTCAGAGCAAAGCCACCCTCCCGCTTCTGTGCTGTGTATCACTTCCCAGAGGCAAACGGAGCCCTCATGATATGCTTCAAAGAGAGTTCTGTTGATGGGAAAACTATCTGCATACTCCCTCTTGCTAGCCGTCCAGTAAACCTATGGATCATGGCATTAAGCTAGACCATTTGTTTGGAATTTCTCGCTTAATGTGACAATATGCAGTGCACTTCCTGGACCACAGAGGGATAGACAGCAGCTGTTGGCTAAGTCATCCTCTGATAGGAGCTAAGTGATCCTCTGTTAGGAGCTAAGTGATCCTCTGGTTTCAAACCTAGACCCAGTTGGGAGTTCTTCTGAAGGCTGAGTGCAGTAAAGGTTGTGGGTGGGGTCAGAGGGCATGGAGTTTTCCATGTGTGGTATCATGTTGGCGCTCAAAAAGTTTTATATTTTGGAGCATTTTGTATTTTGGATTTTGGGGTTAGGAATATTCAACCTGTAGCGCATTTCTTTTACAAACCTTCTCCTACTCCAATTAATCATGTTGATGGGCATGAAGACAGCACATTATACTTTATATATATACACACACACATACATATATACGTATAATTATACGTATATATAATACATACATACGTATAATTATACATATATACGTATAATTATACGTATATATAATACATACATACGTATAATTATATGTATATGTAATACATACATACGTATAATTATACGTATATGTAATACATACGTATAATTATATGTATATGTAATACATACATACACATATAATTATACGTATATGTAATACATACATACATATATAATTATAAGTATATGTAATACATACATACGTATAATTATATGCATATGTAATACATACATACGTATAATTATATGTATATGTAATACATATATACTTATAATTATATGTATATGTAATACGTATAATTATATGTATATATAATACATATAATTATATGTATATGTAATACATATAATTATATGTATATGTAATACATATAATTATATGTATATGTAATACATATAATTATATGTATATGTAATACATATAATTATATGTATATGTAATACATATAATTATATGTATATGTAATACATATAATTATATGTATATGTAATACATATAATTATATGTATATGTAATACATATAATTATATGTATATATACCTAATTATATGTATATATACCTAATTATATGTATATATAATACATACATACATATAGTTATATGTATATATAATACATACGTACATATAGTTATATGTATATATAATACGTACATATAGTTATATGTATATATAATACATACGTACATATAGTTATATGTATATGTAATACATACGTACTTATAGTTATATGTATATGTAATACATACGTACTTATAGTTATATGTATATGTAATACATACGTACTTATAGTTATCTGTATATGTAATACATACGTACTTATAGTTATCTGTATATGTAATACATACGTACTTATAGTTATCTGTATATGTAATACATACGTACTTATAGTTATCTGTATATGTAATACATACGTACTTATAGTTATCTGTATATGTAATACATACGTACTTATAGTTATCTGTATATGTAATACATACGTACTTATAGTTATCTGTATATGTAATACATACTTATAATTATATGTTTATATGATACATACATATAATTATATGTATAATACATACATACTTATAATTATATGTATAATACATATATACATATAATTATATGTATATATACATATTATATGTATATATACATATATACATTTTGTATATAAGTATATATAATATATACAATTATACATATATAATACATATATACGTATAATTATACGTATATAATACATATATACGTATAATTATACGTATATATAATACATATATACGTATAATTATACGTATATATAATACATATATACGTATAATTATACGTATATATAATACATATAATTATATGTATATAATACATATACGTATAATTATACATATATAATACATATACACATATAACTATGTGTAGAAACATGCTTTAAAATTAAATGTTATTATAAATTTGGAGATTGTAGATGGAATAGATTAAAATGTAATTTATTTGGCTGGGAGTGGTGGCTCACACCTCTAATCCCAGTGCTTCGGGAGGCTGAGGTGGGTGGTTCACCTGAGGTCAGGAGTTCGAGACCAGCCTGGCCAACATGGTGAAACCACGTCTCTACTAAAAATAGAAAAATCAGCCAGGCATGGTGGCAGGCACCTGTAATCCCAGCTACTTGGGAGGCTGAGACAGGAGAATTGCCTGAACCCGGGAGAGGGAGGTTGCAGTGAGTTGAGATCGCGCCACAGCACTCCAGCCTGGGCAACAGAGCGAGACTCTACCTCAAAAAAAAGTAATTTATTTATGATTAGGAATTAATAAAGAAGACACTTATGCCCAGTTGTTGGAATTTCTGTAAGTCTTCCCGTAAATGTGCTATCACTTTTCAGACAGCAATTATAGACTCCTTTATCAGAGTCAGTGTTACTGGGACTAAGGAGAATTAAGGCGGAGAAGACTGTGCCTCTGCTGTAAGTCAGGTGTGGGTTCAAGGTCTTTATGCTCTCAGGCTGTGCGGCCAAGATCTGAAAAGTTAAACTCCTGTCTGCCTCAGGAATGTGCTGTCTTAATTCTGTACCGGCTTGCACCTGTGCCTGTCTGGCAGCCTGTTCTCGCCGTCTTTCCCTCATCCTGGGTTCTTCCTAGGTGAACAGCCCTGACTTTTCGCAACTCAGCTGAAGTGTGCCCTACCTTGGGGGTCCCCGAGTCCCCCTCTGGCATGCCCGTGAGTCTCTGCTCACCTCCCTTGCAGCCCACGTTTTATTGTAATTTCACCTTTCCTTATCCAGCTTGCTCACACACTCAGCTCTGTATTCTTAGCACTGGGGGGTGCCTGGCCCATGCAGGCGTGCAGTAGATGGGAAGTGAATCTCACCACCTGTTAAGAAAAAGATAAGTATGACTGGGCACTGCCAGGAGCTGTGAAGGAGTGCCTGGCACAGGCCTGCTGGTGCTTCCCCTGCCCCACCCACTCACCCTAGTCTTGGGCATGGGGCCTTGGGGCTGTCTTGCGTGGGCTGGGCTTGGGAGTCAGATGTTGAAAGTGAAGGCAGAAGCCCACATGGCCGGTGCAGGCCAGGGTGGCACCAGGGTGTGGAAGGAGTAGGCCATGGAAGATGAAAACCGGGAATAGCTGGGAGAACTCCCTGCCCTTCAGCACAGCCGGGAGCCGCACAGTTCTCCAAAGCTGGAAGAAATAGTCCAACGTCTTTTTTCGTGCCTGTCTGGGTAAAATTTGCTGTTCTTCAAAGGGTGCCTGTAAAATAGGCACTGGTGGAATGAAGGGGTTAAAGATGAAAGTTACAAAGGATGGGAGCAGGGCTGGTGGGAAAAGAATCCGGGGAACCGGGAAGAGTAGCTAAGAGTGACAACTCTATGGGTGGGAGATTCCTTCTCTGGAATTAGGGAGTTTGAGTTTCATTGAGAGAACGAAATGTCTCTCAAGTCTACATATTTGCCTGGAGCTGACACTTGGTTTGGGAGGGGCTCCGTGGGACCCGGATGCTGGGGACGCACTGGCCTTGCCCCACTGTGCTAGTGCGTCAGGCCAGTGACTCACAAGCACGGGAAGGCTCGCCCCAGGTCATGCCTCCCAACAGTGTTTCCACCCATGGGTCCCAGCAGACACACACGAAGCCCACCAACTCATTTCACACACAGCCATCCAAGGAACCACTGACCCATGGCAACTAATCATACTCACATCTGCTTGCAGCTGGACAAAGACCAATGACCTGGAGGTGAAGTGCCGGTCTTCATGGTCATTCCCTCCAGGCCATCCTATTCCCCAAGCAGGAACATTTAATGTCCACCCCCGTTTAGTGGGAAAAAGGGAAGAAAAGAAGTGAAACATGAGTCAACAAAATTATATGACAGGGAAAATGAGACCAGAACTTTAGTCACATGTTGTTCCTAAGAGAAGCCAAGAAAACACCCTCATTTCCTCAAGGCGTGTGGTTTCTTGGGAGCCTTTCTGCCCTGCAAACTCAGTCTCTAATTGAGAAGCAGAATAGAGCATGTACCTCACATGTACAAATCTTAGTCATACTACAGCACAGAGAGAGACATGTTACATATTAGAAATTCACTGTTTCTCACATTTTTTGTGCTTTTTTTTTTTTTTGCCAAGAATGTATCAACTCTTGTTGTTTTCAAATTAGGGCAGAAATATTGTGTAACTCTAAACAGTAGTAGGGACTGTTTTGTTTCTATGTCTTCCATTATTAAATGGAACAGAAATATTATTTTATTTACCTAAGTTGTCCTTTCAGGGGAGTTAATGATGAATAATTATTTTCACATCTTTGGGATCACATCTATCTTACATTAGTCAAAACAAATGATGATGATAATAAAACAAATGCAGATGAAAGCACAATGATTTTGAGTTCTGTGAGAATAAGGGAGAGAAGTTAATTTTACCTTTAAAACCACAATACTAAGTATATTTTTGGAAGTTGAAAAATGTTATGCAAATGTAAGCTTTTAAGAAATCATTATTTGTACTACAACATTTGGCCTATATTTTACTGTTTTTTAAGTAATTTTTAAATGCCATGGACACTTTTTTGGGGAGCTAATTTTATTGAAGTTTATCAACTTACAGAAACATATCAAAGGCGAAGGGTACAGCTCAGTGCATTTTCCCCAAAGTGAACATAGCAGTGAACCCAGACTACGGACCAGAACATTACCAGAAGGCACGAAGTCCCTGGAGTCCTCTTCTAGTCAGTAGCCCTCACGAGTAACCAGGATCCAACGTCATCTTGTTCGGCTTTGACTTTTACAGGAATGGAGTCACCCAGTTTGTCTTCTTTTGTGCCTGCTTCAGCTTGCTGCGGGTGCTGTAGCTGGCCTGCCCTGGTGTGGCCGGGGACTCCCTTCCGTGAATATACCCCATCGTTTCTCAGTCCCTTGAACTGTTTCCAGCTGGGGCGATTGTGGATAGTGCTGCTGTGAACAGGCTTAAGCACGTCCCTTTTTCTCGAATTTTATTGAAATACAACAAAGTGCAAACATCACAAGTGCACAGCTCGATGAGTTTTTACCGACGTATACACCCGTGTAGTCACCGCCCGCAACAAGCAAAGAATGTTTCCTGCACCCCAGAAACCTCCCTTGTCCCTACCTTTGCCACACCCCCGCAGAAGGTCATCACAATTCTGACTTCTTTTCCCCATAGACAGATGCCTCCGTTCTTGAATTTCATATGATGGGATCATACAGAGTGTGCTCTCTCTGGAGAAGTTTTAAGATTCTTTTTTAGGGCATTCTTGGGCCCTGGGGGTCCATGGAGCTGGGGAGAGCCATTTTGCAGAGCCTCACAGCCACCGCGGTTAAAACAAGCGTGACACAAGCAGCACAGCGGCAAACAGGACAGAAGCTAGAAAGTCCATTCTCCACGTGCAGTCTTTGAGGTTTCGCTATCCGAAAAAAGTGTGAGTGCCTGCTGCATCTGTGTGTGGTTATCTTTTATTCACCACACCAGCATTTTGTGTGTGTGAATGAAGTGGAATTTAAAATAATAGAATTGAGGCCGGGTGCGGTGGCTCACACCTGTAATCCCAGCGTTTTGGGAGGCTGAGGCGTGTGGATCACTTGAGGCCAGGAGTTCGAACCAGCCTGGCCAACATGGCGAAATCCCATCTCTACTAAAAATACAAAAAAATTATCCTGGCGTGGTGGCCCGTGCCTGTAGTCCCAGCCACTCGGGAGGCTGAGGCAGGAGAATCGCTTGAATCCAGATGGCAGAGGTTGCGGTGAGCCGACGTCGCGCCAGTGCACTCCAGCCTGCGCCACAGAGCGAGACCCCAGCAGGACGTGATGAAGGTCAATGGGGTTTTGTCCAACTTGCCTCAGTTGGAGCAACGTACCAGTGCGCCCCTGCCGTGTGGCCGTGGGGCTTATCCCTGGGAGTGGAATTTGGGGGAAGGAGCCGGGGCCAGGGGCCAGGGCCCAGCTACAGCGGAGGCGGCTGAGCGCCTTCCAGAGGGTTGGGAATGTCCCGCTCGCAATCCCGCCGGGAGCGTGTGGGGCCCGCGCTTGCTGCGTACTCTTAATTCTGCCCAAGTAGCCCTAAGATACAGTCTCTTGCCTCCATACGCTTATTTAGTTGGGTAGGGAATTATTTAAAAGACTCCCCGAGGAAGTGCTGCAACCAGGAAGAGCCCTCGACGGCAGTATCACCAGGAAAGTATTTTGACATTTTTGCACAGCATAGGGAATGCGAGAAAGAATTTGAAAGATAAGCTGTTTAGACTTGGCAGATCTCCACATGTCCCTATTTGGTGGGATGTGAAACACATAAAAATTGTGAAAGCTGCGATGTTAAAGGTCTATCTTCCATCAAAAGCAGGAAAAAAAATCAGAAAATTGAGGACCTCATCCTGTTTAACTCATTCCAAATATGCCTTCATCAGAAGACATGTCCCAGTTAAACTGTATAACACTGCACCCTTCTCCCCTCCCTCCCTCCCTCCCTCTCTCTCTGCCACACACACACACACACACACACACACACACACACACACACACACGAGTAGCATAGCAGCTGGTATTCTTCGGTTCAGTTAAAAAGGCATTCTGTAAACAGAATGAGTGAGCTTTCCTCTTTTTGCATCCTCTGGAATGGAATTCACTGTAATCTTGAGAAGAGCGCCCTCTTGGTCTGTAGATGCGAGAAAACCAGAAATAGGCTTTATTTCTTATTAAAACCATTGACTTCTCTTCCTCCCCTTTCTTCTTTGGCACTCGTACTGTGTATTGTAAAATCTTTGTGTATTTTAAGAACTTAATATACTTTATAACGTGAATACTGATGGTGGATCTCTGAATATCTTAATTGGAGCATGAAAGAAAAGTTTCACAGTATTAATTATTTTAACATATCCTGAAAAGTTTAAGAGACTTTTAGAGAATATAAAAGATATTTGGTTTAGGGATTACTTTGTAGTACCTTTTGCATTCCTTTCATATTGTATTTTTTGTTTTCGTTTAAAGCTGATCTCTGCTATTGAAGTTATGTGTGCGTGTGTGTGTCTGACAGAGTCCACTGGGGACTATTATTATTATTTTCTTTTCTGTTTCAAACACAGTTAAGTCAGTTTGGCTTCCATTTGGAGACAACTTATTATACTCTGTAGGCCACATGGTCTATGGGGAAGAGGCTAAAAGGACTTTCAAAACTGACTTGGTTTTCATTAAGTTTGTCTACAGTTTTAGGAGTATAAATAATAAATTCACCCCCAACCCCAAGAGCTTTCTAGGGTCCTCTTTTTCCACATTGGTCTGGGGTACCTGTGTTGCTGTTGTCCATGGCTGGTCTGCTTTTATAAGAGAGACCGAGACCCCCGCCTTTCTTTCCTTTGAGAACTCCCAGCCATATTCCCCGTCTTCCAAGTGGAGACTGCCTTCGTGACCCACTTTCATCCTCATGACCACTCGGGTTAAGTGTGTGCCTCACAGGAGCACAACACAGGCATTGCTCCAGGAACTTGGAACTCATTGACCCTAGAACACCAATGAGGGGAAAACCAGGAAGAGGATGAGTACCGCACAGAATGTACCAGTTCTTCCCATTCTAGAATCTGAAACAGATGGTATGGGAGCTTATCTGTAGGGTCATCCAGACACCGGGAGAATGCAGAGCCCTCATAAAGGCCCTCAGATATGCAGCCAGCAGGGAGCCGGTGGAGTCCACCAGTCTGCATATAGCTTTAGATTTTTCTGGGAGTCCAGATGCAAGGTGTATTTCCTCAGGAAATGATGAAATGGTGACATAGCTTTTCACATGTCAGGTCACCAATGAAATTGTGAACCTGGGTAACCTGCATTATTTATGTACCCCTTTTAAACACAGTAATTTACAACAGTGAATTAAGACTTGCATTACCTGACTTTTATTTTAATTCACCATTTGAAGCTTATACATTACACCTGAGTGAAGGGGGTACTCAGGTCATCCTTTGTATTTTTTTTTTCTTTTTAGCAGTGAACCATTGAACTGCAGCTAAAATACCTTCATATGCCAGGGTGAAACCCAGCACGGGCCCTTATATGACAGAAAGGACCAGAATAGTGATATTTTAAAATAGATTTTATTTAACAAAGTAAACATACATCTTAGGATATTTGTTTGTCATTCTTGTCATTCTAAAGGCTAGCTTTTTTGTTTTTTTTTTTTAACAAAACCATTTACATAAAATGCTAGGCCACCCAGAATGTGACACAAAAATCATGATCTTAGACATCTTTTGTTCTGAAAAGCTAACCCTAATTTAGATATTTTTGGAATGATCAATTTTTTAGAATTGATAATCAAATTCCCTACACACATAAAGCCATGCATGTTTTTGGTCCAGGATTAAAAAAAATTACTTGCTTATGAAAAAGCGTAAGGTGGTGGGGGAAGGCCGGGGTCGGGGGTCAGTCCTGTCTCATCTCTGATTTTCCCCAGTGTTCCTTAGTACCTGAAGTGGTCCCCAGGGTAAAACTACCCACCCGCCTGTCACCGGCACCGGCTGGGGGTGTTTCTGTACCAAAAGCACAAGAAGCGTCTTGACCCGAGGGTCCACAGTCACAGCCTTGCAGCCTCTTATCTGCAGTCCCAGGCAATGGAAGCATTCACGGATGGCTTAAGGGCCCAGTTCCAGGAAATTCATTTTTATAACCTCCCTCAAATTGCAGAAAGATAAAGCTTCTGAGATTTTATCAACCTTTCAGAAAACTCCAGATCACCAAATAGCCATTTTCAGCTTCAATCCCTTAAATCCCTGCTTAATCTGCTCTTTCCCAGAAAGCAGCAATTGACTCACAAGTCGAAAATCCACACTACTTCAGGCTGGTGTTGAGTTTCTGCCAGCTAAGCCCAGATGACTGCTGGACATTTCCTAAATGGACTCTGCAGATACATGAGACTTAGCCTGGTGGGTTTTCCTTTTGGTATCTGTAGGAGGGGGATGAAACACTGCAGAGTTTAAAGAACAGAGATGTGTTTCCAAACTTGGCTCAAACGCAAACAGGTTGTGGGCAGTGGCATAATCCCAGCAAAGAGGCTGCCCCGAAACTCCAGGGACTTGGAGATGACCTGGTGATGGAATAGCTGGTCTGGACGGCTCCAGGTGTCAGGTGCCAGATGCCAGCGCACTCCCCAGAGTCCCCGGCTCTTCCCTGGCTACTCTGTGATCTGGAGCAGTCAGGTAATCATTGCCGAGTTCCCTGTTTGGAGCTTTGTCCCACAGTGCTGTTGTGCACGAATGCACTGTGGTTGAGGTGCGCGGTGCCACTGGATTTCCATCTACAGTTGTTACTTAAGGTTGCTTAGATGGGTAACACCAGTAACAGCACCAAGAATACAACCATAATTGGGTACTGATTTCATCAATTCTAAGATGTGCATTTATTGATGTTTTAACAACTCTGGAATTGGGATAGATCTAACAATTGATAATGTGTCATTGTTTAATTAGTACCCTTCTTGATTTCTTAGTATGGGTTTTACAATTGGTGTCGTCTTAGATGAAGTACAGCTCACATCAGGCTCAATGCTACGGGAGCCTGGTGTGAGCTGTATGTGAGGCTGCCTCCAAAGCACTCAGGGTGTACCGGGGAGACACAGAAGTAAACAACGAGAAACGTGATAAGCCTGACAATAGAGACATGCAGTCAGCAATTCGCAGGAGCCAGGTAGGGAGCAGGTGACCCTCACCTGGGGATTAGACACATGGTAGTACTGGCTGAGTTAGGTACCTCTGGTGAGGTCTCTCAGTACTGGTATTTGTCCATTTTGGAAGAACCTCCTGGAGCACAGGTTACAGATTTTGGCCTCATCTCTTTGGATGCCTCTGAGTGGTCACCAAAACCCAGATTATGAAGCAAATCTGTGCACATGGATTGATTTAAAATGTTAGGAGGTTATGAGAGTGTAGGCTGAAAATTGCCTAAAATGTGAGTCAGAGAAAAACACAGACCTATCATCTCTGGAGTTTTTTTGGACTGTTGTCAGCTGTCCCCATTTCCAAAATATAAAATTGAGAACAGCTTACTGTCTTGGAGGCACTTGTTCAGATTTAGCTTTACAAAATAAATATCTCCAGATGTGATTGTTTTATGCAGGCGTCTCCATGGCAATGCAGCTGAGGCTGGAATATGTTGTTAAAAATATACACTTTGCATGATCACAATACTATTAGTGGCATGATTTTATTTTCAGGAAATGATAATCACCTGAAGTAGAATATAAGTAAACATTTTATATCAGACTTAAAGCAGAGCCTCTAATAAAGCTTATTAACCCGATTATTCATCTCATACCTCTTTACATTCTGTCCACAATACCTGTGTCTGTCATGGTTTAAAATTGGGATTCTTCTAAGGAAATTGCAAGTGCGTGTATGTACCGACGTATTTCTATCTTTTCATGTGATGACAATTTTACATAATGGAAATTGAAGTTGGGTTCTAATTTCAACTTTGTCCTAGCGTGTTATAATAAATCTTCTAATTCAGTTTCCACATCTGTAAATGGGGATGGCACTACCTATCTTGAAATGCTTGTTATGATCATTAAATAAGATGATCGCTGACTGTGCGTGGCACCTGGTAAGCGTTTGAACACGTGGTAGCTTGCTTCCTTTCCAGCTTTTATCACAGGCTTGGATTCATTTCCTTCCATTTTAAAAGTTAATTTTTATGTTAGAAGTGAACTACAGGCTGGGCACAGTGTCTCATGCCTATAATCCCAGCACTTTGGGAGGCTGAGGCGGGTGGATCACATGAGGTCAGGAGTTCGAGACCAGCCTGGTCAACATGATGAAACCCCATCTCTACTAAAAACACAAAAAATTAGCTGGGTGTGGTGGCGGATGCCTGTATTACCAGCTACTTGGGATGCTGAGGAAGGAGAATCACTTGAACTGGAGAGGTGGAGGTTGCAGTGTGCCAAGATCACGCCATTGCACTCCAGCCTGGGCAACAAAAGCAACACTTTGTCTTAAAAAAAAAAAAGTGAACTACAAGAATATTTTGTTGTTGACTGTTCTTTAATGTGACGTTCAAGCTTTAATTGAATTCAAAAAGGAGTTCTTTAAGATTGGGGCTTAAAAATCAGCTCATTCCTTTATTCTGTTCTGTACAAACTTTTTTTTGCGCGGCCGTGTGTCCTTGAGACCACGTCATTGGGAGCTCTCAGCCTCCACGGTCTTAGGTCTGACACCTCTAAATAAGAAGCATGACATTTGGGTAGCTTTGCAAATATGGGTGTTGCCCTGTTAAACTAATCCCCGAGGGAGTCAACTTCAAATAGAAATTAACAAAGGGCAAAAAGTATAGGTGACATTGTTCACTTTTTGGGCTGAGTAACACTTGGGATTTGTTCTACTCAAGGATTTTTTTTTATCTATTTGGGCAGGGGATCTGCACCCTAAGTGGAACTGCATGACAGCCCCATGAAAACCAGTGCAGATAAGATTGTGTCCGAAGGACAGGGCAGGCTTCGCTCATAAACAAGTCAAGATGCCAGAACCATCTCCATTTGCATAGTGCCCTCGCTTTGAAAGTGTTCTTCTATTTAAAGAAGTTTTCTTTTCCTTCCAGGGTGGCTGTGCTGGCTCTGGCTGTGGCAAATGTGACTGCCATGGAGTGAAGGGACAAAAGGTGAGTTGCCGAAATTTAAATCACAACATTTCTTTGTGAATTGGACAGTAAGTACTACATTAACAGTAACCGAATAATCAGCAATTCAGGTGAAAGCCTTATTACTGTTTTGATAATTTCCCCAGAGCAATACAAATGAAGCCAAACCAGGCTTGACATTACTTCTGAGTAGTAATATTATTATAATAGCTCTTCTCCAAAGAATGTAATAGTATGTGGCAATTAATGTAGAAAAACATATTTGGTTTATTTTCCTTTTTGACTCTTGGTAGAAAATCTGTTGAATCTATCGTACTTTTTCGAATTGATGTATAAGAACTAATTTTAACATTTTTCCGGAAAAAGAAACTAGTTCCTATTCTACTTGAGGACCTTCTCTTCAAATTAGTATTTTTAAACCATCTTTTAATCCATCACATGCTTGTCTAGATTTATTTATAAAAATATTGCTTGGGAAACTTAGTGTTTCCCAAATGTAAAATTAAAATGTATTTCTTTGCAAGCAAACTGTTCCCCTCCCTTTCATTTAAGAACCAGGGCTCCAGATAAAGATAAGTTTCTCTGGAAGGCAAGTTGAATCTGTGCATTTCAGTTGGTTGGAAAGAGGGTGCCTGGCTGTTTTTTTATCCAGAAAACAGTGCAGCATCCTGGTACTGTCTGTGGGTCACCGTGGAAACCAGGTGTGGCTGTGAGGAAATGCCACCACCTTAAGCCACTCAGCCTTTGGTGCAGGTGCGCACAGCAGGTTGGGACCCTGTAGAATGGAGTGGATACTCTGTAGGATACTGTTTCCAGAAAGCTGAAGGTGTCATTCTGGCTAGCGTGTGAATTCTTACTTCCCTCCCCGGCATGCCAGAGGTTTTATGGGGCCACAGACTGATGCTTTCGAAATTCAGCAAATTCTAGTTTACAGAAAATTCTGTGGTTTCTTTTTGACTATTTGCTGAAATGCCAACATTATTATTTTAAAAAATATGCCTGATAGGTGATGGCACTAGTGTTACCTGGATAGTTTTTGAATGAATGGAGTATGTAAGGAAAGTTTCACATCTTTTCATATCAACTCTAATTTATCTTCATGCTCTGCTCTCTTACTTTGGATTTTTCTAGCGATTTCCAGTGTGCATGCTCAAGAGTTATTTTAAAGTAGACGCAAGTGTTTCTCATGCCACAGACATTTTGTTAAAAACCTAACTTGAAATATACAAGTGAGTTCACCAAACTCATAAAAATGTCCTTAAAATGATAAAATGGAGAACTTTGGGGTCCCAACAAAGAGGAATTAAGGCCTGGATCATGATTACCTCTGTTTTCCATGTGACTTTGAAAGCAGCAGGGCTGGAGCCAAGTTGGCCCTGCTCCCTCCTAGGGACAGCAGGGTTGATGTCCACCTCCATTTCCATTTGCTTCTGTCCAGCCGGCAGGCCTTGGCGGCCCCTCCTGGCTCTGGAGCTTTACATACTTTCTTATTCTATCCGCATCTATAAACTTATATATATTTTTTAGGCCAGGCATGGTGGGTCACGCCTGTAATCCTAGCAGTTTGGGAGGCTGAGGCAGGAGGATCACTGGAAGTCAGGAGTTTGAGACCATCCTGGCCAACACGGTGAAACTCAGTCTCTACTAAAAGTACAAAAATTAGCCCAGCGTGGTGGCACACACCTCTAGTCCCAGCTGCTCAGGAGGTTGAGACAGGAGAATTGCTTGAACCCAGGAGGCGGAGGTTGCAGTGAGCCAAGAACACACCATTGCACTCTAGCCTAGGCGACAGAGCAAGGCTCTAACTCAAAACCAAAAACCAAAAACCAAAAAACTTGTAACTTTTTTAACGTAATTTATTTCAGTTTTTCCCAAAAATCCACTCATCAAAACATGACAAGGGAGAATGATAGGGTGTAGCCTTCCCTACCTGTCAACTGACATCTCCACAACCTGGTAACACCCCTCAGAGCCAAGCCGCTTCCACTCCGAGTGGGCTACACATGTGTGGGGAAGGCAGGGGAGGCGGTGTCCAGCACCTGGCCTGAAGGAAAGGGGCCGCCAACATTTCATCTCAACATTGCCCAAGGAGGAGCCCTTGCTGGGGGTGGCCCCCTCTGGCCAGGCGAGGTCTGTGCCTGTCCTGGCTTGGAGCCTGCGTGGGGCTTGCGCCCTGCTTAGGACAGGAAGGCAGAGAAGTGTGGGGCCACGTGGAAGTTGTGTCCCGAGGGAGGCTCCATGCCAGCTTCCTACAGGGGCCAGCTTTAGCCTTGACACTGGGAGTCAGCAGAGCCCGGGCCAGGACTGGGATGGAAGGAGCAGGATCCTGCTCCCCTCCTTGTGTGGCCTTAGCCAGGTTTCCCACCAAGGGACCTAGGCCAGGGAGCCCAGCACCTCCAGGACTTTTTTGGCCTGACCTGCTCCTCTACACTCCTGTTTCTCCATTGCCAACTTTGGGGTTCTTACTGTTTTTTTTTAATTTTTTTTAATTCCATAAAGAACATTTAAAATAAAATGCTAGCAAGCTCTACCTTAGACCATTCTGAATTTGTGATTTAAAAGGCAATGATGATTGAATGGATTCAGAAGACCTCTTGAAGTCTAGGCCTAGGACAATAGCTAAATGGTTTAGTATTATATCATTTTAACAAAAATGGAGAAGGTCTATTTTTTTCTCATCTTGAGCATAAACATTTCAGGTCCTATGGTTCACACAGCATTGAGAAGGGGAAAGAGCCCTTCCTCCCACTGACAGAGGAAATTTTAAACAAACTTCCCCTTATTGTCTTGGAAGTCCTGTTAAAATAATCAATTTAATGATGTGAAATGCCTCAGCTTCACTGAGCTAGGGTTTCCGATCTGGTTCCCTTTCTCTCATCCCAAAGTCAGCTAAGAAAGAAATGTACTCTAGGCTGGCAGGTCAAGAGAAGAAGTGGATCTTCCTCAGTGGCTGCCACCTTCTACCTTCTGCACTTCCTGCCACCTTCTGCATATTCAGAGCGTCCCAGCCCTAGAAATGCCGACCTAGTGTAAAAACAAAATGACTAAAGGGGTTGGAATAATGGAATACAAATCTACTGGTTTAGATCACTAGTCTGCTTATGAGCTGCAACTGAACGCCTTCTATCCTCATAGAAATTATTTTGATATTCTCAAATGTCTACACATTAAATTGATTTTGATTGGTTGTTCTTTAAACAGGACAGTAGGAGGCACAGCTGAGATGCAGTTAAAGTTACCAAGCTGGGTCAGAATGTCACAGCCTTAGAAATTTGGAAATTATTACTTCTAAGACATATTTTCCCACGTCTCTTTGAGGAGCACTTTGACACTATTATTTGCAAACCATCAGTATCCTCAACAGAAACTGGAATATCTCCAGTACAAATCTCTTTTGACTAAGTTCTGCTTTCTATGGCGATATGACAGAATGGACAAAATGTCTTATATTCTGTAGATACTATAAATACATTTTAGTGCAACAGATCATTGCTGGCGTTATAATCTCATAGTTTTCAAGTAATCAATAAATACTAGATAGCTTGATCTGAGTTCAACAGTTAAATTCAGCAGGTTTCTACTGGATTTCAGAGAGTCTTTGCTGAGTTGTTTATTTTCCCACTTGCTTGGAAGGCCACTCATATCTTCAGATGTTTTCTGTTAGGTAATTAATTTGGCCTTGCACACAGTGGCTCTGTGCTCCTCCAGAGACTGCGGCAGTGTGGGAATGCTGTCTGCTTGTACTGATTAGGGTTTTGAATGCTTGCCTTCACAGAAATAGCCAAAAGTTAAGCTCTTCTTTTGAGTGATAATTTGATTTTCTCAAGTATTTAAGATAGTAGGAAAGGCAACACATTCCCAGAAGTTACTGCTATATGCTAAGGAAATTAACCATTTATGTTTTGCTAAAATAGAGTTTACACAAGACCTCTTTCAAATAATCTAACCTGGGAGCCCACGTTTCCATAACACTATCACCATAGTCTGTGACCCTGCAGTGTCCAAAAAAGGGAATTTAAAGTTAAACTAGAGATGGAAGACTGGTGTACATAAATAACAAGGCGAGAGTAAACCATCACATTCCAGGAGAATCTGTTGGGAAAACAAATACAAAAGTCTTTCTGAGAAGGAAGTGATCCCTGGGACCTGGAGCATAAAATCAAGGGACAGCTTCCCCAATTCAGCAGGACCCCAGCCTCTCATGTCCTCACTAATTTGCCAGGCTTGCTTAGATATAGACTAGGTTCTTCTGTCACACGTACATGTGAAGACACATGTTAATTGAACTGCATTAATCAGAGAAAACAGCTCTTGGGACCAGCTGATAAATGCTGTCATAGCAAAGATTTGACGGTTTCTACTATAGTGACTCCAAAAAGGGACATTCCCAAGCCACAGTCTTGTGAGCAGAGTCTCAATTAAGTAGAATTGTAGCATTTCTAGTGAGTAGTGACAACTGTGTGGATATCTCATACCTTCTTGTAATACTTTAACCCTGCTGATACCCAGATCCTCAGCAAAGATATAGAGAAGCAGCACATTATCCTGTTATTACTAATTAGATTGTCTATAAATCACAGCTCCTGTCCACATTGGCTCTGCATTGCAATAATATTGTCATCAGATAGAACAACCAAGACTGCTTTCCAAGCAGAGAACTTTGAAGATGGCATTGCTATCTGTCTGTCTAAAATGTGTATCTTATCTGATTTGAAAAGGCTGGAGAAGTCTGTGGCCAGTCTGGAAGTGATTTCATTGCTGGCCCAGGAAATCTGGGAAGAGTTTAATGTCGTGTATGGCTGAGCTTGTACAGGATACCCTTTCTTTTGTTATGGCAAACAGTTTGTAGCTTTACCAGCCATTTAGCGCCTAGATATTTGACACAATCGGTGTATGTCCATGTCACACCTTTGTATAAACCTGTCTCTCTGCATCTCAACATTTGGCTATAGCTGCTGCTTTTACACAACGGATCTAGGCTAGGATAGAAAAATCCTGGCTTGTGAGTGTCAGAGCAAGAAAGAGAAAGAGACTGTATCTTGGGCCAGGCCTGGGGCCGAGTATGTTTTATGCACATTATTGTAATATCTATTATACAGTGGAAGAAACCAACCAGCCCGGGCTTTTTCCACTTGGTGGTATTGACAGTTTGAGTGGGATAATTTTTGGTTGTGGGTCTGTCCTGTCCATTGTAGGATGTCGAGCAGCATCCCAGCCTTTACACATCGGATGCCAGGAGCACCCCCACCCCAGCAGTCGTGACATAAATATATCTCCAGCTGTTGCTGAATGTCTCCTGGCGGGGGGTGGGGGGTGCAGACTCACCCTGGATGGAATACCGCTGAACTAACCCCATCTTCTATAGCTAATAAAAGACAAATAACAGGATTCAGGCACTAACCAGAGTACGACTCAGTTTCTACTCCTTCAGATAAGCAGACCCTAATCTGAGGGAGTCGGGCCAGCTGAAGACACGGCTCAGAATATCCGAAGTCTTGAGCAAGTTCCTTTCCTCTTACTGACTCTGTGGCGGACCCACTGCGCCCCAGGCCACCTGCCAAGGACAGCAAGCCTTCTGAAGCCTTTCTCTAACGGGTCGGGACGGGGAGGACTGCTGGAGGACCACAAAGAAATGAGCCTACTCCTCTGGGGCCCTGGGCAGACCTCCCAGTTCCTGTTCTACAGGAGTCAACGTGGGCCTCCAGCCCGGTTCAACAACTAACCCACAGCGAGCCCCTGTGTGTGACAAGGGGCAGGTCAGCCAGTCAGCAGCCACTCCTGCCCCATTGTCCCCTCCTGAGACAGGTTAGGGGTGCCCAGCCCATCAAAATATGCATCCCACCCCATTCTGGATTGCTTTTCCCTGTGCATTAGGAATAAAACCTCTCTAAGGGGAAGGCATTTTGAAGTAAGCCTGTTTCAGGCCTGTGAGAGGTCTGCAGAAACACCCCCAGCGTGAGCACTGGGTCACCCCACAGCCCCTGCCTTTCGGAAATCCTGGTGTAGAGTCCGCTCCACAAGGAGCTCCTTCCTCTGTTTGAAGGCTGGTCGTCTTCACTGTGTCTCCGCGATTACCCAGGACGTGGGCATGGCCATGCTTCTCACACGTCCTCTCTTTGACTCAGGATCATCGACTTGTGCCTCTGCCTCCTCCACATCTGGAAGAGGCATCTTCTTTTCCCTTTTCACAGGCTACTTAGAGCTGGAGAGGGATTGTGTCTGTCAATCCTTAGATACATGATTAATTAATCAACGCATGTTTTTCAGTTGTTACTTTGCTGGGCACTTTGAGAGATGCAAAATGAGCACTCTTAGTATATTTCTCTCAAGGACATACAAAATAAGAAGAAAAATATTATCTGTAAGGAATACCATAAATCTAATACCTAAATACAAGAAGAGAAGAGGACAGATTTTCCAGTCTGTTGAATTAGATGTGCCATTTTACATTGATTGTTTTTTATTAGCTCCCATTGCCAGAGACATTGCAATGTCTACGTGATAAGGAGTTTAGGCTTGAGCTTGCATGCTGGTTTTAAACACATCATCTACAACATTCTAGTCGTTTTTGTGCTATATTGTAACAATTGTCAAAGTGCCTTAGAATCTAACATTACCTTTAAGGTATGGGACTCACTTTTTCCTAAGATCATAAATTTAGGGTATTTTCATAGTTGTAATTAAATCTTAGATGAAATTCCTTTTTGAGACAGGGACTGTACTTTATTTGTATTTTTGGAGAATTCAATAATCTTCAATTTATAAATATATTTATTTCCATGATCTTTCCTCTAATTTACACATGGGTAACAATAGACATAGTTTTAGCCATGTTTTCATTATGAAATTAAAATATACAAGGACAGAGTGCTTTAAATATTCCACCATATAGATAGATGGACTGGCTCTTCTCCTGTTATTCCTTGTTATTCCTAGTATCTGTGTAGAATATATTTGCATCTCCAGTAATTATTAAAGAATAATAATTACCTTCTTGTATGATTATCTTTCTTGCATATCTTCTTTTTTTTTTTTTTGAGACAGAGTCTTACTCTGTCGCCCAGGCTGGTGTGCAGTGGCGTCATCTCAGCTCACTGCAAGCTCCACCTCCCGGGTTCACTGGTTCACGCCATTCTCCTCCCTCAGCCTCCCAAGTAGCTGGGACTACAGGCACCCGCCACCATGCCAGGCTAATTTTTTTGTATTTTTAGTAGAGACGGGGTTTCACCCTGTTAGCCAGGAAGGTCTCGATCTCCTGACCTTGTGATCCGCCCGCCTCAGCCTCCCAAAGTGCTGGGATTACAGGCGTGAGCCACTGCGCCCGGCATCTTCTTTCTTTTATTGCTGTTTTTAACAGAATATTAAAAAATTTTTCCTATAAATTATATTAACCATTGTTTTAAACGTTAAAGGTGTTATGCTTCTTAGATACTAAATTCTTTACTCAAGCACATGAAAGCAAATATTTTTGTGTAGACTCTTTGAAACTTTGGATAAGTTCATTCATTTGAACTAATAATGGTGAGTTATTAATAATAACAGTAATTTATTAAGTACTTAATATGTGAGACGCACTGTGCCAGATTTGACTTAGTGAGAATTTCAAATCTAGTCTATTTAAAAAGAAATTCAATTTTCTTACTTATAAGGTGTGAAATATATACCATAAAATCAAAACGCATTAAAAAGTGTTCCTTAGTGTACAATACTAGGGGGATTTAAAAAATAAATATAAGCTTTGTTTAGGTAGTGCATTAAGCATATTTGAGATTACTAATTTTTTGAGATCAATTGAATGCCTTTGTTTATACATGTTTTGAATATTCCTGAGAGACAATAGTGTCTAGTTTAGCCTTTCCCAAAATATGATCATCAGACCATCTTTAGGATGTCAACAGATGTTTCCTCCGGGATGGAAACGGGAAGAGGTTCCAAGGACACAGGCGTTTGGGGAAAACTGAGTTCAGGTTAAATGGACATTTGTTGTTTTGCCCTGGGATGTCTCAGAGCCTGTAATAAGATAGTGTATCATCTGGACCTTCCGTGGGTGCTGCGTCATATACAGTTCCCCACACTTATTTGAACGCCCCCCTGTTTTTTTCTTTTTCTTTTTTGAGATGGAGTCTCACTCTGTCACTCAGGCTGGAGTACAGTGGCACGATCTCGGCTCACTGCAACCTCCATCTCCTGGGTTCAAGTGATTCTCACGCCTCAGCCTCCCAAGTAGCTGGGATTATAGGCGTGTACCCCCCCACCTGGCTAATTTTTGTAGTTTTAGTAGAGACAGGGTTTCACCATGTTGGCCAGGCTGGTCTGGAACTCCTGACCTCAAGAGATTTGCTGTCTCGGCCTCCCAAAGTGCTGGGATGACAGGCGTGAGCCACTGTACCGAGCCTCTGACCCTTTTTATTTCTGAAGCCAGGAACGGCCTTTGTGAAAGAGTGGATCGGTGGATAAAACCTTGATTCTAGTGTAAGTTCCCCCATCTACCCACTGTTTTTCACCAAGTTGTTTTGACCAAGTTATGCCCTGACCTGGAAATTCCCCAGAGTTGCTAAAAGAACTGAATGGGGGATACTGTACATAAGAGCACTTAAGCAACTTAAAATGTCACATGTAGGGACATATGCGTGTCATGTGAATAGCAGCTGCATTTTGAAGTTGCAATAAGTGTGAGGAAAATGTGCTTGTTAGCTCAGCTCTAGACAGATCCATGGATAGAAAGACATAGACATGGATCCCCATCCAGCTAAGTATTTGCAATCCGCAGGTGAAGCCTGGAAACCCAGAGAAATGGACCTGTTCCATCCGTGACAGAAGCGCTCCCAGGACCTAAATTAAAGGGATGTTAGAATGTTTTGAGAATCTTGGCAGGGCCATTAGGTAGTGTTTGTAGCTTTTGGATGCTTTTGGTGGAGGGAAAATGAGATGGGCTCACTTGGGAGGTCTGCCTGCAGTTTCCATCCAAATTTCTAATCAACGTTGTGGTTTTATCATCCATTTCCGGAATCATTACCCCTTAAAATGTGAGGAAAACGACTCTCCTTTTCTTCAACTCCCCAACTTTTCCAAATACCGCTGCGAGTTTTTGTTGCCAACAGCTTTTCCCAATGTGCGTGTACTTACCAACGTCCAGACTCCTCCCTCCCATCGGCCAGCCTTGCTTGGTCTAGCTATTATTCAAAGGGGAACATGCGTGAGATATCACTTCGTTTTTGCCATCTAATGGATTCCACCCCCCAAAGTATCTGACTTTGACACTCAGGCTCATCTGCAGGACCCGAGGGTGTCTTCCCTCCCCTCCCGTTGGCTGGCTAAATGGGTTAATAGAATACATTCTCTTTTCCTTTTCCGTGTTTTGTCTGGCGTTTGCAATGCCAAGATTTTTTTCCAGATGTCCCCTATTTCCTATTTCCACATACCGCACATGAATCATCATCTGGCAGAGGAATCGTGAGAATCCATGTGATCAGTGTGCGTTCCCACATTCACCTACTTTTGTCTTTTTTGATAGTTCTTTGAAAACAATGAATTTTTTTAAAAATATGCCTGAATTCAAGGGTAAAATATCAACAATGTACCCTAGAAAAGCCCCTGGAAGCAGATCTATGCTAAATGGTTTATTTTATTCTGCACACGAGGCCCACCCGTCGCTGGCTCCCCTATGCCTTGGACGTCACTGATACACACACATCCCGTTCCCGAACAGGGAGAGTGAGCTGCACATTCTCGTTTCCAGCTCCACTTCCTAGTTCTGCCCACCGTAAAATCTGCCCTTTTGCCATGCGCTGTGGGACCTGTTAGACTCAGGAGAGACCATCATACAAATTGATGGCTCTTGATTTGCAGCTGTATCTGGAGCTTACCGAATCTAGTGCAGCTTTAAAAATAGGGAGCCGATTCTGTTTCCAAGTTCAGAAGGAGCAGCAGAAAATGAAGTATCTCGAATGGCAGATCACATGCCATGACTTTTAAAGCCCAGAGCACTCTCCAGGAGTACAGGCTGTCATTGGTGTGGCCCAGCACCGGCAGCCTCTGTCCCGACTATTTATGGGAAAAAATATTTTTTTGTAAATATGATCTTGACAAAACATTGGCTGGCAGGAAAATAGCTTTCTTTTCAGGGGAGCAAAATGAGAGTGTATATTTTAATTCAAGATCAAAGACTTAACATAAAACAAACCCTGACAAATGAAAACTGGGCAATGGGATTTTCCTCCTGTTTGTTGGTAGAATATTTTGAGCATTCAAACACGTTTCTAGACAGCAAGTTGTGATGCTAGATAATTAGGTAGTGTGGGTGTGGAGAACTGCACGCTCAAAAATGGTATTAACAGACCTTCATCCTTGTGAAGTGGTTTAGCACAATGTGCAATTAAACAAAGGAAGAATTAGTCAGAGTTAACGAGCAAACCAGATGGCTCTGGGGACGTGGTGCCCCTTTGTCAGATTTTTCTTCCTTTGGCAAATCCATTAAACATGGTAAAAGTATACTTCATATAGCTTAGCTTTGGTTCGTCACATAGTTTTATGAGTTTAATGCTAACTGGCCCCAAATTCAATGATTCTGGATTTCCTCACATGAGAATCTGACACGAGAAGCTAACAGTGATTCCTGGCTAATTTCTAAAAAGCTGTAGTGAAATCAGAAGGGTTAAAGACCCTTGGTACGGTTTCTCCTTTATTAGATATTTGGACAAATACCTGAAGGTAATGAATGATAGATGTGAATTTCTTACACACGTCTTGCTAGAGCTTGAGGACTTAACCAGAGAATTTTCTGTGGGCGTCCCGCTGTAGCATGTTAGGGCCTTAGGTTAATTTGCCCTCCTAGGTGAGAAATCCACAACCCTAAGACTTGAGTACCCAAGTCTGTGGCATGTGGTGACATGCTTGATTTTGAAGTGGTTTTCCCTAGAAGATTGGTAAAGGAATGACATCTGTCTATAGTAGAGCCAGTAAATTCCTTGAGCTGGAGAACCAATGTCCACTCATCCCAGTGCCTCCTTGTCCTGTGGGCTCCTGCTGTACCCGTGGGCCTGGGTAGTGGCCAGCGGCAGTCCTGGAGCCTGCCCTACAGGTTCATGATGGAAGATGCTAGCCAGTAATAGCACAACTGAACCCCCAAGTGAACACTCTGCTAAGACCTCCAGGGAGGGAGAAGGCACGGCTGCGAGAATGGATGTCCAATGGGAAGAAATTGATCTGCAGGGGGCAGGGAAGGGCAAACCGAACGGTCATTCGCAGGCCCCAAAAGCTCAGGCAGCCGCTCAGGTGCGGTGGCCCATGATTTACGCCTCCAAATTCCATTTCCCTGTTTGACGTCAGGTTTTTCCCGATTTGGAAATGTTGGTGCTTTGAGAAATGTCCATGGACAACTGTGCCTCCTCACCTCCCCCTTCTCACTTCCACGTACAAGACTCCAGAATGTTAAAGGACACATCTCCATGAGTGTGAAACTGTTTGTCGCTGTTTGACTCTCTGTGTCCCCATGTGGGGCTCCCCAGTCTCATCGATATGTCCTGGGCAAGGGCAAGAGGCACCTCGGTGGATCTTGTTCCCACACTGACTGTCTCCTCACCACGCGGGCTGGAAATGCTGTGTGTTTTTCTGAGTCAGGGCTTTGGGAGGCAGCACCCTGTCTCCAGGTTCTTGGAGTTTTATGGATGCAACGTCATTAATCATCCTGACGGGGCTGATGTGGGTGGCAGGTGTTGGGTTCTGCCTCCTGATTGGGAGGAGGGGCTGGGTGCCCTGCCCTGAATCTGAATGTAGAGGCCCTGGGTAAACGGGTGTGCCCTGTCCTGCCTGGACCACACATCAGGAGCCCTGGGAGCAGAGGTTCCGGGCGGCTGGAGGCCTCCTTGCTTCCGCCTCTGCACGTGGAACCTGCATTTCTTCACAGGAGACCGTGGCTCCACAGGTGTCCTGCCTGTCAGGGCAGAGGAACATACCACGGGGGGACTTCCAGCAAACGTGAGGAACAGCACGCTGGCGTGACTGGGGCAGAAAGCAGAGTGGTGTTTTCTTCTTTGGGGGCCTTTGATAGGGACCTGGGCAGGGTGTGGTGGGGGCCGGAGGTGCAGTGGCTTCTGCAGGAGGCTGGGGAGGCTCCCCGTGGTCTTAGAGGAGGTGCACCACCCGTCCCACCTCACTCGCCCCCTTTACCCTTCTTCCCTTTATAAAATTTCTGCCCTTTCTGTTCCTCCCACCACAATTTCCCATCCACTTTTCCTTTCTCTCTGTTCAGGGCTCATGTACACCTGTGTGATTTTCCAGGGTGTCACGACGAGCCCTGATGACCCGCGCCTGCCACCTGTGTGCTTTGTCCTCTCTACTTCACATGTGTGCATGCACACATCACGTGCATGCACATATCACATACACGCACACACCACACACATACATATACACGCACCACACACATAACATATACACACACCACACACACATACATACCACACACACCACTTACATATACATGGAACACACACCGTGCACACCCACACCACGGGCACACACTCACACACACACGCACTTTCTTCAGGAACCTCCCAGCCCTCCCCCTCCACCACGTGGCCTGAATGGAGCCCTCCTCGTCCACCTGTTTTGGGCTTGGTTCTGCTCCTTTTTCCTGAGTGGGGGATTTTGGAGGGTGCTGCCCTTGGGCACTCAGTGTGGATTTGATGCTGTGGAAGGGGACAGGAGAGCTGGTGGGCCAAGCTGGGAGGGCAGTTACCGTGGAGTGAGAGCCAAGGCCAGCCGGCAGAAGTCACCCACAAGAGGGTGAACGTCGGAAGTGGGGCCCAAGGAAATTACTGACATTTTACAGGGCAGAGGCATAGGGCTTTTTCTTTTCCTCTTAGTCTCCCCAGGATGCTGTAATAGGATACCACAGACTGGGTGGTTTCAGCAGCAGAAGTGTGTTCCTCCCGTGCTGGAGGCTGGAAGTCCAAGATCAAGGCTCCAGCAGATTCGAGGTCGGCTGTGGACCCCTTCTTCATAGGCAGCGCGAGGGCGGGGGCTCTCTCTGGGGTCTTTTTTCTAAGAACACTAATTCTGTTCATGAGCCTCATCACTTCCCAAGGCCCCACCTCCATGCCATCACCTTGGGGGTTAGAATTTCCACACAGGAATTTGGGGCGGGGCATGGACATTCAGAACACAGCACTTTTATTATCCTGGGATGCAGGACACGTACAGTGATGTGTGGCGACAAAATGCATCCCAGCTGTGTTTAAGTAACTGTGTAATTGGCTGGAAATTTCTCAATGTGAAAAAATTCGAGTCATTCAGATTTAAAGTTGAAAACCTCCTAAGAGGAAAGAGTTGGGACTCTGACCTCTAAAACCCTTCTAAATGTTAGTGTCCTCTGAGTTGAGATCTTTCCTGTGAAGCTGGAGGTACTTCAACACTCTACTGTTACTGGCCTTTCTAGAGCAAAAGCTATTTTACTGAAAAGAACTTTGGTATGCAGTACATGTCAGAACTGTCCACTCATTTGAAGTGAAGGAAGATCAGGCCCATAATGGGTGATTACTTCACAAGCAGACATTTCCTCAGTGTCAGCTATGTTTTCGGTGATGTATTCTGAGGAAAGGGGAGCGGTGACTCTGCAGTATTGAGCCAATGTGCCTTCATCCTCCCTGTCTCTTCACATCTGCTGATGGGAAAACCAAAGTTTGTGGAATCCCCAATGCCATCTGGTTTTCCTCCCCTTTTTCTTTTCTGAAAAATCACGTTCCAAGTTGAAGCAATCATAGCTGGGAAATTTTGTTACATTTTCCTCACTGTCTGTGGTTTTTTCCATTCGCTAATCAATTTGATTCTCCATATTTTATTCCTAAAATCATTTTATCTGGGCATGTGAAGTGGACGCTAGTACTTGAAGTCACTCTATTTAAATCTTGCCTGACTTTCTTAACTAGCTGTTCTGATTTCTGTCCTCCTCTAGAGACAATTGACCAGATGCCATTTCTTTGGGCTTCCTATTGGATAAGGCCGTGAACCCAAAGGGAGGGGGAAATAGATGATAATTTAGGAACATGGGAGTTGGTATAAGCATCCGTTTCCTTTCCTGTCTCACTCATTTGCCTTTAGGAAGTTATATCGTTAATCCTAAATGTGTGTCTTCCCTGTGTTTCAAAGAAGAGTCCCCCAGCCTGGAGGCTGCTCATTCGCATTCTGGGTCACGTGTTCCCTTCCAAGGCTTCCCTGTTCTCCCTGCCACTTGGAGGGGGCGCAGGAGCCGCCTGCTGGGTGCGACGGGCCAGAAGTGGGTAGTGACAGGCCCGGAAGTGGGTAGTCATTAAAAACTTGCCTTGCACGGAAGCTACTCAGTATGTGCCCTTCAAAATTGGATTTTTAAAGGAATCTGCTTCACCCAGTGACAGAGAAGAACACACATGTTCTTTTCCATCCTGTCCAATATTTTGTTCCTGATGTAGACCCCCCCCCCGCCCCCGCACCACCACTCCTCAGGGGCATCCTGTGCTTGATAGCGGGGTGTCAGCTCTGGAAGCATGTGGGTGATTTTACTGCAGAAGCACGTGGCTTGGCAGGTGCTCCGCGATGGTCCCGCCCAGCTGCGCTTCCTGAGTCCTGTAAGGCGCGTGTATGTCCCTGTGCATCCCTTTCCCACCTGTCACCGGGCACCTCTTGCCCAGCGAGGGTGACGTTCAAATGGGCACCTGAGGACTGTGTGTGCAGCGAGGTGTAGCTCCACCCAGGAGGGTGTATTTAGGGACCGCAGGGACCAGGAAGGGCTCTGGGATCAGCTCCTCCACAGCGGGCCTCCCCGGAGACCCGAGACAGGGCTGCCTCCCTGTCCTTGCCTGATTTGTTATCCCAAAATTCTGGGCCTAACCCACGGCAGGATATTTATGTGGAATATCAAATAGTTGTTAAAAAGATGACTGCTTTCCCTGTTTCTTCACAGAACGTGCTGATTCTCCCTGTGGAGAACCAAGGGTGGGCACCTGTAGGTTTAGAATTCCCATGAGAGCTCAGTTTCCACCAAGTTGGCAATTGTATATTTGGGAATCAAGGGAAGGCCATTTCAGGGTGCATGGCTGACTGGCCCTCTCTTGCCAAAGACAAATTGCCTCAGTGATGTGTCCCAGACCTCAGACCCTGGGAGTGGGAGGTCTGGGGGCGTGGGAACCAGGTGCCCCCAACCTGCCTCTTAGTGAAGCTTCTCTCTCTTTATGTCTCTCTGTCTCTGTCTCTTCGTTTCTCTCTCTCTTTCTGATTCTGTGTTTGTGTGTGTTTGTGTGTGTGTGTGTGTGTGTGTGTGTGTGTGTGTGTGTCTACCGTACCCATACTTGGTCATCTATCGCCCAATTGATGTAACTTAAAAAAAAATCCATATACGTGGGAAAGTGTAACATGTTTATATACTCTACAATCTATTTTTATTAGAAAGTTTATACCTCATAATTTGCAAACTGTAACCCAGTTGGTCTGTTTCCACATCTTAGTTTCTAGCCGAAGATCTCAATATTTTAGTCTATTGACATTAAGTAGTTAAGAAAAAAAGGCAGGAAATGATACTGTAAGTTTAATCTTTAAAACGTCTACAAAGTAGGCATAGTGAAAATGGCATTAAATAAGGTCTTACTGATAGAAATTTTTAAATAATTGGGCCACACCTTGGATTGAAATATATCTCCATATTATCTTTTGAAAACAGGCTTGCCAACTTTATGAAGAGCATTGAGGTGAAGAGAGATTAGCAGCTCAGGGAAGACCATTTTTAAGTATTTATGAAGTAGCTATTTATTGTCTTAATTAAGCACCGGTATTTTGCATTGAGTTTGCAATTATATGCTTTTCTTATCTATTCAGTTTTAAAACCAAGATTTTAAGCAAAACACAAAAGAAAAAACTTCAAGATGTTGGCTTAATTTCTTTCTTTGGGTGACTGTATATGTTTTAAAGGAATTAATGGTGTTTACTTAAAAGAGATTAAAATTCAGTTATTTATTAATTTAGATTGATCTCACTACTGCTTTTTCAAATTAATGAGGTTAGGCTAATAGTGGGTTTTGTAAAACCTCCAGCTCTGCTGAGATTACCTTGTATTCTATGGGCAAAGTTGGTTTGTCTAGTTTTAACCTGGCAATTGTATATCTGGGAGTCAAGGGAACTGTTCTTATCTCTTAGATTCCAAGTATGATTAATGGAGTATTGAAATTATTGCAGCATGCTGGGGGAAAATGTTATCAGTGATAAGATACAGACAAGTAACTTGCTTGGGGGTAAGGAAGTAATCTGGGGATTTCAGACCGGTGTATGTCGTTAGCTACTTCCAGGCTAACCATGGAGGAGTGTGGTGGCTTTACTAAGACCCAGGCTGACCTGACAGAATAAATGGAATGTTCTATGCTTGAACTGCCTGAATTACAGAGATATTTATTAAGGAAAAAACACAAAACCTTGAGTATAAGATAAAGGGGGGAGTTTCTTGAAACTGTCATCTTTTTTAAATACTCAAGAAATTCCAATTTTCTTATGTCTGTCTTAGCCACAAAAACAGGAATGAGATACTTCCTGGGTCATGACTTGTGGGAACACTAGCAGTGTGGCCTTTTCATTCTCTTTTAAAACATTCTGTGGCTTCAGAGGAAATGCAGCTGGCTTGTTGGACATAGAAATCGTGAGAATAAACACAAAATATTTACGTGTTTAAAAAGCAGTGAAGTCAGACCAGTTTCTTTCAGAACCATTTGTACAGCATTTAACTGAATACTTGAGCACGTTTGATTTTTAAAATAATGCTGCCAGGTAAAACAGGCAGGTGGAGTCATCCCTGACTTACAGATGATGGCAAAGCTGATTTTCAGAGCGTCCCAGGGGTTGGCGCTGGAGCCAGCACCAGAATTCCAGGCTTAGGTTCTTTGCCCATCCATGCAGTGACTGAAGAGAGAGCATGAAAAGCAGGGCGCCCGGAGCTCCGCGTGCTCACCCGGAGTGCAGGTGCTTGTTTTTGCAGTCATTTGAAATTAAGATTCCTAAATCTGCACCCTCTTGTAGATTTATATCATTTTCTTGGGATCTTTCCTGAGTCACTCATGAAAATATTTTATTTTTGTTTATTTATTTATTTATTTTTTGAGATGGAGTCTGCTCTGTCACCCAGGCTGGAGTGCAATGGCATGATCTCGGCTCACTGCAACCTCTGCTTCCTGGGTTCAAGCGATTCTCCTGTCTCAGCCTCCCAAGTAGCTGAGATTACAGGCGTGTGCCACCACGCTGGGCTAATTTTTGTATTTTTAGTAGAGACAAGTTTCACCATGTTGGCCAGGCTGGTCTTGAACGCCTGACCTCAGGTGATCCACCCGCCTTGGCCTCCCAAAGTGCTGGGATTATAGGCGTGAGCCACTGCACCCGGCCCAGTCGTGAAAATATTAATTGAGTACCTACCCTGTGCCATCTGTTCGAAGTGCTGGGGGGAGGGAACGAGAGGGAATGCCAGTCACTGCCTGCTGGGTTCCAGCATCTCCTGGAGGTGCTATGTACGCGGCTCTGCACACCCTGGCAAGGGAACCGCAGGGACTACGGAACCACTCAGAGGATGGGGACCCTGGATGTCCCCTGGCAGGGCACCTGTAAAACCCAATTTTGATAAATAATTATATCTAACACATTTTTAAGGAAAAAAAAAAGAAAGGTTTTTCTTAATTGCCAATGAGCAATTCTCTCAAGGTTTAAACCTGAAGACTGTCTTGCATGCTTTTGTATTATTAACTATAATTCTTATCTTCAGAGTATTTCATCTGCAATTTTCAAGTTTACTTTTATCACAGACCAAAAAAAGAAAAAAAAAATCCATCACCTACCTTGTGGTGTTTCCTGCCTTTGCTGTGTCCTCGTTTTGTTCCACAACGCTGCCCCACACCCACATACATTATTAAGTTCACGTTAATAACATCCTCGGCTGTCTAAGTACTTAGGCACTAATTGGCATTTTTCAACATTTCTGTTAATGTAGAACATGTCTTTCGAACCCTCAGGGGCCTTGCTTTGGAGCTAATGAAAATAAAGCAAAGTGTCTTTATAAGAAAAAAAATTAGGTCAGGAGCGTTGGCTCACACCTGTAATACCAGCACTTTGGGAGGCCGAGGCTGGCGGATTACCTGAGGTCAGGAGTTCAAGACCAGCCTGACCAACATGGTGAAACCTTGTCTGTACTACAAATACAAAAATTAGCCAGGCATGATGGTGCACGTCTGTAATCCCAGCTACTTGGGAGGCCAAGGCGCAAGAATCGCTTGAACCTGGGAGGTGGAGGTTACAGTGAGCCAAGATCATGCCACTGTACTCCAGCTTGGATGACAGAGCAAGACTCCATCTCAAAAACATATATATTTTTTTCTTATACAAACTCAGAAGAGAGCTAACCTCTTATTGATATTTTGTTATCAATTATTTATGTTCCTGCAGTCTTTCTTCTTACCCCAAATCTTTTAACTAAGTCATGACCTAGAATTGTGATAAATTTCATGGAACTTCAAAAAAAAAGACGGTTGTGCTGGTGAGCAGAGGCGTGATTTCATGTGCAGACTCTCAGCACCTCCTAAGTGTGATCATTCCTGCAATGGCTGGAGCTCAAGTTGGAAGCATTCATTTATGCCATGTGCATTTCTAGGTCTTTGAGGATAGTATTCCATATATATTTTTTTTAATGGAGTAAGTAAAATCCAAAACCAAAAGTTAACCAAAGTGTTGGCAGTGGTGACTGGGCATTTCAGCCCCTGCCCTGGGTTAGGGCTCTCTTGAGGGACATTCCTCAGTTGGCTTCCCAACTCTTGGCAGGTCAGTACCAAGCCTCTAAAGTCTACACGGAGGCTGCCTCTTGCTTGGTGTGTCCTGCCATCCTTGGGGTGTCACCCAGGCAGGAACCCCCAGAGAGCTCTGTGCAACTTATTTGGAGGATGGTTTTGCTACCACTGGGCTTTTTCCAGCTTTGTCATATTAGATAAAGGCCTCCTGCTGTGCCAACACCTAGCTTCGGTGGCTGATTTTGGCCTCTGATTGCTGCAGTGTGCAACATGCACAACCATCCACACCGTCCATAGCTGCAGCAAGTGAGGTTCCAAGCCTGTAGCAGAACACTTGTTTTCTGTACTGTTTTTCTCGTTTTGAAGATGTTTTTAAAAATATATATTTGAGAAACAGAATGTTAGGTAGTAGGTTTAGAAAGAGGCATCTGTGATTTTGGTTTTAATGAGTGTTCATGCTGATAGGTTAAGCAAAGGAGAGAATGTTATCATCTTTTTTGGGATCCAAAAAACTGGATAGATTTTTTTTTCTTTTAGAATTGGCAAAACTCAGGAGAATGGACTAAATTACCTTAATGCATAAGTTTTCTATAAACTTATAGTGGAAGAAGACCAAAGAAGAACCTTTACATAAGTTTTACTGGCAGTGGGATGTTTAGCAGTGGTTTCTTAGAGACCTCCCTGTGATTACATTTGTATCTATTTTATGCATGCTTTGTAGAATGTAATTTTTTCAGTATTTTCTATTTCCATACAGCTATTTTAAAAATTGAATTTGCTATTTTTTCTGTATTGTCATTAGATTCAAATACTCTCCCAATTTATAAAATGGATGTGAAAATGCTATCCAGAAAATATCCATCATTCTCATTATTTATAGGCTGACCGCATTTACCTGTAACGCAATAGCCTCGATATTCAGGTTACTAGTTTTTATATTTAATTTTAATTAAATTTTGAATCCTAATTAAAAATATTTACCATAGAGTTCTTTTAGGCCATATCAAAGTGATTTCTCTCACTCCGCCCACAGAATGTGTTCAATGGCACTGAATATTTAATATTTTAATAGTAATATATTACTACAATGAATATTTAGGAAAAAGCCTTAATTCTTTTTTTTTTTTTTTTTTTTTTTTTTAAAGCAGAGTCTGGCTCTGTCGCCCAGGCTGGAGTGCAGTGGCACGATCTCGGCTCACTGCAAGCTCTGCCTCCCTGGTTCATGCCATTCTCTTGCCTCAGCCTCCCGAGTAGCTGGGACTACAGGTGCCCGCCACCACACCCGGCTAATTTTTTGTATTTTTAGTAGAGACGGGGTTTCACCATGTTAGCCAGGATGGTCTCGATCTCCTGACCTCGTGATCCACCCGCCTCGGCCTCCCAAAGTGCTAGGATTACAGGCGTGAGCCACCGCGCCCGGCCTGAAAAAGCCTTAATTCTTTAAGGTCCACCAGGGAGGTTTAGTTTATTTGGGGGAAAATGTATAGTCCCAGAGCTCCCTCTAGTGGCGAGCAGCTGCAGCCCACGGAGACTCCTCACCCAAGCCCTGATTGAGGCCGTTGGTTCCTCCGCCCGGGCCTGTCACGGGCTGGATCCACTGTCTGCCAGAGTTTGGGTTTTCTCCAGATCATTCAGTGTCTGAGTACTTCTTCAACAAGGGGGTGCTTGGCTGAGATCCCATGGGTGTGTCTGAGGTGCCAGGGCCCGCCGGGGAGGGTGTGAATGTGCCTGTTTCACATGAAGGCAGCGCTCTCGAATGTGCTGAGGGGTGCCAGGGCCCTGGGGTGCTGCTGTGTGGGTCGCAGGTGCCTGGAGGTGGATGAAGGGTGGGTGTCTACGGACGCCCCGACCAGGAGCTTGGCCCTTCACATGGGCATTTGAATGTGTTGTTGATGGAGCCCGGAGCCAGGAAAATACAAGTGTTTCCAGAGAACGCACTGTCTGCTGGTGTGGTTTGATGCGAAAACGGAATTAAGCTGTTGATGACAGACGCGCTGCCTGAGCGCAGGCACACGTGGAATCTGACTGAGCAGGTTCACAAGCCTTTGGAAAAAGATCATCATCATATTTTTCTTCCTTTCCAACGTGGAAATCTGACTGCTCTGGGGGACTGACTTAAAATGGTTCTGTTTAACAATATTTGAAACGGAGTACTGCTTTGGAGTAAGAATTAATGAGAGCATTTTGGACTGTTTTTTCTGAAAAAAGATAAGAAAAAACTCTTGAAGATAATAGTTGCCTCTGGAGACCTTTGCTGCTGCTCACAGCTTTACTGTGCGCTTCCATGAGTGAGTCTCCACTTTCATCATGGACAAATGTCTGGAACTTTGGTAAGATTTAAAGACCTTTGGAAATTTTTAAGATTTTTTTTGGCTGCCAGTAATTTATCAGCACTCAGTTCTCCTAGAACATTTTTACTGGATCGGGGACGTCAGATGGTTTGTTTGCTTTTGGATGGCTTTCGGGGAACTTTTAAATTGTTTATAAGAAGACCATACTGAGGGCCCCCTTGAGTTATTCTTGTGTTGAATGATAGTTCTTTAGAAAGTATTTTCTGAAGGACTCTTTTTAATTCATTTTTTTCTTTTAAGCTGATGTGCAAAGTGGATTTTCATGGATCAGAAAATATCTATGGTTTTATTTCTTTGTAAATGTGGATCTATCAGAAATATTCACTGTGCATCTCCTTTGTAACCATCGCCTTCTAGCTTTGGATTACATATGACTTGAGTGTTCAGCTCTGTCAGTCAACTTCATAGTGAATGTTAAAATTCATATTAGAATACTTGAGCCTAGAATTGTGCCAGAATTCATCATGGGCTCAGATAATGTTTCAACATCAGGATTTGTCCAATAGAAATCTCTCCTTGAACATGGACACCTGGAGACAATTCTGCATTAAATGCTATAGCTGCAGGCAGGCTTTCGCTGAGCACAGGGTGGACCTTCTTCATCACATGGACCTTATCGTGAGGGCTTGGGATTTTCCACTCAAGAATCCTGGGGCCAGAAGTCCAGTATAAAAGTTGTAGTCCAGGCTTGGCCATACGGAGGAAGGCATTTTCACTTCTAGTTTATCCAGCCCAGCTCCCACCCCTCAGACCCCAGCCACTGTTCTTTCGGCCAGGAGACTCCAGCACTGAGTTCTCTCCCATTCTTCACACAGATTTGCTCATCTCCATCATCGGCAGCCTTGGGAGTAGTCAGAACCAAGCTAATGATAGTCAGAAGGAGGACGGTGGAGGCCCATGAAATGAGGAACTTGCCCAAACAACCCCACGTGCTTTAGAAGAGGCAGGACAAGTCCCGAAGTC
Organism: Homo sapiens; assembly: GCF_000001405.40. Taxonomy (NCBI): domain Eukaryota; kingdom Metazoa; phylum Chordata; class Mammalia; order Primates; family Hominidae; genus Homo; species Homo sapiens. Next base: position 110,220,599 of record NC_000013.11, on the reverse strand, counting down.
TCCTAGAAATAGAACAGCTCTCATGATATCTGAAAGTCATGGATTTTGAAAGATCAAAATTCAAAAGATAAAAACTTTGAATTTTGATCTTTTCCTGGGCTAGCATTGTGCGATAGGCAACTCTTGCAATGCCAGTCAGGAGCCACAAGCCGTTCTGGTTTTCACTTTTGATACAGAATTTGATAAATTACACAAGATATTAAACACTTTATTATAAAACAGGCTTTGTGTTAGACCATTTTGCCTAACGTAGGCCAGTGTTTAAGTTTTCTGAGCATGTTTAAGGATGGCTAGGCTAAGCTATGATGTTGGGTAGGTTAGGTGTATTAAATGTGTTTTTGAGTTAAAAATATTTTCTATTGGGCTGGGTGCAGTAGCTCACGCCTGTAATTCCAGCACTTTAGGAGGACAAGGCGGACAAATCACATGAGGTTAGGAGTTCAAGACCAGCCTGGCCAACATGGCGAAACCCCGTCTCTACTAAAAATACAAAAATTAGCGGCGCATGGTGGCACACTACTATAATCCCAGCTACTGCGGAGGCTGAGGTTGCAGTGAGCCAAGATAGTAACACTGCAATCCAGCCTCAGTGACAGAGTGAGACCCTGCCTCAAATATATATATATATATATGTATATGTATGTATGTGTATATATACACACACATATACATACATATATATACACACATATATATACATATATATACACACATATATATACATATATACACACACATATATACATATATATACACATATATACATACATACATATATATACATATATACACATATATACATATATACACATATATACGCATATATATACATATATACGCATATATACACATATGTATATACATATATATACACACATATATATACACATATGTATATACATATATATACATATATATACACATATATATATATATACATATATATATATATTTTCAACTTACAATGGGCTTATTGGGACATACCCCATCATAAGCTGAGGTGCGTCTGTATGTGCTGCTCAAGCTCTTGCGTATACCCACATAGTTGATGGAGGGCCACTGCACACATTTCCTGATATTCACTGTCTCAAGCTAGACGTCTGGGCTGGAGGGAGAAAATGAGAATTTCGGGAAGAAGATACAGATTTGCAGCCACGCTTTTTATGCATGATTGGTTTAATCTTTGCTGCTTTAATGTTAAATATTTAAATGCAAGAAATAATAGTAATGATAAATGTAGCTGCTAAGTGCAACAATCCACACTGTTAAATTTCATTCACATACTTCTAGTGAACACATATACATCCTTTTAAGAGTTCAGTTGTATGTCTCATAGAGCAAAGGAGAGTGAGCACTCACGCCTTCCTCTTAGGCAAAGCAGACCCTCTAGGGGATCTCCTTGCATCTGTCCCCCCTCAAACTGTGGTGGCAGTATTCCTGCCCTGACGTCAAGCCTCATGGTGTGGAGGGAGCTCCCGGCGGGGCCTCGCCACAGAGTTTTCCATGACCCCGCGGCACCCACCGCAGCTTTCCCACCCCTTTCCCAGCGGCGGCATTCAGGAAATGGTCCTGCAGATGTCTCTTCTGATGTCTCTTCTGATGGTGGTTGGGCTCAAGGAGTTGGCCTTGTGGAATTTCGGAAAGAGTTCTGCAGTCACCCACTGACTGTGACCCATCCTTGACATCATTTCCCTTTCACTGGATACTTGGTGAGCTCTGGCTTCAAATGTGAGGGCTTTCATTCCCTGAATGATTTGCAGTCTGCTCGTAAATGGAAATCTCGAGGCGCTAGATGACAGAAAGCAGCAGCAGGGCCATCGTGGTCCCGAACGCAGCTTGCCCTGCACCTCTCAGCCACTGCTGCGGACTCCAGCCAGTCTGGAATGGTGCCTAGAATGCTTGGACTGCAAAGGCGACGGGGGTCCTGTCCTGCCCAGTAACCTTTCACTACCTCTTAAAGTTTTTAGGATTCGTATGTGGAATCCTACCTCATGCTGAGCGTCATGTTATGCAATTGGCTAGTTCAGCATCCCATGACATTTTATTGAATTCAAACACCATGAATGAATAAAACAATTTCATTGCCTGTGAAGAAGTTACAGGGTTGAGGTGGAGAAGGAATTGCAGTTTCCCTGATAAGCATTGCTTGTTTCCCTTGGATGCACCCAGCACATGGAGGCTGCCATACCCAGTACACTCAGTGCTCAGTACCAAACCCGGTACCCGTACTCATTCCGTGCGTAGAGGAAGCCCCCGAGAGCTGGCAGCATCTCTGTGTGTGCTTCAGTCCATTGTGAAGATCCGTGATCCTAATATTTCAGATTGGAAAAATCCATTAAAATTTTGATTTAAAGATATGGATTCCATGTCAGCCACTGAAACAGGCCTTTGACAGTAAGAATTTTGATGACTGCTTATTCTAGGTATATTTTGTGTTAACATCAGTTTTTGTTGTTGGTAATTATATTTTCCCCCCACATTTAGAAGCTTCATGCTATTTTAACTTCAGCTGTCCTGGGTATTTGATTTGTATTTGAATTTCTGACTTAGCTATGACGGAAGCTTATTAGAGTATTTGCTTTCCTGAATCATGAACTTGTTTCTACAAGCATTGGAAGAGGAAGGGAAATAATTGGGTATTATAAAATGACTTTCTATCCACGCATTTTAAGGATTTTTTAAAAAGTATATGCTTGCTTTAGATAATGCATTAAGCAAGAATTTTAAGTTGCTCCATGCATGAAACCCTATTTCATGCCTAATTTACAATGCCTAATTTTGGTGCTAAGATTATTCTCCATGTTGTATTCTTTCATCTTTATAGACAATGGCACTTTGTTCTCCCTCCACAAATTCTGAATTTCATCATTTGGGGACACAGCAGTAGTCATCTCCGGCTTTGGCGTATGATTTTCCTTTTTTGATCAGTGCTCTGCATTGCACTGATGTTCAGGAATGAGAGCACAAGGTTCAGCTGCACGAAAACTTTCTGTGTAGTATTTTTCAAGTTTCTCGTTTCTTTCTTCCATTTTAAATAGTCTTTGCTGTGACAGACAATGGTTGTGGTTTTCATTTTTGCCTGACATGAAGTCTGTGGCCGCCATGGATTTTTGGACCTTGCCTTGAGCACACCATGGGAAACAGATGATCGAGGGTCCTGTTGCTCCCTGACTCTAACTGTGCACATTCTGCCTTGAGCTCCAGTGGAAGTGGGGGGTCACTGTGGTCACGTTAGTAGCATTGCCAGTTGCAGCTGCAAAGTCTGGCTTGGACCCTGCTAGCTCCAATAACCTTTGCACAACATGTCCAGCTCTTTGCTCTTCTTACAATCCTGGTGGAAATGTGCTAAAATCTTGGAGGAATAATTTGGCCCCATACTGCATGCTGGTCGCCAGCTAACTGTATAGCTGTTTAAGTGCTTATTCTGTCCGTTTGCTCTGCTCTGGTTCCCATAATAACCTTGGACAGGGTACAGAGTATTAGATTATTCGTGTGCACTTTTATCTGGACAAAAGATTAAGAACGTTAAAAAAATATGTGGGGAATGGCAAGAACCATGTCCATGGAGGAGTCACTTCCTTCTTAGCTCCTTCATTTCAAAGCTCTGGGGATACACAGATTGCTTAAACTTTCTGGTGACATTTGGGAAAGAATGTGTTCTTGCGGTAAAAGCAAGGTCTGGGAATTTGGATTTCTGTGTTCTGTTCCCAGCAGCACGAGGGGTCACCCAGTGACGTACGACAAGTCAGTTAAGCATCGGAATCTTAATTTCCCTATCTGTGAAATGGACATAGAAGGGTCGGTACCTTGGGCTGACATGAAGTTGGTGAATTGTTTGATGTTCTGCTGGGAACCGGCTTGCTCTAGTGACCCAGAAAAAACAGGGACTATGGTGGAGGCTGACCTCATTTCTATTTCTGGCTGTAGTGCTGACTCAGTGAGAAACTTGTAGAAATCAGTTAATCTGGCTCTGGTCCTCAGTGCATTCCATGGTTAAATTGAGAATTATAAAATCTTATCATCGCTGGTCTCATGGCGATACTGCCCATATTAATTAAGTACTAAAAATACTCCACCAAATGTATTAGAAAGCTTCTACATGGACCTGCCTTTCTCATTTCCTTCCTGTCTGATGTTGGGTTACTTGGGGCTACACAAGTCCATATTTATTTATTTATTTTAGCCGCTGTTTGGAGTTCAGTCCTATTCTGGTTTGAGCAGACTTTTCCTATATCCGAAAACTGGGTGCCCCAGATTGGTGACCTTGTGCACTGTAACTCCTTACAGCAGGATTTTCTGCCATTGTGTCCTGGGGCCATCACTGCAGGGTGTATTTAAGGAGCTCTTCATTTGAACAAGTCCTGGTCTGGGAATGTTTTTCCTTCCTCACTGTCACAGGCCTCAGGGAGAAGGAGCCAGCCTTCCCTGTCAAACCTTGGGATCAGGGCCCTCGTGGAGTCACGTCTGTGCTTCTGGCCGACTCCCTGGATGCTGCTGGCCTGAAGGGGCAGTGCCACAGTATGGGGCTTGAGGTTCTTTAATCCATTTACTGTTTGATTCAATTCTTTAGGGTTTGAAACAATCTCTCCCATATTTATCCACATACTGTGTCTAGACTCCTGACATATCCTTTCAACGAAACACAGCTCTATGGAGGTGTGGCGGCTGAGTCCCAGGTTCATAACGTCCTTCCTGCGTTTGTAAAAATGGAGCAGGCAGTTAATTCACCAGTTAAGTGCCAGGACTGGCTGAGTGGTTTGGAAAGAAGGACGACTTTGGATGTTTATGTTATGTGGTGTGTAGCTTGTCGGTTGATTTTTACTTTCAACTAATGCAACTTTGAGAAAGGCACTGAACACTAAGTAATCCTGCCTGTGATCTCCAAACTGTCTGCCTTATGTTTTTAAATCAGCTAACAATGGTTACTGAATCTACCCAATTCGTATGGTAAGGCTGCACTGAAGTCCACATGCTGTAAAGTAAATAGGTTTTCTTGATTTCTTACAATGGTTATGGGTTGTTGTTTTTTTTTTTTTTTTGAGACAGAGTCTCACTCTGTCTCCCAGGCTAGAGTGCAGTGGCATGATCTTGGCTCTCTGCAACCTCTGCCTCCCAGGTTCAAGTGACTCTCCAGCCTCAGCCTCCTGAGTAACTGAGATTACAGGCGTGCACCACTACACCCAACTAATTTTTGCATTTTTTAGTAGAGAAAGAGTTTTGCCATGTTGGCCAGGCTGGTCTCGAACTCCTGACCTCTGGTGATCTGCCCGCCTCTATCTCCCAAAGTGCTGGGATTACAGGCATGAGCGAGCCACCGCACCCAGCCCAAAAAATACTCTTGAAAGACATTTCTCATTAAAGCCCACCATCACCCCATGATGGCCCAAGGGAGGCTAAGCATCTTGCATGAGGTGCACACTGTGGACTCTGCCCACCCACATCTCCTAATGGTCTCTAAAGAGGAAGACGTCTTGGAGGCTCCATCACAGAATCTCAGCACTGAGGCTGTTGCTAACAAGAGAGTTCCATTGATTGAGCGAAATTATAACCAGTTCAGTGAAAAACACCTCGCTATTTGTTACTCTATTTACCCAAGAAATTATTTGGCATTAAGTACATATAAAGGATTGTGCTAGGAATGAGATATAAATATTTCCTGCCCTCAAGAGTTTAAAACACAGTAGAGCAAAACCACCTGAAGTAGTCGTTGCTATCTGTTTCCAGACACTCACTGTGGACTTGCGCAAGGCTGGATGCTGCTTAGATTTATTATGGGAAGTGGCTCATAGGATTATAGAGGCTGAGGAGTTCCATGATCTGCCGCCTGCAAGCCTGGGAACTCAGGACTCCTGAAGTGTAACTGGGTCCAAGGCCAGCGGCTGGAGAGCCCAAGGGGCTAGTGGTACAAGTCCCTGAATCTGAAGGCCAGAGAACCCAGAGTTCTGATGTCCAAGGGCAGGAGAAGATGGGTGCCCAGCTCCAGAAGAGAGAGAATTGGCCTCTCTTCTGCCTTTTTGTTCTATCCGGGCCTCAACTAACAATGACACCTGCTCACCCTGGGTGAGGGCAGATCTTCCTTACTGTCCATGTATTCAAATGCCCATCTCTTCCAGAAACACACCCTCAAAAACACATCCAGAAGTCATGCTTTACCAGCTCTCTGATTATCCTGTGACCCAGTCAACTTGGCACCTAAAATTAGGCATCACGGGCCAGGCGTGGTAGCCCATGCCTGTAATCCCAGCACTTTTGGTGGCCGAGGTGGGTGGATCACCTGAGATCAGAAGTTCGAGACCAGCCTGGCCAACATGGTGAAACCCTGCCTCTACTAAAAATACAAAAATTAGCCAGCGTGGTGGCGCACGCCTGTAATCCCAGCTACCCGGGAGGCTGAGGCAGGAGAATCCCTTGACTCAGGCAGTGGACTTTGCAGTGAGCCGAGATCGTGCATGCACTCCAGCCTGGGCAACAGAATGAGACTCCATCTCAAAAAAAATATATATATAGCCATCACAGTTGGTCACCAATTCCTTCCTCTGTTCTTTACTGCTGCCTTTTGCCTGACTGATGTTCCTCTTCTGTAGGGTGAAAGAGGCCTCCCGGGGTTACAAGGTGTCATTGGGTTTCCTGGAATGCAAGGACCTGAGGGGCCACAGGGACCACCAGGACAAAAGGTAAGCACGGCTGTGGGATTGGGGGTGGGTGGATGTAAGATTGCCCGCATTCTTGAGATAGCGGTGATCAATGACAATGGCATTTCTATTCTGTTCCAGGGTGATACTGGAGAACCAGGACTACCTGGAACAAAAGGGACAAGAGTGAGTACAGTTGCTACTCACAATCGATGATTCCATGCGTGGGACAGGCCCGCTTCCAGAGCCGGGCACCTTTTCCCTCCTTTCTCCTTGCCCTCGTCCTCCATCTCCTCTCCCAGCTCACACAGCACGGGCAGGCAGGCGCGAGGCAGGCAGTGAGGAGCAGCCCGTGACTCCCTGAGCCCCAGTCCTTCCCATGGGGACTGTGCACAGGCTGAGCTCCTTAGTCCTTGGTTCTGCAAACTTGCTTTCCCCCATTTGTTCTTCTTCAGGAATCTCTTCTGGGCATTTTTTAATTTGGGGGAAGGGGCAATTGATGATGTGTCCACAGTCATTAGACAGAGATGACTTCATTTAATGGAAAAGTCATGGTATTTTCAGAGCCAGCCTTGCTCTTCCTCCTCTCCACCTCTTAGTAATGATGAAATGGGAGCAGAGTTATTTTGTGCATGGGCAGCCTTATGTTTGAAGGGATCAGCAGTCAGCTTTTAAAAACTTATTTTTTTGTTTTTTTTTATTTCAATTTTTTTTGGTACAGGTGGTGTTTGGTTGCATGTATAAGTTCTTTCGTGGTGATTTCTGAGATTTTAGTGCACCTGTCACCCAAGCAGTGTACGCTCTACCTGTTACGTAGTTTTTGATCCCTCACCTCCTTCCAGCCTTCCCCCCACCTGAGTCCCGAAGTCCATTGTATCACTCTTATGCCTTTACATCCTCATAGCTTAGACGCCACTTATACGTGAGAACATACGGTATTTGGTTTCCCATTCCTGGGTTACTTCACTTAGAATAATGGCCTCTAGCTCCATTCAAGTTGCTGCAAAAGACATCATTTTGTTCCTTGTTGTGGCTGAGTAGTGTTCCATGGTGCATGGATTCCACCTTTTCTCTATCCACTCGTTGGTTGGTAGGTACTTAGGTTGGTTCCATATCTTTGCAGTGGCGAATGGCAGTAGTGTGCTTTGGGTGTAGCATTGCTCCTGTAAGCCTGGGCCATCTGCCCTAGGCTGTGCCCTCTGCTGCCTCTTGTGCAGAGTGCTCTGTCTGCTTTGTGTGTGTTCTGACACCAAAAATGAGGGCATGACTCCATTAACCGGGGAGATGCAGGAGGAGGAAGTGAGGCTTCCCGGCTCTTCACTGACACGCTTTTACTTCCGCCCTCACAGGGACCTCCGGGAGCATCTGGCTACCCTGGAAACCCAGGACTTCCCGTATGTATAGAAAACGTGCTCTACTTCTTTTATGAAATATTCTTCCATCAGGCGATTTTCTGCCTGGGTTACATTTTCACTTTCTTCATTGCAGGGAATTCCTGGCCAAGACGGCCCGCCAGGCCCCCCAGGTATTCCAGGATGCAATGGCACAAAGGTAAATCCAGAACCGAGACCCTCCTTTTTGTGTGTGTTTACGTAATTTTTGCATATTAAGGAGTCAGGTAGTGTGATTCTGTTAATAGAGTTTTATTTGCCACAATTGGAAAGTTGCTTGTCTTAAAGTTTGCTTTATTTAGTAAGGAAATACAGTTTTCCCATATTTAGTGTACCAGAAAGATATAATTGTTCCTTTCTTTTTTGTAGACTTTTATCCTAAAATTGCATTTAAGCACGAAAGTTATTACCTATAATCATTTACTACATCACGTAAGAAAATGCCATTATGGGCCTTTGTCCCTATTAATGATACTATCAAGTCTATTTCTTCTTTCATAAAGTGGTACCCAGTAGCACAGCTTGTGACAAACTGTTTTTAGGAAATGATTTTAACCAACAAATGAAGGGTAGGGCAGAGTGATGCATGCGATGTCAGGGCTGATGTGTCTGCCACACACAGTGCGTATGAATGATGCTCTGCTGTCTCCCCAGGGGGAGAGAGGGCCGCTCGGGCCTCCTGGCTTGCCTGGTTTCGCTGGAAATCCCGTGAGTAGAGGTTATTTAGGGCAGAACTTCTTTCTTTTAGTTATGACTTCTCTCTTTTCATTCCATTTCCTTTTCTTTCTTTCTTTGCTTATGTTTTAATAACTTATATTTTATATATAATATTACATGATAACAATTTTAATGCTAATGATATTTTGAGAAAAACAAAACTAACACCAAAACTTTCTTTTTTAGGGACCACCAGGCTTACCAGGGATGAAGGTACATTTTATTTTATTTTGCTTTATTGGATTCATTACAGGGAATCTGTTTACAACAAGTGCCATAGAAGCACATTCTCTTTAAACCACTTTGGCTGATCGATTGTTTCTGAACACACTTCCCTAAACTCTGTTACATGAAAAGACTGTACAAGTAACCCACAAACTCAGATCTCAGACTCTAACGTTCAGACACTTGGCACAGCTTCTTAATGGGGAATAAGCAGCGGAAGGAGGCCTGGTGTGGTGGCGAAGGCTCACTTCACCCAAACTGGGGAGGCAGATGGGAGAATGGGGCTCCCTGGGTGCCTCTCAGACTTCCCAGGAGGGAACCTGGGGCAGCTTTTCCCAGGCGGGGTGTTGATGTCTTGGGGCTCGGCTGCTGGCATCAGCCCGACCTCAGACTGTGCAGTCATGTAATGTGTCGGCTGTGCTTGGGCACAGGGCGGGGACCTCGGGCATCTGGATGTTGGGATCAGCCTTGTCAAAGGGAGGCTTACAGGTCTCAGCAGCTGCAGTAGAGATAACTGCTTACCTGGATGAAGGTGAGAGTCCCTGTGCTCGCTCCTGTGATTCAGAACACGTAGGAAATAGATCCTCATAATAGCCCTGTGTGTTAGCATGCTCCAGAGACACAGAACCAGGAGCATGTGTGTGTGTGGCCAGAGAGAGGAGAAACTGCTTCTAAAGCATTGGTTCTCATGATTGTGGGGGCCGGCAAACTCAAAACCTGCAGAGTGAGGTGGGCAGGCCAGACACCAGAGAAGGGGTGGAGTTGTAGTCTTGGGTCTGAAGGTGGTGTGTGGGCAGAATTCCCTCTTCCTCCAGGGAGGTCAGTCTTTTATCCTGTAAGACCTTCAACTGATGGGATGAGGCCCACCAGCATTATGGAGGGCCATTTGCCTTATTCAGAGTCTACTGATTTAAGTGTTAAGCTCATTTTAAAAATCCCTTCACAGAAACATCTGGTCTGGTGTTTAACCCAATAATGTGGCCTAGCCAAGTTGGCAGATAAAATTTACCATTACGCCGTGCTTTTATAAAAGTATTCATCCTGAGCCTTTTCTCAAAAGAGAATTCTTGTTTTGTGAGGAGAGCCTGTGGTCACGCAGTAGTCTTTCAACCAGAGACAAGGGCCCTTGTCTAGAGTTGGGGGTGGTCCTCGGGCAGTGTGGCAGACCCCTTTGCTTTGCCGTCTCTACATTCAGTCCCGGCTGCGGCTCAGTTGACCAGGCAGTGGTTAACGCTGGCCATTAAGACGGCAATCATGATGGGAGAGATGGCCAGGCTATTGATTTCCAGTGTAGACGGGGTCTAAATCCCAGACTTAGGCTAGTCCTGTAACACTAATATATGCCAACTATCAAAGAGTTTTCAGCTTCTTTACATGAATGTCGATATTTGCAACTTTCTATTTTCTTTCTTCATCCTCTAGGGTGATCCAGGTGAGATACTTGGCCATGTGCCCGGGATGCTGTTGAAAGGTGAAAGAGGATTTCCCGGAATCCCAGGGACTCCAGTAAGCATTTGCTGAATCATTATGAACATGTGCCACCTCACCCTCCCAGTTCGCATCTGAACTCATTTCTTTCTCATGCATTCTAGGGCCCACCAGGACTGCCAGGGCTTCAAGGTCCTGTTGGGCCTCCAGGATTTACCGGACCACCAGTAAGTTTTGGGGGCTGTCTCTCCGAGGCAATCATTTAAAAAACAACTATATTGAGGTTTGAAAATAAATAATAATTTAGTAAAAACTTTACACAGTTGTGGTCGCTCTTAATTTGGACATGGCGGAATCAGCTTCCCTCTTACTAAACGTTTGGCTGGCATCCCGGTACCCATATACCCAGAGCTGTGGGAAAGGGATGATGATAGTACCATAAACTGATACCCTGAAACAAATAATGCAGTCATGGTTGAAGGGGCTGGCGGGGTACTGCTGATAGTCACAGCCTGTGGGAGTGAGTTCAAAGATGGACAGACAGGCTGTGCCCCAGGTGACTTCACCAGGGAGCAGGGGAGATGGATTGGTATTGGTATGGTCACACCTGAGGGTCCTGCACCTGCTAGGAGTGGGGAGGGAGGGGAAGCCCAGGAAAAATATTTCACAAATAAATTATCATGTTGACCAGAGAATCTTAAGATAACGTCAGCCTGAAGAAGGGCTTAAAGCTCCCTAGAGTTCTGAATCCTATTTAATTAAAATGCTGTCTCTCCCAGGGTCCCCCAGGCCCTCCCGGCCCTCCAGGTGAAAAGGTAAAAGTTCTTTTCATTTTTTGTTCTTTGGCATTAGTATAAGGCTATCATGAAATTGCTATAGCTCACTCTTCTTATTCTTTCAGTCTCTAAAAAAAAGTTGGAAAATTAACACTATATCTAACTATACCTTTAAGTATCTATCATATATCATTTATTATCTATTGATTATCTATCAATATATTGATCTTTTCTTTCATCCATCCCTTAGTCAATACTTTGGAATCACACTGATATTTCCCTTAGTTTTCTAATGCAAGAGTTTAAAAACTGTAAATTTTTAAAAAGGTCTTTGGAATTTTTGATCAGTCATACTTTAAAAACTTTTTCATAGACATTGAATTCAGCATGATCGTTACTTTCCAGAAAATTTTATGAGAGTTATGGGACAAAGCTATTGCCTGAAATCTACCATCTTATTGCATTTTGTGTGAGGTTTGTAGAATGACTTTGAACGAAGTAGACAAATCTAATAATGAGAGCCTAATTTTTAATCCACAGGGACAAATGGGCTTAAGTTTTCAAGGACCAAAAGGTGACAAGGTGAGTGCATATTGCTCTGGAGTGCTTTCATGTTGAAAACCACAGTCCTCACCTGACAGTTCCCACCTTTGGATCAATGTCTGGACTCTTACAAGTATAGTTACTCTTCTCTGCATGTTCTTGCATTTGGTAGTTAGTGTTTTCCTTAAAATGCCAGCATTATTGAATTTATTCTAGCTTATTCAGTACGCTAGAATTTATGGAAGTGCTCTGTGATCTGACAAGCAGAGAACAACGAGACTAACTCCAATTATCTGTACAAAGAGTTCAAACTCTTCTTCGTCAGTGATGAGGTCAGACCTAGGATTTATGAGTCAAATTTAGGACTTGACCATTAGATGAGTAACCCTGTAAGCCCTGCAGAGCGGGAGTCCACCGCCAGGAAATTGGGAGTAGCACGGTGGGCAGCGGCCCCTCACCACCGGCCTCTCTTCTCAGAGGCGGGCATGTCCAGGGCCACCACCAGGAGAATTAGGACTAGCACGGTTGGCAGTGGCCCCGCACCACCGGCCTCTCTTCTCAGAGGTGGGCAGGTCCAGGACCAAGTGGGTGTGGGAGGAGATGCAGTGTGGAGCCGGGAGGGCACAGACCACACAGCAGGTGGCTTCATCCTGCAGAGAGGAGGCAAGTGGTGGGTCCCTGATCCTCTCCAGGAGTTTCCCTGGATCAGACCAATGAAGCAGGCACTGGCTAAGAAGGGATGCCTGCCATTGCTGTAGCCAGCCTGTGGAAGGCCAGATTCTCCTCTGACATCCAAGCTGGTGGAGGCAATTACAACCAGAGCGCCCAATACAGTGGGGCCTGGATGGATCTGGATGTGCAGGTGGCCTCTGCTTGCCACCCAAGATTTTGGCCCAGTCTTTTCATAAACTTTGAAATATAGTGACTCTGAAATGTATGCAGTTGTAATTTTTAGGCGTACCCGGCAGTTAGGATGCCCGAGGAGGGAGACTCTTGATGGTTGTCTTATTCTGGGATTACCTAAAATGCCTTCTTTTTTCTCAAGCTCTATTAGGTAGTTTGTATTCCTTTCCTCCGTGCCATCAGAAGCCAGTATACACTATACAGGGGCACGCAAGTCCGGAGGTGTCTTGCAGGTGTTCAGATTCCATGGTTATTCCTGAGCTAGTGGCCACCCATAGAAGAAGTGAAATTCTCCTCCTGGGTTTAGATACTTGTTGTATCATCTTCCTATTGAAATTTGATTTTCTGCAGAGGCAAGGATGATTAGAACAGAATAGAGTATAATTACATTTTAAAAATAGGTGTTTTATTTTAGGCTTTTACCTCTCTCTGCAATTTTTCATGTCTGCATAATTGTTTTCATGCCTAATTAATTTTACATTTTTATGTCGACAGGGTGACCAAGGGGTCAGTGGGCCTCCAGGAGTACCAGGACAAGCTCAAGTTCAAGAAAAAGGAGACTTCGCCACCAAGGGAGAAAAGGTATGAGTGGGCTTCATCAGTGAATACTGATTTTCTAATTTTGGACAAATTCCAAAAGATAAAGAGAAAATGGGTCAAAACTCAGTTTTTCCAGCTACATTCAATCCTGGTCTGGAAAACAGATTTATAGACTGTTCAGTCCATAAAATACGAGCCCCTTTGAGAGCAGAGACAGCTGGAACTGGATTGGTCCAAGCCTGATCTGAGGCTCACCCCGCTGGATCAGGGCTTCTTAAATGTGCCCCAAGTTGGAGATGGCTTGGTCAGGAGGAGGGAGCTGGGCTGGGGGGCAGGAGGGGGGCAGGGCCAGTCATCATGGGTCAAGCATGATAAACCCTGCCCTGCTTACATTTATACCAGTCAATGTCAAGTGAGTGCTGGAGATCAACATGAATTTCTTTGTTAATATATCAGAAAAAGGTTTTTTTTTTTTCTGCTGTGTGTTTAATGCAGCATATAACAAATGATACAGCTGTTTGATAGTGCTGATCTGTCTCTCGAATTCTTTCAGGGCCAAAAAGGTGAACCTGGATTTCAGGTCAGTACTCAGTTTCTGCCTATCATTTTTAGGTCAAAGACCATAAAGATTTAAGTTTCAAGTTTTTTTCACCTTAAGTTTAATATCTATCTAATTTAAATTTTGCTTAAATAGACGAATAAATCTCTTTGTCTTTTTATTCCTTTAAGGGGATGCCAGGGGTCGGAGAGAAAGGTGAACCCGGAAAACCAGGACCCAGAGTAAGTGCTTTCCAAAGTCCTTTTATCATAAAACAATTCTCCTTCCATGCGGAAAATCGCAGATTCACAGAAACACAAGAACAGAAAAGGCTCGTAGGGACTTCTAGTTTATCCCTTTCATGCCCCGAAGGGCTTTTCCGAGACTCTCCTGAGCTATATCAGTTGCAAGGCTTCCCAGGCAGGCGAGGTCCTTCCCTGTTTAAGGATCCAGCACTGAAGGTGCCACCGCCGGCTGTTCAGAGAGGCTTCTGAAGAGCCCTGGGCCATCCCTGAAACCTTCGGTCCTGCTCTGAGAGCAGCAGGTTGGTTGGACTTTGCCACCCAGAACACCAGACAGTGTTTGCACAGCCACAAGCCTGAGAGGCTGAGTTGCTTTTCACTTTAGGGATGGTGGTGGCGTGAGACCCACCCCACTGCCAGTCAGCTGGGATGGTTCTGGTTTCTACCTGGAAGGAGCATGCAGAAACCTGCATTAAATGAAGCATTTGCATAAGCTTGCAAATACTCAGCTGCCAATAGGCAAACTTCTCTAATGTTAGCTTTGCTACCAAGATACAATCATATTTTAGAAGACTTGTAGCTCATCGGACTCTGCTCTTTAAAAATGGAGTTCTCTTATATTGTAACTGTTTCATAATTATTCATCATATACAATATTACTTATTATTGTGGTATTGTCAACTTACATAGAACCCTCATTTACCTTGCTTGTGTTTCATAGGAGAGACAACATATTAAGCTATCTGAATCAGAGCTTTGGTGTTATATCCGTTATTATATATATATACATATATATATATTTGAGACAGAGTCTCACTCTGTTGCCCAGGCTGGAGTGCAATGGTGTGATCTCGGCTCACTGCAACCTCCGCCTCCTGGGTTCAAGTGATTCTCCTGCCTCAGCCTCCCAAGTAGGTGGGACTACAGGTACCTGCCACCACACCCAGCTAATTTTTGTATTTTTAGTGGAGACGGGATTTCGCCATGTTGGCCAGGCTGGTCTCGAACTCCTGACCTCAGGTGATCCACCCACCTCGGCCTCCCAAAGTGCTGGGATTACAGGCATGAGCCACCGCGCGCAGTCTATTATTTATTAAATACTAACGTTTACATCTTTATTCTACAGGGCAAACCCGGAAAAGATGGTGACAAAGGGGAAAAAGGGAGTCCCGTAAGTGTTTCTCTGTGGTTTTTACAAGCAGGCTCACTGTTCCTACCACTGGCCTCTGACGGTTACTGCTTCTCTCTTCGGTTTCAGGGTTTTCCTGGTGAACCCGGGTACCCAGGACTCATAGGCCGCCAGGGCCCGCAGGTAAACGCTGGCACTATTGTGAGCCTTTATCTTCACTTTCCAATTCAACCCAGAAGTCTGTTTATTCTTTCCTAGAATAAAGGACTCTGTACTCAAGGGAAAAAAATCATTTATGCTTCTTCTGGGTAAAAACACAATTTAGTGGTTTCCTTTATGTTCATGATTTTTTACAAAATAAAAATATATGAAATGTGCCATTCATTCAAATTTTTATATCTTTTTTTGGTAGTAGATTATTTTTTTCCTGATCATAAAGCAATAGAAAATACAGAAAGATATCACGAGGTAAAGAAAGCTTACCTAATTTTTTCTGTTACCTGTTCAGAAGTGGCCAGAGTTCGCCTTGTTCCTATGTGCATACACAAGCAGGCAGTTTTTAAAGGTGATAGTGAACAAGACATCTTGCTTTTTCACGTAATGATAGAAGGAGGATCTATTTCAATGGCCGTCAGTGTAATTATGATGTGAACATCCATGCCTTTTGTTGCGTGGTATTTAGGCCATTTCCAAATTTGTATGCTTACAAGTATTTTTGCTCACTTGTCTGGTCATTTCTCTGTCAAATTCCTAAAAGCGTAATATTGGGGTCCACAGTCAGACACTTGTTTTGAAATTTTTGCCACATGCAACCAAATTGCCCCAGAAAGTCCTTCTGCCAGACCAGGGCCCTTTTAGTTGGGGAACTAACTAAAAAAAAAAAAAAATCTAAAAAATATTTGTCAATCTGACAGGCAGAAAAAAAAAACCTCATTATTGCTTTATTTTTCTCTCTTAATATGAGACTAGGTAATGTAAGTCTTTACTAATATAAGAGATAATTTTGGAATAGTCATCACCAAAGGCGAATGGAAAGCTGCGGGGAGGGCCTCAGTAGCCTACGGTTAATTTATTAAAGCCAGGGACAAAAGGAAGAAACCCTTGGCTGTAATTTTTTGAGGAAGTAAAATCCTGTACATTTTAAATGGTAGATATATTTAGAATATAGTGGCTAAGATATTTATGTCCTCTAGATATTTCTAAAATCTTCTGGTATTCATATAAGAAAAATCAAAACATTCAATTCTTGTTTACTGCCTTAATTTAAAAGGAAAATATATACATTCATGGTAAAATGTACATATCTTTGGACTGTTTAAATCATTACGATGACGTTTATATAAAAATATTTGATATGAAAGGGTTAATTTCTTTGAGTTTTTCATCTACTATGGATGAGATTAAACCTTAAAGTGATCAGAATTTATCCACTAATGTTTTCAGTTAATATTAGATTTTACATTATGACCTCCAATGCAAATTTGAGAAAATCTTCACCTAAAAACATCATATAAAATGATTTATTTAAGAAAATGTATTTGGAAATCATGCTTTTATATTATTTTATTTCATTTCTCTTTTTAAAATTGAAAAACCCTGGTTGCCAGTTCCGCTCATCAATGATTCTGTTTTCCGAGGAAGTGTGCAGTTGATGGGACAAGTATCTGGGCTTTTGTAAGGAGAATAATTAGCCCCCAACTTATATTTTGCAGAGATCTTTATTTTCATGTGTCATGCGTGTGCAAAGCAAAATGAAATCTATTCATTTTTGTTGTAATCGTCACAGAATGAGAGATATTAAAGAGAGAAAAATAGTTTTAATTTACTGTAGGCACACTCTATTTTACCAGAAGAAATGTTTAATCTGCTTTCTGCAAGACAATCTTTATAGTAAGAATATGCAAGGAAAGTTATTTTTTCTTTTGTAGGGAGAAAAGGGTGAAGCAGGTCCTCCTGGCCCACCTGGAATTGTGAGTAAGAGTGCTGTCCCTGGGTCTGTGAGAGCGCTGGGGGAGGAAGGAGAGGACCCTGGGTCTGTGAGAGCACTGGGGGGAGGAAGGAGAGGACCCTGGGTCTGTGAGAGCGCTGGGAGAGGAAGGAGAGGAGATGCAGGGCACACACCCACAGCTGTCTCTAGAATTGCATTTGTTATGTAAAGTGGTTCATGCTACTTGAAATGATTTTCTAATTTGTTGTACGGAGTTTCGTGTTTATTATTTTTATTATATTTTGATAATTTCTGCACATCTTTAAATCACTGAAAATGAAAAGGTTTGCACATGAATGAGAATATTAGCAACATATTTGACTCCTTTTTTTTTTTGAAATGGAGTCTTGCTCTGTTGCCCAGGCTGGAGTGCAGTGGTGCGATCTTGGCTCACTGCAACCTCTGCCTCCTGGGTTCAAGTGATTCTCCCATCTCAGCCCCCCGTGTAGCTGTGATCGCAGGTGCCCGCCACCATGCCCAGCTAATTTTTGTATTTTTAGTAGAGACAGGGCCTGACTATGTTGGCCAAGCTGGTCTCGAACTCCTGATCTCAGGTGACCCACCCACCTTGGCCTCCCAAAGTTCTGGGATTACAGGCATGAGCCACTGTGCCTGGCCTTGACACCTTTTTTAAAAAAACGTGGTCCATTGAGGAAAATTTTTGTAAGAGAAACAGGTCATCTGTAATTTAACTATCCTGGTAAAACAATTTTTATTTTTGCAAATAACATTTTACTACTGGTCAACATACATATTTTGCATACTTGTCAGTGATGTGTGTGACATTTAAAAATGGGCATTATCATGTTTGCACATATCTTCATGGTGATCATTTTCAGTGTCCTATCAGAGAGTTGTGCTTTAATTTTTTTAGCCATTTTGCCCCCAGACTTTTTTGAAATAATGAAAATGTTACCGTTCTCTCCTTTGCTGCCTTCCTTGCAGTGCCACAGGTAATGCGTTCACACAGCCCATTTTATTTATAGATTTACATTGAAGGGTTTTACTTTCATTTTTTAACTGACAAAAATTGTATATATTTATGGTATACATCATGATGTTTTATATATATAACTTGTGGGATGACTAAGTCAAGCTATTTAACATTGGCACATTTTAATAATATCTATTAATTGATACAAAGGAATTATAGTTCAAAGGTAATATGCAAAAGTTGACTTTGCCGCTTGTCTTGAATTCCATTAATTTAGAATCAGGGCCAGTGAATTTTCTCCTTGTTAAGGAGCCGAAAGTGCCTCTTCTTGTCTTGCGACCTTAAGGAAGCGCCTACTTTTTTTTTTTTTTTTTTTAAGAGTGTTCCTCTCATAATACGT
This sequence comes from Homo sapiens, assembly GCF_000001405.40. Taxonomy (NCBI): domain Eukaryota; kingdom Metazoa; phylum Chordata; class Mammalia; order Primates; family Hominidae; genus Homo; species Homo sapiens. The sequence continues at coordinate 110,202,214 of NC_000013.11, read as the reverse complement.
TGTAAAGTAAAACATTCTGTTTATGGCTAGTATGTACAATTAGAAATTATAAATCTAAGCCTCAAATTGATGTTACTCCATCTTTACCTCACTGGAGTGTTACAAAAGCTGCTGCCAGGCAAACTATTACAAAAGGAAGCAGAACCGCCTGCCTGGCAGGATCCTTTGCAGGGATGGTTGCAGCATGTTTATTCCATATGCTTTCGTTGTTGTTGCTGTTTGTTTCTTTGTTTGAGACAGAGTCTCACTCCGTCACCCAGGCCGGAGTGCAGTGGTGCCATCTCAGCTCAATGCAACCTCCACCTCCTGGGTTCGAGCGATTCTCCCGTCTCAGCCTCCCAAGTAGCTGGGATTACAGGCATATGCCACCACGCCCGACTAATTTTTGTATTTTTAGTAGAGTCGGGGTTTCACCATATTGACCAGGCTGGTCTCGAACTCCTGACCTTGTGATCCACCTGCCTCAGCCTCCCAAAGTGCTGGGATTACAGGCGTGAGCCACCGCACCGGCCTGTCCCATATGTTTTAGAGGCTTATCCCCTTCCTCCTTGTCCGCTACCATTGCTGCTACTTCACTTTCATATTTCTTGAAATAAAAACAAATATGTACATTTCTTCACTCATACTGCTTTACTATACAGGACTAGCCATTCCCATGCCACGGGATGATCACCTTTTCCTTCTCGATTCAGGTTATAGGCACAGGACCTTTGGGAGAAAAAGGAGAGAGGGGCTACCCTGGAACTCCGGGGCCAAGAGGAGAGCCAGGCCCAAAAGGTAGCTTTCTTGCCTTTTTCCCCCCTCCTCCTACTCCCCCTCCTTCTCTCCTCCTCCTCTTCCTCCTCCTCGTCCTCTTCCTCCTCCTCCTCCTGTTCCTCCTCCTCCTTCCTCCTCCCCCTCCTTCTCTTCCTCCGCCCCCTCCTTCTCTTCCTCCTCCCCCTCCTCCTCTTTCTCCTCTTCCTCCTCCTCCTCCTTCTCTCTCTCTCCCCACGCTTTCTATTTCTTCCCCTCTTTTTGTCTAGTTTTGACCTGTGTTCCTCCATATTTTGGAAGCATCTGCAGGCCTTGCAGGACTGTCTGTGACCAGGTCTCCTCCAAGTTCCTATTTCACTGTCACAACAGGCTTCAGGAGCCCTTCGCTGTAGCTTTGAGAGCAATGCATTTCCAGAGTGGGGGCTCGGGTGGTCTCCCGCTCTGTTTTCTACGTTCCCTTTGGCCATGGACACTTACCAATGCACCAAGCAAGGCTTTCAGTAGAGAAATAAGAAGTGTATACAAACGGGTGAACTGTTCTGTTTGATCCAACACTCTCTTTCTCTTTTCAGGTTTCCCAGGACTACCAGGCCAACCCGGACCTCCAGGTGAGACTCCTTAACTGATTTGTTATAGCATACTTGCACACCTTCTGTGCTGTTTATATTCTGAATATATAATTTATCACGAATGTTAGATATTTGCACACAATCGGTAGCAATCTTACGACATCTTTTCTAGTGATGAAAGCAGAGTAGACAAGTGCTTGTAGATAAGTATCTTGTCTTTTGTAAGTGACCACTTAGCATGTTAATGAACATGTACACCCTTATGTCTCTCCTGGGGATCCAGATCTATTCTGCCCAGCTCTGATGTAACCCCACCAGAGCCAGCCTGCCCCCCTCTTTTCCCACGGCTCCCACTGAGCAGGTCCTGTCTTTCCACAGAGCCCCGATTCTAGCACAGTCAGGCGCCTTCCTCCTCAGCGTCCTGACCACTTTCCCCTCTCTCTGGGATGTTTCCCAGCTGGAGATCAGACTCCAGGACAAAACCCCTTCCAGCTGCTGTGCCCAGCCCCAGCCTTGCCTCCCTGGACCCCGGGGCTCCTCAGGGTGAAGTCATTCTCCAGTCACTCCAGACGTGCCAACCTGTGTTTCCTGGCAGACTGCGCTTTGCAGAGGCTCGCTGTTGTCTCTGTCCATATGCGCAGATGCACGTGTGTCCACGTGTGTGCGTGTGCACCTGTGGTATTCTCCCAGGTCCCAGAGCTGACCCGATAAGCGTCTGATGGAAACGCTCACGTGCCCTAGCATTGGCACACAACGGAGTGTTCGCAGCCTTTACGCTTTTTGCTTTGTTTTTGATGTTTACATTTATTTTTGTTTTTATCCCCGTTTATTATTTTATATTTGTTTCCTTTCCAGCTGGTCTAAGTTCTTGCAGAGCCCCCTTTTTTCCTTTATTGGGAACAGACGACACCCCACACAGCCCACGCCTGGCTCAGGGCAGGGCCTTCGTCCACTCCCACTTTCTCTCTTTTCTGTAAAAACTCTGACTCTACCCTTAAAAGCATCCCTTTTGTCTCTTCTTAATTCTTGGATTCTCGGAAATGTGTGACTTCATGTCTCCTCACAGAAGCCTTGTTTACTGTCTACAGCCTTTTATCTAACCCTTAGTGGTCTCTTAACCCAGACGCTTGATAAAAAGCCATTGAAGTTGCTCTGGCTGGAGGAGTTACCCACGTCCCCCTCCCAAAGTCGCTGCGCTGCTCTCTGTCCAGTCCTGCCCTGGGCTCGCCTGTGGCCTTGACCATTGCCTCTGCCCGCCCCCAGCTCCCTGACCGTCCTCCTCACCCTGAGGGTCTGGTTGGCCTCGTGCCCGGGTAGTTCCTTCATTTTCCTCTCCATTAGACATGCTGCCCCTCATTCACCACTCAGGAAGGGCACACAGTATTTTGTGGAAGCCCACAGGGGCCGCCCCTCGGGGCTCTTGGCTGCCTTGGAGCACGTTGTGCTTGTGGCTTTTCTCCCCAGTGACAGGCTGGATGTCTCAGGCTCTGTGCCCCTTTGGTCAGCGCTCTTCCCTCTCCTCTCCATGCTGCTCTTCATTCCTGCCAAGTCTTCCTGCGTCCTGTTTCCCTCGACTGTCCTTTTTCTCACACTCTCCTCATCATAGCCTGATGCTGGGAGCAGAAGCTGGTGCGTCCCTCACAGAAGCAGCAGAGCTTTCTCCATGCAGCCTCCTGCACCACCACTCTCTCAAGCCCTGCGTCCGGCCTCAGCTCTCCCAGGGGCACATGGTCTTACCCTTACAGAGTTACAGTGGCTGAACCTGACCTGATATGTTCACACCTAATGGCTACTCTGACTTCAAACCCTTTTACAGAACCATCTTGTGTGTCCTTAGTTGTGATTTTCTGCTCTTTCTTCTAGATTGCCAACCCACTGACCATCCCTTTGCTCCAGGTCCACTTTAGCTTTGTTGAATGACATTTCTATGCCCTCATTGGCCAAGTAGAAATGCAGTGCACCCTCTACAGCCTTTTTAAAATATGTTGGGAATACTATTTGCACTGAGAGAAATTCACAGATTTTAATATCTACGTAATGAGTCCCTGTTCTTTGAAGTTAATTTGTAGGAAACATTTGACTGTCAGCATGAAATGGCAAGACACCTGCCAGCTTAATTTGGTTTTACATGTCTAAAGCAGTTCCCTTTTCAGTGATGGTCTGGTTGGATTTTTACCTTGAACAGAGTTAGGAGAATGAGTTTATGCTGTAGTTGCTAAGTGGCCCTGAGGTTACTGATGTGAGCTTCTGTCTGGTTGCAGGCCTCCCTGTACCTGGGCAGGCTGGTGCCCCTGGCTTCCCTGGTGAAAGAGGAGAAAAAGGTGACCGAGGATTTCCTGGTACATCTCTGCCAGGACCAAGTGGAAGAGATGGGCTCCCGGGTCCTCCTGGTTCCCCTGGGCCCCCTGGGCAGCCTGGCTACACAAGTGAGTTCCCTCAGAAATGGTTTAATGTGGGGTGCAAGCAGACACCAGGGTGCCGGGCAGACCCAGGTTGGGGGCTGTGATAGTCCCCCACAGCCAGAGTGTAATAGAAAGGCGTGGATTCTTCTAATCATCCATATTCCTCTAAGGGAATCTTCAGAGAATGAACCATGCTACAAAAAGCAATAGTTAAAATTTCAAAATAAAGCTGGTTTAACGGAGTAAATAACACGTTAACCACCTCTGAGACTCCTGGCATCTAAAGTTAAAAAGCAAAACTGTTGAGTTATGTAATTTTTATTGAAAACAGAATGCATTCTTCTTCATCTAGAGATACAAATGAATACTAGGACACACACACACACACACACACACACACACACACACACACCCCAGAAACAAGGAAGACAGGATTACATGGGTAAAGATTACATTAGTAAAGTCCAGAAAAGCCAGCTTTTATTCCAGAAAAGGTGAACATGTAACATGGAAGTCTTGACTCAATTAAGATGGCCGTGTGGTCCCAATACAATACCAAAGCAAATTCGAAGAAAATCTCCAAGGATTTAAGCCAACCTGTGCAATGGGAGTGTGTTCAGATACCTGGAGCCAGCCTTTGGAACCTGCTGGATCAAAACCAACGTGTGCTCTGTGGGGCCCCTGAAACACGAATCCTCTGTGGGGTTGATTGAGAAAGGATTCACAGGCTTCAAGTCCCAGCAAGATTTATTTGCTAGAATTCAAGCAAATCTTTACGAAAGGGAGTTCTCATGGATGAGGCCACTGTTGGGGGCTGGGCCAGGACTAGATGGAGCCATGGATTCCAGCCTGGCAGCTTCGATGGGGAATGTGATCTACATGAATTTGGGTAGGAGAAAGAACAGATCATGTGTGACTTTGGGGAACTTTTCTCCTCTGCTCTTGTGATTGTGTGAAACATGGGAAATGAAGATAAAATATTGCAGTCCTGGAGACACTCAATCCAGAGGCTCCTTTTCTCTGTGTGTCTGAGAGAAGGTTGTGAGCTCTGACCAAGGGGCCTTTGGGTTCCAGATTCATTCAGCGGGGAAGGGAGTGCCTGGGAGGCAGAGATCTAGCAGTGGTGACAAGACTCAACAGATCCTGCTGTCCTGGAGCAAGTATTCCATGGGGCTGACAGGGGTTACCCAAGACAAGGGAATTCTCATGAATGCAGGAGATGATAAGTCCAGGGATAAACTTAAGCAGGAGAGTCAACAGAGGGTTCTGGGGTGGGGGGTGGGCAGGGGATTGTGGTTTTAAGCAGAGTGATTTACAAAGACATGAAGGGGGTGAGGGAGCCAATGGTGGGGAAATCTGGGAAAAGGACATTCTTTTGGATGTTCGTAATTTTGCAAGTGATGAAATATAAACACACGTCATGTAAAAATATGAACTTTACACTCTTGTTAATTGAATGGGATGTGTTAGCTGAGCACATTGTAATATTTACTATTCCAGGTTTTCTAGGTGGCCTTTTTAGTCCACGTAAATTAAGTAATTCTCAATCACAGAGTATCGAGTAATAATTTAGAAATGAGATTTGTACTAAGATTTATAATGTATGTTAAAGAGGCTACATCTTAAAGCCATTGCTACCTCAGGACTTATCGATAGAGCATTAACCACACAATGCAGCCATTTGTGCATGTAAGTTCTGCCACTGCATTCTTGTCTCAAGTGGGTACAGCCAGCTCTAAACCATCTGTGGCTGCAGATACCCTTGATGAGAAGGCGTTGTAAAATGTAAACTCTAGATTTGCACTTTAGAACTCCTCAGAAATAATCACTGCATAAAATGAATTTAAATGGACTTTGGTGAGGATGTACTATTTTTTTTTTGTTTGTTTGTTTTTTGTTTTTTGTTTTTTTGTCAGGGATTTGAAGGGATTCTGGTTGAGCTGAAGCAGGCAGGAGTTATGCTCTGGAAAAGGAGTATAACAGTTACATGTCTCTCAATATTCTTGAGCATACATTTCTAGAGTCAAGGAATTAGTATACCCTAGGCTCACAGGGATGAGAGATGTGGGTTCTTTCAGTGAAGTAATTTAGGGGCTGCTCTTTGAAGCATAAACATGGAGTCCACTTTGTTTAAGACGATGGTGCCAGCTGCACCAATGTCGAAGGGCTAACGAGGAGCCAGGCAGGACCAGAGTCACCAGGAGCAGGTCCCTAGCAGTGGCTGTGGGGGACCCATGGTGACCCCACTTGGGCTTTCTTGCCTCCTGTGCTTTGTGGGGAGAAACTCAGGGAAAGACACATAAGCACATAAGCAACAAGCAAAGCAAAAGCACCTCCCCCATAGTTCCTACACAGCGGAAGCTAACTTGTTCTGCTGAGCTCTAAACCAAGTCATCAAACAAGGTGTGGGATCTTTTTAGGCATTCTGGTTCTAGCTGGGGTGGGCGAGCTGGAGAGTTGACCTTGGTTAATATATTCAAGCCCGAGGGAGGGCCCCACAGCCCCACTCCACACCCTGGGGCCCTTCTATAGTCTGGGACTCAGGGCGTCCAGGTGACAGCTGAACAGAGACTGCCCATGACTTTGTCATTAGGTGAAGACCCTGTAAGGGAGAGGGGAGGGCCTTCAGTGCTGGTGCATGAGTGTTAGGGTTATGCCTGGGCAGGGATGCTGGATACCAAGTTGTTCACTGTGTCTTTTTTCTTCAAGGATCTTGGGGAAGGAAATATAAACTCCATCTCAGTGTGTATCCAAATCATAAAACAATAAACAATACTGATATTTTTTACTAGAACCTAGGACAGATGGTGTGTACATTACTGCAGTTTATTTTTATGCCTCTTTACATAAATGATGCTCAGAATTGAATGTGAACAATTTGAGGCATTTCCTCGTGGGCAGTCTGCAGCTCTAAAATAATGATTAGTTTTGCTGTAAATTGGGTTAGAGGGGGAAAAAAGGAAGAAAATTTTTCTAGTCTCAGCTTTGACTAGATGCATGACCCTGGACAAATCACTTACCTTTCTTGAGCCTCAGTTTCTTCATTTGTAAAATAAGGGTGATGGTAGGCACTTCGCAAGATGAAATGAAATAGTATACAGGACAGGGCTGATGCACCTACAGATACTTCAGAATTTGTGAAATAGAAATGTTGGCAGTGATGGCTTGGGATGGTGAGTGGGTGGTGGGTGGTGTGTGGTGATTATGTTTTGCAAGTGGTGGATAGCCTAAGATGATTTTGAAACAAACTAAAGCTGAATTTCTAACACTTGTCAAATAGCCTAAAATATTTTGGTTTTATAATAGAGGTTGAGTTAGGAGAGGGTAAAAACACCTAGCTATGATCCTATAACTCTGACAACTCAATTTCAGATGGAATTGTGGAATGTCAGCCCGGACCTCCAGGTGACCAGGGTCCTCCTGGAATTCCAGGGCAGCCAGGATTTATAGGCGAAATTGGAGAGAAAGGTAAGAAATTTTGATTTTTTTAAAATGGTGGTTGTGTCTTTGCGTATGATTTTTTCCCACATACTTACCGGCTTTGGAGCCAAGTGGGGGTGGGCAGAGTTAGGGCGTAGGTTCCTTTTATTTGGAACCCTCTTCACAATCTCTTCCTAGAATAAGCATCTTCCGGAACTTAGTTGATGATCTGGGTGGGAAAGGTGGAGACAGCCCTGAAAGTCAGAGTTTTGCCCCTTCTCCCTTTCCGAGGACCGTGAAGTCAGTCTTGCTACAGTGGGCGTGGTCAGCAGATAAAACTCAGACTGATTTGTTACCGCAATCTTTCCATTCAGTGTTTGAGAAGAGACTTCTGTTACCAAAGAATGCTCTTCCCTCCTTCAAGCCAAGTCAAAAATCTGCACATGGAATGCTCACCAATTCTTCCAGTGGTGTTTGCATCATCAGTGTGAGCAAATCTACCGTTGATGCATTAACCAGCTTCACTCTGGGCTCTCGGTTCCATCTTTAATCTTTCCAAGTGTTTGCCTTACTACCCGCACAGGACACTTATTTATCTCTTCCGCCATCCTAGACACAGAGGTGGATTATCACTGCATCAACAGTCCTGCCTTAGAGGGGAATAAGCAATGGATATTCTGATATTTATATGCCTGTTAGTAACCCGAGAGTAGGACAAATAGGAGGCTGTCCCTCAAATCAACCCCACTGTGTACCATTTCTGCCTGTGAACTGTAAACATGTTTTAGTCTTCAAATGTGTAAGACAGAAATGATGCATGGAAAAGTTTCAGCCAGCATCTTAGAATTCTGACAGCCACATACACTGCAGGACCTGAAATGGAAGCGATCTTGGGCGTCATCACAGGGGTGCCACTGATCTGAGTCAGTGTACAGTTTGGGTTTTAATGAGTCTGTCTGCTCTAGTTACCAGGCGCTCAGTACTTTGTGAGATGGGCTCTTCCATTTTATGACAGATCCAGCGTCCAGAGGTTCTTCACACTGCAATCTTAGCTATCCATCCCCCAGATCCTAGGAGAAGCATCTGTCTTCTCGAGTCTTCCCATTCCTCTTTCGACTCCATCGTCTGCTGGGAATGCACCTTGTCTCCCCACCCACCTGAAGCCTTGCGAACAGACACACCCACGAATGCCCCAGTGCCCAGAACTTAGCTGGGTTCTCAGCTGTGTTGTACCGTGCCCCTTCCACTGATGGGCTCCTGCTCTGCCTCCTGAAAGAGCTCGAAATGAAACCATGTGCCTGCTCCCACACTTCGGGGGCATGGCCTACCTGCACTGGCCCTGTTTTACTTCTGACTGAGGGGCATCCCAGGGCAGAGTGGGCAATAGCAGTGCCCGTGTGCGGCTGCCAGCCAGGGCAGGGATGGGAAGAACATGGCCACGCCGCCTCGATGTCCCTGGCATGGGCTTCTCTGCGAGCACTTTTTGCTCTGTATTATGCCTGATTTGTGCCTAGAAACCAGACATTTCAATATTTAAGACACAGGAATAGCTAAGACAATGTAAGGTCTCTGAGCTTGGCTTGAAAATCAAGACTTCAGATGTTAGAATTTCCAAAGAAGAGCATCTCCTCTCCTTTTTCAGGGCTGCAGTCTCTCTCCTCTTCTGTCCTGGATCACATATGTGTTCTTGCTTTTGTGGCTTCTTATTCCCAAGTCCACCAACCAGTGAAGTCCATGAACTGGACTAAGCACTCAACCAAAGAGAAAGGGGATGGGTAGTTTTCACATTACAGACAAATTACAAAAGTCAAGTCTTTTCAGGCTGATAGGCACAGTTGAATTTCTGGACCACTTTTTACTGAGGCAGCCCTGTCTTTTCGCTGGGAGAAGAACTTGGATCTTTAAGCAGTGCGTCTGTGGTCACACGTGACGCGTGCTGGGGGCAGTGGGCCCGTTCATTGACAGACAGGGACGTGCGTTTGACTGCAGTTTCCACCCATTAGCAGAGAGCTGTCTGGAGGAGCCATTGCCACTGAGCAAACCTAAGTTTGGATGTAATATGTTAGTGACAGCCTTGCCTTTTTCTGTTCTCTCAGTGCACTGCGGAGACTTCTGGTCACATGTTACACGTAAGCACCTTTGTGTTTTCTTTTTTAGGTCAAAAAGGAGAGAGTTGCCTCATCTGTGATATAGACGGATATCGGGGGCCTCCCGGGCCACAGGGACCCCCGGGAGAAATAGGTAAGACCCACATGTGAAAAGGACCAGGTCAGAGTTTGCTTTGGTGTGTTGGCATCTTTCCTGTGAAAGGGATTTCACTCCATAGAAGGCCTGATTTTCGGCAGCCAATCCTAAAGCATAATCAGAAGAATGTTGGGCCCCACTTCCAGGATTTGTCCACATTGCTGGGAATGATCAAGATGGCCTCATAAAGATTTCCTAATAAAAGACAGCAGCATAACAGTTCCCTCCATGCCACAGATTCTGTTATCTCACAAGCAGTTAATGGAATTCATGTTTTTCCTTTAAGTGGTCCCTGGGTGTGTGGGCAGGGGGGCAGGTGTGGGGTGCTGGAAGCATTCCTGCTTCCGGGTGTACATGTGCGTCGGGTCACCTATTCCCTTTCTGAGTCCGTCTTGGGCATTTTAGTTATTACTCTCTTTGGATTATCCAAGCAATCATCCACTTCCTATACAGATTTTTATGCTTTTGAGTCTTAAGAAAAGGTTTTGAGAAGTGTCTCATGAATGCTGTGTTGCTGTCTTTTTCCCTCTCTCTCACGAAAGGTTTCCCAGGGCAGCCAGGGGCCAAGGGCGACAGAGGTTTGCCTGGCAGAGATGGTGTTGCAGGAGTGCCAGTAAGTAAACCTGTCTGAGTTCATGTACATATCAGAAGTTGCCACCAAGCACGTGGACAGAGTTGTGTCGTTTTGCATTTGCAAGCATGGCTTCTGCCTTGTGTGGGAGCTGGTAAGTGTTGCTGTGTCGAGCCCTCTGGAGTGACTCCATGCGGCCCTTGTCTCAGGAGAATGAGCAAGACTGTTACCCACAGAGCCCAAATCACAGCTGCCTTTCTTCTCACCTGGTCAACATTTTTTCGGCTGCTGCCGACCTGTGTTCAGGTGTGGCTGAATGGGAGTGTGTCCTTCCCTCAGGGTCTCTGGGATTTCTGGAAACAAATGGTGTCACAGGAGCCACCCCCACACAGCCACAGTGCAGAGCCGAAGTGCCGTCTTTCTGTGTTACCAGTGCTGGTAACATCATATCAGATCATCTAAAAGCTGGTTAGTCAGTAGGTTCAGCATCAATAGTTTCTATGAAAAGATCAAGGAAAGCAGATCTGTTTGCCTCTGAGGATTAGAAATATGTTTTTATTCTTCTTCTTACAGTTGAAAATTTCTGTTACAACATCTATTGTGCAGTTGCTTTTTCAAATCCATAAATGAAATATCCGGATCACATTGACATGAAACCTTTCAATGGAACAAAATACCAGCTTCTTAGCTTTTGTAGTTTGTTTTAAAAGAATCCACTAAATAGAAGAGCATAATAATAATCTTGAATTTTGAAGGACATTATTTTCTTGCATATAATGACTTCTGTTTCTGAAGTTTTGAAATCTCAAGGCATTGTTCCTCTCGTATTTTCTTTGTTCTTCTGAGCTTTGCGAGCATGGACTGGTTTCCACAATTCCTTTCATTCCTTTTTTTCTTTTTGTAAGATATTGAAAGTCAAATTTCAGAATTATTCATTTCTGATGTAGCCCTTCAAATTTTTTAATTTTTAAAGATATTGCTGGAAGCTTCTACAAAAGAAAACCAGGGCAAAAGCGAGTTGAAATAGCAATGACCCAGCTGGAATTCAGCAATCATTTTCTGCTTTTGAAGTTAGATCTTGGGCTTTTGCTCTCCAGAACTTCCCTGGTGCCTGGGGAGCTGAGTTAGAAGTTGCAATTGTTTAAGATATATCTAAATAAATTAGAAGTTCAAATAACTGGGTAGCCCTGACTGTAGTGGGGATCAAAGACAGAAGAACTTTGAAGGAAGCAGAAAAGGACGTTTTTAACCTCTATGCACCGCTTCATCTCCTGGGCTTTCCTGGTGGACTTCCTGCCTCAACTCTGGCTGAAACTCAGTCTAGACATATCTAATAAAAGACGGAAAAAGAGGAAAGAGGTGAGAAAGAAGGAATATTGAGGAAAGATCATAATATAGAAGAAAAGAAAGAAAACATACAACCCCAATTCTACTCCTTATGCCTTCATCAGGAGCTCCTTTCTTTCCGGAGTTGGAAAAAGTCTCTAAAAATAAATTTATGGGTAAATAATTCAATTGAGAAGTTAGTAATTTTCCTTTTATTGGAAGCTGTATTTGAAGCTCCGTGATTTAACTCGCTCAGAAATGTGGTTCTCTTATTTTGAATTTGGCTAGAGGCTAAAAGAGATATCCATAAACGAGCACACAGGAGAGTAGATTAAAATGTGAAATGCTCTGATTTTTCATTTGACTTAGATAGCATTTCTGTGACATTTCCTTTTGAAAGACAAGTATTTGATTTTGGGGAAAGAATAATGAATCACAAAAGGCCGACTCCCCGAGCGGATTGATGATGCCCAGGTTGGTCTGAGCAGGTTTCATGGTTCCTGGTCACTGGGAGGATGAATTGAAACCAACACTCCCTGACTTTTTCCACAGTGGCACCACTTTTTAGAGGCAGACAGCGTAGGTGTCAGATTTTCTCCAATTAATGCAGCCAATGCTAAATTTTCCAGGCAGTAGTTGAATCCTCAGCATTTATTTTCAGGGAGACGGATCAAAAGACCTTTGAACTACTTAGAATCAAGAAGTTCTGTGGCAAAGAAAGCACACGAGATGTCCTAGGGTCACCAATGTCACTGTTTTAAAAACCCAGATTTCTCCCGTAAATAGAATGATGGCAGGCAAGGTCATCATTGTTAAAATAAAAAATTATATTTTCTCACCCTAAGATCACAGTATTGGGGAGCTTTATATTTTTAGGCTGTGAGTAATCACCATAAAATAATATAATGATGTTTGCAGGTTGAGAAAAATATACATTGGTTATAATTTCTTACACTAGTATTTTTTAATGGATGAATATTGCCAGTTCAGTGTATACTTCCTCCAGTATCTCTTTTGTTCTGGATGCCAAGGATACAAAGATAGGAAACCTTGGTCCTACCCTCAGAGCCCTGAAATACTAGTGGAGAGACAGCTCTGCAAATAGACTGTCCTAATGAAGCAAAGTGATTTACAGAATGAGGACCAGAAGGCAGCCCGAGCCCACAAGAAAGGCCGCATAGAGGAGGCTAATTTTAGCTGGGATTGAAGGATGCATAGGAGCTAATATTAACTCAAGAGAAACAGTTTAAAAATCCCAAAACACCTTTCAAGTAAATAACAAATTTTCCATGACTCTCTGCTACAATTTCTGGCAGGTGGCTCATAGAAATAATTTGTTGCCTTTCCTGGGACCCAGAGCAAATAGACTGGGTGTGTTCCACCTTTCCTGAGTAGATCCAAGTGAAGTGTCCCAGGTCATAAGGGGCATTAGAGTGCGGGGCCAGCTCAGACCACTGGTAGTCGTCCATGAGAAGCTTCTGCCATGACAGGAGCGTGCTACGTCAGTGCCATCTGATCTGGCAGCTGCTGGCCAGTGGTGGCTGTTGAGTCTTTGAAATGCAGTCACTGCTGGGTACGGTGGCTCACGCCTGAAATCCCAGCACTTTGGGAGGCCGAGGCGGGCGGATCACCTGAGGTCGGGAGTTCGAGACCGGCCTGACCAACATGGAGAAACCCCGTCTCCACTAAAAATACAAAATTAACTGGGTGTGGTGGCGTATGCCTATAATCCCAGCTGCTCGGAAGGCTGAGGCAGGAGAATCTCTTGAACCTGAGAGGCGGAGGTTGCGGTGAGCCGAGATGGCGCCATTGCACTCCAGCCTGGGCAACAAGAGCGAAAATCTGTCTCAACAAAACAAAACAAGCAAAAAACAAAACAAAACAAAAAACAAAAACAAATGTAGTCACTGTAATGGAGGAACTGCATTTTTTGTGTTATTTAATTTAACTTTCCAAGTCATATTGAACAGTGCAGAGAGTTGCTGCCGACTCTCTCCATACTTCTGGAAGCCTGCTTGATGGGATTGGGCCAGGAGTCAGTGCATCGTGGTTGGTATGGAAGATGGAATGGGAGGCAGAGCAGCTTCTCCCGTTCCTTAGCCTGCGATGTTTCAGCTGTTAGGAAGCAATTCAGGCAGGAAAGCAAGTCTGCTCCATTTAGGTTAGTCCCACATTTGCTGTTTGTTTGACTTTGAGCAGGACACAGAAGTCCTTCAAGCCCCACCTCTCCCCCTGTGTAATGGGCAGATTTTACTCGCTCATCCCTAACTCTCCTTAGCACTCCAGAGGCACAGGCATAAGGTACAAGTTTTGCAGCTGGAAATGCATAAATGTGGATCCCAGTTCCAGCACTTTCTGGCTGAGTAGTCTTGGATCTATCAGCTCACTTCTTTGAGTATCAGCTTCTTCCTCTGCTATGTCCTGGTTTCCATGTTTTCCTTGCAGAGCTGCAATAAGGGTCAGAGATGCTATAGAATGGGTCATAGTGCCTAGCAGGCTGGTAACCAATGCTAGCCATATTTTCAGTCTAAAGATTGGGCAAATGTTGGTCTGTCCTTGGTTGACCAACTTCTTCCTTTGAGAAGCACATAGCATCTGTACACACAGAAGCGTGTGCATGTGAGGGATTCATACATATCTAAGAACCTTCTGCAAGGAAGTTTATGAAAAAAAATTCACATTAAGTGAATTGTGCCAGAGTTAAAATTCTGCCAAGTCGACAGGGAGTCTGAAGATGCCTTTCTCAGGCCTAAGTGAACAAGTCAATGGGACAATTGTTGGAAACATTTTCTGTTTTTCTTGTGAAACCCAAGTCTCAGGATGCTGGAGGAGAAGCCATTGGTGGGTATGGGTGTTCTTTGCAGTTTTAACTTTCCAGGAACTGAGCAACGTTCTAGTGTGAGTCTCTTGGGAAAGTCAATTTGACTCTGCTGACTCAACATAACTCATTTTAGAGCTGGCCCAGTGCCCACTCCCAGAGTTTCATCTCTCACTGGTGCCCTGGAAGTCCTTATCTCTTCTGGAATTCTGGGCATGAGCATAAAAGGAAGCCTGTTCAATATGCACAGGAGTATTCAGCACTGGCCAGGAGGTGCTGACGGGTAGCTCAGTGGGCCCAGAAGCTGGAGAAAAGGCTTCTGCGTGCTGCCGGTGGGGCTGAGGCAGCAGGCAGAGCTGAGGACAGCGATTGTTCTTTGAGTCTGTCTGTTACTGAAGCTGCACAATGAACCACACATCAATCAGAACCTTCTGACAGGTGCTGTGTGTTCCTATGAATGTTGAGCAGTTGTTAGGGTAAGAAAACTCCTGGAGGAGAGCTGGGTGCCCAAAGCCACACTATAACTCCCTCTGCCCCATCCAGGTCTTTGCTTGAAATATCTAATTAAGATAAGTGTTTTTAAGAAAAACACAAGAAGTGCAGCAGACCAGGGCTTTGTCACAGAGCTCCTGGCTTGCATCTAGAAAATCAATGATGAGGCATGAATGCATGACCATTTTCAAGAAGGTGGCTTCTTGATTCTATGGTTGCTTGTGTTACAGTCACACTGGTGTGCTTCATGGATGGGTTCTTCTGTGGATCACAAGGCTTTGTTCTTACAGGGCCCTCAAGGTACACCAGGGCTGATAGGCCAGCCAGGAGCCAAGGGGGAGCCTGGTGAGTTTTATTTCGACTTGCGGCTCAAAGGTGACAAAGGAGACCCAGGCTTTCCAGGACAGCCCGGCATGCCAGGGAGAGCGGGTTCTCCTGGAAGAGATGGCCATCCGGGTCTTCCTGGCCCCAAGGGCTCGCCGGTATGTTTATCTCCAGACTTTGAATGTGCATTTTACAGTGTGGATCTGCAAAGCATTGAGAAATGAGTAATTTGAATCATATTGATGTATTTCTATCTCCTTGATGATGGCACAAATGAACTTGTTTCATGATTCATGGTTCATGGAACAACTTAAGTCTATAAACCTAGGCATTGCCAGTTATTATTGACAAATAATTAGGTGATAACAGATCAGTGTCTTCTGATGCATTTGGGGGAACTGAACAGATGTGTTTGTGTATCTTTTTGCTTTGGATGGGAGGTGAAATCTAAAGTTAATAGTATTCATGTCATTGTTTTCAAAAGATTCCAGGTATCAACATCTCATTCTCTAAAGTATCTCCCTAAGTAGATGAGGGAGGAAGAATGCTCAGCTTAGGGAGAAGAATGCTGGTTTCACTTATTAACTACAAGGTGGCCCTCCTGGGAGGGTAGATGAAGTAAATAAATAGTGTGAGCCAGTTAACTCTAGTACTTATTGACCACAAATGTCAGAAGAATGCGATAAGGACAGGGTGTTGGTGTGTCTCTGATAACGGTGTCTTTTTCTTCTTCTCACATCAGGGTTCTGTAGGATTGAAAGGAGAGCGTGGCCCCCCTGGAGGAGTTGGATTCCCAGGCAGTCGTGGTGACACCGGCCCCCCTGGGCCTCCAGGATATGGTCCTGCTGGTCCCATTGGTGACAAAGGACAAGCAGGCTTTCCTGGAGGCCCTGGATCCCCAGGCCTGCCAGGTGAGGCCTGAGAAACTCGTGATGCAGCATGAAGTTGTAAACGGAGGTTAGGGCAGGCACCTCGGGTGCACACAGAGGCCTGGGGTTCGCATAGGCCAGGGCGCACACTTGGCTTTGATTCTTCCAGGAATTGGGGCAGGACCTGGGCAAGCCTTCAGCCTTTTGTGCCTCCCTTTCCTCATGTATGTGATGGGCCAGGTAATATGCAGGTGGAGAACTTGGGTTTACAGTCCTCATAAGTAAGTACACAGCACGCACCAGCTAAAGTCAGCCTTTGTATAGAAGTCACACCGAGGTCAAGTCATTTTCCTCTCCTTACCCATTTGGCTTTCCCCGATGAGCAGCCCATTTTGGCTTCTGTGCATCCCGAGTGGTGTGATCTCCACCTCTTCACAGTCGGCAGACGCCTGTGAATGGATTTAGAGGTCCTACAGCGCGATGACGATTTCATTCCATGGTGGTTTTAGTTGTCTGCTGTTTTTGGAGTGAATCACGCGCCAAGCTCTATGCTGAGCATTGACAACACATGGTCAAAACCACAGACGTGGTCCCTGCCCTCCTGCACAGCCTGTTCAGAGGTTTTCCAGAGAACCTGTAGCAGGGATGAGTGTGGGCTCCCTCGTCGTTCTCCTCTCCCACGACTTGCTTATTTTCAGGGCCAGCGGGAGGGGGCTGTGGCGCTAGGCCTTGCACACAGCAGGTGCTAATAGTTTATTATCTGACTGCGATTCCCAGTAGACATGGAGCACGCCTGTTCTTCCCTAGAAAATCCCGGAATGAGAAGAGGAGAGGCTAGGAATGCCTTGTGTGTAGATGAGGGAAGTAAATGCGCGTTGCTAGGAAACATTCAAAAGTTGTAAAAGTGAGTGAAAGGACTTAAGGTGATTAAAAATATCTAACTAGTAAACCTTAAAAAACATAGTTATTTATAAAGTAGCTGGGGCCAGGTGCGGTGGCTCACGCCTGTAATCCCAGCACTTTGGGAGGCAGAGGCTGGCAGATCACAAGGTCAGACATTGGAGACCAGCCTGGCCAATATGGTGAAACCCCATCTCTACTAAAAATACAA
Source organism: Homo sapiens (assembly GCF_000001405.40). Lineage (NCBI taxonomy): Eukaryota > Metazoa > Chordata > Mammalia > Primates > Hominidae > Homo > Homo sapiens. The sequence goes on along the minus strand of NC_000013.11, from coordinate 110,185,315 downwards.
AAGTTAGCTGGGCATGGTGGCAGGCACCTATAGTCCCAGCTACTCTGGAGGCTGAGGCAGGAGAATCGCTTGAACCCGGGAGGCAGAGGTTGTAGAGAGCCAAGATCTCGCCACTGCACTCCAGCCTGGGTGACAGAGTGAGACTCCGTCTCAAAAATAAATAAATAAATAAATAAATAAAGTAGCTGGATATTTGAAATACCCAACAATAACCACGTTGGAGCAATTACAGCATGCCGTTCTGGCTCGCAAGTGTGCTGATTATGTCAATAACCATATTGAGCCTGTTTTATGAATTCCTATTCCCATTAGGGACTAATATTTCCTTATTAATATACAGTGTATAGGCTGGGCACGCTGGCTCATGCCTGTAATCCCAGCACTTTGGGAGGCCAAGGTGGGCAGATCACCTGAGGTCAGGAGCTCGAGGCCTGCCTGGCCAACATGGTGAAACCCTGGCATCTGTAATCCCAGCTACTTGGGAGGCTGAGGCAGGAGAATTGCTTGAATCCAGGAGGCGGAGGTTGCAATGAGCTGAGATCGTGCCATTGCGTTCCAGCCTGGATGACAGAGCAAGACACTGTCTCAAAAACAAACAAACAAACAAACAAAACACACACACACACACACACACAGTCCAGTTCCTAAGCATTCCAGTATGGGAAATGTCAGCCAGTGTTTGATGGAAGCCCAGGTGTAGTGTGCTAACATAACTGTTACTCTTATCCTTCTCCCTGTTGGTATAATCAGTGAGTACTTAGCATCAAGTTCTGACTCTGTTGATGGTTGTTCTTTGTTTAGAAGCGTCCCAGAAATGTCTCTTTTATGACTCCATTAGAGGTAGGGGATACCGGGTTTGATGGAGGAGGACTTCGGTGAGCCAGGCATAGGGACTTCCGATCACTTTCCCTTGGGTCTCTTGATTCCACAATCAACAAATCAAGTGCTGTCTTTGTGCTTGTGACATCTGCAGATTTCCAGAGCTGTCGAAGGGAATTAGCTTTTCTTTTGGCGAGAAACTACCATCAGAGAAACCAACTGGAGTACTCACAAATATACCCTAGCAGATGGGGAAGAAGGCTTCTGGGGAGGGGGAACAGGGCTGTTGATCCTCTCTCCCCACAGCTGTAGGGCTCCTTGGCCATCCAGAGCCAATTAGCTTCGAGATTAGAAAACAGATGTCTTTGATCTGCCAGAGCTGTGTGTAACTGTGGTAATCATAAAAGCCTGGTGCCCAGGGTGTGTGTCACCAACAGCAGGCATTTCCTAGGGTCGTTCAGTTGGCGTTTCCCACAGTCTGTAGCTAAAGAATGTGCTGGCTGTTCTAGGGAGGCCCCACATAGCTTGAACTCTTACGAGGTGTACGAAGATTCAGTGCGTGCATTCTTGGAGGGGAAGCCTTTGGTCCTTTCTTAACAGCGAAACCCTGACACTCCGGTGGCTCTCCTAGGCATGAGTGCCCAGAGGGCCGGGGCTGTGCTTCCTGGCTTGGGAGGAAGGATGGTTTTGCCTGTGTTGCTCAAGTGAGCGCAGAGCTCTCCAGCTGCACCATTACAGATAATGGATCGTTCGTAATCACCCGCGGATCATGTTGTTTGGATAATTTCCCACCAAACGACCGTAATTTAGGTCAATCTCAAAGCAACTTAGACTTTGGTAAATTGAGAGAGAACAGCAAAAGTATTTTGACTTTTTGAGACCGGCTCACTAAGAAATCACCTAGAGCCACCTCACATGTTGTTGTTGTAGATTTTTCAGCTTCTTGTGACTCTTAATTGTGGACTCTTAAGGGATTCTTGTGTCCAACAAACATCTTGGTCATTTTGGACATGCAAACGCATGGGGAGAAGCGTAGCTCTCTGTGAAAGATCCTAGAAACACCAAGGGAAGAAGTGGAGAACACAGGCAGAGGCTCTGCTCTCCGGGCACTCGTGGTGCTGGGTAGGATGTGGCGTGCAGCCCACCCACTGCGTGTCCTCCCTGTGTTCCGTGTGGTCCTCATTCCTTCATCGTTTGTCTTTGCTCTTTTTTTCCTCTAGGTCCAAAGGGTGAACCAGGAAAAATTGTTCCTTTACCAGGCCCCCCTGGAGCAGAAGGACTGCCGGGGTCCCCAGGCTTCCCAGGTCCCCAAGGTACGATTGGAATTCCAGCTCACCGGGATACCACGAGAGTTTCCTCACGTTTTTCTCACGCTGACTGTTGGTCTTTCTCACCACAGGAGACCGAGGCTTTCCCGGAACCCCAGGAAGGCCAGGCCTGCCAGGAGAGAAGGGCGCTGTGGGCCAGCCAGGCATTGGATTTCCAGGGCCCCCCGGCCCCAAAGGTAACCCTGCCAGACGGACCCGAGCCTTTGGTCCACCTGTGACTTCTGTGAGAAAAGAGGAGGTGGTAGACATCAAAACACCACAGAAGCTGGTGACCGCTGTTCAGGGAGGCTTTCAGAAGAGCCCAAGCAGTGCTGAGCCCAGTGATTTCAGGAGCTTCTAGGCAATAGCTGCCTTGCAGTGTAGGGTTTGGTTGGGAAGATGGGACGCTAAGGCTGTGCAAGCTGCATGGGCACTGCCACCAATGGTGCCCGCTGAAACCCACCCTCCAGGTGTTTGCTTTTTATCCGTGAGGAAGACTCGCAGTCCACCTGAACACAGCCAGGGTGGGTTGGGAGTTGGGGGAGCGCCCAGGGGGAGGTGCAAGGAGTCGCAGGGAGGGGCCTTTGCTCCGAGGGGAGGAGTCCTACCGGTGTTAGAGCCGTCACTTCCTGCTGAAAACTGGAAGGAGGTGAGGAGGGAATTTCTTTTCCCCCTGCTTTTCACATTTCTTAGGTCTACTTGTCCCTCAGGTAGACCTTGATCAACACACTTGTCATCACAGACCTTCTGTTCAGGACTGAGGAGAAGGTGCTGTGAGCACAAAAGGGACGTGTTGTGTAAGGAAGTTTGTCTTCGTACAACACACCACGCAGCCACACTTAGGTTGAAATCTCCTCCAGGCTCCCAGGCTTCTTACCCAGAGGCTCCAGGCCCCATCCACCCTCACTGCTGTAGGCTGCTAGCTTGGAGAACAGGAGACGGCAGCCCCTTTCCTCTGACAGCCACGCAACGCCCACCCACACCACGGCTGCTTCCCTCAGGCTGGGCGGGCAGCAGAGCATCCCTGTTCAGGAGGGCCAGGCGCTGAGGCCTCGTCACACTCACAACTCCCTCACATTCCACCATTGCCTCACACAGTGCCTCCTTCACCTGAGGCCGTGACCCATGTGACATGGAGTTGCTTGGCTTTGTGGCAGTGAGGAGGACAGACCCTATCTGTGCAGCAGCCTCACAGAAGATGTGATTCGGGTGTGTGCCACTGCAAACTTACAAATTACTGGACATCGGAGACCTCAGTGTTGCATACAAAGGGTCTGAACTAGTGGCTGGCCAGCTTCATAGCCCATCAGAGCTTCCAGAGCGGGGCCCAGACAGTGGGCAGGTGTCCTTCAGTGACAGATCCTGTGGGATCTTGAAAAGTGGGCCTGCCTTATAGACCCCTGGGGTCTGCATTTCTAATGAAGTGATGGTGGTGACCTGCCCCCCCAACCACACCTTGAGTAGATGAATAAAGTGCCCTTCTCACCTGCAGGCGCCAAGGGGTATATTTGTTTTGTTTGGGGAGAGTAGGATGGGAAAGAAAAGTTTGAAGAGAGCAGAAGAAAAGGAAAGGAGAGAGAAAGAGGAGGGCAGAGGTGCTGGAAGAGACAGCAACGCACCTGACCCCTCTGCCGGGCAGTCTCCCCTGGCCTCTTCCAGCCACCTCGGAAGGCCTCCACAGTTGACCTTCTCAGATCAGGTCGGCATCTCTGGGCAAGACTAAAAGTGAAGAAAGTGGGGAACGGCATTGTAATCGCAATGATTGTTTGTTTGTTTTTTTTTTTTGACTCTTTAAAACAGGTGTTGACGGCTTACCTGGAGACATGGGGCCACCGGGGACTCCAGGTCGCCCGGGATTTAATGGCTTACCTGGGAACCCAGGTGTGCAGGGCCAGAAGGTGAGTGCCAAGCATTCCCTCCATGACCCTTCTCCCCCATCCTTGTTATTAGTTGGATGGAAAAAATGCAGGTTGTGAACGTCCCAGGACATGTTGGGCCAGCAGATTTTTGTTTTTGATGAAATAACATAGAATAGAAAGTATCAGAGAACGTAGCACATGGAAGTAAGTATTTTGAAGGGAAACACTTGTTTTGATTTTATGAAACATTTGTTTCAATTTTATGAAATTTTATGACAGACATTTTCTTGCCTGTGTAAGCTGAAACTCAGGGTAAAATATGTTTCTTACTGTGAGAAGCAGATGAAGGCTGTTTGAAAGCCACTGTCCTGAAAGAAAGCATAGTCACCCAGGATGGTTTCTCAGCCTCAGCACTACTGGCATTCTGGGTTCAATAGCTCTTTTCTGTGGGGGGCCACCCTGTGCCTTTGTAGGGCTTTTGACAGGAGCAGCCCTCCCTCCACCTATGGGTCACCAAAAGAGCATCCCCCTTCCACCCAGTCACAACTGAAAATCTCTCCAGACATTGGCAAATGTCACTAGGGCGATCAGATTGCCCCGGCTTGAGAACTGTTGGTACAGGGTGAAGTCAGGATTCTCCTTGCCCTCAAATATTCTGCTACCAACTTGCCTATACTTGAAATTCTGCTCAGCAAATGTGAGCGACTACCGATTAGATCCTTTCCTGTCCTGATTGTAAGGAACCAATGTGAAATTGCCAGAAGGCATTGGTACCAAACGGGAGAAAGGGCCAACGGCCATCGATAAACGTTGCCAGTGATGGACCCAGGTGGGGCCTGCTCCCTGGCCCTCAGGAGAGGGCAGATGGGCACCACAGGGGCCGTGCCTCTGGGATCCCAGGGGGGTTTCTTCCGGAGAAATACCTGACAGCAGGGTGCCCTCCTCTGGTGGCTGAGGCAGAAGAGAAACCTTTGGACCTTTGTCTTTGTACAACCCGCCACCAGCTTCCCCTGATAACCTACGTTGCATTTGAACATTTAGTCAACCGCGGCAACTTGCGGATCATCTTAAACTTAGTGCAAGACTCAGGAGTTAGTAAATGCCTAATGGAATGGGAATGAAAGATTTAATTTATGATTAAAAATACCATGCTTTTTCAAGCATCCCCTTGATGGAGTTTGTTCCATTTTGAGAATTTCCTTCTGGGACAAATAGGGAAGTTACCACTGCCCACTAATGTCCAAATCCTCCCTCTCTGGAAATATCATTTGCAGACAGGGGACACCGGTGGAGCCCTGTGATTTCATGGCCACCTGCTTGCTTTGGAGCCTCACATCTATGCCTAAATCCAGGCTGTTTCCAAGGCACCTTCACCCTTTATTTTAATCATCTGTATCTATCAAAGCCCAGTGACTCATGCCATAGTTTAAAATGCTTAATTTACTGTGAAACCTTCATTAATCCAAAAAACTAAATAACTGGTGTCCATGCTAGCCCTGGAACCTTGCCATCTCTTAGGAAGAACTCCATTAACTACTCACAAATCATATTTGGCATTTTACCGGTTACTCAGGGCCAGTGCTTTGTCACAGGCACCAGGCTGCAGAGTTGAGGGGACAAGCTCAGGTCAGAAGACTTGAGAAAAATGTCATTTATCCGTGGGGAGCCTTGCTTTTCCTCCTTTGTAAAATGAAAACAATGAAAGTTACCCACCTATGGGGCTTGTGGTGAGATTGAAAAGATATAATAGGTATGAGGAAGCTTTGCAAACGCTTGAAAAGGGTTGAGCAGATAATATTCTTACTAAATGCATTGGCAGTATCTGTTAAGTCTTCACTTACGCTATTGGTTTGATAAAAATACTGACTTTGCAAATCAATTTGCTTCTCTGTGCTTTGGGGATTTTCAGGGAGAGCCTGGAGTTGGTCTACCGGGACTCAAAGGTTTGCCAGGTCTTCCCGGCATTCCTGGCACACCCGGGGAGAAGGGGAGCATTGGGGTACCAGGCGTTCCTGGAGAACATGGAGCGATCGGACCCCCTGGGCTTCAGGGGATCAGAGGTAACTTCATGCAGATCAGTCTGGAGGGTTTCGAGGACAGGATGTGCTTATTTTTGCATTCCCAGAGCCCCTACCGAGTATATTTGATATGTATTTGTTGAACGAACGATGCAAATCTTAGAGGCCTAGAGCTCGTGGCTTTCCGTTGCTGGGGCCATTCGTGTGCATGGGTCTCCTAGGCCGGGAGACGTGCCACTGCTCCTGTACAGCTTACTCTCAATTTTTCTTCTCCAGGTGAACCGGGACCTCCTGGATTGCCAGGCTCCGTGGGGTCTCCAGGAGTTCCAGGAATAGGCCCCCCTGGAGCTAGGGGTCCCCCTGGAGGACAGGGACCACCGGGGTTGTCAGGTGAGTGACATGCTTCTAGAATTATCTGTTCCCAAAAGCATGCTTTTCTGAAGCATGGGGGATGAGGCCGGGGTCCCTATAAAGTGAAGCTTAGCACAATGTATGAGATAAAAAGAGAAAAAAATAAAACTCGAGTTTGTGAAAATAGGTTTGATTGTTTGCTTAAATGTAGTCCCAGATTCTTCTCCCACCCACTGAGATGATGTGCCAAACAAAGAGACCTTTCCTTTATTGTGTACTCCGTCACGTTTCACATTTTATTCTAACTGATGTCTCTATATTATCTTTCCATAGGACGGTTAATTAGTGGTGGATAATTTCAACTAATTGAGTCCATGTCTAGAACCTAGCTTTGCCTTTGATCATAATAATCATAGAATTAAGGTGGTGCATGGAAATTAGAGCAAAACTAGCCCTAGTCCTAAGTACTGCGACAAGGCAGTGGTGGTGCTTAGGGTGGCCTTGCTGACTCTCAATGACAGGAAAGGGGAGTGCTTTTCTTTTAGAACAAGAGCCATTTGATTATCCTGATGACCCCAAACACCAACACCTAACAGATGATCCATTCAAGTTCCCAGTGTGGGCGTGCTCACGGGCTTTCTGCAGAAAGTCATAGTTAAACAGAGCACTGTACATTGTAGATCATTCTGTAAATTCTGCTAAAAGTTATTTGTGTTTCACCCAACTGCAGGCCCTCCTGGAATAAAAGGAGAGAAGGGTTTCCCCGGATTCCCTGGACTGGACATGCCGGGCCCTAAAGGAGATAAAGGGGCTCAAGGACTCCCTGGCATAACGGGACAGTCGGGGCTCCCTGGCCTTCCTGGACAGCAGGGGGCTCCTGGGATTCCTGGGTTTCCAGGTAAGTGATTTTTGAACTTCTGCCTGGATCCATCATGAAGACATGGGCCTCACCTTATTCTTTTTATGACTCAGCATTTACTGTCAGCATTCAGAGCAAGAAAATGTTCACAGTCCTTTCCTTTGGCCACAGGTTCCAAGGGAGAAATGGGCGTCATGGGGACCCCCGGGCAGCCGGGCTCACCAGGACCAGTGGGTGCTCCTGGATTACCGGGTGAAAAAGGTAGGGGAGCTGATAACCCTAGAAGCTCATTTTGTGTCTATTTCTCGATGCCACTTGGGAAATTCTCAAGTTGTCATAGATCATATTTCCCTTTAAGACGCCTACAAAAGAAGTTAGGAACATCAAGCAGAAGGCTGGGAGACCCCCTTCTTCCAGTAGGATTCCTGGTGCTCAATGCACATGGGGTTGAAACTGTGCTTGGCCAAGCAAATCAGAAAGAAGCTGGGCTTTCCTTCTTGGCACAGATGAGATTCTTCTTGTGAGAAATGGTGGAATCTTCAGCCATGCCAAGATACAGGGACCGAGTCCTTAGGCTCAGATTAACAACCTGCGCAAGTTTACAAGGCTTCGTCTTTATTTCTTATCGTTATTTGAAGTTGTTCCAAAATAATGTCTTTTACAAAGAAATACTGTAAATATGACACATGAAAAGGTCATTTGTTTTGTAGAATGATAAAATTCCTGTTCTATTATTTTGTATAGAACTGAGGGGCACTATGAATAAGAGTGATAAAGATATGTAGGAAGGAGAGAAATGTAAGTTATCTAAACCTGAAAGCCAAGTCACATGCAGTAGAGTTATTAGCGAATAATGAATTGTAGAAAATGGCTTTTTACTGCTCATTTACCTGGGGTTGGATTCTTCTGTGTCTCAGACACTGGCCATTAATGCCATTTTGGACAAGTTATGAGTGCTTTGTAGCCTTTTTGCCAGCTGCTGTCCCTGTCAACAAGAACGTGAGCCTTTTGAGCACCTCTGTGACACTGGCCCAGGCTCACCAGTGCCTTCTCTTTCCTCTGCAGGGGACCATGGCTTTCCGGGCTCCTCAGGACCCAGGGGAGACCCTGGCTTGAAAGGTGATAAGGGGGATGTCGGTCTCCCTGGCAAGCCTGGCTCCATGGATAAGGTGGACATGGGCAGCATGAAGGGCCAGAAAGGAGACCAAGGAGAGAAAGGCAAGTCCAGGAGGCTTCTCATGGCCAAGCTCGGAACCACAATGTGCCTTTCCTGGGTTATCGGGTCCTCCATAAATAATAACCAAACCAACCTGCGTTTCTGCAGCAACTTGCTTGCAAGCAAATGCGGGTCATTGCTATTTTCTTCTCTGATGTGTAGGACAAATTGGACCAATTGGTGAGAAGGGATCCCGAGGAGACCCTGGGACCCCAGGAGTGCCTGGAAAGGACGGGCAGGCAGGACAGCCTGGGCAGCCAGGTACAGTGTGGAGCTCCGGTCCCCAGTGTGGCAAGGGCTCAGGATGAGGCCTGTGTTCCCCAGCTCTTTCTGTAGATGTCAACCTGTCAGACTGCTTTCTTTATGGTTCTAGGACCTAAAGGTGATCCAGGTATAAGTGGAACCCCAGGTGCTCCAGGACTTCCGGGACCAAAAGGATCTGTTGGTGGAATGGGCTTGCCAGGTAAACTGGATTTAGAAGAGGATTCTTTAGCATGTGTGCGTGTGATACTGGTAGGGCATGTCTGCAGAATGAGATCCTCTTCAGCTGAGACGGACAGAATCCAGGCACGTGTGTCTTTCACATGAATTCACATCCCCAGCTCTGAATGGTCTCCTGCTCAGGGATGGATGACATTTGGCTGACAGAATGGCCATTGCTAAGAAAACTCACCATCTAATGGAATAAAACATGGGCTGTATACAGTCAACTTTTGATGATCTCCAAGTGACCATCCCCTTGTCTAGGATCTCCCTAAGAGACGACGGCTTCTCCATCCAGGCTTGTCAGCCTGAGTAGCTTATGGCTCCAGAGCCCTTTGTGTTAGTTCAGAAGAATTCTCCGGACTCCTCTGCTCCAATCCCGGACTAGCCTTAATGCTTTGCCATCAGTGTCTATTGTAGTGAGAGCAGCCGGGAAGAGGAGGAGAGTGCGGGAAGGGCTGGGTGGTGATGGTCCTCAGAGCTCACTCAGAAAGGGGGAGAGTTCAGATGGGAAGCCCATCTTTCCATCTCCTCTTGAGTCTTGACCAGGTGCTGTTATCACTTTAATTAAAATATAAGCATCTAGATTGCTGGTCATGCCTATGTGTGAATAAGCCTGGCTACCAGCATGCATCACAGAACCGAGTGTGCACAGACTCCGGCCTGCCCGCCTCATAGTCCCTGTGACGTCTGGCTGATGAGAGCTGGCTGTATAATAAAGAACATAAGATCCATTTTTATTCTGTTGAGAAAGTAAATATTCTAGGTAGTTAATGTATTTCTTCCCTGTCTTATAACATGATGGTCTTAAAGGACGGGAGAGACATTTCCTAGCGTGGCTCTGATGTGATCTGGGTGACTGACGTGTTCTGGGTCATGAGCCGATTGATACATGAGGGATGTGCATTCTTGTATCTCAATCTTGGCTGGTTGTGGGGGATTCACGTTCTTGTATCTCATTCTTGGCTGGCTGTGGAGGCACTTTTTCATTTGTAATACCAGCACTAGCTAAGCCCAAATCAAGTTTCAATTGTTTGTGTTTATAGGAACACCTGGAGAGAAAGGTGTGCCTGGCATCCCTGGCCCACAAGGTTCACCTGGCTTACCTGGAGACAAAGGTGCAAAAGGAGAGAAAGGGCAGGCAGGCCCACCTGGCATAGGCATCCCAGGGCTGCGAGGTGAAAAGGTAACCAGCGCTCTGCGTGGAAAGGTCCCCTTCTCCCAGCTCAGTGGAGATGCTGCCTGAGAAATGCTCAGCAAATATCTCAGCACACTCAATGAGCCATAACACACAGGGAGTCCCATAAGGCAGCACAAGTCGCCTCTCCTTCCCCTTGTATTCACTACCTCTCCCCCAAGGAAGAATCTAGAGACTGGTGAGAGGCTAAGGTGGGAGACAGCTGTCAGTGGGATAAAACAGAGAGGATGGAGGACGAAGAGGAATGGCAGGTAGAAACCAGATGGTTGGCTCTACTGCTCTTAAGTTTTCCTCTCCATTCAGAAGTGGACTTTGATTCTTTGATGAGAAATCTGGAAATGGAGTTTTGCAATGCAATATTCATTGCACCAAAATGTATACCATTATCTATAACATGCCTACAGATGCATGCCCATGGACAAATGTAAAGTTAATATGCCTGACTTTTACTTGCAGGGAGATCAAGGGATAGCGGGTTTCCCAGGAAGCCCTGGAGAGAAGGGAGAAAAAGGAAGCATTGGGATCCCAGGAATGCCAGGGTCCCCAGGCCTTAAAGGGTCTCCCGGGAGTGTTGGCTATCCAGGTAGGTGAGGGGGGCTTCTCTTGGACTTGGGGAATCTAAGAAATCAAAGAAAAGCCCAAACTTATGGATGTTCTGGTGTTTTGTTTTTTTCTTTAGGAAGTCCTGGGCTACCTGGAGAAAAAGGTGACAAAGGCCTCCCAGGATTGGATGGCATCCCTGGTGTCAAAGGAGAAGCAGGTAGAGGGCCCTCTTTGGGACACAGCCCGGGCACATAGAGAACAGTGGCCAGGGGATGGGAGGCCCCAAGGAGTTCCCATCACAGACGGGGAGCAGGGAGGCCAGCTGTCCTGTCTCCCATCTTCAGATGGGCAAACTGAGTCTAGTGCAGGTTACAGGATCTTTCTGAGGTCTTGTCACTAGCAGGATCTAGGACCTAAATCTCCAAACTGTTTTTGTGGCCATCATGGAGTTTTTGTCACCAGCTTTTGAGGGTCAGGGTTTGGTGGTGTTGCTGAAAGCACGCAGGGTCCTTTCTGAAGGGAAGTCAGAACTGACCTCAGGAAAACCAGGTGTGCTTGGGAGGGAACAGCTCCCTTAAAGGATGTCAGCAAAGGGCCATTTTGTATGGCAGCTAGGGTGCTGTGAGAGGTTATGCGGGTGTCTGATGTGACTTTTCTCTTTGAGGTCTTCCTGGGACTCCTGGCCCCACAGGCCCAGCTGGCCAGAAAGGGGAGCCAGGCAGTGATGGAATCCCGGGGTCAGCAGGAGAGAAGGGTGAACCAGGTATGGCCCAACGCCCCATTCCCTATCAGAATCAGCAGTGTCCACTCCCAGAGACCTGCAGACTGCCTGTGTTCAGTGAATAAAGCTGGGCACAGAATGGCCCCTAGACTGCACATCCCTGCAACTACTTAAACACTGATGTGGATGTGTGGAGTAGAGTGGGATGAGTGGAGGGGAAGAAGGGAAGGGGTATTTATTATCCCATAAATACTGAGGGCATCTTCCCCTGAAATAACCTGAGCTCTCAGTGGTGAGTCAGAGACACATAAAATACCTGCTGTTAGAACACTTTCCATTTCCCTTGTGGTTGCTATGACAAAACAAAGCAAAGCAAAACAAAACTCTTTTCTTTGCCCAGCATTTCCCCATTTGAGGGGAAATGGTTGGAAATATTGGTTGGCCCCTGAGTCTGCTCCTGTCACTGGTGGGCTTTAACTTGGCCATAACTTGGACAAAAGTGCAGGTGTGATGATGACAATCACATACACAGTAATATTTGTATTTAATGCAAGAGAGAGATAAACACACCATTTGAAGCAGGTTACCCCTGACTTGGGGGGACACTGGGAGGACCACCAAGAGCATCCACAGCTATTGGTGCTGGCTTTCTTTTCATTTTTTTCATTCCATAACTTTATATTCTATACATTTGTTTTTCTATACAAACAATTCATAAAAATACCCCTGCACTCCTTTCCCCCGATTTGAATCTTCCCTCAAGCCCTTTGCTGACGTTTGTCATCTCCCCAGCATCTGCTGCCCCAAATCTCTTTGGCTTTCCCCACCTCCCTGAGAATAGCAATTAGTGGATGGTTGTCTGAGAATCCCATTTGCTTATCTCCAGACGGCAGCAGGAAACAAATACTCATTTGCACAGATCATTTGTGCTAAATGCCGTGGTGGTTCTGAGCTGAAAGGTACTTAGGAAAAAGTACTAAATTAGGAACATTCAGTCAAGGGTATCTTATAACTGTAGGAATATCATTTTATTACAAGGGTGCAATTAACTAATATCTATGTACTCCACAATATACGTAGTATTATTGCAGAGTTGATAGTGCTTTGTGTTGTACCTGCAGATGGATTGTTTAAGTAAAGAGAAACGTGGCATTTTACCCTCATCTTATAGGTCTACCAGGAAGAGGATTCCCAGGGTTTCCAGGGGCCAAAGGAGACAAAGGTAATCTTTGCTCACTGTGCTCTTCCTTTTCAACCAACCGCTGCTGCCTGATTAGCAGAACAAGGGGCAGTGTCTTCAGGATGAAGCCCCATGCCTGTTGGCCAGGCAGCAACGGGATGGAGGATGGGTGCTGAGCCCAGAGGGCAATGCCTGCAAGACACATGTGGTTCCCTTCTAATTAATGGATCAAAATGGCGTGCAGTACACTCATGATCAGAATTATCTTTTACTTGGACTAATTTTGTAAAAATCCAGCAGAGAGGCGAGACCCCTGTCATTTTTATGCCTAGAAGGTCATCAGAATATTGAAATTCTGACTTTCTAGAACTGGTTATACTTATGTGAATGCAGGACAGTATGTAGCACACACCACGAGACAAAAACATGCCCTGCGCAGCCACGATGTGCTCAGTACTAAGTGCAGCTGAGAGTTGGCCAGGAGCTTGGGAAGGCAGTCTCTTCTCTCAGAGAGCTGAGCATTTCATGGGAAAGCAAAGGGGACACAGAAAATACAAGGCATGTGAGCTGCACGACACTGAAGAGAAGCCACAGGTGGCCGCAGCCAGGAGCTCACACACAGCATCCATGGGCATGCTTATGGCCCGTGGCTGGGCTGGCTGAGTGATCCCACTCAGTGGGAGGATTCAGAAAGCCCTGGAAGGCCTTGGACTTCAGCTGAGAAGGAGCAGGGGCACGGAGGTGTTGTTTCTCCCACCCCCTGGTTCTCCCCGAGACCAGCCCAGAGTGTTTCCTTGGCAGGCATGTAGTCTGACACTGGGAACCCCTGGGTTGAGAAGGATGGCCTGGTGCCGGGTGGGCTGCCTTGGGAATGGACACTTCCCTCTCCCTTAACTCACAGAATCCCTCAAACACAGAGCCCCTTGCAAATGCACCTGCTCAAGGGGTCGCTGTGGGCTGTTCCTGCCCTGCCTTTCCTACCTTGCCATGTGATCCCGCACACTCCTTTGGACATGCTGCACTGCCCTTGCACAAACTCTACGCAGCACCTTGCGTTTTCCACTCATTGCTGTGTGAAATAGCAGGGAGAATCCCCAGGAGAAGAGAATCCCAAATGACCACTTTAGGTCTTGACCCTATTTCATTCCCTTTTCCTTTGTTTTGGAAATAACCTTAGAATTTTGGCATTTTTATTGGTAAGATTTGGATACTATGTTTAAAACTAAACATAGAATTTCTTTTTCCTACAAGCTGTTACTTTTTAATTTTTTAAACCTGCTCTATTGAAGTTTCACTGACAGGTCATAAACTACAAATATTTAAAGTGGACAATTTGATAAGGCTGACATAGGTCTACACCATGAAAACATCCCCACATTCTAGATAGCAGGCAAAGCCTTCCCCCAAAAGTCTCCTCCGTGGCTTCATAATCCCCCCCTCCTGCCCTCTCCCCATTCCCCAAGCAACCGTCCATCTGCCTTCTGGTCCTCTAGGTTAGTTTGCATTTTCCAGCAGTTTACAAAAATAAAACCATACACTTCGTAGTCTTTTCAGCCTGACTACTCTCCCACGACATAATTCGTTTGAGATCCAGCCCAGTGGTTGCTCACTTCTTTCTATGGCTGAGTAGTGTCCCACTGCATGGATATAACATGATTGGCTTGTCCAGCCCATTCATGTGCTGATGGAGTGAGGCTTTCGTTTAGCAGTGCAGTTGCTGCAGATGTCTTTAAACACAATTCAGATGCCTTTGCCATAGAACACGTCTCGTGAGAAGTATGAAAACGATAGCTGGGTTCCTAGCATTCTGAGCTCTTTTTCCAGCCAGGCCATGGTCGGATTCTAGTGTGTTATTAAAGAGAAGGAGGGATCGGAGCCCTTGCTGCAGTTTCCTGTGGTGTCCCTGGAAGCTCCCTCTGAGCGGTACCTACAGGATGAGGCACGCCTCATCCCATCTCTGCCGTCCACGCTGGAGATTACTGTTCTGCTGCTGCGTTTCCCATCACCTCAAACTGTTTTTCTTGTTCAGGTTCAAAGGGTGAGGTGGGTTTCCCAGGATTAGCCGGGAGCCCAGGAATTCCTGGATCCAAAGGAGAGCAAGGATTCATGGGTCCTCCGGGGCCCCAGGGACAGCCGGGGTTACCGGGATCCCCAGGCCATGCCACGGAGGGGCCCAAAGGAGACCGCGGACCTCAGGGCCAGCCTGGCCTGCCAGGTAAGGGCATCTCGCCAGGGGCCAGGGCTGAGGACTGGGACAGAATTCACAAAAGGAAATAGCGTAAAAGAAATAGTTAAATTCTCAATTGGGCTTTTTTATTTAGAAGTCTGCAGCATTTATTACAGCTTGAAATTGTGTTTGGCCCCCATCGAGTCAAAGCTTTTCTTGTATCCTTTCTGTCAAGGAATTTAAGTAATTAGGGAGATGCAAGAAAGGAAATGATTGGACAAGCCTGGACTCGTGCCCCGTCGGTGGCGTTGGACTTAAACCAGCGCAGCACTTGGGCCCACTTGTGGGTTCTGGTGAAGACCCCCGTAGTGGTAGCACAGATGCCCGGGCACCACTGACCGCAGGCCATTTTGGACACGGAGACAGTGGCATTTCTATGTCTGTCCTTCCTTCCTTCCTTCCTTCCTTCCTTCCTTCCTTCTTTCCTCCCTTCCTCTCTCCCTCCCTCCTTCCCCTCCCCTCCCCTCCTCCCTCCCCTCCTTCCTCCCTCCTTCCCTCCCTTCCTTCCTTCCCAGACCTTCCTCAATTTCTGTCTCAAGGGTTCACATTGTCGGTCCAGTGTTTTATCAGAGATAGTAGTGTTTCTATTCCCTCCCTCCCTCCCTCCTTCCTTCCTTCCTGGACCTGCCTCGATTTCTGTCTCAAGGGTTGTCACTGTTGGTCCAGTGTTGTATCAGTGAGGGGCCGTGGGTGGCAGTATTGATAGCCCCACAGCCCAGGGACACTTGTGCATATTTAACCCCAAATGTGTGGCTTTCTTCTCTTCCATTAGGACTTCCGGGACCCATGGGGCCTCCAGGGCTTCCTGGGATTGATGGAGTTAAAGGTGACAAAGGAAATCCAGGCTGGCCAGGAGCACCCGGTGTCCCAGGGCCCAAGGGAGACCCTGGATTCCAGGGCATGCCTGTGAGTTATTGATTTGTAGATTTTTATTTTTAAAGGAGTCTTTTCTGGCCAGAAGTATTCATATGTGTCTATGTGTGTATGTATTTTGTGTATGTATATATATGTGTGTGTGTGTGTGTGTGTGTGTGTGTTACACTCCCACATCCCCACTAAATCAGTTCTTTCTTTCTTTCTTGCCAGTAACCCACATCTTTATTGGCATCAGAGTAGGAAACTATTGTAACATTTTTTTACAATCCAGTTTTCCAAGAACCATAAAAGGGAAATGTTATACTGCTGGAAATTATGGCTCAATGCCTAAATTTAAGACCTATTTACAAACTCAATGTAAAAAGCAAGCCAATGTTGTTTTGCAGAGAACAATTCTGTAAAACTAGCCCAGCCATCTCTTAGGACTGGCAGGAGGACAGGGAATTGCAGTTGAACAGTTCAAGTCATAAAAGATAACCAGCAATATTCCATCTTTCTTTACTGACCTGATCCAGATACAGAGTCTAAGTGGTGACTTAGACAAGCCTTCAGAAGAGCACATCTCAGGGTGCAATAAGTGACCAGCAGCCTTGTGTATTTCTGTGTGTGTGTGTGTGACTTTGGCTCTTTGCTGCACCTGAATATATAGCCCTTCTTAGTGGTGGTCATGGATCTTTGGTTTGATTTTTAGCTTAACCATGTCCATGGCTAAAGGATTGTGTTTACGTGGCTCGCTCATTCAAATAGCTGGATTAGCAGAGCTTTATTCTCTGTGTCTGTCTCTCTGTTTCCTCTATCTGTCTCCATCTGTCTGTCTCTCTGTCTCTCTCTAACACACGTTAGGAGAAAGAGAGAGTATATCAGGGGAGATCATGAATAGGAGGGATTTGAGACAGACCTCTGCAGTTATGTTGGAGCAAGCGGGGTTCTTCTGTAAGTCAACACATGTTCTCCCTTAAAGGGAAAGCTTTGAACTGCTCATCAGCAGCAGAGACATATCTTAGAGTCATCAGACTACTTTCTCAAGGATGGATACAGAATAGCTAAGCTTGCTGGGTGCAAAACAATACGTGGTGCTGATTTACTTCTGAATCAGTAAGTTATGAAATGCTTATAAATAATTATGCAGAACTGGCTATAAGGAGTAGCAACAGTCATGTTTACCCATTCCTTGTCCTCAAAGCTGTGTATATCTCCACAGTATAGCAAATGTGTATGTGAATGTATTTTTGGGCCCCTATTGCTATATTGCAGTTTTCCAGTAATGTAAGCCTAGGTAATTTGTCAAATATTTATGTATTCTCATTTTTATTCCTCAGTAACATAGAAATATACCCCATTCCCGGCTGGGCCTGGTAGCTCACGCCTGTAATCCTAGCACTTTGGGAGGCCGAGGTGGGCAGATCACCTGAGGTGGGGAGTTCGAGACCAGCCTGGCCAACATGGCAAAACCCTGTCTCTACTAAAAATGCACAAGTTAGCATGGTGGCTCATGCCTGTAATCCCAGCCACTTGGAAGGCTGAAGCAGGAGAATTGCTTGAACCTAGGAGGCAGAGATTGAAGTGAGCCGAGATGGTGCCACTGCACTCCAGCCTGGATGACAGAGCGAGACTCTGTCTCAAAAAAAAAAGAGGAAGAAAAAGAAATACACCCCATTCCTGGTGCCAGTCAGTGTCTGTCTGTCTCTGTATACATACTTATGTATAAATATGTGTTTGTATATATGTTTATATACATATATATTTGTTCATGTTATTTTGGTTTGACACTTTTAAAATAAGGCTAAGAAACAAATCTACGTAAGAAATAAAACAACTTGTTACATGTTGCTGTCCACGACTTGAGAAAGGAACGACTTGTTGAAATGGAAAGAAAATGAGCCCCTATTTTAAAATACACGAATATTGCCACAGTATAAAGGAAAATACTCGTTCCTTAGCATTTCTTAATTTTCTTTGCATATTTAAAATCAGTTTTCAGATAAGACATGAAACTAATTCTAAAGAAAACTGATTGCACTTGAGGATTAAGGGGAAAGTTTTCAGAAAAGCTCGTTGGCTGGTGCTGGATGGCTATGTTGCCGTCACAGGTGTTGAGGGGGCCCTGGCTCTGTCTATGGCATCGTGCTGTGAGCTGGAGGTGGCAAGGGCAGGACATTTGCCTGCTCCTCAGGCGCTTCCCCTGTGGATGGACAAGCAGAGGAGATACATGGGAGGGAAACAAATGCTTCTACTTTCCAGCTTCCCGATTGAGGCACATGCAAAGGTGTTGTTATTCTGTCATTTAAGAAACCACAAGGCACCATTTGTTCACAAATGTGCTTTCCAGAACATTGAGGGGCTGTTTCCATTTTCCAACTAGCAGGTTACTGGAGAGACTTAACCTACATATCCTGAGCAATTCCCAACCTCCTCTTTGCGTGTCTAGGGTATTGGTGGCTCTCCAGGAATCACAGGCTCTAAGGGTGATATGGGGCCTCCAGGAGTTCCAGGATTTCAAGGTAAGACAGCACAGACCTTGCTGCACAGCCTTTGCAGCAGCAGACGCTGTGTGAAGAGCTTGCTAACCTCGGGCACCTTAGCACTGATAGCACCGCTGCCATTATAGCACGAGATACTGTTCTCTTCAAATTAAAAATGGCATTTCTGTGTGGCAGCCCAATTTGTATAATCTTATGGATGCCAGTGTAAAGACATTCTGATTTTCTTATTAAGAATCAGTGGATCATTAATATCTCAATAAGAAGTCATGGATTTGGGCTATTCATTAATTTATTCATATATTAAACACACATTTTTGGGCTGCTTACCAGCTCCCCAGGCACTGCAGTTTTTACTGCTGAGTCAGATACACGTGAAAGGTGAATAAAACAGGTCGCAGCCTCAAGGTGTCTTGTGGTCCAACTGGGGACATGTGTGAATCAGATCGGGACCAAAAACAGTGCCCTATGCCCCTCCACTAGTTGGATCATTTTACAGTTGGCTGCATGCTTATAAAAATGTAGCTTCTGGGTTCTAGAAAAAAGAGTTTCATTAAAAGTTTTACACACGTGACCAGAAATAATGCTGTTTTCTTCCTTGAAGATAAATTGGAAATTTGTTCACTGTCTATGTGTGCATATATGTGTATATATGCATATATGTGTGTATATGTATGTGTATATGTATGCATGCATAAGCAGGTGTATGAATGTGTATATATGGGTATGCATATATGAGTATATGTGTGTGTATATGCATTTATCTATACATTTGTGTACATGTATGTGTGTGCACTAGAGAGAGATATATACACACACATATTTGTATATCATTGGGAATTCTGTGCAAGACAGTGCTTTCCCTCTGCTTTTAGGTCCAAAAGGTCTTCCTGGCCTCCAGGGAATTAAAGGTGATCAAGGCGATCAAGGCGTCCCGGGAGCTAAAGGTAGGAGAGTTTGTTGATCTGTGGACACCTTACTGGTGCTTTGTGAAAATGTAAAAGCCAGGAATGCACAGAATTGGGGTGTTTGGTTTTTCATATGTGAAATGACTCAAAAATCATTAAAAACAATTGATAGGGAATTCTTTGCAGCAAGTCAAGATTCCTGTAGTTGACATTTTAACCAGCGACTTGTCTGAAAGTAGAATCTGATAAATCCAGGACTGAGGGAACTCCAGGGGAGGGGTGGCCGAGGTTCTCACTGACAGGCTCAGAATTCAGAAACTTCCCAAGGCTCTCAAGTTAGCCTGAAATCAACCACTGAAAGTTATAATAGGAAAGAAAATCAATCTTGCACTTAGAGACGGAGTGCATTCCTGCTGCACAGTAAAGAATTCTTCCTGGGAAAGGTGCTGTTGGCTTCTCCACCGGTGGGAGCCTACAGCATGAAAGTCGCCGAAAACCACATCATCTCAAAAGGGAATGGTTTAAGCACAGTATTCATCCTGCTTCCTCTTTACAGCAGACCATACTTCTAGGGCATCATTTAATTTTCCAAACCATGTTTTGGGAGAGAGAATGAGAAACCACATGCCCTGAGAAGTGGAACCCAAGGAAGGAGAGGGGAGGGAGGGTGTGTGGAAGGTGAGGGAGGGTGTGTGGAAGGGGAGGGAGGGTATGTGGAAGGGGAGGGAGAGTTGAGGGTATTGGGCTGAAAACGGGGAGGCTGAGGGGAACTCGCACTTTGTGTGGTTCTTACCACATGCCAAGACTTGCCATGCAGAAGAAGGATTAAGTTCATTCGTCACTCAAAGATCAGGACCAGTGTGATACTATACAGTAAGGCAGGTTTCAGATGAGTGTGGGAAAAATGTCCTAATCGCAGAGTGGCACTCTCCACGTCAGAAGCGGGGGCTGCTTGGGAAGAACAAGCTTCTCTCCCTGCTGGGAGGGCTGGCATGAGGCTGCAGGGCAGTTGTCAGGGGTCCCAGAGCCCAGAATGCAGTGGGAAGTTACGCTGATGCCCCAATGCCTTTGCCCGAGAGTTCAGGATTTCAGGTTAAATAATAAAGATGTGCAGATTGGACATGTTTTGTGAAGATCTGATTACCTGGGTTTTGATAATGACTTTACCTTTGAGAAGTACGTTCCATTTGGATAGCTTCACCCGGGATTCTCCTTCTAAAGTTGTTTCCGCCCCAGTATGTGGACAGTGAAATTGATCAATGCCTTCCCTATTCCCACAGGTCTCCCGGGTCCTCCTGGCCCCCCAGGTCCTTACGACATCATCAAAGGGGAGCCCGGGCTCCCTGGTCCTGAGGGCCCCCCAGGGCTGAAAGGGCTTCAGGGACTGCCAGGCCCGAAAGGCCAGCAAGGTGAGAAGGCTTGGCCTGTGCAGGGCGGTATGGGGAGCCCAGAGGGGCAGTGGTCAGAGTTCCTCCTCACCCATGTATCTAAAATAAGTTTCTGGGTAATGATTATACACACACATATGAATATGAGTTTCTTACCTCCCTTCAATGCATATCAAAACCTATGACATTTTTAAAGGGACCTAAAAAAAATCCAGAAGAAAACCCAGGAAAAGCTAGAGGAACACATAACAACACATCTGTGTTCAGTTAGAAAAACATGGGCTCAAAGAACCAGATCATTACCTTTCCCCCTCCTGCCTCCCGCTCCAGATGGGGGTGGCATGTAGCAATCTGGAATGGTAAAAATCGGTGCTCTCCATCCATGCCCCCAGGAGCGCTGCCTGATTGGCACTGTCTGTACAATTCTCTGTTATTTCCTGAAACCCTAACATAGTCTTCTGCTTATTTGAGTGAAACATCTCCTATTTGAAGAGCTACTGATAAGGAGTGGGTGGGAAGTAAAGGAGAATGAAAACATTTTAAAGTTGAAAGCATCAAAGAAAATTTAATGATACTTAAGAATAAGCTAGCCAGGCTCACTGGGTCACACCTATGTAATGCCGGCTTTTTGGGAGGCTGAGGTGGGAGGATCACTTGAGCCCAGGAGTTCAAGACCAGCCTGGGCAACATAGGGAGAGTCTGTCTCTACAAAATAATAATGATAAAATTAGCCAGGTGTGGTAGTGCATACCTGTAGTCCCAGCTACTCGAGAGGCTGAGGTAGGAGAATCGCTTGAGCCCGGGAGGTCGAGGCTGCAGTGAGCGGTGGTCACACCACTGCACTCCAGCCTGGGTGACAGAGCGAGACCCTGTCTCAAAAAAAAAAAAAAAAAAAAAAGAGAGAGAGAAAGAAAGAAGAAGAACAAGCTATGTACATGAAAACAAAAAAACTATCCATGTTGGTATATCTGTTGCCTAAAAATTGAGACCCCAGTATATGGCTGAGAGGGAAAGTTATCCAGTCTCTCATTCCCTCCACATCACCTGCCTTTTCCAAACCAATCTGCCAAACAGCAAGAAACCAGGGAGAACTCAGAACGAGGTGCCCAAACACACACCCCCTTATGAATATCCAGCTGCTTCTGCAAAGTCTGTACTCGACTTTGTGGGAAGCAACTCCTGGCTGTCCGAGAAAACGTTCTCATCTGCAGTGAGACTTTATGCTTGGCTCCTTGAACACTGAAAAGGACATTTAAGAAGGGAAGAAAGAGATACAGCTTACTGCCATACAGGATCATAAATTATTTTTCCTCTGCCTCAGGTGTTACAGGATTGGTGGGTATACCTGGACCTCCAGGTATTCCTGGGTTTGACGGTGCCCCTGGCCAGAAAGGAGAGATGGGACCTGCCGGGCCTACTGGTAGGTTGCGAAACTTCCAACGTAATTACCCTTGACCAGGATCTTTGGGATAGAAGGAGCAGAACCAGGCATGGGGAAACAGCAGAATGAAGTTGGATATATCACTTGACAGATTTCCGAAGAAGTCTGTTTCTTAGAAGAAATAGAATCAAATAGAAGAGCTGAAGAAGTGTTCTTTTTTCTGTGTAGAGACAGATATTGATCAAAGTGTACGTTTCCCAGATGTTGTTGAAAGGCAGCCAATAGTGGTGGCCCATGTGGTTTCCTAAGTGGGATGTGAGCTGCAGCTGTGAAAATTCTATTTCAGCAAAGGACAAGGGAAGTAGAAATGAAAATAATGCCAGCATTGGCCCAAAGGCATGGGATGAACTTGATCTGCTTCCTTAGGAGAAGGCACACTCGAGTGTCCGGTGAAGGCTATGATGCAAAAGGCTGAGGCCACTGACTAATTGAACAAAGAGCTCAGCCCAGCAGACCTGGGCACAGTTTGGCACGTGGCACAGTTAGAGAGGGGACAGAAGCAGGCCTTGCCTGCGAGGTCCCTTACTGCTCCATTTCCATACGCAGGCTTTGGGCTGCTATGGAGGAAGAAACACCTTAAGATGAGGTTGTTTAATAATTCTATGATAGTCCTCCCCAACAGGAGCCCCACGATTCCGTGTGAATGACATGCACAGAGTCACGTCATTCATTTATTTTCATTTATTCATATATCCATTTTCATATGTGTCATATATTCATTGAACTAAATTGTTCAAGCATCTGCTCTGCACCGAGAACTGTGCTTATAAAAATATCTTGAGGTGGCAGGTAAAAAGAAAAAGTTAAGACACCATGAAGGAGGTAGGCTGCTGTATTTAGTTAGCCATGCATTCTTTTTAGACTTTTTTGGTAACATGAATAGGTAGGATACTTTGTGGAAATATAAAATATTAAAAACTCTTT
This sequence comes from Homo sapiens, assembly GCF_000001405.40. Lineage (NCBI taxonomy): Eukaryota > Metazoa > Chordata > Mammalia > Primates > Hominidae > Homo > Homo sapiens. The sequence goes on along the minus strand of NC_000013.11, from coordinate 110,162,517 downwards.
GGAGAAAATGATTTTGAAAGCCTTTAGGGGAGCGTGTTTGTAATTAGGGAAACTAATTTGTCTCCTATCTTCCAGGTCCAAGAGGATTTCCAGGTCCACCAGGCCCCGATGGGTTGCCAGGATCCATGGGGCCCCCAGGCACCCCATCTGTTGATCACGGCTTCCTTGTGACCAGGCATAGTCAAACAATAGATGACCCACAGTGTCCTTCTGGGACCAAAATTCTTTACCACGGGTACTCTTTGCTCTACGTGCAAGGCAATGAACGGGCCCATGGCCAGGACTTGGGTAAGAAGCCTGCAGATCCATGCATTCATTCAGTGTAGGTGTGTTGAGTGCCTTCGGTGTGCAGTGCTGGACTCGCCTCTGCTGCTGCAGTGAGGGCAGTAGCGAGTGAAACACTGCGCCATGAGGGCGGTAGCCAGTGAAAAAGCAGCCCGGCCCCATTTCCCTCCATTGATTACAAATAATCGGTTCAACAGCTGCTGTATTACTAATGGCAAGCCAAGAAATGTGGAGACTGAATCTTCGAAAATCTTTAAATTAATAAAACTTTAGATCTCATCTTCAAATTATCAAGTAGGATCAAGATTCCTGGAGTGCACTTAACAATTTGCATTGATGCGGCTTAACCATTGCTCTTTGTAAAAAAAAAGGTCCATGTTATCCTGTCTGAAATTCTCTACAGCTGCTGAGCTCTGCTCCTCTAGTTTAGATCAGCAGAAAGCTACATATCTGTCCTCATTATCTTAATCTGACCCAGATATCCTCCACCAAACTGTGTTTTAATTTTCTCTGCCTTTAACTTTTATCAGGGTTAGAATCAGCAAGCTGCTATAGAAAGAGCATCTGCATTTTCTGCAAAACTGTTGTGAAAGACATTGCCCAATTTGTTACTATCCATCGTATAACGAACCATGTGTTAAGTTCCTTCTAGAATTCAGCTTTAGGAAAAGGTTTCTTTGTGCTGGTAAACTGGTTTTGTTTCCTTTCATCAAAAATGTCCTACATAATCCTTTATACATTTCCATTTCAGTGATTATGTTGATTATATGTTTTTGCTTGTTGTCCAGCTGAAATCCACTTTACATAGAGATAGATTGTGAATTATAAAGGAAACATCTCACATTGTCTTCTTCCTTGTCTAGGCACGGCCGGCAGCTGCCTGCGCAAGTTCAGCACAATGCCCTTCCTGTTCTGCAATATTAACAACGTGTGCAACTTTGCATCACGAAATGACTACTCGTACTGGCTGTCCACCCCTGAGCCCATGCCCATGTCAATGGCACCCATCACGGGGGAAAACATAAGACCATTTATTAGTAGGTGAGTCGAGCATCTGTAGGAACAAATGCAAAATTGAAGAGGAAAAGTCTCTAGTCTGGACAAGCATATGTTTTCTATTTTTCTCCAAAACGTTGAATCCATTGCCATTTAGCTTATTATTTGTGATATTCGAGTTTTGTAATGGAAATCTACCATAAAAATTATTTGACATAAAAGTCAGTTGGCTGGGCACAGTGGCTCATGCCCGTAATCCCAACACTTTGGGAAGCCGAGGCGAGAGGGTTGCTTGAGCTCAGGAGTTCAAGACCAGCCTGGGCAAGATGACGAGACTTCATCTCCACAAAAAATACAAAAGTTAGCTGGGCGTGGTGGTGTGAGCCTGTGGTCCCAGCTACGAGGGAGGCTGAGGTGGGAGGATCACTTAAGCCTGGGATGTTGAGGCTGTAGTGAACTGAGACCACACCACTGCACTCCTGCCTGAGCAACAGAGTGAGAACCTGTCTCAAAAAGAAAAAAGAGTCAGCTATTCTCTTTTAAAATTGTGGTGCAAAACCATGGTGAGATAATGCCAGGCTTGCAGAGATAATTTATATTTTGCCTGACTCACTGTGGTGGTTGCCTTTCCTCCTGTGAGCAAGGTGATGCCACTCGATTCTTCAGCAAGCGTTGGAACAGTGTTGCTCAATCTTTCTTTTTAAAAAGTAACAGCTTCCCCAAGGAGCCTTTTAAGACATTGTTTTCTGAATCATCCCTGCCCCTATGAATTTTTTTTTTTTTTTTTGAGACGGAGTCTCGCTCTGTCACCCAGGCCGGACTGCGGACTGCAGTGGCGCAATCTCGGCTCACTGCAAGCTCCGCTTCCCGGGGTTCACGCCATTCTCCTGCCTCAGCCTCCCGAGTAGCTGGGACTACAGGCGCCCGCCACCGCGCCCGGCTAATTTTTTGTATTTTTAGTAGAGACGGGGTTTCACCTTGTTAGCCAGGATGGTCTCGATCTCCTGACCTCATGATCCACCCGCCTCGGCCTCCCAAAGTGCTGGGATTACAGGCGTGAGCCACCGCGCCCGGCCCCCTATGAATTTTTTTAAAAGTTATTTTTAATTTTGGTAAAATGGACATAACATAACATTTACCATCTTAATAATTTTTCAGTGCACAGTGTAGTGGCATTAAGTACATTTGCAGTGTTGTTTTACCATCACCGCCATCCGTCTCCTGAACTTTTTTATTTTCCCAAACTCAAACTCTGTCCCTGTTAAACACTGACTCCACATCCCTCCTGCCAGCCTCTGGTGACCCCCCATTCTACTTTCTGTCCCTGTGAATTTGACCCCCGTAGACACCTCATGTAAGTGGAATCATACAGTATTTTTCCTTTTGTCACTGGCCTGTTTCACTCAGCATAATGTCCTCAGGGTTCATCTATATTATAGCATGTGATAGGATTTCTTTCCTACTTAGGGCCAAATAATATTTCATTGTGCATAGGTGCCACGTTTTGTTTCTCCATTCCTCTGTCACTGGACACTTAGGTTTTGTCCACACCTCAGCTATTGTGAACAATGCTGCTATGAACATGGGTGTGAAAATATTTCTTTGAGAGCCTGCTTTTAATTGTTCTGGAGGTACACCCAGAAGTAGAATTGTGGGATCATGTGGTAATTCTATTTTTAGTTATTTGAGAAACCTCCATGCTGTTTTCCACAGTGGCCACACCCTTTACATTCCTGCCACAGCGCACAGGGTCCCAGTTGCTCCACGTCCTCACCAGCATGCGTTGTTTTCTGCGTTTTTGATAGTAGCCATCCCAATGGGTGTGAGGGGGCCCCTATGAAATCGTAATACCGCAGACATACTGTGTATCTCCTCTGTTTGTGTATTGTATGTATATCTGTGCTTTATACATAAAATTATACAGATTTATACATAAAAAGTTATACAATAATACACACACTCCCCAGTTCCACCAGTTTTTGCTCCCTTGGGTGATATTGTACCCATCGAAAATGCATGTGTTGGACTGAGCGATCTCCCTTGAGTGTTTATCCGCACTAATATCTGAAGTACGTTTTCAGGCCCCAGGAGCCTCCCTGATAGGAAGTAAGATGGAAAACTGAAATTATTACCACTGAAAATAACATGACTGTCCTCTCTTTGCCTCTTTCCTTCTAATTAAAAGTTTATTGCTGGCCAGGCACAGTGGCTCACGCCTGTAATCCCAGCACTTTGGGAGGCCAAGGCAGGTGAATCACCTGAGGTCAGGAGTTCGAGACCAGCCTGGCCAGCATGGCGAAATCCCATCTCTACTAAAAATACAAAAATTAGCTGGGTGTGGTGTTACATGCCTGTAATCCCAGCTACTCAGGAGGCTGAGGCAGGAGAATTGCTTGAACCCAGCAGGCGGAGGTTGCAGTGAGCCAGGATCGCACCATTGCACTCCAGCCTAGGCGACAAGAGCAAAACTCTGTCTCAAAAAAAAAAAAAAAAAAAAGTTTATTTCTTAGAAATATTCAGAAATAATAGGAAAGTGGCCAGTGAACAAATTCATTTGACTAAGAAGCTATTCCGTAATTTTACTTTTTACATATTAAGATAATGATAAAAAAAGATACAAAGTTTTTTATATTCCCTTTAAAGAAATCAGCAGTCTTTGAATATGAAGAAAGATGTAGCAGTATCAGGTAGGAAGTGCCCTACATTCAACAGAAAAGGGAAAAGGGAAGCAAATGCTTGGAGTCACCCCTGGAGCTCCTGCCCAGCTGCCCCAGGCTGTGCCTTTAGCCCAACTCCTTTCATTAGATGAACATGCCCTGTTTGGGGGAAGACCAGGGTTACGTGCCAGGCAATTCCTGGCAGATGACAATTTAGTGAGAGAGCTATGCCACGTGGGACCATGGACCAGAGGGCTGGAAGGTGCCTCCTATGTAGGAAAATCTTAGATCTTTGATCCCCTTACATTAAAATATCTACTGACAGTTTTCTTTGATTTTTTTTGAGCTATAAGAAAACTTATTTTATAGGTCTTAAAATGGAGAATATCATTCATTACACTTCCAGAATGGCACTTTTCAGAATGCAGGCAATACTTCACCTGTGTGAGTGGCTGCCAGATATTGACTGTTTTGAGACTTTTCTTGCTCAGAACCATGCCTGATAACTAGAAGGAAAAGTAACAACTTTTGTGGGTTTCTTTTTTTAGCTTCTTTTACACAACAGGTAGAAAAAGACTATTCATTGATAGGTTTCCTGTTTACTTTCTTGGCAATGTTGACATTTGACCTTGATTCAGAGCTCCTTGACAGGAGCTCTGGCATGCCCTGGTGGTAGTCCAAAAACAGGTCTCAGAGAAGCTGTGTGTCTGAGACCAGCATTTCTGTGTGATGCATTCCTCTCAGTAAAACACCCCTGGTCTTTGAGCACCAAGAGTCTAAGTCTCTGTATGTTTTGATCCTGAGATGAGCTTCTAAAGCCAACGGGGAGGTGCTAAACCTTAGAGTCTAAGCAATGGGGCACAGCATTTCCCACTTAACATGTCATTGGACCAGAAAGTCCTGAAATGTCCCAGGACTTTACATTTCCAGATTTTTATGTCTTCCTGTTAGTTGACACATCGAAGCTCAGCATGAAGGGACCTTCCCAGGCATGTACTTGAAGCTGCTGCTTTTGCATCAAGTCTGCCTCTACTTCCCTCTCGTAGAGAGGCTGCCCCTTTGTCCCTGTCTCTGAGCAAGCAGGTTTCCACGGTTACTGAACTTAGTGGTTTCCACGACTTCTCAGGACTTACAGGTTCCTTCTCAGCTCTTCCCTTTAGGGAGGTCCGAAAGCTAAATTTTAGAAACAGCAAATGACACAAAAGCCTTCGTTTTGAGCAGAAAAGGTGGCAGTTTTCCAGCTTTCATCCGATAGTAGGGCACAATTTTCTAAGTACTTTCTAGCTTTCTGCAGACAAGACTCACGAAATAAATACTGATTGCTAATTGCTCTGACGAAAAGACCGCTGGATTGAGAGCAAGGAGAACTGCATTTTCGTTCTGTCTTGGACACAACTAACCCTGGCCTTAGTTTCTTCATATGCAATATGGAGAATTTGGCCATGTGAATTTTAAGGAATCACACAGCTCTTTAAGCCTGCAATGGGGCAGGACCCTTGAATCCCTCAGCCCAGAGACAGTCTGAAAAAGACAAAACCCTTCCCTCCAGGCTGTATTTCTAGGTCTCGTGTCTAGCAAACAGATGGTGGCAGATGTATAAGGCCAATTTCAGTCACTGTTGTTTAACTGAACCTTTTAATTCATCTGCATTTGGGTGAATAAAATAGAAAATTGCACACACCACACATACACACACACACAGACAGACACACACACAAGTCCATGGAAAATCAAATGACTCATTCAGCCCTATTCCCCCTTCTGATCCACGTTCATGCAAATGTCCCAGTATAACTAGGTGTAATTATTGACACCATTTATAGTCATTTATCAGCATTGTTAACACTCTGTTCATTTTGTGACTTGAATGTAATTATTCACTGTTGACGTTTAATTTTTTTTTAAACAAAGCATTATCCCACCATCAAGGGTTCCCTTCATTGAGAGGGTCTTAGTCAGAACACTGTGCTGTTTTAATGTGTTTCTGGTGCAGTCCCAAGGCTGAGCTGAATCAGCCTGGCTTGGGAGGCATCCTGTCCTTGGGAGGGTCCTCTGGAGGTCACTTCAGCGGCAGTGGATGCTGACAGCCTTGGACCTTGGACATCTGAGCCAAGAGGGCAGACCAAAAAGACAAGTTTCCCGCAGGAGGCCCATGTGGACATTCAGCCTTAAGTTCATTAAAGCATGCATTATTTGTCTTAGTTACTCAACTCACTAAGTGCATTTCTTATACTAAAGATTATTAGTAGCTTCAAACTGTTGCATTCCAGAAGGAGTAGCTCTTGGATTTCACCAGCATTTTTTCTGAAGCATTTATTGTGCTTGTGGAAATACGTATGCATTGTTGAAAGATTGGAAAACACTCAAATGCCCAAAGAAGAAAAGTTGCCTGTAACCCCAGCCCCTCCAGGAGAGCCACTGTTAGAGCTTTGCCTTCCTATTTTCCCCTTCTACAAGACAGACAGTTAAATAACTCGTGTTGGATCTATTTTTTAAACAATATTTTAGGGGCAGGTCTCGCTATGTTGCCCAGGCCGTAGAGCAGTGGCCCACAGGCAGGCCGAGCATAGCTCCCTGCAGCCTTGAACTCCTGGCCTCAGGCAGTCCTGCCTCAGCCTCCCCAGTAGCCAGGACTACAGGCCTGTGTCCTGCTCTAATTTTTTTTTTGAGACGGAGTTTCACTCTTGTTGCCCAGGCTGGAGTGCATTGACACAATCTCGGCTCACTGCAACCTCCGCCTCCCAGGTTCAAGTGATTCTCCTGCCTCAGCCTCCCGAGTAGCTGGGATTACAGGCATGTGCCACCACACCCAGCTAATTTTTTGTATTTTTAGTAGAGACAGCGTTTCTCCATGTTGGTCAGGCTGGACTTGAACTCCTGACCTCAGGTGATCCACCCGCCTCGGCCTCCCAAAGTGCTGGGATTATAGACATGAGCCACCGCCCCCAGCCATCCTGCTCTATTTTTGAATTGAATGTTTTAATACTGAGACAGGCTTATAAAACCAACGGGGAGGTACTAAACCTCAGAGTCTAAGCAATGGGCACAATGTTTTCTACTTAATATGTAATTGGACCAGAAAGACTGAGTGAGGATGTTGAGTGTAGGTAACGGGGCAGTGCATGGAGGGCGGCCTCTGCCCTGCACCCCGGCTGTGCTGAGTGTCTCTGCTCCACTTCCAGGTGTGCTGTGTGTGAGGCGCCTGCCATGGTGATGGCCGTGCACAGCCAGACCATTCAGATCCCACCGTGCCCCAGCGGGTGGTCCTCGCTGTGGATCGGCTACTCTTTTGTGATGGTAAGTGTCTGGGGAGACGCCATATTTCCCGGGAAGAGCCCCACTCACGCCCCATAGTCGCCTCTGTCTGGTGCCTCCACACCTTGGAGTTCTCTGCATCTCGCTGCTTAAGCCCCTCCTTCTTCCTCCAACCATCCCCTTCCAAAGCATGCCTCAAAGCCTGGCCTGCCCTGCCTGGTGACAGCAGGGGTCTCCAGCACCAGCCAGAACCCTCCCCTGCTCACAGCCAAGGTAGCTGGGATGAGCATCTTCCTGGAAATGCAGGCCCAGGCCTCTGCTTCCCTGTGGCTGCTCCACTCAGGTGCTCTACGGGTCTGTTCCAGCACCAGCAATATGAACAGCTTCTCTATACAACCAGCTTCTCCATACAACCAGCTTCCCTATATGAGCAGCTTCTTCATATGACCAGCTTCTCCATATGACTAGCTTCTCTGTATGACCAGCTTGTTCATATGACCAGTTTCTCTATATGACCAGCTTCCATCTTTGAGCAGCTTCTCTATATGACCAGCTTCTCCATATGACTAGCTTCTCTGTATGACCAGCTTCTCCATATGACTAGCTTCTCTGTATGACCAGCTTCTCCATATGACTAGCTTCTCTGTATGACCAGCTTCTCTCTATGAGCAGCTTCTGTATATGACCGGTTTCTCTATATGAGCAGCTTCTCCATGTGACCAACTTCTCTATATGACCAGCCTCTTTACATGGAGTGGAGGCCTCTTTCAGGGAAAGGAGGAAGAGAGCCTCCACGTGGGGAGTACACATTCTACTACAACATGCACGAGCTTGAAAGCAGAAGCTTGAGTTAGGGAGAGAACACCCGAGGGCTGGCCGTGGCCTCCACGAAGGCCCTCCTGGGGCAGTGCCGCCTGGGACCCTTCCCAGAGGGCAAGGACTGCTCTCCTAGCCCCAGGGCTTCCCTTTCCCACAAAAGCCAACTGAAACAGAAAACAAGGCCCCTGTTTGATACACTCATTGTAGCTTATTTTATTCTATTACCCCAGTTGGCAGTATTGATTGAATATATACAAGCCGTGAACTTGTAAGATCAGAGTTATCCCGGAATTTGCCAATTCCCAGTAAATGACCCTACACATACATCTGCACCATCATTGGAAGTCCTAGTCCCATCTTCACACTGTCAGGAATGGGCAAGTTGTACATTTGACCCACAGATGAACATTATTTATTATCTGATTGACAGGCTTCATAGCTATTTTCTTCTGTAAATTATTCCAATTGTAGAAAAAATTGGCGGGAAAGCATTTTTTTAATGTTTGAGTGAGGACGCTGAGGGTAGATAACAAGGTAACTCACGGATGGTGTGGCGTCTGCCCTGCGCCCCAGCCGTGTGGAGGGTCTCTGTTCCACCTTCCAGACGTGCTGTGTGCGAGGCGCCCACCATTGCCATTTCCTTCTACTGGTTTTTTCTTGTGCTTTTCTACACATTTTTCCAAGTGTAGAAAAAGTTGGCAGGAAAGCAATTTTTAAAATGTTCGTGCACGTGTACAAGTTTGATTGTATGATTTGCTGGGTTGATTGTACTGCAGCTACACTCTTCATGTTGCAACCACCAGATTAACAGGTTGTTGCAATAATTCGAAGTGCTGCATTGTAACTACTTTATCGAGAGAGCCAGAAAGGTTGAAAATGCTGTATAGAGAAATCAGGACACTAACAATGATGTAAGCTTGCCATGTTCATTAAAAGGTAGATTGGATTCGCCACTCCATAATCATAAGAAATACTGAGTGGAATCTCTGTGTGTCAGAGAAAGCCCACAGTTGCATTGAGGACCCACAGGAAAGCTGTTGTCACCACCAACCCTTGTCCGGGTGTCAAAAGGCCTGAAACAGTGATTGCCCATAATTTGTCTAAATCAGGAGCAAACGAAAATAGTGACGTTCTAGAGAACAGTGTCTTCCAGCACCTCCTCTGAGTTCTCAGGACGGTGGCTCTGATCTGGAGGTCTGGAGACCCCGTCCTTGCCTCTGCTCCGCCTTGAAGCTATGTGATCCTGGTCAGATCCGAGAATGTCCTCAGCTGGGAATCAGTGGAGTTAGCCTTGTCCTCAAAGGTCCCTTGTGTCTCCAAAATTCTAGAGTTCACATTTCCTATATCTGAAATAATAGTCACGGGGCTCTGTTGTAATGTCTTAGTCAAGTTTGTATGTCATTCATTTTAAGGTCTTGATTTCTGAGTACAGGAAGGTCCTACTTAAACCTGCTAGACCAAAATGCAATTTGATATAGTAGTAGCTATTTTTTTCTCTTTCTCTTGTTTTTCTCTCTTTTTAAAGAAAAAAAATTGAATGATTATTCTTTACCTTATTATAAGATAAATAGCATCTAATATAGCAAATACAGGAATGCATTTGTAAAGTCTGATTCCACATCAGTTGTTTACAACATTATTTGAACATTTTGGCTATTGTCTCATGACCCATGTTAGAATGGGTTGGAGTGTTTCAAATCTAATACACAGTGAGCTCTTCTTTAAACTCTAATGAAGCTGGGCTGGTCACCTATTTGGGAAGCAGCCATTAGACGATCCCTGGGGCCATGCTGAGCACCATGGGGCCCCAGCCATGCAGGCACTGGCTTGCGGGCCAGCCCGATAATTTGGGCACAGAGTGTGTCCTGTGGTGACCACATGAGGCTGCAGTGTGTGGCTTTCCAGAGGGAACACCCTGGCGCCTTCCTGGGAAGGATCGATCTCTTTCCTGGTGTTTGGGGAGGGAACCTCTGACTCACGGCTCGCATCTGTTCTGCAGCACACCAGCGCTGGTGCAGAAGGCTCTGGCCAAGCCCTGGCGTCCCCCGGCTCCTGCCTGGAGGAGTTTAGAAGTGCGCCATTCATCGAGTGTCACGGCCGTGGGACCTGCAATTACTACGCAAACGCTTACAGCTTTTGGCTCGCCACCATAGAGAGGAGCGAGATGTTCAAGTAAGTGGGAGCACTGCTTTTTTGCAGGCTGCTGGCCCCTTTGTGACTTTATTTTTTAATCATCCGCGATCCGTAACACCTTCCAATGCAAAGTCTCAAAGATGGTTAGCAATGAATATTTGATGCTGTTCGACATGGGCAGATGACCGAGACGATTTTCAAAGGCAGACCTTCAGTCACAGGTTTAATTTTTTCATTTACCGAAGAACCATGAAAGAAAAAGGTCATTTTCCATTTTTTCTAGGTGAGTGTACTAAAATGTAATTAAAGCAACTGAAATCTCCAAACAGAGCATGTTTGAAATACAGTATATTTAACAATCCCGGGGAGAAGAAGTGAGCAGCGTTCATTTTCATGCCATTCATAACACTGATCGTAATGTACACTTTGTGTAAGTTCTGAGTGACTTCACAAGGTATTTTTTTAGACCTGTGCAAATAAAAATTAATTTCAGCACAAATTCAGCTGAAACTGAGAGGGAAGACCCTTCCTTCCTTTTCCATTACCAAAATCTCACCTTTAAAATGACTGGCCCAAGTGGCTACTAACCTTGCTGGAGTTGACTGGGAGCCGGGCCGGTCCCCGAAGGCCAGGAACGCATAATGAACCCTCTATCCCGAGCCCCAGCTGCAGCCCCGCTGGAGCCAATGCAGGAGGCTGACGGAGCTGGCACAGCTGCTTACTGTTCATTTCCAAAACAAGCGCTTCTCACCCCTGGAGATGAGCCTTTCCATCTTCACCTTTTTGGAGAGAATTATATGGAACCCTGCTATGATCCTGTCTCTTTCCAGCTTAGATAGTAAGAGGCAGAACAACATACACGCTTCTCTAATTCGTTACTCATCCAAAAAGTGCCGCGTGCCTAACTGGTGGTTTATTGGAGCCTTTCAAGGAACTGGAAACTTGACATCCATGCTGCAGATAGAGTTTAACCATTCACTACCAAAATGAGCGCACTTTGTTCATGCCTCAGCCCTTGCGGTGTCCTCTTATAAGGTTGATAGGTAATGATGGGTTTTTTTTTTTTAACCAGCAGCCTGATACAATAAACTAAAATGTTTTCCCAAAGCAAATTAGGTAAGATCCCATTAATTTAAATAATAAACTTGAGGGTACTAGAATTTGCACCAAAAGTTAATAAAATAAGCAGCCTCAATTTTAGGATGAGGCACTCTCATAAATGGCTATTTTAATTTAGTTTAATTAATTTATTTATTTTAATAGAATTTTCTCAGTAACAATTTTAGTTCAGATTTTACCTTTTCAACAATCAAAATAATGTAGAGTTTCTAAGCTTGAGAAACACTTGGGACATTGAATGTCTTTCCCTCTTTTTGGTCTCAAAGCAGACCATCTGCATAGAAATCCTTCAAAAGTTATAAAAGTATTTCGAGGTCTAGGGAATTACTCCAGATTTATTACTCATCACATCATTCCACAAATATTTAATGAATACTTACTGTGTGTGTAAAGTGTTGCAGAGAAGAATAATATCTTCTTCTTACCCTGGAGGAGTTTATGATCTAGTGGAGGAGAATGGAAAAAAAGTGAAATTGTAGTACGAGGAGGCAGGGTGGCACAGAGGGGAATGGCCAAGGCTTCGGAGCCAGACTGATGTGGCGGGACTTCAGCTGTGCCCTATGGGGCTGTGGGCACTGGGGCAGGTGCCAGGGCCTGGGTGTGCAGCTGGTAACCTGCAGTGTTCTGTGTGCGTGGGACCGTGTGTGCACTGCACCCAGCACCTGCCTGCTCACTGGGTGGTACCAGGTTGAGGCCTGATGCCAGGGGCTGGGCTGATCCCTTAGAGATTTCCGAGCAGGGCAGGAGTGCCATGTTTCTGACGTGCTGTGAGATGATGGCCAATGGTCTGTCTCTGTGTCGTGTTTTAGGAAGCCTACGCCGTCCACCTTGAAGGCAGGGGAGCTGCGCACGCACGTCAGCCGCTGCCAAGTCTGTATGAGAAGAACATAATGAAGCCTGACTCAGCTAATGTCACAACATGGTGCTACTTCTTCTTCTTTTTGTTAACAGCAACGAACCCTAGAAATATATCCTGTGTACCTCACTGTCCAATATGAAAACCGTAAAGTGCCTTATAGGAATTTGCGTAACTAACACACCCTGCTTCATTGACCTCTACTTGCTGAAGGAGAAAAAGACAGCGATAAGCTTTCAATAGTGGCATACCAAATGGCACTTTTGATGAAATAAAATATCAATATTTTCTGCAATCCAATGCACTGATGTGTGAAGTGAGAACTCCATCAGAAAACCAAAGGGTGCTAGGAGGTGTGGGTGCCTTCCATACTGTTTGCCCATTTTCATTCTTGTATTATAATTAATTTTCTACCCCCAGAGATAAATGTTTGTTTATATCACTGTCTAGCTGTTTCAAAATTTAGGTCCCTTGGTCTGTACAAATAATAGCAATGTAAAAATGGTTTTTTGAACCTCCAAATGGAATTACAGACTCAGTAGCCATATCTTCCAACCCCCCAGTATAAATTTCTGTCTTTCTGCTATGTGTGGTACTTTGCAGCTGCTTTTGCAGAAATCACAATTTTCCTGTGGAATAAAGATGGTCCAAAAATAGTCAAAAATTAAATATATATATATATTAGTAATTTATATAGATGTCAGCAATTAGGCAGATCAAGGTTTAGTTTAACTTCCACTGTTAAAATAAAGCTTACATAGTTTTCTTCCTTTGAAAGACTGTGCTGTCCTTTAACATAGGTTTTTAAAGACTAGGATATTGAATGTGAAACATCCGTTTTCATTGTTCACTTCTAAACCAAAAATTATGTGTTGCCAAAACCAAACCCAGGTTCATGAATATGGTGTCTATTATAGTGAAACATGTACTTTGAGCTTATTGTTTTTATTCTGTATTAAATATTTTCAGGGTTTTAAACACTAATCACAAACTGAATGACTTGACTTCAAAAGCAACAACCTTAAAGGCCGTCATTTCATTAGTATTCCTCATTCTGCATCCTGGCTTGAAAAACAGCTCTGTTGAATCACAGTATCAGTATTTTCACACGTAAGCACATTCGGGCCATTTCCGTGGTTTCTCATGAGCTGTGTTCACAGACCTCAGCAGGGCATCGCATGGACCGCAGGAGGGCAGATTCGGACCACTAGGCCTGAAATGACATTTCACTAAAAGTCTCCAAAACATTTCTAAGACTACTAAGGCCTTTTATGTAATTTCTTTAAATGTGTATTTCTTAAGAATTCAAATTTGTAATAAAACTATTTGTATAAAAATTAAGCTTTTATTAATTTGTTGCTAGTATTGCCACAGACGCATTAAAAGAAACTTACTGCACAAGCTGCTAATAAATTTGTAAGCTTTGCATACCTTAGATTATTTTTATTTTGCACTTCTTCCAAATGAGAGTCACAGACTGGGGGTGATTTATAGTGACTACAACAAGGAAAAAAAGATTGGTGTTCTCCATCTCTTCCTCTTTCGTCGCCTCCTCACTCCCTCCTTTGCATCCTTCCCTCTGTCCCCCCAGAGAGCTGTCATCTATCTCTCCATCCTTCCATTCATTCACTCTACAAATGCCACTTCCCAGGCATTGGTTAAGTAGAAGATAAACAGCGATGAATAGCACACATATATAGCCATTAAGTGTGAATCCACTGGGGGTTAGAGCTGAGATTTTAGTTATATTAGGAGTGGAGTAGAGGGCTGGATTCCAAGTATTACTTGATATAGGAAAAAAAAATAGATGGCTGATTTCTTTTCCCTAATGACTTAAGCTTCAGTCTGAGCTGGATCAGAATATAGTCCACGGAGAATGAGTGAGTTACTGAATACTCAGAAAAAAGCTCTCAATACGATGATGCTCTCAGTTAACTCACCCACCAGAGCCATTGTGAAGACGAAGGACAGAATGTGAACACGCAGCACAGTGCTCCAGGCAGGCCATGCGGCAGGGACCCGATTCGCCACCTTTTCACCACTTTTGACAAAACCATTGAAAAGCGTTCTTTTGCTCTCCTTAGTATATAGAAGGGTAGAGAAGAAAATTAAAATCATTAGACTTAGTTTCTACTGAAGTTACTGAGAGGTATTAAGAGCCACTTCAGAGCATTTCGTACATGTACATATATTTTGTGTACAAAATTTTGTACACATATATACATATATATGTATAAAGTTCATTTATCATGTTTATTATATACAATTTAGTATCCCTAGGAAAGTACAAAGAAGATAATATAACACTGTGGATCCCAACATTCAAATCCCATGCATCTTATACCAGTTATTCTGAAAGCAGTTTTTATGTTTTTTAAATTAACTTACAGTAAAACTGACTTATTTGGATGTACATTTCTATGAATTGTGAACTTATAAATAGGTTCACATACCCATAACCAAATCAGCACGCAGAACAGTTTCATCACCTAAAAACCTTCAAACCTGTACTATGTATAACACGCCCAGGCACCCTAACCTGGTCTTCAACCATGGAACTCTCCCCCATCATAGATCATCTATTCAGGAATGGAATAATAGACTTGAAACTGTCTTCTTTCACTCAGCATAATGTATTTGACATTCCTCCAAGTCGTTATGTGTATCAATAGTTCGTTCCTTTTTATTGCTGAGCGGGATGGCATTTTATAGACATACCACCCTTCACTTATCTATTCACCTGTTGAAGGATATTTGGTTGTTTCTGGGTTTTGGTGGTTATAAATAGGAATAAACATTCACATTCAGGTTTGCATGTGAATGTAAGTCTTCATTACTTCATTACTTTAGGATAAATGCCCAGTACTAAGACAGCTGTGCCATAGGGGAAGTGTGTGTTTAATGTTCTAAGGAGCTGCCAAACCATCTTCCAGGATGGCTGCACCATGCTGCCTTCCACCAGCAACCAATGGGAGCCCCAGTGGCTCCACATCCCCTCCAGTATTTGACTTTGCCAGCAATTGTTCTGTGTGTGCGTGGTCTTCTCACAAGTATGTAGTGGCATTAACTATGGTTAATTTGCATTTCTCTAATGGTTAATGATGTTGAACAGTTTTTGGCTGCCTGTATATCTTGTATATCCTTTTTTTAAAGTGTTTGTTAAGCCTTTGCTCAGTCTTTTTAAAACCTTTATTTTATTTTATTTTATTTTTAGATGGGGTCTTACTCTGTTGCCCAGGCTGGACTGCAGTGGCCTAATCTCGGCTGGCTGTTAACCTCCACCTCCTGGGCTCAAGTGGTCCTCCCACCTCAGCCTTCTGAGTAGCTGGGACTGCAGGTGTGTGCCACTCACCCAGCTAATTTTTTTTGTATTTTTGTAAAGACTGGGTTTCACCATGTTGTCTAGGCTGGCCTCAAACTCCTAGACTCAGGTGATCTGCCCACCTCGGCCTCCCAAAGTGCTGGGATTACAGGCGTGAGCCATCGTATCCAGCCCCTTTGCTCAGGTTTTCAGTTGGGTTGCTCGTTTTCATACTGCTGCATTCTGAAAGTTTTTCGCATATTCTGGTTACAAGTCCATTTTTGGATAAGTGATTTGCAAATTCATCCACTTAATGATGTCTTTCACAGAGCTAAACTTTTTTGCTTTTTAAAATTTCAGCTTTTATTTTAGATACAGTGGTGTATATGCAGGATTGTTATGCAGGTGTATAGTACCAGGTGGCGAGCGTGGTACCCAGTAGGTAGCTTTTCAACCCAGGCCCCGTCCTCCCTCCCCGCTCTAGTATTCTGCAGTGTTGATTGTTCCCATGTTTATGTCCATGAATAGAGCTAAACTTTTTAATTTTGATGATATCCAATTTATCAATTTTTGTTTTCTTCCATTGGACATGCTTTTGCTATTATGGTTAAGAACCTGTTGATATACCCTCGCTCACGAATATTTTCTCTTGCATTTTCTTCTCAAAGTTTTATGGTTTTACTTACTACATTTCGATTTGTAATCATTTTTTAATTGATGAAATTCACATAACGTAAAATTCACCATGTTAAGGTGAACAATTCAGTGGCATGTAGTACATTCACAATGCTGTGCCACCGCCTGCGTCTAGTTCTAAGCCACCTGCTTCTAGTACTAAACCAGCTTCATCTAGCACTAAACCACCTGAATCTAGCACTAAACCACCTACATCTAGTTGTAAACCAGCTGCATCTAGCTCTAAACCACCTGCATCTAGTTCTAAATCAGATGCATCTAGTACTAAACCGTCTGCATGTAGTTCTAAATCAGCTGCACCTACTTCTAAACCACCTGCATCTAGTTCTAAATCAGCTGCACCTACTTCTAAACCACCTGCACCTACTTCTAAACTACCTTCATCTAGTTCTAAACCAGCTGCATCTAGTATTAAACCACCTGCATCTAGTTCTAAACCATCCGCATTCAGTTCTAAATCAGTTGCATCTCATACTAAACCACCTCCATCTAGTACTAAACCACCTGCATCTAGTACTAAACCACTTGTATCTAGTACTAAACCACTTGTATCTAGTACTAAACCACTTGTATCTAGTACTAAACCACTT
Organism: Homo sapiens; assembly: GCF_000001405.40. Classification (NCBI taxonomy): domain Eukaryota; kingdom Metazoa; phylum Chordata; class Mammalia; order Primates; family Hominidae; genus Homo; species Homo sapiens. The sequence goes on along the minus strand of NC_000013.11, from coordinate 110,145,810 downwards.
GTGTCTAGTTCCAAAACTAGTTCTATCACACCAAAGCCCCATGCCCATTCAGAAGTCACACCCCATTCCCTCCCTACCCCTCCGTCCCTGATAAACACCTGTCTGCTTTCTGCCTCTATACATTTGCCTACTTTGGATATTTCATACAGTGCATGACTTTCGTGTGTGCTTTCTTTCACTTAGCATGACCTTCTCAAGGTTATCCACATTGTGGCATGCCAGTACTTCGATCACTTTTATGGCTGTATAACTTCCGTCATGTAAATATGCTACATTTTCTGTATCGACTCACCCATTCATGAACATGTGGACTATCTTGATGTTTGGCTACTGTGAATAGTGTTGCTGTGCACATGCATTTGTTTGAGCTCCTGTTTTCTTTTCTTTTTCTTTTTCTTTCTTTCTTTTTTTTTTTTTTTTTTTTTTTTTTTGAGAAACAGTCTTGCTGTGTTGCCCAGGCTGGAGTGCAGTGAGTGGTGTGATCTCAGCTCACTGCAAGCTCTGCCTTCTGGGTTCAGGCCATTCTCCTGCCTCAGCCTCCCAAGTAGCTGGGACTACAGGTGCCCGCCACCATGCCCGGCTAATTTTTCGTATTTTTAGTAGAGACGGGGTTTCACCATGTTAGCCAGGATGGTCTCGATCTCCTGACCTCGTGATCCACCCACCTCAATTCTTTAGGGTATCCACCTAGGAATGGAATTGCTGAGTCTGTGTTTAACTTTTTGAGGAACTGCCAAACTCTTTTCCACAGAGGCTGAACTGTTTTACACTCCCACCAACAGTGCTGTGGGCTCCAATTCCTCTATGTCCTTGTCCACACTTACGATTTTCCAATTTTTGATTATAACCATCTTAGTGGGTATGAAGGGGTCACGGTTTGGTTTGCATTTTCCTAATTGTTCATGATGCTGTGCATCTTTTCAATGTGCTTCTTGGCCATTTATATATTGAGTAGACATTTGAAATGTTTACTCAATTTCTTTTCCATTTTAAATTAGGTTGTTTGTCTTTTTGTTATTTATTTACTTTTGAGACAGGTTCTCACTCTTTCACCCAGGCTGGAGTGCAATGGCACAATCATGGCTCACTGCAGCCTCAACCTCCCAGGTTCCAGTGATCCTCCCACCTCAACCTCCTGAATAGCTAGGACTGTAGGGATGCGCCACCACACTCAGCTAATTTCTCTAATTTTTTTTAGAGATGGGGTCTCACTATGCTGCCAGGAATGGTCTCAAACTCCTGGGCTTAAGCGATCCTCCTGCCTGGGCCTCCCAAACTATTGGGATTACAGTTGTGCACCACCGTGCCTGACCCGTCTTTTTGTTGTTTACTTGTAAACATTCCTCATATATTCTGAATAGTAGACCCTTATCAGATATATGATTTGCAAATATATTTTCTATTATGAAGATTGTCTTTTTACTTTTTTAATAATGTACGTTAGTGCACAAAGGTTTTTAATGTTGATGAAGTACAATTTATCTATTTTTCATATGTTGCTCATGCCTTTAGTGTCATATCTAAGAATCCATTGCCAGATCCAAGGTCATGAATATTTACTCCTATGTTTTCCTCTGTCTATTTCTTCCTTTTCTTATTTCAGCCCTCCTACACACACACCTCTTTTTCTTTTTCTTGCCTCTTTGTACTCTCCAGAATTTTAAGTACAATGTTAAATAGGAGTGGTGAATATGGGCATTCTTCCCTTGTGCTTGATCTGAAGAAAAAAGCATTTAGTCTTTCATCATTAAATATGATGTTAACTATAGGGTTTAAAAAAAAAACCAGATACCTTTATCCCTGTAAGTATCATGAGTGGATATCAAATGTTGTTGAATGCCTTTTCTGCATCAACGGCAATCCCATATGCAATCCCCTATGATATGATTATATGGCCTTTCTTCTTCAGCTTGTTGAAACAGTGGATAATAGTGATTGATAATCAAAGATCAGACCAGTTTTATATTTCTGGGATAAAGCCCACTTGGTCATGATATGTTATTCTTTTTATATATTGAGCATTTGATTTGCTAGTACTTACTAGAGTTCCTTGTGTCTGTGTTAGTGAGGAAAATTGCTTTTAACTTTATTTTCTTATATTACCTTTGGCTTTTCTATCAAATAATGCCATTTGCAAAAAAAAAGAAAAATGAGCCAGGAAATGTTCCCATCTCTTCTGTTTTCTGGAAGACATTATGTAGAGTTGTTTTTTTGTTTGTTTGTTTTGTTTTTTAGATATTTAATAGAATTTGTCAATAAAACCGTTTGGTCCTGCAAATTTCCTTTCTTGGTAGGTTTTGAACTATAAATTTAAGTTACAAATAGTTATAGGACTATTCAGGATATCTATTTCATCTTGGATGAGTTAGATAACTTTTTCTTTCAAGGATTAGTTCATAGTAAGTTGTCAAATTTGTGTGTGTAGAGTTATTCCTAGTATTCTATTATCTCCATGTCTGTGAAGCCTGTAGCAGCATTTATTATTTCTTTCCTGATATTGAACATTTTCATCTTCCATCTTTTTCTTTGTCAAATTCTTTAGAAGTTTGTCAATATTATTGATCTTTTCAGAGAACCAGCTTTTGGATTTATTGATTTTTTTCTATTTTTTCTGCCTTCAATTTCATCAATTTTTTCTCTTATCTTTATTATTTCCTTTCATGTTCTTATTTTGTGTTTATTTTGCTCTTCTTTTTCTAGTTTCTTAAGGTGTAAGCATACATGATTAATTTGAGACTTTTTTCTTTTTAAGCATAAGCATTTGATGCTATATATTTCCCTCTAAGCACTGATTTACCTGCATCCCATGAATTGTGTTATGTTGTATTTTCATTTACATTCAATTCAACATAAGTTTTAATTTCTTTGATACTTCCTATGATCCATGGCTTATTTGGAAGTATGTAGCTTAGTTTCCAAATGTTTGTAGATTTTTCTGTTATATTTCTGTTTTTGATATCTGGTTTAATTTCATTATGAACACAGCACATACTACATATGCTTTCAATAATTGTGCATTTGTTAAAGTTTCTTTTATTCTTTCTTGGTGAGTGTTCCATGTACAATTGAAAAGAATATGTATTCTATTAGTGTTGGATAGATTGTTATATAAATGTAGTTTATGATCCACTTGGTTGATGGTATTGTTCAGTTCTTTTATATCCCTGTGATTTTCTGTCTATAGTTCTGTCATTTATCGAGAGATGAATGTTGAAGTTTCCAGTGTGTTTTATGGATTTCTAAATTTCTTCTTTCAATTGGAACAGTTTGCTTTTTCTATTTTTAAGTTCCATTATTAGGGGTGCACACCGTTAGTATTGTTCTGACTTCTTGGTGAGTCAACTCTTTTACCATTATACTACCTGCCTTTTTATGTCTGGGAATTAGTTTTTGCTCCAAATCTACTTTGTCTGATATTAATATAGCCACTCCATCTTTCTTTTGATTGGCATTTGCTTGATAAGTCTTCTCTATTTTGTTATTTGTATCCTATCCATATTCTTATATTTGAAGCAAGGTTCTTTCTGACAGCATATAGTTGGGTCATATTTTTCAAATCTGTTCTGGCATCTTTGTATTTTAATTAGTGTGTTTAGACTGGGCTTGTGTTTAAAGCAATTATTGGTATGTTTGGATTTAAGTCTAGCTTTTTATTATTGATTTTCTATATGCTACTGTTGATTTTCTCTTTTTCTGCCTTTTTTGTTATTTACACATTTTCTAGTTTGCTATTTTAGCTTACTTGTGTTGTTTCCTACATTGATATATTTTTAAAACCCAAGAGAAGAAAAGTGTTTCATATTTACCCAGCTATTTCCAATTTATATTTTACTTTCTTTATTCTTGATATTTCAAAGTATCTTTTAATATCATTTTTCTTATGTTTAAATAACTTCCCTTAACAATTCTTTTAGAGAAATGTATACTCTTTTAGTTTTTCTTCACTTGAAAAATGTCTTTATTTCACCTGTTCTGGGTATTTTTTTCTTCATTTGAAAAATGTCTTTATTTCACCTGTACTGGGTATTTTTTTCCACTGGACATAGAATTCTAATAGTTCTTCGCCTTCAACAATTTAAATCTGTTGTTTACTTTCTTTCCTTCTGGCCTCTATTTAGTGTCTGATAATAAACCCTGAATCATTCAAATCGGTGTTCCCCTCTAAGTAATGTGCTGTCTCTGGCTACTTTTAGGATTTCTCATTCTGTCTAATTTTCCGACATCTAATTATGACATGTCTGTGTGTGGATTGGGTTCTTTAGCTTTGTGAGTCTGTAGATGTATGCCTTTCTCTTATGGAAAAATGTTGGTGTTTGGGGGTCTTTGCAGGCCAATGACTGGGTCAGGTTCCAGGCTGCAAGCTTCAATTCACCTTCTATAGGTAGAACTGTTTTTGCGGTACTATTCAGATCTGTCCTGCATGCGTGCCCACCAACGGCCTGTCTGGGTGTGGGCAGTGTGGGCAGTTTTCAGTTTGGTAGCTGTTTAGAGTCAGATCCATGCACGCGCACATCAAAGATGAGTCCAGGAGTCCATGAACAATTTTACTGGATCTCCTTCCCTCATTCCACCGTCCCACTGAACTCCCCATTACTTTTCAGAGCCTAACATTCCTCTTGTTGACTCCTTGTTTCTAAAATTGTGTCTTTACTTACTCTGCACATAATTTCTGTGGCTGCAGCCATATCTGGGCTAAACAGCAGGAGAACTGGAGAAAAAATATGGTAAAATTGTCCTGCTTTGGTGGCACATCTAAATCTGGTTTTCTTCCCCAGTCTGTCTGCTACCGTTCACTGACAGAGTCCTCTAATAGCTGCTCCATGCACTCAGCAGGAGAGACAGGCTGGGGTGGCCTGCTAAACTTTACCTGGGACTGGCACCAGCCACAATACAGAGTACTTGTTTTGATGGTTTTAAGTATGATGGTGATAAATGGAAGAGAATGAAACGGTTCAACTTTGGTCATTTAAAAAATCTTTTCACTCTCTTTTCTAAAGCTTGAACATACCATAGTCTACCAATTTAGTTAACCATCATTCATGGGCTTTTCGATTTTAATGGCTGTATGCTGGCTCTTTCCATGCACTTTTTCACTCTAGCTTACTGGACTTTAAATTACATGCATTAGCTTGTACTCATTAGGGGTACCATCGCTTTTACACCAGAATTCTTAAAGCCTAAGACTCAGTGCACCCATCCTGTATCTGAACCCAAGAGTCATTTTGTCGTCCTCATGAAACTAGACAAATCTGAGTTCAGATGCTGACTCTGCCACTTACAAACTTGTGACCTTGGGTAAGATATAAAACCTCTCAGAGATCTGCACAAATTAGGTCATTTTTACTTGTAATTCTTCCAAATCAGAATCATAGACTGAGAAGGATTTACAAAAAAAGAGAAAACCTGTTTGGCTGTATCACTTATCATCCTTTTACTCATTCTCTGCTTCCTTCCATCTGTTCCTTCCATCTACTCATCCATCCATCCATCCATCCATCATCCATCCACCATCCATCCATCCATACATACATTCATCTGTTCATCCATCCATCTATTCATCCATCTGTTCATCCATCCATCCATCCACTGATCCATCTCTTCATCATTCATATTCTGCGTGCTTATTATTTCCCAAGTACTAGGTTAGGTACAGGATAAATGGAAATCGATAATGTCGTCCTTAAGAAGTGTTGTGCAAAAAAAAAAAAATAATAATTGTGGAAGAAACCTGTAATTTGTCAGGTTAAGGAATTAAAAAGGAGTTATGCAATAGATAGGGTGAGGTTGAGGGTTGGATTACAAATGGAATAAAGGTTGCCCACATCTGAGTGTTGCCTGGAAGATTAAATGAGAAATATGCAAGACGAAGTGCACACGGCATCTCTTCCTTCATCCAGGCCCCGAGTGAGGTCCAGGGATGCAATGTCACGGCATAGCCCCTGCCTCAGGAGACTTTATACCAATGTGGATTGTTTCTGCATTCTCCTTTACACGTGTGTCTAAATCATTCTGAGGATAATTTTGTGGTCAACTTCATTTCTACCTGAATGACAAATTCCCTATATTCAATTCCCATGATGCAAAAATAGCATTTAGTTTTATTGGGCCTAAGATGATCTCTCTGCAATATTAAAAGGTGTCCCCTAGAGTAATTTTTAAGTATCTGAGGTTTTGTTAAGATCATTCTTTTCATAATTCATATCTTCTTTAACCTTTGTTATTCCAGATTTAAGAGATGTTTTCAAGTCGTGTTCTCAGAAGCTTCTGATCCTTATCCTTCTGATCATTTGAGTTATACCTGTCTGACTCTACTATGTCTCCCTGCTGCTTTGATAAAAGACAATTTCACATACTGTGGAGGTCATCAGTCAATCTAATGTTTATTAATCATCCCCTCATTTCACATGGCTTTCTCTGGACCCCTTGGGAGGAGACAAGGTAATAAATCCTATCCTCCATCCCAGGTTCATGATCATTTGGATAGACAAGGTATATATAGAGAAAATATTTAATAATTAGAGTCCTGAAGGAGGGACTTTGCAGTGAACTTCAACATCTCAAGCCTCCTTCTTCTCCCACTTCCAAACCACCCTGAATCACGCGGGAGAAGTGAAAATATCTTTTAAAGACATCAAGAGAAAAATATTTCACAAGCCTGTTCGATAACTTTCTGAAAACACTCATTGTTCAGGGTGCTGCTTAAATGATCTTTCTGCTTCTGCCGGTGGCAAGGCCCCTCCAGCTCTGAAAGCATGCAGAGGACAGCCCATTGTTCCCTTAACGCCTGAGCATCAATCACCTGGTCACCCAACACTCAGCCAGCTCTGCGCAGAATGTTTCTAAGTGATTTTGACTGCAAGACTTTTCGCCATTGGGTCCACGTGGGAACCTCTCCCTCTGGCTCTCCTTACACCTCCACATGGGTGGACACATGGCCCCGGCCTCTGGAGGGATGGAGAGGGAGGGTGCTTCTGGAGAGAGGAGATCTGATGGGGCTGGGGTCTCTCCAACCCTGCACGTGGCACCCTGTGAACTCACAGCCTTTCATACCAGCTCCTTCCCTGGTCCTTAGCCCTTTCGTCAGTGCGGTTTAGGGCAATGGTCACCTGAACGTTTGTTTTGACAGTCACAAATTCCCAGAAACAGGGAAACGGAACTCGCTAGCGACGTTGTGTGGATGAGTTTGCTTTAGGCTGGAACAAGCCTTGCCTTTGGGTAACGGGCTTCCGGGTGCGCCCTGGCCGGCTGTGTGCGCGCGGAAGGCGGTCACCTGGGCCCCCTGGGCGCGCGCGCCGCCCGCCCGCCCGCCTGCCCCGCGCGCACCTGCAGGAGGCTCTGGCGCGCTCCCTCCCTCCCTGGCTGCGCTGCGAAGGGCGCGGGAGAGGGGGATTCTAGCAGCGCTGAATCACTTTCCCACAGCCTCTGCGTGGGGAGCGCTTCCTCTGATGCACGCCCTATTTGTACTTCCTGAGTGCGCGTGGACTGCGGGCCCTGCTCGCCGCAGACTTGCCCGAAATAGCAGCGCGCGGGCTCGGCTCCCCGCGCCGCCCGCAGCATCTGCCTCCCCCTCCCGCCTCGTGGGCAACCGGGCGCGGCTGAGTCACGGTGACACTGAGTCACTCGCCAGCGTCAGGAAATGCCTTTTTTAGACTTCCAGTTTGAAATGGAGCAGCAGGTGACTTTTTAAATTCGGTTTTGTGTTTTATCTTCAATTTCCCTGGGGGCAGTTCTTGCTGGTTTCACATTTCCCCACGACTTGCTGCTTGGGGCAAGTTCCGCACCAAATGTACCTAGGCGGAGCTCCGCCTTAAGGGATATTCATTTTTCCGATGTAAATGAGGAAATTCTGCAGACTGGTTTTGAAGCAGTCTTCGCTAGACACTCCATGCAACAGTGTGTATTTGTACGTGGGTGGACGGCTTGCTATCTGTGACGCGTTCCCAGGACAGACTGCAGGTGGCACCAGGGTCCCCTGATTGTGAAGTTCCACCTCTGCAGAATGGCTTAGGTGCAATTTATAGCAGCATTGCCCTTTTTAATTCAGTGTTTAACAAGGTTAACCTGAAGCAGGTTACTAGGTGCTAATTAGGATCTGTGGCCAGGTCAATGCATTTTTTTTTTTTTTTTAAACGGGTAACTAACTGTGTTGGAAAGAAAGTGGATGGAGAATTATTCCAAATATACTAAATGAAGCCTTTCACCAGAGTTTGCAAATATGAATTATAACAGTAAAAATACAATGAGAACTCACATTTTTAAGGAATTACAAATGAGCATCCGTGGCACTGTATGCGTCCTTACTGTCGTTGGGCGGTTTCTTCCTAAAGAAAGAAGCCCTCCTTGGTACTTAAAGAAATTCAACCTCTAGCGCCCTGTGCCTTCCCCCATGTCACTGTTAACAGCTACTGCCACACATGTATCTAGTATAGGAAGGATTGGCAGCCTCACCTTGTTGCATGGAGGGTGAGTGCTCCTGGAACACGTTAAGGAACTGAAGTTGCGAACGTGGTGAGGGGAATTGCCCTCAGAAGCAATACGGCAGGGGAGTCCTGTGAGGGTGGTTTTCTCAGCTTTGCTGGGGTAACAGGACACATTGGCTGGGACTTTCCCCATTGTCCAAATTCCTAATTAGAGCCCCAGCTAAAGCAAAAGAGGCCACAGCGCCGCATATTCTGAAGAGAGCTGCCAGCAGTTGGGGGCAGGGTTCCTGTCCTGCTGAAAGAGCCCAGCTCTGTCAGCCAACCCAGCTCTCTCCAGGCTGCACCCCTCTGGAAGAAGAGAGGAGGAGAGAGTGGGGGAGGAGGCAGGAGACTCCAGTCTGCAGGGGTCCTGTGCTTTCCCCTCTGGGAGGGGACATCTTCCTTGCCAAGTTCCCTGTCTCCACACCCCACGGCCACAGGAACATCTCAGACTTTGCGGGTGTCTCTAGCCCTGGCTGGATTCTGCTCGCACCCCCCACACCCATCTGAGGGGGCAGTTCAGAGCTGGCGGAGCAAGGCACACCCACAGCTTTGTGGGGGCCCGGGGCTGTGAGCTTTGTCTGGGGCCTGTGGGAGAGAGCTTGGCTTGAGCTCTCCTGGCTCTCTCCACAAAGAGTCTTCTCTGGGGAAAGCTATGAGGTATGCTTTGGGGTGTGAAAGGAAAATTAATCTTGGGGCCCCCAAGTCACTAAGCTAATGGGAAAAGTCAGGCTGGGAACTGCTTAGGGCAAACCTGCCTCCCATTTTGGAAAGGCTCATCAGAAACTCAAAAGAGTGTGACCATTTGTCTCTCACCTACCTGTGACCTGGAAGCCCCCTCCCTGCTTCGAGTTGTCCTCCCTTTCTGGATGGAACCAATATTCATCTTACATGTATTGATTGATGTCTTATGTCTCCCCAGCCACCTTGGGCACACACCATCAGGAGCTCCTGAGGCTGTGTCACAGGCGTGCATCCTTAACTCTGGCAAAGTAAAATTCCTAAATTGACTGATACCTTTCTCAGATATTCAGGGTTCACAGGGGGGCAGGGTGTGAAGCGAGAATGGAGAGAGAAGTTTGAGGGCTCTCCAGGGTGGAGGGCCTGGGGAAAACTCATCTGCAGACCCCCTCACCCTCACCCCGAGAATGCCTGGGGACCACAGAAGGCTCAGGGCAGTGTGGGGAGGGCCTTTACTTCCACAGTTCAGCTGTAAAAGGCTGGTCCCTTCTCCCTTGCCCCTGCCTGGTCCCCAGCCGGGAGGAGTAGGATGGGAGGAGGAGGAAGGAGAAAGATGCAAAGAAAGGCTATGCCTGCTTCATGTCCCTCCAGCCCAGAGTTCTTGTTTGTTTGTTTGTTCTGTATGTTGTGGCAATTCAACAGAGCCTATGGAAATCTTTTTAGAAAAAAATGTTTATTTTAAAAAGGCATGTGCTAAAATACGTAGTATTATAAAGAAAACTATATTAAAATGCACTTATCAAAATATTTAAAAAATTATCAACATAGTAATATACATATTTCTTTATTGATACATTAAATAATACTGTCTAGAAGACACATTTTAGAATACTGCTGAGTATAAATAATATTTCATAATACCTGAAATTATTGTAATATGATACCTATTTTTTCTATTGGTGACAATGCCTCAGATACTGTTAATACTATAGTGGTTTGTGGCCTTTAGTCATAATTGAAAGAAATGCTACATTTCAGAAGGTTGGTGAGAGTAAACATGTACTTTATCCCCCATCCAAGTTCATGGATGCTGGACTCCATGGAGCTGAATCTGAGGGTCACTGCGACAAGAATGGGCAGGGCCTGAGGGTAGCACAAGAGGATAGCTTTTATCTAGACTGGACTGGACTGTCCCTAGTCCCTAAAAGGAATCCAAAAGCTCAGGGATCTGTTCAAGTTAGTGTTAAGGGATAGGAACCACCACTTTGCACAGTGCAGTTTGCCCTGAGTGCAGGCAAGTGAGCACTTTCGTCCCCCTCAGATGTCTGTTTCAGTGTATTTAACAGAAACGCATGGGCTTTGAAACTGGACTGCCTGTGTTTGAATTATAAATGAATATGGACAATTATTTACTTACTCTGAACTCAGTTTCATCACTTGTAGAACTTTGTAGGTTGTGGATAAATTAGATGACCTGTGTAATGCGCTTAGAACGGAATGTGGCAAGGGTTTGAATGTGGGCCCCTGGGCAGTGTGACTCCCCCACAGGGTCCTTCCCCCACGTCCTTTCTCAACTCCACGAGGGTCTGTGGGTTAAAGAAGGATCAAAATGAGCCCTGTGGTTTCCCAGCAGATGTGATTGTTCAATTCTCATCATGTTGCCGTTGCTAGCAACCTGGTTATAAATAGAAAGAAACTCATGTCCTCGTTGCTATGTGATCCCCATGGCTCATATGACACAATGTCCCAGGGAAGCCAACCTTCGTCGCTACAAAATAGCTTCCTAAATAGGCCAGCAGGCATTATTAGCATCCTAATAGGTTCTGTTGATGAAGTCATCCTTATCAGGTAGTATTCCAGGGGCTTTGGGTGGCATCATTCAAACACAGTAAGCCCAGCAATGGTCCATTTTAATTATCGCTACGCTGAGCCCTGACTTAGAAATGTTGACTCCTCTGAATGTCCAGCTTTGTAACTTAATATTTGTGAGACAAGGACAATAACGCCTTCATGGCCTTTTAATTTTCCCAATTGTTTTGTATGAATTACATTAAGGAAAGTCTGAAGATACTAAGATTTCCAACTTGCTGCTCTGTGTTTAAGGTATTTATGCAGGAACAAGGTAAACGCAAAAACCAAACACAGGCCACTTTTTAATACTTTGTGTTTTATTTTGTTTTACTTCAGTTATTTAATGATAGATTTCCTTCTTCCACTTTTGTATTCTATTTCCCTCCGTCCTTTCCAAATGGGATAGTTCTGTTTAATTGAACACAATTATATGAAAAACACTTATTACTTTTAAAAAATTAAAAATCATCGCTTCTTAGGCTTTTGGCTAAGATCGAGGGTAATATCTGTTCTTATCAGTTTAAAAAATTAACAAGAAAGTATAAGAGTTATACTTTTATTATAAAAGTATAAGAACATTTTAAGAATTATAAATAAAAAATTAGGCAATTCAAGTAACCGGTTTTTCAATCATATTGAAACTTATTTTCAAAGTAAGACCCATTCTAATAGATCTCCCAAATGAAAATTACAACTTGTGACACATCCCCCAGTGTCCCTGCGCCCTGGCCATCCAGGGAACCTGAAGGGCCCTGTTCTGCTCCTGGGGCTTCACGCACCCTTCCTGACTTTGTGTTAAGCATCTGACCTTTGTGTTGGACTTGATCACGAAGTCAGACATGAGAATAAGTCTCTGTGTCAATTAGCCTTGGTTGAACAACAAGCCAACCCAAACATGACTTAAACCATTTTATCTGCTGACTGTTGCGTAGATGTGCACACGTAATTTGAACTGGGCCCCCCAGGATGGCTCTCTATGGTGCTGGCTCATTCAAGCACCTATCAGTGGATGGTCAATTGCTTCACTTATATCTGGCATTGGCTGGGGGGCCGGAGGCATATCCTGCTCATCGCCCTGCAGCACAGCCTCTTCCTGTGGTGCCACACAGTCAGAGTTCCCAAGAGCAGCAAGAGAGAGGCCTCAGTGCAAAAGCACTTAGCCTCTGCTGATGTCACATGTGCTGATGCTTCCTTGGCCAAAGGAAAGCACATGGCCAAGCCCAGATTCAGGGCTTGGTACCATGAACTCTACCTCTTGAGGTGGGGACAGGGGCCACAAAGTCACATTGCAAAGGGATGCGAATATAGGCGCAGAAATAATATACTGTTTTTCTTTTTATTTGCCATAATATACTTATGTGATATCCTTATCTGCCATAATATCCTTAACATAATGTTAAAGATTGATCATATATTCCTAAGAGAGAAATAGGATCGTATAATTCTAACCTGTCACAATATTATTGACATTTTACTGGACTTTCTAGACATAAAATGAAATTCTAATTCCCAAGAGCTTTTCCCCCAGTATTTAACATTCTTTTCTGGGCTAGATTTTTCGCCGGTCTCCCCTCTCCTTTACTACCAGGTTATTGAAGCTGTTCTTTTAAAACTACAAGGAAGAAGAAACAGAGCGCTCCCGGGAAATGTTGAAAAAGCAGAGCCCCATTCATCACAGCACAGGTTGAAGAGACCAGCTCTCCCCGATATTGGCAGAATTTCCATCACAGGTGAGGGTGTGTGTCCTACAACCCCAGCATTTAACTAAAAAGCAATTCTGTGTATGAGCTTCACGAAAAGGCAGAAATGAAGCAGTGCCCATAGGGTCTCCCTCCCTCGCCCTGCCTTCTCCTTTTAAATGCAGCTCTCTCCTTCCTGGGCCAGGATGATGTGGAACCGTTGCATGCGAGGGTTTCTAAGGGGGCGTTGTGAGGAGTCATCATCAGCAACCAATACTGCCGTTCTCACCAGTGTGAAACAGGCAGCCCCACCCCAGGGGCAGGCCCTCTTCCCCTGTGCCCTGGCCTCCCTGGCTCCAGGCATCCTGACTCCAGCCGAGAGCCCCCACCCTTTGCTGAGCTCTGAGTCCTGTCCAGCTGAGCTCCCTGGGGGCCTGTGAGTTTCTGCCTCTTTTCCTGCAGCCTCCTGTGCACTGGCAGGTGGCATCTCTGCCACTCTCCTTAGAGATGAGCCTACACACTCATTTTCTCTTTTTTTCTCTGGACAAAGGAATAAGCTTTTGAAAAGCAAACTGACAGATGAGAGCAGTGAAATCCACTGAGTGGGCCGTGGAGAACAGCTGTGTTTGAGAGGCATCTCAGCGATGTGAATGAGGCCAGGAGGAGCCATGAAGACGGCACTGCCTGTGGGGCCCCCGATAAATGATGGCACTGAGCAATTGGCAGGACTGTGGGCATGGGAGGGGTCCCTAGGCCCCACCCCCCTCTGCTCCTGTTTGTGTAATTAACAGCCCGCTTCCTATCAGGTGCTCTGCCTTCAGTGCTCTCTGCTGCGGCTCTTACCAGCGAGGACTGGAGGGGCGGCTCCTTTACCTGCCCTGTCCTGGTTTTTGCTCCCGCCTGCCCCGTGAGCCAGGGGATGCACTCACAGCTGCTCTTTTTGATGTATAAAGTGTGTTTGAACATTATGCCAAATATCAAAATGTGAAGGACTAATCCAGGATGCAAAAACGTTATGGGGGGTTGTAAATACGAACTATACAACAGTTTAGGATGCAATTATGAGTGTAAACTGTGTGCCTTATTTATACTTCATTGTCTCCAGCTTCTCAGATAAAGTTTTGATGTGTTGTACAGTGGAATATCTTAGATACTTTTTGGAAAGTTTTTACATAAGTTATATCACAATTAAAATGTTGAATTTCAAAAAAAAAAAGAGGCATTCGTTTGAGATTGCCTGGGGTCCTGTGGTTTGCTGAATAAGACTCAGTGTGGGGAACTGTAGACTCTTCCTGAGAAGCTCAATTCCAAAAGGAAAAGGAAAATGCCGACTGGGATTCCCTGACAGGCATTGGTTAGCTGCTGTCTCTGTCCACTGATAACTGGAGCTTTCAGAAAGGCATCCTCTGCAGCCCAGCATCAGCTTCTCCGCCTGCTGTTCCCTCCGGGAGGCGGCCCGCACCTCAGAAGCAGACACCGTTGTGCCTGGGTCCGGTGGCGTCTGGCCAACAGGGGCTGGATGGGGGGCAACAGCAGCAGGAGGAGGACAGAGGAGGTGTTTACTCAGGGTCTCCTGTTAGGGTGCTGTGGGGTGTTGGGTTTCTCTGCTGGAAGCTGCAGCTCTGGTCACCACCTTCTCAAACTATAGGGCTGCCCACCGGGCATGGTGGCTCACGCCTGCAATCCCAGCACTTTGGGAGGCCGAGGTGGGTGGATCACCTGAGGTCGGGAGTTCGAGACCAGCCTGACCAACCTGGAGAAACCCCATCTCTACTAAAAATACACAATTAGCCGTGTATGGTGACACATGCCTGTAATCCCAGCTACTCGGGAGGCTGAAGCAGGAGAATCGCTTGAACCCGGGAGGTGGAGCCTCCTCCCATCTGCCCCCTCCCTTGGGCTTTCTGGAGGGATGGACAAAGTACAGTATTAAGGCTACTGCTTCTCTCTGTGCAAACAGCCCTCTTCCCATTTTAGGAAGGGAGTTGTCTATGCTGGAGAGACCCCCATGAACCAAGGAGCAGCTCAAAGCGAGCTTCCATGTCCTTCCAGGGGTCTGCGGATCTTCTGCTACTCTTTTAGCATCTCTGCTCTCCTCCCCTTCCCAGGCTCTGATAGAACCCTGAGGGCCTCACTTCCCTTGCTCCTGGACTTGCAACTAGGAATACATTTAAAAAGTCTCCTCCAGAGGAGCACAATTCCAGCTAAGCCGTTTGTTGTTGCTGTGAGCCGAGATCACGCCATTGCACTCCAGCCTGGGCAACAAGACTGAAACTCCACCTCAAACAAAACAAAACAAAACAAAACAAAACAAAACAAAACAAAACACTATGGGGCTGCCCTCCAGGGCCATGGATAAGACTTCTTCCCCCTCTCTGCAGCCCTGAGGCTGGTGACCCCTGGTTTAGTGGACTAAACATTACTGCTTTTCCTAAACTCTGCCCCTATCTTGGTAAAATGTCCCTTCATCCTAAGGTCCTTAATGTCAGCTGTTCGCTGCAGCATCCTGACTAATGCACAGCTGAGAGGCAGTCAGAAGCCAGCAACAATGAGGGTGATTTTAAAAGACCATGACGAATGTGTACACAGAATACTCAGTGGCCCCAATCCCATACAGGTGCTGAAGGTGGGCTACGAACTGCACACTAAGGTTCTGTAGGGAAATGAATTAGGATTGGTGGTAGATTTTCCACTGAATCTTCTTGTAATACAGTTCTCTAAGTGCTTCCCTGTACCCACAGTTCTAAATGATCTTCAGTGGAGCGTATTTGTCTGTGTGTGTGCGTGGGTGCCTTAATACTTCTGGAAGCATCCTCTTAACCCACTGTTTTCATTTATACACATATCACCTGTTTCATGGCTAGGACTTGGTAGGATTAGACATACATGGGCCAAAGGTAACTTCAGTCAGACCCTGTTTAATTATAAAATGGCAGAGTAAAATAGATCTAATATGTCAAGGGACACACCTTAAAGCTTATCCAGCCTGAAGAACATTAATGGTAAGTAGAAACAAGCGAACAAAGAAAACCTTTTGAAGTGGCAACAGAGGGGAGGGGTGGGTGCTGGCTCCTACTGAGTTGAGGACAGAGCCATTCCTCTCACTGATGTGCTTCTTCCCTGGAGGTGAGTGTGGGGTGCATGTGGGTGTGCGTG
This sequence comes from Homo sapiens, assembly GCF_000001405.40. Lineage (NCBI taxonomy): Eukaryota > Metazoa > Chordata > Mammalia > Primates > Hominidae > Homo > Homo sapiens. Next base: position 110,129,984 of record NC_000013.11, on the reverse strand, counting down.
GGGTGGATCCCATGCTGGTGCCAGGACTGCCAAAGTGTGCGTTGGTGGGAAAGAGAAGGAAGGGAGAGCAGGATCCAGTGTCCATTGTGCTGATTTTTTGTGGACACAGAAATGAGAAGGCAGAGAAGATGTCCAAGTCTTCTGTAGGAGAGCTCACCCTCTCCTGGGTAGTTAAGGTCAACCACACTGCATCCGGATCCTGCCAGGAACTTGGAACGCCCAGAGGGCTGGCAGCGACGCAGTGCTGGACATTCCCACCCCACCCGGGCTGCTGCGCTGGGGGCAGCCGGATCCACAGAGATGCAGAAGATGTTGTGGGAAGAGACCATGGGAGAGCCACAGAAGCAGAAGCGCCTCCCTCCCCACTCCCTGCACACCCACCCCCTAAGCTGGGAGCGCCCAACATGCAGCCAGAAAAAAAAAAATCGTTGAAGGCCGGTTCACATCTACTGCCTAGAGAGCAAATCCTCACTGATGTCAATTTCACGTATATGGAAGTGAATATATTCACTTCCTAGGCTGCTGAAACGAAGTGCCACAAACTGCCTGGCTGAAAATAACAGGAATTTGTGTCTCACCATTCTGGAGGCTGGAATTCTACGATCAAGGTGATGTCAAGGCCAGACTGTCTCTGAGGCTCGGGGTAGAAGCTGTCCTGCCTCTTCCCGGTTTCCGGTGGGGCCAGCGGTGCTCGCGGATGCTCCTGCAGGCTTGTACATGCGTCGTCACAACCTCCGCCTTCAGCCACACCCCGTGTTCTTCTTGTGTGTCTCGGTCTTCACGTGGCGTGCCTCTTTTTTATAAGGACAGTGGTTTTATTGGATGCGGGGCCCACCCCATTCCAATGTGACCTCGTTCTAATTAATTACATCTGCAAGGACCTTATTTCCAAATAAGGTGACATTCTGAGGTCCTGGGGGTTAGGACTTCAACATCATTTTTGGAGAAAACCATTCGACCTTTGACAATGCCCAAGTAAAACGGTTTCATTTTTAGCGAGTGGACGTTCGAGTTCTCTATTTGAGGCATTTTTCTCAAGGATTTCTAACAATAGCTCACGTTATAGGTTGCGTTTATTTTTCACCATAATGATTTTTAAAATGTCAAAGCCTTGGCCCAACGACATGGGTGAGTTTGTTTTTATTGTTAGAAAGGATTCTATGCTGCTTTCAAATGTCTGCAGGTTTATTTTTAGCTGGACAGGAAGTGCATCTTACGCTTATGTTGGTTTGTAGGCTGCCCCCTTTTTTGGAGGAATGTTATTGTTAGAAAACCACGTTCAGTTTGGAGATGAGTTTGGATTGAGCACCACGCAAATCTAAGTTATAATTATACTACTCTCCGCTATAGATTTTCCAAAATAATCTTTCTGTTCATCAGAATTTGAAACCTTTCAAATAATGGTTCCGTTTGTTATTCACAATTTCACAGCCCAGCAGCTGCCTTTTATTTGTCTTTAAATGAAAGGTCAAGAGGTTTTGATGTAACCTGGGGTTGAATTGAAGGTAGCATGTCCATGTAGTGAGATGTAAAGTGAAAAATAAAAAAAAAAAAACATAAAAATGCTATGTCGTGACCACAAGATACCAGAATCATTCTTATTTGTTATGACTAAACATCCAGTTATTTCAAAGGGAGGGAAATAGTTCAATCCAGAGCTTACCTAAATTTTTCATTGTTTCAGCAAAGGGGCTTGTGATTTGGGGGAAGTTTAGTTCTTAAGTAGAGGACCTTTCCATCAGACAAGCTGCTTGTATTTGTTGCTGGTGCCACGGATAAGCTAGTATTTCAGAAGAGAGCAAGGTAATCCCATCCTAATGCCGTAATGAGGGTCACAGTGAGGTACGGGAAACGGTGGGACTTTCCACCTAAAAATATCTGCCAGCAGTTATATTGTCAGTTGGCTGTGATCTCCACCTCCAGCAGTGAACCTTCGGGGAGGAGGTTCTTTGACCTTCCTTGGTGTGATTGCCTGGGGAAAGTGATCATTTCATGGAATCGTGTCTGTTTCTCCATCCTCTTCTTTGAGGGACTTCTGAATGAATAAGGTATCACTCTCACACCCCAAACCAACACTTTAACCCTCTGTTGAAATACTATTTAAAGGATGGTTGCATGAGGATGGATTCTATTTTTGCCTGTGACCAAACACAATGAGTCTTAAAAAATAGCCTAGATTTCTTTCTGCTTTGCCTTGAGTGATGATTACAAACACCCCAGCCTTCCACGTTGGTAAGGGCCACTCTCAGGTTCACTAGTATATCTGATGGTGACCACTTACTAAGGTGCCTCCTGTGAGCCGGGCACATATCATGTGTGTGGCACGTCCCATCTCATTTACTCCTTACAACAGCCAGATGAGCTACAACACCCAGATGGTGCTCCCTATATCGCCTTTACAGAGAGGTGACATGGTGGTATGGAGGTAGCCAGGAAAAACCGCGCGGAGGCTCCGACCATCCATCTCTTTGCTTTAGGCCTGGGATCACTTGCAGATGAACCATCTGCCCCCTCCCTTGGGCTTTCTGGAGGGATGGACAAAGTACAGTATTAAGGCTACGCTTCTCTCTGTGCAAACAGCCCTCTTCCCATTTTAGGAAGGAAGCTCTTTATGCTGGAGAGACCCCCATGAACTAAGGAGCAGCTCAAAGCGAGCTTCCATGTCCTTCCAGGGGTCTGTGGATCTTCTGCTACTGCTTTAGCATCTCTGCTCTCCTCCCCTTCCCAGGCTCTGATAGAACCCTGAGGGCCTCACTTCCCTTGCTTCTGGACTTGCAACTAGGAATACATTTAAAAAGTCTCCTCCAGAGGAGCACAATTCCAGCTAAGCCAATCATCCATTCGAACCTTCATGTCTTGGGTTATCGGTTTTCTACTGCAAGGGACGCACCTCGTTCCTTGGAGGGTTACATGGGGTTTGTTGATGGTGTAATCAATTGCCCATGTGATTTGGAAAGACAAACTCGGCGGGTTGAAGCAGGATGTATCCTTCCACATTTTAATTGCTCCCAAGAATGATCAGATAATTGCCTTCCTTTGAAGGATCCATGAGAATGTGCTGAAGTGTCCCAGCAAAACAAAAGAGAGTCTCTGAGCGGCTTCTATTCTTGTCTGGCTCTGTTGACAGCGATTGAATGCTCTGGGGAAGAGAAAAGGCTGGCAGGGAGCCTGGGCCCAGAGGAACGTGAGGAGAGCTGGGCCCCCTCCGAGAGACGTTAGTGTGCTGTGCTCATTAGAAGGAGAATGTGCCACTTGTACTGCCTTCTGCTTACTGCCCCTCCTCCAGGGAGGACTTGTTGAAGGCATGAGAAAATATGAAGCCCGACCCCAGGGCTGGCAGCTGCCGCTGCACCGGAGAGCCTGCCTCCGGGAGCCAGGGACGGGCCGACCTGAGCACACACTTCCTTCCTAGCCTTGTTACAAACATTCCTGTGAGATGGGCAATTCTAAAAGGCTTGGCTGGCTTTAAATGGAGATTGTGAAAAGGCTTAAGCACTTTTGTGAAGTCAGATGTGACTCATCTCCTGCCTGTCCTTATGACCTGCTCGTCCAAACAAGTGGATGCATTGGTGAGAAAAGAAAAGGAAAGAAAAAGGAAAAAGGAAAGAAAAAGGAAAAAGAAAAGAAAATACAACCTCGGTATTTACTTTTTTGGTGGTTTCTATGCTTGATTGTCAAAATCCCTGTGGAGATTGGTCAAAGCAACAGTTTCTGGTGTGACCGGGGACCCTGGCTGCGTTCAGGTGCTGGTTTCTAATGGAGAAGATATTTCTTTTTGTGTCCAAGAGTCATGGGTTGGGTGGTCTGGGGGTGAGATGATGTCAGGGTTCAGGCCACAGGGTGTAAATGCAGAAGGACTTCGACATTGCGGACTCCAAAGTCCTACAGGCAGGCTGGGCACAGGCAGGCCCCAGCACAGTGCCTGAGACGGACCTCTGTGTCTTGAATGAGATCACCAGTCCTGGTGGGTATTTCAAGGTTGTTATAAAGTCAGGCAATGGGACCAAGACAGAAGCTTTGAGGACAGAAACAGTGGTTCTATGAGTAGTTCAGTAATGCAGAATCAGGGCCACAGGAAGCTCAGCTTCTGCAAGCTGGTGGCTGCCTCCGTAAAACATGGGTCTTTACAAGGCTCGTGGCCGCTGCAGTTATCTGGGGTGTGCACTGGCTTTTATTCTGATCACTTGTGAGTCTACCTGTCTCCCTGTGTATTTAGTTGCCCTTCTGTTGTAAAGGGTTTAGGGCTTGGGAAGGGCTGGATTCCTGCCCCCAAGTCCTCACCCCTCCCTTGGACTAGTGCCATTGGACTGTGCCTTGGTTGTGTCCATGGACAGTTGTGCATGTGAACAGGCTTGACCACGTGCCCGGTGCACCAAGACATAAGGGCACCAAGTGCATCTCCTCACACCTCTTGCTCTCCTGAGCTCTGTCAGGAGACAGTGTGTCTCAGGTGGCTTCCTGGCCGTGAGGCTGACAGGTGTGGAACACACCTGAACTGAGCCCAGCCGATCCACCCCTGCAGCAGAACTGCACCAGCCCCCTGCTGGCCTTCAATGCAAAAAATAAAGGCTGTAGACCCATGAAGGTTGTACAGGCAATCCTGACCTCAATGGCGGGGATGGGCTGGTGCCCTCCCCCGAAGTAGGAGGGACCTCACAGTCCGTGATGACGCATTTAGTTCAGAGAGGGTGAGGACTTGGCAGCAGCAATCCCATCCACCCCGCTGAGCCACCGAGACTGTAGCCGCCGAGATGTTCAGAATTCACTTTATTAATCAGCACAAATGGATGAATAGAGCATCTTCAGGTCCCAAAGAGTCCTGGGTGAGCCTGGGTTACATGGAGGGTCAGCTGGGAGGTCAGAGGGACCTCAAGATGCAGAGCTGAGCCTGTCAGGACAGGAGGGTCCTAGCTGTAGAGACTTCGACAGGAGAAGGAGAAGGCAGGGAGCCCGGCCAGTCGTGTTTTTCTCAAAGCCCACCAACAGCAAAAGCAACAGCAGCAGCAAAACCCACAGACCTCATCGTTCCCGCAGAGCTCCTTCCTGGAGTCCAGCCACCGCAACGCATTGCCTTCCTGTCATTTGGGTGGTGTGTGCCGCATTCATAGTCATCGTTGGGGGGCGTCTCAGGAACCCCCTCACATCGCTGTCCCTTTCAATTACCCCCCATTTGATCTCCCTCTTTGAAGTGGGGCTTTGAAAGCACATTGACAGCATCATGTGGGTGACTGGCCCCGCTCTTGTACAAAGGTTTAAGGAGATTAGCTCAGCCCCTGGATAAGATGGGTGAACTTCATTGCTCCTTGGCATCCAGGCATTAATCTGTTCTCAGAGCTGCTTCTTGAAGTGGGGAGTGCCTAGGAGACAGGCTGCAGACCTCAGATAGTGAGGCCCTTTGTAGGACACACACTCTCAATAGCACTCGGCCTCCACTGTGCACAACAAAAGACATTTTCCTGAATTATGGGAGGCAAAGTCCATTAAGTGCAAAACTACGGTGGAAAAATGGCTATCACGGTTTCCTGGGAGGTAGCCCCTGTGATTACAAATCCCACAAACTTTCATACATGAGAATTCAGCAATAAACCCTGAATTTCCTGGGGGGCTGTCTCTTGTTAGTTTTTGTCAATCACAGCCTTTTGGAGTTCAAATGGTCTTCCTTGTGCTATCTGTAGTACTTCACCACCTTACGGTGCCACGATGCTATCGTGGTCCATTTCTGAGCAAAACAGATACTCCACAAATGACGTAGGTTTCCATCCTTTTAAGTCTTATTCTAATGTTGGAGAACCTGCATGCACATGTTTTTAATATCTAAATGCCATGAGAAGAAAATGTACCGATGAATTGTGTTTCAAAGCTGTTTTCAAGTTTTTAAAAAATCCCTAAAGCGAAGCACTCTCTTGTGTAGACTAAGTTGGGAAGGGTGCTCGTCTTCCTGGACCAGTTCACACGGGCTAGATAAACCATAACCGCTGAGTTAGGATACCAAATACTGCAGGAACTAACCCCAGTACCGACGAAGCTTCTGTCTGCAGAAAAAGAGTTACACATATCCTCTGGGCATTAGGAAAACATCCTCCTTGTTTCCTTTAGATTCCAAAGTCTCTCCTAGTTTCCCTCCTCTTCCCTCCCACGGACTTTGAAGGGGGAATGGAAGTCAGGAGCTGTGGCTGCTAAGACACAGAGGGCAAAGCCCTGGGAACACAGGGCTTCCCCAGCAGCCCCAGCCCGGCTGAGTGGCACGATGGGGATGGGGGCTCTTGCAGGAGCTACTGCCGTGGAAAGAGAGATTCAAAATCGCCGGTTCTGATGGGCAGCGGGAAGCATGGCTCCCATGCTTATTTGGCAGGGGCTTCCCTGGAAGTGGGATTGGACGCATATGGGTTTTGTCAGCACCTTCTTGCTGAGCAGGGTCTGGTGAAGCTGTAGAAGCTGGGGACCTTAAGTCGGTGGCCCTTTGTCAGAGATTCTGAATGGCTACCCCTTTCAGCTGTGATCCACAGAAGGCAGTTCCCGGCTCCTGCTGGGCTCCAGCCCGAGGTCCCTGGGTCCTCCCTGAGTCAAACCTGGGCGGGGGTGTGCTCGCCTTCATGTTCCGCTCTGTTAGAAGGTTTCCAAAGCAGCGCTCTTTGTGTCCCTGGGTTGAAAAAATTCTTTCCTGGAAGAGCTGTTGCAGTTTTAACTTAAGCTTTCTTTTTCCCCTAAGACCCAACTGTGTGCCCACAGGACTGGACTGAGTGGGTGTCTGCAGCCAGCTCCCTGCGGAGTCTTTGTGACCAGTCCAGTTTACACTTGGCTTTCTATTTTCTCAGAAACTGTGGTCTCCCAGGAGTCACGCCAGCTCCGGGAAGGTATGAATTCTATGAATGCTGTGTGGGTCGGTGCCACCATGAACAGGGCATGCCCAGGCACGTCTCACCCCCATGGCTTCCTTAGGTTCACCTGCTTTCCACTGGCAATTTGATTTGGCTGACAGCTCAGGTGCTCTTTATAACTTCTGTGGGGAAAATTAGAACCCTTATCTCATCAATTACATGAGGGAGGGCTTTCTATCAGATACCTCACCCCTTTCACATGTTCTTTAAAAATATCAGCAGAGATGAGTGAAATACTATTAACAACTAGTGGCTCAATCTCATTGACACAGAATGTCCAGACCCCTGATTATTTTCTGTGATGAGTTGAACTGTGTCTCCCGAAAAGTTCATGTCCTAAACTGGGTACCTCTGAATGTGGCTTTATTTAAAAATAGAGTCATTGCAGGTATGATTAGATGAGGCCATATTAGAGTAGGGTGGATTGTAGCCCAATATAACTGCTGTCCTCATGAAAAGAAGAAAACATCGTATGAAGACAGAGATGCACAGGGAGGGCGCTGTGTGAAGATGATGGCAGAGGTTGCAGAGATGCTTAAAGAGCCAAGAACATCAAGGGCCGCCGGCACCACCAGAAGTCAGGAAAAGGCAAAGAGGGTTCCACTCAGAGTCTTGGAGCATGGCCTCCCGATGCCTTGATTTCAGACTTCTAGCCTGCAGGATGATAAGACAGTAAATTCCTGCAGTTTTAAGCCACCCAGTTTGTCCTATTTTCTTACTGAAGCCCTAGCAAATGAATATACCATTTGTTGTGCACACTCACCTAGACTGGTAGATCTTTTATCCCCGTTTGAAGATAAGAACACCAGCCTCAGAGAGGTTGAGCAGTCTATTCAGCATCACACAGCTTTCCTGGAGCTCGAAGTGGTGCTTGGGCTGGTTGCCGTAGTTCTGGTCTCATCGTTTTGTTTGTTTTCTGCTTTTACCAAAAGGTACATTCCCCTGGTCTGTGAAGCAGGCGATGGAAAGGACCAACAAAGTGATTCAACAAAGTTTTGAAGTGTAATTTCCAGACATTAAGTGTTAAAATCAGTTTTGACAAGTGCATACATCCATATAACCCAAATCATGTCAAAATACAGAACTTTCCCATCACCCAGAGGGCGTTCCCATCAATTACAATCCTCCCACCTTTGATCTGACTTCTCTCCCTACAAGTCAGTTTTGCCAGTTCCTGACCTTCGTAGAGGGGGACTCACTCTATCTGTTTGGCTTCTTTCTTCTGCATGGTTTTAGATCGTCCACACTGTTAGGTACTCAGGGAATTGTTTCTTTTTATTGCTGAGTAGTTTCATGATATGAATTCACCGCAATTTGTTTGCCCATTCGCCTGGTGATGGACATTTAGGTTCTTTCCAGTTTGGGGCTATTATGATTAAAGCAGCTATACATAGCCACACAGCCTTGTGGATATTGTTCCTTTTGTCTCGGGTAAATACCTAGAAGTGGAATTGCTGGGTTACACAATGCAGGTTTATTTAACTTTATAAAGCAACTGAGAAACCATTTACAAAATAGTGAAATCATATGAAGATGAAGGCATGTCTGCTTGCTGCCCTGTGACAGCCCCCTCTTCCTCCTATGACACAGCACAGTCTAATCATGGTGAGAAAGTGAAATGGGTGCATTTGGCTTGGTAACTTGCTGATTTACAACCACACACAGATGGGTCCATGCAGGTGCTGGTTTTCACTGTCGTGTTTCGTAGACATCTCTAGACCTACATATTAAAGTCTCTGGAGGGACAAAACTAATATGGGAAAACTTAGAAATACAGTTTTATTTAAAGATAGAATTTACTTAAATATAGAATTTGTACCTAAACATAGAATTGTTTTACTTAAATATGAAATTTGTTTTACTTATAGAATTTTACTTAAGTATAATATTTGTATTTACTTAGCTATAGAATTTACTTAAATATAGAGTCAATTTCCTTGATTTCAAAAATAGCCAGCTCCTTTCCATAGAATTCACAGGTCGCAGAAGCTACCATTAGAAAATAACATGGATTTAGGGATCTTCTTGGCGTTTCCGTTTATCAAGCACATTCGCAGAATGGGCAGTTTCTTCCACATTCGATCTTACAGAAGGCTGTGGAGGACAACAGAGTAGAGAAACAGCAGGTCGTGTCTCTAAGGAGCCTGGCACAACTGCTAGTGGGGAGAGGGGAGAAGGATGGAAGAGGGTGAAGGAAGAGACGCGGGGAGCCAGGGGGAGCGGCAGGGAAGGGCCAGGGGAGAATGAGACGAAGTCCAAGAGAGGTGAAGAGGGGAGAAGCAGGAGACACGGATGCTGTGGCATAGAAGAACATGGACTGCTAGTGAATCACTCACAGAAGGTGACTCACAGAGACTGGGTCAACATCTCAGGTGGGTGCCACATAAACGTGGTGAATGGCGTGGCTTACCCCATCACTGCGTCAGGGACTGACCAGAGGACACAGAGGTGTGCCCTGCACACGCCACAATGTGTGCACAGTGTGGGGGTACAGTGAATGTCCGCAGCGGGGGGCTGGGTTTCATCTTCAGCTTTGTGGATGATGAATTCTTGATTGGGAAACCCAGCATCTCCCTGATGCCGACTACTCTGAAGATAAAACATCCACAGGGCACAGCAAGTCCCCGATTAAGGTTTTCATTGCAAGGTGGAATGTTGCCCCTTGGGTAACCGTGTGTCCCCAGGGATGGCAGAATGCCACAGCACACAGCACCTGAAAGAGACCTTGCCTCGCAATGTGGTGGGGCTGGCCCTGAGCACTGACTCTGTAATAACCAACTGTGAACCTGGGGCTGCGCCTCTGCCTCTCTATGCCTCAGTAGGTTCTTCTATGAAATGGTCATTATAATCATGGAGTATACAACATAACACAAACCACTGAGCCGTGTCCCCAGCATACAAGGTATGCTCCAAGGACACCAGCTCTTATTATCAATACTTCTCTTTACTCTTTTATTATCATGAGAGGAGTAACAGGAACACTTAGCGCTTAGCTACAAAGCATTCTATCTTTAGAAAGTTTGCATGATACAGGGTGGGTCCATTTAAGGTCTGGAATCTACCAGCTGTGACCTAAACTTGTTTAAGTTGTTATTTATTTTGTAAACCTATTAACATAAATTTTTGAATAGGTAACATTCATATGCTTCAAAAATAAGAAGTAAAACACTGAGAAATCTCTCCTGTTCCATTCACTCACCTCCTGCTTGTGCCCATCTCTACCACCCTAGGAAGCCACAATCATTTGTTTATCTGCTTCTAGTATGTATTAATGCATATAAAATAAATATATTTTTATTCTTTTTTTCTTGAGTTTTTTAGACAAAAGATTGCATACAATTCACATGTCTGACTTTGCTTTTTTATGATTAATTTAGTCTACCTTGGAGAGCTTTAAACACCAATATGCATAGAATTTGCTCCATTCTTTCATTACAGCTGCATATATTGCATACTATGGATGTACCACACTCTAACTAGTCCTCTTTTGTGGACTCTTGAGTTGCTTTTCTAACACTTCACTCTTACCAAAAATTTTGCCATAAATAACCATGTGCAGGCATATCTGTAGGGTATCTTCCCGGAATGGGTCAACAAGTATCAGCATTTTAATTTTAATTTTTATTTATTTATTTATTTATTTTTAGTTGGAGTCTCACTCTGTTACACAGGCTGGAGTGCAGTGGCATGATCTCAGCTCACTGCAACCTCTGCCTCCCAGGTTACAGCAATCCTCCTGCCTCAGCTTCCCGAGTAGCTGGGACTACAGGCATGCGCCACCATGCCTGGCTAATTTTTGTGTTTTTAGTAGAGATGGGGTTTCGCCAGGTTGGCCAGGCTGGTCTTGAACTCCTATCTTCAGGTGATCCACCTGCCTCGGCCTCTCAAAGTGCTGGGATAACAGGTGTGAGCCACTGTGCCCAGCCTAGCATTTTAAATTTTGATAGATATTGTACATTTTCCCTCTAAAACAGCATCAATTTACATTACCACCAGCAGTACACAAAGATGACTATTTCTCTTCAGCCGCAACAACAAGGTGTACTATTAAACTTATGGAAATGAGTCTAGGTCAAAAATACTATGAGTGAAGTTGAGCATCTTTTCAGCTATTAAAGGATCCTCTGATTTTTCTCTTTCTCAAACTCTTGTTCTTGTCATTTTCATACTTTTTATTGGATGGTTAGTCTTTTTTAAAAGTAATTTTTTTTTTAGAATATCTGTGATGAAAGTTACATATATTTCTGTCCTTGATTTTGAACTCAATTTTGTCTATGGTATTTTAAAATTATTTTAATTAATATTCCATGTTGGCACGTAGAATTCCTAACACAAATTCAGAATTTTCAACTTTTTAAAGGCTTCTCTATACTGAATCACCAGTTTGCAAGTTCTGCTCTATCCCAAGACGGCGGAGGAATTCCCCCATGTTTCCACGGGAAACGCTCATGGTTTCCCTATTGACATTTGGGTCTGCTGTCAGTGGTGTGCTTGTGAGGACCTGGAATCAGCCGTGGCAGGGTATTTTTGCCATGAAATTGGCAAATGCCAAATTATCCAGGGTTTTTTTTTTTTTTTTTTTTTTTTTCTTAGAGCCATTTAGTAAGCCCTTGTGAGCATGCTACCACCTTTAATCGACTTGAATTTTTAACCGGATGTCTGCCACTTCCCATAGCAGGGTTAGTGCATCCCCTGGGACGGGAGGCAGTCAAGGGCAGGCACCGAGCCCATGAAAGCCTCGACAGAGGCAGCTCTGCTCCCCTACGAGCTCCAGCAGGAAGCCCGCAAGGACCCATTTTCCCCATGTTCACGGAGCTGGACTGGAAGCCCAAGCTGGTCCAGCCGGCACGGGCAGTCAGAGGTTGGAAGCTGGGGGGGCCTCCCACATTTCTGCTGGATGCTGGGGCCCAGAGCACTGCGCTTCCTTGTCAATCAACATGTTGTGATAAGGGGAATATTGGGGGTGCATCTATCACCTCAGGGGGAGAAGCATGAGTTTAATGGTGGAGGAAAGGTTGACCTTAGTGTATGACAAATTGTTTGTTTGTTTTTTTCAATTGTTTGAGAGACCTAGATTTTCTTTAATGTTCGGGTAGGTGGGGACCAAGGAGGCAGCCAGGACAGCACCTAATCACAGGTGCTGAGAAGGGCTCAAGTCCCAGGCAGGTCCTGGTGGCTCACGCCTGCACTCTTAGCACTTTGGGAGGCCAACGTGGGTGGATCACTTGAGGTCAGGAGTTTGAGACCAGCCTGGCCAATATGATGAAACCCCATCTCTACTAAAAATGCAAACATTAGTCAGGAGTGGTGGCACACACCTGTAATCCCAGCTACTCAGGTGGCTGAGGCATGAGAATTGCTTGAACCGGGAATGTGGAGGTTGCAGTCAGCCAAAATTGTGCCATTGCATTGCAGCCTGGGCTACAGAGCAAGACTCTGCCTCAAAAAAAAGGGGGGGCTCAGGTCCCCCAATTCCTGCTTGGCACCTGGTACCCAGCTCCCATGGGAGACAGCAGGGACCGCCTCCCGCCTTCTGAACCTCCTGAGAGTCCATTTCATGTTACCTCCTTTCTTTTTGTGCTTGCTATGGATTGATCGGGGTCATTTAGTGGCTGTTTTTCTTCATATTTTATTTAAGCCAAATTCTTAAATAAACATACCTTGGAGGTGCAGGCAGATAATACCAGTGGGAGATTTTCCTGAAGTCCTGAAATTTTCTAACAATGGCTCTACGTGGAATTGTGTCTAGCACAATATTTTTTAAAAAATTAGAGTAATTCTCATAAAAATAGTCGTTGACTCATGTTCATACAAAAGAATTTTGCCTCTAATTTTTTTCCTTTCCATGTTTTTTTCTCTTTGTGCCTAACTCTTCTGCTCCCCACGCCCCAGAGGAAAACTCCTTACAATTCTTCCCTTAAATAACTGTTGAAAGGATGATGGAGACGCTCCTGGGGTGACCGAAGGAAAAAGGGGAAACCCATGGTAACATGAAATGAACTCTCAGGAGGTTCAGAAATTGTGTCTCGGGGTATTTAAAGCTCATCTGGGAAGAGCGTTAGATGCCTTAGAGGAACTTCCCCAAAGGGCAGGGAAGTGTCAAATCGGCCCCTTGCTCCGCTCCTGACTCCCCGCCATACAGGGCATTGCCGCACCTTGAGGGCCCAGCATGGGCGTTCCTGCCTCTGAGCCTCTCTCCCTGCTGCCCTTTCTGCCCAGCCAGGATGGCCACCCACTGCCAATGTGAGCTCACAAGTCATCATCTCTCTGGAGGGTCCTAGTCCCCACCCGGCCTTCTAGGCTGTGTTGTTTCCCTTTTCCGTTCCCACACCACCTTTGCTCATTTCTGTGAAAGCACCGATCCCATCGCATGCAACACTCGCCCCCCGCAGCACATGTCCTATTGTGGTGCACTCTTGAAGAGTGGGCCAATCTTATCGTTTAAAAAAATTTCCTTTGACTCCAGCTAAATGCACATGGAATATTCTAAGCAGATGTTTGAATGCATGAGTTTGCATTTGCACGCGTGCACACACACACACACACACACGGCCCTCCATAGCAAAATGCATCACTTTTTCGTTATTTAAAACATTTAGATAATTCTGGTAAAATTATGCTCTGTTTTCCCCTATGTTTTCTTCCTTGTTTTGCAATCCCCTTGTCTACCAAGGATCTCAGCAAAAAAAAAAAAAAAAAAAAAAAGTCTTTCCCTTGGATAATGCTCGTATTAGCTTCCTATTGCTGCTGTAACACATTGCGACACACTCGGGGCTGAAAACTGCACGGATGCATTGCCTTCCAGTTCTGTGAGTTGGAGTCTTGGCGGGTCTCCGGCGGCGCCCGGTTCTGGAGGCTCAGGTCGGGGAACCGCGTCCTTCCCTTCCCAGCCTCCAGAGGGCGCCCCTGCTCCTCGGCCGGTCTCAGACCTAAGCGCGCGCCTGGCCTAGGAGCGCTTGCGCCAAGTCCCAGAAGGAAAACCCGCTTTTTAGCGGGTAGAGGATCAAATGATGGCAGAGGAAAACACGCAAGCACAAAAAGAAATGGAAATGGATAGACGTTTTCCATTAAAAAAAAAACTCACTACTTTTTCTCCTATATCTTCAGTATCTGTGTCTTCTTTTCTAACACAACACAAAATACAAAACTGAATAGAAAACAAATGTGAATTTTAAAAAAAGCAGTCAACTTGATTTATCACAAACATACGTGCAAGCTATGCTCTAGCAAATATATGTCGGTGTGTTTTATGTTCGTTCAAATTACGTAAGTCACACAACAGAAGGAAATATTTCAATTCTTCATGGTCTTCTATAAAGCACACAACTTACTGGAATTGTGGGTTCTCTACCATTTGCACACATTTGAAGATTTTAATCAGATCCAGTTGGTTTTCTTATATTGCATCCTTTGGTTTTCTGATGCAGGGCCTGCAGCTGCATCTGCTTAAATGCTGAACATTTCAGGAAACTCCCTTCTGACCATGGCAGCTTAATTCACTGGTAGCCACGTCAAGATTTGAGGCACTTTTCTCCTGTTGGGCAGTCTCCGCCCTTCCTGCACCTTTTTGCAGCTGGCCACGCCCCACAGAACTCAGAGCACACCTATGCCTTGCACTGTTCTGGGACATCCTCGAGTGTCGGTGGACAGATCAATCGTCTTACCGTGGCTGCTTCTCCTCAGCCGGAGAGAGACCACTGAGGCGCAGAGGAATGAGAGGAGTCCAGCTATGGCCTAGGCAAGTCCCCTGGCCTCATGGACCTCAACCCATTGGCTAACAGAGAAAAAGTGCTGCCCTGCATACCTCATGTGATACGACTGGAAGAGATAATGGTCATAAAAACATATAGTCTTTTTAAAAAGTAGTGGAACTATCTCAGGTTCTTTAACCTTTCCTAACAGTACCCATAACCTATTTCACTGGACAGGTCCACCTAGTTCAGAGTGCAGTGAGACTGTTACACCTCCCACAGCCTGGACATCACACTCAGGACATCATATGTCTGTTGTTTTCTTTAAAAATTGCAGGGACATTATGCAGTTGGAATCACCTCTGTAGACAGCAGGTAGAGTGTGTTACTCTAAGAGGTGAACCTGCTAAAAACATCAATCAAGTCACACACAGTTGCTAAATGCTCAGTAGAAAAACAAACTCTGCTACAGGGAAGACAAAATTGGCAGAAGACATAGTATCACTCTCAGGAATTTATGGAAGAGTTGAGAGATCAGACAAAGCACATAAAACCACCAGAGAGCAATATAAGACAATATGTAAAGAAGGATAAATCACCTGAGGAAAGACAGAAACTCCACTGGCCTCAGAGATGGGAGAATGTCAAGGAAGGCTGCAGGGAGAAGGAGAGGGGGCAGCCCAAGTCTCGAAGGTATGAATTTGAGCTGGAAGAGAGAGAAAAAAAGGTCAAGTTGCCAAGGAAAAAGAGAATAGCACATAGAAGGGCTATGAAACAAACATCTGGAATGAAAACAAACCACCTCAAGGAGAGTTTACATAAGATCTGTATATAAACACACAGTTGCAGGAAGTTGAGCTTGTTTGAAGGATACAGCTAACATTTAGGAAGGAAACCTGCCCTTTTCCCCAAATATC
The DNA here is from genome assembly GCF_000001405.40 of Homo sapiens. Taxonomy (NCBI): domain Eukaryota; kingdom Metazoa; phylum Chordata; class Mammalia; order Primates; family Hominidae; genus Homo; species Homo sapiens. The sequence goes on along the minus strand of NC_000013.11, from coordinate 110,114,498 downwards.
TCTTGAAGATGCTCTCAGAGACTGACCGTGTGTCATTCCCTTAGTCATTCATTTACCAATACAAGCCAGCCACCCTCCAGTGACAGATGTGGGGGCATGAGTGTAAATGTGGCACTGGGTCTCCCCTTGGGGGGTTCCCGGCTTAGCTGGAAGGAAAAGCACACACATTCTGCTTTTATCAGCACGTACTCTGGGCTTCACCCGAGCTCTGTCTGCAGTGATTTGGGAGGACGGAGAAAGGAGCAATTCATTGTGCCAGGTGAGGGCTCTGGGAAGCATTCATATCACAGATGGCATTGCAGCAGGTTGAGGAGGGTACAGTGTTCCCCACATAGATGGGGACAACGGGCATTCCAACAACCCTGCCTGAGACATACATGGAGAGACCAAGCACAGAACAAATGTATGCAGTGGCAGACACTCCAGTGCGTCCTAGGGCTGTGTTTCAATCAGGGAGCTCATCAGATAACATGGAATGCTTTCCCCAAATGCACCGGGCAGGATCCCTCCTCTGGAGGTTCTAAGTGGCTGGATCCTGGGCATGGGGATTTGAAAAATCTCCCTACAGGATTTTGGCGTGAACCCTTTGTTAAAAAGCAAGGCGTGGGGGCGAGGGTCATGGGCGGCTGGGGGTTGAGAGGGGAGGCTGCCCCAGCCTGTATGGTGGCCCTAAAGGTAACTCACACCGAGCTCTGACATTCTTCCCTTCAGGAGATGGAGCTTCATTCCCCTCTTCTTGAGTGTGGTTTGGACTTAGCAACTCATTTCTAGCAAACACAATCAGGCAGCATGAGGATGTGCGATGTTTGAGATTGGGTTGCACAAAGGCTGTGCAGTTCCTCTTTACTTTCTCTCCTGGGCCTCTTACTCTGGAGAAGCTGGGTGCCTTATCATGCAGATACCCTGCAGCCCTCTGCAGGAACCCAAGTGGGAAGGAACTGAGGCCTCTGGCCCACAGCAGGGGGATGACATTAAACATGATCCTCCAGCTCTGGCCAAGCCTCCCAATGCCTGTGGCCCTGGCTGACATCCGGATTGCAACCTCATAAGACAGCAGGAGCCAGAAACACCCTGTATTCATCATACCTTTTTAGTTCTGATGACACATCTCCTTGCTGACACAAGAGAGCCTGCCCCTTCCAGGGCTAGCTCATTCCTAGAGACAGCAAACATGCTTTGAGCATGCTGTGGGTGCAAACCAACCTGGAACCCACACCATAGCCACCACCTTTATAGGGCTTGCTCACTCTGGGCCAATGCTCACCCTCCCTAGGTGCCCCGGGGCCAGCAGCAGACAATTAGGACAGACACCCCCAAGTGTGCTGATGGTGCCTCACCTCACTTTTCCCACACAAAGCGCAGTAAAGGCAAGAACCCAGGTCTCGTCTGCTCCCTCTGCCCCTTGACCCACTTGGAGCTTCCCTATGTGCCCCCCATGGTGTGGCGTGACCCCTTACCATGGTGTGGCGTGCCCCTGTGCTTTTCTTCCTGGGAACTGTGAGAAACAAACTGTCTTTCAATGGCAATCATCTCCTGCCCCACTGGCTTCCTCATCCTTACAAACCACACGTTATACAAAACACCCAGCTCAGCTGCTCTTGAATTCCCACCCCACAGAATCTGTGAGGTCATGAATGTAGGTTGTCTGAAGCAGGTAAATTTTGTGGTGGTTTAATTATACAGCAGCAGATAACTAACACAGCCTACGAAGATCTGGAGATTTGGAAATTAGGGAGATACTACAGTTTTCAAGGACAGCAACATGCTGAGTCTCTAATTTATTATTAGTTTTTAAAACAAAACCATTTATCTTCTCAGTTTTGATGGGTCAAGAGTTTAGGAGCCGTGGGGCTGGAAGGCTCTGGCTCAGGGCTTTTCACAAGGTTGCAGTCAAGGTGTTGATGGGGGCTGTGGCCAGCAGAGGGCGTGACTAGGGCTGGAGGACTCGGTCTTTTTTTTATTATTATTATACTTTAAGTTTTAGGGTACATGTGCACGATGTGCAGGTTAGTTACATACGTATACATGTGCCATGCTGGTGTGCTGCACCCATTAACTCGTCATTTAGCATTAGGTGTATCTCCTAAAGCTATCCCTCCCCCATCCCCACACCCCACAACAGTCCCCAGAGTGTGATGTTCCCCTTCCTGTGTCCATGTGTTCTCATTGTTCAATTCCCATCTATGAGTGAGAATATGCGGTGTTTGGTTTTTTGTTCTTGCGATAGTTTACTGAGAATGATGATTTCCAATTTCATCCATGTCTCTACAAAGGACATGAACTCATCATTTTTTATGGCTGCATAGTATTCCATGGTGTATATATGCCACATTTTCTTAATCCAGTCTAACATTGTTGGACATTTGGGTTGGTTCCAAGTCTTTGCTATTGTGAATAGTGCCACAATAAACATACGTGTGCATGTGTCTTTATAGCAGCATGATTTATAGTCCTTTGGGTATATACCCAGTAATGGGATGGCTGGGTCAAATGGTATTTCTAGTTCTAGATCCCTGAGGAATCGCCACACTGACTTCCACAAGGGTTGAAAGGCCTTTGACAAAATTCAACAACCCTTCATGCTAAAAACTCTCAATAAATTAGGTATTGATGGGACATATCTCAAAATAATAAGAGCTATCTATGACAAACCCACAGCCAATATCATACTGAATGGACAAAAACTGGAAGCATTCCCTTTGAAAACTGGCACAAGACAGGGATGCCCTCTCTCACCACTCCTTATTCAACATAGTGTTGGAAGTTCTGACCAGGGCAATTAGGCAGGAGAAGGAAATAAAGGGTATTCAATTAGGAAAAGAGGAAGTCAAATTGTCCCTGTTTGCAGATGACATGATTGTATATCTAGAAAACCCCATTGTCTCAGCCCAAAATCTCCTTAAGCTGATAAGCAACTTCAGCAAAGTCTCAGGATACAAAATCAATGTGCAAAAATCACAAGCATTCCTATACACTAATAACAGACAAACAGAGAGCCAAATCATGAGTGAACTTCCATTCACAATTGCTTCAAAGAGAATAAAATACCCAGGAATCCAACTTACAAGGGACGTGAAGGACCTCTTCAAGGAGAACTACAAACCACTGCTCAATGAAATAAAAGAGGATACAAACAAATGGAAGAACATTCCATGCTCATGGGTAGGAAGAATCAATATCGTGAAAATGGCCATACTGCCCAAGGTAATTTACAGATTCAATGCCATCCCCATCAAGCTACCAATGACTTTCTTCTCAGAATTGGAAAAAACTACTTTAAAGTTCATATGGAACCAAAAAAGAGCCCGCATCGCCAAGTCAATCCTAAGCCAAAAGAACAAGGCTCAGTCTTTGTTAGATAAGGTATCTGGGAGAGCTGCCAAGGGGATGGTAAGGGGGTGAGCAGAGATGGGAAAGCGCCACGTGGGACACCGTTCTGTCCCGCCACCCAGCCCGCCACGCAGCCCTCCACGCAGCCCGCCACCCAGCCCGCCACGCAGCCCGCCACGCAGCCCGCCACCCAGCCCGCCACCCAGCCCGCCACGCAGCCCGCCACCCTGGCCAGCCTTATCTTCTTAGTCTGTTAATCTTCTGCTGATATTGTTTGTTTGTTTGTTTGTTTGAAATGGAGTTTTGCTCTTGTTGCCCAGGCAGGAGTGCAATGGCGAAATCTCAGCTCACTGCAGCCTCCGCCTCCCAGGTTCAAGTGATTCTCCTGCCTCAGCCTCCCGAGTAGCTGGGATTACAGGCACCCACCACCACACCTGAATAATTTTTTATATTTGTTTTAGTAGAGATGGGGTTTCACTATGTTGGCCAGGCTGGTCTCGAACTCCTGGCTTCGGGTGATCTGCCTGCCTTGGCCTCCCAAAGTGCTGGGATTATAGGCATGAGCCACTGTGCCTAATATTCTGCTAATGTGACCATCCTAGACTCCGTAGTAAGAGATTCTAACTTTGAAAACAGCAGAGTTTGCCTGATTTTATTTGCTATTTTTCAAAGCGTGCTGTTTCATCAGTGCCTATGCAATGATGTCTATTTTCCATTGGGGTCCTGTCAATACCAGGTGAAAGAGGGGCACCTGTCAATACCAGATCTACTTGGCTGCTCTCCAAGAAGATCTGGTATTTACGGTTGCCCCTCTTTCAAGCTCAATCCCTATCTGTTTGGAGTCTAAAACAACCTGCAGACTTTCTTCTTCCCTGTGGGTTTTCCCTTGTTTAGTTTATTTATATCGGAAGACTCCACGAAGGGATCAGAGCGGACAGCTTGGGACTGAAGGGCACGTGGTGTCTGACTGGTTAGACAGTAGGGAAATAAGAGCTCCACAGAGGGAAGGGAATGGAGTAGCTAGCGCTTGGAAAGAGACGGCTGGGGGTTGACTTGGCAGCTTCTGGGAGTGCATGGCAGGCTTATCCCTCCGTGGAGGACAGGCCTGACTCAGCCGCCTGTCTCCATAGGGGGAGGAACAAGGCGGAGGCGTGCATGGCCCGGCTGCAGGACAGCTCAACAGCAGGAGCATCAAGGGCTGCCAGGGCCCTGCAGAAGGCACCGCTCCGCCGCAGAAACTGCCTTTTCCGTATTAGGATCATGATCCTGTAAAGGTGCAGCTGCTGTACCATGCTAATGAGCTCTTAAAATCTGTATTGCAGCACGTAAGTAAAAAGTCTGAACAAACTGTCTTAAAGAAAGAAGACGAAGAAGAATGAACTATCAGTCACTGTTGTGAGCACTCTTTGAGGAGGCAAGGAGAAGTGTGCTTTTAGAATTGACTGCGTTTTAAAGGACACAATGCCATTTTCTTGGAACTGGAGCAAGATAGAAATGTATGAATTTGTTGTCCCAGAGGGTGACGAAACTGTCTCTCAGGCAGAGTTCAAAGACCCCGAGGGACCCAGGAGATTTGTGGGAACGTCAGTTAGTGGGTTTCCTTTTTCATATGAAAAGGCTCCAGCAGTTAACCAGGCGTATTTAGGAGCATGGTGATGTGAATTTCCAAGGCTCCTCGGGGTAGCATTGCAGTTTCAGACCACACAACAAAGTGAAGCTTCCTGAAATTCAAGACATTGTTGGGGACTTATCTCCAGTAAGGATCAGTTTAGGGACACATAAGGGAGACAGGCCACGCCTCTCTCCTGGTGTCCTCTAATACCCTTAGCCAGCAAGCACCTTAGACTACGGGAAGGGGGAAAATGGGGAAGAGGTCCCACTGATGTGGATAGATGGTCCAGTAGGGGTGTTTCTGAAGCCTGTGCCTGGGGTCTTGGCGCTTTCCCCTTCTCTCTGCCGGGGCTAGTCCCTGACTCCTGGCCCCTGCACCCTATATGTCCTTTTTCTTGTCTGAGCCTAGAGACAGAAACCACCCAAGACCAATGTCAACTTGCCATGTCAGCCAGGAGCCTTCCCCTGGGTGGCAGCACACTCCACACAAAGCAGGCAGAGCAGGCCCGCTGCAGCATCCAGGCCCTGCTGGGAGGGATCCCTACTGGAAGTGCACTCACAGCCTGGTCAGCCTCATTCCTGGGCCTCTTGAGGCTCCCATGCATTTGCCAGAGCCCGCCCACACTTGCACTCCTACACTCACTTAGAAACACACACACACACTGCCACAGCCACACACACACTCACATGTACACAACCACATCAACACTCACACACTTATTCACAAACTCACACACACACTCATACATGCACACAGGTGTATACTTGCACATCCACACTCATAAATGCACATCCACAGCCCACACAACCTCATGCACATACACATATACACACATTCACACTCATCTCTACCCACACACATGCACACTTATTCACAAACTTATACATACACACACAGGCCCATACTCACACACACCCAACACAGGCAGTCACACACGCACACACCCTCTCACTCTTGCACGTGCACACACATTCTCACACACACTCCTATACTTATTCACATACACACTCTGTGACACACTCATGCTTGTAGACACTCACATGCACACTCGCCCATACCTAACATGATGTTACACACACTCAATCACAGCATGCTCACAATCAAACCCACACACTGTCACACACTCACACACGTGTGTTCTGTTGCACACTCACACTCTCACACTGGTGCAGTGCCTCCCTTGGGCACCTGCTGTCTTTGGCTCTAAAGCTTACGGAAGTGGCGGCCTTGCCCGAGCCAGGCCTAGTTGCTTGCTAGGGCCTTGTTAATGGCGCCTCAGTGTGGAGAACGGCGGGAAGTACGTTTTGCTTCCCAGGGTGGTTGATCCCGAGACCACAGGTTCCAGCCTGTCTGCCGCCCCAGGGTGCTGACAGGAGCTGCCTCCACTGCCTTGTGTGCCATGTCTATATTAAATTAGGGGTCCCCATGTCCCCAAGGCCCACTCTCCGCTAGGCTGTGCCCCTGACGTTCACAGAGGCAACACCCTCTTTGATGACTTACCAGCGTCCACAGAGTGACTCCAAAGGCCAGAAGTGCCAACAACTCAACTGGGCACTTGGCACCACACTTGGAACCTCCGACTGCCCCAAGCATGTGACCCGGGAGCCTCCTGGATCCATGCTGCTGTGGCAGCTCCCTCCAGAACTTCAGGTCCCATCGCCAAGGGATCCCTGAGAACAGGGCTGACGGAGAAGGTCTGGGCCTAGTCTTAGCAGTGCCACCCTTTTGTGGAGGGACAGTGTTCTGAGCCTCGATATCCTCCTATGGAAAACAAAGGTTTTAGGACTTTGATCTTAGTGCACTCGGGCCACTGCAATGAATTGCCACAACCTCGGGCTTGACACAAGAAGTGTGTTTTTTCACAGTTCTGGAGGCTGAGGGTCCAAAATCATGGGGTCCACAGGCCGTGGTCCCTCTGAAGGCTCCGGAAAGGGTCTCCCCTGCTTCCAGCCTCTAGTGCTGATGCAGTCCTTGGCATTGCTCGGCTTCCAGCCACATCGCTCCCGTCTCTGCCTCTGTGGTCACTTGAGGTCTTCCCTGTGTGTCTCGGTATAAATTTCCTCCTCTTAGGAGGACCTCCATCATTGGATTAAGTCCCCAGGTAAGCCAGCATGACCTCATTTTAACTCGATCACATTCACAAATACCTATTTCCAAATAAGGTCCCATTCACAGGTACGGTTTACAACTTGAACTTGGCTTTCTGGGAGACACAATTCACCCCTAACACTGACCTTCAAGATCGTGACATTTAGAGATGATGTGTAACCAGAGATTATTAATATTACAGTAAATGACATGAAGAAAAGGAATAAAGTGTCAGGCAGCTCTACCCACCAGCCTGAGCACATTTCTGAATCTAACTGGCAGCTCAGTTTGGGGGCAGTTCTCACCCTCATCTGATCTTCTGCTGCTCAGGACTGAGAGTCCTGCTTTAGAATCTGCTCAGCCCTAACATCTCAGGGCCCCACAGAGGCTCGGCCTTCCTTCAGCGAGGCTGAAGGACCTGGGAGGTCTCTGAGATGAGGTATGGGGGAGTGCCACTCTACTTCCTTATTAGGGGCGAGCTGTCTTGGAGCTGGTCTCGGTAAAGAGCTGTCTCTGCTCCTGCCCCCAGCCTGCTCTGCCATGCAGTGCCTCTGGGCAGCTTCCCAGGGCTCAGGTCCAAGCTGCAGCTCCTTGCCTCAGAGCACACACTGCTTTTAGCTTCAAAGTCATGGTCAGCACTCCAGCCCCAGCTCTCTAAGCCTGAAATTCAAAGCAATTCCCAGAGTCAGCGTGGCCTTTTGGAGGTACCCCCTGTTATTCATCGATGGAGCCCCTGTTCCCGTGCAAAGGACAGCCCACGTAATCACAGCTCCATCCTGCGCCAGGCCTCGGGGAATGAAGTTCATCCTCATGTTGGATGGCCGATGTCCTCCATAAACATTCCACAGCTTCGTAAACTCATGACTGTCTTTGAACACAGGCTGTTCCTATCAACCTTCAATCTTCAACTCTTTCCCTTGGGCGACCCCTTCCCAGAAAACCTGGCGTTTCTACACTTTCATCTTTAACGGAGTGTCTTTGATATATGCTGTCACTTCTGTAATATACTTGTGAAACATTTTCTATGACTATTGTCGTAAAAGAGGAGACCAATCCTCAAGCCATATAACAACAGCAAGAAGTCCATTGACCAACATAAACATATGTCTACATAATTAATGCTGTTTCCTCTAAGAAGCTGGCTTGCATGTGAAATGAATGAGAGGTGCTGATAATGAATTGAGAAGTAGTCGCCATACGGCTAATGGTTCCAGGACCTGTCGTTGGCTCTGGAGACAGAGTGCTGAGTTAGGTATCATGGCTCCATCTTCACCTGCTGGCTCTGTGTCCTCATGGGAGTGAGTTAACTCATCCAAGCCTTAGTTTAGGCATCTGTAGAATGGAAATACTAGTAGGCCCCATCTCCTAAATGGATTCTCAGCTTGCCCTGATGCTCCCGCTGCTGGGCTGTCCTGCAGGCCGGCCATGCACCCCTCTGCCTTGCCCTGAGGTAATCCATGTGCAATTCCTTACTGTGTTACTTGGCTCATAGAGGCACTTAGTAAATGTTAGGCATTTATTCTTAGCAATCACACTATTAACAGAAATAAAGGAAGCCAATGGAACAGTGATAGAAAAACCTGGAACTTGGGTTCAGAATGAACTCTTTCATGTTCTAGTTAAGTTTCTTCAGAAAAGTCAAAACTTCTTCCAACCTCACCCACTGCACCTCTAAAATGGGATAATAATGACATTCCCTCACACGGATGCCATGAGGCTGCAATGCATGGAAAGATGTGGAGTTGCTATTCCAAAGTTATTTATCACTAAAGTCATTCAAGCTCTGTTTTATTCCCAAGAAATAGGTAGGAGAGTTAAAGACATCTTGACTTTGTAGAATGAATGAGACCACATGTGCTGAAGTCCTTCAAAGTTTGTCAAGCTTTCACCATGTGAGGCACCACGATGGTTACTAAGGAGACACTGAGCAAGGGCCATAGATGTGGCTTCCAGTGTAGGTCTTGAAAAGGACATGACTTGTCCATGAACCTGGACTTGAATTCTGGCCCTCATTCCTCTCAATTAAGTGTCGCCGTGAGTGGCTGGGCCACTTTTGCACGGAGTTACTTTCGGTCAGCTGCCTCTGCCTGCCCTTGCTAAGTTCTCAAGAGAGCAAATGTCACAGCAGTCTGTGCCCTGGGAACAGGGAATGGGCCTCACACTGTCCCTCCCACCACATGGCCCCTGTCTTGTGCTTTAAAATATGACATCTAAAAAATGCAAACCTGCCAGTACACAGTGGAGTCTAATCTCATGATGTCAGAATGCTTGGCAGGCCTTGAGATATCGTTGAAGATAAAGCCGAAGGGGGCACTATGGGAAGTGCTCCTGCCATACTGTGGGGAGAGACTTTTTCTAAAATAACATAGGAACTGTTTGTCAGGGATGGAAGAGTTTGGTGGTGGTGGTTGTGGTCATGTCTTGGACACCATAAAAAAGGTGGGAGGAAAAATCTGCAGAGGACCTGCTGAGACACCGTGGGAAGCAGCCTGCATGGGGGCTGCCCTCTGGGAAGGAGCAGGCTGTGTCGGGCAAGTTGCTAGCTCCAGGGCCTGGGCACGAGGCTGTGCAACATGGGCCGGATTGGACTGCTCCTCACGGGACCAGCTTCTCGCTCACCTGGCAAGGCCCAGGCAGAGAAGCCTGAGGTGGGCTCCCACAATCACAGACCCAGTGCATTTGGAAACAAACAAACAAAAAACAAAACGCCAGCTCTGGCTCCCAGATATGGATGAGATGTTACTGTCCTCCTCCCACAGGCAGGTGCAGGGCTTAATCCAGGTGTTCTCAGACAGCGGTCCCTGCACCAGCAGCATCACCATCACCACCATCACCTGGGCTCTTGTTACAGGTGCAGATTCTGGGGCCCCATCCTGCACCTTGTGAATTAGCAACTCTGGGCTAAGCCCCAGCAATCTGCGTTTAGCAAGCCTGTCAGGAGACGCTGACGCCAGCTCAATTTGGAAGCTCTGGGCTTATTTAAACATAAGTCTGAAGATATACATACACATATTTAAAGTTATAAGGGGTTAAAAATAAACTGCTTTTTTCTAGTTATTCATTTTCTAGGAATTTATTGCCTTTCTAGAGATTTATTCTATGGATACACTCATATAAGTATGTAAAGATGTGGGCATGAGTTCTATTAGAAGTGAAAGTAATATAAAGGTTTATCAATAAAGCAATGGTTAAATAAGCTGTGTTGTATATACGATGGAAACCCAAGCTTCCTAAGTCTACATCTAAGTATTAAGATAATAAGGTAGGTTTATAGATACTCATCTATACACATGACTAAGATATGTTGTTAAAGGAAAAAAAAAACAAGTTGTAGAACTGTATACAGAATGTAATCCCCTAGTGTTTGTAAAAGGAGGCCACACACACACACACACACAAGCATATTAGTTTGTGTCTGGAAAATACACAACATGAGCTTGTATTAATCTAATAATATTACAACTACCCCATGATAAGAAACAAAAGTCAAAAAATTAAACGGAGAAAGAGTCTCCAGCATTTCTCTGGGCACTGCGCTTCCTCAAGCACCCCACTCTCTGGTCTGTTATTACCATCATCCTCCTCACACCAATACATAAACCCACTTCCTCATGACTGTCCTCCGTGCAAACCATGATAGAAGGTTTCCTGATCCTTGAAGGCATTAAATAGCCCTCATCACCTTTATTTCCAGACTAAATAGTTTAATTTCATCATCTAATTTCTCCTTAAAAACCTTAGTCATCTCCTTAGTTTTCTTGTGGAACTGTCTGTAGTTGTGCCAATTTAGAGATGTCAGGCTGAGGCATAATTAACTTCCCCGGATAGGTTCATGTTCTTAGGGTAGCTATGAATCAATGGTTAATCATGATTGCAGTGCTCAAGGTAATCATTGGCTGAGGTAGATATTCAATTGACAGGTAAAACAGGAGAACATTTTTTTTTTACCTTAAAAAAAGTGTGGTGTGAATAAAGAAATGAAAAGCATTTAGAGAGAGAGGTGAATGTTAAGGTTTTCAATAATCAGCTCTTGCCCACGAGCCTTGGCTGAGACAGGGCTTGACAGAGCCTCTGTACAGGGTTGATGTCCTGCGCCTGTGAGCCTGCACCCCAGGAGATCAAAGGTTCTGCAATGGGGAGCTCACGCTGATAAGATATTAAGACCATCTGTGAATCACTGATGTGGTCGGATTGCAAAGTATCAGCAAGGACAGCTGCCTCCACAAAGGAGCATGGATTCCCCAGGCTTTCCAGAGCCTTCTAAAAGACCTGCAGAAGAGAAACTAAAAGCACTGCTCTCTGCTCCAGTTGGGAGTGACAAGCCGCATGGGCAAGCATGAGTGCTTGCATGTACCTCTGTGTCCGAGACTGAGTGGAAGGGAGAAATTGAAGGGAACTCAGCCATGAGTAGATGTGAAGAAAGCACAGTTAGCATGCCAAATCTGAGTGCTTTCTTTCCTTTCACCATTCTTTCTGAAGTTCTTTCGTCACAAAAGATGTATTTACTCATTTTATTTGGGGAAAAGAGAAATATGGAGATAGGAGTTAGTTTCCGTGGAATTGTGCAAACCAGGTACAATTTTCATTTGGGTCCCGACTGTGTTGCAGGTAGCTTGGCAGATGCCCCAATGTAATAAAATCTGAATGCGGTTCTTCAACTTGGAATTCAGTGTTATAAGAATGAAAGAATTGTGAAGTATTGAAGCACAGCATGGGTGAATCATATGATGGCATAATGGCGGCTTGTAAACTGCTTTAGGCACACAGAGAAGGGGTAATCCAGGTATAAGCCCAACTTCCCTTGGGATTGGCAAAATTTCCTAGCATAGCTGAAGTAGTGGCTTATTCTTAGTGTTGGCCTGTTCTTTCTCCGAACTTTGCACTATCCTTTTATCATTTCTGCACTTAGTTTCTGTGTTAGTTATCTACTGCTACAAAAACAAATTTACTCCCAAGTTAGCAGTTTAAGCAACAACCAGTTATTGTCTCACATTTTCTATGGGTTAGGAATCTGGTAGAGGCTTAGCTGGGTGGCTCTGGCTCAGGGTCTTCCATGAGTCAAGGTGTTAGCCAAGGTTGCAGTCATCTGAAGGCTCCACCATGGCTATCACCCACGGCTATTGGCAGGAGGCCTCAGCTCTTTGCCACATGGGCCTTTCTGCAGGGCTACTTGAGCTTCCTCATGACATGGCAGGTGGCTTCTTCCAGAGCAAGCAATCTGAAAAGGGGAGGAAGCAGGGAGCCAAAGATCTTTTAATCCTATCTCAGAAGTCACACATCAGCACCTCCACCACATTCTAATTGTCAGAAGTGAATCTCGAAGTGCCTTGCACACGGAAGGGGAGGGAGCTGGGCTCCCCCTGTGAAGGGAGGGGTCCTGAAGAATTGGTGGACATAGTTTAAAACCACGGCAGCTTCCATGAGGTGGTCACACTCACTTAGTTGTTTGTGCATCCATTTATTCATCTCCCTATTTATCCAACACATTTCCATAAGTGCCTGCCAGATCCACAGCACAATGCCAAGTGCTAGGTAAGGGATGGGTGAGGCAAATAAAAAGGTAGTCCTGCTTCTCCCTCATCTGTCACCAACCCCGCATGCAGTGTTTAGGAAGATATAAGCAAGAGTAGTAGTTTAAAAAATATTTTAATATCTGCATGAGAATTTCTTAGAGGGATGGCGATGGTGTTGGTCTATGTTTCATTGAGGAACTATGTGGACAGTCACTTTCAGAGGGAAAGTAGGCTCCTGAGGGCCTCCTACATGCATGCTCCCCAGGAGCTGAAGCTGCTCTTCATGGAGGCGATCAGGTTCGAGTGCAATGCTGCAGAAGGCAGGCCGCTCACTGCCAAGGAAGGCACTCAGGTGAGCTTCAAAGGGCGCCTGGCCACAGGGAATTCTCACATTCAGCCCAAGCTGTCTGTGTTGCTATGATATCACCTTCTTCCCTATTTCCTGAAAACTTCCAGCTCACAGTGCCTTGTGTGAGAGAGTCCTCAAACTGTTGATCAGATTTGGGATCCCAGTGGAGGCTGGTGACCCTGAACTTTTGGAGATCCTGTCTGCTCTGTGCAGTGGATTGAATGTTTGAATCTTCCCTAACATTTGTATCTTGATCTTAACCTCCACGGTGATGGTATTATAAATAGTAAGTGGGGCCTTTGGGAGGTGATTAGGTCATGAGAATGGGCCCTGATGAATGGGATTAGTGACTTTATTAGACGGACCCCCAGAGAGCTCTTGCCCTCTTTTTACTATGTGAGGATTCAAGGTGAAGTTGGCCTTCTAGGACCCAGAAAAGAGACCTCACCAAAACTTGACCAAACTGGCATCTGAAATTTGGTTTTCCAGCCTTCTAAACCATGAGAAATAAATTTCTGTTGACGATAAGCCACCCAGTCTGTGGCAATTTGTTACAACATCTCAAATTAGCAAAGTCACTTTGGCACATTTTATAGTATAAAGTGAGGGTAGGCAAGGACTGAGCTGGTTGAGGTTTGTGAAGCAGGTGGGACAGGCACACAACCACACAAGGGAGGTGGGTCATCGTCAAGGAGATGGGGGTGGGGCATGTTGGGACACGGGCTCCAAGGAAAGCAGGACTCCAGATAGGCTACTTGATGGGGAGACAGTAGAGCAGGCAGTGGGTGGGACATTCAGAGAACACTGTAGAACTAGGAACAATGAAGGCAATGACGTGAGAGAACAGGAAATTACAATCAGAGATGGAAGTTTTAATTTGTGATATCACAGATTCAACATTCCTGGGTGGTCCAGGGTCTTCAGTATGGCCACGAAGTCAAAAGCTGAAAAGGAGCAGAGGTTAAGGTGATTAGGGATGAGGAGTTCACGTGGTTGAGAGGTGTTGGACACCAAGCTTGTGAGGGAGTTGAATCACTCAAGAGCCCAGCAGCACCCGAGGTGGAGACCACATCTGGTTCAGCACAGTGAGGGTCCACTGCCGGTGCTTTGGTGAGCAAAGGGAATAAGGGGGTAATGGATGAAAAATAGTGGTTGCATGGTGTCAAGGCCACATGGACTTTCCTCAGAGGCTGGAGGAGGAGGAGGTGTGAAGACATCATCTCCATATCCAGACTGGGGTCCCATGGTGTGAGGAAAAGGAGCAGACTTCTCCTGTCAGGGCTTTGGGACAGCTGGTTCTTCAGGGAGACAAGTCCTAGGGAACCCAGGCTGAGATCATGGGGAAGGTTGTGTTCATAGAATAGGAGCACCCAAGAGAACCATGGAAATGGTTGGAGATGCCAAAGGGAGCATTTTCTAGAATGGTCTTGAGTTGGGTACACAGAAGACATGGATAGCTCTGGCTTATGTCTGGTGTAACATCTGAAGAATAAAGTGTCCATCCACAGTGGGGGTGGTGGTGGTGGAGGTGCATCTTGTGGAGGACGGAGTGGGCCTGACAGTAGAAACACAGGTCTTCAACACTGGAGGGAAACTTGTTTGTCAATGGATTCAATTAAACCCAAACTTTCAAGTCAATTTATTGAAGTATGGTTGACATACACTAAAATTCACTCTTTTGAAGTGCAGAGATTGATGAGTTTTGATAAATGCGTATCTTGCATAACAACTACCACAATTGAGGTAGGAAAGTTTTCCATCATTTCCAACATTTCCCTCATGCAGTCAATTGCCCCCCTGACCCTCAGTGCCTGGTGGCTACTGACCAGATTTCCTTCACCCTAGTTTTGTGTTTTCTAGAGTGGTATAGAAATGTAACCATGCAATATGGTGTCCTTTGTGCTGGCTTCTTTTACTTCACATGATGTGTTTGATTTGCAGCCACCTGGTTCTGAGATTGTAGTCCTTTCCTTTTCATTTCTGAGCAGGATTCTGTGAAATGGACATACCACAGCATGTATAGGAATTCACCCATGAATGGATATTTGAATTGTTTTCTGTTTTGAGCTGTTATGAATAAATCTGGTATAAATATTTACATATGGGCCTTTGAATAGAAATAGGCTTTTCTTTCTCTTGGACAAATACCTAGAAGTGGGATTGCTGGGTCAAACATTAAGTGTAGTTTTTACTTTTAATAAAGTGCCAAAATATTTTTCGGAGTGGTTGTACCATTTTGCATATCCACCAGCAATGTGTGAGAGTTCCAGTTCCTCCACATTCATATCAACACTTGACATGGTCAATCTTCTACATTTTATACATTCTAGTAAATGTGTAGTGTTATTTCATGTAGTTTAGTATGCATTTCCTGAGTGACTAAATGTATTAAGCATATTTTAATGCATTTATTTGCCATCTTATTTGGTGAAGTGTATCTTCAAATCTTTTGCTCATTAAAAAATGACTTTTCCTTTCCTCCAACCCCTTCTCCCATCCTCCACCTCCTCCTCCTCTTCTTTTTTCTTTTTCTTGAATTACAAGGGTTTTTCATATATTCTTAGATACAAGTTCTTTATCAGATATGTAATTTTGCAAATATTTTCTCCCAGTCTGTAATTTGTCTTTTCATTTTCTTAATACCATCTTTTGGAGAGTATAAGTTTTTCAGCTTGATAAAGTTAAATATTTATTTTTTAAAATGTGTTTTTGCTTTTTGTGTCCTAAGAAGTCCTTGCCTATCTCAAGGCCAAATATATTTTTCCCCTATGGGTTTTCTTTCATATCCTTACTGTGTTGGTCAGGGCTTTCCTGAGGAACAGAACCAGTAGGAGATTATACCTATACCTATACCTATACCTATACCTGTCTTTATCTATGTTTATATCTGTATCATCTATATCTATATCCATACTATACATATATCTATATCATCTATATATATCTATATCTATATCTATCTCTATGTGTATATCTATGTCTAATCTATGTCTATGTTATAAGGAATTGACTTGTGTGATTATGGAGGCTAAGTCCCAAGATCTGAAGTTTGTGAGCTGCAGACCTCGAAGAGTTGATGACATGCTTCCAGTCCAAGTCCAAAGACCTGAGAACCAGGAGAGCCAATGGTGTTGTTCTAGTCCAAAGGCAGGGAAAAAAAACCCCAGCATCATAGTTCAAACGCAGCCAGGCAGGAGGAGCATTCTCTTATTTGGGGAGGGTAATCCTTTTTGCTATATTCAGGCCTTCCATTGTTTGGATGAGGCCCACTGCATTAGGCAGAGCCATCTGCCTTACTGAGCCCACTGATTTAAATGTTAAGCTCTTCCAAAAACGCCCTCATAAAAACACCCAGAATAGTATTTGACCAAACATCTGGAACCTCATGGCCCAGTCAAGTTGACACACAAAAATAATCATTGCACCTACTTTTCTATGAGAAATAAAACCACCTAGCCAGGTATGGTAGCTTGTGCCTGTAGTCCCAGCTACTCAGGAGGCTGAGGCAGGAGGATCGCTCGAGCAGCCCAGGAGTTCTGAGCTGTAGTGCCCTATGCTGATCGAGTGTCTGCACCAAGTTTGACTCAATATGGTGACCTCCTGGGAGCAGGAGACCACCAGGTTGACTAAGGAGGGATGAACTGTCCCAGGTCAGAAGTGGAGCAGGTCAGAACTCCTGTGATGATCAGTAGAGGAATCGTGCCTGTGAATAGCCACTGAACTCTCACCTGTGCCATATAGTGAGACCCTGTCTCAAAAAAAGAAAAAAAAATAAACAAACCCTGAAGCCTAGAGAGGTTCTCAAATCATCCAGGAAGTTCAAGAGGTTAGTAGCATAATTAGTATTAGAACGCAAATCTCTTGGCCCTTGGTTCTCTGCCCTAGTAATATCTATCATTTTTCTTTTATTCTGATACATAGAGTTTTTGGCTATACATGTTGCTGTCAGTCATTGACCTTTTACCCTTTCACCCTGGCTTTTGCATTTTACACATTTATGCACTGTGCCTCTTTGCTACGCTGAAGACACTTTGAGCCTTCATTCATTGTGTGTTGGCTCAGTTACTTGACCTCTGCTAATGTATGTTCATTTTTTGTGCTGCTTTTAAATCTGCTTCTCATGGCGACATGGTCCCCTTGCCACACAGTTGCTGGATTTATTCTCTAAGTGGTCATTTCTTTCCTGTCCTTCCAGTCTCTTTGGCCAGTAGGAGCACGGTCCTGCCTGGTATTAGTGCAAGTCTGTTGTCTCCATGATCGCCATGATTCACCTCTCAGCCAGGTCTCTTGGCTCAGTGCTATGCAAGTTTCCTCCTTTGCATCTAAGTCATTTTTAGAAGTGCTTCTCAAAGTGTGACCTGTAAAATCCTGTCGATTCTTGAACTGTTGGCTGTCTTTCTACAACAAGATGTAAGTATAGAAATTGAAAGTAAACATTTAGAAAGGTTTCCAGTAATCTGACATCATCATGACATCCAAGCACACATACCAAACTAGGTATTGTTGGATATGTGAGGTAGGTTGAGTGTGGCATGGGCTGTTTAGTAGCCCGGTAGTGCCACATGTTAGTTCACGAAGGCTTGGGAATTTATAAATATACAGATTATTCCTTTACCACACCTACTTTGAGAAGTACTGACCTATGCCTCTTTCAAGGCTTATAATAGTATTTTTTCTGACTCAATCAGAAAGGTGAAAGACCCTGAATGATGAATGAATGTGTTCTTTGTGTTATTTATCTGTAGATTCAGATTGTCCCACTCATGTTCCTGCTTCCTTTAAAGATTCTAGTAGTTCACCCCCAGACAGTCTGATTTCATAGGAGTAGGGGGGCCTGGGAATCTGCATTGCAGCCCCCATCCCCAGGGGATTTTGATGCAGGCATATGGAAGGTTCACACTTTGAGAAGAGGTGACCCACAGGAAGAAAAGAAAATGCTACCAGTGGCCTCCCAGTTGTCAGGATGTCGGGGAATTCTCGGGGGCTGCCATGTTATAGAGTTGTGAGTTGTGGGATCATTGGATTCTGGCCATGCTTGGTACCAGGAGATGCTCCAGTTGCCACCTGAAGCTCCAAGACAACCACAATATTTCTCTGGAAGAGTTGACTTCCTATATGGAAAGAAAGAGGCTTCATGCTGCTTCATAGTAAAGTTTTCAAAAAATACCATGCCATGTTGGTAATGAGGTCTTACTCTCAGTTATTGGAGAACCCATTAAAACAAGGTGGGCGTGCTTGGTCTTACTTCTCTTTCCTTTTTGGTCTCATTAGCATCATGACATGAGACACAGAACCAGCCAGCTCTTTGTAATAAAGTCGTTTCAAACAGAAAACAGATTTTACATGGTCTGGCTCTTTTGCTGTCATGGTTTTCCTAAAGCAAAATTCGTATCTGGTTAAGTCACTTTCTTAGCTTATATTGTTTCTAGTGCCAGTTTTAAATATACACAAAAATCCCTTAATTATTTGGAGTTCAAATGACAAGAAAGGCCAAACAACCAGACCATTGTTTGGGGACTTCTCCATTTCTTGTGTTCTTGTCCTGCTGCTATTGAGATGCCAGATGCTGGTCCACCCGGATGATGACCAGACAGCATGGAGCAGAGGGGAGGAGAAGTAAAGGTGAATGCTGTTCACAGCACTGGTGCTCATCCAGCCCCTAGAATAAGTCACACTGGGGTATTTAATATGGGGGTGTAGGTAAAAGGGAAATCCTCCCCCTAAAGGCTTTGTAGAAGAAGCAAGGCTCACTCTTTCTCCAGAGCACAAGGGCCTTTTCTCTCCTTATTGTTTGTTTGTTTTTGTTTTTGTTTTGTTTTGTTTTGTTTTGAGATGGCCCCCAGCTCTGTCACCCAGGTTGGAGTGCAGTGGCATGATCTCGACTCACTGCAACCTCCGCCTCCTGGGTTCAAGAGATTCTTGTGCCTCAGCCTCCCGAGTAGCTGGGATTACAGGCGCCTACCACCATGCCCGGCTCATTTTTGTATTTTTAGTAGAGACGGGGTTTGACCATGTTGTTCAGGCTGGTCTTGAACTCCTGACCTCAGGTGATCCACCTGCCTGAACCTCCCAAAGTGCTGGGATTACAGGTGTGAGCCACCACACCCAGCCCCTTTTCTCTTATTTTTGATAGAAGGAATTTTGGGGAATGGGGTTGCAAGCGTAACCCAGTTCTAAGAAATTTCCTGGCCAAGCGCAGTGGCTCACACTTGTAATCTCAGGACTTTGGGAGGCATGGCTCGAGGCCAGGAGGTCAAGGCTGGGGTGAGCCATGATTGCCCCACTGCACTCCAGCCTGGGTGACAGAGTGAGACCCTGTTTCAAAAAAAAAAAAAGAAAAAGAAAAAAAGAAAAAAGAAAAATCCTAAACATCTTAAAGCTTTGAAAGTAAGCCCCAGCCACAAACCCTAGGGGGAGAGCAGGCAGGATGATCAGAAGCACAGACCAGACATGGCGCTAAATAGAAGTGAATGCTGGTCAGATCAGCCTTTGAACATTTACGACTATGGCATTTAGCAGACAAGGGCAGGCATGAGAATGATTGGCAGCCTGCTCACTCGCAGCAGAAATGAAGCTCCTGCCATCAGGTTGCTGAAGGGGAAGCAGGGGCTGTGGCCTCTCCTCGAGTCAAGCAGACAACGGTGCAGGTATTGGCTCACCAGGCACACTGGCTCTGCGATCCAGTTCTAGCACAATCACGCCTTGTTCTGAGAGTTCCAGGCCCACGTTGCATCAGCTTTCAAAGGACTCTGACTAATATGTTCCAACTGCAGTGGAAGATTCTGAGAATGAACATGAGGGCAGTAAATGTCACTATTGTGTGGGGCTGAGTTTTTGTTTACCGTTTCAAATAGACCTGGCTGGGCTTGCTAGTGGCTCAACTGACAAAGCATTGTGCAATCCCGAGGGAGGTGCTGAGCTGGCGGAAGGGCTGGATCCAGCAGTCGCACAGGAGGAATTGCTCTGGTTAACTATGGGAGCCGATGTCAGCACACTGCAGTCTTAAATCCAACTGTTTTTCTTCAGCCAAACCCCCTGTATTAGCTTCCCAGGGCTTCTATTAAGAAGCACTACAGACTGGGTGGCTTAAACCACAGAAATTTATTTCTCACGGTTCTGGAGGCTGGGAAGTCTGAGACCAAGGTGTCGGTGGGGCTGGTTTCTCTTGAGGCCTCTCTCTTTGGCTTGCAGATGGCCGCCTTCTCCCTATGTCCTCAAGTGGCTGTCCCTCTGTGCCCATCTGTGTTCATATTTATTTTTCTTATAAGGACTCCAGTCATATGTGGGCTCATCCTAATGACCTCGTTTTAACTTCATCACCTGCTTACAGACCCTATTTCTAAATATAGTCACATTCTGAGGTACTGGGGGTTAGGGCTTCAATGTATGAATTTGGGAGGCACACAGCCTCCACATTACCAAATCATTGTTGTTACGAACACACAGTGAGCACAGAGTGAGCACGTGCTGTGAAACTCACTCGTTTGGTACACAGTT
This sequence comes from Homo sapiens, assembly GCF_000001405.40. Lineage (NCBI taxonomy): Eukaryota > Metazoa > Chordata > Mammalia > Primates > Hominidae > Homo > Homo sapiens. The sequence continues at coordinate 110,094,109 of NC_000013.11, read as the reverse complement.
CTAGGAGATTTGATGAAGGCATAGTTGGGGCATATTCTGCAGGCCATTCATATCAGGTACCTCATCATTAAATAACCTAATTATGACAAATGCTACCAGAATACAGGACTCCAGAGTGTTCCCATTGAAGGAGTCCTTCAAGAGTCTTTACTTCAATTAGCCCCTCTATTGATGAGAAATGGAAGTGGTGTGGAGAGGCGTGAAGACTCACCCAAGGCCACAGGCAAGTTAGGAGCAGAGCCAGGGTGGCCTCGGTAGCCTACCCATGCCTGTCATTCTCACAGGCAGGGTGGACTGCAAGGGGGCCTCCCTGAGAACTTTCAAAGTTTACCAATTCCCCTGGGTGGTGGGATTCAGTAGGCCTGAGCACTGGGAGCTTCCATGGGGTTCTGCTACCCAACCAGGATTGAGAGTCACTGCTCCTTCTACGATAGAACAGCGGTTGGATTTCCTGCAAAAGGCCAGTTAGTAAATGTCTTTGGTTTTGTGGGTCATACAATCTCCATTGCAACTACTCAGCTCTGCTGTATAGTTTTGAATTACAACCATAGTTTTCAATCAAAAGCTATCTATAAAGATATGGATTCAAAAAAATAGAAGAGCAGGAAAAGAGTTTGGGACATCACAGAAGGCAAGATAAGGTCTCTATGCACAAGTGGAGACAAAACATGTTCACAGATCCATGAGAAAGAGACTCAGCAATATCAGTAGCTCGGGGCTCCCTGCAGAGAAGAGGTTCCAACCCTGATGGCCACACAATCATCTGGCCAATGTGAAACATTCAGTATCTCGGGCCCCACCCACAGAGGCTCTCAGAGAGAGGGTCAATGTGTGAAGACTCTGTAGTTTACCAATTCCCACATGCTATTCTCAGGTCACCAGGGTTCAGATCCATATAAAGGGATCAGGCAGTGCCTGAAAAAGCACTTTAGAGGCATTGAGATGGGAGAATGGTTGTGTTGTGAAGGTATCAGAGAGGACTTTGTGGAGATGTTGCCTGAGGGGCAGTCATAGGCTTGGAAGAGTTGATTTAGGATGAAGCGGTACACAAAGGCTGCTTCAGTCAGGAAGCTCACTGTCCAAGATAGGAACATGTGGCCAGAGAAGGGAGTTCTTGCTGTGGGGTTGGCCAGTGGGCTGGAGAATCATGTGGCCATGTGAATGCAGGCTGAGTCAGTTAGGGCATATTCTGCAGGCCAGTGATGTTCATTGTATAAAGCAGATAAAAGCAGAACTATACTAGTTAAAAAAGGGCTGGGGAAATAGCCAAAAAGTAGAAATTGAAAAGGAAGAAACGTGGAGGACTCACATGATCTGATTTCAAGATTTACTCTAAAGCAACTGCAATCACTCAGTCTGGCACTGGCAAAAGAATAGACACATCAATCAATGGAACAGAATGGAGAGTCTAGTAAGAGACCCACACAAATACGGTCCATTGATTTTTGACAAAGGTGCAAAAGCAGATCCATGGAGGATGGATAATCTTTTTAAAAATTGTGCTAAAATAATGAGAAAACCATATGGAATAAATACAAAAGTAGACTCAAACTGTATCATAGAACTAAGTGTAAAATGCAAAATCATGAAATTTTTAACTCTAAGAGGAGGAGATCTATGGGAAATTCTGCACCTTCCACTCAGTTTTGCTGTGAATCTAACACTTCTCTAAAAAATAAATGTGTGTGTGTGTGTGTTTGCTTTTTGTGTTTTGTTTTTCTCTGAGACAGAGTCTTGCTCTGTCACCCAGGCTGGAGTGCAGTGGCATGATCTTGGCTCACTGCAACCTGTGACTCCCTGTCCAAGCAATTCTCCCACCTCAGCTTCCTGAGTTGCTGGGATTACAGGCGTGCACCACCATAACTGGCTAATTTTGTATTTTTAGTAGAGATGGGGTTTCACCATGTTGGCCAGGCTTGTCTCCAACTCCTGACCTCAAGTGAACTGCCAGCCTCAGCCTCCCATAGTGCTGGGATTACAGGCGTGAACCACCGTGCCAGGCCAAGACTGTTTTTTAAAATGGGCAAAAGACTTGAAAGACACTTCATCAAACAGGATATACTGATAGCAAATGGAACATGAAAAGATGCATTAACATTGTCAAGCATTAGGGAAATGCCAATTCAATCTACCAGATGATGCCACCACAAGTGGGTAAAGTTAAAAATCTGATAATACCAAGTCCCAGCTAGGATGCAAAAGAACAGAAGCTCACACACTAAAGGCGCTGGTGCAGAGCAGTGCAGCCACTTTAGAAAGCTGTTTGATGACTTCTTTTCAAGTTAAACATACATCTACCAAATTAGCAATCCTGCCTACCTGTTTAATCAAGTTAAAAAAAACGAAAACAAGGAAAACTATGCTTACACTTTCTAAGTATGTAAATATTTGTAGCGGCTCTATTCATAATGGCTTCAAACTGAAAATCGATTAAACCAAACTCCTCTGTGGGCAAATGGATAAGCAGGCTGTGGCATATCCATGCAATGGAACACTACTCAGTAATAAACAGGAACACACTGTTGACGCGTGCAACAGGACTGATGGATTTGCCTTATGCCACTGAAAGTAGCTAGACTCAAAGATGTCCTTCTCTGTGGTTTCATTCTGAAACCTTTCTTTCTGGAAAAGGCAACAGAGGTGGAGGATAGATGAGTGGAGCAGGGCTGGCCACAGAAGGGCAGCATGTGGAATCATCTGGGGTGATGGAGTTGTTCTGTATCTTGATTGTGGTGGTGGTTAAGTTTCTACACCTTCATCAAATCTCCTAGAACTGTATACCAAATGAGTGGGTTTTACTGTATGTAAACTCAAAACTAAATAAATAAAAACTTAAAAGAAGACAGGAGATCCCAGAGTCTCCCTGGTCAGCTGTGTTCTAACCCTCCACGCCTCTTTCACTGAGTGTGATTACTCCACTCAAAACTAAATAAATAAAAACTTAAAAGAAGACAGGAGATCCCAGAGTCTCCCTGGTCAGCTGTGTTCTAACCCTCCACGCCTCTTTCACTGAGTGTGATTACTCCACTCAAAACTAAATAAACAAAAACTTAAAAGAAGACAGGAGATCCCAGAGTCTCCCTGGTCAGCTGTGCTCTAACCCTCCACGCCTCTTTCACTGAGTGTGATTACTCCCCAGGACACGGGAACACCCTTGCTGCAGGCCACGAGCTCCACCTCCACGTATTGGTGCCATGATGTGATTAGAAGACAGAGTGTTTTAGGAAGAAAATCATGGTGGTGATAAATTATGTGCCTTAGTGCTGCTCTCTGCTATGAATTGAAGAGGATTAAGAAAAGTGGGAGGGGAGGCAGGACCTCATCTCTCCCGTCTGAGAACTGTGGAGTCTCAGTGCTGCAGAGATTTTTTTCAGTGGCTGCTCTAGTTTCTCTTGGTTGAAACTCCCCTTTTCTGTCCTCCCTAAGAGGGGCCAACCTGACTGTTCTTCACCTTGGCAGGAGTGTAAGGAGGAGCTGGAGTGCCATGGTGTCCACGTCCTCCCTTGGCCACTGCCTGCTGCTGGGTGGATCCCTGAGTGGCTCTGGGCCTCATCTTTGATTTGCAAAACTGATTTTGAAATTGGATCTGGGCATCCTGCAGGGGTAGCTGAAAAGCTGGAGGTGTGTGTATGTGCAGGAACAGATGGGCTAAGCTTGTGCACTTCCATACACACATCCCCCAGAATAATTCACACTTCTCCATTTTACATACTGGGCTTCAAGTGTGCCACTTACTAACAAGATGACCTCAGTTTCCTTATCTGTAAAACGGGCCCACTAATGGTGCTTGCTTCATGGGAGAGTTGTAAGGATAAATCATGTATGCCGAACACTTCTAGCCCATAGGAAGAATTTATAAAGTTTAGCAATTATTATTCTTGAGAGTTTTCATTAGAGGTAAGTGCCCGTGAATAAAATAAGCAGAAAATCATCCCGCTAGATACTTTCTAAGGCTCCATCTAGCTCTATCATTCCATGATTTTATGATTTCACTCATGAGAAATTGGTAATAAATAGCTGTTCGTCTGTCATAGATGGTGAAGCATTTCATTTTTATGCTGACATTTGTACCCTGCAGTACTACTTCTTTCCACTGGGATACCATGAAAACCTATGCCTCCTTCCCCAGGGCATCAAATAAATAAAGAGAGTCACAGTGTTCTTCTTTTCTCCAGGAAATATGGCTCTGGCTCCCCGAGTGTCCCACAAATGCCAACATAGCCATCACATTGTCATAACAGCATGATTGAAAGTTTGCCATGTCCTGTACTGAACATTTTACAGAAAGGATCTCATTTAAGCTTTCCAAAAAATGTGGGAGGCAGGCATTATTACTACCCCATTACTACAGGAGTACCTATAATAATTGATACTACCCCATTATTATGGGCTTGGAGAAATTCAATAATTTGCCCAATACCAAGAATCTAGTAAGTGATGAAGCAGGGATTGGAATTGAGGCAGCAAATCTCCAAGGCCATGGCTCCTAACCCTACCAGAGCTGCTTCTCCAAATCCTCTTTGTTTTTTGGAGTTTGGGTTTGCCTATTTGTTCTTTTTGTTTGTTTGTTTGTTTTTTGAGTTTGCCTTTGTCATTTAAAAACTTGGTCTATCTGGAATGAATTTTGTGTATGTGTATGGTATGAAGTATGGATTCACTTTCATATATTTAAATCAGTGAAAAGTCCAAATTTTTCCACAGATCTACAGTAGAGATGGCAGTAAATCAAATTTTCCATAATCATAGGTCAGTTTCTTCATTCTCTTTTTGGTTCCATTGCTCAGTGTGCTCCAGTACTGCACACAGTTGTTTTAATGGACTTTGATACTGGGCAGCACAGATGCCCTCACCTTGCTCTCTTTTTTCAAAAGTGTCTTCATGGTTATAGAGTGTGAAATTATAGTCATTGGAGACTCAAAAGGGTGGAAAGGTGGGAGGGGGATGAGGGATGGTAAATTACTTAATGAGTAGTAGCACAATGAAATATATATATATATATATATATATATATATATATATATATATATATATATATAATTATTATTATTATTTGAGACAGAGTCTCGCTCTTTTGCCCAGGCTGGAGTGCAGTGGTACAATCTTGGCTCACTGCAACCTCCATCTCCCAGCCTCCAAAGATTCTCCTGCCTCAGCCTCCCGAGTAGCTGGGACTACTACACACCACCTGCCCAGCTATTTTTTATATTTTTAGTAGCGACAGGGTTTCACCATGTTGGCCAGGCTGGTCTCGAACTCCTGACCTCAAGTGATCTACCCTCCTCGGCCTACAATGTATATTATTTGGGTGACGGGTACCCTAAAAGCCCTGACTTCAGCACTGCACAGTATGTCCACGTAACAAAACTGCATTTGTACCCCTCAAATTTATACAAATAGTTTTAAAGAGTGTCTTAATTATTGGGTACTTGAACTTCCGTATATACTTTGCAACCAACTTGTCAAATTCCATAAAATATTTATTTGCATTTTACTTAGAATTGGATTAATTTCATGAATTTACTTGTGGTAGAGTTGATGTGATTTCAGTAGTGAGTCTTCCTATCTATTAATATATATCTGATGTGTTTCTATTTTATTAGGTTAGTTTTTAGTGTCTTTTAACATAGTTTTAAAATTTCTTCCATTGAGGTCTTATATACATGTTTGCCGGATATATTTGTAGAAACATGATTTTTCATTGCTCCTGTAGATAGTACCTTTTTAAAATTAAATTTGTTTGCCCTTGGTATATAGAAATGGAATGGATTTTTGTTAATTGATCACAAGTCAATATAACTTTGCCAAGATCCTTTATTAATTTTTGACAATTGTCTTGTAGATTCTATATTTTAATATAAATTATCATTTATTGATAAGGATTTTAAAAATATTGTCACTTCCAAAACTTACATTATTTATTTCTTCTTCTTAGCTTATTTGGATTGCCAGATTCTCCAGTAAAATATTGAATAGAAGATGTAGAAGCAGATCAATAAAATACTCCTGAAAAATTTTCCACGTATATTGAGATCATAATATGGGCATTTCTCTTTAATATATTAAAGTGCCAAATTATTTGAGTGAATTTTCTAATATAAAATTTAGCAAACTATCGCAAGGACAAAAAACCAAGCACCGCATGTTCTCACTCATAGATGGGAATTGAGCAATGAGAACACATGGACACAGGAAGGGGAACATCACACACAGGGTACTGTTTGGGGTGGGGGGAGGGGGGAGGGATAGCATTAGGAGATATACCTAATGCTAAATGACGAGTTAATAGGTGCAGCACACCAACATGGCACATGTATACGTATGTAACAAACCTGCACGTTGTGCACATGTACCCTAAAACTTAAAGTATAATAATAATAAAATTTTTTAAAAAATTTATCTTTCATTCCTAGAGTAAACCAACTTGTCCACAATGTATTATTATCTTTTCATACATTGTGGGATCAGTTTGCTAATATTTGGTTTAGCGTTTTTTCTTTTCTTTTTGCTTATGCTTTGTTTTCACTTTTAAAAATGTTCAATACAAATTTTTATATATATTTATGGGATACATGTGATATTTTGATACAAGCATATTATGTGTAATGATCAAATCTGGATAATTGGAATATACACCACTTCAAACATTTATCATTTCTTTGTGTTGGAATTTTCTGATTTTCTTTTCTAGTTACTTTGAGGTAGACAAATTATTTTTAACTGTAGTTGCCCTATTGTGCTACAAAACACTAGATGTTATTCCTTCTGTCTAACTCTTTTTGTACCCATTAGATAACCCCTCTTCTTCCCCAGGTCCCCATTGCCCTTCCCAGCCTCTGGTAACCATTATTTTCAGATCAATTATTTTTAACTCCCCTATATGAGTGAGAACATGCAGTATTTGTCTTTCTGTGCTTGGCTTATTTCACTTAACATAATATTCTCCAGTTCCATCCATGTTGCTACAAATGACAGAATTTCATTCTTTTTTATGGCTGAATAATATTCCATTGTGTGTATGTGTGTGTATAATATTATTCCTGTGTGTGTACATATATATATATATATAGATACAATATTATTCCAGTGTGTGTTTGTGTACAAATTATGTTTTCTTCATCCATCTGTTGAAATTTTCTTTATCCATTCATCTGTGTTGCACACTTAGGTTGATTCTGTTTCTTGGCTATTGTGAATAGTGCTGCAATAAACATGGGAATGCAGATATCTCTGCTATACAGATTTCCTTTCTTTCAGATATATACCCAGATTTCCCTTCTTTTGGATATATACTCAGGAATGGAATTGGTGGATCATATGGTAGTTCTATTTTTATTTTTTTTAGGAACCTCCACACTATTCTCCATAGTGGCTGTACTAATTTACATTTCTATCAACTGTGTGGGAGTGTTCCTCTTTCTGCAAGTCCTTGCCAGCATTTATTTATAATTTATTGATTGATTGATGGTAACCTTTTTAACTGGGGTGAGATTATATCTCCTTGTGGCTTTGATCTGCATTTCCTTGATGATTAGTGATGTTGAGCATTTTTTCATAGACCTGTTGGCTATTTGTGTGCCTTCTTCTGAGAAATGTCTTTTCAGATCTTTTGCCCATTTTTAATTGTATTTTTTGTGCCATTGATTGTCTGAGTTGCTTATACATTCTGGTTATTAATCCCTTGTTGAATTAATAGTTTGTAAATATGTTCTCTCATTCTGTAGGTTGTTTACTTTGTTGTTTCCTTTGCTGTGCAGAAGCTGTTTAGCTTGATGTAAGTCCATTTGTCAATTTTTGCTTTGGTTGCCTGTACGTTTGAGGTCTTACTCAAGAAATCTTTGCCCAGGTCAATGTCCTGAAGTGTTTCCCCAGTATTTTCTTCTGATAGTTCCATATATTACATTTAAGTCTTTAATATTTTTGAGAGATAGGGATCTAATTTTCTGGTTTTGCATATGGATATTCAGTTTTCCCAGCATCATTTATTGAGGAGCCTGGCCTTTCCCCATTGTCTGTTCTTGGTGCCTCTGTCAAAAATAAGTTTACTATAAATGTGTAAATTTATCTCTGGGGTTTCCTTTCTGTTCCTTTGGTCTATATGTCTGTTTTTTATGCCAGTATCACACTGTTTTGGTCACTATAGCTTTGTAGTATATTTTGAAGTCAAGTAATATAATGCCTCCAGCTTTGTTCTTTTTTCTTAGGACTACTTTGGCTATTCAGGGCCTTTTGCTGTTTCATATGAATTTTAGGATTTTTTTTTCTATTTGTGTGAAGAATGTGATTGATATTTTGATAAGGATTGAATAGAATCTGTGGATTGCTTTTGGGACTATGGACATCTTTACAATATTAATTCTTCCAATCCATGAACATGGTATATCTTTCCATTTTGTTGTGTCCTCTTAAGTTTCTTTCATCTGAGTTTTATAGTTTTCCTTGTAGAAATCTTTTACTTCTTTGGTTAAGTTTATTCCTATGTATTTAAATTTATTTAGCTATTATAGATGGGATTGTTTGCTTGATTTCTTTTTCAGTTCACAGTTGGCATATAGAAATGCTACTGATTTTTGTATGTTGATTTTGTATCCTGCAAACTTACTCAATTCATTGATCAGTTCTAATAAATTTTGGATGGAGTCTTCAGGTTTTTCTAAATATGAGAATATATCATCTGCAAACAAGAATAATTTGACTTATTCCTTTCCAGTTTGCATGCCATTTGTTTCCTTCTCTTGACTAATGGCTATGGCTTGGACTTCCAGTAGAACATTGAATAAAGGGGTGAAAGTGGCCATCCTTGTTTTGTTCCAGATCTTAGAGGAAAGACTTTCAATTTTTCCCTATTCAGTATGATCTAGCTGTGAGTTTGTCATAGATGGCCTTTATTGTTTTGAAGTATGTTCCTTCCATATCCAATTTATTAAGCGTTTTTGTCATGAAAGAATATTAAATTTTATCAAATGCTTTTCTGGCATTTATTGAAATAATCATATGGTTTTTGTCCTTGATTCTATCAACGTTATGTATCCTGTTTACTGATTTGCATATGTTGAACTATTCTTGCATCCCTGGGATTAATCCTACTTAATCATGGTGAATGATCTTTTTAATGTGTTGTTGAATTTGGTTTGCTAGTATTTTTTGAGAATTTTTGCATCTGTGTTCATCTGTGATATTAACCTGTTTTTTTTTTTTTTTTTTGATGTGTCTTTGGTTTTGGCATCAGGGTAATGCTGGTCTCAGAATGAGTTTGAAAGTATTCTTTCCTCTTCATTGTTTTTGAGAATAGTTTGAGTAGAATTGGTATTGGCTCTTCTTTAAATATTTGGTAGAATTTTGCAGTAAACTCATCACAACCTGGGCTTTTCTTTGACGGAAGACTTTTCATTGCTACTTCTATCTTGTCACTTGTTATCGGTCTGTTCAAGTTTTCTCTTTCTTCATGGCTCAATCTTGGTAGGTTATATATGTCTAGGAATATGTCCATTTCTTCTAGGTTTGTCAATATATTAGCATACAGTTGGTCACAATAGTCTCTGATGTTCCTTTGAATATCTGTGGTATCAGTTGTAATGCCTCCTTTTCTACCACTGATTTTATTTATTTGGGTCTTCTCTCTTAGTCTGGCTAATGGTTTGCCAATTTTTCTTTTTTCCTTTTTCTTTTTTTTTGAGACGGAGTCTCACTCTGTCACCCAGGCTGGAGTGTAGTGGTGCAATCTCGGCTCACTGCAAGGTCTGCCTCCTGGGTTCATGCCATTCTCCTGCCTCAGCCTCCCAAGTAGCTGGGACTACAGGCACCCGCCAACACGCCCAGCTATTTTTTTTATATTTTTAGTAGAGACGGGGTTTCCCCGTGTTAGCCAGGATGGTCTCGATCTCCTGACCTTGTGATCTGCCCACCTTGGCCTCCCAAAGTGCTGTGATTACAGGCGTGAGCCACCTCGCCTGGCCCAATTTTGCTTTTTTTTTTTTTTTCAAAAAAACTAAGTTTTCTTTCTGTTGATCTTTTGTGGGTTTTTTAGTGTAAGTTTTATTTATTTCTGCTCTAATTTTTATTTTCTCTTTTCTTCTAATTTTGAGTTTAAATTGTTCTTGCTTGTTCTTTAAGGTGCACTATTAAGTCATTTAAAGTTTTTCTATTTTTGATGTGGGTGTTTATTACTCATAAACTTTCCTCTTAGTACTGCTTTTGCTGTATCCCATAGCTTTTTGCTACACTGTTTCCATTTTAATTTGTTATCACCAATATCAATGTTTTTTCTTATTAGTCTAGCTTTGTATCAAGAATATATTATTATCATAAATTGATTTGGGGAGAATTTCTTCTTTTCTGTCCTCTGAAACAGTTTGTGTAAGGGTGGAATTCTTGATTTATTAAACATTTGGTAGAATTACAAAACCCACATGAAATGGTTAATTCTTTTTGCAGAAATTTTTTTATGACTAATTTAATATCTTTAACAGTTACATGATGACTTAGTTTTTTTTTCCTGAGTCAGCTTCAGTGATCTATATTTTTCTAGGAATTTATTTACTTTTTCCTCGTTTTGACCGTATTGGCATAACGTTGTTTGTAATTTAATCTAACTTAAAAAAAATCTTTTTCATCTCTAACATGCTCCTTTTTTCATCCATTCTTATGTATTTGTGCCTTCAATTTTTTAACTGATAATTTTGTCAAGGATGAGTCACTTTGTTCAAAAAATCTTCTTTTGTCTAGTTTAATCCTCTCTGTTATATATACATACATATAGATATCTTTCTTTTATATCACCTCTTTCTATTATTTCTTTCTGCTTTGTTTCATTTTTTTGGTCTTTTTCTAACTTCTTAAGTTGGATGCTTAGCTAATTTCCTTTTAGCTCATCTTCTTTAATAAGTTCAAAAACTTAAGAATGCTCCTACACTTAATGTCTTAATGCATTCTACATGTTTAAGTCACATAATAATACCTTAATTTTTATTATCATTATGCACTAAATTTTTCTACTATAATTTATTTTGGAGTCACACATTATTTAGGAGTGTTCTCATTTGTCCTCGATTTCTAATTTCTTAGAATTTAGATTAGAGAATGTGGTCAAACTGATCCTCTGAAATTTGTCTCTCTTTTTTTTTTTTACCCAGCATGTGACCAATATTCATATATATATTCCATGTATATTTAGAATGAATAAACATTTTCCAGTTTTTGAATGCCGCATTCTTTATTACATTCATTAGATCAAACTTCTCAATTTCTTTATCCTTCCTTATGTTTTACCTGCTTAAGCTCTTTATTACTAATATATTTTATTAAAATTCTGAGTTTATCGTTATTTCAATTCAGAATTTTGAAGATGTATTTATTGCTGTCTGACTTCCACTGTTGCTTTTGAGAAGTCAGCTGTCCGTCTAATTACTATTGTTTTACAGACATGTTTTCTCCCCAGCCACATAAGATCTCCTCTGCATCTTTGGTGCACTTTCATTTTACTGTGGTGTCCTTATTATGAACATCTCTTGACTGTACTGCCTGGAACTCTTGGGAATTTATGAATATGAAGATTTGTCTCTTATTAATTTTAGAAAGTTGACAGTCATTCTCTCTTTGAATTTCGTTCTCTCACATTTATTTATTCTCTTTCTGGGACCCTAATGAAATGCATATTAGACACTCTCACTCTATGTTTCTTAACCCCTGTTTTATATTTTCTATATCTTTGTCTCCATTAACTGCATTTGGGGTAATTTATAAAAATCTACTTTCTCAAGCAATGGTTTTCTTCAGGCTATTTCGAATTGGCTATTATCATTAAATTTTACTTCTACAACATTTCAGTGTTTGGTAGAATTTATCTATAAGATCCACCTGAAGCTGATGTTTTCTTTGTGGGACTAAGTAAATATCTTTAGTGGGCTGATGACTATTCAGACATTTGAAATTTGTTCTTGAGTTGGTTTTGACAGTTGGTATTTTTCTACGAATTTGTTAGTTTTCCATTTGTCAAATGTGTTGGAAAAGGTTGTTTAAAATTTAATTTTTAAAGCTTTTCTTCTCAACACATTCTTTTATTATTTAAAAATATACACTTAAAAATATTGAACACGTTTATTTTGGTTCTTTAGAAAATTGTTTTAATATCTGCAATTTCTGTGGGTTTTATTCTACATATAAAGAGTGTGTTCACTGACTCTTCCTCATAATTTTTTTCCTTATATGTTTTGTAATATTTGCTTGTGACTTCATGATCTTTGTAACTGTATTTATGAAAAATTATAAGGTCCCTAGAAGCACTTTATGCCAGTCTATTTCTTCTTTTAAAGTTTTTTTTTGCTACAAAAGTTGGATGAAATGAGACTTCAAGCTCACAGAAAGAGGGGCTTGTCATTAGAGAGTTTTCTATATTCTCCCTCCACCCAGAGCCAAAATCAAAACAGACAAGTATGTTTGCCAACTGTCTTGGTTGGTGTTTCACCTTTTAGGGGTTCAGCTTTATTCAGGAATCTGACGTGACCTCCCTTTTTGAGGCTCTTGTCCTGACATCCATTAAAGCCCATGATTTAAGCTAGTAGGAATTGTGTAATGTCCCTATAAAATGCTGTCTTATTGGCCCTCTTAAATTCTCTATTGGCACTTTATCATCCTTTCTCCCCTCCAAAGATTTCTTACTTTTGTACCTAGCAACCACACATTTGAAATGTAAGTATACGTATATATTTGCATATATATTTTACTTGGCAGATTCAGGTGCTGTGTATCAGGAATGTTTTTCTGTACGTGAAAGCCACTTTACTTCTGGGAATGAATTCTTTCTTTAGTTAATCTTTATAGGAAGCTGGACTGTGCTGGAGGATTTCCCATTCCATCAGAAGAATGGACCAGCCTTTCAATGGGACAGTACTATCGTCATACATCCCCATCAGTCTTCAAGGTCATAATGCACACTTTTGCAAACAAATTGAGATGTCAAGGGGTAGATGAAAGTTTTTAGAATGCTATAATTTTATTTATTCCACAAGAAGTTTAAGTACATTTTGGGAAATGGAGACAAAAGCACTCATAATTTCACTCCCTTGACATAACTTCTGTCTATATTTGTGTAATTTATCATTTTTCCTATATACATATAACATTTTCATTGCTATTGCATTGTTTAAAAAGTATTTTTTATGTTTTTAGAGTATTTATTCATCAGCATTATAAATGCAAAGGAAAGAAATTTTCCTTCTAATGGGCCCTTTCTGCACCACATTGGAAACAGAAGATCCCCTGAGGACACAAACAAAACGAGAAGTCAGCACAGTGTATTATCTCATTTTGGGACCAAACCCATTTTTTAATGGGAAGCACAAGTAATGCTTGATAATCCTGCAACAAAAGTAACCATTTGAGTGATTTGCAGGTAGGTCTCCTGAGCATAGAACTAGGCCAAGAGAGGCAGAACTGTGAAGAGGGAAAAAGCCAATGAGTTCTCCCTGGAAATCTGTATGTGGCCAATCAAGAGTCAGCTTTACCTTTTTCACCCTGAGACCGGTGCCCAACATTGAGTAGCCTTTGGTTATGTTACTCTTGGTGGCTGTGAAACAGGGTCACACCTCTCAACATCATGCTCTGGGAAGGTGACTTAGGTGAGAATGTCAAATTGCTGAAATCCCATCAGCAGGAAAGTAGAAATCTTGATAGCTGGTATGCAATCCACTGTGACCTCAGCCAAAGGTGCAAAACCTGAGGCCCCGCTGCACTCCACAGATTGAGATATGATCTCCCCCCAGGCCAAAAAAATAAATAGAATATGATGGCAGAGGGTGCCCATTCTGCAGACCTAAAGAAGTGAACTCTGGTCTCTGATCTTTGAGACAGCTGATGGATAGCCTACACCAGCTCTCCAGTTGGCTGGGCGGCTTCTCATTTGGGGTCATGTTAGTTGCCTCAGTTGCCTCAGGCTGCTTCTGGGGAATGGAACTACCTATCCACATGAAAGGTTTGTTTCTGGGCAAGTTTCTAAGGTTGCCAGGACAGTTTTACTATTACCTTAATTGCCCTGATTTCATTGATATAATCTGAATGCCAGTGGAATGTGTATGTTCTTATAAGTTTATAGAACATTTTATCATTTTTGAAAATAAACTCAATAGTGAGTTTCTTAATCCTGATTTCTAATTTGATTGCACTGTGGTCTGAGAGACTGTTTATTATGATTTCTGCTCTTTTGCATTTGCTGAGGGGTGTTTTACTTCCAATTATGTGGTCAATTTTAGAATAAGTGCGATGTGGTGCTGAGAAGAATGTATAGTCTGTTGATTTGGGGTGGAGAGTTCTGTAGATGTCTATTAGGTCTGCTTGGTCCAGAGTTGAGTTCAAGTCCTGAATACTCTTGTTAATTTTCTGTCATGTTGGTCTGTCCAATATTGAGAGTGGGGTGTTAAAGTCTCCCACTATTATTGTGTGGGAGTCTAAGTCTCTTTGTAGGTCTCTAAGAACTTGCTTTATGAATCTGGGTGCTCCTGTATTGGGTGCATATATATTTAGGATAGTTAGCTCTTCTTGTTGCATTAATCCCTTTACCATTATGTAATGCCCTTGTCTTTTTTGATCTTTGTTCATTTAAAGTCTGTTTTATCAGAGACTAGGATTGCAGCCCCTGCTTTTTTTTTTTTTTTTTTTTTGCTTTCCATTTGCTTGGTAAATATTCCTCCATCCCTTTATTTTGAAGCTATGTGTGTCTTTGCACGTGAGATGGGTCTCCTGAATACAACACACTAATGGGTCTTGACTATCCAATTTGCCACTCTGTGTCTTTTAATTGGGGCATTAAGCCCATTTACATTTAAGGTTAATATTGTTATGTGTGAATTTTATCCTGTCATTATGATGCTAGCTGGTTATTTTGCCCATCAGTTGGTGCAGTTTCTTCATAGTGTCAATGGTCTTTGCAATTTGTTATGTTTTTTACAGTGGCTGGTACTGGTTTTTCCTTTTCATATTTAGTGCTTCCTTCAGGAGCTCTTGTAAGGCAGCCCTGGTGGTGACAAAATCTCTCAGCATTCGCCTGTCTGTAAAGGATTTTATTTATCCTTTGCTTATTGAAGCTCAGTTTGGCTGGATATGAAATTCTGGGTTGAAAATTCTTTTCTTTAAAAATGTTGACTATTGCCCCCAACTCTCTTCTGGCTTGTAGGGTCTCTGCAGAGAGATCTGCTGTTAGTCTGATGGGCTTCCCTTTGTGGGTAACCCGACCTTTCTCTCTGGCTGCTCTTAACATTTTTTCCTTCATTTCAACCTTGGTGAATCTGATGATTATGTGCCTTGTGGTTGTTCTTCTCGAGAAGTATCTCTGTGGTATTCTCTGTATTTCCTGAATTTGAATGTTGGCCTGTCTTGCTAGGTTGGGGAAGTTCTCCTGGATAATATCCTCAATAGTGTTTTCCAAGTTGGTTCCATTCTCCCCATCACTTTCAGGTACACCAATTCAACGTAAGTTTGGTCTTTTCATATAGTCCCATATTTCTTGAAGGCTTTGTTCATTGCTTTTCATTCTTTTTTCTTTAATCTTGTCTTCATGCTTTATTTCATTAAGTTGATCTTCAATCTCTGATATTCTTTTTCCACTTGATCAATTTGGCTATTGATACTTGTGTACGCTTTGCGAAGTTCTCGTGCTGTGTTTTTCAGCTCCACCAGGTCATTTATGTTCTTCTCTAAACTGATTACTCTAGTTAGCAATTCCTCTACCCTTTTTTCAAGGTTCTTAGCTTTCTTGTATTGGGTTAGAAAATGATCCTGTAGCTTGGAGGAGTTTGCTATTACCCACCTTCTGAAGTCTACTTCTGTCCATTTGTCAAACTCATTCTCCATCCAGTTTTGTTCCCTTGTTGGTGAGGAGTTGTGATCCTTTGGAGAAGAGGCATTCTGGTTTTTGGAATTTTCCATCTTTTTGCCCTAACATCACCATTAAAAGTACTACAGAAGCAAGAGCAAACAAATTCAAAAGCTAGCAGAAGACAAGAAATAACTAAGATCAGAGCAGAACTGAAGGAGATAGAGACATGAAAAACCCTTCAAAAAATCAATGAATCCAGGAGCTGGTTTTTTGAAAGGATGAACAAAATAGATAGACCACTAGCCAGACTAATAAAGAAGAAAAGAGAGAAGAATCAAATAGACACAATAAAAAATAATAAAGGGGGTATTACCACTGATCCCACAGAAATACAAACTATCATCAGAGAATACTAAAGCACTTTTACTCCAATAAACTAGAAAATCTAGAAGAAATGGATACATTTCTGGACACATACACCCTCCCAAGATAAACCAGGAAGAAGTCAAACCCCTGAACAGACCAATAACAAGTTCTGAAATTGAGGCAGTAATTAATAGTCTACCAAGCAAAAAATGCCCAGGACCAGAAGGATTAACAGCCAAAGTCTACCAGAGGTATAAAGAGGAGTTGGTACCGTTCCTTCTGAAAATATTCCAAACAGTAGAAAAAGAGGGACTCCTCCCTAACTCATTTTATGAGGCCAACATCCTCCTGACACCAAAACCTGGCAGAGACACAACAAAAGAAGAAAATTTCAGGCCAATAATCCTGATGAACATCGATGTGAAAATCCTCAATAAAATACTGGCAAACCGAATCCAGCAGCACATCAAAAAGCTTATTCACCACAATCAAGTTGGCATCTTCCCTGGGATGCAAGGCTGGTTCAACATATGCAAATCAATAAACATAATCCATCATATAAACAGAACCAATGACAAAAACCACATGATTATCTCAATAGATGCAGAAAAGGCCTTTGATAAAATTCAAAACCCCTTCATGCTAAAAACTCTCAATCAACTAGGTATTGATGTAATGTATCTTAAAATAATAAGAATTATTTATGACAAACTCATAGCCAATATCATACTGAGTGGGCAAAAGCTGGAAGCATTCCCTTTGAAAACAGGCATAACGCAAGGTTGCCCTCTCTCACCACTCCTATTCAACATAGTATTGGAAGTTCTGGCCAGGGCAATCAAGGAAGAGAAAGAAATAAAGGGTATTCAAATAGGAAGTCAAATTGTCTCTGTTTGCAGATGACATGATTGTGTATTTAGAAAACCTTATTGTCTCAGCCCCAAATCTCCTTAAGATGATAAGCAACTTCATCAAAGTCTCAGATGCAAAATCATTGTGCAAAAATCACAAGCATTCCTATACACCAATAATAGACAGCCAAATCATGAGTGAGCTCCCATTCACAATTGCTACAAAGAGAATAAAACACCTAGGAATACAACTTACAAGGGATGTGAAGGACCTCTTCAAGGAGAACTACAAACCACTGCTCAAGGAAATAAGAGAGGACACAAACAAATGGGAAAACATTCCATGCTCATGGATAGGAAGAATCAATATTGTGAAAATGGACATACTGCCCAAAGTAATTTATAGATTCAATGCTATCTCCATCAAGGTACCATTGACTTTCTTCATAGAATTAGAAAAAACTACTTTAAATTTCATATGGAACCAACAAAGAGCCCATACAGCCAAGACAATCCTTAGCAAAAAGAACAAAGCTGGAGGCATCACATTACCTGACTTCAAACTATACTGCAAGGCTACAGTAACCAAAACAGTATGGTACTGGTACTAAAACAGATGTATAGACCAATGGAATGGAACAGAGGCCTCAGAAATAATGCCACACATCTGCAACCATCTGATCTTTGACAAACCTGACAAAAACAAGCAATGGGGAAAGGATTCCCTATTTAATAAATTATATTGGGAAAACTGGCTAGCCATATGCAGAAAACTGAAACTGGACCCCCTTCCTTATACCTTATACAAAAATTAACTCAAGATGGATTAAAGACTTAAACGTAAGACCTAAAAACCCTAAAAGCCCTAGAAGAAAACATAGGCAATACCACTCAGGACATAGGCATGGGCAAAGACTTCATGACTAAAACACTAAAAGCAATGGCAGTAAAAGCCAAAATTGACAAATGGGATCTAATTAAACTAAAGAGCTTCTGCACAGCAAAAGAAACTATCATCAGAGTGAACAGGCAACCTACAGAATGGGAGAAAAATTTTGCAATCTATCCATCTGACAAAGGGCTAATATCCAGAATCTACAAGGAACTTAAACAAATTTACAAGAAAAAAACAACCCCATCAAAAAGTGAGGAAAGGGTATGAACAGACACTTCTCAAAAGAAGACACTTATGCAGCCAATGAACATATGAAAAAAAGCTCAATGTCACTGGTCATTAGAGAAAGGCAAATCGAAAACCATGATGAGATACTATCTCATGCCAGTTAGAATGGCGATCATTAAAAAGTCAGGAAACAACAGATGCTGGAGAGGATGTAGAGAAATAGGAATGCTTTTATACTGTTGGTCAGAGTGTAAATTGGTTCAACCATTGTGGAAGACAGTGTGGCGATTCCTCAAGGATGTAGAACCAGAAATACCATTTGACCCAGCAATCCCATTACTGGGTATACACCCAAAGGATTATAAAGCATTATACTATAAAGACACATGCACATGTATGTTTATTGCAGCACTTTTCACAATAGCAAAGACTTGGAACCAACCCAAATGCCCATCAATGATAGACTGGATAAAGAAAATGTGGCACATATACACCATGGGATACTATGCAGCCATAAAAAGGATGAGTTCATGTGCTTTGCAAGGACACGGGTGAAGCTGGAAACCATCATTCTCAGCAAACTAACACAGGAACAGAAAACCAAACACCATATGTTCTTACTCATAAGTGGGAGTTAAACAATGAGAACACAGGGACACAGGGAGGGGAATATCATGCACCAGGGCCTGGTGAGTGTTGGGGGGCTGAGGAGGGATAGCATTAGGAGAAATATCTAATGTAGAGGATGGGTTGATGGGTGCAGCAAACCACCATAGCATGTGTATAGCTGTGTAACAAACTGGCACTTTCTGCACTTGTATCCCAGAACTTAAAGTATTATAATAATAATGATAATAGTAATAATAAAAGTTATCTTAACACTAAAAAAGAAAAGAAAAGAAAAGAAACCCACAGAAGAAGCATTTGAGATGCTTGTGAGGATTAGGGCAGTGCTGTGTGTTTATGGGCTGTGTTAACGGTATATACACACACATCTAGGCATGGGGGAGGGTGCGTGGGTATGTTTCTGTCTGAAGTTCTCTGCAATAAAGAGAGAATTTACTTGAACTCTAGGTTTTATCTTATAATGCTGATGCTATGTCCTATGCCATAATATAGCCAGGCTTTAAAAATAGAAACTTAAGTTTTCCCTCAATATTTTTAAGTAAAAAACAGATGTTCCAGAGAGCTGTTCCATGCTTATCTTAAGGCATTGAAGCACCCTCTATCCCACTACCCACTACCACAGTGTGAGGGTTGTGTAATTTATGCTAAGTTAAAAGCTAAAGTGAAGTCACATTTTCCCCTCCCCCCTTGCTTTACAGTGTACCAACAACTGTTTTTCAGAGTCACCTCTGAAGTGTTATTTGAAAACTTTGTCTTGAATTGTTAATCAAAGATGAATACCTCAGCAGCTGTCAGTCAGAAGGTGGATGCTGTGTGAATTTTTGTCTATGAATCTATTAGTAATGAGATTCTTGGAAGATGTATAAACACAAGGAAATTTATTGACATAATCTTTTGGCATTGCCAGTAAACACCTTTGCATCTATTTTATTTTATTTATTTATTTATTTATTTTAACACCAACAGAAGTGATAACCATTTTTGCACACAGAACACTGAAATCTTTTTTACCGGCTCACAATATCAGAGACCAGAGTTCTCCTTATGAGAAACCCAGGTCAGCAGTGCCCCGTGCATCACCTGGACAATGGCAGCCATTCTTTCATTTGCTAGAAGGCCCAAGGTCTTGTCGTCCACCAGGAGGCTCTCCTTGGAAGGGTGCCTTGGACTCAGGCTGTGCATAGGCACAAACGACAATGGGCCTAGTAGTCTTCATCACAGGCCACATGCCAGCGGCAGGAAAGCTTCTTTTCTACTGCAGGGAAAGCCAATTAGTGCTGTTTAATGAAAAGCGACTTCCTTTTGTTTACTTTATAGAAAAGCAAATTAAGTGTTCTAGTCATCATCAATTTAAATTAAGACTAGGAAACAAAGACCGAGCTAAAATTAATACAACTATACCTCAGTTCTGCAGTATGACCAGATAGAAAGAAAACGAGGAGTATAATAAAGAGATAGGAAAGCAGAAAAAAGTATGGCAAGGCTCTCAGAGGAAGAGGCACTTGGGCAAATGGGCAGACAGACCCTTCGCCGACACAGACACCCGGCACAAGAGGTCAACAGAACATGCAACAGCGTGTCACCCCGTCTTGTGTCTTTTGGGATACTGGCAATTGACACCTGAAAAAATCGGGTTCCCTTTTCACAGCTATAGTGATCAAGCTCCTCTTGGGACCTGCTCCATCCTTTGGAAGACGGATTCATTTATTAGCAGAAGTTTCCCATTTGTGGCTTTATGGTCTTGGGAGAGGAATCGCAGAAATATTACCTAGCTAGGAGACAGCAAACGCCTGGACATTGGTGAGGATGAAAACAGGCTCAGAAGCTAATTTTCAGGAAAAAGACTCAAATTATTACAGAACTACAAAAATGAAGAGAAAAAATTCAGACACATCGATATTCAAATTCAAGGGGGATACATTTAGGAAAAGGTAAACCTTAACCCAGCATTAGGCTTAGCCATATCTTCTAGAACACCTTATGCTAATATGGCTCCTTCAGATGCTACATTGAGTTTAGGCACCAAACATTTAAGTCTCTCCTTCTCAGAGCACTTGGGGTCAAGACCCACAGAAGGGGCTGGCCCACCCTTCGGAGGCTGAAGATCTTTGTGCTAGAGGCTCCCTCACCAGGTACCTCCTGTGGGTTTCTTCTGGGACTGGCGCTAGATGTTGTTCTGGACACTCTCTCATTAATGAGTGCCTCCTTTGCAGGCTTGAATTCTTCCCCTTCCATTCCTTCTGAAACATTGCTTTTCCCTTTTACACGCACCTCCATGTAGCCCTGAAATTCTGCGGCCATCGTCTTCACCTCCAGACAATGACACCCACCTTTCTTTCTCTGTAAGAGTGGGTTCCTGAGGGCCAAATGCATGGCTAGCTCTGATGCGTGTTAGCTCGTGGCCTCTGGCTGATTAGACGTACTCATGGGTTTTCCATTTACCAAGCAGGATTATTCCTCCTCCCTGACATGTGTTGAGAGGACAGAATGAGACAGAATGTGTGGGCACCTGGTTCAGTGGCTGGCGGGAGGGCACCCCATCCCTCAGCAAGCCGTAGGCCTGCCTGGTCCCCCTTCCTTCCCCTTCCATCCTCTGCCCACCATCGCGTCTCTCCCAGCCCCTGCTTCTGATGTCCTGGGTGTTTTGTCAGCAAATATTACCCAGGAAACAGCAAAAGGGAAAGGATACCCTAACCCACGCAGTCCTGGGGGCCGTCATCCAGGCAGAGTTGGTCTGCAAACAGAAAACCCATCTGCCTGCAGCAGCCTATGAGGAGGGAAGGCCTCTCTCTCCAGCTCACTCCAGCACCTCCTTGGTGGACTCTTGCCTGGAACCAAACGAGGAAGGAGATTCTAGGAAGGACGGCACTGGCTTTTCCTCAGGAGTAGAGGGAGTGGCAATGTCAGAAGGGAGAGTCCAGCCAGGACGCTGGAGCTGGTGAAACACCCCAGGTCCTGACTGATAGAAACCTGCCCGAGACCAGCTTCCTCACTGCGCCGTCCTTCCCGCCCTCAGGGCTTTCGTAGGCGCTGAACGCAGCGCTGTGAGTATGGCCTTGAGCACAGTGTGTGCAGGTGCCCGACTATTTTTTGTGTGTGCACATACACACACTCACACACACATAGTCCTGAGGATCATACACACAATGCTAACAGTGATCATCTCTGGGTCATAGAATCTTACTTTTTATTTTTAATCTTAGATGCAGGGGGTACCTGTGCCAGTTTGTTGCATGGATATATTGTGTAATGCTGCAGTTTGGGCTTTTCTTGAACTCATCACCCGAATAGTGAACATAGTACCCATAGGATTAATGCAGAATCAGAAAATCAAATACCACATGCTCTCACTTACTAGTGGGAGCTAAACAGTGGGTACCCGTGGACATACAGATGGAAATAACAGACACTGGGATGCAAAAGGGGAAAAGAGGGAGAGGGGCAATGGCTGGATTGTGAATTTTTGTTATCTTTTTTTCTTACTTCTCA
This sequence comes from Homo sapiens, assembly GCF_000001405.40. Classification (NCBI taxonomy): domain Eukaryota; kingdom Metazoa; phylum Chordata; class Mammalia; order Primates; family Hominidae; genus Homo; species Homo sapiens. Next base: position 110,071,848 of record NC_000013.11, on the reverse strand, counting down.
TCTCTGTATTTTGAATTATTATTTTCCACTGAAATTAATATTGTGTTACTTGTTTGACCAAAATATAAAGGGAGACATTTCTAAAAATTAGATCTATACCCCCGTTACACAGGAAATTTAAAATAGAAAACATTCTTTAGGACAGCCACAATTCAACTATAAAGTATTAGCATAAAAATGTCATTAGCCATTGATCATACTCAGAAAAAATAAAAAAGAAAATACTAAACTCCCTCAGAAGTAGGAAAAGGTGACTCCACTTCTGCTAACTTACCTGCAAACGATGGGAGTGGATAATGTGATCATTCTGGTAGGCGTTTCTTTATGTCAGGAGAAGAATGCAGGATTTGACCTCTGTAGGCATCAGCATCTCTCATGTTGATTTGCGTGAAGTTTCCAAACATCCTACTTACATCTGCTGGGATTCTAACTTTTCTGGAGGTGTGAATTGAAATGGAAGTCTTTGAGCTACCTGAAGAAAAGAGACTATTTTTTTTTTAATTAACAGAATCATCATCTTTCCAATGTTTTTGTACTACCAACTGACGATGGACGGTGAACAACTGTTGCAGACACACATGCGTGCACACGTTGCACACACTTGCTTCTTTGGGTCTCTTTGAACCCTTCACTTTTTTAGTTTAGCGTGTTCAGGATGAAAGGAATCCGATGATCAGCAATTTGATGGGTAGAGTGAGGGGGGAAAGAAGTGGCAGCTTTTTAGAGGAATTCATGTAAGGTAAGTTTGCTCGACTTGCAAGTTAAGTATCTGAATATTTAACAGCATTGTTGATAGAATGGGAAATAGAAATATGAAATTATGAAATAGAAATTGAGAAATAGAAATTCTGGGTTGGTTTTTCAAGAAGCACATGGGTCTACCTTGTTTGGTGATGACACCATTCTGCCTGGCTGACGTTCGGGCCCAGACCTGCTTGCTAATGTCACGGCCTGAATAGCTTTGCAAGGCGTGGGAGGCACGTTTGCCCTGTCTTTTCACATCTCTGCTCTAATTGTTATGGTTACTTCTTGGTACATATTGTTATTTGGAAATAAAGTCAAAACAAATTCTTTGTTGTTTTTCTTTTTTAAACAACAAAATACTAAGTGTTCACCTAGAAGTCAGATGATGTTATTAATTGTAATTGTGTGGCCTGGCTGAGTAATTCCCCATGAATCATTAACCACAGAGCATCTGCTGCTCCTGTGTGCGGAGAGTGATGTATTTAGACTCTCGAATCCTGTACATTGCTCTAAAGTTCAGAAAAATATGTCCAGAAAGAATTTCAAAAGTTTAAGGAAAATTGTGACGTTGCAGAGCCCCTTATTGAACTTTCAATGGCTAGAATATGAAGATTATACATTTATTTTTCAGGCTTGTTTGTTCTGTCAATTAATGTTCAATAATGGAAAAATTTGGTCTACCCTCTCCTTCTCTTGTCAATCACCAGTTTGAATGACAGAAAAAAAATACTCCTAAGAAGGAATAAAACCATAACAATGCAGTAGAAAATAAGACAGGAGATTTTCATAGGCAAGACATCGTGAGGAATTCCTGCAAGACAGAAGGCACGGGGATTAGAGGGCTGGGGAAGGGAGGGCAGAGGGGGATTAGAGGGGTGGGGAAGGGAGGGCAGAGGGAACTGCAACGCCGGAGCTTGCCAGGAGGGTCTCAGGGAAGTTTCACTTTCTGAATTAAATATGCAAATACTAGAAATAATTAGCTTCAAAGTACTTTACTTAGTACAGTTACTCCTTAAGGCCTTCTTTAAAACCTTTAGCTAAAGGCTGAGAACCATTCTCTAAAGAAAGCAAACCGCATGGCTAGAAAGGACCCTGAGAAGTAGAATGCAACGTCCAGTAACCCCAGTTCCCTGCAGAAGAAAGGGGAGAGAGATTATTTTTTGAAAGAAAAGCAGCTCTTTTTAGGACAGAAATACACTGAGTGATCATGTCCCAGAGTGAATTGTATCTTAGAATGGCTAGTATGGGCCATTGTTATTCTGGCAGGTTCCTCTTATCCATTCTCCGAGTGGCTTCCCGAATTCACAGAGGTTCAGGCGCTGTGGAGACCCACCGGGGGTACAGATCCACACCACCACCAAAGCACAGAAGCAAGAGTGGAGTTTCTCATTCAAAACTCTAAGAAAAACAAGAGTCACCAGATATTTGCAAAAATGAAGAGCATGAAAAAGAACAATCAAGACCGTGAAGCAAAGCAACTAACCATTGAGAGCAGCAGCAATTCGCAGAACAGAAACGAATTTAAAATGTTCTAATTAGTGTTTAGTGAGCAGTGAGAGGATAATTCCTTCATAAAACATGAATAAGTTGCCTTGAAAGAGGAGCTGTCTGAGAACAAAAAAAGAGTTCTTATTAAATATGCTAAAATTAAACCTTTCTGGATGCACGCAGAAGTCACAGAATGGATGCGATGGATGAACCAGCCGTGAGCTGGAAAATAATGTTGAGAAAAATTCAGCTTATAGAATAAATGGAAGGGAATTAACAGATACAGTAAAGATATGAAAAATAGATTCAAGACTTTCAGAAATAAGAGTGAAGTTGGCCGGGCGTGGTGGCTCACGCCTGTAATCCCAACACATTGGGAGGCCGAGGCGGGTGGATCATGAGGTCAGCAGTTCGAGACCAGCCTGGCCAACATGGTGAAACCCCATCTCTACTAAAAATACAAAAATTAGCCAGGCATGGTGGTGCATGCCTGTAGTCCCAGCTACTCAGGAGGCTGAGGCAGAAGAGTTGCTTGAACCCGGGAGGCAGAGGTTGCAGTGAGCTAAGATTGCACCACTGACTCCAGCCTGGGCGACAGAACGAGACTATGTCTCAAACAAACAAACAAACACCAGTGAAGTTAAGAGTAGATCAAAGAAATCACAGGCAATTCATGTCCTTGAGCCGCGGATCATTCAAGTTTTGATAAACGAGTTAATGGCTAAGCAGAATCATTTACGAATACAGAGCCATTCTTGGAAACATAACATGTATTTTAGAAGAGCAAAGATGGAGACAGAACCCCCAAAACTTACAGAGTGAATAAAGTATAAACAAGCACCAGGTTATATAAGAAGGGACAAGGCTCCAGCCTGGGCGACAGAGCAAGGCTCCGTCTCAAAAAATAAATAAATAAAAATTAAAAAAATAAAAAAAAAGAAGGGACAAGGCAGGCAGAAACACCAGACCCCCCATCATCTGGCAGACGATGCTGCCAGACCACAGGGTGGTGGCTTCAGAGTTGACTTCACCAATCAGCAGATACATCCTCAGTGTGTTCTACGAGCCAACCACAGTTCTGGACAAAGGTCCCTGCCTTCACGAAGCTTAGATTCTACTGTGAGAGGACCAGCAACAAACAAGATGGACAAGTAAAATACAGTGAGTGTTAGATGGTGTTAAAGGCTTAAGAGAGAAAAATAAAGCACGTAAAGGAGAAATGATACATCGAGTAGGGAGAGAGGCGGCAGTGTGGAGAGGTGTCCAGGCAAGGACTGTCTCAGAAGCTAGCTTTGAATGAAAATTCACAGGAGGAAAGGAGGCTGGAAGGAGATCAGTCTGCAGACTCCAGAATGTTCTTGGCAGAGACAGCAGAGAGCATGAAGTCCCTGAAGCAAGGACTTTTTAATCCAAGTTTTGAGAAAGATGAACTTCAACCTTGCATTGGTCTGAATATTTGTGCCTCCATGAAATTCCTATGTTGAAATCCTTATCTCCAAGGTGATGACATTTGGAGGTGGAATCTCTGGGAGATGACTGGGTCTTAAGGGTGGAACCCTCCTGAATGGATTGAAGAGGCCCCAGAGAGCTCCCTCCCCGCTTCCATCATGTGAGGACTCTGTAGAAAGATGGCCTTGTATGAACAGGGCGTAGTCCTCACCAGTGCCTTGATCTTGGACTTCCAGTCCCCAGAACTGTGGCTTACGGGATTTTGTTATAGCATCCAAAATGAACTAAGACAAACCTAGAATTCTATGCTATGCCAATATCTAACAAAGTGTTAGGGCAAAATAAAAACATTTTTAACACATGCCGGTTTTCCACCTACACGTGCTATATGTAAAAACTTAAACACACAGATATTCTCGAGCAATATAAACAGGAATCTGAGGTAGAACATGATCTGAAATATAAGAAATAGAGACAGCTGAGTAGGATTCAGAAGGAAAAATAAAAACAAATTCAAAATGAAATAAATGTGATAAGAACAAACTATTACAACACCTCAGGATGAAATTAGCAGTGTCTCAGATTACTCAACATGCTAAAATGAAGGAATGTAATAAGATAACTAAAAGTCTGATGAAAGAGCAACTGTCAACTTATATGAGCTATCCACAGAAAGTGCCAAAATCTATCTTAATTAATGAGACTTTTTTTTTCAATGTTGAAGAGACAACTGTGGCTAATTTACATCAGGTTATAAAAGCCTGTTGGTAGCAAATCCAAGTTGATTTCCATAAAATGGGTTGCCAAGCCAAGGATGGATATAGGAACAGCCATGGAAATTTTAATGGGATTGTAGCCTTAAAGGACGGGATGTGTATAAAGTCATGTACAGAGAGCATCTAAAGCAGGAATGATTTAGTGAGCGACCAAAATATTCAATGCTCAATGGTATTTAATTGTTGGATGGGTATGAAAATGCATGCTGGTTTGTATAAGCAGAGAGTTCGTTTATTGAGCCATTTCAAATGCCTTATGGATAAAGATATTTTTACAAATAAAAAAAGCCATCAGTTGTTTTGATGGCAGAAATTTTATGGAAACACCACTCATGATACTCTACTACTTCATTTACTACTGATTTTTCCAAAGATCCCATTTAAAACCATGTAAAAACATGCTGCCATAATTATTCCTGTCAACAGGAAAACACCACAGCAGTAGCAATGGCATTTTGATAGCATGTTGCCATTGATATATCTTGGAAACTTTCATTCTGTAGAACTTCATAAGCATGACAGGCAATTGCATTATAACAACCATAAGGGAATTCCACCCTTGTACCTCGGACAGATGATGTGTTTAAACACTGTCTAGGAAAGCAAAGAGTGCTTTATTTCTTCATGTGTCCACTTTGTTCATGTCTTAAGGTGTTTCAAGGAAAAGAAAGGCAGGATGTGAAAGACATTCCTTAGAATGGGTAGATTGGGCACCCTATTATAAGTGTTTATTTTAGGAGAGAGAAGGATCCGTGTTGACAGCAGGGTTTCTGCATTTGTTACGTTTGAGTGTATGATGACATTTTTATACAAAACTTAGGGCGGATTTTCTATTAGAGAAGAAGTCCTATTTGGACCTATTAGGCACTGAAGGAGTTCAGGGTGCATACATGGCTAATAGACACTTGCAAGTTCTCTGTGGAGATCTAGGGAGAGCATTGGGTTAAAGATCAGGATTCGGTGCTGCTATTCCATGAAGGGTTGTTAAAATCATGGTGGATAGAATCAGCTGGAGAAATAAATGCCGCCAGACTGGGTGGGACTCAGCACTGCCTTCTAGAAAGCATCAGGTTGGGCACTGGCAGAGACAGAAGGAAAGGAAGCATGAAAGAGAGAGAATTCAGTGAGGGTGAGTGTGCATGTGCAAGGGATGCTGGCAGGGCCAGGCCAGAGTGGGCCACTGTGTAGGAAGCCCGCGAACACAGGCTTTCAGGATTCTGTAATAACGGACCATTGGATTCTTTCCTGGGTCCCATCAACTCTAAGATTTCCTGTATAAAACTACTCTTAATCTTTCATGTAAAAAATACAGCAGTAGCGGAATTAGGTGTTTTTCTTCTGCCACAGTATGCAAGATCATAGACAAGTTGACCAATTCCTTGAAATTAAAGAAAACACATGCTATTAGGTTGGTGCAAAAGTAATTACGGTTTTTGCCTTTTTTGTTTTGTTTTGTTTTTGAGACGGAGTTTCGCTATTGTTGCCCAGGCTGGAGTGCAGTGGTGCGATCTCAGCTCACGGCAACCTTTGCCTCTGAGGTTCAAGCGATACTCCTGCCTCAGCCTCCTGAGTAGCTGGGATTACAGGCGCCTGCCACCAGGCTCAGCTGATTTTTTGTAGTTTTAGTAGAGATGGGGTTTCACTATGTTGGCCAGGCTGGTCTCGAACTCCCGGCCTCAAGTGATCCACCCACCTTGGTCTCCCAAAGTGCTGGGATTACAAGCGTGAGCCACCCCGCCCGGCCACTTTTTGCCATTTTTTTTTTTAAAAGGTAATAGTAAAAACTGCAATTACATTTGCACCAACCTTTCAGGTAGGGGAGGAGGACAAAGCAGAAATCATATAGTGGTTGGGTTGGGCAGGATAATGGCCCTCCAGGATGTCCACACCTGGATCCTTGGAGATTCTGAATCTGTGCACCCACATGGCAAAGGCACCATGCTGGTGCGATGATGGCCAGGATGCTGGGGTGGGGGGTCGTTCTGGATGGTCCAGGAGGCCCACTGTCATCACATGACACCTTACCATGGCAGAGACCTCATGCTGGGAAACCCAAGCCCAGCATGTGAGAGGCCCAGGGCTGCTTTGAAGATGGAGGGAGGGGCTGTGAGCCAAGGACTGGGCTGCTTCCGGAATTGCCAAGCCAGGGACCCACTCAGCCATTGAGCCCGGAAAGAGCCAACCCTGACGACACCTCTGTCTTAGCCAGTGGGACCCACGTCGAACTTCTGACCTCTAGCACTGTCCTTAAACAGGGCACCAAGTGTGTGGTAACTTACTACCACAGCTCAAGAAAACTCCTAAGTGCTTCTTAAACATACAGTGTGGTGAAGTTTGTATTCTTAAAGTTTATGTTTAAATAGATAAGTGAAGGAATTTTATGTATTCTTAAACTTAAAATGGCCTTGTTTGGCTGGGTGTGGTGGCTCACACCTGTAATCCCAGCGCTTTGGGAGGTCAAGGTGTGAGGATCACTTGAGGACAGGAGTTCAAGTCCAGCCTGGTCAACACAGTGAGACCCTGTCTTCACAAAAATAAAAAAAAATGAATAAATAAAAGTAAAAGGGCCCTGTTTAATCCTACATGGCTTTCTGTATATACAATAAAAATACGGTCTCGGCTGGGTGTGGGGGCTCATGCCTATAATCCCAGCACTTTGGTAGGCCAAGGTGGGGTGACCACCTCAGGTCGGGAGTTCAAGACCAGCCTGGCTAACATGGTGAAACCCCATCTCTACTAAAAATACAAAATTAGCTTGTCATGGTGGCATGTGCCTGTAATCCCAGCTACTCGGGAGGCTGAGGCAGGAGAATCGCTTGATACCGGGAGGCGGAGGTTGCAGTGGGCTGCAATCGTGCCATTGCACTCCAGCCTGGGCAACAGAGTGAGACTCTGTCTCCAAAAACAAACAAACAAACAAACAAACAAACAAAAACTATCTATCTATCTATCTATCTATCTATCTATCTATCTATCTATCTATCTATCTATGGTCTCAGATCTGGGAAAAAGAGGAATTGCTATTTATAGGAGGAGTTCTTATTCTCAAACAAACCTAGCACTTTGCTCCCAAGGAGAGAAAAACAAAACCTGCCCGAATTTTGGGGCACCTGTGTCACAATGTGATCATGTGATGCTGAGAATATTCCGGTTCCTGGGCTAAAAATAAGCTGATGACACTGTGTTCTATTAATGAGTACACGATCTTATCAGAGGACTCAGAGCTTTGATCTAAAGTTCATCAGCTTAAAGCCTTTATAATTAGCTTTCCTTGGGAATGCTGGCCTTACCTCTTTAGTCTTTATTTTGCTTCTAATTGAATGATCGCTAAGTACCTCTTACCATTGCACAGATGGATGTTGTTTTTCAAAAAGGAACATTTTTTCCTCTAAAGTCTTTCATGTAATAATTCTTGTTCCTGTTTTATTTATAACACTAGTGATTCCCATTGCTGTAGGCACAGATTATGCCAGATTGTGTTCTTCACTGCGGTCAGATCAGTGCTCTCTTCTCCAGACAGCTCCAACTTACACATGGGTTGTGTCCCGCAGCTCATGTTTAAGTCTGTTCTTTGGAATTTGGAACAGATTTTCCCAGACAAACAAGGTAATAAAAGTTGATTTGGTCTCCAGGCTGCTTTTTAATGCACAGTTGAATGGCCCAATCCTAAGTGCTAGGACCTGGGGTTAGAGGCCACTCAGTGCGGCAGAAGAGGAGCTAAACAGACCAAGAGACTCTTCGCCCTGTTTCTGGGCATGGAACTGGTAAACAACATGCCAAAGAGGAGAGGCCCATTTTCTTCCTCTCCCCAGCTCCCCCTTGCCAGCCAGTGCTCTGCTCCCATAGGCCCTCAGCCCCTCCAGCCGTGGTCAGCCCTCTCCTGTGAGGTGAGCCCCCAGCTACTCCAATGCTCATTTGCAGATGGCACCCTGAAACTGTCATCTTCAGAGGAGTGGCGCCTTCTGGAGGAGTCCCTCAGAAATGTTGCCTTCCCAGACGTGGTCCTCCTCTCCCCACGCTCCAGGGAGTTTAACTGGATGGGGCCCGTGCGGTCTTACTCGGTGAGCAAGCTCAGCACACGTTTCATAGGCGCAGCCCGTGCTGGATGCCTGCCAGTTGTGCTGACACCTGCTGAGGGTCCTCTGAGTCCATGCCATGCCCTCTCCTAGTTGTGGGCTGGGATGCTTTACACCTGCTGGCTCTGTCAGCCTGACGACTGCGGGCTGGACCAAGGATGGACATCTGTCCTGAAGAAGCCATCAGCAGAGGGCTTGTGAGCCGGGAGGGCAGCCATGCAGGGATGCTCCGCACTTGGGCTGATGATCCTATGTCCTGGGTCTCCTGAGATAGCGCAGTTCAAATGTAAGCTTTTCACCCTGAATCAATTATTAATAGTGCTCCTTTTCATACTCACAACTCCCTTAGCTCAGGCAGTAAATTCCACGGTCAGCGTACCTGCACTGCGTGGGGTGTGGCTGAGTCGTGAGTTCTGAATGGGCAACACAGGGAGGGAGGTAGGTTTGTCAGCACTTGGAAGGAGCAGTGGCAGCAAGGCTGGAAAGCCCACAGACTCACAGCGATAAGAAACTCCAGACAGAACCCCCAAACATCCTCTTCTCAAGGGATGACCTCAAGATAGATCAATCTGCTCATTGATTCAGCAAATATTTATGGAACCCATCATGCATGGCAGATGCTGCCAAGGTCAGGGGAGACTGCCATGCATAGCTCAGTGTGTCTCACCTTCCCAGAATGTGTGGCCTCTCAGCCAAGCTGGCAGGCACAGCCTGTGCATGTGACCGCGCCCTGTGGGGAGAGCAGGCAGCATAGAAAGTCCCTTCTACGAGACACCCAGATTTGTGGAGTCAGAAAAGGCTTTGCAGGAAATGGCATCTACCCTGAGCCCATAAAGGGTAGTGGTTGCAAATCAGATGGAAGGAGAGGATGGAGTGGGGTGGGGGCCAGGGTGAGCAAGGCAAATGGGAACAAGGAGAGTGGCTGCCAAGTCACCAGAGATGCTCCCGACACACAGAATCCAAAGCCGGGTTCCAGACCAGCAGTGTCGGCATCGTGGGAACTTGCAGGAAGTGCACGTTTTCAGGACTGAGCCCCGACCTTCTGAGTCAGAAACTCTGGCAGGGCCCCCACACCTGGTTTTACCAAGGCCTCAGGTGGTTCTGAGGCCTGCTGAAGTTGAGAGCTCCCTGCTCAGCTCTCAGAGCAGCTGGGCCTTCCCTGGACGCCTCCATGCAAAGGTCTCTGGAAGGCCCAGCTCCTGGGGCATCCCAGGCACACTCCACAACTATGGGACTTCTCATGCATGACACTCCTGGCCTCAGATTTGGCAGCCTCAGACTTTCCCACCCTTTCTGGGATATCCTCATGTCCAAACTCGGTGGGGTGATGATGAGCACTCGTCTTTATGTGCACATTGCCTTAGCAGAGAGAAGGGAGAAAGAAGAACGTGGTTCCACTGGATCTACGGGGCCCTCTTTTCCACTATGCCAACTTCTTGACATCTGTCTTCTGTCTGTGATTTTTCACTAAGAAAACACAAGCCACAGAATGCAGCCTGGTGCAGGGCAAAGGGCACAGATTCCGGAGTCGGCTGGCTTGGATTCAGCCTCACTTTACCACTTGCTTGTGTGTAGCCAAGAGCAGGATATCCCACCTCCTGCTGCCTCAGTCTCCTTATCTGTAAAGCGGAGATAATCTTACCTACCATATGGGATTATTGTGAGTAATAAACGGGTAAATGAATGCAAAGCCCTTTAAACAGTGCCAAGTGCAGAATATGTATCTAGAGATATGCCCTATTGTTTTGGGCTTGATGTCATCTTTCCATATTATACAGTTGTTACTGCCTGTTTCCCCAGAAAACTCCTGGGGCCACATCCTTCTGCCTGCTGCCTGTGGAAGGCACTATTTCCCACTTACATGCAAATAGCTAACGTACTCTGCTTTTCCTTGACTTCTGTAACCAACACATCTCAAATCGCCAAAACGGACCAGCAGTTATCTGGAGGGCCACCTGATGAACTGGTACACTGTAGCATGCAGTGGTTCCAGCACCCCACCCCTCATAGGCTATTAATGATTGTTTGTTAAGGTAAAACCCCATGCTTTGCTACCTTTTTAATCTAAAATTGACATCTTTTGTCACTGTGGATGCCATTGCAGACTTAGGAGTGTAAGCTGGCAGTGGCTGGGTTTTGACAAGACTTAATTTGGTGGTGCCAAGAGTGCTGCCATGAAGAGATGAGCTTGCCTGGACACAGCTGTTGCCAGCCGAGTTATAACACAAGTGCTCATGGCTTTTATCAGTACTTTTTTAACGTGGTGAAAAATCTGCCAATTTCATGTAATTTTCCTATCATAACAAACATTTTTTTTTTCATGCTGTGGGGAATTATGAAGAGTCTGTTTCATCCCCACCCCATCGCCCTTGGGTTTCAGATCAGTGGACACCGTGAGGACAACCCACACTGCTCTCAGGGCGCGTGGATGCTGAGCTTCATTGAACCTATCGGTTTGGGCATGGAGCACATTATCAGGTCTTTCTTTCTCATCTGTATCTTCGCAAGCAAACTCAACATCAAATATGAAAGTGTCTACACCTTGCATGGCATGATGAGAACTTCCAGGTTACCTTTGCCAAATTGAAAACGTATTTTAATTTTTCCAAATCACTGGAGAAAAAAAAGAACAACAAAAAATCCTCCTTAAGTCTATAATTAAAATTATTTTATGAGCTATTTTCTACCTTTAAAGTAGATGCTATGCTAATGTTCTGCTGCTTCTGTGAGTGGCTCTCACCCTGGGAGCAGGAGTGAGGTGGGTAAGTGGATTAGTTTGGAATCCCCTCTCCAGAGAATTTGTTCCTCCCTCAGGAGAAGATGGTGGGCGTTTTAATGAGCTCCACATGGTGTATTCTCCAGGCTCTTCAATCTTTCAATAAAATGTTGCAAACCAGGGCTGGGCACCGTGGCTCACGCCTGTAATCCCAGCACTTTGGGAGGCCGAGGCGGGCGGATCACCATGTCAGGAGTTCGAGAGCGGCCTGACCAACATGGTGAAACCTCGTCTCTACTAAAAATACAAAAAAAATTAGTCAGGCCTGGTGGTGGGTGTCTGTAATCCCAGCTACTCGGGAGGCTGAAGCAGGAGAATCGCTTGAACCCACGGGGCGGAGGTTGCCGTGAGCCGAGATCGCGCCATTGCACTCCAGCCTGGGCAACAGAGCGAGACTCTGTCTCAAAAAAAAAAAAAAAAAAAAAGGTTGCAAACCAGTCATTGCTGATGGGCACACCTAAAATACTGCTTTATATTTTTAATTGCCTAAAATACTTTATAATTGATTTCTTATAAGAGGTGAGTCGGGTCATTGGTGGAGATAGTTATCCTATTTTTTCTTTATTCCACTTTCAACTTTTTTCGGGGATTGGAGTAGAAGAAATAAAGAAGTGCCAGGCCCAGGAAAGAAATTAACTGATGAGCTAAGTCTGGAAGTAGTGGATTGGAAGGTTGATTGAACTGTGACTACAAGCTGGAAATGCAAGAAAAAACGACTGGAGAGAGATTGCTCTTCTTATATTCCTATGAAGAATCACAGTCACCATTTGAAATCTTATTTATTAGGACGTGACATGCCATGGACTGGCTAGCTTAGGAACAGACTGTGAGCTCCAGGAGTCAGGAACTAGGTCCACCCCAGAGAAATCTACAACTTCCCAAATAGTCTGAATATGCTTTGCAGAGAAGAAAAATCTACATCATTTTCAAAACTCCCTTTGGATAAAAGGTTCACATCTGGCAAAATGAAAGAACTGTGATGACTGTATCATTTTTAAGAGGGAACAATAATGTAAAATTTAAGGTAAGGGGGTAAAATAAATTGCCAGTAACTATGGCAGATATCTTCCTTCAGTAGTGAAGTGCCTTCAGTAGTGCCTTCAATAGTGTAGTTGTGAATCAAAGTGTTACAAATATTAGTCAATATTATAATGCAGACTATTAAAGGGGGCTTCCATTTGAGACGGAGTCTTACTCTGTCACCTAAGCTGGAGTGTAGCGGCTCAATCTCTGCTCACTGCAACCTCCACCTCCCGGGTTCAAGTGATTCTCATGCCTCAGCCCCCCGAGTAGCTGGGATTACAGGCACGTGCCACTATGCCTGGCTATTTTTTTTTTTTGTATTTTTGATAGAGACGAGGTTTCACCATGTTGGCCAGGCTGGTCTTGAACTCCTGGCCTCAAGCAATCCACCTGCCTCAGCCTCCCAAAGTTCTGGGATTACAGGCATGTGCCTGTAAGTATTATATTAATATTTATCTTTATATCCTAACTAATAGTAGTGGGTATCCCATTTAACAAGGGATTCTACTAAAAATATCATATTCAGTAGTCTCTTTTCACCCTTAATGACCTTTCAAGCCAAGACATTTCTCAAAATTCAGAGCTGTTAAAATATATCAGTATGTTAATATACTTTCAATATCTGTTTTATTGTTTTAATTTTTTAAAATTTTAAGTTAGTTTTTTATTACAAAAGTAATGTATGTATGCTTATGGACAAAGTTTCAAATGTTACTGAATGGCACAAAGTGAAAAGCAACATTTCTTTCTGAATCCCTGCCTTGTCCCTACAAGCTCACCACTCTGGACATTTTTTGGTGAGCATCCTTCCAGAAATGTTTACTCAAATGCTATTCTACTTCTGCAATTTGCTCCCTGCCTTCACGGAATATTACTTGGACCATTTTCCATGTCAGCAAATATATGTCTACCTCATTCTTTTAAAAGACCGTGTGCTGTTTGGGAGGACATTCTATAATAATTTTAACAGACATCTATTTGTGAACACTTAGCTTCCTTCCAACTGTTTTTCCAGCTTCAGGAAATTGCTGCAGGGAACATTGTACAACATATACCTGCAGCCTTGATCAAGTATTAAGTACATTTCTGGAAGTGGAATCACTAGTATAAGGGGGGCTTGCATTTTGAATCACTGATTGCTACTGTAAAAATGCCCTGCACGGAGGCTGTAGCCAATTCCACTCAAGTGAAAGGATGTTTGTTTATTCCTGGCCTCACTGAAAATTACCAAGCTCTTTATCTCGTTTTTTGTCTAGCAGGTAAAAACCTATGTCTTCTTTTTATTTAAAGTTCCTTTATAATTATATGTTAAATGTGTACATATTTTAATGTTTGTCTGTGTTTTTAAACTTTACTTATTTTTATGTAAGGTGATTTAAGTTTTTTTCTTCTGTCAATTTGTGAGTAGTATTTGCATAGTAAGGAAATTGGGTCTTGATATGTTTTCTATGTTGTAAATATTTTTAAGTGGATTTTTAATTTGTTTATGGTATTTTAAAAGCATGCATTAGTTTAATTTGTTTGATGTTTGCATAGTCATATATGCTAATCATGTTCTTCCTGACTTCTGGGAGATGATGTATTTTTAAAGCTACTTTGATTCTGTTCTCCCACTCTTTTCTCTTGCTATGTTGGTCATACTTTTTATTTGCAAGAGAAAGAAAAAAGGTTTTTGCTGATTTTTTCCTTCAATTCTTTATCTCATCAAGGACAATTTTAAGGGGTATCATAGCCCTGCCGTACGCCAGAGGGGTGCAGTGAACTAAGGCTTTGCGTGTGCTGAGGACAGGATTACTTTGTTGAGATCCTCGCATGCATATATGATCACAGCCCAGGAGGGCAGTACAGCCAGGCGGCAGGTGAGGGCAGCCCAGGGCTTGGGAGATTCCTACATTTCAGGATGGCTTTGGTGTCTGCAGGTCACATATAATTTAATGTTTTCAGTTACACTGTATCAACTTTAAAAATAATTCGGTGAGGGAAGGAACCTCGATCTTGGCATCCTGGGGTTCTGGGTTCTGACCTCTGTCCTGGCATCCCGAAGGGTCTGATGATGTTTGCTGGATGTGTGGCAGCTCCAGGGCTCGGCTGCCTCTTTTTGGTTATTTGGTTTCTTGTTCCTCCCAGTGACTGAAAACCCCTCCCTCCCTGGCTTTTTATAGAAGCTAAGAAAAGAGCTTATTTTGTGACTGCATCCGGACCTTGAGTTCTTTGGCTCTTGTGTGAGTGGATGGTGACACCAGGCCAGCTGGGGATTCTTCCCAGGCTGGGCTCACAGGCTGGGGCTGGGCACACGGAGCAGCTGCGGGAAAAGGATCTGGACACCAGCCCCCCAGCGTGTCACCGGCAGGAAGGTGAGGTGGGAACAGAGTGACGTCCATGCATGTTCAGGTGAGGCCTTTGTCTTTTCTTTGCTTGCGCAGTGGGACTTCATGCTTTAACTTGCATCGGGTGACCAGAAAATGGCAGAGGAGCCCCACCCTGGGCAGTGATTTTAATATTACGATGACATTCAAATGAGGAGAAAGGCGTGAGGGTCAGGCTGCAGTCCCTCTGGTCTTCAGGCAGCTGGACCTGGTCAGGTCCTTATAGGGAATGCCAGAGTCCTGTTTCAGTGACCTCAGAAGGCATCACTCAAAGAGATAGATAGGTCCTTCCTTGTATGGTCAGGAATTCAGCCTGGTCAGCAGATTTAGGAGCACCTCCACCCCTTCCTGCTCCGTGACTCAGTCTACTTGTTAAGGGGTGCAAGTGGGGGAGGGAACGTGCCCGGATGTGTGAGGGCCATCAGGACCTGTGTTGCTTTGTCACATGTCTGCAGGACCCAGTCTCTTTCCTCTCCTGCCTCAATTTGACAGAAAATCAAGACACCTAAGAAATTTGGGATGAAATGTTGTTACGGAAAAAGTGAGGGATGACAGTCCATGAACATGACTTTAGGGACAATAAGGGGTCTAAAAATATCCGACGAAGAACAACATCTCATCCATTTGAAAAGTGAAAAGTGGAATCTTGTTTGAATTTGTATTTCTTTGATGACTGCCAAGGGTAAATATTCTTTCCTTCCTTCCTTTCTCCTTCCTTTCCTTCCTTTCCTTCCTTCCTTCCTTCTTTGAAACAGGGTCTCGCTCTGTTGCCCAGGCTGGAGTGCAGTGGTGCCATCATGACTCAATGCAGCCTTGACCTCCTGTGCTCAAGTGATCCTTCCAGCTCACCCTCCCCAGTAGCTGGGACTACAGGCGTACACCACCATGCCCAGCTACTTAAATTTTTTCTTTTTTTTTTTAGAGACAAGGTTTCCCTACGTTGCCCAGACTGGTCTTGAACTCCTAGCCTCAAGCAGTCCTTCTGCCTCAGCCTCCCAATGTGCTGGGATTACAGGCATGAGCCACTGCACTTGACCAAGGGTAAATATTTTCTGTACGTTAATTACCTTCTGTATTTTTTGCCATGAAACTTAAAACCAATCCCTTTAAAACTTGTTTATATGGATGCCTCCATAAGCAATTCTTTACGTGTATTTAATCAAGCACGGATCTAGGTGTTGCTGTGAAAGTATTCTACAGATGTGCTCAGTCTCTGCAATCAGTTAACTTGAAGTAAAGGAGATTACACTCTGTAATGTGGGTGGGCCTCACCCAGCCAGCCATAGGCCTTACTGTTAAAGACAGAGGTTTCCATAGAGGAAGACGTTCCACCTCAACATGGCAGCACTGGCTCCTGCCTCAGTTTCCAGCTGCTGACCTGCACCACTGATTTTGGATTCGGCCGCCGCACAATCGCATGGCAAATTTCTTAAAATTGTCCTCTCTCTCATCTCCTGTTGGTTCTGTTTTTCTGGAGAAACCTGACTGATACAGTAATGGACAAGATCAGCAGCTGCGTGGAGCCCTATGTCTGAGCTAGGGATGAGGCCTTCGGAATGTCCTTCAGTGTTGACACTAAAACACATCTGCTATTTCTCTCTCATATCATCATTATCAACCAGCAGATCGCCTTGCTCAGAAGAACACTCTAGCTCTGTCATTGTTTTATAAGCTCAAAGAACAAAGAGCTGCCAGTATCTTAACCCCTCCCAAATCTAAATTAAAGGCACCATTGGAAAAGAAAAATGACCTAGATAGAGAAGAAGGGCAAGTACAGTAATTCACAACACCTTGTGCAGAGGCGAACATCTATGCTGACACAGACAAGCTCCTGGAATGCCCCGTTGTGGTGAGACTGTGGTTTCCTCACTGAGCAGGGTTTTCATCTAAAGACTGCCCTGACCCAACAGAGCCTTGAAGCTGTTTGTTGTCTGCTGACTGTGGATCAGGCATCTTGCTGGGCGCTGCAGAGGGCACAACACAAGTAAGGCACATAGAGCTCACAGGCAATGCTTATTTTGGTAGAAACATGAGCAAAGGGTGTTTCTGCTTTATTTGTTTTGTTTTTGCAAGGATGAGAGAGGAATCCAACTAGGTGCATTTGTTCAGAATGCAGGCTAAGGGGGATTCGACAGTCACTATGAGACCAGGTAGGATGGGATAGGGATATGAAGTGGAAGGATGACAATGGAGTCAAATGGAAGGAATCGAATCTATTGCTTAGGCTCCTGTGGCTTCACAGTTTTCTTCAACTGTGTTGCCTACACACTTTATAATAAAATTAAAATTAAGATGATGGCAATCAAATAAGCAATTCACAAGGGCAGATCTTGTTCTGCTTCATTATCTGATTCACCTCTGAGGAGCTTCCTGAAAGCCTGAAAAAAAAGAAGAAAAAGGAAAACACAGTAAGTGACCAAACTTTTGTTTCCAGAAAGTAAGAAAATACTAATTAGGACCCATTTATGAGACACAACAGAGTACTGGTGCTGAAGTATCCCTCTCCACATCAACAAGTAGAAACTGAACAGAATGCATGAAGCACCTGTTTTCAGACACTGAGGACCACAGCCAAGGGTGGGATTCCTGGCGGGTGCGTGGGGTGTGCTCTGGGATTGCTGAGATGCTCTCTCTGGACTGTGGCATGAGCGGGTGGAGCCCATGTACAGCATGGTGGCCTCATGGAGTTGCGGACAGATGGTAGAGGTTGGGGTGTGTGAGGAGGTGGCAAGGTTTGCAGTGGGTGTCTGACAGGATCTGAAGAAATCTGCGGAGAGTCCCCTTGAGCCTCATGGAGAACAAAGAACACTTTGAGCAGAACGGAGAGTCCAGAGTAGCCCACGCAGAAGGTTGGGGAGACCGCACTGCACACCTGCATTCAACAGGGACACAGAACGGCACGCGCCGTGCACGGGTCTCTCTCAGCTGCCAGGTAGGGCTATGCGGGGACTTCTCCAGTTAAACTTACAGGGAAGCCTGCGAAAGTCAGCCAGTCCCACCGATAAATTCACTGCTGACCAAGCAAAACTCAGCAGCCCTTACATCTGACTGATGTCCATATGAGAGAAAAGAGAGGAGGACTTCAGAGACACCCACAGCTCCAACGACAGAGTGCAGCATTTCAGCAGGATGGCATCCTATAATGTTAAACGCACAATTAAAACAATCGCTAGAGGTGAAAAGAAGCAGGGAGATGAACACCATAACCAGGAGGGGAAAAGGTCAGTGGAGACCTACCTGGATGTAGTGGGAATGTGGGAATGAGCAGACGAGGACTTAAAGCAGCTGATATTTCAGAGACTTGAAGCAAAAGAGAAACAAAAAGGTGAATGGCTGGGGATTTTAACAAAAATTCCAAACTATTAAAAAGAATAAAACACAAATTCTAAAGCTGAGAAATATAATATGGGAAATAAAAAAATTTACTGGACTGGCTTACAACAGCTTGGATATGAGAGAAGAAAAGAATAGTGCCTTTGGATGCAGGGCAATAGAAATTATCCAAATGAAGAACAGGGAAAAACTGACAATAATTCTAGATGTGTGTGTGCCTGATAGCAGAGCTTGAAAATACACGAAGAAAATGGCATAACTGGTGGAGAAATAGACAAAATCCACCAAGACAATTCCATGGCTTCAACATTTCTCTTTCAGTGATTGGTAGAACCAACAGACCAAAATTTGGTGAGAATAAAGCATATTTGAACATCATGGCAGAAAGAAAGTAAGTTATTTTCAGAAATCATGCTGGAACTGGATATCCATGTGGAAAAAAGGAACCTCAACTTCCACTTCCTACTCACTGGGTTGACTTGTGTCCTCCAAAGGTTCACACCCACCTGGGACTTCAGAGAGTGACTATTTGGAATTAGAGGCTTTGCAGATGTAATTGAAGATCTTAAGATGACTCATCCTGAATTTCGGATGAATCCTAAATCCAGTGACTGATGTCCATATGAGAGAAAAGAGAGGAGGACTTCAGAGAAACACATAGGAAGAAACCCACTAAAATGGCTATTTTTTAAATTCTTATACTTTAAGTTCTGGGATACATGTGCAGAACGTGCAGGTTTGTTACATTAGGTATACACGTGCCATGGTGGTTTGCTGCACCCATAAACACGTCATCTACATTAGGTATTTCTCCTAATGCTATCCCTCTCCTAGCCGCCGACCCCCAACAGGCCCCCATGTGTGATGTTCCCCTCCCTGTGTCCGTATGTTCTCATTGTTTAACTCCCACTTATGAGTGAGAACATATGGTGTTTGGTTTTCTGTTCCTGTGTTAGTTTGCTGAGAATGATGGCTCCTAGCTTCATCCATGTCCCTGCAAAGGACATGAACTCATCCTTTTTTATGGCTGCATAGTGTTCCACGGTGTGCCACATTTTTTTTTATTATACTTTAAGTTCTAGGGTACATGTGCACAATGTGCAGGTTTGTTACATGTGTATACATGCGCCATGTTGGTGTGTTGCACCCATTAACTTGTCATTTACATTAGGTATATCTCCTAATGCTATCCCTCCCCCCTCCCCCCACCCCACAACAGGCTCCGGTGTGTGATGTTCCCCTTCCTGTGTCCAAGTGTTCTCATTGTTCAATTCCCACCTATGAGTGAGAACACGTGGTGTTTGGTTTTTTTGTCCTTGTAATAGTTTGCTGAGAATGATGGTTTCCAGCTTCATCCATGTCCCTACAATGGACATGAACTCATCATTTTTTATGAATGCATAGTATTCCATGGTGTATATGTGCCACATTTTCTTACTCCAGTCTATCATTGATGGACATTTGGGTTGGTTCCAAGTCTTTGCTATTGTGAATAGTGCCGCAATAAACATACGTGTGCATGTGTCTTTATAGCAGCATGATTTATAATCCTTTGGGTATATACCCAGTAATGGGATGGCTGAGTCAAATGGTATTTCTAGTTCTAGATCCCTGAGGAATCACCACACTGTCTTCCACAATGGTTGAACTAGTTTACAGTCCCACCAACAGTGTAAAAGTGTTCCTATTTCTCCACATCCTCTCCAGCACCTGTTATTTCCTGACTTTTTAATGATTGCCATTCTAACTGGTGTGAGATGGTGTCTCATTGTGGTTTTGATTTGCATTTCTCTGATGGCCAGTGATGATGAGCATTTTTTCATGTGTCTTTTGGCTGCATAAATGTCTTCTTTTGAGAAGTGTCCATTCATATCCTTTGCCCACTTTTTGATGGGGTAGTTTGTTTTTTTCTTGTAAATTTGTTTGAGTTCATTGTAGATTCTGGATATTAGCTCTTTGTCAGATGAGTAGATTGCAAAAATTTTCTCCCATTCTGTAGGTTGCCTGTTCACTCTGATGGTAGTTTCTTTTGCTGTGCAGAAGCTCTTCAGTTTAATTAGATCCCATTTGTCAATTTTGGCTTTTGTTGCCATTGCTTTTGGTGTTTTAGACATGAAGTCCTTGCCCATGCCTATGTCCTGAATGGTATTGCCTAGGTTTTCTTCTAGGGTTTTTTTTGTTTTTTTTTGAGATGGAGTCTCACTCTGTCCCCCAGGCTGGAGTGCAGTGGTGAGATCTCGGCTCACTGCAAGCTCTGCCTCCCAGGTTCATGCCATTCTCCTGCTTCAGCCTCCCAAGTAGCTGGGACTATAGGTGTCTGCCACCACGCCTGGCTAATTTTTAGTATTTTTAGTAGAGATGGGGTTTCACCATGTTAGCCAGGCTGGTCTTGATCTCCTGACCTCCTGATCCACCCACCTCGGCCTCCCAAAGTGCTGGGATTACAGGCATGAGCCTCCATGCCCGGCCCTCTTATAGGGTTTTTATGGTTTTAGATCTAACATTTAAGTCTTTAATCCACCTTGAATTAATTTTTGTATAAGGTGTAAGGAAGGGATCCAGTTTTAGCTTTCTACATATGGCTAGCCAGTTTTCCCAGCACCATTTATTAAATAGGGAATGCTTTCCCCATAGCTTGTTTTTGTCAGGTTTGTCAAAGATCAGATGGTTACAGATGTGTGGTATTATTTCTGAGGGCTCTGTTCTGTTCCATTGGTCTATATCTTTGTTTTGGTACCAGTACCTTGGTACCAGTAACTGTTTTGGTTACCATATCCTCGTAGTATAGTTTGAAGTCAGGTAGCATGATGCCTCCAGCTTTGTTCTTTTGGCTTAGGATTGTCTTGGTAATGCGGGTCTTTTTTTTGGTTCCATATGAACTTTAAAGTAGTTTTTTCCAATTCTGTGAAGAAAGTCATTGGTAGCTTGATGGGGATGGCATTGAATCTATAAATTACCTTGGCCAGTATGGCCATTTTCATGATATTGATTCTTCCTATCCATGAGCATGGAATGTTCTTCCATTTGTTTGTATCCTCTTTTATTTCATTGAGCAGTGGTTTGTAGTTCTCCTTGAAGAGGTCCTTCACATGCCTTGTGAATTGGATTCCTAGGTATTTCATTCTCTTTGAAGCAATTGTGAATGGGAGTTCACTCATGATTTGGCTCTCTGTTTGTCTGTTATTGGTATATAAGAATGCTTGTGATTTTTGCACATTGATTTTGTATCCTGAGACTTTGCTGAAGTTGCTTATCAGCTTAAGGAGATTTTGGGCTGAGACGATGAGGTTTTCTAAATATACAATCATGTCATCTGCAAACAGGGACAATTTGACTTCCTCTTTTCCTAATTGAATACCCTTTATTTCTTTCTCCTTCCTGATTGCCCTGGCCAGAACTTCCAACATTATGTTGAATAGGAGTGGTGAGAGAGGGCATCCCTGTCTTGTGCCAGTTTTCCAAGGGAATGCTTCCAGTTTTTGCCCATTCTGTATGATATTGGCTGTGGATTTGTCATAAATAGCTCTTATAATTTTGAGATACATCCCACCAATACCTAATTTATTGAGAGTTTTTACCATGAAGGCTGTTGAATTTTTTCAAAGGCCTTTTCTGCATCTATTGAGACAATCATGTGGTTTTTGTCTTTGGTTCTGTTTATATGCTGGATTATGTTTATTGATGTCCGTATATTGAACCAGCCTTGCATCCCAGGGATGAAGCCCACTTGATCATGGTGGATAAGCTTTTCGATGTGCTGCTGGATTTGGTTTGCCAGTATTTTATTGAGGATTTTTGCATCAACGTTCATCAGGGATATTGGTCTAAAATTCTCTTTTTTTGTTGTGTCTCTGTCACGCTTTGGTATCAGAATGATGCTGGCTTCATAAAATGAGTTAGAGAGGATTCCCTCTTTTTCTATTGATTGGAATAGTTTCAGAAAGAATGGTACCAGCTTTTCCTTGTACCTCTGGTAGAATTCAGCTGTGAATCTGTCTGGTCCTGGACTTTTTTTTGGTTGGTAAGCTATTAATTATTACCTCAATTTCAGAGCCTGTTATTGGTGTATTCAGGGATTCAACTTCTTCTTGGTTTAGTCTTGGGAGGGTATATGTGTCCAGGAATTTATCCATTTCTTCTAGATTTTCTAGTTTACTTGCGTAGAGGTGTTTATAGTATTCTCTGATGGTAGTTTGTATTTCTGTGGGATCGGTGGTGATATCCCCTTTATCATTTTTTATTTCGTCTATTTGATTCTTCTGTCTTGTCTTCTTTATTAGTCCTGCTAGCAGTCTTTCAATTTTGTTGATCTTTTCAAAAAACCTGCTCCTAGATTCATTGATTTTTTGAAGGGTTTTTTTGTATCTGTATCTCCTTCAGTTCTGCTCTGATCTTAGTTATTTCTTGCCTTCTGCTAGCTTTTGAATGTGTTTGCTCTTGCTTCTCTAGTTCTTTTAATTGTGATGTTAGGGTGTCAATTTTAGATCTTTCCTGCTTCCTCTTGTGGGCATTTAGTGCTATAAATTTCCCTCTACACACTGCTTTAAATGTGTCCCAGAGATTCTGGTATGTTGTGTCTTTGTTCTCATTGGTTTCAAAGAACATCTTTATTTCTGCCTTCATTTCGTTATGTACCCAGTAGTCATTCAGGAGCAGGTGGTTCAGTTTCCATGTAGTTGAACGGTTTTGAGTGAGTTTCTTAATCCTGAGTTCTAGTTTGATTGCACTGTGGTCTGGGAGACAGTTTATTATAATTTCTGTCCTTTTACGTTTGCTGAGGACTGCTTTACTTCCAACTATGTAGTGAATTTTGGAATAGGTGCAGTGTGGTGCTGAGAAGAATGTATATTCTGTTGATTTGGGGTGGAGAGTTCTGTAGATGTCTATTAAATCCACTTGGTGCAGAGCTGAGTTCAATTCCTGGATATCCTTGTTAACTTTCTGTCTCGTTGATCTGTCTAATGTTGACAGTGGGGTGCTAAAGTCTCCCATTATTATTGTGTGGGAGTCTAAGTCTCTTTGTATGTGCCACATTTTCTTTATCCAGTCTATCATTGATAGGCATTTGGGTTGGTTCCAAGTCTTTGCCATTGTGAATAGTGCTGCAGTAAACATATGTGTGCATGTGTCTTTATAGTAGAACGATTTATAATCCTTGGGTACATACCTAGTAATAGGATTGCTGGGTCAAATGGTATTTCTAGTTCTAGATCCTTGAGGAATCGCCATACTGTCTTACACAATGGTTGAACTAACTTACACTTCCACCAACAGTGTAAAAGTGTTCCTATTTCTCCACATCCTCTCCAGCATCTGTTGTTTCCTGACTTTTTAATGATCGCCATTCTAACTGGTGTGAGATGGTATCTCATTGTGATTTTGATTTGCATTTCTCTAATGACCAGGGATGATGAGCTTTTTTTCATATGTTTGTTGGCCACATGAATGTGTTCCTTTGAGAAGGTCTGTTCATATCCTTTTCCCACTTTTTGATGGGGTTGTTTGATTTTTTCTTGTAAATTTGTTTAAGTTCTTTATAGATTCTGGATATTAGCCCTTTGTCAGATAGGTAGATTGTAAACATTTTCTCCCATTCTGTGGATTGCCTGTTCACTCTGATGATAGTTTCTTTCACTGTGCAGAAGCTCTTTAGTTTAATTAGATCCCATTTGTCAATTTTGGCTTTTGTTGCCATTGCTTTTTGTGTTAATCATGAAGTCTTTGCCCATGCCTATGTCCTGAATGGTATTGAAAATGGCTAATTTTTTAAAAACCTGAAAACAGCTATTGGTGAAGCTGGGTAACCACAGGAGCTCTGGTGTCCAGCGCACCCCTTGACTAGACTCTACTCCCTCTGCGGGTGTTCATCTTGGTAAGCTCAGCCTACGGTAAAAGGATATTCAGTAACTGTCTGCTAAATTGGGGAATGAAGTTGGAGCTGTGCAGTGCATGGCTGGCCCCTCCCATGAGGTCACTCAGGAGTTGCTCATTCTCATTTGAAAGGAGGTTGTCGTAACATAGTTTTATCAATGGTTCAGTTGGCAAGAGTATGTTTACTGGTGCGAATACAAATGGATTTGTCTGGAGTGCAGTGGGAGAGAGGCCAAAGTAGTCAGTCCACTTGAGGGCTGTGGGCGGGTGAGCAGGAAGCTGGATCACAGATATGGAGAAGGGGAGGGAGTCCACCAGCTCACTTCAAGTCAGGAGCGGGGGACGAGGAGCCTGGGGTGGCCTGGAAATAAGGCCATTTCAACCACCGTCTGTTTCCTGCAGATCTTTTCGAAGCCCCCCACCCCCACCACCTTTTTAAAATCTCCTGTGGTTTTGTGTACTTCTGCCTACATGGGTGTTTTTAATGCTGGTATTTACAGATTGTGTGTGTTTGTTTTATCTTAAATCTCTTACAAGAACTCAAGCATAAAGCACTCCAACAATTTTTAAAAATTAAACTAGTTTGCATGATTGCTTTGGAGGGCCTGGAGAAACAATCTCAGAAACAGTGGGTGCAGCAGTTTCTATATTAATTTTTGTACTATTGTACACTCTTTCTCTTCTAGAGCAGGCAGTGAGAGTAAGAATCGTTAGACCTAAATTTTTTTTGAAAGTAGGCTTGAAATGTTGCATTTTATTTATCTTGTATTTTGAAGATTACTATGATTTGAACATAATAGTTTATGATATGTATGATTGTGCCTTGGGAAATGTATGGGCTGAGTTTTGGAGAATTAAAATCTATTGGTCAGATTTGACAAGTGAGTACAATCACTCCTAATTATACGGAAGTGCTTTCGAGACCACTGTGCACGCGAATAAACTTTACAATCCTGGCTGTTGGGCAGAATCTAAGCTGTCCATTTACAAAAAGCATTTTCCAGGCCCAGTGTTGAAATATGAAAGGGCTCCTCCCAGACTTTCAGTCCAGCTCAATGTTTCAAGCTTTCTGCATTAGACCATGAGCACCTACAAGGGCTGTTTGGATATATATATATTTTTTTTCTTTTTCTTTTTCTTTTTTCTTTGAGATGGAGTCTGTCTCTGTCACCCAGACTGGAGTGCAGTGGCGCCATCTCGGCTCGCTGCAAGCTCCGCCTCCCGGATTCATGCCATTCTCCTGCCTCAGCCTCCCGAGTAGCTGGGACTACACGCCTGGCTAATTTTCCTATTTTTAGTAGAGATGGGGTTTTGCCGTGTTAGCCAGGATAGTCTCGATCTCCTGACTTTGTGATCTACCGGCCTTGGCCTTCCAAAGTGCTGGAATTACAGGCATGAGCCACCGCGCCTGGCCTGTCTGGATATTTTTAAGGAGGATTAGGGGATTGGGACGGGCTCTCTTGGTTAAGGAGAAGAAGCTATATTTTCCTTTTTTATTTTGTAGAGACCATGAAATAAGACATTGCTCAAAAGTGTCCTATCAGGGGGCAACCACCAAGCAGGAGAGGAGGGCTACCTCCTTCCCAAGCGCTGTTTCAACTGGACCCACCTCCTACTCCCCCTCTCCACAGGACAGTGCCTGAAATGCCACTCTAAGATTCAGTTCTTGAATCATAAGACTGTTCCAAGCAAGAAGTAGATAATTAAAAAGTGTTTTTTTTGCGTTGGGCAAATCCTGTGAAATTGCAAATATACTTACCGGTTATCAATGCTGGAGAGTGGGGGATATTACACAACTTTTTTTTTTTTTTTTAAAGTGAAAGGAAGTTTGGACTGAGAAGTCAAAGTCCTTCCCTCTGTGTGTGGACTTCAGTGGAACTCTCAGGTCACAGAGATTCAGGGTGGTCAGAGGCGGTTTGATGTTTTGGGGAGAAAGAACAGCCGTGAAGGATTCTGTGATGCAGGAGAAGGTGGGAGGCCTCAGGACAGAATCAGCAGGTCACCATGCTTTCCTGCGTCATCCACCTGTGGGCCTCTAATGTGTTTCTATGAAGTTTGCATTAAAGTTTCAGCCACTATTTTTCAGAAACATGGTCAACCTCTCCTTCCCTCCTCTATCTGCTGATAGAGTTCTACAGAAAACAAGGGAATGACTTGAGGAGGTGAGGTAATGCGAAAGGGAGACAGGTCTTTTGGGTTTCTTTCTCCATCGGCTCAGCTGTCAGAATTGCAATTTTGTTTAAATAATTTCTTATGCTCAAATTTATTCATCCATTAAAAGGTGCCATAAATGAAATGCAACTGCCATTTCTTATAGGGGGATTCTGAAGGTTGTTGGTGGATTCCTAGAATGTAGCCCGCAGAACTGTGCCTGGAACGATACCGGATCACTGCAAAAGTACAGCGAACAGGGTCGCTTTGAATATTAAAGGAGGACTTTTTCAAAGTGTATAGAGAGCAGTCAAAAGATCGCCACAGTTGCTCTGTGTTTTCGTGAGCCAGCTTTCTCGGAAGGTGAGCTGGTTCCGCTCTGCCTGGGTTTACTGTTTCAGAGGAGTGGTTCTCAGCTGCCGGACTGGCATAGTCCTGTGTTCACACAGTTTCCTAATCCTGAAACCAGCAATCACAAAGTCAGTTCCTCATCAAGAGATCAAAGTCATTCATTTTGGATACAATCATATTTTCAGGCTAAAGGGAAGGTTGGGAAGGTCAGGCATTAGAATGCTGGAGGAGTGTCCTTGGCAGAGAAGGTAAGATTGCAGACCTTGTTGTTTTTTTCTGTCTCCTTTGAGGCTCAGACGGTCTTGGAGAAACCCAGTCCGGTATTTGGTCTGAGTGACAAATCCATTGCATTTTTAATTACTGCATATCATAGGCGGTGAGACGAGACGGGTAATGATGATTATTCAGCTCAAGAGACTGGGAAGTAGTCATCTGGGTATAATTAGGGAAACGGCTGCTATCTAAATACATAACTTAGTGTAGGTCTCCAACGTTACACACTCTCAACATCCCATTAATGTGTGAAGTGATGGAGGACCCTGTCATATGATTTTAGAAGCTGCTTTGTCTGAATGCCCCCTCCCCCTCCAATGCTTGAAGTCTTGCTGAGAATTTTAAGTAAATCTGTTTTCAGTTAGATTTCGCTCAACGCAAGCAGTTCTGTTTTGTAAGTTCTTCAAGTCAGCTAAATGCTTAGGGAAACTGGTGTTTCCGTGTGAGTTAGACTCCCTGGTGGTGATGAATGCAGCTGCGAAGTGTTCTCCTGGGAGAGGTGGAGGTGGGGGGTGAAAGCGCATTTCAGAATCCCGCGCTCATCCACGCTGCGGCAGTGACTCTTGTTTCTGGACCAACTGGGCCACTGGCGTGCTTGGTGGTGAGGACTGAGGGTCCCTAGGTCATATGTGATTGACTTCTAGAAAGTCCCTAGACTGTTACATGAGGAATTGCATTTTCAAGGGAGATCTTTGAACGATCTGCCCCAGAGATTGAACAACATCAATTAACAGGAATGCAGTGGGCAGAGGACCCAAAGGGTTTCATTTTCTGTCTTTTTTAAACAATCAAAATGAAAAGGTGAGTGAGTGGTCACTGTGCCTAAAGATACATCTGTTTTTAAAAAGTCCTGTAAAAAGTCAAGAATTAATGGAATGGCTCTATTTGTGTTTATGTTTTTTAGTCAAGGAGTGCTGAGATATTTTTCCCTCAGGAAAGAGGTAGAATTCATGCTTCCTGAAAACCATTTTCTTGACGCTCAGTGGAAAGTGAACCCTAAAATTGTGTGGTCTATGGGAAATAATGGCTAGGAGATGAGGAGCAGCCTTTGTTTCCTTTTAAGTTTGTTTCCTATTATTCACACGTGTACTTTTCTGGGATTTTGTGAACATTTACAATTCACGTGAGATAAATGAAGTAGCGTATTTCCCCCTCTGTAGCTAGCATGATTTGCAGGTTCTTAAAGAAGTTCAGACTGTGTGTGTGTATCTGTGTGTGTGCGACTATGTGTGGTGTGTGTTTGTGTGTGTATGTCTGTGTGTGGGGTGTGTTTGTGTGTGTGTATGTGTCTGTGTGTGGTGTGTGTGTCTGTGTGTGGTGTGTGTGTCTTTGATGTGTGTGTGTCTCTCTGTGGTGTGTGTGTGTGGTGTGTGTGCCTGGGTGTCTGTGTGTGTGTGGTATATGTGTGGTGTGTTTCTCTCTGTGTGTATGGTGTATGAATGGTGTGTGGGGGGTATGTGTGTTTGTGTGTCTGTGTGGTGTGTGTTTGTGTGTGTATGTGTCTGTGTGGTGTCTGTATGTGTTTCTGTGTGTGTGGTGTATGTGTGGTGTGTGTTTCTGTGTGGTGTGTGTATGTCTGAGTGTGTGGTGTGTGTGTGGTATCTGTGTGTGTGGTGTGTGTGTGGTATCTGTGTGTGTGTCTGTGTGCATGGTGTATGTGTGGTGTGTGCGCTGTGTGATGTGTGTGTCTCTGTGTGTGGCGTGTGTGTGTGTGGTGTGTGTGTGCCTGTGTGTGTAGAATGTGTGTGTGGTGTGTGTCTGTGTGTGTGTGTAGTGTGTGTGTGATGTGTCTGAGTGTGTGGTGTGTGTGTGTGGTGTGTGTGGCTGTGGTGTGTCTGTGTGTGGGGTGTATGTGTGGTGTGTGTGTCTGTGTGTGTGTCTGTATGTGTGTAGTGTGTGTGTGGTGTGTGTGTGTAGTGTGAGTGTGTGGTGTGTATGTCTGTGTGTGGCATGTGTGTCTGTGTGTGCAAGTGCCAATGGAGTGGCTATCTCAGTACATTTCCGGGGAGGCTGGGCTGTGGGGAAAGAGGCCAGGTCTTGCACAGCAGGGCCCTGAAGGGGACGACAGTTCCGGAGCAGGACCCCTAGAAGGTTGATGATGGTTGCCATGCTCTTCTGACAAGGCTGGGAAACAGGATGGGAGGGACGCGTCTATCCCTTCGGTGATGGACGGCCGCATCAAGGAGTGTTTCTTGGAGATGTTTTTGAGGTTCTTGGGATGAGTTTCAACCTTCCTGCCAGCAACCACAATGTGATCTACCAAGGCCTCTGGAGTCCCCAAGTGTGGAGAACGGGATCTGCCCGCATGTCTCCCACTTAAGCCGGGAGGTTTCTGTGCAGTCCAAGAGCTCGGGGTGGGTGAGGGTTGGCAGGCATTCCGAAGCTGACAGTTGACCTGAGCCTTCACAAATGTCCTTCCTGCAGAACTCTTCAAGCTCGGTTTCCGTTGAGTGCTCTCGCCTTCTTTATAAGGACAGAAGTTAAAGACACAACCAATCCCCCAAGGGCTTCTTAAGTAAAGGACTCACGAGGGAACAGCTGATTCCCACTGGGGACCTTCACTTGCTCATTTGCAAGGAGGAGGCTGAGATGTTCTTTTCCAGTTTGAGCTGAGTGGGCAGATAAAACATTTTTTCAGGCAAGCGTGCTGAGAAAGCTTTAAAATCACCTTCGTTTTTTTCCTCAAGATTGTTTTGGCTGTTTGGGGTCGTTTGTGGTTCCATAAACATTTTAGAATTACTTGTTTCTACTTCTGTGAAAAATGCCATTGGAATTTTGGTAGGAATTGCACGAATCTACAGATTGCTTTGGGTAATATAAACGTTTCAACAATGTTAATTCCTCCAGTCCATGAACACAGGATAGCTTTTCATTTATTCATGTCTTTTTCAATTTCTTTCATCAGTGTTTTACAGTTTTCTCTGTACAGATCTTGTAATTCTTTGGTTAACTTCATTCTTTTTTTTTTTCTATATAGAGCCCTTACAAATTTATTTTTATTACTTTTTTATTATTATACTTTAAGTTCTAGGGTACATGGGCACAATGTGCAGGTTTGTTACGTATGTATACATGTGCCATGTTGGTGTGCTGCACCCATTAACTCGTCATTTACATTAGGTATATCTCCTAATGCTATCCCTCCCCCCTCCCCCCACCCCACAACAGGCCCTGGTGTGTGATGTCCCCCTTCCCATGTCCAAGTGTTCTCATTGTTCAATTCCCACCTATGAGTGAGAACATGTGGTGTTTGGTTTTTTGTCCTTGCGATAGTTTGCCGAGAATGGCGGTTTCCAGCTTCATCCATGTCCCTACAAAGGACATGAACTCATCCTTTTTCATGGCTGCATAGTATTCCATGGTGTATATGTGCCACATTTTCTTAATCCAGTCTATCATTGTTGGACATTTGGGTTGGTTTCAGGTCTTTGCTATTGTGAATAGTGCCACAATAAACATACGTGTGCATGTGTCTTTATAGCAGCATGATTTATAATCCTTTGGTTATATACCCAGTAATGGGATGGCTGGGTCAAATGGTATTTCTAGTTCTAGATCCTTGAGGAATCGCCACACTGTCTTCCACAATGGTTGAACCAGTTTTCAGTCCCACCAACAGTGTAAAAGTGTTCCTATTTCTCCACATCCTCTCCAGCACCTGTTGTTTCCTGACTTTTTAATGGTTGCCATCCTAACTTGTGTAAGATGGTGTCTCATTGTGGTTTTGATTTGCATTTCTCTGATGGCCAGTGATGATGAGCATTTTTTCATGTGTCTGCTGGCTGCATGTCTTCTTTTGAGAAGTGTCTGTTCATATCCTTTGCCCACTTTTTGATGGGGTTGTTTGTTTTTTTCTTGTAAATTTGTTTGAGTTCTTTGTAGATTCTGGATATTAGCCCTTTGTCAGATGAGTAGATTGCAAAAATTTTCTCCCATTCTGTAGGTTGCCTGTTCACTCTGATGGTAGTTTCTTTTGCTGTGCAGAAGCTCTTTAGTTTAATTAGATCCCATTTGTCAATTTTGGCTTTTGTTGCCATTGCTTTTGGTGTTTTAGACATGAAGTCCTTGCCCATGCCTATGTCCTGAATGGTATTGCCTAGGCTTTCTTCTAGGGTTTTTATGGTTTTAGGTCTAACATTTAAGTCTTTAATCCATCTTGAATTAATTTTTGTATAAGGTGTAAGGAAGGGATCCAGTTTCAGCTTTCTACATATGGTTAGCCAGTTTTCCCAGCACCATTTGCTAAATAGGGAATCCTTCCCCCATTGCTTGTTTTTGTCAGGTTTGTCAAAGATCAGATAGTTGTAGATGTGTGGTATTATTTCTAAGGGCTCTGTTCTGTTCCATTGGTCTGTATCTCTGTTTTGGTACCAGTATCCTGCTGTTTTGGTTACTGTAGCCTTACAGCATAGTTTGAAGTCAGGTAGCATGATGCCTCCAGCTTTGTTCTTTTGGCTTAGGACTGACTTGGCAATGCGGGCTCTTTTTTGGTTCCATATGAACTTTAAAGTAGCTTTTTCCAATTCTGTGAAGAAAGTCATTGGTAGCTTGATGAGGATGGCATTGAATCTATAAATTACCTTGGCCAGTATGGCCATTTTCACAATATTGATTCTTCCTATCCATGAGCATGGAATGTTCTTCCATTTGTTTGTATCCTCTTTTATTTCGTTGAGCAGTGGTTTGTAGTTCTCCTTGAAGAGGTCCTTCACATGCCTTGTAAATTGGATTCCTAGGTATTTTATTCTCTTTGAAGCAATTGTGAATGGGAGTTCACTCATGATTTGGCTCTCTGTTTGTCTGTTATTGGTGTATAAGAATGCTTGTGATTTTTGCACATTGATTTTGTATCCTGAGACTTTGCTGAAGTTGCTTATCAGCTTAAGGAGATTTTGGGCTGAGACAATGGGGTTTTCTAAATATACAATCATGTCATCTGCAAACAGGGACAATTTGACTTCCTCTTTTCCTAACTGAATACCCTTTATTTCTTTCTCCTTCCTGATTGCCCTGGCCAGAACTTCCAACACTACGTTGAATAGGAGTGGTGAGAGAGGGCATCCCTGTCTTGTGCCAGTTTTCCAAGGGAATGCTTCCAGTTTTTGCCCATTCAGTATGATATTGGCTGTGGGTTTGTCATAAATAGCTCTTATAATTTTGAGATACATCCCACCAATACCTAATTTATTGAGAGTTTTTAACATGAAGGGCTGTTGAATTTTTTTCAAAGGCCTTTTCTGCATCTATTGAGATAATCATGTGGTTTTTGTCTTTGGTTCTGTTTATATACTGGATTACATTTATTGATTGGCATATGTTGAACCAGCCTTGCAGCCCAGGAATGAAGCCTGCTTGATCATGGTGGATAAGCTTTTTGACAGGCTCTGAAATTGAGGCAATAATTAATAGCTTACCAACCAAAAGAAGTCCAGGACCAGACGGACTCACAGCCAAATTCTACCAGAGGTACAAGGAGGAGCTGGTACCATTCCTTCTGAAACTATTCCAGTCAATAGAAAAAGAGGGAATCCTCCCTAACTCATTTTATGAGGCCAGCATCATCCTGATACCAATGCCTGACAGAGACTCAACAAAAAAAAAGAATTTTAGACCAATATCCTTGATGAACATTGATGCAAAAATTCTCAATAAAATATTAACTTCATTCTTAAGTATCTTACTCTTTTTGTTGCTATTGTAAGTGAGATTGTTTTCTTGGTATCTTTTTTGAATAGATTGTTATTGGTGAAGCGGCATGCCACTGATTTTTTGTATGTTGATTTTGTATTCTGCTATTTTATTGAATTCATTGATTAGTTGTAACACTTTTTTCTCCATGTTATCTGCAAAGTGGGATAACTTTCCTTCCTCCTGTCTGGTTTGGTTGTCTCTGATGATTTTTTTCTTGTCCAATTGCTCTTGCTATTACTTCTAATATTATGTTGAATAGAAGTAGTGAGATTGGGCATTTTTGCCTTGTACTAGATCTTAGAGAAAAAGCTCTGTTTTCCCTTATTGATTACAATATAAGCTGTGGAATTTTCACAAATAGCATTTAGTATGTTGAAGGAATTTTCTTCTGTACTTATTTTGTTGAGAGTTTTTATCATGAAAGGATGTTGAACTGTGTCAAATGCTTTTTCTCCATCGACTGAGATGACCATGAGGTTATGTGGTATGCCACACTGATTGATTTGCATATGTTAGTGGAGAAAGGATGGTTTCTTCAATAAATTGTGCAGGAAAACTGGATATACACATTCAAAGGAATGACAATGGGCTCTTGTCTCACACCATACACAAAAATCAGCTCAAAGTGAATTAAAGACCTAAACAGAAGACTTGAAACTAAAACTCCTGGAAGAAAACATAAGAAGAAAACTCCTTGATATTGGCCTTAGCAATGCTTTTTTTTTTTTAATCACACCAAAAGCTCAGGCAAAAACAGCAAAAATAACCAAGTGTGACTATATCAAATTAAAAACTTTGTACAGCAAAGGAAACAGTCAGCAAAGGAAAGAGACAGCCTATGGGATGAGACAACATATTTGCAAACCATACATCTGATTAGGAGTTAGTATCCAAAACATATAAGGAACTTGCACAACTAAATAGCAAAACAAACAAACAAACAATAAAAAACCCAAAAAACAAAAAACAAATAATCCAATTAAAAAATGAGCAAAAAGTTTGCAATAGGTCCTTCTTTTTTAAAAGAAGACATACAAATGGCCAACAGATAGACAAAACAGCCTCAACATCTGTAACCATCAGGGAAACGCAAATCCAAACCACAATGAGATAGCACCTCACACCTGTTAGGATGGCTGTTACCAAAAAAGCCAAGAGAGAACAAGAATTAGCAGGGATGTGGAGAGAAGGGAACCCTGGTGGGAATGTAAAAAAGAGCTGCCATTATGGAAAACACTATGCAGTTTCCTCAAAATAATTAAAAATAGATCTACCACATGACCCAGAAATCCCTCTGTTGGGTATAAACCCAAAGGAAATGAAACCAGCACCTCACCAAGAGATCTGTGCTCCTATGTTACTGCGGTACTATTCACCATGGCCAAGATGGGGAAACCACCCCAATGTTTGTCAGTGAATGAATAGAGAAAGAAACAGTGGTGTGTGTGTGTGTGTGTGTGTGTGCCTGTGTGTGTGTGTACATGTCATCCTTAAAAAAGAAAGATATCTTGCCATTTGTGACAACATGGGTAAACCTGGGGGATGTTATGCTAAGTGAAACAGGCAGACACAGAAAGAAAAATATTTACATGATCTTACTTATATGTGGAATTTTTTTTAAAAAGTCAAATACATAGAAACAGAGTAGAATGTTGGTTACCAGGGGTAAGGAGGGGAAGAAGATAGGGAGATGTAGATGGAAGGGTACAAACTTTCAGGTATGTAGACTGAATAAGCCTAGAGCTCTGAGGTCCAGCAGGTGCAATATAGTTAATTACATTTTTTTTGTGTGTGTATCCTCAAAGTTTGCTAAGAGATTCGATTTTAGGTGCTCTTACCACATGCACACACGAGATCTCTAAGTGAGGTGATGAATGTTAATGTGTTTGACTGTAGTAATCATTCACTATGTGTATATGTGTCAAAATATGCTACAGACCTTAAATATATATACAATAATAATAAAAATAAAGACACATATAAAACATTTTAAAAAAACATAAAATCACATCTCCTCTTCCCTTGGACTTGAGATTGCCTATAAGACATGAACTCCCGAATCTCTGGGCTGTCCCATTTAAGGTGAGAAAGGAACAATCCTCTGGGTGCTTTGTAGAAATCAAATAAGTGATTCAGGGTTGGTGTAGTGAAGTAAACTACTTTTGTTCAATCATTGCCCCTAGAACTTAATAGCTGTTAGACCTTTATATCATGAATTCTCATTCTTGCATATAAAATGGTGATAACAAAATCCTTAATGCACTGATTAATTTTGAAGGGTTAGTGAGATATTTCAAGTAAAATTGCTCAATGCCATGCCTAACACAGAAAGTGCTTCATAAGGGCCAGCTGCAATGATGATGGCAATGATGATGACTCCATGAGAATGGGAAGATGGGGATTTGGGCACCTGCACTGGTCCTGCCAATGGGATGAATACCCCTGCGATGCCAGGCAAGTCATTTCCCCTCACTGACCCTCAGCCTTCTCACCTTTTTTTTTAATGTAGGACTAAGCCAGTGGATCACAAACATCCTGGAGAGCAGTGACTCTGTGATTCCATCACAAGAATATGAAGGACTGAGAAGATCTCCAGCTCTGCCCATTGCACCTTCCCATTGAGAAGCAGCATGGCACCCTGGTGGCAGGGGCTGATACTCAGCCGGGCCAGGGTGCTCTCCTGTTAACCATAACCAAGCTCACAGGACATGGGATGAGCCCACTGTGTGACACAGGGAGCGGGACACAGTCTGTTAAGTCTTGCACAGCCATGCTCTGCCACGCAGGCAGGCCTTTCCTTGGCCTCCCTCTCCCTGTTCGTGCTCATGTGAACATCCACCTACGTGGATAGACTGGGCTTTGGTTCATTATTGCTCTGTGAATTCCTCGAACTTCCGCATCTGCCCAACCTCCCCCACCCCATTGTTTTCATTGTGTTTCACCAAATGGAAATTCTAGAGTAAGCATGTGAGTCCTCTCCCAAACTTGTTCACTGTTGAGAGTGCTAAAATGCTAACCCCAGATGCTAACTGAGGGGTAGGGTTACCTTATCTTTAGAGCACTGCGAATTGTATGTTAAGTGGAACTTAATGAAAAAATAGTTAATTGACCAACATGAATATCCCCTGAACAGAATCTCCCCTGAACAGAATCCTACAATGAAACTAAGGGAGATAAATAAAGCTGTTTACCTGAAAGCTCTCTCTAATCAAGATCCTTTGAAATTTATAAAACATGGTCAATATTTGCACTGGACTTTGTAAAAATAAAGCTTGATAAGAGAAGAGTTTGAAGTGAAATGCTGCCACTTTCTATGCAATATTTGATTTAAATTTAATTCCTAGAAACCTCAGATGAATGTGGTTCATGTATCAAAGCACTCAGCATTATTTATCGCGGCCTTAAATACACAGTGAGCTTACATGTGAATGAATACATATATTATGTATCTCTCTCTATATATATACTATATAGATAATATAGTATATATATATATATAGTGTATATATACACTATATATATCGTGTATACATATACTATCTATATAGTATATATGTATATGGTATATATATCTATCTATAGATAGATAGATAGATATACTTAAAAAAACCCCATTCCCTTAAGAGCAGTTAAGGGACACCATATATCAAATTTCTTGGCACGTTGTGAATATTAATATCCCCAAAGTGTCAATGTCAAATGATTTGACTTGAAATCACTAAGCTTGGTAATCTCACTATTTTTAAACAAGGCCTAACATCTTTTAATCTTGAATACCAGCAAGTTCTCAGACTTCAGTTGTTTATTTTCTCTTTTCTTTCCTTTAAAAAATTCTGACAAGCTCTTTTCCTTGACACAAAGAAAGCGTATAAATTTTATTTTGGTTTGAACAACAGAAATTTGCCTCTCAGAATTCTGGAGATTGGAAAGTCTAAGGACTAAGCTGCTGGCCAATTTAGTTCTTAGTGAGGACTCTCTTCCTGGCTTGTAGATGGCTGCCTTCTCACTGCATCCTCAGAGAGAGAGAGAGAGAGGGCTCTTGTGTCTCTTCCTTTCTCATAAAGCGTCAGCTCTCTTGTATTAGGGTCCCACCCATAATTACCCCCTTATATGCCCCATCTACAAATAGAGTCACATTGTGGGTTAGAGCTTGGCAGTGAATAATTATGGAGGTTATTGTTGGCTTTAGAATTTCGTGGTAGAAACAATAAATTGCCTTTGTGTTTACGTTTTATTTTATTTTTTTAACATTAACATGTATTTGCAACAATGAAAACAGCAGGTGAATACATTCTGGGTAGGGGAAAAAGTTAGAGGAGTGCTATCCAGAAGTTATATTTCCTAGGAATATGGGGAATAAAACATTCAATATTGGTGGTTCTAATAGATGAATTAAATTTAATTTGATGTGGAGTGGCCATGTCCCCTGTCTCGGGATGCCGTGTGAAGCCTGGCTCTTGTGACAGCTGTTTAGATTTGCTGAAAGATGTTTTAAGTGTCCTAGGAAAGAGGTTTCCATTCATTCTAGAACTGATAGTTTTCTCTTAAAGTGTTAATTTACATTTTAATGTTGATGTGGTATCCATCTCAGGTTAATGTTTGGCACTAGGTAATTGAATTTTTAAAAATCTCATTTTATTTTCTGTCTGCTTTTGGGAGAGAGAAGTGGTTAGGTTTTTATTACAGGAAGGATTTTTCTCTTTCTCTATTATAATACCTGAAAGCAAATATATATAAGCTATACATGAAGTCATTACAATTCTTTTTTCTCATTTTATTTTCACTTTTGGGAAAGATTGCTGCCAATATTTGTGAGATCTCTTTTCAGTTCTATCTTTTACTTCTGCATGTCCGTTATCTTAGCCATGCAATGTTTAGTTTGAGGCAGTTTCACCCAAGGGACATACCTTAGAATAGACTCTCATGGCCAGTAATGAATGACTGATGGAGGGAACAGCAGTTTATAGGTTTTTTGTTGTTTTTAAGGAGAAAAATTAACACCCTTCATCAAACCTCCTCTTTCTTCCTTCTCTCCTCCCCTCCATCTCACCCTGCCTCCCCTTGGGATCTTACTCCTGTGATTAGTTTGGGTTCCACACAAAGAAAGATTTATTACTTTAATGTCTTTGTGATTTAGTTTTATGTGATCTTCCTAGGGACACCAGGGAGTACACGCTCCCCTTTCTGAATATGTTGTAAGCTCCTTTGAGGCAAAAATGAATGTTCCTGTGTTACAAGAACAGAGCAGCCCTTATCATCTTCTCGAATCTTATCTTTCTGAGTTAAACATTTGGCATCAGTGACGAAGTAAGACCAGACATTGAGGATGAGACGTCAAATCCAAGTTTGTAGAAAACACACAGTTGATGCATCTCACATCTCTCAAATTCTTCTCTGTGGACTCTATGCTTACTGTTCCTGAAGATGTTCACCAAATGGGACCAAACCTCCAAAAAAGGAGAATTTTAATTTCTTCTTACCCTACTTAGATGCTGGATTGCATAATGTGGTTGTAATCTTTAACTATTTTTTTAAAAAATATTTGAGATTAAAAAATACTTAGAGGGGCAATAGTTAGGGCAGGGGAGTGTTCAGTCCCTTTATGAAGATGTTTTTTGGCTGGGCTAGCACCTCGGCCTTGTGTTGAAGGAGTGAGAAGTAACTTGTACCACCGGCCACAGCTCTAGCTTGTGTTGGAAGTTTTGCAGAGTTGTTGATCCTCTGCCAAGTAGACCAGTGATTCCACCTAAATGGGTAAGTTGGTTTTATCATCCATTATTCCACGGAGGTGTATATTGGCTCAGGTTGAAATGTTGTTGATATCCACTTTGCACTCTGAGCAAGCCCGCCACATTCATGATTGGATTGATTGGTGTCTCACAAGAACTCCAGAGACACACCATCTCTCCTGTTTGGCAGGTGATGAACCTGAGGCTCAAAATGAACAAGTGACTTCCCAAGGCCAATGATAAGCACTAGACCATTAATTTCTTCTTTAGATGTCAAGTCCTTTCCATTCTGCACTGGCACAGACATCTCAAGTTGAGGCCTATAAGCAAACACCTATGTCCTAACCAAAAGACTAGGATTCCCAAAGAAATTATACAAGATGATTTAAATTTCCTGGACCTTTCCTTTTATGGTGTGCCTATCAGTTAGGATTCTTTACAAATAACAGATAACCCAAATCAAAATGCTTAAGCAAAAAACATGATTTTTTAAAAATCTCATGTAGCTGAAAGTACAGAGTAGGGCAGATATCAGAGTTGATTGATTCAGAGGCCAGATGATGTCATCAAGACCTGCATTCTGCAGTCACGCTTCGTCTGAAAGCTGGGTCCCTTGTTTTCTGGGAAGAATTCAGGACAATTCGCAGACGGAGAGCATTTTCCCAAGCAACAATTTTGAGAGGAACCCTGATCAGATGGTTTATGTAAAACGACCAGATGCTGTGGCCAGGGAAGGAAAGATGCTGCCCTGGTCACCCCTGGCATCATGTAGTGTCAGCCTTCCCCATAGCCCATGGAGCAGGGGAGGATAATGGGATAAAAATCCACATGGCCTCTTTAAGGAGAAGCGGGTGGGAAGGTGAACACTGGATAGTAAACTAATAACGGCCATCCGGTGTTCACATGCTACAGACATCAAAGCCTAATTCTCTTCGTTTTCAGATAGAATCTTCAACTCGGAGGCACCAGTCTCTCTCACTTGAGGAAAGAATGCGAAGGAAGGAATGGCCTGACTTCCTCATGTGTGCCCTGTTTCTCGGTAGGCACCATGTGGGGGCTGCCACACATGTGCCGAAGCTTTGGGAACGTTCCGTTTAAATACCAATTTCGATGCCAATGCCTAACATGGAGCACAAATATCCAGGTACCTCTCTGATTTCTTCTCTTATGCTTCAAACTCTTTGAGAACAGAAATTTTTCTCATTTGTGTTTGTATCATCTGTAGTATTTAGCAATGCCTTGCCTATAGTAGGTAGGTGCTTAATGACTATTGTATTCCATTAGGGCCTATTCAGTGATGGTTTAAGTTTAGAAAAGAGTTTCCCTTGCATTCAGTTTGCCAGTTTTTGATCAGCATCATTAAAGGAGAACTAGCTTTACCTCTTTAATAATTTGTTTAATTCTAAATCAGTAAAATTTTTGTGGTATGCTGACGACATGGCCTAAGCTATTGCAGGAGGTTGAGATATTCAAGGTGATAGAAAAATATCTAAGACCAAATTCCTGTCCTGAAGAAGCTCACATAGTTGTGGGAGCCATAGATAAGAAAGAAGCATTTACGAAGCACATCAAAAGTGTCTCAGAAGAGCTGTATACTTGGCCATGGGGGCAGCAGGTAAGAAGAGGAGGGAAGGGAAGAGGAGGGGAGGGAAGAGTAAGAGAGGGGAGGGAAAAGGAGGGAAGGGGAGCAGAGGAGAAGACTCCCGTAAATCACAATATCCAAATTTGGCAACTATTTTGTTCTGATTTTATTGGTTCTTCACCCAAAACATATTGCCTAAGACACCCCTTGATTCAACCTTCCTCCCTCTTAATTTCCAGAAATATGAAGTTGTCAGTAAGGTCAGCCAAAAATCACGTTTGACATGTGGTGGAAATTCTGGGTGTCCTTTGTAGATGAAACTCATATAAGCAAAAATTCTAGTGGCATTTTGGTGGGAGAAGGAAGAAAGGGAAGAGTGAGGTTAAGGAAATATTTCCAAACGTATTAATTGAACGTGTACAGGTATAACAACACCTCCAACACTGTCCTCTTCTAGTCTGACTCCTGGGGGGAAAGGGGGAGTGAGACTAGAAAGGGTTGTCAGGGTGGAACACAGGGCTGGAAGTTGGAAGGCATCCCTGGGTGCTCACCTTTCAGCTCCCGCTCAAGCATCCCCTCAGCCTGCACACCTCCAGGACTTGCTGCTTTCTGTGCTGTTCTCAACACCAGGGTCCTTTCCTCCAGAAGTGGGACCTCTTAAGTGTGAGAAAAGAACTTGTTCTTTTAAGATGGTACCTGAATGACTTTTGAAATTTAATTAGAACCTGTAGTTTTTCAAAGCCTCCTGTTATAGACCGAATGGTACCCTCCTACATTCATATACCGAAGCCCTGACCCTGGCGTGGCTGCATTTGGAGATAGGGTCTCTAAGGAGGTGATTGAGGTTAAATGAAACCATAAGAATGGAGCTCCAATCCAGTAGTGCTGGTGTCCTTGCAAAGAAGAGGAAGAGGCATCAGAGATGCACAAGCATGGAGAAAAGGCCATGTGAGGACACAGCAAGAAGGTGGCTGTCTGCAAACCTGGAAGAGTGTCCTCACTAGAAGCCATCCATGCTAGCACCTTGAACTCCAGAACCATGAGAAAATAAATTTCTGTTTTTAAGCCACCCAATCTGTGGTATTCTGTTACGGCAGCCCAAGTAGACTAGTATACCATGCAAATAGACCACCATCATACACTCTAGCATCAACGGGCACAGGGGGATTCCCTCAGCTCTCCATGTTGGGGCATTTCCTAGTAGTTTGGAAGGTGCTTTCTATGGGATAATTCATACTCATATTCCTAACAATGACTTTTAATTTGTTTTTAAAAGTGCTGATTAGCCTATGATATATTACAGATGGCTAGGCTGCCATGTTTGTATGTGCAGCTGTTTCTTGAATTGACACTTCTACGTTTTCCTACAGCCAAGTGTATTCATTACAACATTCACGGTCAACAATAGTCCATTAAGCAACACACTTCTGACTGTGGGCAGTGGCTTTTGGAGTTATCACTAATTGTGAAACTCCAGAAAGGACAGGGCTAATGTCTTTGGATAATGAAGGTCACCTTCTAATGACACATGAGCCTCTCTGGCCAGTCCCGTGTCTGGTCTGGCCCCCAGCTTACTGACTTGTAAGGATGGTTTGCACTTCGGTTTCGTCTTTCAGTTCCGGGGTTGTGCACCTGTTGCTTGCTCAGGAAGTTTTGTGTGATAATTTGTGGCCCAACTGCTGACTTCCGTGCCCATCACCAATGGCTATGGCCAGCACACTCCTGGTCCAAAGTGGTAGGAAACTTGGTCCAAAGTGGTAGGGGAAGCTTGAGGATTTAGTTTATCTTTCTTTCTAGAGAAGGCTACTTGCATATTAGGGAGTACCGACACTCTGGTGTGAATAAACAGACACCAAACTGAACTCTTTAGAGCACTGCTGGGGCTATTTACTCTACTTAAATAATTTTGTAAAACTAGGCTTGTTAAAATGGACACTAAAATAAAAACCCCTTGAGTTTCTTTGATAAGGAGAGTATCCTGACCAAAGCACCCTTTTCAAGTCTAACCACCTGGTAGATGCAGGAACATCCTTGTAGATTCAGCATCTTTTCCACTGTGTGTGGTTACAGCCATGGAGAAAAAGTTACATCCCTGTACTTCCACTGATTTTTTTCTTTAATAATACTTTCCGTGTTTTAGGATGTTAGATATCAGAGATTTCACAAGCTCTGACTGTAATAGGAGAATGCATAATGTGAATTATGCACTGCAGAGGTGAGTACACAAGTTGGCTAATGATAGGTTACATGGCTTGCAATTTGGGAGCCAGAAGCAAGTCAGCCCAGGGGATCCCTGTGGTGTGGAGCAGCTCTGTGTCTTGACTATGGTCATGGGTGTACAAATATAGATGTGATGAAGCTGTATAGAATTAATACGCATACACACACACACACAGAGTACAAGTAAACCTGGGGAAATCTGCATAAGACAGGTGGATTGTCTCAATATTAGCATCCTTGTTGTAATATTGTACTATGGTTTTGAAAGAAGCTAACATTGGGGTAAAATGAATAAAAAGTACATGGGCTCTGTCCCTATTATTTGTTACAACTGCATGTGAATCCATGTTTATTTCCATAAAAATTTTAATT
This sequence comes from Homo sapiens, assembly GCF_000001405.40. Taxonomy (NCBI): domain Eukaryota; kingdom Metazoa; phylum Chordata; class Mammalia; order Primates; family Hominidae; genus Homo; species Homo sapiens. Next base: position 110,029,577 of record NC_000013.11, on the reverse strand, counting down.
TATGAAAGTTAGATTTACCTCCTAAATATAATTTTAAAATCTCTAGATGTTACCAAAACAGTGGGCGAAATATTATCTGATAAAGCACAAAAGTGCAATCGCTCTCTTAATTACTTTAACTGTGGATAATGTTTTCCAGACTGTTCTACGGATGGGCATGAAAAATCAATTAACATGCACTCCTGTTAGGCTGAAAGATGGTATCCCTATCCCATGGAAGTCTTGGGGCAGATAAGTGAAGACATTTGAACATTTAGAACTATGCTGCTGAAACAATTTCAAATTTTTTCTGATTATAAACATGAAATCAACCATAAAGAAGAAAAAATCTATTATCCCAAGATTCAGAGATGACCATGGTTAACACTTTATTATAGTTTCATCAGTCTTTTTCTCTTTTCAAATATATATTTACTTATAATAAGTGTTTCCCCGTTTTCTAGGAAACCCTCATAAACGTTTCCACGGCTTTCTGAAGCACATTCAAAGTGTGGTTGCACAAGTCTGGTACTCTCACAGTGCACATCTGTGTGGCTGTCAGGCTGGTGTCCATGCTGATGGGCTGGCATGTGTTCCAACTGGACATGCCATGCTTTATGAAATACAGCTAGGAATTATTTTGAATATCACCCCTGGATTGTACTATTTGGATTAACCATCTCTTTGATGTTGGGTAGGAAAGTTGTTTCGAAGTTTTCATTATGATAAACCATGCTGTAATGGAAATATTTTTGCCTAATGCCTTTTCTGAATTTTAGGTTATTTATTTAGGATAGATTCCCAGGAGTAGAATTAATGGATAAAAATGTATGACTGTTTTTCAGGCTTTTAATATGCATTGCCATATTTCTTTCCAAAAAGGGTGCAGTCTTCAGACATACAGACTGTGCAGGGGTTTCCAACAGTAGGCAAGCTCTCTCTCCTCTTTGTCTCAACTTTTCTGACGTTATAGCTAAAATTTGATACATACCTCGTTGCTTTAATGTGAAATGAGGTCAGGTATTTTCTTAAATGTTTGTTAATGACATTTGTGTTTTTCTTGCTTATGAATTGCTTACGTATATACTTTGTGTATTCATTGGGACAGGGGCCAAATCACGCCACACTAATGTTACTTGTCATGAATATTTGGATATTAATGGCTTTCTTTATTGAGAACTTTAGTACTTTGTAATACTTAAAAGTGTGAGAGACTGGGGACATTCAATTCTTTTTTGTAAACTTAACTGTCATCTTCTTGCTATTTCCATGTTGCATTTAGAATACAGATACCCCTTGACTTACAGTGAGGTTAAAATCTGATAAACCCATCATAAGTGGAAAACACTGTGAGTCAAAAATGCATTTAATACATCTAATCTAACCACCATCTCATAATCTAGCTTACTTTAAACATGCTCAGAACACTTACAATAGCCTACAGTTGGGCAAAATCATCTCACACAAAGCCTGCTTTGCTTGACTATCTCATGTGACGTATTGAATACTGTGCATTATGTCAAAGTTGCGATGGTTTCGTGCCATTGTGAAGTTGAAAAATTGTAAATCAAACCATCATGAGTCAAAGGCTGTCTGTGCAGTGAGGAGAGTGAGGTTTGATGTGAAGCCCAAACTACGGGCAGTGAAGGAGTAAGCGTGTATGTGGTGTTATCCAAGTCCAGGCTGCCATCTCAGTGCCCCAATCCTGGCTGATGCAAGGACACACTTTAAGAGAATAAAATCCACTTTCCGAATCCCCAACCCACCTGTCTGTACCCTGCTTACTCCTTTCTGGGCCCTCATCCTCTCCCCTCTCTCCTCTCCACAAAGAGCACATTGAGAATATGCACTCTCAGACCCCATTGCCTATAAGATGTGGAGTTTTAAAGCATTAGTCTCTGTTGGAGATTTTGCATGTCAATAGATTCAAGTCCCTACAACACACTGGAGAAACAGAATGTGAACCTTTAGGCGGCAGCTGAGAAATGAAGCAGGATTTGGAGGTTGCTCAATTGTTCTTGAGTCAACTCTCCAAGACCTAATGATTGGAACCCAGTTGGTAATCACATCATGAGAATGAAAGCGTGATTCTATACAATGACACTTTACATATTAATATGTTCATGCCACTGATGATCACATCAAGTGCCAGAAAAAAAAATTTGTCACCAGATTTCTCTATTCTCAAGTCATGTCTCTAATTCTTGAACCCCAAAAAAGTAAACAAATATTTATTTTTCCGTATGAATAAGGACATTTGGGAAATTGTGGTCTTAGCTCTGTATTTGTAAACTGTTATGACTCACTCGTTATTGCATTAGGCCTCAGCATTAAAAGCTGCCCAGATATTTACGCTTAGTACATCCCCAAAGTACAATACATGAACTTCTTTCACCAGTTGGAAGCAATAGCAGAAAATATGTAGGATTTAATGATGACCTTTCTCTATACCTTGATTTTGGCCATGGAGTAAATAGATGGAAATGACAGTGTCTTTTGCCACTTCATTTCTTCCTAAATGTCCTGCAAGTCTCCCTGGAGGTGCTGCTTTATCTGCAGAACTTTTCCAGGCCCAACTGGGTTATGGCCCCTCCAGGTATAACACACAATACTGTGTCTGGGCGGCTGTCTGCAGGGAACAGCATGTGGTAGATTTGGGGGAACTCATCTGTACCTCTATTTGCTGTCTCCCCAATGTCTCGGGGACCATGTCCTGCTCACTGCTCTGTCCCTGGAGCTATAAGCTCTTCTGGTATATAATGGGCACAAAATGAATATTTTTATCAGTGAGTGAATTTAGTGGTAGTGTGTGCCTGCAAAGACCGAGCCTGAGTCAGAAGCCTGCTCGGCAGGGCTGGGGGTGCAGCCCTGGAGGGTGGGCCTCCCCAGCCAGCAGACCCCACCTCACTCTCTGCATCATTGTCCTCACCAAGAGCACTGTGCTGCTTCCTCTGGGGAAGCCCAGCAGTGGACATTAGATGGCTGCCACCACCCTGTAGAGTTTTACCTAAAAACTTCTGTATCTTGGGTGAGGAGGTATTTTTTATTTTTTGTTTTTTATTGGTTTTTGTCTAGGAGGACAAATCCTAGCATATGTCACAAGAAGCTTGACATGGAAAGGACTCTTAAGTCCATTAGGCTTAATCAACATCCTATATCCATCACAGAGTGTATGTCAGGTGTTTTAATAATTTTTTAAATTGACAATAACTATATTTATGGAGTACAATATGATGTTTTGCTTTATGCATACATTATGGAAAGGTTCAATCAAGTTTTGTTTTTCTCTATTACATCATTGTTCTTATTTTTTAAGAGGAGCTTTCTCCCTAATGCAAACAGATCCATGCTTACCGTGACAACGACCTTCTTCGACATGAAATCCGGTGTGGGTACTGACTATTGCAGGGTCTGTTTTGATTAAGCAAGATTTTCAATGGTCAATTTTAAGCCATTGATATAAATGTACAATTGATGACTTTTCTTTATTGTTTAAGCAGTATTCTTTCTGAATCTGCAATTGCTGCATCCAATTCTTCTGTCATGCCAGGACACCCCATTCCTGGGTAATCCCGAACAACCCCTCTTGCACAGGAGAAGCATGCAGAGGACTTTTTTCTGGGTAAGGATGTAGGGTACATTTGTTTTCCAGTGGAGGCCAGGTGGAATCAATGTCCACAGAATGTCGGTTCAGCCTGTGAAGCAGAGATGAAGGTTTCTCCTCTTCATTGGATGCCCTGGGCATTGTACAAATGAAGCTGACCATACCTTGTGGATAGCATTTAAAGGCAGTGACTCCACTGGGCTTGCCTTAGAAATGGGGCTGAGTCTCACTTGTCTTTGCCTTTTGTGGAAAACTTATTCGAGGAAATCAAGGAAGTGCTGGGCTCATTAGATCCATTTCAGTCTCCTAAGATGAAAAGCTGCAGATGCATTTCTGGGACTCTTCATTCCTCTCTGAACCTCCCAGTTTCCATCTGGTCCAACCTTGCTTCAGCTGGAACTGTTTTCTTTGAGAAAGTCTGATGGTGATGAATTCTCTCATGTTTTGCCTATCTGCAGATGTCTTACTTTTGAAAGATATTCTCACTGGACATCAAATTCTGGGTTGACACTTTTCTTCTTCCAGTGCCTTCCATCGTGAGCCCTGGTCCAGCCTCTGCCATCAGTCATAGCACTGTCTCCTTGAGCGAATGTATCTCTTCTCTCAGGCTGATTTTAAGATTGTCATTTTATTTGCAGCATGATCACCATTATGTTCCCAAGTGCGATTTTTAAATTTTATATTGTTTGGGTTTAATGAGTTTCTTCGATCTGTAGGTTGGCTTTTTACCAAAATTTAAAAAATTTTGGCTGCTATTAAAAAAATTCTGTTCTGTTTCCTCTTTTTTTCTTTTCAGACTCAAATTTCATGTATGTTAGGCTGTATGATATTGTTCGAGTAGCCACAAAGACTCTGTTTGTTTAAAATACATACATTTTACTTTTTTCCAGCATGGATAATTTCCATTTTTTTTTTCAAGATTACTTATCTTGTTTCTGTAGTATCTGGTCTGTTGATTGGCCCATCGGTGAATTTTTCAGTTCCAATATTGCACTTTCAGTTCTAGAATTTGCACTTGGTTCTTATTTTATTGTTTCCATTTCCTTGGTGAGATTCTTCAATTGTTCACTTATGATAACCATATTTTCCTGTAAATTTTTGAACATACTTATAATAGTTGTTTTGAAGTCTTGTCTTCCTAAATTCAGCATCCGAATCATCTCAGGGCTCTCTTTGTAGAGAATGCTTTTTTGCTTGATCATAAGTCAGAGTCTACTGTTTCTTTCCATGTCTAGAAACTTTGGATTGGATGACAGAAATTGTGGCTGATACACTGAGAAGTCTGGACAGTTCTTCACTTACTCTATTTTCACTGATATCTCATCCTATCCTCTGCAGAAGCTGTAATTGTTCCAGTTTATGGATAAGCAAACTGAGCCTCATGTTTGCTAAAGGAACTGCCCCACATTACACAGTTAACATGTGGTCACGCTGCCACTCAAAGCAAGACTTCCTGCTGTTATCTTGTTGCTAGATTTGTCCAGTTGGAAGTGCTTTGGCCAGGCCATCCCTGTGCCCACGCCACTAAAATTTATCCTGTGGGCCAAGATTCTGCTTCCTCTGAGAGGGGACGGAGGCCCGTGTGGGACCTCTGCTGTTCCGCGGGTGGGGGGCAGGACACAGAGCTTTTTTCCCACTGTTTCTGAAAACAACTGGGAGCACAATTAGCCCTGTTAGCCCTCACTGCACTGCCGTACGTGGCTGCCAGCTCTCCAGGGCCGTGCAGTAATCCCCAGGGCCTTCTGCAGGGGCAGCGATTAGCAGAGGTGTTTACATCTCTGAAATGTACCAGGCTATAAATAGAAGCTATTTTCTCAGCATCTTGTGACACTGGATTTGTTCTTTTCTTTTTCATTTTCTTCCCCATTTGTCAGCTTTAATAAAGAAAAAAAGGAGCAAAGGGGCAAAAAAAAAAAAAAAAAAAAAAAAAAAAACTCACCCACCAATTTCAGATTGACAGAAGGAGCATTCACTTAGCTTCTCAGAAAATCTGTGGCAGAGTTCCTGGCCTGCAAAAATGGAAACAAACTCCAAGCAAAACACACTGTTCTTCTGAGGAACAGAATGAAACTCAACAATGCCAGGAAGCAGCCCCCTGCCTCAGTGATCTCAGCGACGGGTGCCCCTGAGAGCTCGGAGCTGTTTCTGACAGATTCTGGAAATGACACTCAGGCACCTTCCTGGCTTCGGAGATCTCAGACCTGTTTCCCAGAGTCTTAGAGTCTTGGTTCTAGATTCTGTTTTTGCACAGACCTGGGATCCAGGAACTGAAAACATTGTGGGGCTATGCCTTGTCCTTTCTCACTCAGTTTCCCTGGGTAGGGCACTAAGGCTGTTCTATGACGATATAATGCACAGGGGTGGATGCAATAATTCCATGGTGGGGAGGGGCAATGCCTCAGGGATCCTGGTGCATGGGGCATCTCCACCACACAGGGCAGCCCGCCTCAGGACTGATGACTGCTTACCTGCATCTTCTACACTGGTGGTCAGACATTGGAATAAGAGCTTTTCATGCAGTATCTCATTTTTCCTGACAACAAGCCTATGAAGGAAGAACTTAACCATTTCATACATGAAGAAATTGAGGTGACCAGGATTATGTAACTCACCTCAGGTCGTGCACCAGTCATGGCAGGGACAGGCTTCACACAGAATTTGCAGCCTTGGCTTAGCTCCCAAACAACATTGCCTTCCCTTTCTAGTCCCCAGGGTTGACATTCTCTAAAGGACACTGGAAAGAGCCAGGAATAAGAAAGCTGATGGTGAGATCTCTAGAGAAGGCAAAGAGTCCTGATCCTCAGCAGTTTCCAAAGCATAGGACACAATGAAAGCTTCATGACTTTGAAAAGAACAGAGGGCTGAGGATCCAGAAAGGAGACATGAGTACTGGTGAAAAGTCCTCTGTGGATGCATCTGAATGTCCTTCTCATTGAACCTGTCACTCTCCCCACTCAACAGCTGGAGGGCCACTGATGTGTTGGAGAAAAGAATAAATAAAAGAGAGAAGCTACAGGTTTGGGTTCCAAAGTTGCCCATGCTGGTTATGGTTGGGAGCCATCTTCCTCTAGGTTGTGCAGTTGAACACGGGGATGCCCTGGCAACAAGGAGAGGGGCATCTCTTAGCTCCTCTTGGTTGCCACGGAGTTGCTTCTTGCTCAAGCCCACATGACCAAGGACAGAGTCACTGTCCCCCACCAAGCAGGAGGCTTCACTTCTTGAGCATCAAACACAGGCATGGGGTGGATTTCTCCTAGGGATTCCTGAGGCCATTGTTTTTGGGGCTCCTCCCATCCCCGCATCTATTTGCACTAACATGCTCTGCAGAACGGCTCATCAGAGGGCCTCTCCCCTTCCAGGCTGCTGGCATTAGAGGAATGCACCTCAAGCTCTCCAGAAACTTTTACCTCCACTCCTTTCCTCCATCCTCAATGACTGTGGCCAAGACCACTTGGATCCCACTTTGTTCAAGCAACACATCCTCCCAGGACCCACGAAGAGTGAAGGTTCTCTTGGTTACTTCCCAACTGACCTAGAAATGAAAAGTCATTATTGAAACTCCTCCAACCAGGGAGCCCACACTCAGAACACAAAGGATTCTTGGGCCAGGGGAGAGAAAAACACCTTAAAGTTATACCTGTAACAGGGAAACACAAATGTAAATTAATTTCTCAATCAATTCCCTGCTACAAATGTTTACAAAACATCCCAGTAGTCCATCAACCCAGAAGAACATATCAGATTGATATATAGTCCTGTAACACTACTTAGCTCCAATTATACAGTGGCTCCTCAACTTGCAGTAGAATTACATCCTGATAAACCCATCATAAGCTGAAAATACTGCATCAATAATGCATTGAACACACCTAGCCTACTGAATATTGCAGCTTAGCCTAACCTAACTTAGACATGCCTAGACACTTCCATTAGCCTACAGTTGGGCAAAATCATCTAACACAAAATCCATTTTATAATAACATGTTGGATAGATCATATGATTTATTGAATACTGTATCAAAAGTGAAACATAGTGTAGCTGTCTGGGCACTGGAAATGTGGTTTCTAGTGACTGCCTGTCACTGTGGCACCATAGTACAATTAAGAAAACATCAAGCCATCATAAGTTGGGGACCGTCTGTCAATATTTCTGTGTTTCTGGGGCTTTGGCCATGGCCAGGCCCTCTTTTCTCTTTGCTCAGGCCACACAAGGTCTCCTGGCCACAGTCTCACCTCCCTAAATCTATCCTCCATCCTGTGGCCATGGGTGTTTTAAATAATGCAAATATCATCTCCTTACTTCCACTTAGAACATCCCAGGGCTCTTCCTTGCCCGCAGGTTAGGTCCAGGCACCCTTCCCTCTGGTCTCTGCAGAGTCCCATCTCTGTGATCAGCACTGGTGCTCTAGATACACCCACTGCTCCCCATTCCCTTCTCATAACTCTGTCTTTACAAAAGCACCTCGTTTGTCTCCCCTTTACATTCAATGGGTGACCCCCACTCATCCTTAAAAACCGGGCTGGCCATCATCTCCTCCAAGAAGCATTTCCTAAGTTCCCCTGAGTGATTCTGCTGTTTCCTCATGTGTGATGAGGCTGGGACTTGGCCTTATTCTTACGGCATTTATTTCAGGACAGTAAAATAACGTGTACATCTCACTGCTTCTATTACAGTGCACTCTGGAGGGCAGACATCGTTTATTCATTCATATTTATTTCCTGGTACCATGCACCAGTCTGGAAACATCCAGACTCTCAAGGAATTGTGTGTTAAGTGGATTGCAGCTCCTTGAGTAGGAGCGCTGGGGGTGTGGGGGGGACCCTCTGCACAGAACTGCATGAGCAGAAAGAACAAGAGGAAAGGAATCTGCCCCTCTCATCCTACAACTTCTTTGTAAAGAAAATTGCGCTTTAATTTTTCAACAAATAAAGTCACCAGGAAAGGACATGTTTTTCCCATCTCTGCCTGGGTTCTCGTGGGAGAGTAAAGTGGCAGTGAGAAAAGAAAACTGTCCTGGGAAAGCAGAAGGAATATGAATCGCCAGACATCGGCGTCAGGGTGTGTGTCAGCTCCACAGCTGTCAGCTGAGGAGACATCCCCCACTCAGGACATGTTCCCCAGGAAGTAGTCAATGCTGTCGCCAGTAGCATCACCTGGATCATTGGTTAATGGGTCTGAGTCGCTTGATCATTCCATGGCTATCACACTTATTTAATTTTCTAAAGACAGAAATGAAAATACGTTTCAAGAAGAATACCAAAATAAAGTGCTCAGAGAACAAGCTGTCTGTCCACTGTGTTCAAAGCATTCTAGAAAACTGTAAGGGAGGAGAAAGGCATAGCATCTAGGATTGTGTTAAGACCAATGCCACCGCTGAGGGATGTTTACTGCATGTCTTCTTTTCATAAGGTAGTGTAAGGGGAAACACATCTGTCCTTGCCTTCCAAGAGCATATAATCCAGTTACAGATAAGATAGGTGGAAGACCACAAAGGTCTGTGTTGCAAGGTACACAGGGACCTTGTTGCAGGGAGATGTCTTTGGAACACTAAAGGGACCCTTGTACATGGTTGGTGGGGACATATATTAATACAACCACTTTGGAGAACAATATGGAGACACCTCAAAAAACTAAAAACAGAGCTACCCTTAGATCCAGCAATCTCACTGCTGGGGTATATACCCAAAAGAAAGGAAATCAGCATATGGAAGAGAGATCTGCACTTCCTTGTTTATTGCAGCACTATTCGCAATAACGAAGACTTGGAAGCAACTTTAGTGTCCACCAGCAGACAAATGGATAAAGAAAATGTGGTACATATACACAATGGAGAACTATTTAGCCATAAAAAAGAACAAGAGCCTGTCATTGGTGACAACATGGGAAGGAAATAGAAGACATCATGTTAAGTGAAATAAACCAGGCACAGAAAGACACACATCACATGTTCTCACTCATTTGTAAAAGCTAGACATTAGAACAATTGAACTCATAGAGATGGAGGGTACAGGGATGGCTACCAGAGGCTGGGAGGGTGGTTGTAGGGAGGGTGAGTGGAGAGTAGAGATGGTTAATGAGCACAAAAATAGAGTTAGAATGAATGAGATCTAGCGTCTGAAAGCATAGCAAGGTGACTACAGTCAATGATAATTTATTGTACATTTTGAAATAACTAAAAGAGCCTAACTGGAATGTTGGTAACACAAAGAAATGATAAATGCATGAGGGGATGGATACCTCATATACCTGGATGTGATTATTACCATTGAATGCCTGTATCCAAACATCCCATGTACCCCATAAATGTATACCCTTACTATGCACCCATAAAAATAAAAAATGAAAATAAAGGACAGTAAAGGGAGAAGAGGTTGCTTCTTTATTATTATTATTTTTTTCTGAGATGGAGTTTTGCTCTTGTTGCCCACACTGGAGTGCAATGGCATGATCTCCACTCACTGCAACCTCCACCTCACAGGTTCAAGCGATTCTCCTGCTTCAGCCTCCCAATTAGCTGGGATTACAGGCATGCACCACCACACCCGGCTAATTTTGTATTTTTAGTAGAGACGAGGTTTCACTATGTTGGTCAGGCTGGTCTTGAACTCCTGACCCACCCACCTTGGCCTCCCAAAGTGCTGGGATTACAGGCGTGAGCCACCATGCCCTGCGGAGGTTGCTTCTTGTGAAGCGTTCGGAGCAAAGTTTTGGGTGAGTGCTTGGGGACAGGGGAGATCAGGGTGCACAGGAGAGCCGGGCAGCATCCCAGATCCGAGGAAAGTGATGTGGGGAAGATGGTGGGATGAATGTACTCATGTGACTGGGGCAACAGAGTGGGATATAAATTGTGAGCAAATGGAAGATGACCCGCAATGACGGCTTAAACTCTATCCTGTTCCAACATCTACTGCAGGTGACACACTCAAGGTCAGATTTTTAAAAGAAGTGGTATCAACCAACAGGACATTTTGGGATTGAGGACATTTTGGGAACAGAGTTAGAATAATGGTGTCAGCCTCATGTCATTTGAGAAGCAAGGATGATACAATGGAAAGAGCCCTGGACAAGCAGTCGACAAACTTTCCTTCCTGAAAAGTGTTTCTAGTGACAACTCCTCTCCCCTCCTGCAGTGAGCCTGTGGACAAGCCCCTTCCACTCCCCTAGGCTTGGGTTTCCTAATCTATAACATTAGAGTATTGAGCTAAGCCCTTAGCCATCCCCACGGGCCCTTCAAATCTTAAAGTCGGGATTTTTGTGATTCCAGAGGTAGAAGCTGAGAACAAGGATGAAGGAAGAATCAATGATGATTGGGAGATACTGAGCCTGAGTGAAGGAGGAGATGGAAATTATCACTGGCAGGAGCCGGGAGTGATGTGAGGGGTTGATGAGTGAAGATTCTAAGACAGTGCAGTTGAGGAAACCAAATAAGGATTCCAGAAGGACAGGCATTAGGCTGGCTTCCCTTCTGAAGGCTTCTCAGAGGCGGGTCCTTAGCTGCATTGGAAGGAGGAGGAGGAGGGCTTGTTGGATCAATGAAGAATGAAGCGCTCCAGGTGGCCCTCCCTCTCTGCATTAGGACTTGGTGCGGTGTTCTGCTTGTAAGTTCTCTGAGGGCTGTCTCCAATAAGGATGGTGAGGTACTGCAGAAATAGAACTGGACAGTGGGGCAGAGGCTGCTGCTGAGGCTGAGGATGGAGCGTGCTTAGTGATTCGTACATGAGAGGGCAAGAGCCTGGCCAGGAAGTGGGGGAGAGAGACACCGACCCAAGACACACAGGCTCCTGGCATCTGGGTAAGACACTGAATGCTCACAGCCGGGCTTGCTCCGGCCGTGGTTCCATGCTGGGCACAGAGCGGGTGGGTGATCATTATGCTGATGGTGTTGAAGGTCTGTTGTACACTACCGCATGACTGGTGCTGCCCAGCAGCCTCCATGCACAACGCACCTCAGAACGGACTTGGGTTTCTCCTGTTTAGGATTCTTGCCTAATCACCATTCCTTTGCACTATTGAAAAAAGCCAGAGAGACAAAGTAATTGGACCATCTCAGTCGTGTTCAGTTATGTGATGGACATTTTGTCTTCCTCTGCACAACACAAATGGCCCTCCATTCTTCCCCTAACATTTACTGCAAAGCCGCCTTGGCGATACCGATGCCGAGGTCTTGGGGAATGACCACTCAACTCATCTTCTAAGGATCTCAAAGCACATTTACTGACACTTTCTAATTAAGCTGCCCCGAACCTGAGATGGGAATGGGGAAAACTGCATAGTTGTTTCAGTTTTTCTGTAGGAAAAAAGGTACCAGTCATGGACTAGATGAGGCAAACACATAGGAATGTGAGGAGGCGGACGCACTGGGAACCTCAGGAATGAGAGGAAAGAGGTGTGGTCATCCTGCTTCTGGTATCTGAATCCTGGGAGAAACATCCTCACTTCCCTGAAGAAGGGCCCCAAGCAGCACGGGAGGCATCAAGAGCCTTCCCTCTGGAGCGCACGTGCAGCACCAGCTGGGAGAGCTCCCCTGGCTTAGGACGCTTCCCCAGCCTTGGCTCACCTGCTCTCAGAGCTCTCACCTGATGCTTTCACTCAAGACAAATGTCTCCAGAAGCTGCAAGCATCAATTCAAACCCAGCAATTGTCTTCATGATTTCTTCTAACAATTCTTCAACTTAAAAGAAGCAGCAAATAGAATATATAAATGACAAATTCACAGAAGGAAAATATAAGCCAACAAAACACTTGAAACCAAACCCTCCTTGAAATTATCAGTAAGCAAAGAAAGGGGAATGAAAACAGCAATGCAGTGTATTCGTCCCTGTGGAGTTGGGTTGGGGTGGGTAATACTCAACAGTGGTTGTGGCTAACTGGTACTCTTGCACACAGCCGGTCAGAGCTAATATTTATACAAACTTTCTGGGAAGCAAATTAATAATCACAATATAAAGTCTTTAAAATATGTATACCCTGAGACCCACACTTTCATTTCTAAGATCTTATACTGAGGTAACTCTGTTAGATAGTATTATGTTGTAGCTAGGCGTGGTGGTAAATGCCTCTAGTCCCAGCTACTCAAGAGGCTGAGGCAAGAGGATTGCTTGAGCCCAGGAGGTCAAGGCTGCAGTGATCTGTGATCACACCACTGCACTGCAGCCTGGGCAACAGAATAAGACCCTGCCTCTTTAAAAAAAAAAAAAACAGAAAAGATAGTATGATGTTCTGTGTTGAATAACAGAAACTGAAAAACGGCTTCCATCAAATAGAGGTTTATTTATCAATTTTTGTGAGTACACAGTAGGTGTATACATTTATGGGGTATGTGAGATATTTTGGTACAGTCACGCAGTGTGCAGTCATCATATCATGGAGAACTGGGTATATGTCCTCTCAATCATTATCCTTTGTGTTACAAACAATCCAATTATACTCTTTTAGTTATTTGAAAATATACAATTAAATTATTATTGACTATATCCCCTTGTTTTTTGCTCATATGACATGAGACTTAGAAGGAAGTAGTCCAGGGCTAGGATAATGGCCCTGTCATGGTGTCGGGATCCAGTCTCCTTCCCACTTCCTGCCACACCCTCCTTAACCCATGGTTTTCAGGTCTTGGTCCTAAGATGGCTGCCTGCCTGTGCTCATTGTATCCATGTCCCAGGCGAGACAAAAGGAATGGTCAACACAAACATGCAAGAGCACAGGAACAGGCCAGCCACATCTGCTGCTCTCCAAAGGGCCATCCCAGAAGTACCACTCAGTATTTTCTCCTTACACTGTATTGACCAGACTTCGTGATATAGGAGTTGAAATAATTTAGCCAGGGATATTTCCACACTGACCAAAATCAGAGTCATATTAACAAGGAAGAAAAGAAAAATAGATGTAAAGTAGGTAATTTATGTTATCTTTGACAACAGTTATTAAAGATTGCATGCAAATTTTATATACATTATATGATGTATATAACATATAATACAGAGCTATGTATTTATGCGTGTGTGTAGATAGATAAAATGGCAAAATAACTGGAAGACTCCAAAATTAGACGTTTGGTTCAGAGACATTATTTAACCATATAGTATAATTCATGCAATGGAATACTATGTAATCGATAAACATCAGGCCAGAGAAGGTTATTTCAAACTTGGCAAAAGATTATAATGTATTGCTAAGTGAGAAGTAGGCGCCATACGGCATGCATGGCAAAACACCAGTCAGGGAGGAAAAATTGACATATGTAAAGGACCACAGAAAAGTAGCCAGAAAGAAACATACCAAAATGTTAATGGTGATTATAACAGTGGGGAGTGGAATTATGAGTATCAGATGATTTTAAAAATATCTTTGTGTTTTTATTAGTTTTCCAAGGTTTCTGCATTGAACAGATACTGCTTTTGTAATCTAAAAATAAAAAGCAATAAAAAATAAAGGGGCAAGTTTAATTTTTCCTAATGGAGTCCCAAGGAAATGAGTTGTTTCATGGAATTGGGCCAAAGCAACAGTAAGTTGGTTCTGGATTTGGGTGGTTGATATTCAAGAAGTTCAGGGTTTATTTGTGGTAAGCAATCGCATGGCCTCCTGCCAGACGTTCTCGGCCTTACATGTTAGCTCTAGGACAGGTAAACAGATGATAGTTAATGTACTCGGGTTTGTTTCTCACGTCATTTTAATTTCCTATTTCATCGAATGTTTAACATTATTAATTTTTTAAACCACTTGTTGAAGATTAAAAAAAACCAGAATGCTACTGTGCATTGAGCTTACATTTCATTGTTCCCTTGAAATGATGGTTTTATTTTTAACTTTTCATTTCAAATGTTTTCCTTTGCAACTGTAATTGAAACAGCAAAAAACAAAAAAAAAAAATGTTGCATTTCCTGGGGGAAAACAGTCTTCCGAAAATGAGCAGGCTCTTTATGACTGTGCAAACAATACAAGCACAGAGTGTACTGTAAGGGGGATCTATATTTGTGTTATGTACACATCTATATTTATATGATGCACATCCTAATAAGGGCACCCTGCAGCTCTGGGACCAGCTGGAGCCCTTCTGTTTGAAATCATTTAAAGTGCCACTGACGTCAAGTTGAAAGATACCACTGCACCCAGGTTCTAACAGGTGTTGCTAAGTCTGCATTTACTCATGGTTACACACAGCTCTCCACAGCATGCAATAGCACCCACAACCAAAACCCGAGGTCCTCGCTGTCTGTCCTGAGTGCCTGGGAGCAACACACCCCAATAAATTACACATAGGTTGAAAACTTATGCTAAGGGAACCCAATTTCTCTACCTAATGTTTTCAAGGTGAAATATTCATCTGTTTTATAGACTAGGAAGTGAAGTAAAAGGGTGAAGCCCTTTCTAGTAAGTTACCTGTAAACCATGTATTATCCTGGAAAAGTCTTCACCCTTTTACTGAGTCTCCAGGGCCTAGTTTCTCATCTGTGAAATGAGGGATAGGACTCCTGTCTTGTTGGATTGCCACGTGGCAAGGCAGGGTGCCTATATGTAAATCACTTCAGCCTCAATACATGGTGACTGCCCAATAAATGACCATTGTGATAGTTATTAGTAGTTATGGTCTATTTTTGTCATCACATAGTATAATTCTTTGGAATGACCATTATCTGCTTTATCGGCTTATGTTTTTGAGGAACTTGGATCACCAAAAACCTAAAAATACTGCAGCTTCCACTAAACAGCCCAACAAATCAATAAACCAGTTCATCTAAGAATGTCAAGGAAAGTCAGGAAGAACCACAACTCTCTCTCTATATATATGTGTGTGTGTATATATGTAACTATATATATCTGTGCGTGTGTATATATATAGTTATATTATATATATATAGTTATGTAACTATATATATATAATATAACTATATATATACACACGCACACATATATATATATATATGTGTAGGTTTGTAGCTATGTGACAATTTCCGAGATGCTGGAACAGCCACCTCTCATTATTTACCCTTCTAAGGACCCCTCCTTATTGATCCTTAACTTCATTTACCTTCTTAGTTTTTCTAATTCCCTCTCAGCTGTACTTACCAGGAGGGTTCACACATTTATTTGGTGACAACTAAGCCTAAATGAGTTTATGAGGTCATTTTATATGGTCCTTTTGACAATATGAGAAGATGAGATTGAGAGAAAATGATAAAAGGGAATTCTAACACACTGACACGGAGAAAGGTGTGGTGGAATAGAAGAGGGTGGTTAATCTTAAATCACCATTCTGCTTAAGGAAGATCCAAGTCTAGTGTGTTCTTGGTAACTTTTGGAATAAAAGTGTATTAAAACATTCTACAAAATTACCTTGATAACAATAAGTATAAGTTATAATATAGTTATTAGAACAGTTTACACAGCACTTTTACATTTATCATCTTCCTAACTTAGGTCAAATAATCAATCATTCATTCATCTAGTAATGCAAAAAAAATGGTATGTTGTTTTCTGGGATCTGATTTTTTAATACCGTGAACCAGGTCCCTATTTCAGTGTGTAGCATGATTACAGGTTAGATCTGCCCACCTCAGACCATTGTCTCGCAGATGTGTGCTTATCCCAGTGAGATCTTTGAATATTTATCACGATTACTCTGGGGGAATGAAAGTCCATCCTGTGGGCAATGGAGGATCTTTGGGTATGAGTGAGAGCTGCCCTTTAATTTTTTCTCAAACCTTCTAGATTCGTATGTTTCTTGTAAAGATAAACGACATCATAGATGGGACCACCTGCTTATTTTTATCTTCTTTAATTCTTTGTGAGATTATGGCACTGGCTGAATGACAAGAGTGTGCTACTGCCACAAAGCTGCAGACTGTCCAATGGACTCTAGTCCCTATGAAAACAACATAGATTCAACTTGTTATTCATGTAATCTCTCGAACAGTGAACACTACTAAGCCCAGGCCTCAAATGAGCCACACATTGGTGCTCTCTGGGGGCTCTACCCAGAAGGGCTGGTTATTGCTGCATCAGAGATGGGGAAAGGTGGTACTCCTGCAGGCACTATTCAAGTGTAAGTGATCTGCATCTTCAGTTCTCCTCAACATCGAAGTCAAAAGAAGCAATGCTGTTACTCGAATACAATGATCAAAATCAGGATTAGACTTTGTTTTAATTCAAAAGAAAGAGCAAGTGGTATTACTTGATGTCCAGCCTTACAAAAAGCAATGTATGGGAAAGAAAAACCTAAAGAAGACCCTTGGGGAAAAGGAAAACAAGTTCTGTCTAGGGGAAGGAAAGTAGTGATGAGATTGAGTTTCTTTTCTTTGAAAATTCCCTGCTTTACAGGGATGGTATGTTTTATGTTAAAAATTAAGCTACATTTAATCCCTTAACAATGTGTCCCTGAGACATTATTATGGGCTTGTATTTGTCATGGATTCTATTGAAATATGTTCATTATTTTTTCCAGAAATGTGAAATAGAAAAAGGGGCTTTCATGGGCTCTAAACACCAGAATTCGTTATCTGTATTTAGAGCGAGGACAGATTTGTCAGAGGTTTCAGGCAGTGACTAAGAACTCAGGAGTAGGAGGGAAGAATAAGTACTGACAACTTGTTCTTGACCTGCCCAGTTATTTCAACCACAGGAAGGATATTTAAGATTCTTTGCATTATCATTATTTAGTGACTCATACTGTGGGTTAATAATTCCCTTTTTCCTACTTCTCTTGCTCCTCATAGGCCAGCATAGATCAGGGGCTCAGGGACCTGCCAGCTCAGATGTCATTTCATCCTCAGTGGTGGTCACAACCTCCAAATGTGCTTCCTGAATATGCTTGAGAAGAATGTTGTCTGTTGATGGAGCTGCTGGCTGAGAGATCTGGTTGAGAGATGGTGTTTTAGCCTGAGGTTTCTTGAAGAATTTCAATCCTAGCCCATTTCCGAGGATAACAATGCTGAACCCATTGGCTGTTACCCTTTGAGCAGCGATATTCTTCACCATCTAAACAAATCTGTTGCATATTAAAACTCAGTGCTCATGTTCTCACTTACAACCGGGAGCTAAACGATGAGAACACACGGACACATAGAGGGAAGCAACACACACCGGGACCTATCGAAGAGTGAAGGGGAGGAGAAGGGAGAGGATCAGGAAAAAGAACTAATGGGTACTAGGCTTAATACCTGGGTGATGAAATAATCTGCATAACAGACCCCCATGACACAAGTTTACCTATGTACCAAACCTGCACATGCACCCCTGGACTTAAAAGTTAAAAACCCCTCAGTGCTCCTATGACATTTGATATATTGGGATTCTTCTTCATGGTTTCTTTAATGTTAACCACCTTTTTACTGTCAACGTCAGGGAGTGTCATGGCCTCATATTCCTGAGTTTCCTGTCTTTACTGACCAAGATTGATCAAAAGCACCTTCCTCAAAGGCAAGTACATTCTCTCCAGGTCACTTCTATTCCATATATTTGTTTATGCTGGCATTGTAACATATTAATATTTTTCCCATTATCAAATTTTGTGAGAATATCAGTGGTACATTTTAAAATCTAATAAGCATTATCAGATGCCTTATGAAGATTATCTGCCAAATTATAGCCCTAATAGTAAAAGATTTTTAGCCATATTTTGTTTAATTAGCTTGTGTTGATATTTTATTACTTAGAAACTCCCACCCCCCGAACCCTCAAATGACTTGTTCCTTGAACATAAAGAATAAAATTGGGACAGTCTGTCCTCACAATATTTTCTGGTCCAAAGCAATTCCAGATGAATACATGCTTTTGAATAGAATATACCATTTTGCATCAATTACATTTCCACTGATTTAAGCAAGGATACTGGATAGGAGAAACAGTGCAATAATTTAGACCTTCAAACCCTTAGAAAAACAAATCAGCATCAAGTGTGTAAAATAATGTTCATGTGGGTAGAAAGGGAGGAAGTGCCTTAAAAGACTGGACCAGAGTCTCCTTTCTGGCTGCCCTCTGTGTGTTCCCAGCGAATTGATTTCATAGTGTCTTATGACTGCCTGCTATCTTTGCTAAGCAATCTGGCTGTTGCTGTTGTTTAAAACATTCCCCCCTGATTTTAAAGCCACATGCCTTCCACTTGTCATGCAAGCTGATAAGCACACTTTCTTTTTCACTTATAGACAACCTGCTCTGAGGCTCCTAAAAATGTTTCTGTGAGGATTGTGATTTCTGAATGTGGTAATAGCTTTTACATGATGCCTTATAAACAGGTGCCCTCTACATTAGAAGCGTAGCCAGAGCCCCCACTCTCAGGGCTTGACATCTGCGGGTTTTAGAGCGATAGCTGGGTGAGTGTGTTGCTACTATTCTGATGATGGATGACAGCAATAGATCAAGGTAGATCAACATTCTTAAGGTACAGCAGTAAAAGGGTGAGAGTAAAATGGAAATGCATGAGTGCTTTTCAAAGGCAAGAGATTAATAGCTCTGGGCATGCCAGAAATACCGGGATAACTTTTCCACATCTCTAAATGTAGTTAGCTCTCTTCTAATTAGCTTGTCCTCTGCCAGACCACAGCTGGGGGCAGCTCATACACACTGTGCCTTTAATTCCCACAACTGGAGTGGGTGGCAGTCCCTTCTAGGATATGTGGAGACGAACAGAACTGAATTTTCTGGAAGCATTATTGAATTTACTTCTTAAATGGCTTTCCATCATCTTCTAACTGGTGAGGACCAGTGACTATCATTAGTCAGGCTGCACCAACAAGGAATGGAAAATGGAGGTTACAGGCTCTATGGACGTCGACCTCTGATGGTTGAAATCTCCTTTCAATATTCCTGCTTCCTAAAAAATGTGTGGATCCCCATGTGGCCTTCTGCTAGTAATGAGGTCTACAGATCAAACTCAATTATTTCCTTATGCTATAAGACTGCCAAATTCATCTTAAAATGTCCCGGGATCATACAATGATGTAGTTTCAAGGTTTTAAAATAAAAGAAGAACCTATCAGCTTCCCCTTCAGCAATTAATAAGCTGATGTTAACAGCTCTATCTCTGTACTGACTGGTAAAGCAGTACCGTGTTCAAGATCCCTCTGAATTTATGTCAATCCCACATTTCTAATTATTTTTAGTCTGTTCTTCTTTTTCCATTAAGTGGATATATCCATGTATGGTGACCTATTCAAACAAGGTTTCCAAAATGTTAGAAGAGTAAGGACCTCTCATTGGAATCAATGATATGTTTTCTTGATCTTTAGGACAAATTTTCTCTATGTGGTAGAATTTGAGCTTGCAGCAGTGGCAGAAACTGAATGATGGCTGAGGTCATCCATATGAAGAAGTAGCTTTATCCCCACTTTATTGTAGGCCCCATCCTTGTAAGCTACATCCTAATCCCAGAACTCCTCAGAAGCTGCTCTGGTTCTGGGTTGACATACAGATAATAAAGTGGGGACAAACACAATAACTTAACAATGAGAGAAGCTAGCAGTAGTGACTTGATCTATGGCACTTACGGAGTGTCTGAAATACAAACTCCCACGAGGCCATGAAGAAATTCCCAATTAGACAACAGTGATGGATGGGCTATATTAGACAACTTTTACACCTTCTCAAGATTTCTAGGACCTAACTTCTGTATTTGACGGCTGGGACTAGTGACCTCTTCTGTTATCATGGGCTATGAGTGACTAAGCCCAGTACCACACTTTTCATAGCAAAGATTACCATCAGTTGTTTATGAAGTTCGATACCGACAAACCTGATTGATAATGGGATCTTACTATGGATCATTAGCTGAGTGCACAAAAGATTCTGATACAATGCCTCCTCTCAGAACATAGGAATGAAATGCATTTTAAAAATGCAAAGTATTACCTGTATTTCAGGCATCAAGAGAAAACAGCAAACCAGTCTGAAATTCCACGACCAATGAGCCCTGGAATATGAGTATGCTTTTAAAACAGACTGCTTAGAAGAACAAAATGTTAGAGCATAATGTAACCCTGGTAATTTCTTCATTGGAACTTTCCACCCACTACTTCTGAACGGAAAAAGTACTCTTGAGTCCTGAGTTACCCATTACACACTGACTGTTTCCTTAATAGTAGCTGGTGGATTAGCTTTTGAGTAGGATGTCCTGCGACTTCTCACTATGCCTTCATTATTCCCTTTTTATTCTGTGAAGTGGCATTCCTTGTTAGTTATGAAGTGGAAAATGCAGCTATTGTAACTCAGCATACTTGTTCATAAGAAATAAAACCAAAAGGAAATTAAACAATTTTTTTGGCATCTGTAAAGGCATTTTAAAGATTAGTTAGAATAATCCAATTTTCACTTCCTTTAAATGATACTACATTTAATTTAATGATTTCTGAATTCATTATAAATAGAATCATTTAAATTAATGTGAAAAAAATGGTGTTACCTGTTTTGAATTATTAGAATTCTTCTTTGAAATTTATATCATGTCATTAAAGAATGCCTAGGGACAAAGCTACCTTCGCCCTATTTGGTTCACTCTTTTGAAGAGGCCGTGGTCCTCTGCCGCTGAGCTCTCATAATGCCTGTTGAACAGAATGGGAAGGCCTTGAGAACCACACTGTGTGTGAACTCACTGAGTGTCAAAAGAGGAGATGATGGTGAACTCATAAAGAAGAAACTGGAGAATATACTGTGGACCTTCTTAGGACTCTGTTGTCATTGAGCTCCGGGATAATGATTCTGTCAGATTTATGTCTTATGAAGTTGAATAACTCACTCTGTGCATAATATGAGCCGTGAATCTCCTGCTCATTCCCATTTGATCATCAGATGAAACGACAGTGACAGAAAAGTGGCTGAAGCCATGTTTAAACTTTGCCTGTTCCATTTTTGGTAAGAGGTCAAAAGTCATAACAAAATCAAATATTTTGGATAATTTAAATATTTAGATTTCTGTCATTTATCTACTCTTTTTATTTGAGGACTATAGGCAAGACTACTTATTGCAATACGAATAAAGTGGAGAATCCCATGGAATGTAATCCTGGGAAGAGCAGATTGGCTGTCATGTACTTATTCCTATATCTGGGTATTTTTAAAGCAAACTTCACAGGATCACCTTCAAATCAAGCTCAGACCCTTACTGACTGCAAGTTTAAGCAAACGACTTTACTTCTCTGAACCTTGGTTAATTCATCTGTGCGTAGCCACAATGCCTACCTTGCAGAGTAATAAAAAACACGTGGAACGTTGTAGGTACTCCATAAATTCGACAATATTATACTATGCTGGTCAAAACAAGGTAAACAAACACCCATACAAATGTTTCCTCCAAAAATTTCATGGTCATTTATTTTCTACACTTACTTGCTAGTGTCTCAATTTGCTGATACACTCTACATTCTTCATCACTATTAAATTCAAGAGTAAATTTTAGGAAAAGCACAAGTAAAATGTGCAGTTGCTATGAAAGTTGTAACAGCCACTGACCTAGTGTCGGGCGAGATTCCCATTGCACTCTCTTCCCCTAGTACCTTGTGGAAACCTTCGGGAAGTATTCAATGGGCATTTCATCAGTCTCCAGTTTTTAAATAGTTCTCACTTTATGAGTGTGGCAATCAATTTTGGGTGAACCGTTTGTTTCGTAATTTGATCCTGTTACGCTAGATGCAGTTTGTATGTAACCGGAGCCTTTATGGCTTGATATAATTATTTGCCCATGTATGTTATCTTTTGAAAATTCAAGAGTTGGCCAGGTGCGGTGGCTCATGCCTGTAATCCCAGCACTTTGGGAGGCCGAGGCGGGCGTATCACCTGAGGTTGACAGTTTGAGACCAGCCCAGCCAACATAGAGAAACCCCGTCTCCTCTAAAAATACAAAATTCAAACTTAGCTGGGCATGGTGGCCCACGCCTGTAATCCCAGCTACTTAGGAGGCTGAGGCAGGAGAATTGCTTGAACCCCGGAGGCAGAGGTTGCAGTGAGCCAAGGTCTTGCCATTGCACTCCATCCTGGGCAAAAAGAGCGAAACTCCATCTCAAAAAAAAAAAAGAAAAGAAAAGAAAAGAAAAGAAAATTCAAGAGTCACAATATTTAGGTGTGGCTTAAAAACAGAATCATCCCTTGAATAAGAAGACATTCTAAGAAGAAGAAGGCCTATGACCTGAGGGTTGCAGGCTCTAAGGTCTCATGTGGAGTAGAGACAGCTGAGAGTTATTATTTTGGTTTGAGGTTCATCCAGTCTACATATCCTGTGGGCCCTGAAGACAAGTGAGACTTCACAGGCAGGGTCTTCAGTGGGCTGGGAAGAGCTGGTGCTGCGGTTCCAATGGGACACTGATCCTATCCTGGGAAGTTGGAGTTGAGCAATGGGAGGGAAGGAGGCAGAAACCAGAGATAGGAGGCCAAGGGCAAGGTGGCCCTGGTGTAGAAATGCTCTGGACAGGACGTGAGCTTGTGCTCGAGTGGCCTTTGTACGTGACACAATCAGAGATGTGAAGAAATAGATCTGCTCAAGTGAGGAACCGCATGTCACCCTCTTGGCTAGACCAGAACGTAATGCTTAATACACATTCTTTGTGGCAGAGAGGAGTCTCCTTTTGGTGCTCCCGGCACGGACCTTTTGAGTCATCACAGGTGCTGGAGCACGTCCAGGGTGATTACAATAGACAACATTATGGCTGGGCTTGGCAGTGCTACCCTCATTTAGGATCTGCTGTTTGTTCCATTATAGCATCCAATTTACCTTAGACATTTCAACTCCTTCTAAACGAAAGCTTGGTAGAAGTTTCCTTGTACCCAGAACTTCCTCATGTTTTAAAGAGGCTTGGTGCTGTGGAAACTGAGTGGGGAAAATTTGGAATGTGGTCCTGAGTGCTTGTGCTTAAGCACAGGAGTTCCTAGTAACATTTAATTGATGTGTATCTACAAATATTTACTGTGTATGCCAGCTGGCAATCTGTTTTGTACTTATCTGTGGATTTTAAGACATTTCCATGTGAGTGTGAGTGTAGAGTGTGTAAGATTTATTCGCGCCGGCAAGTGACCCAGTGGGCCCACATATTATGCAGAAATCCAAATCTCAAAGGATATCCTCATGTTCTCTTGAAAATACAGTGCCTTATTATATCAATAGATCAACTGCTAGGTGAAGCCAACCTGTTAATGTTGTGGCATAAATCTGAACAATTGGCTGATTTATTAGGGTGGTGCAGATAACTACCCAGTTAAGCCAAAACATCTGCTCTGAGGCATGACTAGATGGTTTGGACCGCAAGATCAGTTAAAATCACAAGACAGTCACTCACCAGCACTTGGGCCAGCCTTGGGTGCAGTGTCCCTGGTTTTCTCTGTAGACTGTTCCTCCCTGCAGGCATCACCCCAACATTGGGTGCAGCCCCACTTCCCAGTCCAGATATGCAGGGAGCAGGATTTAAGGAGGCACTCGTTCTCCCCTGCCTCCCCTGTATGTGCCCCACCCAGAGCATGGGTGCCTCCTTGAACTGTGCACCCTGGTCCCCTCACTTCCCTCACCTTAGTGCCAGTTCCATCCTGACTCTAAGGTCAACTGGACCTTAGGTGCCCTAAGAACTCAGTCTTATTCTCTGAGGCCCAGCAAAGTGGGGTTCACCATGTGTCTGGCCGTGACTTCATGCAACATCTGTGATAACCAGGATTATATTTTGCTCCTGTCATGATTCCAAGCACCCACTTTCCCTGGGACCATCCTATTTTCACACTTAATCCTCACAGTAGCCATGTGAAACGGCTCTTATCCTTGCTATTCAGATGAAGCTCAGAGAGGCTGTGGAAGTTGCTCCAAGTCTCATCGCTTGTGGTGATGGGGCTGGGGTTTAAATCGAGCATGAAGTCCAGCCTCCTCTTGTTTCCCAGTTCCCATAGCTGGCTCCCCATGACAGAGCTCTTTCCCAGTGCTCCAGGAAATGACCGTTACCCACTAGTATGACTAGGGTGCCATCACCCCCTTTGCACAGATACTCTGCATGGCCCCACTCTCTGACAACTGACCCTGTTTTTAGCCACACACTTGGATCTCCAAATATCACCAAGTCTTGATCTGGTGGTTGACAGGTGGGTCTCAGGAGTCCTGGCTTCACCATGTCATAGCATGTGATTTGGGGAAGTCACTTCACAGATGAGTGCCTTGCATCCCTCAGGTGTAAAGTGGAGATCCTTGGAAATATGTGCCTGGGAGGCTGCTGGCAAGACCAAATGAGGTGTGGTCAGTAAACCCCTTAGAACACTGCCTGACCTATAGGCCACATTCAAACAATGTCATCAATTATTATGATGCTTCCTAATGTCTGGGATTGGCCTTCCTCTTAAGAAACCCCATGTAGACTTCTGTGGTAGCAGCTGCTGGAAGTTTCTGTCTTCAGGGCCACCCCCAGGGCCATGTTTCTCTGAGCACCTAGAGATGGACTTGCTTCTCGGGCCTCTCCTAATCTCTGTGCCACTGCAGCTAGTTCAGCCCTGCATTAGAGAGTGAAGTGAATAGGTGACCTTCACAGGAAGTCAGTGAATGCACCAAAATGTTCAGTCGAAGAGAATGCTGTGAGGGACGAAGGGCTGGAATAAACTGGTGCACAGAAGAAACGAAGCACAAAAGATGTGAGCAAGAGCTGTGCTGACCACAATCCCCTCCCAGAAGGTACCTTCAGCATTTTGTTCACCCACAAGGCTGAAAAACATGGCTGTCATTGGTGAAAGACACTCTATTGGCCTAGGATGTTGTGAAAAGACATAGGTTTTTTTTGGTAGGGATGGTTGGGTGTATTAGGATTGTTCAGAGCTGCAGAACCAATAGTCTCTTTAGAGAGAGAGAGGAGAGAGATTTATTTTACGGAATTGGTTTGTACTACTGCGAGGGCTGGCAAGTCTGAAATTCACAGGATAGGCCAGCAAGCTGGATACTCAGGGGAGAGCCTATGGATATGACCGTTTAAGCCTTAAGGCCATCTGCTGGCAGGATTCCCTCTTCCTTGGGGAGATCGGCCTTTTACTGAAAGGCTTCAGCTATTTAGAGAAGGCCCACCCACATTTTTGAGGATCATCTACTTTGTCAGCGTCTCCTGATTTAAATGTTTACATCAACTAAAAAATAACTTCACACCAACATCCAGATGCGTTGGACCCGATATCTGGGTACTGTGGCCTGGCCACATTCACACACAACCTTAACTATCACATTGGGCCTTTGAAATTAACTGGCTGTCCAAGGCTGTCCGTCACCTGGGAGGTTCCCAAAGCAGATTATTTCCGGTCAAAGTCACTTTGTCAAGTCGTAAGTTGCCAGGGGAATTAAGAAAGCATCCCTTTAGGATGATGACTATGAGGCTTTTCAGATGGACCGATAGCATGCACGTGCAAATGGCAGATGTCTCTTTGTAGAATATTCTGGAGACATGGTGAGTTGTTCCACGACTAACCAACAGTAGACTCACACACGTGCACAACACAGTGCTGCTTTTGGTGCTGAAATAGAGAATTCTCATTGGAGAACTTAATCCTGGATGGGAAATCAGTAGAATTTTTCTTCTCTTTTCTTTTCTTTCTTTTTTTGTTTTCTTTTTTTTTTTTTTTGAGATGAAGTCTTGCTCTGTCTCCCAGGCTGGAGTGCAATGGCCCGATCTCGGCTCACTAAAACCTCCGTCTCCTGGGTTCAAGCAATTCTCCTGTCTCAGCCTCCCCAGTAGCTGGGATTACAGGAATGCAGCGTCATGCCTTGCTAATTTTTTTTTTGTCTTTTTAGTAGAGACGGGGTTTCACTATGTTGGCCAGGCAGGTCTCGAACTCCTGACCTCAAGCGATCCACCTGCCTCAGCCTCCTAAAGTGCTGGGATTACAGGCGTGAGTCACTGCACCCAGTCGGAAATGAGTAGAATTTTAAAGTTATACCCATAGAGCCTCAACTCACTATAACAGATAGTTAAAGAAAAAGCATGCCTTTGTTTTGCTCCTAATTGAAGGAACTCAGAAGAAAAGATTGCAGTTGTGTTGGGGACTGACGTTCTCATTTTTCTGCGCATCTACAGAGAGCATCAGCCTATTAATAAGACGATGAGTTATGATGACAGGAGAGAACACATTGGTGGGTATGACATGCTTCTGAGATTTTATGGATGCTGGAAGGAACAAAAATATGACCCCTTAATACTCTGATTTGTACATGGAGTACAAATTGTAATTGTTTGGGAAACAGCTCTGTCTTACTTTCACAGGAGCGGTATACATGGACAAACATTACTTTTTTAATGTCAAATAGTAAAATTGTACGGCGACAGAAGGGCCTTAGCGTATGGGGAATGAAATAGCCTGGACCTACTTGTGACCCCTTCAGAGCACTAAGCTTTCCTCT
Source organism: Homo sapiens (assembly GCF_000001405.40). Lineage (NCBI taxonomy): Eukaryota > Metazoa > Chordata > Mammalia > Primates > Hominidae > Homo > Homo sapiens. The sequence continues at coordinate 110,002,667 of NC_000013.11, read as the reverse complement.
GTGGGGCACTCACAGCTATTTGGAGTGTGAATATGGGAGTTCACACGTGCTACACATGCAAATGGTAAACTTTGAAATGAAAAGTTTTCTGTTAAGGCTGACAGCATGGAGAACTTAAATTAGTTTGAATTTTGGTGAATGAGACCTGGGATTCTGGGGCCAGCCATTATTTTCCTGTAAATCCCAGGCATCGTTTCCTCGGGACCCAGGGTCTGGGTCTGCACAGTCCATCCTCAGCATCCCCTGCACAAAAGTCCTCTGCCCGGGTGTCAAAGCCACAGTCAAAATCTCACACATTACTCTGTGAAGGGCCACCTCCCCACGTCCCCCATCTCCACCCCCAGGCTCCATGTCATTCTCAGGCTCACAGGCACATCCCTCTCCCTGCCATCGTGGGATAACTCTTCCTGTTCCCTGTGTCTCATGTCTTCCTGTACACACACTCCCTTGCTATTTGCTTTTAAGACCTACACAAAATCCTCACTCTTTTATTATTCGGGGCCATCTTCTCCACTTTTACTCTAGTACCTACATGGTCTCTTCCTTGACCGCCACGTCTTCTTTTTGACTAAGCACTGGGGAATTCGATGGGTTATAGATGTTGACGCATCTTACTCTTGGACATTGCTGATCTAAAAGACAGCAGGTCCCATTCTACTGTTCACAGTTAGAGGACATCCTCCACCTTCTCCTCCAATATCCAACAATAACAACAACAAAAAAAACAGGACTGAGATCCCTTAAGCGTTTATTTGACTTAATTGCCATGAAGTTTGCTGTGAAAAAGACATAAATGTATATTTTTCTTGCAGTACTCACATAATCTGACTCATATCTGAGGAATTTGGACGTAAAACATTTTATAACAACACTGGAACTGAAGTCATTTTCATTCTCCTTGTCTGATCATACTTTCCTGAATTATTTGGGTAATTTCATGGGTAGTAAGCATCCTCTCTTTAAGGGGTAACATTTTTGAGAGTCTGCCTATCAGAGCTAAACTTGAGGGGAAAAAGAGCTGAGTTGTAGATTAGAGGAATAAATGGTCTTCCCTTTTCTCAATCTGTATGGACAAAGAAAGGAGATAGATTTTGTTGTAAGCCACAATACATTTCTTGCACTCCCGGCCTCAAGTGATCTTCCCCCACCTTGCCCTCCCAAAGAGCTGGGATTACAGGTGTGAGCCACTGTACCTGGCCATAGTACATTTCTGATCCATTAAAATGCAGACACAGACTGGAGTTAGGAGTTTTAGCTGCCCCATTTCTTTGGCTTTTGTTATTTTAGCACATGCGACATAACTTCAATGGCTGGCACCTGCATCTCTGTGCCTGGGGGCTTCTCCTGGTTCCTAGGGATTTGCTGTTTCTACAATAGGTGGGAGATACTGAGGCTCTTCACCTCCAGTTCAGCTCCAAACCAAGAACTGTTAGGAGTTGGTAGATAAATGCCTCCTCTCCCTCACCCCTTGGATGAGACAACTCTGAGTTGTCCAGTTGACACGGGTCCCAGCAGAATGAATCTCCAGTTGCCCACGGTGGCAGCACGCCTGGTTATGCACACTTCTTCAGCTTCCTTTACTTCCCTGCTTAGTTTAGTCCTTATTCTCCAGGAGGATCTTCCAAGTAAACTCCTGGCCTTTGAATCCCTGCCTTGGGCCCTCTTCAGAAGATCCTCAGACCAAGACAGGAGTGTAGATGCCAGGACTGCAACTGCACTTTTGCCACAAACAGCAAACCTGGGTGAGTCAGTCAGTTCATAGATTCCAGTTTCTTCATATGTCAAATAATTCAACTTGAGCAGCGCTGTCTCACGACAGCAATGCGACGTCTTGACACTGAAGCTAAGCTGAAGATGGTGATTGCTCTGTCATCCTCTCGTGTGCTGTTGAATTAGTATCTGACAAGCATTTCAGAGGAAAACAGCAGGAAATTTTCTTGAGATCATGGGTTCAGTAAGGTAAAATTCCATATGACTTTTCAATGGAAAGAAATTAATTTTATGTTATCTCGTCCTACTTCCATTCACACTGGTTCTCCTGCGTCGGAACTCCTATTCACTCAGAGTTGGTGTCATTTCATTTCCCTCTCCGTGAGTCCTGGTGCAGTTAGGTGGCTCCTGCAGAGACACAGGCTTACTTTTCCGGCTTCCCGCTGCCTGCGGCAGTAGAGAGAATCTTGTAGGGGACACAGAAGTGACTGAAATGAACCTGAGTGGCTGCTTGTTATCTATAGGGTAGGCGACCTAATGTTACCTGGACCTTTATCTCCGGTAAAAAGCGAACTCAGTCGCAGGGTGGAGAGAACCTCGGGCTCCATGCTCTTTGGAAACGAGTGCCTGGGGGCAGCTCTGAGAGAGTCTGCTGAATTCTTACAATTCCTGGGCGTCTCTTCTGCAAATCCTATTTGAACACAGCCTTTTCTGAGCAGCACCTCTGCCGCCTCTCCCAAAACGGCATACAGAACATGTGCCTGCACTTGCATGCCGTCTGCACACACAGAGCACCAGACCCTCCAACAGCTCAGGGGCCTCGCATCCAATGCTCAACACATTCCACGCTCACTGGGACGTTCCAGGTCAATGTTCCCTGTTTTTCCTGACTCTCTGCAGCATCATAGCCAGGGCTCCTTGGCTGTTATTTCTTCCTGCAATGCAGCCTCCGAGCTCACTGCAGGAATCTTTGAGAAATCGCAGCTCTTTGCCCCAGCACCTGACTATCGGTTTGATATCAGAGCTACTCTGAAGCCAATCATGCTACAGCAGGTTATCCTGTGATGTGCCCTTTGTGTTCCATGCCAAGGTGTCCCTTGGCAAATAAGCCTGGTTATCCATGCACAGCCTTCTAGGGCCAGCTGACAGGGACACTGTACCTGGTTGACAGTGGCACAGAGACCTCGCAAGCTACGGAAAGTGACAGTGCTCAGCCCAGCCTCAGCTCTGTGAGGTCCTTTTGCAAATTGGGTTGATTTTCTTCTTACACACTTGCTGGGAATTCATATAACTGAACTACAATATTTACCAACTTTGCATGTGTGTTTCTTTGCAGATTTTGGTGAGCATGCCAGATACTCTCCTTAAAATACATGAAGGGGAGAGAAAAAGAATAAATATGATTGAAATTTGGGGTTGCATTGCAGAAGTTCAGGACATTTATCAAGTTCTGCTCGAAAATATCTTGAGTTAGGATTTAGTTATTGCAAATAGCAGATGTCTGCATTTCCCACTGTTTTAAGAAAGGAAGTGAAGTTTATTGTTTTCCACAGATGTCATCTAAAAAAAGAGGAACAGGGTAACTCACATAGCCCCTTCCTGCTGTCAATCCTGGGATGCATTTTCTGTCTCCCAAACAGCTAGATGGAGCCCTTTCCTCTTTAATTAACAGAAAACCATTTTATGAATTAATTAACAAGTTGGAGAAGTCAGCCAACAGTGCAAGATCTGTATTGGAATTACTCATCAAACACATCTTCTCAGGAACAAGGCAGATGATGAGAGAGGACGGAGTGGAAGGGATGTAGACCAGTGCAGTCTCATAGCTGATCTGTCAGGAAGAGCCTCTCAGTAGGTCAGTGTACAAGAAAAGGGATGCATGGTAAAAAGAAAAAAAAAAGTACTGAAGCGTGTGATATGACCAATTGCATTACACAGGACGATGCCTTGAACAAATACCTTGGAATGAGTCAGGCAGAGTGGGGATATTTGCTTGATAAACCCTGGGGCTAGTTATTGCACCAAGTGGACTTTTCTCTAAGTGGTTAAGTCAAACTTGCCTGGGTTTTTCCCCCCAGGGTATTTCAGCATTCAGGAGAAAGAGGCTGTTGGAAAATTTAAACTCCAGTAACAGGTTGCAAACACAAACTTTGCTGTTTGTTTTTAAAGGGAGGTGTACAGATATAAATCTTGTCTCCACTCACCCGTAAGATTCTTGGAGACTGACATATTCCTTTTCTCTGTAAATTTAACTTAATGCTGTGTCTCAGGCAATATATACATTTTTTTTTATAATGGGCAGAAGGTTTTGCATTAAGAGGAAGTTCGCATTGAAGTTTATAACCTGATGTTATGAAGTGAGATGACTTTTTCCAACATTTTGTTTTAAAATTTTTAAATCATGCAGACAGCAAGTCAAGGGGGTTTTATTCAACACCTGTATGGACACCATTTAAGTTTAATTCTACCATCAACACTAGACTATACTCGCTTTATCACCCTTCTTTCTATCTGTAGCTCCAACCGTTCATTCATCTTGCATTTCTTTACACTTTCCCTTAACACTTCAACATACATACCATTAACTAGAGTTCAGTTTTTGTTTACAGGTTTTAATGTAAATCAACACTCTGAAATCAGTTTTGACCCATGAATACATCTATGTTACCCAACCTTTACCAGAATAGATAAGAACATTAGCACTATGACCCAGACAGTTCTCTCCCACTTCTCCCAGCCAAGTCCACCCCTCTCACTCCCAGAGGAAATTACTGATCTGATTCTTTTGCTTGTGGAAGAATTTGGAGCACATTTATTTCTCTTCATAAGACAAGATTACCAAAAGCATGTTAAACATACCATTCATAAGTTATTACATTTATTGCCTATGCTTTAGGAAACAACAGAAAGGCAAACTTTGGCAAAAGATGGCAAGGTCTTCTGACCCATAGTAACCTGAAGGCAGCAGTCCCCAGACTTTTTGGCAACAGGAACCAATTTCATGGAAGACAGTTTTTCCACAAACTGAGGTGGGGGGATGGTTTCCAGATGTTTCAAGCACATTACTTTTATTGTGGACTTTATTTCTATGATTATTACGTTGTAGTATATAATGAAATAATTATAAACTCACCATAATGTAGTATCAGTGGGAGCCCTGAGCTTGTTTTCCTGCAACTAGACGGTCCCATCTGGGGGTGATGGGAGACGGTGGCACCCAACTGTGTTGGTTATGTCTGGTCTACTCTGTATTTTTGATTTGGTTGCTGTCGCTGCAGAAACCCTGCTTCAGAAAGATAGGATGTTGGAAATGGAAGCAGGCTTTTCAATGCTTTTGTGGCAATCTCAAGATGTTCCTCCTTGACCTTAATCCAGAATGTATGGAGATTTGAAGTTGCCACAGACATACTTTTAAGGCCACCATCATTTGCAATCTCAAGCAGTTGATCCTCTTCTAGCACAAACAAAGTTGATTCACCTGGCTTACTCACAAATGGGTTGTGGATCCATTCCTTCCCACTTCCGGGGTCTTTTGTGGTTGGCAAGTAATGCTCAAGCTCTTTTGAAAGCTGAGGTAGGTGATCATGCACCAGCTGGGGGAAAGAAGGCCCTGGCTCAGCCTCTTTCAAAATCTCTGCTAATGTTTGAAACATGTCAGAAATCCCAGTGTTCACTCATCACCCCCGTAATACCAGTTTGGCTTCAAATGCGGCCACTTTATCTGCCGACTCGAACACAGTTGTCATTCTCTCCTGAAGTGACAGATTGAGTTTGTTGAGCAGGTTGAATATGTCACACAAGTAAGCAAGTTTTGCAACCCATTCTGTGTCACTGAAATGTGCCACCAGTGGTGACTGTTTTTCTAAAAGAAATCTCTGGGGCTGTTCTCATAACTCAAAGACTCTGGCCAGTGAGCTACCTTTAGAAAGCCATCTCACTTCTGTGTATCAGAGAAGACGTGTGTGCTCTGCGTCCATCTCCTCACAGAGCTGCAAGAACAGACGTGAGCTAAGGGCATGTCGTTGCTAAATTTAATCACATTCTGCAAAATGTTCTTAAGTTCAGGTGACATTTTTCGGCTAGCCAGCATGTCTCTATGGATGATGCACAGACTCACGTTCAGAACTGACCTCTTTGACCTGAGTAATGAAACTATAAAGCCATCCAGACAGACTCTGTCTGTGCATATACCGACACAAGATGACCAATTCAGTTTTCCTGATATGTAACCATTCGAAGGCCTGAATAGTTCTGCAGCTGTGGTGTTGGTTGGAAACAAAAGCACACATAACATATCCTCATGCACGTCCTCCTGAAAAATATATCACACAGAAACAAGCATTATTAGCTTTGTGGTCAACATCGGTAGACTTGTCAACCACAGTGCCTCATTAATCCTCTCTAAGAATTGTGCCTCAGTATCCTCTGCTATTTCTTCAGTTCATCTAGTTATGGTGCTACCCGAAAGAGGAACACATGCCACCTCTTGAACTGCAGCCTGCTCTAAATGTTCATGACAAATATCCCTAGCAGCCGTCAGGATCAACTCTTCACCAATAGTAAAGGGCTTCTTAGCTTTAGCAATGTGGTTAGCCACTAGGAATGATGCTCTCAGTGGAGACGTGTTTGAATGATGAAGTTGTGGCCTTGAATAATTGCTTCTGTTCTTTGTTTAACATTTTTTTTCTTTTGAAAAACTCCAAATGTTTGCCTTTTAATGCAGGGTCCTCAGTCCCTACGTGGCAATGCAGTTTTGAAGCTTCATGACCTCCTTGGATAGCTGGTCGCCATACAGTGTACAAAGCAGGCTTGGAGAATGTGAATCACCTGTTGCAATGAACGGGGAATTTAAGCAGGACTCTTGGTATTTTCTTTTAAATGCAGCTTTCTTTTCGTTGGCAGACTGAGAGTCTTCTGCTGTCTCATCATTGGTTCTTTTCCCCTTTTCAAAGAAGCTCTCCAGTGATGTTTGTTTTCTACTCATTTTGGCTGGGGTTAGCTTGTGGGCTGATCAAAACTGTGACTGAGACAAGTGTGCAGTGTGGGAAAGAGGTGTGGATGGAAGTGGTAAATAAAATAATAGGCAGGCCATGTATGGACTAAAATAAGTGTCGGATTCTGACTTAAAGCCTGCCATCAGATGCAACTGCATTGAAGTATATCAACTCACTTGCCACTACAAAACCTGCAGCTTAATTATCACTTGCCACTCACTGAGAGGGTTTTGATATGAGTCTGCAAGCAGTTGACTTATTACGGTCACTGTGCAGTCAAACCTCTCTGCTAATGTTAATGTGTATTTGCAGCTGCTCCCCAGTGCTAGCTAGCATCACTGCCTCAGCTCCACCTCAGATCATCAGGCATTAGATTCTCATAAGGAACGCGCAACCCAGATCCCTCACATGTGCAGTTCACCACACAGTTCACACTCTCATGAGAATTTAATGCTGCGCTGATCTGATAGGAGGTGGAGCTCAGGCGGCCATGCGTGCTCACCCACCAGTCACCTTCTGCTGTATGGCCCGATTCCTAACAGGCCACAGTACTGGCCCATGGCCCAGGGCTGGGGACCACTGCCTTAGGGGGATGAGACATTTGGCACCATGAGCTCCATGTGGACAAGCATCCTAAGGTGCTCACCTGGGTTTCCAGAGTATAATGGAATCAAAATTTGCTGTGATTTTTAAAAATAAGAGCTTTTGAATAAGTATACATTATAAAGTTTTTATTTACCTACTTCAATTATTCAGACGCACAGTTTTACAAACTATTTTGTAAAACCATTTTGTATTTACAGCAGAAGCAACTTTCTTCCAAAGTATGAGGTTTGAAGAGATGTGCTTTATGGACAAAGGCATTGCCATGGCTTCTGTACGCATCATCCATCATGCAGTCTTGAAATTTTCCAAGTTGCCTAAAAACAGAACGTTTGACCAACTCAGAAGTCAGTTCATCCATTTCCTTTTTACAGGACTCAGAACAGTCTTAACTCGATGGCAGGAACTGTGGGATGTGAATAAAGAAAGCAGAGACTCACCAAACTTGAGTGACAGGCCAGGGAAGTATGCAAAATTAGTCCAGCTCTCTAGATGGGCTTGACAGAGAAGAAAACCGTGTTGTGAGTACAGTACCATGTACAACGTTGATAGAGTCATTCCACTCTAACACTGGGCTCTGAAGCACAAAAGAGAGAATTTGAAATCATGTAGTATCTTCAGGTCCCTAGGAAGTTTTGCTTAGGTATTAGAGACCCAAGAGAAATTCATGTTTCTTTTTTAGTTCTGCATCATCCTTCAGTAACATGTTTTAATGTTTGAACATAGATAATGGCAAGGACAGAACCTCTGTCTAGCCAAAATACCTCCAGTGCCAGTTCCTCGGAGTGAGAACTTTGCAGGAAATGGAAAATTGGACCATAAGTCTGGGTAATGACCTTTTTTGTTGAAAAGCAGCTAATCCATTTTTATTCTGTTTTTCACAAAACAGAAATGAACAAATAATTTACCGTAAAGAATTTCCAACTGAACTTTTAGATTTGGAAAGAGATTTTCAGCAGTTGCTGTCAAGTTATTCCCTGATAGGTGGAACCCCTAATGCCTGCACAGTGGTGAGGGTCCAGTGATCTGTGACCACCCTGCGTGTGCAAGAGCTCCTGGGGGACACCCTTCATTGCAGGGCCATTTTGTTGGTGCCAAGGCTGGAAAACATGAAGTCCTGGGCTCTTTCCATGGATGTCCTCCCTTGAGTTAGCCATCTGTCTGGCCCTCTTGCAGAGTGGGCATGTGAGATCCTGTTTACTTCCAGCCTGGCTCCTTCATCATCTTCAGCTTGTTTTCGTTCTCAGATCAGTTCGCCTTCCTCTGAACCGGAGAAGCACCCCTCTGTGAAGAGGCTTGAGCCTAAATGAGACTAAACAGCATCATTCTGGGCTTTCTCCTGGAAAGCCCCTGACAGAGCACGGAACGTCATCCCTCCAGATGAGAAGAAGGCACTTCATCCTATAACACAGAAAAGCTTCTTTATGATGATGATATTCATTCCTATTTTTCCCCTAAGTCTGATTTTGAACACAAAAAGAAGAAAAATATTTAATTACTCTGAAATATATAGGCCCAAAGAATTATCAATAATGATAAGAATGGAGAAAAGTTGCTTCCATGTTAAAATTTGTTTTATTTCCACCCAGGTTGGTAGGCTGTGTGTTTGCAGATGATGATGATACTAAAGAAAGTAATGTGAACAGCTGGACTGACTCCTTTCATTCATTAATTCTACAAACATGTATTGAATATTGCCTATGCCCCAAGACTCTAATGGGTGCTGTATTCGTCTGTTCTCACACTGCTAATAAAGACATACCTGAGACAGGGTAATTTATAAAGGAAAGAGGTTTAATTGACTCACAGATCAGCATGGCTGGGAGGCTTCAGGAAACTTACAGTCATGGCGGATGGGGAAGAAAACATGTGCTTCTTTATACGGCTTCTTCACTCGACCTTGTAGTGCCGAGCAAAAGGGAGAAAAGCCGCTTATAACACCATCAGATCTCGTGAGAACTCACTCACTATCATGAGAACAGCAGCATAGGGGAAACTGCCCCTATGATTCAATCACCTCCCAGTGGGTCCCTCCCACGACACATAGGGATTATGGGAACCACAATTCAAGATGAGATTTGGGTGGGGACACAGCCAAACCGTATCAGGTGCTCAAAAAATAAGCAAATAAGAAATCATCCCTACCTCTCAAACTAATAGGAGACAAAGCTGAATAAAGGACTTTCCCTAAACATTGGCCAAAGTGAATGATTGAATAGATTTAAAATCCAAGGGGTATGGGTTCACAAAGGAGGGAACAGCTCATTTTGTTTGGAGTGATCTGAAAATGTGCCACAAAGATATCGAGGACAGCTGGACCCAGAACTTGAAGACTGGGTAGAAGTTTGCTGAGAAGCGAAGTTGAAGGGCATTCCTGGAAGAGGAACTAACAGATGCCAAAAATGGAATTAGAGGTACACAGCGCATACTTGGAACTGTGGTGGGAATGGAAGACTGGACTGGTTTGGAATCAGATGGCCCTAAGTTCTGTCCTAGATGTGCTGGGTAGGACACAGTTCTGTCCTTTGTGTGCTGGATAGGACAGGGGTGTCACCCAAGAGCTCTGAGCTTTGGTTTCTGTAAGTGGGAAGCTGGAATAATGATAACGCATCCTCCCACAGAGATAGGAGGATGGAATGAATAAGTGAAGTGAGGCCAGTGGTGATATATGTCATCTCGGGTCACTGGAGCCATAAGTGTCAGCCTACAGAACCCGGCAGCCGTAGGGGAATTCATCTAAAATGGAAGGCAGAGCCCTAGTAAGATGGGCCATCTGGAGCAGCCTGAGGAGGGGGGACCTTGTAGAATAAGCAATGGAAAGACAGCAGCATTTTTCATAGGGAAAGTTACCTAACGTTCTGAGTTTGAAATAGTTAATGCCATTTGCAGTGTGGAAAGTGGCCAAGTTAAGATGAGCCTGAAGTTGGGCTAAGCATTTGGGCAGCTCTTGCAATACACAGTGCTAGAACTGGAAAAATTGAAAAGAGGAAAGGGAAAAGTCAGCCATGGTTCTGCCACCTGTATGTCATAAGCACCTTGGTCTGTTTTGTTTTTAGTTCTTCTGTTTGGATGAGTTTTATTTGTTTGTTTGTCCTACATAATTCCACTCATATTGATGTCCATTTGCATACAAAGACCTGCTTCTAAAATGGCCTAACAGTGTATCTTGTGTGTGTCCATATTAACATACATTTCTCTTAATCCTCATTTTAAAATATTAGTGATTATGAATCTGAAATGAACTTTTTTTTTATTATACTTTAAGTTCTAGGGTACATGTGCACAGCATGCAGGTTTGTTACATATGTATACATGTGCCATGTTGGTGTGCTGCACCCATTAACTTGTCACTTACATTAGCTATATCTCCTAATGCTATCCCTCCCGCCTCCCCCCACCCCACAACAGGCCCCAGTGTGTGATGTTCCCCTTCCTGTGTCCAGGAGTTCTTGTTGTTCAATTCCCACCTGTGAGTGAGAACATGCGGTGTTTGGTTTTTTTGTTCTTGTGATAGTTTGCTGAGAATGATGGTTTCCAGCTTCATCCATGGCCCTACAAAGGACATGAACTCATGCTTTTTTATGGCTGCATAGTATTCCATGGTGTATATGTGCCACATTTTCTTAATCCAGTCTATCATTGATGGACTCTTTTGTGCCTTAAGTGCTTTGTGTATTTAACAGCTTTTCCTTAGGATGGATTCCAAGAAGTGAGATTGATGAAATTATATTTACATTTGAGAAATTTGGGGTAAATTTTCATGCTGACCATCAATATAAGGAAATGCCAGATATCAATTTATAGTTGTAAACAATAACAAGTATTATTAATTTAAAAATAACATATTAATAATAATATAAATTATTATTAATTTAAAATATTTATTACTTTAATAAGGGAAATGACATTACATTTTAATTATAATTTGTATTTCTTCAGAAACATTTTCTCATATCCCCTCTTGAATATTTGTGTTTGTATTATTTGAGTAAACACTAAATATTGGTGATTTGATCATGGTTATTATTATGACACAGAGTATGGGGTCTTTCAGTTCCAATGTTATGCCTGTAACCCATCCATCCATTCCTTTTCTCATTTATTGTTCTTAATCATTCTCAGTAGTTTTGATGACCTACTCTAAGGCAAGCATCCTTGAATCCTGAATTAACTCACCCTGGCCTCTGCTAGGCTAGAATATTACTTTCAGGGAAATGAGTTTAAAAATAATCACGTGTGCATGTGTAAGGGTGTATAGGAAGAAATGGTCTAATCTGAATTACTCTTGCAAGTTTTACTCCTGTTTTTTTTTTTTTTTAACTCACTTCTTATAGGTTCTAGACTGGAAAAGCATACATGTATTTTAAAGTGATGACTTAGCAAGCTGTAATCTATAAACCCTGGAGAAAAGAAAGTTATATAATTACCTCCCTTTAAGACTTACAAAACTGAAAACTAGCCAACATTACCACAAGTGTAACTAATATCTTTCAGAAAGAGACTAAACTGTCACCTCACTTCTTAACGTTGTTTTGACTTCCATGAATATATCCACAATGTTCTGTCTCTCTGTCTCTCTCTGTGTCTCTTTCTTTCTCTATGTCTCTCTTTTTCTCTTTCTCTGTCTCTCACATGCTCTCACTTTCTCCCTCTTATGTGTCTCTCTTTCCATCTCTGTCTCTTTCTCTCCTTATCTCCTTCAGCATAACTCCATCATCTAGTACAGTCAGACAGCAGGTGGGGCCAGGTGAAGTACTGAGCGCCTTTCGAGGTGGGGCAGGTCAGCTTGCAGTCTAGGTGTCAGGTGTCCGTGTGGGTGGACGATGGATGGTGAAGAGGTGCTAACTTGCAGGCTGAGCCTTTCCTAACTGGTGGTGAGAAGCCAGAGCCTCTCCCCAGCAGAGCTCTGTCCGTCCCCTGCCATTCCGCCATCTTTCACTGCAGTATGTAAGACTTCTGGTGCAGCACAAAGCCCAGGGCAGGCCACTGTTCACAGGAGCAAATAATTGTCCAAATTAATTAACTTATTTTCTTTTTGTATGAACATCCATGCTCAAAGCTCATTGCTCATTTAATTAAAGCCTTCAGCCTTAATCAGGATTACTTTATATGTAATTCATACATATCTAAGATATATCAACTGCTTTCATTGTTATGTGCCTGAAATGAAGACAGAGCCATATAATAATAATTAAAAAAAACTTAGGGAACTTAGGGGATAGAACTGCAAATAGGAGCTCAGTAAAATCACTATCAGTAGCATTTTCCCATGAGCTTGGTTGACTTTGGAATATTTTCTACTGGGAGATGCATTTAGGGATTTCTAGTCGCTACCATTCTTTTTTAAAAATTTTATTCTAAACACTCCACTTTCTGGTTTCTGTTTCTTTTTGAATAAATATTTTTGATAGTTTAATCTTTGGATGCTCATTCTTTTAGAATGACACATGAAACTGGGTCACGTGAGCTGGGTTGCATTGTCATATATTCCAGGGACATAGGGATTTGTAGCAGGGGTTGCATGAGAACTCTGGCAGGCCAGTTTCAGGTGACTGGAGCTGGGGATTGGCTGCGTCCAGAGCAGGTCACCAAAGCCAGGACATGGTCACCAAAGTCCATGGGTGTCTTTGGGTGGTGAGCATGGCTGCCTTTAGTGATTGCTGTACATCATTCCAAAACATCTGTGTCAATATTTGCAAGAGATTAAAAAGAGAAAATTACCTGGATTAAAGAAAATGAGGGAAATTAATATCCCCTATAAAAAAAAAGTATATGGGTAACTCTGACTTCATACATGGCTGGATTCAGGGCCCAATTTATGTCATCAAGATGCAGTTTCTTGATATCTCTTGGATCTATTATGCCCAATGTTGGCTTCATTTTCAGATTTGTGCAGTGAAAACAGGACCACCACCGGCTTTGCCCATTCAAATCTCACAGAGCAAAGAGAGTGCCCCGTCTCTCAGCAGCCTCAGTAACACTTTCATTTGCTGTGCATGAGTCAGAGTGAATCATGGTGGTCCTAGCCATGGCCGAGGGAAGGCAATCTGCCCATTGGGAAGGAATGAATTACAAACTACTGCACCCCAGGGAGCTGGAGCTGGGATCGATCCTACTGGAAATTTCATGACTTGAGATTAAGAAAAGGTGATTTGTAACCTAGAGAAAAATTAAGATGTCATTATCAGAAGAAACTTAAATGAACATAAAATAGTAAAAATAACAGATAGCTATCTGGGGATGAGGATGGGATTATGTGGAAAATATTGTAGCAAAACAGGGAATTAAAATTCTTTTAAGGAACTAGGTAAGCATTGGGTAGTCTCTCCAGAGCCTTTCTTTGTACTTGGAATGGCAGCTGGAGTTGGTGGCCTGTTTCAAAGAGCTGGGTTCTCCCCTGGCCTCCTTCCCACACCTGTGCTGTGTCTGGAGCAAAGGGTCTAAGTTCTGCCTGCTTCTGGCCCAAGGATTGGGAAACCCAGAGTCTAGGCTCCATATTGCAAAATAAGGAAGATTGTGTCCATTCTGCCTGAGTCCCAAACACAAAAGCATAGTGCTTTATGAATAGTAGGTGTATTATAATTGAACCAAACACAATCAAAGATCTTGAACCCTGATATTCTAGACTCTTGACAGTCTGCTCCCCATGCATTTGCTGTAACATGGTGTCTTTCTGTCCACATTTCACAGCCTGGGTCTTTTGACAACCTTCACATGAGGAACATCAGCTATTGTCTTGAGATTTAAATTTCACAGGCAGCACCAACAACCTAACTAGAGCATTGCTGATTATAGTACAGAACTCTGCTCTCCATCTCAAAGCTGTGCTTTGGAAGGCTTTTTAATAAAACCATTATAGACACAACACATAAGTGGGATTTCCAATGAAACTCGTTGAAGAAGCCCCTGTACCCCAAGTAAATTTGACAGCCTGGTGGAAAAAGAGAGTGCTAGATCAGTAAAACTAGATTATGGAGAATCTTGAGAACTGGACTAAAGAGTTTATACTTTTAGAAGATAGTGGGGACTCAAGACTATTTCTTGAACAATAGAGTGATATGATGAAGATGGCCTTCAGAGAGAAAGTACTGACTGGTATTTCCTGTGTGTTGACAGGGGGAAGAGATTCTGTTGGCCAACCTTATCGCTGTGACCAGCTGATCAGGTCTAGGAAGACAAGCTATGGGCGGAGAAGCTAAAGAAGAGAGGGACGGGGCACACACAGAAGGGGAGATGAAAAGAAATGGTCTATTTTGTCCCTTTCCAATGTCTGAGCTGGGAGCCTCTTGCTGCCCTTTGTCTACATTGTCTTCACAAAAACGGACTTCCTTTTTCCTGCCGTTGTGGATATGGTATTGGTTGACAAGTCAGGAATTGCCCTCTTTGACCTCTGCTGACATAACAGCTGTGGAGTCACCAGGCTCACCCCTGTGAAAGGCTCTCACCTCACATGGCTTTGGGGCTCAGAGCAAATCCCCAGGTACCACTTCTTCAAACTGCCTCTTTAGCCTGCACTATCCATGCTGGAGCTCTCTGCATCTCCAAATACTTCTCATTATCAAGGAATAAGACGAAAATGTGTGGCAGCATCACCTGTGGGCCCTGGCTGCACAGAGGGGCCCTACTGCACTTGAAGTCTTCCTGCAGAGCTCGGCAGGGGCCAGCCTTGGGTGTTTCTCAAGTAAAGAGCTGAGAGGCAGAAGATATCCTGGACCTCCACCTTTGCAGAAGAACCGAGTGTCAGAAACCGGAGAAACAGAAAAGTGAACTTTTGACTCATGGAATCACTAAGCTGATGCCCTTCAACGTGGAACTAAATTTTATACCAAATATTGTCTATTATGTTTATATATGCAGACTACCATGTTTATATATGTAGACTGTGTGATATACTGAATATCAAATTCTTCATCAATCTTTAGAAACAAAACAGTAGCAATATTTGTCTTAATCATTTAAAATGTTGGAATATAATCATTACTAAATCATATCCCTAAATGCGTAAAGAAAAATGACACCATAAGCCCTGGTTGCAAAGGTGGCTCCCAAAGGGTAAATATCAATCATTGTGGGCTGAATGCAGAAAGAACAAATCCATTTAAGTCTTCAGTTGCTACTTGGTATTAAGTGAAAAGGACCTTAAGGTTTTTATTTTAAATGTACTGATAGCTTACTGGAAAACAGGCACATTAGTAAGTATTACTGCGCTTGTTGGATAGAAAGAAATGCATGTGCTTTCACAGTGCAAAGGCCAATAGTGAAGCAAAATCACAGAGCAAAGCAGGCTTAAAGATTTCAAAATGAATTCAGAGGACCCAAATGACTGGTTTATTTACATACACTTCCCATGTAAACACAAGAATGAAAACTCATTTGATCATCAAACAACTAGCCCATGAGAGGTATCTCAATGTGATCTGATGGAAAGAAGATGGACTTCCAAGCCCAAGAAACAGCCCTTTGTTTTAGTCCAACTCTATCATTTTCTAGCTGTTTGGCTTCTGGAGCCTCAGTTTCCTCGTTTGAGACACAGTGGTGCAGGGTTAAATCGGAGAAGTAAAAAAAAAAATCTGGAGTACACGGAGTCAATGTAAATTCTCTCCCACTCCCCTTTCAAAAATATAGCTAGATTTCAAGAAACAGTCATAAAAATAGCCGGAAAGAAACCCCAAATCCTTTAGTCCTCTTTACTTTTCTTTTTTCTTATTTCGCTTCCCATTGTTTGTGATTATTTGTTCAATTTCTGGCTGTCTTTATGTGTTTACATTGCTTATCGTTCATTTACTTCTGCGTTGGTGGAAAGTTGATTATTCAAAGCATCTCTGATGGCTACTGCTTGAATGTCCTTACTGCAGGGGCTCCAGTCTTTTGGGGGCTGCATCTGCACTGCAGAGGGCTGGCTCGGACATCTGTGGATTTCAGTCAACAGAGGAGAGATTGGAAGGAGCATGTTTCTTTCAGAGTAGATAGTGGATTCACTGAATCCCCCCGCCACTAGTAAATCTCTTCTAGTAAGCCATTTGCATCCTTTTTTGTTGGTTTTTAATCCTTGCGGAGTTCTCAGCGATGCTACGAGCAATGTGCTTGCACTTAAGGTGATGGACTGTAAATGCCTGAAAAAGGAAGAAGCAGTTGTCAAAGCAAATTAATTATTAATGTTTATAGTTTTCCTGTCTTAAGGGTTTTCAGAATCTCAGTTGTTCAGTGTTTGAAGCTGTAATGTCTCCAACTGTAATTACTCAGTGAATGGGAGGCAGTGTGATTGTCACCCACAAGCATCCCCACCAGGAATGGATGAGTCGTGACCCTTTGGAGAGGCAAGTGGAGCTTTTACCTTGAGAGCCATTCGTCCTGCCAGGGTCAGGCAGTGGGAGGAGGCAGGAAAAGGGCTTGTTGCTCTGAAAATAAGACCATCTCCCAAACCACCCTACACCCTACTTCTTCCAGGTGGGAAAGACCCACAGGGTTTCAGGAGAGTCCACTGGGAATGACTTCCTTGAAATGGAGGTTCAGTCCTTTCAAGTTCTGAGCTGTGAGTGGGGGTGGCTATGGGAGGAAATCACTTTGCACAGGGTTTGATGCGACACTTCTGGGAAGCTTATGAATTCCGTAGGAGTGGGCATGAAGTTGTAAGCACGAAGGACCTGTAATACTTCAGAGGAGATGAAGGAAGGAGTCTGGCCATGTTGGAGCCATAGAGGGAATCTGGGGTTTATATAATGAATATTTCTGGGTTTTTGTTTTTATCTGCTTTTGTTTGATTTTGCTTTTACTTTGGGAGCTAAGTATTTTTTTTATCTTGACAGATATGTTTTTTCCCCCTTAGAGTAATATATATTCATGGATTAAAACTAAAGACAAAAAAAATCTCTGCAGATAAACAGAAATGCCCACCATGGCTTTGACCCCAGTACCTGGAGATAAACATGGCTGCCCCATTTCCTCTCTCTATTCATATAGCTGAAGATATTAACATACATTGCAATCAACATTACTGTTTGCTTTTTGCGTTGAACAATATAAACTCAGAATTCGTTCAGAGACTTCATGTGCTCCAGCATGTAATTTTCAGGGGCTCTAGAGTAGTCTACAGTGCAAATATCAATAATGTGCTTAATTAGGCCACCACTGCTGGACTTTCAGGCTTACTCCAACTTTTCTCTATTATAAACAGCATGTAAATGGACATATTTAAAGCCTTGTGAACATTAATCTCCATTCACATCTTTCAGTAAAATTCTGTGATAAAGAAGAACTACTGAGTTTTTAATATGGCTACTTTTATTGTTTTCCTGTGTGTTGCCAAATCACTCTCCTGAATGTTAGAAAATCAGGTTTCATTCCTTGTTTACATAACGTGTTCTTTCTAAATAAACATTTGCAGTTGATTTTCAGTCAACAAATTGCTTTTATTACTTTAATGTCTATGAAATAAGACCATTCCAGTATCCTTACCTTACAGAAATGACAGCAACAACAGCAAATATGAGTAAAGAAAAAAAATTTTTTAAAAGATGAAAAGACCACACCCTGGGCTATATAATATGAAGGGAAGTCGTGCAGACCCAGGGATCTAATCACCACTATGATAGCCAAGACTCACACTTACCTAAAAAAAGTCTTTTTCTCGTCTTGAAATCTTACCACTCTTTTACTTTTCTGTTGCCCTTCATTATATTCTGGGGGTACAGGTTTAAGTTAGTTGTATACTCTGGTAACTAGATCTCAAGTTCCTGAGTGACATGCCACTGATGTTTTCACCTCTATTTTGTCTAAATACGTAGCAGAATGCTTGTACATTGAAGGTGCTAAAATATCTGTTGAATGGAAAAATGCTTTATTGTTTTGATTCAGACTATTCCTCAAAATGTTAATATCAGCATTGGCTGAAGACGTGTGCACAGAGGTTAATATCTTTGATTATTCCTGGAGTGGATGTAAACACTTGGTGAGCAGGCGATGCAAACCATTTGCACAAAACCATTTCTGGCCAAAGTTTCATGTATATTAGCCCATCAAAGAAAACACCAGGCCTTTTTATACAGAGGCACAATTAGTCTCAACTCAGGTTAGGTGTTGAGGAAGTAGGAGCAAGTTATTCTTTACTCGGCTGAGTTTTAGGTTAATTTGCCATTTGACTATATTTAGAGAAGTTCCTTCAGTGCCTTCCTCTTTGGAGTCTATTTAGGATATGTGGAGAATTGTGACAAATATTTCTTATTTGTCCTGTTTGGTTGTCAACATGCAAATGCAAAGTTTGTTTCTTTTCTAATGGTTATAAATACTTGAGAAGAAATACGTGAAAAGAATAAATAAAGTGCAGTCTCCTGCTTGCTTCCTCAAATTAGAATGTTTGCCTCTATGAACTGAGTGACATTAATGAGAAAACCCTGGGAAAATATCAATATTTCTTAATTAACATCTTCTGGGTGGGCTTTCTTAAGAATGCTATCTCTGATCATTTGTTATGAAAAAATATGGCAATCTGTGCAGAATGGAGTTGATTTTCGACAATTGAATGCATAAAATATACTTTAAATCAGATCTGTTGTAGATACAGCCCTTATTTAAGGAAATTGTCAGAATGTACTTTAAAACTTGTGTGGTTAAGTGATTTTTGTGATTTTTTTTTTTAACCACGTTGAAATTTTGACAAGCTTTTGGCCTATTCCCACGACTCCCCATCTGGGTCCTCAAAATGATTCCTTACTTCCTCGAACATTGGCTCTCAAACACCATTCCCTTACACACAGAGCCGTGGGCTGAGAGAGAGAAAAAAGCACACTTTGTTTTCTGCTGTCAAAAGCACTGCGAAAGCAGGCTTTCAATCTCCCTGCGAGTGTAATTAAAGACTCCGATAACCTGAAAATACATTTGCCCACATTCTTTGCATATGTTTCTTTGAGCTCTTTTTATGTGGCCTGTTCAGGATCATGGTGTATTCTAGTTAATAAAGCGTTCTGGTTTACTGCAGCTTTTATTAAATGCTTAGTGTGTGTCAGTTACTGTGCAGAGGGCTGCCATACACAATTTTATTTGATCTCCATCACAACCCTCTGAGATAGTGTTGTGAGAATTCTTATCAGAAGGGGAAACTGAGGCTCAGAAAAATTAAGTGGATAGCTGTGATTTTGCATAACTTCCACACATTTTCCAAGTCTTAGTTTTTTTATGTATTACATAAGACTGGGGAAATGGTTGTCCTGAGAGAGCTGGCGTGATGTTTAGGTAAAATAATGGATGAGACGCATACAACACAATGGCTGGGAGGTGTTAAGTGCTGAGTCAAGTTTTAGAGAGTACTTGTAATATAGTAATTCCTATTTTTTTTTCAAGGAATAACAATCTGTAGACCCCTCAGATTCTGCTAGACGTATTTAACCTGCTGGGGAATAGTTGAGAGGGAGGTGTTAGCATGTCACCAGCCCACAGTCAGCTCGAGAGGCTCATACAGTTTACATGCTTGAGCCATGTCAGTTTTACATCTTGTTTTAGAGAGCTTTACACTCCCAGCAAAAAAAAAAAAAAAAAAAAAAAAAAAAAAAGTGGTGATACTGGAAATATTGTAAAGTTTAATTACATCTCATCCAATAAAAATGATTTAGGGATAATTTTACTGCAAGTAAATAGAATCAAATGGATTTTTTTTGAAGGTAGGGTCTTGCCGTGTTGCCCAAGCTGGAGTGCAGCGGTGCAATCATGGCTCAGTACAACCTCGGCCACCTGGGTTCAAGCAATCTTCCCGTCTCAGCCTCCTGAGTAGCTGGGACTGCAGGTGTGCGCCACTGCACCTGGCTAGTTTTTTATTTTTTGTAGAAATGGAGCTGCTCAGGCTGGCCTCGAACTCCTGACCTCAATTAATCCTCCCACCTGTCCTCCCAAAGTGCTGGAATTGCAGGCGTGAGTCACTGTGCCAGCCAGAATCCAATGACTTAAAACATAAACTTGATGTCTGACTTAGGTCCCACATGGTCGTCCTTTGATTAAGGATGATTTGCAGTATGAATAGTCACGATTTCACAGTGAGCCTCCTGTGATCTCACAGGAGCGTTGTGGGTGAAGCATAGGCTCTTTCTTCTCTCCTGTGGGTTGTCCTACCTTTCAGTTACACTGTCAAAAATTAGTGACTTGCCAAGCACTTCCCATTCACACCAGTGCATAAGTGCTAAGTGTGGGTTTAGATTCTATGAGATTTTCACTACTTTTTAACAAGGCATGAAGTGCTTTCACAGCGTTCATGTTTAAACTCCACAATTTTGTAGACTGCGCTACAGTAGAAAAATAGCAACATGCCTGAGCATCCTGCCAGAGCTCAGCACGGTCTTCACCTTCTATGCACTCCAAGACCTGTGAGTCAGGAAAGCATCTAGGTGGGCCAAACAATGTAAATCCATGAATACTGAATATAAAAACAGCATCTATTAGGACATCTGAAGTGGTAACTTGCTCTACAGTGTTTCTAATTTGTAGGAAAATTGCTGGAGAAAAATTTAATCTTGAACATTCTATGAGTTGGGGAACTCAGCACAAATCAAGGAAAGCTCCTTGATGATTTCGAGTTCTTTATGGGTGGGCACCACAAGGGGCTTCACCATTGTCTCTGACATTTGAGAACCCATCATGCTGTCTCAGGCTGTAAGACAAGCTTTGGATTGACAGAGCCAGGACATCAGTTGTATCGTAGCATCTGCAAGATGGATAGGCAGGTGCAGGCAGCCTTAGAAATCTGCCTCTGGCTGGGTGTGGTGGCTCATGCCTGTGATCCCAGCACTTTGGGAGGACGAGGCGGCTGGATCACGAGATCAAGAGATCAAGACCAGCCTGGCCAACATGGTGAAACCCCATCTCTACTAAAAATATAAAAATTATCTGGGTGTGGTGGTGCATGCCTGTAATCCCAGCTACTTGGGAGGCTGAAGTAGGTTGCAGGCAGTTGGAGGTTGCAGTGAGCTGAGATCGCGCACTGCACTCCAGCCTGGCGACAGAGCAAGGCTCTGTCTCAAATAAATAAATAAATAAAAAAGAAAGAAAGAAATCTGCCTCCACCACTGTTGCACAGAACTATGAATGAGCTCTGGGGTACACTTGGTTAACTTCCCTCAACTACCTTAGAAAACGAGGTCCTGCCATAGGAGCAGCTCATTCATGAAAACGTCCAGTCAGCACTCTCATTTGGCTAGAATGCCCCCACAATCTTTCATGTTAACCTTCATCTGTGATAGACTTTACTTTTTTCCTGCTGAAAACCAAAATCAAGACACAACACAACAACAACGTGCATGCTTTCAGTAACTCTTAGTTCTTCTGTCACTGCCCTAAAATATTTAGTTTTAAAATTACATATCTTTCCAGCTTCTATTTTTTGAATTATGCTTAGAAACTTGGGTTGCATTCTTCCCATTACCATTTACAGGTTTTTAAGTATTTTAAAAATCATGTAACTGTTACACTAAAATTAGGCCAAACGCATTTTAAATTTTTTTCATATAATCACCTTATTTTCTCTTGTATTTAGAATTCTTAGCATTGAAGCCCAAGGTCTGATTATCAAAAGAAATTTTGATGTGCTTCCTTAGTTCTTATTTCAGAGCATTTTCAGAAATTTTCGCAGTAGAATCCTTTTTTTTTTCTTCAAGTGATTCATTATAACTCCAGCCTATGAGAAGCAATTTAAGTGGTTCTGCTAAGGTGAATGAGCCTTGGGGTGCCAACGTCTGGGTGGCTCCTGGCTTAGCTTTCAGAACTTTCCCTGAAACACCTGCAGGTCACCTTGGGCCTCCAAGGAACATAGTTTTGCAACAGTATTCTATTTGTGAGGCATGGGCCTATGCATGCGTCCCTCTCAGGCCCCTGAGTGCCAAGACAAGTGTGTCTGGATTTCATTTGAATAAAGGTGGACACCAGCCTCCAGGGCTGCATTCTGACTTCTGTCAGGTTAAAAACTACAACAGAAGATTAAAAATCATATTTTACGACTGCATAGTTATTAATATCAATATATTGATATTATACATAGAAATATTTTCTTCAGTCTTAAAGTTCATTTATTTATTGTGATTTTAAAATAAATGTAAACATCAATTTCTAAAAGTATTGTGGACCTGCCATGCTCCCGTGCCTAACGGGTATGCCAAAGCCAGCCAACATCATCATCTCAGGGGGTGTCCCTCCGTGAGCCACGTTCCTGGGAGTAATGATAAACAGGCAAACTTTGCCTTGCAACATGAGATGGCATTTACGGTTAAAATAAGAGAGTGTCACATACAGGCACATACAGGAGGCACTGGAAGGTCTTTCACTCATTCTGCTAATAATAAAATGAAAGGACTAAAGAGAGAGAGATTTTAAAGTGGAGTGAAGTTCAAGAATGAGTGGATAATTTGCATGCAACATTTAATTGACTTACTTTAACAAAAGCTTTTTTTTTTTTTTTTCTTTTTTGAGACAGAGTTTCGCTCTTGTTGCCCAGGCAATGGGGCAATCTCGGCTCACTGCAATCTCCGCCTCTTGGGTTCAAGTGATTCTCCTGCCTCTGCCTCCTGAGTAGAACAAAAGCATATTTTTAAAAACACTTTTTATCTTAAAATAATTTTAGATTTACACAAAAGAATTGCAAAAATAATAGAGATTGTCCATAAACTCTTCATGTGAGCTCCCCTAATGTTATTATCTCACATCCCCAAAGAACAATATCAAAACCGAGAAATTAACGTGAGTACAATACTGTCCCTAAACAACAGACTTCCTTCAGATTTCACCATTATCCATGAATGTCCATGCTCCCCCAGGACCCACAGTGCATCCTGCTCTTATGCCTCTGAAGTCTTCCCCAGCCTGTGGGTTTCCTGGTCTTTCCCTGTCATTCGTGACTGTGACACTTTTGAGGCAGGTGTTTTGTAGACGCTCCCTCACTCTGGGTTTGCCTGTTGCTTCTACCAGCCCAAGGCTATGCAGTTTGGAGAGTAATGCAGGAAGGGGATGTGTGTGTGTGAGGCACGTGGTATCAGCTGACTCATCACCAGGTTAACCTGCTCACCTGGCAATTGCGTGGGCTTCTTCATAATTCATACATCATTTTTCCTGTTTCATACTCAAAATGCTGAAGCAGGAGGGTCGCTCGAGCCCAGGAGTTCAAGATCAGCCTGAGCAACATGGTGAGACTGCATCTCTACAAAAACTTTAAGAATTATCTGGGCAGGGCTGGACACGGTGGCTCACCCCTATAATCCCAGCACTCTGGGAGGGAGAGGCAGGCGGATCACAAGGTCAGGAGTTTGAGACCAGACTGGCAAATAAGGTGAAACCCTGTTTCTATTAAAAATACAAAAATTAACCAGGCTTGGTGGTGTGCACCTGTATCCCCAGCTACTTGGGGGGCTGAGGTAGAAGAATCGCTTGAATCCAGGAGGCAGAGGTTGCAGTGAGCTGTGTTGGTGCCACTGAACCCCAGCCTGGGAGACACAGCAAGAACCTGTCTTAAAAAATAAAAATTAAAAAAAGAGAAATGAGCCACTAAGTTCATTGTAGGGGAGGAGAATTAAGATCCTGGAGGGAGGACTATCGAAGAATTAGTGAACATATAGACCGTCATCATCATCAGTACATATGTTGGGAGGGATACATTGAAGCCCTACAAAATATACCTTTTTCCTTAAAGTCTTATCCACTAACTTCAGAATTCACCAAATTGTTCCAATGGTGACTTTCTATGCCTGTGTTCCTTCTGCACTTATTAGTGGAAATTGCTTCATAAGGAAGAGGGCCCCTTTCCTCCCACTTGTTTATATTAATGTTTTGAATCTTTTAATTCTCTCGCTATGGACTCACAGATACTTATTTCGTTCTCATTATTTGCCCCAGGTTTCCAACTTCAGCCGTTGGTTCCTCAGCCTTCTACGCCTTCCACTGGAACCCAAGGCTCTTTGGTCAATGGGCAGCCCGAGTGTTTGGGCTGCTTAGCTTTCAGAGGGATGTGCTGCTGATGTCTGTCCTTTTTAAAGAGGTATTTTATGCTCACAACACTTCACACATCGTTCCCAGAAGATGCATCTCCAACATCTCCCAGAATTTGTTACATGCTCAAAGGAAATGAGATCCCACTTTCTGTTTTGATGACAGTGGGACTGGAAAAGACAGATTCTAGGTTGTCAACAGTCACTGTCTTACAGCAAAGCAGTTTATACCAGGTAAAGAAAAAATAAATCTAACTGATTTTATGGGATTACTTGCTATTATGGCTTGAATTGTTTCCCACCGCCACCCCCCAAAAAAAATTTATATGTTGAAGTCCTAATCTCCAGGAGCTCAGAATGGGACCTTATTTGGACATAAAATTTTTACACATAATCAAGTTAAAATGAGGTCATTAGGGTGGGCCCCAATGCGATGTAACTGGTGTCCTTATAAAAAGGGGAGATTTGGACACAGTCCCTCGCAGGGAGCATGCCGTGTGGAGATGGTGGCAGAGATGGTTGGGGGTTGCATCCAGAAACCAAGGAACTCCAAAGCTTGCAGCAAACCACAGATACTGGAGAGAGGCATTGGGCAGAACCTTCTTACAGCCTCGGTGGGAGCCAGCCCTGCCCACACCTCCAACAAGGCCGTCCAACCTCCAGGACTGGGAGGCAGTAAATGGCTGTTGGTTAAGCTGCCCCACTTGCGGTGTTTGTTACAACAGCCCCAGCTAACTCACATGCTCACATGCCTTCTTGGGGTTGAATGCATCATATGTATAATTCATAACTTGAAAGGCCTAAAGGAGTCAAATGTCTTCTTGATTCAGAAATGTTGAAGACACTGTATCATCAGTCCTGCTGAAGGCTACACTTAACTCTATGCTGCCTTTTACAGTTTTGGCCTAATTTCTGCTCTGCACAGAGCTGATAGACACATGCTCATTTACAGGGCTGAAGTAAGTTTAGATGGGACTGCCCCCTGAATATCCCCGGCCCAGAGGTAGACACAAAGCAGCGAAGACACATTGACAAACACGCAGGTGCACAAAAGCTCCGGCTGTGGAGTAGTAAAAATCTCAAGTACTCGGAGCTGCACAGCTGCCTTTTGTTACAATGTACAGGAAGTCTTGGTTTCTATACTAAAATCATCGTCTTACTTAATTTCCCATTTTTTATAACTTTAGACTATCTGACTGCACTTAACTTGTTCTGCCCCCTTTGTACCCTGCAAGTTGCTGGAGGTGGGGACACTTTAGTCACAATCCTCAAATTATCACTTTAATTCACTTCCCAATAATTATATCTTTAGAATGTTTAACGGGATTAAACTCAGAATTCATCCCCTTCCTCCAACTCTACTCAACCCCAGAGAAAGAAAAACAAGTACACTTCACTTTTACTAAGATTATTATCCAGAAGGAGATACTGTGAAAACTTTGCAAATCAAGGGAGAACTTCCCTGGTGTCTGTATTTACTGCCTACCACTCCTCACCGCCCAACCCTGACATCAGTGAAGGGGTTTGGTTTGTTTCTTTGCCTGCTTGTTGTTATCACCTCAGTGCTTCGGGGATAGCCAAGAGTCAAGCCCCTTGCATGGTTTATGCCTCTCACCTGCTTGGACGTCATTACATTGCCCTGAGACAGGCCTTATCTTCAGCCCATGGTTAGAAGGCTGATCTGATGACAGCAGATTGTCCTGCTGTGACTTAAGAGAGGCCGCCTGTTGAAAAATCTGAGTGTGGTCCCTTCTGTGTTTGTGTCCTTGCAAATGTCTGAGCTGTCTATCACTCCAGCTGAAATTAGGTACCGGAAGGTCTTTCACTCATTCTGCTAATAATAAAATGAAAGGACTAAAGAGAGAGAGATTTTAAAGTGGAGTAAAGTTCAAGAGGGAGGTGATCAGAGACAGGGTCCTTGCCAGAGAGACCAGAGACTTGGGTGGGGCACCAGGGTGGGGACTCCAGGCCCTGGGGAGAAAACACGGGTCCTGGGAGGTTGGGAGGAGAGCCAGCAGCTGGAAGGGGCCCAGAGAAAATTGAACAGAGGGAGCCCAGGGACACGCATTTATGACACTATCGGCCCAGCCTGTGTCTCAAAAACCTCTGTGTGTTTTTGCTCTTGCTGCCTGTGCCTCCTTCTGCATATAGAGCTAGAGCTGAAACCTTACTGGGAACTGGAAGATGGAAACACAGCGGTGAGCCTGGAGCAGGGCGACGCCAGCCTGGAGGCCCTCTCTTCCTGCCCACAACCTCACCTCCTCACATCTACACTGCACACTTGCACCGGCCTTCTTTCTGCTTCTTGGGACCACAGACTGAGAAGGGACCCCCAGTCCTGCTAGCTCCTTGCTTGGTCTCAGGGTGAAGACGAGTCCCGAGTTTGAGTCCAGCCTCAAATCTGCTGACCTTGGATAAGTCACTTCTCACCGCTTGGGGCTTTGGTTTCCTGAATAGATTGAGTTAAAATCTTTGTGGGTTTTTAACATTAAAAAAAAAAGTGGAACTTGTTTTTCAAATAAAATGTTACACGAAAACTTAATACTAAAAGCAGAATAAGCTGGATTTGCTCCCGTATTCTGGGTGCCTCCAAGTATCCCCTCCCCCTCTTATCCATCCTTGTGTACCCCCTGCCACCTAGCAGCCCCCTTCCCAGTTCATCAGGGGCCATTGGAGGGAAAGGCTTGGGAAGTACAACTCTACAGAGTTCACGCTAAGGAAGAACCTTGCAGGAAATGCTTTTAAACGTAAACCAGCAACATCTAGCTTCTCCTGTGTAGAGAGCTGCCCAGACCCCACCACCAACTGCTAATTCTGATTTTTCTCCGCTGGACATTGGCTTTCTTAATAAATGTTTGGATTTTTAAAATCTACCATTTTTGAAAAAAATAAGCATTTCCGCATAGAAATCAGACCTTGTCTGCGAGCCGGAGATGTCCTCCGCGTATTCCCGGTGACAACGATGTGGCCTGTGAGCCTGCATGGGGCTGAATGGTTCTGTGATTTCCTAGCACGGAACAGAACTAGTGAATGCCGCTGTGTTTGGGGCTAGGATGCTCAGAGGCCATCCCCTCTCCTCCACAGAGGCTCGACTACTCGAAATGCATTGCTTCTGAGCCTAATATGTGTCACAATTTCACCTTCAAAGGCCAAGCATCCAGAAGCAGGAGAATAAAGATGTTTAGTAAGTGCAGCACATCGATTCCTCTTCATCTGGAGCTGCTTAGGAGCCACCAAGATTGTTACTCCTGCTCTCATTATGAATGCATTAGCATTGAACTTAATAGGAGGGTCCCCCAGAGAAAGTTAAGAAGCCTGCCTCAGAGGCCACTGCAGGGAGACGTGTGGGGCCCATGCTCTGGGCATCGCTGCATAAAGGAGACTGCACCTGCTCTGACCCCTTCCCCAAGACGTTCAGTTGCTCAGTCAGAAAGTCAAGGATGAAAAGTGTGTGTCTCTGGCTGGGTGTGGTGGCTCACACCTGTAATCCCAGCACTTTGGGAGGCCAAAGAGGGTGGATCACTTGAGGTCAGGAGTTCAAGACCAGCCTGTCCAACATGGCAAAACCCCATCTTTACTAAAAATATGAAAATTAGCCAGGTGGTGTGGTGGACTCCTGTAATCCCAGCTACTCGGGAGGCTGAGGCAGGAAAATGGCTTGAACCCAGGAGGCGGAGGTTGCAGCGAGCCAAGATTGTGCCACTGCACTCCAGCCTCGGCGACAGAGCAAGACACTCTCCCCTCTGCCCCCCACCAAAAAAAAGTATGTGTCTCCCTCTCCTATTGCAACATGAGCCTGGGGAGCATTACAGTGTAAAACTCGGCATAGAAGTATTTAAATCATTTAATGACATCAACCAGATAAAGATGTGATCACATGTCATCAATATGTGTGTATGTTTGGGCTACCATAACAAAGCACCACAGACTGGGCTGCTTACACAACAGACATTTATTTCCTCCCGGTTCTGGAGGCTGGAAGCCTGGTCTCCAGGTCTCTGCAGAGTTCATTCTTCTGAAGGCCACAAGGAGAAGGCCCCGCTCCCTGGCTTGTGGATTTGGCTTGTAGATGCCATCTTCTCCCTGTGTGATTTGATTCGTCTTTTCACTGTCCATGTCTCTGTGTCCAACTTTCCTCTTATTATTACAAGGATACCTGTCATATTTGATTAGGGCTAAACCTAATGACCTCATTTTAATCCATCATCTCTGTAACGGGCCTATCTGCAAATAAGATCACATTCTGGGGTCCTGGGGTTTAGGACTTCAGCACGTGATTTTAGGGGGAATTCAGCCTCTCATAGTCCACAAACATAAAAGGCTAGTGACCAAAACAGACAGTGGAAACACAGGGAAAAACCCAGGCTGTCCCAGGCTCCGGACGCCCCTCCAAAGGCATGCAGAGGCCGCCTCTGAAGTCAAGTGCCTCCACCAGGAGGGGTGTGTGTGAACAGTCACCTTTAAGTTTCTCAAAAGTAAACACATCCCCAGTCTGTCAGAATTCACAGGCATGACATGTGCATCTGTGCCTAAAGACCAACTTGGAGTCCACATGAAATGCAGGTGATGGGCATTTGCCCTGGTGCAGTGGGGACATTCCTGCACAGGAATGTGGCCTTGGGTGGACGCTGCCAGGTTGGCCTATGCTTGGTGGATGAGAGTTCTGTCTTTTTGGGGCTGTGATGGAGACTGGCTCATCATACAAAAGTGGGCTCAAGGCATTAAGAGAAAGGAAAGGAAGAGTTGCATGGAAGTGAAACTATCTTCTAATGGCAGAAGAGAGATCTGCTGGGAAAACCATGGAAACAGCCCCTGCGGATCTGCTGAAATCCCATGCAAGGGCTTTCTGTGGGCTGCTGAAGCCGAAATCATGGACTTGGGACTCAGGGGTAACAGTATTTGCTCGCAGACTTGGAGCTCAGCACAGAGGGTCAGTGACCCGGGGCGGGGGGCGCTGCAGCTGGAGGACCCTGTAGCCTGGATGTGGGCTTTACGCAGTGCCGACCACATGTGAGGCGGCTGCCTGTCACCTACCCTCTCTGGGTTTGCACTCTTAACACGGCTGCTCTCATATTTCCTATTGAGGCAGGCATATTCTGAGAGGGTTCCAGAAGGAGAAGAGGGGGAAAATGTAGCAGCAAACAATACTCCACTTTCCCACAGGGTGTCCAGGCACAGAATTGTCCCCTGTCCCTCTGCTTGAAGGTGGGGTGTGATCCTGCACGTCCCAGAAGGAAGTGGCTAGCAGGCGAATATCTCTCAGAGGATGCACGGGCTGGAAGCAATGTCCCAGGACAGGGAGGGGGAGCAGAGGGCATTCAGTCTGGACACGCACACACTTGGAGAGACTTTTCTGACTCCAGGCCCTGGACGGCAGCTCACTGCGAATGGGGAATAGGGATATAGTGGAGGGCAGGGGAGGACTCCCCATTTAAGCTGAAGCACTGATGTCTTGGGGAGGGGGGTAGTTAGGTGCACAGTATTTATATTTGGAAACCAAAACATGTCCATACTTTATCATAACACAAAAATAGAAAGCAAAGTGCAATACATGCTTTGTTTTATGTAGCATGCATTGTGCAAGTGTGGTGCAACTTACCATATATCATATACACAGCAAGAGTTTTCTCTTTTAAAGAAAAACATACTTTTATTCAAAAATAAAGCTTGGTTTTCTTTTTCTTTAATGAAGCAGCAATGTGGAGCTTTGTGCAGGAGGGCCATGCTGGTAGACAGCTAAGCACAGTTTTGGCAGACCAGAAATTCCCAGGTCATTTTTCCCTAGCTGGGAACACCCCTTCCATCGAGTTCCTAAGGAGCCTTTGGGGACATCACAGAAGCAGCAGAAACTGCTGCTGTGGAGAGGTGTGCCCCACACAGCTCCTTACATATCATCAAGAGCAGTTGCCATGGTGCCTCATCTTCAGAGCATCCTTGCCTTTAAGGTTGGAATATCTTGGATCAATAGTCTCCCTTCTGCACTGTCCAATAGAGCATCCACCAGCCACATGTAGCTATTTAAATTACATGTAATTTCTCAGCTGTACTAGCACCTGTGGCTGCGGCAGGTGGATCTATTGGGCAATGCTGCCTCGTATGGACCCAAGAGCAGGTGGTGGAAGGTTGAAGCAGCAGGACTTGGTTGGCAAATGAAGGCAGCCTTGAGACCTGGCTTACACTGCCAGGTAGACTAAACTTCAAGCTCCTTGAGGACAGGGGCTCTGCCCATTTCATTCTTAGCTAACCCTAGAACTCAACACATAGTACACACTGTGTTAAGATTTGTTTATAAATGAATGAAAATGTATGTAAGGAACTGGCACATAGTAGGCTCTCAATTAATGTGGCCACTATCTGGTGGGTGTATTTAAGGAGAAGGGAGCCCCTAACATCTTCCCTTTCTCAGTGAAGATCAGGTAATGAGTTATGAAACTGTCTCTAGCCTGCCTAATAAATAGCTCCAGGGTAAGGTTACTCGCTAGACCCAGACAGTCATGATATTGCTAAATGCTTGTTGCCATAAGCAATTTGTCAAGAATCCATCTATCACAAAGGATGAGAAGTATTCTAATAGGGCAGGTCAAATTGTCTAATCCCTTTTCTGTGTTATTTGAACCAGCAGCTCTGTCTGCTCAGTAAGGCTAGGTGGGGAGGGGTGTCTATGGGAAGAATAATCATCGTCAGTGGCTTGTCACGTCTTCAGAATCCTGACTTTGTAGCAGACATGCAAGGCTGCAGAAAAGTGTAACACATGCTTAGCTAAAACAAGATGCCTGGATCTCCCAGGATCTGCCTGGGAGGCTTGTGGGTTTCCTGCCATCACTGCACAGACAGGCTCCGCCACGCGTCTCTCGCGGCCTCTCTTCCCATTTGGCGGGCCTCTTGTTTAAGTTTCACACCCTCATTTGAATTCTACTGGGGCTGCTTGCCCTGCGCAGCTACCTCCCTGTTTCATCGTGAGGCTCTGTCACCCTCCCCACATCCATTTTAATTGTCCCATTTCTGCCACGTTTCTTTGGCACCAGGGGTCTTCATAACAGGGCCCAGAGAATATTTTATTTCTCCTGATTAAATCTGTTAGATTTTTTCCCCTGGGGCTTAGTGAGTTCTTTTAATTTCCTCCTGTTTATTACTTTTCTTGTCAGTGACATTCCTAATCCTTGAGTTGATATCGTGTGTGTATTTAATTACTTGCAAATGAACACGCACGAGGATAAAGGAGCTCATTTTAAAAAGCAATGCCAACTTTCCAGAGACGTTGTGTCAGTCTCAGGCTTTGGTTCCTGCAACGCTGAGCCACAGTAGGAAGATTTCCAGTCCAGTTGCATTTTTAAAGTGGCTGTAAACAATGGCGCTTTGGCTGGGAGGTAGAGAAATAAAAAATCACAGGTTGAACAAGTTGGTTTAAACTGTCCTTTCTTCCCTGCTCTCTTGCTACCCACATCCTTTTCAGTGCTGTGCCACCAGGGCGTCCAAAGACCAACTCTCTTGGCCTCCTCTCCCCAAACAAGTGGAACTGAATCCCTGAAATCTCTGCCCTCATGCCCTCCTTTTATTCCCACCACATACCACATTTTATGCGTCCTCATATGTATTTTCTCCAGGAGACAGGTACCTTATCTCAGTTAAATGTTTCATTTTGTTTAGATGATACACAACACATCCCTTTTCCCAGGTAATTTAGATAGCGTGCAGGTTTACAGTTCACTTTGGGGCTGTTGTCTCCCGCTGTACATAATGGAAGCCATCCACCCAGCCAAGGAGTCAAAGATAGGGTGAATCCAAGATGGCCAAAGATGAGAGGGGCATCCAACCAAAACAAATCAGCAAGGACATCTGAGACCATCACTGCTTGGGGACCCTAAGGCCACAGGGAATCCATGATTCAGGTATCGTGTGATCTGGAAGCCACAGGCTACAGCTGTCTGCTCAGCTGTTGTAGAGACAGGAAGACCTTTGCTTTAGACTCTGAAAAAGAATTTATCCTTCCTTCACTTTCCTTCCAGGGTCTACTTTTATGACAAACACATGTTGTTGAGCCCCTTGACTTTTCTGTCTCTCTTCCTCAGTCTGACTTACCTGTAAACTTCAACCTTGAACAGGTTATTTCACTGTTGACGTATGCTCAAGGGGTCAACATGGTTGGAGAAAATGGCACAACGAGGCCACCTGGTTGGACTCTAAATTCACAATCACAAACCTTCAAGCAGGCAGACAGTACTGACCTGCTGCTATATCTCTTTAATTTTTTTCCACTTTTCCTGATGCCCATTTGATGTCTTCTTCTCTTTGTGGAACCTCTCACACCCTCTTTTCTGTCTCCTTCTCTGGCTGGTGACCTGGTCTCATACTTCACCAAAAAATTACAAGCCATCAGGTGAGAACACACACATGTTACCAGCTGCACGTTTCTAAAACTCCCTGCGTTGAGCTCATTGTCCCTTTTTTTTCTGATTCTCTCTCTATCAGAACTCTGTCTCTTTATGTATGCTCTGTTTTCAACACACTCCTCCCTTCCCAAAAACTGTTGTGTCGATTTGCTCCAATCTGCCTTGCATTAATTTCTCCTTCCCATGTGATCATTTCCATCAGTGCTTAACATGCTCTGGGTCTTCTGTCTTTACATGAAGACATATGGGGCCAGGCACGGTAGCTCACACCTATAATTCCAGTACTTTGGAAGGCTGAGGCGGATGGATCACTTGAGGGCAGGAGTTCGAGACCAGCCTGGCCAACATGACAAAACCCCATCTCTACTAAAATACAAAAATTACTTGGACGTGGTGGTGGGCACCTATAATCCCAGCTACTGGGGAGGCTGAGGCATGAGAATCGTTTGAGCCTGGGAGGTGGAGGTTGCAGTGAGCTGAGATCATGCCATCACTGCACTCCAGCCTGAGTGACAGAGAGAGACTGTCTCAACCCAAAACTTTGTCCGCATGTGCTGCCTGCATGGCCTCCCCACTGGGACTATGCGGACACAAACCAAGCTACTCAAACCTGGCTTCCATCAGACCACACCCCCGGGACTGCTCTTGTCAACACCACCGAGAACCTCCGCATTGCCAAATCGCAATAACACATGTGTCCTTGTTTCCTCCCCTCTCAGAATTGCTCAACACAATTAGCTAATCACATGTTTCTGAAACATACGCTGTCTCTAAAATGTAAGCTCCAAGATGCGAGGACCTTGTCTGTCTTGTTGACCTTTTAATCACTGTCAATCAAAAAACTGCCCAACACAGCAGGTGCGCAAAAAAAATGCCTGTTGAATGCATAAGGGGCACTCTTTGCAGGGCTTGGCTCCTGTGAGACTGCACCCTTGGGGTTCCCTTCCTGATTCCTGCCCCCACTCTTTTCCAGCCCCTCTCCTCTGAGCGATTTCTCTGTGTTAGAGCTCTGCAGGGTTCTGCCTGGACCATCCACAGGGGAGACTGTCATTCTCATGGTTTCAATCCCTACACTCCGCAGTTTATATGTTCAGCTCTTGTGTCTCTCCTGAGATCCAGCCCTGTATGCCTAACTTCCTAGTAAGCTTCTCTAATTCAAAGTCTCATGCACAACTCATGTTTATTCAAAACAGAACTCTAAACTCTCCATCTGTCCCTCAGTGCCCCCATTTCTACCCAGACATCTCCAACCACGTGGCTGTTCAGGAAAGAATCCCGTAGCTTCTCTGTCTCCCCTGTTTGCGTTTCCTCCTCTCTGTGATCCCTCCCATCAGCACACCCCACTAAGTCTCCAAGTGACCTGTCATCTCCAGCCACGTCTCCCTTCTCCACCGCCTTCACCCCAGCACACTCCTGTCTCATCTTCACCACCCCATGGGCTTCCTGCCATCCCCCACCAACCACTCCCCTGACTTCCCACCCTTGTGGCCCCAAGGCCACCACTGAGATCTTTTTCAGAGCTCACTGGGCCCTCTTACTCGCCTACTTTTGACTCTTCAGTGACTTCCCATGACCAGTAGAAGAAAACCCACACTCCTGCCTGTGGCCTGCAAAGCCCTGCGCCTCCCGGCTTCTTCTCCCTTTTCCACAGGAACCGTGCCCCTTACACATGGTGTTCAAGATGCCTGCCTACCTTCAACTCCTCCAAACTCTCCTCTGCTTCTGAATCCTCTGTGCAACATTCCTTCCTCACAGATGCTTCCACTTCCGTCCTCTCATGCTGGGTCTTACGCCTCCAGTTCTCAGCTTAGCTCTTTGCCCCACCAAAGCCTGCTCCTGGCTGTATTCTAAAGGCTGCCCTGCCTAGCGTACTTTCTCATGCCTGCGCTTTGTTTACTTCATAGCGCTCAGCATAATTCCGTTTTTAAAAAAACTTACCAACTTACCTCTTTACTGCCTTTCTCAAAAAACTGTAAGTTTCATGATAACAGAGACCATATTTACTTGTTCACTTCCATATTCTCAATGTCAGGCCCTGTGTCTCCCCCAGATGTATCCAACAAGTATTTATTAAATAACGAGCAATGTTAGGATTTAGTATTTGTGAGCTTTACATCACATTCATCCACTAATTTCTGTTATGGGGTCAAAAATATTTCTGATTTCGCCATCTCCACCCCTCCACAATTTCTAGAGTATTAATGGACATGATAGGAGACAAAGATTCCATGTAAATGTTGGTCATACAGTTTCTAATAGGCAAAGCATATTTTATTTTATTTTATTTTTATTATTATTATTTTTGAGACGAAGTCTCGCTCTGTTGCCAGGCTGGAGTGCAGTGGCATGATCTCAGCTCACTGCAACCTCTGCCTCCTGGGTTCAAGCAATTCTCCTGCCTCAGCTTCCCTAGTAGCTGGAACTACAGGTGCATGCCACCATATCCAGCTAATTTTTGTATTTTCAGTAGAGATGGGGTTTCACCATGTTGGCCAGGATGTTCTCGATCTCTTGACCTTGTGATCCGCTGACCTCGGCCTCCCACAGTGCTGGGATTACAGGCGTGAGCCACTGCGCCTGGCCCCTAGGCAAAGCATATTTTATTATTTTCAACTTCAAACTTGTGTCTGATTGTCTGATCCAGAAATGTGACCCTGCAATTATTTTTGTTGCCGTGTGATAAATCACCCATTCATAATATTTCTCGATATCCATCTGTAATGTTAATGCTCATTCATCAGCCACAAGGCCCCTCTAAACAGTGTTATGGAGCTGAGCTGCCAGATGCTCTAATTTCTTCATGGCCACGAGACTGTCTGGAGCTGGACACTGCCTGTTTGGAGGGATATTATTTAACCAGTATGCTGTATGAATGCCTTGGTAGTTCAAGGATCAAAGTTGAACTTTATCAGCATTAGATTTCTCTTTCATCCTGAATAAAAATTTCTTTTTTTTTGGTAGATATATTTATAAAAGAAAGCTCCATTTGAAAAAAGTTGACAATAGATGGTTAAAGAGGACACATAAATTGATCTTTCTAGAAAGATATATTCATTTATACACAGAAGGTAACCAACAATGGAATGTTTCTTATGAAAACCGCATTTTCAAAATATGTAGAATTTTAAAATATACTATATAAAAATGGCTTCGTCAACTGTGAATGCAGTTCAGTGTTCATGGCTCGTGTTGGTGATCAAGTTTGGAGGCATCCTGAATAAAAATTTCTAACTGGACTTTTGCTGTAACCATTTAACGGTCTATAGCAGTTCTCAGGGGCTGAAGCATTCGGGATGCATGGTTTGTGAGGCACTCCGGGGATGTCGTTTGAAGCCTGTGAACACGGAGCAGTTCTCCTGGTCAACTCAAAGACAATTCCACAAGGTTTTTCTCCATGTCACCGCTGCTTAAACAGCTAGACTTCCTATAATCAGTGTGAGCAGTAAAATAAAAAGATATACTAGATCGTCACTGCTGGTCAAAAAACCCAAAATGAATAAAACCATTCAGAGCTCTTGACTCAATGATACACCTGACGGAAGTGACTGCCCATAAATTGGAATGGCTCCCAACAAGACTCAGGAATAGTGATGGGCTGGTTAAGGAGAGAGAAAGCACGAAAAGGTTTGCTGCACTTGGGTTTGGGTTTTACACCCCACACCCTACTTCCTAGCTCTCTGAGAAGTGCCTTCTTTATGACTGCCTTTCCCCGTTGGAAAAGTGAGGAAAAAAATGTGACCCTCCTTAAAGAGCCATTGGTAGGTTAAACTCTTTGGTACCATGTTTGATACCTTGCTATCATTAGTGTAAATTTTCTCTCAGACTGAGTCACTGCAGCACCACCCTCTGAGAGGCTGATCATGCTTACGATTTCACACTCCGCATCCTAGGCTGCAACTGGATGGCTATGATTAAGGCTGTTTACTTAAGAATTGCCCTCTGATTCTGGCTTTAAAATGCACCCATTTCTAGATATCCCTTTCTGCAGTGCAGTGGTGCTCATCTGGGGGATTTCGTTCCCCGGGACATGTGGTGGTAATGCCTGGAGACATTTTTGGTTGTCACACCTCAGGGTGGGGAGGGGGTGCTGCGGGCATCCCGGGATGCTGTGAGACATCCTACAGTGCCAGGGACGGCGCCACCCCAAAGAGCTTCCTGCCGACTCAGAATGTCCGCGGGTCCCAGGCTGGAAAACACGCTGCAGGCATTTCGTGTCCAGGGGTTCTTTTCCTTTTGTTCTTTCCCTTGACATGACTAAAAGAAATAAATGAGTTATCTTCTACATTTATCAGTGTATAAGCTGAAAAAAAATAGGGTTACATTTTGAGATTGCAAATCCCGCAAACAGATCTGGGCCTCCAAACTACTTATTTTTGGAGTTTAAAAACATATTTTATTTATTTATTTTTGAGACAAGGTCTCGCTCTGTCACTCCAGGCTGGAGTGCAGTGGCACAATCTCAACTCACTGTGACCTCCACCTCCCAGGCTCAAGTGATGCTCCCACCCCAGCTTCCTAAGTAGCTGGGACTACAGTTGTGTGCCACCACACCTGGATGATTTTTGTTTTTGTTTTTTTGTTTGTTTTTTGGCAGAAATGGGGTTTCTCCATTTTTCCCAGGCTGGTCTCGAACTCCTGGGCTCAAGTGATCTGCGCACCTCAGCTTCCCAGAGTGCTAGGATTACAGGCGTGAGCCATCGTGCCTGGCCAAACATACTAATTTTAAAACTATGCAGTAGGGAAACCCATTCCCTTTAATTACTTAGTTGAGAAACACAAATAAGAACTTTAGGCTCAGAACACTGTGTAGATTAACAGTGTAGAAATAAGTTTACAGTTATTTCAGATACTAATCTTATGACTATTCAAAATAGTTACCCATCCAAAGGTTTCATAAAGGGAACCTCGCACGAAAGGAAAAAAAAAAAAACTCTAAGGGAAAGCACATGCTTTAGAGAAAGTCAAATACACTGGGCAATTTACAAAAGAAAGAGGTTTAACTGGACTTACAGTTCCACGTGGCTGAGAAGGCCTCACAGTCATGGCAGAAGGCAAGAAGGAGCAAGTCACATCTTACGTGGGTGGTGGCAGGCAATGAGAGGAGCTTGGGCAGGGAAACTCCCCCTTATAATACCATCAGATCTCATGAGACTTACTCGCTATCATGAAAACAGCACAGGAAAGACCTGTCCCCATGATTCAATTACCTCCCCCCAGGTCCCTCCCACAACACGTGGGAATTCAAGATGAGATTTGGGTGGGGACACAGCCAAGCCATATCACTGTCACTTTTCTGAGTTT
The DNA here is from genome assembly GCF_000001405.40 of Homo sapiens. Classification (NCBI taxonomy): domain Eukaryota; kingdom Metazoa; phylum Chordata; class Mammalia; order Primates; family Hominidae; genus Homo; species Homo sapiens. The sequence goes on along the minus strand of NC_000013.11, from coordinate 109,964,717 downwards.
TTCCCAGGCATGTATTTAAAGCATCTATAGACTGTTTTCTTCACTTTTTGGGTCCCAGACACCCACTGTGTAAATAAGGGACTTGACCCAGCTGACCCCCACGGCCCTTTCACACTGAGATCCTGAGATCACATATTTCAGTTTTCTAAAAATACCTCTGCGGACTTGTATAGGCATTGCCAGATTCACTGTATTCTTGATTTTCCCCCCTAAAACAAAATGTTTTCTTCCTCTTGACTGATTCTGTCTTTCCCCCTTGATCTCTGCTAGACTCTGGTGTCTTTAATGTGTCCCAGGAAACAGATGTTTTAATGCTCTTTCGTTTCAAAACTGGATGCTTTCATCTCTGATCAAATAAAAAATGACATGTATGAGAAAGCACATTTCCTGACTGGTTGACACCGTTGCAGAATGACTTTTAGAATTTTTATAGTTCTGTGATTTGAAATGTCAGATGTGTCAGCAGGGCCGGTGTAAAGCCCTTGGAGTTATGTTTTGATGGTTACTCAAATATTCCAGTAAGCTGGATTAAACGACTTTCAGGAAGCCCAGCCTGAGATTCTTGCTCAGAAGGAGATGTGTGGACGTCTTGTCGGGCTGTGCACCAGCTCTTGCATAGATAATATCTAAGAGGAGCTTGAGTGCATCTTCGAATGCACCCTCACGTCTGAGATTCTTGTTCTCGAGCAGCATCGTGGTCCTCAAGCCTCCACGTGGGTGTGTGCTCTGCTCCTTCCTGGGCGGCTAGAGCCTGGACTCTCAATGCAGCAGTAAACGGAGCAGCGTTAGGAGTGCAGGGACATGGCTTGACTGACGAGTGTGATGTGTTTTGTGCTTAAATGTGCAATGCAGCAAACTTCAGCTGTATTTCATTCGTATTTTCAGAATAATTAATTGGCATTTTTAGCATGCCATTGTTTTATTTTAAAATGGTGTCATGGGTTTTTGGGGGTTTTTTTTGCCCTCTCATTTAAAAAATTACAAAATACTAATACTTCCTAATTCACATTCACCTCTGCTCAGTTCCGTTTTCTCACTATAGTTCTTTGTAAAGGAGGCTTAGGGTGTGTACCCACAAGGGGAAGGGGCCAGGTGGCCATCGCCGGGCTCAGAGTCTGTCCTAAGCCCTACCCCGCCTTGCGGCAGCCTGGCATGAACTCCACTTCCCATCTCTCCGTCCACACCTCCCAACTTGTATGTGTATTTCTTCTCCCCAGGGGTCAGTCCCTCCTAAGATTCATGATATCATAAGAAGTGAGAACAATTTCTGCATATGGCAGGAGTCTCTGTCCCCTCCGCCTGCTTCCCAATGTGACAGACCCCAAGCTTCATCATGTGAACCAGGAATAGCCACGTTCATGCAGTGTAGACGAATGAACATATCAGATCAACTGAATCTGTCTGATGAGCTACTCCATGTGATGACCTGGCCTCAGCTTCTTTCTGATTGAAGAGGCTAGAGAACCATATTATAAAACTGATTCACTGCCAGATACCTCTTAATATTTTGGTCTAAATCCATATGGTGTGTTTCTATGGTTAGTATTTTAAGCTGCAGTCGGTGATACCATTTTAAATATATTTTTAGTGGAAGGTATTATTTATAGTGAGGATTGTATGGTTTTAAGGAGAAGCAAATAAGAAAATTAAACAAACAAAAATAGCTCAGGGTGGAGATCTTGCTGTCGTATGTGAAGGAAATATTTTAAATCACACCGAGAACATGATTAGTGGAAGAAAACTTTGATTGCAGAGAAAAGTTTACTACTAACCCACACACATAGCATTTTGGGAGGGCTGCTCTGGAAAAGCCAATGCTAGAAGCCCTCTGCACAGATAAGGGAGGATTAAGGTGCCCTTTAAAATAATTAAACACCATCTGTGTACACGGAACCGGCGGCTGTGGCAGCAGCAGCAGATTCACTAAAGTTTGTGCTCTGTTGTTTCAATTATCGAACTCTGCTTCCCATCAGCTTCAAAGGAGACAAGGTCTTCCTTCATCCCCAGACAGTCGTCTATTTGTGTCTATTTTAATTCAGGATGAAAACCCGACTGCTGAGGCCCTGTCTCGCCAGATCTTTACAGGCAAAAGGGAACAGGAACGATGTCTCCGTTCACGGACATTCCAGGCAACACCTTCCCCGTGCTCCTAAATAATTTGGGCAATTTAGAGCAAAGGAGGTTTTTCTTTTATTTTCTGAATTATCCAGATAAGTTCCTCAGCTCTCTTCTTTCCTGGGTGTGGAGACCTGGCCTTTCAATATTTGATACAGAACACACATGCCTGGGAAGAAACCACATCATTTTTGAAAACTTTGGAGTAAAGGTCGTATTCAGGATATTTTACTTGAAAATGCATTATTTCTGTAAAGCTATGAGGGGAAAGCCCATTTCATTTCTGACAATATTTTTAAGGACTTGTCTCTGTGATTGTCTTTCCTCCTCTTTAGCCCTGCAAGGACTTTTATGCAATAGGTCCTCTGGCCGGCAGCGCCCCCAGGTTCTGAACACTGAACACATGGCGTCCCCACACCACTGGACATGTAACTGGGAGGACGGTGAGAGTGTGCCGATTTTTCCTTCATAGTTTTGAACCATTAGGTGTGAATCATGAATCTGAAGGATTTGGGATATTCTGTTCTTTTAGAGCCAGGGTTGGGAGCAAAGGAGAGTGGCAGGAGGTGGGGGGCTCTCTTCCAATGTGTCACTGCCCCCAGGAGGGGTGTGGGCTGCGAGAATGACCCATGCTCTGGGGCAATGTTATTCGACGCCATTTTTCTCCTTTGAAAAGTATTTTATTCTCCTTATAGGTACCCATGATTTCTTACAATATTACTTAACTCCCTGGCTACCAGCTGCATGTGCAGACATCCTTTACTTTTCAGATGTAATAGCTGAGCGTGAATAAGATTTCCTGAAGAAAGTATAATATTTTGAAATTATATTCTAAAGATTAATGTGATAGATTGTTCCCCTCTATGGAATGTAGACAAGAGTGAATTTGTGAAACATTAGAGGCGCTTGTGTTTTAAGCCTTCAGAGCAGGTGATAAATAAGGCTGAATCAAGTGTATTGATATTGGGTCCTTGTCTGCATTGACTGGTGTTTAGGAACCAACTTAGGTATTTTTTAAAACTTTATTACTTATGCAAGCAGGCAAGGAATGGTGACACTGAAGAGAGAAACAATGGATATATTTTCCTGAGTTTCGTCATATGAAGCTGAAAAGAGAGCTGTCCTCTTTCCTCTTCACACTGGGAAAAATAATGTCAACCTTGATACTGGTTTGCTGAGTTGAAGAAGTGGATGGTTGTGAAGAATGATGATGCTCCGGGGCAGGGCTGAGTGGGTGGACCAGCATCAGGAGATGGACAGAGGCACAGGGAAGGAGGGGAGGGAGGCATGGGCTTCAAGGGCAGTGCTTCCTCCTGAGAGGGCTGCTCCTTCCCTCTCCCAAGGCTGCACTCTGCACATCTCTCCAAGGTGAGGGCATCACCTTCAAGGTGGAGCATCCAAGGGAGGGCAGAGATGCTCAGCTGGGTTACGATGAGGCATTCTCTGTTCTGAAACCACAGCACTCATTTATTCATCGCCATGTTTATTTTTCTCTTTTGAGAATTGTTAGTTTTCTAGGGCTGTCTTAACAAGTCCTACAAACCGATTAGCTCAAAACAACAGAAGTTCATTCTCTCACAGTTCTGTAGGCTGAACTCCAGGTGTGGCAGGGCCGTAGTCCCTCTGAGGCTGTGGTAAGAGTTCTTCCTGGCCTCTTCCAGATCCTACTGGAGCCAGCTTGGAGCTTCTGGACTTGCTGGTACATCACTCCAATCTCTGCCTCTGTTGTTACATGGTGTGCGGAGCGTGATTCCCAAAGACACAATTCTGAAAGCCATAATCTTAAAGGTTGAAATCCCTAAAGTGTAAATCCCTAAGCTCTCAAATCCCAAAAATTGTGATCACGGGATAGTCGCATCGTGTTAGGTGGACTGTAAGCTTGGCTTCTAAAAGTGAATTTCAAAGTGTTACCAATAACATTTGTTTTCCCTGTTTAGCCCAGTGCATTTGGCAGCAAATCCAGGTGAGTGAATTGGCCTTGTGACACAGCAACAATGAAAACTTTAGGTTAACAATGCATTATTTCCTGCATTGGCATGTCTTCCAGCTGATGATATTCCAGGAGCTGTTAATGAATTAAAGCCACATTGACCTGAGGAAGCCAGTGAAACTCCTGACTGGTTTGAAAATTTGTGCACAGTAGGACAAGAAGACACTTAAGTAATGGTGCTGCTGTTCGATAACCAGGATTGTTTCCATCAAATTGGCCTGTAAATGAATGCATGCAAAATGGATGTCTGCATGCCCCAAACAACACAGAAGCACAGCACAGAAGATGGGAAAATTTAATAGGGAATTCTCTTGTCAGTGCCTATTGATCAAATCATGGAAGAATTTCAAAGAGTGGCACCATGCAGAAAATAAATATGATACAGAAAAGGCTTTCAGTAAAATTAAACATCCCTTCATGTAAAAAACTCTCAACAAACTAGGCATTGAATGAACATACTTCAAAATAATAAGAGCCACCTATGACAACCCCACAGCCAATATTATGCTGAATGGACAAAAGCTCAAAGTATTCCCCTTAAAAACAAGAACAAGGCAAGAATGCTCTCTCTTACCACTCCAATTCAACATGGAATACTGGAAGCCCTGGACAGAGCAATCAGGCAACAGAAGGAAAGAAAACGCACCCAAGTAGAAAGAGAGGAAATCAAACTATCCCTTTTTTCAGAAAATATGATTCTATACATAGAAAGCCCTATAGTCTCTGCCCAAAAACTCCTTGATCTGATAAACGACTTCAGCAAATTTTCAGGATACAAAAATCAATGTACAAAAGTCAGTAGCACTCCTATACACCAACAACATCTAAGCTGAGAGCCAAATCAAGAACTCAACTCCACTCACAATAGCCACAAAAAGAATAAAATACCTAGGAGTACAGCTAACCAGGGAGGTGAAAGATCTCTACAATAACAATCACAAAACACCACTCAAAGAAATCAGAGACAACAGAAACAAATGGAAAAGCATTCCATGATCATGGATAGAAAGAATCAATACAGTGAAAATGACCATATTGCCCAAAGCAATGTATAGATTCAGTGCTGTTCCTATCAGACTACCAATGACATTTTTCACAGAATTAGAAAAAAAAAACTTTAAAATTCAAATGGAACCAAAAAAAGAGCCTGAATAGTCAAGGCAATCCTAAGCAAAAAGAATCAAGCTGGAGACATCACACTACCTGACTTCAAACTATACTGCAAGGCTGCAGTAACCCAAACAGCATGGTACTGGTACAAAAACAGGTACATAGACTAATGAAACAGGATAGAGAGCCCAGAAACAATGCTGCACACTCACAATCATCTGATCTTCAACAAAGTCAACAAAAACAAGTGATGGTGACAGGACTCCCTATTAAATAAATGGTGCTGAGATAACTGGCTAGCCATACGCAGAAGATTGAAGCTGGACCCCTTCCTTACACCATATACAGAAATCAACCCGAAATGAATTAAAGACTTAAATATAAAACCTAAAACTACAAAAACCCTAGAAGATAACCTAGGCAATGCCATTCACAACATAGGAACTGGCCAAGATTTCATGACAAAGACACCAACAGCAATTACAACAAAAACAAAACTTGACAAATGGGACTTAAATGAACTAAAGAGCTTCTGCGCAGCAAAAGAGAATACCAACAGAGTAAACAGACAACCTACAGAATGGGAGAAAATATTTATGAACTATGCATCCAACAAAGGTCTAATATATAGAATCTGTAAGGAATAAATTTACAAGCAAAAAGCAACAACTCCATTAAAAACTGGGCAAAGGAAATGAACAGACACTTTTCAAAAGAAGACATACATATGGCCCAACAAGCATATGAAAAAAATGCTCAACATACTGATAATTAGAGAAATGCAAATCAAACCACAATGAGGTAGTATCTCACACCAGTCAGAATGGCTACTATTAAAAAGTCAAAAAATAACAGATGCTGGCAAGGTTGCCAAGTGAAGAGATGTTTATTCACGGCTGGTGGGAATGTAAATTCTTCAGCCATTGTGGAAATCAGTTTGGTGATTTCTCAAGGAACTCAAAGAAGAATTGGCATTCAACCCAGCAATCTCATTATTGGATATTTACACACAAGGAATATACATCATTTTACCATAAAGACACATACACATATATGCTCATCACAGCAGTATTCACAATAGCAAAGACATGGAATCAATCTAAATGTCCATCAGTGGTGAACTGGATAAAGAAAAACTGGTAGATCTATGCCATGGAATACTATGCAGCCATAAAAAATAGAGATAATATTCTTTGCAGCAAAATGGGTGCAGCTGGAGGCCATTATCCTAAGCAAATTAAGACAGGATCAGAAAACCAATACCGCATGTCCTCACTTATAAGTGGAAACTAAACATTGAGTACATATGGACAAAAAGAAGGGAACAATAGACACTGAGGCCTACTTGAGGGTGGAGAGAGGGAGGAAGGTGAGGATCACAAAAGTATCTCTCGAGTACTGTGCTTGTTACCTGGGTGATGCAATAATCTGTACATCAACCCCTTACGAAATGCAATTTACCTATCCTGCATGTGGACCCTGAAGCTAAAATAAAAGTTAAACAAGTAATGGGAGACAGTTCTCTGTAGATGAGAATATCGGAGGGTTAGGGACTGAAGGCTGCTTGCTGACAGCACTCTCTGCAGCTGGGGCAATGAGTTCTTCCTCGAGGGGATCTGGGATATGCATCCTGTGCCCACCACAGGCATGGATGGCATCACAATAATAGTCACTCCCTTCCACAAAGCGGGGAAGTGAAAGGCAGTATTTGGCCACTGTGGTCTGAAATGCAGCTGCACACAGGTTGAAATCCAGTTCTGTAATCCAGGCAGGGACTGTTCCCTGATGAAGACCTAGATCTAGTCCCTGGATGTGATCCTCTAGCTCCTGTTTTCTGCTGCTCTACAGAAAGTCCATCCTTGGGACTTTTACCTTTACCCCTTGACATACCCTTCTTTTTCCATAAGAAATCATCCTTGTTTGCTGATCAGTAGCTTCTTCTGTCTACAGGAATTTGGACATCAAGAGATTCTTTTCATTTGATTGTCTCTTCTTTTTTTGTGCAAAGTAGTGGTGTTTTCAAAAGCACAACTCCTTTAAAAACTTTGTGGGGTTCCTTTGAATCTGATGAGTGTTTATTCCATGCCCTAAAAGGCATACTTTTTGAGAAGATTTCTGTTTTCTTTGGGTTTCATTTGAGATTACCTTGGGCAAATACCTTTAAAATTATTAGATTCTTGAAAGTCCCATTTGTCTGAGAAGGTTTACCTAGAACTTCCTTAAATATGTCACTTGCTTGATACCCATATTCTTGACTTGATTTTGGCCTCAGACTTTAATTAACTTTGATAATTTTTTACCATTTTACTTTCAAATCTGGGAAACTCTGGGCTTTGTGTTTTATCCAATTCTACCTTAAAACCGAACACTTCCTTCTTAAGTTTACCTCTCTCTTCTTCTCCCTTATCCTTCACAGCCAGGAGAAATCCATTGGAACTTTCAACTTTCTTCCTGGATATGTCCTTAAGATCCATGAGTTCATTAGGCACATCTAAAAGAATGTTCTAAGTTACTACAGGTAATGGTTTTGCCAGTGAGTTGACAGCAAAACTGACTACATAATACAGTTAGGCTCTTCTCCAGCCTCTAGCAGCTTCATCAAGCCCAAAGCTAATGCTCTGGTTTTTGTTATGGGAGTGCCCACTTTTAGGTATCCATTTCTAGGTACTAGTTAGGCTTTATTTCATAGCAAATCATTTCAATATTTAATGGCTTAAATCAATTTATGTCTCATAATTTGGTGGGTTAGTTGGGCCATTCTGCTGGTCTGGCCTAGAGGCTGTAAAAGAAAAATTTTGCACAAGCATTTATTAAAAATATCAAGATAGATTTTGATTTAGAGTACCACAGTAGGGAAAAGACACTCCAGTATAAACTAAGCTCAATTCCCCCAAAACAAAAGGTGGGGGGCTGTTTAAATGGTGGGGCATGCTAAAGGAAAATTACTGAGGACACTGGGGAAAAACTGGGAAATGTAATTAGGCCACCTGTGTTTGCTAATTGACACATTCAAGTTAAGCTTTGTATGGTCTGAATGTATATCCCGAAGTTCATGTGTTGAAATCTTAATCCCCAATGCAACAGTATTGAGAGGTGGGACCTTTAAGAGCTAATCAGGTCATGAGGGCTCTGCCCTTGTGAATGTATTCATGCCACTGTCTCGGGAATGGGTTAGTTATCATGGTAGTGGGTTAGTTATCATGAGTGTGGGTTCTTGACAGAAGGATGAGTTCTGCCCTCTTCCCTTCTCTTGCATGCCCTCTCTCCATTTGATGCCCTCTACCAATCATACAGAGCAAGAAGGCTGCCCCCACCCCCAAGATGTGGCTCCTTGATCTTGGACTCCCCAGCCTCCAGAACCATGAGCCAAATAATCTCCTGTTGTTTATAAATTACCCAATCTGTGGTATTCTGTGATAGCAGCACAAAACAGATTAAGATGGGCTTCTGCCCTCCCAGGAGACTGGAAGACAGGAGCCCTATCTTTTTTAATGATTACATTTCAAAGAGTTGGCCCGAAGTCTTTGAGAAAGATGTTCCTGGGTTGTAAAAGCTACCTCTCAAAAGGATAGAAAAAAATATTTACAATTGCAAGTTTTCTAAAGTAAATGCTCCAAAAAAGGGAGGTCAGGGGCCTGCAATCAGGCTCTTGTTGGAACAAACAGTACATTCTTTTGGCAGCATTGAGCCTTGTCAGGCAGAACTTAAAGAGGCCAGTGTCATCATCCTAGGAATGTGGACTTGAGCTGTTAGAAACTGTGCTAGTGTTTGTTCAAGTATCTTCATGTGTGTGTGGTGGGGGTGGGGAGTACAAAATTGACAGGCTGCAGTTCCGACAGGTCAAGGTTGAGGCCAGATGAAGAGAATCCTCAGAGGAGCCCGACTAATATTTGGTCAAGGAGAGTCTTTGTCAAGCCATACATGTGGTCCCGATCATTTTCCAACTTGAGGAGGGCTGGGGGATCTTGGACAGCCTTACCTATGTATCTAAAGCTGGTGGTGGCTGCCAGCTGCTGCACTGACCCAGATTAGAGCCCCTTGTGCAGTGGCAGGAGTGTTGCAGGAGAGAGCGTAGGTGGAGCTGCAAACCCTCTTTAGCCTGGACTCTAGAACCCATGCAATATCCCTCTGTCACCTTCTGGAACAAAAGCAAGACTAGCCCACGCTCAAGGAGAGGGGAAAAATTCTCTACCTTTGATGAGAGGAGCTGCTAACTACTGTGAGTATGTGTTTTCTGACTTATCACAGTAAGCACATACAGACGTAAGACCCCCATCAGTATGTCACTCAGGATATTTTAAAAAATATATTATTGTAATTTCTCCAGTCATATGTGCATATCAGGTGATTCTCAGTTCCAGCCTCTTCCTTCTAAAAGGCAATTAAAGTTTTACTACTAGTAAAAAAACAAACATAAGAAGAACCATAACAAATATTCCAGCCAACCTGTATGATGTCAAACGTTTGTCATGATCTCAGGATGCCTCCATGTGCTTCAAGAGCATCCTCTAATGTAGTGCCCCTCAAGTCACCCTAAAATAGCTTCCTGTAATGCTCAGGTTACAGCATCTATAGGTTGGGGAAGTTCTCAAGGCCTTGCAGCTGGGCAATGACGGTACCAGAGTCCTGGTCCCTGGGTGCATGGCTTCGGCACCAACGCTTTGTCATCAGGCACCATGACCAGAAACCATACACACGTAAGGGAATCCAGAGTCCTGAAGGAGGAGAAATATTTGTAGCCAGAGTTGAGGGGAGACTTTGGGGCGCTGGATCCATCCAGTACCTCAGTTGTTCTTGACCACCCCTGCCAGAAGTTTCCCCAGATCCCCATGGGACAGGAGCGGTCTGCAGCCACCTCTTTTTCAGAACCATCTATTTATGGAGACGTTCATCCTTGTTTTGAATCAGAATCTGTCTCTTCATAACTTCCACCTCTGCCTCGAAATACCTTCCCTTCCCCCTGAGGCTCACAGCACAAGTCAAATTTCCTTTCTTTTATGACAGTTCTTTGAGTATATGAGGCAGCTTTCATAGCTGGCCTGAGTGCATTATCTGCCTCGGGCGAAATATCCCCATTGATGGTGCTTGGTGTTTTGATTATCCTGGTCTCTCTCCTCTGGAAGAATTTCAGTTTTTCTCTCTCCCACTTAAAAATTTTATTTAACTTCGGTACAAATAATACTTTTGAAACAGTTCACAATTAAAAAAAAAAAAAAAGGATCGGCCGGGCACGGCACTTTGGGATGCTGAGGCGGGTGGATCACGAGGTCAGGAGTTCAAGACCAGCTTGGCCAAGATGGTGAAACCCCGTCTCTACTAAATATACAAAAATTAGCCGGGTGTGGTGGCGGGCACCTGTCATCCCAGCTACTCAGGAGGCTGCGTCAGGGAATTGCCTGAACCCGGGAGGCAGAGGTTGCAGTGAGCCGAGATCACGCCACTGCACTCCAGCCTGGGTGACAGAGCGAGACTCTGTCTTTAAAAAATAAAAAAAAAATAAAGAATATTTGGGTTTTCGGGTGTTCAACATGAAGTACGCCTTTCCCTGCTCTCTGCTGCCCAGTCCCCTCTATTGTTCTCTAGATCTCTTTCCAGATGGGTATTTATGTGTAAGCAAGAAAAATAAATGTTTTCTTCCACTCTGTGATGGTTAATTTTACGTGTCAACTTGTCTATGCCTCATTACGCAGCTACCTGGTTCAACATCAGTCTGGATGTTGCTGGGAAGGTACTTAATAGATAAGATTAACATTTAAATCAGTGGGCTTTGAGGAAAGATGACCTTCCATAAGGTGGGTGGACTTCATCCATCTTCATTCATCAAGGATCTGAAGAGCAAAGACTCAGGTTCCCTCAGGAAGAGGAAATTCTGCCTTCAGATGGCATTTTGGACTTCTGGGATTGAAGTGTAGCTCTTCCTCGGGTCTTTAACCTAAGGGCCTGCCCGGCAAACTTTTAACCTTGCATCTCCACAGTTGCATGAGCATCTCCAGTGAGATGAACAGGTTCCTTAAAATGCCTGTCTCTCTACATATATGTATGTATGTATGTATGTATGTATATATGTATACAATCTGTATATAGATATATATACACACATATGTGTGTGTGTATATATATTCTCTTGGTTCTGTTCTATATATAGGCAAAACCCCCTGCTTTTTTTCATTCAAAATTATATTTGGGGGATTATTCTATATTAGAATATAAAGAATTTTCTATTTTGGCATTGTAGTGAATGCTGTATGAATATTCATTATATATTTCATGAGACTTTAAAAAATTTTAGGTGTTTCCAATTATTTGTTATTATTTAAAAATGGCACACTAAGTGACTTTATTTGCTTTGGATTGTGTCAGTTCATTTGCAGGACAAATCCCTACAGTACCAGAGGGTACACACTTTTTAAAAAAATAATTTCAACTTTATGTCCACATGTATTTGGTGTTTAGCTCCCACTTTTAAGTGAGAACATGTGGTCTTTGGTTTTCTGTTCGTGTGTTAATTTACTTGGATAATGGCCTCCAGCTGCATCAATGTTGCTGCAAAGAATATGATCTCTTTATTTTTTATGGCTGCATAGTATTCCATGATCTATATCTACCACATGCGCTGAATTCAATCCATCATTGACAGGCATCTAGGTTGATTCCATGTCTTTGCTATTGTGAATAGTGCTGCAATGAACATACAAATGAATGTGTCTCTTTAGTAGAATGATTGATTTCCTTTGGATATATGTCCAGTAATGGGCTTGCTGGGTCAAATGGTAGCTCTGTTCTAAGTTCTTTGAGGAATCTCCAAACTGCTTTTTAAATCTGATAGATATTAGCATGCTGTCTTAGAGCTGTTCTTATTCATGTGGCCACCTGCAGTGGATAAGAGTAGTGGCTTCTGTCAGCACAGCATGACATCAAAGTTATAAGTCTTTGCTAATCTAATAGGTCTGTATTAGTCAGGGTTCTCTAGAGGGACAGAACTAACAGGATATATATATATATATGTATATATATGTACATATATACATGTATATGTATATGTACATATGTATGCATATGTATATGTACATATGCATGTATATATGTACTATATATATGTAAAGGGTTTATGTAAAGAGGAGTTTATTAAGTATTAACTTATATGATCACAAGTTCCTAAAATAGGCGGTCTGCAAGCTTGAGGAACAAGGAGAGCCAGTTCAATCTCAAAACTGAAGAACTTGGAGCCCAATGTTCGAAGGCAGGAAGCATTCAGCACAGGAGAAAGATGTAGGCTGGGAGGCTAGGCCAGTCTCGCATTTTCACATTTTTCTGCTGCTTTATATTTGCTGGAAGCTGATTAGATGGTGCTTAGCAGATTAAAGGTGGGTCTGCCTTCCCCAGCCCACTGACTCAAATGGTAATCTTCTTTGGCAACACTCTCACAGACACACCCAGGATCAATACTTTGCATCCTTCAATCCAATCAAGTTCACACTCAGTATTAACCATCACAAGTCTGTCCTTTGTCAACTTGAGCCCATACACATCTCCTGAGATCATACGTAATATTCAAATAACAACAATAATAAGTTCATAATTATGCCTAACATAATACAATTATCCTTCATACTACCAGAAATCCACCAATCCCCAACCCAAATACTATTGCATAAAGTTAACAATACTTAAATGCTGATATGAAGTCAATAAGTCATATGTCACATGATAAAGGAAAAGGAAATAAAATGAAGATTTTTTTTTAAGTACAAGTGTATACATGCACAAACATGCTTTTAACAAAAGAAGGAGGAAATACTTATGACAGTTACAATCCCCTGTTATGCAGCTGGTCACGTGGTTGTAGATTGTATTGATGACTACCTTCTTTGATCACCCAATCTGTATTCCCTTTGCCTCCTCAGCAGGTCATATTTTTTGTTTGTTTGTTTTTTGTTTTTTGGGTCTTTTTTGTTTTGTTTTTGTTTTTTTTTTTTTTGGTGGAGTGACCCAAACCTTCATTCCTGAGGGGCCCAGACCATTTGTAGTCATGCCTGGATTGGGCTGTTGTGGTTTCCCATTGACCTTAATCACAGGGCATGGTAATACTAAGAGACACCCTAGTGGATCTCCTGTATTCCATGCATACTCTTCCTTACCTCCATTGTGGACTGATTTCATCTTGATAGTCCGGTTCAGTCAATCCCAGCCAACACTGTAGCTCCCTTCTTAGCCTGCTGACTTAGAGGTAGGTGGAGCCCAAAGTGTTCAGGTGGCTATCTTAACTTGCAGTTTAATGGAATCATTGTTTTGTCTCCCGTTGTCTCCCGGATTGTCTTCCTGATCATCCAGCCAAACCACTGGCTGCATCCCACAAATCAGTATATAACGCTGGTGGCAGCGTTCCTCCTTCTGGAACTAAGACCTCTAGGCCAGCAGAGCATAATATCGCGGGAACAGGAAGCAAAAATTTTGCTAGTGGATCACTAGGGGTGATGGTGAGTGGTGCCACTTCCACTTCCACCCCTTGATTTTTGCACCCATGAATCCTGGTTATGGAAGAAACAGTACCATATATTGGACGCTGATTCAGAGCATATACGACCTTTGGAGAAGTTTTCCCCATCCCTGCAAAGTATTGTCACCTAGTTGGCATTGTAATTGTGACTTCAAAAGGCCATTCCACCGTTCTATCAACCCAGCTGCTTTGGGATGATAGGGAATATGGTAAGACCAATGAATTCCTTAATCATGAGCCCACTGATGCACTTCTTTAGCCATAAAGTGAGCGCCTTGGTCAGAGGCAGTGCTGTATGTAATACTATGATGGAGGACAAGGCATTCTGTGAGTCCACAGATTGTAGTCTTGGCAGAAGCATTGCATGCAGGATAGGCAAACCATATCTGGAGTAAATGTCTATTCCAGTGAGGACAAATCTCTGCCCTGTCCAAGATGGAAGTCATCCAATATAATCAACCAGCCACCAGATAGCTGGCTGATCACTCCAAGGAATGGTGTTATATCGAAGGTTCAGAGTAGGTCTCTGCTGCTAGCAAATTGGGCACTCAGCAGTGGCCATAGCCAGGTCAGCCTTGGTAAGTGAAAGTCCATGTTGCTGAGCCCATGTGTAACCTCCATACCTACCACCATGGCCACTTTGTTTATGGGTCCATTGCACAATGACAGGGGTGGCTGGCAAAGAGGCTGAATGATGTCCACAGAATGGGTCATTCTATCCACTTGATTATTAAAATCCTCCCCTGCTGAGGTCACCCATTGGTGAGCACTCACATGGAATACAAATACCTTTACAGTTTTTGACCACTCAGAGAAACCCATCTACATACCTCTTCCCCAAATTTCTTTGTCACCAATTTTCCAATCATACTCATTCCAAGTCCCTGACCATCCAGCCAAACCACTGGCTACAGCCTGTGAATCAGTATAGCATCGCACATCTGGCCATTTCTCTTTCCATGCAAAGTGCACAGCCAGGTGCACTGCTCAAAGTTCTGCCCATTGGGAAGATTTACCTTCACCACTGTCCTTCAGAGATGTCCTAGAAAGGGGCTGTAGTGGTGCAGCTGTCTACTTTTGGGTGGTGCCTGCATATCGTGCAGAACCATCTGTGAACCAGGCCCTAGTCTTCTCTTCCTTTGTCAACTGATCATAGAGAACTCCCCATAAGGCCATCGGTGCAGGCTGGGGGAGAGAAGGCAGGGAGGCACGAGTGGAGACCATGGGCTTTTGAGCCATTTCCTCATGTAACTTACTTGTGCCTTCAGGACCTGCTCGAGCCTAATCACATATATACCACTTCCATTTGATAATGGAATGCTGCTGTGCCTGACCCACTTTATGGCTAGATGGGTCAGAAAGCATCCAGTTCATGATAAGTAGTTCAGGTCACATGGTGACTTGATGACTCATAGTCAAACATTCAGGACTGTGTTGCCTCCAAAATCCAAATAGGCCCACTAAGTATTGAACCTCTTTCTTGGTTGTAGGAGGGGCCAAATGCAGGAACTTGTTCTTCACCTTAGAAAGAATATCTTGACAGGCTTCACACCACTGAAACCCTAGAAATTTTACTGAGGTAGAAGGTCCCTGAATTTTAGTCAGATTTATTTCCCATCCTCTGGTACATAAATGTCTCACCAACAAGTCCAGTGTGTTTGCTACTTCTTACTCACTGGATTCAATCAGCATAATGTCATCAGTGTTAATAGTCCAGTGTGATATCTTGTGGAAGCAAAAAGTGATCAAATTCTCTCCAAGTAAGTTTATGACACAAAGCCAGAGAGTTGATATACTCCTAAGGTAGGAGAGTAAAGGTATATTGCTGGCCTTGTCAGCTAAAGGAAAGTTGCTTCTGGTGGGCTTTATGGACAGGAATGGAGAAAAAGGCATTGACCAAGTCAATGGCTGCATACCAGGTACCAGGAGATGAGTTAATTTGGTCAAGCAATGAAACCACGTCTGGTACAACAGCTGTAATTGGAGTCACCACTTGGTTAACCTTATGATAATCCACTGTCATTCTCCAAGATCCATCTGTCTTCTGCACAGACCAAATGGGAGAGTTGAATGGGGATGTGGTGGGAATCACCATCTCTGTGTTTTTCAAGTGTTTGATGGTGGCACTAATCTCCACAGTCTCTCCAGGGTTGTGATATTGTTTTAGATTTAATATTTTCTTAGGTAGAGGCAGCTCTAGTGGCATCCATTTGGCGTTTCCCACCATAATAGCCCTCACCCTACCAGTCAGGGGACCAATGTGGAAGTTCTGCCATCTGCTAAGTATGTCTATGCCAATTATGCATTCTGGCACTGGGGGAATGACCACAGGATGAGTCCAGGGACCCACTGGATGCACTATAAGTCAGACCTGAGCTAAAACTCCATTAATTACCTGACTTCCATAAGGCCCTACTTTAACTGGAGAAACACAATGAGATTTTGGGTTCCCTGGAATCAACGTCAGCTCAGAGGCAGTGTCCAATAGTCCCCGAAATGTCTGATCATTTCCCTTTTCCCAATGCACAGTTACCCTAGTAAAAGGCCAGAGGTCTTTTTGGGGAAGGAAGGGAGGAAGATTCACTGTATAAACTGTCAGTAATGTAGTAGGGTCCTTCCTCAAGGGGACCTGGCCTCTCTCATTTAGGAGGTTCTGGGTCCGTAAACTGGCTCAAGTCTGGAAATTGAGGGGCCTTGATTCTCTGTTTTTATAATTCAAATTAGTCTTTTGTCTTTTCAGAGTTTCCATGACTGTTCATGTTTATTGTTGTTCAATATGAAATTAAGGATTATATAGTCTATTTCAAATATTGATATTTGGTATTGTATTGATATTCTGTTAAGGGTTTTAATTAACTTAGGGAGAATTAGCACATTTCTGGTATGAGTTTTCTACAAGGTACACCTTGCATCTGTTCATATTTCTGTTTGTGTAATTCATTCAGACCTGCTTAAAAAGTTTTCTGATATAGATCTTTCACATGCTTAGGCATTATCTTTGCTTTATTGCTCTTCTAAATGAGGTATTTTCTTCTATTACAGCCCATGATGTTTCTTAACATGTGGTCCAACACAATTATTTATTTTGACAGCCATGAATATAGCCTTGGGTTATTTGAGATTCAATAAAATTGAATCAATTCTTCTTTATTTGAACTTTGAACTTTTGTTAATCCAAATATTTCCTAGCTCTCTTTTTTCCAATGGCTTTCATAATCTTGAACTTAATGCATGATTTTTATATTTATCTTGTTTAAATTTTATCCGATATTTCATCAACAATGTTAGCCTTTCTGGATTATTGAATCAGAATATTGGCTTCTCCTTCCAGAACTTTATCTAAAATTTTCATTAGCCACCAATGTCAACATCCAAGACACGAAAAATGTAAAACATCCCTGCCGACCAGGACAGTGCTTGTGACAGAGTCTTATGCCGTTCCACTAGACACCTCTCTCCAGGGCTCCAGCTGTTGTCTGTCTATCGTCCATCCACCCACATTTCCATCTACCTACCATGGTCTGAATGTTGTTGTCCCCCCAAAATTTATATGAACTGAACCCCCAATGTGATGTTAATAGGTGGAGTCTTCATGAGATGATTAGGTTATGAAGGTAGAGCCCTCACAAATGGGATTAGTGGCCCGAGGGAGTTTGTTTGCCCCTTTTGCCCTGTGAGATGCAGCTAGAAAATACTATCAGAGAGCAAGCCCTCATCAGACACAGAACATGCTGGGGCCCTGATCTTGATTTTTATGGACTCAAAAGCCACAGTCCTAGTACTTAACTTCAAGTGCTGCCAAGTAGCTGGATTATAGAATTAAGTCTTTTAGAATATCTGTCTGAGTGATATCTGAAATTATCCTTACAAAAGACTTTGTAGCTTGAAACTCTGAATATTCATGTAATCAAACTGAAGCCTCCCTTCATATCTTCCATGGGGACCTATACCTAGCTTTCGAATTTATATTTCAGTTTGTTGAAATAACTGGAAGAGAGACTTGTGATTTAAAAAAATGCTTGAATAATGGGTTGAAAAATGCTTACCCACTTCCGTATTTTCTGTACTGGCTTGGTAATGTGCCTCAAAGCAGGCAGATACTGGCTTGGGCAATGCTATCATTGTTCTCTGTATTTGATCTGTCCAGAAGAATGGGTCTATTAGACACTGATGCCAGCTCCCCTGGACAGTGGGATCAGAGCTATCATTGGCTAGGCTCTCCCAGGCCAGGATGACCATGGCTGGGCTGGGCTCACTCTCCCTTCCTGCTTTCATCAGCATTGCCCTCCTCACATGCCTTTCATCAGAAGCTTCCTGGTCCCCGACACCTGTCCTAGGACTGCACACAACAGAAAAGCCCATTGCTCTGGACTACAAGTTGCAGAACCTACCTCTTCTTTGTGAAAACTGGAAGAACATTTATTCAATTCCAGTCTTCTTGGTATCTCTTCTCCTCTAGGGTGTCTCAAAGGTTGTCTTAGGGTTTCCATGATCACAGTGTGTTCTGAGACATCCCCGAATCCTACTGACAGCCCCAGTGCTTCTTCCGGCCTCCTTCAACCCATTTCTGAGGCTCGGACCCTCCTTTCACTTTGGTCATTTCTATCCTTCCAATCTGATGAATAATCTTCCTGACAGAAGGCATGTAAGGAAATAAGGGGTTTACCATCACCTGGGGTCAATGAGCCCATCCGTATGAATTTCTCCTCTTGCTAAAAGACTAAGTCAGGGGATCTTTTGTGTATAGAATTAACTTTCCTGGGGCTCTTCATGTAGGTCTGCACCTGTATGTTAAAGCCTCTGGGTTATTTTCTCCTCATCCCCAGTCTACTGGTTGGAAAGCCCTCTGTGGACTTGATTAAAATATATTTTCAGCAAAACTTTGAAGCTGCTGATTTTAGCTGATTTAGTCTTTGAAAATGACCACCATATAATCTATTCCTCATTGTTGAGCTGGTTTGCCTAACTAGACTTATTCTCTGCAAAGACATGTTTTACATCATTTCATTTTTAAATAAATTGTGTTAACATGCAAATCTATAATGGACCTCTCAATCTTGAATTCTAATTCTAAGAAAGATGACAGACAAATAGACAGAAAGACAGAAAGCACATCAGAAGACAGTAAACAGTGGCTCATCACTTGGATGAAATAAGGGCTTTATTCCTTTAATAACTCTTACACAATGCTATGGTCTGAAGGTTGATGTCACTCCAGAATTCCTATGTTGAATACTAACCCCAGGGTGATGGTGTGAGGAAGCAGAATCTTTTAGGATGTGGTTAGGTCATGAGGGTGGAGCCCGCATGAATGGGATTAGTGCTTGTATTAGTCCATTCTCATGCTGCTAATAAAAACATACCTAAGGCTGGGTAATTTATAAAGGAAAGAGATTTAATTGACTCACAATTCCACATGGCTGGGGAGGCCTCACAATCATGGCAGAAGACAAAGGAGGAGGAAAGTCACATCTTACATGGTGGCAGGCAAGAGAGCTTGTGCAGGGGAACCCCCCTTTATAAAAGCATCAGATTTCTTGAGACTAATTCACTATCAAAAGAACAGCACAAGAAAGACCTGCCCCCATGATTCAATTACCTCCCACTGGGTCTCTCCCACGACATGTGGGAATTATGAGAGCTGCAATTCAAGATGAGATTTGGATGGAGACACAGCCGAACCATATCAGCACCCTTGTAAAAGAGGCTCAACAGGGACCATTCTCCCCTTCCACCATGTGAGGATGCAGCAGAAGCTGCCATTTTACGAACCAGGAAGTGGGGCTCTCACCAGACCCCAAAGCTTCTAGCTCTTTAATCTTGGACTTTCCAGCCTCAGAATTATGAGAAAGACATTTCTGTTGTTTAGAAGTCTCCCAGTCTAGGATATCTTGGGAGAGCAGCGTAAGTGGACTCATAACCAATAGCTCAACTTGGTTGTCTTTCAAGGTGTTCTATCTCAGGAGGGGTTCTTTCTCAGATGGTCCCTTGTTGGAGTGCCCTGGAAGTTTTTATTATTTATTTATTTAACTTATATTTTAAGTTCAGGGGTACATGTGCAGATTTGTTATATCAGTAAACTTTTGTCGTGGAGGTTTGTTTTACAGATTATTTCATCACCTGGGTATTAAGCCTAGTATGCATTAGTTTTTCCTGATCCTCTCCTTTCTCCCACCCTCCACCCTCCAATAGCCCTCAGTGTGTTTTTCCCATGTGTGTTCATGTGTTCTCATCATTTAGCTCTCACTTATAAGTGAGAACACGTGGTATTTGTTTTCTGTTACTACATTAGGTTACTAAGGATAATGGCCTCCAGCTCCATCCATGTTCCTGCAAAGGACACGATCTCATTCTTTTTTATGGATGCATAGTATTCCATGATGTATATGTATCACATTTTCTTTATCCAGTCTACCGTGGATGGGCATTTAGGTTGATTCCAGGTCTTTGCTATTGTGAATGGTGCTGCAATAAACATACACATGCGTATGTCCTTATGATAGAATGATCTATATGCCTTTGGTTATATACCCAGTAATGGGATTGCTGGGTCAAATGGTATTTCTGTCTTTAGGTCTTTGAGGAATTGCTGCACTGTCTTCCACAATGGTCGAACTATTTACACTCTCACCAACAGTGACTGTATAAGTGTTCCTCCTGGAGGTTTTTGTACCTCATGAAAATCTACAGTAATACTTGGGATGATTGAGATCATCCCAAATGATGGTGATCATATGTTTCTTTGGCAGATGAGATTTTGGAAAGAGTATATATGGAAGTTGAGGACCTGAAAGTTTATTCCCTTAAAGCTGTTTGTATCAGCCACCATGTCCATGGGAAATCTTCATGGAGCCACTGGTCTGCTGAATCAAGGGAGGAGATGTTAGGCTCCCCTCCCTGTAGGCCTCCAAGTCTCTCCCAGTGTTCTTTGGAGGGTGCTCTTGGAAGTCTCTTTATTTCAGTTGTTGTAGGAGGAGAAGAAACACCACAGCACCCTCAACTAGGTTTGTGTCCTGACCCCATCCTATCACTCCATTGTTCTTTCTTGCATTTCCAAGTCTCTGTGGCCCTCTGGTTCCTCTGTAGCTAATCTTCCTGGGTGGTGAGGAGTTAGTGTGGTGGTGGGAACACCTACACTGGCAGATCTCACCTTTTTATAAACCAAAAAGGGAGAGCTTCTCACTCCAGTTGCATGCCTTTTTGGCTTTAGTATTCTTAACTTCGTTTTCTTTAAAATGGGCTCCTAGTCACCAATTCTAGAAAGAGGGAAAAGGCCAGTCAGTAACTTTTATGTTGCTTCTGTGGTGTTCTTAGATTAAACACCACACAAGAGGCATCTCCTTGGTTTTTGAACCGGGAATGTTATGTTTCTCCAAAGGAATTATGTTTGTATGTATTTTAAAATCTGATGGACACTGCACTGACGTCAGTTCTCTTTCATTACATTGTACAAGATGTACAGCCAGTGCATGGTGTCTGCAGCAACAACACAGGTCCTCACCCCAGACTGACACAGAAGTCTCACATCCTCCAGGCTCACCGTGCTTCCGTGCCTTTGTCTTTTCCTCTACATCATTTTCTTCACTGGCATTTTAAATTATATGTTAATTTTGCACTGCATGCATTTTTATAGCAGCCTTAAATCTGTAATGAAAAACGAGGGACTACCTTTTGGGTCTCCAAATTCCTTTGCACTGCTTCTCTCCTAATATAAACTCTTAGAAGAATAATTATCATCTAATTTGCATCAGTTTTGAAATTTTTTGTAGGATTGAAGAGTTAGCTATTTTTAACTTCTCATGATATATGGATCTTCAAACTCGATGGTCTGTGTTAGTTAGCTACTGCTGTGTAACAAATTGCCACAAGTTTAGTGAATTAAAACAGCACCCATTTATTATCTCATGGCTTCTGTAGGTTAAGAATCTGGGCAACGCTCAAGTGGGTTCTCTACTCAGAGTCTCACAAGGCTGGAATCACAATGTCACCTGGGGTTGCAGCCTTGTCTGAGGCTCCAGGCCTCCTCCAAGCTCACTGGCTATTGGCAGAATAGAGTTTCTTCTAGCTATAGACCCCCACTACAAGAGATCATCCACGGTTTCTTGCCAGGTGGGCCTCTCACATTGTGACTGCCTACTTTAGCAGTTGATGAGAGGAATCCAATCCCTAGCCCCTGAGTGCTGGCCAGCTGTAATGTCATGTAGCACAGCTTAATCACAGCAGTGACTTCCAATCATCTCTGCCATGTTCTGTGGGTTAGGATTGCATCACAGCCACGGCCAACACTCAGGAGAATCAGGAGAAGGGATTACCCCAGGGGATGATTGAGCATCCCCCTGGGGGCTGTGTGTCTACATCATAAACTTTCACCTGTACTCTTTTTTTTTTTTTTCGATAGTCTCGTTCTGTAGCTCAGGCTGGAGTGCAGTGGCACAACCTCAGCTCACTGCAAACTGCGCCTCCCAGATTCAAGTGATTCTCAGTCTCCCAAGTAGCTGGGATTACAAGGGTGTGCCACCATGCCCAGCTAATTATTTTGTCTTTTTAGTAGAGGTGGGTTTTTGCCATGTTGGCCAGGCTGGTCTCCAAGTTTTGGCCTCAAGTGATCTGCCTGCCTTGGCCTCCCAAAATGCTAGGATTAGGCGTGAGCCACCTCATCTAGCTTCACCTGTACTTTTGACCACACAGGAATTAATAATGCAAACATGATTATACAATTCAGAATCTTCATTTCCATTTGGTATTGATGGTGTAGTCATTTAAATGTTATGCATAGTTTTATCAACGTTGTCTCCGTTTAATTGTAATCTTATGGTGAATAGGAAATAGGTCTAGCTAGTTCTTACGCAACCAATGACACAGCACGTGTGGATGGTTAATCATTCCTAACAACACTGATGAGAACTTGCTGCTTTAGAGAGATGTTCAAAAAGTTTCAATGACCGAGGATTAACTTTCAAAATCATTAAAATTCCTTCTCCATTCAAAACACGTTAGTTTAGAATTAAATTATATGGCTGAAAGAGGACAATGAGATTTGCATTTTAGTCGTAACTGCAGAAAAAGGAGAAGGAGGAAGACCAAGGGCAGGTAGAAGAAGATGAGGAGGAGAATGAGGAGGAAGAGAAAGAGAAAGAGAGGCAGGATGAAGAGTGAGGAGAAGAAGGAAGAGGAGGAGGAGCAGGAGGTGAACTGAGATGAAGAGTTCATTTGTGGATGTATAGACGGCAAGACTCTTGTGGCTTCTCTGTCCATACTGTAAGCCAACAGTTGGACAGACAAGGTTATAGATCTTGGAAAAGTTTAAACTAGAAATAGAAATGTGAATGTCATCTACATATAAATGACTAAACTGCAAGTAGTTTTGTTCATAAGCAATGAATGATTGCCTGTGAAACACATAAACAATGTGAAAAACAGTCTGCCATGGTGAGATCTCTCTAGAAAACCCCAGAGGTAAATGGATCAGCAGAGGCAGATCCTGAAAGCACCAGGAAAAGAGCAATCAGGGAAGGAGGGAGAGAAAAAGCAGGCACTAGCCTCAGGGAGATGAAAGGAAATTCATTTCTCAAGTTGAAGGGAAATTCCAAGTACCCAGGATTGAAGGAGCAGATATGACCAGGCAGATAAGAACTGAGAAACATCCCTTGGATTTGAAAATATGAGATCATTGACAACTTTTGCGGCAGGAGTTCTGAGGAAAGGTGGGGTGTGCTCCAGGTTGCAAGGTTGGAAGAGTAAATAAATAGGGAGCAAGTGGAAACAAAGTGTAGACCGGGTTTTAACACACTTGGCCAATAAAAGAAGGAAAGAGACAGCAATAGCCACGGAGCAGACATAGAATCATAGAATTTTATTTTGTTTAGTTAGGATGAGAGCCAGTTTATAAACTGGGGGGTAGAAGGAGTAAGAAAAAAAAAAGGAAATTAGTGATAGAGGAGAGATACAGGGTAACTGATGAACCAATATCTCTAAGGACACAGAAGGCTGAAAAGATTTTTCTTGAATAAGAGAAGGGTCTGGATTTCTGAGACTGATGGGGAGGGAGCGAGTGAGGAAAGGGCTATGACACTTTGTATGTGGCAGGCGGGAATTTGCAATGGCTGACGCAGATTACCCATTTCCTTGCCAATCTAGAAGGTAGATAAAGGGCTGGTCAGAGAAGAGTGGAGAGCTCGCCATGTGAGTGAAAGTTTTCCACGATCGCTTGGGGCAGGCAGGGAAATGACCCAACATGAGTAAAGGGATTGTTAAATGTGGCCTAGGGGCAGGCTGAAGTCGCAGACTAGCAATAATTCATAACTCATCCTCCGTTTTCTAAGTTTTCTCCAGGAAGCCAAAGCATCCAAGTTAAGGGGGGCAGATTATTGGATTCACCCTGAGCTAGGGTTTTGCTGCACCTGAGCATCAGAGGGACAGACCAAGAGGGAGTTGAGGGCCCCAGGGTTGCAGAGAAACAAGAGAAAACTGAACGATCAGGTGAGGAAGTCTCAGTGAACTTAGTGGGTGTGTGTAGCATAAGTGAGGGCGTGACTGTGGAGGGGTTCTGCCATTTAGTATTTCAGAGGAAGAACAGTTCTTGGAGGATGGCGTCTAAGATGTGGTGATGTGTGTCCAACTTGCGACCTCCACCAGGAAGCTTTCCCTGATGCTCAGGTGAGATATAAATAGCTTTCTCTCATTCTTCTGAGCCTGCACATCACTCTGTTCTTTTCTTAAGCTTGGCTTTAGGCACCGAGTGTGGTAGATTACAAAAATGGCCCCAATTCTCCCCACTCCCTGTGTCCAAGACTTTTGCCGATTCACTTTGCAGTTTTCTCCTCCTCTGACTCTCAGTCAGCCATGCGACTTCTCTTGGCCCGTGGGACTTCAGCCACCATCATGTAAGCAGAGGCCCGAAAAGCCTTGGGTGGTTAGGACGGCCCTTGTCCTGGCTGCTGCATCCATGTCTGAGCTGGCCTTCTGGAAGAGTAAAGACATGTGGAGCAGAGCCGAGTCCGTGTCGTCCAGCGGAGGCCATCCTGGGTGAGCCAACCCCCCGCTGACCACACAGGAAACACACAGGTGTGCTCAGCCCAGATCACAGAACCCCATGGAACTGTGAGCTAAATAAACACTTATTTTTGCATTTTGCTGAGTTTTGTGGTTGCATTCTACTCAGTGTTATTAATGATATACTAGGTTAACTCTCAACGTATCAGAGACTCATTCAGGGCAGGGCTATGAGCTCAAATAAAGTGACAATCATGGAAAATAAATGAAGAATTTCATGTCAGGTCTCAGAGAGGGGCCACGTACCTGGCTTGCTCCAAGCCCGGGAAGCCTAGTCAAGGCCGTTTGACACAGTCTGGAATCACAATTTACAAATTAGTTAAGTAAGTTAGTCCTTGTTTGCCACCAAACTAGGGAATACAGGATTTAATAAAGCAAATGTGGATACTGAATCACCCAGGCTGGAAGGTGGGAGCTGTCTGGTTGAAGTGAAGTCAATCCCTGATTTTGTTGCATGAATTCCAAGCGTTTAGCGATAAATCTCAATTTGATGAAAGGTCTATCTTTTCATGAAACTAAGAGAATAATGTATAGAAAGAGAGTCAGATATTAGAAACACAAGAGCATGCTTCATGTTACAAATGCACATGTATTTCTGTTCATCATTACAGAAGTATTTTTGTGTTTGCCAAATTTGCTCCATGCTTCTCTGTTTAAAAGGCTAGAGAAAGGTGGTTTTAATAAAGTTTTCTAATGTAATAGAACAAGCAGTAATAACATCCTGTTTGGAATCTTTGGAGGAAAAGAAAGGTTTCCTTTTGAAATGCTTTTTCAAGAATTATTTTCAACTAACTAGAAGAGGAAAAACCAGTGTCAGGGAACTAAAAGGGGGCTCCATGTTCCTCTATAGTCATGCCTTTCATGTTGTTAATTGATGGTATTGTTAGGGGCTCAGAATTACTCTATAATCAAATGAAATGGCCAGAAAGCTAAAAGCAAAGGGGAGCCTTTGAATGTGGTCACAAAGAGAAGGCAGTTTCCCATTTCTTTCATCAATTAAAGTAGCTAATGAGTCCATGTGAAATCCATAGGCAGGTCTGTAGTTTGCGGGATAGCGTGGGCACTTTATAAGGAGGTACATGGCTCATTCTTGTATGGGTACAAGTAATCCTTTAAGTGAAAGCAGTTACATAACAGGAAAGAAATTTAATGCTGATCTCTTTGCTCTTACAAATGCAATCCTGGCAACCTGTCAGCTATGACCTAAGAAACACATCATAACACTCTAGTCACATTTGGCTGTGTGTCATCCGAGGAATACATCTGTACCTGTATTTCGATACTAGCCGAGGGAGTTGAAGCAGCTGAATTTCATTTTTCATTTGCTTTATGAATTCTGTTGGTTTTCATTCACACCGGGCTGGAGGTACTGTAATAGGACCTGTTTCACAGGCCTACTTTCCTAGGAAAACACTGTGTTTCAGACAACTAGACATTCCTAGAAAGGAATTAAGGCTTAAACAGTACTCCTTAGTGTCAGGCAAATGTCCTGGAATGAGGTAACAACAACATGGCTGTGTGTGTGAGTTACAGGAGAGAGGCACAAAAGGGGAGAGAAGCCCGGTGTCCTCAGCTGACTCAATTGAGATCAGTCCTTCTTTTACAGGCAGAGGCCGGCAACTCCAGATGGTAATCGTGCACTTGTTCAGTAGCTGGTAGAAATGTGACCAAGTAGGACAGGTCCCAGGGGCACGTCTCAGTAGGTGCCCCATCTTCCAGCCTGGGATCTGTGCAGCCACTCTCATGCTACGGCTTCCTCCTGGAGCGACTTGCTGGGCTCACAAGCTCTCCCTACTTTCTCTTCTTCCACCAACACTTCCCCCTTCCCAACACAGTTAATGGAGTCATAACAGAATCTACCAATTACTGAGCAGCTAATGAATTATTTCCACAATTGTTCTAGGTCATCCTTATTACTCCCATGTTAGAGATGAGAAGGCTCAGGCTTAGAGAGGTGATCCTTTGCCCAAATTACCCAGCTAGTAGGCACACATTCCAGGTCTGCCTTGGTCCAAAGTCCATATGATGTTGAAATGGTTAATTTCACATGTTAACTTCGCCCGGGCTATGATGTGGCTGTGATGATATTTGGTAGATGTGCTTAATAGCTAAGATCAGTAGACTTTGAGTAAAGTAGATGACCCTCCATAATGTCGGTGAGCCTCAACCAATCAGTCAAAAACCCTGACAGCAAAGACTGAGATTTCCTGAAAAAGAAGGAATTCTGCCTCAAGACCGAGACAGAAATCCTGCTTAAGTTTCCATTCTGCCACACTGCGGAATTTGGACTTGAGACTGCAAGATCAGCCCTTACCTGAATCTCCAGCCTGTGGGTTTACTCTACAGAATTCAGACTTCCCAGCCCCAACAACTGCATAAGCCAGTTCCTTAAAGTCTCTGTCTCTCTCTTTATATATATATATATATATATATATATATATATATATATATATATATATATAAATATATATATATATATACATATACACATATATATATGTATATATGTATATATGTATGTATATATGTATATATGTGTATATATGTTTGTGTGTGTGTGTATATATATATATATGTATGTATATACACATATAGCCTATTGGCTCTGTTTCTCTGGAGAACCCTGGCTAATACACACATCCGTCATGCCTTATTTCTCACATGTAGCACACCCAGCTTTTCAACATGTTGACTGTAGCATGAGAAACTGTCAGGGTACAGGCCACATGGAACCTCGAAGAAGGACAAGTGTGGATTTCATGCCAGCACTGTATCTTGTTAGTGTTGTTAGCCCTGTAAGAGTTAAACAATAGCTCTAGGCCTGACAACTGGTGTGTCCCTTCCATCCTTCGGACCCCAGTGACCATCCTCTAGTCTCATTAATTCACCTCTTAACACAACTAGGCCTGGGCTCACTCTCTTCACTTGGATCCCTGCAAGATCAGACCTTTTTTCCAGGTGATGCCTTGGTTCTCAGCCATTATATTGGTTCTTCAGAGAAACAGAATAAATAGGAGATGATAGATTTAGATATGAAGGCATTAGATCTAGATATGTAGAGATGTAGGTGGATAGATAGATACAGATGTATAGACAGACAGGAAGACATACAGATCAATTGAGATGGAGATTTATTTTAAGGAATTGGCTGGCTTGGTTGTGGGGGCTGGGAAATCCAATATCCTTAAGGCAGAGGGCAGACTGCAAACTCAGGCAGGAGTTCATGCTGCAGCCTTGAGGCAGAATTCCTTTTTCTCTGAAAAATCAGTTTTTACTCGTAAGGCCTTCAACTGATGGGATGAGGCCCACTCACATTACAGAGGGTGATCTTCTTTACTTCAAGTAGGATGACTATAGATGTTAACCACATCTACAAAATATCTCTACAGTAACACCTAGATTCTTTTTGATTAAATAACCAGCACCTGAGCCTGACATGTTGACATATAAGACTACACATCATAGCTGTGCACTTCAGGAGAATACGACTGTGTATAAACCCTTATCCATAGCCCACCTGGCATTCCTGGGGCTCTCTTCTAGGGAAATCTTGGAGTCTGACTCTTGTCTATAGGCACTAAAGCCCTTACTAACATTGCCTGAATTCAGCCAAGTATCTTGAGGGTGACCGTATAATTTATTGCCCAAACTGGAACACTTTTGAGAATTAGAGGTAACTCCCTTGATAATTCTACCAGGTTTAATCTAGGACATACGTCATGTTATCCACATCTTCCTACACATAGCCTAAATGTGGCCTTTTCATCCCTTTTCCTGAGCCCACTTTTTAGGGCTCCTCTATTGCAAAGTCTTTCTAAGAAGAAAGCAGACATGTACAATGCATCACTGAAGATATTTCACTACGATATTTACATCCACTCTGTAATAAACTGTGACATTTTCTAGTATTTTCTACTTCATTTAAAAAATGTTTTTATGACAAATGGAAAAGCATCCTGTGCTCATGGATAGGAAGAATCAATATCATTAAAATGGCTATACTGCCCCAAGCAATTTACAGATTCAACGCTATTCCTATCAAACTACTAATGACATTCTTCACAGAACAAGAAAAAATTATTTTAAAATTTATATGGAACCAAAAAAAGAGCCTGAATAGCCAAGACACTCCTAAGCAAAAACAACAAAGCTGGAGGAATCATGTTATCTGACTTCAAACTATACTACAAGGCTACAGTGACCAAAAAGAGCATGGTACTGGTACAAAAACAAGGACATAGACCAACGGAATAGAATAGAGAACCCAGAAGTAAGGCTACACATCTAAGACCATATGATCTTTGACAAAGCTGACAAAAACAAGCAATGAGGAAAAGACTCCTTATTCAATAAATGATGCTGGGATAACTGGCTAGCCATATGCAGAAGATTGAAGCTGGACCCCTTTCTTACTCCATATACAAAAATCAACTCAAGACGAATTAAAGACTTAAATATGAAATCTGATACCATAAAAACCCTGGAAGACAACCTAGGCAATGCCATCCTGGATATAGGAATGGGTAAAGATTTCATCAGAAAGACACAAAAAGCTATTGCTACAAAAGCAAAAATTGACAAATGGGATCTAATTAAACTTAAGAGCTTCTGCACAGTAAAAAAAAAAATACTATCAACAGAGTAAATAGACAACCTACAGAATGGGAGAAAGTATTTCCAAACTATGCATCTGACAAAGGTCTAATGTCCAGCATCTATAAGAAATTTAAATTTACAAGAGGAAAACAACCCCATTAAAAAGTAGGCAAACAACATGAACAGACACATTTCAAAAGAAGCCATACATGTGGCCAACAAGCATATGAAAAAATGCTCAATATCATAGATCATTAGAGAAATGCAAATCAAAACCACAAGGAGATACCACCTCATGCCAGTCAGAATGGCTATTATTAAAAAGTAAAAAAATAACAGATGCTGGCAAAGTTGCGGAGAAAAGGGAACCCTTATATACTGTTGGTGGGAGTGTAAATTGTTTCAACCATTGTGGAAAGCAGTATGGCAATTCCTCAAAGAGCTAAAAGCAGAACTACCATTCGACCCAGAAATCCCATTACTGAGTATATACCCAGAGGAATATAAAGCATTCTACCATAAAGACGCATGCATGCACATGTTCATTGCAGCACTGTTCACAATAGCAAAGACATGGAATCAACCAAAATGCCCATCGATGACACACTGGTTAAAGAAAATGTGGTACATATACTCCATGGAGTACTATGCAGCCATAAAAAATATGAGATAATGTGTTTTGCGGTAACATGGATGGAGCTGGAGGCTATTGTCTTTAGCATACTAACGCAGGGACAGAAATCCAAATACTGCATGTTCTCACTTACAAGTGGGAGCTAAATGATAAGAACTTATGAACACAAAGAAGGAAACAACAGATACTATGGTCTACTTGAGTGGGGAGGGGGGAGAAGCTGGAGGAGCAGAAAAAGTAACTATTGGGTACTGAGTTTATTACCTGGGTGATGTAATAGTATGTACAACAAACCCACGTGGCACATGTTTATCTATGTAACAAAACTTCACATGTACCCCCAAACCTAAAATAAAAATGTTTTTAAATAAAAAATTTTAAAAGTTTTTACGGACCATGAAATTGTTATCTTGATCTAATAGTCAATGACAAACTGAAGTTTAAAAAATATTGCTCTATTTCACTCTTTACTCCCAACAGCCACCCCAATTGCTCCAGTCCCTTTGGCTCTGGGGGGTATTTCTTTTTCTTTCTTGTGTTTTTTTCCCTTTTGATGAACAGAGAAACCCACATTTGTTTTCTATCTCCCATTGGGATTAGACACTTTGCAGGCTGTGGTCTCTCCCACAGTAGCACATACGTAATGTCTCTCAAACCTATGCACTTAATTTTTAATTTTTTAAATAAAAACGATTTCAAATGTAACATGAGAATTGTAGAAAATCTGGAAAGCACAGATATGGCCCTGATGTTCTGCCCCTTTGTCCACACCCTTTCCTGTAGCAAGTTGAAATAGGCTTTGACTAGGGACATGCTTGACCCCGCCCCTTAACACTGGGCTTAGCTGTGTGAAGTGTTGTGGCCCATGGGATGTCAGAAGATGTCATAGCAGCACAGGCTTGAAAGGGACGTCCGGCAGGTGCTTGCCATCCTGCATCTCTGCCATCCCCACAACAAGATGCCCAGGCGAGGTGGCTGGCCCCAGGGTGAAGAGGAGGAGTGTGGAGCAGAGCCACTGCGCCAGGTCACTGCAGCCAAACCACCAGATCAGCTACAGCCCGCTGAGCCCTCCTCCTGTGAGCCAGGAGGCCAGGGTCAGAAGAAACATCTCGCCTAAATATCCTACTCACAGAGCACAAAAGAAATGAATGCTTATGATGTTAAGCCACCGTTTGGGGGTGGTGTGTTACATAGGATTTCTGTGGCAATGGATAAGTGATTCAACAGAAAAGACTACATACATATCTACCTTTTAGACAAGCACCCAGATAATTCTCATGTAAGTAGCTTCTAGGCTAAAATTTAAGGAAGTCTACATGATAGTACAATATTAGAGAATCAGCTTTTTGATCCTGGCCTCCTAAAGATTTTTGGTCCTTTTTAATTTTCTTTCTTTAACCCAGGGATGGAGATTGCATTTTTTCAGATGCCTTTTTATGGGCATTTTAAAGATGATTATATGGTTTTCTTTGTAATCTATTAATGTGATATATTAAAATATCCTTGTGCTCCTTGAATAATTTTATTTGATCGTGAACTATTGTCATTTTAATATAGACTTGGTCTGAAATTGCTAGTGCTTTATTTAGAATTTTAATAAGCTTATTCATAGCCTGTCATTTTCTTTTTTGTGCCACTTTTGTCAGGTTTTGGGATCGGATCTGTGCTGGCTTTGTAAAGTGGGCAGGGAAGCTTCCTGCGATTTCCTCTGCTTTACAGCAGTTTACATAGCCTGCTAATTATCTGTTCCTTGAAAGTTGGAAAGAACTTAGCCCAAAAACTGCGGGCTTGGCACCATTTTTGGAAGAAATGCTTGGATAATTCTTCATTTTCTTTTTCCCCTGTGATCACTGTACATTTAGATGGTATACTTAGTCTTCAATAGGTTTGGAAAATTGCCGTTTCCTATTAGAGATTCACCCATTTCTGCAAGATGTTCAACTGTGTTATCATGGAGTTAACCACCTTTATTGTGAGAGGTTTTACCATATTATTAATTTAATCTACCTAGCTATGTTCTCATTCTTCATTTTGTATATCTATATTTTCCCATTTTTCTTAAAGAGATTGCCAGATGTTTGGCATTTTAATTAGTTTTTTTGGCCTCAGTGAATGAGCTCTTAGATGTGTATATCAAATCTGGTTTTATTCTATTTTGGCCATCAATTTTTTTTTGTAAAAATTATTTCCTTCCTTTTGCTTTGTTTTCCTTATATTAACTTCCTGAAGTGAATGCTTTCATTTGTTTTCATTTCTTCTTATGTAATAATAAAAGCTTTTACGGATATGAATCTGTCTTTGAACACAGCTTCATTCTATTTTGCTGTGGTCAGAGTATTTGGCCTGTATAATTTCTGCCTTTTGAAATTCAGTGAGGTTTTTTTAAACATGTGCTCTGATGCATACTTAATTTTTGTAAGTATTCTGTGTACCCCTGAAATGAATACATGTTTTTTATAGAGGACAAAGTTAGAACAATATTGTTTTAATTACCATTATAACACATCTTCCAGGTGTGCTAAAAATTTATTTTTTTCTAACTCTTGATCTGTTAAAGACTGAAGAAGTTTTCTTTGTATTTTAATAGCAAAAATGTGTACTTTATTGAATAACACTACATTTTAAATAAATGTATGTAAAGGTATACCTTTGAATATTTCCTTCATCCTTTCTCCATCCTTTCAGTCCCCTCTCCAAAACAAAATAATAAAATAAAATAAGACAAGACGATAAGATAAAACATGCTGCCACAGGTAGCCACCATTATTAGTTTTCATATATCCTTCCAGAGTTGTTTTATGTAGATCAAGGATATACTAATATATATATATTTATTTTTACGCGTTTATTGTTCCACATTTGTGATGAAATCCTTTAAAGTCAGTCACAAACACCATGACATTGTGCGGTAAAATACTTCAGGATCCATTTAAAATTTGGGGAAAAAATTCCACTTACCAAAATAGCATTGTCATACCTAAACCTCAGTGATCATTTTTGACATTTCTGGTATAGAGCGCCTGCACAAATTTCTTCCCCTGTCTCTCAGCTGTTCCACCCTCACCGGGATGCTTGTTTTACACCTGGTTATCTCATCATTAAAGTCTTTCATCTTGTTTTTGCAACTTTTTATTACATGTTTTCAAATATTTAGAAAAATGAAAGCAGCACTATTAATTATTTCAGACATACACAGGAAGGCCCAGGCAAACGGGGACATTTAGTCATTGCACATAACAGGTAAATCCAATCATGGTAAATGTGCTCATCTGAGTGATCTCATTTACATTTATTAAGCCATGTTTTCTGATCAGTTAGAGTCACTATTATTTTGGATGCTCCACTTTGTTCCAAATTTGGCCAGTGATCCTCCCTCCCGCCTGGCTCCTATACTCTCCACATCCGCCGTGGTGCGTTCTCGCCCTCTGGTGTAACGACTTTTGAAACTTTTTGTTTCGTTTTGTTTTTTTGAGATGGAGTCTGGCTCTGTCACCCAGGCTGGAGTGCAGTGGCGCGATCTCTGCTCACTTTAACCTCTGCCTCCTGGGTTCAAGCGATTCTCCTGCCTCAGCCTCCTGAGTAGCTGGGATCACAGGCACCCGCCACCACGCCCGGCTAATTTTTGTCCCCAGTCCTGGAAGCAGCCAGTTCTTACTGGGCTCTGGGCCCTCTTCCTGGAGAATACCTTGCCAGCGTGGTATACTGTAGATTTCGTTTCCATGTCTCTTACAAGAAATCACACTGAACATATTTTTATTTATTTAATGGTCATAAAGTATCTGTTTATGTCTTGTCCATTTTTCTTCTGAATTGCTGGTCTTTCTCTCCCTGATGTATTAGAGATTTCTATGTATTAGAGATTTCTATGTTTTTGCCTGTGATGTAAGTTGCAAAGACTTTTTCTGTCATTGGATTATGCTTTTGCTCCTGCACATTTTTCTTCAGGCAGGCATTTTTTATTTTTATGTATTATTGATATTTTCCCTAGTTTTTGGACTTTTGAGTAAAATTTAGAGAAGCCTTACCAGTTGAAAATTTTTAAAGGAATTCACTCTGAAGTTTTTCTAATAGTTGTATGATTTCCTATTTCACATTTAGATATCTGATCTATGTGGTGTGCAATGTAGTCTGTGCTATGAAGTATGCAACCCACTTAATTCTTTCACTGCCATACTGTCAATTTTAAAAATTTATGGTTTTCATTTATATTTATAACTAAATTTATATCTACTCAATTGATTTGACATACACCCTTTGTTGTGTTCTAAATTGTTTTATTTGGGGTTATTCCTGAACTTTCTCTTCTGATCCACTAGTACATCTACTAAATTTTCTTTATTAAGTCTGAAAAATATGTTTAATATCTGGTAGAACTAGTCCCACCCCACTGCTTTTCTGTTTTGGATTAGTTTTTATTGTACTTTTTAATTAATTGTGTTTACATATGTTTTGTTTGTCAGTTTTGTGATCGGATTCCTTTTAAATTCCCTTATTTTTTTAAGTAATTTTTTTTCATTTAGTTTTCCTGGTATTTCTTAGTATAAAATTATTGTATATCAATGGCAACTTAAAAGTAGTTTTATCTCTTCCTTTCCTATTATGTAATTAACTTCCTTTTCTTTTCTAATTCCATTAGTTAAGACCTTCAATAAAAAGTTACAAAGAAAAAATAGTTAAGTAGTAGTGATGACAGTAGACAGCATTGTCTCATTTCTGACTTTGATCTATACATTTCATATTATGTACTTGTATATGTATAAATTATGTTTAGATATTTTCTGTTGATTTCTGTGTAACTGTCTTTTTAAAAATTAGGAATGGATTTGAAATTTAATGTCAAATGCTTTTCCAACGTTGTAGTAATGAGTTTTTAGCAAGACATTATTAATGTTTCCTAATGCTGAACCATCCATGTGGTAATATTAATTGGTTTCTTAATTGGAAATTAGGAATATTAATTGGTTGCCTAATTAGAGGCATTCAGCCATTCTTATAATAAAATCTACGTTTCATGATTTTTAAACATGTTTTGATTTCTGTTTGTTAGTATTTTACTCACAATGTTTCCGTCAGCCTTTGCAAGTGTTATTGATCTTTATCTTTTGTGAATTTCTTACAGGTTTATGAAAATAATTTGAAATACTATTTTCTTTGTTTTATGGTTTTGGACAGCTTAAATGGCATTAGATCGTTAGCTCTTCAATGTTTAGGTAGAATTTCCCTGAATAACAATCCAGACCTTTTTTTTGTTTTGTTGTGTTTTGGTATTTTCTTTATGGGTGGAATTTTTCTTTATTTCTTCGAAGGAAATTGTTCTGCTTGGACTTCTCAGTAGAATAGCCAACCTTTCTAATTTTTAATATACATTTATGGAACAATAAGTAGCTTCTCTTGACTAAAAAAAATCTTCTCTTTCAAGTATTATTTCTTCTTAATCATTTCTAATTTTGGTATGTATGGTTTCCTCTTCTTTTTCTCCCCTGATTAGGTGAGCCAGAGGTTCATCAATATTACTGTAATTTCAGGGAAGTTTTAATTTTTTTCTTTGGCTGTACTCTTTTTCTATTTTATGCTTTTATCCATGTTCCTTCAATACGTTTTGATTTTTTTTTTTTGCTAACCCTTTTACTTGAATGCTTAATTTATTTAATTTTGGTTTTTTAATTTCCATTGACATAATTTTGAGACTATGAATATTTCTTACTTTAGCTGTATGTCATAGGTTCTATTTTTATTTAATTTATATGTACATACCATAAAGTTTAATTTTTCATGTGCGGTTCTGTGAGTATAGACAAATGCATGGAGTAATGTATCCATCACTATGGTGCCATATTGAACAGTTTTCGTCACCCCAAAATTTCCTTTGTGCCCCTCTTTAGTGCCAAGCCCTTCACTAACCCCTAAACCCTGGCAACAATTGACCGGTTTTCCATTCCTGTAGTTTTGCTCTTTCTAGAATGGCATATAAATAGGCACATGCAATATATAGGCTTTTGCATGTGGCTTCTTTCACTTAGCAAAAATGAGTTTAAGATTCATTGACATTGCTGTATGCACCGAAAGTTTATTCTGCTTTATCCTGAGCAGTGCATCTACTTTGTGGATGTACTACTGTTTGTTTAGCCACTGACCATTTGAAAATATCTGGGTTGTTTCCTATTATTGCCAATTATAGAGAAAATTGCTGTAAATATTTTTCACCAGAGTTTTACAGACGTGTATTACCCCTTTCATATATTGCTGAATTTGAGTTAATATTTTGTTGAATATGTTTTCATCTATGTTCACGAGGAATACTGGGCTATGATTTTCTTCTCTCTTATCTTTGATTCCTTTTGGTATCAGAGTAATACTTGCCTCAGAAAATGAGTTTATAAGTGTCCTTTTCTATTTTCCACAGGAATTTTTGTAGAATTGGCATTATTTCATCCTTAAATGATTGGTGGAGTTTACCTTTAAAACTATCTTGGTCTGGGATTTTCTTTATTGTAAAATTTTAACTATATAAAATGTCTTTAATAGACATAACACTAACCAGGTTATTTATTTATTCTTTAGTGAGTTTTTGTAATATTTTACAAAGAGTTGGTCTATTTCATCTAAGCTGTCAGACTGATGCATTCCTTTATTATCCTTTTAATGTCTGTAAGGTCTGTAGTGATATAATTACTTTTGTTTCTGATATTGATGACTTATGTCTTGTCTTTTTCCTTTTGCTTAGTCTGTCTAGGGGTTTATCAATTTTATTCTTTTTTCCAAAGAAACAGCTTTTGTTTTCAATGATTTTCTCTATGATTCTTAGGTTTTTATTATTGCAATGGTTTCTGCACCTTGCTTTATTGTTACTTTTCCTTTGGCTAGCTTTGGGTTTAATTTTCTCTTTTTTCTTATTTCTTAAGGTGGATGCACAGATAATTGATGAGCGACTTTTCTAATATAAACATTTTATGCTATAGATTTCTTTCTAAACTATGATTTGGCTGTATCCCACCTGTTGCATTTTCAAATAAATATATTTTGAAATATTCTCTAATTTCCCTTGAAGCTTCCTCCATGACCCAAAGGCTTAAAAGTGTGATGCTAAATTTTTAGATATTTGGGTGTTTCCAAAGTATCTTTTGTTAATAATTTATAGTTTCATTATGTATGGCCAAAACACTTTGTATGATTTAAATTCTTTTATTGTTGTTAACGTTTATTTTATGGCCCAGAATATGATCTTATTTTGATAAATGTTCTCTGTGTACTGGAAGAGAATATATACTCTGCTTGTTGAAGGGAAAGTCTATACATGTCAAAGAGGTAAATTTGTTCAATACTAGTGTACAGGCCCTTCTTATCCTTGCTGATTTTCTGTCTACTTGTTTTAACAACCACTGCAAGAAGACTGTTGATATCTTGAAGAATGAGCATGGGTTTGTCTATTTTTTTTGTTTATTTAGTTTTTGCTTCGTGCATTCTGGAACTTTCTTGTTTGATGCATACACACTTAGCATTATTATTTCTTTTGGATTAATTTATTTTTCATAATTATATAATGTTCGTTTTTATCCTCAGTAATTTTCCTTGTTCTGCAGTTCAATTTTTCTGATATTACTATAGCTACTCTCATTTTTAAATTAGTGTTTACTTGACATAGCATGTTACCATCTTTTCACTTTGACTATATCTATATCATTATATTTGAAGTAGGTTTCTTATAGATAACATAGAATCAGTTGGTTTTTAAAACTTTAGTCTGATAATCTTTTTTAACTCGTGCTTTTAGGCCATTTATATTTAATGTAATCATTGATATGATTACATTAGGCTTCCAATTTTATTGTTCACATTATTCCAGATTATTCCTTTCAGATTGTGTGTGGTGGTTCATGCCCTTGATTTCAATGATACTTGATGGGGTTCATTTGAGCATTCCCCCTTTTTTCGTTGGCAACTCATTTCTCTGACAGAGTCCTGGCTGTCATTACTTACATACATATTTCTTTATTTCTTCAGTCTTTGAACAAAAACTAGTTTCAGAATTGCTAACTCACATTCCCGTGGAAAAAAAAACTCACTAACTAGAGTACAATATTTGTACACCATTCTGTTTGTTTTAATTTTAAGGTCCCTAAAATTTTTGGATTAATACATCCACAATGCTTAGCCAAGTTTCTGGTGTTTATCAGTCAATCATCCACTCTCTAACTGCCTCACCGAGGTGTGCTTTCCTATTTCTGTAGGCCAGTCATCTTAATCTGGAGGAGAATTTATTTTTGATTAATATGAGGTAGACTTTTGCTAGAAATAATGAATTAACATGGCACCAATTCCAGAAGGCACTGCTCCAGTGGCCCTTCCAAACCCAGCACCTTTTTCTGCCAGCTTCACACCCACAGTGGAAAGTGCTCTCCAACAGCCATCATTGCCTAAATGGAAGCAATTGAGTAAATATAGATACAATGGGGTGGAGTGAGGATGTGGGGAAACAAATAGTCCTAGATGCCTCAGAAAGGAGCTCTTTGTAGTGGGGCTTTTCTTGCCTATTAGAAATACAAGAGGGGAGGTGAGGAGGGGAAATTACCCAATTTCTTTCTGTATGATAAAATTGTAATTCATTTTGTATGTAACTTTTGATTCTTAGAAATTACTTCTCTGGTCTAGCAGAACTTGACATTTCTGCATCCCATTCCTTTTGAAATATTTTGTTTGTTTATTTTTAATGTTGCATTTAAGAGAATTTGAAAAGAAATATGAGGGATGTTTCTCATACAAATCAGCTTTGGTTGTAATATTCAGAGAGTCATTTTTCTTAAAGTGCCATTATCTTACTCTAAAGTCAGAAAGATCCTATTCACTTTCTAATCTGTCATCTCCTGAATAGTCGAGAATATGCACAACCTTAAATCTTTAATCTCTTTTTGGAGGAGGAATATTATTTGCTCCAGAAATGATCTGTATTTGGGGGACTTTTAGAGCTATGCTATTTAACATGAAGGCAGGGTCAGCCTGTGTTATTGAACTCAACTAGTTATTATCAATTTTGTTAAATTTAAGTAATTAATTGAATATTCGAGAAGAGGGCTTTTAACCCTTGTGCCACTAACTTACAAATAAATACGAACATTTAATACTGAAACTTTTGTGGTTTTTGTTTTATAAGTGCTTTCCATGAAATTATATTTCTACCTATTGTACAGATAATAGATATTTTCGTAATCTAAATATCCCTGTGTCATCCATAAGTGTGCTTAACTGAAAGAGACCTTAGCATACTAATGTCATACTGCTTACCTCATATTACTGTTTTAAGACAAAAACAGAACTTAATACAGGCAATATTACTAAGTTAGTTTAAAAGATGATAACTATGTGGGAAAAGATTTAAATAAGTAAACACTAAAGCAAATTTGATAAACTTTAGTAACTATTTTAATGATTAATTATGACTTGTTCTGATCTGAAGTATGTTTCTAAGCTTGAGAAATATAAATCTTTCTAACATGAAAGTGTTCATTATAAAATGAACATACAAAAGGCTGAATGGATTTTATGGAGAACACAGGTATATCCAATACCTAGATTATGATGGGGATGTTAATGTTCCACCACTGACATTTTACTATGCTTGTCTTATCACACATCTATCGATCTATCTATTCAACAGTATTTTCATTTTTAATTTCTTAACTCAGAGTCAGCCTCTGTCTTGAATGACCATTAGACTTCAAATAAACTAGATATCAATATCCCTTGAAAAACATTTGGCTTTAGATTCAGCTTTAATCTACCTCTGTTTATTATGTGTGAGGTGTTAGAAGCAAAAGAAAAATGACTTCACTGTTTATATCTGAGGCTTCTCTTTTCCCATTAGGAGGCCTTCCTGACCAACACTTCTCAGGAATACCCTTTTCATCCTCTCTCCCTTTACTCTGTTTTATCTTTTTGTCTTCAGCACTTAGCATCATACAATATTATTATATAGCTTCATACACCTGTACTGGAAACATGCTAATTGTGTTTTTTGTTTTCTTTTGTACATAATTAGATCTTAGGACTTGCCTGGCACAGATATTTTAAGTTCGTAAATGTGGGAAGCTGTTTATCTGACTTCTAAGCCACTATTTTATAAACATGAAGTTTTGCAACATCTTTCTGTACTAACAGTGTTACTTTAACTGTCAACATCTATTGCAAAAACAAAAAATCCCCACATAATTACTGTTTTCAAAAGGTGACTTATAGCACTTTTTATTGTAACACTAAAGGGCTCAGGCCTTGTTTGCAAAATCTCCCCAGACAACAGCTGCTTCTTAAGCCTAATGACCAAAGGTAAATCTTTTTTCACTTTACATTTTATTAATTGGTTTTTGTACTGGAATTTCTTCTTGTACTTTATTTTTACATCTATTAAAATTTCTTCTTGTACTTCCAAGAGTGTTTTATTTGAAACAAACTTCCAACTATTTGTATGGTATGTTTGTTGTCTACCTGAATGTAGTTTGCCTATGTAAGGTGGCCTATTATATCTCAAGACTTTTTTCTTGTGAATTGAATAGCAGAAAATCATTAATAAAAGGGATGCACTTATTCAGTGGAAATGCTGCTCACACAATAGAAAGAACATCATCCTTCACACTGTAGAAGAAATTGTATCCTTGAACACGTCACTCCCCAGGCCTGCACTATGGCTTGCTAACTGCAATGGAGTTCCATGGCCAGGAGAGGAGACCTGTTTTCCTGATATTAACTTTGAATCACATTCACAGAATGTGTGAGATAATCACACGGGGAATAGTTCTGGGTAGTGAAAACGAGGAAGGCAAGGGCAGCCTCTTCATGGCAGGTCACAGCCTGGGCAAAAGACCCTGATTCCTAAGGCCAAGGCTATCTCTCAATAAGAAATGAAAGTCGGTTTCTCAAGGAATTTCTTTAAAAGGAAATAAACGCTTCCTACCTCCTCTTCTTCAGTGAACAGCGCTCTAAGATCATACTACATTCTTGCCTAAATGTGATGCATCAGACAGAGAAAGACATCAACTACACCCTAGTAAAGATTCAGTTCCTTACCTTTTACCACATAATATTCCAAAGTAGTGGCTTTAAAAATTTTTTGCTAACCATAAAAGAAGTTTGAAAAACTATGTATTACATCTCTTTTTAAAGATGATAGCTAGACATTTTATTCAAA
The DNA here is from genome assembly GCF_000001405.40 of Homo sapiens. Lineage (NCBI taxonomy): Eukaryota > Metazoa > Chordata > Mammalia > Primates > Hominidae > Homo > Homo sapiens. The sequence goes on along the minus strand of NC_000013.11, from coordinate 109,923,547 downwards.
AGTTTAAATTGTTTGAAGGATTATCATTTCTGATTTATTGTGAATGTTAACATTTTGAAATAAAAGTGTTACATGATTAAAAAAATCAACCCAGTGGACTCTAAATGCCCCAGTAATTTGACACCCATCAGAAGCTACTTAAGAGGAAAATGAACAAGTTCTTTAATAATAGAAAATAAAATGTGTTTCATTATTCTCTATTATTTATTTCAATTTTACTTTCCCATGGAATTTTTTCTTCGTGTAAAGTTTTATTGATCAGCTTATATACTTCTTTTCAAAAACTATATATAAAATTTTTTCAAACTTTTCTAGCACATTTCCTGTGAACATAGTGTTCTGTATTTTATTCTGAGTTGTTAGTTATAATTAATAACTGTAGAAATTGATCAAAACAACATAAATATATTATAAAATTTTATGCATCATTATTAAACATAAAAAGTAAAATGTATTGGAAATGTGTCTTGGATTTTTTGTCAAGTAGTTTAAATAATCACAGATAGATATTATTTATTGATATAATGAAACAGGGCTTGGCATTAATTCAATTCCTAATTTTCATTTTCGCAGATTGAAGAACTGAGATATTTTGTTCAAATAAATCGGCACTTGGAAGGATTTCATTATGAAAATTTCACTCAATTATTTAAACCTTTTTCAAGTTGTATGCAAAAAATCACATAGTGGTCTATCATCAAATTATTTTAAATGATCTATCAGTTCCCATCTCAATCAGGACGTTTTTCAGTTTAGCTGATAGCAAAGAATATGGCATCCTGACTTGCAAAGTGACTCATTACTTAGTCATTAGAGTCATATGCTTAGCAAATTTATGAATATGACACAAAAATGCTTTGCTAAGAATTACCAAATCACTATTATCATACCTGTGGCTCTTTCACTCAGAGGCACGTATTTTTTTTTTAAACTCAAAATACTAGAAAATTGTAGAAAATGAAGAGATGCTGTTAATTTCAGTACACCTTTACCAGTGCAATATTTTAAATAAAATATGATTATCTTGTCATGGTCTTTCCATTTTCATCAAAACCTTGGAGTGGCAGACGCAGACAGAGACACGGGTGAATTAGGTTGTTCACTAAATTCCCGCTTGGTACCAAGAATCGGAAGAATCTAGATGGCATGTTTGCCAGCAGATTGGTATTTCCAAGCACACTTTTTAACCAGTTTTGGCTATTCTTACTGTAAGGTGGAGAGCACATTTTCTAGCCTGGCCACCAGTTTTTATCCCTGATTAGATAAGGCACCCTTAGCTTCAATATTTCTTGCTCTTCCTGTCTTTGTGTGTTCTCTCTCCTTAAGTTGAGAGTCCTTGTTAGATAAGATTTGGAGGCTGGAAAGTGCCATGGACTGAACGAAAGTCAGTCAAAGTTTGTTTCAGCTTATCATTGCCCCTGCCATCGCCAGAAACATTATCTAAGGTCTTTCTTAGGTGATCTGAAAAGTAGAGAAACTTATACATAAGGGAAATTCATGGAGATAAGTTTGACCGTGGCAAACTGAAAAGGCTCTCTCTTTTTTACATTCCATGCAGAGAATTCTTACTAAACTTGCAGTAGTATTAGGTTGTTGCAAAAGTAACTGCGGTTTTTGCCATTACTTTTAATTACTTTTAATGGCAAAAACCACAGTTACTTTTGCAATAACCTAATGCTTTTTTTCCTCCTTAGAAGTTGGGCTTGTTGACACTCTCAGATTAGGATCCTGCAAATGTTGGGCTTCACAACCCCCAACTAATTCTCAGTCAGTTTTTCCGGTACCCAAGTAAACTGATCAGTCCTTAATTCCTGGGATTATTATTTTTAAACATAGTGATATATTCAGCTACAAGGTATTCACTTTCCGTGTGTCCTTTTGGGAGACTCCAATGTGTAGGCCTGACATGGTTAAATTTCGGTTATTAAAAGTCAGTACAGGCTGGGCGCAGTGGCTCACGCCTGTAATCTCAAAACTTTGGGAATCTGACGCAGGTGGATCACCTGAAGTCAGGAGTTTGAGACCAGCCTGACTAATATGGTGAAACCCTGTCTCTACTAAAAATACAAAAATCAACTGGGTGTGGTGGCATGTACCTGTAGTCCTAGCCACCTGGGAGGCTGAGACAGGAGAATTGCTTGAACCCAGGAGGCAGAGGTTGCAGTGAGCCAAGATCGTGCCACTGCACTCCAGCCTGGGTGACAGACTGAGACTCCATCTCCCCCGCCCAAAAAAAAAAAAAAGTCAGTACAAACTAACTTCTAAAATGAATGTATTGTTAGTGAGTTTGGTTACTAGGTACAAATACATTGGTAGGAAGATAAGAGAATCCAGATTTGAGTGTACCTTCCTCTTTTAAGCATCAAGTCCATAGTTTGTTCTTCCCATTTCCTGACGGTAAGACACTCCTCTAGGCAGCAGAGCATCCTTTTGTGGCCCAAATACTAATTAATTTATGATTAGTACACAAAGCATGTTTCCTACTCAGCTTTTTCTAATCCTCCAAAATAATGTCCTGGGCGTTACTGAAACACTTTGGAACTGAACTGAGAAAACCATTCATTCATCCCTGTGAAACTATGTCCCATGTAGCCAACTGGACAGGCCAAGTTTCCAGCTGTGGGTGATGGACACCTGGCTGCGGAACATGAGGCAAGGGCTCTAAGGCTGTCCTAGTGCCAGAAAGTGTTTCCTTCGTTCACCTAAGACTTTCCCCAAAGATGCATTCCTCTGAGTTACAAAGGCTTTTATTGAAATGTGGGTTTAACAAGAAAGCCAGCACCTTACCCTGTTTGGGTTGGGAGCTCTCTGAAGGCAAGATCACCAAGCTGGGGGTGGAGCACATGGCGTGGGGACAGCCCCTGCCAGCATCAGGCAGAAAAACCTGGGCACCAAAAGAAAGGGGGTATGACATCTATGGCATTGAGGACTATAGCCTGAAGTGTCACATTCTTAGTGGCACAAATCCAGTATCTTAAAACCCATAGAAAGAGCAAACGCATCTTTACTGAATTCCTCCAAGGGCGGTTCCTCGGATGTGTGTCTCCCAAGGTGTCATTTGTCTTCTACCATGATGAGCCCAGCACCAGAGAAAGTGGAAGAACTCAGGCTATCATCGTTCTCAAGATTTTGATAAACCCAACTTCACATTCATTAGTTAATTAACTGAACACATTCATTAAGTACATTGTATACCAATCCCTACATGAAAATTAAAGGGGAAGAGTTTCCGTCTTCTCCTTCCCTACATCAACCTGAAAGCAAGAAGCAAACTTAATTCATTTCATTCTTGGTTATCACATTCTGTCACACAAAAATTCTGGCAAAGGGTGAAAATAATGTGTCTGTGATCTCAGTTCATCGGAATGTGATGGACTGGGATAAAATTACTCAAAGCAACTATACTTAAAGAGCTGCATGGCACATCTACTCACTGAGTTTGAAGCATGGGCTATTGCTCTCAATGGAAAATAAGTGAGAGACCATTTTCTTTCTGCTGATGCAATGTTGGTATTGGAAAGGAGGTCATGACAATAAACTCAGAGAGGATCAGCTCCTGCAATGTGGTTCTGAGAGGCAGGATGTCACAGCCACACAGGAGTGGCAGCATTAGCTTGGGTCTCATCCCTTTCGTGGCAAAGGTCCTTCTCCCGTCCAAAGGGCAGTTTGTGTCACAGTCTTTTGGGAAACCTCACTGAGAGAGATGCTGGTTGGTTCAAGGGTTTAGACTTGGTGATTTGGCCTTTAATTCTTTCTTTTGCTATGGTTTTGTTTTCACTGTCCTTGTGAGCTCTATGTTTGTGTATATGAGGCAGCAACTGTCTCCATCAAAATCTCTCTCTTAATATAGATCATTTTCCTTTCCTCGGCACTATCTGGCCAAATAACAAGGCAGTGCCATGAACACTTGCGTTTCTCAATTTTTTTTTTTTTTTTTAGTTTATTTTGAGATGGAGTCTTGCTCTGTCACCCAGGCTGGAGTGCAGTGGTGCAATCTCAACTAAATGCAACCTCCGTCTCCTGGGTTCAAACGATTTTACTGCCTCAGCCTCCTGAGTAGCTGAGATTACCACGTGCCTGGCTAATTTTTGTATTTTTAGTAGAGACAGGGTTTCACCATATTGACCAGGCTGGTTTTGAACTCCTACCTCAGGTGATCCACCCACCTTGGCCTCCCAGAGTGCTGGGATTACAGTTGTGAACCACCATGTCTGGACTGCGTTTCTCTTTTTGACTTGTGTGTCAGGTTCTTCATGCTGTAGCTAGATTACTGAATGTGTAGGCAAATAATTTCTTATGAAATCGACTTACGTTTTAAGTACAAATGAGTAGCTCACATTTTAAGAGAGACCGTGGTGGAGCCTTTGAAATTCATGTTTGCCTTTTTCTAGTTTTATGTATTTTTGAAACAGGAAGTTTAATACACTTGGTTCTCTGACATTGGGGTATAACCTACAGCACTTCCGTCTTACGTTTATGCAAGTACAGCATGAATTACAAGTCCAAGCATAAGATATTTGAGGGAACAGTATAAGAAAATGACTAACAGAACTCCCAAATATCCCATCAGAGCAACACCAATGCCCTAACTTAGAAATTCCCTAATTTAGCAATAAAAACACTGCCTGACTGAGGTTTTGTTTTCACTATGAACTAGGTGATAAGCCAAGCCCAAGGCCTCTGACACTGCAGATAAACTTGTGCTTTGACTTTCTCTGTGCAGTAGGCGTGGAGTAAGTAAGAACCTCTTCCCACTTCTATCAGGGGTACTGCAGGCATTGCTCTGAGAATTTGGACCCGACCACATTAATATTCCCAATCCACATCAGGAATGTAAATTCCATTCCTTCCGGGGTATTTTAAAGATCACACTTCTAAGTCATAAAGCCGTCTGCACCAGTGTCTTGTGAATAATTGGGTTGGTTTAGAATCTGTTTATGAACAACTGCAGCCAGGATGTGAGCATCACAGCAATCACCCATGGTGTCCACAGGCAGCGGGGGAGACAGAGCCCCTCCCAAGAGCATGATGTGTCACTCTGAGCCTGAGTGAAGAGGGTGGCTCTGAGGAAAATGCAGACTCAGATGATGGGCCGCCACCAGGGAACAGGGAGGCGTGGCGGCCAGTTGCCACACTGGAGTCAGCTGTAGGCATGATGAAAAGACACGGCGCTGGGGATTATGTGTGAGCTAACTAACTCCCAGTGAGATAGAGGGTAGCTCAGCTTCTACTGGATGTTCCAGTAGGAGGCTTACTTCCTGGCAAGCCTGGTAGAGTTTCAGGGCACAGCCGAGCCAGGACCTGGCACATCCCAAGGGGCAGAGCTGGCCTTGAAGAAGTCAGGCACTCAGAGGAGGAGGCAGTTGGCCAGTTGGTCATGCCCAATTTCTTCTTCTTGTGCACTACTTTTTGGAGTGGAAACAATTCTTCTCTGTGGCCTTTTATTACGCTGGCCTTTGCCATTGTGAAAAAAATATTTTTTATAGACAGGCCACAAAGAGGCCTGACATTTCTACTAAACAGAATGTTGAAAGCCACAAAGATTACTAATAGCTATCAGTGGATAGATCATAGATTATAAAATAAGTTGCACAGTGTGATTTTAATTTATTTGTGCAGTATTTTTATAAGAAGTATTTCTCTTAAAATTGATCTAAGAAATAAAAATTAGAGAAACAAAACCAACAAAGATTACAAACCCTTAAAGGGAAATCAAATTTGCTAAAAATCTAGTCAAAATGAAAATTATCAAATAGGCCAGTCCTAGCATTGAAAAGAAATATATATGTATGTAATTTCTGAATTTTCCAGTATTTTTCTCCACCCTCCCATATGTGCTATGTAACTAAAATCCACTCGAATGCAATCTCCTTTCTGCACTTGTTTATACCCTCTAGATAAGACACAAGTTGACAAAAGAATGGGGAAATAAAATATTTTAATAGCATTCCAGTTGGTTAAATTATTGAGTTAGCTCCTCTCCTTCTGTAACATATTTTGGAATGACTTCAAATTTTATGAATGAAAAGTCCTTGTAGTTTTTCTCTTTAGGGCATGAGTTCTTTAAAAATAAGCACTGTGTCTTACTCATTTTGGTAACACTAGCAGTAGTGCATTTTACCTGGCACATAGAAGGAACTTAACCACTGTTGAATAGAGAATTATTGCACTGGTTTTTAGTTTCTCTGCATTGTTGAGTAGTATGTGGATAGCCTTCCAGTGTAAGAGCATTGCTCATCCTGATCAAGAGAACTGGGATACACCCATTGCAGAGGTTTGGGACCCTGCTGCAGTGAATCCCAAAACCAGATTTTGGGGACTGTTATTTATACTGTAAACTGCAGCTACTCTTTCTGAAGCTGGTAAATTTTACTACTACATTGCAGGGGCCAAACATCTGAACCTGGAATCAATATTTCTGGGTTTCCTTAAGCAGGAAAAGAATGGGATTCAGATAAGAAAGACCTCTGGATCTTTTGATAAACACATTATCAGTTATCACGATTTATCCTAGCTATTATTTACATTTATATGCTAATATTTATGTTATTTATAAATATGCTTATTAGCCAAGTGTCAGAAAATATCTAGCCAGAAAAGTCATATTTTTTATGGGTTTACGTAAGGAAATATAAAAGTTAAAGGCAAGTAGGCTGTGTGTGGTGGCTCATGCCTGGAATCCCAGCACTTTGGGAGGCTGAGGCGGGCAGATCACGAGGTCAGGAGATTGAGACCATCCTGGCTAACACGGTGAAAACCCATCTCTACTAAAAATACAAAAAATCAGCCAGGCTTGGTGGCAGGCGGGCACCTGTGGTCCCAGCTACCGGAAGGCTGAGGCAGGAGAATGGCGTGAACCCGGGAGGCGGAGCTTGTAGTGAGCCTAGATCGTGCCACTGCACTCCAGCCTGGGCGACAGAGTGAGACTCCTTCTCAAAAAAAAAAAAAAAAAAAAAATTTAAAGGCAAGTAGTGCGGGTGAGGAACTGGTAACCATTTTGCCTTGTGAGTGCCGCCAGCTGACCTTCCATGATGTCTGCATCTCTGTGCCTGAAGGTTTTCTTCTGTGATCAAAACAGCTGCTTTGACCCTAGGCTAGGTAATCACTTCCCTACTACCACCGTGAAGCAATGATGCTAAACCCCAGTGACACACCAGTTCCATTGTCCCTCAGGTGTAGTCACTCTGAAGCCTGGGACTTGCATTGTTTCCCAGAGTTTCCATGGGGAGCAAAGGCTCAGTTACCCATGGTGGTGAAGGACGTAAGAACATGCCTCTTTGGACTCCTTCCCCTCCAGTCCCCTTCCTGTGCCACTTCCCCACTTTCCTGCAGAATTGGGGCACCTGTCCAATAGCCCCTTGCATCTAGACTATTGTCTCAGCATCTGATTCCAGGGGAACCCAAACTAAACAAGTGATCAGGGAAAACCCCTGCTTCAGATCACTGAATGCCCACTGAAAAATGTGAGTGGAGGATGCCCCGTGAGGTATAAGAAGGAGGACCATAAACCCCAGGCCGAGAACTCGTGGACCAGCTGTGTGCGCAGAGACGGGCTTTTCCAAAAAGACAGACAAACCATCAAGTAAGAATGTGGTGCAGGGGCTCAGAAGAGCCCTAAACCTTCTATGCCTTCTGTCCTCTCTGGTAAATATTGCCATAACTGGCTTATCAAATCCAGACATCGTACCTAAGAGGTGTGAGTGTAACATACAAGAAGGAGCAGCATTTGGGGCATAATAGTGTCTTCTTTCCAGAATTTCTCAGTGAAGCATTCTTTCATTCCCCAAGACAGAGTTAACTGTTGCTTTCTCTGTTTCTCTAGAACCCTGCTCACTTGATATATCAGCTTCCTAGGGCTGCTGTAACAAAGCACCACAAACTAAGTGGCTTACACAACTGAAACCATTTTCTCATAGTCCTGGAGGCCAGAAGTTCAACATCAAGGTGTTGGCAGGGTTCGTTCCTACTGAGCACCATAAGGGAAGGATTAGTTCCAGGCCTCTCTTCTGTGCTGGTAGATTTCAAGTCTCTTCCTGAAGCTTCAATTCTCCCTGAGGCTTCAATTCTCTTCCTCTATGAATATCTCTGTGTTCAAATTTCCCCTTTTTCTAAGGACATTAGTCATATTGGATTAGGGCTCACCCTCACGACTTCATTTAAACTTGATTACCTCTGTAAAGACCCTCTCTTCAAATAAGATCAGATTCCGGGTACTGAGAGCTTGTTTGGAGGTTCTAGCGGGGGAACGCAGCTACTCGTAAACCCTTGACCAAAGACTGGTCTTCCTCTATCGCGGATGGTTTTCCTCTTTGACCGAGCGTGCAGCTTTGGGAGGGACGCACATGGAGGGGTGACGGAGGAAAGGGATACCCGCCTGGCCAGCCAGATCAGCCGATGCAACCCTAGCGATCAGTGGGGAGACAGATGTCACAGCGAGATCTCCCTCACATCCAGATTCTGGGTACTGAGAGTGAGGACTTTCACATATGAATGTGGAGGAACACAGTCCACTCACAGAACACCACCATGAACCACTGTGTTGCCGTCATTCTCTTTCCCTTCCCCAGCACACTATGTGCCCCTCAGATTTGGTCTCTTTGCCTCTGGCATAGCTGTTGGAATATTTTTCTTTTTACTAAATTTTATTTTACTTTGGTATGAAAATCTACCCTCTGGACAAATGTTTAAGCATCCAATACGGTATTGCTCATTATAAGCACAATGTCGTAAATAGCAGATCTCTAGAGCTTTTTCATCCTGCATAACTGAGACTTCATGCCCGTTGACCAGTAACTCTTCATTTACCCTGACCCTCAGCCCATGGTCACCAGCAACCCGCTCTTCGGTTCTAGGAGTCTTACTGTTTTTGGTTCTTCATATGAGTGGAATCTTGCAGTATTTGTCTTCCTGTGACTGACTTATTTCACTTGGCATAATGTCCTCAAGGTTCATCTGTGTTGTTGCATATCCCCACATTTCTTTCTTTTTTAAGACTGAATAGTATTCTACTGTATGCATATGCTACATTTTCTTTCTTCATTGATTTGTCAGTGGACAGGTTCTCAGGTTGTTTCCACATCTTGGCTATGGTGCATAGTGCTGCAACGAACACAGGAGTGCTAATATCTCTTTGAGATCCTAATTTCAATTCTTTTGGATAAATAACAGCCAGAAATAGATTGCTGAGTCATTTGTGGTTCAATTTTTAATTTTCTGAGGGACCTCCATTCTGCTTTCTGTAACAGCTGTGCCATTTTGCATTCCCAGCAACTGTGTGCAAGGGTTCCAGTTTCTCCACATCCCTGCCAAAACATGTCTTTTTAAAAAAATAACAGCCATTCTGACAGGTGTGAGATGATACCTCATTGTGGCTTTTATTTACACTTTCCATATAATTGGTGACATTGAGCAGCTTTTCATACACCCGCCAGCCATTTGTATGTCCTCTTCGGAGAAATATCTTTTAAACACTCAGAATAAGTGAAAGAGTGAATAAAAAGTAGGTGTTCCATAGATATCATTGAATGAATGAACTGTTAGCAAATGTATAATAAGGTGCAAATGAATGATATCAGATTCTTCCTGAAAGTAGGCTTTTACTTGTGTGAAGAGTTAGTGCTACAGAGAGAACAAGGGTTGTCAGTGTCTAACAAAGGTGGGAGGGGAGCAACTGATGGCAGCAAGGATGGGAATACTGAAACGGAAAGGGTGCCTTGAGACAATAAATACTAATTTTCCGTTTTTCCTGGGGCCATCCCTGTATATGGAGCTTTTGAACTCAAAATCTTGACCTTCCTTGTACTGTAGGTATAAGTGATTTTGTGGCCACGTTGGATACCCTTGGTCAAGGCAAGTTTAGAGGTATCATTTCCTTCCTTCTGACTCATCTAAGAAAATGTTCTCTAAACTCCAGGCTATTAATGGCTTTGCAAAAATTTCTGAGTGATAATGCTGCCTCCATTACCTTTTTGGCTGGTTTGGTATGTTTCTTTTTCACTATATAATATTCATACAGGGCTGTTGCACTCATGAATGGATGAGCCTGCATAGAAAAGAGGAGATGACAACCTTAAGGAACATTTTTAAATTGAAAATTGCCCAAGACTTTGAGCCAAGCACATATATGCTAATGACATACAAATTACATACAAATCATATGCAAATATATCTTTCATCTATCCAAGTCTCCTTATGCTTTGATGTGGCCCTTGGGAAGCGTCCTGCTGCAGATCATTAATCTAAGGAGCTGATTTAACAGCTTTCTCATTCTTTGGCCTTTTGTTATCTAATTGCCTTCATTATCTGGAATAATGCATAAATGCATTTTCTAGAATTTCATAAATAAGAACCCATAATTTCAACAAAGGGATTTTTGTTTGGTGAATAGTCTTATCACATTGATCATATATACATATACATATATAATATATGCACATATATACATATATATGAAAAAGCTGTATTTTGAAAGATGTTAAAGAAGTTAGAATGCAAATAGAAGATACATTCATAATAGTTGTTACTTTCAAATTAAGCACATGCCATCTTTAAGAGCTGTCCTTTGAAATTTATTACTTTAGGTACTTGGTAAAGCAAAGCAATCACATTTAGGTACCAAATACATCTGACAAAAGCTGTAACAATAGATACTGAGATCAAAACTAATTTTAAAACTCTCTTATATCTATTGTTGAATGTAAGGCAAGTTATGTGCAAGACTTGTTAAGCATTGTTAAGGGCACCATGCAGAAGGATCAGTATCATAGTATGAGGGAACAGGGGCCTCATCTGTGTTCAGAGGCAGGTGTACAGAAAGCACTCAGTAAATGTCTGGAGATTAAGACAGAGCCACAGACCTGTTTGGAGAAGGCATTTAGCTTCAGGATGCACCCTCCAACAGCAAGTTAAACTTACACAAATTCCTGCTTTGATGGAGTCACTGGGAACTTCAGCTTGCAGAAAGAGTGACCAAGACCAGCTAATGCTCAGCTCTCCCCCACAATTCCCGTCTCTTTTTGCCCTCATTGTCTTCATTAGCTGAAATAATGTATAAATGCATCTTGAATAATTTTATAAATTAGAGGATATACTCACTGCAGCCAGTGAGTAAATCAGCAAATACTCATTGAGCATCCATAGCATGCACTACAGGGAAACAAAGAAGTAAAAGTATACACTAGCCACCACCAGTTAAAATTATCCTATAGACTGACATCTTGTTTAGCTAATGCACCCATACAGTACAAAGATCTCACCCTGAGATCAACTGCAACTAAGAGCAGGAATGTGAAAATATGAAAAGGTATCTGTCGGGAGCTAGACTTTCTCTGGTCATCCCTTTGGACACGGGTCTGGCTGCCGACACAGACTGCAATTGCAACGTATGGGAAAGCAGTTGACTCTATTCAGAGACGTGGTGTCCTGAATGGTCTTAAGAATATCATATTGCATTTAAAGGCAATTAAGGGGAAAGTTTTATTATGAATCGACACTTGCATTTGTGGTTGTATCTGAAAATCTTATACTTCCATCTGCATATTATTTATCAGTTGATTGTATCACTCACAGACATCTAAAACCTACCCTATCATTGACATGAAAGAGAAGAGACTCACAGCAGCACTTCCTTTTCTTTTCTTTTTTCCTTTTCTTTCTTTCTTTCTTCTTTTTTCTTTTTTTCCAAGCTGATGGAATCCCACTCTGTCGCCCAGGCTGGAATGCAGTGGCACGATCTTGGCTGGCTGCAACCTCCACCTCCTGGGTTCAAGCAATTCTCCTGCGTCAGCCTCCCGAGTAGCTGGGATTACAGGCACTCACCACCACGCCTGGCTAATTTTTTTGTACTTTTAGTAGAGATGGGGTTTCACCATGTTGGCCAGGCCGGTCTCCAACTTCTAACCTCAAGGTAAGATCTTTGTACCATGTTGGCCAGGTTGGTCTCCAACTTCTGACCTCAGGTGATCCACCCACCTCGGCCTCCCAACGTGCTGGGATTACATGCATGAGCCACCGCGTCTGGCCAGCAGCACTTCCCCCTTTTTTCTTTTTCTTTTTTTTTTTTTTTTGAGATGGAGTCTTGCTCTGTCACCCAGGCTGGAGTGTAGTGGCGAGATCTGGGCTCACTGCAACCTCTGCCTCCTGGGTTCACACCATTCTCCTGCCTCAGCCTCCCGAGTAGCTGGGAGTACAGGCACCTGCCACCATGCCCAGCTAATTTTTTATATTTTTAGTAGAGACAGGGTTTCAGCGTGTAGGCCAGGGTGGCCTCGATCTCCTGACCTCGTGATCTGCCTGCCTCGGCCTCCCAATGTGCTGAGATTACATGCATGAGCCACCGCACCCAGCCAGCAGCACTTCCCTTTTAAAATGGAGCCGCCATCCCAGACACTGCATGTCTGAGATGACCTCAGGCAGAGCTAACCAGCAGCAATGTCTTTTTCTCTTTAATGCATTTTGGTTTTGCCTCATTTAATAAACACTTCCATAGTACTTGCTGTGTGCCAGGTATTATCTTAAGTGTTCTACAAATATTAATTCTCAAAACAGCCGTATATGATATGGACTATTATTATTTCCAACTTTCTATGGGAGAATTGAGGCATAAAAAATTGAAACATTTTACTTAGGTTTACACGATGCAGAATCAAACCTAACACAATCTAACTTCAGGGGCTATGCTTTTAGCCACTACACTATGTGTCTGTTTCCTTGTGTAGAGCTACATGATTTCCTTAGACCTTTCATAATTTGCTGGACTAATGCAAGAATGACTCCAGAAATTAGGTACTGGAGGCAATCTGAGGCAAATTAGTTACCTTCAGAACTGGGAAAATGACCTACATCCAAAAGTGCATCAAGAAATAGGAAAAAAAAGTTGCTTAGAGTCTCAATGCAGAAAGTGATCTACCAATCTGGTTATCATCTGTAGCTATCGGATGGTTGATTTCTGTTCTGCCAAAGATATCAGCATGCACTGGAGAAGCAGTACAGGGATGATTACTCTCAGAGACCAGACTAAATATTTCAAGTGAAGCAGAACAGAAAATGCCTAAGGTTTTGGAAACTGCAGCCTGTGAGTAAGATAAGGTGGAAAGCAGCCAGACAAAAATCAAAGAAGTCCAAAGCAGCCCCTCCAGCACTTTGGAGGAAGCCAGCCTGTGATCTGGGACGCTGCTGAAAGCACAGCAACCAAAAGGGAAATGAGAACATTATCAACCGGCATGCACTCTGGAGCTCCAGGCAACCACGTGCTTCTCCTTGGAGAAGAGCATGGAGCAGGTGTGGCAATGCTAAAGTCAAACCTGCTGTTGGTTATTGACGGTGCCCATGGAGGGAGCAGGGGCTCCTTCTCCGAGGACAGCTTTGAAGCCCCTTCTTCTGGCCTTCAGCACCTACCTGACTCCCATTTTCCTTCCACCTACCTTTGGGCTATACCTTGCTCTCAAATGTGTACTTAATTTTTGTTAGTTGTTTTCTAGTCCATCAGATAGTGTAGGTAGGCATCCATCTTTTAAAAAGGGATCAAATTTTGCCAGTTTTGAGTCTAGGCAAACAGGAATTGTTACTAGAAAGTTATGAAAGTATATCAAGCTTAATTTCTGAAGGATAAGCTGGAATTGGTTGGAATTCTAGAGCAATTCCAGTTGAGTGAGCTGGAATATGTGAGTGTTACACGAGGAATCAATGCTTATGAAGCATCTAGCATGTGCCCAGCGTCATGCTGGGTTGAAGTCACTGCTCCCCAGTGGAGAGGCCAGCCTGGAGGCAGCCAGTCCCAGCTGGACAGTCATGGAGTGTCCAGGCAAGCAGCAATGGCCTGTGTTCCTGCAGACAGCACTGCTGGGCAAATACTGAGCACTGTGACTGGAAAACACTGTCGACATTGGTGCAGCTGGGTGAGCCCAACCTGTTTCAACAAGGGGGACCTACAGGTCACCAGGAGCTGAGATGTGGGGCCAAATAAGGTCAGAGACCTGGAAGTGGAGAAAGGTAGGGGCTAAGGTTTGAGTTGCCAAGAACTGGGCAGTGGTCTCTGTGAATCTCCAGTGTCTGGGCCTGGAGTAGAAACACTCTATTATGTGTATGTACCCATAGAGTACACAAGTAGAAACACTCTACTCCAGGCCCAGAAACTGGAGAGGTTTACTCCAGTAGTAAATCTCTACAATACATTTATGCAGGCATCTAAAATTTCTTAATTTTGGGGGTGCTGTGCCTTCCCTTTGACTTTCTGGTGATGAGTAAAGACCTCATTGCAGGTAATGTTTATAAATGCATAAGATAAGATATACAGGATGAGAAGCACCCTATTGTATTAAAATGCAATCCCATCTTCAGAGTCCATAGACCCCAGGTTACACAGCCAGACATGTGACTCTTGTAATTATAATAGCAAGGTTTGCTGAGGGTTTGAACCCCAAAAATGTCATATTGGATAAAAGAGCTAAGTGTTTTCCTCACCGCAACACTGGTTGCTAAATGGGCTTGGGTCTGAGTCACAGGGGAGGGAAGCTGTGGATCTCAGACATTAGGTTACCTGCATAGGAGAAGACACAGAGACCTGGGTGTTGGGTATTTCATCCAGGGCTCAAGGATAGCTTTTTTGACTCCAAATAATGTATTCTTCCTTCCATGCCAAACTGTGGCTGGGGGAAGGCTAAGGCTGCTGAGAGCAGATGATCTGAGGAGGAGCAGTCAAGGTGAACGGTCACACACGCTCCAAGGCAGGCCAGTCTTGTGCTTCTGTAGATTAGGGCATCTCAGCCTCAGCATTGCCGACACCTGGTGCTTGAGATACCTCTGCTGTGGAGTCTGTCCTGTGCACCATGGGATGTGTTGTAGCATCCTGGCCTGTACACATTCAATGCCACCAGCAGCCCCCTCAATTGTGACAATGTCTCCAGACATTACCAGATCAGCCCTGTTGAGAGCCACTGTGATGGAGCGGGATTAGATCCTGTTGCTGAGCAACTGAATGTGTTTGGAAGTGTCTCCCTCTGTTATGTATTACTCTTTAGGGTTTTCCCTCTCCATGGGGCAAGCCTCCTGATGTGGTTTGGATTGGTGTCCCCACCCAAATCTCACATTGAATTGGAGGAGGGGCATGGTGAAATTGGAGGAGGGGATTGGATCATGGGGGTGGATATCCCTCTTGCTGTTCTCATGATAGTGAGCAAAGGTCTCACGAGATCTGGTTGTTTAAAAGTGTGTGGCACTTCCCTCTTCTCTCTCTCTTTTCTGCTCCACCTTGGTAAGACATACTTGCTTCCCCTTCGCCTTCCTCCACGATTGTTAAGTTTCCTCAGGCCTCCCAGTCATGCTTCCTTTTAAGTCTGCAGAACTGCGAGTTAATTAAACCTCTTTTCTTCATAAATTGCCCAGTCTCAGGTAGTTCTTTATAGCAGTGTGAGAATGGACTAATACACCTCCCAAATTAAAGAGTGGAACATGTGATCCTAACTGTGGTATGAAGATGGGGTAGTATGCTTAAAATTGGTCACTGGAACCTGGCCAGGTGCAGTGGCTCATGCTTGTAATCCCAGCACTTTGGGAGGCCAAGTGGGTGGATCACTTGAGGCCAGGAGTTCAAGACCAGCCTGGGCAACATGGCGAAATCCTGTCTCTACTAAAAATACGAAAGTTAGCTGGGCATGGTGCTGCATGCCTGTAATCTCAGCTACTCAGGAGGCTGAGGCATGAGAATCACTTGAACCTGGGAGGCAGAGGTTGCAGTGCACTGAGATCATGCCACTGCACTCCAGCCAGAGTGCGGTGTGAAATTCAGCA
Organism: Homo sapiens; assembly: GCF_000001405.40. Taxonomy (NCBI): domain Eukaryota; kingdom Metazoa; phylum Chordata; class Mammalia; order Primates; family Hominidae; genus Homo; species Homo sapiens. The sequence goes on along the minus strand of NC_000013.11, from coordinate 109,907,761 downwards.
GAGTGAAATTCTGTCTCAAAAAAAAAAAAAAAATCGAGGGGGAGGCTGTGCCTTCCCTTTGGCTTTCTAGTGATGAGTAAAGACCCTAATCCTGTTGAAAGGTCTCCAGCACATGGCCAATGTGACTTTAACAGCAAAATCTGCTGAGGGCTCGATCCTCTCCATCAAGTCTCCTCTCTCTAGGGGAGAGCCCCACACTCTGGTCAAGCCACTCTCTTGATTAGAAGGTACTTTCTGGGTATAGTGTACACTGCTTGGATGATGGGTGCACTAAAATCTCAGAATTCACCACTGTAGAATTCATCCATGTAACCAAACACAACTTGTACCCATAAAGCTACTGAAATTTTTTTAAAAAATGAAAAAGCAAGTCAGTGTTTTTGCAGTTGAAACCAGCCAATCCCTGAGGGCCCACACACCTCCCCAGACAAGGAATTCTCATCTGCAGGGCTTTGCCACTCAGGACAGTGATGTGAGCTTGGAGCCACAAGGCTGTAAATCCACATGGTGTGTGCCTTCATCCTTTCCTGCCTCCTGGAATTCCATGAATGCAAGCTAATATTACATTAACTTCCTTTCATCCACAGCACATGCATGCTTAAAATTGAACTTGTTAACTAAGATCCATATGGAATCCCGTGTGGTTAGATTTCATATCTGTACTCAGGCGGTTAGAACTTTCTATTTCAGGGTAGAAATCCATGGGTCTCCCTACAGAGAGGCAGTCTACCCGTTTTAAATCCTCCTAATACAATGTCTGCTACTATCTGACACATCAGATGTGTTCAACAAGTGTTTGTTGAATGGAGCCATCAGTGAGTTCATTTTATTCCCCAGTTAATTTTCTTCTGTGAGTTTGCCCCACCCGTCTACCTTTAACTTGCATTTTTTGTTTTTCCTTAAAAAAACTAGATTTGGGAAAGAATTTTTGATTTACAGAAAAGTTGCAAAGACAGGACAGAAAGTTCCCCTATGTGTCTGAGCCAGGTTTCCCTGCTGTTACTGTCTTACTTGACCCAAGGTTCATTCGTCAAACTAAGTATCTGACATTGGTGAATTAGTATTAACTGCACTCCTGACTTTGTTTGGGCTTTACGAGTTTTTCCATTAATGTTCTTTCTGTTGCAGGATCCATTCCAGGATTCCCCATTGCATTTAGTAGTCACGTCTGTCTGGCGTCCTCTGGTCTGTGGCAGTTTCTCAGTCTTTCCTTGTCTTTCATGACTTTGACAATGGTGGGGGAAGGGGTGCAGTGCTGATCATGTATCTTGCAGAATTTCCAAAATCTGTGTGTACATGGTGTTTTTCTCATGATTGGACTGGATTGGGGGGTTTGAAACATCCTTTAGGAAATATGCAATCCATTTCGCCTTTCCTGGCTTTGTGTTTTTGCAGCTAACGATTGAGCCTTTCTCTGGGTCATTATCTAAGTTAGCAATGAAGCTAGAAGGGCCTGGGGAAGCACAGATGACACCACCAGCTCAAACCTATTTTACAAATGAGTTGGGTTTGATATAGTTTTTTTTCTTAGCAGTGTTTAATTATCACAGTTTTTTTTCTTTTAATAGTTCATTCTGAAGTTGTTGGTTTTTTTCTGGACTAGGCATCAAATACACCTGCTTGGACCAAGCTCTCCTACCATTGAAAATGTGTAGTGAGGTTGTATACATGAGATTGTATGTGTAACGATATGCACATATGGTTGGGTTCACACACACATGCACACACATTAACTCATGTTAAGTCACATATTTGAGTTACTGAATCACTACATGATGAAAATTCTGTCAATGTCGTTTATCTAGATTTCAGCCAGCAGCTTAACAAGGTCCTTAACAACATCCTATAGACAAAACAGAGTAACACGGACTGATCGTAAAATTAGATGACTTTGTTTCTGGTTGAATGACAGTACCCAGAGTGTCACCCAAGACTACCTGGAAGGGAAGTGGACAGCAGAGCTTTATCATGGGCTCCACTCTGAGCTATACTTGTTGCCCCAGCTTGTAAAAATGCAAGAGGGAGGGCAAGGGTGTGTGGAGGGAGGGAGGGATGTGTGGAGTTCCCTCTCTAACTCCTTAGAGAAAAGTATCAATGCATCAACATTATCTTAACAAGCAAGCATTTTAGGCCAAACTAACCAAAAATAAGAATGTAACCTTATACAGCAATATATGATCTTTCATGAGTGTATTTGTTTGCCATGGCTGCTGTAAAAAAATACCACAAACAAGATGACTTCAAGAACATTAATTTATTCCAGCAGCTAGAAGTCTGAGATCAGAATATCATCAGTGTTGCTTCCTTCCAAGTGTGCCTGCGTTAGTTCATTCTCACACTGCTATAAAGGACTATATGAGACTGAGTAATTTATGAAGGAAAGAGGTTCAATTGGCTCACAGTTCCACAGGCTGTACAGGAAGCATGGCTGGGAGGCCTCAGGAAACTTACAATCACGGTGGAAGGCAAAGGGGAAGCAGGCATCTTCTTCACATGGTATCAAGGGTGGCAGGGGATTGTTTCAAACTTTGAAACAATCAGACCTCGTGAGAAGTCACTCACTATCATGAGAACAGCAAGGAGGAAATCTGCCCCCATGATCCAATCACCTCCCACCAGGCCCCTCCTCCAACACTGGCAATTTCAATTCCACATGAGATTTGGGTAGGGAACAGAGCCAAACCATATCAGGTGGTGAGTGAGAATCTGTTCCAAGCACCAAGGTGACTTCTGGTGATTTTCTGGCAATCTTTGGTGTCCTTTGGCTTATAAAAGCATCATCCCAATCTCTGCCTTCATCTTCACTTGGCATTCTTTCTGTGTTTGTGTCTTTGTCCAAATATTCCCTTTTATAAGAACATTAGTCACAAGGGATTAGGGATCCACCCTGCTTCACTATAACTTCGTCTTAATGAGTTATATCTGCAGTGTCCTCATTTTCAAACAACAAATAAATTTTGAGGGGACAAAATTCAACCCATAACAGTTCTGGTTACGGCAAAACTTAATGGCCTCAATCACACAGTTGATGGTGCTCACAAATTCAGACAAGGCCCAGTGGGAATGGCTTGTCTCATAAGGTCTGGAGCCTCAGCTGGATGATTCAAAGAGTTGACTTTTGACCAGAGCACCTGAGCACATCCTCCTCATGGCTGGGCTTTCTCACAACATGGCTGCCTCAGGGAGTCAAACTTCTTACCTGCCAGCTGGGGGTTCCAGGTGTGAGTGTTCTAGTGAATGGGTGCAAGATGCATTCCCTTTCATGACTCAGCTTTGGAAGCTACAGAGCATTACTTCCCCCTTACATTATTGAACAAAGCAGTTGTAAGCTCCTAAGTAGAGGGAGAGGAATTCTCTTAGACTTGATGGGGGCGCAGTTGAGTCACATTGTGGAAGGACGTGTGGGGTAGGAAGTGTTGTGGCCATTTTGGAATTACATCATCTGCTGCAGCAGCCTCTTTAACAGGGTTCGGTCTATCTGGTTGGGAGACAATCTCGTGTAGACCATTATGCCAGCCTGCCTTCTGCAATTTTCCCCAATTTTTTTCTTGCTTTGATTTTTCTTGCTTTTCATTTTTTTCTTGCTTTGATTTTGGAAAAATAATCTATTTAAAAATTCATCCTGAGTGAAACAAGACTACTAATTCAGAGTTGATGCTCCACAGGACCCTTAATAAATCATGCCAGTCCCTGGTGAGGTTAATGAGAAATTTCTTGAAAATACGAGAAAACCAATGCAAAAGCAAAGCCCTCAAGCCCATGTAACAATTCTGTGTTCACACTGGAAAAAAAAAAAACACAGTAAACTACTTTTTGTTTCAAAGAAAATTGCACAAATTCTCACGTAAAAATCAGTGGAAAGTGTTTTCATCCCAGGGCGAGAAGATACAGGGCATGTTATCAATTAGAATAGAAACGGAAGACGGCGTTTTCTGTCAAGTGGTTGCGAGTAGAATCTCTTGTTCAACAAGAACAATAATTGAAATTCTTCTCAGTTCTCCAAGAGGCCTCCATCACCTTCTCGCCATCTTTACACCACAGGAAACCCCAGGTCCAACCTTTACCACAAATGAAAAAAGTTTAGGGCTTTTCCCCTTCTGCTCACGATGGCTTTTCACCCTTCCATTCTTGTTCTCTCTCTGTTCATGGGGGTTAAGAATAGCTCTTCATGCAAGGTGGCTGCTAGAAACTTTCTTCTGGAAAGTTTACGTCATTCCAGAAAAATTAGCCACTGTGATGGCTCAGAAACCCCCCTCTCCACAGCCCCCTCATCCACACCAACACAGAGTAACCTGGAGGCCATTAGGTGTTCTGTTTAGAATTGTTTTCTCAGCATGTCCCTCTCTCCTGCTATTCCCTCAGTGGAACCCAGGAAAATATTAGCTCACAAATATTATAGTGTTGTGACTAACATTCCCAGCCCTTCCTCCCGCACTCCCCACGTGAAATCTTTGGATGTCTGTTTTTGTCTGGTCATGAGGAAGCTAGCATCCATCTTAAAGTTTATATAAAAACACATCTATTGATTTTTAGGGGGCTTGGTTTTCTATCTTCTCAAATTGTACACTAAGTTTATTTGTATTTCTTCAATGTTTAATAACTGGAATGTTTAAGGGTGACATTTTTGCCTCAGGGAACAGCTTTGGCCACAACTTTTAAATGTCACTACTTTGTAGTCTCAATATTTTATTGTCAAAATAATCTGTAATTCTAGTTTTTATTTCCTTTTGGTCTGAGAGTTACTTATTTTAATGTTTATTCACCAGTTACAGCTTTCATAAATGAGGATATTGCAAAAAAGGAAACATAAAACATAATAAAACCATCATGCATATTCCTATCCTTCAGGATGAAAAATAATGACTAGTATTTTTAATAATTACACATGTAATAGATGTATACATTATGCATAAGAGACAGAACAAGAATTAAATCCTGTAGGCAATGCTAACTTCCCCTTTGATGCTTACATGGAGTCCGATTGCTAACTTCTAACACCCAGAGCTCAGTTGCTTATGTTACATATATGCCAATTTAGATCTTCTGTGTATTTTAACATTTCTTCACAGTAGTCCAGCATATTCTGCATTTTATTCATTCCCTACTGAGGGCTGTTTCTGTTATTTTCCACTTTTTTTCCTGCTGTAAACACTGCCATAGTGATCCTCTAACGTGCCTCTTCTCTTGAACATGTAGGAGTATTCCCTAAGGTGTGCACTTAGAAGTGAAATCGTGAAACTGATGGGTATGAACATTTCTAATTTTCATAAATATTGCCCAACTGCTCTTCAGAGTTCCTGTGGCAATTCAGGTTCAGAGGCTGGAGCTTTAAATGTAATATTTTATTAATTATGTCCAGCTTTCAAATGGTCAGAATATATGGCTTATGTGATAGAGTCATGTGGACATAACGTATATATTAATAGTTATATTACATTCTCCTTGAATTCCTAAGAGATCTTACTTTAAGTTTTTGATATTATATTTCTGATGCATTAAAATTCATAGTTTTTCTATTTCCAGTTTAGATTATTCCCGTTATCAATATTAAATAATCTCAGTCCCATTTGATTTTTTTTGTATGTCCCAAAATTGTGTTACATTATACTATTGCTTTCCTTTGTAATTGCTTTAATTTTCACCCATTGTTTTATTTCTGCCACCCTCAGTATTAGTTTATTACATGCTCTACTTTTTTTTTTTTTTTTTTGTGAGGCAGAATCTTGCTCTATTGCCCAGGCTGGAGTGCAGTGGCACAATCTTGCCTCACGGCAACCTTTGCCTCCTGGGTTAAAAGTGATCCTCCTGCCTCAGCCTCCTGAGTAGCTGGAATTACAGGTGTGCACCACCACACTTGGCTAATTTTTGTATTTTTAGTAGAGATGGGGTTTCACCATGATGGCCAGGCTGGTCTCGAACTCCTGACCTCAAGTGATCCACCCACCTCGGCCTCCCACAGTGCTGGGATTACAGGCGTGAGCCACTGTGCCCAGCCACATTAACTTTAGTTGTGCTCTGCAGTTACTTCCTCCGTGCTCTTCCAGGCATGCAGTTGGGCTAGCCAAGGGTGTTTGCATGCTTCTGTTTTCTTTATGATGTAGCTACTCACTTCTGTAGCTCTATGCTTTATTGTCTTCAAATGCATCACCTGGCAAAAAAAGAAATCTAAGGTCAATTTGGTATTTCTTCCTTTTTAAATAACTTGTTTATGACCTGAATGCTTAAGGCAATTTTCTTTATGTTATAATAAAAATTCAATATTTCTAGATGTTTATTTTCTTTAATTTTTCTTTGTGTATTTTAATCTGTACTTCCAAGCTTTTTTCTTTAATTATGTTTTCATTCTCTGCCCTGCACAAAGGTAATATATTTGTTATTCTTTATTGCTTTGCCTTTTTCTACTGCATTCTGGAAGAGCTTTTCAAATTTGTTCCACATCACCGATTTATTTTCTACAGTATCAATTCAGTTACTCTTCCTCATGCTGATGCACTTGGCTTTGTCACACCTTTGAATTATTTTAATTTTTCATTTCTTGTCCATGAATGTTTCCTTTGGTTTCTGGGAGAACTTTCTTGCATGCTATTAAGGTCATTAAACAGCAAGCATTATTCTAGGTGTTATATTAGGTAGATTTTCAGAAGTATGTCTTTCCTCTGACAGTTTAGGAGGTGGCCTCCATTTCTGTGTCTCACGTGATTCCCAAGTATTTTTTGTGAGTGCATGCGCATACACTCATCCTGAAGAGGGGTTTATTCAGACCCAGGATTTGCCAGAAGTCAGTGTAGACTGAGCTCCAGCTGAGACAGAGTGCCGCCCTCCACGCCAGCAGCAGGAGCTGGTGGAGCCTGCTCTGTGTGCACAATGGCCAGGTGTTCATGTGGGGTGCTCTGTAGAGAGGGTCTTCTCAGTACCTCAGTGCGTCCGCTGATAACTGAACCATCAGAATATGCTCTGTTCCCACCGGGATTCCTCAACCCTGCCCCTGCTCCTCCGCCAGCACTTTCCTCCTTGGAATTGTGCAGCTTTCCCTGCACACTTACACCTCCAAGCTCCTTCCTAACTTAGGGTTCTGTTATGGGGTCTTTGTTTTTCTTATTTTTATGCAGACATAATAAGAATATGAAAAATAGTGATTGTGGTGCTGTGTTGGTGGGGGAGGCAGCTGTGCAGTGTTTGTCACTTCAAAACACCGCTCATCTACAGGACAGGATTGGCTGCCACGTTTCCTGTCCTCGGAGGAGGGAGCAGGGGAGTAGAGGAGAGAACAAGGTCTCCTTATCGCTGTTGGTCTGGCAGTTTGCTTTGTTCCGTGCAGGAAAGAAAGCGTGGGGAAGATCTCATTTTGGTTTCTCAGATTAGCACTCTATGGATAGAATTTCTTTTCCTAGGTATGTGTGATAAGTGTTATTCTTTGCCTTCTTTTGCTCTGTCTTGGAAGGCTGTTTCAGAGACTGCTAGCTAGAATTCATTCCTGATGACATGTATCCTGGTAGATTTTCTGAAAATCCCATTTTCTGTTATAAATGCCTTTCATTAGACATATACTTAAACATCGTTCATTGTCAAATAGTTATCAAATGACATCAGTTCCATGAAATGGTTACTTGAAAACCAATGTAAAATAATTTGTTGTACAATGAATACCTTGATCAGGAAATCACTCATCGTAGTTGGTATTAAATAAATGTGAGTGGGTTTACTGACAGGAAACGGGAAAGAAAGAAGGAGGGAAGAAAGGAAGGAAGGTGGGAAGGAGGAAAAAGGGGAAGGAGGGAAGGAAGAAAGGAGGGAGGGATGAAGAGAAGGAGGAAGAAAGAGGAAGGAAGGATGGAAGGAAGGAAGGAGGGAAGGAAGGAGGAAAGGAGGGAGGGAGGGGAAAAGGGCAGGTAAAGGCGGGAGAGGGAGGGAGGAAAGAAGGAAAGTCTGAGTTTCTGATTCCAATATCTGTAAGATAGTTAGAAACATGCATGGAATGAAGAGCTGAGCATTTTCTACCTGTAGATCAATGTCAGCAAAAGTCCTGATTAAAACAGAAAATGTGGCATTAAAATAAGCCAAGTACATTTTGTTTTATGTGCATTTATGTTAATATTTTATATTTAAGAGCCATAGCAAGAATGCAAATTCTATCTGGACAGTTTTATTGATATTTTCAGTTACAAATTTAGAAGCATAGGACATGCTATGCTTTTTATAAACCTCACAGCTTATAAAGTCACTGGAAAGTTGGCAAAAATCCACAGCATTTCTGTATTTCAGTAATAATTCCTATGCTGTTCTTTGTTGTATTCCCTTCCTCTGCCAAATGCCTTCACCAAACAATTCATTTGTTACATTAAATTTTCATTTTCTTTTTCTTTTTCTTTTTTTTTTTTTTTGAGATGCAGTCTCACTCTGTCTCCCAGGCTGGAGCGTAGTGGCACGATCTCCGCTCACTGCAACCTCTGCCTCCTGGGTTCAAGCGATTCTCCTGCCTCAGCCTCCTGAGTAGCTGGGATTACGGGCATGCTCCACCACGCCTGGCTAATTTTTGTATTTTTAGTAGAGATGGGGTTTCGCTATGTTGGCCAGGCTGGTCTCAAACTCCTGACCTCAGGTGATCGGCCCACCTCGGCCTCCCACAGTGCTGGGATTACAGGCGTGAGCCACTGCGCCCGGCCACATTAACTTTAGTTGTGCTCTGCAGTTACTTCCTCCATGCTCTTCCAAGCATGCGGTTAGGCTAGCCAAGGGTGTTTGCATGCTTCTCTTTTCTTTATGGTGTAGCTACTCATTTCTAAACCTTTCAATACCCAACTTATTAAGTGACACAACAGAGGATGCATCAGAACTCTCATCCAATAAAGTCAAGTACACTGACATGGGGAAGAGGAAAGAGTGGAATCACTTATAATTTTCCCTCCAGGAACATTGTTTTCCCAGGTAACCTTTGACTTTGTGCTAATGAGTTACATTGTCTGCCATCACCCTATATGTGATTCTGGACATACATTTGATTTTTTTGAAAGCGGCTCAATTTGGCCCTAAGCCTGCCATCCCTCCAATTGTAAACGTGGAGTACTATGAAGGGTGATGTCTATGTACTATCTAGGAAATCCTGTGAGTTTTCACAAGTGACATGCTAAAATCACAGTGTCTTTCACCTGCCAAAGATATTATCTTTAAAATTAAAAAGTGTAAAGGAATGTGAGTTCATAGCTTTTTGTGTCAACCGGAGGATCTATGAGTAAGTCATGGTCCCAAGAGTGTTGAAAGACATCAGTCTAAATACCATCCTAATTAACGCTGTTAGACAAAGACTAATTTTAGTTTACCATGGATCCACAAGGCACTGGGAGCATGATTGTTCATTATAAATGGGGGAACATTCCACTGCACTTAGACAAATCCTAAATCTGGAGCTTATAAGACCTGACAAACTTAAACAAGCTAACAATATTTTAACAAGATTTTAATAACATGTTGATGAATGCCCAGTGGGAAAGCATTTTCAATTACACCGTGACACACTCTTGTCCCTTGCTCTATAATAAATAAGGGAGTCACAGGCAGTCACTCGTGTTGCTACACTGGAGTTGTTTACTGTCTGAGGTCACTAAAGCTTATTCTGGACCACAGGTTAATGGCCAGCGTTTTTTTCTAGAAGGAATGAGTTGTGTGTGTGTGCATGTGTTCTAATTATGTCAGTTGCTAATTCAATTCCTCTGTTTATTAGGTCAGTCTATTTTCAGCAATGTTATTGTCTTAGTCCATTTTCTGCTGCTTTAACAAAATACCAAAGACTGGGTGATTTATAAATAAAAGAGATGTATTTGGCTCATGGTGGTAGAGGCTGGGAAGTCCAAGAGCATGGTGCCAGCATCTGGTGAGGGCCATCCCACAGTGGAAGGGTGGAAGGTGGAAGTGAGTCCCCCAGACAGAGGAAAAGGAGGCTGAGCTCCAGAGATGACTAACCCACACATGTGAGAGCAGAGTCCTCAAGACCTAATCAGCTCTTCAAGATCCCACCACCCAATACTCTTACACTGACAATTAAATTTCAACATGAGTTTTGGAGGGGATATTCAAACCATAGCAGGTATCCATAAAGCTGGTAGGGAAGGGATTCTTTGTTTCCCCTGATGGCGCTCTGTGGGCAGCTTCCTTGTGTTTTTTTAGGCCAAGTAAAGGACTTTGGCATTAGTAATAAAAAGTATGTAATGACAAAAAGTAAGGGAATAAAACCCAAATAAATGTTAGGCACTGAAAACCTAGAGAGGTGAAGGAAGGATGCTGTGAGAGAAAAAGCCTTAAGGAATTATTAAATTCAGAAAAATACAGCTGTATCATGGAAGGTCACAAAAAGTAAGTCATACATAATTTAATTTTATGTTCTGTTTAAAGCTAAATATGAACAGTACTTCTGCTTGGAGATGGCCCTGTCATCAGCTCAATCCCAAAGGATAGCCAGGAAAAATGTAACAAAGGGTAATTGTCAATACTATAATTTCCCACTAAATCTTTCCTCATTCTTAAACATTTCTCAGGAACGAAAAAACTTTTAGAATGGTGTAGTGTGTGATGACATAGCATTCTTCTTAATCTCCCTTCTTTCTGATTTATTTGCAAGGCAAAAGGTAGCTCCTATAACTGGGAGATTTTCTGAACTTGTTATACATATGAACTGGGATTCACCCTAAAGTACGATAGCTTTACCTGCATTATTTCATTATTTAAACCTCCTACCAATATACATGTTACCATGATTGCCTCTATTAAATGTACTATCCCTTGAAAAAATTCTAGGTCCACACAGTTTCCCTGGTGAATCCCTTTTAACCTTCAAGGATAATTCCAGTGCTACTTAAGCCATTACAGATCTTTAACAAGAGTTCTTTTTAAAAAAATTCAGCAAAAACTACAATATCAAAACCTGTGGAAGATACCGTCCTGGTGCACATGTGTGTTCACACACACACACATTCTATAAGTGAAGGCTAGCCTAATACATATATATTAGCAAAAACCTGAACTTAATAACCAATAGAATTGAGGAGCATTTGAAATACAATACTCTATGACCAAGTGTGAATGTGCCAGGGAAGAAAAGAAACCTTGCAATTAAAAGTTTTATTGTTCCTGAAAAAAATTTATATAGTTAAAAATATATATTTATTTATATTTCTATATCTTATATATCTAATGATATATTTATGTGTAATATATATTTCACCCTACAATGCTATAGGATTTCGTTACCCGACAAAGACCCTGGAAGACAGAGCTAATGTTGCAAGTTTGGCTCTTGAAATTTTTTTTTTTTTAAGAAATACATTTCTGTGCTATTTATATTGTATGAATATATAATGCAATGTTTATGTTTCAATATTAAGAAGGTAAGCAACCCAATAAAAAAATACCAGCAAGTTTGCAGAGACACTTTACAAAAGAATGCATACAAATGGCCAATAAGTATATAAAAAATGTTCCACACTGTTAGTCTTCAGGGAAATGCAAACTAGAAGCACAATGAGCTGTCAATACTCACCAATCAGAATGTCTACAATTCTAGCTTCCTGTGCTTCTTTGCAATCTATGCCTCTTTATCTCAGATAACCAATGTCTTATTGATTTTATTAGAAATTGGCTTGAAGTCTTCTAGAATTTTGTATATGTGCACAGTATTTAATCCTTTGTGCCTGTTTGGTTTTTTTATCAGCAAAATTATTTGGAAGTTCATCTGCATTGTTGCACATATCATTAGTTTATTCCTTTTTATTGGTAAGTAGTATTCCATTGTATGGCAATACAGTCATGCACTAATGATGTTTCAGTCAATCATGGGCTGCAAATATGATGGAGGTCCTCCAAGATGATATTGGAGCTGAAAAATTCCTATCCCCTGGTGACATCATAATGTCCTAATGCCATCCTTGCTCGTATGTTTGTGGTGATGCTGTTGTAAACAGACCTACTGTGTTGCCAGTCCCATAAAAGGATAGCACATACAGTTATATATAGTATGCGATATTGATGATGAGAATAAACTGTTACTGGCATATGTATTTACTATACCATATTTTTATCATATTTAGACAGTATGTCTGCTCATTTAAAAAAAAAATTAAATGTATGACAGCCTCCAGCAAGTCCTTCAAACAAAAGGCATTGTTCTCAGAGGAGATGACAGCTCCATGCCTGTTATTACCCCTGACAAACTCCCAGTGGGACAAATTGTGGAGGTGGGAGACAGGGATATTGATGATCCTGACCGTGTATAGGCCTAGGATAATATGTGTGTGTTTGTGTGTGTCTGTGTGTGTGTCTGTGTCTGTGTGTGTGTGTCTTAGTTTTTAACAAAAACATTCAAAACATTTTTTTAACAAAATTTTGAAATAGGAAAAAAGCTTATAGAATAAGGATATAAAGAAAGAAAATATTTTGTACAGATGTACAATGTGTTTTAAGCTAAATGTTATTAAAAAGGAGCCAAAAAATGTTTAAAAATACTACCGGGTGCGGTGGCTCATGCCTGTAATCCCAGCACTTTGGGAGGCTGAGGTGGGCGGATCACTTGAGCTCAGGAGTGGGAGACCAGCCTGGGCAACCTGGTAAAACCCCATCTCTACCAAAAATACAAAAAATTTAGCTGAGTGTGGTGGTGTGCCTCTGTAATCTGAGCTACTTGGGGGGCAGAGGCAGGAGGATCGCTTGAGCCTGGGAGACACAGGTTGCAGTGAGCCAAGATTACACCACTGAACTCCAGCCTGGGTGAAAGAGCAAGACTCTGTCTGAAAAAAGAAAAAAAAAAATTAAAAAAATAAATTTATAAAGTTCCAAAATCTTACCATGAGCTAAGGTTAATTTATTATCAAAAAAATAAAAATGTTTTTCAGTAAGTTTAGTGTAGCCTAAGCGCACAGTCTTTATGTCTCCAGTAGTGCACAGTAATGTCCTAGGCCTTCACGTTCACCCACCGCTCACTCACTGATTACCCCAGAGCAATTTCCAGTCCTGTGAGCTCCATTTATGGCAAAAGCCTTATAAAGATATACCATTTTTGTCTTTTATATTATGTTTTTATTGTTCCTTTTCTATGGTTAGATACACAAATACCATTGTGTTACAGTTGCCTACAGTATTCAGTACAGCCACACGCTGAACAGGTCTGTAGCCTGGGAGCCATGGCTCTGCCCTTTAGCCTAGGTGTGGAGTAGGCTGTACCATCTAGGTTTGTGTAAGCACACTCTATGGCCTTCGCACAGCAGCAAAACCGCCTGATGACCCATTTCCCAGAACATATCCTCTGGTTAAGTGACGCTGACTGTGCTACAATTCACTTATCCTGCTGAGGGGCATTTAGGTTGCTTCCAGTTTGGGTCTAATACAAATAAATTTGCTGTGAACATATGCGTACCGTTCTTTGTGTGAGCATATGTTTTTACTTCTGTTGGGTAAATACCTAGGCATGGAATGGCTGGGTTACACGAGAGGTGTATTTTAAAATTTTGAAGAAACTGTTAGACAGTTTTCTGAAGTGTTGGGTTCACCTGAAGTAAACTGAAATGTGTCTACCCCAACAGCAAACACTCAGCCTCTCTTGAACTCACCCAATTAGGTATTTATCCCTCATGTTCCATGGATAAGTTCTTCCTGGGACATCACACACCTCCAAAGCTTGGTTCTCTGCTTTATCTTACTGACCCATTGGTCATCTCTGATACAATTGGTCACTCTCTCCTTCTTGAAATGCTTTCCTTGCTTTCTTCCAAAGCAACAGACTCACCTGGGTATTTTTCTTACCCTCCTGCTCATTGCTTTCCAGTCTGTCCTGCAGGATCACCTCCTCCTCCTGAGGTCCACACATAAGAGCTCCCTGGGACCCAGTGCTCAGACATCTCGCCTTCTCTGTCTACACATGTTGTAGGTATTCCATTCATGCCTGTGGCTTTAGATGCTACAGGTTCTGTAATCCACCTATCCATCCCTCAACCTAGCCACCTATCTATCCTCCCTCACTCCTTTTATTTTCTTTATCTTTCTTTCCTTTTTTTTTTTTTTGTTGTTGTTTTTAAAGACAGTCTGTCACCCAGGCTGGAGTGCAGTGGCATGATCACGACTCACTGCAGCCATAGGCTCAAATCATTCTGCCATCTCAGTCCCACAAGTAGCTGGAACTAAAGGTGCATGCCACCATGCCTGGATAATTTTTTTTTTAAGTTTTTGTGTAGAGATGGGACCTTACTATGTTGCCCAGACTGGTCTCGAACTCCTGGGCTCAAGCAATCCTCCCACTTGAGCCTCCCAAAGTACTGGGATTACAGGCATGAGCCACCACACCTGGCCTTTTAAAAAAAAGTCTTTCTATCTCTATCTTTGACCACTTGATCTGAGTTCCAGAACTATATATGCAAATACCTGTTCAATTGATATTCTACATGTATATCTTAAAATAGACATGCATGTATTTCAGGGAGAATTCTTGATTTCTTTTCCCCCAGCCCTAACCCCAAAACCTGTTTCAATCTGGATCTTTCCCATTTTAATAAATACCAGTTCCATTCACCAAGTTGCTTAGGTCAAAACACTGCAAGTCAATATTAGTTTCTCTTTTTCCCTCTCACCCCGCACCTAAGTCATCGGTAAGGCTTTAATTCCAAAATACTATCTGAATTTGAACACTTCCCGCAATTCCTACTACTGCTCTCCTGATTCCCAACACTGCGGACATCCACACGGATCTCTTGGGGGCCCCTTCTTCACACTCTTGGTCCCTGAACTCTATATTCCACACCACAGCCAGAGCTCTACAACTGAGATGGGCCAGTGCCCTGCACAGACCTCTCCCTGGTTTTTCATTGTACTTAGAACCCCATGAAAATTCCAACCATCACCCAAGCGACGTCCTGCTGCCTTGTCCCTGCCTCATCTCACAGTGCCCCAGGCTCACCTCGTTCTACCCTGCACCTTCCTCTGTCCCTCACGTCGGCCAAGCTCATCCAGATGCAGAGAACTTTCACTAGCTCTTCTCCCTGGAATGCTTTTTATTCTCATGAAGCACCTTCTTTGTTGTTTGTTTTTTAGATATCTCATCTACTGAATAAAAACTCCCCCTCAACATCGTATCTAAACAGCCCACTCAGTGTCCCTGGCCCGCCACCTCCCTCCACTGTCTAAGGCACTTATTTCTTCATAATATGACATCATGTCTCATCGACATTGTATTGTCTGTCTCACACTAGGAGGTAGACCTTGTGTGGCAGGACTTCATCTGGGGTTTCAGCCCTACAGTCTGGGTAATGCTGCAGTTACATATCACCTGAGAATCTCTGTGCTAGATGCCACAGGTGCTTATTTTACTCAGGAAAAATCCTCTGTGAATCTGGGTGGCTCTTTAGAGCCACTGTCCTGCAGACTTTGATGCAGCAACCCAGGCAGAGGGATACACCAGCATCTTCTCCTGCACCACCCGAAACCCACTGGCACGGCAGTAGAAGACACCAAATGGAGAACTCTGCTCCAGACCTTAAATCCATTTCCTTAGAATGGACACAGCTTATAGCTACTCACAGTTCCTTCCCAAAACTTGTCACATGGCCACATCTAACATCAGGGGTGCATGGGTGTGATGGTTAATACTGAGTGTCAACTTGATGGAATTGAAGGATGCAAAGTATTGATCCTGGGTGTGTCTGTGAGGGTGTTGCCAAAGGAGATTACCATTTGAGCCAGTGGGCTGGGGAAGGCAGGCCCACCCTTAATCTGGGAGGGCATCATCTCATCAGCTCCCAGTGAATACGAAGCAGGCAGAAAAATGTGAAAAGGTTAGACTGGCCTAGCCTCCCAGCCTACATCTTTCTCGTGTGCTGGATGCTTCTTGCCCTCAAATATCAGACTCCAAGTTCTTCAGTTTTGGAACTCAGACTGGCTCTCCTTGCTCCTCAGCTTGCAGGTGACCTATTGTGGGACCTTGTGATCCTGTGAGTTAATACTTAATAAACTAATAAACTTAATAAAATAATAGGAGATACATTACTTAACAATAATACTTAATAAACTAATAGGACATATATATATGTATCCTATTAGTTTTATATATATATAATCTCCTATGATATATAGACATATATATCTATAAATATATATAGGAGTATATATATGTGTATCTCCTATTAGTTTTCTATATATAAAATCTCCTATTATATATAGGAGTATATATACAATACTTAATAATACTTAATAAACTAATAGGAGATATATATATATCTCCTATTAGTTCTCCTATATATAGTTCTCATATATATATACACATATGTATATATATTTTATATTATGTTTTTATTGTTCCTTTTCTATGGTTAGATACACAAATACCATTGTGTTATAGTTGCCTACAGTATTCAGTACAGCCACACGCTGAACAGGTCTGTAGCCTAGGAGCCATGGCTCTGCCCTTTAGCCTAGGTGTATATATTAGCTCTCCTATGTATAGTTCCCATATATATACATAACTGTATATATATGTATATGCATGTATACATATATATGTATATATATGAGAACTATATATGGGAGAACTAATATACATATACATACATACATACATACATGTATATATACATGTATATGTATACATAATATACATATACATGTATATTAGTTATATATATATATATATATATATATGATATATATATATCCTATTAGTTCTGTCCCTCTAGAGAACCCTGCCTGACTAATACAATGGGCAACCCGAGTGAGGGTGCAGCATTAGGCAACGTGACCCCATCTGTCTTCTTCATCATCCAACTTCCAGTCCCTGGAACTTGGAGAGTAGCACTTGGCTTAGCGTAGGTCTTCAATAGATTTTTGTTGAATGTGTGAACCAAAAATAAAATTCTAAGGTCCCCCAACCATCTAAATGAACTTCCTCATCAGCCACGGCTCTTAAAATTTAACCTGAAGACTGGTTCAGGCCATGATGGGAAGTGGGGGTCGGACATGCCTTATTATGCCTCTCTGCCATTAACATGAATTCAGACTTTAATAAACATTTTACATCATGTTCTCTCTGAAGCCTGCTAGCTAAAAGCTTCATCTGCATAATGAAACTTTCATCTCCACAACCTTTTATTGCAACCCAAACATTCCTTTCTTCTGTTGATCTCAGGTCTTTAGACAAACTCAACCAATTGTCAACCAGAAAATGTTTAAATGTACCTATAGCCTGGAAGCAACTCCCCACCGCCACCTGCCCCCCGACCCCACCACACCGCCTTTGAGTTGTCCCCCCTTTCTGGACCAAACCAATGTATTTCTTAAATGTATTTGGTTGATATCTCATGCCTCCCTAAAATGTATAAAACCAAGCTGCATCCTAACCACCTTGGGCACATGTCATCAGGACTTCCTGAGGCTGTGTCATGGGGTCACTTCCTCAACCTTGGCAAAATAAACTTTCTAAATTAACTGAGACCTGTCTCAGATTTTCTGGGTCTACAAATGAGATTAAACATGTCCAGATCTTGGCTTTTCTGGCTGTGGAATCATGGTTCCAAGAAAACCAAAAAACTTCTAACAGTGCTTTTGATCTGCTTTAGCCCCCTGGTTTTGGCACACTTCATTGGATGAGGACTTCTGTATGTCACGTCCTCTCCCATCGGGAATTATGTATTTGGAAATTCATTGACACAGTTGTGTGAATTAGTTTACCGTGTCATCCTGCCAAAGAGCAATGATACTTCTCACAGTGGTTCCAGTTTGGGAAGAAGGGTTTTGTAAGGGATATCTTTCTGGTGCTTTCAAACTACATGACAGAAGCAACCGACTACTTCTTTTTTTTAAACTTTTACTTTAGGTTCAGGGATCTATGTGCAGGTTTGTTATACAGGAAAATTGCGTGTTGTGGAGGTTTGGTGTACAGATTACCTCATCACCCAGGTACTAAGCCTAGTACTCAATAGGTAGTTTTTTGATCCTCACCCTCCTCCTACCCTCTACCCTGAAGTAGGCCCTGGTGTCTGCTGTTCCTTTCTTTGTGTTCATGAGTTCTCATCATTTGGCTCCCACTTATAAGTAAGAATTTGAAGTATTTGGTTTTCTGTCCCTGTGTTAGTTCACTTAGGATAATGGCCTCCAGATCCATCCATGTATCTGCAAAGGACATGATCTCATTCTTTTTTATGACTGTGTAGTATTCCATGGTGTATATGTACCATATTTTCTTTATCCAATCTATTGTTGATGGACATTTAGGTTGATTCCATGTCTTTGCTATTGTGAATAGTGCTGCAATGAACATTCACATGCATATGTTTTTATGGTAGAACAATTTATATTCCTTTGGCTATATATCCAATAATGAGATTGTTTAGTCAAATGATAATTCTAAGTTCTTTTGGAAATCACCAAACTGCTTTCCACAATGGCTGAAATAATTTACTTTCCCACCAGCAGTGTATAAGCAGGCTTTTACTTTGCAACCTCGCCAACATCTTTTACTTTTTGACTTTTTAATAATGGCCACTCTGACTAATGTGAGATAGTATCTCACTGAGGTTTTAATTTGCATTTCTCTAATGATTGGTGATGTGCATATTTTCATATGGTTGTTGGCCACACGTATGTCTTCTTTTGAAAAGTGTCTGTTTATGAACTTGGTTCACTTTTTAATGGGGTTGTTTTTTGCTTGTAAATTTGTTTAAGTTTTTTATAGATTCTGAATATTAGACTTTTGTTGGTTGCATAGTTTGCCAGTAAATTTTCCTAATCTGTAGTTTGTCTGTTTACTCTGTTGATGGTTTCTTTTGCTATGCAGAAGCTATTTATTTAGGTGCCACTTATCAATTTTTGTTTTTGTTGCAATTGCTTTTGGTGTCTTTGTCATGAAATATTTGCCTGGTCTTATGTCCAGAATGATATTGCCTAGGTGGTCTTCCAGGGTTTTTATAGTTTTGGGTTTTACATTTAAGTCTTATTTATTTTTTTGAGACAGAGTCTTGCTCTGTCGCCCAGGCTGGAGTGCAGTGGCGCGATATCCACTCACTACAAGCTCCGCCTCCCGGGTTCATGCCATTCTCCTGCCTCAGCCTCCCGAGTAGCTGGGACTACAGGTGCCCACCACCACGCCTGGCTAATTTTTTTGTATTTTTAGTAGAGACAGGGTTTCACCATGTTCGCCAGGATGGTCTCGATCTCCTGACCTTGTGATCCGCCCACCTCAGCCTCCCAAAGTGCCATTTAAGTCTTTAATCCATTTGAGTTGATTTTTGTATATGATGTAAGGAAGGGGCCCAGCTTCAATCTTCTGCATATGGCTAGCCAGTTATCCCAACATCATTTATTGAATAGGGAGTCTTTTCCCTTCTGCTTGTTTTTGTTGACTTTGTCAAAGATCAGATGATTATAGGTGTGTGGCCTTGTTTCTGGGCTTTCTATTCTGTTCCATTGGCCTACGTGTCTGTTTTTGTGCCAGCACCATGCTGTTTTGGTTACTGTAGTCTTGTAGTATAGTTTGAAGTCTGGTAATGTGATGCCTCCAGCTTTGTTCTTTTTGCTTAGGATTTTCTTGGCTATTCAGGCCCTTTTTTGATTCCATATAGATTTTAAAACAGCTTTTTCTAATTCTGTGAAAAATGTTATTGGTAGTTTGATAGGAATAACATTGAATCTATAACTTGCTTTGGGCAGTATGACCATTTTAACAATATTGATTCTTCCTATCCATGAGCATAGAATGTTTTTCCATTTGTTTGTGTCATCTCTGATTTCTTTCCCAAGAGTTGTTTTCTTTTGTTTTGTTTTGTTTAGTTTTGAGACAGAGTCTCGCTCGGTCGCCCAGACTGGAGTGCAATGGCACCATCTCACCTCACTGCAACCTGTGCCTTCCAGGTTGAAGCGATTCTCCTGCCTCAGCTTCCTGAGTAGCTGGGAATACAGGTGCACACCACCACGCCTGGCTAATTTTTGTATTTTTAGTAGAGATAGTGTTCCACCATGTTTCTCAGGCTGATCTCGAACTCCTGACTTCGTGATCCACCCACCTTGGCCTCCCAAAGTGCTGGGATTACAGGCATGAGCCATCGTTCCCAGTGTTTTTTAATTCTCATTTTAGAGATCTTTCACCTCCCTGGTTAGCTGTGTTTTTAGATGTTCTTTCTTTTTAAGGCTACTGTGAATGGAATTGAATTTTTGTATAGCTCTCAACTTGGCTGTTGTTGGTGTATAGGAGTGCTGCTGATTTTTGTACATTGGTTTTGTATCCTGAAGCTTTGCTGAAGTTGTTTATCAGATCAAAGAGCTTTTAGGCAGAGATCGTGAGCAACCACCTACTTTTAAAAGAACTGTTTTCTTAACATATTTTATCTTTTTAGTTTTAATCATGAACCATGCTACCTATTGATAGTATGCAATTTATCCTAAGCCCAGCATAAAAAACTAAAGTTGGGGGAAAAAGCAATTTTTTGATGTGTTCCTTTATTTTTGTTGATATCAACAGGTTTTGTCTGTGAACAGAAAGATGTACTCAAAGCATCTAAGAGGTCTTAGAGATCATCTGTTGTAACTCACAGATGAGCAAAGTAGAAGCTGAGATTTAATGTTCAACATTAAATTAATGTGGAGGAGGTTACTTAAAGTTACACAATTAGTTAAAGAAGTAGTAAACACGAGAACTTTGAGTTCTCGCTTCTTAGCTAGGAATCAAATTGTACAAAAAACAAAAAAATAAATTTTTATGTTTACAAGTCAGTTCTTTAAAAATTCTTGAAAATAGGAATTGAAAATCTATCTTAATTCAAATGTTTCTAGGAAAAGCTTATCTTCTCGTCAGAAAGAATATATTATTTATTCCCCACTGTGCACTTAGATTGTTATAATCAAGTCTGAATTTATTTAAAGGAAAGAAAACCTTGAGGTTTCTGTGAAATCATGTAATTCTGAGGAAATGATACAAGAAATCTTTCATCTTTGAAAGGAACTAAGTGGGAAGTGAATTAAACTTTTTTCAGCAATTTTGGGTACTCTATAGATGTTAAAACCTCAGAACTGATGTCATTTTTACCGTGCAGAGAATTAAATTCTTTCCAGCTCTTGTTAAGCAGAGATGATAGAACGTATATATATGTTGTGGGAATAATTAAGGAAAGAACTAAAAAAGTGAGAAGGAAGATCTGGCTTCTCTTTAAAAGGCCATTAAAATCTTCATAGTATTGTCTGCTTAAGCAGCACATTCCAGACCAAAGCAAGAGAGTGCATAAATGTAAAGATTAGGAGCACAAACTCTGGAATCAGGCGCATAACCGTAAATCCCACTGCCTCTTGCTAGCTGTGCAGTCATGAAAAGCCAGTGTGTGCCTCAGTTTCCTCATCTGTAAAATAGGGACGCCAATAATAATAATAATAATACCTAGCTTATAGGGTTGTTGGGAGGATTAGATTAGATGCATGAGCTACTTTGACAGACTGCACGCTGATCTGTGACACTCGCATCTTCCATGGCTGTCACCAGCAGCGGGGCTGCTCTCATATCAGGAATAAGAAGAAATCAATTCACCATCCTCAGCATTCACTGTCTGTCTTCAGTGTTCATGGCCCTTAGCATTCGTGGTCTTCAGCATTCCCTGCCTCCATCATCTTCCACCTTGACTCCATTCACCAACAGAGGCCCCGCGTTGTAAGTTTTCTTTGTAAAAACTCATTGAGTGAAGTGTTGCTCTGCATAGAGGTAAAACAACATAAAATAGTTCATGTCTCCCAGTTTCCCCTTGGATGAAGCCCTTTGCATTCTTGCCCTTGTGGAAGTTTCTAGTCCTTGCCTAATCATGACTGAGGTCCCAACTCCTTTTGCAGAGAATTACTCCGATCTTCAGAGCCTGGGGACAGAGCCTCACATATGTTCTATTTCTGCTGCCTGGACTCCCCCATCTCTTCATCCTCCTTGCCGTGCAAAGCCTCTGCCTTTCTATTCAGCCTTCTGCACAACCATAAAGGATGTCTCTCAGGACCTCAGCACACAGCACAAAGCACGCTGTTTTCTAATTATTTTTATCTTCCTTAGTAAACTATGAGCTGCTGGAGAGAAGTGATCCTGTCTTCTTCATCATTGTCTCTCCAGGGTCAGACCTGACACACAATAAATTCTCAATAAACCTTGTTGAAAGAACTATAAATTGTTGAGACAGGCCAGAAAGCAAACCTCTTTCTGAAACATCCATTCATTGGATTGCCTTGAAGTGGTCTCAGCCAAATCCACCTTTTGCATTAAGCATGTGTTACTCCCAAGTACAGCAGAGAGTGTGGCTTTGGAGTCAGGCTGGCCAAGTCATCTCTGACCATCCCAGTGACCTTGACCAAAACCCCCAGTCAAATGGAAGCGTATAGGTAACACCTCGCCAAGGTCCTGGGGTAAATGCTTCCTGCCTTGGTTCCCAGGCTCATCTGCACGCATCATCTGAGGACCTTCGGAAAATGCTAGGGAAGGTGTCTCAGACTACTCCCATGATTATGGTGTAATTGGTCTAGCCTACAGTTTGACCCTTAGAGCTTTTAAAAGACACCAAGTGATTCTGAACTGTACGTATTTAGGAACCACTGGCTTAATAGATAGTTGTTGTTGTTGCCATTCTTCTGTTACATTTAATATCATATATAATAATATAGAACATATTATACAATATATTTAATATAAATGATATTTAATCTTGTCCTGAGAGCTAGGAAGAATTAATGCAGATTGTACTTGGGAAGATACATTTATTGAAGCAACTATATCATTGTTATGAGACTGGATTTGTTCATCAGACTATTTTTATTCTCCCTGCAGGGTAAAGGACTGAAGCTGTGGAGAGCCCACTGAGAGAAGGACAGTGAAGACAGCCTACAGCCCTGGGGGGCCGTGGGGACTCTGTCTACTATGGGCAGTGCTGGGAGCAGCCTAGTGGGCCTTGGGGCCTGGGAGGGACGGTGGAGGGAGCCTCTGAGACCTGGGAGGTGGCCCAGACCCATAAAGTGTCACTTCAAGCCCATTTACCCCTCAGTCTTTGAAATAAAAGGGCAACAGTGTTGATGTTGAATCTGTAGTCAACCAACAGTGAAAGCTGTGGTTTATACCCAACAGGTGTGCAGATGAACCTTAAAGTGAGTCATGACTGAGCCCCTGACCCAGCTGTAACTTGTATGTCTTGTATTGTAGTAACTTCCCTTTATTTTCCATGGCCCCCTCAGTATGGATGTTCTATGTCTTTTTACAATCAGCAGATATCCCACATTTTTTGCCATCATGCTGATTTTTCATGTTGATCATCTTCAATATAAAAGCACCTAAATATTTATTTTTCTTTAAAAAAGGTGACAGTCTAATATTTATCATTATATGAAGAGACATTTTTGTGTTTCCACAATTATGTTTTCCAGATACAAAACATCCTCATGTATAGAATCAATAGAATTACTTAGCTACAGTTTTCCTATCATCAATATTTGACATAATGTTTGCAAATCTGTCAGCCTAAATTATGTATATATGCAGCGAAGCTTTCACTATTTTGAAATTCTAACAATAATAACTGTAAAATTATAAGAGAACTGATAAGCATTCAAAAATCAGTTTATAAAATGTTTGTGTTAAAAAATGGATACGTAAAAAAAGAGATATAATGGTGACATTAATTCCAAAGCCAAATTTCTGTTACTATTGGGAAGAAATGTCACATTTTGATGTGCTTTGTCCAGTGAAATGCAGAGGTTAGGGAGGATGTGAAAGGCAGCCCAGTGGGGTGAGGACGGGCCTGATCCGGGAAGTGGGGTGTCCCCCTCTGTGAAGCACAGCTTGTGGGGGGCGTAAGTCATTTGTCTCCACATCCCAATTCCTGAGACCCTGGTAAGTAGGAGACTGTGTAGGCTGGAATCCTTTCTTTAAAAAAAACTATCTATTTGGAACCGCATGATCTGAGCTACTGATGCGAGGACACATTCTCTATTAATAGCGCCTCTATTCTAGCTCTTCATCACATCCTATCTGTGACATTTAAAGCCACTTAAGAGACACAGCATTGGCCTTGGCTGCCTTGGACGAGTTCTTATCAACATGCAGAGGCTTAAGGGAGCATCTCAGGATAGTTCAGCGGCTGTCTCCATCAATACAAACACTGTAGACTAAGTCGCCCCTTCCGTCACTGACTGCATTCTGAACCTGCTCTGGAAATGCTTCTTCAAAGTGCAAGGCAAACCTCAGCCCAGTCTGTCCTGCATTCCATAGTGACCTCTGTGCACCTGTGTCCAACATGAAACTCATGAAAGCAAAACTGTCCCCTTGAGTCCCTCGAGGTCAGGAACCGGTCTTGTTTACCTTCATGGTACTAGATCTGAACGTGGCACCTGCCTCGCAGTATTAAGTGCGCAGTCTGGGATTGTGGAACAGAAGTCATAAATCTTTTTACTGCCTTGCTTCTCAACCTGCGGTCTATGGACTGGGGCGTTGGCATCTCCAGGAAATTTGTTAGAGATACCGAATCTTAATCCCCACCCAGACTTATAAAAGCAGGATCTGCATTTTAACCAGATCCCCAGGGGATGTGTGCACACACCGAAGTTTCAGAAGTGATGTACAGTTAACTAAATTTTACTAGGTTAACCTATTTTCATGACACTGTTTGCTTCCTGCACCAATTTTAGATAATGGGCTCTGAGGGAGGCATGGGGCAAAATGATAAATTCACAAATCTCTGATTCATACATTTGAATACACCCCATCATTAGCAAGGAAATGAATGCTCCTGATTAAAGTGACTGTTTTTGTAACGTCACTGTACTTTTCCGTTTCAAAATAAACCAGAATACAACTTGTATGTCTGTCCCATTTACAGCTGAATATTACATCTAGATAAATAATACTAAACCCCGGTGTCATGAAGGACAGCCTGCCTATTACTTCTGCGAGGGGAAAGAAATACTGCCACTCCACCACATCTACCCCATTAATTCCATGTAAAGCTTAGCTCAT
Organism: Homo sapiens; assembly: GCF_000001405.40. Taxonomy (NCBI): domain Eukaryota; kingdom Metazoa; phylum Chordata; class Mammalia; order Primates; family Hominidae; genus Homo; species Homo sapiens. Next base: position 109,882,779 of record NC_000013.11, on the reverse strand, counting down.
ACTTTCTGCTCCATGATCTGCAGATCTCCGTATTCGTTTATTTCTACTCTGTATCATTCCAACTGCATTTGGGTTGTCCTCTACTACCCCCCCACCCCCCCCCCCCACACACACACAAACACTTAACATAAAAACTAAGGATATGCAACTTTCAGCTAAGCTTGACAATGAACGGTCACCCTTATGCGATATTGCTTGCTAATATCCTTTCGCTACTACTACCTTGTTTGTTGCTAATATTTGAGCTGGACTTAAAGCTAAACTCATAGGGATCCTGCGCTGTGTGTTTGTGACCTGCTTTCCTTAGAGCCACTCAAAGTCTGTGGCCTCACAGGTCCGGTCTGGCATTGCAGTGTGAAATTCTCCACGTGCCCTTGCCATGCCTAAACACAGCCCCTGGAGAATGTTCCAGCCGACATTCCCTGAGACAGCCTCTCACCCAGCCCTTCATTTAGCGAGAAGGGGAGGTCACTCGGGGTAGAAATATAGACCCAAACACCCAGATTTCTGGTCGTGGCTCGTTCTAGAGCACACGCTTCCCCTGGCATCATGTTTCTTTCTGCTGGTCACAGGAATCTGCTGCCCCCAGGCATGGAAAAGAGCAGCTACCACATGGTTCAGAGCCACAGGGACTCGAAGGACCTGCCTGGGGTAAAATGTGGAGCGGAGACACAGTGACCCCATTGTCCATAGAAGCAGCTTTAAGAAAGAACAACTCCAATGCGCATGATACAGCCTCAGTATGGAGCTCCTGGGTTTGCCTTCATTTCACCTCCTTAGTCTGCGAACCTCGCCTCCACCTGTTTCTTTCAGTGTTTTGCACGGTGTCTTGAACATAACAAATGTTTAATGCACGTTTTGTTAGATTAAAATCTTCTGAAGTATTTTATTTGGGATGGCATTTTAATTTTATGCCTGGCATCTCTAACTGATTGCTTGATAACACTGAGCAACAACAATAAAACATTTTTACATACAATATTTTGAGCCTTGACTTCAAAGGTGAGCGCAGGTTATGAGGAAAGCCTGGTTTAACCAGAACGGGAACGGATAGGACAGATCTGGAAGCACTGAACACGTTGAAGCGAAGACTCTTTTTTTCTTTTTTAAGAATCAGCATTTTAAAATAGACGTATGATGAAGATTTACTATAAATTGAATTTTATTTAAATGTACCTAGAATGACATGCTTAGTCAGCGTGGAGCTGTGTTCTGATGCGGTGTGGGCAGCGCTGGGAACGCGTCTTGGTTTAATCTGCCAGCGCCCGTTAGTCATGCCTATTGCTCCTTCTCGGGGAGAACGAATGTGACATAACCACTAAGCTAACTTTACTCGAAATCTTGGTCCTATTTTCAACCTCCAACCTTTAGACCAAGCTTAGAAAGGCTCCATCTCCCTTCATGGGTGCCATTTATGGCCACCTGCACGTGGCACCTTCGCTGGGGCTTCTCTTTGAGTGGTTTCTGATGGCCATGTCTTTTTTCCTCCAGGGATTCTGAGCTCTGTGTGAAGTTCTGTATCTCACATGATTTACATTCTGAGGCTGTGAGAGAAGCTTCCGAAATCTGGACACATAACCACGTGAGGGCAAAGCTCTGTCCACACCACCCCGCAACGCACACGGTGTGGTGGCTGGAGGCGTTCAAATAACACCTGCCGTGAAGCCTTTTAGGGAAGGGAAGCCGGCCTTGGATCACTCAGCTGCTGCTGTTTCCTGCGATCTGTGTTTAGAAACCATCAAAAACCCAGTCCCAGTGGCAGGGTCCCCTCCCCTGTTGGTGACCTGCTTGCTGACCCCGGCCACCTCCTTGCGCAGCCCCTCACGTCATCGTACTGGGGATCAGAGGCCCTGAGACCTCCCATGGCGTGAGCAGCCGCGGTGACAGGAGGTCACAAAACACTAGCCTGACACATGCCCGTGAAAACGCTGTGACAGGTGATTGGTTTTCATGTCAGCACGCTGTCCCGGTGCCTGCTTGACCTGGCTGTGTGTGTGATCAGCCCCTGCCTCGCCCAACAATTCCAACGCAGCGAAACAGATCACCAACGACATTGCCGCGCTCCTGATCATCTTGCTGTTGTGGCTCCACTGCGTGAACGTTCTAGGTGTGGCTGTGTCTGTCTTAGCACCCACTCTACGGAAAAGATGTAGCATTTGAGCTGATGAATTTAGAACTGAGAAGAACCCTTGGTGTGAACCTAACGAGTCTCCCTTCCACCGGTGAGGAGCTGCCCTGCCCTCCGGCTGTGTGGCATGTTGATGGCAGAGCTGACCTGCAATTTAAGGCATCTCATCCTCTATCCAAACGCCAGGGGGGATGCAGTGTACTGCGTTTCCATTATACTAAAGCATGATGAATGGAGTGAATGGCATTAACACCAGAAGGAAGCAGACCTGGGTTATAGGTTTGATTCTACAACTTCTTCTTCTGTGGGATTTTGAACACATCTCTAGTGCTTCTAACACATGGTTGCCTTGTTGGGCAAGTGAATCCAAGAAACTCCTACCTGCCTATCCAGGCAGGACTGGATCCGGTGATGTATTGAGGTCACTTCTTTTTTGTTTTTGTTTTTGTTTTTTGTTTTTTGAGACGGAGGAGTCTCTCTCTGTCTCCCAGGCTGGAGTGCAGGGGCGCCATCTCAGCTCACTGCAAGCTCCGCCTCCCGGGTTCAAGCAACTCTCCTGCCTCAGCCTCTCGAGTAGCTGGGACTACAGGCACGTGCCACCATGCCCAGCTAATTTTTTGTGTTTTTAGTAAAGATGGGTTTTCACCGTGTTAGCCAGGATGGTCTTAATCTCCTGACCTCATGATCCGCCCATCTCGGCCTCCCAAAGTGCTGAGATTACAGGCATGAGCCACTGCACAGGGCCTTTTTTTTTTTTTTTTTTTTTTTTTTGAGATGGGGTCTCACTCTATCACCCAGGCTGGAGTGCAGTGGCACAGTCTCGGCTCACTGCAACCTCCGCCTCTCTGGTTCAAGCGATTCTCCTGCCTCAGCCTCCCAAGTAGCTGGGATTACAGGTGCCCACCACCATGCCTGGCTAATTTTTTTTTTTTTTTTTTTTTTGTATTTCTAGTAGAGACAGGGATTCACCATGTTGGCCAGGCAGGTCTCAAACTCCTGGCTTCAAGTGGTCCACCCACCTTGGCCTCCCAAAATTCGGGGATTGCAGGCATGAGCCACCACGTCTGGCCTGAGGTCACTTCTGACTCTCAGATCAATGAATCCTGGTAAGCGGGTGTTCGCTGGAGCACCCAAGCAGGACTCCTGGCCAGTGTGTATGTGTCCGGTGCCATGCTGGCCAGCCTCCAGACCAGATGCTCAGGACCTGCTCTGAAGAGGTTGCGAAGTGATATGTAATGCAGCCCTGGTACCTAATATACAGATGTCTTCACATTGGAAACTTCACTAGAAACTAATATACAGATATCACATTAGAAACTTCACATTAGAAACTCTAGAAGAGTTTCTAGTGCATTCTTTATGTACCTTTAAATATGTGTGAATTTCAGATAAAGATTCTTCCTCTTTTTTGAAATCATCTGACATTAATTTGATCTTAAGCTCCTGGCAGCTTTCTTTTCCAGTACTGTCTGGACTCTTGAGTATTGTACTCCATAGAAAACCATCATCCTGCTAGTCTATTTGTTACCAATCAGAAGGGTTCCCTTCTCTCTCTAGCAATATTCTAGATTTCTTTCTAGGTTTTTCCACAATGCATCATACTGCTTCCCCAAACTGTACATTTACCCACCAGCTGCAAATTCCCATAACATAACTATAATTCCTTTCCATTTTCCTTTGGAAAAAAAATTAGGCTGAAGTCACTATACATATGTTTATTTGACTTGCTAGATTTTGGAAATTTTTTGAATTTTTTGCTGCAAGAACTTGATGTTTAATTTGGAAACACTGTTTATTAACCTTTATACAACTGTATTTTTACAGAGTAGAAAAGGTCATAAATCTTAGTTGGATTAGTAACAGAAATACGTTGGGAAATAACGGAAGAAGGATTTTAAATTCTGATTATTATAGGAAAAGATAAAAAACTTATTCAGTATTTGAAATACAGTTGTGTGTGCTTTTGTTCAGGCTCCTATAACAAAATACCATAAACTGGGTAGCATATTAACAACAGAAGTTTATTTATCAAGTTCTGGAGGCTGGGAAGGCCAAGATCAAGGTGCCATCAGATTTGGTGAGGGCCACTTCCTAGTTCAGACACATTATTTTCTTGCTGTGTTCGCACATGGTAGAAGGGCAAGGGGTCCTTTTTGCATCCCTTCTATAAGGTTACCAATACCATTCATGAGGGCTCAACCCCGAGACCTACTCACCTTCCAAAGGCCCTACCTCCTAATTCCATCACCTTGGGTGTTAAGATGTCAACATGTGAATTTGGGAGGGACACAAACATTTCATCTGTAACTGTACCAAAGCTAGTAAATAGCCAAGTAGACTTCATGGCTGAGTGTATTTTGCAAAAATGGTCACACAAATATATATCCCATCTCATGATGGGATATATATTTTACAGTGTATTTACTTTACAGTGTGTTCTTGACAACCTTCCACTGAGAGGTGGACCTCTGTGACCTTCCCTCATGTTCGCAGTGCCTCGGGCAGGAGACTCCGGGGACAGTGATGCCCCATCTCTCCTGAGGCTAGGTCAGAAAAGGCAATATGCTCACTTTCTCTCCGATTCTTCTATGATTTACCACATAGGCAAAATCCAGTCACTCCATCATGAGGAAGCCCAGACCACGTGGATGGTCCATGTGTGGGCATCCCAGACAACTGCTCCAATGAGTGTCCCAGCCCCAGCCAGCATCCACCACCCTGCCTGCCAGGGAATGGGACCTCTGATGATTGTAGCCCCAGCCTCTGAGCTCCAGATGAGCCCCGGGTATCATGGAGCAGAGATGTGCTGTGCCTCAAGTGCCGACCCCCAGAAAGTATGAAAGATAATAAATGATTATTGTTGTATTAAATCACTAAATTTGGTGTAATTTGTCATACAGTAATAGATAACTAAAACAGATTTTAAAAGTCACTGCCCATAGTATGTAAATTACAAGCATATGTCATGTATATGTAATTAAATGTAAATTACATGAAAATTACAATAATGTAAATTATATCTGCCTTAATTATGGACACAGAGATTAGGAAAAATACATGATATGTTATTTGCATACCACTTTCGTTATTTAACTGTAACCCCAGTTCCAAAAAATAATAAGCACAGTTTTGAAATTCTAGACAAATTCAAACCTAATGTTGGAGTGTATTTATCTTATTGATGTTTTTGTTTATAAATTAACTTTGATTTTAATTTTGCACTTGCATGTTAGGTGGCTATGCATGTAATTGGACTAAAATTTTATATGTGACATTAATAAAAACGGCATCCTCAGGACAAATACATATTCATCCTGTGGGAATCTTGTGTAGTTTTCCAGGCATCCTTGAATAATTATGTCCATGCAAAATTTAGAGTTAATATGAATTTCATTTTACATGGAGTTTTTAATATATAAAAAATCTACTGCAGAAGATATAGGTTAGTCAGGTTGACCATCTTTTTCAACATTAGCAGACATTTATAACTGATATTAAGTTAAAATGATTCAACCCATTAATGACTACTGCCAACCAGATAATGATACAATATAATGTCATATGCTAACATAAGGCCACACATATTGTAAAACTCTACTCATAGGGAATTCTAATATATAGGTAAATTTAAGCCATAGATTATGGTCAAAAACTCAATTTTAACATGTCCAATTCAAATTAATTTTGAAGAAAAGTTGACCAAAAAGTAAACCCCAAAAGATGGATAAGATTAAGTGGAGCTGAAGATGTGTGTAATTTTTGTGTTCACAGTCTTTTTTTAAAAAAGTGAAACCTAACTCTCAAAATTAAATTTTATTTTGTTTTACAGGCAAAGTATTTCTATCTTTACCTTGACATCTGTAAGCTTCCAATCAGAATAAATTTCAATACACAACTGTGCTACTGATTTCTTCTATGAAGATCTCATGCCCCATTTGCCTTGCCTCAGTAACGTAGCCATTATTCAGCGACCACACACAGACACTGCTAGCTCACCCCTAAACTTGTAGTCATTTGAGAAGTTACTATGCCCAGATGCTCTTGAAACTTTGCTTTGGCTATTTCAGTACATTTATGCTTATCCTGAAAAGAAAATAGCAGTGTGGCAGTTGCTTCTGCTTCGAAGCACCATTTTCTTTTACTTCCCTACCCAAGTCCCAAGTCCCAGCAGAGCCTGTGGTCCCAGGAACTGTGACCTGGACGCTGAGAGGGAGCAGAGGCACGCGTGCTAGGCCCACACTCGTCTGAAGATGCCAGGGGGTGCCATGCTGCCCTTACACTCATGCCCTCAGGAGCAATGGGCAGACTCATCTGACATCCTTCCAGGGCTGTTTTTCAAAACCAGAGTCAGACGGCTATTACGCTGCTCTTGCAGTTGTGGGTGGATCAGCCTCCACTCAGAGAAACAGAAACAGGCTTCCCTGAGGTCATGCGACACATCCTTTGGGACTTGGAGAAGGATATTTGTAAGTTCTAAATTAGCAAGCCAAATAGTCCTGAAGAGCTGGTCAACCTGCTGTCTAGTCTCCTAAACCTCACAGAGCATCCCATGCACAGAGCAGGTAAAATAAAAAGGGTAGCATGAATAAGAAAATGCATTATGCTTTAGCAAAGGTCTACCTGCCTCCTGACAGTTCTTAGATCCTCACAGTGGGGAAGGCACAGAAAACTTGCAGAGAGCCCGCCTGGCCCAGGCCTTGGCCTCACCTGTGGCCACCCCTGCTTTGCACCACTGCCTCCTCAAGGGACAGGTCCCACGTGACAGCGTGGCTGGTATGGTCCCTGTAGAAGTGCGAGAGAAAGCAAGGACACAGCCTACTAGCCTGAGAATGCCAAAACAGCTTCTGAGTAGTGAGCATTATGATTGCAAACCCAATTGTTCATTTTCATATGCAAATCCTGGCATACGTGCCAAAATGAAAACAGTACTGAATGGGATATACCTTGTTGACTTACATGGTCCTTCCCTCCTCCCATTCCTTCCTTCCTTCCTTCCTTCTTTCCTTCCTCCCTTCCTTCCCTCCTTCCCTATCTTTCCTCCCCTACTCCCTTCCTCCCTTTCACCCTTCCACCTTGTCTCCCTTCCTTCCTTTCCTTCCTTCCCTCCCTTGTTTTCAGTACTTTGACTAAAAAGGGACTGAAAAAAGAAGTCAAAGTATGTTTTTGACTTTCTAGTCAATGTACTCAGTGTCTCCATTAAATACACTACAAAATGTACAAAGTGTACAAAATACACTACAAAAATGTTATTTTGCAATGCATGATGCATTAACTCAGCTATGGTTTCTAACCAGGGCAGGCTGTGCTGTGTCCTCGGCATTGGGTGTCTGTTCAGCAGGCATCACAGAATGAAAGGCTGTCCATGAATAAGTCTTCATTTCACTCATGCAGAGACAACCTGGTCTTTTATTTTTTGAAACCTGTCAAAACCTTGCCAGGAACCAGAAACCATCAGGCCCGTTGTGGTTTTATTTTATCCGTGAATGAGTATTGAAAAGTAATTGTGTGGTTGGCTCTTATGCTTCTTGGATTTTTGAGATGCTTTTCATGCCAGTTAAAAAGATTATTTTATCAGTGACCTTTGTAGACTGACTCTGTAGTAAACAGGAAAATGTTCAGCCACTATGAATTATGTAATACTTTGAAATTGTCTAGACAGTGTGAGCAGGGCAACAGATGGAGTAAATTCTTAGAAATGAAATCAGTTTAGCAACAGAATTCTGAACCGAGATGGTCTCCACATCTCTCCCGCCCCTGCCCCTCTGATCCTGTCCTCTCCCCTGATGCTCCTAAACTCTTTGACCCCAAGATACAGAAGGATTTATCAGGAGTCAGGTGTGGTCTACCCTTTGCACTGATTTAGTAATGGGCTACAATGTCAGTGATTTGCTCATTTGTCATATTTCTTTCTCAGTCTTCTTGCTGCTGGGTGAAGAGTCAAGGATGACATAGCAAATAGGGACACTAACTACAGAAATTATTGCTGTGGTGCTTTATCCAGGCAGCACAGAGGGAAGGCAGGCCTGTGGTGGGTGGAGGGGGTGCTCTGGACTGCCTTGCTGTTTACACACCAGCCTCACCTTCTTCAGAAGAATGCCCTATTCCTCTCGTGGTAGAAAACTGTTCCTGTCCAAAAGAATATCTTTGAGCATAGTTACATGGTGGGAATGAAATGAAAAGATAAGAAAAAAAGCAGACTTAATAATTAAATCATCACTTACTGAGAAATCAATAAGCGTCTGGGGAATGAATAAATGTGTTAACTATTGTCAGCAGAACTTTCTTCCCAAATGAAAATAGAACAAAACTAGATGCTGAGGTCTCTGGAAGCTACAAAAAAATCTAAGACAAGAATGCAGCCTATAAAAGCTTTTACAGTGATTTGGGAGCAAAGTGTCCTGCCTATTAAGCAGGTAACTAAACGATGTACACTAGGATTCCCTCAGAGCAACAAAATGACAGAGAAGAGCAAGTTCCCCTGGTGTTGGGGAAACCAGGAATGGATTTATCGGGGATGGGAAATTTCAGCTGGTCCTTGAAAGAGGGTAAAATTTAGATGACAGAGGAGGAGAGCACAGCAGGCCACAAGAGCATCAAACAAACTTGAAGTTAGGAAATGGTGTTCGGAGGTAGCAGCAAGGGCGGTGGAGGAGAGTGCATTGGCTGTGAGGCTAGCAAGGGTTGGGATTAGGAGTTGCCCCGGAGCCCAAGCCTGGGGTGTGGCATGTCCCTAAGCATCTCATGCATTTCACGCTTGTGGCCGTATGGGTGTCCTCTGGGGCTCTTTGCAGAGACCTGCGTGCACCTCCCCGGGAAGCAGCCCAGGTTTGGTTAGGTTACCTGTCTGGTTCTCTCGCTATTGTCTTAGCGGGATCTCCCCCCAAAACAGATCTGAGACAAGAATTTATATGAGAATAGTTTATCTGGAAGGTCAGGGGACATGGCTAGCAACGGAGGCAGTTAATGAAGAATGACTTATCTCAGCATGAGAAGATGGCCATAGGGAGTGCCTTGCCACACTGAGGCCACCGTGTGTGACACCGTTGAGTCTCACATGGAGACATTCATTGTCCACACAGGAGAGGAGCAGGGTGATTACATCCCAGTTCCAACTTGCGGCCCACTCCAGGTGTCCCAGGAGCTCCCTGGCTCTACCCGAGGCCCCCAGGAAACCAGGAGTCAGGCTGCGGGTGCTCAGCAGCAAGGACTGCGAGGCAAGAGTGTAGGTGTGAACACGGAGGGAACAACTGTCATTCATCTTTGTAGTAACCATAAAACCTAGCACAGTGCTGGCCAGGAGAACTTGAGAGGCAGATGAATAAATGCAGAGTCATTGGCAGCAGAATGCTTTCTCCCCGCATGAAAACAAAACCAACTGAAGTGGCCCCTTCTAGAGAGCCTCTTTTTTTTTTTTTTTTTTTTTTTTTTTTTAAATTTTCTGTTTCTCTTGACTATGGATTCCTGAGCCCTCTGATCTAATGCCACCTTCTGACACCACAGACTACTGACTCCCTAGGTCAAGGTTCCAGGGTGGCCTCCACCCTGAGGGGCTGCCAGCATCTCCTCCTGCCCTCAGTGCGCCCTGAGTCTGCTCCCTGGGGAAGCCTGAGTCCAAGTGAGAGAGGGGTTGGAGGGAGAAGCCTGGGGGTTGCCCCAGCTTGGGAATTTCCAACACTCCTCACAAAGACAATAGTGAGAAGCAAACATGAAAATGTACTAGGAAAATTATGATCAGAAAAGCATTTGGAGACATTAATTGAAAAATTGAGTCTTTGAATAACTACTTATTGGAAACCCTTTGGATGAAATATAATAATTTATTAGTTCCAGGTAAAGTTAACTTTGACAGACTCTTTCTCCACTGTGAGAAATTCAATTTTTTTGACATGCCATGAGGGATGAAGAATGCACCAAAACAGAGGCTTGCTTCCATGATTTCCATGTCTCTTTTTAAAGGATGTGGATGATTCAATTAGCGGATTCTATTAAAATTGATTAGACACTGCAGGATTCGGTTTCCTTTCCAGCCTTCTCACCTTTCATTGTCTGGAAATTAACCACGGCAGGGTTGTTGTACCAGAAATGTTAGCAGGGTCTTTATGTGATTATTTGAGAGAACAAACATAGCTACCTTTTTCCATAAGCCTTTAAAAAATAACCTCCCCTTTTGAACCAATAAAACGCACCTCGCTGACTTCAAATCTCTTCTTTCTTTGTGCTCACCTGGAGAGAGTTGTATGTGCTGGATCTAGAAAGGAATGTCAACTTGCTGGGCAATTCACGAGGTTTTCATTCGCATCCAAGAAGCTCGTATAAGTTGGTTGGATCTTCCAGTTCAGCAAAGGTGTTTACGTAGAACCAAGCAGGAGACGAAAAGAAGATAAAGGGCTTAAGGGATTAATTGTAGTCCTCTCCGGTTATAGTTTAGACAGATACACATAGTAGGGGTATGTCTATGGTCACCTGCATGGAATTTTAATTTATCTGCGCATCTCAGAAACTAATTTATATTGTTGACCTCAGAATAAACATTAGAATAAAATATGAAAATGTGTATGATGTCCTGTATTTTGCCAGTTTTGAGTATGACTGTAAGAAACTTTGTAGCTTAAAATGGATCACATCAAGATACCCTTCATACTCTATGATGTTAACCAGCAAAGATACCTGCGAGGTTGCTTTACTTTTTTTTTCTTCCTATAGTGAGGTCCTGGTAAAAGAAAGAACATAGATTTGCATCTTCTTCCTCATGTATTAAGCAGAGATTGCATGGGTTATCATGGTACAATTTTCTATTATTTGCAAGAAGATAACGTGCTCAAATACCTCTGAATTTGAGCAACAAATTATTTTGCAAATGCCAATCTCTCTCTCAATGCCCTCTTATGTGTATATATGTGTGTGAGTGTGTATACACACATATATTTATACATGTTTGAGAAATATACATATATATATCTCTCTCATATATGTATCTCATATATATATCTCATATAGATATATATATGAGATATATGTATATCTCAAACATATATATATATATCAGCAGCTGAGTTGATTATTCATTTAACCAAAATGTATTGAACCTTCACTAGGTACTCAGAATTCAGGCCAAATGAACATGGTTTGTGCTCTTGAGGGGCTTAAGGTGTATTAGAGGAGACAACAGATTGTTTGCAAAGCCTCTTTCCTGGAATCCCTGCCTCCATTTTCACCTGGTTAAGTCCTTCTTAACTCACAGGTCTCAGTTTAGACATTGTTTCTTTCTCATATTTAATTCTATTATGGTTAGTACACTTAACATGAGATCCACCGTCTTAACCAATGTTTAGGTGTCGGTGTGTTATTGCTGACTGCAGATGCAATGGTGTACAGCCGCTGTCTGAAGCTTACTCATCTTGGTTGATTGAAACTTTATGCCGTTGATGAGTAACTCCCAGACACTTTTTTTCTTGGAAGCCTTTCCTGACTCCCCAAAGTTTGCTGTGTGCCACCCGCCACCCATGCTAGCAGGACACATCTCACATCTCACTGTGCTTTCTTGTCTTGCCCCTTACTCATCTGCATTCCTGTCCTACTTGTTTCACAAAGTGGATGCTGTTCTAAGTCTATCCTGTGCCTGGCCACAAAAAGAAAATCCACAAATATTTCATGAAGAATAAATGAGATCAGCAAGCGCAGCTCATGGTGATAAGATATTCGCTGGGGTGTGCCTGCGATGGAGACATCTAAGTCCAAAGCTTCCCAGGGAGTTCTGGAGGATAGATAAGAGTTTGTCAAAGAACAGATAACAGCCTTCCAAGTGGAAAATCAATAACAATCTTGGAGTTGCCAAGATGTGGAGGAGTGTTACCAGGACTCACAGGCAGTCCTCCACGGCCTCCATGTGGGAGAAGAAAGCTGGGTCTAGAAAGGCCAAATTACACAGGGCATGGCAGAAATACCTGAGTGGGCATTGAGGGACAGTTCCCAGTTCTAAGGTGGTGGCCACTGAGTTGAGAGACTTTAGGAAAGTTACTTAGTCCAAAGGTTGTCCAGAGAGCATTATGGATGAGCTCCACCAAACGTGTCCTGGAGGAACTTTCTAAAAATGTGCTTGCCCCGGTCCCAGCCCAAAGGCTCTGACTCAGGAGGCTGGCTATGGGCCTCCCTCTGACACTGCCGTGGCACTTGGGTGGCACCTAAGAGAAGCACCTTTACAGGCCATGGAGATGGTCGGCCATGGGTCAGAGGGTGCAGACCTGGGCCACCTGGAACAACCCTGTGAGGCACCTCAAGGTCACTCTGACCACCAGTAGCCAGGTTTGGGGAAAAACAACAAGGATTCTGGGGCCGCTTCCTCATTTTCACAAATTCCTTCCTTAGCAACGTCACCAAGCTGTCCTGAGAGAACAGACGAAAAGATAGGGGAGTGACTCCGAGAGACGCCCAGCACTGTCTTGACCTCAGAAGGTTGCTGCTGTTTGATTGTCTTCATCAGCAGCCGTGGTTGTGAAATGACTGACAGTCCTGTCGGGGATGGAATGAGCAGGCCCATCTTTCCGGGGAAGCTCCCTGAGGCTGCCTTCCCACTCAGCTCCTCCCCTTCTTTGCGATGCTGGTCAGATTCCTTCTAGATTTCCAGTCGGATTCTCATCTGGCTTCTGCTCGGCGGAATTTTTCTGAGTTTCTGATTAATTCTTCAGGAGCGATGCCTCACCCGGCATTGCCTGCACAGGGAGGGTCTCCTGGCCGTCTGTGAGCGAATGGCGCTGCCCTCTGGAAGCCGGAGCCCACGTTCCCTGCGAGGCTGCAGGGCGTCCTCCCAGCCAGCAGCTGGCTCTGCGCTGTGTGTCCGCTGAGCCCAGTCGGCCGCTCTGTCTTTTGTCTGAGCCCTCGGTCTTGGCTCATTGCCTGGCAACGTGCTGGTGCCGCCAACCTGGGAAACCACTTTCTCTTCTCTCGGTGTCACGTGTGTACTCACCCAGAAAGATGACACGACCGCCCCGGAATTGCCCGTCTTCACTCTCCCCCGCGTCGTGGCTGCACCAAGTGGTCTGCACGCAGCAGCTGTTTTATGTGCAGCGAGTGCTTGGTTATTTTTCAAGTTTTTTTTTTTTCCCCAGAAATGTGGCCTTTTTCTTTCCCTGGAAAGGAAGCTTCAATGTGTGCTTCTGGGAACGAGCAGAGGGAGAGTCGCGAAATGCATGGCTGGCATTCTCTCCCACTCCTTATCAGAGAGGCGACTGGGCCAGGTGTCTGATTTGCTTCCTGCCATGAACCTCGAGGACAAATGGGGACACCGTGTTAGTGGAAACCTATTGCTGTGTTTCCCATTTAGCGAGCCCAGGCTGGGATTTTCTTAGAAATTAGAGTGACAACCAGATTTTTATTCTCATCTATCTCAAAAAGGCACTCACATAACAGTGAATCTTGCTGGTTGACAGGAATTGGCATTGAAGCCATGATATTGTTTACCAAGACTTGACCTTTGGTGACTCAGGATTTTTCATCCCTTGCTGCAGCGTAGTTGTTTTTCATGTTTCAAGGCAATCTGAAATGACATTGAAGTCTGATGACCTTAGGTCAAGTGCTTCCTCAGAATGTTTTAAGCCTTATGATCTTGCAGAGGCAATAACATTAAAACTCATTATAAAACTTATTCTAATAAATAAAGCTGTATATGTCAAGCGCTTTCTGTGTGCCAAGTATGGTGCTTAGCACTTACCAGGAATTACCACATTTAAATCTGATGGGCACCCAGGGAGGCAGGTGTGTCCCTAACCTTATCTGTTTAATAGAGGAGTAGTTATAGTTGCCTTACTAAATCCAAAGAATGTTCAAAACACATGAGAAGACTTTGCTCTCTCCAAAGCACCATGCAGATGAGAGTGTGATTGATCTGCATCCTATCTAAGCATGTTCCTGACTCACTGTTCACAGTACAAGCACATCACGATGTTTTGCTAAGAGTGGGATAAAGGTGACACTGCTCTGCTCAGCTCTTCTCCTGGGTGAGATGCCAGGCAGGAGGGGGCCAGTGCTGCCCCCTTGACTACAGCACAAAGGGGCCAACAGAGGGCAAGAACTTAGTTCCTATCACCTCAAGCCCCTGCAGACACGAATCAGAAATTGTCATTGCCTGTTACTCTTTTATAGCATTAATTCTAACTGTATTTTCTTAAATTACAAGAACACCTGACATTTCACTATATAACTGCATGAAACAGCAATTTAATCTAATTGTAACTCATACTATTAACACCATTTTCTCCATTGAGTGATTTTTCATTAAGGTCCAATAATTACTACCTAAAAATGATGTTGGACCATTTTCAGTGTTTTAGTCATACATCTAGAGCCAAGTTATCAAGGCTGCATTTTTTATTGTCCCAGATTATGTGTTAAATACAAACTGAATATGTACTTTGGAGTGAGCTATAAAAATTTTCCTCTAGGTGTTAGAATAAAATTGTATTTTCCAAGAGCAAACTTTGATCAAAAGGCAGGATTTTATTAAAGGATTCCAAGTATTTTTATGGTCATGCACATGTACACGGACATAGATAGATAGTGTGTGTGTATAGACATAGATAGATAGTGTTATGTGTTGAATTATGTTCCCCTAATCCCAGAGTTTCACAATCTGACCTTGTTTGGAAATGGAGTCTTTGCAGATGTAGTCAAGGTAAGATGAGGTCATTAGTGTTGGCTCTGATTCAATATCACTGGCATCCTTCAAAAGGAGGAAAATTTGAACACACGTACACACACACAGAGAATGTCATATGTAGATGATGGCAGATATTAGGGTGATGAAGCAGAAGCCAAGGAACACCAAAGATTGCTAGCAGATTACCAGAGACTGAGTGGCAGGCATGGAGCATTTTCTCCCACACAACTTTCAGACAGCTGACCTCTTGACTTCTGACTTCTCGACTCCAGAACTGTGAGACAACAAGTTTCTCCTGCTTAATCTACCCAGTTTGTGGTACATAGTTAGGGCAGCACTAGGAAACAAATATAGATTTATAGATGATAAAGAGGTAGATTGATTGATAAATGATAGATGAATTGATAGATGATAGGTAGACAGGAGAGATAGATGGATGATTGATAGATACATAGATTGATAGATGATAGACTGATAGATACATAGATAGATGATAGATAGATGGATAGATAGATGATAGATATACAGATAGATAGACAGACATATACACAGGCAGACAGACAGACAGATAGACAGACAGATGGACAGACAGATGACGTGCTCTGTATCCACAGCCTTTTTCTTGTCTTCTGTAAATTTTTTATAAGAGGTTTTAAAACTTTTTATTGACATAAAATATACACTCAGAAATGTGCACACACGTGTACAGACTGATCACCCCCGCCTTCCCAGAGGGTCCCACTCCCTTTATTTCTATCAACATAGATTAGTTTACTGATTTTGGAATTTATAAAGAAGAAATCATGCCATGTACTGTTTTGTTTCTGACCCCTTTTGATTATCATTATGTCATACATTTCATCCATGGTGTTAGGTATAGCTACATTTTATTCATTTTCATTGATTAAATAGTATTCCACTGTGTGAATATATCACAGTGTATCCATTTCATGATTGAAGGACATAATGGTTGTTTTCAATTTGGGACTACTACAAATAGTATTGCTATTTTGGTGCATATTTAGTCTGTGGTGCACATTTATATGTATTTCAGGTAAGAGCATTGTAAGGAGTGGAGTCACTGAACTGCAGAGCCTGCTTAGGTTGGGTTTTAGAACCCATGTATGCCAGTTTCATACATGACTTCCAGCTGTTCTGCACACCTGCCACCATTCCAAATTACCATTTCCCTTCTTTTCAGTTTCTGCTTCCCTTCCTTCCTTCCTCCTTCTTTCCCTCCCTCTTTCCTTCTTTTCTTTCTTTTATTCTTTCTTTCTTTGAGACAGAGTCTTGCTCTGTCACCCAGGCTGGAGTGCAGTGGCGTGATCTCAGCTCACTGCAACCTCCACCTCCTGGGTTCAAGCAATTCTTCTGCCTCAGCCTTCTGGGTAGCTGGGACTACAGGCATGCAACACCACACCTGACTAAGTTTTGTATTTTTAGTAGAGATGGCGTTTCACCATGTTGGCTAGGCTGGTTTTGAACTCCTGAACTCAAGTGATCCACCTGCCTCAACCTCCCAAAATGCTGGGATTACAGGCGTGAGCCACCACACATGGCCTATCTTTCTTTTATTCGTTCCATCTCTGGCTGTCTGTTCTGTCTTCCTCTCTTCTTTCTTCTCTACTTTTTATAATTGTACCCACTCTGGTGAATGTGTAATGCTATCTTCTTTAATTTTATTTGCATTTCCCTGCTGAGTTTGCGTACCTTCTCATATACTTTCTGGTTACTTGAATAGACTCTTCTGTGAAATAGCTTTTCAGTTCTTGGCTTTTTTGGGGTTCTTTTAACATCTTTTTTCGTAAAAGTATGTAGGAATTCTTGATTTTTCTGACTACAAGCCTCATGTTAGACATACGTATTACAGTTGCATGTATTGCAAAATCTTTAACTTCTTTGCGGTTTGCATTTTCCCTTTCTTTATGGTGATTTTGATAAACAGTAGTTCTTGATTTTAATAAAGGATAATTTATCTTTTTTCCCCTTTCTGGACAGCATATTTTGCATTCTGTTTCAGAAATCTTTGCTCACCCTAAGGTCATAAAGATTCTTTACATTTCATGTTAGATCTTCAACCCATTTGGAATTGATTTTCGTGTATGGTATGAGGTAGGAGTCAAAATGTATTTGTAAAACATGGACATTCCATTATTTCTGTAGCATTTATTGAAAAAATACAGTATATTATATAATATACAGCTATATATACATATATATGATATATAATATACAGTTATATCTACAGATACAGTTATATACCCAGAATATCTCCTTATTTATGTATTCTCTAATTTTTGTCTATAAAATTTTCAAGTTGGTTACATTTGTTAGATTAATTCCTTGTTGATATCTTTTTGATGCTAGTATATTTTATATCTTTTATATATCTTATCCTATTTGTTTATTGCTGCTTTATAGAAATGCAATAGTTTTTTGTATGTTAACTTTGTTACAAGTAGACTTGCTGAATTGGCACATCATTTTAGTAGTTTATCTGTAGTTTGATTTTCTACACGTTTAGTCGTGTTGTCTGTGCATAAATACAGTTTTATTTCTTGTCTAATCCTCACACATTTTCTTTTCTTAAAGTTCTGTCTAGAAACTCAAGTAGAACAATTCAGTAGAAGTGGTGATGCCAGGCTTCTTTTCTCATGACTGATCTCAAGGTAAATACTTAAGTAATTTATAATAAAAAATGATAATTTCGGTAGGTTTTACTATAGATCATCCTCATCAGATCAAGGAAGTTTTCTTTTATTCCTAGTTATCTTTTACATCATACATACATGTTGAATTTTATCAAGCAATTTATTTTTGTATATTAAAATTACCTGATTTTTTTTTAATGCAGTGAATTACAATTACTGATTTTGCAAGAGACAATAAATACAACCAACTACATATGCTAAACCAAACTTGCACTTCAGGAATAAATCCCAACTTAGTTTGATGGATTATACATTTCATACATTGACTGATTTGTTTTTTGAATATTTTGTTCAGGAATTTTACATCTATATAAAAGAGATGGCCTATAATGTTCCTTTTTTGTAATCTCTTCATCCAACTTTGGTATTATGACTTTTCTAATATCACAAAAAGTTGTAAGTACTTCCTATATTTCTGTTATTCAGGATACTTTGTGTAAGATTAGTGTCTTTTTTCTTTCTCAAATGTTTGGAAAATTTTACCAGTGAAGCATCATGGCTTTAATGTGTGTGTGTGTGTGTGTGTGTGTGTGTGTGTGTGTGTGTGTGTGTGTATGTGTATGCAAGGTAGTATATTTATTTGTAACACTTAGGGCTTCTCAAATTTTCTGTTTATTTTCATTTTCATTTTAGTAGGCTGTGTTCCCCAAGAAATTTATCCTTTTTCTACAAATGTTTAAACTTCTTGGTATAAGGGTTGTATATATTATCTCTTGCAATATTTTCCATGTCTGTAAGGTCCACAATGATGTTCTCTTTTCATTCCTAATTTTGGTAATATTTTTCTTCTCTTTATCTCTCTCTTACTCCTCAATCTTGTCAGGGACATGCCAATTTTATTAATACATTGAGAAAACTAACTTTTTTATTTACTATCTCTTTTGCATAGTTTTCATTTTAATAATTTTTCTATTATCTCTATTATTTCTTTTCTTAAGATTTAATGAGTTTGGGTTTCCAAGTTACAGAGGTTATTTAAGATTTTGCCTTGTTATGTGTGTGCAATATATAAATTTAAGGCTATAAACATCCTAAGAACAGTTTTCACTTCACCCCTGAAGTTTTATTATGTTGTATTTTCATTATCATTTAATAAAAAATATTTTATAATTCCCCTTGGGATGACTTCTTTGACTCATGAGTTTCCTACAAGGTCATTAGTTAATTCCCAGTATTTGGAATTTCCTGGTTAGATTTTTATTGATTTCTAGCTGTATTCCACCATGGCCACATCAGATAATCTTGGTGATTTCAATGTTTTGAAGCATATTTTGGCACAACATATTTTCCATTTTGGTAAACGCTTCTGTATGCTTGCAAAAACAATTCCATTCTCCAATTGTTGATTGCATGTGTATTTATTTTGGGTGCAATTAAAGAACATTTGTGTTTCTTAATTTACTACATCAGCTTCCTGAAGAAGAAGAAAAGAACTTTAGAATTCTGAAAGCCTATGTGGCCATGATCAAAGCAGCGACTTTGCTAGTTGGGCAGGGTCTCAGCCAAGCAAAGGGGCAGAGGTCTCTCCCATCACTTGGAGGTACATGGTTGGAGATATACTTGTTCTTCTTTGCAGTGGGGTATAGAAATATTTTAGGATTT
The DNA here is from genome assembly GCF_000001405.40 of Homo sapiens. Lineage (NCBI taxonomy): Eukaryota > Metazoa > Chordata > Mammalia > Primates > Hominidae > Homo > Homo sapiens. The sequence continues at coordinate 109,863,686 of NC_000013.11, read as the reverse complement.
GTAAACCTGCTTCTTTCCTGTGGTGCTAAGACCCCCACTGATCCTCCCCTCCTTCTCATTGTGCCTTGCTCTTCTTTGCCTGGGCCTTCATCCATCCTTCTCAGAGGAAGACTGCAAAGCTCAGTGCGACAGACCTTTAACTGGTCTCGTTGCCTCTAATCTCTTAGCTCTGCAAGTAAGATTATTCCTCAAATCATGGTCACATAACCCACATCCTTAAACTCCTTCGAATGGCTCCAGAAAATGGGCATGATAAATTCCAAACATATTATCATGGCATGGATGCCCCACGGCCAAGCCTTAGCCTAGGTCCTTAGCCTTAGCTTCTACCTCAACTCCTGATGCACTCTGTGGCCCAGCTAGACCTCGCCACCAGATGTTTAGCATAATGCATTCACTCTCAGGACTTTATTTTATTCCACCAGCAGGGAAGGCTTATGCCGCCTAATCAAAGCTTGTTCATTCTTTAGGTTTCAGCTCCATCTTAGACCCTTCTCTGAAATTTTCCCCGAGCCCCTTCCTGGTCCCACGTTTGTTCTTCCTCTGAGATCTTATCCCAGTTAGTTCCTGCCAGTCCAGTTTCTTTTGCGTATGCAGCATCTTCTATCTGTCTCTATCTGCCCCACAAGAATGCCAGCTCCTGGAATACAGAACCCTGCTAGAGCTCTTTCTGTATCCCTACCAGGATTTCACATTGAACTTTGCAGACTCACCTCATAAGTGAATGCAGAATTGAATCCCCTAGGATCTGTTACGGTTCATAATAACTTGTAAAGTACATGTACTTCTCAGAACCAGTTTTTCGAGTGGAATGAGTCATATGAGGGTCAGGATATATCAGTGTGATATTTTGTAAGTAAGTCTAAAGCAGGAAGCATTAAGAAAGAAGTAGCTCAGAGCAAGGGATAAACAAGATTAAGTAGAAAGGGAAGTATGGGTCACCTTCCAACTCAGAAGATTAGAATTTCCACTTTCCATGTATTAAAAATAAATCTATGATCTGAAATCAAAGGTTGTGGTCAAAGCTCTCCCCTTCCTTGGAAAGCCTCTTGAAGGTCAGCACTTCAGAGTTTGCCTCTGTAGCCCCGAATTCAAATAGATCAGCTGCAAGCTTGAGATGCTCAAGATGGGAGCTATGGAATTGCGTGATAGATATTATAACCAAGAGGCAGGTTAGACATTTCTCTCTATTACACTTCATGTCCCTAACCCTTTCTGGGAAGAAAGAGAAAATGCTTCTATTGTGCACTGAAATTTAGTGGACTTCTCATCCGCTCAGCTGCCAGGCTAGAGACCTTGCCTTGAGGTTCTACCCGGCACATCGCTTGTTATCTTTTTTCTCTGCCAACAATTGCTATTATTTCTTCCTCTGAAGTTGACCTCAAATTAGACATTTCCTCTCCATTCTGTCACCTCTAATCTCCTCCTGCCCGTATTGTTTCCTGGCTGGCATTCTTGCCATTCATGTATCTCCCCTCAAAGCCACCCTCAATATTTTTGCAGCTATCTTCCTCAAACAAGGTTTAACCAGGTCACTCTGTTCTGAAGATTGCATCATGGATTCATAGTGCCTCAGCAACCATGTTCCATTTTCTCTGCCTAATTTTCAATCCATTCCTAACTTGGGCCCACCAGTTGTATGCAATTCTATTTCCTTCTTCTTTCTACAATGCAAAATTTAGTTCAGAGGTAGCATAACATTGCGGTTAAAAAAGCATTTATTTGGCTTTATGACCTATAAGCTATGACCCCTGAATAACTTCTATGTGCCTCAGTTTCCTGATAGGTTAAAGTAGGTGTAATCATATTCACCTTACATAGTTGTGGTAAATAGTAAATGATTCAATATACATAAAATGCTTAGAATGGTACTACTCCTAGTCAAAGCTGTAGGTACAGAGAAACAGATAATTATTAAGATGAAGTATATCTGCTTTCCTTTTTCAGCCCTGAACTTGCTCATACCTCTCCTTTTTATTTATTTATTTATTTTTACACAGAGTCTCACTCTGTCCCCAGGCTGGAGTGCAGTGGCGTGATCTTGGCTCACTGGAACCTCCACCTCCCAGGTTCAAGCAATTCTGCCTCAGCCTCCCAAGTAGCTGGGACTACAGGCGCATGCCACCACACCCAGCTAATTTTTGTATTTTTAGTAGAGATGGTGTTTCACCATATTGGCCAGGCTGGTCTCGAACTCCTGACCTCATGATCCATCCTCCTCAGCTTCCCAAAGTGCTGGGATTACAGGTGTGAGCCACCATGCCTGGCCCATACCTCCCCTTTTTATAGCAGTATCTAAACTCTGTAGCCTTTCAAGACTGTAACACATCCCACATCACTGACAAAAATTTAGCTCTTCTCTTCTCTGGACTCTTCCATCTTGTCCTTAACATCTGTTCTTCATAGACAGCCCCTCCAGCAAAATTTTTGGAGTAGGTTATGTTGAAATCCTCAGCTAAAATGTAATCTTCATTCATTCATTTGTTAACTTATTTTCTCAACAAACATCTCTTGAGAACATGTGCATGGTTTATGACCTTTCACTCAATAAATGTATCCTTGGTTGACCTGTAATCTGTACCTTTATAATATGAAAATAAACTTTTAACAAATGTATTGTTTCCTTTAATTTCTGCAACATTCATTGAGCTCCTATCTTTGCATTAGAAATGCAAAGATAAAACAAGAGTCCATGCCCTCAAAGAGCTCAGAGTCTAGCAGGAGATTCAAACTTACAAACTCATCATTTTAGTATCACAATATCAGAGCTTACATTCTATTATATTCTGGAAATGTTTGCATTGTTCCCATTCTGATAAAATTTCCTTCATATATATATATATAATATAAATGTATATATGTATATGTATGTACATATATATTCATATACATCATATATATATATTCCTTGCCACCTTTGTGGTGGGCAGAATAATGGACCCCAGGGATTCTGAGCCGATTCTGTCTCTGGGACATGTGATTAAGTTATGTCTCATGGCAAGGGGAATTAAGGCTGCCAATGGAGCTGAAGTTGCTTATCAGCTGATCTTGAGATAGGAGCCTCCTTCAGTGGGAGCTGGAGAGAACCACCCCACAAGTCCAAGTTCCTATCTCAAGATAGCCTTCGTTGCTCATCAGCTGATCTATAAAGACCTATAAGGGCCTTTATAAGTGAAAGGGGCAGGCAGGAGGGTCAGTGTTAGAGGGAGGCTGTGAATGGCTAAGCAGCCACTGCTGACTATGATGATGGCACCTGGCCATGAGCTGAGGAATGAGGACTTGCAATACCTTGATTTTAGCCCAGTGAGACCCCTTTTGGACTCTGACCTGCAGAATTGTAAGACACCTGTAGTAAATAGCAGCAATAAGAAACTGATATATCCTTAAAATGCAAGGTAGCAATTATCCCGGATGTCAGCATTGGTTCAGGCTAAATTAGATAAAGGGTTTCAAAAGCTTTACACTTATTAAAGTGAGAGAAAAAAATGCCATTTTAAACAGGCAAAGAATTGCGCAGTTATTGTGGTTGATCTAGGTCCATAATCCTGTAGACTTCCTTCCCCTCAGCTGAGCTGTTCAGGCATTCTCTATAGCTCTGACCACAAATCTGATTTCAGCCCGGGAGGTGGGAAGGAGCCTACCCAAGTTCACCTGCTTCTATTCCTGCTTGGAACACTCCTCCCAGTGTAGTTAAGAGTTACAGATTTATTTGGGTGGACAAGCCTCTGTCTTTCCCTCAAGTAAAATAACTAGGTCCTATGTTGTTTGCTGCTCCTGAACTATTTTGTATCTGAATTCCAGTCCTCTAAGCCTTTCTTTTCATGCAGTCCTTCCAAGGAATGCAACTCTGAGTCCAGACTTTTCACCCTTCTGCAAAATCCTCTTGACACCAGACACCTGACCATGGGATTTCCGAATGTGCCAGCTCCCAGGACCTCAGGCTGTCTTGCTAGGATGCCACCTGCTAACTTTAGTGTCGTGACGTGTTAGTCAAGCCCAATGCCATTCAGGTGCTGTCACTAGGCTCCGTGATCTTCCTGACTGTTCACATTTCCAGCTGCCCCTGCAGCTCAGGACAAGCTTAGTCAATTAGCATTTCCTTGCCCCACAAAGCCGACTCCATACTTTGCCCAGTCTTCAAGATCCAAATTTTTTTTCTCAGCAGCTGCCCCCCACCATCTCAGGGAGAAGGCAGTAGCTCTTGCACTTTGCAGTCTTTCACTGCCTTAAAGTGTCACCTCCCAGCTGATCTCTATGTACCCATCTCCCCGCCGCCCCACAGACTCCACCACAACTGCACCTAGACTCCCCTGACCCTCCTGCCTCCACCACTCACAACACCTGGGACTTTGCCATGTATCCGCACTTGTTTTCTTAAGGGAGAGAAATGTTTCTATATGCTTTATTCTTACTATTTTTTATTGTGATAAAGCACATATAACATAAAATTTGCAATTTTAACCATTTTGAAATCTACCATTCAGTGACATTAACGACATTCACGATGTTGTACACCCATCACCACCATCCCTCTCCAGAACTTCATCTTCCCAGATGGAAACTCTGTCCCCGTGAAACACTCCCCATTCCCCTCCCCCAGCCCATGGCAAACATCATTCTGCCTTCTCTCTCTGTGATGGTGACAGGTCTAGCAACTGCCATAAGGAGAATCACACAGAATTTGTCTGTGTTTGGCTTAGTTCACTAAGGATAATGTCTTTAAGGTTCATCCATGTCATACCCTGTGTCAGAATTTTATTTCTTTTTAAAGATGAATGATATTTCTTTGTTTGTCTATACCACATTTTGTGTATCTTTATTTATTTATTTTTTTTTTTGAGGCATAGTTGTGCTCTTTCACAGAGGCTGGAGTGTAGTGGTGCAATCTTGGCTCACTGCAACCTCCACCTCCTCGATTCAAGCGATTCTCCTGCCTCAACCTCCTGAGTAGCTGGGATTACAGTTGCGTGCCACCAAGCCCGGCTAATTTTTATATTTTTAGTAGAGACGGGGTTTCGCCATATTGGCCAGGCTGGTCTTGAACTTCTGACTTCAAGTAATCCACCTGAGTCGGCCTCCCAAAGTGCTGGGATTACAGGTATGAGCCACCACGCCCAGCCTTGTGTATCTATGTATTTATTGATGAACACTTATGAGTAATACCCTTGAACACGTGTATAGAGGTATCTGAGTCATTGCTTTCAATTCCTTTAGGTACATTTCCAGAAGTGGGTTAACTGGGTCATATGGCAATTCTACTTTCAGCTTTCAGGGGAACTGCCATGCTGTTTTCCACAGTGGCTGGACTATTGTACAATACATTTCCACCAGCAACGCTTGAGGGTTCCAATTTCCCCACATCCTGGCCAATGCTTCTTTTCTGTGTTCTTGTGTGTAGCTATCCTGGGCTGTGTGGTCCTTGTCCTTTCCTCACTTCTTCTCTGGCTCTTTTCCCGCAAGCTGCAAAACATGCAGATGTGTCCTCAGGTCTTAGAGCAAATTTTCTTTGGACAGGATTTTCACATGGATGTGTTTTGCTCTCAACTTTAACCCCAAATTCTTTTTTTTTTTTTTTTGCAGGAGACTAGAGTTTTAATGTTATGCAAATCAGTCTCCCCGAACATTCCATTCGAGGATCAGAGAGTTTAAGGACAGCTTGGTGGGCCGGGGGAAGCTGATGAGCCGGGAGTGCTGATTGCTCAGGTCAGAGATGAAATCATAGAGAGTTGAAGCTGTCTTCTTGTACCGAGTCAGTTCCTGGATGGGGGCCACAAGATCATATGAGCCAGTTTATCCATCTGGGTGGTGCCAGCTGATCCACCAAATTCAGCGTCTGCGAAATATATGAAGCTAAGCTCAAATTCTTAAAAGTAGTCCAAAGTCATTTGCCTTAGTCAATACCTCAGATTCTCTCCTTAATCTAACAAAATACGACATGTATAGCTGCTACATTCATGAAGCTTCGGGTTTCCAATTCTCTTTTTCCACCCTCATCCAACACAATTCCCTCTGGCCCTACCACTCCCAGTTCGGCTTGCATACTGGTGTCGTCAGCATCACCTGGGAGCTTGTGGGAGGTAGGCTCATCAGCCCTCCCCAGACATACGTAATCAGGATCTGCAGGGGCACAGGTCCCCACGTGGTTCCCTAGGCTCAGCTCTGCAGGGTTATAACCCATTGACATCCCCTCTTCCTTGAGACAATCTTGTCCCTGGGCACATCCCAAGCTGCTCTCTTGGGATGCATCTCCTGCCTCCCTGGAGGTTGCTTCTTGGCATCTTTGCTTGCCTGCCTCTTTGACCTCTCTCCCTTGACTTCAGAATCTTCCTGGGTTCTGTTCTTAGCCCCTCCTTTCAGAAACCCAACCCGTTCTTCCAGCATCATCTCATTCATTCATGTGACTTCCATAACTACTTATACAACTATTGGTCATGAAACTATCTCCAGCTCAGAGCTGTCTCTTGAACTCTAGGCCTATAATTTTATTTACCAGCCTGACCTCTCTAGCCTTATCTCCCCACTGAGTCTAGGAATCCCAGCACAGCAAAATCAAATGCCCCCAAGCTCTTCAGCTTCTACTTCTTAAGGAGACACCATCATCTTCCTGCTTACCCTGAGGTCCAATGCTAATTCCTGCTTACTTCTCTATTACAGTTAGGGACCAAAACCTGTTGATTCTATTTGCAAACACTCTATCTCAGAATGCCAGAAAACTCCAAAACATTCCTCTCTCCCAGACCTATGCTGCACAGTTTCAGAGGGTCTCTCCTGGGAATCTCCCCTACAAGCAGTTTTTCTCACAATCTCCTTCCCTCTGGGATCTGCATGGCACTGCTGTGGTGCAGCAATTCATCTTCTGTTACCTCTGCAATAGCCTTTAACTAAATTCTCACCTCTAGTCTCAGACCACTGCTACCTGTTATTTTTCAAAAATATGTATAGTCCTCTAATTCCTTTTCTTAAAAACATGCAATGTCTCCCCATTACCTATAAATGAAGGTCCACAGTCCTAAGGAATACACTCGTGGTCTTTTATGATCTGTTTAGAGTCTGTCCATTTTCTTAGCCTTGTCTTCCAGGTCTGTGTTCTAGACCATGTTTCTCAACCCTGGATGTCCGCCAGGATCACCTGTGGAGATTAAGAAACCAAGGCATCTCTGCCCAAGACTGGCCTAAACCATGAACTCTGCGAGTGGGATCCCAGCATTGGTAGCATAATAATTAGAGGACGAACAGATAAGCATTGCTGAGTTTCAAGTGCATATCCCCTCCTATGGCCTCCTGGAAGATGCCATCTTTAATCTCTACCCTATGACATAGAGCCATCTCTATTTAGGAGGAAAAAAAAAAGAAAGAAAAAGAGAGAAGGAACACTTTTCCCCTTGCAAAGGCAGCCTTTCTTGTAATATCCATAATGGATTTCACTTTCATTCTAATTTAGTAAAGATGAAAGCAAATGTAAGAAGTCCAGTAAAATATGATCTTCCAGGAATTAAGGCATGCCAGGGGACGCATTAACTTAATTGGTCTATATTAATAGAATGAAGGAAAATAACATTGTGATCTTCAGGGTGGACGATAAAAGCATATTTGTTGTCTAGCTGTAAGAGAAAATAATAAAGTCGTGTGTGTGAGGGTGTGTGTGGGGGCCGGGGGCCTGGAGGGGTTTAGACTTGTATTCTCTTCTTTAACTTTGCCTGTAAAGACTGACTTTACAGATTCTCCAATTTCAAAGAGTCCTCAGTGTGAATAAGATTTAATGAATATTCTGAATGGTGATGAAGATCATTTAAAAAATTCCAAGCAACTCAAAAGGAAAATAAAGGGGGTTTAGTCCCATATTTAGCCTCATCTTTATTTTGCCAAGATGCCATATTGAATTTTCCATCATATTCTCTATGAATCTTTCTGATTTGACCCTTTCAAATAGTAAAATATATTACTTTTAGTATTATCATCTTGAAAGACTGCTATCCCTTCCCAGTAAACCAGCAGTTAGCTAAAACAAACAAACAAACAAAAACAAAACAGCGTTTCTTAGCCTTTCATTCAAAAATTAGACTAAGAAACATATAAAAGGACTACAAAACTTTCCGAAGTACTCTTTTGGAAGTTGGCTATGGTAGTGTTGTTTGTGATCCTCTTGAAATCCCACCCACTCCCCACTAAAAACTCACAATACAAGTAGGATAGCACAACAGAAAGTAAGAAACATTTGCAACAAAACTAGGTGACATGACATTCAAAATGCTAGAAAGTTACCCACAACAGCCACAAGACCTGAGTGGCATCATCGTCTGGTTGGCAGGCAGTGGGGTAGCCGCTGGACATGAGAACAAGGAAACCACCAAGTAGCCTGCTGATGCTTACTGGGAAGCACAGGAGCCTGTATGAGAACTGAGAACTGCAACAGAAACAGGAGGTGCTTTCTTTTCTTATGCTTGGATTAATTTTTTAAAAATATTTTATTTCCATAAGAAGTTATTGTGGAAAAGGTGGTGTTTCGTTGCATGTGTAAGTTCTTCAGTGGTGATTTGTGAGATTTTGGTGCACCCGTCACCTGAGCAGTATACCCGGCACCCAATTTGTAATATTTTATCCCTTATCCCCTTCCCGCTCTTTCCCCCTGAGTTCCCAAAGTCCATTGTCTCATTCTTACGCCTTTGCATCCTCATAGCTTAGCTCCCACTTATGAGTGAGAACATACGATATTTGGTTTTCCATTCCTGAGTTACTTCACTTAGAATGATAGGCTCCAATCTCATCCAGGTCACTGCAAATGCCATTAATTCATTCCTTTTTATGGCTAAATAGTATTCCATCACATACACATACTACAGTTTCTTTATCCACTCATTGATTGATGGGCATTTGGGTTGGTTCCACGTTTTTGCAGTTGTGAATTGTGCTGCTATAAACATGCCTGTGCAAGTATCTTCTTTTGTATAATGACTTCTTTTCCTCTGGGTAGATACCCAGTAGTGAAGTTGCTGGATCAAATGGTAGTTCTACTTTTAGTTCTTTATGCAAATTCCAACCTGTGGATGAGTGCTAGGGATCCACTCTCAAACCAACAAGCCAAGCTCCCTCCAGGACTCAATGCCACAAAGAGGAGAAGCTGGTGGGAAGAGAATACAAAAGAGCAGGATAGAGATGGTAGGGAGGAGAGAGAAGGGGGGAGAGGGAGGGACAGGGATCCTGGGTGGGTGAACAAGGACCAGCCCCACACTTAATGGTTTCAGGAAAACAACTCCAGAGAGAGGTCCAGAGCCTGGAGCTGAAAACACTCTTTAGACTCATCTCTCCCTCCTAAAAATTCAGGAAAGTGAATCTCAGGTAAAAATGAGTAACAGAAAAGGGTTGCAGAAGTCCATATAAAGTCACTCCAAGGAAAGGAATAAGGAACAAAATATTGTTCCTGCAGATAATGAGATTACACCTGCAGGATAAGTCCACAAAGCAGATAAAAACTGAAACCACAGTGTTTCAAAATGATCTAAAATAAATTAGAGATTAATAGAAGATATTAAAGATCAACATAAGTCAGGAATAAAGTTGACAGAATTCAGGAAAGGGTTGAAACTTTTTTAAAAAATTTAGAAATGAGATCTAAATTACAAGAAACACATACCTTTATAGAATATTAAAAGGAGGAAACTTTTAGAAATCAAAAGGAAAAAATTCAATAAAAGTGGAAAAACCTAGATGATGGGGAAAGAAGTGTCACAATACGTACAGTAGAATTTCCCAAATAAGAAACAGTAATGACTGAACTTTGTAACTCAATCAACCTTTCCTGAAATAAAAAGAAAGACTTAAACTATCTGTTGAAATGGACCACCACAGTCCTGAGCATATGGAGTCAGCACACCAACATCTAAAATTCCCAGAAAATTATTGATTTTGCTTAAAAAAAGAGGAAAAATCATTTGAATCTCTAGGCAGAGATTAGTCAACTCATAAAGAAGAGAAAATCAGATTTGCTTCAGAGTTTTTGACAACAATGTTTAGTAATATTTATATTTATGATGCCCAAAGGAGACAATATGGGAGCCAAAGATTTTGTATTTCACCCGTCAGCCTAAATAACAGAGCGGCTCTCTAGAAGAAAATGATGTTTATTCAGGAACAAGCATTGCAATGGGAATGTGCGTGCCATAGGAAACCAGGTGCATATTCATAGAGGTAGAGGAAGACAAAGGTAGGACATTTTGTAGGAAAATGCGGAGGATCACATGATTGTTTTGAAAGGATCAGTAACAAGGATGGTGCAGTCCGGGGCAGACAGGCAGTTGCTGGGTGGATGTCCTGGAAGAAGGATTTTGTGTAAGTAGGGTTGCAATGGTCTTTGTGCAAAGCTGTGGTTTTTGCAGCCTTTTGTGACAGTTCTTGTTGTCAGGCATGTGTGCATGAGAATTCTTTCTTCACAGCCTGCCCCAGCTCCAGTTGTCAGGGTTTTTAACACAAATGACTCCATTTCGATTCTGACAACTTTCACACAGCAAATGACTGTCAAATATAAAAGTCGCAAATAGATATAAATGTGTAGAAACTCAGGGAACGTTGTTATCATTAGCCCTCTCTGAGGAGTGTTCTAGAGTAAGAGCTTCAAACAACCAAAATCAACATAAGGACAGGTGATGAAAAACATCTGAGTAGTCACAAGGTAAAATTCCACGGCGTCATGGAAGACACGTCCTTCACTGCTCGCCAGCCAGAAATGTCAGCCACAGAAGGTCCCTGCCAGGCAACGCCCAAAACATACTTAGAAGACAATGACTACAAATATGTAGTCACAAGGGTCATAACCACCTAGATTATCAAGATAATAGTCTTCTATTTTCAAAAAGGCAAGAGGAAGCTGGGTGCAGTGGCTCATGCCTGTAATCCCAGCACTTTGGGAGGCCAAGGCTGGTGGATCATTTGAGGTCAGGAGTTCGAGACCAGCCTGACCAACATGGCGAAACCCTGTCTCTACTATAAGGACAAAAATAATTAGCCGGGCATGGTAGCAGGTGCCTGCAGTCTCGGCTACTTGGGAGGCTGAGGTAGAAGAATCACTTGAACTCAGGAGGTGGAGGTTGCAGTGAGCCAAGATCGTGCCACTGCACTCCAGCCTGGTGACAGAGCAAGACGCTGTTTCAAATAAGTAAAATAGATAAGTAAATAAATAAATAAATAAAAAGGCAAGAGGAAATGGTGGCCTTTTGTTGATACACAGTGAAATCATAGTTAGAAATGTTTCATCTTCTGGGTAAAGAATGTGCCACATACATTACTATTTCCACTACTGCCTTACTTCTGCATATTTAAAACACAGTTTGCAAATGGTTACTAGAAATGATTCCATTCTTCTATGTATCTTTTTGGCACTTTGCAAAATTTCCCACCCTGAACACTTATTAGTTGTATATACCCCCAAAAGTTTTAATAAGGGGAAAATGTTTAAAGCTAACAAATAGTCACCTAAAATAAAGAGTCCATTTATTTTATTTTATTTATTTTTTTTTTTGAGACAGAGTTTTGCTCTTTGTTGCCCAGGCTCAAGTGCAGTGGAGCAATCTCAGCTCACTGTAACCTCTGCCTCCGGGGTTCAAGCAATTCTCATGTCTCAGCCTCCCGAGTAGCTGGGATTACAGGCTCCCGCCACCAAGCCTGGCTAATTCTTGTATTTTTAGTAGAGACAGGGTTTCACCATATTGGCCAGGCTAGTCTCAAACTCCTGACCTCAGGTGATCCACCCACCTTGGCCTCCCAAAATGCTGAGATTATAGGCATGAGCCACTGCGCCTGGCCTATTTGATTTTTTAAATACTGTTAGTGAAATAACTAGTTAAGGAAACACAGAGCTTGAATAAGTCTACTCTAGCCAGACCCTCACATTAGAAATAAGAAAAGCTACCTCTTTAAGGTGAATATTGTTAAGGTCATCATCCCCTTTTGAGGCAGAATCTGGTCTTTTGTGTAGTCTATTCACAGGAATATTCTCTACACCTTTTTATCTTTTTCCATATCTAATACATGCAAGGGATGAGATATTTAATCAGAAGAAAACAAGTCTGGAGGAAATTCTTTCAGTAGCAGATTTTTAAAATGTAATTAAAACAATGACTGTTGATCAGGAAATCCCTTAGCTTTGGGCAGGTGATCTCAAGTCCTCTGCTAAAACCAACTGCCTCTCTGTTTCAAGACAGTTCTCCCACATACCTTCTTTTCCACCTTGAAATACGTTAAAAGCTTTCCTAACAATAGCTTTTCTCCCCGCTGTCTTTCTGAAGCTGGCAGTCTACCCAGCGGCCACCTTGGTCCGGTCCTGTGCCCCTCCTGGGGGAGTTTTCCTGGTTATTCTTCCTGATACCTGCACATTCCACCTCTCCTCTCCACTGCCTTATTCCTGCTCACTGAGTTATCTTACTCTGTTGTCATTATACATAAAACTAAAACTAAATGAGACAAGGGCACCCCTTAAACTGAGCAGCACCTCAAGTTTCATAGCTGTCTATGTAACTTTCCAAAGTTGAATTCACACTCCTGCTCCTCCAGGCTCCTGCACTTCATGCTTTCTTCCCTTAATTCTTTCTGCTGTGGATGGAGGGGTCTGCTGTCTCCAGATGCCCAGCGGGCTTCCAAATTTTCCAGCTTCCCATTGGATCTCTTGTTCTGTGTCCTGCCCGATGGCACTGTGCTGTTTCTCAGAGCACCTCGCTAAGCAGTTTTTTCCATCAATGATATGGTTTGGCTCTGTGTCCTCACCCAAATCTCACCTTGAATTGTAATAATCCCCACGTGTCTTGGGAGGGACCTGGTGGGAGGTAATTGAATCATGGAGGCAGGTTTTTCCCACGCTGTTCTCGTGATGGTGAATAAATCTCTCTCTCTCTCTCTCTGTATACACACACACACAAACACACACACACACACACACATGCACACAAAGGGGAGCCACCCTGCACATGCTCTCTTGCTCACCACCACGTAAGATGTGCCTTTTCTCTTCCTTTGCCTTCCGCCGTGATTGTGAGGCCTCCACAGCCATGTGGAACTGTGAGTCCATTAAACCTCTTTCCTTTAAAATTACCCAGTCTTGGGTATGTCTTTATTAGCAGCATGAGAACGGACTAATACACATCTCTTCCACTGTTTAATATCCTTCCCATCCACGCTCGTCACCCTGATGCCCTCTAACATCTTCTAGAAGATATAAGCATATATCATCCATATATGTCGATATTCTTTTTAAACATAAAATATGCTTACACTGTTCTGTATCTTAACTCAAAAATAGCCTGGTGTGCCTATGTGTAATTATCTGTAAGATAAATTCAAAAAAATGGATGTTTGATTGTACGTGCTTTCATGACATAGATTTTCAGCACTTTGGAAGGCTGAGGCAGGAGGATCATGAGGTCAGGAGATCGAGACCATCCTAGCTAACACGGTGAAACCCCGTCTCTGCTAAAAATACAAAAAATTAGCTGGGCATGGTGGCAGGCGCCTGTAGTCCCAGCTACTTGGGAGGCTGAGGCAGGAGAATGGCATGAACCCAGGAGGCTGAGCTTGCAGTGAGCCGAGATGGCACCACTGCACTTCAGCTTGGGTGACAGAGCGAGACTCCATCTCAAAAAAAAAAAAAAAAACCACATGTTCTCACTCATAGGTGGGAATTGAACAATAAGAACACTTGGACACAGGAAGGGGAACATCACATACCGTGGCCTGTGGTGGGGTGGGGGGAGGGGGGAGGGATAGCATTAGGAGATATACCTAATGTAAATGACGAATTAATGGGTGCAGCAAACCAACATGGCACATGTATACATAGGTAACAAACCTGCACATTGTGCACATGTACCCTAGAACTTAAAGTATAATAAAAAAAAAAAGGAGAAAAATCTGAAATTCACCTCCAAAGACAATGCATGAATTTATATTCCCGCTGACTCTGGGTTCCACATTTCCTTGTAACCTCCCCAACATGATGTGTTTCTAATTTGATCTTTTCCAGTCTCATAAGAGACAAACAGGATCCCCTTGTGGTTTTAATTCTCGCTTCTTAGAAGAGAAGCTGAACAACTTATCATATGTTTGAAAGCCACTTGTATTTCCTTCAGTGTAAATTGCCTATTCATATCCTTTGCCCTTTTCTGTTGGGTAGCAGATTCTTCTCTTATTAATTTGTAAAATATATTTTTGTATATTAAGGAAGTGAAAATTGTGTCTATCAAACATATTGCAACTATCTCTCTCAGGTTTTGTTTGTCTTTCCACTTTGTTTATATTATCTTTATCAAGACAAATATAATCAACTTTATCCGTCTTTCCTCCCTCCTCCAGTACTTTTTTTTATGGCTTTTTGTTTCTTCGTCTTCCCTCTACTGGGAGAATTCTTCCACATTTAAATGCCTGTCAGTCATTTCCAAGTGGATCTCCTGTTGCCACTCTCAATCCACATAGAGAATCAAGTCCGTCCTTGTTCCTAACCTGCTCCTGTGGAGACCTCGCTTTTCCTGCCTCGTCTCCATCATCCTTCTACACATGCAGACTTAAAGGTTTCTCTGTCTAAAGGTACTTCTTCACCTTCCTTCACGAAACCAGTCTCTGTGCCATGACAAATCGTGCATGGAACTGTTTTCATTTATAAGTCCCCTTCAATTTCCATAGTCAACAAAGCTCCACAGACTCTCTCCTGCAGCCCCAACCCCAGGCCACCAGACCTGTAATCGTCCTCTTTGATCTCCCGGAAACCAGGCCCACCTCCCTGACCCCAACAATTTGAAAGCAAGGATTGTCTCTCACAAATTTTTCTTTTGACATATGTGTGTTATGATTCACCACCTGAAATAATTATATAACCTTTTATAAAGTCTCTACTATTTTTAATTATTACAATTGGCAAGTTGGATGCCAATAGATTTTATCCTGCTGTATCTATACTGTATAATTGCAGAGTATTTCACAGTACAACAAATACACAATATGTTTCTAAGATATTGATCTGAGTACTCTCATCTCCAGGGATAGAACTACTGAGATAATACCTACTGGAGATGCAATAGAGAACCAAAATAACGTGACTTGTTTTATTTATTAATTAATGCTGTTTTATTAATGAATTAATACTGTTTTATTAATGAAATGAAGTGTTTATCCCACGCAGCCCTCCTAAGGAACAAAATCAAAAGAAGAAATCTGGTAAATACAACCTCTATAGGTTTTTACTTTTTGATAGATTTCAATCAGAACAGGCGGGTGGGTGAAGGAGAGCGTATGTATATTTGCATGTGTTTCATGGTTATGAGAATAACCTTACAGTCTGACAGCATCGACACAGAAGAGGAACAACGAAGAGAATCAACATTTCCAAACTGTTTTGTTTTAAATGTGGACCTATACAGTTCCTATGGTTCTATACTTAGGAAAACACATTCTCTCTTTTGTTAATGAACGTATCCAGACCCTCCATCCAGAAAAGGAATGGCTGCAGTAAGTGGCGACTACCCGCGTAGCACATTCTCCTTCCAAGAACATTACTGCAAGATGCACCAGGCGAAGCCTCAGCCAGAGCCCTAAAATGAGCTCCCTCCCTCGCCAGGGGGTTCAGGCACTCCCAGGACAACTCCCACTCTGTGGTAAGGTAATTTTTTCCTCCTTAATTAAAAGAAAACAAAACTTGGAGGGCTGAAGTGTTTACCTCTACTATTGACATTTATTCCTTGTTTGGAAATGTCACTGGGTTCCGGGAATTGATCCGTGCCTGCCTTTCCCTCTCCCTTGTAGCAGCGATTTTGATATTCCAGTAATGAGCCACATCATTTCACGGCCCCAACCATGTTCACTGTGCCACTGGGAAATGTTCCCTCATCTTTTCTAAATAAGAAAAGACTAGAACCACGTGACCCACAAGGTTGCAGAATCACAAGGTTTGTTGGTTTGGTTTGTTTTCAGGTGTGAAAAATAAAAAAAAAGGCGTTTGGACAAGTTTATTCTGGCATCTCTAAAAACAGCAAAATGCTGTGACACTGATGCTGGGCACTGAGTGAGTTCATTTCTGTGAGAAAATAAACAATTATTTCTGGTAAGAATATTTTGATAGATCCTTTTAAGAGTGATCAAAACTGATTGAAAAATAATAGTAGTCCATCTTTAGAACAGGAAATAGAAAAGGTGTAACTATTTTATACATGTTTATCTGTGGAATTTCCCAAGAGAGGGACTTATCAAAATAAATAAATAAATGTTTGGTTTTTTATACTGAAAATAAGATTGGGATGAAATAAATGAAGGTTATTTAGTGTATTACCTAATTAGTGAGTAAACTTCAAAGTCCTATAGGTAATTTTCCATAAAGGATATTAAACTAAACCACATGAAGAAATATTGGGTACAGAGAATGTGTAAAACATCCTCATGCCTTAGGATTCCACAGAACGTAAATGACTTCTTAACAGATTATTTAAAAATCTATTACAAAAGTCACACATTAATCTTGATTTTTAAATATTGAAATTTCATTTCTGAGTTTTGGCTTCCAAAGTATAGCGACTTCATCTCACTACAACTGAGTTTGCTTTTTTGGCAACTGAAGAACAATCAGAAAAATAAGCAACTATTTTTCCTGCACACCCATGGGAGGGAAAAGTCCGCTGCCTCTTTGTTCATACCTTCCGCTCTGGATCTCACTGCCACCTGTTAGCTTAGGGATGGTCGCCTCCCTGGAACAGCCCTGCTGGCCTTCTCGAAGGTCTGCGTGAACACAGCCCTTGGTTCCAGCTTTCTGAAGCACACACAACAGCCTACCTAAATCCCTCAATGACACCCCACACACCGCCTTGCCATGTTGATTAAAGTCCAGACTGCTCCCTGACACTTAAAGCCCTGCAAACCACCCGCTTAAGCTACCATCCCAGCGGCAATAAGTAGCTGATTACCCCCAACCACTCTCAGTCAAGGCCACCCTCCACCCCATCCCTGGTCCTCCAGAGACACCATTCTCTTCATCAGGAAAGCCCTCGCCCTATTTCTACCTAATTAAAGAAAAATATACCCATGCAATCATTCTTAATTTTTATCCTTTATTCCTGCATATATTTTCTAAATTCTGATTAAGTGTATACATTTATGATTAAGACATTAAAAGGAGGGGGTTCTTGCCCAGTTTTCTCAGCTCCCACTGCACTGCTGCTGGACCTCTCTGATGCTGTGGAGTCACTCAGCAGAGCTGGTCTCTCTCTCCCCAGCTCCTGAGGAAGTCACTTTTGATCCAGGCTCTACCTAGGCCACCTACCACTCACCACTTTCCAGTGTGAGTGGAGCTTTGCTCACGAGGCTGGAGGAACCATATGGATTCAGGTTCGTGTCCATCAGGGTTAAATCTGGACATGTTCTCTTCCTAAAGACGGTGACACTTTCTCTTTCTAAAGGTTCATGTCCGTCAGGGTAAATGGAGACACTTGCTCTTTCTAAAGACAGTGAATGGCTTTTGTCCAGGGAGTTCCATCCAGGGTTCATGCATTTGTGACCTCCCAAGAGAAAAATAACACTTCAGCGAAAACTGGCAATTTTTACTAAAGGATGACAAGTCACATCTTTCCATCTGTGGATGTCCAAAGTGGCATCAACGTACCTTGCTACCACAGTAAATCATTGTGACTTTGTTTCATAAAAAACTCTTAAAGCCCTCGACTAATTTCAGATATGTCTAGTAGTGAAGGTGCTCTGTTGGGAGGTTTTTCGTGCAATAACAAAATAAACCCAAAATGCAGAGTTCAATACCACCACTAATCAGCTAAGAAACAAAGTCCCAGAAGACAGCACAAATAGGTGCTAGGGAATGCGTTCTCGGCTGGCACCAAGGAGAAGTGATCAGATCATAACATGTTCTTGGCATTTTTGGAAACACTCATGAAGTTTTTGAGTTTTGCTTGGTTTTCTTTTGCTATCTGACTTTGCTGTCCCCTAAATTATTATGACTTGTCATTAGACATTTTTTAAAAAAAAAAAAGAATAAAAAAGCTAAGTCTCTAGCCTATTATTTTTGAAGAGGTTTGCTATATGTTAGATCCACTATGGTAATAAGATCTATGGTTACACAGCGTGGGGCAAGGGAAAGAAAATGGATTGGGGCTGAGAAAGCTGAGTTTGAATTGCAACTCTGGCATTTATTAGCTGTGCAACAGTAAGAGGGTTAATTGACTTCTCTGAGCTGCAACCTCGTTCTCAGTAAAAATGGGAATTACTATCACTTCTTGCTGATTTGTAGAAGAGGATCAAAAGAGAAAGAACGCCCCACAAGCATTCAGAAAGTATCCATTTCCTTGATCTTCTGTGCGTAGTTACCTCATTCCCATGGACAATCAAAAGTGCTCTGTAGTTTTACTTTTTTGGTTGTTTTTTAAACACTGGCCTGCCTAAATCTCTGGTCAAATAAAAACTGACTCGAATTTTCCGGCTCAGGAATGTGTGGCTGCAACACCTGAGCTGACTGATGTATTTCTATGCCCCTGTGGGATGCGGGCTGGCGGAAGGGGCATTCTCACCTTGAGCCGGGCAGCCTGATCGGTGGACTTGGGAAGCAGGCTCACCTGCTCCTTCCTCCTCTGTGCTCACCTGGGGGTTCCTGAGCCCAGGCCATCTGCCAGCCTGGGCCTCTGCACCGGGCTTCCCTTTTCCCTTTTCCTGTCTTGAGTTTCACATCTGTCAGCTGGGGTGGGCACTGGGCTGCCCCATGCTCTCTCTGGCACCACACATGGTTCATGTCCTTCCCAAATATGGGAAAGGCTGAATCCCTTCCAAAGCATGTGTGGGATCAGGTATGCTATTATTTCACACATGTTTTGAGATTCTTGTCTTCCTTGTGAATTAACCAAGTAATGCACTTGGTAAATGGAGTCATTCGAGCGGCTTTTTACAAAAAGACCTTGCTTCTTTTACCACAGAACAAAGTATTGAGTACTTTAAAATAAGAACCTAACACAAGCCAGAAAGTGGCTAAGTGCCAGCTTGTCGGGCACAGGAGGCTGGGATTACTCAGCAGGCGTCGGAATTGTTTACCTTCTTCAGGGCTCTGTACTGGAGTCCTCCGTGTTTAAGATTTCTTTAAGGACTCAGGCTACATCTGCCCAACATGAAGTCTAGTGTTACTGGTATTGAAAAGATGGGTTGGTGAATAAAATGACTTTAATGATTCATATCCTGGAGCATTTTTGCAAAATGAAATGCAGCAATTAGATGGAGTGTTCCAAGATGTCCCTGCGCGAGGGCAGTTAGGACTTCGCCTACCACACCATTTTTAATAAATGAGGTCACGGCGTATTTATATGTACTCTCGGGGCAGGTTCTGGCTAGAACGAGGACCCACTAACAACAAAGTTACACTTCAGAGACCCCACCACTCACTCACTTCCAGTCTCTTTACCTTTAGAGCGTTTCATTATTTGGGGACAAGGCAGTAGAGAAGAAAAACAATAGGAAGATAATTAATAGGTGAAGAAAACACTTTCTTTTTCACCTTCCTCCAAAATTATCATTTTCTTCATTTGAAAAGTGAGGGCAGATAGACCGCAGTACATCCACACAATGGAACATTATTTGGGGATAAAAAGAAATGAGCTATCGAGCCATAAGGGGACACAGAGGTAGCCTCTATGCAAGTTGCGAAGAAGCCAATCTGAAAAGGTCAGATGCTGTGAGATTCCAACTGCAGGGCGTTCTAGAACAGGCAAAACTATGGGGACAGTAAAAAGATAAGTGGCTGCCAGGAGCTGGGGGAGGAAGGAACGAGGGACAAATCGGCAAAGCACAGAGGACTCTATGGCAGTGAAACCACTCTGCGTGGTGCTGCAGTGGAGGCTGCACGCCCTTCAACACTGGCCAAGACCCACAGAATTCACAAAGCCAAGGGTGAACTCTCAACTCTGGACTTCAGTCCATAACAATGTATCAATATCAGCCCCTCAATTGTAGCGAGTGTACCATATTCATCCAAGATGTTGACAATGAGAAAAACTCGTAGCAGTGGGGTGGGGCAGTGAAAAGGTATACGAGAACTCTCTGTACTTTCTGCTCCATTTTTTTGTAAACCTAAAACTGTACTTAAAAACATCGTTATTCATCAATTAATCACTCATTTATTAGTGACTTTAAAAGTGAAGGTAGCCATTTTCACCTCAAAGCATGTGTGAGACCTAGAATTCTGAGGGTCTGGTTCCTGCTGTCTCAGGGGAACCCTCAGGTTGCTGGCTTCTCTCCGTCTCCATTTTCTCTGCATTTCCTGACCGGCCCTGAAGAACCTTGCCTGGGAGGCAGAAGTGCAGCAAAGTCAGCCACCAGTTTTGTTCCCGTCGCTCTCCCTGGCCCTCTGTCCGCCCGGAACCGGAGTGCCAGGCCTGGGTTCACACCCACTTTGGGAGTTTTCAGCCCCTCCCCCACTAGGATTTCTAGTGAGAATGTGTTGTCCCTTTCGAGTGACTTTAGTGGAAGACCAACACTTTCTACCGCATTTCTTGTGCGGAGTGGCCTGTGGCTGCTTTCTCTTCCCTGGAGGATGACGGTGCTGGAGTGGGAGTGAACCGCAGATGCTGGGTAATGACGCTTTCCCACATTGTGGCAGGCCCTGTGGCTCTGCCAGGCGGGGTGTGGACGGTGCCTTTTGGCAGTTGTCAGTGGGCAGAGCCTCCATACTGGCCATCTTCTTAGTGCCAAGCCCAGTTACCGGAAGGGAACATAAAGGGAAATAAGTCCTGTCTTCACAGGACTCGGTAAAAGGGATGAACCTCTAACTCAGCAAGGGCTATGCACAGAAAGGAGTCATGGGAGGTGGGATGTTTAGGTGGGATGTTTAGGGTAGGGCCATCCCTGAAGGATCAGTAGGAGCTAACCAGGCCCAGGAGTGGGGATGGGGTAAAAGCTCTCCTGGCTCCAAACAGCCCAGCGGCTCTCTGTGCAGCTCTACAGGCGCCAGGCAGGTGTCCTATTCCATGCCCCCCACTCCTCCATGACCCTGGGGACATCCCAGCAGCACCAGAGTTCACTCGAAGCCAGATCCCTGCTGTGACCCCTAGGAGCACTTGCCTCGCCACAGGGATCATTAATTTATTATTCTTCAGGGGGCCCTTTCCAAAGGCAACCACATTACAGAGGAGGCCCATCATCTCACTGCAAAGTTTAATACATCTAACTTCTCTTGTCATATAATCTCACAGCTGGAAGGAATCTCTGAAACCCTCCATGCATATTCAAGCTTAGGAAACCAAAGCCCTGGAGGTTCATTCCAGTTAGGGTTCTTTCCCTACACTGATGTGATGGTTCTCAGAAGCAAGGCAGGCGGAACAGGGACTTGTGAAGCTATGACCACATCTGGGCACCCATCAGACATGGTGCAGGGGGAGGAATATGAATAACGGCATATTTACCACATCTAGGGCACAAATCCTCTCTTTTGCAATAAGCTTATAGATGATCCTGACCATCCTCCAGATACTGCCCACATTCTTCCACATTCCTAACTTACCCAGGCAAAGAACACAGGTGTGGAGACACTTGTGTAGTGCATGATAGTTTCCAAACACCCAAAAGTGACTTTAGATAAGTTACTACCATCAACGTTGCCAGCAAGTCCACGAAGAATTCCCAGAGTAGGTTCCCGATTGTCTACCAAGGATTGTGAGTGATGTCCACTCAATCAAGCACCATTATTTTGCCTTGATTTACCTATTGGGCATTACCTAGTGCCTTTTGATTTTCTAGTTTCCAGTTTTGTTTTATTATATTTCATTTTATTTTTTGAGACAGAGTCTTGCGCTGTCGCCCAGGCTGCAGTGAAATGATACGATCTCGGCTCACTGCAACTTCCACCTTCCGGGTTCAAGCGATTCTCCTGCCTCAGTATCCCAAGTAGCTGGGATTACAGGTGCCTGCCACCAAGCCCAGCTAATTTTTTGTATTTTTAGCAGAGATGGAGTTTCACCATGTGGGCCAGGCTGGTCTCAAACTCCTGACCTCAGGCGATCCGCCCACCTCCCAAAGTGCTGGGATTACAGGTGTGAGCCACTGTGCCTGGCTGCCAGTTTTCTTAAGAGAAGACCAGTGTGGTATATCTCTGGATACCCAGTGAATGGCTTTGCCATGTGACTGTAGCAGGAAAGAGCTGTGGAACCAACCCTGGTCATCAGCATTTTGGGCGGGGGGGTGGTTGCGGTGGACAACATCTTCAAAGGAAAGGGTCTAAAGAGCTGAGCTAAATGGCTTCTCCTAGTCAAAACAAAACGCAACTCTAATATTAAAATATTTCAGTGTAAGTTTTATGATGCCAAACTTTTAAGTTAGTTTTATAATTATGAAGAAAGAAAGTTCTATTATGGCCTTGTGTGTGTGTGTGTGTGTGTGTGTGTGTTCACTGATCTCGAAATCACTCATGTAATATAGTATTTTGGCTATAAACCCATGGGCTCCCGATGCTGAAGGTATTTTGTTCTGATAACATTCAGAACAAAATCCCACCGCATAAAGAGAAAGAGGTCCTGGGTGGCCGGAGTGAGCAGGCTCTGGGGTTTGTGTCTCACCCTCCTAAGAACTCCACAGCCACAGCCAACCCCAGCCAGCTGCACTTCTCAGTTACCTCTGTAAAGTGGCTGTAGAATCAATGTCACCAGCCAAGGTAGGCAGGGACTTCCTCAGAACAGACAGTGAGGTAGAATAAAAGAATATGCAATTGTTCCAAGTGAATCTTAGACACATATCAGAGAGAAAGATTTAGACCAGATTTGCAAATGATGGGTATGCAACCAACATTGGCCTGGGACTTCAGCTGACTCCTGTTCTTCAACCTTTATGAGTCCAAAATGATGACTTCACACATTTTTGAGAAGGAAGTGGGGATCAGGGTTGGCTAAGCCACAGGGAATGTGGCCTGCTAATCCTGAAGACAAGGGCTGTGGTTTACACTTCCTCTCTATCCTTTCCTGCCACTCAGAAGTGGCCTGGGCATGCACGCCGCATGTGCCATCACTTAATGCTGGTTTGGTTTGACTTTCCAGAAACCAGCCATTCTTCTGCTTGCCCAGATGCTGAACTTCTCATTCTTCAAGAGCTGGTTCAGATAATGCTTCTGTGAAAATGTCCCTACCCCACGTACACAGTCTGAGGCCATTTGCTCTGTGCTCCCCAAAACCACATACAGAATGGCTGAGTCACTCAATGCTATGATACAAGTCTTTGTCACCTGCCTGTCCCACTACCCTTGAGTCACTGACAGCACAGTTCCAGTCTCTTGCGTCTCTGTGTCAGCACTGGTGAGGTGCCTGCCACATTCCATGTGTTCCATAAATGTTCTTTTTCAGAAGGAATTTGAGATGAACAAGGGCTTGGGGATCATTCAGCAGGATACAGACGCTGACAGCCGGCACGCAGCGGCCACACCGGCACAGTTAATCTCTTGACTCTGACACCACAGGAAGCAGACCCCATACATAATGCTGGCTTTATTTTCTCCACGTTCAGGCTAATCAGTCCTAAACACTCTTCTTCTTGTCTCTTAAATGCCTCTTTTCCTCCACAATTTTATTTTTAAAAATGCTTCTTGTGCCTTCGTTCTATTCATATCAGTTCTCTTAATTATAAAAATAGGCTGACTTTTAAAGATTAACTTATATATTAGCCTATTAAACTATCTAAGTTATGTGGCAGATATTATTCAAAACTTACTAGTAATAGATATTTTGCCTGCCAAACCCTTCAAAATGTCATATTACACCAAAGGCTGTTGCTTAGGTTAATTTAGTCACACTAGAATTAATCCAATTAGTGCACTAATTTTTATTTTGATCTATCATGATTTCCATGAAGTGTATTCTCTGTTAGAATATGCCCTGCCAAGAATGGATATGTCATTCCATAGCCAGCAAGGAAGGGTATCGAGGAAGAATGTTTAATGGCGGGAGAAAAGACCGGCCCTCATTGTTTATTAAACAGGAAAGTGAGTTCGAATCTGTTATATTATGACCCTGAATGTGAAAAAAAAAAAAAGACAGCTTATCTTTGGTTGGGAGGCCTGGGAATGATTTTGATGATTTTGATTTTTCTTCTTTATGCTTCTAGGGATTGGGGGGATTTCTTGGATGGACAGAAATTTCTTTACATCAGGTGGGGCAAAAGCACTTTTAAAAATCCTTGGCATTTGGAAAGCTTAAGCCATAGACTTAAAACTTCCCACCTCTCCTTGAATATCCAGAGAGTCGGGGCAGTGGGGGCCCTTAATTCACAGAAAGACCAGGAGACTCTTGCTCCCCTTCAAGGTGTGAGAAATCTCCCCACCACTGCAGGTGCATGGCAGGTGGGATGTCACTAGTGTTAGAAGGTTGTGACCTGGATCTGGGGAAGGCCACCGTGTTCTGTAACTGGGTAAGTCCTTGAAGAGCAGGGGAGCCCATACACATGTTTCACCCAGGGGGCAGAAAGGGGTGTCATTTGTACAACTCCACATTCAGGTAAACGGAGGAGATCAGCCTTCAAGGAATAATGGTGGAGTCTTGCCAGGCAGGGCCACCTCCCACGTGGCTGCGTGCAGCTGCCTTCTAAGGGATGGAACAGCACCTGGGGGTCCAAGGGGTTCTATCCCAAGAAGAGATAACCCCAGAGGACGACCCAGCTGATTGGCACAACAGGATGACTCCAGACTGAAGTCAGATGGGCAGTCCTGTTGCACCTGCCAGCCTACAGTGCTTCTAGAAAAAGAGAAATAGCAGTCCTGAGTAACTGCTCTAAAACCAGGCATTTTATAATACATAAAGCGTTCTTTTGATGCCGGAAAACAAATAGCATCTTGGTCATATAGATGAGGAGACTGAGGCCCAGGGCAGTAGTAACTCAGACAGAAAGTGGTTCAGCTTCAACTCACACCTGTGTCCCCAGCCTCCACCTGGATTCCACGCCTCCTCACCACTTCAGGCTTCTTCCTCAGTGCGTGGAGCTGGCTGTGCCTTGAGTACATCAGGTAAGGCCTCTGAACTACGAAGTCCGTCTACAAAGTGAGGCTACATTCTTTCTGATGTTGACTTCACACAGCAAAGCACACCAAGGCAAAGACGGCATGTGTGTTCTGATGATGGAGGATTCCAGGAAGGCCACAATTAGAATGGCTTCTCCATGGGACTGTGCTTTCTCCTACTAGGCACCAAAATGTTGGTGAAATGGGAGCACTGCCTCTAGTGTTGGACAGTAAGTTTCTGAGTAAGTTTAATCACACATTTATATGTATACACTGTATCTAGCCCCCTTCTAAATTCCACACATATATACAATTTGCGATCCACAAATTAATTTTTCATCTTGTTGGAATGCTGGTTTCCTCAACACCTATGAAACAAGCCTTCAAAATGGCAAATGGGATCACTTCCACTTTCACTTTGATACTAAACTATGTTTGAAAGAAATGTATTAATTTTACAAGCCTGTAATGACCGCTACTTTCAGTACATTGTAAGGGCACGAGTTTCTGAGCTCCCTACAAACCAAACAAATTAACCAACGCAGCACTTCAAAACAATGAGCCAGTTAAGGTCTGTTTCTACTTTTGTTGTTCGAGTTGCTCATGCATTTGTTTTTCAGGGTTTTAAAAAATTTTTTTATTATTTTTTAAAATTTTTATGGGTACATAATATGTGTATGTATGTCTAGGGTACATGGGATGTTTTAATACAGGCATGCACTGTAAAATAAGCACATCACGGAGAATGGGGTATCCATCCCCTCAAGTATTTATCCTTTGAGTTACAAACAATTCCATTGCATTTTTTATTTTAACATATACAATTAAATTATTATTGACTATAGTCACCCCATTGTGCTATCAAATGGTAGGTCTTATTCATTCTTTCTATTTATTTTGTACCCATTGCTCATTTCTTTGGACTAAACTTCTTCTGCTTATAATCATTATTAATGTCTAGAAAGAATAATAGGCCTGAAAGCAAAAAATGCCAGAATTTCATGGGGTTATTTTTGTCCTATGGTAGATATGGGAAATTCAGTCCATAATTTTATATGAATATATGTTCATAAAGGCATAAGAATTATGTTAGCTAATTGCTGAGAATTGTGGAGAAATGGAGATTATTGGGCTTTTGAGACAGAACAAGGCTGCAGAGTACTTAGATTTCATTTAAGTTCAAAGATACACAGGAAGTGCTTGGTTGGTGCCGTCTCTGAGTGCAGCTGATGTTCAATGGATTTGGCCTGGGGGGAGGATGTCTAGGGAATCGGTTGGAATCCAGCTCTGGTATCAGACAGACTTGGTATTCCTGGTTCTGCTGCTTAGCAGCCATGTGACCACGAAAATGCTGCAGGACCCCTGAGCCTCCTTATCCACTTCTGTGAAGGTGGATTAATCATGTTCTTTCCTCATGAGATGGTACTGAGACTTGTATTGGACAAAGTAAGTGACATGTCATCCCAGCACTGAGTACAGGGTTACCATCCAACAAATGGCTGCACTTCTAAGTAGCAAAAGGGCCACAGTGTGAGTTTCCCTCTCATGGGCAAGCAGGACCAGAGCAGAGACCTCCAGGCTGGAGTGGAGGAGCAGGTGGAGGAGAGATGCTGGATGAGGAGGCCAGCACTGCTGTGAGAGTGGCAGCAGGTGTGCAGGGCTACGACCTGGTGTGAGCCCCCATGCTGCTTCTCTCTCCTGGGTTTCGCTGCTCACAACTTTCTCTCTTTTTTAAAGCACCAGTCACGGGATGGCTCTTGAGGCACTCATTCCCATATAACTCTCATTTTCATGTTCTCATTGTGACGGCTCCTGTGCCCTGTGTTTACAGGAAGCCTGAGTTAATAAATGCCTAGCTTCACCTGCCACAGGTCCAAGTGCTCGCTCTGCATTGGTTCTGCACAGAGGACACATGCAAGCTGAACAAGCCTAACTGATAGACCGAGGTTATCAGCCGGAAAGCCCTGGGTGTGTGGGTGAGGCAGCCCTCATGACCATCCTGAGGAAGCCGAGGGGCCCTTTGACCAGGAAGCCATGAGGCTGAACGGAGAATGCATCAGACACAGCAAGCAGGGCTCCAATTACTAGGTAGAGGGCACGAGGAGCCCAAGGTCACTCTTTACCCAATTACAATTTAAGCTTTTTTTCTCCAAATGTGATCATTATTCTTCCCTGATTGGATGTCATGCAACTGTGAATAATTTTATCATTTATAAATCAGAAATAATAGCATATAATGTCAAAACTGCTCTTTATAATGTGGGGAAGGAAAACAATAAATTTGTTTATCCTTTAACAGCCTCAAAGTGGATCAGAATGCAAGGCCCTTGATGCATAGAACAGTTTTGTCATTAGAAAGTGGATGGAAAGAATTTTGATGAAAGTTCTGAAGTCTTGCAATGCAAACGAAATGGGCAAGTTGGCAAAACTCTATTCTTACAGATGTTGATTAGTCTTTAAAAAAATGCAGGAAGCCAAAAAATGAAACCTCAGGTGTTTGAAAGAATCATTTTAGTGCTTGCAAAGATGGCCCCTTCACCTGCCGCTTACTGAGGACAAGTGAAAGCACAGACAATTTGTTTTTCTAATTGGTGGTTGCGCCACAGAATCAAAAGCTCACGCAATAAAAATAAAGCTATCCTGTTGATGCTTTCTTAGGGTGGGTTCCATTATTTCTTTTCTGGCTGTTAGTATTTCCCCATTGATTTAGTCCATGGTTGAGGGTGTTACTTAGAAACTGAAATATTGCAGAAGAGGTTTTGTAAGCAATATAATCATATGATCCATTATCCAGGCACCATGCCAGACTTTTAATCTCACAATAGCATCAGGGATGTAATTTTTAATATTATGTATGCCTGGGATTCTGTTAAAAATATAACATCGAGAACAATTTGGAGCGAACTGTGGTTTGATGTTTTGTCCTCACGAGTAAGATTCATTTTTTTTGAAAATGGGGGAAAAGTGTGAGTTTTGGATTAAATCACCCAAAAAGCCTGATTAAAAAATTTTCTTTAAATGATTAGGCAGATGGTTGGTTCCCATTGCATCAACAAACAAGGAAACCAAGCTGAAAGAAGAGGCACAAGTTGTTTCATCTGAGACTAAAAAAAAAGCTAGACAGGAGGCAACAGATGATGTGAGTGATACTGATGAGTCAAAAGGCGCAGTCAGCGGCAGAGTGTGCGCTTCGTCCCGGAGACAAGAGAATCAACGGAGAGAATGTTACGTCAACCACTAATTTGTTAATTAATTTTACAGAAAGGCATCTATGTCTCCTTACCCTCCCCCCACAATGGCATTTCCTCATTCCACTGTACACTGACGTGGAGAATTTTTCAAAAACACAAATCTTGTATAGTTCCTGACTATTCACTCAAGCGGTCCGGGTTATTTTTATTTTTATTTTTTTTGTCTCAATGGATCTGAACCAGAGCTTCATGTTTGTCAGTGGGTCTCTGGCCTCCTTATGAGAGGGAATTACTCGTTACACCACCATCCCCCACCCCTACAAGTATGCTGTTCACAGTGAAGTCCATCATCAGTGTAGGGAGTGGGACCCGGCCGGGGTCATTGGCTGAAATCCTGCTGCCACTAGAAATCAAGAAAAACACACAAGAGAAATAGAGAATGATGAGTGGCTGAAATATCTACTGGGAAGATATTTAAAATCCTCGGAAATGTCGAGAGTAGGGCTGTGAACCCTATGTTAGGACAAAGTAATTCACATCGCATAATCATAAAGAGATCATCTGGTCCATTGTTTTTAAAATTATTTCTTAGCAGATTCTGTTCTCAAGCAAAATCTTAGGCAGGCTTCTAATACCACAAAAGGAATAGTGAAGATAAAGGAAGAGCTGCTCATACTGGGAATATCCCAGCATAGATTATTCTACATGGTTCTAAGACATTTCTAATTCAAAACGGCAAGACTAAAGAGCAAAGAGTTTGCAAGAATGTGAATTTGCTGTTCAGTAATTGAGCTCACTGAAAACAAAAGTGCAGCTACAACCCAATCTCTTTTCAGAGCACATTGGAATGGGGTTCTTTCTAGCACTCAGTATGTTCACAACAACTGTTCAGTGAAGTATGGGGTACATGGAAAAATCTACATTGCAGTTTAGAAAACTTCCCAGTGAATGGTCGAATTCAAACACCATATGTCAAACCATTCACTTTTATTGATCAAGACAGGTTGTTCTCGTAGAGGGAAGGCTTAATTTAATGACTCTGGATAACAGGTGGCTTGGTTCATATGTTGATAACTATAGATAATGTGCTCTTGTTTTTTATAGTAGTACACACATCTTTCGGGACTGGAAGCCCCAAATAACAAAATGCCTCATTCACCAGCCTCTTTGCCTATCATCACCATCACCCGCCTCTTCCTGGTCATACCTGAGAAACTTCTCCTAGTCAAGGTACTATGGTCAGTGCCGACAGGGCTTCCACGAGCTCCTCCCAGAGTGACACCGTCTGTCTATGTGAATCAGAGAAGGCTCTTCCTTTTCCAGTACTATGGAATAATTACGAGGGATGCATTGAATCCTAGCAGCATGGGCTGTCCTCAGTAGGATGATGCTGTGCATGATGGAAAGTCACTATACCACTTAAGAGGAGCAGTTGCTGAGCCCTCATCCTTTACCAGCCCTCCACTGCTCTTTCCCATCATAGCCTCAGGGTGACTATGAAGGGGCAGCAGGAGGAGACCTTTCTGTTGAGGGCATAGTTCTGCACAGGAATCTACACATCTTGTAGGATGGCACGGGACTACACACATTGTAGCAATATGAATTTCCTGGTTTTAATATTGCAATGTTGTTCCACAACACGTAACCACAGA
The DNA here is from genome assembly GCF_000001405.40 of Homo sapiens. Taxonomy (NCBI): domain Eukaryota; kingdom Metazoa; phylum Chordata; class Mammalia; order Primates; family Hominidae; genus Homo; species Homo sapiens. The sequence goes on along the minus strand of NC_000013.11, from coordinate 109,833,861 downwards.
GGGAAGCCGCAAAGTGGATTAGAGATCTCTCCATATTAGTTTTGCATTTTCCTGTTAATCTATAATCATGTCAAAATAAAAGGTTTTCTTTAAAAAAAAAAAAAAGCCCTGGAATCTCTTTTTTTTGTTGGGATTTGGTCCTTCTCCTTGTCTTTATCCTGGGTACATCACCTCTGTAGCACAGGGTTGCAGGGTAAGAGCAGTCAACCAGGCTCTAGAACTAGAGTTGGGAAGGGCACTGGAGCCTGTGCACCAGAGGGACCCCCATACCTTCCTCCCCTGTCTCTCTCCTTCTGGGTCACCAGGTCCAGGCTGTTCATGCATATCAACTGTATGAACGGGATGGCCATATTTTGTAATGCATCTTTTGTTGTTTTGCAGTCAGTATCTATGTCCAAGTCTATGTATGAAAGACCTCTTGAAATGGATTTTTTAAAACACTTTGATGACTTTAGAGGAGAAATTCACCAAGTTTTTCAACTTTTAGGACACATGGCTTTCTAGGTACTTTTCAGTGTCACGGACACGTCCCTGTTGTGATAGCAGAGGCTAAGCAGAGGGTGCTCCCTGGCTTTGCAGTGGCCCTAGGGCAGGAGAGCCCGGGATCTTCCTCCATTGGTTTTGGGAGGTGGAGGAGATCTAGGTACTTTTTCCACTATTATTAAAAGTCTTTGTAAAATGAGTGACGTCAGAGGACACTGGAAAACCCCAACTAAAATTTTCCTTTTTTTTTATTTCTTCTAAAAAAAATAACTGGGATACATGTGCAGAACGTGCAGGTTTGTTACATAGGTTTACGCGTGCCATGCTGATTTTCTGCACCTATTGACCCATTGTCTAAGTTCCCTCCCCTCGCCCCACAATCCCCAACAGTCCCTGGTTTGTGTTGTTCCCCTCTCTGTGTCCATATTCTTATTGTTCAACCCCCACTTATGAGTGAGAGCATGTGGTTTTGTTTTTCCGTTCCTCTGTTAGTTTGCTGAGGATGATGGCTTCTGGCTTCATCCATGTCCCTGCAAAGGACATGATCTCATTCCTTATAATGTCTGCATAGTATTCCATGGTGTATATGTACCACATTTTCTTTATCCAGTCTATCATTGATGGGCATTTGTGTTGGTTCCATGTCTTTGCTATCTAGTGTTGCAATAAACATACATGTGCATGTGTCTTTATAGTAGAATGATTTAAAATCCTTTGGGTATGTACCTAGTAATGGGATTGCTGGGTCAAATGGTATTTCTGATTCTAGATCCTTGAGGAATCACCATACTGTCTTCCACAATGGTTGAAGTAATTTACATTCCCACCAACAGTGTAAAAGTGTTCCTATTTCTCCACAGCCTCACCAGCATCTATTGTTTCCTGACTTTTAAATAATCGCCATTCTGACTGGCATGAGATGGGTTCTCATTGTGGTTTTGATTTGCATTTCACTGATGGCCAGTGATGATGAGGTTTTTTTCATATGTTTTTTGGCCGCATAAATATCTTATTTTGAGAAGTGTCTGTTCATATCCTTTGCCCACTTTTTGATGGAGTTTTTTTTCTTATACATTTGTTTAAGTTGCTTGTAAATTCTGGATATTAGACCTTTGTCAGATGGGGAGATTATAAAATTTTTCTCCCATTCTGTAGATTGCCTGTTCACTCTGCTCTGAAGATAGTTTCTTTTGCTGTGCAGAAGCTCTTTAGTTTAATTAGATCCCATTTGTCAATTTTGGCTTTTGTTGCAATTGCTTTTGAGGTTTTTGTTATGAAGTCTTTGCCCATGCCTATGTCTTGGATGGTATGGCCTAGGTTTTCTTCCAGGGTTTTTACGGTTTTGGGTTTTACATTTAATCCTACTATTAAGAAACTCACTCAAAACCACACAATTACATGGAAATTGAACAATCAGCTCCTGAATGACTCCTGGGTAAATAATGAAATTATGCCAGAAATCAAGTTATTTGAAACCACCAAGAACAAAGACACAATGTACCAGAATCTCTGGGACATAGCTAAAGCAGTGTTAAGAGGGAAATTTGTAGCACTAGATGCTCACATCAGAAAGCTTGAAAGATCTCAAATTGACACTCTAACATCACAATTAAAAGAGCTAGAGAGGGAAGAACAAACTAATCCAAAAGCTAGCAGAAGACAAGAAATAACTAAGATCAAAGAAGAATTGGAGGAGATAGAGACACAAAAAACCCTACAAAAAATTAATGAATCCAGGAGCTGTTTTTTTTAAAAAAAGTAACAAAATAAATACACCACTAGCTAGACTAATAAAGAAGCAAAGAGAGAAAAATCAAATAGACACAATAAAATTTTTCAAGTATTTTCCCAAATATCAAATTTTTGAAAACCATTTGTTTACATTTATTGTAAGATTTATGCCTGTGGTCATATTTATTGTAAGATTTCTGCTTGTGGCACAAAATGCTAAGATAGCGCTTTTCCCTCTAAGATGCAAATTATATGTCAGAAACAATGAAATTGAATTAAAACATCTCCAGTGGTGCAATATTGCATTTGTGACATGGTGGCATAGCCATTGTTACTTCTAACTGTATTGTCATTCTAATGATTGTCAGCTCTGCTATTTTAAAAGGTTCCATTGTAAAAAAAAAAAAACTTAGAAAACAATATTTTATAATTATTCAACACTGACTGCAAATGAAGTGCATTTACAATTTTCCTAGGGATTTGAGTAAATTATTATTAAAGAATTAAAAGTAAAGGGAAATCTTAATCCTGGTCTTTGAAGTTCATTTGAAATTTAATTGACCATTAGGCCACCAACAATCTTGGCTCAGGACCATTTAATAACGAGAAACTCAACCTTGTATTAGGAGCAAGAGCAGCATAATTCATCAAAAACTACACACCATTTACATTGCTTTCCATGGAGATTTCTTGGGGAAAGTGTAGAACACACAGTTTTAAGTAATTTATGAGCTCTTTAGAAGTGTTATAGCAATTGAGTTTTGGCAATAATGAAAATGTTTGTCGACAAGTAGGCTTAATTTTTTTTTAACTGAGGCCATGATTATACCTCATCTCCTACCACAGAAACTCAGGCTGAAATTAACAAAGTCATGAAGGAAGGCAGTTGAAAAAATTCAGTAACGCTGATTAACAGAAACATCTTGAAGTGTTTAAATCGGTATAAAACAATAATACTGCCCTATATCCAAACAATGTCAATTTGTAAAATTGCATTGCTATTCTGAAAAATCTCATCTGATTCATATAAACCCTATTACTAAATTTTCAATGTAATAATTAATTTTCAGACTTGAAAAAGTGTAACTCTTACAAAAACCCTCTGATATGCTTATAATAAAAAGTATGACCATGATTTTTTCAAGTTTTGATCTGAAAATGGACATAACCCTGACCTCCTATGGACTTTCTATGGTAAGGATACTGATGATCTCCACCTTCTCCCCTCTTTTGAGAGGCCCAGTAAGTCACAAGGGAAGAGGGACTCTGCAACCCGGATGCTGCTTTTCCTGTGACAACCGTGTCCTGGAGCTCATCATTCCATCTCTCTGGACTTCAGGTTTCAAACCTGTGATTCTGAAATGTCACGTAGAATTATGGTTTTCAAGCTTTAAACATATGAGGACCAATTTCCTAACAAAACTATATTGACCACATATAAGATTTACCTTCATTCTCCATTGATTAAAAATATAGATACATATACACACATATTAATAAGTATACATATATAAATAAATCAGGACTTCTATTAAGTGAATGTGCACCTAAAATCTCAAAATTCTAAAATATACTAGCATATAAAATGGAATTTATTCAGTCTATAAAATCATAAGAGCTATGACTTACTGGGGACTTATCCTGTGGTAAGCATTGTGCTAATTATCCACTTGCCATTATAAGTGTAAGTATATGTTATTAGTGTAGTTATTTTATAAATGAAGAACCTGAGGCCTTGAGGGATTAACTTGCTTGAGGTCACAGAGCTAGAAAGATGTGAGTATACTGAACCCTTGCAAACTACCCTAGCCTCCAATTTTCCCACGTTCGCAGGCCACCTGTTGAACACTGCTGAGCTGACTAGTCTAAGCTTCATCATTCTGTTAGAATGTTTGGCTGCAGGTGAATTCTCTGCACCAATCACCACAACATCAGATGAAAAGGCTATACCCAGTTTTATTTATTCCACAAACATTTATTTACTTAGGTGCACAGGTAGATTCTGGATATATGCAAGACCTAAGTAAATAATTTATTAACAGTAAAGGTAAAACTGCCTTGGTTAATAAAGTGCTTCTCCTTTGGTTTGGAATGCCTTGTAGAATGATCCAGATAAGAAATGTAGGAGGTGAGGGAGAGGGTTCCAAGATGGCTGAATAGGAAGAGCTCCAGGCTACAGCTCCCAGTGTGAGCAACGCAGAAGACAGGTGAATTCTGCATTTCCAACTGAGGTACCAGGTTCATCTCACTGGGGCTTGTTGGACAGTGGGTGCAGCCCACAGAGTGTGAGCTGAAGCAGGGTGGGGCATTGCCTCACCTGGGAAGCTCAAGAGGTCAGGAGATTCCCTTTCCTAGCTAAGGGAAGCTGTGACAGACAGTACCTGGAAAATCAGGACACTCCCACCTTAATACTGTGCTTTTCCAATGGTCTTACCAAACGGCACACCGGGACATTATATCCCATGACTGGCTTGGAGGGTCCCACACCCACGGAGCCTTGCTCACTGCTAGCACAGCAGTCCGAGATTGAACTGCAAAGCAGCAGTGAGGCTGGGGGAGGGGAATCCACCATTGCTGAGGCTTGAGTAGGTAAACAAAGCAGCCAGGACTCAAACTGGGTGGAGCCCACCGCAGCTCAAGGAGGCCTGCCTGCCTCTGTAGACTCCACCTCTCGGGGCAGGGCATAGCTGAATAAAAGGCAGCAGAAACTTCTGCAGACTTAAACATCCCTGTCTGACAGTTTTGAAGAGAGTAGTGGTTCTCCAAGCACGGAGTTTGAGATCTGAGAATGGGCAGACTGCCTCCTCAAGTGGGTCCCTCACCCCCGAGTAGCCTAACTGGGATACACCTCCCAGTAGGGGCCAACTGACATCTCATACAGCCGGTTGCCCCTCTGAGACGAAGCTTCCAGAGGAAGGATCAGGCAGCCACATTTGCTGTTCTGCAATATTTGCTGTTCTGCAGCCTCCGCTGGTGATACCCAGGTAAACAGGGTCTGGAGTGGACCTCCAGATAACTCCAACAGACCTGCAGCTGAGGGTCCTAACTGTTAGAAGGAAAACTAACAAACATAAAGGACATCCACACCAAAACCCCATCTCTAGGTCACCATCATCAAAGACTAAAGGTAGATAAAACCACAAAGATGGGGAGAAAATACAGCAGAAAAGCTGAAAATTCGAAAAATCAGAGTGCCCATTCTCCTACAAAGGAACACAGCTCCTCGCCAGCAATGGAACAAAGCTGGACAGAGAATGACTTTGACGAGTTGACAGAAGTAGGCCTCAGAAGATCAGTAATAACAAACTTCTCTGAGCTAAAGGAGGATGTTCGAACCCATCGCAAAGAAGCTAAAAACCTTGAAAAAAGATTAGACGAATGGCTAACTAGAATAAACAGCATAGAGAAGACCTTAAATGACCTGATAGAGCTGAAAACCATGGCATGAGAACTATGTGATGCATGCACAAGCTTCGGTAACCAATTTGATCAAGTGGAAGAAACGGTATCAGTGATGGAAGATCAAATGAATGAAATGAAGCGAGAAGAGAAGTTTAGAGAAAAAAGAGTAAGAAGAAATGAACAAAGCCTCCAGGAAATATGGGACTATGTGAAAAGACCAAATCTACATCTGATTGGTGTACCTGAAAGTGATGGGGAGAACGGAATCAAGTTGGAAAACACTCTTCAGGATATTATCCAGGAGAACTTCCCCAACCTAGAAAGGCAGGCCAATATTCAAATTCAGGAAATACAGAGAACACCAAAAAGATACTCCTCGAGAAGAGCAACTCCAAGACACATAATTGTCAGAGTCTCCAAAGTTGAAATGGAGGAAAAAATGATAAGGGCAGCTAGAGAGAAAGGTCAGGTTACCCACAAAGGGAAGCCCATCAGACTAACGGCAGATCTCTTGGCAGAAACTCTACAAGCCAGAAGAGAGTGGGGGCCAATATTCAACATTCTTAAAGAAAAGAATGTTTCGGGCTGGGCGCGGTGGATCACGCCCATAGTGCCAGGACTTTGGGAGGCCAAGGGGAGGGGATCACAAGGTCAGGAGATCGAGACCATCCTAGCCAACATGGTGAAACCCCGTCTCTACTAAAAATACAAAAAATTAGCCGGGCATGGTGGCGGACACCTGTAATCCCAGCTACTCGGGAGGCTGAGGCAGGAGAATGGCATGACCCTGGGAGGTGGAGGTTACAGTGAGCCGAGATCGCGCCACTGCACTCCAGCCTGGGCAACAGAGGAAGACTCCGTCTCCAAAAAAAAGAAAAAAAAAGAAGAAAAAAAGAAAAGAATTTTCAACACAGAATTTCATATCCAGTCAAACTAAGCTTCATAAGTGAAGGAGAAATAAAATCCTTTACAGACAAGCAAATGCTGAGAGATTTTGTCACCACCAGGTCTGCCTTACAAGAGCTCCCAAAGGAAGCACCAAACATGGAAAGGAACAACTGGTACCAGCCACTGCAAAATCATGCCAAATTGTAAAGACCATCGATGCTAGGAAGAAACTGCACAAACTAACGAGCAAAATAACCAGCTAACATCATAATGACAGGATCAAATTCACACATAACAATATTAACCTTAAATGTAAATGGGCTAAGTGCTCCAATTAAAAGACACAGACTGGCAAATTGGATAAAGAGTCAAGACCCATCAGTGCGCCGTATTCAAGAGACCCATCTCACATGCAGAGACACACATAGGCTCAAAATAAAGGGATGGAGGAAGATCTACCAAGCAAATGGAAAACAAAAAAAAAGCAGGGGTTGCAATCCTAGTCTCTCATAAAACAGACTTTAAACCAAAAAAGATCAAAAGACACAAAGAAGGCCACTACATAATAGTAAAGGGATGAATTCAGCAAGAAGAGCTAAATATGCTAAATATATATGCACCCAATACAGGAGCACCCAGATTCATAAAGCAAGTCCTTAGAGACCTACAAAGAGACTAAGACTCCCACACAATAATAATGGGAGACTTAACACCCCACCATCACCATTAGACAGATCAATGAGACAGAAAGTTAACAAGGATATCCAGGACCTGTACTCAGCTCTGCACCAAGCAGACCTAATAGATATCTACAGAACTCTCCACCCCAAATCAACAGAATATACATTCTTCTCAGCACCACATTGCACTTATTCCAAAATTGACCACATTTGGATTAGAACTTAGGATTAATCAATTTAGATTAATCCTAATCTAATTAATCAAATTAGAACTTAGGATTAAGAAACTCACTCAAAGCTGGACAACTACATGGAAACTGAACCACCTGCTTCTGAATGACTACTGGGTACATAACAAAATGAAGGCAGAAATAAAGATGTTCTTTGAAACCAATGAGAACAAAGACACAACATACCAGAATCTCTGGGACACATTTAAAGCAGTGTGTAGAGGGAAATTTATAGCACTAAATGCCCACAAGAGAAAGCAGGAAAGATCTAAACTTGACACCCTAACATCACAATTAAAAGAACTAGAAAAGTAAGAGCAAACACGTTCAAAAGCCAGCAGAAGGCAAGAAATAACTAATATCAGAGCAGAACTGAAAGAGATAGAGACACAAAAAACCCTTCAAAAAATGAATAAATCCAGGAGCTGTTTTTTTTAAAAGATCAACAAAATTGAGAGACCGCTAGCAAGACTAGTGAAGAAGAAAAAGAGAAGAATCAAATAGAGGTAATAAAAAATGTTAAAGGGGATATCACCACTGATCCCACAGAAATACAAACTACCATCAGAGAATACTATAAACACCTCTATGCAAATAAACTAGAAAATCTAGAAGAAATGGATAAATTCCTGAACACACACACCCTCCCAAGACTAAACCAGGAAGAAGTTGAATCCCTAAATAGACCAATCACAGGCTCTGAAATTGAGGCAATAATTAATAGCCTACCAACCAGAAAAAGTCCAGGACCAGACGGATTCACAGCCGAATTCTACCAGAGGTACAAAGAGGGGCTGGTATCATTCCTTCTGAAACTATTCCAATCAATAGAAAAAGAAGGAATCCTCCCCAACTCATTTTATGAGTCCAATATCATCCTGATACAAAAGCCTGGCAAAGACACAACAAAAAAGGAGAATTTTAGGCCAATATCCCTGATGAACATCAATACAAAAATCCTCAATAAAATACTGGCAAACCGAATCCAGCAGCACATCAAAAAGCTTATCCACCATGATCGAGTTGCCTTCATCCCTGGGATGCAAGGCTGCTTCAACATATGCAAATCAATAAACGTAATCCAGCATATAAACAGAACCAAAGACAAAAACCACATGATTATCTCAATAGATGTAGAAAAGTCCTTTGACAAAATTCAACAGCCCTTCATGCTAAAAACTCTCAATAAACTAGGTATTGATGGAACGTATCTCAAAATAATAACAGCTATTTATGACAAACCCACAGCCAATATCATACTGAATGGGCAATAATTGGAAGCATTCCCTTTGAAAACTGGCACAAGACAGGTATGCCCTGTCTCACCACTCCTATTCAACATAGTGTTGGAAGTTCTGGCCAGGGCAATCAGGCAGGAGAAAGAAATAAAGGGTATTCAATTAGGAAAAGAGGAAGTCAAATTGTCACTGTTTGCAGATGACATGATTGTATATTTAGAAAACCCCATTGTCTCAGCCCAAAATCTCCTTAAGCTGATAAGCAACTTCAGCAAAGTCTCAGGATACAAAATCAATGTGCAAAAATCGCAAGCATTCCTATACACTAATAACAGACAAACAGAGAGCCAAATCATGAGTGAACTCCCATTCACAATTGCTACAAAGAGAATAAAATACCTAGGAATCCAACTTACAAGGGATGTGAAGGACCTCTTCAAGGAGAACTACAAACCACTGCTCAACGAAATAAAAAAGGACACAAACAAATGGAAGAACATTCCATGCTCATGCATAGGAAGAATCAGTACCATGAAAATGGCCATAATGCCCAAGGTAATTTATAGATTCAATGCCATCCCCATCAACATACTAATGACTTTCTTCACAGAATTGGAGAAAACTACTTTAAAGTTCATATGGAACCAAAAAAGAGCCCGCATTGCCAAGACAATCCTAAGCCAACAGAACAAAGCTGTAGGCCTCACGCTACCTGACTTCAAACTATACTACAAGGCTACAGTAACCAAAACAGCATGGTACTGGTAAGAAAACAGAGATATAGACCAATGGAACAGAACAGAACCCTCAGAATTAATACCACACATCTACAACCATCTGATCTTTGACAAACCTGACAAAAACAAGCAATGGGGAAAGGATTCCTTATTTAATAAATGATGCTGGGAAAACTGGCTAGCCATATGTAGAAAGCTGGAACTGGATCCCTTCCTTACACTTTATACAAAAATTAATTCACAATGGATTAAAGACTTAAATGTTAGACCTAAAACCATAAAAACCCTAGAAGAAAACCTAGGCAATTCCATTCAGGACATAGGCATGGGCAAGGACTTCATGACTAAAACACTGAAAGCTATAGCAACAAAAGCCCAAATTGACAAATGGGATCTAATTAAACTAAAGAGCTTCTGCACAGCAAAAGAAACTACCGTCAGAGTGAACAGGCAACCCACAGAATGGGAGAAAATTTTTGCAATCTACCCATCTGACAAAGGGCTAATATCCAGAATCTACAAAGAACTTAAACAAATTTACAAGAAAAAAACAAACAATCCCATCAAAAAGTGGGCAAAGGATATGAATGGACACTTCTCAAAAGAAGACATTTATGCAGCCAACAGACACATGAAAAAATGCTCATCATCACTGGCCATCAGAGAAATGCAAATCAAAACCACAATGAGATACCATCTCACACCAGTTAGAATGGTGATCATTAAACAGTCAGGAAACAACAGGTGCTGGAGAGGATGTGGAGAAATAGGAATGCTTTTATACTGTTGGTGGGACTGTAAACTAGTTCAACCATTGTGGAAGACAGTGTGGCGATTCCTCAAGGATCTAGAACTAGAAATACCATTTGGCCCAGCCATCCCATTACTGAGTATATACCCAAAGGATTATAAATCATGCTGCTATAAAGACACATGCACACATATGTTTATTGTGGCACTATGCGCGATAGCAAAGACTTGGAACCAACCCAAACGTCCATCAATGATAGACTGGATTAAGAAAATATGGCACATATACACTATGGAATACTATGCAGCCATAAAAAAGGATGAGTTCGTGTGTTTTGCAGGGACATGGATGAAGCCGGAAACCATCATTCTGAGCAAACTATCACAAGGACAGAAAACCAAACACAGCATGTTCTCAATCATAGGTGGGAATTGAACAATGAGAACACTCGGACACAGGGTGGGGAACATCACACACCAGGACCTGTGTGGGGTGGGGGAAGTGGGGAGGGATAACATTAGGAGAAATACCTAATGTAAAAGACGAGTTAATGGGTGCAGCACACCAATGTGGCACATGTATACATATGTAACAAACCTGCACGTTGCGCACATGTACCCTAGAACTTAAAGTATAATAATAGTAATAAAAGAAACATAGGAGGCAAGATGTTTTTAGAGAAGCTGGCTTCAAATGAGTAAATAAATGAGGACTCTGAACTTCCTTTGCTGGACACTACTGTATTATTCATCAAATCATGTGAAATGCCTAAATTTAAGGAGCTTCCCAAGGTAAACAATGGCTGAGTCTCCCAACAGGCCATAATACTCAACGAGCAATTCCTTGCTTAGATTTTAAGGTATGTCTACATTGTCCATCAACATTTCTGTGAAAATACTGTTCTATAATTTAGCAGTTCTGATATAATTTTAAATGTCTCTGCTGGAAAAAATAAAAATCTCATTTTTTATTGTGAGCATTGGCAAAGATAGAATGCTGCTCCTAAATTTGAAGCAAACAGAAACCAACCTCACTCAGATGCTTTGTGTATAAATGTGGCTCTCTCTTCCATTCAAATCAGCCTCCTTTAGCGGGTTCGGATTTGATTGGTCCTGCCTGTGATTCAAGAGGACAGTTTCAATCCAGGACTCCAGGATTACGGGTGGAGGGAATCCAACAACTACAAAATAAGTGAGTCAAATATACATGTTTGATCTAATTGTTATTTTAGGTGACATTTGATCTAATAAGACAATGTCCTTCTAAAGTCACACTCTATAACCTCTCCATTAATATAGTTTTCTAGGCTGAAAAGTACCTTCACGCACACATTATTGTCACCATGACTAATGTTAAATTATAATGCTTTAATATATTTATATAAATCCTGTTGTTACATTTACTTGCATATGGAATGTTGTTTAAAAGAAATTGTCATTCCTATTTTTAAACCATATCCCTTATTTATTCAATTGAATACATTTACTTCAAATAGTCCAAAAGACACACAATTTCCCTACAAGATTGCACTTCCTCTGGCAATACTTTAATGTGATATAATTTTGCAGATGCTAAATGTTCTTCTTTTTCCAAGTTTTATCTCTTATTTGAAATTTGACCAACGAGTATTTACTGACACTGTGTATAATTTAACAAGCTGCAGAAATCTTCCAAACAATGTTTTTAATAACAGAAATATTGTCTCAATGATACTTAGCTAGAAAAATAAACAAATGCTTCAAGAAAGTATCTCGAGAAGCATAAATATTTGATGCACACTTAGAAAGTACCAAGAGAATGGCATGCTATCTTAATTTCATTAATTGAATTAAAAAAAGAAAACCCTCAAAAGAACATGATGTACTTTAAAAACTTTTCAATACTACCATATTTTTCCTACAATTTTAATTAATAAAATCTACCAACGCTTTTACTTTTGACAAGAATAACGTATTCCAGCTCGACTTCTCAACATTTGTTTTATATTATTTTCCTGACTAAAGTATTTAGTTGCTATACCTAATCTGTGGCTCATAACATAATTTTGAACAAAAACACAGATAGGAGTTTTTTCAGGGGGACATGTCCTTGAAAATATTTGGAAGATTCTAAAACAGTGTTTGGAAGGGGTTGTTACAGGCATTGATAAAGTTATTAGAGACCCACTATGTTCCAGCCAATTAGGGTATCAGTGAACATGAACCAAGTGGAACTAATATTCCAGCAGTGGGAAACACACTGCCCACAGTGGCAATAACAGACATTCTATACTGCAAGTTAAAGGGTGACTGATGTTATGAAAAACAAAGGGAAGCAAGTCAGCAGACATGTGATCAGAGCCTTGAAGGAGACAGGAGGGAGGAGGATGCTCCAGGCAAAATCGTCCAGGCAAAGCCGTGACCCCAGAGAGAAGTGCACCTGGAGTGGCAGGAAGAGCAGATGCAGGGAGGGGCAGGGAGCTCAGAGAGGAGGGGAGAGAAGTGGATCAGCACGGGCACTGCAGTTCCTGGTAGGCTGTTGGAAAGCACTTGGCTTCCTTCCTTAGGATGAGGTAGGGATGTGGGTATCTAGGAGAAAACATTCTATACAGAGGAAAGCAAAAGGCACAAGCCTGCCTGCGGTGAGCTGAACTGTGTCTCCCGCAAAGGCATGTTCAAGCCCTAATCTCCATTACCTGTGAATGTGACCTTATTTGAAATAGAATCTTTGCAGATGTAATTCAGCTAAGAGGAGGTCACCAGGGTGGGGCCTAATCCAATATGACTAATCCCTTCAAAAGGAAGAGAGAGAGACACATAGGATGGACACTATGGGAAGATGGAGGCCAAGGATGGAGGACTGCATCTTCAGCCGAGGATTGAAGGCTGCCAGCAGAAGCTGGAGGAGGCAAGGAGGGGTCCTCCCCTGGAGCCTTCGAGGGAGCATGGCCCTGCCAACATCTGGATTTCAGACCTTCAGCCTCCGGAACAGTGACAGAATCAATGTCTGTTGTGTTAAGCCCTGGGAAGCTCACCCATCAGCTGAGAGTGAGGGTGGGGGAGGAGGTGACCGAGATGTGAGGAGCGGGGAGTAGGTGTGAGGACAATCACTGGATCATGGAAGTGTTGAACCGCTGCTTAGCCATCCTGAGTGAATGTGACGTGGGTGTCCATTTGTTTCAAGGAAGACCAGTCAGCATGGTGTGTGTGCTCTAGTGGCCCCCAGCTGGATGGGTGCAGTTTAACTACAGCATTTAAGCTGTAGGTGAGTGAGGGGCAAGGCAGTGGAGGGTATTTGCAAGGAAGTGGAAATAGTAAGTAGATTGCAGAATGAAAGCTGGATGTAGAGGCAGGCACTGAGACACGCTTGAGGGAGGAAGGGAGGACAAACCAGGAAAAAGCCAGAGAAGCAATGAGTGTGGGTCCCAGTCAAGGTTTAGTTTTCATCTTCCAATTCCTGGCACAGTACGTCACATATTTCTCTCCAATAAATTGGCTAATTAAAATAATACAGCCCCAAAGCTCTGCTTCTAAGCCAAGTAATTTGCTTAGAAAATTAAGGCTCTGGGTTTAAATGTTATAGAAGAATGGAATTTTTTAGAACAGGAAGAAGACTTAGCAAGCACCCGGCCAGACACTCCCATGTTTTTAGAGGAGGAAATACTTAAGGTAAGTGCTCTGCCCGTAATTACATAGCTATTAAATCATGGAAGTAGAAACAGGATTCAGGTTGTTGGTTGCTGTCTCGTGTTGCCGCCACATCATGGTGTTGTCTGGTTTTAGAACGTTTATGACCTCAGTTCTCCTACAAGGACACATTCTGCTGAAGGTTAATGGGGCCAGCGACCCAACCCAAGCAGGGGTGTGAGACGTGCATGGAGAAGGAACCACATGTCTTAGGTTTTCAGGGCTTACGGTTATAGCAAATTGTTTATTCAACCAAAACTCAAGCAAAATAATAGAACAATTCTGGAGTGTGTATACTGAAGTTTCAGCACATTCTCATCTATATCTTCTGCATTTCATTCCATAGTCTTTTATTTAATCTTCTGTCTGTGTTCACCCATGTGTATGCTTCTTGCTCCTCTAAGGATTTAAACATCCCCTGAGAGGACCCTACCACTACACAGGGAGGACTGTGCAGTGTTCACCACCACCAGCCAGACTAGAACTCTTGAAGAATGGCTATCAATGTGTGAACATGTCTGTGTACAAGTTTGGAAGGAAATACAGAGTTCTTCTAACCTAGAACCACCTCTGGTCATCTACAACTTGCTTGATGTAAACATCAATCAACTTAAACATGATGGAAACAACTTTGGAATGCAGTTCTTTTAACATATCACCAATATGTCTATTAATGATTATTTAGGACGGTTTGTTTTACAGAGCACATTTTAAGCATCTGGAAATATTAGAATAAAAAGTAACTATATTATTATATCTATGTTCTATTTAAATGTACTTGTCTTTCTCACTAAATTACACCATAAAAAGAAGAAAAACCTACATTTTTAAATGTCTTTTAGTAATTTGGCAAAGACAGAGTTACCAGGCCTAGGCGAAGGCGGGGAGAAGGATGGGCGTGGTGAGAAGAAATTGCATTCCCATGCAGTAATTTGCATTCAAATGTATGCCAGATGCTTGGTGATAATGTATGACAATGCATTCCCTTGGTTGTCAGACACCGAAAGAGAAAATATTAGTCATATATGGGAAAATCTGCACTACTGGCCATATCTAACGTACAATTTTGTTTCAATAAGCTGTTTTGGAGAGATTTAGACAGTTCCAACATGGCTGGGCTTGCTGTTGGCCTTCAATATACTCTTTTTTCAGCAATTTATCTATCTTTAAAATGTGAATATAAGCTTAATACTTTCATTTCCCCTCCACTGAGACTGCTGCAGCTGTAGACACCAAGAGACAGAGGCTAAAGAGGAGGTGGGACCTTATCTCTGTGCCATGGAAGATGGCGGCAAGATGGGAGCTGCCACCTGGCAGTACTTCCGCTCCTCTGAAGCGGAGCCCGGAGCCTGGCATGCTCTGCTCTCCCACATCTGGCCCTGGTGGCACCTCTGCTTGTGTCTCACCCTCCAGTTCATTCATCAGGTCTCCTCGCAGGACATAAATGTGATTTTATTGACCTGATACTTCTTTTTCCAGCGGAGCATGTTTCCCTGTCATCCCACATGACTCTGGCTGAGTGACTCCTCTCTGGGACCCCCCCCCCCCCCACCAGTGTCCAGCCCCGGAAGGAGGTGTGCGACTGAGCCTGGTAAATCATGTACCCCATTAAACCCTCCCCAGGATGGGCTCAAAGGGTGGAGACAAGCCCAGGCAGGACCAGTCAGGTGAGACTCCATCTGTGAAAGCCGGCATGCAGGTGCTGAAAGAAGAGGCTGCTTCTCCCTTGGGACTACTCACAGCAGGAATGAGTTTAGTGTGGCCAGCAGCTGTCTTTCCACCACATGGGACAGTCCTTTTGTGGCAGGAGACAACAGGAAAAGTGAAACAGAAATAAGTTGAGAAATGAAGGAGAGAGAGAGAGAGAGTTCTGTTACACCATTATTTAAGCTCCAGATCCAAATGTTTGTGAAGCCCACTCAGCTGCTGACTTTGTGCTCAGAACACAGGATCCTCTTTTTTGGACTGAGCTGCCTTAGTTGACGGAACAGACGATGGTCAGCAGACACCACTGCCTTCAAACCTTGTCTGCTTCTTGTCCTTTCTCTGTCTCCTGAAGATATCTTAAGCCGTTCCCATAACATTTCTGGTCATTTTTGATTATTGGAGCACTCACAACCTCAGACATTAAAAATCCCACTCCAATCTAAATTAAAACATTGTTATTTTTTCTTGTTCAAAAGAGCTCTTCTTCCTAGTTCAGGAATTCCCTGGAACTCCAGGCACCAGCCAGGAGAGAGGGGCTGGATCTGTCCTCCAGCTTTCGGAGCTCCAGCCGAGCAGGGAGGAATGTCTGACTTGGACATGCTTTTCTAATTTGGCTGCTTGTTCCTTTGGTTCGGCAAATATCTAGATGCTGGATACTTCTCTCTGTAACTCTGGATCTCTCAGGAGCCCCTTCCTCAGCAGGAGTCCACACTTCATTTTCCCTGTGGCCTTCCTAGGAGCAGCCTTGGAGCCAGGCTCCATCCCGTTTCATGGCATCCACCTGGTTATTGGGGAAACTCTGAGTCCCTCCTTCCCCACCTCCACCCCCAATTCAGGAATAGCAAGTCTCTCTCCCTGACACCTTGTCTTTTTGTCCTGTCTCTAAGGGCTGCTCCAGCTTTTCTGCTTTTCTACTTTGCTTGGTAAGAGTCGGTCAATGGTCTCTTTGTTCAAATGTGCCCACCAATTCCAGGTGATACCCCCATCCCTTCACCCCTCCACCCCTCCCTACCATCTTCCATGAGCTCCTGGCCATGCACTGCTTAATCCAATGCAGGTCTGGTGAGATCCACAGCTCAGGAAATCTCCTCTTGGAAGTACATCCTATGTTGCTTGATGATTCTCAAAGACATGCATTCTTGACTTGAGAGAGGGAGTGCCATAAACTCCTAACTCTCCAAACTATACCAGTTACTCCCTTTAAGGAAAGTTTCCACAATAACCAATCTCCTTTAATTCCTCTTCTTTTTTTATACTGACTGGCGGTGAGTAATGGGCAAAGGATCTTAGAAATGATTTTGGCTACTCTTTGCAAATCCTGTGGTTTTTCCCATTAGGGGAGAGGGCGATCCTGCCCCACTGTCCCCAGCCTCCAAGCCTCCACTGAATCTCTGAGGCACCAGGGAAGCTCAATTTAATACTGCATTACAATGATTTCAGCTGAGGTTGTATCTGTTGCAAACAAAGAAGTTCGGACATGTGACCTCCTGTTTCTCATTCATTCCGGAGGCCTTTGGGTCCATTTCTATAGATACTTTTTTCTCCCTGGAAGGCCCCTGTAAATGCCAGGTTTATTACTGCCATGTTTTGATTCCCTGCCATTCACTTGGCATCCCCCAGGAATTCCCTTCTGCATATGCAGAAGTCCTGAATATTCTCTTCCCCTGCTCCTTGGCAACAAGTGTGTGCATGAGTAAACAAGTCCACACAGGAATCAATATGCTGCCTTCTCCTGATGGACGCAGGCCAGTAATTTTCCATGTGAAAGTTCATGACCAATTTTCACCTTTGCTAATAATCAAACCACTTTCCCTACCCACACAGACAAGCGTGCATCTGTCTCTACAAACACATATGCAGCATAAAGAGGTGAACCACATTAAACAACAATCAAAAAGATGGTGGGAACCCTCAAAGAAAAACGAAGGAGAAGAAAATAGGAGCATTCTTTGAGAAAAGACAATAAAACACAGACACTACAGTAAACAAATGTAGAGCTCAGTGAATTGTTATAAAGCCAATGCTTTTGCAACAGCTACTAGGTCAGTGTATTCAACGGTACAAGCTGCCCGGAAGCCTCTCTCTGTGTCCATATCCCAACCACATGCTCTTCTCTCCCTCCAAAGTAACCACTACTCTCTTTTATATGAATCACTTTCTTGCCTTTTTTATTGTTGCACTTAGATTTGACATGTTTTTAAATCTACACCCACTCTATTCCATTATTTTTCTCATGGATCACCTGTTGAGGAATTGGGCCATTTATCCTGTAGTGTTTCCTACAGACTAGATCTTGCTGATCGCTGATAGCATGCAGCATTATCCAGTGCCTTCTCTGTGCAGCTGGATTCAGAGGTTTGATCAGATTCGGGTCCCTTTCCTTTGGCAAGACTGCAGGTGGCATTGTGCTCGCCCCTCAGGAGACACAGGATGTCTGCTTTTTCTCCTTTCTTGAAATAACCGTCATTGGTGATCAAGGTCAAGATGCATAGATTCATCAGGGATTGCGAAATGCTTATATTCTAATTCTGTGTTTGTTTTTATTTATTAGCTGGAATAAATATATAAGGGGACATTTCCCTTCATTTAATTTTTGGCTTCCCTATGGTACAGTTAATATAAGATAAGCAAAAAAAGTGCTTTATTCTTCCTTTTATTTATAAATATTTCAAGATAATGAACTCATTACTTATCCTCTTCTGAAAGCAACCAAAATTTTAAGATACCATTATGAACACAGGGATGTAAACCTATGTGACATATGTCAGTCCATACCTTCTTGGACCTGGTACAGAATTTGCCTTTGCTCTGAAGTCCACTCAAAATGGTAGTTACAAGAGGCACCACATATATGGATCAGAACCATTCCCCATTTGGACGCATGCTGCTTCCAAAACCCAGAGAGCTGTGCTGATTCTTAGCAGTAGGAGGTGCAATTCCAATCTTACTCTCTACCTTAGAGTGGATGTCTAGTAGCATGCTTTAGATGACTGGAGAGGAAGAGCTCTGCTGATGTGAACTTTGTTGTTTGAGTCTTCGTAAGGGCTATCTTACACGCATGATTCTAGGGTGCCACTTGCCAGACATTTTGGCAAGTCCAATGGGCAAGTCTATTTTCATCAATATGGTAGACCAGTATGACATTCTGCATGTACAACATCAAAATGATAGTGATTCCTGTAGATTACATCATAACAAAGACATCAGTATTCATACAATTCTTTGATGTGACAGTGAACACACTACTATGTTTCCATCATAAAAGCAAACTGCTTTTGATCCTCCTTCTAATGGGGATTATGAAAAATGCATTTACCAGATCAATAACTGCACACCAAATGACAGAGATTCTGATAATCTATTCCTATAAAGTGACTATCTCTGGCACAGGTGCTGTGATTAGGACCACCTGGTGAGTTAAACTGTGGCGGTCCATTCACTATCACCTGCTGCTGAAGGGGCCACAGCAGTGAATGGGATGGGAATGTAGTGAAGGCTGACATATCCTCATCCTGTCAATCTTATGTTGGATTTAATTTCTCTAATTCCAACAATCATGAGCATAGCTTCTGGTTTACTATGTAGGCCAAAAGGAGGATGTAGATTTAGGAGTTTCCATTTGCCTCTTTCTACCAAGATGGCTCTTTCTCTACAGGTCAGGGTGCTAATTTGGGGGTTCTGTCAGCTGCTAAATCCAGGGTTTCTCAATACCAGATCAATTGAGATTTTGGTCTGAATAACTCCTTGTCCTGGAGGCTGTCCTGTGTGTGGAAGGATGTTTAGCAGCATCTCTTATTTCTACAACAGGTACCAGTAGCACCCCATCCCCAAGGCCCCAGGTGAGAATCAAAAATGTCTCCAGATATTGCCAAATGTCCCCTGGGGGACAAAATCACTCCCAATTGAGAACCACTGTGCTAAATATATCTACCCCAATTATACACCCAAAAACTGGGGCAATTAACACAATGTGTGGGTCCTTGTAGCCACTAAACTTGCAGGGACTTTGGTGAAACACCTGGCCTCATTACCCCCACTGCAATCACAGGGGCAAGATGGTGACTTCGGTTTCCTAGTAGCAGTGTCTGTTAAAGCTCTATACCCAAAAGTTATCAAAAGAGCGGAGCATTTCTCTTTTCCCAGTGTGCCATTGCCATTGAACCACAGCTGGTGACTTTGGGAAGATTATTTACAGAATATTCTGGGGCGGTGGGTCTTTTCTCAAAGGTGCACTGTCTCCCCTTCAAATCAGAGGGCTCTGGGTCAGTGAAGTGGCCCAGACCTACAGCCTGGACAAGGGCCACTACTTCCCCCTGAGGAGGCTGATGTGAGTCTGCCCCTCCCCTTTCCCTTCTTCCAGTTATGAAGCCACAGGCCCATGTGTCCTGTCCATCAACATCATCCCTCAACACCATGATCAGTTATCTACTGTCACCTTGCCTTTCCATTCAAGGCCCCTGCTTGCCACCTGGCCCCACTGCTCATTCCCATAATTATGTCTACCTGTTGATTAGGTGTCACTGCTTGGCTTCTGCCATTCCAGGATTTTAGAGTCCACTATGATGCAGGTGACATGGTTGCATCACCTCCTGTGGACTCTGCCTGGAGGAGGCATTCTACCCTGAGCTCCTCAGGGAGGTCACTTCCCCAACCAGTTCCCCCTGAGGAACAATAATCAGATGGTCTACCCTTTAGTCCCAAGTAAGAAACCCATTCCAGTATTCCTACAACTCTGAGCCTTCTGACCTGTTCCTAAATACTCTCTCCTCCTCATCCACTGCAGGGATCACACAGCCCCAGATTCGGGAAGCTGTTCCAGCAGCTACTAAAACTGGCTCCAAGGTCCTTGCCAGTCATTACGTCCTATTTCATAGATGAATGTTCTCATGGAAAAAGAATTCCCCTGTATACGTCTATTATCCATAATCCCTTCCAACACCCTGAGGACCCACTCCACATTTCTGTATCTCAGACAGGTGCATTTGCTTCCAGAATGGAAACTATTTCTCAGGTTCACCTGTTCAGAGCTCTGACCCTGGTTATTGGCCTGGAGGTAATGCATGAAGTGGTGGTGCAGTTTGAGGGTGGGCACCACCTTGTAATAGATTCCCTTCTGGCGATGTTTTCACAGTCTCTAGGAAAGGGAAGCCTGCTCTCCCCCAGTGAAGAGAGGGGTTCTGCCGGCAAGGAGCTCTAGGGAGTCTGAGAGTTCAAGTTGCTCAGGCTTATCCACCAAGGGTCTCCACCCCACTCCCAGGGACCCTCTGTTTCTCACCATGGCCTTGAATTCGGTGTAGGACAGCTGTGTCCCTGCTGCATATTCAATCTGCTTTGTAGTTCAATTAAACCTGGTGCCTAATTTTCAGCACAGTCTGCTCTGAGGCTGTAGGGAATCAGGGTTCTTTGAAGACTTGCATGGCAGCCTTCTGGCTTTCCCAGTATAATTTTGTTGACAGTTGGCAAAGCTGAGTTTGCTTAATCTTTTAAGGCTCCCATATAAGTTAAACAAAATACAACCAACTCCATGAGAGTTTTAAATAACATTGTTCTATATTGTTTGATAGTCATAGTTACAAAAAAATAAACATTAAAAACCCTCAGTGCTTTCCCTTCTCCTTGCCTTCAAATCGGAGGGCTCTGGGCCAGTGGAGTGGCCCAAACCTACAGCTTGGATGAGGGCCACTACTTCCCCCTGAGGAGGCTGATGTGAGTCGGCCCCTCCCCTTTCCCACAACTCTGGGCCTTCTGACCCATGACATGCTAATGCACCGCAGGCGAGAGCCTCCGGCAAGTATGAAGCTCCTGCACTTCCAGGGCTCACCCCTACTCCACTTCCTACCTGCAATGAGGTCCTTCCTCTTTTTCACTTAGAAAGGAATTTTTATGGGTAGGCCGTAGGTGTATATATTTATGAGATACACGAGAAACTTTGAAACAGGAGGCAATGTGCAACAGTCACATCCGGGGAATGGGGTACCCATCACCTCAAAGATTCATCATTTCTTTGTGTAATGAACATCCCAACTGTACACCCTCAGTCATTCTAAAATGTGTAACAGATCATTGCTGACGGTAGCCACCCTGTTGTACTATCAAGTGCTAGATCTTATTCATTGAAACTAACTATATTTTTGGATCCATTGGCCATCACTGGGGTCCTTGTCATCCCCTGACTAGTGAACCACCCGCTTTCAGAATCCCGTACTGAGAGTGTGTGTTCTACGGCTATCCTGGCTCCGACTTTCTTGGCCTCTGTTCTGCTGAAAGCAGAGGTGGAGACCAGGGCTTACCTAGTTCTCGTTTATGTGGTATCTGTTCCCAGGAGGCAGGAATGAGAGGATGGAGGGCGCAAAGCAGAAGAGGGAGAACGTCCACCCAGAGAGGACATCCAAGTGGCCGCACCATGAGCAGCTGGTGCCTGAGCCCGTGGGGACCTTCTGAGAGGCCGTATCCATTCTGCCACAGGAACTGGCTGGTCACATGGAAAAGGCGGATGTCTGTGTCCATCACTCTCACCCTCCACCGCCTGAGAGCTGCCCACGGTGGGTGAACCCCTCCCACTTTCATGCAGCATAAGGACTCGGGAGCACTGAGAAGGCTTTTCTTTACATCTTCAGTGTCAAAAATCCCAGGGAAAGAGCAAGAGATGAGTGGTAAACTTTCAAGCCGAGGTGCTGTCGGCATGAGGGGAGTTGCAGCCTCACAGAATCTTCCACACTGCTGCGCTGGAGTCAGAGGGGAGGGGAAGGGATGTGGGACATGCACAATACCACGCGGCTGCTATGAGGGACCAGGATGGGGACACACATCCAGAGGAGGGGGACACACGGCCAGGCCAGGGGCAGGGAAGGGGACACACAGCCAGAGGAGGGGGACACACAGCCAGGCCAGGGGCAGGGATGGGGACACACAGCCAGAGGAGGGGGACACACGGCCAGGCCAGGGGCAGGGATGGGGACACACAGCTGGTGCAAGGGGCCGGTATGGGGACACACAGGCAGGCGAGAGGCTGGGACGGGGACACATGGCCAGGCAAGGGGAAGGGACGGGGACACACAGCAAGGTGAGGGGCTGGGACGGGGGACACACAGCCAGTGTGAGGACACACAGCAAGGCAAGGGGCCGGGATGGGAGTGCGCGGGGCTGAGATGGGAATACACAGCCAGTGTGAGGGGCTGGGACAGGGTCCAGGCTGGGCTCCTACATGCCCATCCAGGGTGGACTTGGTAGCACCATCCCCAGCACAAATCTTTCACCTCTAGGTCTAAAGTGGTGGCTCTGGGTCCCACGGACACAAGTGGACTCAGCCAGAGGTGTGTTCTCATGCCCATTCCACACAGGACGGTGACATGAGAGGGCAGCTATTCGCACCCCCTCAGCTGGAACTCAGTGACTCAGGCATGTCTAAGCTCCAAAGGCAGCAGGCGAGAGCCTCAGCCGGCTTAGCCAGGGGCTTGTGGGCTTTCCTGACACCCTGAGAAAGAAAGAACAGGAGAATGGATGTCGGTGGACGCGGACAGCAGGACCCGCAGCCGGAGCAAGGCTGGGAAGGAATGCTGGCAGCAGGCACCTGCCATACTGTGTCCAACAGAGGAGTGCTCTTTGACAGCTTCGGAGGGTAGTGATGCCAGTCCTGCTCAGACAGGGAGGACTCGAGGGAGTTAATAAATTGGGCTATGGGCCTTTAAGATTGATGGAATCCCTTCATTTTTATCAATGTGGTCTCATTGCAAGGGAATTGGAGTTCTCTCTTTTCCATACTCAGCTCAATCTTTTGCCTGTTGACACCTCTCATCTTCTCTCAGGCCAATCCTCCTTTTGGGTTATAGCAGAATCTCATAATCATTTTTCTTCCATTCTACCAAATTGCCTGTGCAAGATAGAGTAGCTGTTCCAAAGACTTCAGACAAAGAACAATAGCTTAAAAATATTTATACTTGAGTCAATTTTTAAAATAAATGTGAAGCCAGGCATTTCCAGGAACCCTCTTAGCCCGGTCATACTGGGTAGCAACAGACCGAGCCAAATGCTGGGAGCAGGGCATGGATGGAGGGAGGGGCTGCTGGAACCCACGGACACAGTCCAACCAAAGACATCTAGTGGCTTTCCGCAGGGGGCATCTGTCGGGTGTTTTGGAAGCATCCAAACAACAACCACGTCTGTGGACCGGGGCATCTGCGAGGCAGGATCTTCTGTGGTCTGGTTGCCATCTTGCCCCCGAAGAGGATCTATCATTCTCTAAAACCCCAAGCTCTCCTGGAGCCAAACTCAGTGCCTTCAAGAGCTTAGGGCTAACAGTAGCCTCAGGCTGCCCAGGAACTGCCTCCTCCTGTCCTTCCTGGTAAACATCCTCACTCAGAGCTTCTCCACAGAGGATGGCAGGGAAAGGTGCTAAGCGAGAACCTAATGCTCTAGGTCCTCGGTACATCATAAAACCATGATCATGCAGACTCTTATGTCTATGTCCAATTCGATTGTGAGATGGCTGAGGGCACAGGCCAGGGGGTGCTCTCACACTCCTCCCTCCTCCAGGGCGGGGCACAAAGTGCTGCACACAGGAGGCCTGCTGCTGCTCTCTTTGCTTAGCTAACAATGAGAACACGAGAGGAGTGAGTTTTGGGCCAGATTTCCTGATTAGCAGCTGCAAACATTCTGGAGCTGCGTCATGCCTATGTGCACCACATCACTCCACACATACGCTGTGCACTCCCAGGCATCCAGCCTCTGCACAGCCTGTTCCTTCTGCCCAGGTGGCAATTCCTTACTTCTTTCTCTTATTACAATTCCAGGCTCCTACGTATCTGTCCGCTGATCTCAGTATAGATAGAGCTTCCCCTAGGAAGCATATTCTAAATCCTAAGCCCCGGGGAAGGGCTTCTCTGATGGTCTCCCATGGATCTCCATACCCACTCCTAAAATAGACATGTAATCACACAGCCACTTCTCCAGGACCTCTGACCGAAACCTTGTCAAGTCAGGGACCACGTTTGTCTGCTCTCTGCGGTGTTGGGCACC
Organism: Homo sapiens; assembly: GCF_000001405.40. Lineage (NCBI taxonomy): Eukaryota > Metazoa > Chordata > Mammalia > Primates > Hominidae > Homo > Homo sapiens. Next base: position 109,809,334 of record NC_000013.11, on the reverse strand, counting down.
CACACTGTGCCTGGGCACAGCAGATGCCCCATGGATGTTTGTTGGATGAATATACAAAAATGACGGTTACCACTTAGTGAGTGCTTATCAAGTGTCGAGTTCTGTGCCTGCCTCTCCACATAAAGTATCCCAATTTTTAAAACAGTCTTATTAGGTAGACATTACCATGCTATATTTGAAGACAAGAAGAACAAAGCCCAGAGAGATTTTAAAACTTTTCTAGAGTCCCATGCCCAAGAAATAGTAGAGATGCAATTTTGACCTTGGTCCTTTGAAAAGGAAGTGTGTTCTTTCCACCACTGGTGACTGTGTAAGCTACGGAGCCAGCAGCCAGATCAACTCGTCCCTGCTGCTTTTTGAGAGATGGGCTTAAGTAACCTCCTTCCCTTGTAGTCTACACTGATGTTTCCAAAACAGCAGACATGAATTTCAAGAAGGCACAACTCAAATCTTATTTCCCCATGAACTGTTTTCCTTTGCATATTCATAATTTATTTTTCACAACTCGTGGTTTTGTAATTGAATGTATACTGTCTTAATTCATTGCACACTCATTTCTTATTTACATAGGGCATATCCTTGAAGAGCATTTAAATGAATGAGGCTTGCACTTCTGTTCTTACATGAACCCCAGGTGCTCAGATGGCTGTGGTTGTCAGGAGGAGACAGAGTGGGGTGTAGAATCATCAGAAACAACCGTTAGTGGGACAGGGCGTCCAACTTTCTCTCATGCCACAGTCAGGACCTCACATTTAAATGCTTCCATCAAAGGGACAAAAGCAATTGATTCTATTTGTCTTCTTCTTGAGGCCACGGGATACACTTTGGAATCAAGAAAGTGGTCCCCCAAGCATAGCTCGAAACCAGAAATGAGCTGCTAGGCCTTGGGTTTGACGGTGTTTCGGATAACTGGGAGCTGCCTGCAGCAGAAAGAGTGCTCCCTTCAGGGGAACGGACAGCCAGGATGGTCTCAGGATGCCTTAACTTTCCTAATGAGGTGCCAAGGCCGTCGCGGATGCCAACTGAGGGGTAAGGCAGGTGTTGGCCCACAGCTGTCCATGCCAGACTCCTGGGGTCCATGGAAATCCCTCCAGAACAGTCCCTGGCTATGCAGCCTCAGTCCTGTGCTTAGCAGCAGATTGTCAGTTGAGCATAATGAACGTTGAACCGTAGGAACTTTTGGAGCTCGGGAGATGCAGAGGCTGTGGCCCCGGCCCTCAGTGACAGCAGACGGCGTCTTTGGGAGGCTTGGGTGGGGGGGGGACTCCTCACACGCTATGCCAGGCTGCTTCTGTGCACCGTGTCAGAAGCTCCACCTGGGCTCTCGCAGGATTTGCAAACTTGATCTGCAAAAGGTCAGAGAGTCAATATTTGGGGGTTCGTGGACCATATGGTTTTTGTCAGAACCACTCAACAGGTGGGTTGGAGCCAGGATTCTAACTCAGGTTTATTTGACTCTAAATCCTCTGAGCTCTTCCCTATGGTTACCCTGATAAAATAGTGACTGCTCACACCTTATATGCCATATATGCCAGACATTGTAAGCACAGTTCAGAAAATTAACTTATGTGATCCTCAATAATTTAATTTACTTGAACCTTTCTATGAGATAGGAATTGGCCTTATCTTCATTTTAGAAATGAGGAAACTGAGGCACAGAGAGTTTAAGTAACTTTCCTGCGGACACACAGCTAACGGTGGTGGTGCTGGGATTTGAACCCTGGCAGACTGCCTAGGAAGTCTGGGCCCCTATCCACTACACTAAAACAGAGGTGAATCAGATGTCCACAATAAAAGACACTGTATAATTGAATGCATAGCTTGGTGACCAGGACTCAAAGCGACTTCAGAGTTTAGGGGGGAGTCCATCTGGAACAGGCCCAAAGTACCCCCCAGCCCCATGAAAGGAGGACAGATATGACAGAGGAGGGCAGGAGAGGACAGCACCAGTCCCTGTGGAACCAGGCAATTTGCTCCTTGTCCAGACACTTTGCATCTAACCCATAACCAAAATTTATCGAGCACTTACAATATGCCTTACTCAATTAAGCACTTTCATTTCTCTAGAAGACAAATTAATCTGTTTTACTACATAGATAATCAGAGAATATTAAAACTAAACAAGGCTTTAAAAATCACCTAGAGGGGTCCAGCTCAGAGCAGGGGCCGGAGTTACAATCTGAAGACCAGGCTGTGGAGGCTGCACCACCGTCTGCCGAGAGGCTTGGCAGGTGGGATTTCTCTTGCTCAGGTGGCAGACAGTCCAACTCAAACTGGCCTACATCAAAAAAATGGAGACACATTGGCCACATGCTGAAAGGTCTGGCGGTGAACTCAATATGTTTACACACAATGGCATGATCTGGGCTCACTGCAACCTCCGCCTCCCAGGTTCAAGCAATTCTCCCGCCTCAGCCTCCCGAGTAGCTGGGATGACAGGCATTTGCCACCACATCTGGCTAATTTTTATTTTTTATTTTTTTGTATTTTTAGTAGAGATGAGGTTTCACCATGTTGGTCAGGCTGGTTTCGAACTCCTGACGTTAGGTGATCCACCCGCCTCAGCCTCCCAAAGTGCTGGGATTACAGGTGTGAGCCACTGCGCCTGGCCAGCAACTCATTTTTAAAGAAATTACAATCAATAATCAGCCCTATAATGTACTGGACATTTGGGTGATGAGAAAATTGAGACACACAGAGGACAAGGTGCTGGCCAGGGTGACTTAATAGAGTGGAAAACCACTGTTTTCAGGATGCCAGCACCCATTCCCACCTTGTGAAGACACTGACATTTGCTTCAAGAGAATGGCTCTGACACCACAATTTGAAAAGCATCCTATAATTCATTGCTAGGTCAGGTGACAAAGACTCAAAATGGCCTGGGAGGATGAATCCACTCCAGCACCAGGGATGGCTTGTGTCCTAGACCCATCGAACAAGCACAGAACCTCTGTCAGCCGGTCAGAGACAGCGAGTCAGCTCCAGACCTTCTGACTGAGGTACTGGGGTAGTATTTTCTGATTCTCTCTCTCTCTCTGTTCAGCTGGTGGTTGAGAAGCAATAGAGCTCAAGCACCCAGGGCTACAACTGGAGGCTGCAAAAGGGTGCAGCAGAGCCACAGATGTGGGTAAGAAATGGAGACAGAGAGCCCAGATTCCAGGGGCCGCGGCTTGTGCTGTATAGTGTTTCACTTTGTGAATATATTCTAACTTTTTGTCTGTTCTATTTTTGATGGATATTTAGCTTGTTATAGTCCTTGCTACTATTGAAATAGTGCCAGGAATATTTTTGTACATATTCTTTGGTAAAAATAAGTACCCACTTACGCTGGATATTTACTAATGCCTACAGAAGAATTTAAATCATGACAACTTTATGAATAACAAAATTTGCCAAAATATTATTTATAATTGAAAAAATAATAAAGATCAACAGGGAAATGATAGGTCATTAAATACACAGTCTTGGGAAGAAGTGTTTTGATTTTTATTTTCACCATTTATCAAAATAAAAGCATTAAATACATAAGGACATAATAAATTCTAAGAAAGCATAAGCAACACCAGACAAGGAAGAAATTTCTAAGTGTGAAAATGTATTAAGTAAACCACAATGGAAAAATTTTGAGTACATAGCAATTTTAAACTTCTGTGGGCCAACACATATAATTAACAAAATTATAACTTATCTAATGATTCAGAAAAATATTTATAACAAATACATCACAAAGGTTTAATAAACTTACTATAATCTAAATTCACATAAATTGGTGATAAAGACATTACCAAACCAAGAAAAGTTAGCAAAACTGTAGAAATGGATTTACACCTGTGCTTAATAATGAAAACACTTCAACATTTCTAGTAATCAAAGGAGAGAGGATTGAAACATGGGGACATAATTTTGCACTATCACGAGGTACAAATATTTAACACTATTAAAACAGCGCTGAAGAGAATGGGGAAAAAAGAGGCACGGTTATATGCTATTGGGCTAACTTCTGCAGGAAGCAACTCAGCAATATACATGTGAAGCTTAAAAACATGCAGAACTTCTGAATCCGTATTTCTACACTCAGGAATCTGTTCTTCCCCAGTAATAATGCGAAACACAAACAAAATAAATGTATACCATATTCATCAAACCAGCATTTATCATTGAAAGAAATAAGAAAAAAAGCAATACCTAACAATAAAAAAGTAGAGAAAAATGACTATTGACCATGTGATGGAATATGATGCAACCATTAAACGATGGCGGTCATTAGGTTATGCAGAGCAAGGTCAAGTGGCCAAGTGGCATGAGCATCACCACTCCTGCAGCAGCCTGGGCAGCTTCCACTGGGCAGAACAGACCCAGGATGACAGGCCCGTAGTATAGGACTCCATTGTCCATCACACCCCACCCCGCTAGGTAGCAGCAGTCCAGCCAGTGCAGATGTCTGTTGCCTGGAGAGAGTCTGATGCCTGAACTGCAACCTCCAAACCGCGAGATGGGGAGTGTCACTGGGGTGTCTTCAGGACCTTGGATAACTCCAGTGAGGCCGTAAGATTAGAGATGGCACCAGGAGACAGTGGGAGACGGTTGTCCACCCGCAATTGAAATAAGGACATTTCTCATCGCTTCACAGGGAGTGAAGGTGTCTGTGGGCTCGTCAAGTTGAGTAAGAAAGAAAGATAGATGTGGAGGAGGGACACAGGCTAGGGGAGAGAAAAGCTGGAGATACCAACTGATAAAAGAGTCCCCTTAGAGACAAATGTATGTGTTTGTATGTTGAACCAGACACTGAGGGGCTAGGCATTCTTCTTTGGCAGACAGGAGAATGTAAAGCAAGAGGAAGAGCAGTTACAATTCCTGTGATCCTATCTTTCACTTCATGTTGTGCTGAGCTAACAGACATGTTCTGTGTTCCAAAGAAAGAGAAAAAGAAAAGGAATCACGTTACCTAACTCACTGTTGAGATGAAAAGGGAGTGGATGGCGGGCAACTGGGACGAGCAAGTTTCTTTGCTGCTGCCCTTCGCTTCAACCGAGCTGTTTTTATGGCTTTATTATGTAAGTTAAAGTTTTTAAGAAGTTAAATGAGTGGCAAAAATCAAGCAGAATTTGTGGCAATTTTAAATGTTCTTTCAAAGGTGTGCATGGTGGGGATAATAACATTTATATAGTGATTTCATGCATATTATCCTTTTTATTCATTGCATGAACTTTACTATGATTCTGATGTCACAGGTGAGTAACTAAATGTTCAGGAATGTTATCTGCCGCAGGATCAGGGCAGCCACACTGTACACAGCCAGGGAGCCCTGTTCATAGTGTAGTATTTGTGGGTGGTGCTCCTGAAGTTGTGTGTGGCTTTATGTGGCACTCCTGACCAGCCAGAAGTAAATGGCAAAAGGTGCCTCTCAAAACTAGGTTCTTTGTCATCTCCTCCCAGGGTGTCACATTACTGAAATATGCTAGTTAAGGAAAGGAGGATTTCTCTTCTATCCTTTGTTTTCCCATACTACAAAATACAATTCATACTGCAAATAAGCTTCCATTCCTACATGATTTATTGAGGAAATAAGTCATCCTTTTAGGGTTCAATATCTTTAAATTTTTAAGCAGCTTCTTTGAAATGTATTTTATTTGGTATTGCTATCTATTGCTGTGACACTGTATTTACATCAAATGTCATTTAAAGACTATACATAAAATAGTTACATGTTCTTTCTAGTACAAAAACAAAGAATGAACCATAAAAAAGGTTTTTAGATAGAATTCAAAAAAAAATTGAAAGCCTCTGGTTTTCCCTTTTGGGCAAAACGTCTAGTCTTGATGCCCTGAAAAATCTCTGCTATAAAAGACCTCTAAGGTATAAAATAAAATAAAAATCCACATCCTTTTAAGTTCATAATGACCTCGCAAGAGTGTAGGAGAAATCCCAGGGGACAAAACAAAAGGGGGCACACACATCGTGGAAAGGCGGTGCAAGGAACGACGGCTCTGGGGGAACCTGGTAATTTCCCTACACCTTGTGCTGCGGTTTCAGTAGCCCCAAAAGGCAGAAGACAACATGGAGGCTCTTGGAAGGGAAGAGTCTCCCAGGACCTTCTCATGCAGCCAGAAACTCCAAGAGCCATGCTGAGTGAAAGGACAAACACACAAAGTCTCTGCCCTTCAAAGGGAGAGAAGGTGACTTCAATATCTAGGCACAAAGGTTGGAAGTCAGCAAACAAACCAACAGATGATGACTCAGCCATACAGCTCCACAGCCAGATGCTGGAACTATCAGACGCTGAGCCCTTCTCTCAAGGTCCTTTTTAAGGGGAACGCAAAGTTAAAGAACGACCAAGTTAAATCTATTCCAGAAATGTAAATTTTGTTTAACATTGAAAAATCAATTAATATAGTTAGCCCTACTTATAAATCAAACTAGAAAGGCGTAAGATCACCTCAGTAGGCACTAAAAAATATTTGATTAATTTTTATATCCATTCAGCTTAAATTCATTGGCATAATGGGCTAGAGGAGAACTTCTTTAAACTGAAAAAAATTGAACCTACCAAAATCTTAGCACAAACATGGTACCACATGGTAGAATCTGGAACATTCCCTTTCAAAAAGGATTAAAACAAGGTTGCTTTTACAGCATACATTGGTGGCTCTAGCCAGTTCAATAAGATGAGAAAATCTGTAAGCGACACATGAAATGGTATTATTTGTGTATTTATAAAATATTTCCCTCTAAACATCTTTAAAGCATTAAAATTAATATGAGGGTTTAACAAAATGATCAGATATAAGATAAATTAAAAATTGATTTTATTTCTCTACCCAAGCAACAAAGAGAAAATGTAGTTTTTAAAAATGGATACTGGCCGGGCGCGGTGGCTCACACCTGTAATCCCAGCACTTTGGGAGGCCGAGGCGGGCGGATCACGAGGTCAGGAGATCGAGAACATCCTGGCTAACGCGGTGAAACCCCGTCTCTACTACTAAAAATACAAAAATTAGCCGGGCGTGGTGGCAGGTGCCTGCAGTCCCAGCTACTCGGGAGGCTGAGGCAGGAGAATGGCGTGAACCCGGGAGGCGGAGCTTGCAGTGAGCCAAGATCGTGCCACTGCACTCCAGCCTGGGCGACAGAGCGAGACTCCGTTTCTAAAAAAAAAAAAAAAAAAAAGGATACTTTTTACAAGAGTAACAAAATATATAAGGTGCTAGGAATAAATCTAACAAAATATTTTAAAGATCTCTATGGGGAAAATTATAAAACGTTATAAAAAGACATTTTACAATTCCCTAAAGAAATAGGGAAACGTGCCACATTCCTGGCTAGGAGAACTCAGTACCTTAAAGATGTCCAATCTTTCTAATTTTATCTCAGTCCTAACAAGGTTTATTAAACTTGTCAAGCTGATGCTAAATCATAAGGAAAAGAGTTACAAATATCCAAGACATTCCTGAAGGAAAGTGAAGAAGTAGGTGAAGGAAATGGTCTACCAGAAAGTGAGATTTGTTAATAAAATATAGTAATTAAGACAGTGTGGTAATAGCATAAGAAGAAGCAAAAAGAACATCGGGGAAAAGAACAGAGGGCACAGAGGCTGACTCATGCAAACCTAGAGACTTGCCGTATCTGAGAAGCACTATTCAGACCAGTGGGAAAAAGTCAAATATTTGAAACACGCCTCGGAAACAATTTAAAAAAAAACTGAAATTGAGCCACTATCAGACACCATGCACAAACATATAATGCAGGTGAATTAAAGCTAAAAAAAGAGAGAGAGAGAAAGGAAATACAGGAGTAAGTACTTGAAAATTTGGCGATAGAGAAAAAAATTAAAACAAAATGAAAAAGGCACAAAACTCAAAAGGTAAACTTGATAAATTTTACTCAGTTAAAATTTAAAATTGATGTTCATTCAAAAGAAAACATAAAGAAAATAAAAAGCAAATAATAAATTTGACAAATCGATTTTTATAAAAGATTAACACATGGCCTCTATAAACAATGACTACAATCCAATGGGAAAAATTGTAAAAGACAATGACACCTTATTGGTGGAATTTTCAATTTGTACACTTACTTTCGAAAATGATTTTTATTACACATTAAAATTAAAGGTGGACAGAATTAACACTGGCAATTCTATTCTTCTGTCTAAAACAGTGTGCCTAAGAATATATATGTATGCATAAATAATTGTTAAAAGGCACTTTAATTGTTAAAAGGTGTGTAATTGTGAAACATACTTTTTAAAAAAACAAGTCATGTTCAAATAGAAATTTTAAAAACAACTACAAATAACCTAAATTTCTATTGGCAGAAGTGAAAAACAGTTATATATTTATTACAACTGAAAAAGATGAACTACGACTTCAGAAATCGTAATACATTTCTCTCAAAAACATAACGATGAACAGGGACAGAGAGAAGACTTATGGCCGCCAGGGGTGAAGGGAGGGGAACTCAAAAGTGACTGCTGTGGGCACAAAGTTTCTTGGGGTTTCTTTTTGGGGTGATGAAGATATTCCAGACTTAGAGTGTGATGACAATTTCACAGCCTTGTGATTATACTAAAAAATATTAAGTTGTACATTTTTATGGTATCTAAGTTACATCTCAATAATAAAACCATACTGTTGAGCAAGTTGCAGAAGAATATTAATAGGATGATAATATTTGTATAATGCTTAAATTTAAGTACAATGCAAAATGTTTACATACATATCCAGTAAAATCATGAAGACAGCCAAAGGACAATAATCACAAAATTTCAGATTGTGATAAGGCTAGTCAGTGGACTTCAAAATAAATATTGGTAATGTCCTACTTTTTAGGCTTGACTATGCCAATTTTAAAGTATTATTATTTATAACTTACATATATGTTAAATATCTTTTTGTATGTGTGTACTATGTTGCACAATATAAAAATCCAATAAGTAAAAAATAAAAGTTCTTAAGGTAAATAAACTGAATTTCATCAAAAATTTGAGAGAAAAATTGGAAGAAGAGTAACAATGGATAGGTGTGAAAAATAAAAGATAATAAATACCTAGTATATTGCTGAACCAATAAGGAATTCAGAAATATTACGGCAAAAATATTTATGAGGGGTGGAAAGAAGTGAATAAGCTTGAGAGATACTAAGAATAGAAAATTGACAGAATTTGGCAATGGATTGGGATTCGGGGTGAAAACTATTGCAAGAATGATTTCCAGGTTTCCAGCTGCACAACTGGATAGATGGTGACCTACTTATCAAGGTAAGAATCACCTACCAAATAATCATTAGCAAGGGCAGTTAAATTTTTATTTGCAAGAAATTAGAAACACCAAAACGAAGCAAGTATTAAGAGGTGGTTAAATGAATCATGGTACAATGGGGTAGAAGAATGGTATGCAGCCATTAAAAATCATGTTTTAAGAGATTGATGACATCTCTTAGAATGACATCTCTTAGAATATGTGTGGCATTTCAAAATGCAATTAAAATCACCATGAGCCTCTTCAAGTCCATCTCTTTAGGACTCCGATGTTACATGGAAGGCTGCAAAATCACACATTGTATCATGCATGTGCTATGAGGTAGTCTGGGAAACTGATGAGGAAGAGAAATGTTCCTGATTGTTTGTTATGAAATAATTATGTGGCTGGGGTTAAAAGCCTCTTAGGACAATCAAGTGGCAGCTTTCACTCAGACACTTTTAATGCATTGGCAAAATGGCTTCTTTTCAAGTGCACCCCAGGTGATTCAGGGTAAAAGCTCAAAACAGCACCTTTTTGCCCAAAGCTACCTTCAGAAAGAAGGGTTGTCAATTTGCTAGAAATAATTTTTGTAATCTTCTAGGGTTATAGGCACAACATGGTTATTCTCTTTCCCTTAACTTTGGAATGCTGGAGTTTTGCATGTCTATCCCTTCTCGTCCTTTTTTCCACTTTCTCTGTTACTATCTTCCACTTTCTTTCTGTTTCATCTTTCGACACAAGAATGTCCTTTGGAATAAATATTATGTTTTTATTTGTTTATTTATAAAAGGACAGTAGTTATGGTATTGTTACTTTAACCTTCTCTGTGTAGACATAATGTCTTAATCATGGCAGTTCTATTATAGTTTTTAGGCAGCATTTACATAACATGAAATTATTCATTTTAAAATGTGCCATTCAATGACAATTAGTACTTTCTAGTGGTAGATTTTTAATACATTTATGTTTAATATACATCACTGAATAAATAAGATTGCAATGAATTAAATAGGCCTCCAAACAACAAAATGCAAATTGAAAACATTTTCTACCTTGCCAGTATGCATATTGTTTCATTCGTTAAAGGGAAATCCCTGCTTAGATATAAACTTCCTAAATTAATATAAATATCCTTACACAGTTAAATATGAGTTTAGGAAGCAAGTGTTTAGGTAGCAAGGGATAATTCATTTCCATTATATGCCATTAGCTCTTGGAAGGTAGGCTTCCAATTATGAAAAACACTGATTTCATTGAAATGAGGGTTTTCTACTCCCTAAAGAGAAAGCCATGGGAATAGGTAGTTTTATTCAAGTGACCAAGTATGGCAAGAATCACCTCTCACCTCCCTCTCTGCATTAACCCCACAGATGCAAACAGACTTCTCTCTAGTTCTAAAGATTACACACTTCATCTTAATACTGTTGGGAAATGAAGAATAAGAAGAAACAAATTCTAGATTACTACAGTAGCACATCTATAAGATGAGACTTTACAGATTAATCCTCTTTGCTGCAAAACTAGATTTTTTTTTCCTCTAAAAACTTTCATCTTTCTTTGATTGGCTTTACCTGTTTTTTTCCCTCTAACAATGGTGAAGAGACAAATTGTACTCTTCTGGAACCAAATCTTGAAATATTTAATAAATACCTAATTTATCTAAATCATGTATTTACACATATTTGTTCAGAATACGTAATATGGCATAATTTGTCATTTTTTAGTCATAAACCTCCTCTGACTCCTTCACAAAGGGCTCAGGTTTCCTTGCCTTGGCCAACTCCCTTCACCAAGAAGACTCTAGGATTGGTACTTCCAGAAACCTGGAGGCCAACTGGGACCCCTCTTCCCCTCTTCCTATACTCCCTTTTCCACCTCCCTGCTCCCAACATGCTTTGCTCTTCTCTATTCTAGGTCATTCATTCCATCACAACCTCTGGAATTTCCACATCATTACAACACAAGCTTCTTTTATCCTCAGATACCAGCTCTTCACTGCTTGAACAGAGAGGATCCGTAGGGCCCCCATCTTTGTGGCCTGTAAACCAATCTGATACAGAACACAAACGATCATAGCCAATATGTACTGGCTGTGTCTACTGTGCCAGTCAGGAGCTTTCAAAGGTCTTTAATGTGTTAATTTATGTGAACTTTTCCGTAGCCACACAAAAAGTATTTAATCAGAAAAAAATTACATAAAATTGTAATCTAAAAACATAAAAGAACAATCCTGAAAAGAGTGTGTTGAGCACTTACGATGCAGCAGGTTCTTTGAGAAAGCCTATCAAGCATAGAGAGTGAACCAAAACACACCCAGGGCAGGTTCCAGAGGCTACCAGGAATGCTCCTTGAGGAGGTGCAGTGGAGAAAGGACAGCCTGCAGGACTGAGGACCAGAAGAAAGGCCAGACCCCAGTCTCCGTCTCTATTCCAAGATGATGCCAACATCATTTGGTCTCACACGTCTAGTGGCATCTAACAGTCCTCTAATGGAGAAATCTCTGGAAAGGTCTGAGCTGAAGTCAATGGAAGGGAGGTGTTAAATGTAAATGTGTCGCATTCATTCCCAGTTGCTACATGAATGCATTCTAACAAGCTGCTAGAAAGGGAGTCAAGGAAAGGAAAGATTCTGATCCATGTTCCAAAAATGCAAAGCTGAAGAGATGTTGCAAGATGACATTCAATTTGAGGAAAAGCCCATAATGGGGCTTCTTCAGCTTTGCAAGAAAACCATGAGATTAAGAGGAATGATGGAGACCCACCATCCGGACATGATGGAAGCCCCTAGGTTTTCATACCTGGGCTCCCAGGGGCTTTGACTCAAGCAGAAAAACCTGGGGACACCCAGATCTCTGCCTCTCCCTGTAGGCACCACAGGGCCCCTGGCTGGAGCCTCTTTGCTCACTGATGACAGCTATTGCTGCACTCACCATGGATGCCAATGCAAGCAGCACAGAAAAGGGGTGCTGCAGTGCTCCTCTCAGATGCCAGGTCACACTTCCAGGCTACAGCTGAACTTGCATCTTCACAGACACCATTAAAACTCAACCTACCGGCCGGGCACGATGGCTTACACCTGCAATCCCAGGACTTTGGGAGGCTGAGGCAGGTGGATTGCTTGAGGTCAGGAGTTTGAGACCAACTCAGCCAACATGGTGAAACCCCATCTCTACAAAAAATACAATAAAGATTAGCTGGGTGTGGTGGTGCACGCCTATAGTCCTAGCTACTCAGGGGCTGAGGCAGGAGAATTGCTTGAACCTGGGAGGCAGAGGTTGCAGTGAGCCGAGATTGTGCCACTGCACTCCAGCCTGGGTGACAGAGTAAGACTCAGTCTCAAAACAAAACGAAACAAACAACTCAACCTACCATGCGTCATATTTCTGCCCACAGTAGAAGCCCTTAGAGCTATCCACTTTCTCCCATGGGGTTATCCTAACTGATGTTTTCCTTTCACCCAGCCCTTTTTCACTCCTTTACCTCCCAAACACTTCCAGTGTCTTCTCTCAAGTGTCCTTTCCATTGCAACACTACTCCCATGCTTTCTGAGTCTCAGCCTTTCCTGAAAGCTGGCTGCATCCTGGGGACACTGACTCTTCTGCTCCCGGAGGATAATGCTTATTTTGCCCCTGGATTTTCCTTCGGATTCTTCTCGTTCTCCAATGTTTCTGCTAAATAGCACTTTGAATTCATAATGCAAAGACTTCATTTATTGAAAGTTCATTCTCATGGATCCTGCCCCATCTGTCATGCCTTCTCCAGGCTGCATTCCCCTCTTCCTCACACCAGGAAACCACGCACTAGATCAACATGGCTCCCATGTCACCAGGTCCCCTGCCTGGACCACTCATCCTCGTTACCCCTGGCTGGCCAGTCCCTGCTGCAATGCTCTCTGCTGTCCACTCCCGTGGTTCTTCAGCAAGCTAGTCTGTGCCCTTTCATTGCGTTTTCTCTGCTAGATTACCTTTCTGTCCCTGACTTCTAAATGTTAAGAGTAGTTGGGTCCAATCCCAGGTGCTCCAATCTCATCTCTCACAGTCACTTTCGGCAAATCCTAGGGACTTAAATGCAGCTAGATGCCCATGAATCCCAAATTAATATCTCCATTCCAAGCCTCTCCAACAGCCTATCCAACATCTTCTCTCAGATTTCTATTATGTCCAACCTCGTGTGTCCAAAATAAATCTCTTAACTCTCCCTCCCCCATCTCAGGAGAAGACCTTGTCATCACCCAGCGACAGTGCAGGACACTGAAGGTCCTCTCTTCCTCCCCTACCCCCAAATCATCACCAAGTGCTACTGAGCCTTTAGAAATTAAAGTCAATTATTTTTACACTGTTAAATATTTGATACATACTTGTGCTACAAAATTCGGAAAGTCCGAAAAGTAACACGATGAAACGTGAGTCCTCTCCCCAACCCGTCCCTTCCCCAGGAAGCCAGGTTGGCTCCTCGCATTGCCATATTTGTGAGGTCACTTGCAGTAGGTATCTGTGCACATACCCACACGTTTTAAAAATAAAAAAAATGGTTGTACTATACTATACACACTGTTCTGAAGCTTGTTTTCCCACCTCACATTATACAGTCAAATATTATTCTGGGTCAGTATAAACAGAGCTGCCTCGTTTGTGTTACAGTTGCATAGGGTTCAAACCTTTGCCATTACAAGACAATACTGTAATCATGTGTATAAGTTTCTATTCCTAACAATAATGCAATGAACACCCTTATAAAGAAGTCATTTCCCATCCACATGAGTAATTCCTGGAAATTAGATTGTGGGTCAAGGAACATGAGACATTTGTCGTTTTGACAGATACAGCCAAATTGTATAGATGCTGTTCAGTCTGTACCACCAGCAGCCTTGGGTGGGAACCTGTTTCCCAACATTCTGGCAAACACACCGTGTTATCAAACTTCTTGATCTGTGCCAATCTGATAGGTGAACTATTCTACCACATTGTGGTTTTAATTTGCATTCATCTTATTACAAGAAAGGTTAAGCAAACTTTCACACATTTAAGCCTTTCTTGCATTAATTTTCATTATTGTGAAATTTGTATTCAGGTCATTCACCAATTTTTAGAATGTTTTTAGTTTCTTATTTTTTACAGCGCTCTTTTAAAGTATTAAATAAGCATCATTAGCACTTCATCTATGATACTGGCTGCAATTTCCTTCCAGCTTCTACTTTAACTTTGCTTTTACTGTTTTTGTTTTGTTTTTACTGTATTCCCCCTACAGAATCCTATTTTAGAAAGTCAAGTTTATCAATATTTCTTTACTTTTCTACTTGGTTTTATGGTTTCATGTTTTAATATTTAATTTTTTGCTTCACCTGACATTTTAGTGAAAGGACACAGGCATCTAATTTTTATGTGTCTACAGGTATATTTTCTGGTTCTGCCAACCCCATTTACTGAATAATCTCTTATCCTCCAATGAAATAAACTGCCAGCTTTATAATATGCTTTGTCCCTTGTATCTAGATTTAGTTCTGTACCAAATACAACTGACCTTTTGATTTGGCTATGTTCATGTAGGTTCTCCACCTCCCACTGATTTGTGAGCTTCCTAAGCACACTGTCAGGGTTTGAGATTTTACTCCCTTTCCCTTAGAAAGTAATGTTAGCCCGTCACCGTTAGGTGGATGCTGGCAGAGGATGTAAGCCTTTCCGGTCAGAGACTCATGGCACAGAAAGTGGCATGACTTGCCTCTATTCCTCTTGCTTCCCGGGCAGCATGGGGCAACAGGGCGGGGCCTGTTGGATGCCACGCCTGCAGTGGGCTGTGTTTCGGCTGACACAAAGGACTTGGGTAATCCACCATTTTTGTAGCAGGAAATAAGCAGGCCCGCACTTTGTTCTGGAATGCGACCTCACCTCTTAGTGTGGTTTGCTGCAAGCACAACCCTTAAAAAAGGCTTGAGTAAAGCAAAGCCAGGGTCTTGCGTATTTCACTGACCCACTAACAGGCGTGGGAGCAGGAGAGACGCACAGAGGAGGGCCTTTCCCAGCAGACACAGCTGAGTGGTTGTGGTCGGTTTGCATTTTGATGTCCACAGGATCAGTGTCTAGTACAAAGTAGGTGCTTAAGAAACGTTGATAAATTTGACCGAATCCAACATTTCACTGGGTTAGAATGAATTTACCACCACACAGCATAACTACATCACTACATCTATTGAGTATTATTCTCTACTACACAGATGGGTCCTCACACTATGGACCCAGGCAGCGTCAAGAGTCCAAAACGGTACCTTCTAAAGGAAGCAACCTAAAAATAAAAGAAATAGAATTACTGTTTGACTCATTAAAACTAATTTCTGTGAAATGAAATTTAGAAACTTCCTCAGCTCAGAGATAAAAGTCACTTTCTCTACTCTACACCATTAGTAAGAAGAAGGTAAAATTGCAGCATTGGACATTAAAATCAAGCACTAAGAAAGTTTTTTTAAAAAAGCCAGATGATGGTTATAATATATGGCAATTTTTATCTTCAAATTATGTGTGGCAATATTGTAACAAAAGACACAAGAAAAAAATATTTGAGGAAAGAAATAGTTGAGGAAAATAGTGCCTTATTACTTAGACAGAAAGCTAATGGGGCAAAGACCTATGTTCTGGGTAATTCTTAGTATACGTTTGAGGCTTAACAAATATCTAGCACATTTTTAGTAACAATGTTTGCGGATTTTTATATTTTGAATTGAAAATGCCATAAATGCACCTTCACGATAAAGGGTGAGCCCACTTTTGTATTATTCTGTAACTAAAACATGATGATATTTAAAACAACAAAGCAAAATGATGATCTAGATATTAATTTCCTTTAAAGTTTATATTGTGAGAGACAAGGGTGCCATTTTGAAATTGTGGTGTACTTTTAGTGTGAAGAAACTTTAAAACTAGGTACAAGTTTATCAAAATAAAACAGGTAAGTATCAAGTCTCAAAAATATGTATTTCATTTTCTGTGTGCTTTTAGTAGCAGTGAGAATCATGTTTTTAAATTCTCACTTTTACTACCTAAAAGGAAATTTTTGTAGTATAAAATATAATTTTAAGATGTTTTCAATATATAATTCCTATTTTTTTTCTCTTTTAGCAAGACAACCTTGGGCTGACATTCGAAATTTTTACTAAAGAACCAGCAAGTACTAAAATGCAGGCTGATGTTTACACTTTCAGTAGTAATTCTTAGAATGTGTTTATCTGAACTGAAATCTCTACTTAACAGTCAGCGGGAAATGGCAATAAATGGCATCTGCCCTAAATTTCACAAGTTGTTGCTTTATTTATTTTCTTGTGAACCTCATTAATCCATACTCCCTCAAGTCACTTTAGTTTAGTTAATATTATTTGTGTGACAAAAGTGTTTTGAACAAGGAAAAATGGAAAATTCATGTATAAATAGCTAATCATTGGTCTTAAACATAGCATATACACGGAGGCTCAGAGGACAGGTTGGTAAAGATTACTCAAAAGGAGAATTAAAAGACCGCTCAATTCTCAGTTGTGTCATAATCGTATCTTTATGGTAGCTACATATTATAAAATGTTTTTTATTTATCCCTCATACTAGTAAGCGTCAAATTCATGATCTTTGTGAGTATACTGACAAACTACTCTCACAAGCTATTACTATTATTGATATTTTATATATCAACTTTTTTTCATCCATAAAAGTACCTCAACGACATGTTCAGTAGCAAATAAGTTTTCAGATCCCTTCACTCTATTGAATAACAGCTCTGAACACTTTGACTAACTTGAATATCTTCTATTTGCAATGCCTAAAGATTGAGAATAAAGCAGTTAAGAAGGAAGGTGTAATTTGTAAATTTAGAATTGCCAAATTAGTAATGAGTATGTAAGTTCAAATAATTTTACGCAATCAAAAAGATAGTGACATTCGATGCTTATTGCCATTTGTTATTTATGTTTTTAAAATACATTTTTGTTATGTGTCATTTTCAGAGTATGTTTTCTTTCCTATCTTACTTTTTCCAATTTGCTTTTCAATCTTTCAAGATGACTTTGGCTTATCCTAAAAAGAATGTGAGACTTAAAGGTCAATGTAGGGGAGAAATACAATTAAAAAACACTTGGCTTGCCAGATAAGCAAATCTTGATTATAACTTATTTTTGATTAGGTAAACATTCTAAAATAATACTGAATTTAGATTCTTGTTTTTATTTTGTTGGCTAGTATTCTAAACTCTTAAGTGGGCAGTGATATACATTTCTATTAAACTGTATAAGTAACTATGCAAATTGGGATATAAATTGCATTAGAAAATATGAACATATTTGCTTGATACTTAATTCAACCATAAAAAATAAAGTATTGCACTTATTAATGTTCTCTTCCCTCATTTGTCATCTGATATTGCTCTTAGTCACTCACTATCAAAATTTCTTTGTTTAATCTTACTTCTATTAATTTCCTTAAAGTTTCATGCAAAGCAAATTTATGTCAGGTTGTAAGCACCTTTCTCTCAAAGCAACCACCACTGTATTTGTGACAACTCATGCCAGAACCCTGAATCTGCCTTGGGAAGAAACATTGCCAGTTGGTGGCAGCATTCACAAGAGAGGGTCACATTTCCTCTGTTATCTTTAGGTTGAATTTCAAAACAACTCTAGAAAACAGACTCAGAGGGCTAGCCTTGGAAACAGCATGCAAACAACTGCAGAAAAGCGGAAGGTTTCTGACTATAATACAGTTCTACCAAACAGCAGAGCATGTGGCAAAAAAGCCAGGCTGGCTCCCTTCCTCCTGTTTACCTCCTGAGCAGTGTATGAAACAGGGTGAGCTTGCTCCTGGAATCAATAGGTGAATCAATGAACACAGGCTGGTCTTCCCCACTTCATAACATCTGTACTCTGTACAAGGACACTCCGGGCCACCCTCGCTGAGCATCCTCCCGCCCTCTCCCAGAAAATATAGCTGTGTCATCTTACAGACATTTTTAATGTCATCTGCTTATGATGTGCAGATTGAGAAGCAGACAATTTTGTTCTGCTCTGGCATGAAAAAAAAAAAACGTTTTAATCGGCAGCTAGGATAGCAACATGAAGCAACACACAGGACATCAATTTCATCATGCAAAATACCGGTGTATTATATTACAGGGGCCAAGCATTCCAAGGAAAAGTAATGATCTAAGAAGATGCTCTTGCATTTTAAAAATATCTACTAGTGTTATACAGTCATTAATGTATAATTTCCATTTCAATAATAGGAAGCCTTCTGGGAAAAAAAGCTTGTGTTGCTTCTTAAATCTAGAAACACATTCTCAAAATTCAAACAGAACAAAATCCAGAGGCATATTAATAAATATTTTCAACTCCTAACCGCAGTCACTTTTTAATTGGGCATTTATGTATTTCTTCAACATAATTATATTTATAATGAAAAAATGTTGAGAATACTGGATTAGCTGCATTTGTAACTACAACATATTTTTCTAAACAGTATTAATTCAATTGATAAGACTTTAAAAAAGTTATAGTAGTTTGTTCTATCATATATGCACATTAAATAATCATTTATTTTAGAAAATCCTCCCTCATAAAATGAACATTTAGGAAAGAGACTGATCCATATTTTTAACAAGAATAATAAACACACAAGTAGAAAGCCTTTATAATTTCCAAGGGGCTGATCAATTCCATTAACAAATCCTGATACTTTAAATGTTTGCAATGCCATACATAGCAAATGATCCAAACAGCAGTTATATTCTCTCATGTAAGTCATTCTGTTGCCCATACACAGAGTTAGCATGTTACAAAACTCTTGTGAAATTTCAGTTGAAACATTAGCAAATAAATTTGCTGGTAAAGTGCAAGAAGTTTCCTTATAAACCCTAGATGAGGAAAAGTCTGTCCACAGTTCGTTCATCAGAGGAATGGAATTTCTCAAATGAGCTACTGAACAACATTATCTAATAAAATGAAATATAATGAAATGGTGCCACTCATTTTAAAGATTAAATATATCCTTTGACAGAAACCTGTGAAGTTAAAAATCTTTCCCTCTTAAAATACCTTTTAAATTAAAGCTATTCTAACTAGTTATATAGCATTCCACTTAATCTGCTTAGTTTTTAGATTGAGCTCACCTAAATACAAAATACTGTCAAACACCTACAGGGCAAAGAACTAAAAAAAGAAAGAAAATTTCACAAGCAATAAAATGCTATTCACCTTTCTCCTCCCATACTTGCCTTTCCTATATGAAACAAAGAAAATAATTAGTGATGTTCATTATTGGTAGTGCTACTAGTATTTGTATTGTGAACCTGTAACATATTTTTAAATCTCTACACTTTTATATAATTGATTCTTTCTTGAAAAGTAATTATTTCAGAAGACTTCTAATAAAATAATCATTATTGTATATGATTCTGTTAAAAATAGAAAAAACAAACAAACAGAAAAAACTCCCTGCTGAAAGATATGGCCATTTTATTAGCTGTGAAAGGAAAGAAAGCTTCCAAGGAAAGATCTTGGACCATGAGAAAAAATTTCAACCAGGCTGTTTGCTGGCAAGAGGCCATGCCAGCCCCAGCCAGTCCTGCGTGCAGAGCATGTTGGCAGATGTTATTAGCTGACTTTTGTTGAAAAAGTATGGAAGAACAGTTGGAAAATCACAAGGTGTAGAACAAGCTTTAAATAAATAAATAGCTTATCTGGCAATAGAAAGGGGGAAAGAAAACAAGTTCCTCGGTTGAGGAAGAGGACTGGGATACTTCTAATTACAGAGTTTCTTACTGTTGGTTTGTTTCATGGGCTGACTCTCAATGAGAATTGAAATTGTATCATCCACATTTGTATTTGGAGGTTCTAACTGCAGAATTGCAATTAATTTCCAGTTTGCTGTAGGAAATTTATACTCTCTATGACAGAATACCACGGACATAGGTGATAATTCTTTAACCTTCTCTCTTTTGTCCCCAGTCTGGTAACTGAGGCAGTACATGGGGAAAGTGCTAACTGCCAATCCAGAGCTGCTGACACCTTAAAAACACTGGCCTTTAACACTAGGATGGCCCCAAGAAACAAGCAAACAGGAAAAGATGACACCTGCTAGCGTGTGACAGGCACAGCAAGTAAATGTTCAATACGGATATGAAAATGCAACTGCATAATAAAAGTCAACATGAAAAAGAAAAAGATTGCAAAATATACTTTCTCAGAAGAAACCATCACATGATGTTTAAAAGTGGTGGTTCCTTTAGCATTGTCTACTGATGGCTGGCAACATACAGGAACATAGAGGTGGCCCATTTACATCCTCATAAAAGTGGGATGTAAGTGATCACAAAGCCAATAAAACTACACCACATTTTCTTCAAGCACCAAGATAAGAATCCCTTCATCTTTCCTGACTAGACATATTGCTAGGCAACATTTGTGAACGTAAGAAAAGGTAACAAGATCTAAAAAGAACGCCGAAGCATAATGTTCATAAAGGTGGCGCCCCCAACACACACAATCATACACACATACCTATACACACACAATCACACAATCTATTATATAAACAAACACGCACACATGCACACATAGGTGCACAGACTTAAAATGGCATTTCTTGAGGTATTTTTTTTTAAGGTATGATTTAAAAATGGAAGATCAACTTTAAACACACCTTTTTGAGGCACACTGGGTGATATTTGCCACAATGATTATTCTTCCCAAATTCAGGCTACTGATCAATAATCCTAACTGTATACATGCTAAAAATAAAAACGCTATAATCTTTGTACTAGTCAGGGCTCTCTTGGCACATAAAATTAGCCAACACAATCTTCAAGTCACATGTTACAAAAACATATTAAAATATATATCACTCTTTCAAAAATTACACTTATTTTCTCTTAGATTAAGATTTTATTACTTTTAAGATACTTCTATGAATTATAGAGGACATCCAAAAGTAAACATCCGGGACTTAAAAACAATAACCAATATTATAAGATAAATTATTGCTGTAAATTATTTCATGAAGGCACAATTAAAAAAAAAATAAAATAAACAGCCAAAGCCTGTTTTGTTGAGTTTTCTTCGTTGCGCAGGATCGGGAGCTTGCTGGGATCTGAACTCAGGAAGCCCTCACCTCACCCTGACTTGGTCATTGAGGAGACGTAATTGCAGGGGTGCTTATTTGCTATAGGCTTTGAAAGTCACAAAAGCCCAGTAGATACATGAATTCGAAGCAGTTCTCCAAGGGCATCTCCAACTTGGCAGTCACCGCCCGCACCGCGCACACAGGTAGTGGACGCCCGCCCACCTGCCCGTCTGCTGGGCGCAGGGCGCTCCTGGGGTGGGGAGGGCGCTCCTGTGGGGGGAAAAGGGGCGCTCCTGCCTCGGAGGGGGAAAGGACGCCCCTGTGGAAGGAAGGGGGGGCTCTTGAAGCGGTGTGGTGAGAGGACGCTTCCGAGGAAGGAAGGGGGTGCTCCTGCAGCGGTGGGGGGAGAGGACGCCCCTGCGGAAGGAAGGCGGCGCTCCTGCGGGGGCTGGAGAGACGCCCGCGCGGTCTCCCGGCTCAGGGACCGCTGGCTCGCGGGTCCGCCCTCTCCCCGGCGCTATGGAAACCGCACTTTCTCCGCCTGCCGTCCCCGATCTCTTTCTCCTATTACCTCCCAAACGCGATTTCAACTTCCCGACAAGCTGACAAGTGAATGGCGCAGAGGACGCCCCGTAAAGCGCCCGCGAGCGGGTGGGACACAGGCGCCCCCTCCGCGCCCCTCTGTCCTCCACGGAAGGGCGCGCGCCGCTCTCGATCTGGAGCGCGGTGCTCGCGAACCCGCGGCCGCGGGCCCTGGAACCTCCCCGCGTTTCGCGGCTGCGGGGGGACGGAGATGCGGCCGGGAGACGGGGACGGGAAACGGGGGACGGGGATGGGGCGCGCCCACCCCGAGCGCGGGAGCGGCCGCCCTCGCCCAAAATGGGGACCCCGCGCCCCGAGAGCACGGCCCGGCTCGCCGCCCATGCTTCCACTGCAAGGCCGCAGCCCCCGCCGCCGATCCCGATCCCCCGCCCCGCCCAGCCGCGGCCCCGCCCGGCGCCCCCTCCCCGGCGGAAGCTCAAGCCCAATTAATTGAGTCCGAGGCGGGAGGGAAGGGCCCTGCGCGCCGTGGCCCGCCCCGCCCCTCTTCCGCGCCCCTTTTCCCGCCCTGGGTGGCATCTCCTCCGCCGGCATCCACAACAAGCCGCTGATTAATGAGGCCGGGGCCGCCCCACCCCGCCCGGCCGGGCCGGGGCCTTCGCGGGAGGGGGAGGGGACGGCGGGAAACGCGGCCCGGGGAGAAAGGGGGGCGGGGCGGGGGCGCGCGGCCCGCCCCCGCGAGCGCCGCGCCGATTGGCCGAGCGCGCCGTCCGTCGGGGGGCGCGGCGCCAATGCGAGGCAGCGGGGCGGGGCGGCCGCGCTGTGTGTGCCTGCGTAACGCCGAGTCACATGTTGTTTTGCTCTTCTTAGTTCAGTCACTCGGTGCGCGATGTGTTACTCACTGTGCGGCGGGGACCGCGACGAGCCCGGGTCGCCGTTGGCAGCAGCAGCAGCAACACCAGCAGCAGCAGCAGCCCCGGCGGCGGCGCGGACCCCGAGCGCCCGGGCGCACCCCGGCTTCCCGGAGCGCGACGCGGCGGCAGCAGCCCCGGTGCGGCCGCGCGCGCCTTAGGCTCGGCCCCGCGGCTCGGGGACCCCGACTCCCGGCCCAGCGAGCGCGTCCCCCGGCGCCGCCCGAGAGCCCGAGGAGGCAGCGGCCGCAGGCAGCCGGGGAGGGGGGCGGCCACCGCCCGCGCCGGGCATCCTCAGGAGCCCCAGAGCGCGGAGGGCGCGGCGCCGCCGAGCGGTGCTGGCCCCCGCGGGCCTCCCCGGACCTTCCCCACCGCCTGGGCCCGAGGGACGCGTGATCGGGCGGGCGGCCGGGCGCAAGGGTGGGAGGGAGCCGCCCCCGCCCGCGCCCCCTCCGCCCCTCGCCCCAACCCCTGGGCGCCGGGCCCGGGCCGCGCGGCCTGAAGCGCCCGCGATGGCGAGCCCGCCGCGGCACGGGCCGCCCGGGCCGGCGAGCGGAGACGGCCCCAACCTCAACAACAACAACAACAACAACAACCACAGCGTGCGCAAGTGCGGCTACCTGCGCAAGCAGAAGCATGGCCACAAGCGCTTCTTCGTGCTGCGCGGACCCGGCGCGGGCGGCGACGAGGCGACGGCGGGCGGGGGGTCGGCGCCGCAACCGCCGCGGCTCGAGTACTACGAGAGCGAGAAAAAGTGGCGGAGCAAGGCAGGCGCGCCGAAACGGGTGATCGCTCTCGACTGCTGCCTGAACATCAACAAGCGCGCCGACGCCAAGCACAAGTACCTGATCGCCCTCTACACCAAGGACGAGTACTTCGCCGTGGCCGCCGAGAACGAGCAGGAGCAGGAGGGCTGGTACCGCGCGCTCACCGACCTGGTCAGCGAGGGCCGCGCGGCCGCCGGAGACGCGCCCCCCGCCGCCGCGCCCGCCGCGTCCTGCAGCGCCTCCCTGCCCGGCGCCCTGGGCGGCTCTGCCGGCGCCGCCGGGGCCGAGGACAGCTACGGGCTGGTGGCTCCCGCCACGGCCGCCTACCGTGAGGTGTGGCAGGTGAACCTGAAGCCCAAGGGTCTGGGCCAGAGCAAGAACCTGACGGGGGTGTACCGTCTGTGCCTGTCTGCGCGCACCATCGGCTTCGTGAAGCTCAACTGCGAGCAGCCGTCGGTGACGCTGCAGCTCATGAACATCCGCCGCTGCGGCCACTCGGACAGCTTCTTCTTCATCGAGGTGGGCCGCTCGGCCGTCACAGGCCCCGGCGAGCTGTGGATGCAGGCGGACGACTCGGTGGTGGCGCAGAACATCCACGAGACCATCCTGGAGGCCATGAAGGCGCTCAAGGAGCTCTTCGAGTTCCGGCCGCGCAGTAAGAGCCAATCGTCGGGGTCGTCGGCCACGCACCCCATCAGCGTCCCCGGCGCGCGCCGCCACCACCACCTGGTCAACCTGCCCCCCAGCCAGACGGGCCTGGTGCGCCGCTCGCGCACCGACAGCCTGGCCGCCACCCCGCCGGCGGCCAAGTGCAGCTCGTGCCGGGTGCGCACCGCCAGCGAGGGCGACGGCGGCGCGGCGGCGGGAGCGGCGGCCGCGGGCGCCAGGCCGGTGTCGGTGGCTGGGAGCCCCCTGAGCCCCGGGCCGGTGCGCGCGCCCCTGAGCCGCTCGCACACCCTGAGCGGCGGCTGCGGCGGCCGCGGGAGCAAGGTGGCGCTGCTGCCGGCAGGGGGCGCGCTGCAACACAGCCGCTCCATGTCCATGCCCGTGGCGCACTCGCCGCCCGCCGCCACCAGCCCCGGCTCCCTGTCGTCCAGCAGCGGCCACGGCTCGGGCTCCTACCCGCCGCCGCCCGGCCCGCACCCGCCTCTGCCGCATCCGCTGCACCACGGCCCCGGCCAGCGGCCCTCCAGCGGCAGCGCCTCCGCCTCGGGCTCCCCCAGCGACCCCGGCTTCATGTCCCTGGACGAGTACGGCTCCAGCCCAGGCGACCTGCGCGCCTTCTGCAGCCACCGAAGCAACACGCCCGAGTCCATCGCGGAGACGCCCCCGGCCCGAGACGGCGGCGGCGGCGGTGAGTTCTACGGGTACATGACCATGGACAGGCCCCTGAGCCACTGTGGCCGCTCCTACCGCCGGGTCTCGGGGGACGCGGCCCAGGACCTGGACCGAGGGCTGCGCAAGAGGACCTACTCCCTGACCACGCCAGCCCGGCAGCGGCCGGTGCCCCAGCCCTCCTCTGCCTCGCTGGATGAATACACCCTGATGCGGGCCACCTTCTCGGGCAGCGCGGGCCGCCTCTGCCCGTCCTGCCCCGCGTCCTCTCCCAAGGTGGCCTACCACCCCTACCCAGAGGACTACGGAGACATCGAGATCGGCTCCCACAGGAGCTCCAGCAGCAACCTGGGGGCAGACGACGGCTACATGCCCATGACGCCCGGCGCGGCCCTCGCGGGCAGTGGGAGCGGCAGCTGCAGGAGCGACGACTACATGCCCATGAGCCCCGCCAGCGTGTCCGCCCCCAAGCAGATCTTGCAGCCCAGGGCCGCCGCCGCCGCCGCCGCCGCCGTGCCTTCTGCGGGGCCTGCGGGGCCAGCACCCACCTCTGCGGCGGGCAGGACATTCCCGGCGAGCGGGGGCGGCTACAAGGCCAGCTCGCCCGCCGAGAGCTCCCCCGAGGACAGTGGGTACATGCGCATGTGGTGCGGTTCCAAGCTGTCCATGGAGCATGCAGATGGCAAGCTGCTGCCCAACGGGGACTACCTCAACGTGTCCCCCAGCGACGCGGTCACCACGGGCACCCCGCCCGACTTCTTCTCCGCAGCCCTGCACCCCGGCGGGGAGCCGCTCAGGGGCGTTCCCGGCTGCTGCTACAGCTCCTTGCCCCGCTCCTACAAGGCCCCCTACACCTGTGGCGGGGACAGCGACCAGTACGTGCTCATGAGCTCCCCCGTGGGGCGCATCCTGGAGGAGGAGCGTCTGGAGCCTCAGGCCACGCCAGGGCCCAGCCAGGCGGCCAGCGCCTTCGGGGCCGGCCCCACGCAGCCCCCTCACCCTGTAGTGCCTTCGCCCGTGCGGCCTAGCGGCGGCCGCCCGGAGGGCTTCTTGGGCCAGCGCGGCCGGGCGGTGAGGCCCACGCGCCTGTCCCTGGAGGGGCTGCCCAGCCTGCCCAGCATGCACGAGTACCCACTGCCACCGGAGCCCAAGAGCCCCGGCGAGTACATCAACATCGACTTTGGCGAGCCCGGGGCCCGCCTGTCGCCGCCCGCGCCTCCCCTGCTGGCGTCGGCGGCCTCGTCCTCCTCGCTCTTGTCCGCCAGCAGCCCGGCCTCGTCGCTGGGCTCAGGCACCCCGGGCACCAGCAGCGACAGCCGGCAGCGGTCTCCGCTCTCCGACTACATGAACCTCGACTTCAGCTCCCCCAAGTCTCCTAAGCCGGGCGCCCCGAGCGGCCACCCCGTGGGCTCCTTGGACGGCCTCCTGTCCCCCGAGGCCTCCTCCCCGTATCCGCCGTTGCCCCCGCGTCCGTCCGCGTCCCCGTCGTCGTCTCTGCAGCCGCCGCCACCGCCGCCGGCCCCGGGGGAGCTGTACCGCCTGCCCCCCGCCTCGGCCGTTGCCACCGCCCAGGGCCCGGGCGCCGCCTCATCGTTGTCCTCGGACACCGGGGACAATGGTGACTACACCGAGATGGCTTTTGGTGTGGCCGCCACCCCGCCGCAACCTATCGCGGCCCCCCCGAAGCCAGAAGCTGCCCGCGTGGCCAGCCCGACGTCGGGCGTGAAGAGGCTGAGCCTCATGGAGCAGGTGTCGGGAGTCGAGGCCTTCCTGCAGGCCAGCCAGCCCCCGGACCCCCACCGCGGCGCCAAGGTCATCCGCGCAGACCCGCAGGGGGGCCGCCGCCGCCACAGTTCCGAGACCTTCTCCTCCACCACGACGGTCACCCCCGTGTCCCCGTCCTTCGCCCACAACCCCAAGCGCCACAACTCGGCCTCCGTGGAAAATGTCTCTCTCAGGAAAAGCAGCGAGGGCGGCGTGGGTGTCGGCCCTGGAGGGGGCGACGAGCCGCCCACCTCCCCACGACAGTTGCAGCCGGCGCCCCCTTTGGCACCGCAGGGCCGGCCGTGGACCCCGGGTCAGCCCGGGGGCTTGGTCGGTTGTCCTGGGAGCGGTGGATCGCCCATGCGCAGAGAGACCTCTGCCGGCTTCCAGAATGGTCTCAACTACATCGCCATCGACGTGAGGGAGGAGCCCGGGCTGCCACCCCAGCCGCAGCCGCCGCCGCCGCCGCTTCCTCAGCCGGGAGACAAGAGCTCCTGGGGCCGGACCCGAAGCCTCGGGGGTCTCATCAGCGCTGTGGGCGTCGGCAGCACCGGCGGCGGGTGCGGGGGGCCGGGTCCCGGTGCCCTGCCCCCTGCCAACACCTACGCCAGCATTGACTTCTTGTCCCACCACTTGAAGGAGGCCACCATCGTGAAAGGTGAGGAGGCCCTTTGCCTTGGCGTCTGGCGGGAAGGAGGGGCGGGGCGCTGAGGGAGCCTCTTGGGTTTCACTGCTCCCACTTTTTGGGGACCTTGACCCAGAAGCCGACAGCCTGGCACTGGCTCCTTGTTTTGTTTTTCTGCGGGCTGCCCTGTTCTCTTCCTTCAGAGAACTTGCCAGGAACATTCGTCTTGGAGTTGAATGTGACGTTTTCCGCGTGGGAGGGAGACTGATTTTTTGAGGCCCCACCCATTCACCCATTCTGTGCGTCCCACAGCCCCCTGTCCCTTAACACAGTGGAAGTTCTCCCAGACCGGCCACACTAGAGGCCGCGGGGCACCCGACTGTCTTCATCCGGCTGCGTGGGTCCGTCCTTCTGGAAGGACCTCGGGTCCGGACCGCTGCCCTCAGCCGCAGCTTTCACCTTTCCCTGTGTTCCTGGAGCTGGGCTCCGCCTGATTCTTGGTGAGCTTGAAGGTTCAGACCTGAAAGTCATTTAAGAAATGAGCATCCATTTTGATGGCTGCTAATAGCGACAGTTAACCATTTCCGTTTTACACACAAACTGTGGGAGCTTTTCCATCAGAGGCATTGTTTTTCTCGGAAGGGGTGAAACGGTAAGGCTGCACACAGCCTAATGCAGTGGTGTTCAACTTGAGCATATGTGGGAGTTACCTGGAGGCTTTGCTGAAACATGGATCTCTGGCCTGTGTTAACCCCGCAGTTTCCGATGCTGTAGCTTTGGGGCGCGGCCCAGGCTGTGCATTTCTAGTGAGTCTCCGCATAATGCCGATGCTGCTGGCCGGGGGACCACCCTGTGAGGACCCTGCCCCAGGTGAGACTCACCTGGGGAGGATTGAAAAATTACCTGTTGGGCCTCACCCCAGACCCGTTGAAGTGAAACATGAGATGGCTAGGAGGCAGGGACGGACATTTTTCAGAGTTGTCCAGGTGATTTGAATGTGCAGCCAGGATTTACAATCAGTGCTTTGGAGAAAACAAGGGAAAGACAAAAAACACAGGTCTTCTCAAGAACAATTGGATAGGAGGGTGCCTGGTATTGTTCTTCCCGTTCTGATCAAATATCCATGAGGAGAGAGAGCTGATGCAGAATGCAGCTGGTGGTGCATTCTGGCTGTCTAAACTTTGAATGGTGTTTGGGGTCGGGGAGATGAGAGGGAAAGGTGAATGCTCAATTCGGGAGACTTTATTTAATTTTGTAGCTGTTTTCTTTGTAGGGTTCCTAGCAGGATAGAGGCTTTGTGGGAACAGTGAAACATATAGTAAAATTTGGATGCTGGATTAGATGTGAGCCTAAGGTGTAAACAGTCTTCAAGGGTCATGAGATGAGGATCAAGGTGGGCTGGAGATTCACAGCCTTTTGTTCTTAAATAGACCAGTTTAGTGCTATCTAAATCCAGCATCTGTTTTATAGTATACTTAGGACTGTCGGTCCATGGGATTTAAAATTATAGCTGTGGGGTGAACTCCCTGTTATTCTAGTGTAATAGAGAAAAGCTATTTCCTTTATTAAAACCGTATACTAGAAGATGAAGAGTCACAGAGAATTATCAGGAGTGTGGTGCTTCAGCATCCAATTAAATCATTGGAAGTCGCCAGAATGTATCCTGTGAACAGTGATTCTCAGCTGAAGGTCACTTTGGTTGGAGTTACTTATACACTATTGCTAGTGTGTCAGAAAGTTGAAGGATTAGCTGCCTTATAAGACACAGACCATTATAAACACAGCAGCAGCAGCAGCAGTATAATTGAGTGGGGAAAAACACACATATTTATGGTCTGCACAAATGGGTATATGCCAGAGTGAACATGAAAGTAAATTACATCTTACCCGAATCTGATTCTAATCAGAAAACAGCCAAGAACATAACACCTTTTCCTGCTTTCAGTGGAGCTGGTGGGACAAACCTGGACTGGGTGGAGCTGGGGCCCCAGCAGTGGGCTCTGCCATAGCAGGCGCCATAAGCTGGAATTTGTGCCTCCAGGCCTGGAGGGACGCAAGGCGTTTCTGATGAAGCCGATACATTCAGAATTGGGGTCCAAATAGGAAATAATGCCCTTTTCAGGCTAGTGAAAATGTTGAACTCTAAGAGATAAGTTTATTTAGAGACTGGATTGAGCTTTTGTTTAAGATTTCCCACCTGCGTAAAATTCCTTTCAGCCCATAGGATTCTTGATTCTGAAGTCCAGACAGAAGCCTGTGTTCTGTAGCTGCTGAACAAAGATGAGAGATCACTGGGGCTGCTGTTTGTCCGAAGTTTGTGTGGGTATCATGATGAACCCTCTTCTAAGAAGTAAAAGGATCTTTTAAATCAAAATAGACAACTGCAGTCAGTCCACCATGCCCAACGACATTTAAAAAAAAAGAAATATCTGCCCCATTGGGTTTCTAGTAAAGTAAGTTGAACACAGAGAACAGCAGAATAGGAAAGGCTAGTGTCACCTTAGTCCACGTAGCACCAAAGTTGTGGTCCGTTGAGACAGAAAGGAAGCATTTAGGAACTTGGGATAAATACCCACTTTTATTTAACTCATACATGCACTAGAAATTTGTTTGGGATGCTCATAAATACAGAGTTCACAGTAGATCAGTGTCCTTTGAGGAAATGATTTGTAGAAGGCCGACTTGCAAAGCATTTCTTTGAAGATGAAATAGAGAAAGCACTTCCTGGGCGGCCCCCTGCCCTGCCTGGCTCTTAGAAGTGGCCTGTGTTTCCACCCTGAGCTCTTCCTGTTCTGCATGGGAAGACCTCGTTAGTGATGCTGATGCAGAATAATTTTGGGGTTATGTGGGTAATGTTTGGTATTTGCATAAGTGATAGCAGAGAGGTAAGGTTCCAGCCATGTCTGGCACTTGTTTACAATAGAATCGTGAATGGGGGTGGGCTTTCAGTGCAAGAGCCAGTTAAAAAGTATATCTCAGGTACATCTGTTTTTATTAGTCCAGAGCAAACTCAAAATTATGCATCTTATTTGAGGGCAGGTTAAGGTTACTTATCATGTGTTTTTGGTGTGTGTGCATGTGGAAAACTCTAACCAATTTGTTAGGTTTCGTTGTTGTTTGGGAATTGGAAAGACGCTACTGAATTTCCTGTGCTTTAAAACTGATTTTTAAAATTAACTTTATATGTTTTTGTGTTAGGATGGTAGATTGATGAATGCCATAAAATTTGCTGTTTTAGTATTCCTTTTTAGTGATTTTAGGGATTTTATTCTAAAATTGGCGTATATATATGTATGTATGTATAAGACAGATTAGATCAGAATTACTACTGAAAGTATCCATATTTAAATTTTGTTGAATAAAAGGATTATCATTTCTTAAGGGGAAAGAATGATAAGAGATATGTTTCCAAAGGGACAATAAAATCACGATTTATGTTGAAAAGTTTTGCCTTTTGAAGTCGTAAAGCAGAGAATTTTCCTAAATTCAGAAATCCAGTGAGGTGATTGACAAACCACACAAGTTTTCTGTTTGCTGTGGCGGGTGCTAGTTTGCTTTAGTTGGCTGGCTCTGGCCATAATAAGACAATAGCGTGCACTGCTGCTGCCCTATTCGCAGGAGCAGACAACTAAGGTGCTAATGAAAACACACACCGGCTTTCGTGAATGAAAGTCACATGACTTGTTCTGTTTCCTTTATTGAAAGAGAAACCTTTACAAAAATAGTACTTCATAGAAGGAAGCATAGTATGTGGAACACTAAACCAGGAATCAGGAAACCAGGTTTCTAGTTGCTGATCTTAATGAGTCATTGTGTGTCTATGGGAGAGCCACTTAATCCTGCCTTCTCACTTTCCCTGTCTGTAAAATGGGGGTAATTATAATCCTCCCCTTTCTGTGTCACAAGGCCGCTGGAAGGTAAATGAGGTCATAAACATCAAGAGTGTTTTAAGCTCTTCTAAAGGAAGATGCTAATAAATCCAGTTGTTGATACTTATTGCTTTGAAACCATGAATGTATACAGGAAAGACACTTTTGTAAATGGGTGCTCTTAAATTGAAACAAACAGTAACAGCATAGTCTGAAAATGGAGCCAGCACCTTAAAAATTGCTTACCTTTACTGCTTATTGCTAGTTCCGCTCCAGGCTCCCAAGAGCCATTGTTTTCCCCCTTTATGTAACTTAAGATCTGTTCATAGATATTTATGAACAGATTGTAACAAAGTGGTGTTCTAAATTACATAGTAAAGTAACAATTAGGGAAAACAGTATGGTAATCCTGAAACTATGTTAAGACTGAACTTCTGATTACCTTTTATTACTGGTTTTTATATTAAGAGATGTTGACAAGATGAAAATGTATAATTAGAATATACATTTTAAAAATCGCCTCTTAATGCCGAATGCATTGAAAGAAAAACAGAACCCTGAGGTTGTTTGACTACTCATTGTTTAGTCTGGGGGTTCATTCTTTGGGGTCGATTTAATGAGGGTGGTCATTCCTGCAGTTTTGATGGTAGCACTGTGCTTATCAAACATAGTAGGAAAATGCGTGATTCTTTTGTTTTTCTACCACCCAAAAAGGAATCTTAGTAGAGAATTGATATTTTATTTTCTTTAGAAGTATGAGTATTTAAAATGAGGCTCTTTTTTCTGAAGAGAAGAACTTGGAAAAGTTTTAGTAACAGCATGAGTATAATGGGTTTTCTGTTAAAATTCCCACTAATGCATTTTCTTTAGAAACGTAGTTCTAAGAGCTAATTTTGGTATCAGATTTGGCAAGTAGAAAGGGTTTTTGTTTGTTTGTTTTGGTTTTTTTCTAGGGGGAGTAGCACAGAATCAAGTGTTCCCATTTCACCTTATAAACTTAAGGGAAAATGTAACTTTATTCTTTCATCTGCATTGCCAAGTAGAATGAGGAAAACACTGGGTGAGGCAAAGTGCTGTGCCCCCCGCCCCCCATCCTGCATTTGGACAGCTGTAATGCAGGTGGATTCTCTGTTTCATTTCTCTAGTACGGATGACAGCAGAATGTATATTTCTATACAAGATGAACAAAACGTTTTAATGTTGGCGTTTTAATGAACAAATGAAAACAAAATTTTCTGAATGTCCAAAAGTATTGGTTATAAACACATTAACTGTCAGATCATGATTTTTGTGAAAAGAATGCTGTCCAAGTTTAGATAGGGACACTCTTTCTATATTTAGTTTGAGTGGGTTCTTCAAGACTGCAGTGGTTATTCTGACTCATTTCAGGTAGATTATTGTACACAGAGTTCAGTGCTAGACTTTTCTGAAGAAAACTAGTAAAGTCATCATTTGGCATGGAGGAGATGATGGGGTTGATGATTGCTACTGATTTCAATTTCTTTCAAGATAGCTACAGAGACTTACATTAACTGGGTGCTAAAATACAATGCATAGGTGAAGGTTAGTGTAGAAAGAGTTGGAGTATATGTTGTATACCAACATTTTGCTCTGTAGGTGCAAATAATGCAAGATGCTTCTGTGTGTTATAGCTTTATTACTTAAGTGAATTCATTACATAAGAATTCTGAAATAGATTGGATTAAAACTTATGGGTTACATGTTTACAAATGATAAAATAGTCAATTTGGTGGTTCTGATTAATTTTCTATTAGACTAGGAAAATACTAAGTTTGTATAGAGTCACTTTTATGTGTCCAAAGACACTGTAAAACTTGAATGGGTAAAGGTGAAGCCTTGGAAACTCTGTCCAGTTTTCTTATGTCATATATGATATCTATATACACAAGGTTTATAAAATATTCCTTGCTTACTGTGTTTTTACTGAAATTTGGAATATTTGATCAAATATTTTGACCCACGATATATTTTTTAAAGATAACTGATCACACGCATTGCACCCTGTAAATGCTGGGTTTTTTTCTTTTTTTTTTTTTGAGACGGAGTCTCACTCTATCACTCAGTCTGGAGTGCAGTGGTGTGATCTCGGCTCACTGCAACGTCCACCTCCCGGGTTCAAGCGATTCTCCTGCCTCCGCCTCCTGAGTAGCTGGGACTAGAGGTGCATGCCACCATGCCCTGCTAATTTTTTGTATTTTTAGTAGAGATGGGATTTCACCGTGTTAGCCAGGCTGGTCTCGATCTCCTGACCCCGTGATCTTCCCGCCTCAGCCTCTCAAAGTGCTGGGATTGCAGGCATAAGCCACTGCGCCCGGCCTAATGCTGGATCTTTTAATATTCATTTTAAAGAGTATCAGGTTTTCCAGCAACAAATATTTGGGGCTGGTGTGTGTGTGTGTGTGTGTGTGTGTGTGTGTGTGTGTGTGTGTGTTTCCATAATATCTCATCCAGTCATGCTCCAGGAGGCTGGATATGATATTTTTCTCCATAACTGAAATTCAAGGATTAATGATGTGTTCTTTGTTCATGTTGAAACTTTATAACTTAAGCATAGTCTACTGCTACTTTATCCCTATACAGTTAGTACAAATACTTGAGTCAGTTATTACGGTGTGGTATGAAATTTCAATTGTTTTCAATGCATAAAAACAGATATTATGATATAGTTCATTATACTATGTGATTTTGTTACTTTACAATCCTATTATACTGTGTGATTTTGTTACCTTAAAATCCTTATGTTTATGTTAAGAATGATTCATTCTTGGATGAGCTTGGTGGCTCATGCCTGTAATCCCAGCGCTTTGGGAGGCCGAGGTGGGTGGATCATCTGAGGTCAGGAGTTCAAGACCAGCCTGGCCAACATGGAGAAACCCCATCTCTACTAAAAATACAAAAATTAGCCAGCCATGGTAGCATGCACCTGTAGTCCCAGCTACTCAGGAGGCTGAGGCAGGAGAATCACTTGAACCAGGGAGGCAGAGGTTGCAGTGAGCTGAGATCGCGACACTGTACTCCAGCCTGAGCAACAAAGAGTGAAATTCAGTCTCAAAAAAAAAAAAAAAAAAAAGAAAGATTTTGCATAGTATTAATGCTTAATCTTTAATATTTAAGAATATGATACAGTGCTTTCTGTATGCATTCTATGGACTTAAATAAGTCAATCTTTGGCCTCCAAAGTATAAGTGTAACAGATAATCCCACAACTTGGTAGACAACTGGCAACTGAAGATTTTGAAAGAATCTTATTGAAGTTGAATGCAATGACGATGTACCATTATTCTGATCAATATTGACGGATAACTGCCTGCCACTCTTCTCTTGGGGTTAAAAGAGTTGTGTAAAATTCAAAGGGTGTTTTTCTTCCCTTTATAGTGGTAAGACATTTTCCTATATACAATATGGTATAATATTCCAAAAAATCCTATGGCATAGGCAGAACCACCATGAACCCCATTCTTTGGAATCAAGAACCTACAGTG
Source organism: Homo sapiens (assembly GCF_000001405.40). Lineage (NCBI taxonomy): Eukaryota > Metazoa > Chordata > Mammalia > Primates > Hominidae > Homo > Homo sapiens. The sequence continues at coordinate 109,774,702 of NC_000013.11, read as the reverse complement.
TGGAGAGGCCAGATGACTTGCTCCAGATCTCTGAGCCAAAAGGAGAAGGAGTGTCGGGTTCAACCTCATAACATCTTGGTATCCCTAGCCCAGTTCTCTAATGTCATATTGTCTGCTTGGGAAGCTCATATGCAATAATTACATTAGGATTTTATCCTAGACCCTTGCCTCAAGCAACATTTAAGTTAATATTTTGCTGGAGTGATAGTTAATCATCTCCCCCTTTTTCTTCCACTGGGTATCAATTCAAAGGAAAATGGGGACCATTGAGGAGGAAGACTGGTAGGAAAGCGCTCTATTTATTGAAATCAGTTTTTACATCCTCCGGTTTGGAGAGTTTAGTATTTGATACTATTTTCAAGGCTGTGATGTTACTAGTGAATTTTAAAGTTGACCATCAAGTTGGTGATGGATCTGTTCTGGGGACTCCAGTCATGCTTCCTGGACCTCTAGATGTGTCAACAAAGTGGAAAACTTAGATTGCTCTGGCTGTCTTTCATTACCTCTTGGTAAAGCAAACTGTATATGATACTTGGTAAGATACCTCCCCACCACCGCCACCATCAAATACATTAAAACTCTTGCAACTCAGGTGGTGACAATACGAAAAAAATATACAAGGGTGTTCTGAGAAGGAAGAGTTGAGAACCGTTGATAGAATGTAACTTAGTTATTTAAGGTTGTGAAAACAGAGGCTGTGTGAGGTCCGGAGTCTTAGTCAAGGTCACTGATTCAATTAGTGGTAGAGTTGTTTGTAGATATCATCAAGAAAGAGTAGGAGAATGTGATACAAACAATGACACATCTCAGTTGGTTCTTTGTATCTTGATGAATAACTTTCTCCCAGGATACAGCCTATGCTCTTTAGAACAACTTAGTATTTGTGGAAATGATATTAGTCTTTTTACTTTGGAACATTTTAGTAACTTTCTTCATCCATAGACTAAAAGAAACCCTGAAAGCCAGAAATAGAGAATGCAGAATTCCTTAATGAAGAAACGCGTTATAAATCAGAGAAATATGGCTGTTCATGACTATGTGGACGGTGTCTACTGAGTGGGGAGAAGATTTGGCAAATATTTAAGGTCATGTATTTACTTTATCAAAGAAAAGGAAACAAAGTTATTGTTTCATGAAGACCCCCAGTGAAATCGAAAGGCCTAGATTATCTAGCAGAATTGAAGGCGGCTCTGTGTAACAGGTTCAGCCTGGGCGGTGACACAGTGATGAGTCAGCGGGTGCATTCGGTCACTGCTCTCTGTGTCTCTAAGACAGGTGCTTGTTCTATAAGTGAAATATCATATATTCCCCATTATGGATAAGTCCATTAACATTTTTCTAAGAAATGAGTCATTAACCTATTTAATGAGTTTATTTGAAAACTAATCAATTTAGAATTTGCCTAAGGACCAATAACTAACTAATCAGTTGTTGCTAGGTGGTTATCTTCTGGGGAATTGAGTATTTTGTCAGTGCCTTTTTATTTTTAACAGCCCTTGTTTTTTTCTTTTTTTTTAATTCTCAGGAAAAAAATCATTTAGCTGGATTTTTATATGAAGATAAATAGTTTTCATACAAATTTAATTTCACAGAAGCTGCCATTATTCTAATGACGTGGGTATAACCTCACTTTCAAAAGCAGAAAGAAACACTTTAGCAAACACATAAAAATTCTTAAGATATTCACACTTTAAAAAATGTAATAGGCGGCCGGGCGCGGTGGCTCACGCCTGTAATCCCAGCACTTTGGGAGGCCGAGGCGGGTGGATCATGAGGTCAGGAGATCGAGACCATCCTGGCTAACAAGGTGAAACCCCGTCTCTACTAAAAATACAAAAAATTAGCCGGGTGCGGTGGCGGGCGCCTGTAGTCCCAGCTACTCGGGAGGCTGAGGCAGGAGAATGGCGTGAACCCGGGAAGCGGAGCTTGCAGTGAGCCGAGATCGCGCCACTGCAGTCCGCAGTCCGGCCTGGCCGACAGAGCGAGACTCCGTCTCAAAAAAAAAAAAAAAAAATGTAATAGGCAAATCTGTGGCCTGGAACTCTTGTGGGCAGTGCAGTGTTTGCTTTGTGCAAGCTGTCAGGCCTCTCAGCATCAAGAGACAGTACCTCCTTCCTGGCCAGCACCCCCAACGGTGAGCGCCGTGACCCACCAAACAGCAGGTGAGATTGGAGACCTGGCTGGATGAGCAAAGCAGGAAAGCAGTTTTGCTATCCGGGCGAATGGAGTTACGGACCTTCTTCCAGGTTAAGAAGAAAGCCACGTTCGGAGCGCCCTGTGTTGCAGTGATGGGTTTGTTGAGCACCCACCAATTTAGTCAGGAAAACTGATGCAGACGTGTGGTCTGGGGGTCTTCATGAATCGGCCAGAAGCCTTTTCCCCAGCAAGGTTTGGGTGCCTCTGGGAACTTTTGCCTTCTGCAGAGGACCTGGGAAGAGCGTGCACCTACCTGCACCGCTCCGTGCTATGAACCACCGAAAATAGGGACTGAAGTCAGGGACCATCTGACCACGTGAATTCCCGGGTCTGCGGCAGAAGCCGCCCCCGATCCCGTCATCTCAGTGGCCACCCTCACCCATGACTGCCCTGCGCTGCCTGGGCCCAGCGCATGCCGGGTGAGCCTCTCTGCCCTCCTTTCTTTGTTCGGGACTTCCCATACCCAGATGGATGGATAAATAAGGGGAATTGTGAAGCAGGGAGAAAAGTTTTGGAAATAGGCCAGAATTTCTTTACTAAATTTAAAAACCATGCACATAATCCTTTAGAAACTCCACGCAATAAGCAGGATTAAGCAAGTCGTGGATTAGAGTGTATTGAGCAGAGACTGTTTCTGTTTGAAGAGGTCAGAAATGGAGGTACTGGGACCCTAGTTTACTGTGGACATTGCAGGGCTTCTGAACTTCCCAGACAGCAGAAATTCCTGGAAAAGTAGAGTCTTGTGGTCAGTTTCTTACCCCACACCTTTGGTGCATTTTAAAAAAATAAATTACTAAAGTGCTTTGCTTCAGTTTTATTCTGGTATGATAGTAGGTATTCACTTTTTATTGTCTTCCTGCATAAAAGCAACCTAAAATAACGTTTTACATACGCAAATGAAACAGAAAACAAATCCATAAGCTACCCATACCCTCTTCCAGTTCTATATATCAGGTGAGTGTGCTGAGACTTGTACAAATAACTTATGTTGTCAAGTAGACATCTACTAAATGTATAGTTCAACTGAAAGTATATTTGAGTATGCTTTAGCAAAATGTGTTAGTTGCAAAAGTACCAAATCTCTTTTTCTCTTTTAAAGTATTATAAATCCAGGATTGTAAATTTATTTTAATTGCAGTTTCAGAAAACTAACTTTAATTTAGCTGGCTGAGAAAGCAAAAGAGAAAAAAATTAAATATTAATATTGAACTGCATGAAAATACTAGATACAAAGGCTACACAAAACCCTTTTAGATATAAACATCCATGAATTTGCATTCATTGATGCAAAGACATTGTTGAGATTATTTGTTCTGACAAGTTTTTTAAATGAGAATTTCTCCTAAAGGTTTTGTAGCTTCTACATGTAAGGGCATTTTGGTGTTTGGGGACAGATGAAAGTTTCAGTGGTCCAGTAGAAAGGACACACCTTGGTTCAGTTTGCCGTCTTACTGTTATTTGCAGCTTAGCTTATCAGTGTTCCTAGTTCGAGATGAAATAATCACTGCAATGAAATGTCCAAGTTTTCCCAGCAGGGAGCATTTAATGAAGTTCTTAGAACAAGTCTGGGTGATACACATTCATCTGTGTGAGTCTTGATCTGTCCAGGTTCGCTGGGCTGTTTAGAATCACTGGGTCTTCAGCCATTTCCAAAACGCAGAACACAGTTGATATTTTAAGCCAATCAATGTATTGAGAGTTCAGCGTGTGTCAGCACAAGAGTAGATGTCCTGGGAGATGCAGAAGAAATGTGAAGCCTGGCCTCTGTTCCCTAGGTGCCTTCAGAGTCAACTTGGCAGCATCCCACCGGGCACCATTTTCTGGGCAGCCCCTCTGATCCTTTTCATAAGTGTCCACCCCGCAGGCAATCTTGGCTGAGCACAGAGAATGGGATGTTTCACGGGATGTCTCTGCTGCGACAGTGGATATCCTTGCTGGAACATTCACAGTACTGGTCCCATTCACAGCTGGGACCACTCAGATGTTTCACCCCTTCACCCCTGCGTGAACCTGGGGTGCATCAGATGAGGTAGTGTTTGTAAGTTTTCTTCTCTGAAAAATAGTAGCTTTGATTCTGCTGCTATCCCGATTCCTAGATGTCAGCTTGCCCTGAGCTCTTGGCGGCCTTGCCTCCAAGCTCTCCTGGTACTTCATTCTGTGCTCAGTCTTTGTTGTAAATGGTAGTATTCCAGAAACTTCCCCATTGTCAGGTTTCTTGGCTCCTTTTTGTAGGCAGCCCCAAAGGCTGCGTTAAGGGTATTGATCACATTCTTTCTATAGGCATCCCTAGCCTGTTCAGGAAAGCCCCCTCCTTTCCTGCCAGCCACAGCCCCCACCGGCTCAAAGGGCTGCTTGCCGCTCTTGGCCTCCCTGCCCTCCATGGTGGTGGCCAGTGTAGGCGAAAGAAGGAAGTCCCATTGGGTTGGGGAGCTCCAAGTCACCCACCCGTGAGGCTGATGGGGGAGTTAGTCACAGATGAGTCTCCTCCCATTCTCACCTTTTGCCACCTTTTGCAGTTTTCAGAAAAAAAGAAAAATAGGAACTTTACTTATGGGTTGCTTGAGAAAGGTAGAAAGTTGGGGGCAGAAAGGACGATGGCAAAAATGGTGAGATCTCCCTTTAATTTTTAAATGTATTCAAACTGTTAAATTTCTGCATGTTTTCATTACAAAGATGACAATTGTTGCATATAGACTATCTCAAAAATACTTCATCCATTTGAGCAATATGAAAGAATAGGCTAGAGAGAAACAGATTTGGTTTTTCAAGCTAAAAAGAATAACAGAAAGTGGGCGAGTCTTCAGTGAGCTGTCTGCCTTTGAAACCTAGGAAGTAAACTTAATTTGGATGTGCATTTAGGAGATGAAGCACTACAGGTGGTGAAATGCTCTAGCAATGAAGCAGGGAAGGGAGAGGGGGGAAAGGAAATTTGAGCCAAGCAACCTGAAGGTCAGGGGAAGCCGGTCTTACAGATGTTAAGGGAGGAATCCAAGTAGGCAAAGGGGATGAACAGCAGTGCAAAGGCTCTGGGGCAGCAGGTTGCCCGGTATGTTCCAGAACAGGAAGGAGGCCAGTGTGGCTGGCATGGAGAGCTAAGGCTCAAAGGAGAAAGTGAAGAGAAAGAGGTAGTAAGGGACCAGGAGGAATTGAGCCCGGCCAGCCGTGCTACTGATGTTAGCCCACATGTCACAGTGTGTGAGGGAGATAGAGTCCTTGGGAACAATAATATGCAGAGCTTTTAAAAACTTTCATACTGTAGCCATCAATTCCATCATCATGGTGGTGGTATCCCTGGGTGGTGGTGGTTACTTGGTAGAGTATACGTCAACTCGAATTTCTTCCTCAAAAGTATATAAAATTTGAAAAGACCTAGAAGTGATCTAGTGGAATGAAGACGCTGAGGTACCATTGAGGTTGGGGAAACTACTGGGACGTGCTTACAGGATAAACTGCAAAACAAAAGCACAAGTTTGTAATCATGGAATGACATGCCTTATTCTGAAAACTTAACGTTTGTAGCGTACCTTATAATTCATAAGACATTTAAAAATGGTATTGAATCCCAATAACCTATGCGTAGGGTTGGATCTTGTTGTTATCCCTGTTTTTTAATGGAAAATCTGAGGCCTGAAGATGGTAGGCCATGTATATGCCTGCCCCGCCGTTGAGCCTGGCTCCTGCTGTTGGAGAAACTTTCCCAGTCTGTAGAGAGAGGATGTGGTCCTGGCAAGCCTGGCTCCTGCCTGATTCTGTATCTTCTGGTAACACACAGCCGTCATTTAAAAAAAAAAAGACAAGGTCTTTCCCTCTGACAGACTAAAAGCTGAATCCGCTTATTTCGAACTCTGCCTTGAGGCGGGATGCCCCGTGCATTATGGTTAACTAGGACCTGCTAACCATCGGCTTATCAAACAAATCAATTTCACTCTTCAGCTAATTTGGAAATGAAAATTATAGAAGTTAGAAAAAATGTGCAGAAAAAGTATTATTCCAATGTATTATTCCATTTGTTTCATAGAGATCCTGGCTTCACAGGAAAGAGCCAAGGGCATGGGTTTTGCTGAGGGCGTAAGAGCTTGGGGAAGGTGAGGGCTAGGTGTGTACGGGTGCCCTGATGTCCTCTTAGCCTGCTGGTGAGGAAAGTGCATGTTTAATAAATGGGCTCCAGCCAACTGTGTGCAGTTATTTGTAGCCTGCATAATTTTAAAAATGTGGTTGAGCATTTAGGTCTATCTTCAGAATTTAGGCTCCATTTGACTTAGTTTTCCTGAAATATGTAGAAAACTAATGGTGAAAGAGGACCTAATTCTTGAATTATCTGCTTGAACTGTGTTGCTAGTTATTCCAAGTAGAATTTGTAAAATGGTCCATCATTCTCTAAGCAAAATGAGGGAAATAACAATTATTTTCTAGAAATTTCATATATATTGAATATTACAAAATCATGTAACTAGAAATGTTTAAATGGTCACACTGGGCCAGGCACGGTGGCTCACGCCTGTGATCCCAGCACTTTGGGAGACCAAGGCTGGTGGATTACAAGATCAGGAGTTTGAGACCATCCTGGCCAATATGATGAAACCCTATCTCTACTAAAAATAGAAAAATTAGCTAGGTGTGGTGGCGCATGCCTGTAGTCCCAGCTGCTTAGGAGGCTGAGGCAGGAGAATCGCTGGAACCCGTGAAGCGGAGGTTGCAGCGAGCCGAGATTGCACCACTGCGCTCCAGCCTGGGCAACAGAGCGAGACTCCATCTCAAAAAAAAAAAAAAAAAAAAAAGGAAAAATGGTCGAGCTGATTTTCCAGAATGGAATATCACTGCGTGATGCTCTCTGGGAAGAGAAGGCATTAAGTCTGTAACACACAGGACAGAACTACTGTCTATTCTGTACGCATCTGCTTGATCCTCAGTTTTGTCACCTTGGTTACTAACAAGGTGGTTAGAAAGTTACATCTCTCTTGAATCCATTCTTAAAGGCCTTCAAGGACTCAGGCACAGCCTTGGGAAACCAGGAAATGTGACTGTGTCAATCACCACACAGTCCAACTTCCTTTTCGTGTAGGAAATGTTTTCTTTATCATTAATTGATCAGTTCTCCCCTTTCCAAACTTCTGGCAATTTGGGAAATGGAATCTTTATGTTGCTGGGTATTTTCTCCTTCCACACCTCCTTCTCCTTGCTGGACAGGAGGGGAGGGCAGAAGACGTGTTTGTGGCCACATTCCCGGTGTGGCCCGCCTGGACAGGAGCCAGGGTGCACACTGACCTGCACAGCCTCTGGCCTCTGTCCCTGGGCCTGAGAGGCAGGAGCAAGGGGCCTGTCCTCACTCTGAATCCAACTGCTGGTGACTCAGGGCACCCTGCTGGACCCTCCAGGAGAAGTTGGGGCCCACGTTTCTAGGCTGCCCACTCATCCAAACCTCCCTCCATGTCCCTGACCAAAGCATTTCGCAGATCTGGGTCCTCTGGTGTGTGAGGCTCCTCCCAGCCCATGAGCATTGGAAAATGTCTACAAGATCTTTGCCATTTTAGGTTCTACCGAGGCTAAAGAATGTATGTTTCCTCTGCTTAGACTTAAGTTTTTGAGTAACTTTATAGACACTTTGGCATTTTGGCTGAAAGGGCATGTGCAGTAACTGAATATGACTTGTGCACTGTTTCAGTGCCAGTGGGTCACATGCAGGGGAGTCAGAGCCAAGGTGGATGAGGCTGGGATATCTACATGCTTGGTGGGGAGTTGGAGTCAGGGTGGATGAGGCTGGGATATCTACATGCTTGGTGGGGAGTCGGAGCCAGGGTGGATGAGGCTGGGATATCTACATGTTTGGTGGGGAGTTGGAGTCAGGGTGGATGAGGCTGGGATATCTACATGCTTGGTGGGGAGTCGGAGCCAGGGTGGATGAGGCTGGGATATCTACATGCTTGGTGGGGAGTTGGAGCCAAGGTGGATGAGGCTGGGATATCTACATGCTTGGTGGGGAGTCGGAGTCAGGGTGGATGAGGCTGGGATATCTACATGCTTGGTGGGGAGTCGGAGCCAGGGTGGATGAGGCTGGGATATCTACATGCTTGGTGGGGAGTCGGAGTCAGGGTGGTTGAGGCTGGGATATCTACATGCTTGGTGGGGAGTCGGAGTCAGGGTGGTTGAGGCTGGGATATCTACATGCTTGGTGGGGAGTTGGAGTCAGGGTGGATGAGGCTGGGATATCTACATGCTTGGTGGGGAGTCGGAGCCAGGGTGGATGAGGCTGGGATATCTACATGTTTGGTGGGGAGTTGGAGTCAGGGTGGATGAGGCTGGGATATCTACATGCTTGGTGGGGAGTCGGAGTCAGGGTGGTTGAGGCTGGGATATCTACATGCTTGGTGGGGAGTCGGAGCCAAGGTGGATGAGGCTGGGATATCTACATGCTTGGTGGGGAGTTGGAGTCAGGGTGGATGAGGCTGGGATATCTACATGCTTGGTGGGGAGTCGGAGCCAGGGTGGATGAGGCTGGGATATCTACATGCTTGGTGGGGAGTCGGAGCCAGGGTGGATGAGGCTGGGATATCTACATGCTTGGTGGGGAGGAGGAGCCAAGGTGGATGAGGCTGGGATATCTACATGCTTGGTGGGGAGTTGGAGCCAAGGTGGATGAGGCTGGGATATCTACATGCTTGGTGGGGAGTTGGAGTCAGGGTGGATGAGGCTGGGATATCTACATGCTTGGTGGGGAGTCGGAGTCAGGGTGGTTGAGGCTGGGATATCTACATGCTTGGTGGGGAGGAGGAGCCAAAGTGGATGAGGCTGGGATATCTACATGCTTGGTGGGGAGTTGGAGCCAAGGTGGAGGAGGCTGGGATATCTACATGCTTGGTGGGGAGTTGGAGTCAGGGTGGATGAGGCTGGGATATCTACATGCTTGGTGGGGAGTTGGATCCAAGGTGGATGAGGCTGGGATATCTACATGCTTGGTGGGGAGTTGGAGTCAGGGTGGTTGAGGCTGGGATATCTACATGCTTGGTGGGGAGTTGGAGTCAGGGTGGATGAGGCTGGGATATCTACATGCTTGGTGGGGAGTTGGAGTCAGGGTGGTTGAGGCTGGGATATCTACATGCTTGTTGGGGAAGAGGAGCCAAAGATGTGGATTTCCTCTGTCTCCACATCCTTGGGCAAGGACTGGTGATCAGCTGCTGCTGTCTTATTTTATTTGCTTCTCCAGTAAATGAACTTTATATAGTTGGTAGCTTGGCGTTTTCCATTTTGCATTACTGAAATTTCAATAAATAGTGCTTTAGTTAGATGTAAATCTCTGTCATTTGTGGCAGAGGAACTTAAATGTCGGCCTGCATTTTAGGGCACCTTTTTGTATAGAGCAGAGAGAAGGGAAGTGCTGTCCCCCAGTGGCCTGGACCAGGCGGAGCCCAGCCTGTTGATGATGCATTGTGTGTGCTTGGCATGTGTGACGTGGCAAGGGATTCATGTTCTCTGTGGGCAGCTGCCTGAGTAGTAGACATGTGAGGCCCCTTCCCGGGCATTTTGTCCTGTCCTCAGGACATGAAGAAAGCAGCTAGGCAAAGGCACTCTTTGCAGCTTTAAATGGCCTAGAGTTACCCCCAGAAAAACAATTCTACTTCTGTTCCACTTCTGTCCAATTAAAACAAGTTTGTTCATTTTATTTTAGGAGCAATTTGCCATTGTTTTTGTGCATTCGGCAGTTGTTTATTTGCTGCTTGCAGTTGTGGTTGTTCGTGGTATCATTCACGAATACAATTTTGAACGAGGAAGAGCTGTGATGACAAATGCACTAAGAGACACCACTGTGGCTCTCCACAAATTAGCCAGAACATAAGGGTGGGAGGAGCCTGTCTTTCCCTGGCAGCACAGGGCTGCCTGGTCTTAAGAAGTCTGTAGTTGAGAACACAGCATGTGGTTACATGTATACATTATTTGAAGGTGCACAAAGCAAAGGGAAGCCAACCACAAAATGCCAGTTGTGCTAGTAGCATGTGCTTCTTTATGAATGAAAGAACATACGCATTTTTGGTATTAATTATTTATATATTTTATACATGAAATCTCATTTGACAGGTTCCCTGTGACTCCACTGGGGAATTCAGGGTGGGAGAGGTAGTGCCCCCATCTTCATAAGAGGGAGCAGACTTAGAGACATAGCTGTAGAGATTACACAGCTGGTAAGAAGTGGTTCCTAGATGCTAGCCCTGGGGACCCGGCTCTGGTGTGGCGACAGCGCCTTTCACACCTGTATCCTGAGAGTCGTGGGAATGGCATGTAGTTTAAAGTACAGAGATGGGGGCATGGAGTCATTCCTAGGCTCCCAGGGAAGAGCAGGATGTTTTTGATATGGCCGATTAGGAAGAATGGGCACTTTGATCTCTGCAAAGAGAGCCTGCGCTTCAGTGACTAAGTAGGATTTGACCCTTCAACCTTGACTCTAGTAGATGGCTCAGTTAAAGGCTACGTGGTGATTCTTAGGAGGCTTTTAAATTAGATAGATGGATTTGTCCCTGGAGAGACAAAGCTGAAATCCTATATCACATAGATGTTATAGACCGAGGAGGGGGGATTTACCTACAGTTATTTAAGCTTTTAAAGTAGAAAAAAGGTCCAGTTGAAATGATATATAACAACAGGCTATCTGGAGATGGATATATTGTGAATAAATAATTATTCTACATTCTCTTAATTTGGCAGCAAAAATATAATTAGGTTTTATAATTTCTGATATAAACAATATAAACATTGTTATGGTGTACATAAAATTTTTTTAGATTAGTAAGAAAACCATACGTATAAACATGTGTTAAGTCTGAGGAAAGAATTACGTCGTTCATTGGCTATTTGCGATTTTAATGCACCTTATATCACTTGGCCCAAATACTCTTAGGGCAGAAGCATAATGCTTACATTCACATTCTCAAATGACCCAAGAAAGAGAAAAGATTTGGACCCTTAATGAGTTGTAGATCTCATATATAAACCTTTACTTCTGTTAAAGGAAGAATGCTAGTGTAGGATGTATTTAGCAATGATTAGATTTATTGAGCACTTTTGTGTTATGCATGAAAAATCAAATAGAATAGCGGTAGCTAAGAGAAATTCATTCCAAAAGTGTGCTGGCTTCATAAATGATTTTGTGATGTGTGTCCTCTTTTTCAGTAGGGTCTGTAACAGGATAGTGTGGTTTTTAGTAGATAGTATTGCATTTCTAAAGTACGTAAGCTTGCAGATAATTTTCAAAGGGATATCAATTAGTTTCCCAGTATAACACACAGATGGAAATATATGGTGTTTTTCTGACAAATTTGCCTGTTTTTCTTCGCATTGTCTTCCTTAGTAAAGGTTGCCATGTTCATGTGCTCCTTGAAGGATTAACAAACATTCTGTGAAAGGTCAGGTAGTAAAGAGTTTAGGTTCATTGCCATGCAGTCTCTGTCACAGCTGCTCCACTCTGCTTATGGTGTGAAAGCAGCCATATGTAAATGCGTGAGCACGGCTGTGCCCAAATAAAACTTTATTTGCAGAGACAGGCAAGCCAGATCTGGCCTTACTTTACTGACCTCTGCTTGGAACGTCACTCTCCAAGTGGGCTGGAAAGGGTTTTCTTTTCTTCTGGGTCTCACGCAGTCCTAAAGCTTCGTTCTGTTTTAGAAAACTTTGTTCTCTTTTAGAAAACTTTATTGAGCATTTCTGCCTGTGAGAAATGGCATGAACCACATGGGGTTTTCGCTTCAATTTAATACCTATAAGCTTTACTAAGGACCTGACCAGCAGGCTGCTGGCTGCTGGGGACAGGGAGGTGAGAAGGCAGGGCCTGGGCATCAGCTGGCAAGGAAGACCAACCATGGAGCACACCCTCATCGACTCACAGGCTTCACTGAATCTTGTGACATGCTAGCATGCTGTTTAATGTCCTTCGAGGAGAGTTTTATAAAGAGCTAGTGGTTCACTGTGGAAGTTGACACTCTGGGGCCCCAGGTGACAGTTGCAGGTGTCTCTGCTCCTGCCCTGTCCCACCCATCTCATTGTCACCAAAGGGGAGCAGAGAGGAAAGTGTTCTGGGAGAAGTTGAGGACCCTGTTCTTCCACAGACTGGCAGGGAGGCTTCAGCAAGTTGTTCGTGCTTCCTGGTCTGGGTTTTAACTAAAAAGGGTCTAACATTTCATAATTTAAAAGAAAGGGTCCACCCGCAATTCTTGGAACTTTTTGTATCTCAGGTGTTTGTGCAGAAGAATCATCGATACTGTTTCTCCTATGGCATTGGCGGCTGCTGCAGGGGCAGTGGGCAATTCTTGCCATAGACGAATAGCTCACTTCATGCACATGGCAGGGTTTTTAACAATAACACTCAGAAAAGAACCGTGTACATTCTGTGTTACACAATCTGCTGTAGCCGTGCACTGTAAAATTTATACAGGCTCCTGTATAGGAAAGTTGAATGTGTAGAGGGAATTGGAAGTGCAGTAGGTAAAAGTTTAGGAGGCCTGATTTTCCTAGTTTTGGATGATTAAGACCAGGTCTTATGTGCAGGATTAAACAGGAGTTAAAGGGGGAGATACCTTTTACTAAATCCAGCCTGTGAGACAACTAGATTGTCTCATCCTATTTTGTATTGTGTCATTAACATCAAGTTGCAACTTGATATTCGGAATTTTTTTTACTAACAAGCATTCAAAATGAAATGATTTTAATTGTCAGTGGAAGTGATGAGCTCATAGAAAAGAATGTTTTCAGTCTTTCTCAAGGAGGGCAGCAGGAAAGCAAGTTATTGCCCCTGTTTGTCATGGGGAACTTATTCTTCCATATTTTCCTTTTAAGTTAGTTTTTTTTCCAATTTAAAAGAAAAGTTCAAGTAACCGTTTTTCCTAGAATCTCTGGCTTTTGTTATCATACCCAACCTTACCTTTTTTTTTTTTTCATGTTCTTAGAGTGTCTTGCTTTAGTAAAGTCTGGAGATACTAAATTATCGGGTTTATTTTTCTCAGAATTGCTCCTGCAACTGAAAAGTCAATTTTCCCTTGTAATTCTGTGTTTAACATAAAAGGCTGAAACTGGGCACTGAGATGTACCTGTACGATATGTTTGAGCTCATGGAAGGTTTCCTTGCTTTCGGAATCACATTTGCTACTAGAAATACAAATTTTAATTTTAAGAAGTGTATCGTTTCATTTTGTCAAGTACATCAGTATTTGTAACACTCCTAATTCAGCTATGGCTGAAAATGTGAAAGCATCTTTACCTACTCCATGAATTTGGCCTCTGGGTGGTCCAGTGTTGCTCACCAAAGGCCTGTGAGGCCCCATGTCCCACAGCCGTGCCATGGGGCCCTACGTGGTGGCCGTAAGCCCCTCTGCAGAGAGGACCGGGGCCTCCCTGGGCAGAGCTGCCACGACCCAGGTGTATATCCTGGATTTTGAACATCGAAATGTAACATTGGAGGCAAACATGTCCAAACCCAAATTGTCAGGAGAAATTATGAAGAAAAAGGATTGGTGAGTCAGACTGTGTGCCGAAAATGCTGCCTGATTTTATTGGCTGGAGCAAATTGACCTTATTTCCAACATGTTCTAGGCTTGATGCCCACTTCAGTTTTCTGTAATGTGATTGCAGTCATGGTGCCCAGCTCCGTGTGACATGTCATTGTTGGGACATTGTTCCATATATTACAAGGAAGCTTTCCTCCTTGTCTTAATCACAATGTTTTCTAGTGATTTGTTTTCTTTCCTCCTTTCTCTCTTTCGGGGGAGTCAAGTTGAGCAGTTTGAAGGTGGAGCTTTTACTGACAGCTCTCTCCTTCATTTGCATTCTGATTGCTCTTGTAAGTGGAGGAGAAAAGGGGAGGAATTATTGCCCATCTGCAGGGCATTATGGTGAGTGGCACAGGGGACTGTATCCCACGTATGAATGTCATCTGTCACAAGCGACAGCAGAAAGGAGATGCGGAGTGGATACACTGCACGACATGTCACATGGAACAACTCTCATCTCTGCTAAAAGTGTTTTTGTTTGTTGGTTTTATTTGCTCAAATAACTCTACGTGGATACGTCTGTGGATGGATTTCCTCACAAAGCAACGTCTAAGGGACAGAGTAGTACAGTGTGTAATGAGCGATGTGACAAATTCAATGAGTATCAGTAAGTTTACATTTTTTATATAGATTACCTGTAGCAGCAGAACTGGTGTGTGGTGTTCTGTCATTGTGTTCATGAGCAACACGTGAGTCTTATTGTTTTCTTTTTGGTTTTGCCATTACAGCTGATGAATTCAGAAAATCTCTTCCTTCTTAGTGAATATTCAGGGTAGAACAGCCATAAAATTAATAATTCTTTGCTTCTACTAAAATGAACACAGATAATACAACAAATAAATTTTTGCTGGAATCTCATCTTCAGGAAGCCTGAAGTTTGATCATATTTAAAGGTTGAGGATGTCAGATGATTAGTGTTAGAAAATTGTTGGTGTGTTTTTTTCCCCTGGTCAGGATGAACCAGGCTGATTTTCAGGGTGAGGGATAACTTCAGTTACTTTGAAAGTAAATGAATATAAAGGCAAAAGTTTACTCTCATTCCTAGGTTTGAATCTCTGGAGTGTTTTCCAGCTTTCTTCTTCCTGGGGTAGGGGAGTGTCACTGATGAGTGGGTGGCTGTCAGGTGGGTGGTAGGTATCGTGTTGCCGTGGTGGTTTCAACCAGGGGCACCAGCTCTTGGTGTTTGGTGTCTGAAAGCTGTGTGTGAACTACAGAGAGCCCTCCTGAGCCCTTGCACGTGTTAATCATTTAGCCCTATGCCTGGGGCCTTTAATAGTATGTGTGGCAAAGATTCTACCACCAGCTCAATTGGAAAAAGGTATTTGAGACATCAGTTCAGGCAGATGGCTTCTGTCTTAGACCTTCTTTCTCTAACAAATGAATAAAAATGATACTTAGGGTTTCAAAACAGATCCCTTTTTTCCACCATAAATTCTTAGTACTGATGCTTCTTAGGTCTCTGTTGTATCCCAATCCCTCTGCTGCGGCTGGCAGGTCCTAGTCATCTGGGTCCAATCTGAGGTGTGCTCCAGCCTTTTCCTCGCTGCCCTTTTGCACCTCCGCAAAGGATTGTTTCTGCTGGTTAATTCTGTTTAAATCACCGCGAGCGCTTCCAAGCATCCCAAAGGGTCACCTGGAATCAGCCTCAGCCTCCTGGGGTGGGGGGATGTCTAAGCAAGCAGGTCTGTGAGAGGCAGGGCACTGGGGAGCAAAACCACAGGCCTGTGCCCGCTGAGCACACCCAGACCACAGTTCTCGCTTTACCGTGAAAGGAGGCGGCCGTTGAAAGCGGTTGTATTAACCTAACAGGAGACAGGCTAGGTGAGACACATGCACGTTGTGCTTGCTCTGGTGCACGTGTGTGCATGTAGATGTGTGTGAAACGCTGCACAGCTGACACCCCCATGCCTGGCTCTGAGCGGGTGGTCATCCTGTTTCTGGTCTCCCTCACCTCAGCTCTCTTGTGTCCTTTGAGTGTGCCATTAACAGGTTCATCTTCCTGTAATAACCCTTCCTTCCTCCCTTCTCCTTCCCTTTCCCCTTCCTCCCTCCTTCTTTTTTTTTCTTTCCTTCCCCTTCCTCTTCCCCTTCCTCTTCCTCTTCCGCTTGCCCTTCCTTTTCCCCTTTCCTTCTTTTTTTTTTTTTTTTTGTCAGCCATCTTCCCCCAAGTTATCAGTGAGGCCTTGCACCAGAGTAGAATTAAAAAAAGAAAATTGTTGAAAGGTCATTGCATGAATAAATGCATGGATGAATTACTTCCTTGCCATTTATCAGCTCTTTTCTTGCATAATGCTAATGCTTAGAAATTAACGTTTTGATAACTGTATTCTACTTCCAAAAAATAAAATTACATGTTCAACTTAATTGGAGCTCGCAAAGATGTAATGATAAGAGTTGAATATTACAGCGATACAGCATCCTAAAAAAAACAATGAAAATGTCAGTGGCCTCATGAAATCACAAATGAAAATGGAAAGTAATTTTTTTCAGCAATAATTTACCCGCCATTTATATGACAAAGTGCTTAAGTTTGAGAAACTGAAGAACTTACTAGTTTAGCTGTTTTCAAAATAACAGACTTAGAGTTAACATGAGATAATTCAGCCACATTTAGCTAATTGTTAGTGTCAAAATAAAATAAGCAATTGATTAGAAATTCTTCTGTCAATGGATTTGCAGAGTCTCAGTTACCTGCTTGTGGTGGCCATGGGATTCTTCCCAAATCAGGGTCTCAGGGACAAAATGCAAGCTCATTTTAGGGTGAATTACAAGTCTCAAGGTGTGTTTTAGCAAATGCCTGTTTTTTTTTAGGGGATACAAACAATTAGATTCTCACTGAAGTCTCCTGGGATTGAAAATCACAACAATAATGAATCAGATAACTCAAAGACAGATCTTTCCTTAGGAAGAAATTAATTCTGTTAAGGTTCATTGGCAGAACATTGTTTACTTATTAAATTTATAATGGACATAAAGCTTTTTAAAAATAACAAGATAGGCCGGCCGCAGTGGCCCACGCCTGTAATCCCAGCACTTTGGGAGGCCTAAGTGGGTGGATCACCTGAGGTCAGGAGTTCAAGACTAGCCTGGCCAGCATGGTGAAACCCCGTCTCTACTAAAAATACAAAAATTAGCCAGGCATGGTGGCACGTACCTGTAATCCCAGCTACTTGGGAGGCTGAGACACGAGAATTGCTCAAACCTGGGAGGTGAAGGTTGCAGTGAACCAAGATCATGCCACTGCACTCCAGCCTGGGTGACAGAATAAGACTCCATCTTAAAAAAGACTAATAATAATAATAAATAAAATAGATAAAACAGCCTCAGAATGTCGCGTTGTAGGGAATTTTAAAATGTCCACTTTGTATATTGACAAGTATTTTTTCTGTAAAGCTTTTGGGGTTTTTGGGGGGCTATAGCATGTAGTGCCTCGAGTTCATAAGGAGATGTGGTTTTGAGGGACTCACTCTCAGCTTCAGGGCACACTGGAAGTTTCTGTCTTGTTGAGTTCAGTCCTCTAAACTTAAGATGGAGAGAAAAGAATTTGGTTCACAAAAAAGTAAGTCAGGGAGTATGATAAGAGGCTAGGATCAGAATTCTAAAGGATTTTAGAAGAGTGTCCAGAAATGCAGTTGGTATAAATGCATCTGCAAAGGAAGGAAATGTACCTGTTTGAGAGCAAAGCGGTGCTCACCCTCATGTTGCTGAGTGATGAAAATGAACAGTATGTCATTTTGGTTAAAAAGCCAAGAAGCTTAGAAAGAAGAAAACAGCACGCTGTGAAAGGTCAAAATCTTCCAATTTGTTCTGTCCCTTGAAGAAGGAATATATCAAGTAAAAATAGGCCTAAAACACTGGAAATTGAGAAAGGTTAAAGAATTTTGATCCTTCATCCTGGAAGGGAGGAAGCAATTAGATCTGGCCACGTGTCCTCAGTCCCTGTCCCCTCTGAGCACAGCGAAAGGGTAAATTACTTAAACTGGAACATATGAAAGTTTGAGTGGATAAAAATAACCCTTTCCTAATGTTGAGGGTTATGCAACAACACATGAGGCCGTGCAGGAACCTTCCATTGCTGGGCACGTTCAAAAAGAGGTAGATGATCCGGTTGGAAGTTTTCTGAGGGCAGAAGTGTGGAGTTATTAGTTACTCCACTTTCATAACATAATGCACATTTGTAGAATAAACATAGTTTACAGAGCATTGTAATGTGTGTCATAGTTTTTCATCTCTGCAGCCCTGGGAGGAAGGCAAGTGGATTCTGTGTATCCCACACAACACAGGAAGCATCAAGGCCTAAGGAGTTACAGGGGTCATTCCATCACACAGACACGCAGTGCAACCTAGGAACTGGCCCTTCTTTTTCTATCTTGTTCGACAGAATGATTCACAAAAACACATGCGAATATTTTTCTTAAATTGAAAATACGAACCTAACTGTCTAGACAACTCACCATGAACCTAACAGCTCTGCTTCCAGGAAAACTCAGAGTTTTCCCACTGAACTCACCTCTGGAAAACAGAATGAATACATGTTTCTTTCTCAAAGGTCATCAGTTTATGAAAATGACCCAGGTCCTAGCTGTGGGTTAGAGGGGCCCTTTCTGGAACTCCAGAGATTGCTCTGTTCTCCTGAGGGTCTCTGCTAACTTCCCTCCTTTCTTTTTCAGAGTGAAGATCTGTCTGGCTTTATCACCAGGATGTCACATGTCAGAGAGTATCATTAAAAGAAGACGCTCAGCACTGTTTCAGCCCGAAGCTGCTTGCAGTTTTCTTTTGGATCTGAGCAATGACTGTGTTTGGAAACATCTGTGGACTCTGTTAGATGAGGCACCAACAAGGCAAGGTCACCTGCCTCTTTCCCTTGTTCCCGGATGGGGCATTCATCATTGTGCTGTTTGCGTTTTGTTTTGTTTTGTTTTAACAAAATTAGCTGAAGAAGTTATTCTCAAGAAAATTGGATGTTTTCATTGGCCTTCTTAAATTGTGGCCAGTGTCTTTTAATTTCTTCTTCTTTTCCTTTTGGCAAAGCAGATATAACCCTCAGCATGCTAGGAGAGTGCACCCGTACCTATGGAAGTGGTAAAATCTGGTATTTACTGGCTTACACTCAAAACGACCACAGTCCTACCTCAGTTCAAGGTAAAGCCGGATTTCCGTGGCGGGGGTCCCACAGGACCTCCTGTAGTAGCCCCTGCGCTGTGTGTCTGGAGCGCGGTCCTCGGCCTTATTGAAATGGTCCAAGTAGACAGCTGCTTGTTGGATTCCAGTGCAGGTACCTGCGATGTTTACGTCCACACCGAGCCCAGTGTGGGACTGACATTTCTCAATGGAAGTGAAATTTGGGATTGGACTTTGAAGACGGATTACTAAATAATAATTATTATATGTAACTGAAGCAACCTACTTTTGAAAATCAACTGTATTGGGTAGTGGGAGGTGGGAGGGAAGGGCTTTGGGAAGGGGATGAATATCTCTTTTTACCTTTAACAGACTTGTTTAATCTTCTCGATGTAGATGTTTATGTAGGTACTTCACATTGCAAACGCCTTTTATTCTATTTACAAGCTCAGATGTCTCTGCTCTCCTGAATCTTGGGCATGCCTTTCTGTAACCAAAAATCCCTGTAGGCGTGCTAGCAATTCCAGGGTGGTCCGGGTTTGGCAGATTTGATTTTTAAAAAACGTATTATCTTTAATAAAATGTTATTATGTCAACCAGTGAGGCTGCCCTGAACAAAAAAAACAAAAAGAAAAAAAAAAAAGGAAAGAAAGAAACTGATAAAAAGAGGCATTCCAGCCCCTATGTTATTGATGGAAAAAGAAAAAGAAGAAAAGCAATCTCGCAGTACATGTTACTTGTCGAAAAAATTCCGGACAAGACTACCCTTGTTTTATGTTTTCAGTATTCTGAAAATACCAGTGTGTGGCAGTTCTCGCAGATGTTACCTAAAACTGCTGAACTTGACCGGCAGAATGTTCTGCCGTTTTCTGCTCCCTCGACACTTGATTGGAGGGCTGTCGACCTCTCCTCCCGTGGGGGCTTCCCCAGTGCCTATCTTCTCTGATAGTCATGGAGAGGTTACACTAATTCATTGGAGATGTAAGTTGTTGGTTTTGTTTTGTTTTGTTTTTAGAAAAATATATATAAATATATAATAGATATCTATCGCTATAGAATAATGCATTAATAAAATGAGGCTTTTTTAGAGGAAGACCAAAAAATTCAATGTCTTAAAAATATATTTAATGGCAATGCAAAAGTCTTCCTGCTTCCGTGCTGAACTTTAGAACAGAGGATTGTATTGCAAGACAAAGTTGAATGTAAAGTGATCTCCCTGAACATTTTTAAGGTTTTACTTTTCTGAAATTATACATCACAGCAGTGCATAGGCCATATAATGTTAGCTGGAAGGTCAATTTCAGTGTATGATATACTTTATTAAGATGTATAAAAATCCTGAAGTTTTTATTTAGTTTTGGGAATAGGCATCAATGGGTGGTATTTGCTTTGTAACTCCCCCCAGGTACGATAGGGACTGAATATGGACCCTGCTGAAAGCAGTGTATTGACGCATATTTAACTCGCCCTCTATCCGTAGAGTAGTCATGACACTATACAGATGGTTCGTGTTCATACTGCAGCTTAAAACAAGCAAAATACACAGATGATAATATGCTAAATTTTCCTCTATCCTGTACATTTCACAAAAAGGCATATGCAATATTTACATTTTTAATTTAGTTTACAGAATGGAACCAAAATGTATAAATGTTATGTTTGCTAAAACTTCACAATGTATATTGGGTCTTTGTACATTTTGCCTGACTTACCTTAAATTTAAAATATTTTTTGCTATATAAACTTTAACAGTTATTAAACAGTGTTTTCTTTTTGGGTACGTATTGTTTCTGGATATCAAGATGTTAAATATATTTCTTGCTATTGTGATATGACAAGAGACTTAACTTATCTTGCTCTGTCTTCCACTGTACACGCTGTATATAGGGGTCAATGTGATGCTGCTGGAGACGAGAATAAACTGGACTAGAATAGTGCATTGTATTTAGTCTGTATTGATCATGGATGCCCTCCTTAATAGCCATATGCAATAAAATAAAGTACATTATTTATGAAATGAATACAGTCCTGAAGATTTTTTCTGTACGAATTCTCTGTTTAACATAAAGCCAATCTACTTTTAGAGTTTGGGAGTAAGTGAGGAAATACTAGGCTCCTAAAAATACTTGGATACCCCTTTTAATTTTAAAACTTTTATTCTGGAAGCCAAAAAATACCTGCCAGATAACAACATTTATGAAAAGTAAATGTGTTATATAACAAAACAGAACATTCGATGTACTCTACAAAACAGAGTCCTTATGACGTGCTGGATGCCATTCTAAATACATAACAAATATTAACTTCTTGATAGCTCATGACAATCTTAGGAGGTAAGAATTGTCATCCTCATTCTACAGAGGAGGAGCCCGAGGTACAAAAATGCTAAGAGACTTGTGTGAGAGCACACAGTCCATGAGTGGTAAAACCAGGACCGCTCCCCAGCTCTGCAGTCCAGAATCTGCTTATGCACCTCTGCTTAGTGCTCCCTTCCTGATGTGCACACAGAAGATACACCAACGTGTACATCAAGAATGCTCCCTCCATGACATGCACACAGAAGATGTACCAATGCATACATTAAGAATGCTTCCTCCGGCCGGGCGTGGTGGCTCACACCTGTAATCCCAGCACTTTGGGAGGCTGAGGCAGGCAGATCACCTGAGGTCAGGAGTTCGAGACAAGCCTGACCAACATGGAGAAACCCCGTCTCTACTAAAAATACAAAATTAGCCAGGCGTGGTGGCGCATGCCTGTAATCCCAGCTACTCGGGAGGCTGAGGCAGGAGAATGGCTTGAACCCGGGAGGCAGAGGTTGCCGTGAGCCAAGATAATGCCATTGCACTCCAGCCTGGGCAACAAGAGCGAAACTCCGTCTCAAAAAAAAAAAAAAAAAAGAAGAAGAATGCTGCCTCCATGACACAAACACAGAAGAAGACATACCGATGCATACATCAAGAATACAAAGAAGAAAATCATCAGATCCAGGAAAATGCAATTCAGGAAGCAGAAAATAGAAAATTGATGCTGTGAATTTTTATCCAGGAGAGTTTTACCTCCTTGCTTGAAACATTTGTCCGTGCATCCACTTTGCCCTAAAATGATAGTCATGTAATAATGTGTGTGTTATCTTTTGAACAAATAAAATCAGTGCAATTTGGAAGGTGATTTTTAAATTACGGTTGTTAAGTCAGCAAGATGGACTCACACTGTGGTGTGGAAACCTGTGATGGGATAGCCACAGGCTGCATCCCCTGTTTGTGCCTGGATGGTTTGTTCTGGGGGAGCCTGTTAGTCACACAGAGTAAGAGGCCTGATCTGCAAGTCTTGATATACCTGAAATCTGATAACCATTTCAACAATGAAAGGGCAAATGATGCAGTCATTCCACAGGCCTCATCTAAGGCAGGAACGGACAAGTGATTTATCTGAAAGAGCCATTGTGGAGAAAGTACAGCAAAATGGAGTTGTTTCAAAGGTCCACAGATTCTGGAAATACCACTCAAAACCAATGCAGGGCCTTTTCCAGAATGTTAAGTGTTATATGACAAGATGAGAAGACTGCAGGCTGCAATAATTTTGGAAGAATTTGGTTCTAACCCACTGATGGCCTCGACAGGCAGCTTGCAAGAGGCACCTTAGCTCATGGTACTGTCATGATATTTGAGTCCCATCCTTGAGCTGATCTGCAGCTCGTCCTTCCTCAAACCTTCCTTAAGCATTGCTTCACAGATTAGATGGGTTGCTCATTAGTGCATATCACTGTGAGTTGACCAGGGGTAATAGCATTTGAGTGAAGCTAGCATTACTTGACATAGCAACTTTTGGATGGCACCAGTTGAAGGACAGAGGGGACGATTCCTCCACTGAGAATGTGCAGTGTCTCTTCCCTGTCATTGCCCCAGTAGTATTTCTCTGAATTCTATAACCAAGTGAAATCTGATGTTTATGGGTCTTGCTTTGGCAATGATACACAGATGATAGACCTAGCATGCTGCAGTTGATAGCTTGAAAACATTAAGCATCCCTTCAGGAGCTCCTTTTAGATTTTGACCCTCACAGCTGTGTCTTTCCTCTTGTCTCTTCAGCCTTGTTTCCCTCTGCAGATCCCAATGACCCTAAATAGCAATTTGGTGGTTTCTTGTCCTCTTATCATTAGTGCCTCCTTCATTTCACACTGGTCCCGCTTTCCTACCTGAGCGGTCAGATGACTCACAGCCTTTCCGCTGCATCTGGAGACTCTGTCCTATTTTAGGCACTTGGTTCCTCTGACAGGAGCTCTGTCTGAGTTTGTGCCTCTGAACTTTTCTTTTTCTGCATTTCAAAATCCTCTCCTTTCACCTTGGAACTCAAAAAGTTCTAAATTTTTACGAAAATTACTTATACCCCAGGAAACCTACCCCAGCTCTTTTCCAGCCTGTCTGGGTGTGTCAAATACATATCAGGAACTGTACAACGTGCTCCTGTCTCTCCAGATCTTTCTGGTTATGACACTTAATTCTCAGATGACATTGACAGAAAACATACTGATTGATAGATTTTTCTAGAAAAGATGCATAAAACAATAAAGGAGCTGTATTAATTAGCATGCATTTAGCTGCAAGTAATTGAAACCTCAATTCAATGGCTCTTAGCTGATCTGAGCTGCTATAACAAAATGCCATAGACTGGGTAGCTTATAGGCAATAGTATTTTTTTTCCCTCACAATTCTGGAGGCTGAGAAGTCTAAGAACAAGCTGCTATAATGTGGTGTCTGGTGAAGGCCTGCTGCCTGCTTCATAGATGGTACTGTCTCAGTGCCCTCCCGTGACAGAAGGGTTGACCTAGCTCTCTGGGGTCCCTTTCATAAGGGCACTAATCCTATTCATGAGAGCTCTGCCCTCATGACTGAATCACTTCCTAAAGACCCCCACCTCCTAATACCAGCACTTTGGGGATTCAAATTTTAATATAGGAGTGGTGGGAGGACACAGACATTCAGACTGTAGCAAGCTCAGAGCAGTAGTTCTCAAACTTCAGGACTTCTTAGAATTATCTGGAGGGGCTTGTTAAAAACAGATTGCTGGACTCCACTCCTAGACTCTTCTCAGCAAGTCTGGGGTAGGGCCCCAAAATCTGCATTTCTAAAAATTTCCAGATGATGCTGATACTGGTCTGGGACCACACAGTGAAAATCACTAAATTGCAAAGGGATGTGTTAACTCACACAACAGGAAGCCCAGGGCTGGTTAATTAGGCAGCTAAGTGGCGTGCACAGAAGCCCTGGATCTCTTCATCTTTCTACTCAGCCATCCTCCCGATCTTTGCTTTCATTTCAGACGCTTGGCCCCCTGTGTTTCTAAGATGGTTGCGGCAGCTCCAGGCAGCATGTCATCTCATAACAATGTCCAGCAAAGCAGTGTCTCTTCCTGGGGTGTCTTTTTGGAATGATGCAAATGACCCCAGAGCCACCCCACCACCAGCTGCCTCTGCCTCACTTCCATTGTCTGGGATTGGGTCCCAAGCTCCTGGTTCCATTGATTATGAGGAAGGAGATGGCTGATTTACACTAAAAGAGATGCACCCTCCAGGGCTGGGAGGTGTCCACATCCCATGAAGAGACAGTTGAACAAAAGCTGGGCATTGGAAACCAGGAAAAAGGAGTACTGTCACTTCAGTAGCAACTAACAGTGTCTGCTATAACAGCAGAAAATGAAAGGGCCATCCTTTTCAAATGCAATTATATCTCTAATGTATGATCTCCATCTACAGCGATTTTGAAAGGGGGGATTTAAAATAGGGTAAAAGTAGAACAAAATTATGAATCTAGCATGGTCAAAAAGAGGATGGCGTCATTGCTTCACTATAGGCTTCACGTATCTTTGCTTTTGTTATTAAATTTTGTGCAACATGGGAAGCTGTTTTATAAAAGATCAAGATATAAAGGATTGGAAAATTGGACATTTGAAGGTACATCAAAGAGCTAGGACTATTTAGACTGGAAAAGAGGAAACTACGTGGTGATTGATTAGCATTGATAACATTAGGGGCTATAGATAAAATAAAGATTAGTCAGCTGACCTCCTCAAAAGATGATAAAACCAGAGAAAGGGGTAGAATACAATTAGAAAAATGTGTCCGATTTCCATAAAAAATAATTTGATAATAACGAGGGTTATTAAATATCAACTTTGAAATAATTGTTGATTTCATTGCCTGGAGGCCTTAAAAAATAGGACTTTGCAGCTGTCTTTCTTCGTAGTGATGGGAGAGGGGACATAGACCACATAATCTCGACCAGCCCCTTCCCCCAGGGGCTCAGCATCGCACAGCTGAGGAGGCAGCCACCCCCTTTGTTGCTCATGTCAACAGCTCCCCTGGACTTGCACAGGGCATGGCCTGAAGCCTGAGATCCTGGCTTCTCTGAGGATAAGAGAACTACTGAGCATGGATTTAATCAGCAAAAAGAATCACCATAGTTTTTTCTGCCTAGTTTAGTCTGTAAAGTGTTTACCAAAGTAGTATTTAGGAATCTGAAGGAAAGATCTGAAATTTGAAGGAAGGATCAGAGTATGAGGTCCATCCTGAATAGTCCAGATTCATAAGATTATAAGATCATAAGATCATGCTGATAGAGCAGCTCTAAATCATGTTGCTTAAAGAGGTTTTTAAATACAGGACAGCCAAAGTGACAAAGTGATCTTTATCAAATAGCCGGGCCCTCTTGCTGGCACCTGTAGTCCCAGCTACTTAGGAGGCTAAGTTGGGAGGGTCACTTGAGCCCAAGAGTTGGGGGCCAAACTGCACAATATAGCTAGATCCTGTCTCAAAAAAGAAAAAAAAAATAAATGCATGTATAATTCAAATTCTCCTTCCTCCCCACTCACCCATTATCTTTTAGGAAAAGTCAAAGTTCCTGAACGTGGTAGGCCTGAGACATAAGGCACTATATGAACTGGCTTCTGCCTAATTCCCCAGACACATCTTCAAGGCCCTGTCCCTCCCGCTCCACCCCTCCCTGTGTCTGCACCTAAGCCTTCCTAGAGCACATAAAGTGCACCTAGCTCAAGTAAGGAGGAGAACATAAAATGAAAAGACAAAGAATTGCTGAACCTAAAAACAAATGTTTATCTACCAAGAGTTACTATTTCCTAAAAGATCCCTTGAGGAAAGGTATGCAACAAGTTAGAAGCATTTTTAAAAATACCATTTAAATGCTATACAGCATTGCTTCACTTCTTCCTTTGAAATCTGAGGACATTCATCATCTCATTTCCATTCACCTCTCCTTTCTCCTTTTTCCCCACCTTAACATTTGTCAGTTACATTATTTTCTGCATTTTCAAGGTAAAAAAATACATTTTTTCTGTAATGTAATTCCTATGAGTTTAAAATACTTATCCTTCATTTACATTGATCCATTTCATGCCACCCGTTCTTTGAACATGCTTATTTTTTAACCATCTATTAATTGCTTGGATTTTGTTACTGAAAACAAACAACTCAAAACTTCTTTCCAGACACTTTTTAATATGCTCTGTTCCCTGAGCTCTCTCATATTTGAGAGGTAATTTGCCTGTTGTCTTTATAGATGAGCAACAAATTGGCTATGTAGATCACTCTTAGGTCCCATACGCCTTTCCAAAGAAGTTTGTGACATTTCTCCAGCCTTCTTATTTATTGAATCAGGAGATTTTGATGAGTGGTTTTCAAGTTCAAATTACTCTGGGGAAATTCACCTTGCACAAAGGTGCCCTAAATATACAACCCTATCTACCTAACCAGACTCACCTTCTGCCTTCTACCACCCCATGAACCCAGCGTTGGTCACAGTTGCACTGATCCTATCACCAAATTTTAATCCTTTTATGACTCGGCTTTGCATAAAAATTTCATTTGCCCTAGAGTGTTGAAACCTCTTTCTTCATCTAGAGACTTGTACTGACTCTTCAAGACAACTCTACCATGTGTCAGGAGAAGGAAAACTGGAAATATCCAGTGAATGCTTCCAATGACTATAATGCAACCTGATTTCAACTCACCTAAACAGAGCTAGTGACCCACTTCTCCAGATTCTCAAACCACTCTGCTTACCCTTCTGTTACGGCACCTTCCAAGTTTCACTGTATTATCTGTTTATCTGTGTTTCTCCCACGAGGGGGCTCCTTGATGGAAAGGATCACATTGCAGACATGGTAGCTAGCAAAACTGTGTTACTGTAACCGCTGAGCAACTCTGTTCAGACATTTATCTACCTCTCATTCCATATTCACACACCTCTGAGAACTAAGTGCTATTAAGAAAACTGAAGCTCAGAAAGGTTAAACACCTTGCTCAGGGTCACAACTAATAAGCAGTGAGTCAGAATTCAAAGCATTTATTCCAATTCCAGCTCTTTCCTACTGTGTTTTAGTGAACCTAACACAATACACGACACATAGTAGTAGGTACTCAACAAATATTTGTTGAATATTTGAATGAATGCATTTGTCTTGTATACATCTAGAACACTCGCAGGCTAAGAGACTAGGTTGCCTTGAATGATTGTATTCTATATTTGCACAATTTCTTCAACAATTACGCTGTTTTATTGGCTTTATGAAGGCATAACATTGCTCAGAGAAGTAAAGTGCATTCGTTGAATTATAATAAGTGACTAAAATTGAATCCCAATGGTTCTCTGATATATGTATAGGAAACCTTTAACTATATATAGCAGAAAAGCCAAAACAACAATGGCTGGAACATATATAATGTTTTATTCTCTCAGATGAAACTAGACAGATGTGGGCATTCCAAGGCTGGCACGGGGTTTCCATCACTTCCCAGGACCCACCTTCCCACCGTCATTCAGCTTTAGCATTTTCAGTGCACACCTTTCTGTCTTCAAGGTGCCTCATAGTCCAACGTGGCTCCTGAAGCTCCAGCCATCACACTGGCTTTATCCACAAGAAAGGTGAAAGGGGAAAGTATAAAAATGGGTGCCTCTGCTGGGCGAGTCAGCTACTTTATAAGTGAGTCTTCCACTTAAGTCTTGTACGCTGCATATTTGAAACACCTCACTGAGAACATTTCCTTTCTCCATGATTGATTTCTGCGACTAATTTCTATTGCATTCTCCTCCTCATCCGATATGCTTCTGGATACTGGAGATCGAGTGGAGAGGAAGCCTGAGTGCCTGGACTTATAAGGCCTTCTTCTGGTGATCAGCAAGTAAAACAAATATGAAACACAAGATGAAGATAAGAACCGGGAGGAATAGCCCAGGCGTGGGGGAGAGAAGGCTGGTTTCCAGGGGATGGTCAGAGGCGGCCTCTCGGAGAAGGCAACACTTGATCAGAGTTCCCAAAGGGCCTACTGTGGGGACCTGAAGGAAGAGCAGCGCAGCAGGTGCAAAGGCCCCGGGGTGGAGGCATACTTGACATGGTGGAGACCAGGAAGGAGGGCCACGACTCGGTCCCTCATCTCTCATTCCACTTTTTAACAGTTCTCTATTTAGAACTCCCATGTTTCAATGAGAACCTATTATAGAAACAGTCTATCAAAGTCTTGCCATTTAAGGGTGATCATTAAGAGCTTTGCTTTACTTCTTCACACAGAGAAGGGGTGGGAGAGGAGGAAGGACAGTGTGAAGCAGACAGACAGAAACTCCCCTTTGGCTTTGAAGGTGTATTCTTTGGGGGTGCCGACATATTCCACAAGACAAGGCAGGGCACAGGGAGGCTGGGCGTTCACGTAGACAGTGTGTCTTCCAGCAGAAGGTGTGCGTGACGCCCGCCTGCACAGGAACGGGTGCAAGCACTCAATACCTGGTTTCTATCGGGGCACTGCCTGGGCTCTGCTGTTTCAACAATGCACTTGGCTTCTTCCATGACCCAGAGTTGCTGCAGAAACCACTGCTGAGAGTACGATTGATTCTCTGTATGCCGACGTGTCCAAGGACAGTTAGTAGGAGCGGAGGTTTCAGGGCATCAAGGAGTACTGTCCTTGCACACGGGCAAGGTACTGATAAGCTGTTGTCTGAAGCCCGAGAGCCGGTGCACCCTGCCGTGACCAGGCGCAGCTCTGTGCTGCAGGATAACGCGAGCTATCTCATCACTGTCTCATCACTCAAAAGGCTTCTGATGAAGGCCGTGGCTGAATGGGTTCGGTCTCATGCTAACAAAATCTTGATGCGGATGCACCCTCCATCCCATGTTTAAGATCTTTAATTTTATGGGTACGAGTAATAAAAAATAATCAGGCTGTGTATTTTCTGTATCCACTGATATAAATGTTGGCATCAGCATTATTATAATCTTAATTACCATCATTGGTTACACGTGCTAAAAATGTTCACGCCGTCTAAAAGAAAATAAAAACAAGCGGCGGCAGGACCCCTGCTCTCACACAGTAAAGGGCAATAAACATTTATCGACATGCTGAGGAGAGGAGATTGTCATATCCTATTAAAATAACCAAAGATAAGGTTTTAAAGAATTCAACCTGTCGGGCTGTCTTTTCATACGAAGGCCAGAGACTTCCCGGAAACCGCGATGTCCGCAGTGGCGTGGTAGGATCTGGTTGGTAACTGTGCACCGCGGGGTATGTGAGCGCAGGCGCTCCCGGAGCAGCGACACAGACCTGTTCATTTGAAAGGCATTAGAGGAGAAACTCCTGCGGTCAGCCTTGCCAACCTCCTTTGTCCCCGTGGATGTGTCTGGACACCCTTCATCACCCTCCCTCGGGGGACGGGAAGCCTCAGTTAAGAGCGAGGCCCAGTGCCCTCCCTCCAGGAAACCCCATAACCTTCACTTCCAGGGTAAGGGGCTTCGTCTACACAAGCTCCACCCGTCAGCCCCAGCAGCCTTTGAGCTAGAGCTGGCGGAGGGCACCGCCTGGCTCTGCTTCTCCTCCACCGCCCTGCCCTTCAGAGAGCCAGGCCAGGGAGTGGAGGCATGAGGGGCGAACCCTAGGGGCGTTTGCCTGGGATTCTGCTGTTGGCCTCCCTGCTGGGTGTGGCTGAGGCCCGATGCCCACTGCTGCATGGCGCCACGGCAGCCCTTGCCCCGCCACCCCATCCACAGCCCTAAGGAGGCTTCCTCAGCCGCTCTGTGGAGCTTTCGAGGATCCGCTTGAAGATGTCAGCACACTCCTCCCTGGCCGGCAGCCAATAGTTTGTTTATTGCTCTCAAAGCACACTCACACTCTTTCCTCCCGTCCAGTCCATTTTCTGAAAACACTGAGCTCTTGGCTCACGGTCAATGCCTTCTGCTTTTATCTGCTCGGCCTGAAACAGTGACGTCCAGCCAAGAGGCCAGAGCTAGGGCTCCTCCGATGCTCCTCCGATGCTCCAACGGTGGTGGCCCTGCTCCTCGATGAGGCCGGTTCCCGCAAGGCCGATGCTTAGGCATTTCAGAGAGATGCACTCTCCCTCTTCTTATCGCTTTCCCCTTCTGCTTTATTAAAATTAGGTGACTTTTCAAGACTCCATGCAAAAGGTGGCATGCATAGCTCTGGCCATGCAATAGAAACTAAAGTAAGGTTCCCGTGTATAATCCAATCACACAGCTGCCCCGCCTTGGTCTCACACCAGGTCTGCAAGATGGCAGCCCCTTTGGTTTGCCCTCCAGCCTTCTCTTAAGTCCTGGAGCCGCTCTGGTAATTGAGCCTTCCTTCTGGCATCCTCTGGAAGGCTAATTGAATACAGCAGGAGGCAGTCACAGAGCTTTTTAGCATTTCTACTTCCTTTCATTTGCACACTTTTCCAATAGGAAGCAAAGCTACTCAATTCAGGAGAGAACTCCCCTCTCTTCCTACTTAACCTTTCTCCTGCATACACAATCGGGCTACTCAAAGGTATGCTGTTTCCTTTCCGCTAAAAGTTTCCTCCTAATTACCTCGAGGCATCCAGGTGTGGCTGAAAATATGCTCAACCCCGGGTGTAAATATCTGCACCTAAGGGCAGTGAGTAGCAGAGCAAAACAGCTTGTGCAGGGCGCAGTGTGCTTAAAACAACCTGCAGCTATTTATCGGGTGACTCAGACAGGATGCAGGGGCCAGATGGTTAGCATCTTGCAAAGGCTGACGGGCACTTTCATTTGATTGTTTAAGAATAAGTTCACACCGGAAAGGGGATTTCACACGTCCTCTTCCATTCTGGATTTTCAGTGTTTCATTAAGCTACTTTATAAACTATTATCTTGGAGAAGAAACAAAAAAACTTTTAATTATGTTTCCTTTGCATTGGCGGTCAGGCAGACAGATGAAATTTTTAATTATTGAACTGCTCCAAGGTGTGCCTGTAAGTATATCTAAAATATGTCTTGAAATAGTTATTGTACCTTTTTCTAGAAAATGATAACTTCTATGTTTTCTTTGTAAAATAAAAACCCACTTGTGACTGGTATACAAGGAAGAAGCTGACCTGAAGCTGTCTAAATAATAAAGGCAAAACTAGTAGACCCCCAAAAACGATAGAGCTCACTCTTCTCTGTCTCTGGCACGTGGAGAAGGCATGAAACTATCAAAGGCCCCAGGAATTGAACTTGGGAAAACTTGGTTCAAGTCGGGTGGGGCAGTGGGCAAAGGGTTGATGTTGTTGAATGTCATGGACTTCATAATCAGTAGGCATAAGGATATGATCGCTTAGATGTTTAGCGTGGCAGTGAAATAGTAAAAGTGCATAAAGGTAGTCTTTAAAGAGTGAGCGAAGCACCATGCCGGGTAGGTATTGAAGCCATGTCAGTTACTAAGCTGAACATCAACAATTTGCTTTGGTGCTTTGGCACATACCTAAAATTGTCAAGTGAGTCCTTTATTGAAAGGTAAGGATGCTTGTTGTCTAGTTTCTTTGGATGTTTTTATTTGGAAAACCTTGGGTGAAGTGTCATTAAATAATATATGATACTGCTTTTCCTTCTTTCCTTCCTCTTCCCCTTCTCCTTCCTCTCTCTCTTCCTTTCCTCTTTCTTTCTTGACAGGGTCTCACTCTTTCACTCAGGCTGGCATGCATTAGGTGCTATCAGAGCTCACCACAGTTTCGAAATGCCAGACTCAAGGGATTCTCTCACCTCAGCCTCCTGAGTTGCTGGGACTACAGGCATGCACCGCACCTGGCTAATGTTTAAAAATGTTTTGGCCGGGCGTGGTGGCTCATGCCTGTAATCCCAGCACTTTGGGAGGCCGAGGCGGGTGGATCATGAAGTCAGGAGTTTGAGACCAGACTGGCCAACATGGTGAAACCCCGTCTCTACTAAAAATACAAAAATTAGCTGGGCGTGGTGTCACACGCTTATAATCCCAGCTACTTGGGAAGCTGAGGCAGAAGAATCGCTTGAACCTGAGAGATGGAGGTTGCAGTGAGCTGAGATCATGCCACTGCATTCCAGCCTGGGCAACAGAGTGAGACTCCATCTCAAAAAAAAAAATATTTTGTAGAGATGGGGTTTCTTTTGTTGCCCAGGCTGGTCTTGAACTCCTGGCCTCAAGCGATCCTGCCCACCATGGCCTCTTAAAGTGCTCGGATTACAGACGTGAGCCACTGTGCCTAATAATGCTTTTCAAATGTCAACATGCACACAAATCTCTCTGGCGATCTCGTTAAAATGCAGAGTCTGATTCAGGAGGTTGGGTGGAGATTGAGAGCCTCATTTCTAACCAGCTCCTGGGTGATGCTGATGTTGGGCTGGGGCACGCATTTCGGACAGTGAGGGGTGGGTGATGTGAAGCAGACAGTAGACAGGAAATGCATGTTGAGAAGAGGAGCTAAATCCTGAAAGTCAGTGGCCCTCACCTTATTCGTTCTTCCTCAAACTCTGCCTTACCCAGGGGGCACAGTAATACGCCTTACAAGTCCTGAGGTGGAACAGGAGGATGGACTCACAGACATGGCAGGAAGGGAGCTGGGAACCAGAACTGTCTGGGCTCTGAGGCTGGAGTGCTGAGGGCCTCCGCCCTGACTAGGGGTGTCTGGTGGAGGATCCAGCACAGACCCACTGGCTGGAAGGATCCCTGTAAAATCCCTGAAAGAGAGGAGGAGCCTCACCCCAAATGAATGCCTCTTCTCTAGGCCTCTCTGCAGCCACCCATGCATGCCAGAGGTCCATGCAAGATTTGCCTTCTGGAGCTTGGGGAGAAGTAACCAGAAGTCATGTAAACATCATGGTCTTGATTCTTTCCCTTCCTGCTGATCCTGTCTCACTCCAGTGTGGCCCTCAATGACTTTCCTTCTCCTTTTCTGCAAATGTACCTGACGGCTTGCCAGACAGAATTTCCATGCTTGGTTAGAAAGGACGATGCAGCTGAGATGTGAGATATTTATTGCCTCTCGACTGGAGTTTGTGTGACACCGCACCTTTCATCCGCACGTTTGTCTCCCATCTCATAAAGGTCAGAGTTCTCATCTGTGCACCGCTCTCTTGCTTGACACCCCTTCCCCAGGTGCCCTCATCCCCCCATGACTTCAGCTCCCTCATCTACATCCTCAACTTTGACTTCCACCCTCACATCCACTGCTGCCTGCGCGGCAACTCCCAGGGCTGTGCCATGGATGCCCCATGCCTAGCTTCTCAAACAGAAGGTCTCACCCTGCCATGGCCTGCTCCTCCTGCTGAATCTAAGCCCCACTCAGCCATTGCAGCCAAACATACTCTGCCTCTTCCGAACAAGACCTGGGCTGGCATCTCACAAGATCGCATGGCCTGAGTCCATCTGCATGCCGATGGCACTCAAATCCACTCTGCATCTCCACATGCCTAGCCTGCACATGCCTCAAAACCAACATGATCAAAGCGTGGTCTTTCCTGAACAGACCCACCCAGCCCACCCCTAAGGTGCCCTCCCACCAGCCTTCTCTGCACCGATAAACGGCACCACCAGCCGTCCACACACTCAGGCCAACCAGCCGAGCACTCGCCAGGACTCCTCCATCTCACAGCCCACATTCCATCCTTCAGCAACTCTGTCGCCTTGACCTCAGAGCATATCCCGGTCTCAGTCCAACCTCCTCTCATCCCTTCCCCTGATAGAAAAGTCGCCATCCTTTCTTGCTTGGGCTACACAGCAGCCTCCTAAGTGGCCTCCCCCTGGCATCCTTCCCCTCATTCCACTCCATTCTCCCTACTACAGTGCAGCGTCAGCCAGTTCAGATCCCTCCCATGTCTTCCAGCACACTTGAAGCAGAATCTGCCCTCCCTTCCAGGGTGCACAAAGGCCTACTGTGTGTCACGTCCATTCGTGCCAATATTGCACATCCATTCACCTTTAAATGTTGTTGGGCTGAGGGTACGACTGGGAAAGGAGAAAATAAAGATCTAATTTTGATTAGGCGATTCATGTTCACACAATCATTTGAACTGAAAATGCCCATCTGAATGCCCACACAGACGTCATCTATATGAATTGGTATAATCAGCACATGAGAATAAAAGTCCTTGCCTGCACTTTCCTCTTTTCCTTTATAACAGCAGTGCTCGCACATTCAATTCCGGCACGGTCACCTCTGACTCGCTCGTCACTGCCGCTTGCCATCACAGGTGTTTCCTGGTCAGTCACTGTCCACTGGCTGCATCCCATGGTGCAAGCTCATTCTGGAACCTTGTCTTTGAGCTGCTTCCTCTCGTTCTATCTTCTGCAGATACCACTCCTCTGTGGTCTGGGGATTTTCTCTGCCAAGAACATCATGCAGTTTGGGGGTGCAGTTCCCATTTGTCTCTTGACAAAGGGAAACACAAGTGGATTGAAAGCAAAAACATAAGGGCTCTTTCCCCGAAGCCATTCCTGAATCCTGAAACTGAAAGAGGGGATCCAGAGGAAGTGTGGAATTAGTTATCATGGAAAAATCCAGGGTGGAAATAAATTAGGCTAATGATAAAATAATTGAACAACATTCTTGGGTCTGACTTCTTAAGCCACAGTGTTAGAAGTTGGCATAGAATCTGATCCCTTATGTTACAGGATCATCTATTTCATGCCGTATAATATAGTACAGTAGGCATAATCCTTTTGGGGATAGACTTGGATTAAATAAAAATTATGAAACTTAATGTCACTGTGTCTTCAATCATTTTCTTTTCCTTTCTTTATTATTATTTTGAGACAGAGTCTCACTCTG
The DNA here is from genome assembly GCF_000001405.40 of Homo sapiens. NCBI lineage: Eukaryota > Metazoa > Chordata > Mammalia > Primates > Hominidae > Homo > Homo sapiens. The sequence goes on along the minus strand of NC_000013.11, from coordinate 109,739,784 downwards.
TGGCCCAGGCTGGAGTGCAGTGGCACAATCTCGGCTCACTGCAACCTCTGCCTCCTGGGTTCAAGCGATTCTCCTGCCTCAGCCTCCCCAGTAGCTGGGATTACAGGCGTGTGCCACCACACGCTACTAATTTTCGTATTTTTAGTAGAGACGGGGGTTTCACTATGTTGGCCAGGCTGATCTCAAACTCCTGACCTTTTGATCTGCCCGCCTCAGCCTCCCAAAGTGCTGGGATTGCAGGCATGAACCACCATGCCCAGCCCGATCATTTTTCTTTTTAATCACTTACAAAACATTAATTTTCAAAAGGAGAAAAGAAGGTGGGGTAGACTAGGATCCAGGAGAAAAGTGTGTTCACCTGTGTGGGACTCAGCAAACATTTGACCTCTCGGGGCCTCACTTTCCTTCTACCTGAATCATCTCACAGGTGACTGAAATAGATTAATGCAGCAAATATCTATACTGATCACCTACCTTCTATCAGTGCCCCTATGCCCCAAGGCATGGGTCCTTCATACAATTCTTTTAAAATAAATTATTACAAATTGATATCAAATTATTATTTGGAGACAGGGTCTTGCTCTGTTGCCCATGCTGGAGTGCAGTGGCATGATCATACCTTATTGCAGCCTTGACCTCCTGGGCTCAAGCGATCCTTCCACCTCAGCCTCCCAGGTAGCTGGGACTACAGGCACATGGCACCACGCCTGGCTAATTTTTTGGATTTTTTTTTTAGTAGAGATGAGGTCTTGCTATGTTGCTCATGCTGGTCTCAAGATCCTGGGTTCAAGCAATCTGCTCTCACAAAGTGCTGAGATTACAGGTTTGAGCCACCATGCCCAGCCAATTAGATAAAATTATTATAAAATAAATTAATTTTATAATAAATGACAACCATTCAAAATAAACCCTGAAGATCCTTTACCCAATTCACTAAGTTACATTGTATATGACAGATTATAGTATCAAACGGCAAGTCTCAGGGCCATACACTAAGCCTTATCGGGAACTGAAAGTGATCCATCTCCAAGATTTTGAACACAGAAGTTCCCCTGCTTGGCCACAGCGCCCCTCTTCCCTTGTCCTTTTCCCCTTCCTGGAGCATCCTGGGGTAGACTGACTGTCAAAACAGCCCACGCGTTCCGCTGTCTTGCCCTGCCCTGCATCCAGCCTGCGGTGATGTCACTTTGTGGCTCTTCTCATCTGGAAGTAGAGGGTATTTCTCTGCACTCCTGAGTCTGGCCAGCCTTGCAACTCACTGTGGCCAATGGAATGTGGAGGAAGTGGCAGGTGCCCGTCCCAAACCTATCCTCAGAAGCTGTCTGCTGGGAAACAAGCCCAGGCAAATCTGCGAGATGAAGAGAGACCACACGGAGCCGGCACCAGTCCATCCGGTTGTCTCAGACACGTAGGAAGCCCAGCAGGATGAGCCGTCGCCAGCCCCCCATCCCGACTCACAGACTTATGAGCAAAGGTCAAGGTGTGCTGGTGTCCGCCATGAGGTTGTGTGGTTGTTCAGTCCCGTGTCCAGGTGATGGACACCTCCTGTCCCTCCCCTCTTCCTCATTCTCCCAGCCCATCTCCGTTGCACAGTCTCACGTACCTTTCTGTCCACACTGATCCTGAGGCAGCTGTGTGAGCATAAACTGAGGCAAGAGACCAGCCCAGAAAGGCTGACAGATTTCAAATCTCAGACCCCAGGTGACCTTGTGGTAAGGGACATTCCTCACCCTGGGTGGCAGGTGACACTACAAGTCAAGTCGGTAATTCTAATCTCAACTTAGGTCCCATTGATGTTTTGTTATTCCTGTCTCTTTAAATGACACCTCAGGTGACTCAATACATGGACTTTTTCACTCCCTCCCCTTCGGCCCACTTACCTGCTACTAGGCCTGCTCCACACAAGTGATCTCATATCCAGGAGGTGGGGTGCCCCAAGCAGGAGTCCCCCTCCTCTCCCTCCTCTCTTCTTTAAGCTGTCCCTGCTCCTCCTCACACACCCCAGCTTCCTGCATTTTGCTTCATGCTCAGAGCTAGCCAGCTGTTCAGCAAGCACTCGATCAGAGGCTGTTCTACGACAAGGGCATCGTTCCTGCCTTGAGTCACTCTCAAGCTAATCAGCGTGGGTGGCTGGTGGAAAACATGCCTGTGAGAAAGCAAATGAGTGGATGGCATCATTGGGACCTCATATAAAGAACAAAGACTCATGGAGACACTAGAAAATGGAACCGCCCCAGGGAAGCTCTATAGAGAGAAAATCCAGCTACACCTTGGAAGGAAAAAGACCTTTGTCCAGATAGAGAAAGGAAAAAATAGAACATCCATCTACTTCTTGCCTCGCCACTTATGCCGTGCTCCTTTGCAATATGGACTCTGCCACCCTCAGCCGTTGACAGGGCTGTGTTGACAACCTTCTCGATGCCACCGTTGCAAGAGCTCCCAACCCCCTGCAGCAGCAGCTCACTCTGTTGACTCCTTCCTGCCTAATAAAGGTCATAGGCACCATTCCTTAGTGCTAGTTGTCACAAGACCTTGCACCAAACACCTTACGTCTTATTTCACCCTTGCAACAACTCCCATTTACAATGCAGAGAAGCGCTGACAGGGCGCTCAGATAGATGTCCCAGGTTACAAGACCACACTAGCAGAATCATGGCTTCACCCTGAGTCCGGCTAATTCCACATCTATGCGCAGCCACCCTGCCCCTCGCCTTCCCTGCAGGGCGAGTGGCTGAACATTTTCTTTGGCTAGTGCAATGGCCACCCCTTCTTTCTCCCTCTGCTCTCTAAATGTCCTTGACCCTCAACTTCCCAACAATGACTTCCCATCCCTCACTTCCTTCCTGTGTGATCTCCTTCTCTGGAGATCCCTTACTGCCTTTCTCTCTTTGCAGCCACCTCTCAAATCCCAGAAGCCAGGATGTTACATGTGCAATTTCCCTGCAAGGTGCCTTAATTTGGTTTTCCTAATGGCATCTTAAATTCAACATGTCCAGAATGGATCAGTGTCTTCCCTGAAAACCAATTCCATCTCTTGACCATTTTCTCTAAGTCACTGGGGCTAAAATTTAGAGGGCCACTTATTTCTGACAGCTCCCTCCCCACATCCTTGGGCCCTCCCCACATCCAATCAACTCCTGTCTGAAATGTGACTTGTAACCGCCCCTCCCTTGCCATTCCCACTGATAGCACTTTACTTATTACTTGTTACTTCTTGCTGGGCCACAGAAACGGCTGGACTCACCTTCCTGTCTCTGGTTTATGTGCCATTCAGAGAAACTCTGAGACATCACCTGACGAATCATTGTGATGCTCAGCTTGCAGGATCCCACTTCTCTACTCAGGGACCCCCAGTACTTCCCCGTTCTTACTGAATAAAGTCCAAATTCTACACTTCAGTGTTCTAGCCCCTTATCACGTGGGCGGTGAAACCTTTGGCTGCATCTCGGACAGCTCATGGGCAGGTCCCCTCTGCTGTCACACCCAGAGTTAGGAAGGCCTCAAATTCACTCCCTGCACACTTGCTTCCCTGTCTCCTGGCAAACTGCTTTCTCTTTGTTCTTAACTCTGCCTGGGAAAATCTTCCCCATCCTTGAAGGCCTTTCTCCACTGTTACCCCTGCATGAAGACCTCACTGACCCCCCAAAAAGTGTTTGACCCAGAACACTTTGGCTTTTGCTTATAATATTTACCTCTGACTTGGGGCACGTGTTTCATTCTCTATTTGAGTGTATGCTCTTTGAGGGTAGGAATGAGTGACTGTCTGGCCTACCCTGAATCTTGACTCTCATGAATCAAGTTTTATAAATTGACTCAAAATAATAAGTTAGAGTTACAAGAATAAGGTGGTAACGGTGGTTTTATAATTCAGAAATAATCCTTTTAAAAATGTAAAAAATACTCTAAAAAAGTCAGCTGTAGAGGTTTGCTCGTGGTTGCCAAGGAGCAAAGACTTTCAGAGAGCTTAACTCCAGTGGGTTTGAGCCTCTTTCTGATTAAAGCATCAGTGCCAATAGCATTGGATCCCTCCAAGAATGTGGTGTTTGGGACTTTACCATCATTTGTTTGTGGAATTGTGTGTAGGTCTGAAAATTCAGGCCTGTGGGGAACTAACTTTGAATTTTGATAAATGACTTTCGTGGTCAGTTCGGGTCACCCAGCTACACTCTGTTGTGTATATTTTGGCACATCTGCTCTTGAAAGATATGATTATATGTAACTCCAACAAATATATCAAAAGTGTGTTTTAATTTTTTTGCCTTTTAGATTTAATGAACCAGTTCCTAAGAGAACCCTACATGTTTCTTTAGAAGACCTAACCAATTGATACTGCATTATGACAAACCCTCTACCAGAATTTCCTCATTCATTCAAAATTATGTTTAAACCCATAATGTCCACATTCTTTTTTTTTTTAACATGAGGAGACATCATAAGAAATGAAACAACAGTTTGAGTCAGGGCAACAGAGTCCAAGTTTCCTTCCAAGAGGCCAAGTTGTTTTAGCAGAAAAGGACATTGGCGCCAAAACCCACACTAGGTCCACCGGCAGCAAACACAGAATGGTGCCCTCACTCTAGGAAGCTGGCTGTTCCATATTTTTATACTAGATTTAAGGTTCAAAATTTCATGTTGGTGTTCATAAATGCAAACACACAAGCCAGCAAAGAAAAAGGAGAGTTATTTAGTTTATATTTTCTTCTCCCATCCTTTCTCTCTCTCTTTCTATGCAAATGTTTCAATCACATAGGTTTGACCAAATAGCTGCGTCTTACACCATTCTCCTCTATGTAAAGATGTAAAGCAACTCTGCACTTTTTTTTTTTTTTTTTTTAAGACAAAGTCTCACTCTGTGGCTCAGGTTGGAGTGCAGTGGCACAATTTCGGCTCACTGAAACCTCTGCGTCTTGGGTTCAAGCGATTCTCCTGCCTCAGCCTCCCGAGTAGCTGGGATTACAGGTGTGTGCCACCACACCTAATTTTTGTATTTTTATTAGTCAGGGGGTTCACCATGTTGGCCAGGCTGGTCTTGAACTCCTGACCTCAGGTGACCTGCCTGCCTCAGCCTCCCAAAGTGCTGGGATTACAGGCCTGAGCCACCCCGACCGGCCATGCACTTGGTTTTGAGAGCAGCACAGTGGCGGTCTGTTCTCCCTGCCCGCCTGCTCCAGGGAGAGGAGTTGCTTGCTCCCTTACAGCCCTCACCTCCCATGGGACCCTGCAGGTGCTGAGGGCTCAGGCGCAGCTGCTGCCAGTCGTCACAGCCATCTCATCCATTCCAGAGTTGTAAATAGGCTGATGATTCCGTTTTTTGTTCCCAGAGCTGTATATCCAGTGGCCTCCTGGAGTCACCTACTGGGATGGCTGATGATCTCCAAAAGTGTCAACACTGTCCCAAACTGAGCACCCCGCCCCACAGCAGAGCCCTGCCCCAGCGCCTCCTGTTCTGGCTCTATGGCAATTCCCTCTTCCCAGCGGCCGCAGCAAGAGTCGGGTCCCCTGCGCCCTGGCCCAGCCCCTGCCGCCCCTGCCTGGCCTGGATGTTGGCAATGGTGGTTTCCCAGTGCCCTGCCCCCACCCTTTCCCTTACCCCTTTCAGCCCGTTCCTTACTAAGAAGCCACCGCAATGTTGGTGAGAAAGTGGGTCAGATGTGCCACAGCCTTAGGCCGCTTCAAAGTCTAACCACGTCCTGAAAACCTTCTGGTTTGGTTCCCAGCTCCTGCTCCGATCTCGCCTCTATTTGAAAACCACCATCCCCACATCGGCCACCTCTCAGTCACCCCATCCTCTGGCTCACCCCCGAGACCGCTGCCAATTGGGGGGACCCGTCCATAGCACGGATGGCGCTGCTTCCGGCACCTGCGCCGCCCGAGGGTCTCCTGGCCATGGCCTGGGGGTGCCACGCAGCCGTGGCCACCGCATCCTCCCTCAGTGCTCCCCACGGCTCTCAATGCGCTCCCCAAGTGCTGACCACGCGCGCCCCCACGGCTCCCCGACAGCTCCGCCACGCCCTCCCCACGGCTCTCCACGCTCTCCCCAAGTCCCCAACGGCTCCCCCAAGCGCTGCCCACGCTCCCCCACGACTCCCCCACTCCCTCTCCACGTGCTCCCCACGTGCTCAGAGGAGCCTGGACAGGTGGATCCGGGTTGCCCCGGGGACTCATTCAGGGGTGAGCACACCTTGTACTTTTCCCTCGTTGTTTCCCTCCTTCCCCTCCTGGAAATGCCTCCTGCGGAAACCACTCAAACCCTTGTCTCAGGACCATGGCAGGGGTCTCCTTTCTTACAGGGCTGGCTGCTTCCTCAGTCAAGGCTTCTTTGGCTATTTACTTATCTAAAATGAAAACTCCAGCCATATTCTCAGTATTTCATAGCCTCCTTTTCCATGTTGTTCTCATTCTTTAAAGTACTACCTATTTCACCTACTTGTAGTGTTCTCTGTATCCCTCTCCTACCAGAATGTGACATGGACGGTAATGTCAGCCTTCTTCACTCCTGGTTAAGCAGACTTGAGAAAAGGGCCTGGCATACAGTAGGCATTCAGTAAATGCTTTGTGACTCTGTCGAGAGGTGACAGCATGCTGGCAGCCCTCACAGGCCTTGCTCGCTCTCGGTGCCTCCTCGGCCTCGGCGCCCATTCTGGCCGCGCTTGAGGAGCGCTTCAGCCCGCCGCTGCACTGTGGGAGCCCCCTCCTGGGATGGCTGAGGCAGGAGCCGGCTCCCTCAGCCTGCGGGGAGGTGTGGAGGGAGAGGCACGGGCGGGAACCAGGGCTGGGAGCGGCGCTTGCGGGCCAGCTAGAGTTCCGGGTGGGCGTGGGCTTGGCGGGCCCCGCACTCGGAGCGGCCGGGCAGTGAGGGGCTTAGCACCCGAGCCAGCAGCTGCGGAGGGTGCGCCAGGTCCCCCAGCAGTGCCGGCCCACCGGCGCTGCGCTCGATTTCTCGCCGGGCCTTAGCTGCCTCCCCGCAGGGCAGGGCTCGGGACCTGCAGCCCGCCATGCCTGAGCCTGCCCCCGCACCCCCGCCGTGGGCTCCTGGCGGCCCGAGCCTCCCCTATGAGCGCCGCCCCCTGCTCCACGGCGCCCAGTCCCAACAACCGCCCAAGGGCTGAGGAGTGCGGGCGCACAGCGTGGGACTGGCAGACAGCTCCACCTGCAGCCCCCGGGCGGGATCCACTGAGTGAAGCCAGCTGGGCTCTTGAGTCTGGTGGGGACTTGGAGAATCTTTATGTCTAGCTAAGGGATTGTAAATACACCAATCAGCACTCTGTATCTAGCTCAAGGTTTGTAAATGCACCAATCAGCACTCTGTGTCTAGCTGATCTGGTGGGGACTTGGAGAACATTTATGTCTAGCTAAGGGATTGTGAATACACCAATCAGCACTCTGTATCTAGCTCAAGGTTTGTAAATGCACCAATCAGCACCCTGTGTCTAGCTAATCTGGTGGGGACTTGGAGAACCTTTGTGTCTAGCTCAGGATTGTAAACGCACCAATCAGCACCCTGTCAAAACAGACCAATCAGCTCTCTGTAAAACAGACCAATCAGCTCTCTGTAAAATGGGCCAATCAGCAGGATGTGGGTGGAGCCAGATAAGGGAAGAAAAGCAGGCTCTCCGAGCTAGCGGTGGCAATCTGTTAGGGTTTGTGTCTGTCGTGTGGAAGCTTTGTTCATTCGTCTTTTGCAATAAATCTTGCTACTGCTCAGTCTTTGGGTCCACACTGCTTTTATGAGCTGTAGCAGTCACCACGAAGGTCTGCAGCTGCACTCCTGAGGCTAGCGAGACCACGAACCCACCGGGAGGAGCGAACGACTCCAGACGCGCTGACTTAAGAGCTGTAACAGCTTACCGCTAAGGTCTGCAGCTTCACTCCTGAGCCAGAGAGACCAGGAACCCACCTAGAAGGAACAAACTCCGGACATGCCGCCTTTAAGAGCTGTAACACTCACCGCCAGGGTCCGCAGCTGCATTCTTGAAGTCAGTGAGACCAAGAACCCACCAATTCCAGACACACTGTCATCAAAAAGTGGGATATCTTTTTAAACAGAGATAACATTGCAGAATCTTGGAGTTGGAAATAGACCTCAGCTGGGGTTTAGTCCTGTTTTCTCCTCAGAGCAGAAGTCCTGGGATGCCGTTCTGGACTGATTGTCAGTTTTTTCTCCTGTCCTTGAGCTATTCTAATGCCAGACATCTGTGGCTTTACACAGCCAGGCTTTCAGTTAGAGAACTTGGTTAGCTCAGGTCAACAAATGCTGCTCTGAGAACACTGACTCCCATGTGGGGAGACTCTGCACCTGGAGCTCCGGGAGAGCCGGCTCAGGCCTCTTCCTGCTATCCAGGGAACTGCAGTGGCGTTGGAGGGCCTTGCTGGGGCTGGGGCTGGGGAGAAGGGATTCCAACCCTACTGATAATTCGTTTGGAAACACCGGGCTGTGGATTTCAGAAGTTCTTGGGCAGCCTGATTACCACTGGCAGTGAGCCGGGGACGAAGCCGAAGCTATGAGTGACAGACGGAAAGAACTGGGGGCTTTGGTGAACCAGAGAACACTTAGCTCCTCCAGCCCTGAAGCAGGCGTCACCGCAGGGCTTATGGTCCTAAGAGCCACTTAGTTTCCTTATTCATTAAACTAGTTTAATTTGGGTTTTCTGCATCCTGGAGGACACCAAGTCGGTGTGCGGAGGGACCCTGTAGACACGTGTGCAAAGAATAAGCCGACGATCATGGAATTTCTGATGACGCCACTGACACGTGGGATGGAGGCCTCCTTCCCAGGGCACCCCTACACTCATGACAATGAATCCTGGCTCTTATTCACCCCTTTGGATTTCACAAGCAAGTAGTAAGTAGAAAAATAGTTTCATTTTATTTTCAGTACATCAACTGAATGTGCTAATACTTGTATCCACTTCCACATGTAAGAACTCTGTTACATAAATTTGAGAATAATCTGCTCTTTGCTATTTTGACTTTATTTTCACTGCAGATTACCAATTGTCCCTACAATTTGCGTTTTATAGTTTACATCATCGTACACTTGATTTTATAGGGAACAAAAGGTTCTCAATAATTACAAAGAAATGTGTTGATTTAACATACTCCAAGAATCTCATGAACACAGTCCAAATAATAATTCAAAATTGAAGGTGGTATATTGGGCTAAAGTGTCCAGCAACTAAGGAACTAACGATGACTTAACTTTTATTGTCTTGGGTCACAGACACATAAAATTGACTAGAAAATTAATCCTGGTATATCTTTTGTATCTTCAACATCACTATGAATATTCTACTTTTTAAGTGACATGGAAACATTCAAATTGAGACATGGAGTCTGAGAGTGACACGGGCTGCTGGAGTCCACACCCTGTTGACCAAATCCACACCTTTGGTGGCCAGCTCCGTTTTGGTTTTCAAACTTTAAGCTCCATTGTATCCCCAAAATATATGAATGAAAACAAATCAATTTATTTATTTTCATTTTAGTTATTTATTTGAGACAGGGTCTTGCTCTGTCGCCCAGGCTGGAGTGGGTTGTTGTGATCTCGCCTCATTGCAACTTCCATCTCCTGGGTTTAAGCGATTCTCCTGCCTCAGCCTCCTGAGTAGCTGAGATTACAGGCACGGACCACCTTGCCCGGCTAATTTTTGTACTTTAGTAGAGAGAGGGTTTTGCAATGTTGGCCAGGCTTGTCTGGAACTCCTGACCTCAAGTAATCCTCCTGCCTCAGCCTCCTAAAGTGCTGGGATTACAGGCGTGAGCCACCACACCCGGCCCAAGTCAACGTATTTATAATATGTGAATTGTTTGCACACCTATTTCAAGCACTGGAAAAGAAAAAAAAGAAAAGAAACAGGTCCATGAATGAGGTAAGCAGAGTTGGACCCAAATACTTCAATGCCTTCTCAACAATTTCTTCTAAATGGCTTCCCGAAATTAGCTCTGCACGACCTATCTTTCTTGGGGGGTGGGGAAGCGATTACTTTTTAAAAGCCACATTAAAGTGTGTGTTCTATATCACGATGGCAGTTAAGGGAGGGGAGGCGTCTACAGCTGACCTGGGGAAGTTTTAATCATTGAACTATGCACAAGTGGGGCCGGGGCGGGAAGCGGCAGGAAAATGAGGCACCTTCTGCAGAACCTAGCCAGCCTGCAGGCGTTCCTGATCTGAGGAAAACACTTTAATTAATATGTAAAACAGCAGTGGGGAGAAAAGCAAGGTTAATTTCCAAACCACATCACTACCAGCGGTATTTGGGTTATGAAACCTTGGGAAACTTCTAGGAGATCCTGTTTGAAGGCACAGAGGTGCTTTTGTGTGTGAGTAGCTTCTGAGATGCTCAAAAGCTCTTTTATCTGCCCCCTGCAGTGGTATTGCTCTTTCTGTGTTTAAAAACACTGCCTTTGACTGGCAGGCTTTTGTTTTTAATTTGCAGTGCATCCTCCATTTTTGTTTGGAACTTGCCTGAAAGCAGCGTTTAGGGGAGAGAGAGCTGTTTGATTTCCTTTGTTGCGGCTTTCTTAGCTGCTGGCTACCTTTGGAATGTGTGACACAGGCGTCTCTCCTGGTTAGGAAAATGTTCTGTACTTGCCTGGGGTGAGACTGTAGCTCATTTCCTGGGTTGAGATCTAAAATCCTGAGCAGAGTTAAGTGTATCAAATAGTGGCTGTGCCAAGGATCAGTGTCTGGTGGAGACAGCGGATTTTCCAAGGTCATGGAAGTGAAGAAACAGCTGACAAGTCTTTCCCTAGCTTGAGCAGAAACAGCTCCATTCAGTGCGTGAACAATTAACTCAATTAGAGAATGTGCAGCTTTCTAAAGACGCGTCCACTGTGAGTGCGTGTGCCTGCGTTTCCTGCCTCCCTCTCCTCACAGACACCTCAAAAGCAACATATCTGAAAAGTCCTCTTAGCTACCCTGTCTAGGAGAAGTCAGAGGCTTGAGGACGATACTGTGTTCCTCCCACCGCTTGGTATCCCACCAACACCCGCTCCTGGCCATTAGACACTCAAGCATCTTTCAAGTAGGGAGATGACTTTTTTGGGGGTCATAGACTCCTTTGAGAATTAAAGTTTACCCCAGGAGGAAAATAATATCTGCACATACCAAGATCAGCACACACTTTCAGGGGTTTTCCCATACCTACTTTAAGCCCAATTAGGATTTCTGTACTAAAATCAATCCCTCTGTCCCATTTCCTCTGCCACAGCCGTATGTGCAGCCCCACGCGTTACTTACATCTAGCCTGGAGGGTTAACTTTGACTTCCCAGCTTCTGGCACAATTTCCTTCTCCATCGCAGGCCGGAGTGGTCTCCACATTCCCCAAGGGCTCACCCATGACCTTTAGAAGAAAGTCCAAGCACTAGCTTGGCACTCAAAGTCTAAGGAATTCTTCATCCCGTGCTCCAGGCACATGAAATGCCTGTGTTTTCGTGAGCAAACGTTTCTCCTGTGGCCTTCCAGTTTCTCCCAGTACATCCTGTGGACTATCGTGGAGGATTTGCATTGCAGTGTGTGCCTCTCAGGTCCATGTTGGAGTGCCCTGCGTCCGCCTCCCTCTGCGCGGTCCACTCAGCTGGGTGGCGTCACTGGTGACTGGGCTTCTGCCTCCTTCCTTTCACTGGGAGACTCCTCAGTCAGAGTCTGGGTCTTCATCTCTAAACCCCCCGGGGCAGCAGCAGTCCCTGATTTTGACATAGGAGATTAGGACTGCAGCTTGTAGGGAGGTGGTGATCCACGGAGGGGCTTCTTCTGAAGCTGACTTTTGTAGCAAGCACAGTGTTCCAACTTACATTAAATACACGTGGGGTGGCTTGATATGACGATGGAGAAGATCCCACATTGCACAAGGTGGGAGCTAAAGCCCCAGTCCTCGCCCTGCAGCTGTAGTACACAGCTTCACAGTTACGTGCACTGCCACATGTATGTAATAATCTGGTATGTAACAGGTGCTTGTTGAATATTTGTTGGATGAATAGATGAGTGACCCTAGAAAAACACAATGCAGACCTATGGGTAGAAGAAGAAAAGAACCTGGAGTTTCCTGGAAGTTAGGGGTTCCAGCCCACCTCTGTCCACAGCCATGTGATCTCACACACACACACACACACACACACACCTACACCTGCACCCATGAGCCTCCCCACTTTGTCAGGGATCATGATTCACAGGTTATGCTGCATCTCCTAACTTTTCCATTTCTTTGCACTCACTTTTTCACTCCATTTATAGGCACACAGCAACCCCGTCTCCTGCAATGACCCCTGCTCCAGGCCTCACATAAACCACCTGCTATCTGTACTCGGCAGCCCTGGTCCGAAGGCAAACACAGTCCTGGTTGCCCCACCTGACGCAATTGCTCCTAGCATTTCTTATTCACTCTCCAGCTTTCGCTTGGCTCTACCCTCTGCTGAAACAGCTAACCCTCTTGCCTGGCAGAGTCAAGGAAATTTTTGAGTCCAGGGCCTTCAACCTTGTGTCTTCAGGAGCCTCTGCAAAGCTGGGTGCCATGTAGGTGGGCTCTCTCCTTCCACTCCCTGTCGTCTTCATTCTCTAGCCCTCCGTATCACCCTTCTGGGCAATTCTTTCTCAGCTCACTTAGCGAATGTAAGGAAGTGTTTCATTTTCAGTCTTTCAAATCTTTTTTCAAATACTTCGTATTCAATCATTTCCTCTTCTTGGATAGAGTTTTGTGTTTTAAGTACAGTGTTATCCAATGGCTAGATCCGCACCTCTAGCCAGCTCACCACTCTGTGGCCCAGACTCTCTTTGCCAACTGTTTAACTCTCGTGTATAAATGACAGGCAGCTGCATATGTCCATATGTCCAGCTGTCTGTTCTGCAGTGGGTCACTTATGGGATCAGATTGTACATCTGCCTGTTTCACTTCAAATTGCCTCTTCTTTGCAAGCATCCAGGGGTGTCTTGCCTCACATACAAACAAACACAGAACAAAACTAAAAACCTCAAAGGAATTTCTGTGTTGAAGAGGTTTTAATGGTAAAATAATTAAGTTTACTTGCGATTAAAAAATAATTGTAAATTTTTATTAAAAAACCCTCAAAACTATCTTGCTGTATTTTTCTTTTATTATAATCAAAGTTTAGGCAAGAAGAGGGGTATCTATTGGCTCATGAAGTTTAACAGTTCCCTGGATTGACCTAGAACAGTGCTTTTCAAAATAAGCATCAGGCCCATCTAGAGAGCTTGGAAAGAGATCTCACTGAGTCAGCTCCATCTTCCAGAGTTTGTAATGCAGTGAGTCTGGGAGCTGAGGTTGAGAATTCGCATTTCCAGCAAGGCCATGAGGCTGCTGCTGCTGCTTTGGGGGCCCCACTTTGAGAACTCATAGCGTCAGGCACCACAGGACCCAGATGGTCAATGATATCCGGAGAATCAAGTCTCGCTTTCCCCAGTGACACAGAAAGTTCCTGGCACTCCCAGGCTAACATCCTCTCTGGAGTTGGTAATTTCCAAAAGAGATCTTTCCAACTTCCATAAAAACTTCAAAAATATGACTCTGGTGCTACATGAGCTACCTGCTTACCCCTGGGCCAATCACTGATGTTCCCTGTGGGGTAACCTGATTCTCTGGCCTGGGTCACATGACTCGCCTTGTGGTGGGCAGGCTCCCTTCGTGACTGACAGCTTTCCTGCCCGCCCCACATTCAGAATCCTATCTAAAGCAAGGAATGTAGGGCAAACAGAGTGTTTTTAAAGTATATTTCAATCTCTATATCTATCTACCTGCCTACCTGTCTGCCTACCCACCTATTGATCTAGGCCAGTTACGTAATCTCTCTGAACCTCATGTTTTATTTATCCAGATAAGTGATTCCATAATACTTACCTTTCAGGCCATTGTGTGGATTAGAAATATCACCTGCTTCAAACAGCCAGCATATTGCCTGCATCAACTATGTAGAATAAATGATAGCTAGATATGAAGAGGAAATTGCTTCATCCTTGACCCTGTCTCCCCCAGTAAAGGTGGTTCATTAGGTGTCTGGCGCCAGATAGGGTGGGGCCAGATTGAGGATGCTCACCCTATCACTTTTCCCCACTCATCTCTAACTCCTTGACCAGTGACTATGACCTCTCCATGCACTCATGTGTATATGGAGGTTTTCCATTGGAAAATGAGGCATATATTACAGAAACACCCATCACATATCTGTATCCCTTTGGTGAGAGGTGCAGGGGCACGTGGAGTACTCCTTCCTGCTGCTAAGTTCATTTTTGTGTGGCTTTCACCGTTTGTTCCCTGTTGAAGCCTTCTCCAAGCTTCGGGTGTTCACAAGTCTCCAAGGGCTCTGTGAGATTAGAACTTCCTTCCTCTTTCAGCTGATAATTACAGCTCTGTGGTTCTCCCTTGTAGGTCTTTCCTTGAGCTCCAAAACAGAGTTTTCCTGCAGTGGAGCTTCTATTCGGATAATTAGGGCACTCAGTTGTATTGGAGGAGGGTTGAATTAACTACCTCTGTCTCCTGTGCTACTTGGTTCTGGGCTTCTACACATCACAGCTACCTGGAGGATAATCATCATGATAATAACTATTATTTACTGAGCTGATGATGCCCTAGGCAAGATTCTTTTTCCATTGCATTCTCCCAAAGCCTAGAAGGTAGCTATTCAATTTTACAGATGAGGAAACTAAGGCTGTGTGAGCTAAATGCCTCCGCTAAAATCACACAGCAGTACAAAGCGTGGCAGGGTGGGGAGGCCCGCAGAGTTGCGACCCCAGCCCAGCCTGTGAATGCAGACTTTCTGTGTGAACTGCGCTGTTCTTGCAGCTCTCTTTGGACCTGGATTGAAGTTTTCCCATGAAGAACTGGGGAACATTGAATTGTTGATGTTGTTGTTGTTGTTGCTCTGAATTGGATTACATATAAATTCTCTTTTCCTTCAATATTCAGTGAGATTTTGGCAGTCAATGGAGACTCATTGCCTAATGGTTGCCATGGGTGATTTTCTCAAATCACTGCTCCGGGCCCAGGGCCATCAGAGCAATTCACCATGCTGAAGAGACGCCTTTGTTAGTCCAAAGGCAACCTCAGGTAATCAACTGCTTGACCCACCTCTGATTTTAAGCACCAAATTAATTTTAGACGTTGCATAGAGAAAGGTCGATCCTCCTGTTTTCTCTGGGAGTGGCAAGTGAGCAGCTCAGCTGGAGCGCGGCAGGGTTCTGCCTGTGTCCCTGTCCTCACCCCATCTCTGCTTTCACCAAGCAAGAGCTGCATTTGGGGTTGGCCGGGGCTTTCTCACCTCTGGAGATTCCTGGTCCAATGTCATTGGCAAGCACGTGACCTGAGAGAACCTGAAGATTAAAACACTGGCCTTCGAATTCTGAGAAGTCCTGTCATCATCTATCAGGGAACTTAGCAATACCACTTCTTTTCATAGCAGATATATTTATGTGCTTGACTTACATTTTAATGGTTTATAAAAGCTAAAAGCAATCGCAGTTTGGGGGGCCCTACGTGGACTTCCCTGCAATTCTGTGATTGTCCCTTAATGAAGTCAACAAACACAATGGGCAGATGAATGAATGCTCCCAACCTAATTAAATCTAACATTTGAGAATAAAATAATACTAAATATGTAATCTCATTTCCATTTGGAACCAACTAGAGCTTCTTTGAAATTTGGGGCTATTTGGAAAGCATTATAGATCACAAATAGATGGAACCATAATGGAAACACATTACCGCTCAAGAAGATTGAAAATAGCCCTCCCGTAAACCTAGTGTTGTATCTCTGTACTTGTGAAGGAAAAGACTCTACTTTGACCTGAGTGGGCTCTGTTGAATAATATTGAAAATGCACAGCTGAATGAGGCTGCATTAGACTGTCCCAGCGGGAGAACAAATCAGAAGTTATGTTGTTGATGCAAACCGTTTTGTCTGGCCACCTTTCTAACGTGCTTGTTTTTCATTTTCCTCTTTTTCTGTCTTTTTTGGGAGGCTGGGGGGTGGGGTATTACCTAGGGAGAGGGGAAGCCAATCACCATTTGACTGTGTGTTGAATTTAAGGACGCCTAGAGGTGAAAAGAGGAAACCTTATGATTGAATTTTGCCTACTAATGAAAGTTCATATAAATCAAGGCTCACATAGCTCTTATATGAATAAAATATTATACCTGGAGGCAGGAGGATGTGATCTATTTTACTATCTTCATTAATCTGCAAATTTGCTGTTCAAGGCTGTGGCCACATATCACTGTGGAGAAAAGACATTCCCTTCTGCACTGCTGTTTTCTCAGGTCCAGAACATGCTCTTTCTTTAGTATGACACATGTCTTTTTTCTGATAATCACCTGGCTTCACTTTTTGTAAGGTTTACAAAATTCATTAGGCATATTCAGGTTCAGAGGTTGGTGAAGTGCTTGAACCATATCTTTAGGTGATTACTATCCCGCATGCTGCATTTTGTAATGATGATGCTTTACTCAGTTATAGTCAGGTCAAACAAGTGACAATGATAAAGACCATTGTGGACGCAGCACAGTCACTGACTGGACCTACAAACACACTGGCAGGGCTGTGTTTGCCTTACAATCTGGGCTTTATAATTAAAGGAAACATCAGTGCTTAAGCCCAGACCTTTGGTGGGGCAGTTATCATGAACTCTGGAAGATTCGATCCATTAAATATTTTGGTTTGTTCCAATCAAGCAGTGTTCATGACCTACTTTGACAGGTATTTGGGATGTGCAGTCAGGTGATTTTTCTTTTAAACTATCTTATCAACCAAGCAGATTCTTCCATGTGGCCATCTGCTCAGTTTTGCAGCCCTCAGCTGTTCTTGGAGCTAGAAAAAAATTCTCCTGTGGAAAAATCAATGTACTTCTCTCAAGGAGATGGAGATTTAATATGTTACAGGAATAGATGCAGTAGAAATTGATAACCCTTGTTATATCTCCATTTGATTGAGAGATCTTAGGGTAAATAAAATATGGCTCAATTTACAGTCAGATTACTTAGGTTGTTATTTTAATAACTAATTCAGTAATTTTAGAAAGTAGGAGAGTAAACTTATAGCATTTTTACACTAAAATAGATTTCAGACATCCTTCATGTAGGTAATGTCTTGTTGAGACTATTTTCCTGGTGTTTTTGAAACTGTGGTTCTGTTTGTAGTTTCGTAAGAGCTTTGAATTTGGCTCCATTTGGGGTTCAGCAAATTAGTGTAGTTTGTTCTGGTTTTTATTTGAGGTTCTGCTCGGGATGAGTCCCAGGAATGGATGCCATGTTTGTGAACAGGGCCCACTTTCATCTGAGCATGTCAATAACAGGAAAAGCCAGATGGGCAGCAAGCCTCCACCAGCACCCCCACCACATCTGCACTCATACCCACCCCTCCGTGTTGGCTCCAGAGGTGAGAGCTGTTTTCTTTGTTCACCATTTTAGGGTGAGCCCAGTGAAAGGCAGGCAGGGTGTCCATCGGTGGATACATATGGAGATCAAGATGCCTGACTTCCATTCCCTACCCCAGCACACCTGCTGGCGGGATCCAGGCACACAGCTCTCAGCACTGTGTTTGCCCTTGAACCAGTGAGGGGTCTCAGTCGCTGACTGGAGGGGGCGGATCACGATCCAGCAAGGCCTCTGAGTGCCAGACAGTGTGCTAAGCCCTCTGTACAGTTAGGAGATCCCTGTGGAAGGTGATATCACCCCCATTTTTATGTTCAAGGAAAAGCAGTCCCAGAAAGGACTCGGGTTTGAGTCCCGCGGCAGTAAGTGCTGGAGGTAATTCGAGCGCGTTTTGGCTTCCTGGCTGTTCTGTGCTCTGTCCTGTAGCCTCCATAAATACAGGTAGTTGGTGACCTAAAGATTGTAATCTTTAGCATTTTTACAAGCCAAACATCTGTGAAAACCACAGTAGTATCATTATAAAAATCCCATGTAAGTATAAATAGTATAGTAAAATTAAATAACAGCAACTCCTCTTATTTGAATATAGCAGTATTTTTAGGCCAAGGGTTGTTTTGGTCAAACATGATCCCTATATCTGGAAAACCTGGTATTTTTGGGACATAGTTTCCCTTATTCTTGCTGCAAGAATGACTTTTTCTGGATTAAAAAATAGACTATGGGACTACTACCTTGTTTTTCTGTTTACAGAAGTAGGCTGACTTACGGATGTGGGGGAATTATTCATTTACGATTATTTCATGAAGCCATTCATCTTCAGGTCTTCCTTCCAATAAGGAAGACCTGAAGTTCAATTAGTGGCTCCCTTACAATCTGAGCATAACATGAAATTTACATAAATCTCTACTTCTCTTTTGCTTTGGATTAATGAAATCAAACAGGCAACTAGAATATGCTGCCAGTGCAGAATATGAATAAAATAAATAAAGTATTTACCCCAGCTGTGATTGTTAATTTTAGTGTATAGTGAGACTCCTACAGTGTGGTTTGTTATAGATTTTTTTTCTTTTTGGTTCCTTTTTTTTTTTAATTGAGGAATTATGTTTTCTGTTTTTATCTCTTTTTTTATGTGTGTTTTGTGGTTTATACTCCTGGATTTTCCTATTAGTTTTACCCCTCCTAAAATTCTAGCTCATCGTACTTAGCTATGTTTCAATATATGATTACAGTGACCCTTTAAGTGAACAGAATGATCCCTTTGAACCGTGGAATAGGTGAACGACCTTTTGGAATACACACAGACTCTGGTGCAATGTAGCCAGAAAAACCAAACAAATTGACAGCCAGATGAAAAGCGATTGGTTCAATTGAGGTACACCTGCCAAATCAGGGCTGCCAGCTGGGAAATTCTTACGCATTTTCCTAAGTGGCTGTTACATAAAATATTGAGCCTGCGTGTATCTGTTAAGTCATCATGGCTCTGATATTTAAAGAGCCTTGTTCTTTTATTTTTTCCTTCCTGGAATGGGGAATCAAGAGACCAGGGTTTACATATTGAAAACAAGAAACCAAATCAAACAGTGGCTTATTCTTTAAAGTAAACAGAGCAAAGGCTATCAGTGGCAGATGTAACCAAGAGCTGGCTCTATGCAGACAAAGAGGAGATTATGAAAACAAAAATCTCTTCCACTGAAATAATTATGTTTAATTACTGATCCAGGAACTGCATTTAACGTTTTTCATTTGCACAAATCTTAAGGGTAAATGAGGCTGACAAATACTAATCAGGAGACAGGGGAGATTATTTCATGGTTTTGGGTGGGATGAGCATCTAAAAGCCTATCCTTCTCTCTGGTTTTGCCGGCCTAGACCCTACGTCTCCCTCAAAGATCTGCTGAGACCAGAACTTTGAGCCCCACTCTTCGGGGAGTGCCAGCCCATTCTTTCCAACCTTCTTTCTTCTGCATTTCTGAAAACCACAAAATTGAGTTATCACTGCGGCAACACCTTGTCACTTGGCTGAGCTCTTTCTCTTTAGCTGATAACTTGGGGGAACAAAGCCTGGTTCCATCCAGGGTTCATATTTGAAAACTAAATAACAAAACATAGAATACTTGAATGAACTCTATTCTGTCTTGTATATTGTCCCTGGCATACCATCTGCACTGAAAGCTGCTCAGAGGCAGGGATACTTCATGTCTCTTTTTTCCCAGCTCCCAGCAGGATATTGAGTCAATCGTGAATGATGGATGGATGGGTGGATGGATGAATGGACGGATGGATCTGGGATCGTGTCCAAGTGATTGCACTGTGGTTCTTAAAGTTTATTCAGATATTTGGAACAAGATCATAGACTATCTCCTACAGATAGTAAAAAATTCAATCCTTTAGCCAACTGGTGGAAGGAGATCAAGGCTATCCATCTGTAAGATTGCTCCAGAGTCATGCCTGATGCCATTTCACAGAGAATGTCAACCCTGCTCTTGCTTTACTGTGCGTTTCCCGTGGCAGGGCTGATCTCTGAGAACTGTGAAGTAGTTGTTGATTGTTGTTGTTTGGTTGTTAGAGTCTGACCCTTGTTGGAGTCATTCCGTGTTCTAAAAAGTCTCCACTCTTTTAGAGAAAATCACAGTGGGCAAGGGTTACAATGGCAGCAGAATGTTTCCTGATGAGATCAATGCACCCTTCAAAATCCCATGACTGACCCTTCACCAAAGGTCCTAAACAGAATACCACCAAGGAGTTAAGGACTGTCCAGTAACGCAGGTATTGCCAATTCACTTCTTTACCCTAAAAAACAATTCTTGCTTTGAGACTCCATCAGCAGTCCCTGTAAATATTACACAAAGCACTAATTTTCTTCTTCTACAAAAGCAGTAATTTCTGTCTCCTTTACTCTTTTTTTATGAAGTTCTATGGAGAACTGTTAAATATTTAATTCCTGCTGTGTATGAGAGATCAGCTCTGATTTCTAAGTACAAAACTAAACTTCAGCAAGCTATAAGAATAGTCTGTAGTCCTGGTGATTGACACTGTGATAATATATCTCTAAATGGTGACTGTGTGAACACAGTATTACAGTCTTAAGAAATAGATTTGGTACAAATAATTATTACTAGCTTGTGTGGTATATGTTGCATGTATGTGATACATGGTGTCACGTGGTGTATGTACATAGACCATATATGATGTGTTTATATAGGCGTATATATGTGTATACACACACCCTTTTCAGCCTTTTTGGATATGGTCTCGATTTCTTTGCAAAACATATTTATTTTTTCATCCCAAGAAAATATTTGTCTTGCAGAAGTGCACTGGAAATACTTAGGTTGTTGATTCAAAATAATTATCCTTGAAAAAAGCATGATTTGTGTTCAGTCTCACAGCACCATTTGATTGCTTCCCATGCCCTACAGAACTATATTTATAAAAGGATTTTGTCCTTTTGCCCTTTCCATAACTCACCATCAACTGTGAATCAAGTTTCAGTAACAATGGAGGCTGTTTTCCTGAATCAACAGGCAAGCTTTATTGCTTTTTCTTTTTCAGGGCTTCTTTACTTGCTCATTTTCCAGAGTTCTGCTGTTCTAGACTCTCATTTATATTAATCAGTCAGAGTCCCTCATCTGCTTACTGAATTTGCTGTTGCCTGGAAGAATTTCCAAGTACTCTTTTGCAAGGAAAACAACATATTTTGTAGTAGGAAGTAGAAGTTGCCCACGGGCCACTTACAATCCAACTTTCAATCAGCAGCTTGAATTAGATATTTGGAGTTAGATTTTTTTGTGTGTCTTGTTTATTTTATAAAAGGACATTCTTATTTCTCATTTTTGAGTTTAAGTTGGCTAATAAATGTATAATGTGACTTTCCTAAGAAGTCACAATATTACTTAATATATATTACTATATTATATAGTATTTATATATTATATAGTATTATATATATTATAATAAGTATAATAAATATTTACTTATTATGTATTTATTAGCCAGTAAGGACTTCTAAATGGCTTTCTAAATAAAGCAGATTTTCTTTTCTTGTAGTAAAAGCAAATAAAATAAGACCAAAAATATTTCAGAGTATTATCAAATATCCACCACACCTATACTCCCTCAGAAGCTTCTGTTTCTCCCTCCCTGCTATCAATTTAGTTACAATGTAACCTCATTAAAAATAGGTTCCTTTCCTCTGGGGCACCTCGTAGGATGGCTTCCTCCAGGAAGTTCCCAAAATATGGGGATGGATAGCCGGGGTCATCTTCTGCCAGCTTTGGTCTCTACATGCTTATACCCACTTCAGCCAGGTCCCACTTCCTCTAGGACTTTCCGTGGCTTGATGCCTAGGCTGGCTGGGTCATCGTGAAGGGGCCAGAACACAGAATTGCAGGTAGGAAAAACCCTAAGGTTTATGTGTGGGTATTACCTGAAGGCTTTGAGGCAGGTGCCTCTTCTAGATGATCTCAGTGAGTCTCCACTCCAACTCTGGCACAGCCCACTGTGGCAGGTCTTAAGCTTCAGAGAGGTTTAGGAGTTGGCCTAGTCGCAGACAGCAGGTGGGCAAGATGGGCATGACTGCAGGTGAGCACGAGCCTGCCTCTCTGCAGCTTTCTTCCTGGTCCCAATCCTTCTGGAACAGAGGTTCTTGCCCTGTCCTCCTATCGCTGTGGTCTTAGACCTGCAGGCTCTCGAGAAGGCTCCTTTTATACATCTGCTGTTTACCTCCCGCAGATGCTTGGAGCTCCATTGGTCACTTGCCCCATCCCTGCTGGAGGTAAATCCTTAAGGCTCCTCATATCCTGCCCACCATTCACTCACTCATTCACTCATTCACTCTTGTAGCCTCTTACCCACTTCAAGTCATTTATTACATTCACTCACTCACTCACTCATTCATTCTTGTAGCCTCTTACCCACTTCAAGTCATTTATTACATTCACTCACTCACTCACTCATTCATTCTTGTAGCCTCTTACCCACTTCAAGTCATTTATTACATTCACTCACTCACTCACTCATTCATTCTTGTAGCCTCTTACCCACTTCAAGTCATTTATTACATTCACTCACTCACTCACTCATTCATTCTTGTAGCCTCTTACCCACTTCAAGTCATTTATTACGTTCACTCACTCACTCATTCATTCTTGTAGCCTCTTCTTACCCACTTCAAGTCATTTATTACGTTCGAGGCACTAGGAAAGAATTTCCCATTTCAAAGACATGCAGTTTTCTGGAGTGGATGACCTCTGCTCTAAACATGATACTAATAATAGTTGTTATTATTACCTATATCAACAGCAGTATGGATTGAATTGTGTCTCCTCCAAATTTATGTGATGAAATTTGAAACTCCCAGCATCACATAATATGATTATATTTGGGGGACAGGGTCTTTAGAGAGGTAATCAAGGTCACTATGGTTGCTGTCCTTAGCGAAAGGGGAAAGTTGCACATAGACACAAGCATAGAGTAAAGACGATGTGGAGAGACTCAGGGAGAAGATAGGCGTCTACAGCCAGGGAGAGGCCTGGAGCAGAGCCTCCCTCACAGATGTCAGAAGAAGCCAGCCCTGCCACCACCTGGATCTTGGACTTCTGGCCCACAGAACCGTGAGATAATCAATTTCTATTGTTTAAGCCACCAAGTCTGGGGTACTTTGTTGTGACAGCCATGGTAATGTAATACAAATAGGAATAATATATATATGGAAATGTAGGCCTTCGCTACGTGCAAGGTATGGTGAAAATTGCTTTTAGTGCAGAATCTTACTTAAATCTCACCCAAACCTTCATATTACCAGCACTACTAAGATTTAAAGATTAAGAAACTTATCCAAGACCAGACAGCTAGTAGATGAGAAACCCAGGGTTCAAACCCACACCTGTGACTCTGGAGCCATCACCTTTAACCATCACTTTGTCTTATTTTCCCCCAGGCTGAAAAAGTCCTTCCTACTCACTGGATGTGAGTCCTGCGTGTCCCATTGTAAACTGTCCCTCTGCCTCAAATGTCAACAGCAACATTGAAACAACAGTATTTTTTTTTTCAAATCAGTATAATATTCAGAGGACATTAAATTAAGTAGGCATTCTCATATTCTTGGTCTCCACATAGCAGAAAAATCTGTTAGAATGAAGAAGGTAATCTCATTAGTGAGGTATTACGTTGACCTGAGGAGCAAATGCTGTTGTTGTTTCTGGCAACAGAGGATTTTGTCCCTGAACAAAAGTTAGCCTGGCACTGTGAAGTAGGCTTTTATATGAACAGGTCACTCCTTGCAACAGCAACAAGTGTTGCTTCAGAATGAGCCTGGCTCCTGCCATGTGGGTCAGGGCTGACAGCAGGGATTTCACATGTGACAGATGACTAAGGGTTTATGTGGACATGGAAGATTTGAGGCTCCTTTCTGCCCCCATCCTCTCACTGAGGCAATTGAAGATCTTTTTCTCCTAGCAGACCTAGAAATTGTTTGCCAGTGGGGGCAGAATGAGGGAGGGGCTTTGAAACTCAGTTGCTACAAGTTAGCGTGTACGTTTAGATGAACTCATGTTAACAATATACTTTTCCAGTGGATCCATTCCAGATTAAACTGTGGTCTTTGAGTTTCTCAACTTCCTTTTTCTTATTGTTTGATATTTATTGCTTTTTAAAAAGATTTGCTAATCTTACACGCAAAACTTTCAGACAAAGACTTCAGGGAATAATCTTTCATACAAAGATTTCAGGCAATAAATTTCTAGTGTTTATACAGCTAGCGAATAGAACTTCTTCCTAAAATTGTTTGAAGCCCAAAATCTAATGGCAAGAGATTGGCTCTCATTTTTGGTAGCCTTGATTGAAGCCGATTGATTGAATTGCTGTTCCTGTCAATCTTGTGACATTCTTACACTAATGAGGTAAAA
This sequence comes from Homo sapiens, assembly GCF_000001405.40. NCBI lineage: Eukaryota > Metazoa > Chordata > Mammalia > Primates > Hominidae > Homo > Homo sapiens. Next base: position 109,715,504 of record NC_000013.11, on the reverse strand, counting down.
TAAATGCTGAGTCCTGAGGTCACACCAGTCCTCGCTGCACATGTCCTTCACCTGACTTGATATTTTGAAATTTTTATCCATAATGAGAAGTTGAGATCTATCGCCCCTTTTTGTGTGTGTGAAAATATGGCTGGTTTTACTCATTGGTCTGTCCTTGTAAACAATTACACTTTCTCAACAATTGAGATTCCAAACTGTGAGCCGACCCTTGCTTCCACAGAGAGAGGAGATGGTAGAGAGGCAGGAAGCCATGGAGTCCTGTGGGATAACGGCCCCCAGAGGACAAGGCGACGTTAAATGATGGCATGCATGGTACCCATCCAATAAGTTCTATTCTAGTTTTCCCCATCGATGGGCTTGACTATGACCAGGGAATCATACAGCTTTGGAACAGAAAAGAATCATCTAGTTGTGGTCAAATGTCACACTTTTTGGGAGAAAAACCTAGAGGTGAGGGAGACACAGTGACTTGTTCAAGGTCACATAACTAGTAAATGTCAACGCTGGGATGATAAACCGAGTCTTTTGGGCATGAGTTCAGTATTTTTCAACAGAATTCACATACTGCTATTTCACAAATTAGACCCAGTTTACTAATTGTTGCCTTATGCTAGATCTTGAGAGGCAACAGCTGTGTTTGTCCTTATCCTTTGACACCCAGAGCCTAGCACGGTACCTGGGGCACAAGAGAAACTCAAATGTGTTTGCCAAATTAAAGCACTAAGGAATAAGCACATTTCCTCTTAATGATCACTTTCAAAATAAATCTACTATTCATTTAGGAATACTAATAGCTTTGACCCTTCACTTGCTCACGATTATGGTTGCCTAAGGTTAAAAATAAGGTAAGGTAATGAATGTAAATTCATCTCTGTCTGGCTCTTTGTTATTGGTGATAGTGAAAAGTTTCATGGCAAAAGAAGATACAAATCAATGAAAAAAATGGAGTGGGGAGATACCTTCTGTCTGTGCTGCGTGTGTTCCCCATGATCATAAATGGAGAAGTGGAGGCAATATTAACGAAATGTGCACTTACAAAGCCTGTGCTCAGCAACTTTTGATAATATTTAAGTCCATTAGGGCCTACCCATACAGTCATAGATCCGAAGAGGTCGATTAAACTTTGAAGAGCTTGTTTAGCTTTGTTGCCTCCAGGAAGTCCGTAGGAAAAAGTATCAGAAAAGCATAAAACAAAAAAAAGTTAAAAAAAAATTATTTCTTCTATGTGGTGTGGTTCCAAGAAAGGACTATAACAGGCTTCTGCCCTAAATTGATCAGTGTAAGCTGACATTTGAAGATAAAGCATAAATACTCTAAGACTGTAACATACTATACCCAGAGTAGTAAGAACAATTAAAAATAGGCTCCTGGGGAAAAAAAAGATTCCTAAAACTGAAGAGAAATTCTCTTTTTCTATTATATAAGCTATATACCAATGTCCCTCAACTTATGATACAGTTACATCTGGTATGGTTTGGGTCTGTCTCTCTGCCAAAATCTTATTGCAATCCCCACTGTTGGAAGAGGGGCCTGGTGGGAGGCTATTGGATCATGGGGGTGGATCTTCCCCTTGCTGTTCTTGTGACAGTGAGTTCTGGTTGTTGAAAAGTGTGTGGCACCTCCCGCTTCACTCTCTTCCTCCTGCTCCAGCCATGTGCCTGCTTCCCCTTCGCCCGCACATGATTGAAAGTTTCCTGAGGCCTCCTGAGCCGTGCTTCCTGGAGAGCCTGTGGAACTGTGAGTCAATTAAACCTCTTTTGTTTATAAATTATCCAGTCTCAGGTATTTCTTTATAGCAGTATGAGAATGGACTAATACACATTCCTATAAACCCATTGTAAACTAAAAATGTAAGTCGAAAATGCATTGAATACACCTACCAAACGTCATAGCTTAGCCTAGCCTACCGTAAACGTGTTCGGAATACTTAACATTAGCCTACAGTTGGGCAAAACCACCTCACACAAAGCCTGTTTTATAATAATGAGTTGAATATCTCATATAATTGACTGAACAGCCTCTTGAAAATGAAACACGGAATGGTTATTTCAGCTCTGGAAATACAGTTTCCACTGGATGTGTGTTGCTTTTGTGCCATTGTTAAGTCAAAAAATCCTAAGGCAGGGCACATCTGGGTTTTTTTTTTTTTTTTTTTTTTTGAGAAGGAGCTTCACACCATCGCCCAGGCTGGAGTGCAGTGGCGCCATCTCAGCTCACTGCAACCTCCGCTTCCCGGGTTCAAGAGATTCTCCTGCCTCAGCCTCCTGAGTAGCTGGGACTACAGGTGCCCGCCACCATGCCCGACTAATTTTTGTATGTGTTAGCTAGAGATTGTAGCTGTGTGAGTGTGGTTTATTTCATACGGAACAGAAATGTTTCTTTTAGTAGAGACAGGGTTTCACCATGTTGGCCAGGCTGGTCTCGAACTCCCGACCTTGTGATCTGCCCTTCTCGGCCTCCCAAAGTATTGAGATTACAGGCGTGAGCCACCGTGCCTGGCCCATCTGGGGTTTTTTGTAGTGTATCTTAGTTGCAATCTAGAAGAATCTGATGAGTTTTCACTGTGTAGGCTTATTAAGACTTGCTATATTTTTACTGTGTCCTTTACCTTCTTAAAATGCATTTATAATTTAAAAAGTCTGATCTCATGTATATAAACAATCCTCAGAAATAATTTGAATATGTTCTAAGTAAAGTTAATAATTTTCAATTATACAAAGGCCAATAGTGGGTTTATTTTGTTTGTATTCCATGCAGACTTAAGTTGCTTGCAAGATAATCTGGGAAATTGTAGGCTTTTTGGTGGTGTTATAGAATCCAGAATTTGGGAGTCTCCACTGTAGACCAAATGCTCTGGAGTACGTGAAATTTGTCTATCAGCAAATCAACAGACTAGTTAACCTTTCTCCAGGCAGTGTCTCCCCTCCAGCCCTCAGGCATTTTGCCTAAATCCCATTTCTTTTTCTCTGCCGGCTGTCTGCTAATCCCTCGGAAAGTGTTAGCTGATAACTTAAGGTGTGACCACTCTCAGGAGTATTGCATTTCAAAAGAGGCCTCCAAGATAGAAAATACTTCACTTAAAGGAGCTAGACAAGGAAGGAAGGTTGTTATTTTTTAACCTGCTTGTAAGTTGAGTTCCAGGCCATTTAACTCAGTCTTTAGCGAGATCCTCTGTGAGCTTCCCCACTGCATGAATTTCCCTCCAATTCTGAGAGCCAGTGACTCTGGACGGCACTTCCTCACTTGAAAGCATCACATCACAATCATTTCGGCCTAAAACTTATTACTCATCTGTGTTAGCTAGAGATTGTAGCTGCGTAAATGTGGCTTATTTCATCCAGAACAGAAACATTAAAACGATTCGACTCCTGCAGGACATCTTAATAGTGTGTGAAAGGAAGAATTCATATTTCCAGAACTCTGTACCTGTTACAGCTCAGGCGGTCTATGCTTTCATAAACATAGTGACATATTTTATGCATTGATCTTAAAACCCTATTACAAATTCTATTCCATATTTTCTTAGACATTTGGACACACTTAAAGCTGAAGCAACCATGTGTCAGGGTTCGCTCATTAAGGTTTTCTGCTCAAATCTGTATGAACAATGTATAGATGACATATACCTATATATGTAAATATGTATATAGATTATGCCAGTATCTTCCATTTATTCTCATATAATTAGAGTTATAACAACAATGATTTATATGTTCAAAAGCAAACATTTATTGAGTTTATTCTGTGGTCAGCGGATACTAGACATTAGATGTGCAGATAGAAATGTATATAGTTCAGGGCCCGGTGCAGTGGCTCATGCCTGTAAGCCCAGCACTTCGGGAGGCCGAGGCAGGCAGATCACGATGTCAGGAGATCAAGACCATCCTGGACAACGTGGTGAAACCCAGTCTCTACTGAAAATACAAAAATTAGCTGGTGTGGTGGCGCTCGCCTGTAATCCCAGCTACTTGGGAGGCTGAGGCAGGAGAATCGCTTGAACCCGGGAGGCAGAAGTTGCAGAGAGCCAAGATTGCGCCACTGCACTCCAGCCTGGGCGACAGAATGAGACTTCATCTCCAAAAAAGAAAAAAAAAAAATAACAGAGCTTTAGGTTATGAGGGGTTTTGTCTCCTCATCCCATTTCAGTTTTTCTGAAAAAGTGAAGACACTTAACTATGCTCACAATTTCAGGAAATATGCTCAGTTTTCAGTTTCTTCAGCTCTTACAGTTACAACTATCTAATCTTTATTTGGGTTGGTCAAAGACTGCAGCCAACAATCTGAGAATATGCTTCCTAAAGTGGCTTTGTCTTGTATATTTAATTGAGGAAGGTATATTTTATATTCACACATGCACATGTGACTTCTATCTTCAGATATCAATGGTCAAACTTAGGAAGTGCAGCAGAGGTGAAGGAGTAGTCAGCTTTCTTCCCACTTGCTCTTGCAAATTGGTTGTGATCTGTACCCATGGGTAAACATCTATTTTGGCACACATACAAAAATAAAATCAGAATCTAGAGTTGGTAAAATTTGATGAATGATTCCTAGTAATTTAGTTTTCACTTACAACTCTAGAAATTTTTTAAATCTTTTCTGCATAACAATATTGTTTTTTAAGTTTTGGGTATAAAAAAATGACATTCTCCCTGAAACAAGCAGGCAGCTCTCCATTCAGCAGAAAGTTATGCAATAAGATATAAGGGATTGCAGAGACGTTCTCCATCCTCCTCTCTCTCTCTCCCTTCTAAGGGGAAAACCTCCTAAGTTACCTTGGGCAGGTGCCTACATTTGGTACTCCTGGACAGCTCAGCCATCTGCCAAGAAACAATTCTATATAGATGCCTGACCTGCTCAGTTCAGAAGGAGTTTTCTTCTGACTGCTGCTAAATAAGCCGACTGAATGATACATTTATTTGTTAATGGATACTCTTTTTTGGCTCTCAATTTAAAAACATTTTTTAATGGGCAATTGAAAAATATACAGATGAAGAGGCCATGGTCTAATGAGAAGCCATGGAGTCATCACCCAGCTTCAGCAGCTATAAACTCAGGATCAGTCTTGTTTCACCTAGAGCTACAGTAGAGAAACAAAGTGTTTGGAAAACTGGAGAATCAACAATCTTGGTGAGCAGTGTGTGTGTGTGTGTGTGTGTGTGTGTGTGTGTGTGTGAGAGAGAGAAATCTGTAGGTTTGGGGCTTTATTGTTTTTCCTAATATGTAATATAGCTTGTGCATCCATATAATATTATTATTGGAAGTATGGCTCCAAAAAATTTTAGGCCTATATTTTAATTTTAAACTTAATGACTAAATGTGTATATTTTCAAGATATCAGATATCCACATGTAAACAAAAAATACGGTCAACTTTCTGGAAGTTCATATCTCTAGATAGCTATCTCTGTGTGGATAAAACATCTAGTTTATGTTTAACAATGAATGAAGAATGGGCTCTGGTCATAGCTGAACAGGGAACCTGGGGTTTGGCCACTTCAGGGTGACCTCAGGCAAGTCATTAAATCAGTTACTTGGGTTTATACTTTCCTGTTTCTTTCATTTATTTATTAAACATATATTGAGTGGATTACTTTCTACCAGGCACTGCAGAGAACAAAACAAATAAATCGCCTTTCTAGATATAAAGTGGCTCCAGTCCAGAGGGGATGAGAGTAGAGGCTGGATATTCTGTCCCTAACCTTTTTGGCACCAGGGACTGGTTTCATGGAAGACAACTGTTCCACAGACCACTGGGGGTGGGGAGATGGTTTTGGGATGATTCAAGTGCGTGCTTTATTTTTATTATTATTATATCGTAATATATAATGACATAATTATACAAGTCACCGTAATGTAGAATCAGTGGGAGCCCTGAGCTTGTTTTCCTGCAACTAGACAGTCCCATCTGGGGATGATGGGAGACAGTGACAGATCATCAGGCATTAGATTCTCATAAGGAGTGCACAACCTAGATCCCTCGCATGCACAGGTCACAATAGTGTTTGTGCTCCAATGTTCCTGAATCTAATGCAAGTGCTGATCTGACAGGAGGCGGAGCTTAGGTGGTAATGCTCCCCGTGGCTTGTGGCTCATCTTCTGCGGTGCAGCCAGTTCCTAACAGGCCATGGACCTGGTACCAGTCCATGCCCTGGAGCTCGCGGACCCCTGCTCTAAAGCTACTTCCGGCGCTGGTAGTATGTTTTTAATTATTTCTTTTATGTTAATTTTATTTTCCAAATAATTCCCTATTCTCCAATAATTACAGGATAAAACCTTTAGTCTAATATTTGAGATTTACCACACTGTTGTTCAAATCTGCCTTCCCAACTTACAATTCTACTTCTCCCCTGCTAAAATTATTCTCTCTAGTTACAATGAGTTGTGGACAGGAAGTTTGCTTCATTCATCTTTGTATCCACAATACCTAACATAATATCTGACCCAGTGTAGATGCTCAATAAATGATTAATGAGTAGTAGATAAATGGAAGCCTCAGTCTATCTCCTTTCTTGTCTTATAATATTATACCTTGAGTATGTGGAAAAAAGTACTGAAAATCTTTGATTCTTTCAAGGTGCCCAGGGTATGATTTATCTAGAGGATCTTGAATTAATAGCTAGATTTCATTTCCAATTTATGAAACAGATTTCAGGGTCTTTCAGGAACTAATAATTTTTGAAAATTACTTACTCAGCTTCCAAAGGTTTTATCAGTCATGATAAAGGTATACTATGATACTTGCTGATTACATACAATTTCAAGTATTTAGATGTTTGGAAATACGTGGATGTTATTAGTACTATGTACATAAAATTTGTTTTTGAATGTCCTTACAATCTTGATAGTTCTTTAGAAGAAAATTTAAAATGATTTTACTAACTCTGCTTCATCTAACATAAAATCCTGAAAACCTCAAATGATAGTACTCCTTGTGCCTAGAGCTGCTGGAAAGCACCTCTGAAGCACTGTCATGGAGTTTGTGTTTTTCGAACCTTATAATGAACAGCGAAGTGGGAAGTTTCCAGGCTTAGGTGTTCTTTCACGAGGAGGAAGTTGGGTTTAACACCCGTCTTAGTAGTGCTGTACAGAGAGCAATAAACAAGCCATAATGTGGTTTATTTGGGTTAACCTATTAGCCATGTAACCTAAAAGCTTGAACCACATGGAAAATAGACATGATGAGGTGAGAAGCAAATATGACAACCAAGAAAAGACAGGGATTGTGACAGCCGCAGTGATGGACGGCGGGCCTTGAAACACAGTGAGGTGGCCCGAAGCTGGCCCCGCTGGGCCTCAGGCTCCCGGCCCAGCCTCTTGGGGCTTTTGTTTCCTCTTCCATGAAGCAGAGGATTGTGCCGATTGCTCTGCGCCTTCATATGTGTGAAGCTCCCATGTCAGTGCCTGGCACATGGCTGGTGGGATATGTTTTCTTTTATTACTGTACAAATGAATTTGATAACAGGCTGGTTACTCAGAGCCAGCTTTGTGACACCTTACTTGTCTGTATATTTTGCTCTTTGTTCAGTTCATTCATTCATCCATAGATAAACATTTTAAATAACTATTCAATTGCATATCATGAATATTTATTATCTGCTCTGTAACAGCAGTGTGTGAGGTGCTACATCTTTTATGTAAGATCTGGAGAGTGACTCTCCCCACCTGGGCTCCGTAGGTTATGGGAGGGTCAGGCACAGCACTCCCACCAAGCTATCTGCTGGGGCATGAGCTGGGGTAACCTCGAGGAGAGGCCCCTGCTCTAAAGTACACACCTACCATGTGGCTGTCATTCTGCTCACAGTCGCCCCTCCCTGCTGGCCTGGGAGTTTGCTGCTCACCTGCTGTGACAGTCACCAAGCTGGCCATGCTCCCTGGGAAACAGGGAAGGGAGGAGACACTCCCATCCTGTCCTCACTGCCTCCAGCCTAGAGAAGGGCTCTGAAGACGACGGGGCTCTGAGGATGTGATCCCACGTGTCCTCGTCCTGAGCAGATGTTCTATTCGTGTCCAACTGCAGCCTCCCTTCCCATGACACACAGACGTACACAGATATCCTGAAATCAGCATTGCCTTTGTATCCCAACATGGAGATCCTTGCCTGCAATAATGTCTCGCTTTTTTCTTCAATCACTGGAACCTGACTTTTCTTCTGAACCACGCTATGTGTCCATGAACTTCTCAAGAGGTTCTCCACCTTCCTCTGCAACGGCTCAGCTCCACTCCCAGGCCTCTCTTGAGAATTTCCGCACCAGCTGCAGCGTGCCCCCCTCCTCTCTGTGAATTTCTCCTGTGACAAGATGCCTATCGCTTTGCTTTGCATCAGGTTGCATCATATGATGTCAGAAAAGCTGAAAGAAAACAAAGTGCTGTCCCTGGGGAGTGGGGCACTCACAACACAGAAAGGAGCCTTGGGGAGGGGCCGCGCTTGGGTTTCACCTGCAGAACACCCACTTCTGGCTTCAAGTAACCATTCTTTAGTCCCACATTCTATATTGCCATTTGTTTTTCATGAGCATTAAAAACGCATTCTTAGTTCTTAGGTGTTTTCTGGGACTCAGAGTTCATTCTGCTGTTTCATTCAAGGTTCAGTACACTTCTTGATTTTATGTCCATTGTATTCCAAGGATAGATGATTAAAATATCATCAACAATCTAGGGCACTTTGTGAAAACCTTCACCCCAGAACTCTTATCCACTGATGACTCTCCTGGTCTGCTAAAAACTCACTTATTGTGAAAGACTTTCCTGGGATCAAATGTTTTGAAATAAAAATTTATATGTAAAGAAACATTGTTTTGTTTAAAACAGAGGTAACAGTATGACTTGAATTTTATTCGTTTCTTAATCATGATTTTTTTTTCTAATGATGACCTTTGATTAAATTGTATAAAAGGACCTTGAAATTGAATTGACACATCTTCTCCGGTGAGACCTTGGTCCAGCTGCTAAGGTAGGATTTCTGACAGTGCCGGCTGTCCAGTGGAACTGGCTGACACCTTTTCTCAGAGGACAAGGCACAGCTGTGAGGTTCTTTGGAGGAACTGTGCGCCTGCCCCATTGCCAGTGTGGGGCCCGGTCCACAGGAAGGCGCCCCTAATGTGCTCAGCGTGTGTGAAGATCAGAAGCACACAGATGCAAACATGGGTTAGTAAGTCACACACCGTAACTGACTCGAACTCACAGCTCTAAAACAAGAGTAAAGAAGATGAAATTCATCCAGTTTTGTCACCACCTGTGCATTTCCACCAGAGAGGAAACCAGGCAGTTGTGAAATCGAAGGGGCTGGGCTGCCCACTCCTGGCCCACAGGCCCCCCTACCCTGAGGGAGGTCCTCAAGGCAAAGGACAGGAAGCGGTGGGGTTGGGAGCTCTGTCTGATGCTCTGTTCTCCCAAAATAATGTAGACTTTTCCACTGGATTTGAGGACGTGTTCTCAAGTGCATTTCAGGCTTGGGACAACTGGAGGCAGTGTTGGTGGACAGCTAAGGAGGGTGCAGGAGAATCACTCAGTGGAGGACCCTCATTTTGCTTGCTTTGGCTCTGAGCATGTCTGGGAGAATTTTTTTTTTTTTTTTTGAGATGGAGTCTCACTCTGTCACCCAGGCTGGAGTGCAGTGGCACGATCTCAGCTCACTGTAACCTCCAACTCCCGGGTTCAACTGATTCTCCTGCCTCCTGAGTAGCTGGGATTACAGGCGTGCGCCACCACACCTAGCTAATTTTTGGATTTTTAGTAGAGACGGGGTTTCACCATGTTGGCTAGGACGGTCGCAATCTCATGACCTCGTGACCCGCCCGCCTCAGCCTCCCCAAGTGCTGGGATTACAGGTGTAAGCCACCGTGCCAGGCCTTCTGGGAGAATTAAATTCCACAGTTGAGGGTGGGGCCGCTTGGAAGAAGGTGGGGTAACGCAGGAAGGGAGCCGGGATTCGGTCCTTGGGCAGAGCTGGCACCTGGGGCTCACAACCCTTGCCTCCTTCAGCCTGTGGATCATGAGTGCGTCAGCTGAAAGGGGCATGAAACCAACCCTAGCAGGCATCAGATTTTGTAATCTTATGTGCTCTGTGCCAGAGCTGCCGCAACAGTATCCGCTGCCGGCCCCTCCCATTTTTCCTCTCCTTCCCTTTAGAGCAGGGAGACATGGCCACGCCTGACAAACGCAAGCCTTCCCTGCCCTGCCAAAGCCCACTGTCTGGCATCTCCTTATGCCTCTTGTTCTCTCTCCGTTCTGCAGCCCTGTGGGCTTTCTTCAGTTGTTTAAACACAGATGCTCCTGTGGCCTCTGGCTATTTGCAGACACCATTCATTTTGCCCGGAAAGAAAATTAACTTCCTCTTCCACCAGGTGCTTCCTATGGTTCTTCAAAACTCACCTCGAGCATTACTCCTTCAGGAATCTTTTTTTTTCAGTTTCAAAGTAGGCAAATATTCTCTTTGGTGATGTCACCGTGCCATGTACTTCTCGAGTTGTTACGAAATAGGGCAAACAGTTTTGAGATACACTGATGTAATTTTATGCTTTGCATTTCCCGGTATATGGGCTTCTCCTACGCAACCTGGGCAGCCTCCTGCCCTACAGGGAGGAGGGTGACCTGCCAGGATGCAGACAGCGGGTTTACTCATACGGGGAAGGATGGGCAGGTTCTGCATGCTAATGAAGCTATCTGAGTTCACAGAAACACACGAGGCCCGAAGGCCAAGCTTTGTAGAGAAAGAAAAATATTTCCCAGTTTGGGAAGCTCCCTTTTTGGCATATTCAAAGCTAGGCAAAGTGTAATTGATCATAGAGTTTTGTGTCTGGAAGGTGTGGTGGAACAGAAAGAGAAGAGGGATGGCCTGTCGGGTGCCACACCATGGGGCAGGGAAGGCAAAGCAGAGTGTAAAGCAGCACAGTGCCAGGTCCTGTCCACGCCAAGTGTGGGGCCTTCTCCTCAAGGTTGATGGGCAGGATGTGGGGTGAGGGTGGGAGTGCATGGCAAAAATCCAGAAAGATGGAGGGTCGCCTGTCAAGGGCAGAGGGGCAGTGCACAAATACGGCCTTGTAGGATGCCCCTGCTCCGGCACTTCAGGGTGGTCTTCTCACAGTGCTAGTGACTGCACAGCTCAAATAGGTAGAGTGAGGATCTGAGCTTGCTGTCCTTGTCACTGTGGCATGGAAAGCATCAAGACATTCCCACAGGTACATGGAGGGCATGGAAGGAGGCTGAGAACATTCCAGAGGTCATCTCTGTGGCAAAGGGTGCCTGTACCTGGAACCCAACAGAAGTCACTGACAACCTCAGGGGGTCCATGGGGCCAGTGAGAGTAAGACCCAGTGGGCACGAGGAATGGCTGGTGGTTCCCAGGAAAACAGCCTGAAGCGAAACAGAACAGCTGTTCAGTCACCACAAGGTGTAGTTGTGAATGGCAGGGAAGCATTAGGAGGGGTCTTCAAAGTGGCTGGGATTGACGGTTTGGCAACCTGGAAGCGTTATGGAAAGCTTGGAGCCCGAAGAGAGAGAGAGCACATGTTGGTGGGTAGCATGTTCATAGTGACCGGCTCTGTGTTCAGATATACATTAGCAACTTGGATCTACCACATGCAAAGTAGATAACAATAGGTATGTTTTTAAAACTCTGTGATTCTCAATTTGCTCATTGGTAGAAAGTCATTTAGTTGTGAAAATTTAATAAAGTAAGTAAAGCAGAGAGAACAGTGCCCTTGGATAGAAAGCACACAGATTTGCATTGTTGTCCTGCTGTTAGTATTTTTAGAAGGTAAGCTTCAAGATGGCAACTCATATGTATCTTTTTCACCAAAGGGTTTTCAGTGGCTAGTACAATTCCATGATGTAATAGAGACTTTACAAAATATTCCTGGAGCAAATGTATAAATGAACGATTTGAAGCCTTAAGTTAGATCAGGGTGATTTATTTTTTAAAATGTCATATACCTGTGTTAATAGCAGTGAATGATGCCAAAAGTAATATGTGTGTGTGTTTCAGAACTCTTATCAAGAAGATCACTCATGATAATATACAGTAAATATAAATGGGTCAAACTTCCTTTACAAAAGATATTGTCATATTAAATTTTATATACACATACATGTGTACGAAGCAAAATGACATAGAAAATAGATGAGTAAATTCTTAAATGTAAGACAAAAAATAAAATGAACCCCAAAGTGCAATATTAATATCATACAAAGTGGAACTTGAGAGAAAATAAGGAATGAGCGAGGGCTACTTTATATTAATTTTCTAAAGTATAATTTATTATGAGAATGTAGTAGCCAGAGATGTTTAAAAACCAAATAACAGCATCAAAAGACATAAAAGTTGTTATAAATGCAATAAGAAACTGGCAAAGCACAGTCTTAACAGGCTACTTAACAATATCTCTACTTTTTATGTTATGTACATAAACTTTACAGAGAACTGAATAATTAATATGTTTTATTTACTCAGTATTTCTTTAAAGAAAATGTCTTCAAATGTGCATCGTATAGTTAAACATTGATTATAGCTTCTGTGTCAAAAAAAAGCTCAATACAAAGCATTCCCATAAGCCATATTTTGACAATAAACAATAGAATTTAAGTAATAAAAAGTTTAACACCAAATCTAAAACCATGTGGAAACTAAAAATACTCCCTGAATAATCCATGAGCTGTTAACTCAAAGAAAATGATAGAGAAAATTAAAACTGAATAAAGAGATTGTTTAGAAGATGCCATAATATATGGAATGTAACCCACATTGTGCTAGGAGAAAACTTTGTAAGTTTTCAAGGTTTTTATAAGAAAGTTGCAAATGAAATATCCATGTTACTGCAGAAGCAAAAAATAATTTAAAAAGCCCCAACAAAAGCATGAGTAAGAAAACGAAGATATAGTAGAAATTAATGACTTAGAACCTGAAAAACTATAACAAATATAGTAATTCAAACCTTTATTCTTTGATATTAAATACTACTGATGACAAATCTTTGGAAGGCTAAGAGAAAAGCAGAGAACATACAAATATTCAGCATTAGAATTCAGGACACTGGGGAGAGGCATAGTGGTGAGAGCAGTCCCTTAGCCGAGGCACACTGGGTTGACTTCACCGGTACTCAGCTGTGTGATCCAGGAACGCTGTCCAGCCTTCTTGTCTCATGCCTTGGATTCCCACGGCTCATAGTGCTGTTAAAAAAATTACATTGAGTTACCATTTGTGATATGGTTTGGCTGTGTCCCCACCCAAATCTCATCTTGAATTCCCACATGTTGTGGGAGGGACCCAGTGGGAGGTAATTGAATCATGGGGGCAGGTCTTTCCCATGCTGTTCTCGTGATAGTGAGTAAGTCTCACAAGATCTGATGGTTTTATAAAGAGGAGTTCTCCTGCACCAGATCGATCTCTCTGCCTGCTGCCATCCGAGGTGTGACTTGCTCCTCTTTATCTTCCGCCATGATTGTGAGGCCTCCCCAGCCGTGTGGAACTGTAAGTCCATTAAATCTCTTTCTTCCGTAAATTGCCCAGTCTCCAGTATGTCTTTATCAGCAGTGTGAAAACTGACTAATACAATTTGTCGAGTACTTTTATAACAGGGTTTCAAAAAGAAAATATGTATGTGTTTCTTATGTAAAACAAGCAATATGGAAAGGAGGTTGCAGTCCACAGCCATGAGATAATCCATTTTGATATCTAGCTGAAATGAATGAATTTCTAGGAAAATATATTACCAAATATGACTTAAGAAGAGACAGAAAACTTAATTTGTCAGTGCTACAGGAGATACTGAAGAAAGTTTGAATAGAGCTATACTTCTGATGGTAGAAAGGCATATATTTTGCATTCACGCATTCATTTAACAAATATTGATTAATTACCTACTATGTGCCTGATGCTGCTTTTATTCCACTAAAAGTACGATAATTTTTTTAATTTCAAAAGAAATTTATACTCTGTTAAAAAATGAGAGTATCAAGTGGTGAAGATTAAAAGCAAACATCTTCACCTCCTCTACTCCCCAATCTCAGCTGTCTGCTACGTATTCTAGATATTTTTAAATTCCTCTCTCTCTACCTACCTACCTACCTATTATCTATCTATCTGCCTATTTGTCTAGTTGTGCCTGTGTATGTGTATTTAAGCTCAGTAGGATCCTATTATCCATTTGTTTTGCAACTTGTTTTTCATGTGATGGATGTCCCTCCACGTCAGCACATGGTATTATAATTATGCATATTTTATTCTCTTTGAAACAAGGTGAATAAATAAACCTGTAGCAAGGGAAACGCTATCTGTCACCAAAACTCCCACTACTCGAAGCGTGACCTAAGGCCAAGATCTGCGGGACCTTTTTCACAACCTTTGTGCGTCTTCTTAGCTTCTGATGGCAGCCACTGGTTCCTACACAGCATGTTGTCCCCTTCTGTGTTGTGGGAGCTTTTAGAGTTTTTCTTTTATTTTGGGGTCTATAAGTTTTATCAGGGGACCTGTGGGTGGACACACAGCCCTCAGTGGATCACTGTATAAGGAACTTCAGCTCCAGAAAAGAGGCTTCAATCATTTCTCCTAGTATTTCTTTCTAATATTTTTGTTCTCTATTTGTAAAAGTCTCTATTAGTTTGACCCTCCTGAATATATCTTGCAAGACTTTTAGGTTTTTATTCATTCGTCTGTTTATTTTTCCTTTTAGATCTGGGAGGTTTCTTTGGCTCGACCCTCTAGCTGCCTGGTCTCCATGGTGGAACAGCCCCTCTTCTGGACAGCCAGCTTGGCAGTTCCATTTAATTTTCATTTTGTCAGTTAAATTTTATTTACCATACCTCTTCCTTTTTCGTAAGTGCTGTTATCTTCTTATTCCCTGTTCCTTACCCTCCCTACCTCCTCCTCCTCCTAATTGTAGCTAATTCTAATTTTATGGGTGCAATTTCCTCTCTAATCTCTCAGTATCAAGTTGGATTTTTATTATTATTATTACTTCTATTTCCTCTCAGGTGAGCTGTTTTATTTGTTCACATTATCCTCCACCCTGGTATTTGCCTCCTGTATTGGGTGGCACTTGATTTGGTTCTTTTTTATGAATGAAGATGGGGTTGATTGCTTGTGGGTTTCCTTTGCAGCCAGGCACATCTGTTTCCTGCTCAGCCTCCTCCCTGCCTGGCTAACTACAGGCCTGTGTCTGTGGATGAGGCTCCAACAGCAGGAAGAACTATCCAGCAGCCTGGGGACCTCCTCCTGCCCACGCCCCTCCTGGGCCAGCTGCCAAGCCAGGAGGGTTTTTCTTTCCTGAGAGCCGATAACTACAGCACAGAGACTTCCTCGCTTTCTTGGTTCAAGTCTCTATCATTGTTTCAGTAATTTTTTTACAGTGGCCCTAGGCCAGAGCAACTTCTTAACAGTTCTGTGTATAAGTAGTTAGAGCCAAACGACATAATTATGCATGCCCTAACAACTTAGTAACTGTTTGAAAAACCAATACATATACCTTTAAAGAAAAAACAAACAAAAACAAAACAAAACAAAAAACAACCCATCTTTTCTTTTGCTCTGAAATTCCCATCACTTAGCAGCGCTGCACGCGCCTGCTGGGGACAGCACAGCCTCACCTACCTTGGCATGAGATTGGAGAGCCCTGCTGCGTTTTCTGTTCCCTGCTGGTTTTCATACGGGGCCTGCTTTTTATCAGAGCACCTGCTGAACATCCAGCCAGGGCCTCGTGGAAAGTAAAGTAGCGCTCTTGAGCCTTGGATCGGTGGCTTTGCTAGAGCAGACGTTTCATGGAGGGGCTGATGGATGTCCAAGAGGTTGTGTTTCTCTCAAAAATGAAGAAACTCCACAGCGCCCCTGTGGGTTTGCCGGGGCGAAGATCTGCTGTGCTTCTTTTAGGCCCTGTAAGTTCACCGACAAATTAATTTTCTTTAAAAACTAGTCTTTGGGCTTTGTCTTTGGGAGAAACAATTTCTCCGACCGTCATTTTTCGACTCTATTTTGGGGGATTGGTGGTAGGAGCTGTAGTGAGCCGTTCCAGCTCTCGCCCTAATGTTTGACTCATGGCAAGGTCTTTGCCTCCTTGACTTTGCTCTCAGAGCTTTTTCTAGGCTTGCTTGGGAAGAAGCTTTCAACATTTCTATTCCATGGCTATTTTCATTTTTCTCTTTTCCAGTAATGTTATGTTTTCATTTATATGTATTATTTTTCTCAAAAGTAACTTGAGGAATAGAAAAATTGGAGCCAAGCCAGCTCCTCCATCAGCCATTTGAATTTGCTTGAGCTTCTATATTGGGCTGGACATCAGTTTTAATTCTTAAAATTTTATTTGAATTAGAATGGTGAACTTTGAATCATACTGACTCTTTGTGGATTCCACATTTTATGTTGTCAGTTATTATCCAGCTCTACTTGAATTCTAAATCACAAAACAAAACTATTCAAACCATCATGGTTTCTGCACTTTTAATGTAAGTATTTGAGGTTCAAAGTTAGCTAATCATACAATATATTCCAGAGTTAGTGAGAATGGACACTGAAAAATTACTCTTTTCTGGGATAAGGATGACTAAGAACCACAGGGAACAGAGTTCCTCTAAAATGAGTTGTTTTCAAACGGAAATAAAAAAACCACAAAACATTGCAGAATTGCTCATTTTATCAGATGGCTGAAACTTACATTTGTAAAAATGCAGTTTGATTGATTATGATGGCTAAGCCAGGGTTTGTTGACCTTGAAGAATAAAAGCTTGGCACATACTTATTGGAAAGTGTGAGCGACATGAAAAAGATATAACGAGAAATCTTTTAAATTTTTGCAATAGGACTCAAGAAATAAAAGATGTCATATCAACACAAGGTAAGGCTTTGCCTAGCAGCCACTTGGTGTGGAATATTTACAAATTGTTGACAGTTGTATACTTTAATACGTATGTGCCTTTCCAAAATATGAAGGTATCAGAATTTTAGATGAGGTAGAATATTTTTCATACTTCTTCTTTTAGTATGTCACAGAAACAAGTTATTTGATATTATCTCTTTTATATGTATAGTACATCCATGGATAGCAACCACAGTAGGAAGTAAAATTACCAGCAAAACTCTTGCCAGGGATTGTAATTAGTTATTAAAAAATAATGTCTCCCTACCCCATATTCTCCTCCTGAGTGTATTTTGGGTTTTTCTTCCACTGCCAAAGCCTTAAAGCAAATGTCTAGACAAACCTCCTACACTCTGATAATTTCAAACCTGCTGATTTCGAGTGATAGACCTACATCTTGATGTCATTCTATGAATGGCAAGGCCTGAATTTCCAAAGGCTCTCTGGACATCTGGGCAGTCATCAGAACTCACCGTGCCCTAATCTGATGGGCCTTCCTTCCCTGCTGCCTTTTCTCCTGTATTTCACATTTGAGCTGCTGATAACTGCAGCTGTCCCAGCTGCCGGGTAGGAACGTCAGCCTCTCCCGCGGGACGTCAATCCCTAGCACGGACCTGTCTGACCCTTCCCCTATACCACGTCCTCTTGCTTCTCCCTCTGAAATATCTCCCAAATCCTTCTCTCTGCCTTCTTTTCCTACTCTCCTCACTCACATGACTGCCTCGGGCCCCATTTTCCTTCACTTGGATCTTTTTGTGATGGTCTCTTTACAAAGACACTGTTGCTGGAACCCCTTTCCAGAAGCTGAGGTAGAATCATACCGCTCCTCTAGAACCTCAGACACTCTCAGTGCATTTAAAGACATACCCAAATTCTGGCAACATGACACAAGTCTGCACCCTGTCCTGCCTCATCTTCCACTTATTTATGAGCTGTGTGTCACTGAGCTTTCCAAAATATACCTTTTGTTTTCACAGCCCATTCTTCTCTTATCCTGAAATGAACTTCTCTTCTATGCCTCTGACACCTACTCACGTATGAATGTCCTGCTAACACACCACTTCCGCCAGGACCCAAGTTTGCTCATGAACCCTCTTGCCCATTCCAGTGGCTACTTCAGAACTCGCCAGATCTTTCTCTCGTTCCCATGTTATTGATCTGCCGTCTTTGTTTGCTTTTCACACTCCTTCTCTTATCCAAGAAAGATTTTCACAGCATCACACTCATTTAAATGTCTATAGCTTTAGTTCTAGACTAGTTTATCTTCTTGCTATATTTTTAGAGACAAATTTCCATCCAAATTTACTATGCAAAATAAAATTCTTAAGGAATCTCTAAATCAGAAAGCAATTTTGGCATGTTTGCATTGTGTATTTTTTTTATTAACTGAGATTTACTCAGAAAGAATCAAATGAGCCAAAAATTTGGAGCTGAAATGCTTGACATTTAACCCTTCTGGAAAGAATAATGTTGGTCTTACAATGAATTAATTGTACATTTTTGAAACGTGTAAGATTTTTAAAAAGTTATATGTTCTAGTTGTTAAGCCATTAGAAAGTTTGGGTAAGTGGCCCCTTTTGTAGGAAATCCTGTGTGCCTCACAGTCTCTCCATAGCCTGGTGAGTAGCAAGTGAGAAATATTTTGCAATAGAAAACAGAAAAGTCAAGGCTGAGGAAAAATAGAATTTCCACCACAAATATCTGATAAATTTATCTAGGAGCCAAATTTGGGGAGCTATATGGGTAGTTCAAAATCTGTTTGTATTCTCCTACTGGACAGAAAGAGGAAAGTAAATGGATTAATCAGGTAGATTGGCATCTACTGATGTAAGCAACAGGTAGATAAATGGGATGAATCCAGTCATCCTGGTTCTTACTTTTCTGTGTTGGGATAGAAGATGGTTTTCTCTCATAAGTGGATGTAAGGGAAACTGGTGGGGATAATGTGTTGATTGAAATTTAAATTTTCTTATGGAAGACTTGTTGAAGAATTCAATTGTTTTATTCCAACAATCTGGCAGTTTGGATGCCTGCCATAGCCTTACCGTGCATTAGCTGTGTTACCTCAAACAAACCAGCTAGTCTTCCTTGGCCTCAGTTTCCTTAGCTATTGAATGAGGGTTTGGACTGGGCGATCACATAGATCTCTTTTGGTGGCCAAATCCTGTGGCTTTGTGATTCTGTGTACAGCCCAGTTGCTTATTCTGTGCAGTTAGACGATAGCATCCAGACTCATGCACTAGGGGTGGAAACCGTTGACTCCTTTCTTCTTTCTTCCTTTAGTTTCTGAAGCACTCCTCTGTGACTACACATTATCAGTTTCTTCTTTCTCTCTATATGTTTTTTTCTTTTTTTCCAGATAATGCAGTTCCCCTTGACTCTAATCCCAAACTGCTTTTTTCCTCCCTGAC
Organism: Homo sapiens; assembly: GCF_000001405.40. Classification (NCBI taxonomy): domain Eukaryota; kingdom Metazoa; phylum Chordata; class Mammalia; order Primates; family Hominidae; genus Homo; species Homo sapiens. Next base: position 109,696,253 of record NC_000013.11, on the reverse strand, counting down.
CCTACATACAGTTCATCCAAGACAACTTCATCTGTACACATGCATTCAACTACCATACTGTTACTATTAGCTTGGGGCTCTTTCCGGAGCTTCAGACTCCTGTCTTCCACCCCCATGGACATCTTTGCTTCAATGCCCTGTGAGTGTCTCTAACTCACTATGTACAGAGCTGAATTCATTATCTGTTGCCCTTAATTGATCTTTCTTGCCATGGAATACTAATTGACTTCCTTCTCTTCCATGTAACCACCTCCAATCCATCTTCAATCTGTCAACAGAATGATCCTACTAAAACCCAGATCTAATCATGTCTGTCTCATGAGGAAAAATTTTTAGTTTCCCTATTGCCTCCAGAATGCATTTGAAACCTCTTTCTAGCTCTGTACAGCCCTGCCACCTGCTTCTTGAGTCTTTATGCACTACTGCATGGGCCCTTCAGCCATTCAGTAAAATTGACTTTTTTCTTTTTAGTGCATAGGTCTATCAATTTTGACTCATATATAGATTTGCGTGATCACTACCACAATCAGGTTACAAACAATTCCCTCACCCCCAAAACTCCTTGGGGCTATCCCTTTATAGGCTCACCCTCCTGAATTCTGACGCCAGCACCCACTATTCTGTCCTGCATCACTGCCGATGTATCTTTCCAATGCTGTCATACCAGTGCAATCATACGGCCCTCACCTATTGAGGTCAGCTTCATTAGCTCACCGTAATGCCTGTAAAATCCATCTAAGTTGTTGATTCATGTTTGTCCCTTGCTGGGTTGTATTCCATTGTGTGGAGGAGCCACAGCTGATTATTCACTCACTTTTGGAGGGGCATTTTAGCTGTTTCCAGTTTGGGACAATTATGAACAGAGCTGCAACAAACATTCATGTACAGGTTTTTGTGTGAAGACATATTTTCATTTATCTGGGATAAATACCCAGGAGCAGAATTGTTGAGTCATGTGGTAAGGGCATGTTTACCTTGATAAGAGCCTGTGAAACCATTTTTGAGAGTGGATGCTTGTATTTTTTAAACAAGATTCATAGTTGACTCTGAGGCCCAGCCAGGTTTGGGAGCCAGAGCCGGAATAATCACTTACATGTTGGTCGTTCGCACACACTACAGGTTGCTTAACAGGACTCTGTGCCTGCATGTTTGTGTCATCTCTGCAACCTCAAAGCCTAGTGAAGATTTCATCTTAACTTGATTGCTATGTGTTTGCATAGTTGAATAACTAAGAGAGAGTGCTCACAGCGTGGCTGCTCCCACTAAGGTGTAGTCAGAACATGTGATATACAGTACAGATGATTTTCCACACTTCTCTCCTGCACGTAACAAAATTACTTTTAGTAATGATCATGTAAGACTCAGTAGTAGTAATGACTTTCTTTAATATTATTTATTAAATATTTTATTATAATATTTATATTTATATAATATATATTTATATTTATATAATATATATTTATATTTATATAATATATATTTATATAATATATATTTATATTTATATAATATATATTTATATAATATATATTTATATTTATATAATATATATTATATAATATATAATATATATTATATAATATATATTTATATTTATATAATATATATTATATAATATATATTTATATTATATAATATATATTATATAATATATATTTATATTTATATAATATATATTATATAATATATATTTATATTTATATTATATATATTTATATAATATATATTTATATTTATATAATATATATTTATATTTATATATTTATATTTATTTATATTTATATATATTATATATTAAATATATGTTATATATAACTATATATTATATATTAAATATATGTTATATATAACATATATATTAAATATATATTATATAACTATATATTATGTATTAAATATATATATTATATAACTATATATTATGTATTAAATATATATATTATATATTGTATATTAAATATATATTATACATAACTTATATATGATATATATATATTATATATTATATATGAAATATATATTATATATAACTATATATTATATATTATATATGAAATATATATTATATATAACTATATATTATATATAACTATTATATATAATATATATTATATATTAAATATATATTATATATTATATATTATATATAAATTTATATTTATATATATTATATATTTATATTTCTTTTAATATTAAAATGAGTAGAAATCAGTTAAAATTATACATTTCTATTTTTAAAAAAATTTTTCAGATTCAGTAAAATGTTTTATGAACTGACATTTGCATTTACTAAACAAAAATATTACATTGTGCAGTTTGTCCCCTGTTGCACTGTTTTAGATTTTAAGCACAAACTTCCAAATGGTCCCCTCTGATGACTGAATTAAAATAAGTCAAGTTGTGTTCCTTTATTTTGACAGGCACTGTCCTGTCACGTTTAATTTAGAATCTAAGGTTTAAGTGCGAGAATATGTATTATCCCCGGGGTTGGAGAAGCACCTGGAACCAGTGTTAATAGTTTACTCCATCCAGCTCCTTCCGTTCACATGAAGGCGGGGGGCTGGGTGCCTGTGTGCCAGGGTCAGCTGAATAACTTGGAGTTTTCTGGAATAACTTTCCTGTAGAGTATGATGTTTATTAAGTGATAAAGATACAAATGAATTGATTGAAGCTTGCATAGGTGTATAAGTTTCGCCAGACTGCTGTCACAAATGACCACAAACTGTGTGGCTTAAAATAACAGACATGTATTCCTCATGGTTCTCGAGGCTGGAGGTCTGCAGGGCTGGTTCCTTTGGAGGCTGGGAGAAGGAATCGGCCCCCTGCCTCTCTCCAGCTTCTGGTGGTGGCTGGGGCCATCGGGGTACTGCTTGGCTCTCAGACACATTGCCTGATCTCTGCTCCATGTTCACATCTTCCACATTCTCTTGTGTTGTCTTGGTTTTCTTCCCCTCTTCTTATCAGGACACTAGTCACTTTGGATGAAGGACCCACCATACTTCAGTATGGTTTCATCTTAACTTGATTGCTTCTGCAAAGACCCCCCACTTCCAGATAAAGTCACCTTCACAGGTACCAGGGGTTAGGACTTGAACATAGCTTTTTGGGCGATGCATTTCAACCCATCACACACGCGCACACACGTGCACGCACACACACACACCCAAATATATGTAATGAAAACTCAACAGTCACAAGAGCAATTATTTAGAACTTTCATCAACAAATGATTGTGTGTGTGTGTGTGTGTGTGTGTGTGTGTGTGTGTGTAGGACTGTTTCATCACTAACTGTGTTTGGAATGACTCTCTTGTTGGGATAAAAGCAGGCCAGTTTTGCTTGGCTTACTTATCGTGTATGAATTATCTTTTAACAGAAATTTTCTGTACCCCAGGCAAGACCATTCCCTTCATCCCAGCCCAGGTAGCTGCTGTCCCCAAACACCCTCAGTGGGCATGAGGTGGTCCTCATAATTCCTGGTGATGTCCATTTCTTCTTCCATGTTTTCAAACAGCGGTATGGCACTTTGAGGTGAAATATGGCTCTATTTAATGTCACTGGTTTCTTGAAGCTCTGAGTTTTCTGGGACCACAAGTTTTACTTGAAGGTAAGCAATTTAAAGTATTTTAATATAAACATAACTACAGTATAAAGTGTGATGCGTATATTACATATATCTTTAGAACTAAACATGAGATGAAAAAATATGAACATGGTTGCAGGGCCCTGAAATTTCTTTCCTCTGTTACTGTGGTAAACAAAGCAAAGTAAACTAAGACAGTGGAAAGGGTTCATTTCAAACCTGTAAGATATGTCCTATCTCTAAGTCTGACTTGATCATTTGTTTGCTCTGATGCATAAATGGCAATGGAAATAATACCACCTTCTTCTTATCCCAGTAAACAAGTTTGTGAGCAAATAATTTAATATGGGGAAAGAGCTTCTGAGTTCTCAGAGGATCGCCATTTTCTCAGAGCTAGGAGATGACTTAGTGCGGGGGGTGAGCCATCTTTTCGGCCAGTTCGTGAATGTCTTGGGCTTTGTGTGGCAGACCTTCTCCGATCAAACAACTCTGCCGCTGCAGCTTGAAAACAACCACAGACAACACACACACAAATCCAGCGTGGCTGTGTTCCGACGCAATTTGACAAAAACAGGCACTGGCCAGACTTGGCCCATGGACTGCAGTTTGCCAGCCTCTGAACTTAGAGGAAAAAAATTGGAAGAATGGAGTGAACCTTGAGCACAGGGAGGAGCAGGCACTGAAGCTGTCTGTGTGCTCTTTTCCTGTCTTGATGGAGAACAAGACATTTGTATGCTTTCACAAAACAAAGACAAGTGTAACTGTGAGTTCAAAGATTACATCATTGATTTCAGTAGTGTTGATACTTTAAGCATTTGCTATGTTTCCTCTGAGCTATTGGGACATTACACTGAGATGCAGTCGGTGGTATGGGGAGGTGCTCAGGGGTTCTCCTCTCTGCCCTCACTGCTTGGTGCTTACAGACAGCTACTGAAGCAGTGCCTTTCATGCTGGGGAGCCTGACTATTTGCAGGTTGTTAAATCAATTTAATGGGTCGTGGTCTGCATTTGAAAGAATAGAACTGGCTCAACTTCCTTGGGCTAGAATGGAAAATCACAAGGTACATCCTTTATAGTATTTTGTGAATTTTTGTTGTACACTTGAACATATATAAACATATATGGGATGCATACATAATAAAGAACTATTAGGGGAAAATCAAGCTGTTTTTTGTAAAGTTAAAACTTTGGAAAGAGTATAGTCGAGTCACAAACTTTTCTCTGTTAAGTTATACCTAGATGTGATGATTGTGAAAAATTGGCAAACAAAAACTCTAGAAAAAGTTTGCATTCAGATTGTTTCCCAATGGCTTCCTAAGTTACTGAAAGACATCTCAACTAGAATTTAGGAATAGACACTTTCAGTGTTATGTATGCCAAATAATAATAATAATAATAAGTGCCGAACTCTAATCGACTGATCCATTTCTGTTGCCCAGGCTGGAGTGCAGTGGCATGATCTTGGCTCACTGCAACCTCCACCTCCTGGGTTCAAGCAATTCTCCTGCCTCAGCTTCCCAAGTGGCTGGGATTACAGGTATGCACCACCACACCCGGCTAATTTTTGTATTTTTAGTAGAGATGGGGTCTCACCATGTTGGCAAGGCTGGTCTTGAACTCCTGACCTCAGGTGATCCACCCATCTTGGCCTCCCTAAGTGCTGAGATTACAGGCGTGAGCCACCATGCCCGGCCCTGATCCATTTTTAAGAAAAGCCTTTATCCTTAAAGCAAATATTGGTGCATGAGTATGTAATGTATGAACACGTGATGTTTATGATTTCCAACTTGCAGTCACCTTTTCTTTGAACTGTTCTAATATTTTGTTCAGTCCTCATTTGTATCTGCTGAACCTCCCCTTGAGGGGATTGTCAGGTACCCTCCTTTCGCCTGTGAGCTGAGGGAAAGGTGAGAATGACTTTAGGGGAAGAGAAGGGTGAAAAGTACCAATTTCCAACTCTTCCTCGCAATCTTGAAATGTTTGATTTTGATCTCATCTTTGCACTTTCCCCTCCCTGCCGTAAAGAGAGACACACAGTTCTGTGCTGGGCTAAAAGCATGTTTGAAAAGTAAAGAAATTGGAATATAAGATATATATCAGTCCACACTGGACTGATGTGGCCAGGCAAGGCAACTGACCTCTTCTAACGTTTTCCTTCTTCCAGCAGAGCACGTCTCTGTCCTCTTAAGAGGCCACATGTCAGGTGTGTGGCTCTCTCTGACTCTGTCCTAATGGCAGTGCCTTCGTATTTTTTGTTTGTTTGTTTTTGTTTTGAGATGGAGTCTCACTCTGTCACCCAGGTTGGAGTGCAGTGTCACGATCTCGGCTCACTGCAAGCTCCGTCTCCCGGGTTCATGCCATTCTTCTGCCTCAGACTCCTGAGTAGCTGGGACTACAGACATGTGCCACCACGCCCGGCTAATTTTTTGTATTTTTAGTAGAGACGGGGTTTCACATTTTAGCCAGGGATGGTCTCGATCTCCCGACCTCCTGGCTGGTGATCCACCCGCCTCAGCCTCCCAAAGTGCTGGGATTACAGGCGTGAGCCACCATGCCCGGCCGGCAGTGCCTCTGTTTTTATGGCATGAGGGCAGCCCCGGTGAACTGGGGTTCTTCGTGGAGGAGTGTGCCCGTGCGTGACGGAAGCATGCGCCTCCTCTGACCTGGATGCAGGCTGGGATGCCATCGGCACTGGGGCTACCACATGGTGCTAACGGGCTCAGAAGAAGCCAGCACAGGGTGATTTAAACAGTGGCCAGTGATCCAGGGTCGCCAGTGCTGAAGGAAGGAAAAATCAATGTTGAATAATATACTTCACAGCCCTAAAGTAGACTCATATGTAATGTTGAGACAACTAACAATTTGTAAAGAGGACAGTACTAAGCAGAAGAGACGACAGAAATACCCTGCTTTGGTTTCGTTTGATGAATTTTCTTGAGGAGGGATTTCTAGGGCAGTTCAAAAAGAAAACAGAAAGCAGGTGACACTCAGGTGAAATATTCAGCATCCATCTCCTTTGTGTCTAAGCCCTGGTGAGTCTGTGTGCAATCAGCTAAGGGCCTTAGCCCATGGACCCCAGGCTGCAGGCAGCCCTTGCTCACTGAGACTGGGGACCACACCAGCTGATGGCCTCCACTGGGTTACATGCCCACAGGCAGCTGCTGAGTCTCAGGATAGCGGGAAGAAAGGTCCTGCCACAAGAAGACATCAATTAACAAAAAATAGATACCATAATGTAAAGCAATTACGTGGCCTGCCTTTTGGAAACTTCTGGGGAGAGGAGGGAGGAAGTCTAAACATGAATTGCAAATGCTGTACATGAAAACAGTATGCAGATATATTTAGCTCTATCAATTAGTTGAAGTCACAACATCCAGGGATGTTTTCACTAATGCATTTCATTAGTAAATATCTATTACTATTGGGTATTTATTGTTAAATATATGCATGCGAAAAGACAGACTAAGGAACACTCAAGTCCTCACCTCTCAGCTTTGCTGTATCTTAGCATTTTGCCACATTCGCCTCAGATAGTTTTTAAAGAATTAAAACATTAGATGCTATGGAAGCCCATTCTACCTCTTACTGTGACTTCTAAGATATTTTCAATGATTTAAGAAAAATTTTGAAAAGCAATGAAGTCAAACAGTTAAAGACACTGCTGCGTGGAGGTTTTCCCTCTGATGGTGAGATGCAGACGCTGCACTCAGAGGAACATGAGCTGGGAAATGGGGAGTCTGAAGAGAAGAGCTGAGTTGCAAACAAATGTCCTTTTTGCTTCCAGCCTTAGCTTTGGTTTTATGATGGATAAGATGTATTTGCATATTATGTCCTCTGTCCAATAGCATATTCCAGACAGGGGTTTCTGGGGGCATGATTAGGAAATAAAATATATTGCTGTACAGTTGACTATGGCAAGCAAAGACTGCAGACCTCAATCACTTAACTTAATATAAATGTTGGAGTTATCACAGTTGGACAAGGATTATGGTGATGTTCTCTACATTTCTATGAAAAAGTCACTATCTGGTAGTGGCCACCGAGCTTTTATTAATTTTGTTATTGCACAGGAGAAGGAAGTCATTTCGAGGCAAGTGTTTGCGCCCTGATATTAGTAAAACTTCAGAGGGCTCAGCCATCCCCTCCCACTGCCATATTTTTAGGAGAAACAGCAGCTGAGGCCTGGAGAGAGGTGATGTGAGATTTGTAGTGAGAGATGGAAAGCATCCTGGAGTTATTCCAAAAAGTGATCAGGTAGAACCTCTATGCCCACGACATAGTGTAAATCCTTTGTAAAACCAACACCCAAAGCATTTGGGGTTTTGCGGTGCTAGTTTCACCACGCAGTGGCTTGATTTTGAACACTGCCCTTTGCAGACCTAGCACCATGGAAACCCAGGCCTTTGCGGAGGACAACGCGGCCTGCGTGCTCCCATCCTGGCTACTGTTCACCAAGTGTGGGTGACCCTGGGAGGCTGCCCTTGCTTGTTTACTTGTTTTTCCTGGCTGTTGATTTCAAAGAAATCTCGGTCAAATGAGAAACCCGCCAACAATTTTGAGGAAATACAGGGATGAGCTTTGGCAGGAATTAGGTACGTTCTCAAAGCAGGCCTTCTGCCCGAAGTCACAGTGAATTTCCAACACCACAGGAGCTCATCTTTCTTTGTCCCTGGTGCAGGGAAAGTAAATAAGAGCACAATTAGTGGAAACCATAAAGAGAATGCTTTGAAACTTGCATCTGAGATCAAGCCAACAGGAGTTTCTGGTAGAGGTGATATTGGAATTTTGAAAAGACAGAAATGTTCAATCCAAAGGACTTTGACTTTGTGCTTATCTCATAAAAGAAGTCATTTGGAGGCTATTTAAATGTGTAAAAGGTACAAAGGCTTTGTGGACCAATTAGTTCTAGGAGGGTTAAAGAGCAAACCCTGCCCAGAGCCGGTGCACCTGCTGGTCCCTCTTCCTGCTTCCTGGAATGCTCTTGTCCCAGATAGCTGTGTGCTTTGCCCTGAATTTTTCTTTCGGTTTCCCGTTTAAATGTCACTTTATCTGCAAGGCCATCCCTTACCACTCTAAGAAGAATTTTTCTTTCTGTCCCCTTGATCCTGCCAGTTTTCAATAACACTAGCATCTGACATTTTATTTTATTAAATGCATATTGCATTGTTTATCTCCTGTTTATCCCTTCCAGAATGTAAATTCTCTGTGACCAGGCACCTGTTTTTTTTTTTTGTTCTTGCTTTTTGAGTCAGAGTCTTGCCCTGGTTGTCCAGGCTGGAGTGTAGTGGTGCCATCACGGCTCACTGCAGACTCCGCCTCTTGGGCTTAAGTGGTCCTCCCACCTCAGCCTTCCGAGTAGTTGGGTTGGCAGGTGGGCACCACAATGCCTGGTTAATTTATTATTATTATTTTTTTGAGACGGAGTTTCACTGTCGTTGCCCAGGCTGGAGTGCAATGGTGCAGTCTTGGCTCATTGCACCTCCCAGGTTTAAGCGATTTTCCTGCCTCAGCCTCCTGAGTAGCTGGGATTACAGGTGCATGCCACCATACCCGGCTGATTTTTGTATTTTTAGTAGAGACAGGGTTTCACCACATAGGCCAGGCTGGTCTCTAAGTTCTGACCTCAGGTGATCAGCCCGCCTCGGCTTCCCAAAGTGCTGGGATTACAGGCGTGAGCCACTGTGCCCAGCTCCAATTTCTAAATTTTTTGTTGGGTCTCACTGTGCTGCTCAGGTTGATCTTGAACTCCTGGGCTTAAGTGATCCTTCCACCTGAGCCCCACAAAATGCTGAAATTACAGGTGTGAGTTACTATGTCCAGCATCCTTGGTATGTGCTTAATAACCAGGACTGAACCAATGTTTGGAGTAGAATTAGTTTGCTTTAATTATTCACTGAATGAATGATTACATAAATGACTAAATAGAAGTTTTAAATGCTAAATTTCTAGACTCCAGAGTTTAGAGTGAATTAGTGTTTGTTTTTTGTTTGTGTTGTATTTAAGCAACTTATTTATACCTCTTCAAAAGGGTATCTTTGGTGTCTTATAAAATGTACATAGAATAATATAAAAATAGATCCTGAAATCAGAGCAAAGAGAAAAATAAGAGTGGCTTCATTCTTGTAGCAGAAAATCTGTATTCTAAAAATACATTTCTAATATAGTCTAAGACAGAGCATGGGAAGTGAAAAACATCACAGGACGATGGTTCTCCAACTTGATTCCTGTGGAAAACGTGTACTCTGGAGGCTGAACCTGGGGTTTTACTATTAAAGTGAGATAATGATCGTTTCCAGGTGCACATACAAGGTTGAGAAAAGGGATAGGCTTTTTTCAATTTAAAAAGTTCCCCAATAACTTTTTCTTAAATCTTTGGAAATTCTACTGCTTCTCTGCTGGAAAGCACTTAAATTGATAAGAAAAACAGTGAACAAGTACCAAACTCTCAACCGAGTACCTTGGAAATAGCTACCTGAGTTAGCCTGACAGCTGGATTTTCATGGACAGCTGTGCTCATAGTTGTGAATTTGTATTGCGTGATTTTAATGTTGCCATACTTTTAATCGCTAAAATAACCCTAGTTCAAAAAACAGAGGTAAACATTGATATTTTATCATGTTTCGTAACTTTCTGATGTTTCATTCCCTAAGTAATTTTAAGAACCCTTGTTTAGACATCTGGCTTTATGGGACAATCAAAAATATGATTTGAGTTCTTTATTTCAGGACAATTTATGCACATAAATGTGCTACAGAAAATAAGGAGGAGTAGGTTTTACTTAAGCCGACTTTGTTTTCTCCTGTGGGATGAAGAGCAGCTCTTTCCATTGATCTGATTGTCCCAAATAATGTTTCAGTGCTTCAGTTCATTTTGACCACGTGGTCACACCCCAAAATGTCAGCCACAACATTACACTGTACACACAAAAGTCCAGATTTACCGCTGTACCTTTGGTCCAACAACATTTATATTTAGCCTCCAATAAAGGCTCAACTTGCTCCAAGAGATTTTTAATGAAGAGCACCATAACATTCCGGTTGCAATTATGCAGTGAATGGCAAATTCCAGAAGCATAAGTAAATCAATGGAGAAAGCACAATGATCCCTTCTACACTAGCATCTGGATTTTTAAAAATCCACATAGCCTCTTCCTTCCTTTCTCCCTCCCTCCCACTCCTCCTTCCACCCTCTCCCCTGCTGGGCATGTGAGGCTTGCTCCAAGCTTGATTCTGAGTGGAGTTTTCGCATTTCTAACCTGCACAGAGGCCGGGTCCAGCCTTAGGTGGCTGTCCCATGGTGGACTTGGGGCTGCCATACCCAGTTCATTTTCTCAACCCTTCACTTCATTTTCGCCCGTTGACACAGGCTTAGTGGGCTCCGGATTTTATTTTTTTTAATTCCAAACGGTTGCCTAACTTTCCCCTTTCGCCTAAACACGATAGAGCTGTCTTTCTTCGCTGGAGCTGCTTGCACGGGCACGGTGGCATTTGCTGCTATTTCAGCTCTTTCCACGCAGCAAATCTGCTTTCCCCAGCCCCGAAGTAAACATCACCTTTTCCCTAGTTGACCTGCCTCTGCTGAAAACACACCCACCCCTTCCTGCTCCAATTACAAACTTAGACTTGACTGTGGGCCAAGTTGCTTTTCCCACAGGAGCAATGTCTCTGCCTCACACTTGGTTTTTCCAAGGGAGGCGGTGACTGAGGCCAGCACAGACAATGCTCCAGCCTTTGTATTTGCTGGGCCACAGAGAGCCACGTAACATTTATTCAGATCCAGTGAAACCTAATGCGAGGAAGCCAAGGGGAAGGTGGTTTCTCCTGCGTGCCATTTTCAAAAGTGTGCGAGCTGTCTGTCCAACTACACATCTCTTTTTAATCATGTCTGCTGAGGTCTGACCTAGATGTGTCCCATCCCTCACTTCCTCTTGGGGTGCCTAAGAGGGTTACCATTTGGGGCGATGACAGGTGTGTCCTGGAATGGGCCCTGTTACACAGGTGGATTGACCTGATCCTGGGTGTGTGAGCAAAGCCCAGTGCTAGCAGATTAGTTATGTCATAAAACATTAGGAAATATTTTATACAGTGGAGATAAGTCGGAGAACTGCAGGCTGCTGGGTTAGGCCAAATCGTTCTGGAAGCAGGGTCAAATGATCTTATATACTGTGTTTGCCTGACTTGGTGGAGTTGAAACTAATGACTCTTCTTCGCTTTGTGGAGCAAAACTTCCAAACTGCATTATATTTTTGGCTCTGACCTTGCACCTGCCACCCCACAGCCCCAGGCATCATTAGACACCAGCACAAGTCATTTTCTGAAGACGTGAACTCCTGTTGTGGTTTATTTGCTTTCATGACCCAAAGACCTGTCAGGCTTTGAGTTTTTCTTGGTAGCGAGTGTTCCCTCTCTGCACCTCAGCTTGTAGAGCTCTTCCATGGGAAGTCACAGAGTTTATACCCAGGGATGTGGCTGCATTGATGCTGCTGGCAGGGGCTGGGGGGAGGGGTGTCCTGTTTCAGCTTCTAGAAAGCTGCCTTTCCCATTGCCTACAACGGTCATTGCATACTTTCACCATTTTCATTTTCCCCCAACTCCTACCTTATCCCTTCCCCACCCTCCACACTGAACACCCAACTGTGATTTTGACTTTTTAAAGGAAACAGATACATCAGGACAAACCCCCTCAACTTTCAGGTTACTTTTCTACCAACTCATTTCTACCTGTTCACATACCTGTTTTAAGCTCATATCAGAGAAGTTATTCCTTTTGCTTTTCAAGAAGGCACTCAATACTGCTTTTTTTCCTATCAATGTATCAACGAATCTGTCATCTTCCCTCTGTTTTCTACCCTTTTGCCACTGTCTTAAAAAGTCAAGAAAAAACCTTCTCTAAACCTTCAATGTTAAATTTCTCCTTAATCCTTCATCTCCTCCTTCTCCTCCTCTCTGTATTTCTGTTTATCACTCATTTTCTACACTCAAAACTTTATTACCGTCATCACGATGGTACTTGCCATTTTATATTCATCTAACACATTTATTGAGCATTTTTTTTTAAATGTCAAAAATGGGGTTGGATCTTGGGGGATAGAAAAGAAAAAGCTACAGTTGTGAAGCATCCATCATTCTCAGCAATTATCTTGTTTATTTATACAATTGCCTATTTGCGAGCATCGAAGTCACAGAGCCTGTGCTTTCACTGCTGTATGTTGGGAGTGCTGGCTGTGGGATAGGGGCTCATAAAAAGCTTTTGAAGGAATGACCGAAGCCATCACCAGGAGTTTACCGTAGAGGAGACATGAGCACCTGATCACAGCTCAACTGTGCTTGTGATGGGGTGTGGGGAATGTCTTCAGAACTGCAGTGGAGAAAGCACTCTGACTTTGCCTACGGGTGGTGGGAGGTTTTCCTGGAGCTACATCTGAAAGGATGAAAAGGAGTAAGTCCAGTGAAGGAGGACCGAGGGAATGGGAACATTCTAGGCAGAGAAAGGGAGCAGAAAGCTCATGAGTGAGGGGCTGAGAACAAACTTGATGCATTCAGGGACTATTTAGCTGAACCAAGCTCGGGGAGGACAAGATGGCCAGGTGTGGACTGGAGGGAGGGAGGTAAAAAAGGTGAGCATGGGCTTTGTACCTCGTGAGTATGGGAGCATGGGGAAAGGAGGCACGTGTTGGCATTGGTGGAGCCCCTCATGAGTATGGGAGCATGAGGAAAGGAGACTCAGGTTGGTATTTGTGAAGACACTCTTGATTTCAGTGCAGAACTCATTAAAATAGTGCAAGATTAAAGCAGGGTGACCTTTCTAGGAAGCCAAGGGAGGGCTAATGATGGTGGGAGCACTGTGATGGTGGGAGCATTGACAGTGATGGTGCAATTGGAGGGAAGATGACAGGTTCAAGCAACGTTGGGCTAAAAACAGACTGACCTTGGAGAGATGAAGGGCTCACTCTGTGGGGAAGGCGAGACGTGGAGGACACACGCCTCTGCTGTATTTTGGAATGAGTTTTACTGTCAAAACAATTGAACCTATGTTATTTATCACTGTTTTTTCTTTTCTTTTTTTCTTTCACAAAACCAGTTGCTGTGCTCTAGTGGGTCAGGTGAGCCAGCTCCTAGGTAAGGAGAGTTGTGTGGGGCTCCTCCCTCAAGCCGCCTGCGCACTTCATTCCAGCCTCTGCACAAGGCTGTGGATTGTGTTTCCCGGTCCAGGTCTGCTGTCCTTTCCTGTCACCAGCATCTCCCAGAGTCTGGCAGGGGGTTTGTGGATCGACAGGTCCACCTGTCTGTGCTTGTGTTTTTATCCTTTTCTGTGCTTTCCTACTTACTCTAGGAAGGAATTGGAAGTGTTTGAGCCAGGCACTGTCAGATACTGTTTTAGTTCTGAAGTACCCTCTGCTTGAAATAACGTTGGGGGGAGCTTGTAACTTGTAGAAGAAAAGGAGGAGGCACTAAAGTGAACCGCTTGGTGTTCAGAACTTCGCAGGCTCTGTGCTTATGTGTATGTGTGTGTACACACCAGCACTGGCTATGTGCAAAGAATGCAGTGTTTGGGGAAAAGCATAGAATTTGGAATCATAAACCTGAGGTTTGTCAGCTATGTAATCGCAGTGTTTGGCCACTCTAAACTTCATTTCCATCAGCTGGAAAATAAGATGAATAAATCATCAGTCCCGGACATCTATGAGGAAGACATGAAATAACTATTGCATGGTAAGTGTTTAGTTCAGTGGGTGATGACAATGATTATGACATACGATTATGGAAAAAGCCCCTTTCCTTCCAAAATCCCCAAAATGAACAAATACATACGTTGTTATGGTATAAATCTGGTTTTCATGTTATACAAGGAGTTATTAGAACAATTTGGAAATTCTTTCCAAATTAAAGCTCTTTCTGTATGTTGATCTAATTTTAAAAATTTTCTGTTTTTATGTATAAAAAGCAATCAGGGCCAGGTACGGTGGCTCACACCTGTAATCTCAGCACTTTGGGAGGCCGAGGTGGGTGGATCACCTGAGGTCAGTAGTTCAAGACCAGCCTGGCTAACGTGGTGAAACGCTGTCTCTACTAAAAATATAAAATTAGCTGGGGGTGGTGGTGCATGCTTATGATCCCAGCTACTAGGGAGGCTGAGCCAGGAGAATTGCTTGAACCCGGGAGGCGGAGGTTGCAGTGAATCAAGGCTGTGCCATTGCACTCCAGCCCCGGTGACAAGAGTCAAAACTCTGTCTCCCGCCTCCCCCCCAAAAAAAACGCAATCAGCCATGATTATAAAAAAGGAAAAATGTGTTACTGAAATTTACTTAAAATGTTGACAAAAAGATGACAAAATAATACTCTGGAATACAAGCCTAGTATAAATGTTTTTATTTGTTGCATTTACAATTTAAAGCAGAAACTTGTTTAAGTTTTTGCATCGCACATAGCCAAAAGGAGGATGTGGGCGAAGTGGCCAATGTCATTGTTTAGGCCCTGTGCCTGGAATGTGGCGCTCCCACTGGTCCTGCTCACAGCTCTGCCATGCCCCCTGACCTTGGTGTGCTGTTTCACAAGAGCATGCCCTGGTGCAGGATGAGGGACAGGTGGCTGGAGAGGATGGGCAGTCAACACAGTCCATCCTTGTGTTTGGAAACACATGTTCACTTGTGTGCAATGTTGGGATTCGTGGAGAAGCTGGCTGGAAAGTTGGTAAAGTATCCAGAAGACAAGGTTTTGCCCCAGCTACTCATCATCTGAACAGCCAGGTAGATTCTACTTTGCAGACTGAGCCTAAGCCTTGAACTCTATCGGGAAATAAACAGAGATGGTGAACTGCGATGGAACCCAAGTGCAGTTAGTTACAGCAAACACATCTCATGTGAATACATAACTCCGTTGTGAATACATAACTCTGTTTTCCACCCTTAATACCCATCACATCTAACCCCAATACATCCAGGAAGTATGTAGGGTCTCCACGACACAGACCATCATTGATGTCCTTGTCTGATGAGGGCAGGGGAAGAGCTGATAAAACACCTGGAGACAATTCTGCTTGGAGAAGGTAGCTTGGAGACCCTTGCCTTGCTTCTGAGCATGACAACCAGCACCACTGCTCTGGGCCCTAATGGCACATGCCCCCATTGCTGAACCTTGGCTCTATGGTTCATAGGTTACAATTAGCACTATTGTGTAATTCTGTGTTTTCTAGTTAACTGCACACCGTCTTGGCTCTTCACCATGTACGATATTCCTTATTTAGTCCCTGGACCTTCTCATCTGGACCCGTTATTACCTCTTCCCCTTTCGTGTCCCATCTCTGCTTCCTAAGCCAATCAAAGCTCCCCATATGGGCTGAGGCTTCAGCTTCTCCACAAGGTTCCCTCCCAGAAAGTACCTTATCTCCATAAACTGAAGTGCTATTCCATCCTCAAATCCAGTCCCAGATGCCCTCCACTCAGGAGTCAGCTCTTTTTTTTTTTTTTTTTTTTTTGGTAGAATTTGCCTATATCTCTCTTATGGTATTGATCATTTTATAGCTGGTGGGGTTGGTATTTGTGGATGTGTTTTGGCATTCCTTCTGGACTGTAAACTGCCAAGAACATGACCATGTCTTGGTTTTTTAAAATACTTTTCAACATTTATCACACTGTTTTTCCCATTATAGGTGCTTAGGAACTTTATTGTAGGGATGGCAAGGTCGACTCCTTTGTTCTTGCCTCAGTCTGAGTGTTTATGCCATAAAAACAATGTCTGTGCAACAATGGCAACAACAACAAGAAGTTACACACAGTTTTATTTCCTTTTTTAGTCTCTACCTAAAAAGTTTGCACTGAAAATTGGACCATAGAATGCCTAAAATTCATTCATTCAACAAATACATATTGATTATGCACCTACTATGTTCCAGGTACATTAACGTATGCCTCCCCCGCCCCTTCAAAAAAAATCCCTGCCTTATTAAACTTATATTCTGGAAGAAGAAGACAGATAATAAACTATAGACATAATAAGTACATAATGCAGTATGGTAGAATATCATAAATATTGTACACACAGGAAAACAAAGATATGGGTGATGCGCTAAGGGCAATCTTAAGCAGGGTGGTCAGGCTGAACCTGATTGAGACAATGTGACAATTCAGATACAGAGAGAGGTGAGCAAAGTTTGCATTTAATATGATAATTGTTCAGAGGCATAAATGGAAAAGAATTTCTATTTGGAATGTAATTTGTAAATAAGGCTTGTGGGTTTTCAACATTAGCTACTTTTTTCTTTAGCCTTTATAAGTCTGCTAGAAATAATGAAATCAATTGAATAATGAGGTAGAGTTTTTATTATAAAGGGGAGATTTATGAACCCACAATAAATGGCTTTGAATCTTAGTTTTCAATCAAGGACCAGAGTACCTAATATTTAATCTGTCTGTCTGTCTATCTATCTATCTATCTATCATCTATCTATCTATCTGAGTGGATTCTCTTTAGTCTTCTTTCTCATCTCTAATCTACCTGGATGTTGTTTTGCTATTTTAGTTTCCTAGAATAGCATTTCCTCTTTGACTTTTCCTTTTAACTCTGCTTTTTGTCTTTGTGGTGACTAATTGATGTGTTAAAAAAATAATATTTATAATATTTGTATTGCATTTCATCACAGCTCTGTAGTTAAAAAGTATAAAAATTGTTTTCAAAATAAATAGGTTTAATAATACATAAAGCCAAGGCTCGAGATGACTATTTTTCATTACAAAAATAGTCATTTAGATAATTGACTTTTCATTTAGATAATTATTTTCATTTAGATAATTGTAGATTCACCTGCAGTTGCAAGAAATAATACAGAGAGACTTGAGGTACCCACTTGCCCCCATGGTGATATTTTGCAAAAACATGGTGGAACTATTACAGCCAGGATATGGGCGTTGACACAGTCCACTGATTTTATTCAGATTTCCTCAGTAGTGCCAGTAGTGTGTGTGTGTGTGTGTGTGTGTATGCATGTGTATTTGCGAGTGTGTGCCTGCATGTGTATACATGTGTGCACATGCATGTGTGTACACGTGCCTGTGTGCACACGTGTGTGCATGTGTATGTGTGTGTCTCTGTGTGTGTTAAGTTCTATCCACTTCTCTCCTGTGTAAGTTTTTATATTCACTACCAGAGTCAAGACACTGAACAATTCCATAGCCTCTTCCCTCTCACCCCACTTCCCCCATCCCTAACTTCTGGGTACCGTAATCTGTCTTCCATTTCTAAAACTTTGTCATTTCAGAAACGTTACAAAAAAAGAATCATATGTCATCTTTGAGAATTAGATTTTTCCACTCAGCATAATTTTCTGAAGATTCATTCAACGTGTTGTATTAGTACTTGGTTCCTTTGCGTTTCTGAACGGCAGTCCTCAGTAGGGAGGTACCATGGTTTATTTCACCAATCAGCTGTTAAGGATGCCTGGGCTGATTCCACCATTGGGCCATTGGGTGATGATGAATAAAGCTGCTCCGTACATTCCTATACAGCTTTCCATGTGATACATAACATTTGCTTTCATAATTACTCTTGATTAAGATTCAGAATTTGAATGTTGACCTTGAATTTTAACATAATTTCTCTGTCCTTATGTAAAATTGGCTTTAGTAAAATTGGTTGCCAATTTGTGTTCAGATGTATATGGATAAGGAAACTTTCCAAAGCAAATATATAAAATGTTTGACAGAAGTACAGAAGTATTAATTACATTTTAAATTTTTATAGAGAACCTCAATGAATGAAATTGGGGATTTTATAGCATTAGGTAGGAAATTATATAACAATGGAATTTGTTTTTAAATAGAAACATTGTCATAACTGTTCTTAAATTAAGGGGTTGAATTGTGTCCCCCAAAATGCTGAAGTCCTAACTCTCCATGCTCACTCACCAGTGTGACCTCGCTTAGAAGTTGAGTCTTTGCAGATGGTTAAGGTGAGGCCATTAGAGTGCCTCTAGTAGAATATTACTGATGTTTTTATAGAACGGGAAAATTTGGACACAGAGACACCTGTAGAAGAAGATGATGTGAAGACACACAGAGAGAGGACAGCCACCTACAAGCCAAGGGAGGCCAAGGCCAGAAGACACTGGGAGAGCACGGGGAACAGATTTTCCCTTGGAAGGATCCGGTGACTTTTTTTTTTTTTTTTTGAGACAAGGTCTTGCTCTGTCACCCAAGCTGGAGTGCAGTGGTGCAATCATGTCTCGCTGCAGCCTCCGGCTCCCAGGCTCAAGGGATCCTTCCACCTCAGCCTCCTGAGTAGTGGGGACCACAAGTGTTCCCCAACATTCCTGGCTAATTTTTGTATTTTTTGTAGAGACACGGTCTCTCTATGTTGCCCAGGTTGGTCTTGAACTCCTAAGCTCAAGCCATCTGTTTGCCTTGGCCTCCCAAAGTGCTGGAGTTACAGGTGTGAGCCATGCTGTCTGGCAGATCCAACACCTGAATCTCAGACTTCTAGCCTCTAGAACTGTGAGACAATACATTTCTGTCATTTAAGCCTCTAGTTTGTGGTACTTTATTATAGAAGGGTCAGGAAACAAATATGATATATTATTCTGCATGTATAGAAACTTTAAATTTCTGACTAGTCTATCAAAGCAACACTTTTTACTTTATCTGTTCTCAAGACTTAAAAAATAACCTTGCATGTATGGAATTTGGATTGGAGTTTCTCCTTCCCATCTCTTTAGGAATCTTTCTCAGTAGCACCCCTGCTGTGTTTCTCTGTTGTTTTACCTATATATTTAGACAGATCCCAAATTATGAGGAAAAGACAAAACAATAAAAAAGCAAAAAGAAAACAAAAGACTAACTTTTGATTTTTGCCATCCCCCAATTTACAGCCAATCCCTTATCCCTTCCTGCCCATTGATGGTTGGAATTTTTTTTTTTTTTTTTTGAGATTGAGCCTTGTTCTGTTGCCAGGGCTGGAGTACAGTGGCGCGATCTCGGCTCACTTCAACCTCTGCCTTCTGGGCTCAAGCGATTCTCCTGCCTCAGCCTCCTGAGTAGCTGGGATTACAGCCATGTGCCACCACACCCAGCTAATTTTCTGTGTGTGTTTTTAGTAGAAACGGGGTTTCGCCATGTTGGCCAGTCTGGTCTTGAACTCCTGACTTCAAATGATCTGCCCGCCTCAGCCTCCCAAAGTGTTGGGATTACAGGCGTGAGCCACCATGCCTAGCTTTTGGATTTCTTAATAAATAATCTGTCCCAACATGAGGCAGAGGAAGCTGAGGTCTACCAGATGTCCGTTTTCCTTCCTAGGTGCAGAATTCTCAGTGCTTAGCTGAGTGCGTCATCATCTGGGATAAAGGCTGCATCTCCTAGTCTTGCTTACACTTATTTGTGGTCTTCTGATTAAATCATGGCCAGTGAGATGGGTGTGGGAGTAAGCGTGCCCGTAAAAAGCTATGAGAACTAGGTACTGTAATTTGGGAACCATAGATCTATCCACTGTAGTTTGGGAACCATAGGCCTATCCTCTGCAGTTTGGGAAGCTTGGATTTATCTACTTTCTTATCATCTACTCACCCCATCTCCTTGAATGACTGACGTTGCTTGCTGAGTGTCACTAGGAACCACATTACTGCCCAGTCTGATGGCTTTCTTAATCTATTAGCCTCTGCAGTTTCTGCAGAGTCTGACCCAGTGGAAACTCTCCATTTCCGGAAAGCTCCATCCTGAGGCTCTTTTGCTTCATCTCTCTTGCTTCCACTGGTTCTTTTTCTCCTTCCCAACCCCTAAATGTTGTTCTCTCAGGCTTTTCCCTTAACCCTCTTTTCTCATCTAGTCTTTCCTCAATCTAAGCCAATTGCATCCATTCTAAGATGTCAACTTTCATTCTAGGCAAACGACTTCCACATCCCCAGTTTAATCCCTCTGACTGCTGAACCCTAGTCCATGTTTTCAACTGCACGGTATCCATCTCCACCTGAACCCCCACCCTTGCCTTTGACATAAACTATTCAAAGCATTTGAACTCAACCTTGCTTTCAAATGAGCTCCCCTTTTACCTGTTTCTTGCAGAAGCCTTGAGCCCTTGCTGCCCAATTCTCGGCCTGAGAGTTACCCCAGTGCCTCCCCCCAACCCTCCCATTCCCTTCTCTCTGTTTCACCCTCATTCCAACCCCATCTGCCTTTGGGTTCCCTTGATTCACAGATGGGTTGTACCTCTAACTCCTGGCTATTCTTTTCTACCTCCAGTTTTTTGTTTCTCCAATCCATCCCTGCCAGATCAGATTTTCTGAAATGCAGTTCTAATCTGATTCTCCCTAGCAAAACCTTACTTCAAGCCCAGCCTTTTCACCCTATTGTGTGAGCTTCTCTCTTCAGTTCTGGCAGGATCTATAATGTGCACCACCAACGGGAGGTGTGCGGCCTGAGTCTTCTCGGCTCAGCACGTTTGCTTGTTTGTCCTTCCTCCAGCCCAAAATTACCACAAAAGTTGTTTTTTATCCAACAAACACCTTCAGAGCCACTTATTATATGCCAGGCACTCTTCTAAGCAATTTGTAAATATGAATTTTTTTTAATCCTCATAACAGCCTAATACCAGAAGTTCTATTGTTATTCCCATTTTACAGAGAACACTGAGGTAAAGAGAAGTTGAATAACTTGGCCCAGGTCCCCAGTGTTCTGTAAGTGGCAGAGCTGGGGTTGGAGCACGAACCCATACTGTTACCAGTGAAAGCAGTGTACCAAAATTTTAAGTAGAGATCACTGTTCTGTAACTCATTAAGTTTTTTTAAAAAAATAGTAATTATCCCTTAAAACCATTACAAAAACAGAGAATGAAGAATTAAAAAAAAATAGATTTGTTGTAAATCCCCAGAAAGAAAATTAAGCAGGTCTCCATCAAAGACTCATAATAGAGGAACTCAAAATTTTGGTCTTCTAAAAGAAGACATGGACTTTGGTTACTATTATTGTTTAGGTTTTTCTCCAGTGGTGATGAAGTAAAAGGAGACTTTGACCTTTTCATAGACCTTATAAGTTGGGCTCTGGCATTTACTGTTTAATGCTCTAAAGGTTCAATATACAAAATGTAGAATAAAAAAATCATCTTGCCCTGGGTTGCCATCTCTGACAGCTGTGCTTTGATTATTGTGGCAGTGCTAAGAGGTTCATGTGGAGGTGGGAGTGCTAGGACAAGACAGCCTGAGTTAAATTTCAATCCTCACACTTACCAGATCTGTGTACAGGTGTCATCACCTGTCAAATAGAGGTGATACCAGTGGCTACCTTACTGAGGAATGGGAGAGTTCCACTGAGGTAATATGAGTAAAACAGCTCTTAACAGGCATAAGCACTTAAAAACGGTAATTATCATCATGGCGTGATGTATTTGCCCATGTTCACACTGCTTGAAAGATACTACCTGAGACTGGGTAATTTATAAAGAAAGAAGGCTTAATTGACTCACAGTTCTGCATGACTGGGGAGGCCTCAGGAAACTTACAATCACGGTGGAAGATGAAGAGGAAGCAAGGCAAGTCTTACATGGCGGCAGGAGAGAGAGAGCGTGCAGGGAAAACTGCCACTTTTAAACCATGAGAACTCACTATCATGAGAACAGCATGTGGGAAACCTCCTCTGTGATCCAATCACCTCCCACCAGGTATGTCCCCCCCTTGACACAGGGGGATTACAATTAGAGATGAGATTTAGGTGGGGACACAGAGCCAAACCACATCACATGCTATTCAATAATAATAGAATTGCTCTGCAAAATAAAAAAAATGAAGCTAACAAATTTTGCTTATAACTTTGCAGGAGTATTGGAAGTTTTTATTCCTACTGCCAACAAAGACTATTTATCTGGTATACTCATAGTGCCTTTAAAAAATTACACAGCACTGCCCTGTTTATTTTTAGTTTTGTAATAGAATTCATGGATTGGTTGTTCATAGTCTTTACTATGGCATCATGAGCCTTAAGGAAAGAACAAGGAGATTTCTGAGAGTCCCAGCGGGTTATACTGTGAATTTTACTCATGTTATTCTTACACTGGGAACAGCAAGGAACTTGACTTGACTTTTACCCTGGCAGACAATCTTGAAACAGTTTTTCAAATAAAAGATGTTATTTTTAACAGGAAACAACTGATACTAAAGATCTGACTCAGACTTTACTCTCCTTCAAATGATGTTTGAAGTTCAGCTTGTCTGCAGCTGTTCATTATGTGCCTACTATGTGCAGGCCTGGAGGTAAACAAGACTCAGCCTTCATTATCAGGGGCTCATACTCCAGTGGAGAAGCCAGATTCATCAACAGATGATTTCCAAGAAGTGTGGGGAGCACACATGGTCCCAGAAACTGGGAATCCAGGAGATACTCATTGCACTGTCCTTTAGGCTGAAATTCAAGTTGGAGCTTCCTCCTTGAGTCCCTTGTCAGTTTCTGCTTCTATGTAGCTGACTGTCCATCTGAGAGGACGCATCCCCTATCTGAGGTCATCAAAAGACCTGTGGCAGCCAGGATTCAAGCCCAAGTGTCCTGTCTCCTAGCTCTATGCTTGGGCACACCAAGCATAGAGCTTGGGTAGAGATGTTGGGACAAAAACCAAGTCAAATAAACAAAAAACCCAGTTCTTACATTTAAGGATCCGTAGAGCCTACAACATAGTTTTGTGTCTCAAATTTAAGCCACAAAGTTCTGTTAACCGTCATTCATCTAGCATATAGTTGTTAAATTTCTCGTATGTGGCAGGCATTTTTTTCCAGGTCCTAGAATTTAGAAGAGGGAACGATGAATTAATCAGAGATTGCTGAGATAGAGACAAACCAACCAACCAACCAAACAACCAGCCAGCCAGCAAGCAATTAGCCCTCGCTGTGCACATCCTTCAGTGATTATGGTCAGCAGAATGTGGAAGGAATTCATTTGTTTATTTCTTTTGAGGGATGAGAGAGTTGAGGATTAGCCTCTCCAGGAATTGGCATCAAGAATCAACAGGGCAAAGCTGAAGGATAAGCCACAATTAGGCAGGATGCAGAGGTGAGACTGAAGGGAGAGAGGTCAGAACCCAGAGAGGAATGTATGCATGGATCATTAAGGACTGGAACTGGCAAACATCTTTGTAGATAATAATGGGAAACTAGGTATAAACAAGGGAAAACTAGGAAACTATACAGGTTCTAATAGAGAGTCCGTTGTCGCCCTGGGAAGTGTGCTTTTTTTCTTTGACTTAACCACCGTAGAGCGGCTCACAAGGAGCACAGATCCACTGAAATGCCTGACGATTGGGAGAGACGAAATCTCTGTTGTCTGTTTATATTCTTATTTTATTAGGTCTGTTTCATGTCTTCAAGATCCACGAGTGTAGGACACGATGCCATTTCCCCTGTATGTCTTCGGTTTCTAAGCAATTAAGAAATATAATTTCTTTCTCAACATTTACTGATGTGGAAATTTGGGGATCTGAGCCAGGGGGCTTGCCATCATCCGGTCATTGGAAAAGTGCATAAGGGAACACAAAGCTAGAGTACCTAGGTTGGGAAATCTGCTTGCCTGCAAATCCAGCTCAAGTTGGCCAGGAAACCCTGCCCTATAGATGGCAAAATGTAAATCCCCTGAGACTAGTTAAAGACAAACACATTTCATTGAGTTGGGGTTTTGTTACAAAATAGGTAAACGTGCATGGTTTCCAGGCCAACGTTATTCAGACTACTAAGGTCTTGACCAAGTTGGCAGTTCTTTCTAGAGGCCTTAGTTCCACTGGAATTAGCAGGTTCATTAAAACTAAAACTCAAAGAGGGACATGTCAGCTAGCCAGGAAACTGAGTTGACTAGGTCCTCTTGAAGGTTTCATTGTAACATTGGGTACCCATCCAAGTCCTAGTGGCCTTTGTCTCAGATTGCTGCATAAAAGTGGCTCAACATGAAGGCCAATGTGAAGACATATTGGATAAGGGAATTCATTTCTGTTTCTTTCTGCCACCGCCCCTCATTTATTTTATCACCATAAAGATGTAATTCACATATCATGATACCAACTTTTAAAAGGAGTGTAGTTCAGTAGTTGTTCGTGTATTCACAGAGTTGGCAACCATCTTCACCATCTAATTTCAGAATGTTCTATCATCCCAAAGAGAAGCCCCATAGCCATGACACCCCATTTCTCTTGACTCCTAGTCCCTTACAACTACTAGTCCACTTCCTGTCATGATTGACTTGGGTACTCTGGATATTTCATATAAATGGAATCATACGTTATATGTTGTGTCTGGCTTCTTTCACTTAACGTAATGTTTAAAGGTTCATGCACGTTGTAGTGTGTGCTAGCACTTCATTTCTTTTTTATGACTAAATAATATTCCATTAAAGAGATATATACCACATTTTGTTTCCTCATTTTCTAACTTTTCAGTAAGAATTTAAAAAAACACACCAATACAATATGCTGTCTTTTAACATGCTAGCCCTAACATGGTAATGCCTGGAATATTGTCCACGAATTTCTCTGGTGTTTCTTTGGTGACTTGTTTACTTCCTCAGTGATGTTGCACTGTTGTGTTCTGACCCTGTCTGAGTCCTGTCTGTTCTCTGGCTTGAGAGTGGCTTTGACTGAGCTTTGGGATAGGACTGCTGTTGGTCTGCAGTTATCACGTTCAGACTTTATCTGAGATGCGGACTTTGGGCCAGATAAATGCAGGATTTTCTGAACTCACTGGTGAGGAAAAGCATTTGCTACCGCTGGTTCTTCGACAGCATATAACTTTCCCTAAGTCAGGAGTGCGTGTGTGTGGTTGCTGGGTGTGGGTGAAGATAATCAATTTTATGCTTCTGATAACCTTTCAAGATTTGCAGCAAAAGAACTTGGTGGCCCTGAAGACTCTTTTTCCTCTTCCCATTCCTGGGTCTAACAGTTACAGTCATGGCTGTTCTGAAGCTGAGCACTTGGTGGTGTCCATGACTTTAATAACATGTGCTGGGAGCGGTGGCTCACGCCTGTAATCTCAGCACTTTGGGAGGCCGAGGTAGGCGGATCACTTGAGGCCAGGAGTTCGAGACCAGTCTGGCCAACATGGTGAAACCCCGTCTCTACTAAAAATACAAAAATTAGCCGGGCTTGGTGGTGGGCACCTGTAGTCCCACCTACTAGGAGGCTGAGGGAGGTGAATCGCTTGAACCCAGGAGGCGGATGTTGCAGTGAGCAAGATCTTGGCATTGCACTCCAGCCTGGGTGACAGAGCGAGACTCCGTCAAAAAAAAAACAACAAAAACAAACAAACAAAAAACAAAAAAAACCCTAAACAGTGCTGGGGACAGGCACCACAACTTAACAGGGCATCTGCCCTGTGAAGCCACAGAGGTAGGTGGTGGGTGTCTTGAGGTGGGGGGAGAAAGGCAAGATTGCTGCTGGGCAAAGTGGAGACAGTGAGGTTCAAGCCACCATGCGTCCCAGCAGGTGTGGAGGTCACACCACTCAGCAGGTGGAGGATGCACCGTCACCCACTGTGAGGCAGGGACCTTCCTGTGGGTTCACAGAGGAGCCCTCCAGCAATGGAGTAACACTGCAGCTGGCTGCTCTGCTCAGGGTCGCAGCCCAGGGTAGAGTGGAAGACAGAGGAGCAGGCTGGTGAGGACAGGCTGCTGAAGGCTTCCACTTTAGTCTTCACATCTAACTCGGGGCGGCTTCATAGCAGGGAGATAGTCAGCAAGAACTTCCAAATCATTTTCAAAGTCTATCAGGAACATTTCTGGCTCAGAATCTCACGCTCCCTCCTTTCCAGAGCTACGTTCCTTTGTATTTTCTATAGAAGCAGACGTAGGATCTAAGCATATGTCTCTGAGGGTGCCTGGACTAAGAAATCCAGGAGATTCAGTGAAGAATTGTGTTATGTTTTTTTTTTTTTTTTTTTTTTTTTTTTTTTTTTTTTTTTTTTGTCGTATGCTTGGCAGAGAGCAGGTAATTGGGCCCATCATTATTTAGGGCTAAAAATTTGTTGATTTGAGATTTTTTGGGATTGGCTAAAACCTACTTCAGAACAACATGGGAAGGAAAAGAAAAGCTATCTTTGTTTCAGGAATGCCGGGCTTCAGCTTCCCTGGTGAGTAAATGAAGAAACTGCCTGCGACTGCTTGGCCTCAGACTGCCTTGCGAAGGCTCCTTCTGGCACAATTTGGGCTTTGAACTTCTCCCTTAATTTCTGAATCTGTGTTGTGATAATTGGCTTTGGAAAGGTTACGAGAGGTTGACTCTGGCCTGACACGGAGGCTCTAGCCAATGCCAGAGAGGTAGGCTTGGTGCCAGAGCTCACCTCAGACCCACATCTCCAGGGAGTGACAGGAACAGAAAATCAGCCAAGCTACTGTGACCCAGTCGTTCAGCAAATGTCGGAGCGTTGCAATGCCTGCCCCCACCCTACCCCAGAGCAAGGCTGGGCACCTGAACACTGTGTGGGGTACTCTGCGTCTGTGCTCTGGGGAAGGGGGCTGTGAAATTCACCTGGAGATCTGTTTTAAGACCTGCGCTTTCGAAATGCTCTCAAACTCTTTTATCAAGACAGTACAGCTTGGACAAATGTCCACAATAGAGAAGCAGTGACATCCCTTGGACCTCCGGGAACAGCAGCCCTGTCTGTCTCTGAACGGGCCTTCCTCCCTCAGGCTCCTCTCACCCCTCGGGGCTGCCCTCAGGGGAGGATGGCCTCACCCAGTGAAGGTTAACTGGGCCCTTTGTTTGCAAATGGCAGGACAGGAGCTGGTGCTAGCTGATCATGAGGCTTTTTACAGCATCAAAGTGCTGCAGTTTACTAAGAAATCAGGAAAGCATATTCCAAAACAGGGTTGTCTTCTAGGAAGGAACAGAGAGGACTCTGCCTTTCTACTTTCAGGCATCCAGCCCTGTATGCTCCACCAGGGTATCTGTGAGGAGAGGCAGCGTGAGCAGGCCCAGTGGAAGCAGGGATGGAGAAGGAGGGGTCTCCCATAACTCACTGCAGATGCTGAGTATAATTAAAATGTGAATTACATGTGTCTAACATGGTAAAGAGGCTCAGGTAACTGAGCGAGGTTTTCTCCTTGAAGGTAGAAATGTCTGTGTAAGGAGGTCATTCCACCTTTTGGGCTACCTTTAAATGAGTGTTTTTGAAGTGGTATTCTTTAAAAAAAATTTTTTTAAATGCAATCTGTCCTTGTTCTCTTTAAAGCAAATATCTACAGAGATGTTTATCACATTATCATACCTCTGGTTGGAAACAATATTTTTGACTTGATGGATTTTATATTTTCACTATTAGAAGCTACTCCTTTATTCCCAAGTATAAAATTCTAGCTTCAAAGTAAATGCTTGGCCAATCAACACCAAATAAGGCAGGAAAAAAAAAAAAAAAACGCAGAAAACTCACAAAGCCTCAGATTATAAGGGGCCTAGTCAGGTTTCAGAAACTCTAGTCCAAACAGGCATTCCTAACCTAGCCCAGGCAGCTCTTACCTCAGGCACTTAGCAACGCGCAGGCCTTTTGAATTTGCTTAAAACTATTAAGAAGTAATTAAGTAGTTAGAGGGTCTTTTTCAGCCCTGAGGTCCAGGAGGTGGGCTAAATGAAAGAAAACAAGCGCAATCGCTCAGCCTTGTCTTCCTTCTAGCTGACCTTGCACGCTAATAAATTCATCCTGTATTTTTCTGCTACTGCCAATTTATGGCCTACAGGAAACTAATCTTGTACAATAACTACCTTCCTGTACTTAGTTCCTAAATAGAGCCAAATGGATTTGGTGGCGGAAGAGCTCCCCAGCACTTCCTGTGAGGCAGTTGCTGAGCCCAGCAAGATCTGATAGAGGCTTGATGCGCTTATCGACTCTGACGATATAATTATGTTCTTGTTTTGGCTGCCCTGCACTTAAGCACAGAAAATAAAAAAGCAATCCTCTGTACAACGCCTACCACAATGATTTAAACTTCAAACTGGAGGGTAAGATGTGTATTTGAAACAAGCCACGTAGGCACAGTTATGGTGAATTTAGGGAGTGAAACACACAGGTGATCAATATTTCACTGGAGTCTTTGATATAAAATATATATCTGCTCTGTGATTTCAAAATATTCACAAAGGAGTAAATTTTTTAATGAGCTAATGAAAGAACTGTGTTTTCATTTCAAACGGGAAGAGAGGGAGAAAGAGAGAGAGAATAGAAATATAGAGCCATTTCTTCAGTAATAGTTTACAACCAGTTTGCCACAGGCTTGGATTAAAGTAAGGAAAGGCTGTCAAAACGCAGGGTAACCTGTGTGATATCTTTTCAGACCCTCAAATAGCTCAAATACTACGCTGGGAAAACTCAGAGTTTGTCCTTTAAAGAACCTGAAAGTGTTTAATCTTTGATAAGTGCAGGCTCCTCAGGCTTTGCCGCTTCCCCACACCGGATTTGCCTGCCACTCACCCATACCGATCTGATGACTTCATGTGGACACGGATCGGTCCCGTATGACAGCGTCTTCTTCCTGTGCTCATTTATTCTAGAACTATAGCAAAGCTGCTAATGCAAAGGGAAGCCTTCTACAAAAAGGATGAAGAAATCACCCTGACCAAGAGACCGAAGCAAAGATGAAAGGAAGGCATAAATAATCGCAGCTCGGGTCCGATGAGACTTATTGCTGGGGCTTTCAGACCTAGAGAGGTAGCAGGGGCGGGGTGGGGGTGCCTGTACGCGGGGGCGGGGTGTCCCACCCAGTTGACCTGGATTAGAGCCCATGGGGCTGCATTCCGGGCTTCCGTGTTTCCCAAAGTTATGTGGTGGCGGGGGGCCTGGCTGTTAAGGATCTGGGGATGTGGTTACCTATGGCCTCTGAGGGTGACACCAGCTGTCCAGCACTGTGAAATCAAACAATGGTAGTGGGCCAGAAAGATGGCTTAGCTTCCTCCTGAGTATGAGCAAGTTTCCGTAACTGTGAATCATCCTTCCCCAACCATAAAAGTGGGCATATTAATACCTGTCTTGTAAGAATCCTGTGAAGATCAGGGATAACAAATGCAACTTAATAAAAGTAACCTGTTATGTGTTGGCTGGTGATGCCATAAATGTATTTTGTAAAATCTTTATAATGGTGACTAACCAATATATTATTATTAATAGCAATAGGAGTATTGTCTGATTCAAAGGGCGCATTTAGATTGTGGTAATTCTGTGTGTGGCTGGATGGGAGACTGGAGGGGGCTGGAGGTTTTAGGATGAGTGGGACAGGGATTATTAGAAGTGGCTAATAAAGAGATCAAAGAAGTAACTTTGTTCCTAATTTTTAAAATCATCATTCTACCTCACTCTCCTAAAAGTGATGAGGATCATAATATTTATGCCTTACGTTTATACAGGACTTTATACTTGAATATCCCTTTTACATCTCTGGTCCGTTTTAGAAATTTGAGCCTAAACATGGGAAGCAGAAAAAAAGTCAATGTGGAAAAGCACTGTGCCCATCCCAGTTTGGCCAGAATGATTTCAGATTGTTATCAAGAAAGGGAATAGCGGCAGCATGGTTTGGTTTTCCTCTCTCAAGAGGACTGGACACAGGGAAGGAACAGGAAAAAACCTCCTGAGCAAAGCAAGGTTCCAGAACAGACTAGTTCAAAGCCTACACATGGTTAGTGCTCCGTGGAGGTGCCAGCTCACGGTTGGTGCACCGTGGAGGTGCCAGCTCATGCTTAGTGCACCGTGGAGGTGCCAGCTCACGGTTAGTGCACCGTGGAGGTGCCAGCTCACGCTTAGTGCACCGTGGAGGTGCCAGCTCACGCTTAGTGCACCGTGGAGGTGCTGACTCATGGTTCGCGCACAGCAGAGGCTCTGCGTTTTGGGATTCGTCTGTTCTAATTGTAGCCTTTCACTTACTGCCCTAAGACTGGCATGGAAACTATGTCTTTGAGTGATGAAAGGGCATCCGGTGTGTGGAAGCTCCTTGCAGAGTTTCTCCATATTGTCTCCTTGATAGAATGTAGCTTACTGCTGGCTTGCTTTGCACATGGCAGTCACTCGGTGCATGCTGGTGGAATAATTGAATGGAAGCTCCAGGGCCATCACCTGCACACAGTCCCCCGGAGGCCCTTTCTTCTCTCATATCTCAGCTTCCCACTGCTCAGCTTGATGTCAGGGAGACATCCTTGGTCTCCAGGAGGTGAGAGGGAACAGAACACTAACACCCCAGTGAAACACAGATTGACTTATTGTTTAGCAGCAACCAGGCAGGCATGGGCTCCCTCCCCGCTGCCAGCATCCACACGCACCTCCTCCGTAGCCATGGTAATATTTCCCACATGCCACAAGTCCGTGACATGGTCCTAATGAATAGAATGCTTTATGTTTAGCCCCAAACGTGGTCATTATCCATATATTTGAAAGAAAAGGCTCAAACAAAAACAAGGACGCCTGATGCGAAGCTCCCAGCCTGTGGGTTCTTTGCCATGGGCCTATTGGATGGGAGGTTTGGGCTGCAAGACAAGCTGTGACTTTACCTCCTTGAATGTGCTGATTCTAAAGAGTCGATTTCAATCTAAGGAAGGACATTGGGGGGATTGGAAAAAGTGAAGAGATTGTACAGAAGCTCACAGCTAGCAGGTGATGGAGGCTGAGCCCAGGAGTGCTTTTTCCACTCTCCCAGGCTGCTTAAAAAATAAATTGTATTTGAATGTGCTCACATTAATTTTGCTACCAGTTTACTGTCGTCAAAATAGTGTCAATGAATGCAAGTTCTTAAAAGACCTGCAAGTCCCACCTGGGAGGTGGGGCAGCACAGGACATGAGGAGTTGGTGGTGAATGAGAATTTGAGAATGTTCAATTCATCCCTCATTAGCCATGTGATCTCAGGCAGCCCGCTGATCATTTCTGTGTCTCAGGTTCCTACTCTGTGAGGGAGAGAGAGAGAATAATTGCACCCCCTTTGAATGTAAGCATCTCCCTTAGGAGATGAATACACACGGTGGAGTGACAGTAGCCAAGTTTTTTTTTTTTTATACTTTAAGTTTTAGGGTACATGTGCACAACGTGCAGGTTAGTTACATATGTATACATGTGCCATGTTGGTGTGCTGCACCCATTAAGTCGTCATTTAACATTAGGTATATCTCTAAATGCTACCCTCCCCCCTACCCCCACCCCACAACAGGCCCCAGTGTGTGATGTTCCCCTTCCTGTGTCCATGTGTTCTCATTGTTCAGTTCCCACCTATGAGTGAGAACATGCGGTGTTTGGTTTTTTGTCCTTGTGATAGTTTGCTGAGAATGATGGTTTCCAGCTTCATCCATGTCCCTACAAAGGACATGAACTCATCATTTTTTATGGCTGCATAGTATTCCATGGTGTATATGTGCCACATTTTCTTAATCCAGTCTATCATTGTTGGACATTTGGGTTGGTTCCAAGTCTTTGCTATTGTGAATAGTGCTGCAGTAAACATACGTGTGCATGTGTCTTTATAGCAGTATGATTTATAATCCTTTGGGTATATACCCAGTAATGGGATGGCTGGGTCAAATGGTATTTCTAGTTCTAGATCCCTGAGGAATCGCCACACTGACTTCCACAATGGTTGAACTAGTTTGCAGTCCCACCAACAGTGTAAAAGTGTTCCTGTTTCTCCACATCCTCTCCAGCACCTGTTGTTTCCTGACTTTTTAATGATCACCATTCTAACTGGTGTGAGATGGTATCTCATTGTGGTTTTGATTTGCATTTCTCTGATGGCCAGTGATGATGAGCATTTTTTCATGTGTTTTTTGGCTGCATAAATGTCTTCTTTTGAGAAGTGTCTGTTCATATCCTTCACCCACTTGTTGATGGGGTTGTTTGTTTTTTTCTTGTAAATTTGTTGGAGTTCCTTTCTGAGCTTTCAGTTTCTCATGGCCCATATGAGATAGTAACGGTACTCACTTCCCCAGACTATTGCGATGATGGCACGCGATGGGGTGAGTGGGAGGTTTATCACACAGAATAAATGATACCTTTGGTTATTTTTAGTGCTGCCCTTATCCTGGGTCCTAAGATTCTCTGATCTCTTCCTATTGGGTGTTCGTTTGACTAGATTCCAAGAACAAAAATTACTTGACCCACACTGGTAGGGCTAGGCAATCTTTCCAGCCCTCCTGGGTTGGCAGCTGATGGATATCATCTGTTGGTCTCACTGTCCTTTACTGAGGACACTGGCAAACTTAGGGGGGTTTTCATCATGATGCCATGCACTGACATCGTGAGGCATACCTGTCTCATTACAGCAGAGACTCATGTGACCTGGGAACCACTGCAGGTCAAAACTACAGCGCATGAAAGCCAGGAGTTTACCAAATGGGTGCAGAGGCTGCCCAGGTGTTTGGGAATTTATTTTCATTGGAAATTTTTATCATTTCTTCACACATAAGGATATTAGTTATAAGAAGTCTGAATTTTTTTTTTCCTAACAAGTACAAACTACTTACAAAATAGTTGCAAGGACAACAGAAATAATTTTTTTTTTGCTGGACCTTTTGAGAGTAAGTTGCCTGCATGATATCTTGTCATCCCTGAATACGAATACTTTAGTGTGTATTTTGTACCAACACAAATATGCTCCTACACAACCACAGTAGAGTTAACAGAATCAGATAATCAACGTTGATATATTCCTAATGCCTAATTCTCAGACCCTGTTCATATTTGCCCCCAGACATCCTTAAAAACAAAAGGAACCATCTCAGAGCTACATGCTGCATTTGGCTGTTGTGTTTTATTAGGCTCCATTCACCTGGAAAAGTTCCTCAGTCTTTCTGTGACTTTCGTGGCCTTGACACTCTAATGGCTCTAGGCCAGTTACATTGCAGGATTTCCCCCAGCACGGGGCTGCCTGATGCTTCCTCATGAGCAGATTCAGGTTTAGCGTCCTTGGCAGGAGAACCCAGGAGCGACCCTGGGACCGCCTCACTCCGTGCTCTCAGGTCGGCAGGACTGCAATTTGCCCGGTTACTGACGATGTTCACACTGGTGACCTGATGGAGGTGGTGTCTGTGGTTTCTTCACTCCTTTCTTCCTTTGTAATTAATTAGTATTACATGGAGGACTAGCTTAAAACTGTGTAAATACTCTGCTCTTCATTCAACGTTTAATTTATTCATTTATGTTGTATTTATGTCAGTATGGATGTGTAGTTTTCTATCTTATTTATTGGATTATAACCTGGAATTATCATTACTTATCTTACTGTTCACCTTTGCTGGGGTTTGGAAGCTGTTCCCACTGGCCCGTGTGTTGTCATTCTCTGAGCAGGTCCTCAAGATGTTTCTGAGTCATTGTGGACCCTGCCTGCTCTGGATCATGGGTCAGCTGGTTCTCCAAAAAGAGCTGAATCCCAAGAGGAGAATGGGCTTTAGATACCATGATCTGGGTGTACCTCAGTGCACAGAGCTGGACAGCATATGCATATAGACACACACACACACACACACACACACACACACACACAGATGTTTATGTCTATGTTTGTCTCTAGCTCTGTCTATATGGAAAGCCATGAGTTGGTGCTAATATCTTCAGTTCACTCAAGCACCTCAGAGTCCACCCCACTTTCTTCCTTTGTATATTTGTGACTCTCATTCACACCCTGTGCCACCCCTGCCATTTTCTATCAGCATTGCCACCTCCCCCTGCACAGTCCGATTCCAAATTCTGTATGATCTCTGAGGCCAGGCACTGGCCTGCATCCCAGGCCAGCATCCTCCCTGCCCAGTAATGCTGTGCCATTCCTGTCTGGACCATCCGCCCACATGAAAGCCCCTTTTCCTCCCTTCCTACACCGAAGCCCTCCTTGCCCTGCCCAGAGGCACACTTTGCTCCAGCTGCTTCCCCCTTAAACCCCATTCATTTTTCTGGGTGCCTGCCACCCTTCCATTCAGTCCCTTCCCCTGCTTGGACACTCTCTCTACCCTACTCAGGCTGAAAGTCCCATGGTCCTACTCCTGCAGGAGCCCGGTCCTCATTGCACTGGGGCTCTGACACCATGACCCAGCCATGTGGACCGCCACCGTCCCCTACCAATGCCCAGCTCGGGCTCTTGCAAACCTCCCCCAATCCCATCCTTGCTCACTATGTTCCTCTGTGGTCCCTTCCATCGGTGCGGATATCCCCCTTGTTTGGATACACACAGTGGCTTTAGGATCAGATTGTTCAGAAAGTGGAAGACCTGAAAAAATGTTTTATAGTTAGAGCTAACTTCTAGAACACACTGTCACTAGAAATTCATCAGTGAGCCCTAGAGAGTAGCAGGCAGGAAGATGAGCCATGTCCCTCAAATCTGCATGTCACTCAGCAAGGTCTCTGGCTGTGGAACCAGGCATGGGAGCCACCCTGTCCCAGCTCCTGATAGAGACTCAGTGGCAGTGACCCAGCCAGTAACCTCCATCAAAGTATTCTGCATTTAGATAGACTCTACCACACCGAGCTATTGCGGGAAGCCCCATGGCTTCTTTCTTACTGTTCCTCTTCACCCACTGGGTGGCTGGTGATGATCCCCCGAGGCAGGGGAAGGCAGTAGTGTCAGCTCTTACTCCAGGGTGGTCAGGGCCCTTAGTGTCCTCATTTCGTGCCTGAAATCTCTAGAGGTGTTCATCTTGCATGTGGGCTACGTTGTGTCCTCCAACTTGCATCTCCCCAGAACCCTGCTTTATTTTCTATCTCCATTTGAATTTTTCTTTTTAGATTCCACATATGAGTGAGATCATGCAATATTTTTCTTACTGTGTCTGGTTTATTCCACTTAGCATAATGTCCTCTAGCCTCATCGATGTTGTGGCATATGGGATGATCTCATTCTTTATGAGGTCCAAATAACATTCTGTTGTACATATGTGACATTATTTATTTTAGTTTATTATTTTATTTTTCCATAAGGTATTGGGGAACAGGTGATATTTGGTTACATGAGTAGGTTCTTTTGTGGTGATTTGTGAGATTTTGGCGCACCCATCACCTGAGCAGTATACACTGCACCATATTTGTAGTCCTTTATCCCTCATCCTCCTCCCAGCCTTCCCCCTAAGTCCTCAAAGTCCGTTGTGTCATTCTTATGCCTTTGCATCCTCATAGCTTAGCTTCCGTATGTCAGTGGGAACACACGATGTTTGGTTTTCTGTTCCTGAGTTACTTCACTTAGAATAATAATCTCCAATCTCATCGAGGAATTTCTTCATCCATTTGTCTGTCAATGGACACTTAGGTGGTTTCCATACCTTGGCTACTGTAAATAATGCTGCAGTGCACATGGGAGTGCCAATATTTTTATAAGGTAGCCATTTCCTCTCTGTTGGATATATACCCAGAAGAGGGTTGCTGGGTCTTATGGTAGTTCTATTTTTCATTTATTTAAGGAAGCTCCATTTTGTTTTCCAGAATGGCTCTTCCAATCTACATTCCTACCAACAGTGTACAAGAATTCTCTTTTCTCCACACTCTGCAAACATTTATCACTTGTCTCTGGTAATAGCCATCCTAAAGGGTGTAGGTGATATCGCACAGTGGTTTTGATTTGCACTTCCTTGATGATTAATGATGTGGAGCACGTTTCCTATGCCTGTTGGTGATTTCTATGTATTCTTTGGAGAAATGTCTATTCAGGTGTTTTGCCTATTTTAAAAATTAGGTTATTTGTGTTTCCACTATTGAGTTGTATGAGTTCTTTATATATTTTGGATATTAATCCCTGATCAGATATACGGTTTGCAAATATTTTTTTCCGGGTCTGTTGGTTGCTGTTTCATTTTGTTGATTGTTTCCTTTGCTCTGCAGGAAACAGTTCTTTTTAGTTTGATGTAGTACTATGTATTCATTTTTGCTTTTGTGACTTGAGCTTCTGGTGTGATAACCAAAAACATCCTTGCCAAGACCTAATGTCCAGAAAGATTTCCCATCTTTTCTAGGAGTTTTATAGTTTTTGGTCTTATGTTAAGAATTTTTAATCCATTTGGAGTTGATTTTTCTGCCTTGTGTAAGAAAAGAATTCCATTTCATTCTTTTGCACACAAATATTCAGTTTTCTCAACACCATTTATTGGACAGACTACTCTTTCCTCATTGTGTCCCCATATGTCCCTTGTGAAAAATTAGTTGATCCTATATGTTTGGATTTATTTCTAGGCTTTTCATTCTGTTCCACTGGCCTGTTGTGTGTGTTTTTATACCAGTACCGAACTATTCGATGATAATAGTTTTGTAATATAATTTTAAGTGAGGAAATGTGATGTCTCCAATTTGGTTTTTCTTTCTTAGAACTGTTTTGGCTATTTGGGGTCTTCTGTGGTTCCATATGAATTTTAGGATAGGTTTTTCTATTTCTGTGAAGAATGCCATTGGGGTTTTGATAGGGATTGCATTGACTCTCCATATTGCTTTGGGTAGTATAGACATTTTAATCACATTGATTTTTTGAATTTATTTTTCCATGTATTTGTGTCTTCTTCAATTTCTTTCATTCATGTTATATCGTTTTCAGTGTCCAGACCTTTTACCTCCTTGGTTAAATTTAGTTTTTGATGCTATCATAAATGGGATGTTTAAAATTTCTTTTTCAGTTAGGTTACTTCTTGTTGGTAACTTCATTAACTTCCACAACTTACACCTGTTTTCAGAGGCTCACTAGATAATCTCAATGTACTGTCCCTCAACCTAGCTGCCTCCCACCCTATCTCCATCTCTCTTAACACCCATTTATTCCTTTTATGAAGAAAAAGCCACTTATGTTCAAGAAAGATAAATTACTAAATATAGAAAATAAGAAAGAAAAGCACCCCACAATTCCCATGCCAGAGCTAATCACAGTTAAAACTCTGGTAATTATTATTCCAGAGTTTTATGCATTTTGTTTCTTTTATAAAAAAGCAATCATACCTTGCATAATGTCTTGTAGCCAGATTTTCTTCTCTCCATTTAACATTATTTGAGAAGCAGCTTTCCGTCATCAAATAAATGTGTCCAACACTATTTTGGTGACTTAGAAGTATTCAATTGTGGAATACATTCTCATTTATTCAAGTAATTTTCTGACTTTATATCACTATGTTATTTTACTTAGCTCTGTAAGATCCCCACATTGCTTTGAATGTTTGTCCCCCTCAAAACTCATGTTGAACCTTAATCTCCAATGTAACAGTATTAAGAGGTAGGACCTTTAAGAGGTGATTGGATCATGAGGGGTTTGCCGTCATGAGTGGGTTAATCCATTCGCGGACTAGTGAATTAGTGGGTGACTGGATTAAGGGGTTATCCTGGGAGTAGGTCCGTTTAAAAGCTGGTTTGGCATGCTCTTGCTCTCTTACTGGTGTGTGCTCTGCCGAGTTACGGTGCAGGAAGGTGCCCTTACTGGATGCCTGTGCCTTCATATTAGATTTTCCAGCCTCCAAAATGGTAAGAAGTGTTTTTTTTTTCTTTATAAACTCTTCAGTCTGTAGTATTCTGTTATAGCAACAGAAAATAGAATAAGACAATCCCTCTTTTATATCTTTGGTAAATTCTTGACTTTCAGGTTTGGGATTATATATATGTGTGCATGTATGTGTGTCTATATATTTACATCTAATATGTATATGTGATTTTTAAAACTTATTTTTTATTAAAGTTTTGACCAGTTTGGAAGCCCAGAACTATAACGTGCTACAGGTTATGAGTATGTAGAAACCATGGAATACACTCTACATTTGCATATATTTCCTATATTTGTACCAAAAAAACCTTAATTACTTACCTGTATTGCATGAAATTTAGAGCAACTGCTCCTTCCACTCCTCAAATATACTGTGTACAATAAGAGAATAGTCAGTAGGCTCAAGATTACCATGCCCATTTCAGAACCAGTAAGGTTGTGGTTTGATATCTAAATGGACTGATTACCTTAAAAAATAAAAAAAACAACGATTTCCATTTATTATATTTTTCTCCATTTTCTCTGGAACCTGACTCTTTTTAATATGCCCTTACTGAACAGGTAAACACTAGATATGCTTTGTAGATTGATCTCCTGAGACAAGGACATGATGTTTCGGAGACGTGGCTGTTGTTATTGTAAAGCAGTTACGAGAAATCACACGAGCTTGCTGGGGAAAGCTGATATGTTTATCTGCAGCAGCATTCATCAGGGACAGATACCAGATCCACATGTAATTATTTTCCCTGAACATTGGCGAGACATTACCAAAATCAGAATTGAGTTGGTGTGAGTTAGTTTGGAGACTGATTTCAGTTAGTTTGATACAGATACACACAGAGAGACAGATTTTTTATTTTTAAATGATATTTTAAAATCACAGCTGGAGCCTATGGGCTCCGGTCCCAGAGCACCACATCCTCCTCCATGGCAGAACTGCTGTGTTTGTTCTATTAAGATTTGCTTTTAGGATTTCCGAATTTGTAGTTTACAAGAGTCCATCTAGGAAGATGAACAGGTTTTATAATTCAGTTTATCCTGGTAAGCACACATATATCATTATGTGTGGAGCATATCGATATTGTCAACTTAGAGGTACATAAATACAAAATAAAGGCTTCTATTTATGTTCTTAAGGCTTAAGATACAGGGCTTAAGATAAGAGAGAACAAAAAAAAATGCACTGTTTTGTTTGCTTCCTTCTGAATCCCCTGAGACTCCTTCTTCCATCAGATTAAACAATTTCACCTTTACTATAATGCTTGATAGGGCTTGAGTTTTTAAAGAATATAAGCCAAAGCTGTGCATTGCACATCTGAGACTCAGGAGCCTACGAAAGTGCAGTGTTTGGATTCTGACTGTGTGACAGCCTCAAGCCCAGGCAGGGTCCTCGGGCTCCGTGCGGTCTTGGGTGGGCCCACTCCCCCACTCCTCAGATGCTCCGCCGACATGAGGTGAGAAATGCTGTGCTTGTGCATTCAGTTGTCACCAGTAAAAATGGACAACAA
Organism: Homo sapiens; assembly: GCF_000001405.40. Classification (NCBI taxonomy): domain Eukaryota; kingdom Metazoa; phylum Chordata; class Mammalia; order Primates; family Hominidae; genus Homo; species Homo sapiens. The sequence goes on along the minus strand of NC_000013.11, from coordinate 109,656,772 downwards.
TTTCCTATTATTTGCATTTTTTTAATACAAAGATGGGATAGTGGGAAGGAGAGAGAAGCAGAAGAAGAAAGATGTCAAGTATGAGATTCATGAGGATATGAGAGCTAGGCGATCCGGTCAGGTGGCAAGGCTTCGTAAGCCTTTGCAGTTTAAATTGCAGGGAACATATTGAACATTGTGAGGTTCCTCCCACTTGCAGATTATCCATGGGATAGGTATTTCAATCAAAATTAGCAAATACAGGACCCATGGGTGAAGGAAGTTTTACTGTTTAAACATCACCACTTGACCAACTTCTTGATGATCTTGTTCCTGTCATCTGAATTAGCAGAAGTCTCTCCAAACACATTAAACTCCCACAGTTTAAAAGAAAACGCAGAAGAGGAATTTTGAGGATGTGGGAAGCAGCTATCTTATGTTTCTCCTTTTAGAAATTTTGGAGGAGTCTAGAGGAATTGTGCATCATGGTGGAAGCGTCTATGGTGTCCAACCATTTCTTACTTCCTGGTTTTTTTCCCTCTTCCTGTCCTTTTCTATACATTATCAATACTTCCCACTTTGCATCTGGCTGGCTCTTTTCTTTCCCAGCAAGGGCCTTGCAGGGCTTCTAGCCGATAGAGTCTCTGTGGAGCTCAGATGGAAAGCAGGGTCCGTAGGAAGCCACCTATTCACTGGTAAGTGCTAGGCCCTGCCCTCGGCTCTTCCAGCCACTTTCTTACTTTTTCCTCACAAAAGTAGTTTTGCATATTCCTCGTTCATAAAGGAGGAAACTAAGTCCTAGAGAGGCAAACATGTATTTGGCTTTTAGGAAGCGGGGGGAGCCAAGATTCAAGCCCAGGCATTTAATTCCAGAGCGCTTGCTCTTAACCAAGATAGCAACCTTGAGTGTGTTCCCATGCACCATGCCTGATCTCCCTGGAGTGGCTGTTGAGGGACCGTGAAAGGCCCAGGGGGAATTAGCCAGGGCTGGAGGAGGACAGCCAGCTGGTCTGTGCAAACCCTGATTCTCAGGCTCCCTCGGATGCTCCAGAGTGATCTGGGATCTCAGGTGCGGGGATCCTGCAGCCAGGACAGAGTTCTTTGAGTGGACCTTAAAGAGATTTACTTGGAAGGCATGATATGAACAAGGATTTCCATGTCTAGGATTAAACCTATTTCAGCTTCTGCATAGTTGCTTTGGGACTCATTCCTCCCCATTTTGCTCATGATATGTGTTTTTCTCTTGTTATCCATTGCTGCTGTGGGAGAAGCCATTGAGAAATTTCCTACTTGTCATTCGATGGCTCTGTTATTTCTAAACTCAAGAGGAAGAGAAGGAAAAAAAGGGAAATGAAGACATCCTTGGTTTAGAATTTAACTCTTCCCCTGAAATTGGAAACAAGTGTGTCATTTATGTTGAAACATCAGCCTGCCTTAGCTCACAAAACACCATTTATCAAAATTCCTAGCTTGCACAGTTACTCTGCCAGACTCAATTACAGAGTTAATTCCACCCTAACTGGAAACAGAGGTTTTGCTTCATTTCCTCTCCAAAATCTCTGGGGATGCCTTTGATATAATTCCAGTGTGTTGAAGTTCAAGCCAGTTCAGTTCAAATCAATGGGCACTTTTTGGCACATCTCCTATGAATATAGAAACACATGCTCACACGCACGCACACGCACCCACATGCACACATCACACACACACACGCTCACAGCACATGCATACACCACACCACACATGCTCACATGCACACACATGCACACATCACACACACGCTCACAGCACATGCATACACACCACACATGCACACACGCACACACATGCACACACACACGCTCACAGCACATGCATACACCACACCACACATGCTCACACGCACGCACATGCACACATCACACACACACACGCTCACAGCACATGCATACACCACACCACACATGCTCACATGACGCACATGCACACATCACACACACGCTCACAGCACATGCATACACCACACCACACATGCACACACACGCACACACACACACATGCACACACAGTCCCAGGGTCCCTTCAAATGCTTGCTAAGCATATCTTTCAGAAGTTACATTCTTAATCTTCTTCATCATTTGCAAGCCCTGTATGTTCACTTTTTGCATTTTTTTCTCACAAATTGTTTTCTTAGATTGCTGCCTTCTTTCTTCCTCATTTCAGAAGTCACATTTAGATTAACAGGAACTGACAAGAACAGAACAGTGTGTCTCAGAGAGACCCATCACAGACGTCTATTACGACATCACTATCATCACCATCGCTTCCTTAGACCAAAACACTTTTTGCCAATTCTGATACACAACTGAATTGTGGTTTTAACTCCTCGTGTTAAGAATACCATGGGCAGTCTAATATAAAGTATATCACTATATAGTTATTCAGATGCATGTAGAAAAGTATATTTGCATAAATATATAAATCAACAATACTACTTTCATTCATTAGCTTTAAGATATTTATAAGACTTTCTGCTTTTTGTTCAACCAGATATAGTGAGCAAAACTGTAAGAAATTACAATTTTGGTAGGTTAAAAATGAGTGAATATCATGAATTTTGTGTGTTTTCCTTAGAGATAAGTTAACATGGTTAGAAATTTCAGATATAAGAAGAGTCTGACTTTGGACCTTTTTGTAAGAATTGTGAAAACTAGCTCAAGGTAAAGCAGAAAACCTTAAAATATATTAAGTTAATAAATTAAAATAAGGTAAACAAATTCCCAACATATGAATGAAAAATAGCAATGTAGTCATAGAAGGCAAATATATTCCTGAATAAGAAAAACAGTTTTGCAAATTTTGTCTAGTATTGCCACCAGAGATCCAGGATAACAGCTTAAATGGGAATGACATAAAAAACAGATTATGTAACTATCATTTAATGAGAGGGGAAAAAAGGTAGTTGTGTCTTTCTTATGTGAAGATGAGGCATTTTTATTCTAAATGAAGCTCCCATGAGCAAGTCTCATGTGAGTTTTTCTTATAACTGAGAAGTTATATAGCAAACGTTTAACCCTAGTTTTCAAATAGCCAATTGCTCATAATGTCAACTCATCTTAGGAAGCCCCCCAGAACAACCCAGGTGGTGTTCTGAGATGGGTCAGTTGGCTAATGGGAAGTCTTAGGAATCCTGTAGGATGGAGGAACTCCAGCCTGAGCCATCTAGGACTATAGTGAAGAAAGGGAGATTTGTTTTAGTCCAAACTTAATTTCTGTGAAAGAAAGAATTGTTGGCCGGCTATGGTTGCTCAGGCCTGTAATCCCAGCACTTTGGGAGGCCGAGGTAGGTGGATTAGTTGAGGCCAGGAGTTTGAGACTAGCCTGAGCAACATGGCGAAGCCCTGTCTCTACTAAAAATAAAAAAATTCGCTGGGTGTGGTGACATGCGCCTGTAGTCCCAGCTACTTGGGAAGCTGAGGCATGAGAATTTCCTGAAGCCAGGAGGTGGAGGTTGCTGTGAGCCGAGATTGTGCCATTTGGGAGGCTGAGGCACAATAATCACTGGAAGCTGGGAGGCAGATGTTGCAGTGAGCCGAGACCATGCCACTGCACTCCAGCCTGGGCAACAGAGCAAGACTCTGCCACAAAAAAAAAAAAAAAATAAAAAATAACTGAAAGTAGAATTTTCGTGTAGTAGGACAGGTTTTTTGGACGGTAATTCTGGGCATTCACACCCCATGTCCTTGGGTTCAGGTGGATGTTAGCGGTTAAGAAAATAGACTATGACCTCCAGGCTACTTGGGTTTGAGATCCTTCTTAGTTCTATGACCTTGGGTGAGTTGTTAAACCTAAGAGTCAGTTCCTCTTGTATAAAGCTGGGGTAACAACAATCTCTTCTTCATCAAGTTGATGTGTGGAGTTAAATTAGAAAATTTATATAAAGCTTTTTGCACTGTGCCTGTCACACGTTGACTACTCCAACATTTCCTGGGGAAATTCTACATGCCACTGAATCACTTTCCATCCTGAGGCTTTTAACCCTGTATCTCAGGTCTTTGGCAATAAGGAAATACTTCATTTCCGGCTTGGGAGAGAAAATCATGGCTGCAACTTGATGACAGGAAATAGTATCCAAACAATAACATTTTCACCCTGGACTCAAATTTCCTCTCTGAGAAGTCCATAGTTGCTTTTGCTGAATCTTGGCTGGTTATTATAACAGCGGCTTCCAAAGGCTGAATTCATACAAACATCCCATGCATTTCAGGACTTGTATATACACATACTTTGAATGTCTGAATTGCCTTGCCCAAATGGTTTGAGTAGACTCTAACTCTCCACTCTTTGTTATTTTTCCTATGACGAGGAATCCTAATGGGGTAAAAAAGATGCCCAAACTCACTGGTCTCACCTATAGTATCATAAATCTCAGGATGGAAGGGGACATTCATTACTATTATTCTAATCTGTTCAATTTGCAGGTGATGAAACAGACTGAGAAGGGAGAGGGCAAGTGTATGTGGATGTTCCTCTTAACTTCGCAGAGTCTGAATACTAGAGTCTAAATCTTAGAGGAATGAGACATGGTAATATGCTCTCCTAAATAGCTGCTCCCCATAACTCTTTATCTCTGTATCCTGTGGGCAGCAGAGCTATTTACCTACCCATGTGTGTGGACAGTCATTAGGCAGAAAACAGTTCCTAATTTGTGCAATTGATGAGAAAGTAAAACCCCAGGACTTTGCAAAATCTCCCTATGCGGGCACCGCTGTCGTGTTGTTTATTTCCTCTTGACATCTGTCTGGCCGGCTTGAGGGCCTGTCCTGGTTTCACCGTTCAGTCATTCCCCGGTGTGTGTTTTCAGTCCCACTTGCTTTGCCTCCCATAATCCAAAACACCATTTGAATGTTGCATAATATTGTATTTTTTTTTTGTCAGGGTTATAAACAATTTCTCTCTGATCTGCTGTCACACAGAAGGGTATATCCAGACTGGTCCCTGAGCCTGGGTAATTTGGGTTTACTCCAGGTGGGTAAATGCCTTCTTGGTGCTCAGATCTGGCAGGCACCAGGAGAGGAGACACACAACCTGTGCAAAGAGCAGATGTTCAAAGATGCTTGTTTTAACTCGTATTTTAAGTTCAGGGGTCCCCGTGGAGGTTTGTTGCATGGGTAAACTCGTGTCACAGAGGTTTGCTGTACAGATTACTTCATCACCCAATGGTTATCTTTTCTGCTCCTCTCCCTCCTCCCACCCTCCACCCTCAAGTAGACCCCAGTGACTGCTGTTCCTCTCTTTGCGCCCTAAATGAGTTCTTATCATTTAGCTCCCACTCATAAGCATGCGGTATTTGGTTTTTTGTTCCTGCATTAGTTTGCTAAAGATAATGGCCTTCAGCTCCATTGATGTTCCTGCAAAAGACATGACCTTGTTCTTTTCTATGGCTGCATAGTATTCCATGGTGTGTATGTACCACCTTTTCTCTATCCAGTGAGCTAAAAGTAGAACTGTCATTCGACCCAGCAGTCCCATTACTGGGTATATACCCAGAGGAACGTAGATCATTCTACCATAAAGACATGTGTATTCGGATGTTTATTGCAGCACTGTTCACAACAGCAAAGACATGGAATCAACCTTAATGTCCATCAGTGACAGACTGGATAAACGAAGATGCTTTTAACCTTCTCCTCTCATAGTACTACTTTAAGGAAGTAGTATTCATTTCATACTTCTTTTTCTAGCCTTCCTCTAGGATGGTTAAAAATGAAAGTCATGATTACTTTGGTCTCTGAATTAGTTGTGATGTACACATCTATAGCTCCTGCTTACAATGTGATTGTCATTTTTCTTCTTCATTTACTTTTATATTATTAACTGTATCAGCAATGTTTTTATAGTTTCTAACATATGGCTGGGATAAAATTGCCAACATTAGGGAAGCAAGCTGATTTTTATCCATATATTTGTGAAGTAGTTTTTTGTTATCATTGTTGCAATTTCTTAATAAATGTTTATTGAATAAAAGAATGACTCCCATAGCCACATGATTGCTATGATTAGAGACCGACTTATTTCACACTGTGCATGTTTATTGCAAATATCTATTTGCTGAGGAGTTTTTCTTTAAAGCCTATTTAAAAATTTTGGAAAAATTTTAGATTTACAAAAACATGGCAAGGCGAGCACAGAGAGGTCTTCTAACATGAACATCTTATGCAACCATGGTACATTTATTAAAATCCAGACACTAACACACTATGTTATTTTTAACTTACCTACAGACTTTATTCAGATTTGACTAGGTTATCAGTGAATGCGCTTCCTTCAGGAAACCACATTGCATTTAGGACCTTTCTTCATACAATTAAAAAGAGCAGAAATTTCTCCTTTAAAAAAATGATGAACTTTATAAAGACTTGACAGAATTATTCTGTGAACAACAAGAGAGTTGGTCAGGCATGATTCTTCACGCCTGTAATCCTGGCACTTTGGGAGGCCAAGGAGGGCAGATCACTTGAGGCCAGGAGTTTGAGACCAGCCTGGCCAACATGGAGAAACCATGTCTCTATTAAAAATACAAAAATTAGCTGGGTGTGGTGGCGGGCACCTGTGTTCTCAGCTACATGGGAGGCTGAGGCACAAGAGTTGCTTAAGCCTGGGTGGCTGAGGTTGCAGCAAGCCGAGATCGCGCCACTGCACTCCAGCCTGGGTAAGAGTGAGACTCTATCTCAGAAAAAAAAAAAAAAAGAAAAAACCAAAACTGTACGTATTTCAGGCTTTGTGGTCCATATAATCTCTGTTGCAACTACTAAACTCTACCTTTGCAGTACAAAAACAGACACAGACGTAAGTAAACAAATGGGCATGGCCAAGTTCTAATAAAATTTTATTTACAGAAAAGTGGGGGGGCCATATTGAAGCAATAGTTTGGCAGTCTCTGACTTTATTGAGCTGTGGTTCATCGTCAAGCCTGATGTACTAGTCAGTCACATATACCTTCTCTTATTGCTACCAAAGCATTTAGGGTCTTTTTTGTATTGTCCTGGACTGAGTGTGCTTTGTGCTGAAGGATCTAAATAGGCCTCCTGTCCTGTGGTCTAGACTGGAGGGGGCTGAATTCCTTATGCTAAAGATTTCTCCCTTTCCTTCTGTTTGTATCCAGAAATCCTCATACACAATGCTGATAGAATAATCATTATAGACATTTAAATTGCTCATTTACTATTATCTTCGTGTAATAAGGAAGGGTGTGAGTTAACACCTGCTTTGGGGGCACTTTTGAACAGTCGGTTAAATCTAGCTAATCAATTCCATTTAACTAAAATGTATTTCTGTAAGAGTCATTCACTTTTCATGTAGTTACATTTGGAGATTACTTTTTTGAAGAGTGTGCTGTTCTTTCTGAGTTAAACTTTTTTTTTTTAAATATAGATTTTATTTTTAGAGCAGTTTTTTAGGTTTACGGAAAAATGGAAGGGAAGATACAGAGGGTTTCTGTACACCCCTTCCCCTCTACATGCACAGAGTCCCCCACTGTAATAGTGAACCTTATGTTTCAACTTGACTGGGCCAGATATTTGGTGCGCAGATATTTGGTCGAGCATTATTCTGGGTGTTTTGGGGAGAGAGTTTCTGGATGAGATTGACATTTGAATCAGTGGACTGACTAAAGGGGGGGCCCTCCCCAGTGTGGGTGGGCCTCATGCAATCAGTTGAAAGCTTGAACAGAACAAAAAGGCTGACTTCCCCCAAGTAAGAGGAAACCGCACCACTCACTTTCCTCGATGAATTAACCCCCTTCTTATAATGAAACATCCTCATTTCTCTGCCCATTTTTAAAACTTGGGCTGTTCCATCAATGATAGACTGGATAAAGAACATGTGGTACATATACATGACAGAATACTATGCAGCCATAAACAGGAATGAGATCATGTCCTTTGCAGGGACATGGATGTAGCTAGAGGCCATTATCCTTAGCAAACTATTTAATAACACAGGAACAGAAAACCAAATACTGTGTGTTCTCACTTGTAAGTGGGAGCTGAATGATGAGAACAAATAGACATACTGTGGGGAACAACACACACTGGTGCCTGTCAGAGGGTTGGGGGTGGGAGGAGGGAGAGGATCAGGAAGAATAGCTAACGAATGCTGGGCTTAATTCCCAGGTGATGGGATAATCTGTGCAGCCGACCAGCATGGCACACATTTACCTATGTAACAAACCTGTATATCTTGCACATGTACCCTTGAACTTAAAATAATTTGGAAATAAAGTCACAAAAATAAAAACATAAAAATTGGGCTGTTCATTTTCTTATTGTTGAGTTTTAAGAGTTCTTTATATATTTTGGATAACACTCCTTTATCACTTACGTTATTTGCAAATATTTTTTCCATGTCTGTGGCTTACCTTTTCTCATTGTCTTGGCAGTGTCTGACCACAGACTGAAGTTTTTAATTTTAATGAAGTCCAGCTTATTTCTTTCATGGATTGTATCTTTGGTGTTGTATCTAAAAATAATTGCCAAACCTAAGGCCGTTTGGATTTTCTCTGATGTTTATCTTCAAGGAGTCTTATAGTTTTGCATTTTACATTTAGGTCTATGATCCATTATGAGTTAATTTTTGTAAAACTTGTATGTGTTAAGATTCTTTCTTTTTTCCCTTTCTCTCCTTCCTTCCTTTCTTTCTTTTTCTTTCTTTCTTTTCTATCCTTCCTTCCTTCCTTCCCTCCCTCCCTCCCTCCCTCCTTCCTTCCTTCTTTCTGTTTTTTTCTCTCTTTTTTGGTCATTTCTCTTTCCTTTTTTTTTTTTTTTTGGCATGTGGATGTCCAGTTGTTTCAACACCCTTTGTTGGAAAGTCTGTCTTCACTCCAATATATTACCTTTGTCCCATTGTCAAAGATCAGTTGACTGTGTTTACGTGGGTCTGTTTCAGGGCTATCTGTTCTGCTTTATTCTGATCTATTTTTCTATTACTTTGCCAGTGCCACAACATCTTGATCATAGTAGCTTTACAGGAACTCATGAGGTTTGGGTATTTTTAGTTCTGCAATTTTGTTCTTCAATATTATGCTATTTGGAGTTTATTGATCGTTTTAAAAATTTTATAACATTTGGAGATATGGCTTTTCCACTCTATCTCTTTTTATGTGACAAATTGTGATATTATATATACAAATTTCTTGAAAATCTTTGCATGTAAGTCTTCTCTGAATCTCTTTAACTCCGGTCTCATTGACTTAAAATCTCTTGATTTTGCTTTATTTTTCCTACTGGGGTGACTATGTGCACAATGCTGTTTTTAAACAAATTTTTATAAGTTTTTAATGCCACATTTAGATCACCTGTAAGAGCCACAGTTTTTGGTTTAAAGACTTCTTTATATAGTGGGGGAAGATGAATTTCCCAGAGTTACGAGGTGTGGTTTTTGGCATGTTGAGTGAAAAACAAAACAACAGTAAAAAGGAATTTCTAAGAACATTCTCCTACCTATGAGTAATCCAATTTTATTTCCTGCTTGGCCTGTCTAAAGGGAATTGATCCTCCTGGGAATACCCCCGAGTTTCGCTACACCCTAAGGGGATTGCGCAGTTTGTGAGAAGGAGGAGCTGAAAGGAGGAGACGAGCTTGGGTGTTATGGAAGAACTCAATGGGTTTGTGACAGAGGCTCACTTTCCCCTTTTCCTGCCTTCCCTGTGAAGCTTAGGGGGCCCAGGAATGTGACTGGGCAAATCAGCTAGGCTAGAAAATATCATTACTAGCGGTTAAACACATGCTTTTCTAGATTAGAGTTTTTTAGAGTACTGCAACTATTGTTATAAGAAAGAAAATGTTACATTGTCCATTTTGATATTGATATTTACTTTTAAAGCAGTGTTTCTAATCTTTTTTTTTTAACCCTTTGGGAACCTCCTGGCTATTATGATTGAGTCCCTAGAAAAATACAGTTACACACAGTTTTGCTTACAATTTTGAGGGATTCAGGCAATCTCTGTACCTCCAAATGAGAACCCATGCTTCAAAATCCTACTCGATAACTTACATTTTGAAAGGCATGTCTTATATACTGTATAATTGCTGCTAAGTCTTGTTTCACAGATGTGTACTCTGTTAACCATGACAGTTTGGTTTCAATGCTATATAAATCCAGAGTCAGCAAACTATGGCCTAGGGCCTAATGCGACGCACCACGGGAGACTGCGTAGCCTGCAAAACTGAAACTGAAAACATTTACTTTTTGGATGTTTTTAGAAAAAGCTGACTGACCCCAGCTATAAAAATGAAATCTGAGAAAATGGATGTTGTGGCTTTATATTTTATGCATTCCAATAATGAGCTATATTTGAGAGATTCTCCAAATCACATGACCTTGACATTTCTGCAGGAGGATGCTCAATGCTGCTTTTCCTGTTTTTTTTTTTTCTGAATTTGAAGTCTCCAACTGAAGATAATGAGTGCTCCCTCCCCATATTATGCAGAGAAATACAAAACTCAGGCATGCAGCACTTGCAAAAAGATAAGTAAATTGTTGTTATGGTCCCCACCTCAAAGAGCTTGTCTAAGAAAACACTCAACATGTATTTTGTGGGATAGAAACTTATTTATGTGATTTTGTAAAGTGAAACTCGCTGGGCACTTCTCTGCTCCCACGTGTGAGTGAGATCTTAGGCCTGTGAGAATCCCAGGGAGAGATCTGGGGGTTTGTGAGAAGCGCAGCATCACTGTGGTTGCTGGCCAGTCGCTTGCTGAGCTCAGTGGACTGCAGGCCTGCTCAGTGCTTGTGAGAAGCGCAGCATCACTGTGGTTGCTGGCCAGTCGCTTGCTGAACTCAGTGGACTGCAGGCCTGCTCAGTGCTCCTGCTGAACTGAGGCCTGAGACTGGTCTCAGCAGATGTGGAACTGTGTCCTCTAGTGCAGTGGTCCTAGGGACCAGTGCCTGTGCCTGTCCCTGTCCTGAAGGTAGAAGGATACCTGTAGCATGGAGAAGAGGCAGAGGTCAACAGGTGGCCAAGCTGTTTGAAAGGACCATGAGTTTAGAAAGGACCATGGACCATGAGTTTTTCTGTGGGTAGTGAAGGCCAGGGAAGAGAGTAGAGCCCATCCATCTCAGAAAGACCTGAGTCAGGAGGGAGGGTTTCTGGAGCAAAAGGACTGCAGCAAAAAGGACCTGCAGGGAGACCACAGGGCAGGAGCTGAGGGCTGGGAAAGGCAAGAGAGCTGGAAGTGCCTTGACCCTGCCAGCGGATTGTGGAGACGGGGAGCTCCCGGGTGAGGAGTCAGAAGGACCCTCAACTGCACGCAATGTAGAAGCCAGCCTTGAATGGCTGCCATGACTCGGGGCCTTGGCCAATGAGAGAGGGAGGCCCAGCATCAGCTAAGTGGAAATATGTTTTCAGGTTCCCTTTCATTCCTTTTCACACGGCCTCCCTCACCTCAGCCTCCAGGGGAAGCTCTGGGGTATGAAGAGTAGGAAGCCTCACAGGGGTTTAGGGAGGTTGAACTGCAGCACGAAGGACCTTTCCCTCTTCTCCCCTTGAGGTCAAGCCAGAGTGAATGGAGGGAAAATGCACTGAGACAGATACAAAACCTAAGACACTTGGGTTGAACTTTCTAATCCTGGAAAGTGAGTGGGAAGCTAAAAGACCCAGCCGGGGAAGGGCCCCTGGTTGGATCAAGTGCATGTGAAGATGGGGGTGGGGTGGAAGCGGAGCTGTTCCTGAAGGTGTCCTTCCAGTCAGCGGATTCCATCAGCAGAATCTCCCCCTAATTTTTTCTTTCCTCCAAGATCTACATTCAATAACTTAACAAGAATTGTCTATGCCACCCCTTTCATCCCTTCCCCCCTTTTCCTTAATTATATTATCATTATTATTATTTTTTCTGTCGCTCAGGCTGGAGTGCAGTGACACCACCACAGCTCACTGCAGCCTCAACTTCCCAGGCTCAGATGATCCTCCTGCCTCAGCCTCTCTGAGTGCTGGGACTACAGGTGCATGCTACCATGTCCAGCGAACTTTTTGTATTTTTAGTAGAGATGGGGCCTTGCCATGTTGCCAAGTCTGGTCTCAAACTCCTGGGATCAAACAATCCTCCAACCTCAGCCTCCCAGAGTTGGGATTACAGGCATGAGACACTGCGCTTGGCCTCCTTACTATTTTGCAAAGATTTCTTGTAAGGATTGCTGAATATCCTATTACAGATTCTTTCCACTAGACATTTGCTTACAATTATCCAATACTCCTGCACTTTTGTCCTTGCCTCTGGCCTCAGAATGTTCCCAGTCTCAGTACATTCTCCCCAGTGATGCTGGAGTGACATTCTGAACTGCAAATATGACTACTTTATGCCTTTTCCTCCTGTTTAATTAGTAGGGAGCCCACTCTTCTAACTGTGGAAAACAAGGCCCTCTCAGGCCTCCACATACTTGCCAGCCTCCTTTCTGTGGCACTGTGGACCTGGACCTGGTGACTCAAATGAGAACAAGTATCTTGCCTGTCTGGTTTCTCTCTATATATTCCTTGCTCTTTAAGCACAGCTTGACACATGATGTTTAACAAATAGTTGCTGAGTAAACAAATGGGTAAAATACGACAAGTCACCATCATCTCATATTACTGGGGTGTAACGTATGCCCGGCTTCCTCTCATAACTGCTCTGAGAATCCAGTGGGAGTATATGTCTTAGACCCTAGCCATCACTCTTAGCAAATGTTTCTCAAGGATCTAGAACCAGAACCACCATTTGACCCAGCAGTCCCATCACTGGGTATATACCCAAAGGATTACAAATCATTCTACTATAAAGAGACGTGCACACATATGTTTATTGCAGCACTATTCACAATACCAAAGACTTGGAACCAATCCAAATGCCTATCAATGGTAGACTGGATAAAGAAAGTGTGGCACATATACACCATGGAATACTATGCAGCCATTAAAAAGGATGAGTTCATGTCCTTTGTAGGGACATGGGTGAAGGTGGAAACCATCATTCTCAGCAAACTAACAGAGGAACAGAAAACCAAACACTGCATGTTGTCACTCATAAGTGGGAGTTGAACAGTGAGAACACATGGACACAAGTAGGGGAACATCACACACTGGGGCCTCTCAGGGGTTGGGGGGCTAGGGGAGGGAGATCATTAGGATAAATACCTAATGTAGATGATGGGTTGATGGGTGCAGCACACCACCATGGCACATGTATACCTGTCTAACAAAACTGCATGTTCTGCACATGTACCCCAGAACTTAAAGTATAATAATAATAATTTAAAAAGTAGAAACTGTCAGACCTCACCTCACCGTGGAAAGCACCGGGAGGTTGTGAGAGTTTCCTTCATTCATTTACTCAGCAAGTGTTTATTGAACAGCTCCCAGATGTGCAGCTCTGTGGTTGGTGCTGGAAATAGAAAGCGGGTTCCAACATTGCTGAAGGTCATTGCAGCCTGTGGGAGGGTCTGTGAGCTGTCATTCCAGGTTCCTGTCTTCTTTCTCTTGACCAAGCATCAGGATGGGGGCTGCCTTATTGGTTGGGTTTGCTTTCATCAGTGAATGAGGAAGGCCTAGTGCTACAGGGGTCTCGTGGGTGGGGACCTGGTCATTCTTGTCTGAATCAACTTAAAAGAGTTTAAATGCATCTGGAATGAGCAGTACCAATATGAGAAGTGAATCTGCCATTTTGGCCGGTTTATGTCTCATAGTGAGAGAAGATTCCAAACACACAAACTGCAGATGGTGAGAACCTGTAATGACAGGCCAGCCTCATGCGATTGGGCTGCAGCATCCCAGGAGGGCCCCTAGGTTTCTTAAAGGAACACACGTGTGGGCGGTTACCACCCTGCACAGCCTATGGGTCTTTCACCATGGAGAGTAGCAGCAATTGCCAGGAGATAGGGTAGATCACGGAATCCACTGCTATCCACAGACTTTTGCTGGAAGAGTGCTCTCAGGAAGGGAAACCATGATGAGCCCCTTCATCCAACCTCGATCTGTCAGAGCCACAAGAGTTGCAGCTGGAAGGAGTTTTTGTTCTGAACCTTTGCAGGGTTAAGCCAGTGCTCAGCACAGGTTAAGATGGCACAGCCCTTACCCCTCACGTGAGGATAAGCTGTAAGAATCACGCCTGTGACCTGCAAGGGACAGTTTTTGATTAATGATCAAATGAGCTGCACATACCTGCTACTGGACATATGCTTATCGTTTCGGCCATCTGCTGGCCTGGCATCTGGCCCACGCTCAAACTTCAGTCACAAACACAGAGAGCAGAGGCATCAACCGAGGACAGACACAAGTGTGCATCGGCAGGGAATATACTCTGTTCCTGGCCGGGCTGACTGCTTCATGGAAACAAACTAAGTGGGGTCTGCTTCCTTCTGCAAAAAGGCCAGGAAGCCTCCCTTGTTGAGGGGTGGTGAGATACTGTGAGGCTTGGCATTAAAAAATTAATATGTATTTTATTTATTAATTCTTAACACCTAAGATATTTAAATATTCTTTATCATGGTATTACATAGTGAATTTTCTTTTCTGATTCATGATGCAAAGTGACTAATATGGTACTTGTCACTTGGTATAGGCTCAACAACATACTTGCCTGTTCCTCTCCTTCTTATCTCTTTTGTTCAATCCCCAACCAAAGTCAGAGACAGGGAAGATACGCTCAGCCAGTAATACATTTCGAAACTCTTCCATCCTCCAAGGGAAGATGTTGACATTTCTATCCATAGGAAAGTACACACACATCTCACCAAATTTTAAGATCAGGATGATTGTATATTAAGAACTATTCAGTTGGAAATAGAAGACAGAATTTCAAAAGATATAGTTGATCCCCATGCACCTTTCCTAAACACAGAATGGAGAAATCATTGATTATGTAGATCATGCATTCTTCAAAGGTGTGCTATTATCCCCAGGAGGCAAAAGTTGATGCTTGGCTGGCAAGAAAACCCTTAGATTGTGCAGTAGTTTGTGGGCCTTCAAGTGACCATAGCACACACACAGATATACCATATATCTATGATATTAAAATTTCATGAGGAGGGTTAAGAAAAAATGTCTTAAAAGGCTCCTTAAGAAGGTGATAATGAAAGCAGCTGAGGGACACTGATGCAGAGGAAGAGTGCACTGGTGATACTAAGCCACATATACATTGCTGAAATGGAGTCCATATGCAAATGTTGCAGTCTGCACCTCTCTGTCTTCCAGGAATGGGTTAACCAGGACACAAAGATGTTTGGTCAATTACCTAACCATTGATTGATCCCAAAACTAATCAAAGGAGAGCTGCACCTGCTGGGCCATGCACTGAGATAATACAGTGAACACCACAGACAAATAACTGCCTCCAAGGAGATTATACTCCAGCTGGAAAAAGGAGAGGAAATAACAAGTAAAATGTCAGTTAAAAAAATAGAATGTCCTATCCTAAGTAGGTGAGCAGGAAATCTTCTCTGGAGTAGTGACACTTAAGTTGAAATTCGAACAATGAGAAGCAACCAGACACGAGTTGTGGATGGGGAGAACATCCCAAGCCTGGGGCCTATGGGATATCCTGAGGGGCAAAGACCACAGCAGGAGCTAAGCAGAGCCCAATGTGGCTGAATATGGCAGAGAAGGTGCAAATATGAGCTCTGAGGCTGGATAGTTGTGCTGGGTAGAATAGTGTCCTTGTAGAAATTCACCCATCCTGAACATGTGAATGAGATCTTGTTTGGAAATAGGGTATCTGCTGATGCCATGAAGTTAAAAGAGGTGGACTAAAGTGAGCCCTAATCCAGTGAGTGTGTTTTTATGAGAAGAGGGAAATTGGGCACAAGAGGAAGAAGAGGAAGGCAGACATTGTAGCAATGCACGTGCAAGCCAAGGGACGCCACATCTTCTGGCAACAGTGGAGGCTGCAAGAGGCAAGTAAGGGTCCTCCCTTGAGCCTGCAGTGGGAGCATGGCCCTGAAAACTCATTGGTTTTAGACTTCCAGCTTTCAGAACTGTGGGAGGACACATTTCTGTTGTTTAAGCCACCAAGCCTGTGGTGCTATGTGTCAGTCCCAGGAAAAGATGCAGGAGCTAAACAGTAGGAGCTCAGTCAGGGCTGACCCTGTAGGCTATGGGAAAAGTTTGGATTTTGTTCTGCAGGCAAAGAGAAATCAGGTAAGGATTTTCAAATAATGTGGTCCTATGATCTGATTTTTATTTTAAGAAGGCCATTTGCTGCTGAGCGGCAAAGTACTATAAACAGGGTAAAAAAGCAACGAGGAGGCTGGCAGGCCTCTGCCCAGACAAGGCAGTGATGGTGCTCTATCGTGCATGGGGTGGTGGGGATGGTGGGGGTGACTGCAGCTGTGAGACAGAGCTTGTAGGTGGGGTAGATGTACCTGTCATGGGAATGATGAGCTGTCGGGGGCAGCAGTGAACCAGGGCAGCTGGCGATTCTGGGGAGAGCTGGTGGAGTCACAGACAAAGGTGGTCATGGTGGGAGATGGACAGATGGCTGGGGATGGGCTGGGTGTGAGGGTGATGGTGAAGGAGGCAAGAAGGATGATTCCTGTGCTTCTGGCTCTAGGTACCGAGCAGACAACGGTGCCGTGAACCAAGCTGGTAGAGACAGGGGTGAAACAAGACTGGAGGAAGATGGTTAAGTGTTCTGCGTTAGCCTTGTTGATTTTCAGATGCCTATAAATGTCCGCATAGAGAGTGTTCCCTTTTCTATCCCACTCACTTCTCAATTTCCAATTGCACTAATTCCCCCTTCCCCCCACCCTTTTTTTAGTGTACCGAAGAAAGTAACTTTCCTCTTTGCCCTGACTTGTTTATTGTGCATGTTGTATTTGGTGTTCAAGGCTGGGAAGCATCTTTCTTATTCTCAACCTGGGGGAAGACAAACATGTGATGCTGCCCCAAGACATTAGCCCAGGCCCAGTGGGGTGTGGTGGCTCACACCTGTAATCCCAGCACTTTGGGAGGCTGAGGTGGGTGGATCACTTGAGGTCAGGAGTTCGAGACCAGCCTGGCCAACATGGCGAAACCCCGTCTCTACTAAAAATACAAAAAGAAAAAAAAAATTAGCCAAGCATGGTGGTGGGCGTCTGTAATCCCAGCTACTCAGGAGGCTGAGGCTGGAGAATCGCTTGAACCCGGGAGGCAGAGGTTGGAGTGAGCCGAGATCACACCACTGCACTCCAGCCTGGGCGACAGAGCGAGACACCATCTCCATAAACAAAACAAAACAAAACAGACATTAGCCCAGGCCCAGTTGCAAGGCAGGCCCTCGTCTAGCAAGGCAGGCCCTCCTCTAGCAAGGCAGGCCTTCAGTGGTGGCAGGAAACTGTGGTGACTTCAGTCTCGAAAATGTTAACTTCAGCTTATGGCCTGACTTAACAAAAAAGATCTGTCTCCCTTTTCATGCTTGTGCCCCTTTGTGTATGGGCTGCCTCACACCTGGCTGCTTTCCTTTGCAAGCCAGGATTTTAGCAGAGGATGTCATCACCAGAAACACCCTTCTAGAACCCTCACGATATTTGCAAATGTGTCTCCACTCTCTTGTCACAATCAAGATTCTTTCATGTGGAGGCAATAAGGAAAATTTATAGTTTCTAATAAATTGATTTTCTCCAGAAACATAATAATCACATAAAATTAAGTCAAACAAACAATGCTACATTTATAATTATTTTTAATGTCTTTGATAAATGTTACTTTTTTCAAAAACAGGAACATTTAAGTGCTAAAACATTCTTTAAGTTGCCAGACACCAATTTGCATTTTGTGTATCATGACTCAGGGGTTTCACCAGGCCAATTGTATGAGTCTGTTCTCACACTGCTAATAAAGACATATCCAAGACTGGGTAATTTATAAAGGAAAGAGGTTTAATTGACTCACAATTCAGCATGGCTGGGAAGACCTCAAGAGACTTACAATCATGGTGGAGGAGGAAGCAAACATGTCCTTCTTCACATGGTGGCAGGAAGGAGAAGTGCTGAGCACAGAGGGGGAAAACCCTTTACAGAACCGTCATATTTCATGAAAATTCACTCATTATCATGAGAACAGCATGGGAGTAACCACCCCCATGATTCAGTTACCTCCAACTGGGTCCCTCCTACAACACTTGGGGATTATGGGAGCTACGATTCAAGATGAGATTTGGGTGGGGACACAGCCAACCCATATCAGCAATTGTCCTCTTTAGGCAGTCATTTTCCACGTAGAGAGAAATTTCTAAAAATATCAGAAAATTAGGGGTCTTCTCATTTTCTGACCTAGAAGAGCTGATTCAGATTCATTTATGTCGAATTTGACTTATGTAAACATTAGTGTAAATAGAGTGCTCTGAAGTGTTAGGCCTGAAGGCAATTGCATAAGCAAAACAACTGCATCAAAACAAACCAAAACATTGTTTTGGTGTCTGTGACAACCTGTTGCACAGTTTGAATTCATTGTACAGACCATATAATCAGTTGTGAAAATGCCTGATATAAGAGATAATCCGTGGTGTGGGGGCAGGGCAGATGCAGGAAAGGGACTAATATCACTAATGAAAAACTGCTTGTTTCTGCATCACCTAACTTGGCCTTCATTTCTCCCAAAGAGTAGCTCATTTGGACAAATGAAATTCCAAACTTGCAAACTCTTAAGAGTTTGCCAATTCAGTGAAACTAAGAAAAATGGAAAGATTGGTGGAGAAAGGAAATTCAAATCAATTAAACAATATAAAGAGATTGAAAAAAAATAGGTGGTGGGCAGTGTGAAAAGTAGTGAAACAAAAGAATAATGTGTGACTCTAGCCATCTGTCTTCAACCTTGGTCAGCCTGAGCCTCCTTTTCGAATGTGACGCGAGCACTGGAAACACAAAAATGAAATATGGCAAATTGGTACCCTCTGTTTCTTCTGCTTCTGAACAGCACAGACTTTTTGCTTATGATGGAAATCAGTGCACGACAAGAAATCAATCTGTCAATATGTTCTTGTTTTTCTCTACCAGCAAGGAGCTCAGCTTATTTTCAAAGCCAAAAGGAACATGGGCTGCCTTTTATAATTAAGTCCCTCCAGGAAGCTTAGACTTTGGAAGTCACACTTTCTTGGGGAACAATCATAGCTACTTAGCTTGTCTGACCTTGTAATGTTGGTGAAAGCACAACCACTTTGATGAGATGTGCTACCTCCGGTGCTGCTGAAGCCGGTCCTTTTGCCCACTGTGGAGAGTGAGTCAGGCAGAGGAATCAATAGGACCCCATGCTGTCTAGAGGAACACAAGCTCCTGCACAAGAAGAGGGATTTCAGGGAAGATAGGTCACCAGAGATCTGGGTCACCTTCTTAAACTCTCTTCCGAGGAGCTGTGTGATTGACACCTGGCTTACCTAGACAAATACACTAGGTGACAATTATTAAGTCCCCTGAGAGTTGAGGGAGCAGAGGCAAAATGAGGCTACTCTAATGCCAACTCAATGGTTTATTTAAAAAAATGTAGCCTTAATCTGTCTTCTGTCTACAATTCCCTTTCTCCCTGAGTGCTATTCTACCACAGATTTCTCATCTTGAAGAAAGCAAAAAAGAATTTATATCAAGCTGCAGGGTATTCTCGCCAGACCTAGTAGACTCAGTGTTCAAAGCTCTTGGACTTGTGTAAAAAAACATGAAAAGCAAAACCATAAAACCTCAAGCAATTTGAAATACACAATAAATGAGTGACAATATTTATCTTTTGGAAAAGACCTTTAAATAAAGGCTCAGAGGAAAAACAAAGAAAAATAATCTTTTGGTATATTTTCCCAACATATTGCCTTTTAAATTGTCAGTGTGTGCATTTTAACTTTGGCCAAGAAATCTGCATCTGTGCTTATTACTAAGGATTGAGCATCCCCAGGAAAGTCTGTTACTATGGCAAACACTTTTTATCAGAAGAGGAATGGAAATTAGAGTAACGCTGACAAAATGTACGAGTAAACCATGAACGCAGAAAAAACCTCATCATCCTTGGGCCTTAGTATCTTAAAGGAGATAGTAACAATTAAATTAGAGTCACAAATATTTAGCAGTTATCTATTATTTAAACAACCCATTTTAAGAGCTGTAGGAGATACAAAGGCAAAAATAAGATCTGGTCTCAAGGAGCTGCGATTCTGATTGGAGAACGGAGACATAATCACATGAGAAGTTAAAGATAAGTTCAAGACAACGGGCAGACAATTATCTTAATGCAGTAGATCCATGATTAACGGAGAAATAAATTATTTAGACAATAGCTGCCATGGGAGTCCAGATGAGAGAGATATAATGGGCAATGTTTGATCAAGAAAAATCTCACTGGGGAAGAGGTGTAGAAATTGATTTTTAACAGTGGGTTGCATTGAGATATTTCTGAGCGATCATATGGATTATAAGGAGGTTAAAATGTGTATTTGGGGGCTCAGGAAGTAAGGTAAAATAGAGAATCTATGTTTTATCTAAGAGATAAATTGGGATCCTCGATTTAAAAGATAAACAAGTTTATATTCTAAGGTGTCCCTTTTGAAATGCTAGGGAATTTGGATGTTATCCTATAGAAAAGGAGTCAATGTTGATGGGTTTTGAATACATGTTGGTTTTCCACTTCTTTCTAGATAATGATGACTGTCTAATTATGACAGTTGGGTGTACACATCTGGAGTCAGCTCTACCCAGCCTAGCTTCAGGCAGGGCGATTGAAGGATGTCCTGATTCTGTAGAGCATTTGTTCATCATCCAGCCTTGTTCCAGGTCCTGCTCTGAGGCTGGGAAACTAACCCCCACACTGTATTGTACTTCACGCTTTCTAGGTCACTCTCCACATAGCTCACACTCTGCAGAGTTTAGGCTTGCTGCCAACATGTCCTATAGCACCCATAATGCAACCCTCAGTGTCTGCTTCGGTATCTCTAAAATTCCTGCCCATCTGCTCGAACCTGCCAGTTTCCAATGGTATAGACACAGCCAGTTCCCTGTCCCTGCTATGCTAACTGTCGTGGACAGCTCCTGGTTTTTATTTGCGAGGCATGTACACTTCACACACCTTGAGACAGTTTTCCCGTTGCTACTCAACTTCTCAGACTCATATTTCCAAGTGCCTATTGCTAGAAAAGTAGAATCTTAATCATAGTTCTGTAGCTAAATGCTTAGGTTTAGTGAGTACTCTGTTTCCACCTGGAATCTTGGCTTAGCTCTTCCCCCATCCAAGCCATCTTTTAGTTAACTAACCAGTGGCAAGGAATATGATATGTAAAGCAATGTGTTATAAGTATTAAATGTACAACATGGTGCAAAATATACTAGCAGAAGAAAAAATGGAAGCAAGGAAACTAGTTAAGAGGGTTTAAAAGTCTTGTGAGGTAAAAAGATCTGGGTTATGGAGGTAGTGCTGAAGTTGAAAAATATTGATGGATATAAGAGGTATAAAAAAATTAAAGATAATAGACAAGGTTTGGTTATTTCCTAGCTCTAAGTAATGTAAAGATAATGGAAGAGTTTGTAGGATGGGAGATGGACAGAATGCTAGTGCCATTAACCAAAATAGGGAAATGGATGGAAGGGATGGCCACCTTGGGATGGAAAGGATGGTGACCTTGGGATGGAATGAGTGGATACCTTGGGATGGAAGACATAGTCATATTGGGATGGAAGGGAGGGTCACCTTGGTGACAGGGATACTCACCTTGGGATGAAAGGGACAGTCACCTTGAGATGGAAGGGATAGTCATCTTGGGACGAAAGGAGGATGGTCACCTTGGGATGGAAGTGGTAGTCATATTGGGATGAAAGGGATAGTCACCTTGGGTTGGGTTGGAGGGGATGGTCACGTTGGGTTGGAAGGGACGGTCATCTTTGGATGGAAGGGATGGACACCTTGGGATGGAGTAAGTGGTCACCTTGGGATGGAAGAGATGGTCATCTTGGGATGGAAGAGATGGTCATCTAGGGATGGAAGGGATGGTCATCTTTGGATGGAAGGGATGGTCACTTTTGGATGGAAGGGATGGTCATTTTTGGATGGAAGGGATGGTCATCTTGGGATGGAAGGGACGGTCACCTTGGGATGGAAGAGATGGTCATCTTGGGATGGAATGGCTGGTCACCTTGGGGTAGAAGGTATGGTCACTTCTGGATGGAAAGGATGGTCATCTTTTGATGGAAGGGATGGTCATCTTTTGATGGAAGGGATGGTCAACTTGGCTTGGATGGATTAAATTTAAGTCACAATAAAGTAAAAATGGAAATTTTTTTCAATATCTTCAAGTAAGAAGCTGGCTTGCGGATAATTTTTCTAGTGAAGAAAGTATGAGAACAAACCAGTAAATGTAAATGAATTTGCTTGGAAAAATGTTAATATTTAAGAAGTTGTTAGAGGGAGGAAGCAGGAGGAAAGCCAATGAAGCGATACAGAAGCGAGAAGCAAATTGAACCAAGGTAATTTAGGGCCACGAAAGTAAAGTAAATAGCTCAACATTTTAAAATAGTTTAGCTGTGTCAAGTTCTGAGGGGTTATTGTGAATATGAAATAAACACAGGTTTTGGAAGTGAGAAATTCACTGATGATCATTGGTGCAGGCTGTCTCTAGTGGCGGAAACAGAAGCCAGGCCAAGCTAGCCAGGAAGGCAATACTTGTAAATACCTCTCCATGTTTGCCACCTAGATTTTGGTATAAATAAATAGGAATGATACAGAACTTTGTCAATGACAGGAATGAGGATGAGATAAACAGGGCTATTGTTCTGGGTGTGTGTATACTGGCCAAAAAATAAGTCACTGAAATCATGAAGACTGAAAAGACAAGAGCTAAAGAATATGGTTATTTAGAGAGGAAAAAGGAGTGCAATTCTTTTGTCTCTCCACTTCTGCTTTGTAAATGAGAGCAAAATATTAAGGAAACTGCAGCTGCACCCGACCAATCTGGCTCGACGTTTATGTAACAAAGTTGTGAGTTGTTTTTTAGCTGCCATAGAACCCCAGGTTGAAGGTCATGGAAACTGAGCATGCCCAGATGACCCAAGCTGGCAAGCATGGGCAGAACCTAAGCGTTCAGACTGAGGAGAAGGGACAGAATTTAGAAGTGGACACAGCGTGGCAGGATCCAGCATCCAATCAGATCAAACCCTGGTGTCACCACATGGCAGGATCCAGTCAGATCATGCCTCCTGGCATCACCTCATTTGAATATCCAATTAGATCATATGTCATTATCCTATGCCTGTAAAACCCAACACATCCTCCAGCTCTGGAGACAGATTTGAGCCTTTCCTCAAGTCTCCTTACCAGTCAACTCACAATAAAGTTTTCTTTTCTGAAAAGCTAGTGCCATGGTACTGGCTTCTATGCGGATGGGGCAGTGAGCTCATTGATGGCTTAGTGACAAAATTAAAGCGGTAAAGCAGTAAAGGTCAATTAATCCTAGAGAATATATATTCAGAGTGGGGTCAAGCAGCTTTGTAGAAAAACAAGCTGAGTCCAGCAGCCGAGATAAAATATATAACAATAAAGATCACACAAAGTTTGACGCTGCCCTTGCAGACATGACTGCAGTTCAGAGGGAAGGAAGCCATGGTTTGTAAAGGTTAAAGAAGTGACTATTCAGACGAATCTGGACACACTTGGAAGTGCAAGGTTATCAACTTGGGGCTAGAGAGTAAGGTGCACTTAGGTGATAGGAAGACAAAGAAGACACAGAGTAGAAGATCTCCTGTGTGGCAGAAGGTAAGGGGGCAAGGAGGAAGGGGAAATTGAGTTGGTTCAGATGGTGGATGTGCGGTTTCTTGGTTGGTGTGGAGTATTTGGAAGGGTCTGTGGAATAATGAAGTAAAGAAACACTTAGGTCGCAGCCCTAAAGCACTAAATGATCCTGTTTTTTTGTTTTGTTTTGTTTTTTGTTTTTGAGACTTTTTTTTTTTTTTGAGACTGAGCCTCACTCTGTTGCCCAGGCTGGAGTGCAGTGGCATGATCTCAGCTCACTGCAACCTCCGCCTCCCAGGTTCAAGCAATTCTCGTGCCTCAGCCTCCCAAGTAGCTGGGATTAACCACTCCTGGCTAATTTTTGTATTTTTTTTGTAGAGACGGGGTTTCACCATGTTGGCCAGGCTGGTCTTGAACTCCTGACTCAAGTGTTCCACATGTTGGCCTTTCAAAATGCTGAGATTACAGGCGTGAGCCACCATTTTAAAATGGGCCAATCCCATGTTAAATACGGACATTATAGATCAAGATTTCTCAACCTTGGGTGATTGACACTTTGGGCTGGATAATTTTCTGCTGTAGGGCTGTCCTGTGCATTGCAGGGTGTTTAGCCGCATCCCTGGGCTCTCCCTACTAGATGTCAGTGGCACCCCCCAGTTGTGAGAGTAAAATTGTCTTCAGAGGTTCCCAAATGTGCTGGGGGTTGGGTGAGAATTGTGCAGAATCACCCTGGGATTGAGAACCACTGTGATAGATGATGAAGGATTTCAAGAACAAGAAAAAGAAGTTACCTAAGTAACAGAAAGAAGTTAACAAATGATATGGTTTGGCTGTGTCCCCACCTGAATCTCATCTTGAATTGCAGTTCCCATAATCCCTTTATGTAGTGGGAGGAACTCGGTGGGAAGTAATTGAATCATTGGGGCAGTTACCCCCCTGCTGCTATTCTCATGATAGTGAGTTCTCACAAAATCTGATGGTTTTATAAGGGGCTTTTCCCTCTTTGCTTGTCACTTCTCTTTCCTGCCATCATGTGAAGAAGGACATGTTTGCTTCCCCTTCTGCCATGATTGTAGGTTTTTTGAGACCTCCCCAGCCATGCGAAACTGAGTCAATTAAACCTCTTCCCTTTATAAATTGCCCAGTCTTGGGCAGTTCTTTATAGCAGCATGAGAATGGATTAATATAACATATAAAGTGACTCACTGAGTGGACAAACAAAATTACACACACACACACACACACACACACACACACACACACACAGGAATATTATTCAAGCTCAAAAAGGGAGGAAATTCTAATACATATCACAACATGAATGGAATTTGAAGACATTATGCCAAGTAAAATAACCTAGACACAAAAAGACAAATATATAGAGTTTCATGTATAGGAAGTCCCTTGAGTGGTCAACTTAATAGGGACAGAAAGTAGAATAATGGTGACTAGGAACTGGGGTGAGGGGAGAATGTGGAGTTATTGTTCAGGGGATTCAGAGTTTTAGTTTGGGAAGATGAAAGAGTTTTGGAGATAGATGGCGGTGATGGTAGTATGACAAGATGAAAGTGCTTAATGCCACTGAACTATGCAGTCCAAAATAGCTAAAATGGTACATTTTATGTTATGTATATTTTATCATAATACAAAGTTATTTGCATGTGCCAGCCAGTCATTATACTACGTTTGCGATAGTCTCTGGTGTAATAATTCCAGAAGGACAAATAAGCCCCAGGATGGTGATCTGGGGAAAGTGGAGCAGAATGGTCATGCACTGGCCACGGGAGTGAGTGGCACGTCCACCTCTGCACAAGTGAGCCCCGGCTGCCATAACAAAACACTGCAGATGAGGGCTTCAGCAACAGAAATGCATTACCTCACAGCTCTGGAGGCTGGAAGTTAGAGATCAGGATGCCAGCAGGCTCAGGTTCTGATGCAACCTTTCTTCCCACCTGCAGCCTTCTCACTGTGTCTTCATGTAGCCTTTTCTCCATGCATGATAGCTCCTGGTGTCCTTTCCTTTTCTTACAAAAGGACACACACCAGTCTTATTGGGTCAGGGTCCCACACCAATGACCTCTTTTTACCTTAATTACCTCTTTAAAGGCCTTATTTCCAAATACAGTCACATTGAGGGTTAGGACTTCAGCCTATGGATTTGTGGGGGCACAGTTGAGTCTATAACAGCTTTCTGCCCCTTTTTCTTTTAGATTGGGCAGTGGGCAAAGGCAAACTTGAGAGCAACTGGCAGCAGCTACTTCAGCATGCTGGTGAGTGCAGCACAGATTTTCCTTCAGGGAAGGAGCTGCTGGGGAGCACTGATGGCAGTGCAAGGAGGACCACTTGAGCCCAGGAGTACAGGACCAGCCCGGGCAACATAGTGAGAGTGTCTCTGTGAAAAATAAAACAAAATTAGTCAGGTGTGGTGGTGCACACCTGTGTTCCCAGCTACTGAGGAGACTGAGGTTGGGAGGATTGCTTGAGCCTGGGAGGTCGAGGCTGAGGTGAGCCATGATCGTGCCACTGCACTCCAGCCTGGACGATGGAGTGAGACGCTGCCTTAAACAAAAAGAAAAAAAAGATAAAGCCGCTCTTATCCATGAGAGCAGAAACTGCAGACTTGCCCAGGCATGGTAATGAGAACTAAATGCTGCCAGTAAAATGCATCATGGTTCATAACTTCAGGAATAAATGATGACCAAGGCCATTTGTTTACATAGCACAGAGCAGCTTAAAGCCTACAGATATTTACAACACTCAAAATATATAATTCCTTCTAGGGGAGTAAGATAACCCACGATTTCCCAAAGCCATTAAATATTAATAAGTGGGAGATAGCCTACCCTTTTAAAGCACTCATGGAGATTTCTGCATAGCAGGTGACAGAATTTGAGTTAGTCTCTGACCAGTGAGACCGAAAGTACTTGAAGCAGCAATCTGTACTGGCCCGGTGTTTTCCCCTGTTTGTGCTAAAGGGTTAATCTTTCTATGCTTATATTCTGATGAAGCTATGTTGAAATAAGTGGTACTTAGCTGTTGAACAAGATGGAATGCTAAATATGTTTTATGCCAGATTTAATTGCAACTACAAATGACACCAAGACTCTGTCCCTTGGCATGAAATTGGATGGCAGCTTGGCTGGTCTCATTTTGGTCATTCCTGTGATTGGTGCAGATTGCTGCAAGATTGATTTGACTGGTATTGATCGTGACGAGAGCAAGAGTGAACAGTTTGGCTGGACTAAGTCTGGTTCAGATGTTCAGTACAAACACAGCCATAACGTAGATGTACATTTTAAACTACCAAATTTCAGAAAGGAACAATAGAGGAGAAAAGATTGTATAGAAAATCTATTTATTTAAATTTTCTTCTAGGCAAATTGAGGCATTATAGTGTTGACATTCCAGAGCGTGCAGCCACTCCTTGAGTGATGACCAGGCTACTAGGAACTTTCATTCATTCATTTATGCAATAAGCCCTGATTGTTCCCCCTTGAACATTCCCTCCCCTCCTAAATAAGCTATCAAAGCTGATGTGTGAAACTGTTGGCCCAGCTCCTCGTACTGCCACCCTATTTAATTACAGTGGGTTTCCTTTCATTCGGTCGTCACTGCTCACAACTCAGGTAATTGTCCTCACAGGCAAACTCCTATGTCTGTTCCCATTCATCTCTTCCTTTCCCAGCTCTTGCTCGCTGACATCGGGAACACCTTCCTTTCTCCCCCTGTGATTACGTTTCCCACCGACAATAGAAACTGGGTTCTTGGAACTGAAGAGCTGTGTCTCCAGACTATCATTGCCAGAGAAGCAAAAATTAGACTTGCAGTGGCCTTTCCTTCCCAGGGGAAAGAAGGGCTTCTCAACAGCCTGGGCTTCTATGTCCCTTCACTCAGGTGCTGAGAACACACTAGTTAAGTTACAGAGTTTCTTGGAAAAACCGGTTGGCATCTGTATTAGTTCCTTCTCGTATTGCTCTAATAAAGCTGCCTGAGACTGGGTAATTTATAAAGAAAAGAGGTTTAATTGGCTCACAGTTCCACAGGCTGTACAGGAAGCATGGCTGGGGAGGCCTCAGGAAACTTAAAATCATGGCAAAGGTGAAGGGGAAGCAGGCACCTCCTACATGACTGGAGCAGGAGGAAGAGAGCAAAGGGAAAGGTGCCGCAGACTTTTAAACAACCAGATCTCATGAGAATTCACTCACTATCACGAGAACAGCAAAGGGGAAATCCGCCCCCTTGATAAAATCACCTCCCACCGGGCTCCTCTTGCAATATTGGGGATTGCAATTCAAAAATGAGAATTGGGCAGGGACACAAATCCAAACCATATCAGCATCATCTTGTAAGTGCACAAGTAAAGTAACAGCTTTAGCTTATTCTCTCTCTTTTCCGAAACACACTGAATCCTGATTAGGTAAACATTTCTGCTTTGGCAATTAGGTCATTTGTACTTTATGTCATGGGGTTAAAATGACAACAGCTCTGTAAGAAACCTGTGGACACGTATTATGGTATCATTAGCAGCATTCTCCTGGACACATTTCCTGTGGTCTCAGATATTAAAAATACATAAGGCCTGTGAATCACTCAAGTTCTATATCTGTACTAGACCTCTGGTTTAAATCCATGAGGATATTAACTCTTCACCCTTTTTATAGAATGTTGCTTTTTATTGTAAGGATGTCATTTATTGGGCTTGAAGTTGCTGTCAAACCTTCAGGAATGAGAGCTCTGTGCCAGTGCAATCCGTGTGATTCATGGTAGTCAAATGGTCACAGGCTGAAGAGTCATCTGGAGCATTCCTTGTACCTATGACTCTCCTGCTTATTTATGTTCCTGTTCCCTCACCCCAAATTCTCATAACAAAGAGGAATGGCATCCATGAACCAAAATAGAAGTAGCAGGCACTGAGGCAGTTCTATCAATGGATTTTTGAGGGAAATCATGTGGTTCTGAAATTTGGACCTTGAGGTCGTGCCAGTCCCCAGTGAGCAGCTTTTACTCCTTCAGTTCACTTCCAGCTGTGTGCTGCTACTCTGCTAGGTCTGAGAGAGACAGCAGAGAGAAACCATAAAGGGCACTTGAACGCTTAGAGTGATAAGCTGGAGATTAAATAAACAATGAAAAAAGTGATAACCATAACTAAGGGGGTAAATGTTGCAGTGTGAGCCTATCAGTGAGGTCCTTGAAGGTTCAGAAAATGCCCTCCTAAGGAAGGGACTTTAAAGTGAAGACTTGAGGGTGAGAAGGAGTTGGCTGAGTTAAGAGGTGGAGAGCTGGCTGAGAGAGCACTCTGGGCAGAAAGACGCAGAGCACATACATCTCAGATCTGAAACTGTATGAGGTTCAGTTTCAAGAAAGTTAAAAAAAAAAATACAGTACCACTTAAAGCACAGATAGGAATGAAAAAAAGAGTGACATGAGATCATAGAATAGAAGAGTCAGGCACAAGATCATGGAAGAACTTGTAAGAACCAGACTAAGGATGTCAGATTTTAATCACATTGGAAAGCTACTGAAGAGTTTTAAGTAAGACATATTTGTATTTCAGGAAGGTAACTACAACCTGGAAAATGGACTGTAGGAATCACAGTGAACTCAGGCAGACCCATGCTGCCACAATCAATGAGGAAGGTGTGGTCTAGCCTGCGACAGAGACACTGACTAAAGAACGTGGTAGACTTGTGTTATCATGCTGTGCACAGTTGAAGTTGTGAGCATGAATTTCTTGTGGTCTGATACACGTGGTTGTGAGACGTTCTCTAGCATCACTCAATATCTTATACAGATGCAAATCAGATGGAAATTTAGACTCATCCCACCCCCACCGCATCATTTTCTAGTTGGATTGATGAGTAGAAATTGGTTAGGATATTGGGAAGAAGGCAACTGAAATTGCTGACAAGAGAGTATAAGCTGAAAAGGTGGGGAAGTGAAGAGGGAGAGAGATGATGGGGAGAGGAAGAATAGAAGGTAACTGTACTAGAAGAATGGTTTTTGTGGCAGAGCAGCTTCAGGAGCTAACAAGTGGAAAATGAAGTAGAGATGAAGAGGTAAAGAAACGAGTGGTCAAGATACTGACAGTCTGTCTGCACAGTCACAGAATTCCTGCAGACTGATGGCAAGATTAGTTAGTGTGGAGGATTCTGACTCAGCAAAATCTCCAGTCAATGAGCAGGATTGATTAGCAAAATGGCAGGAAGAAAGCTGCAGAGTTTGGGTATGCTGCTATGGTTACTATGAGCCTGGCATTATTCTGGGGGGCTTCACATACAGCTCAAGACAAGGCAGCTGATGCCCGGCTTGCATGGAGTTTCCATTCTTGAGGGGAAAGGAGGACGGTTGCTTGCCATGCAGATAAATAAATGGAGCGGCGGGAGGGCAGAAAGCATGCAGAGAAGCTAAATATGGTGACAGGAGAGCCAGTGACTTAAGAGTTACCATTTAAGCTGAAATCTAAATGACCAGATGGAGTTGGCCACGTTGAGTTTTGCATTGCTCTAGGTAGTGTGAGGCTCTTACTCAGAGACACTGTCAGTCTCCTTACAGGCTCAGCTGTCTTCCTCAAACAGCAGGAAGCTTGGCTTTCTGACAGTGTTCTCTCTGACTTAAGGATTTCCCTGACAAGAATTGCCCTTGTTGGCCCAAGGTGTTTCGTGGGCAGATGATCCCTCTTGCCAGGCTGGATTTCACGTTTGAGTGGAAGAACAGAGATGGTGACCATCCCTCTTTGGGTATTTGTCCTTCACTAAAATGGTATAGAGTAATAGGCTTAAAATAAAACCAGCAATGGCAACCTGCCTTTGTAGACAGATGTACCACTTGCAAATATTTAAAAAGACCCTTTTAGAAAGTTTTTTAAAAAGTGAAAATGTAGATTTCATTTATTATCCCCTTAAGAATTATCTTTCTAAAAATAAGCCTAACTTTGTGACATCCCTATTGATTCCAGGACAAGTCCCAGCCCCATGGCATGACATCTAAAAGCCTCCAGGTTGGTCCTATAAATCTTTCCAACCACTCCTACCAGGCACCTACACCCCAGGCATCCAAATGCTTATCAGTGATAACACAGCTACAATCTATGATTCAAGAAAACTGTCCCCCTGCCTGGAGTCCACACCCCTCCTCTTTCTGTCTAGTGAATGGAACTCATCCTTCAAAATCAACCCAAGCATCCTCACTAGACCTCCTCAGACCTTTCAGCAGTTAGTGCTTGCTCACTAGTCTGCTCTGCATGCACAATTCTGAGTTATAATTTGTGCTGCACTATGGGACCAAGACCACTCTTAGAGTGAAGTATGTGAAACTAACTCTTTGAAGATGAAAAAAATCAGATATTAGTAATTTCATATATTAATACTTCAACCTAGTGGTTGTTTCTTATTGTCTATTTTTCACCTTAATAGAAATGGAATCCCTAATTTTCATCTGAGCCAGTGGCTACCCATTAGAAAGACTATATTTTGTAAGTGTAGCCATAAGAATAAATTCTGGCCAATGAGATATAAGCACATGCATTGACCAGCAGCTTCTAAGAATCTTACAAGACAGCTCATGCATATCCTTTCATATTTCTTCATAGTCCTGACTGAATGCAGTAGCTCACACCTATAATCCCAGCACTTTGGGAGGCCCAGGCAGGAGGATCGCTTGAGTCCAGGAGTTTGAGACCAGTCCTGGTAACATAGCAAGACCTCCATCTCTACAAAATAGAAGAACTAGCTGTGCCTGTAGTCCCAGTTACTCTGGAAGGAGGCTGAGGTGGGAGGATTGCTTGAGCCTGAGAGGTTGAGTGAGGCTGCAGTGAGCCATGGTTGCCCACTGCACTCCAGCCTGGGCAACAGATCAAGGCTTTGTCTCAAAAATTTTTTTCTTCATAGTCCTTCCTCCATCCTACTGCCTGGAATGCACTTATAATCACCAGAGCTCTGGCAGCTTTTTTAGGACATGAAGTTAAAGGGATACACCCTAGAAATTATGGAGTAGAACTAGAAGTAATGTGAGTTTCTAAGGTCTTTGGTGGTAAAGCCACCATATCAGCCTTGGACAAATAGAGAATTTCTATTTAATAAGCCACATTATTTGCAATGGAACCTACTCCTAACTGATGTATAATGAATTTTAATTATTTCTGTGTATTTTGCTTTGTCACTGGACTGTGAGTTCTTCAATGGCAGGGGATACATTTTTAAATCTCTGTTCCATCAAGCGTCAGGTAGCAAGTCCTGGGCATGGCACATGCTGTATACTCAAAAATGTTTGTAATATAAAACACTTCATTGTCATTTTGAACAGAGTGAGTCAAGTACAGATTATACAAATAAAGGCAGCTTTTAAATAGTATAAAAATAGACAAACTCTCTCAAAGAATACCAGTAAATGAATGGGAAAATAGATCAAAAGTATGGTCCATAAGCATTTTTCGCACAAGATAATGTCAATGCATAACGAAGCATGACAATAGGTATTTTATATTGGTGGGAAAAACTCACCTAAGGCTCTTATTTTGAGACTCAAAGGATTAAGGCCAATAAATAATAAACAAAGTAATGATCAATAAACCCTTCTGGAGAAAAATGGAGGGAAAAAAGCAATGATAGTTGGCGATACATGTAACTTCTTCCGGTAATTGACTTTGATGGGCCTAAACCTAAGTATAAACTGCAGACTTAGCTTCAATGGGAATCGATAATGTCTGAGCTTATGTAACTCCAGCAACCATCATCTCCAAAACTGAGAAGGTTAGAAACTCTAAATCTTCCCTTTGTAAATTATGGCTTTGTGTTTAACTGCCAGGAACATTATAAACTCTGCAAATAACAGACCATAAAATTATTATAAATCAGAAATCAGGCACACAGCTTCTCAATAACCATATATTATCGGATATCGCAGGCTGCACCCGATTCAATGCAGTCCACTAGGCATAGGCTTAATAATGAAATTATAGCAACTGCATTTTCACTTGATGTGAAAAGTTTATTAGTACAACGAAAACTATCAAAATAATCAATTTATAAATCTAAAGAAACCATTAGGGTAAAGGAGCCCTAGCAAATATTAGGGTCAATGTCTAAATCAATAACATTGTACATAACTAGTGACAAGTCAGATGCACAGTAGAGCATCAGTTTTGCTGCTGCAAATAAAATCAGTAGCAATCAAATATAATTTAGTATCACAAAAGACATGTGGCAGGGCTAATAGATCTAGTTCCCCTCCTCTGATCAAGGAAGAAGCAGGAGCTCAATCATTATTCCAGTCACTGGAAAACAACCTGCTAAAGAAAGTATGTTTTTGCTACATAAGAGAGAGAAATGCAAAGATGGCTGTGGCAGTGTAGCATTACAGAAATGGAAATTGATGGGGGCAAGAGAACCTGAGATTCTAATTTGGTCCTTCTTCTTCCTAGCTGGCTGACCTTGGACAAACCATTTGACTTCTCTTGGGGTTAGTGTTTTCCTGTGTGAAATAAGGGAGTAATGGTTTCAGAGAAGAGAAAATTAAATGAGTTGTAAAATGTTTTAGGAGGCAGCACTTCACCTGGCTAGGAGCCATGTGCAGGATTTGGAATTGTAGTGAGAGGGCTGGATGTAGGGCAACTCAGAGCTCAAGTAGTGTCTGGAAAGTAGGAATAAGCACCTGTTTTAGAGAACAGGAAGGAAACCAAACTGGCCAAGTAACCCGTTCAAACTCCAGTGCAATAGCCATTAACATTTCAATGAGAAGATGGGCCAGTGTGCTGGATCCCTCTTGGGCACCATGGTGAAGGCCTCCCTTTCTTCCTACTCCTTCAGCAGCCTAATCTGCACAATCTTCAGGTAGCTTTGTAAAGCTTCCAACTAACAGCACCCCATCTGGGGCCCACACCATTTGTTTCCAAGAGATACTGTCACAAATGACCACAAACTGGGTGGCTTAAAACAACAGAAATTTATATTCTTGCAATTCTGGAGCCCAGAACTCTGAAAATCAAGATGTCAACAGGGCCATGTCTCTCTGAAGGCTCTAGGGAAGAATCGAATTCTCCCTTGCCTCTTGCTAGCTCCTGGTGTCTCCTGGCATTCCCCAGCTTTCCCAGCTTGTTGGAGCAGTGGTCCCAACCTTTTTGGCACCAGGGACTGGTTTCATGGAAGACAATTTTTCCATGAATAGGGGAGGGGAGGGGAGTGGGGGGGAGTCGCATGGTTGGGGGTTGGTGGGGAGATGCTTTGGTGATGATACTGTTTCCCCTCAGATTGTCAGGCATTAGTTCAATTCTCATAAGGAGCACACAACCTAGATCCCTGGCATGCACAGTTCACAATAGGGTTCATGATCCTATGAGAATCTAATGCCCGCTGATCTGACTGGAGGCAGAGCTCAGGTGGTCATGCTTGCTCACCCACAGCTCACCTACTTCTGTGCAGCCCAGCTTCTAACAGACCACAGACCACTACTGGTCTGTGGCCTGGGGGTTGGGGACCCCTGTTGTAAAGGCATCACTCCAATCTCTGTGTTCATTTTCACATGGTCTTCCCTCCTTGTGTCTCTTGGTGTCCCCTCTTCTTCTTATAGAGACACCTGGATTTAGGCCCACCTTTATCCAGTATGAGCGCATCTTAATTTACCCAATTACATCTGCAAAGACTTTATTTCCAAGTAAGTTCATATTCTGAGGTTCTGGATGGACACAAATTCTGGAAACATGGTATTCAACCTATTATGCCATGCTTTTTTTTTTTTTTTTTTTTTTTTGGTTTGTTTTCTGCCCAGTGGCTTCTCTGACACTGCATCGGATACCTGCAGAATCCAGGTAGACACGTGTGAAAGCTGGACATGACCTCTGAGGGGCTGGGCATTTGGAGCTTGCTCCTTAGGCACTGGCAGAGCTGTCAGATTGGCAAAGTCATCAGAAATTGAGCAGCAGGTGGCACTGGGCTTCCCTCCGTGTTCCTTCCTTCTTCCTGGAATCTTAGATCTTTAGGTCCTGGCTGCATTGGTTGCTCTGGAATGCCTTGACATTGGTATTCTTTGGAACTGTATTCAGCTTTTATAGTTGTTCTTGGAAGGATTGTCCTAATACAGGCTACTTGTCGTAGCTGGGAGCAGAAGCCTGATGTCTTTGCAATCTGTCCTTCCTTCCGTATGTTTTACTTTTAGAGAGAGACAAACAAGTACTTCATTAAATTTATATATACTACACCTCTCCCCAATTACCATAATTTTAGAACTATTTCCAATCTATAAAAATCTGATAAAGTAGTTACCGGTAACTTACTTCATATCACCATTCTCACAATCTGTTCTGTGGAGCTGTTAATGTAGGTATTGTGTCCTCATTTCAAACATGGGTAAATTATGATGCAAAAAGTTAAATTATTGTTGCAGGGACTGTCACTAATCAATGGAAGAGCAAATCCACATATCCATGCTTCCTAGCTTCAATACAGTGCTGCGGGGAAGATTTATTAGATGACATTATTGGGTGGCAAAATAAAAACTAAAAATTAAGATGGATTACAATACTGGTTTTATGCAAAATAACTTATGGATACATTTTTCTCCTGTAGTTCTGTACCTGTAAGTTTCCATTGTGTTTAGGACACATCTAACTAATTAAACATTATTTAGTTAACGTTCAGGAGATAGTGCTTCCGTTGGAAATAATGATTTATTCCTCCCCATAATTAAATTGGTTTTTGAGCACTTTTCTCATTATGGTCTAGGTAACCCAATATCTCCAGGGAAATGGTTCCATTTTGAGCCTACATTTTATGTGATTTTGGTAAATGTAACTCACTGTAAATTGCAAGTCAGCCATTTAACCTTTTTGCCTCAGTTATTCAATTTACAAAAGAGTGGTAGTGAGGGATTTGTTAAAAAGAAAGGAGAGAAGAGAGGAGGAAGAGAGGTGGGGAAATAAACCAAATATTTGATTTCATAGGAACGTGTGAGGAAATTAGCATGTTGAATGTATGAAAACACTATATATGTGTATAATGTTACCATGTGAAAATATTTACGTGAACTAACATTATGTTAAAAGTGGTATGTACTCATAATATGACTGAACTTTAAAGATAGGGGAAAATATAATTGATAATGATTTTCTTGTGCAATCAGAAAGTAATAGTAATATTCAAAACGGCATGGCTCTTACAGTTTATAAATACTATGCAGAAGTCCTTTCTCAGTCTCCTCAGTGGAAAGACCATTGGAAAAGGGGGGATGGCAAGATGAAGTACAAGTTTTTAGACTTGTACTTCAAACAGTTACTTGTAACTTAAAACAGTTACTTTTCTCTTTGAATAATTTCTTTAGCTATTCTCCCGTGACTGTGGAAACTACCTTTTTTCTAGCACTTCCCAAAATGTGACACAGCGTATGGCTTGCAAGGTGATTTTAGGTGCTTTTAGGGTTATTGGTTATGCTTTTATTTATATTGCTACCCTCTACTTATGGCAAGTGGTAATGCCATATGGCAATATAGCAATGAATGTGGAGGCTCCATTTAAATCAACCTTAAGTAAAACATTACAAATATAAAGAAATATATTGGCTGGGTGCTGTGGCTCACACCTGTAATCCCAGCACTTTGGGAGGCCGAGGCGGGCAGATCACGAGGTCAGGAGATTGAGATCATCCTGGCTAACATGGTGAAACCCCATCTCTAGTAAAAATACAAAAAAATTAGCCGGACGTGCTGGTGGGCACCTGTAGTCCCAGCCACTCGGTAGTCTGAGGCAGGAGAATCGCTTGAACCTGCGAAACAGGTTGCTGTGAGCTGAGATCGTGCCATTGCACTCCGGCCTGGGTGACAAGAGAGAAACTCAGAAAAATATAGAAAAAGAAATATATTAAGTAGGCCAAGTGCGGTGGCTCACACCTGTAATCCCAGCACTTTGGGAGGCCCAGGCGTGTGGATCACCAGAGGCCAGGAGGTTGAGATCAGCCTGGCCAACATGGCGAAACCTTGTCTCTACTAAAAATACAAAAATTAGCCAGGCATGGTGGCAGGCACCTGTAATCCCAGCCACTTGGAAGTCTGAGGCAGGAGAATCGCTTGAACCTGGGAAACAGAGGTTGCTATGAGCTGAGATTGTGCCATTGCACTCCAGCCTGGGTGACAAGAGAGAAACTCTGTCTCAAAAAAAAAAAAAAAAAAAGAAAAGAAATATATTAAGTAAACAATAGTATCAATGCTGTGTGGATATGGCAAAAATTATGTAGCCCTACTCAGATGATACAGCTGGGGAAGCATCGTTTTACCCCATTCCTGAGTGAGGCTCTACAGCATGGCAAACTGATTAAAAAGAAACTATGGACATTTTCAATATGAACAGTCTAAGAAGGAGCTGCACCCACTGCATTATGGGTTCAGTAGCCTGGA
Organism: Homo sapiens; assembly: GCF_000001405.40. Lineage (NCBI taxonomy): Eukaryota > Metazoa > Chordata > Mammalia > Primates > Hominidae > Homo > Homo sapiens. The sequence goes on along the minus strand of NC_000013.11, from coordinate 109,619,738 downwards.
AATTCAGGGGGGCATCTAGAACTGGTTCTGGTGCCTTAGAAAAGAGATTTTAATCTGTAATTCTTATTGCAAAGATTCTACAGTGACTTTCTACAAACTTGAAAAGAAATACAAAGAGGAAACATGAAATGCAGGGTAAGTGACACAATTTAAAGTGTTTTTTTTTTTTAAGGATTTTTCTTTTGGTTTAGAAAATCGTATCTTTTGCTTATATATTAGGCGAGCTTGTTTTCAACTCTTTGATTTTAGTGTGGTAATTTTTACTTTGTGCCATCTGTTTCTTAAGATTCAACAGAAGATGAGCAGGTAGAAGAAAGAGAAGAATGGTGGCGAGTTTTGGACATGAGGCTTCTTCATAGTAGAGCATGGGTGATATGGTTTGGCTCTGTGTCCCCACCCAAATCTCATGTTGAATTGTAATAATTCCCACATGTCATGGGGAGGACCAGGTGGGAGGTAATTCAATCATGGGGGTGGCTTTTTCCCATGCTGTTCTTGTGATAGTGAATAAGTCTCATGAGATCTGATGGTTTTATAAAGGGCAGTTCCCCTGCACATTTTCTATCTTGCCTGCCTCCATGTAAGATGTGCCTTTGCGCCTCCTTCACTTTCTGCCATGATTGTGAGGCCTCCCCAGCCATGTGAAACTGTGAGTCCATTAAACTTCTTTTTCTTTGTAAATTACCCAATCTTGGGTATGTCTTTATTAGCAGTGTGAGAACAGACTAATACAGTGGGTTAAGTGCTGGAGACTGGCATAGGAAGGGGTGCAGTTTGGTGATGTTGGGGGATAACTAAGGGGTGTGACACAAATGGGAAAGTGGTGAATGCATTGAAGTGAGCTAAACATGAGAATAGAAACTCCAAAATCTAACTTGTTAAGCCACAGGCTCGTAGAAAGTCCCTAGTCTTGGTGTCCCATCTTTACTGGGGTACAGGTTAGGTGGCCCAAACATACAGGATGAGTTGAATAACTAAAGCATATAATCAGATAACTCTATGGAAGAAAACCCAAACCATGATCCATTTTGGTTGTAACATTCTTCTAAAGAACTGACTGGGAACTTAATTTATACATGTACTTAAACATTCATTAGTGACCTCCTGTATAGATGACATCAAGGTCTTTCTTATTTTTTCTTTCAATCTGTGCCTTTGTGCACGTTTTTCTTCTCAATAGACTTTTGTTTCTCTGTGGTCACCTTTTGCCCACATTCCTCTGTAACCCCAAAGGAAAAGGTGATAATGTTTTATTTACATTTTGATTTTTTAAAGTCCATCTAATTTTATCGAAGGTACACATAGTTCTGTAGTGTATTTCTCTTTTGAAATTTATTTTTTGCTGCTTGTCTTACTATAGTGGAGAGACAAATAATATGTTGGGTTTTGAATTTATTTTTTTCGATTTATTTTCTCAAAAGTGCTGTTTCCTCACTAATAGCCAATTAGCCAGGTTGATTTATTGATTTTGTATATTGAATTATGGAATGTGCTAGTCACTGAGCTATAAAATAAACATATAAAATAAATGAGAACAATGAAAAAGTTTATGCTTTTTATGTGCGCAAATTGGTCTTGGAGACAGGGTTAACATGCACTGAGTGACTAGGAAAGATTGCAAATCATTATGTAATCCACCACCACACTGTGTGAGGAGATTTCAGGACTGTAGAAACTGAGAAAAAATTAAAATCTTCAATATTTTATTAGATTGGAATTTGGAGTGGCAGGAATGGAGAAATGGGCATTTAAAATGAGAGCATTTGACTCCGTAAATACTAGGAATGAGAGAATAAGAAAGCGGGCAAAAGAATCTAAAAAATAAAGTGGGTTTGAGAAAGATCATGGTGTTTGACTGTGACCTTAAAAGGTCGTCCTTAAATGCTCGTCTGTGAAAGATCTTCCTGAGGAGACAGGTAGAGGGAATGTGATTAGAAGAGGTGGCAGCCGGCAGGCAGTTCGAGGGGTTCCTCCCTGCCTGGGTGAAATGTTAGATTTGCCTTGTGAACAGCTAAATGAAACTTTATTATCTTATCAGTATTTTCTGATATTAAAAGGAATGCCTATTGTAGAAAATTTGGAAAACACAGAAAAGCACAATGGAACACAGAAGTCACTTGTAAACTTGTCACCAAGGAAGATGCAGTAGAACAGTTTCACTGTTTTTTTAATCATGTCTTTTTTTGTTTGTTTGCATATAGATACATATAGTTTTGGCATAAAAGTAGAATTATTCTCCATATACTTTTAATATCCTGATTTTTAAAATTAATATTATCCCATAATTACCATTAAGCCACTATTCTTGGAAACGTGTTGACTAGTATTCATGTGTTCCATAATATTTAACTGTTCTTATATTCTTGGAGTAAATTTTACTTGATGATAATGTAGTATTCATTGACTATGCTCCTGGATTAAATCTGCAAATTAAAAAAATCTCTATTGATAAGGGAAGTTGGCCAGTAGTTTCTCCTTTTTATGTCTATAATTGTTTATTTATTTATTTATTTTGAGACAGAGTCTTGCTCTGTCACCCAGGCTGGAGTGCAGTGGTGCCATCATAGCTCACTGCAATTTCTAACTCCTCGGCTCAAGTGATCCTCCTGCTTTGGCCTCGCAAAGTGCTCAGACTACAGGTGTGAGCCATCACCGTGCCTGGCCATGAGTACAATTTTAAGAAATGTAACAAGATGATACAAGAGTCACTGAATTGATTAAGACGATTTTCATATTGCTATGCTGTGGAAAAGTTGAATACAAATTAGGCAAATATTGCCAGTATTGGGCCTTCTGGTTCCGGCATCATGTTTGGCAACATTAACATAGAACATGCCTTCTACAAATACCTAGATATGCTAAGTAAAAATACAAGCACAGAAATTTAATGCATTGCTAAGCTCCAGGAGACAAAGGGAACCTTGAAGATGCCGGAATGAAAGCCAGCACTGAGAAGACATAGCAGTAAGTAGGTGAGCCGGTGCTACAGAAGGTAGTTAATGGAGCCAGAGATGGCCTAGGCATTGGCGCTAGTGGAAATTCAAGGGTTGGAGGTTAAAGTGTCCCTACAGGGTTGGGGCTTGAAATTGTTTGCTTTGCATAAACCTGGGGACTTGGAATATCAATACCCCTGTGAAACGGGCAGTATAAACCCACATTCTCTGCATTTCAGGTTCAAATTATATATCCAAAGGAATAACAGAATTATTTCTGTTAACAGTAACAATATTAGGAGGATGATAATAGAATATCTTCAATGTTCTGGGAAAAAAATACTTTAGAATTCTGATCCAGAAAGATATCTTAAAATAATAAAGACAAAATAAATTTATTTTTAGAAAAACAAATGGTGAGAAAATTTGAGGCCAAAATACCCAAATTAAGAAAAATTCTAAAAAAAAATTACTTTAAGCAGAAAGAAAGGTATACCAGATAGAATATCTGAGATTTAGGAAAAGATAAAATTCTTGTGACTCATTTTGGACATGATGCCCCAAGTGGAAAATTCCACAGCTGACTTCATGTGACAAGTTGCAGTCAAAATGCAGACATTCCAGTTTATTCAGCATCCCCACGGGAAAGTAAAAAATGATCTTAGCCCCTTTCAGCTGTGTAATATCTTTTCCACACAAGCCCAGATTTCCCCACACTAGCAGCCCGCAAAGGGTAAGAAACTGTCATGTGTACAGGCTGGACTCGCCAGTGACAGGTTCCCCATTGCACGCCATGTGGTGCCGAGACCTACGTGCATTACCCACTGTGGGTTTATTTTTTTTTATTTTTATTTATTTTTTATTTTTTGCTTAGTTTCTACTCTGTGGTGTGAAGGTGGTGTTAAATATCTGAAGCTGGAAGCCATCATTCTCAGCAAACTAAACACAGGAACAGAAAACCAAACACCGCATGTTCTCACTCATAAGTGGGTGTTGAACAGTGAGACCACATGGACATAGGGAGAAGAACATCATACACCGGGGCCTGTTGGGGTGTGGGAGGCAAGGGGAGGGAGAGCATTAGGACAAATACCTAATGCATGCAGGGTTTAAAACCTAGACGATGGGTTGATAGGTGCAGCAAACCACCATGGCAGATGTATACCTATGTAACAAACCCTTACGTTCTGCACATGTATACTATAACTTAAATAAAATAAAAGGCCTGTAGATACCCCTATGGGTAACAGTGACTAAACAAAGAGGAAGCACTTATGTTTGTCTCTAGCACAGAAAGTCAAGCTGCTGGAGAAACTGCACAGCAGTGCCAGTGTGAAACATCTTACAGAAGAGCGTGGTGTGGAAATGACCATACAGGACTTGCCGAAACAGAAGGATAAACTGTTGAAGTTCTATGCTGAAAGCGGTAAACAGAAGTTAATGAAAACTTTTTAAAAAATACTGTGTAAAGCTAAAAATGAAGATCTCAATTGTGTATTAGATGATTGCATCTGTCGGCATGGCAGTGAACACATGCCACTTAATGATATTCTGATTATGAAACAAGCGAGGTTCTATCATGATGAACTGAAAATTGAAGGGAACTGTGAACACTGAACAGGCTGGTTGCAGACATTTAAGAAAAGACATGATATTTGATTTTTACAGCTTTGTGGTGATAAATCATCTGATCATGAAGCAGTGAAGAAATCGTTGATGAGTTTGCGAAGGTCATTGCTGATAAAAATCTGACACCATAAAAAGTCTATAATGCTGAGGAAACATCACTGTTTTGACATTATTGCCCCAGAAAGACACCGACTACAGGTGGCAAGATGACCCCTGGTCTAAGGATGCCAAGGACAGAATAACTGTGCTGGGGTGCACTAATGCAGCAGGCAGGCATTAAGTGTAAACTTGCCTGGTAGGCAAAGCTTGCATCCTCTCTGTTTTCAAGAAGGGAATTTCTTATCCATCAATTATTATGCTAACAAAAAGGCATAGGTCGCCAGGGATATATTTTATGATTGGTTCCACAAACATTTCATACCAGTGGCTCATGCTCATGCAGGGAAGCTAGACTGTATCACAACCGCAAGACTGACTTTCCTAGACAACTGTTCTGCTCATGCCCCAGCTGAAATTCTCATCAAAAATAATGTTTGTGCCATGGACTTTCCTTCAAATGTGACTTTATTAATTCAGCCATGTGACTAGGATATCCTGAGATTAATGAAGAGTAAACATGAAATGCTATCTTGAGCAGCATGCCAGCAGCAGTGAACAGAGGTGTAGGTGCGGAAGGTTTTCACAAGGAGTTTAGCATGAAGGATGCCCAATATGCTGTTGCCAATGGCTGGAACACACTGACTAAAGACGCAGTGGTGCCGCGATTATGTTCAGTGATGATGATGAATAAGGTGGTGACTTTGTAGGATTCTGTCTTTTGATCTCCTTACATATGCAAAAAATATGCTTTCAGAGTCCATCAGTAACGTGGGAGAAGTGAATATCAAAAAAGTTTTTAACATCAATAGTAAGGCTCCAGTTGTTCATTGTTTGACAGCTCCTGAAATAGCCAAAATGGTTCTGAATCCAGGTGGTTATGATCATGGTGATGATGAAGATGTTGTTGTCAACACTGCAGAAGCAATGCCTACAGATGACATGGTGAAAGTGTGTCATGGTCTCACTGAAGGAACAGAGCAGCATGCATTCACAGCAGAGTAAGACATCATGTTAGCTTATAAAATCAAAAAGAGATGTTGGAGACACAGAACATTGTTAATGAGGCAGATGACTCTGGTGGAAACACTTTGAAAAGCCACCCAGTAGAATGCCTCCTCATCCCTAGAGGACCCGCTTTCTGGTCCTTTAACTGCTTCTGAGATTTCTTCTGCTCTAAAAAAATAAAACACAATGTACAGTAACCTTTTAATCAAAACACAGCATTGTAGATGGAGGCTGGGAGCTGCGTTGTTTGTTGCTGCCGTTGTCTGACAGCTGATGCAGGTGTTCCAGGGATGCTAATGTGCTGGCTAGCTACCAAGAACACTTATTTTTTTCACTGTATTAATGGCATATCGTATTTTTTACTGTTAAATACTTACGTGAGAATAAGTGTAAGAAAATGGTTGCTTATCTGTAGCATGTAGCATGTAAATTTAGTCAGGAATAATGGTGATGCCAAATAACCACAGATTGTCCACAGTGGGGGAGGGGGTGGGTGAGGTGGACACCTTTGTGCTGGTTCACGGTACACAAAGTTTGTTTATGTACAAAATTCTTAAAAATGATGTATAAAATTACCTTCAGGCTATGTGTGTAAGGTGTGTATGAAACACAAATGAATTTATATTTGGACTTCATTCTCATTCCCAAGATGACTCATTATGTATATGCAAATATTCCAAAATCCAAAGCACTTCTGGTCCCAAGCACTTTGCACAAGGGACGCTCAACCTGTATTACTAAAGTGAATGAAGACATGCTGTAAAGAAGATATTTGTAAAATAGCTCATCAACAAAACACTCATGCCCGAACATATTAATCCATAATAAACAAAACTGGTGATCCAATAGACAAATGGTCAGAAATCTGAAGAATCACCTCAAAAACACATACCTGAATGGCCAGCAAACATATTCAAATAGGCTTGACCTTATAATCAATAAGATAAGTGCAAATTAAAACCAAAAATGAGAAGCAGTTAGCCACAAAACTAGCAAAAAATATAAAAAAGAAAAAGAAGAGAAGTCAGAGGCAACACTGTGAAGGAAGATATGGGGCAAAGGGGTCTCTGACACAACGTTGATGGGAATGTTAAACCTACTCTGGAAAATAGTTTGGCATTATCTAACATATTTGAAGATGTTCAAATCTTTTGACAAAGCAGTTCTACTCTTAAATATATATTCAGAAAAGCAATTGCTTTTGTGCATGAGAATACACATTTTTAAAAAACTGTACAAAGCAGTATTTTTTTATAAAAGCAAATTTGAAAATAACTTAGATGTCCACCAAAGAAAACAGATATAGTAAATTTGTCTGGACATGTGTTACGGAATTCTAGCCAACAGTGAAAATGAAAAACTATAAGTGTTTTCAACAAAATGGATCAACTTCACAAAAATAATTTGGGGTGGGGGCAACATCACAAAAGAACATGTTATGGACTGAACGATGTCCTCCCATCCTCCCAAAGTTCATATGTTGAAGCTGTAACCCCTCAAGGGGTTGACAGCAGTCCTCCCTTATCCACAGTTTTGCTTTCTGTGGTTTCAGTTACCTGGAGTCAACCAGGATCCAAAAATAGGTGAGTCAGAACAATAAGATGAGAGAGAGAGAGAGACAGAGGGAGAGAGAGCACATACACATACCTTTTACTGCAGTGTATTGCTATGATTATTGTATTATTGTAAATTTCTTACTGTACCTAATTTATAAATTAAACTTTATGATACATATGTATGTATAGGAAAAACATAGCATGTCTAGGGCTTGTTACTGTCTGTGGTTTCAGGCATCCACTGAGGTTTTAATACAAATTCCCCTCGGATATGGGGGTAACTACTGTATTGGGGTCTTTAAAGAGGTAATTAAGTGAGGTCATAAGGGTGTGGCCCAATATGATTGGTGTCCTCACAAGAAGATATTAGGACACAGGCACATGTGCTCACAGAGGCAGGACCATGTGAGGACACAGTGAGAAGTGGGCCATCTGCAAGTTAAGGAAAGAGGCCTCAGGAGAAACCAAATCTGCTGGCACCTTGATCTTGGGCTTCCAGCCTCTAGAATTGTGAGACAATACATTGCTGTTGTTTAAGTCCCTCCACCCGAGTCAGTGGTATTTTGGTATGGCATTCCCAGCACATTAATACAGAATACACACTTTTTGGTAATTGCATTTATATAAATTTCAGGAACAGGTAAACTTAAATTATCTTGTTTAGGAATGTAGATGAGGATGATAAAACAAGAAAAGGATTTTCATGAAGAGTCTAGATAGTGGTTTTCTCTAGAAGGAAGGAGCTGAATACAATGGAGGAAGAATTCATGGGAACTTCTGGGGTCTGACAAGGAACGAATTCTCAGCCTGGATGGTAGCTATATAGATTTCTCCTTACAATTCCTTCTGCTGTATATATGTTTTGTGTAGTATTACATATGGGTGGTAAAGTGCACGACTAAATGAAAATCCAAGGGACTGCTAAGTAGGCAATTTAAGATGGTTGTTTGATTTTGTGGGAAGAGCCAATATATATTTTATGGTGAAAATGCATTTTCTTAAACTAGTAGGCAGTGGGTATCAGAATGATCATCTCGTTGTTATTCATAAACCATATATATTTTGCATTCATTATGTAGGCACTTAGCATTTTAGAAATGCAATTTTTCTTTTAAAAAGGGTAAAAAGAACAGTGGTATCTAGTGTCCTCAGAATTCAATGACTATTTAGCTTACAAGGGTGCCTCACAAAGTGATTAAAAAAAACACAGAATACCCAGTGAAATTTTAAATTTAGAGAAAATGTGAAAAAAGTTTAGCGTAGTTGATCCCAAATGTTGTATGGGATATACTTATGCTTCAATTGTTCACTGTTTAGAGCAAATTCATGTTTAACTGAGAATCCTCTCTTTTTATTAATCCAATCTGGTGAGCCTAGTAAATTTCAGAGCTTGAACGACTCGCCAGGAATCCTCCCTCCCGCATCCTCAGTTCAGGGCAAAGCATCAGTATCCATCGTACGATTTAATTCCCTGACCACATCATCAATTCTTCTCTCTCTCAGCAAAGGGCTGTCTACAGATTTATGCATTCCTTGGGCATCTCTACCTAAATGCATTGAAGAACAAACTCATTATCTTTTCTCTAAAATGAGATAATGGTCTCCCCCGAACTTTCCTATTTATGTCAAGGATCCTGTGTTAGGATTCTTTGTCACAAGTGGTGGAAACCCAATTGGAGCAACTGGCAAGTGACAGTTTAGGGCTGGGTGTCATGGGCCCACCTGAGGGGTGGGAAGCAGTAGGGGCCTCATGGTACATGGGACAGGGACAGGAACCCCACTGCACTCCCCACCTCTGCCCTCTGCTGGCTATGTGGCCTCATTCTCATGGGGCTTCCAGCAGCTCTCGGGTGGGGCTCCCACAAGACAGCCTGGGTTTCATTCTGGCTCTGCCACTTAAGAGTGATGGCCCTAGCACAAGTCGTTGAGCTTTTCTGTGCCTCGATTTCCTCATCTGTGAACTCCTTTTTAAGTCAAGTTCTGTGGAAGCAGAGCATGAGATGGGTTTGGTCCACTGAGGAATGCTCTCAGGAAAAAGGGAGGGAGGGATGCGAGACCATCCTGGCGAAAGCGTGGTCTCAGCTGGAGTCTGCATTCTGCCTGGTTCCATGGGAGCTCTGGAGAACAAATCGCTGTATAAAGTTGATCTCAGCTTGTGGCACAGACTGGCCTTTGTAACCCAGTGTTAGTAGGCTGCAGCTTGTCAACTGCCTCTTGTGGGGGCCAGGAGGTATGGAAATAGCTTCCTAGGAAAAGTGTTTTAATTTTGTCCAGGGCAGTTGGGGAGAAGGGAATATCTCTGAGTTATTAACAGCCAGCTGTGTGTCGGGGGGTGATGAGTGCACCAGCCCAGTGTGGGGGCCACCAGCTTCCACGACGCTGGGCACGATTGCAGAACCCACCCCGGGGTTGGCTGGAATGACTGAGGGGATGAATTTATGTGAAGTGCTCGGATCATCATGTGGAATGCAGTAAGCCCTCCATGCATGTGATATGATGGCAATTATTTTTTATTTTCACTAGTAGCTCATGAGAGGTATTATGTCTAGGAAAACAAAACAAAACAGGAAAAAATAACCCAGACACCAGTATTTTCCCAGCAGTCCAGGATCCAAAGCTTAAAGGTCTGGTTGGTTCCCCTTTTGGTGTCTATCAGAGTCAACGGGTCCTAGGGCTGGATCTGGGCTTCACACGCTGGAGATGCTGTATTGCGTCCAGGCCCATGTGGCTGAACCCCTTCACTCAGCGATGTCCTCTACACGCACACATCCTCAGCCACAGTTGTTTTTCTCATGGCTCTCCCTCTGTCTCTGTCTCTTCCTCTGACTCTCTTCCTTTCTCCCTCTCTCCCTCTCTATTTGCTTTCTGAGGTATGCTATGATGTTGGTTTTAAATACTTAATTGTACCCAAGTAATACGTGTGTGTTTAAATAAAATCAAAGAGAAAGAAAGCATATGACAAAACCCAGCAACCCCCAGGCCAACACTCCCCAGGCCTTGATCCCACTCACTAGGGCCAATCACTTTCCACCCTTGTGGATGTTTCCTTTTTTTTTTTTAACCTCTTCCATGTATTTATAATCTCCACTCATCATTTATTAACTTAGACATGACCTTTTTTCTTTGTTTTATCATGAATGAGCTGCCATAAGCAACACCTCACCTTCTCTAGCACATCCTCACCAACACATTCTATCACTGTTAATAGATCAGGAACACGGGCACATCTGTGCATTTCCATTATCCCTTGCAGAGCCAGGTGGCATACTACAATTATATTTCCTTTCTTATATCACCATTTTAGCTGGAGAAAAATGTCTTCCTTTTTCTTTTTCCCCATTTCATTTGTGTTGAATTCCATCCCCAGGCCCTCACGTGTCTTCAGATGTCATTATTCTTTCCTTGTACTTGATAGGTTGACTACTTTTAGAATTCTAAATTGAAGATTATTCTCTGTCTGAATTTTAAATGCATTGTTCTCTTTTCTTCAATAGCCGACGTCACTGTTAGGACGTGCTGTACCTTTTGATTTCTATTTCTCAGTATGTTGTTCTTGTTTACTTTTGCATTTAAAATTCACTTGCATGAGCATGTTATAAAGAGGGTGTATATTGCAGGGGGAAGGGATCTCTGAAGCCACCTTCCACCCATTGTACACATTCACCGCAACTTGGATCTGTCCCTAGATGATGGGCTCACAATACAGCTTCTTTCTTACATCTCTCCCTGCTCTTAAGTCCTGTTACTTCTTCCTGTGAAACTCTATATGTCCCTGGCATGCAGTGCATTTTACAGTGAGTTACTTTTTAGTGAATGCCTCCAGTACGTCAGTTACGCCCTCCTGCTTCAGAGCTTAGGCAGGGTGCACTACACTTCTTTGTATCACAGCTTTTAGTTTTTGCTCATGAACCTATGGATGATCCATAGTCCAGCAGTTTTTTTTTTGTACAACTGTCAAAATCTCAGATATTCAACAAGGTCAACATGTATTATAATCTTTTAACTACTGTTGGTTTTTAAACGGTTTTAAACTCTATATCAGAGGCCATTTGTTTTTGTTGTTGTAAGTCAGGGTTTGATGTATGCACAAAGGAGGCGGTATTATCCTGTTCCGACTCATTCATCGACAGTCAGTCCTCAGTTTTTGTTCTGGTGACAGTCCTACTGTACACAAATGTGTTTTGCAAGTGGGATTTTGTGCAACACTATATCAAGTGTATTACAATCATCATTCTAATGTATCACATCAACTACCTTGCTTTCATCTGTAAATCTTGCAATTCCATCAAAAAAGCAATCAAGTTGTCTATGGGATGATTTGTGTCTCACAAACATCTAGTGATTATGGCTTCTGGTTCCATTATCCTATGGATGCTTTCAGAATTCCACATCTCCTTCCTCCATTATTTACTGGAGATACAAGTTGTGCACAGATAATTCAAATTTGCCAGGTTTCACTGATGATTTTATAAAGCCATTAAGTAGGAAGATGATATCGTATTTCACAAATGAAGCTAAAACAAATAAATGTGTGAACTGAAGAGCAATGATTCAACCATAATTTCAATCTTAAAAATCCTCGGTTTTCCTGGAATTGAAAATTCCGTTTTGGCAGAGCTAACTTTGTCCATAGCTTTTTTTGAGGTCTCTCAAGCCCTTCCAATTTAGCAAGGTTTGTAAAGAACCACCACATTTTATCTGCCTACGTAAAACCAGATAAATACATAGGGTTTGCTTCAAACTGCTTACTTATTTTGCAGCCACAATTTTTCACACACTCTCCCCTTTGTAGAATTTGGGAACAATCCCAATCTTGTAATTTACACAATCACTGAGCCAAAACACATGAATGTGCATGGGTTATCTGTGGCCCTCAACCTTAAATGTTGGGAGGAGGAAGCCACAGAATGGAGGGAACGTTTCTGTGTAGCCAGCTGTGCTGCCCTCATTCTGGGGACAGAGCATCCCAAGATGTGTGCATGCATCCACCCCTTTCCTGACAGATGATTAGGAGAGATTTAGGGGGATGTTTCCAGTTCTATTCACAAGAGCAAAGACATGAAATCCACTTAAATACCCACCAGCGGTAGACTGTATAAAGAAAATGTGGACATACACATCATGGAATACTATGCAGCCATTAAAGAGAATGAGATCATGTCCTTTGCAGGAACATGGATGAAGCTGGAGGTCATTATCCTTAGCAAACTAATGCAGAAACAGAAAACAAAATACCCCATGTTCTCACTTATAAGTGAGAGCTTAATGATGAGAACACGTGGACACAAAGAGGCGAACAACAGACACTGGGGCCTACCTGAGGGTAGAGGGTGGGAGGAGGAGGGAGAGGGGCAGAAAAAATATTTGGTACTAGGTTTTGTACCAGGGGGACAAAATAATCTGTGTAACAAGTCCCCAAGACACAAGTTTATCTATATGACAAACTTTGACGTGTAGCCCTGAGTCTAAAATAAAAGTTTTTTAAAAATGGCCATTCTAGAAATAAAAATATAAAAGAGTTGGGGGGAAAAAGTGGCCACAATCTTTTCCAGCTTGAATGGGAGGTGGTAAGCAGTACGGGCCCATGGCAGTTGCTGTCTTCACGGTAGGAACTTTGAGTACTTTTCATGTAAAACAGCTCTTTATTGCCTAAGGGCAGTAGAAATTGGTGTGGACAGTTAAGAATAGAGGGTTGAGCTGTATCAGTAAAGGAGGTTTTGCAATATCAAGTTTAGAGACTAAAGCTCAAATTTCAGTCAGAGCAATTCTAGAAAACTCTTGGCACAATTGCTTTATGACATTGTATTTTGTTGAAAGATGAAGGAGAGAGTGAAGTGACTATCTGGGGACCCTGAGGAAGTCCCTAAGATTCTGTTGACAAAGGAATCTGAGTGCAGGAAGCACGTGGCTTGCCTACCCAGCTCAAGTCTTATGAAGAGTACAGGTGTTGACAGTTTCTGAAGACAGAGCAGAGGAGGCTCTGGACCTGATGTCTATTTGATGGCAGAAGTGAGTAAGGGTACCTAGTCACATTGCTTTGTAAGAACCATTTTTACATGTGCCTGACTGTCTGTAGTTGCAAGTCAAATTTGACAAAACCACAGTGTAGGTTTATAGCTAGAACTTACATGTATATATTTACTGTCATTTGATTTTTTCCCTAGGAGAATGATATTTAATTTTTCTCATTTTCACACTGATCACAAAACACACACGCAATTCATGAAACTGAAGGCAGAGAAGAACTTCCAAAAGCACTGGGCTGAAGAGATACCATGGATAAAGATGTGATGCATGGACATCAGCTAGTATGTATAAAAAATTCTGCCATTTGTTGGGTTTTATTGGTGCCATAAGAGCAATCAATGGGTTACATAAACACTTTATATATTTGTAATGGAAGTGCTCTGAACCAAATATGCTAAATTCACTGTGGGGTCAAATATTTCCAGCTGCATGTGCTCTACTGCATGTACTTTGCACATAATTTGAACCATGTGCTTTTGAGTGTGTATAATGTATAACATATTTATTCTTAAAAACAAGAAGATTTGCCCCTATTTACTACAATTCAGCCAACTACAAGTTAGAGATTGTAAAACTGGAAGTTTCAGATTCCTCCTTTCATGTCCATAAAAGCAATTGCTTTATGGAAATGAAATTATCTTCCAGAGAGGGGAGAGCTCGTGGGTGACACAGACGCCTTTTGGGACTGGGCTCAGGTCAGGCCAGCCACAGCCTGATGGTGTCCAAGGATTAGGATTTGGCCCTCTGGCTATTAGGGTGAAGACATCCATGTCATTGGGATGACGAATGTCATTGAGAATGGGCAGACCAGTGTGCTGTTTTCTGTGCCAGTCTACAAGGTAGGGTTGGGAACCATTGGTGGGGGCCTGTGTGACACGTCCATTTCTGCTGTTTCGGTTTGTGGAAATGACGCCCCTGCACGTTCTTGATTTCTCTTCTCCATGAATGAACACAGTCAGGTGAAAACACTGTGACTCTGAAGTTAAACAGATATGTGTTTTAATCCCAGCTTTGCCTCTATGTGACGTTCGTCCACTCATCTAATTTGTGTGAAACCTGTTCTCTTCCGACTAAATCAGTGTTCATGACAACAATCTTGCAAGATTGTCAAGTGCATTATCAACAATGTACATGAAGTAGTTGGCATGGTGTGGTTGTTCTATAAATTGTAGTAATTATTGCTTTTTAAATTAAAGCAGGTAAATAAATAAGGAAGCATGTTAGATTTTCTGGACTTTTTCTGCTTTACTTTGATCTTTAGCACTAGGCACAAATTATCCTGAAGAGCAAAAAAATGAAAATAGCTTTGCAAAGCTGAGTAAGTTTATATTTCTTACAAAACCACAGAATCAAAAGGCTATCGATTAGCTCTGATGTCAGGTGACCTTTGACTCTTCGAATCAACATGCCCTACCTGAGAAAGGTCAACTTGGTCAGTTCTTTCACTAAGATCAAGCATGAAAGAGAGAAGATAGTTCTTTGGCAGAAGGCTATAGAGAAACTTTAAATGCTTTTTAACCCCCGCCCCCCCAACCCCGACTTTTTGTTTTACAAAAAAGAAAAAGTAGAAGTTATTCCAAAGAAATTCAAGGTAACTGGAAATTCAAGAGGATAGGAAAAAGGTGATTGCATCATTGATCAGGATCTAAACTTTATCTGTTTAATTTCTCTTCCATTTTATTAGTGCTAAGGATGAGAATAACTGTTATTTCTGATAGATATTTGCATTTTATTATAGTTGAAATTAGAGATCTTAGGAGGTGTTTACTGGTAACGTTGGGGGTGGTTCCAGTCTACAGAAATGTACATGCAAGGAGCACAGAAGCAGCCATGCATGCTGGAGTCCATGCGCATGTGACATTGGATGTGGAATCTCACAGGAACTGCTGCAGGAAGCCCAGTGGGGCAGCGTGTGAACAGGAAGGTGATCAGGAAGTTTCTGTCCATGCCGTGGCTCCCCTGCCTCCAAGGCTCTCACCTCCAGCCATCTGTGAATGTAAACATCTAGACCCTAGCCCTCTCTGCGCATCAGGATTCCTTGCTTCTACCTGGCTTGACCAGTTTATAGTTGATTCTCATTCTTCACACTAGTTATCCTCTATAAAGTTGCCATGAATGCTAAATTAGTGAATACTAAATAACTGCTTCCAGGAAAAATAGAAGGGTATCTTCCTGTGAACCTCCAGTCACAAGATTTTTTCATTAACTGGTAAGTAATAAACTTGCTTTATGTGTGTTTCTGTTTCACGACACCATATTTATTATGTATTCGCTGATTCATAAACACTGAGCTCACGGCCAGCAGGGCTGTCACTCACGCTTGAACCAAGCTCCTCTAACTCACATCCATTCTCCATCAGCCACATCACAGCCTTCCCCAATGCAGGAACATTAGACAGTTCTTCATTACTACACTTGGGAGCCATTCTAAACAGCAAAATAACCAACAAAAAGCACAAAAATGCAAAAAAATGTGGTATGAAATGAACTGCAAAAGCAAAAGACACTTATTTATATAGTATGACCAATCAAACAAGAAGCCAGGGTGTTGCTCTGTTTGACCTCAGGTGAGATCATGAGCAGCCAGTGGCTAAATGTTTTGTTGCTCTGTGCCCACCCTCATATGGTCAAGAAAGCACCAAGGGTTTTGATTTTGGGGCTCCAAGCAAATTCAGTGAGTAGGAGGATTGGCAGATAAGGAATCCACCAACAATGAGGATTGATTATCTCTGACTTCATAGCTCTCATGGCCTCAGCCTCTGTATTTTAACACCAAATTTGTGGTAAAAAATCTGATTTGCTCCACTTGGATCAGGATGCAATCAGCTGTGGCTAGCAGCAGGCATTGATGGGCAGCCTTATAGGGGAGGGCCCTTTCTCCAGGACTGTTAAGGCCAGAGCTATACTTCAGCAGGAAGTGTGGCTGAGGAAGAAGAAACTGAGATTCCTGGCACATGGGTTAATGGAAAGGCCCTTCATCTTTTTACACTGCTTAGAAAGACATACTTAGCACCCTAAACATTGAGTGCGTGTTAGAGGCCAAAAGTGACAGGACTGCGTTTTTGTAATTGACAGTGCAGTTAATCTTGGAACAATGCAGGGGTTAGGGGCACTGACCTCCACACAGTAGAAAATCTAAGTATAAGTTTTGACTCACCCAAAACTGTGAGCAGCAGCCTACTGTTCACCAGAAGCCATACCGATAGCATAAAGATTTGATTTACACATATTTGTATTTACATGTATTGTACACTGTATTCTTACAATAAAGTAACCTAGAGAAAAAAATGTTACTACGAAAACCATAAGGAAGAGAAAATATATCTACTATTTATTAAGTGGAAGTGGGTCATCATAAAGGTCTCCATTCTCATCTTATTCATGGGGAGCAGGCTGAAGAGTGGGAAGAGGTCTTGCTGTTTCAGGGGTGACATTCACGGAAGAAAATTCACATATGAGTGAACCCGCACAGTTCAAACACGTGTTGTTGAAGGGTCAACTGTAGTTTCTCACTTTTCCTTGCCACGTATGTTGTCATGGGAACCAAGAGAAAGGTAGCTCACAAGCTGTACAGTTGAAAACAATGTGCCCACTTGTCTGGGACCTTGGCGCCACATCTGTAGGATGCTAATGCCAATCCTCTGGGTTGCTGTGAGGATCGGTCGAAAGCTTTCCAGCTTCCAAGTCTATATAGCTGTGAGACATGGGACGGGTGGAGTTGGGGCTTCTGACCACACCACCATGACAATATTTACGTATAGCCTTGGCAGCAAATAAAAACAAAAAGGCACTAAAGATACTTCCACCCTGAGAGTCTAACAGGAGTACTTTTATGGACAAGATAATGGCCATAGCTACACTGTGTCTGACCCTCTCTTCTTTGACTGGGGTGTGGCCAAGGCCTCTGCGTAAGGCACGCTCTGCACCCCAAGGGTGGAATGATGAATGAATCACCTCTCAACCACAAAGATGAGGAGAGGGTAAAGTAAGAGAAGTTACGTCTTTTTCTTCCTTGCATCAACAAAGAGGCTTTTGAATTGTCAAAGTAGATTTCTTTCTGGGCTGTGCAGGTAGAGGAATGGAGCGAAAGGCCCTCCTAGGGATCCTCCAGGCTCTCAAGCCTGAGATTTAAACATGCAGGCACAGATATAAACACACACATTGACTGATGCCACACACCGTGTCAGGCAGCCCACCTGTGCAGAGCTGGGTGGTCTGGTGGGGAGGCACTGGGAGGGGCTGCCAGCTCACTGGGGTCCTGGCATGGTGGGAGAGTTCACAGTGGGATTTCATCCCAGAACTGAGATCCTCACACATAATATGAAGTTATAAATGAGACCATTAACATGCTGAACTAGTCACAGTCCAGCAGGAGTCTGCAAGTTTTGTTTGTTCGAGTCTACTATGGTTTGAATGATGGTGTCCCCACCAAAATTCACATTGAAACTTAATCCCCAGAATGGTGGTATTAGGAAATGGGGCCTTTTGGGGAAGTGATTAAGTCATGAGGACTGGAGGGAGCTAGCTTGGGACCATCATTGCCCTTGCATCCTTTTGGCCATGTTGGGACACAGAGTTCACGGCGCCATCTTGGAGGCAGAAGTGAGTCCTCACCAGCCACAAACCTGCTGGTGCCTTGATCTCAGATTTCCTGGCCTCCAGAACTGTGATAAATAGATTTTTATTACTCATAAATTGCCAGCCTCTGGTGTGTTGTTGTAGCAGCACAAAAAGACTAAGAGTCAGATACTTGTCTCACCAAAATCTCAGATGGGATGACAAAACGATTTAAAGAAATCAAGTTTGATAGCTGCTCAGAATCTTGAAGGTCCACCCTTAGTGACAGAGGCAGTCCTCAAATTCATATGAGATGAGATGTACTGTTCAAAAATTGTGCTTGAAGGCCACTGGCCAAATGTTTATAACAGATCTATCTACATGTCATAAAGAGCGTGAAGCCCCATTTTTAAGAGGGAGCTCCAGCTATCATTAAGTTCCTTCTCCCAAGACCCCTCCCCACTTCTGGGGGTCTAGGTCCTCTGCTTCTTCTGCCCTGTTAGCTGTGATCTGCTCCTCTTGAGAGGGCTGGTGTGGCAATAGCTTCCCCAGGGACTCAGCCCCACTCAGCTCCTGCCCATCCTGAGAACAAGGTGGCTTGGCCTCTGAATATTACACTTTTCTTCTAGAATTACTATGTATCTGGAGTTAGAGGGAAAAAAATATTGTTGTTCTCCTTTCAAAAAGCAACGCTCATATTTGGGCTTGATAATCCCAAGGCACGTTTTCAAGCTGCCAGCCCACAGCCCATGGCACATCTGAAGCAGTGAGGATGCTGGCTGGGCACGGCTGGGAATAGAAAGGTTCTGTGAATTGAGGGAACATTGCCTTCCTTGTTCAGGGGACCCAGTGAGCAAGCGACCGCCAAGTCCCTGGGCTGGGGGAGGGAGGACGCAGTGACCAGTCTCTGTCAAGCCTATTCTGAGAGAGGGGATGTGTCTGGGTTAACATTTCACTGAGATGCCTTGAGGCCTGGAGCTGGATATGCTCAGTTGAGAGGCTGGAAAAGAGAAGCGGAGAGGACCAACAACAGATTTTGCTACCTGCAAGGCTGATGCAGTATTGAAGCACTTTTAGCATGGCCCCGAGTACTTGGAGCTCTCCCAACTTCCACGGTCTCAGCATCCCTCTTCCTCTGTAGGCAGCCCAGAACCTGAAGACCCAGTAACTAAGGGATTAAGAAGGATTTAGCTGGAAACTGTCCTTTCTCATAGATCCGTTTCTGGGCCATACCAGTTAACTATTGTGAATATCACCCTTGTCTCTGACAAAATACTGCCTTGGAGGGCAGAGGTACTTAATTCACAGAACACATTGCAGAAATCGAATTGTTAGCAGCTGAATGATGAGAAAGCTGGAAATAAAGAGTCGATATTAGGGGCATCCATGGACTGGGGGCTTGGCAGTCATCTTAACTGAGATGGTGTCCCTGCTCTCCATAGTGCTCCTTAGAGGACTCTCACCCAGTCAATGACAGCTGAATGGGAAACAGCAAAGGGGTGCCACAATCACTTGGCAAGGATGGATGGCACAGGGAACAGGGAATGATTTATAAATCCTTCTGAGAGCAGAAAGCCGTCTTCCCATCATCTTTATAGCTGACTCCCCCGGCTCTTAGAGACCTGTGATAGCAGCATCATTACCACTTCCCTGCATCCATCTCTTGCACTTTTGTAATATGGGAAAGAGAGATTAATTGTATGGTGAAACTCTTCAACAATTTGCTGAACCTCTGCATTCCTGACATTAATCTTTCCCCAAGTGCCCTATCATTAACTTGAAAAATCAACCGGGCAAAACCTTAGAGTAGGTTCATGCAAATGAAAATACATAAATAGTGTGCGGGGATGGTGCAGGGATGGAGACGGGGAGGGCTGTCGGCTGCCAGAGAACCTATAGCAAAATGATACATTAAGCTGTTTTCCTAAATGCTTCACCCATGAAACATGTCGTTTATCCACAACCCTGTACTATTTCATTAGAATCGTTTACTTTGGGCCTGGACCTGCTACTAGCAAGAAAACCACTTCCGCCTTCAAGTTTTCAAAGTATGCAAATAAAAAAATCACTTCTCTTCCTCTGTCTCCAAAAGAAAATCTCTATTCTCTCTTCATTCGTGCGATTCAGCAACTAGCCGCCTTTTCCTAGGTTTTCTTCAATTTGAAAAGAAAATAAAACACACTTGTTTTGAGATTTTCCCACATCATAAATGTTCTCATTATGCCAAATTTGACTACTACTCTTATCAAATATAAAATTGGCTAGAGAAATATATTCACTTTTGAAGTTTTGAATTCATTTTTTAAATAAGACCCCTCCACATGTAGATTTGTTCTTATGTAAGAGGAGGTCTTGATCTGTGCTCACAACATCATTATAACCAGATAGAGAAACAGAGATTCTATCAAGGAGAAAATGGCCCTTGAGTAGAGTTCATAAGTGTGGATTTTGCCCATGAGGTGCCCCTTGGTGGCAGAAGCCAATGTGTGGCTTTGCCCTGGCCAATCCTCTGTTTTCTCTCTTTGTAGCCCCAACTGTGATTTAAGTCTTATGCTACATCATGAATCAGAGTTCAATCATGAATGTTAGTAGTTTAGGAATGAAAAGTAAGAATGCACCCATTTTTCTACTGACTACTTTTGAACTAGATCTTTAAAAAAAAAAAATCGGCACTAAGCTGAATCTCCCCAGAATGGAGCGTCATCTACTTCCCCATCCATAACCACTGGTCACCTGAGTCAGGCAGAGGGAAGAATGCATGATTCAAATCAAACCAGGTTAAATGAACAGACAGAATTAGAGAGTCCTCAAAAGGGAAACTCAGCGATTTTCTAAGATGGTTTTCTAGATTTAGTTGAAAGTTAAATACATAAATCTTATAAAATCTGCAATGTTTGTGCTAGGAACAAAATGTAAAGTGGAATTTAAAATGAAAAGTGATTCACCACTTATTATACTTTTTCCTTTGTAAATTGTAAGTGATTGTAGGATCAAGAAAGTTAAAACTTAGCAAAGGCTTGGATTTAAGTAAAAAGGCAGTCAGGGTTTTTTTCAATTATTCATTCAATTAATATTTATTGAGAGGCTTTAGCGTGCACATCTCACTCAAGGCAAACAGTTGAGAAGCTTATAATTTAGACAGCACAAGACAAATACTTGAGTAATAGATAATATAATTACATATAAACAGGTCACATGTAGAATCTCCCAGAGCAAACCTTCTTTTCTCGAGTTTGCTGATGTCTGTAGCTAGGAAGAACAAAAACAAATGATTAGAGTCTTCATGATTACGGATTTGTTTGGACTTTGATTACTAACTAAATTAATAATTTATTTTTATAAGCTAACTTCAGCTTAAAATCATTTGAGCTTATGTGCAAGGTAAATATGTTTGAATTTTTAACACTTTCTATGTAATACTAGGGAACCCCATTTGACAAATTTAGTAGAACCATCATTAATCTACATAGATTATTTTATTGAACTAAAAGCAATTATTAATATTCGTTAAGTGCCAGGCAGTTTACACACACACACACACAATTTATCCCTCTAACCTTATGAAGGGCATACTATCATCATCTGCATAAAAGCTAACAAAGTTTATGATGCATTGCAGTGAAAGTGTAAACAGAATTTTTCTTTTGCAAGGAATTTAGGGGATTACGGTGCTCCACAGTTACACATTTATCATTTACTTATTGCACGGTAAGCCGTCGGGATATAAAGATGATCGAGACCTGATACTTCCTCTGCAGCTTACCTTCTAAAGAGAGAGATGGACATGTAAACAGGGGCGCTGAAGGAGGTGAAGACACTGTGCTGGAAATCTTAAAGGTGGAGTGGGGCAGGGAGTTCCACCCGGAGCCTTCACGGAGCAGTGACACATGGACTTTCTTGGTTTGATCTTTATCTAGAAGGCAGCCTGGACAAGTTGAAGCCATGTCTAAGCATTCCCCAAGTTTTAACAGTGTACTTGAGGCAATGTGGTTATTATTGTTGTGATCTCACAACCAGACAGAGTGGTGATCTACAGTACCCTTAGCAAGTAAGAAAGTGCATTGCCAGTTTCATTGCATCTACTGTAAAGATCTTGGCCAGTACCGTAAAGATCTTGGCCATGTACTGCAAAGATCTTGGAAGCAGAGAATAGCAACAACATCCTCATGTTAAAAGCAGAAGACACTAGAGGTCTCTGGAGATAGAATAAAACCTCCTTCTATTTGCCTCTTATTCTATCCAACAAATAAAATCCATCAGCAACCTTTCATGACATCGACTCAATACCCAGAGTACATTTTGAGGGACTAACCACACCAGGACCTACTAAGCACTTCATGACAGCAGTTTGTTGGGAATAAGAATTATGGATGGTGCAGTCCAATAACATGAGTATGTGCATGTGATTTAACAGCTTCAAATAGCAGTGTGTAGTGAATACATGCCAACATAACTTACCTAGGACTCAACCTAAACTCTTAAGATGCAACACGCATTCACACACATACTTGTTTCTAAAGTTATTACATTCTATAGTTGTTCACTTCTGCTAGCTCTAGAATGAGTAAGGCTGAATTCTTTCCCCAAAGCATACTGTAAATTATCATATCATAGACTTTTGATAGAATTTCAAGTATTTGTGAATCATTAATAATTGTCCTAACTTTAAAAAGGTGTCTACCTTGAACATGATATTCAAATCATGAATTCCTGAAGGCTCGTTGAGTTGGTTGTTCTTGGCCATCATCTTGAAGCATACTGTGCATCTTAATTTTCCCTAAGGAATATGTCTGAGAGAAATATTTGGTCATTTACACTATAAAATTTGTCAAATGACTGAGCATAGGCTTGGTAAAAGGTACATAGTAATCATAGCAAGAGTCAAAATTCCAGTTAGGATACATAAATAACTTCTATGAGATGGGAACCAAATAAAAACTCTTCAGCCTTGCAGCCCTAAGGAACACATGCCACTTGATTGCTCACAGCTTGGACAACATATTCTTTATCTGCAGGAGAGGTGTTCACTGAAGACCCCCCAATGACGCTCCTTCCTGCACCAGGGAAAGTTTAAGAATTACTCTGCCACAGGGAGAATATACAATGGCTGCAAGAGATTCTCTTCCTAGAATCCTGGTGCGGGGATTTGAGAAACTGTCAGGATGAAAAATGATACTATTTTAATCTCCCCATAAATAACATTGGTATAGTGTGCTTTTATTATTTTCTTTGAAATGAATTTATTCTATTCTTAGAAATTAAGATACTTTATTCACATGCCTGTATAGAAATCTTTCTGAAACAAGTGTTGGTGAGGATGTGGGGAAATTTGAACCCTCATACTTTGCTGGTGGGAATGTAAACTAGGGCAGCCACGTTGGAAAACAGTTTGACAGTCCCTCAAAATGTCAAGCATAGAGTTAACATATGACCCAGTAATTCTACTCCTAGGTATAGACTCAAGAAAATTGAAAACTTACATCTGCACAAAAACTTGTACACAAATATTCTTATCAGCTTTTTTCAGAATAGCTAAATTGGAAATAATCCAAATGCTCAACAGATGGGTGAATAAACAAAATGTGGTATGTCTGCACAATGGAATATTATTTGACATTTTATAGAAAGAATGAGGTTCTGATCCATGCCCTAACACAGATGAACCTTGAAACACTGTGCCAAGTGAAAGAAGCAGTACTAATGGGCCACATATTGTATAATTCTATTTATAGGAAATGCCCATAATAGGTAAATCCGTAGACACAGAAAGTTGAGTGGTGGAGGCCAAGAGCTTTGGGGAAGCCTTGGGGAAAGTGAGGAGGGACTGCTAATATGCCTTATTTTGGGATGATGAAAGATAGTGTCAGTGGTTTTACAGTTCTGTGAATAAACTAAAAATCACTGAATTATACCCTTTAAAGAATGCATTTTATGATAGGTGAATTATATTTCAATAAATTGCTATAAAAATCTTGTTGAGCTCTTTTAGATAGTTCAAGCCTTTGTCCTGATTAATTTCTGTAAATGATCACTATCTAACTAGTTGTTTTGGGATGTGTTTGGCCTTCAGATGAAATAAAACCAATTTTTAAGATAAACAAAGACAACCAAGTAATAAGAAGTGATTTTTTTCACGTGTTGAAACTTTATGTTTGCAAACATCTGAAGAAAATCATCCATAAATGAATCAGAATGATAATAGATATGTTTTTGCAATACTTTCACAGATGGTCTTATTTAAACACATTCCAATGATGATAAATACAGAAGCTTATGGAGTTACATAATACGAGATTCTGGTTTGGATATGAGATCCAGCTGAGCAAGTTATCTGAGGGAACATTTCTTATTTGTCTTTGTATTTTCTTGGGCATAGACTATGTGATAGTTAAGGGAGGATTAAATGCATTATCTCAAAGCTGTGCCTTTTTGAGGAGCACCTTCAACCAGCAATAAAAAAAATCCTTTTACTCTGAGTTAAGACAATTTTAAAGGACAACCCATTCTGGAATGCAGCTGATGCTTGATATATGTTTCATGAACGAATGTCTGAAGTTATATATATATAAATGGATCAATGCGGAGTATATAAACTTGGATTTCAGAGCTGTCCCCATCCCTAGTTCTAAGGTTCGCTTCTTCCTTCATTTCCAATATAAGCATTGAAATTTTGAAGCATTCTTAACAAATAAAATATCTAAAAATATTTGTGGTTTGGTTTAAGTACAGAATGCATCCCAAAGGATTCTTTTGTTACCTAAGTCTATAATGAGTGATGTTAAGAACTTCTAATAAGACATGACACCATGTAATAGTCCTCTGAACCAAAAATGAGGACAACGCTTCCTGAAAAGTAATTATTTTGGAGTGAAACCTAGTTCTTATTTACCTCATGTGACTGTAAAATACCTTTATAGGAATAAAGAAGTATTGAGGCAGCACAGGGCTTTTCATCAGTCTATAATGATTGGTTTTCTCTCATAAGCTCCATTAAACCAATATTCTATATATATGTACCTATGTACATGTGTGTGCCTCTGTGTGTGTGTGTGTGCCTGTGTATATTTTTCCCAATAGGATAACACTTTGGGAATGTCTATTGTTTGCAGAGGGTAAAGAGAACTGAGTGGAATGCCGTTACTGAATATTATCATATTCTTTATTGATTGAGATTCCTTTGTCAAAGGAATGTCAAATGTCATTTGGGGTCACTGTCCATTTTTGAATGTATTTTGGCAAAATGCAAAAATCGCCAGGCTTCACTTATTTCATTGTATTGATTTGGGTGATAGTTATTTGCATCTGACAATTTGCTTATTTAAAGAACATGAAGGTCATTATCGTTGGACTTTTTCTGAAATAACCAACACACAGAGACTGGATTCATACTTACTGTTGCCTCCATCGGCTTGATGAAATCAGTGCTCAGAACCTGAGAGGGTAGAAATGGCAGGTCAGATTAATTGACTTTTAAAGGTTTTGAGAATTTCTCGATTTATTTACATGGATTTGCACACTCTAAGGTCAGATAAAAAGAACATCAGATTTCTCATAGGGAAATTCTTAAGTTCAAGTATAAAAATGTTACAATATTGGTCAATATCACATTGTTTTATTTATATATTATTAGACTTTAAATTGTAGGGTACATGTGCACAACATGCAGGTTTATTACATAGGTATACATGTGCCATGTTGGCTTGCTGCACCCATCAACTCATCATTTACATTAGGTATTTCTCCTAATGCTATCCCTCCCCACTCCCCCCACCCCATGACAGGCCCCAGTGTGTGATGTTCCCCTCCCTGTGTCCATGTGTTCTCATTGTTCAGCTCCCACTTATGAGTGAGAACATGTGGTGTTTGATTTTCTCTTGTGTTACTTTGCTGAGAATGATGGTATTATACTGTCTGTTAATCCTTCTTGAGTTTAAACAGGTATTCTAGTTTTGCTTCATAACGTAGCATGCCCTTTCCATCCTTTGATAGCTCATCATACCTCAAAATAAAATCAGAGACCTTCAACTTCATTCTCAATCCAATCTCCAACTAATCCTGTTCATGAACTCTTCTGTCTAGCCAACCTCTCTAAATTAATTCTTGACCATCTGATGTTACTGCCTCCCTTTCCTCTTCTTGGCATTTTCTTTCCCTGAAAATCTTACTAGCCATTCCTTAATCTCAAATCCACTTATTTCTGTACAATGGCTTCTGAACACTATTAAGTATCTATCCTTGCTCTGAACTCCTAACATTTATTATCTGTATCAGACATGTGGCATGTGCATTTACAACTTTGTTTTGAAGTTAAATGTGGGCATGTTTGTGCCCAGTGCTAGATTATGAATTCTTGGAGGTCATCGACCACCCAGATTGATATTTTCAAGGTACTTCACACATAGCAACCTTACAATAAATGTCTGTTGACTGAATGAGTGAATGAGAAGAGATTAAAATTGAAGCAGTTACTCATCTAAGAGGTGTCCAAATAGTGAATGATTAAACAAGGAGCAGTAACTCATACTGTTCTTCCTTTTGACCTGTGCTGTTGTTTTGGTAGCTGAGATTCTCTGGTCACTAAGTAATCAGATATATGGATATACTCCCTTGAGGTGTGTTTGGGAAGGACTTTGATTGTCCCATAAAGCAGAATATAGATCTGACGCTAGATTGCTCTTGTTTTTTTTTTCCGTTTTTTTTTTTTTTTTCAAGGAGGCATACTATTCATGTAACTCTGGTCACCAGACAGTCATACATTTCTTAAAATGTTTTTTAAAATTTCACTCTAGAATACTTACAACTAACTGGGTATGAATCTATTTATCCTGGCGTAACAATAGATTTGATATTGTCACTAAAATTGTAATTTTGGTCTCTCCCATGTAACAGGATGTCACAGCAACAGAGCCATGATATTTCAGTAAGTGGCATGAGCACATTCAGCCTGGTAGATTGTTTTCAAAAGGTTCCAACACAGACCACTTCGGTACAAAGGGTCAAACACAGTCCAAACAAATGCTTGACAATAATAGGTACAAAGGACTCGTGTCCTTGGTGAATGATT
Source organism: Homo sapiens (assembly GCF_000001405.40). NCBI lineage: Eukaryota > Metazoa > Chordata > Mammalia > Primates > Hominidae > Homo > Homo sapiens. The sequence continues at coordinate 109,592,868 of NC_000013.11, read as the reverse complement.
AATCATAAACTGTCATAAACAAAAGTCTTCTATACATTTGATAAACAGGTTTGTAAAGAGCACAGGAAATACGGAGGAAAATCACATCTTTCAAAATTAAATGTCAGTCATAAGACAGCTGGTTTTTAATTTTTGAGAGGTTTTCATTTAACACTTTGAGTGAAGGCAGAGTAGCAGGTGCCATGTCTTCTCCCCCAAGTTGGTAATATATATGCACCCATCATTAAAATGTACCCTTTGAATTCTTATGTGTTGCTTTCATTCTGTGCTCCATTCAGTAGATTATTTTATACACATTCATTCCTAGAAGCTGCTGTAAAGGGCCATCACGTTCCCTCTCTTCTATTTTCTCTTCTCATGCGAATGAAGGAGCAATTAGCTGTGACAATCAGTAGGCAGAAAGACTGTCAAACCCATTTTGAAAAAATAAAAACAAAACACCTTGTTGCATCTTTGGAGTAGCCTAAGAATAAACGTATGACTCCGTATTTTAAAAAAGAAACTTTTTTTCTCTCCACAGATGTGCAGGAATGTAGATAGCCAAATGCATGTGGCCATCCCAAGACCTATGTGTTCTTGGAAGATTTTGCCAATGTTTCCCCCCAATTTTGCTGCAGCACGAAACATTTCTGAAGTTCAACTTCAGGGATTATATTGAGGATCACTTTACACGTCACATAAGAAAATAACTTTCTTCTTCAGCTTAGGAGTCAATTGTGATATTGATAGGATTTTTAGCACCTCTCTTGGTACAAAAGAGGAAGGAGAATTAAGCCTATAGTGCAGGCAAATAAATGATTGCAATAAGGAAATCCGTGGACCAACCAGAATGTGGGCTTCCTCAGTGACTACAGAAATTACCAGGAAAATGGAAGAGAAATGGGCCCAGGTAATGACAGTGCTTTCAAGCTGTCCCAGTCAATAAAAATGCTTGATAAATGGTTTCTCAGCCTTGCCATTGGGAAAAGGAGAGAAGGAACTACTCTGGCTGTTACTCCCTACACCTTCCTTATCCCCAGTACTGTGGCCCATGCCTCAAGTTCTGTGGACAATAAGAAACAAACAGCAACAAAACATATCAACTCGAGCTTTTGGACGTGAGGGCCAGATATATGGTTGAAGCCTGGAAAGCAAAGGGAATAAAGAAATAAAAAGACATAAAATATGAACCCACATGTCCTCTAAAGTCTTTATGTTTCAGAATAATCCTTTTTGTTTCTTTAAATTCCAGAACCTGTACTCCCTTCCTTTTTCCCTCCTAAGAGTACAGGCCTGAAGGAGCTATAGGTGAGCTTTCTGAAAAGAAGCACCCTCTGCTTTACATTATGGCCCTGCAATAGGAACGAGCTCTCCAGTGGGCACACAAACCCAGGCGCGGTCCCCATGAGGTCACTCTTCTGCTTGGCCTCCACCATGAGCCAGACTCTTGACCCCCTACCAGATACTGCTCTTACCACCCTTCTGTCCTGCCAAGGCTAGAACATGGAGGCCAAAGCCCATGAGTTTCAAAAAGATATTGCAGATACTGTGATTTATCACCGTTTTAGGCTTGAATTCTCCTTACAACATTCCTTCGCGACGTCTCCAATTCCCTAGGACTCTTCCTGTTGGAGAGAACGTTTAAATAAGAGAATGCATGTAACTCATTCAGTGCAGGGCCCAGGGCATAAAGAACTCATTTGATAAAGTATTCCTCCTTCTGAAAGCTCAGATAAGCATCAAATGATACTGACCTCACTGATCTGAGATTTATGCCATATAACTTCCACCCGTTGATTCTAGATGTAGCCGCTGCAATCCTACAAAACCAGAATAACCCCTTAAAATTCCTCCGTGTCCACTTCTCTCCATGGAAAATAGACCCATTTTCAGCTGCTCCTCAGGAGATATGATTGTTCTCCTCTGATTGTGTTCCAGTTTATTTTTACCTACCAGCCAAGTGTTTTAAAATTACCATTTTGGTGTATTTCTTTTTAAAGTGGGTGTGTGTGTGTGTGTAATCACACTGTTATACTATTTTGTAGCTTACTTTTTAAATGTATGCTTCCCTTCCTTAAATGCTCTTACACTATGGTCTTAATTATTCTAGTTAATAATCGTGATAAGAGCAAATATGTGATGAATTCTCGCTACAGTCCACGCACTCCACCAAATATATTTCATTCACGTCAAACCTCTGAGGTAGGCCCACGGATCATCAACATTTTACAAATGAAAGCCACACTCAAGTCAAGGTGTATGCAGGCTCAAAAGCCACCCAAGTTCACCAGGAAGTAAAGGACAAAGCCAAGATTCAAACACAGATACAGCCAGCCCCAGAGCCCACACTCTTTCCTGCTTTCTGTTTTACCTTTCTGGTTCTTCTTTGGCTAAAAAGTCCTTTGCGTTGTCCTTTATACTTTTGTAACTCCAGCACTTTGGAACTTGAGCCTATGGCAGTATTTTCAGAGCCCTGTCTTTCTCTCTTGTACTCATCTTCAGGGGTATGTCTTATGTCTATCTTTAAAAATTATGCACATGAACTACAAACAGCCTGAGCCCGTGGAGTCGCTGGCAGGCAGCCTCCTGTCTTCGGGCACTTCCCACTCTTCTTGATTTGCCTGATAACCTCGTTGGGAGGACTTCCTGTCCAGCCTCATTTCATGGGATCTGCCTCCCTCTCCCTGTCCTTGGAAACTCTGACAGCCCTGATAGTGCCCGGTTGCATGTGTGACTTTGGGAAGCCTTTGTTTTCTTGATTGCTGCCACCTGAAGAACCTATTTCTTCCCCTTTGTCAACTAGCAGTCAACATCAATGCTTTTTCCAAAACCTGGGAGATAAATGGTCAGCATGATGAGCTAATAACTGGCCAAATACTCTGGATTCAGCCTCGCAGGTGGAGAGTTGGTCTCCAGTCATTCCTCCATCTTGCCTCTGTGTGGTTTACAGGTAAACCAGGATCACGGCATCAAACTTTTCCCTTTTCCTTCTTCCAGTGAGTGATTTGTGATGCACTCTCTTCCAAGTTAATATAACCATCCATCTTCACCGAGATCTGACGAACTTGCTCAACCCTCCAGCTTGCAAGTTTTCCAAAAGCACAGCTCCATCCTCTCCCTCGGTGCTTGTGTCTCCTAGGGCTGCCATATGTACCATGAACTGGGTTCTGGGGGCCAGGAGCCTCAAATCAGAGTGCCAAGGGGGCCATGCCCCTCTGAGACTGATTAGAGTCCTTCCCTGCCTCCTCCCTCCCTGGGCTTGCAGCTGCAGCTCCCCAATTCTGCCTCTGCCCTCCCATGCTATTGCCCTTCTCTATCATCTCCAACTCTTCTACCTATAAGGACACCAGTCCTTTTGGGTTCAGACTCATTCTAATGCCCTCTTCTTAACCTGATTACATCTGCAAAGATACTGTTTCCAGTTAGGTCACATTCACAGGTGCTGGGAGTTTTAAGGTTTCAGCATCACTTTTGGGGGGACACAATTCAATTCATGACACTTGGGAAACCTGCTTCCACTTAACAGTGCAAACCCTTCTGCCACCATTTTCTAGTCATAAATCCCACCAGGCCAAAGCTCAAAGTACTTTGTAGGATTGCATTTATTACCCTAAATTATAGTCTCAAATTCGCATTATGAATTATGCATTGGGTATTGGACAATAGACATATGGGTCCACAGGTTTTTTGTTGTTGTTGTTTGATTTGATTTTCCTTACCTAAGTATGTCAAGGTGTTGTCAATTCACTCTACACATCTTTCTGCATTACACTGAGCATCTGCTTTGTGCCAGGCAATGTTCTAGGTGCTCAGGGATCAATGAGGACTAGAGCTGATGCAGTCTTTACTCTCATGGGGGTTAGGGTCTAGCAGCAAAGACAAACATTATACAAATACTAAAGACAAATGCAGAGAGTTTTGGATGTGGCCTTTTGAAACTTGGCTGTACTCCTTCCTAAATCTGTGACTATGGATCAATCACCTAACTTCTCTGTGCCTCAGTTTGCCCATCTGTTGAAAGGACATACTATCGGTAAACATTTCACAGCATTATTGGAAGGCTTGACTAAGTGAATTCATGCGAAATTCCCAGAACAGGTCCAGACACAGTAAGTAGTCTCTAAGTGTTAGTTATTATTATGCTAGAAAGGCCTTAACCTCACCTGGGGACAGAGAAACCCTTCTTGCAGAAATGTAGGCAAGCTGAGCCTGAAGGCTAAGTGGCACTCGGGGAAAGGTGGAGGAGGGGAGAAGAGGACTTTTTAGGTAAACTGATTAGGAAAGGAAGTGACACTGGGGTATTTTCCAGAGTTGTATCCTAATGCTGTGTTTGCTGCCTCCTTGATCCGTTCACAGCCCGCGGAGATAACCCTTTCTTCAGACACACACTCCCATCTCATGTGTCTCTAGCAAAATATCACCTAAAGCTACCCTCTGACTCTTCTCTTTGACATTTGTACAACTTCACCAAGCACTAACACACCTATGAGAGGCCACTGGCCCTTGTTTCCAGCCTCGGAATTCTCCAGGAATCCTGTGTGGAGGAGAGAGGACCTGTATACAGTCTGAATATCACCCTCTGGAAATAGTCCTCCCAGGACACACATTGGTAAGGCCTTCTCTTGACCTCGGGTTCTTTTCTCTTCTTGCATGATGGTAGATGCCTGCAGCATATCAGGTTGAGCTGTTTCATCCCAGGATTTCTCCCATTTTGTGAAACGCTGGCCGTGGTAGGACCGCTCGGTCCTCTGCTCTGTGGTATCCCACACACTTCATCTCAGGAAGTCTTGTCTTGTCTGAGGACTTTCTTCAAAAACCTCAAATCTTTCCTGCTGATTTCAGCCCTCTATAACTTTAACTAAAGATCTGCAGCCTTTTTCTGTAAAGGGCCAGATAGTAAATATTTTAGTCTTGTGGGCTATAATGATCTCTCTCACAAACACTCAATGCTGCTGTTGAAGTGAAAAAGCAGCCAGAGGCCACATGTTCATGAAGGGGCAAGGTGTGTTCCAATAAAACTTTGTTTATAAAAACATTCAGTCAGCAGGATTGGCCTGTGGGCTGTAGTTTGCCTTCCCTTGCCTTAGACTATAACATTTCCTTTGGAAAAATCAAAGCTGTGATCCAGGGTGGAACCATTGTGGATTCATGCTTAAGTTTAATACAGTTAAAACCAAACTCCCTTTTCTACTAAAATTAGCTCCCGCCCCAGATTTCCCTATTTCTGGCAATGACAGCAACACTTTCCAACTCATACACGTTTAACAACATGGAGTTGAATATTTGATTCCTCCTCTCCATGAACTGCCATATTTCTCACATCTGTGTATTTCTATTTTCATAGCTGTCATATCTTATCACTTCACATGGGATATTTATTTTCTTGGCTTTGGGACTGACAGATTTGCCTTCAGTTTTTAATTTATTTTTATTTTTTCATCTTAGTATGGTTTTGGGGTCAATCATTCCTAAAAATGTTGCTGTTACCAATCCTTTACTCTTCAGTCTTCCTCACCTACCAAACTCTGACTGCAGTCTGCCTTCAGTTTCTACCTAGGTCTCACCATGGGGTTTTCCTCTGACAAGGAAGTCCACTTTGCTTTGTTCCCGCACCCTGTTCTTTGGCTCACATTACTTCCTCTGTTCAAGATGACCTTTCATCCACAAGGCTCCTCCCCTGTGTCCATTCTCAAAAGCCGAGCTCAGTTCTAGCCTTCTCCCTGACCCTCATCAGTCCATTCCGTCCCATACTCTCCTGTGCCGACGTCTCCCACCTGTGGAATCTTGAGTGCAGGTCGTCTCTTAGACTCACTTGGCACCTCATCACACAGCACCTTGCATCCTTTTCTAAAGTTTCAGAAGTGTTTGTGATATGCCCCTGATTAGAGCAATGTTTGTCAAGACCAGCAGCATGCCTCACAGTGCCAGGATTGTGTTTGCATAGACATTCTTTCCTCCACGATATCCTGTCTTATCTCCTTATCAGTTATTGGAGTTTAAGGGGAAGTAGCTTTTTAAAAAAAAAAAAAAAAAAGTTAAATGAACTATCTTTATAGGCAATCCTAAATTTTTAAATTGCCTGTGTAATAGACACTATTAAAACTAGAGGGTGATAAGACCCCAAATCACTCTATCCAAGCCCATTGTGCTAGTAAAACATTTGAAAATCCACACTGATGCAATGGCCACATGAAAGAGAACAAGGTTTTGCAATGCTCAAAGTTGAAACAAAAATGAATTAGAGCGTTGCCTCCTCTACTTTTGAGGGAAATACTCATACTTGAGATAAAGAAGATTAAGCCGATTTTATTATGGGGAAAATGAAATGATAGGCAATTTTGTGGATTTTCCAAAGGAGATTTATTAATACATGTATCTTTAAAAATATTAGATGTTGACTAAGAAATTTTCCCCTTAAATATCCAATTTTCCTTAAAAATTAATGGCTTTCATTTTCTTTTAGATGTGGGATTATTACCGCCACTGCTTTTATATATCAGCTTTAATAGAAATCTTTTTTTGGATCAAAACTTGAAAGAAAACATTTGCGAAGAGTAGAATGTATAAATGAACGATGGTATATTCGTGCAAAAGAATACTACACAGCATGAGTCTGCAAACTCCATCCTGTAGGTCGAATCTGGCCCATCGCCTGCTTCTTAGAGCCTGCAAACTAAAAAAGGTTCTTACATTTTAGATGTAAAATTTTTGAAAGTAGGAGATTTTATGCCATGTGAAGGTTATATAAAAGTCAAATTTCAGTGTCCATAAATGCATTTGTATTAGGGCACAGCAAGATTCATTTCCTTATGTATTGTCTGTGGCTGCTTTTTGTGCTATACTGCCAGAGAGACTTTTTCGGCCTGAAAGGCAAAATACATACTACATGGCTCTTTAAGAAAGCGCTTGCTAACCCCTGCTATGCAGCAGTAAAATTAGCAAACAGAAAGGGAGACTTTCACAAATATGATGGTGAATGAATAAAGCTAGTCTCTAAAGAGTAGGTGTCATATAGTCCAGGCAAAATTAATCTACAGTGAAATAAATCAGAATGGAGATTTGCTCTGGGTGCGTGGGCTCTGTATGCAAGGGAGGCTTCTGGGGTGCTGGCAGTGATTGACTTCTTGAGCTGAATTCAGGTTGCACAGATGTATGTTCCCCAAAATTCTCTGGGCACTTGCAATTTGTGATCTTTTCTGCATTTATGTTATACTTCAGCCTTAAAGGTTTACTTAAAAGAGCCTAGGAAGAATAAAAAAGAATGATTAAGAAGAGAAATGAAAATAGAGGAAAGAGGATGCACGCTGAGGAACAGTTATGAACTGGAAGACGGCAGAGCTGCCGGGATGTGCCTGGAGCCGGGTGAGGCTGGGAGGAGGGGAAATAGCTGGGAAAGGGGCCGGGAGAGAGCCCCCGGGATGTGTTAGGACTTGAGCAGATCCTACCTAGCTTTGTCACCACCATCACCCTATGAGGCAGATATCATCTTTGTTGTATAGAAAAGGAAACTGAGGCTGAGAAAGATTCTGCATCCTGCCCGAGGACTCACAGCTTGTATGTACAGGGCACATTTCAATCCAAGGGGAAACCATGCTTTGTTCATTATTCTTCGGAAAGAGAAGGAAGGAGTTAGTGTGGATGAAATACGCAGATTCTCTCTGTGGCTATCAGGGATTACTGAAGCCCTAGAATGACTGTTACCCCCTAGAGTGGGGAGCTTATGTGGGGAGGGGCGTTTGAAAAGAGCGTTGGGAGAAAAAGTGGTTTCAGAAAGGATAGAGCAGTAGAGATTCTATCTGCTTTGGAATGTTTATGTCAACATTTTGGCATTCTTAACTCAAGAGGCACTCATGTGTTCACAGTTTTCTATTTCTTCTACTTTTAGTGCAGATATTTTTCCAGTCTTGAGGTGAGATGGCTTACCTGTGTGTAAACTATGCAACCAGTTTAATGAACTATGATGTGAAGATCAGTTTCTGATAATATAAAATATACTCCTAGAATTCTGTGGCTTGCAAACTTTTAAAATTATTCTTGGCTATACAAAGAAATCAAGAAAGCTTTTCTCTTCTGAAATGTCATGAAGTTTCCCAGATTCTTTTTCAAAATCAAAGCTATGTGTGTCTGAATTTATGTCGCCAAGTGATTAGCAGGTGACAGGTTGGCCTAAATAAAACACAGATTCTGATTTAGCTTACAGGAAAATTAAGCAGTCTAATTAGGTATAATAAACAAAATGAACAAATTAACATCAATCTACCTGTGCTCAGTTCGTAGGTGAGCCTAGAGTGAATATTTATGTTTAGTTAGTTTTTTTTTTGGTACATGTGTGGTCTGTTCCGGTATGAGATTATGTTTGGTACAAATTCCAGGTCAGATCCTGTACATTAAGAAAGTCAGCTATAAGGGACAGTTAGAAACATTTGGACATTCCGGCACTTCCATAAATTATGCATGTGTTCTCATTGCAGAAACTGGTAATGCTTCTAAACAAATGGAGACCTCCTCAAATGTTGGCTTTTAGTCTTTAGATTTATTTTTCAAAACACATGCACACAAACAACAACAACAACAAACCTCTCATGTTTCAGTGGTTAGCCCTCTCTTCTTCCCCTTACGCCTCTTCTAAGCAATTCAGTGTGGCATACTCTCATCACATGCTAAGGCTCAGAAATACTGCTTGAGTTGTAAATTCCAATTTTCATCTACCTATCTTTTGCTATTGAAAACAAACCCCAAGTCTGCTTTCAATTGTTGCAATATCTTCATGAGTCTTTATTAACTTCTCTAAGAATGTGACAGGGGAAAGCATACTATTCAGGTTATTTCAAAATATTTTATTCATGTAAATACTAACCTATAATTTCCATCGCTTTCTCCATGGATCAATGACACAAAACCAAACTGTTAGTAATTCTGTATTTTTAGAAGGACACATTGATGGCCATCTCCCAAGACAGACCTAAGAGCCAGGGGAGGACATGGCTTTAGGCTTATAAGAGCTAGCTCATCTGGGGAAGGAGAGAATCTTGTCTGTACCACTGACAGCTGGGGTGTTTGTCACCTCCGATGCTGGCCAGTTGGGAAAGGGTAATAAAGCTGTGTATCTATTATTGTTGAAAGGAATCCAGGTATTGAATAGAAATGGAAAGACCTTTTCTTTCATCCCAAGTAGGTCATTACAGCAATCCAAACTGTGGTGACTAGTGAATGGCAAATTACATTTTCCAGATGGGATTACTCAGGAAATGACCTCCGAAGGAGCTAGAACCATCCAAAATCAATAAACCAATGCCAGCCACGCCACACATTTGTATTTATACTTCACGTATCAATGACAAAAGTACTATTCTGGTAAGAGAGATCTGTAGGCATCACACATTCAGTCTTATAGACGAACTAATTCTGGCACTGAAAAATGATACCTTGGACACGGATTAATTCCTGGGTACAGGTGTGGCTGTACCTGTCAGGTGAGGCACCTGACAGCCCTAATGTCGTACAGGTGCATAAAGAATGTCCTTTAGGTAGTGGTCACAGCCCTTATTTGCAGATCTTGAGTTTTAACCATGACTCTGATCCTTATATTATTGGCAGTAAATTGACTTTTTTTTTTTTACCCCGGTTGATTTGGTTATAGAGTGAGGTGTAGCATATTGATGATTGATGTTCATGTTGGGAGATTAAATTGAATGCACTAAAATACAAATTGGCTGTTAATGTGTAGACATAGGAACATTTAAAAAAGGAGAGAAGGCATAATGTGAAAGCCAGTGGCTCATCTTAACAACCACTCCTTCATCTACAGTAGCAGAATATTTATTTATTTTATTTATTTATTTATATTTTTAAGATGGAGTTTTTCTCTTGTTGCTTAGGCTGCAGTGCAATGGTGCGATCTTGGCTCACTGCAACCTCTGCCTCCCAGGTTCAAGCGATTCTCCTGCCTCAGCCTCCTGAGTAGCTGAGATTACAGGCGCCTGCCACCACACCCAGCTAATTTCTGTATTTTTAGTAGAGATGGGGTTTCACCATGCTGGCCAGGCTGGTCTCCAGCTCCCAACCTCAGGTGATCTGCCTGCCTCGGCCTCCCAAAGTGCTGGGATTACAGACGTGAGCCACCACGCCCAGCTAGAATATTTATTTAATCTTCCAGTTGACCCCTCCCAACCCCCAAACACCTTCTGCATCTCCTTTTTGTTCTTTCAAGTTGTTCTGTTCTTCCTTGCTTTCTTCTTATATGCCTTCTGTGTAGGTACTTACTCCATCCTTAAACAAGAACATACTCCTGTAAGTAAGAGCTCATTGGTATTGATGATAACGTATATTTACTAAGAAGGTCTTGAAATTGCTTTGATGTTCATTGGAACCCTTGCCCCAGGCCCAATCAGGGACTACCAGAAAGGGTGTTCAGAAAAAAAATGAGAAATCTTCAGAAGAAAACCAGCATCTCCCAAATCCTGGGAAGCATTGATGGTGACCCTGCATGTGGGCTATGAACTGGGAAAAGCCTGTTTCAGAACTGCTCTGGAACAATGAAAGAAAATGATTCTGTATTAGACTGATACACTATGTACGTGTGTATAAATGGCCTTTGTGTATATTACTGTGATTTATTATTAAAAATGGAATCAACAAGAATCAGGAAAAGAGAACCTTTCTTTGGCATCTCTCTGACATTCATCAAGATGTCCCCTACTGATCATGGTATCCTGTTTTCTCTCATTTCTTAATATTCTTTAATACAGTCAGCCTTCCATATCCGCAGTTATGCATCGGTAGATTCAACAACCATAGATTGAAAAATTCAAGAAAAACAATTAAAAAATAAAAAGTACAACAATGAAAACTGATACAAAAAAATACACCACAACAAATATTTGTATAGCATTTACCTTTATTAGGTATTATAAATAATCTACAGATGATTTAAAGTATACGAGAGAATGTGCAGTGGGTTATATGTAAACACTACATGATTTTATTTCATTGATTTGAGCATCAATGGATTTTGGTATCTTTGGGGGTCCTGAAACCAATCCCCTGCAAATACTGAGTGAAGACTGTACTGCTCTTCCTTTGGTGGGTGGCAGATCTAAGGACAGAAAGAAAGTTTGTGGTGATGAACATGTGGTGTTGGGAGAAGGTGGTTGGGGAACCACTGGTTAGGTTTTCTTTACACCTAACACAGTGTGGAGTACTGATATGGTTTGGATCTGTGTCCTCACCCAAATCTCATGTTCAATTAAATCCCCAGTGTTGGAGGTGGGACCTGGTGAGAGGTGATTCGATCATGGGGGCGGATTTTCTTAAATGATTTAGCACCATCCTTCTTTGGTACTGTACAGTGAGTCCTCATGAGATCTGGCTGTTTAAACATGTGTGGCACTTCCCTCTCTCTTTCTTGCTCCTGCTCTGGCCATGTGATGTGCCTGTTTCCTCTTTGTCTTCTGCCATGATTGTAAGATCCTGAAGCCTCCCAAGAAGCTGAGCAGATGCCAGCACCATGCTTCCTGTATAGCCTGCAGAACCGCGGGACAATTAAACCTCCTTCCTTTATGAATTACCCAGTCTCAGGTATTTATTTATAGCAATGTGAGAATAGACTAATACAAGTATCTAACAAGAAATGTAACATCTCATGTAAGCATCAAAATAATTATATGATTTAGCTTATTTTTTTCATTTTATAACTAAGGAAATGTATCTTAGTTTTACCCCTTACTTCCTATATTAGTCAGGGTTCTCTAGAGAACCAGAACCAACAAGACAAACACACACACACATACACACATGCACACACACATATTTATTATCGGGAATTAGCTCATGTGATATGGAGCCCAAGAGGCCTCAAGTTCTGCAATTGGCAGAACAAGAGAGTCCACATGTGGTTCCAGTCCAGGTCTGAAAGCCTGAGAACAGGGGAGCCACTGGTGTAAGGTCCAGTCTGAAAGCTGGCAGGCTCGAGACCCAACAAAAGTTGATATTTCAGTCCTAGTCTGAAGTTCAGAAATGACTGATGTCCCAACTCAGCAGTCAAACAGGAGGAGCTCTCTCTTACTGTGCCATTTTGTTCTATCCAGGCTGTCAACTGATTGGACAACGCCGACCCACATTAGGGAGGGCAATCTACCGTACTCAGTCTCCTGATGCAAATGCAAGTTTCTTCCAATAATACCCTGGCAGGCAAACACCCAGAGGAATGTCTGATCAAACGTCTGGGCACCCCATGGCCCAGTCAAGTTGAGGTACAACATTAATAATCACACTCCCTAAATACTTAGAGATGTGATAGTAGTTTAAATGCTTAAAGATGCCATAGTAGTTGAAAAAGAGGGTTACATCTGCCCGTCATATCTCTTTTGGGGTATCTTTGGTATATTAGGAAATGGGTGGTAACCCCTTGGCAGTCCAGAGTGTGAACTATGGGTAACAATGTCTGTGAGGTTTAATGAAATGTGGGTATAACAAGTAAGTATGCATACAGTAGGCTTTTGTAGCATTTTGCACACTGAATAACACCAAGTATATCATATATAATTTGCCTTTCCAAATAAACACAGCTCTCCATGCAACCTGAATACACAGACTTCTCTCTGAAACAGCCTGAGGCTCATTCCAAAATCTCAGTGACCCAAGTATTAAAATTATTCTTTATACTATTTTTTTCTTTCTGGGAGTAAATATCGCAGGGAATTTATCTATTCCTTAAGCGGCTACCCCATTTCAAAAGATAAGTCTTCTATGTTTTAAAGAAAAGAGTAGGTCTTGTATTAGGAGGGTGCAGGCTTCAATTTTCCTACCGCTGAGGGAAATAGGCTTTCCTTTAAGAGAAAATCTCCATGGACAACCTCCCCGCCCCCACAAACGTGTACACACACATACACATGTGCATGCATACATGCATGTACTCACTGTAAGTAAAAAATGAAAAGGGAAGGCAAAGATTCAAGTTGAAAAGCAGTGTGCCCCTGGGATCTCGTCTACTTTTCTTAGGCAATTTTCATGTCAATGGGAAAATAGAAAATGTGAATAAGAGCTTGTTTTTCAAACCTGAGGGAAGATTCTATCTTTACCCCCAAATTCCAGTGCATTCTGTGAGAGCTGTCAATTTAGGTAGGCTTTTTAAGTAAAACTCCCAGCTTACCTTTCTTTTAGATGGGGCTTGGCTCGCTGTCACTGACATAATATCATCTCCCCCCTGCCATCATCAATGCTATAGGTATCTACAGCTTTACTATTTTACAGGTAGAACTGTTACCAAAAACTCAAGCCTTTTTCTTTACGTGAAACAACACATGGTTCCATTTTAACTATTTGCTTGCTCATGATCGTAGTTGATGGGAAGGACCTCCTAGGATTGTACTAATTTAAATTAATTTATTTTGTATAGAGATGGTGAAGGCTAGATCCTATCTTTTCATTATTTTCAATAGTTTCTAACTTTTTGCTAATCCCTAAGCCTTTATTGGCTACCAACCAAATCTGAGGCAGTGATTTCTTATCCATTTCCATACTGTTTAAACAGCAACCTCAAGACCTTACCATTGTCTCTCAAGATGCCCCCATCAAATTTTATTGAACATAAGTTTGCTTCTTGTCTTATGATTTGATATTAGCTCAGGCGTTCCCCAGGGTTCTGTTTCAGTATGCGCCCTTGTGGCTTGTCCCCGAGGGCTCTGTCTTAGATGGGATGCCCCATGACAGACCTTGACTATATTTTTGAATGTGGCTATCAGAGCTCCCTCAATATTTCACACAAATACTGTCAATTATAATGAAATGGAATAGTAAAGGAAAATCTCATTATAATAGATATCAGCCAGACTTAAAAACAAATAATATAATATTCAACCATAAAAGTATTTATTACTTGAATTAACTGTTATCATGATTTATTGACACAGTTCCCCTCCACATCAGACAATGGTTCCAAAGACATCATGGCGTACGTATTGCTTTTTAATCAGCATGCCAGATGGGCACCAGCAATAGCTCTCTGAGGAGTATGCTGATCCACTGCGGGGGTCCAGTGGGTGGAACTAGGGTGCACTGTAGAAAGACATTTCTGGGCTCCATCCCTTCCTCATGATGGTCTCAGAAGCCTTATCATTTCTCTGCTAGAGGTGTAAGAAGTTGCTCTACTTGAGCATGAATTTGTTTCCTTTCTTTCTTCAGCAACCCCATACCATTTCTATGCATACTGTAAACTTGGTGGTGGTAGAGGTTGCAGCTGGGAAGAGGCTATTTTACCAGTATCTATTATGGAAAGGGTAAGTGTCAGCATCTCATAAAATGCATGACAACTACAGAGTAAAGTAACAGAGTTAAATTTTTGGCCCCCTCAAAAGTTTACTTTGGGAAGCCATTCAGTTATCCCTGAGGATGCTGCCATCAGTAAAATCTAGCTCCATTCAGAGCCATTTTTATAATCACTTCCAAAAATATCCCTTGACTTTATGATTGCACTTCCTTTAACACTATGAACAAATTGTATTTAGCTTTAGACCTGACCACATTTACTACACTAGCATCACGGTCTTTAACTGCTTTCAAAAATCATACTTACACTAAAAGTTTGAAAACTTCATGCATTCAGGATATCCAGAAGATGCTACATTCTCTGAAGATAATTTTTAAAAAATGAGTTCCAAGGATGTTTTGAACAGTGGAAGGACAACTGAATTAAAGGCATGGTCTACCAGGTGATTACATTGCCTTTGGTGAATTAGGTTGAAAGCATTTGAGTTCCTATGTTTGTAGTTTTTAAAAGACAGCTGTATTAGTCCATTTTCACACTTATATATAAGTAACTTAGAAAAGAGGTTTAATGGACTCACAGTTCCACTTGGCTGGGGAGGCCTCAGGAAACTCACAATCATTGCTGAATGGGAAGCACACTCCTCGGAGAAGTATTGCTGGTGCCTATCTGGCATGGAGGGAGGGGAGAGAAAGAGCAAGGTGGGAAGTGCCAGTTTTAAACCATCAGATCTCATGAGAACTCACTCACTCACTGTCATGAGAACAGCATGGAGGAAACCCACCCCCATGATCCAGTCACCTCCCACCAGGTCCCTCCGTCAACTCATGGGGATTACAATTTGAGATGAGATTTGAGTGGGGACACAGAGCCAAACCACATCAACATCTTATATCATGTAGTTGTCTACCTACGTGAGTAAAGAGAAAGGGGTGGGTACCAATACCTACAGAGTGGCCAGGTGTGTAGCTCTCGTTCTCTGTCAGATTTTGAGAAGCCTGCTTATGACTGGACTTGTGTAACTGTCTCCAGCCTGTCCCAGTCATGGGCCAGTCCAGCAAGATTCTGGGGGCAGCCAATGGCTGGATCCTTCCCACTTTCTAAAAATGAAATAAAAAACAGATTGCCCCTCCACTGGGTTCCTGGGAAGACATCCAGCAGCCCTTTGGGATGGCCTATGGACTGGCAATTGTTGTAAAAATAAGCACATGCTGTCTCAGGGCATGAATGGAGTCAGGTTGGCTTAACTGGAAATAAACACAGTGAACCTTGAGAAATCTTATATCCTCTTCCTCTTTTGGTTTTCCTTTTGGCAGGTTTTCATGGGAATCTGTATTTATTTGTTGAGGGCAGATCTTTCTGTTCATAGTGAATTGAGAAGGATAAATAGGAGGAAGAGGTAGATAAAAGGGGCAGGTAAGATCTCACCGATAAATGTCGGTGGGTCTAAAATTTTGATAGCCCAGTGCATTTTTATCTGTGGACTTAACATCCTTTCAAAATAAGTTTTAATCTCATCAGGTTTTTTAAAAATCAAACAATCATATATGATGATGCTGAAGCTAGTAATAATGACCAACATTAGTAATCATTTTAAGAGCAGGCTGCTAATTCATGGCTTTATATTTTTTTCTTCAGATTTTTCACACTTTAGCATTCAGGGGACATTATCTCATTTTAACTCAAAGCAATCTGAAGGAGTAGATGGGAGGCCCATTATTATTTCTTGATGGTGGAATGTAACTGAGACTCAGAAAAGTTCAAGGACTTGCCCAAGGTCTCAAGGCTAAGGGGGATAAGCTGGGAAATGAAACCAGGACTTTTAACTCCAAACCCAAATTGCCTCTGTTCTCTCAAGATAGAGGTTATCTAGCATGCTTTGCCAAGTGGAATTTTCTAATCCACTCTGGTCCGAACACAGATGGATTATGTCAAGTCAATGACGTGTCTCTCTCTTAAACAAAACAATATCCTTCGCACTTGTCCCCTTGTGCGTAGATGGTGGCAAATGATTGTTTGCCAAGCCTTCTACCTCCTCCCTTTCTGTGTTCCATTGAGATCATGGAAATGCAAAGTAAATAGCCATGGAGTAAAATGCCTCCGAGAGTATTTATTTAAGAGTATTGTTCCAGGATATGCACGAAGATAAAGACTTTATGTAATGAATGAGTGACTCAGGAGGCCAAACACCAAGGAGTTATATTCTGTACCCAGCAATGTCCTGGCCAGAGTGAGGTCACTATGTGCTCCCTCTGGACATGCCCTTAAAAAAGGATCACCTTGCCAAGCTAAAAGCCAGTCCTATCAATCACAGGGGTGGGCATGAGCTCAGGGAAAAGAGCATAGGAACAATTCTGGGCCATTGCTGGTTTGTCAAAATGTCAAGGTGGGAAGCAGGCAAAATGAAATCCATCCAAGAGGAAGCAGCGAGGGAGACTGCAGCCCACATGCGGGGCTCTCCTAGCAGAGAAGAGAAAAGGAAATAAATATCCTGGAAAGGGCAGGCATAGGTTTAATGACTGGGCCAGATGGTAGGAGGGACCAGGGCAGTGATGGTGGAATTCTGGCATTGGGAAACCCTGGCAGCAGAGAGCTTGCTCTTCATTTGGTTCCTCAAGGGCCCAGTCAAGGAATAGGGTTGGTTATGCTGTCACACAACCTCTCTATGAGCGTAGGAAAAGCACTACCTTCTGGGAGTCCAGTGTAATAGGTTTCAACATCACCCAGATCCCTATAGATGCAACAAACAAACAAACAAACAAAACACTAATAGCCTAATTTGGAAGCATGTCAAATAAAATGCTACAAAGCAGGAAGCACACAAATGTCTCTGCATATTTAATAATTATTGACTTTTTAAATTGGTTTTAAAATAAAAGCTTTCTGGATGAAATACAGATTTAAAAGGATTACTAGAAAGTGTGGCTTCAGTACCCCTACTTATTTTACATTAATTCTCCACTTTTATGCATTAAGCTCTACCATTCCGCTAATTTCCCATAAACATATATCTGCAGTGCAAATTGTTTTACCACTGAAAATGCCTCAGATGCAATCTACTGGCATCATGAACAGAATTTTTCATAAACAGCCCTGTTTATTCACTAACTGCATATGAAATAGACTGTAAGGTGCTCATGAAAAACGCAATCAGACAAGACACTGTCTTCTTCAGGGAGCCTGGCTTATTGTTTTACATAATAAGAACATAAAGAATTGCATTTTATTGATATGGGAACACATTTTATTGCTTTCTCTGATTTAACATCTTTACAAAATGTAGTGGATTAGACTCTCCATTTCATTAAAGTAAGATTACTGGCCCTGTTTCATGATAGCTTCTGATTTTTGAGGAAAGAAATGATCTTCCACATAGCTTTTTGTTAGTTAATTCTTATGGTAAGTAGCAATCATAAAATTGGCGTGGCACTCTCTTTGTAGAAATACATTAAAAAGCATGCATATTTTTATCTTTTTAAATTATTGTAACATCAAATCAGTATAATTAGCAAATTTACCACCTTGAACATTTATCATTTATTTGTGTTAAGAAGATTCAAACTTCCTTTTTCTAGCTATTTAAAAATATATGGTAAGTTGTTAACTGTAGTCACCATAAAGTTCTATAGAATGCTAGAATGTATTCCTCCTGGCTAGCTGAAATTTTGTATACTTTAACCAACCTCTCCCTCTAACCCTTCCCCTCTCAGTTCCCAGCTTTTAATATTTACCCTCTTCTTCTAGGAGATTAACTTCTTTAGTTTTCACATATGAGTGAGAAGTGGTGGTATTTTATCTCTCTGTGCCTTATTTTACTTAACATAATGCCTTCCAGGCTTATCTATGCTGCTGTGAATGACAAGATTTTTATTCCTTTTTTTGGCTGAATAGTACTCCATTGTGGATATGTACCATATTTTCATATTTTCTTTATTCATTCATCTGCTGATAGACAAGGTTAATTTGGTGTCTTGGTTATTTGTAGAAAGTGCTGCAAAAAACCAAAACCAAAACAAAACAATGGGAATGGAGATATCTCTTCGACACACTGATTTCATTTTCTTTGGATATATAGCCAGTAGTGGGATTGCTGGATAATATGGTTGTGATGGTTAATATTGAGTGTCAACTTGATTGGATTGAAGGAACCAAAGTATTGTTCCTGGTGTGTCTGTGAGGGTGTTGCCAAAGGAGATTAACATTTGAGTCAAGGGACTGAGAGAGGCAGCCTCGCCCTCAATCTGGGTGGGCACCATCTAATCAGCTGCCAGTGCAGCTAAAATAAAGCAGACAGGAGAAGGTGGAATGAGCAGACTCACTGAGTTTTCTGGTCTTCATCTTTCTCCCATGCTGGATGCTTCCTGCCCTTGAAAATCAGACTCAAAGTTCTTCAGCTTTTGGACTCTTGGACTTACACCAGTGATTTGCCAGGGGCTCTCAGGCCTTTGGCCACAGACTGAAGGCTGCACTGTTGGCTTCCCTACTTTGGGGTGTGGGGACTTGGACTGGCGTTTTTGCTCCTCAGCTTGCAGACAGCATATGGTGGGACTTCACCTTGTGATCACGTGAATCAATTCTCCTAACAAACTCACCTTCATATATTCATCTATCCTATTAGTTCTGTCCCTTTAGAGAACCCTGGCTGATACAATAGTAGTTCTATTTTTAGTTCTTGAAGAACCTCTATGTTGTTGTTTTTTTTTTTTAATAATGGCTGTACTAATTTACATTCCCACCTACAGTACATAAGAGTTTCTCTTTCTCTGTACCCTCTCTAGCATTTATTTTTTGTCTTTTTGATAACAGTCATCTTAAGTGAGATGATAGCTCATTGTGGTTTTGATTTGCTTTATAGTCATGTTGAGCACTTTTCATATACTTGTTGGCCATTTGTGTGTCATCTTTTAAGTGATATCTATTTAGATCTTTCACAGAATTAAGTTCCTTATATATTCTGGATATTAATCCCTTGTCAGATGAATAGTTTGAAAATATATTCTTCCATTCTGTAAGTTGTCTCTTTGCTCTGTTGATTACATCCTTTGCTGTGTAGAATCTTTTTAGTTTGATGTAATCCCATTTGTCTATTTTTGGTTTTGTTGCCTGTGCTTTTGAGTCTTATTCATAAAATTTTTTGCCCATACCAATGTTCTGAAGCATTTTTCCTATGTTTTCTTCTAGTAGTTTCATACTTTCAGGTCTTATATTTAAGTCTTTAATCCATTTTGATTTCGTTTTTGTATGTGGTAAGAGATAGTTTATGGTAAGAGATAGTATATGGTAAGAGATAGTTTAGTTTAGTTTAGTTTAGTTTAGTTTTATTTTTCTGAATACAGATATCCAGTTTTCAGAGCACTATTTATTGTATTGGCTGTCCTTTCCCCACCAAATGTTCCAGATGCTTTTGTCAAAAATCAGTTGGCTGTAAATACATGTATTTATTTCTGGGTTGTCTATTCTGTTCCGTTGGTCTATGTGTCTGTTTTTATGCCAGTACCAAAGCATGGTTTTTATGTATGAAGAGCAGAGAAAACATAAGATATTCTTTTTCTTTTATTTTTAATAGGTAATCATAGTGGGGGAAACTTTTACAGCTCATGTGCACTTTTAGAGACTTTCTATTTTATGCTATATAATCATTTATGTCAGATGTGTACTGACTCTCAGGTCAGGTGGATACCAAAAAGATACCCATTTCCTAGTTGAAAAGATTGAAAACATCAGTGTCAGTACTCTCCCAGGAAAAGAAAGTAGTATGCAAACTGAAAGGAGGAAGATTTAAGATGCTCCTGACTTCTCACTGGCCCCTCAACTCAAGATATTAAAAAAAAAAAAAAAAAAGGCAACAGGTCTCATTCAAAGCTTTTGCTAATTGGTATCAAATGCAATCTTTTCAGTTTTTCCTCTTTTGTCATAGACCTAAGACAATCTTTTGCTAGTCTCCCTCCTGAATGCTGTATTCCACTTGGACATGTGCCTGCCTTCAGTAGATGACCCCTAACCCGCAGCCACAGGCTCTGCGACTGCAGCAAAGGCCGGCCGGCCAGGGCAGGCTGCCCACAGACCCACGGCTTCAGGGAGGGCACTGCTGCCATGGGCCCACAGGGTGCGCCTTCCCTTGACACACCTTGGCTCTTTTTCTGCCTATACTGGGAAACAGAAAGCTGACCTAGCAACTGGTAACTAAGGAAGATGCTTCACAGAAACATAGAATCTACCCCACACAGGTGTTGGGGATAAAACCAAGACATCCCCTGTGGAATGCTAGAATAATAGTCCCTCCCACCTAGCAAGGACACAGTGCATGCCAGTTACTATTTCCATTACTAGTAGTAGGTGATTGATAATGACAGCAGGATCTCATTTAATTCCCCAATCCACAGGTCTTAAATTTGAGTGTACATTTAAATCACCTAGGAAACTTTATAAAAACACCAATGCCTTAGTCCACTGCCAAAGATTCAAATTCAGATAGGATGGGGCCTGGCATGGTTCAAAACCTCCCTTGATGATTTTAATATATAGCTAAGTTTGAGAGCCCACTGATCCAATGCTTGAAGTGAAAATTATTGTCACGTAATTTACGGAGGAGAATACAGAGGCCTAGGGAGATTTGGTTATTTGTTCAAGGCCACACATCTGAGTGTTGGAGCTATGATTACAACCCTGGCTTTTCTGTGCCCAAAGTTGAAATCCTTCAGGGTAATAACTCCCAACTGCAGCTGAATATTAGAATCACTGAGGGTATGGACAGGTGTCTGGACCTCATTCAACATCAGACATCCTTATTGTCAAAGTTTCCCAGATGAATCTATTGTAAAAACCATATCTGAAATCAGTCTCAATGACCTGAAAAATGACCAACTGCATTAAAAGTTCTTGGGGTGCATGTTAAACAATAGCGATTCCAGGTTAACACCTAGCTCTACTAAGTCAGTTCATATGAGTTGGGGGCCAAGGATCTGGGCTTAAAATCTAGATGAAGCTTTTCTAGCATTTTTTTTTCATACACAGAATTTTTAGAACTAATGCTCCATATTATGCATCCAAGTATTTATATTTTAGTTGACTCTTCTCCGATTCTCTTTCCCTCTCTCTCTTCTATTCCTGTCTCTCACTTTTCTCATCCCCACTACTTCCCCATGTGTATGTCTTTGTCTGTATGTCTGTGTGTCTGCCTATTAAAATAAAATAACTTCTCAGAATAAATTCATTTTCAGACTGAAGACCTTTAGCAGAAAATTATACTTTATTAACATCTATTGGTAAAGTTATCTAAGATGTACCATCTCATCCTTCACTCCATAGTAAGTGGAAATATATATATATATATATATATGTATATGTATATGAAATTTGTTTTAGTTTCTAATTTAGATTAATCTGGTTTTATTCTTCTTTCCATTGGTAGTTATCATAAAATAGTAAGGTATTCTTTTATTTATATTTCCTGAATTCACTTATATAGAGAAAAGAGAAGGACAGAATTAAACATGGGGACAGATGAAGAAGTAAAGAAGATGAAAATGAGGAAGATAAAAAACAAACTGAAGGTAATTAAGCAATTGCTGGAAGAAGGACTAGACGAAGGAAAATTGAATTGGAGACTATTATTCTAAGAGATGTAACTCAGGAATGGAAAACCAAACATCGTGTGCTCTCACTTATAAGTGGGAGCTAAGCTATAAGGATGCAAAGGCATAAGAATGAGACAATGGACTTGGGGGACTCGGGGGAAAGTGTGGGAGGGGGTGAGGGATAAAAGACTACACATTGGGTACTGTGTATCCTGCTCGGGTGATGGGTGCACCAAGATCTCAGAAATCACCACTAAAGAACTTGTTCATGTAACCAAACACCAGCTGTTCCCCAAGAAACCTACTGAAATAAAAAAAAAATCAATTAAAAAATAGAAAAAGAAAGGATGGAACAGAACAAGGGAATGAAAGAAGGACCTAGAAGAAATGAAATAGGAAAGAGACAGGAAGAAACACGTGATAATTTATTGTTTACCAAGTTCTTTCTTATTTGATCCTCAAACAACCTTGTGAGAGAAGCACTGCATGTCAGTAGTGTCAGGAGCAGCTGAACATTGATGCTGCCAAGAGGCCCACAACCTGCCTGTGGTTATCTCTCTAGGAAGTGGGGACGAGAAAGCAGAAACCCGCCGACCTGGCTGTTCTTTCAGTTTTGCTTTCTATCCAACCAATTGTATGAAAAACACTCATGGATATCATTTCTTCCTAAAAGCTGGAGAAACTCTGTGGGAAATACATGCAGGGCCTGAGGGTCAGGAAGAACAGGGCCCGTGACCTCAGAATTTAGCTTCAGCTTGGGTGTCTTTACCTGAATTGTCACATAAGGAAAATCCTAACTCAAGCATAAGTCAAGCACATCTTTCGTCTTTTAGTTTTCCTTCTCTTGCCTAACTAGGGCCAAAGCTCAAGTTCCAACCAGAGGGCTGTGACTAGACTTGCAAGGTTGCAGGGCGATGCCATTGCTACCACAGTCAGTACACATGGAGGCCACACTGAGCGGGACGGCATGGTGGGATACTTGTGTCGTGTACTTTATAACTTACCAACAGGCCCTGTTCTTTCCTTTTCGTGCTTGAGTGACAAGGTGCTCTAAATGTCCTGTCCCTTGTCTCCTCCACTGCTTAGAAGTACAGAGAGGGAGCTGTCTGCCTCCAGTAGATTTGCAGAGAGGGAGCCGTCTACACTACAGTAGATTTGCAGAGAGGGAACCATCTACACTACAGTAGATTTGCAGAGAGGGAGCCGTCTACACTCCAGTAGATTTGCAGAGTGGGAGCCGTCTACACTCCAGTAGATTTGCAGAGAGGGAGCTGTCTATACTACAGTAGATTTACAGAGAGGGAGCCATCTGCATCCAGTAGATTTGCAGAGAGGGAGCTGTCTACACTACAGTAGATTTACAGAGAGGGAGCCGTCTACACTACAGTAGATTTATAGAGAGGGAGCCGTCTACACTACAGTAGATTTATAGAGAGGGAGCCATCTACAGTAGATTTACAGAGAGGGAGCCGTCTACACTACAGTAGATTTACAGAGAGGGAGCCGTCTACACTACAGTAGATTTATAGAGAGGGAGCCGTCTACACTACAGTAGATTTATAGAGAGGGAGCCATCTACAGTAGATTTACAGAGAGGGAGCCGTCTACACTACAGTAGATTTACAGAGAGGGAGCCGTCTACACTACAGTAGATTTACAGAGAGGGAGCCGTCTACACTACAGTAGATTTACAGAGAGGGAGCCGTCTACACTACAGTAGATTTACAGAGAGGGAGCCGTCTACACTACAGTAGATTTACAGAGAGGGAGCCGTCTACACTACAGTAGATTTACAGAGAGGGAGCCGTCTACACTACAGTAGATTTAGAGAGAGGGAGCCGTCTACACTACAGTAGATTTAGAGAGAGGGAGCCGTCTACACTACAGCAGATTTGCACGGCACATCCTCTATGGTAGTTTTTTGTTTTGCTTTGTTTTCCCATACACTTAGAAATGTATGAAGTAGTTCTCCTGAGGTTGGACTTGATTTATTGGTAAGGACAAAAAAGGATGACTTACTCACCTGGGTCCAGAGCCCAGAGCAGGTGAGGTCTAGAAGACAAGCTGGACGTTAATTGTAACCAAATGTAGCAGAAGGCAAGGACTCAGAGTTAGGGAAGCAGCAGCCGCAAGAGATTGAATGGAGTCAACTTGGAGAGTAGAGGCAGCCTGTTTAGAGGAAAATGGGAAAAATGGGAATGGAACCTGGATAAATGCATTGAAATGCTGACATGTTCTCAGGTCCAGGCAAAAGAGATACACAGAGAGAGGCATTCTGGCCTCCCTCCAGACTGGGTGATGATAAAAAGCTCCTGTTCATGGGCACAGGGTCTTTTTATATGCCTGCGCTTTTCCTAGGCAGAGGCTGGTGAATCTTTGGAAAAAACAGTCACAAGATTATTGTGCTTTCCTCCAATTATCTATTATCTCTAACATGTGTTTTATGGACCAAAAGACGTGTCATCTGAGCAACCCAGGAGTAAAAACAGGGCACAGAGATCCTGCTGTGTGTGCAAGTCTTGGAAATCTGTTTTCCTGAACAAACAAGTTAGTTGAAAGAACAAAGTCTGAAAGTGAATCATGAACTCTTGTTTTGATAGAGCAGAAACTGTTTTTGAAAACATCTACGTTGGATATTCGGGCACAGATGGTCAGTGTAGGACCAGAAATTAACTATAAATTTCCAAGAAGGAGTTAGGCCAGCTGACTAGTCTGTTCTGTCTTTTTATCCCACAATAATTCAAAGGCAAAGATAACAAAAATTATTCAACACACTGAAAACATTATACACTGTTTAAGACTCCAAGTAAACAGCTTTTGTTAACTCTTGCATAAATAAATTTAATAAATGGAAAAAACCAATCTTAATATAAAAGAGGCTCAAAATGAGTTTTGAATTTGGCTAAGCAAAAATTAATGTAAACAATATGTTGGGTTTTTTTGTAATTCCTAAGGCATTATGAATTAATAAGAAAAATTATGTAGCTGAAGGAAATCCTCTGAATTGCATTACTTTTTTACTAAAAGATGATATTACTTTTTGAATGGGAAAACAAAAGATATTAAAATTTAAAAATCCAAATACTTTGCGGCAATATATTAAAATATTTTATTTTCAGAACATTAACATATCTATTGGAAAACCTTTGGACATCTGAATAAAATTCATATGACAACTTAGAATGTAGACATACTTGTTTAGACTACATAAAAACTGTTTAAAGTTTATCTTTCCCATTATAATCTGGGGAACTCTGCCTAAAAGCTCCACAACTCTTGGAAGATACTTGTCTAATTGTAAAAAACTGGCTGACTTTTAAAATGTTTAAGAGGACTTTCTCAAGTAAAATAAAAATATTGACTGAAGTTTTAGACAAATCACTTCAAAAACAAAACCAATAAGATTTCCTGTGTTTTAAAATAAGTACATTAATAGAAGTTCCCCCACTTTTGGATAATACATAAAACCATGATGACTTTCACTGTTTTGGAAATCTCTGAATCAAGCTCTGTTCATTTCCGTTTGCCCCCGGCAGAGGGACTGACCAATATTTGGCTAAAGTAGCATGGATAGAAATATATAAAATAGTGAATGACATTTGATTACTCACAATTTTTTAAATGATTTACATAATGCTTGCTCAATTTTGCATCCCATTTGCACACATGGCCATAATTAAAGATCAATGATATGAAACTACAATTTTAGTGTTTACACACTGAGATTTTAAAACAACTACTTTCACTAGTTTCTCATCTTATCATGACTTAGTGTGAGTATCACAACTTATTGCTTTTGGCAGTTTAGATGTGGCAGCCGTGAGACTGTTTAGAGGGCAGCGGTCCTCCTGGGTCCCCTCTGCCAGGAGTCCAGGCCCTTTCCCCAGAATTAATGCTTTTCCAAAAGGGGTAGGTAAATATCCCCTTCCATCAAGTTGAGAATTCACAGTATAACCCGAGAACTATCCGTATCCATCAAGGGCAGTGTCAAGTGTATGCCTGAAGCATGGATTCCTCACAAGAAAGACTGAGGGCAGGCAGGTCATCAGATAGGTGCTTGGACAGAGCAGCCCCAGGCCTGGGCGCCAGGCATTAGTGGCTGGGAGAGCAGCAGGAGCAGCAAGAACTAGGAGGCGGGTGCTTCACAGGCAACCGGTGTATTAGTCTGTTCTCATGCTGCTATAAGGACATACTCAAGACTGAGTAATTTATAAAGGAAAGACATTTAATTGACTTACTGTTCTGCAGGGCTCAGGAGGCCTCAGGAAACTTAAAATCATGGTGGAAGGGGAAGCAAACACATCCTTCTTCACATGGTAGCAGGAATGAGAAGAATGAGAGCTGAACAAAGGGGGAAGCCCCTTGTAAAACCATCAGATCTCGTGAGGAATCACTCACTATCACGAGAATAGCATGCGGGAAACCGCTCCCATGGTTGAATTACCTCTCACTGGGTCCCTCCCGTGACACGTGGGGATTGTGGGAACAACAATTCAACATGAGATTTGGGTGGGGGCACAGCCAAACCATATCAACCAGTTATCTATAGGCAAGTGTAAGAGGAAAAAAGCAAAACAGAGGGATCTCCAGGGACAGGTAGGTAGGTGAGAAATGCCCTCCCAATTCCATTTATCAGTAGACACATGTTTTGTTTCCTCAGAGCACAGCCTAGAGCAGGAGCACACAGGAAGATGGCACATGGGCACAGAATTGTCCCAAAATGCAGCTTGAAGTGGAGAACGGGGCTGTATGGAAAGAAGCCCCTTCTGCCTGGGGACTGTAGGAGTTCTTTGCTGGGGAAAACATTTTGAGTTCCGTTGTAGAGGATGAGAAAACTTTCTAGATATAAATGTAAAAGTTAAGTATGTTCTTGGCATGAGTCAATTGAAGAAAAAGGGGCACCTGATACAGAGTGAGAATTTCAAGGTGACAGAAACACAAGTGTCATTTGAGGCTGGGATGGGATGGGGAGAGATGACGTTTACAGGGGCGTTTGGGGCAAGACTGTAAGGGATGAAATGACTGGCCATGGTATTTGAAATGGCTTCTGTGGAACACGGTGTATGTGTGTGCGTGTGTGTATGTGCACGTGCACGTGTGTGGTTGTATCCATGCTTATGCACTAACTGAGATGACAAGAGAGATGGAGAAGCAGCCCCTGAAATATAAGAATTTCAACTTTGGGTGTCTTCTGTTTGAAATGCTGTGAGACCCCTGTATAGAGATGACCAGAATGCAGATGGAGTTACAAGTGTAAGGAAATCTCTGACAAAATACAGACCCAGGGCCTTCAAGACTGACACAGGCAAAGCCATACCCCTGAGGAGAGGGCAGCAGGGTCTGGGGCTGCCTCACTGACCTCTGAGACTCCTCTTCCCCTCAGAGAGGCATAGTCACGACTTCTCACCCTAACCTGGTCATACCCATGGTGACGATGCCCATTTTCCATATCACTCTATAGTATAGCTAAACAGAGTTTGGGCCATTTAAACAGGCATAACTCAAGGTGAATTAAGGACTTGTCAGAGACTATTCCTCAGAGATTTCCATTAAGAATAATCACTGCAGCTAATTAGCTTCACAAACACCACATAATATTGTCATTGGTTATCAAACACATGTTGATGTTTTACATTTTAACATTTATGAAGAGTGTGCACATCTTCCAAGCATTGATGGCCAGGAGCACTCAAGATGGAGTTGCCGGCTGGGTGCTGTGTCTCATGCCTGTAATCCCAGCACTTGGGGAGGCCGAGCCTGGTGGATCACTTGAGGCCAGGAGTTCATGACCAGCCTGGCTAACATGGTGATACCCTGTTTCCAAAAAAAAAAAAAAGAAAGAAAATTAGCCAGGCGTGGTGACACACACCAGTAATCTCAGCTATTCGGAAGGCTGAGGGACAAGAATCACTTGAACCTGGGAGGTGAAGGTTGCACTGAGCTTAGATTGTACCACTGCACTCCAGCCTGGGTGATAGAGTGAGACCCTATCTCAAAAAAAAAAAAAAAAAAAAAGGAGTTGCCATTGCCCTCATTGTGTGTGACCTCAGCTGTCATTCTAGGTCATGTTGGGGCAATGGGAACCCCTCAGCATTTCAGGCAACAAAACACTTAAGGAATTAAAAACTAAGATGTTTCATTATAAGAAGGGGGTTAGCTTATGCACCTAATGGAGCTTATAAATACATGGAACAAGGACTGAGAACTGATAGAGATGCAAAGAGAATAGAAAACTCCACAAATTCAGAGATTTCAATGCCTGTCTCTTAATAATTGATAGAAAAAATAGATAGAAAATTGTTAAGAATATAGAAGATCTGAACAGCATCACCCACCAATTTGACCTAGTTGACTTTTATAGACCAATCAAAGCACACAGTGTTTCAAATGCACACAGAAAGACTATATATTTGGCCATAAAATAAAAGAAATAAAGACACATGTCCACACAAGTACATATATAAAAGTGTTTATTGTATGTTACTCTGTAATATTCAAAACCTGGAAACAACCCAAAATGCCATCAAAGGTGAGTGGATAAACATACTGTGATACAGCCACACAATGGAACACTACACAGCAAAGAATTAAATAAGCCGTTGATAAACATGAAAACATGGGTGAATCCCAAAATAACTGTGTGTCGTGAAAGAAGTCAGACCCAAAAAGAAATTTGTACAATGGTATAAAATTAAATAACATTTTGGTAAATGAAAATTGTTCGAGAGAGACAAATCAGAGAAGTATTTGCCTTTGAACAAGAGTGTAGGTTGAAAGGAAGGATGTCAGGGAGGAATTACAAAAGGGCATGAGAGAACATTTGGATTGGGAGGTGGTGGACAGATTCCCTTCTTAGATTGTGGTGCTAGCTTCACAGGTATGCCCATATGTAAAACGTATCAAAGCTTTTAAGATATGCAGTTTATCATGTGTCAATCATGCCTCATAAAGATATTAAACCTCTCAATAAGTACAAATTAGAAATTTGAAATGAGAAGAACATTTTATAGCATTGTTTATTTGGCAGTGCTTTTCTTCCTTCGTGGCACATAGAACAATAGCTCACCCTATGATGAATGGCCGGGGTGTTCAATCTTTTGGCTTCCCTGGGCCACATTGGAAGAAGAATTGTCTTGGGCCACACATAAAATACAACACTAATGATAGCTGATGAGGGTAAAAAAATCACACACAAAAAAGTCTCATAAAGTTTTAAGAAAGTTTATGAATTTTTTTGGGCCACATTCAAAGCCATCCTGGGCCACATGTGGTCCGTGGGCCATGGGCTGGACAAGCTTAATTAATGGTGTCTGGGATTCACTACACCACAGGTGTACTTTGATGCCCTTATAGATCCTCAGGAATCAGTGTCTAAGGAGACAAGGAACATCACACTAATTGATCATGGAACTCATTTTTAAGTAATTGTTGGCAGTTTCTATGTGCACAGAAAGAAGAATCTAGACAATCCTGATTACAAAATAGAACTTTCTTTTAAAGACACACAGGTATTAACTCATCCTAACTTCTGCTCGTTCATCTTCCTTGAGGACAGTAACTCTCTGAATGGAATACC
This sequence comes from Homo sapiens, assembly GCF_000001405.40. Lineage (NCBI taxonomy): Eukaryota > Metazoa > Chordata > Mammalia > Primates > Hominidae > Homo > Homo sapiens. The sequence goes on along the minus strand of NC_000013.11, from coordinate 109,563,473 downwards.
AAGGCCTTGATGTGTCCAATATTTACTCAGGAGCTTCACTACAGTAGCAGAGAGGTTATTTGATTTTCCTAAGCTCTGGAACTTGAAGAGATTCTGCAGCTGGAAGTTTAGATTGAGACCCACCAGCATACAGAGGCAGTTAGAGCCACAGGAGGGAATAAGCCCACCGATGTAGAAAGGTAGAGATTAGAAGAGAGACAAGGTCAGAACTCCAAGGTGGACTATTTTTCACAAAACAATCAGGCTAGTTTCCTTCATTAGATGCAAGAAAATGATAGAAGAGAGTAAAGAGAAAACAATGACCTTGTCTTGGTGGATCAACCTCCTACATGATGAGGGTTGGGTGGCCAAGCCTGCACTCATATGCACATGGATTGTTTGCAATTAGCAGCAATGACTATTATCACTAGTAGAGCATATTAACAATATATGATGAAGTAGCCCTCAATGATTTTGCATTTATTATAATAACACTTCAACTTTTAAAGAATGTACATCTTTCCTTTTTCCAAAAGGGAGGAGTTAAGTCATCATATAAAGAACAATAACAAAAAAGATAAAACAAAAAGAATACCTCACCAAATGAAAAATTCAGATAAATTGGAACCAAGCAGGATGAAGAAGCTAAGTGCACATTAGACACCCAGCTTTAAGCTTTGTGGCAGCCACAGGAAAGCAGTAGATACAGCACTATACAAACTCCATTGTAAAAGCTTGGGCACACACAGCAACCCTCAAGAGAGAACTTTCCTCTTCCCATTCCCCTGACTGACCTGGCAGACTCAGATGGCTAAGATGCGCACTCTTACCCCAACCATTTCACGGCAAACATAGAAATAGTATTCATCCGCGTACAGCTCTAAGCAACCTTTCATGAAAGTCAGATATGATATGGAGGTATTATTTTATTAAAATGTTAATTTCATCTAGTCTTTGATTTGGTCCAAAGATGGAACTTAGACTCTTTAGATTGTAGCATCCTTTAGATTATCTTGCTCAAGTGTTGTTTGATGGAAATCAACCTTTGGCAAGCCGCTGAATGGCAGGAGATAACAATTATATTAATTCGTTGGAATACGGATTGCTTTAATTGCTGATTAGGGACAGAACATAGACCTTGGCAACCAGATAAGCAGGGGTAGAGTCATTCTTTCCTTTAAAAAATCAGGGAACCCAATAGGAAGTCTACCCTATGGAACACAGAGGTGGGGTGGAGGGGTAGCTAAAGGCAAAGCCAGAATTGTTCTCCAAAAGCAGGGTGGGGTCTGTTGTAGAATATGAACATATATTAATTCTGCTAAGGACTCAGAGCTTGCCACCACAGAGCAGTGCTTCTCTGTGTTGTCCCCTGACCATCTCTACCCTATTTTCTGCAGTACTTGTGAGTAATGCAGGCTCCTGGGTCCTACCCCAGACCTGCTGAGTAGGAATATTGACAGGGAGATGACTGAAGGATTCAGGAATACGTAGTTTAATGTGTTCCCCAGTTATTCTTAGACATTTTGAAATTTGGTAACTAACTGCACAAAAAGGGTTTCACTTGGAAAAAAAAAATCTCAGAGCTGGTGTTGCCAGTTACACTGGGAAGAATTATTCCTTCCTTCGATTCCTTATTTCTCTTCCTGTCCTCTTTTCCTCATTTCTTCCTTTCTTCCTTGTGCATTTATTGAGTGGCTACTATATTGAGGGCCCCATGTAAAGTACTGAGGCTACAGAAATGCATAAGGTAGTCATCTGCCCCAAGCCACATGACTTCCAATATGACTGATGAGAAGAATTAACTACAATAGAGATCTTTTAAAATGAATTGAAATAGCCTGCTCTGCAGGATTATTTGATGTTTATCATTTTGCTATTGCAGAAAATCCACAATGCATATCTCTGCTTGATTGGTGAATGTTCAGCCCATCTTTTTGGTATTAGATATAAACGAGGCTCACTTGTTTCTTGTAATCATTCCTAGTACCTGACAGGTGGGAGTGTAAATTAGTTCGACCATTGTGGAAGACAGTGTGGTGATTTTTCAAGGATGTAGAAGCAGAATACCATTTGACCCAGCAATCCCATTACTGGGTATATACCCAAAGGATTATAAATCATTCTACTATAAAGACACATACACATGTATGTTTACTGCAGCACTATTCACAATAGCAAAGACTTGGAACCAACCCAAATGCCCATCAGTGATAGACTGAATAAATGTGGCACATATGCACTATGGAATACTATGCAGCCATAAAAAATGATGAGTTCATGTCCTTTGTAGGGACATGGATGAAGCTGGAAACCATGATTCACAGCAAACTAACATAGGAAAAGAAAACCAAACACCACATGTTCTCACTCATAATTGGGAGTTGAACAATGAGAACACATGGACACAGGGAGGGGAACATCACAAAATGGGGCCTGTTGGGGTTGGGGGGCTAGGGGAGGGATAGCATTAGGAGAAATACCTAATGTAGATGATGGGTTGATGGGTGTAGCAAACCACCAAGGCACGTGTATACATAGGTAACAAACCTGCACGTTCTGTACATGTATCCCAGATACATGTACAGATACATGTATCCCAGATACATGTACAGATACATGTATCCCAGATACATGTACAGATACATGTATCCTAGATACATGTACAGATACATGTACATCAGGATATATATATATATCCTGAACTGATTCAAGTTCCTGTTTAAAGACCCTCACTTAATATACATTGCATCAAAACTTAAAATTCAAATGCTTTCTTCTTAAACTGTAGTATAGAATCAGTGCTTGGGAAAGATAAATCTCACTAAATGAGTCTTTCTGAAACTACCCCCATTTGGCACAAAAAGAGGAGGGGGGTTACATAACTTAAGCGCCAAGGTGAGGTGTTTGTCATGAGAGTTTAATGCTGAATTCTTGTAATATGCCACTTATAGACTGCAGAGATTCAGTCAACAGCGGCATTTTTCGCACGCCCATTATTTTCCAGACACAATGTGAACCCTGGGAATTCAAGGCTGAATAGTACGAAGTCCTTTCCTCACAGAGTTCAGGACCCAGGAGTGGAGGCCAGATAAGGGTAAGCTGAACAGGTGCATCCATTGCTCCTCCAGAATTTCTCTGTAGGTTGTGATCACATTTTAGAGTTTATTTTCTGTTTTTCCATATCAAGTTCTTTTTCTTTCAGTTTTTTTTAGAGGGTCAGGTGAAACTTAACATTTGTCTTTTTCCAGTCTTACTCTTTTTCTTTATTAAAAATTGTATGTGCTTATAGTGTACAACATGTTGTTTTAATATATGTATACATTGTGGAATGGCGAAATCAAGCTATTTACATACGCATTACATCACACACACTTTTTTTATAGTGAGAATACTTAAAATCTGTCATAGCATTTTTCAGATATACAATATGTTGTTTTTAACTGTAGTCACCGTGTTATACAATAGAGATCTGGAATTTATTCCTTCTGTCTACCTGAAATTTTGTATCCTTTGACAAACATCTCCTCAATTGCTCCACTCCTCAGCTTCTGGTAACAAGCATTTTACTGTTTCTATGAGTTTGACTTTTTTTTAGATTTCACATATAAGCGAGATCATGTGGTCTTTGTCTTTCTGTGACAGGCTTACTTCATCTAACACATTGTCTTCCAGGTTTATCTGTGTTGTCACAAACGACAGAATTTCCTTCTTTTTGAAAAACCAAATAGTATTACATTGTCTCTATAAAAAAATACAAAAAATTGCCAGGCACATGGTGGTGCATGTCTGTAGTCCCAGCCCCTCAGGAGGCTGAGGTGGGAAGGTTGCTTGAGCCTGGGAGGTTGAGGCTGCAGTGAGCCATGATCACACCACTGCACTCTAGCCTGGGCAACAGAGCAAGACCGTGTCTCAAAAGAAAAAAAAAGATAAAGATTATAGTACTTTATCGTGTATACATACCACATTTTCTTTATCCCTTCACCTACTGATGACCAATTAGGTTGCTTCCATATCTTGGCTATTGTAAATAGTGATAAACTAAACATGGGAGTGCTGATATCAATTCCTTTGGATACATGCCCAGAAGTGAAATTGTTGGATCATGTGGGAATTCTGTCTTTAGTTTTTTGAGGTGTCACCAAACTATTTTCCAAAATGGCTATACTAATTTACATTCCCATCAACAGTACACAAGAGTTCCCTGTTCTCCACATTTTTACCAATACTTATCATTCATCTTTTTGATAATAGCCATTCTAACAGGTGTCAGATGTTATCTCATTGTTTTAATTAGCATTTCCCTGATGATTAGAGACACTGACTTTTTAAATACATCTGTTGGCTATTCATATCTCTTCTTTTGAGAAATATCCCTTAAGATTCTTTTCCCATTTTTAAGTTGGGTGTTTTTTTGTCATTGAGTTGTTTGAGTTCCTTATATATTTTGGATATTAGCCCCTTATCTGATGTATGGTTTACAAATATTCTCTCTTATTTCATGGGCTATCTCTTCACTCTCTTCATTGTTTACTTTGCGCACAGAAGCTTCTTATTTTCATGTAATCCCATTTGTCCATTGTTGTTTTCATTGTTGTACTTTTGGAGTCCGATCCAAGAAATAATTGCCCAGACCAATGTCATGTTTTCCTTATGTTTTCTTCTAGCATAGCAGCTTTACAGTGTCAGGTCTTATATTTAAGTTGTTTATCTGTTTTGAGTTGACTTTTCTATATGGTATGAAATAAACATCCAATTTCATGCTTCTACATGTAGATACTCAGTTTTCCTAATACCGTTTATTGAAGGGACAACTCTTTCCCCATCATGTATCCTTGGAACCTTTGTTGAAATTAATCGACTATACAGGTGGAGATTTATTTTTGTGTTCTCTATTCTGTTTCACTGGTCTGTATGCCTGTTTTTACACCAATACCATGCTCTTTTGATTATGATAGCTTTATCATATATTTGGAAGTCAGGTGGTGTGATACCTCTGGCTTTGTTCTTTTTGCTCAATTGGTTTTGCTATTGAAAGTCTGTTGAGGCACCATACAGATTTTATGATTTTTTCCTATTTCTGTGAAAAATGTCATTGTTATTTTGATAGAGATTGCATTAAATCTGTAAATTGCTCACATTTTGTTAAAATGTGAACATTTTAACAAAATAATCCTTCTGGTTCATGAACACAGGATATCTTTCATTTTATTTTTGTCTTCAGTTTCTTTCATCAGCATTTTATAGTTGCAGTGTACAAGTCTTTTACCTCTTTGGCTACATTTATTCCTCTTTGTTTGTTTGCTGCTATTATGAATGGGATATTTTCTTAATCTTTTTTCTGAATAGTTTGTTGTTAGGGTATAGAATCCACTACTAAAAAAATAGAATGCTACTAATTTTTGTATATTGATTTTGTATCCTGCAACTACACTGAATTTGTTTATTACTTTTATCAGTTTTTTTGGTAGAGTCCTTAGAGTTTTCCACATATAAGGTCATGTCATATGAAAACAGAAACTTTAACTTATTCTTTTCCAATTTTGATGCTTTTTAATTCTTGTTCTTGCTTAGTCGCTCTGGCTAGGACTTCCAGTACTATGTTGAAGCAAAATGGCAAGAGTGGAAATTCTTTTTTTGTTCCTGATCTCATGGGAAAAGATTTCAACTTTTTACTGTTGAGCATGATATTAGTTATTGGGTTGGTATATATGGCCTTTATTGTGTTGAAGTACATTTTTTTTTCTGTTTCTAATTTGTTGAGAGTTTGTGTCATAATAGGAGGTTGAATTTTGTTGGATGACTTTTCTGCATCTGTTGAAGTGATCATGTGATTTTTGTCCTTCATTCTGTTAATGAGGTGCATTGCATTTATTGATTTGCATATCTTGAGCCACCCTTGCATCCTAGGAACAAATTTCACGTGGACATGGTGAATGATTCTTCATGTGCATTGAATTAGGTTTGCTAGTATTTTGTTGTGGATTTTTGCATGTAAGTTCTTCATGGTTATTGGTCTGTAATTTTCTTTTCTTCTGGTTTTCTTGTCATTGATTGGTATAATTGTAATGCTGGCCTTGTAAAATGAGTTTGGAGGTATTCCCTTTTATTTATTTTTTTGGGAGAGTGTGAGAAGGATTGGTACTAGTTTTTCTTTCAGTGTTTGGTAGAATTCAGCAACCAAGCCATCAGGTTCTGAACTTTTCTTTGATGGGATATTTTATTATAGATTTAATTTTTTATGTGTTATTAGTCTGTTCAGATTGTTGATTGCTTCATGATTCAATCTTGGTAGGTTAGATGGGTCTAGGAAATTATCTGTTTCTTCTAGGTTATCCAACACATTGATGAATAACTGTTCATAGTAGTTTCTTATGGTCCCTTGCATTTCTGTGTATCAACTGTAGTGTCTTCTCTTTTGGTTCTAATTTTATTTATTTCAGTCTTCTCTCTTTTTTTTCTTGGTTAGTCTAGATAATGGTTTGTCAATTTTGTTCATCTTTTCAAGAAACCAACACTTAGTTTTGTTCATCTTTACTGTTGTTTATCTAGTCTCTGTTTAATTTATTTGTGCTCTGAGCATTATTGTTTTTCTTTCTTTATTCACTTTGGGCTTAGTTTGTTCATCTTTTTCTAGTTCCTTGAGGTGAACTTTAGGTTTTTTATTTGAGATATTTTTTTCTTTTTTGATGTAGATGTTTATTGCTATAAACTTCCCTCTTAGATCTGCTTTTGCTGCATTTCATAAGTTTGGTATGTTGTATTACCATTTTCTTTTATGTCAAGATATTTTAAATTTTGTCTTTAAATTTCTTATTTGATCTTTTGTATAGAAACATGTTTAATTTCCACATATTAGTGAATTTTCCAAAATTCTTGTTATTGATTTCTAATTTCATATTCTTGTCATCAGAAAAGATATGTGCTATGATTTCAGTCTTTTAAAGTGTGTTATGATGTTTTTTGTGGCCTAACATATGACCTATCTTGGAGAATATTCTGTGTGCATTTGAAGATAATTTGTATTTTGGTGCAGTTGGATGGAATGTTCTGTGTATGTCTATTAGGTCCATTTGGTCAAAGGCTCAGTTGAAGTCCAGTGTTTCGTTACTGATTTTCTGTCTGGATCATTGTCCATGGTAGAAAGTGGGTATATTTAAGTCCCTTATTATTATTGCATTGCAGTCTCTCTCTAATTGCTTTGTATTTTTAGGTGCTCCTATATTGGGTGCATATGTATTAATTGTTATTATAGCTTCTTGATTCATTGATACATTTATTGTTATTTAAGGACTTTCTCTGTCTATTTTTATAGTTTTTGACTGAAAATCTGTTTTATCTGATATAGGTGTAGCTATTCCTGCTTTTTGTTCCATTTGTTTGGAATATCTTTTTCTATCCCATCACTTTTTAGTCCATCTGTATCCTTCAAAATAAGATGGGTCTCTTGTAATATGGTTGGGTCTTCATTTTTTATCCATTCACCCACTCTATGATTCTTAATAAAATATTTAATCTATTTGCATTCAAGGTAATTATTCATAGGGAAAGACTATTCCCATTTTGTTAATTATTTTGTTGTTTTGTAAATGTTTTTGTTCTTCCCCTTTTGCTGCCTTTTTCTGTGATTAGATTATTTTCTCTAGTGGTATGCTTTAATTCCTTACTTTTAATTTTCTGTGTATCTAATATAGTTTTTTGCTTTGTGGTTACTATAAGGCTTATCTAAAACTTCTAACAGCCTATTTTAAGCTGATAACAACTTAAATTTGATTGTACTAAATAGTTATACTTTTACCACCCTCAGTCTCACACTTTATGCTTTTGATGTCACAATTTACATAATTTTCTGTTGAAAATACCCTAATTTATTAGGGCTACATATTTTAATAGTTTTCCTTTAACCTTGATACTAAAGATATAAGGGATTTACATACCACCAACACATTATTAGAGTATTCTGAATTTGACGCTGTACTTGCTCTTACCAATGGGTTTTACATTTTTATTTGTTTTTGTGTTACTAATTAGTGTTCTTGTATTCCAGCTTGAAGAACTTTCCTTAGCATTTATTGTAAGATAGGTCTAGTGATGGTGAACTCCTTCAGTGTTTCTATGTCTGGGAAGGTCTTTATCCTTCTTTCACTTTTCCCCTGAAGGCCAACTTTGCTGTGTACACTATCCTTGGCAGTTTTTTCCCTCAACGCTTTGAATATATCCTCCCAGTCTCTCATGACCTGTAAGTTCTCTGCCAAGAAACATGCTACTAGCCTTATTGGAACTCCTTTATATGTTTTTTGCTTATTTTCTCTTGTTGCTTTCAGAATCCTCTCTGTCTTTGATTTTTGTAGTATGATTATAATATATCTTGTGTAGGTTTCTTTGGATTGAATCTTATTCCAACCTCTGACTTTCTATAACTGGGTATTTATATTTTCCCCATATTTGAAATGTTTCTGTTATTATTTTTAAAAATAATCATTGCACTCTTTTGTTTGTCTCTTCTCCTCCTTTAACTCCTGCAACTCACACATTTGCTCTTTTGATTTTATTTCACAAATCTCATAAAATTTCTTCATTCATCCTCATTCTTTCTCCTTTGACTGTACATTTTCAAATAAGCTGTCTTCAGGTTTATAAATTATTTCTTCTGCTTGATCATTTCTACTCTTGACACTTTCTATTGCATTTTTTTCTTTCTTTCATTATATGTTTAAGTTCCAGGAATTTTGTTTGATTTTTTTTATGATTTAAATCAGTTAAATTTCTTGTTTTGGTCATTTATTATTTTTCTAATTTTGTTGAATTGTTTCTGCTGAGCTTCCTTAAACCAATTATTTTGAATTCTTTGTCACACAGTTTGCATATCTCCATTTCTTTGGAGTCAGCTACTGAAAGATTATTGTGGGGTTTTTTGGTGATGTTATGTCTCTTTATTATTTTTTTTAATGTTTCTTGTTGCCTTACATTGATTTCTGCACATTTGGTGAAGAGATCACCTCTTGCAGACTTTATGGGCTAATTTTGCTGTGTAAATTTATTTTCCTATAGGTTTGAGAGTGTTTGCTGTGGTGTGCAAGAGTTCTGCCACTGATGAGGGCACAGCTGTGTATTCTCTGAGCAGTTCTGTCAGCTGAGGTCAGTGTTGATGAAGGTTACAGGGATTCTCAGGGACTAATGTTGTGGGTGGTCATAGTGGTGGTGAGAGTTGATGAGATCTTCAGTGGCAATGGCTGCTAATGTCCTCCAGATCTCTTTTTCTCTCACTAATGAAGTTGTGGCTGAGGGGATCCCTGTTGGTACTGGGTCTGGCTTGTGGGCTTCCCTGTGGTAGTGGTGGCATGAGTGTCTGATGAGTGCCACCTCTGTAGCGGCCATGGAGCTGAGGCCTGAAGCATGGGTGTACATGGAAGGACTCTGGCTTCGGGGGGCAGTAATGTTATTGGTGCTCAGGGTGCAGGCAGCTCTTCTGCTACTGCGTTGGTAATGTTTGTGAGAGATGAATGTCTGTGAAACAGCTGGGAAACTGAGAATAAGAGCACAGGTATATGCAAAGTTACGGTGGCTCTGGGATTGGGATGAGGCCTAGTTATCTATGGCAGCTGAGCCAGGTCTTGGAGTATAGGTATAAGCATCAAGGGCTTGGCTCTAGGGCCAGAGTGCCAGCTAGCTCACTGTGGTGATACCTGTGGTGTCTGACACATGGGCAGGCCCACCACTGCCACAGAGCTTGGGTCTGGAATATGGGCACTTGTGGGAAAGTGAGGCTCCAGTACTAGGGCATGGGAGAACTTGGGAAAGGTCGTGGCTCCTTTCTTGAAGCAGCTCATCATCAGCTGCTTCTTGGCGGAGGAGGGATATGCAGGCACACCTTCCTTTCTGGGGTTCCTTGGTGGAAATGGCTACTGGTTACTTTAGTGGCAAAAGATGTTGGTGTCCTCTGTGGAGCAGGACACTGGGGACCATTGTGATTTCCGCTGTGTCTGATGCCAATAGCCTCTGCCTTTCTTCTTTGCTCTTCACCATCTCCTGGTATCTCAGGGATGCTGATCTCACCAATGATCTTTTCTATTTGAGTATTCTTTCTTTTTTGTTTTTCCTTCATGGTGTTGCTGAAGATTCTTTAATGGTCCCTTGAACCCTGTCTGGGCTGGTTTGGTTTGTGAATAGCTATCTAGTTTTGCTTGTTTGTGGGGAGATGAAGGCTGGTATTTTCATACTCTGCCATCTTGGTCTTTCTTACTCTCAATTTAGTTTCTTGAGCTTATTTTTCCTTCTGTTCTATGGCCCCACCTCTCCCCCTTCAAAGTTATGGTATAAGTGCAGAGGCATTGGCTGCATTTGCAGCCTAGAATGGGCTCCAGGCTCAAGGCAATTGGCTTGTTCTGGGGTATTATGACTAGAATGATGCTTGCTTGATTTCAGCTGGGCTTGGAAATACCAAAAGGACAGACCTGGCTGTATTCTGATATTTCTGTTTGGGTTGCAAGGAAGTATTGGGGTTTCAGAAGTAAAACTTCAAACTGTTAACCAAACACTTAAAAGTTGACAATTGTCCTAATCATACAGTGTGTATATATATATATATATATATAGAGAGAGAGAGAGAGAGAGGGAGAGAGAGAGTGATAGGAGGCCAGGGGTGAGCTTGGGACTGCTCAGGTTTGTATATCTCTGTATTAAAACACACCTGATGATCAGGTCTGTAGAGGAAAATTCTTCTTTGGCAGTAATGATACTGCCAAATGATACTTATTCCTTTCTACTTATACCCAATTTCAATATACTTCCTTCAAACTGTAACATAATTATTGATACACCTGGGTGTTTTCATGATGGACACAACATCCTCTTTTCATTTATTCTGTCTTCATTCGTTTTTTATTAATTTATTTAATAAATATTGTGGTTGCCTTGTAGGTGCCAGGCAAATGCATTATTCCACTGGCACATGATTGTACGGTTGTACTAGTTGTAAAATAGCCCCTACTTTGAGTTTTCCAGGTCCACCTTCTGCTCAGCTTCTATGGAGGTTGTTAGCACTTTCCAATGCAACCCATAACTCCAAATATCTCACCATAATAGCACCACATAGATTCCCAGAAATACATTTCCCACATCTACTGCTGTGTCCTTGACATAAAGGAAACTAAATGCATGAAGGTTTGGGGTTGTGCTGCTGCCAACACCAAAGATAGATGCTGCTTTTCAGGGCAGAGGGGATATGAGGCAGAAACACTTAGATAAAAGAAACGACAAATTAATTAGCTTGTCAAATTCTTCTTTTCAGAGAGCACAGATGCAATAGACTCTTGCATAATGAAGTATCATTCCTCAGCAACACTGAGCACCTAGGTTCCTCCTTCTCTTCATATACTAAATTTTGTTCAGAAGGTATTTGTGAATTAGCACACATTTCACAACAGTTGTATGAGATGGCCTGAGAAACATTTTCTAACATTAAATACGTCAAATTGCTCTTAAATTTTTATATATACATATGTATTTCCAAATATTTAATTTTGAAGCACGTAACCAATTTTTTTTTACATGGGAACTCGATGGATATTGAACACAAAATTGTGAATTTTGAGAATAAAAGTATTTAATAAGAGTTCTATTAAATTTTCAAAAGGGCATTGTAGCTTGCTTACATATTTTTGTGTAAAATTTTGTTACTCATTATCATGATTTGAATTTTGCATGACTATAATAAAGAAGATTCATATGCAAATGATCTTCAAATGGATTTCTATATAGACTGTTCTGACCATGAACAACATACTTCTATTTTTGGTTTAATTTAAAATTCTCTTGCAGTGAAAAATTTGAAAGAAGAATTTTAAAAATACTTTGTGAATCTAGTTACTCATTTAGCCAAAAACTGCTTTGTAAATTGTAGTCATTTATATGATAAAATTAAAATGTTTTCACATTTTCTACAATGACAATGATTCATCCTATACAACCTTATTACAATGTTTGAATGCTAGATGTAAAGCTCACGGCTTATTTTCAAATCTACAAATTACTTTGTGAATTTTATTAATAATACCAGTGTCTATTGCTTCAGCAGTGTGATGTTATTCCAATCTAAAATAACAAAAAACTTCCTGCAAAAATTTAAAAGCTATGGTGATCCCCCAAAATTGCTTACTTTGTGTCAGTAGAACACAAATTATGCAGAAGAATCTTTATTATAGCCCCCTAATTAGTGAATTTTCTAAAATAATGATAAGAAAAAATTGTATGAGATATAACTTATGAATTTTGTATGTAATTATTTTGTTACTTATCTAAACCTCTCCAGACTAGGGAGACATTTAGGTCTATGCACATTCAATTAATTTTATAATTATAAGGATATATTTATCCAGTTAGAAGGCAGGTGATATTTTATTCAGTAGTTTGCTAGTTTGGTTTGCACCTTTTAAATGTGGAAACGCAGGCCTCGATTAGTACTCTCGTACCTGTCTCTGTGGTATTACACAGTGGTGGAATGAACACGCAGCCTACCTTAGCATTGACGTTTGTCTCAGGTTCTTTGACTTGTTTGAGGGAATTGTTGGGGAGAATATTTGAAGAATCAGTTGTCTGTTGAGCTTTCCAGTGAAAATAATTCTGCTGTTGAAAGGACCACGAGGCCTCCCACAATTTTTCTTGTAGCTTTTTGGTTCAGTTGCCAGCTTTTTGGTTCAGTTGGTTCAGTTGCCAGTTTGGTTCAGTAGCTTTTTGGTTCAGGCTACCGGTGTTTGAATAGATAAGGAAGCCAAGATAGAGTTAATCTAGAGAGATAATAATCCACCCAGAAGTGGTGTCAACATTCCAAGCATCCTCTTTTATTTCCCATTTTCATAGAAAGAAAACAGATTGTCAAAGGCAAAAAACAAAACAAAACAAAAAACAACAAACACACTAATTAGGACTCAGAAATTTGACATTGGGAAATAAGGTGGAGGGAGAAATCAATTTCCTCTGTCAGTGAGGCACCCTTCAGAGGTACCAGTACTATCAGAGAGCACAGTACCTGACACGTAATAGGTGTTCAGTGAATGTACTCATTAATCAACGAGTAACAGAACGAGTGAAATGTAATTCTTATGCATGTGAATAACCACATGGAATAACTAAAATAATTAAATCCTGAAAAGGGCCTGAAATTATCTTGATGCTAAAGATGAAGCGAGAAACTGTGTAGCTCAGGCAATTTGGCATCTGTCAAGGTAACCAGCTCTATGTGACAAGTGTTTTATTAGGACCAGGGTTGAAGAATACAACCTTTGGTTCTCAGTGGTCACTGCTCCTGGGAGACTCCTAAACTCCTAAAATAGGGGAGAAGGTAGGTAATGTATCGAAACATATTTTCTTTCCTTTTTCTGCATCTTCTTATTTAGTTGTCATTACTATGTATTTGGCCACTTTTACATACTGCCTTGATTTAATAAGCAGCATCTTCCAGAATTCAAAGGCACAAACTTGAGGGAGCCCCATCTTCCTATCTGATCCTCTTCATTTGAGAGCAGTGAATACAGAGAAAAATGAGATTTTCCAGTTACTATGATGTTTCCAGGGCTGAGGAATGCTCTCTAGAAAGCCTCCTTTATCAGGTTTCAGAACATAGTGGTTTTACTTACCACCCTAGCTTGTAAGTTACACCATAATTACAAACTTAACTCACAAATCATCAGTAGACTGGGAATAAGACGAATTCCAATTTTATTTTTAAAAATCGCCAAAATAGGCATGCTTATACGACTAGTGCCGTTAATGTTTAAAAAAAAAGGAGCAAGTTGATAAACTTTAAAAAGGCTGAGGTCAGTTGAGCCATGTGGGGCTGCCTATGTGACCATGGCCCATGATTTTAAAAATCAAAAGCAGCCTTAGGTCACACTGGATTCTATGAGTGGGCAGCTCTTCTGGCTTCATCATGTGCCCATGGAGCATGGCCCTGCCTGAACTCTGGTTTCCTTATGCTGGTGGTTCCTTTGCCTAACTCATCGAAAGTTCTAGAGCAATTTTGGCAAGTCCCTCCATTTAAGAAGATCATGGGCCGGACGCGGCGGCTCACATCTGTAATCCCAGCACTTTGGGAGGCCGAGGCAGGCGGATCATGAGGTCAGGAGATGGAGACCATCCTGGCTAACACGGTGAAACCCCGACTCTACTGAAAATACAAAAATTTAACCGGGCGTGGTGGCGGGCGCCTGTAGTCCCAGCTACTCAGGAGGCTGAGGCAGGAGAATGGCGTGAACCCGGGAGGCGGAGCTTGCAGTGAGCCGAGATCGCGCCACTGCACTCCAGCCTGGGCGACAGAGCGAGACTCCGTCTCAAAAAAACGGTCATAGTGTGGCATTTCCAAATCATATGAAAAAAGTTCCAGAATAAAAAATATATCAATAAAAAGACTGGAAATCCAGGAAATCTTATGAGAGTATCAGCAACCAGATTCCAAGTGCTTTTATGAGTTCCAAGCAGTCTTGCATTTCATTTTGTGTGCACTCATTTACTACTGAATCTTCCCTAATTCTTTAACATAAAACTAGTGCACCGCCAGGTCTAAAGCCACCATGAACATTTACTAATGCGTCTATATCCCAAAAAGTAGATTTAAAAATTTAATCTTGACTGACTTTTAAATGTAACCCATCCTAAAAAGAGCCACTATTAGAAAAATCTAAAGCATTATGTAGTCTTGGTAGAGGCAGAGAAAGTGCTGATTCCATATGCAATTATGAGCTCCCATTCCCTCCTCTTTGGAGAATTAACATATTATGTAAATTATTTTACAAATATGGTGCAGTTGTCATTAATAAAACATGAAAGTGGGATCTGTGATGCCAATTAGCATTTTCATTGTATTTCCTGTCCAGTCACAGCTTACAGCGTATGCTGCTCTGTGAAAAACTGTTACTGTCATCAGAAACCTCTGTTTAGTAGTTACAGCATGAAGAGTGTCTGTGCTGACGTTGGTTGGGGAGGTCTGATGGAGGGTCAGGAGGAGGACAGAGGGTGGTTGGTTGGGTTAACGTCAGTGTCACCACAGCCTATCCTAGTGCCACATACCAATTCCACTTTGTTTTTTGAGTGATGACATTATGAGCTTGTTTATGGATGCTTGCTAAGCAGAAGGTCAAATTTAGATATGGTACAGTTTACGTTCTTCTATGAGGTTGAAATATTGTTAGGTTATGGGATTCAGAATTGTCACTGCAGCATAGTTTGACCTTGAGGCATTCATTCTTTGGTGTTTGTTTTTGAGGAGCAGGTGCAAGTTTTCTCAGTTCTAGCCGGGAGGTTTCTTGTAGGCCGTTGTAGAATACTCCTGAGTTGCTCTTATTGTGGACATTTAAAATGAAAGCTATTTACTTCAAAGTAACCACATCTCTCAGTCCATATGCAAATACTGTTTCAAAGAAAAAGAAGTTCGTCTGTTTTTAGCATCAGTAGTGTAGTAATTGTTGTCAACCTTAACAAATTCTCACGCTGATAGATGAGCAACGTTGATAAATTGCAATGGAAACCCTTGGATGAATATTACCCTGAAAGTTATGTCCCAAGCATGCATCATAAAATTAATTTCTCAGTCTAGTAGAAACAATACTCCTAATAATTAAAAGGCGTCTGCTATCAAGGGGCCAAACGAGAGAGGAATGTAAGTCTCTTGGCTCAGATCAACTCAGATAAAATTATGTAGATTATTCAGCAGAGAAGGGCCCCTGCTGTTGCCTCACTTAACCAGATTACTGGGGGTAATGTGATGGTGACCAGGGATGGGGGTGAGTGAACAAAGGCCAGAGGGTGGTCTGGTAACTCAGCCAGATTGTCCGTGCTGACTATGGCCAATGACTGTTAGCTCTCCCTTTCTCTGAGCCCAGTGGACCTAGGTAGCCAATCAGTGCACACCTCCTCTTATGTTTTGAGGTTCTCATTTTTGTGGTAACCCTTTGTAATGTCATTAGCAGCTCAGAGGTGACAAGGTGCATGCAGAAAGCTCAATTGTCCAGCAGGTAATATCCAAGAGAAGAAAGTGACTAGCCCAGGGCCAGCAGGCGTGCCAGTTACCATGTTTGACAAAACGCTAGCAAGAGGCAGCACCCTCAGAGCTGGGGCATGGCTGTGCCCTCTCTGAGGTTTGAGCTGGTATTTAGTTTTCAAATATTTAACTTTAACCCATTTAATATTTAGTAAGGCTAAAGGAATAAAAGATGAATTATTGAGGATATTAATGTTTTAAAAAACCAAAAAAAAAGTCACAGCCATGCAGCTTTGTATCAAAAACTCATTTCACAGGCATTAATTTTTTAATAACATGCTGATTGTATGGTGAAGTACAATGTTTGCTAATAAGCTCCAGTATTCAGCGGGAAGGCTTTATTATTTTGGGGGCACTAAATAAAATATTTGTTGAATGCTTTCTCATGTCAGTTTCAGAAACTGTTGAAAGAAATTTGAATAGTTAAACTCTGATTTTTTTCTTCTGATTTGTAACCTGAGTGGACTTTGGAAACCCTCTGCCATTGGAAACCTTCCCCATGAGGGGAGAACCTGCTTTTTCAGGACATAACTCAGCAGACAAAGGGATCACTATTAGAAATCATGTTTTCTGGGGGCGAAAGAAGAGGGAGGGGAGCTTGGGTGGGTGAATTAAAGCAGAATCAATAGGTGGGGCTTTGTTAATCAAGAAACCCAGTGCAGGAGTCAGTACAGATGGCAGAGTTGGGGAGGGGCAGGTATCTGGGAGAAGGAAGAGAAAGGCCTGTGGTTAATCCCCTCTTTTTTGTCATAGATGTAATCTGCAATATCATCTTGTATTTATCTTTTATATCTGCATTTGAGAAAAGGGAGGATCTGTCCTTCTATCATTACAACCCCCAGAACCTCTGTAATGCTTCCTCGACAGATATTTGCAATGGTATATGGAAGTGATAATGCTAGAAAACCCTCAGTGGCATATTGTTTTAAAATGAATATGGTAGATAAGATGTAAAAAGAATGTAGGTGAATGAGCTGCAATTTGGAGAACATTGACAGGATGTAGACTAGCAAACATTGTCACTGGGAGAAAATTTTAAGGTTATAAAATCAAATTGAAAAAGAGAGAGAGAATCTTGGCTTTCTGAAACAAAAAGCTTAAATTGTTTTAAGGGGAAAAAGAGAAAAGAGTTAGTTCTTGAGGCAAGCGCTGTGCGATTTACTTTTTGCATAGCGTCAGTGTATGGGGATTTATGCTTGCCCCTCTGCAGGGATGCGATTCTAATGCATATTTATAAGTCTTCCTGAAGCCTCTGCAGCCAAGAAGTGTGGCATGTGAGGACCCTGATCAGGAAGTGAATCCTGTGCCCTGGGCTGAGAGAGACTCCAATTATCACAGACGAGAGACCCTCTGTTCTCTTGGGAGAGACCAAAGCTTGTGTCACTTTTAAAGATCTTTGAGACTCTCCAAGAGCCATGTGGCCTGTTCCAAAAGATGGCATGGGGTTGCAGGCAGGGAACATTGCATTGGTGACAGAGAAAAAAAGAGAGCTCCAAACTAAATGGGAAACGACTCTCTAGAGATTCTCTTTCAACAAGCTGGATGCATTCCTTTTGTGTTTATTCTTTTGAGGGAATGGAAATTAGGTCCTGAGGTGAAGGGCAGTTGTAGTTGTGACAGAAACACACACTCCTGTACTTAGCTTTTCATTGGAGAAAATGCAAGAGAGTGAAAACACCTTTTTAAAAAACATCATTACCTTCCATTTATGGAGCTCGTAAAAATGGTTTGAAGTCGAAAGCAATAATGGTCAATGCTTTAAAACTCTACACATGCAAAATAAACTTACAAAGATCTTTTAAACATGAGGTCACAGGCCCAGAAATGTACATCTAAGTCAACCATCTCAATTTTGTTTTGTACCCATGGAGGGAGGTATTTAAAATGACCCTGGAAAGCAATTTTTATGGCCAACTCTCACAGCCTGGTTTGACCTAACCTACATGTTTGCTTAAGAGATTTCTAGAGAATTCTCAGATGATTTCTTTGGTAGCTTGTGTATTTTTCTGAGATACAACTCGTATTTCAGAGAAAGAAAAGTCTCTCAGGGTAGGCATTAGAGTCATGAAAAACCTTTCATTGCAAATGTTTGTGCCTGGATGGATTTAGAATTGCAGAAAGGTTTTTAATCAGTATCATTTTATTTGAAAATTATCAAAATTTTCAATGAAATAAATCTTTTCCCTTGGGCCTTTTTTTTTTTTTTTGGAGGGGGTGGATGGGAAGCTTGAGGGGTTATCTTACAAAGCCCTGTTACAATACACACACACACATGCACACACGCACACACACACATGCACATACACGCAACTTTGTATAAAATAGTTTATTTTTTAGATCTTTGGGAAGTCTTGGTGTGCACGATGAGGTTTGTCTGACTGGATTGTGTAAATTTGCTTCACACACACACTGCGTCAAGGACCGAGACTCATGAGGCAGAGCCCTGAGCATCTGAGGACTCCCTATCGGTGTCCTCACAAGAGGACACACCAAATGTTTCCCCATTCCTCAGGTTCTCCACCCAAGCCCCAATAACTCTCAACAGATGGCCTTCTCTACAAGCTAAGTAAGGTCAAGATGTCAGGTTACCCGATCTCTCTTTTCCTCCCGCTGATTATGGCCTTTCGTGTTTCATCTCCCATTCTACTTCTTCCCTCATTCTTTCTTTCCCAGATAGGAATATACTCTCTGCAGCAGTGTTCCTCCCCTTGCCATCATCCAGGCTATTCCAGACCTCCCCTTCAAGGCCAAGTGTGTGCAAAAGCAACTCTCCCTTCATCACCACTCCCAATCATTGACTATGTGCAGCTGGCCCTCTAGCCCTCCCACGTGATTGAAACTATTTGTGAAAATCATTCATACACTTAAAATCCTCTGGGGCATTCTTCCCCTTTCCTCCCTCTCTTCTTTCATCCTCCCGTCTGACTCTCCATTTTACTTTCCACAATCCACCACATCCAACTTGCCAATCCACTGTTGCATTGAAACTTTTCATGGAAGTGGATCCTATAGACTCTTCCCAACCCGAAGTTTCCGGACCTGGAGGTGGGTGAGCAAGCATCTGCTAATCCTGCTTGAGACAGTCCCTAATGCTGACACCATGTCCTCCCTCTGTCTACATGACTCGAATGCCTTTTTTCCTATCTGTCTCTTGGACAATGTTCTCCATTTATTTTGCTCAGTCTTCTTTTCCTACCTGAACACACATGTTAGCACTCCTGAGGTTACATCTTCATTCTTCAAGCTGCAAGTTCTCATCCAGCCTTTCCCTCTGGAATTAATCATGGCAGCTACAGGGCACCTGCGCATGGTCTTGGAGTTGTTTCTGCACATGTTATGACGTCTCTGCCTCCGAGAGACAGATAGACAAGAAAAACAAGAAAATTGTCATTTACACTGCAGTGAGATATAAATGTTAGAGAAGGGGCACACAGAGCATCACGGGAACACATCAGAGGAAGCTGGGCAGAGAAATGCTGACAGGAAGAGGAAGGAAAGGGTAATTTCTTGTCTCTTACAAAGAGACAAAAAAGAGCACTATCTTCCAAAATCTGCAGGTAGCTCAGCATGGCTGGAAAACAGTAAAAAAGGAAGATTAAAGTGGTACTAGGCAGGAGATGGGGATGTGAACAGGATTATGATGCATTTTACAAACCATTTTAAAGGAGTTGGTGCTTTAGCATGAGTCACTTAAATATTTCCAGCAAAATAATAAATATAGTCAGCTCTTTTGTGAGTTCCACATCTACGGATTCAACCAACCGGATAGAAAATATTCAGAAAAAAATTGCAACTGTACTGAACATGTACAGACTTTTTCTTGTTATTATTTCCTAAGCAATACAGTATGACAGCTATTCACATAGCATTTATGTTGTATTAGGATTATAAGTAATCTAGAAGTGATTTAAAGTGTATGGAAGGATGTTCATTGGCCATATACCAATACTATGAGATTTTATATCAGGGACGTGAGTATCCTCAGATTTTGGTATCCAAGGGAGATCCTGGAATCAATCTTCTGAAAATACTGATGGATGACTATGATCATCTTTGTACTTTAGAAGCTAGACTCTGACAGCTGAGTAGAAAACAGACCAGAGCAAGCATACATGAGGAAGCAGAAAAATCAATTACGGGTCCAAGAGACAAGGTGAAAACAGTTGAGTAAAGTAGGCAGAGAGAATAGTTGCATGAATTAGCATCATGGCAGCTAGGATGGGCAGATAAAGAGCTTCTTGGCAGGTGGGAAGCCAAGAATTCTTAACTCACTGCTAGTTTAGTATTGCCTGTAAAGTTGGTCAGTGTTTACTGACAGCTTTGGTAGGAAAGTCCTTGGTCAGGCGGTCAGGCTTTGATTGGCCACATCGGTTCTGTGGTGTGGAATGGCGTGGGGTTCTTTGACTAAACAGCCAAGGTTGGCTGGCCTGGGCTGAGGGGCAACACAGCGACCCTATCACAGGAAGAGTATTCCTGGTGAGAAGAAGAAAGGGAGGGTAAGAAATGTAAAACAAAGTATTTCTGTGGCATATAGCTCAGCATTTTTTTTCCTCCAATTTAAAGCACCTCTCCTGCATTTCTGGCTGCATTAGGAAATAAATGTAAATAAAGGAATCTATTTTAAAAAATGAAATTACAGGCTGGGCATGGTGGCTCATGCCTATAATCCCAGTATTTGGGGAGGCCAAGGCGGGTGGATCACTTGAGGCCAGGAGTTTGAGACCAGCCTGGCAACATAGCAAAACCCCATCTCTAATTTAAAAAAAGAAAAAAATTATCTGGGCGTGGTGGTGCATGCCAGCTCTTGGGAGGTACTAGGGAGCTGGGTGGTAATCCCAGCTCTTGGGAGGCTGAGGCACAAGAATTGCTTGAACTTGGGAGGCAGAGGTTGCAGTGAGTGGAGATTGTGCCACTACACTCCAGCCTGGGCGTTTATCACATAGCTAAATAATTAAATGCGCCCACGTTAGATTTGAATGTGTCCCCTCTCAAATTCAGGTGTTGCCAATGTGATGGTATTAAAACGTGGCGCCTTTAGGTTGTGATTAGGCTATGAGGGCTCCTCCTTGTGACAGGGATTAGGTACCCTGATAGAGGGCTTCACTGAGGGAGCTCTTCTCCTTCTGCCCTCTTGCCTTCTCCCTGCGAGGACACGATGTTGAAGGCCGGAATGAGAAGCAGAGAGCAGCCCTCACCACACAGCCGAACCTCACTGTGCCTGACTCTTAGACTCCCAGCCTCCAGAACTATGAGAAAGAGATGCCTGTTGCTTATCAATCTCCCCATCTGTCATATTTTGTTACAGCAGCATGGACAGACTAAGACACTGCATTGCAGCACACAGCTCAGTAATCGTGTGCACAGCTCTGTCTTCAAATAGAAAAGATAAGATGCTTTTATTGTTCAGAGCAGAACGTTTCTAACTCATGAGCACTTTCCAGAAGCAAAGCCACCCTTGTCTGCAGAACCCCTCTGTCCCTGGAATCACATCTGTCACCATCAGTGCTCATCCATCCCCTTCTGTTTTGTGCTTTGCTCGGTGAATTTCCAAAGTTGCATGTGGGATAGCATCAGAAAGGAAGGAGGAAGAGTGAAAGGAAGGAAGAAGAGAATCGGTCTTCAATAGTCAGCATTATCAGATAGTGCACAGTTTATATAATATGGTGGTCACAGCAGGGAGCATGAGGTTTATCTTTGTTCTGCCAATAATATGTGTGCCCCTCGTCTGTCGCAGAGCTCTGCTAGGGCTACAAATGCAGAAATGAGTCAAATCATCTTCGGTCGTGAAATTCACTTCTAGGAAGATGACTCTGCAATCCCAGCTACGGTGCAATAGAGTGAGTGCTGTAATAGAGCACCAAGAGAAAAAGTCTATGCAAAAGGTTTCTAATCCCAAGCATCTGTTTATTAAAAAATAAAAGAAGTTATACAAAATAAAAATAATTTCAAGATATCTTATGTTACATGATTTGCAAATTACATTAAAGCCGAAGGATCTCATTTAGGAGGTGCATGTGTGGATACGGACAGCCTCAGTGGCCCTCACTCCCTGTACTTCTGACAGAGAGACAGATGCTGGGATTGTGGAAATGCACCATCAGAGAGAGAAAGACCCACTCACCCAATCCCAGTGTGGTGTGTGGTTCAGAAGCCTTAACAGGATGTGCAGATGTGTGTGTCCCATCAAGGGACAAGCCTTTGCTCACAGTCATGGAGAGATCATTGTAGTGGAATCTGACCTTCAAGCATTGGCGAGTGTTTATCAGTCAAACATTCTGTCCTTCCTCAAGTGGGAGGAAACACAAGGCAAAACCAGAAAACAAAGCAGAAGCTCCCTTTAAAAGGAACTCAGTGGGTGAGGAGTCTCTGGAGATGAATAGCTCTAAATGCGTTTGTTGAAAGTGTGCTATTTATTATTATTATTACTGCAAAAAATGCATCACATGAGACCCACCCTCTGAACACGTTTTTGAGTGTGCAGCACAGCAGCATTGACTCCAGGGACAGTGCTGTGCAGCAGATTTCCAGAACTTTCCATCTTGTGAGACGGAAACTCCGTTCCTGTGGACCTCTGCATCGCTGCTCTTTCTACCTTCCCCAGACCCCAGCAGCCACCGTTCTATTTAGAGAATGTGCTATTTTTTGATATTCCTTATTTTAGGACAGATCTTCTTATGAATAATATTTATGAGATATAAGATTGCAGTGATTTGGGGTGGGTTTTGGGATCGGAATTCCTCCTTGTTCCTTCTGTTCTCTGAAGATCCCTGCTGAGCTTGCCATGCACACAAATGTCTACAGCTGAGAGTGAAGCGGAATGCGACTTTCCAGACAGTGGGGCCAGCCCCTGATGCTCCCTGATATCTGGTGAATGCTGAATTCAACAATTTGGGTTAATGATTCAGCAAAGTTAAGAGCTGGTACGCAAGGCTTTTTGCTTCTTAGTCTTTCCCTGAAGTCAGACTCCATTTAGCCATGTAACTGCAGAGGGTATCAAGGTAGGCTAGGGATGAGGGGCCACACTCCGCCCACTTACTGTGGATCTCATCTGCAAAATGCCAACAGATCTGGCCACTTACCAAAGTAACCTCATCGAAGAGTGTTTTTTTTCCATGAGGCAGCAATCCTACCCACTACTAATGCCTGGCCCAAGAGTCTACCTCATAGAATTAGAATTTCCTCCAATGTGGCATAGGGTAGGTGGCTCAGCAGAAGGTGTATGTGTGTATCACGCTCATAGCTCCAGAGAAATGGAGAGAAACAGAGAGAGAACTTTGAGCCCAAATCCCTTCTTTCTTTGGGCAGACCTAGAGCAAGAAGAGAAGTGAGTCCCTGCCTTAAATCTCATTAGGCATGAGGATGAAGGGGATGAAGAGGATACACGTAAGAGCCAGATTTCTCTGACTACATTATTCTGCCCTCAGGGAGCTTAGAGTCTAGACAACAGTGACACTGATTAAACAAAGTGATAATTGATCATGCAAATTAGCCTTATACATGAGTAATGTTACACAAGTTCAAGAGCGAGGATGCTAATATGGTGTAGTCAGGGAAGGTCTCGTATTGGAGGCAGGATTTTAATTAAACTTTGAGTGATGAATTTCATTTCAATAAAAAAGAGAGAGAAAGTTATTTTAGATGGGTCAACCTAAAGCAATATTAACTCTTATGTTTCTTATCTGGTCTTTTAAGAAGCCCTCAGATATTAGGGTTTGGAAGTTGTGACAATGACCAAGTAGCCTCACAATTTCATATAAACATTTCCATTTGTTTTTTAGAAAGAAATGTAGTTTTTGTAGAAGCAATCAAGAAACAGGCCTTCACCAAATGTCACCCCTCTTCCATTTAATGGCTATTCATTATACAGTCCATGGCACAGGACTTCACCAAATGTCACCCCTCTTCCATTTAGTGGCTATTCATTATACAGTCCATGGCAGTAGTGTAAGCAATTGCCCAGATAATTAATAGTTTTCTTGTCATTAACCACTTTAGTGATGGTAAAGCTAGAACTGGAAATGTTAAAATAAAGATTCCCCAAGCATTAGAGGAATTGAAGTGGAAAACGTTTGCTATTTGAAGTTGTATCTCCTCGCTCTATGTCCAGACGAGGATGCGGTTGGTGCCTTCGAGCCTTGGTGTATTGGGTTGTATGGCCAGAGTGTTGCTACAGCCACACCCCCGGGCAGGAAGTCTGTCATAAGCATTCCAGTCATGGCTTTGGGCGTATGGGCTTTGGGCATTGCCCTAATCTGAGATAAAGGTGCGTGGAATTAAGGAAGCTGGCCTTCCTCAAGGTTCTCCAGCATCCCACCGTGCATCACTGTTAGTATTTTCATTTTTCAGATGATGAGAAACCTAAGGCTTCTTGGAGATTCACCTGGATAGAAGCTGGGTGCATTCTTCACACTCCATCTTTCCAAGTCCAGCTCCCAGTGCCAGGACTCAGGATGTGGCACCTGAAGGCAAAGTCAGTCTCATTTCACTCTCACCACACATGCCTTATAAACTGCATCTCCCTCCAGACTCAGGAACCCAGATATTTTAGACCAAGACATTTACATCGGCATGGAAAGTTGGAAAGATCACCTTTTCAGAATCCAGTTGTTAATTAAACAACCTTCCAGAAATGACTAGAGGTCTCTCAGCCTCAGTTTCTCCCTCTGTAAACATCAGGAATGATGATCTTGATCCCACATAGAATTATGATAATGTGTAGGTAATTTTATTATATGAATTTTTAAATTAAATGCATTTGTTTATTAATCAAACCCTATTTGTCAAGCGCCTAATATGGGCCATGAATGATGCTAGCCAAGGTGTAAGAGAGGTGAATACAGCGGATTCACTTCCTCTCTCATGGAGCTTACAAGTACATAGAAGAGGCAGGTAGTACATTTAAATACATAAACAAATGTGTATAAATAGGTGCTTTGAGGGAGGTTAGCATGAGAGTCCAGTTGGCTTTTCAGAACCAGGGTAACTGTCTTTGAGAAAGTTACATTGAAGCTGACATCTGAGGAATGGTTGGGTAAATCCAGCAGAGAAGAAGACAGCACATTCCAGACGGATGGGAGCAGCGTGGGGAGAGTCCTGGAGTGAGAATGACCGTGGTGAGGGTGTGAATGGAGGCCATTGTGCCGGGCTCGGTGGCTCACACCTGTAATCCCAGTACGTTGGGAGGCTGAGGCGGGTGGATCACCTGAGGTCAGGAGTTTAAGACCAGCTTGGCCAACATGGCAAAAAAACGTCTCTACTAAAAATACAAAAATTAGTCACGCGTGGTGGTGCATGCCTGTAATCTCAGCTTCTCGGGAGGCTGAGGAAGGAGAATCACTTGAACCTGGGAGGTGGAGGTTGCAGTGAGCTGAGATGGCACCACTGCACTCCAGCCTGTGCAACAGGAGTGAGACTCCATCTCAAAAAAAAAAAAAAAAAAAAAAAAAAAGAAAGGAGGCCACTGTGGTTCAAGCACACCGCACCAAGCAGGTGAGAGGTGCCCAAGGCGTCTGGAGACGTGGCACGTTTCACGCCCTGGAGGTCCCACAGAGAACGGGGCTACGATCAAAGCAAGGGAAGCCCCTCAGTGCCTCTGCCGTCCACACCTTGTCCCTCCCACTGGATGATAAACTCCGTGAAGCTGGAAACCAAATGAACGTGCTCTTGCCTCTCCCATAGCAGCAGATACGCTGATTTGTTTGCTAAATATTTGCTAACTAGCATGTCCCAAGTTACATACATAGGAACAGTACTTTATGAAGTATTTTTCTCAGGCTTTACCTCAGCGTAAAAGGACCTTGAACTGCATGAAGAATGGAATGTTAATTTTGTTCCATTAAACTAGGTACGTTGTAAAATTAGAGGCAAATACTTCACCTAGTGTAGTGTATATGTATATTTGAGTAACGACGAATAGCTCCACATATTACATTTCCTTCCTTTTGAAGTGTTTCAGATTTGTTATTCCTAGTTCCCTTTGGGTTTTCTAGGATATTACAATGATGCTGGTGAATGTTTCACGTAGCTCTTGGCTGTCATTTCACAGAAAGGAAAACAAATAGAAAGATCTCAGGGTAATTGTCTATATGTTCTGGACAGGGATCAGTAGCCATTCTGTAAGCTTGTATTCCTTGTCTAGCAGACATCAAACCCAGCAGTGGATGTTTTATTTTATTGCTTATAATGTGAACAATGGGGGCTTCCTCTCTGTGGACTTCATAATAGTCCTATTATCATTCCTTCTGCTACCTTTATTTATTGCTCTTAACACTAGAGAATGATAATTTGATACCTCCCTCCGCAAAAGGTTTTGAAGAAATAGAAAAGCTCAAATTCTAATTATGTTTTATATGTGTTCTCAAGGTATTTCTTGATGAATACATCCTTTTGTAAATTTATCATTAAAACAATTAGGCATAAAAATGGATTTGATGCAAATTCTCTAAGTGGTTGATCACACAGTTGGATCCCTTTTTCTCTATTTTGAGTAAAAAAATGCTGAGGGATTTGCTTTGCTTTCACTTAAGCCATCATTGCCATGTGAAAAATATTTTATTATAAAACTTTTTTAGTGTTATCATTTGAGGAAAGTGAGTGTTTGAGGGAAGGATAAATGGTAGGGTGGTACAAAAGGAAAGTAAACTTTGTATATACTGAGAATTCAGTGGTTACATAAAGCTTTTTGTGTTATGAAGTTGAAAATATTAAATTAATAAATATGAATTGAATGGCAATGAAGATATAGTAGTGACCAAACAATGTCACTTCCTTTTCTTTTTTTTTTTTTAGATGGAGTTTTGCTCTTGTTACCCAGGCTGGAGTGCGATGGTGCAATCTCAGCTCACTGCAACCTCCACCTTCCGGGTTCAAGCAATTCTCCTGCCTCAACCTCCCGAGTAGCTGGGATTACGGGCATGTGCCACCACACCCGGCTAATTTGGTATTTTTAGTAGACACAGGGTTTCTCTATGTTGATCAGGCTGGTCTCAAACTCCCAACCTCAGGTGATCCGCCCGCCTCGGCCTCCCAAAGTGCTGGGATTACAGGTGTGAGCCACCGCACCCGGCCAACCTTTTCAATTCTCAAGAGCAGCGGTCTTGACCCTCTTCTCTTCTGGATCACTGCTTATTCTCCTGGTAATTTTTGTCCAGTCCCTGGGATGTAAAAGACATCAGTGTCCTGAAGCCCCCACAGGCCTCTTTCCCAAGCCCCAGTGCTGTTTAACCAGCTGGCATCTCAGCATCTCCCTTTGACTGTCTCACGGACACCAGGAACTCAGCACGTCCAAGACTGACTTCTGATCTGTCCCATGTAAGTTGCCCCGTCTGCAGCCCTCCCCTCTCTAAGCGAGGCAGCAAGTTTTCCTATTGCTCAGGCCACCAAACCATCTATTGGAAAATCCTTTTGGTTTTGCCCTCCAAATACTCTGCATTTAAAACCAAACACTTTTCACTCCTCCACTGTGGCCCCTCTGCTCCAAGCCCTCAAACACTCTTGCCTGGACTGCTCCAATCACCTCCTCATTGGTCTGCCTTCTTTTACTCTTCCTTGCTTCTTTTCTATTTTGACACGATAACTAGAGTGAACCCTTTAATCAGAACCCCGCAGAGGCTCACCTTTTCAACTGGAATAACTGCCAGAGTTTTTAAAAGGACTACAAGGCCCTATCTGGTCTGACCTTGTTGGTGGCAACACTCTCCCTCTCTCACCCACTCTGCTTCAGCCACCCTCGCTTCCTCCCTGTTCTTTAAACAAATGAAGAATGTGCTGGCCTCAGGGCCTTTGCACTACCTGGCTCCTCTGCCAGAACACTCTTTCCCCAGACAGCCTTCAGGTCATTGTCCAAGTCTTCTCACTGAAGTATATCCAGGCAACCCTGTTTAAAACGATGACCTTCCGCTGTCACTTCCGGCTCTCTTTAGTCTGATATAACTTCTGTTTTTCTGTATCACGTAGCATTTTCTAACATGTTCTGTAATTAATTGTCTATTATGCCCAGTATTTATTATCTACCCTCCTTCTGATAGAATGACAACCTATGAAGGAAGGCAGTTGGGTCTATTTTGTTCAGTTGTGTTTATCCAAGAACTTAGAACAGTGCCTGGCACACAGAAGATAAACCAGTCATTGGCATTAGAATGCCCACTGAAGAAAAGATAAATGTTCAAATGTTGAAATAGAGGGGTTTCTACTCACATCAGCATTATGATGGCATGCAGATAACCGTGATAAAAAATTGAGGAAAACTATTCTTCGATGGTGGTGGAGAAGAAACGCCTTGGAAGGAGGTTTTGGGGCTCAGCAATTTAAGTTAAGGAGATAAACTGAGGGGTTCAGAACCGAGAAGTGACAAGTAGCCCTTGGGCAAGAAGAAGGCGCTGCAACTCTTGAGAGTTTAAGAGCGAAACTGAAGCCAGAGGTGAAGGTGGGCTTGATAGAGGCTGGTGCATGTTCTGGAAACTGATAGATGTAAATCAGGCATTAGTTTCTAGGATGAGTGAATTTGTCCTTCTCTACCTAATTTTCCCAATTTGTGGAGTGGGAATGATCTTGCTTTCTCAGTGCTTTCAAGTGATATCAAGTGCAAAAGAGAAGGGCAGGGAGCAGCCCAGTAGATCAGTATTCCCCAGGATAAAGAGCTCTATAAATATAAGGTTTAGCTGTGATGGTTCAGCAAGTCTACAGAGGCACAGCTGGTTCATACCTGCGTTGCAGGCCTACTTTCAATATGACCTACCAAAACATGTGATTGTCAGCAAAACATTTTCTATCGCCTTGCTTTTGCTGATTTGCATCGTATAATATTTATGGTCCCTCTGACAACAAAACTGCCCAGTGATTAGAAAGGTTAATATGAAAAAATGACTGATGCAGTGAAGACTGGCTTTAGTTCAGAAAGCTCCTGAGAATTTTATATTCCAGAAGAATCTTGAGGATAAAACTGAATAAAGTATGTTTCTTCCTATTAGGAAGAAAGGGCAGATATTTCCTTAGCTTTTTAGTATTGATACTTTAGGAACTATGTCAAATTACATAAAATGCTACCCCACTTCAGAAGGATTGCATATTTGTAAATCTCTAAGTACTATACCTTTTCAGTTTTAAAAAAATTTTTGCCACCTGATTGTCAATAGTTATCTATTGAAGTTTTTATCCTCCAATTAGATGTAAAAGTGCCAGCAGAAAATTCTCTTTAGCACAGAGTTTTATATACTGTTAGAGAGATATAAAATTATTCCTCAATGTTTGTCTCCTGTGTTAATTCCACAAATTGTTATGATTAAAAATCTATGGGCAAAGTATTTCCTTAATGTCTGGGTCAATTGGACAAGTACAAGTCAGTACCTCTAATCTTGGAGGATTTAATTCAATTGCTGAAACCACATTGGGGAAAATTAGAGAAAGGGCATAGGCTACTGGACAGAAAGAACACCTCACAGATGAGGGAGACAGCCATTGAATTTTAGATCTGAAGAATGTCAGTCCAAACGTGTCCCCTCAAGTATGAAAAAATGGAAGTAGGGAGAAGTTAAAGGATTTATGTAGAATGCAGGTTGAGTGAAAATGGAATAGCATCCTTAGCTGACCAGCAAATATGTCAGTGCTTCTTTAATGACACTGGAAACTAGAGATGGAGAACATTGATAGGTACAAATAAAAGGACTGGAGACATAATCACCAGCCAACAGTCTGAGTTAGGTTACCAAAGACCCAATGGTCAGGTCAGGTGCCTGGTCTGAAGTGGGTGGAGGCTGGGTCTCACAGAGCCAGCTCACAAGAGCGGAGGGTTTGAGCTGGTGTCACGGCAATAGGATGGCACTGCCTCACCTTCCAGCACAGACGGGAGGCCTCACTGTCTTGTTCTTCCCATTGGTTCTTGCCACCGTCGTCCTCTGGGCCCTTTGGATTTTCCTTCACTCCATCATTCCCATCCCGCCCCTGATGGTTCTGCTCACTCTCGCAGCTCCTAACCAGGCCCCTTGGGCGCTCTGTAGGCTGAATGCAGCCAGCCTTCCTCGCATGCGTGTAAGTGTTGATGGGATTACGTTGGTTAGTGTTTTGCTCTTTCTGAGTATTTTTTCCCTAATTGACTTGAAATTGTTTGATAATTCCTTTGTTTTATATCCACCATTCTCAACTTTATCAAATTGCTATTACCAAACATAGTTTTAATCAGGACATTCTCCAGCTCAACAAACAGCAATAACAACAACAACACACACACACACAAACACACACAGCTCTAAAGATTTATAATGTCAGCAATAAATTTCAACTCTCTTTGCTAGTCGTTCAAGAGCCCTACAATTTAGTATCAAATACCATTTCTTCCTTATCTAGTCATCTTCCTGGTGTGATTTTCTTTTCTGTGGAGGGTGAAAAGATGAGTCTTGGCTGATTATTTTAGGCAACCTTCTATTTGTGCTTTTGCTCCAGCCATTTGCCTACCTGGATTACCTTTTCTCTTACTGATTTCTGTCAACATTGTTCCATGCTTTCAACCCCCACAAGTGCACCAGTTTTTTTTATGGAATCTCTCTGAATCCCTGTCCTCCTGAACCACTATACATGATACTCATACCCATATTCTACTTAAATCAGTAGCCATAATCTTCCTTGTGTTGGAATTACTTAAGCATTCATACAGGAAAGTGTCTGTCTATGAATCACGTCAAAGTGTAAAACCTTACTGATATGGTTTGGCTCTGTGTCCCCACCCAAATCTCATCTTGAATTACAATTCCTACATATTGAGGGAGGGACCTGGTGGGAAATGATTGGCTCATGGGGGTGGTTTCCCCTGTGATTTTCTCATAATAGTGAGTGAGCTCCCAGGAGATCTCATGGTTTAAAAGTTCTTGGCACTTCCCTCCTCACTCTCTCTCTCTCCTGCCGCCTTGTGAAGAAGGTGCCCGCTTCCCCTTCACCTTCCACCCTGATTGTAAGTTTCCTGAGACCTCCCCAGCCATGCAGAACTGTGATTCAATTAAACCTCTTCTCTTTATAAATTACCTAGTCCCAGGTAGTTCTTTATAGCAGTGTGAAAATGGACTAATACACTTACATGCTGGATGTAGCCAAACAAAAAATAAAAAGTTTTCAAGGCTGACTGACTAAATGAATTTTTAAAATTCCCCTTGTATGATCCCTGTCACAGTTCCCTGCACATGGGTTAAGCATCATTTCCACTGGGATATGATCATCTAAGAGTCATTCTGTATTGCTGTCTTGCATGCATTTAGATGTATAATTTTTGAGTAGATTTCAATGATGTCGTAATAGATTATTTTTTTTTAAATTTTTTAAAAATGTATATCCAGATGGATAAAAACCCTTTTAACTGACTTTTTAAAAGACAATCTTTCTAAAGACTGTGTCAAGAGGTTAAATTATAGTATGGAGAAACAGCATTAAAAGAACTCTTGGTAACCTAAGTTAATACTCCTGGTTTTCAGGCCCACCATTTGAAAGCTGGTTTCAGCAATTTTCTTGCTCTTATAACTTGATGGTAAATAACACTAGAAAACATACTGAAAAGGAACCAAATGTTCAGTCACTGAAATAACCTTTACCATGAAAAAATAAAATAAAAGCTTAAGGGTAAATTTATTTCTCATCTCAGGATTCAGAAATCCAGCTTCAAATATATACAATAGTTTCAAGCTTTACTGAGCCAGAGCTATGCCATTAGTTATGGATGACATTATGTTTTAAACAAACACAAATTGTATTGCCCTCACCTTTAGAAGCTCCTGAAGCAAATGTTTTATTCGCAGTGAGAATCATTTTGCATAGCTTATATCCTTCAATTACCAGAAGAGCCATGGTAGTATCATACCACCCCAAAATACAATGTTGTCTTGTGGATACCCGATTTTCCTTTGTAATATGTTCTGTAATTTAATGGATAGGAAGAATATAGTTCTCTATCCAGTTCCACAGATAACTCCATAGATGGGATGGTGAGGGGAGACTTCATCTCCAGGACAAGGATTGCTCATATTCGGACATTTCCCCCTCTCCTGGGCTCAAAGTAACTATCACTGATGGGTGAATGCTTTTCCTCTCAGTGCAGACGCAGCTTAAGAATTTGCTAAGATGGGCTGGGTGCGGTGGCTCATGCCTGTAATCCCAGTGCTTTGAGAGGCCGAGGCAGGTGGATCACTTGAGGCCAGGAGTTCGAGACCAGCCTGGCCAACATGGTGAAACCCTGTCTCTACTAAAAATACAAAAATTAGCCAGGCTTGGTGGTGGTGCACACCTGTAGTCCTAGCTACTCGAGAGGCTGAGGCAGGAGAATGACTTGAACTCAAGAAGTGGAGGTTGCAGTGAGCCGAGATTTTACCACGGCACTTCAGCCTGGGTGTTGCCGCGAGTGTCCGTCTCAAAAAATAATAATAATAATAATAATAATAATAATAATAATAATAATAATAAAGAATTTGCTAAGATGTAGTACTCCAGTGAGACACTAGCAATGATGGAAGAGGCTCACCTAGTATCTCAGTGATTGCTGAGATCACAATTAGTAAGTCTTTCTTTGGGGTTACCTTGGACTTGAGTGGGTTGGTCTGGGTTATTTTATTCTACTCTTTTCCATTCTATTTTATTCTCCCCTGAAAGTTCAAAGTGCTTTGAAAATTCATTCAACCCTTCCTTTGCTGGACTTGTGAGTGGTGTTTGGACAGCAAGGCCATGAGCCCTGCCCTTTCCTACAGCCCAGCAGTCACTTTTCCAGTGGGCTGATTGTCCATTTCACCTTTGCAGTCCAGCCTCCCAGATGGTGCGTGGTGAGAAGGAAGGGGCTTCTCTGCAGGAATGAACCACCTCAGTCATTGTTCACACGAGAAGTCAAAACACCGACAGGAAAGCTCACTTTGGATGCAGGGTTTGGTCATCTATCGACGGCCTGTCCTGACATCAGCTGCCATGGTATCCAGTTCACAGCTTCAGGTCTTCTCCACGTGGCTCACAAATCTCTCAACCACCTGCCAACAGAGATGGTAGTTTAATTAAAAGGGATACTGGATCTGGAGTCAAAAGGGCTACATTCAGACCCAGTGTTTTATCATTTATCTTTTTGACAAACATCTGTTGAGAACTTATTATGTTTTGGATACTTTTGCATTTGTTGTCTCACTTAACTTCACAACGGCCTTTAAGCAGGTTCACTTGTTATCCACATTTGCTGTTATGGAAATTAAGGCAGAGATGCTAAGTAGAATGGTACACAGGGAACATGCAGAAGCTGCCATCTGAACCCGCCTCCAGCCAGCCCCAGAGAGGATGCTCTCCATGAAGATGCTGAGTCGCCCCCTTGCCAGCTGCACAACTTTGGGCAAATGACACAGCATCCACCCTTAGACTCCCATCAGAGTTTCAGTTTTCTTGTGTGAAAAATTGAGGATGAAGGCAATAACTCCCTCGGGGGATTTTAGTGTTTGTTAAAAGAGATGTGAACATTCTTTACAAGCATTACGGGTTTATAAAAAATGAAGGAAGAAAGAGAGCACAGTTAGGAAGAGGGGAACTGGTGAGAGGTAACCAGGCCATGAGTGCACTGTACCTGTCCTCAGAACGTCCATGCTTCCTGCATATGAGAGGCAGCAGAGCTCACATTTTCTCTCTAGTCCTGGGCTTTATGAATATCAGACCGCTGACAGAATAGCAATGGTACATAAAATTGGTTGGGCATGGAGGCTCATGCCTGTAATCTCAGCACTTTGGGAGGCCAAGGCAGATAGATCACTTGAGGTCAGGGGTTTGAAACCAGCCTGGGAAACATCATGAAACCCCATCTCTACTAAAAATACAAAAGTTAGCTGGGTGTGGTGGTGGGCACCTGTAATCCCTGCTACTCGGGAGGCTGAGCCACAAGAATCACTTGAGCCTGGGAGGTGGAGGTTGCAGTGAGCTGAGATCGCACCACTACACTCCAACCTGGGTGACAGAGCAAGGCTCTGTCTTTAAAAAACAAACAAACCTATAAAATTGATATTAGGGCCGAGCACAGTGGCTCATGCCTGTAATCCCAGTGCTTTGGGGAGCTGAGGTGGGAGCATGACTTTAGCCCAGGAGTTTGAGACCAGCCTAGATAGCATAAAGAGACCTCATCTCTAAAAATTAAAAACAAAATTAGCTGGGTACAGTGGCACATGCCTGTGATCCCAGCTACTCAGGAGGCTGGCAGGAGGATCAGGAGGTCGAGGTCGCAGTGAGCTGTAATTGCACCACTGCACTTCAGCCTTAGTGACAGAGCCAGACCCCGTCTCAAAAAAATTGATATTAAAACAGAAGCATTTATATCACATATAAATAAATTCATGGAAAATAGAGAAATAGAAAATGAAAGAAAGGAAGAAACGTTCTCCGTTCCATTAAGTAAAAGATTATAATCATAATGGTAATAGGTTTTTTGAGTATCAAGACTTCAAGGAAAATTTTTATCAGCTCCTTATTGACTGTGATGATTGGGAACAGCAGTGAAAATCTAGGCTTCAAAAATTTATCTTTTGCTTTTTTTTTTTTTTTTTGCTGTCAGTCCCTGGGGTAGAAAAACTATTTCATCTATTTTAAAAAAGGAAGGTTTACAAAATACTTATAAGACAAAAAAGATAAAATCAATAGGTAAGGCGATCTGGGCAAGAAGAAAATATAACAAGTCAGGCAGGACCCAGGATGACCCCTGTGGCCAAACAGGTGGAGGGGCAGGCAACACCTTTTTCTCCAGGTCTTTCTGGCAATCAAGTCAAAGATGGATACATGATTTCCAGTATGATAAGATTAAACAGACAGCAAACGAGCAGCCAGGCAGGAAGAGCACGTCTTCTTCTAATACTTACATACAAGTGGGGTTTTTCCCATGGGTCCTCAAATACTGAACATGTGAAATCATGGGGACTTCCATATTAAATAACTTTAATACATTTCAGGAGGATGGTTCTTAAAATGTCCTTCAATGCAGTTCTGTGAAAAGGCGAAGCAATGTGATCCAGGTATAGAGTCTTCTGATGGTCTAACCTGGTCCTGGTGGAAAATAAACCTACAGTTTTCCTAACATTTCAGAGAAGCCAGTCAAGGGGATCATTGTTCCTTTCCACCTGGTGGATGAGAAATCGGGAAACAGAGAGTAAGCGCAGACTACCAGACTTAGAGCCAGGAGGCACAGGGCTCAGAGTCACTGACAGAGCTCATACCCTGACCCACAAGTTGCAAAAATGATCCACTGACTGATGTGGTGCCACTTTGCTGGATTACACTCACTCCGTAGAGGCCAGCGTGAGATGGATGTGAAAATTGAGAGCTGATTTCAGGCACAAAGGAAGCTGAAGCTCAACAAAGATCAAGTTCCTTCAGCAAAGGCTGCCAGCCATTCCTACAGTCTTCAA
The DNA here is from genome assembly GCF_000001405.40 of Homo sapiens. Lineage (NCBI taxonomy): Eukaryota > Metazoa > Chordata > Mammalia > Primates > Hominidae > Homo > Homo sapiens. The sequence continues at coordinate 109,528,076 of NC_000013.11, read as the reverse complement.
CAGTCTGTGGGCTAATTAGACTCTCTAAGTAATCAACTACTCATGGAACTATTCCATGAATTTTTATTATGTCTACTTTATCCTAGGAACCATGCTAAGCACTTGTGTATGAGATCATTCCTGACTTCATGGAGCTTATCCTTATACCCAGAAAATTGACACAGTGCATAGTCCTCTAAGATAAGGAAGTCAGGGATGTCATGGGAGCAGAGGGCTGAGGAAGGGTCTCTCAGGGCAAAATCATTCAACGTGAGAATCAAGGATGAATAAGAACTAGCCAAGTGAAGGCAGTGACAATAGACAGATGAGGTATGTGCCAGACAGGCAGCTGGAAGGACTGGGCCACATTTGTGGAAGGGAAAGAATTCGACTATGCCTGCAAGGTGCAGGTGTTAGAAAAATGGTGAACAGCACAAAGAAAGTCAGGAATGAACAGGAAGAAAGAAGAGTATAAGAAAGGAAACAGAAAACAAAATGTTTGACACATTGGTGTTAGTCCTTTTTTAAAAAAATTCATTGGGAGTGGCTTAAAATATTAAAAGATAACACTCTCAGACTAGATATCCAAAAATGCAAAAGCCAACCATATGTCACTAAATTTAAAAATACATGAAGAAGATGTACCTGAAAAAATGCAGCGAAGAAGGCAGGACAGCAGGAAGAAAGGCAGGAAGAGAGGGAAAAAAGAAGGAAAAGGGAAAACCGAAGTGGGTATAAATATAATCAGGGAAGGTATAATTCATGACCCTGATTAAAAAGAAAACGTAGATTTGAAAAATGCAAATGTAACATGGAAATAAAATGTCATTGAATTTTCAAATATGAGGAACATTTGCTTTTTTCCTCTAGTCCTGCCAGGCAAGATAGAGTATGGGTTGTAGCAAGCAACTCCAGCACCATTTGAAAATCAGATATGCTTTTAGCTCTGGTGTTGGTGTGCTGCTGTTCCGACTGCCTGTAATTGTGGTCATTACAACTTGGTGTATTTCTGTGCAAGGTGGGTCCACTTTCACACAGGGAAGATAATCCTTGGCAGAGATGAGTGAAGATGCTTTTAAAGAGTGTAATTAAGTCAAAGGCCCCCTTTGTCTCATTCCAACAACAGAAGTTTGAAACGTTTAGGTGAAATGTTTGGGGGACTAAAATGAGGGGCAGTGCAAATTGGTTTTAGGGGCACCATATCTTTCTGCAGGAGTTCTCTTGGGGATTCTTTCATCATTGCAGATTTAGTCAATAAACTGACAGCCAATGCAACAACTTTGAAATCCCATGGACGCAGGGTGGAAAGTTTCTAACAGAAAGATGGATGTTTGAGTCAAGTTGAGATGATTGACAGTGGGAGAACAGAGATGACCCTGTGCCAGGGGAAAAGTGACGTGGCTCAGTAGCAAAGGGTGAAAGGTAGACACAGTGTGGGTGGGACTGGTTTTTCACTCACACTCCAGCCCATGGTGTTCCAGCCAGACACGTTTGCACACACAGCACCCAAGGATGATTCCTGCCTTGCTGACATGAAGTAGAGCTCAGGACAGTCAAGGCATTGCATTGATTTTCCCTACAGAAAGAGGTTGTCTGGTGGAATAGACAGTGAATAACTAAGTTAAGCAATTAAATTAAGGTGGATTAATTTCATTCCTCCAAGCATAAACCTGGAATGTAAGGTAGTGGTAGGAAGAAGTAGTAGGCAAACGTCCAGACTTGGCTTCGTATCCAGCATCTGGCACTACGTTGCGGTGACCCTGGTCTCGGATTCTCTATGTGTCTGTGGGGGTGTGACAGATGGTCCTGTAGTCTAGCTTTAACTCCATGCTACACTGCAACTGCAGATACGGGGCAAGGTGTCCACTCTGGTCCTTTTGTGAGTAAGGTAGGAGATTATGCTCCTACCATCAAATGGTAGTTATTTGCCATTTAAGGATTTCTGGCCAGGAGATAGAAGGGGTAAAATGCTGGACTGGAGTGCGTTTACAGAGGGCACAGGAAGGGGACATACAAACTGACAATCTTGGCAGTGGGTATTAATAGTTAGTGCCACAATGAATCATACCATTGCATGCCATCTTTTATCATTTCACATGGACACAAGCTAACATCCTAACTAGGTTCTTAAAGTGAATATGCACATTTGTTACACTATGGGTCATCCTTGTGCACCTGTTTTATCTACCATTTCAGCAGCCGTGTGCTTCTCCCAGAAAAGACAATTCGTGTGTGTGTGTGTGTGTGTGTGTGTGTGTGTGATTTTTGTATCTAATTATGTTGTGCATAGATACTTGATAGTACACATACTTGATATTACATATACACATAAATACATACATATAATTTACATATATGTAAACAATTTATACTACATAAAGCAAATAAAAATTTTGTTGTGGTGATTTCCAGACCAAATGACAGAAGGTGAGAGAACCAGATGCATTACCACAGACACCTGTTGGGAGAGGACGCTTGAGACTGTTTTGACAAGAAGCAAAAACTCAGAGAACTCTGTGAAGTCTCTAAGAAAAGGCCAGGAGAGCACCAGCAAGGGGTTGGTGGCAGCTTTAAAGATGCCCCTATGTGACTGCCAGGACCCTCTTTCCGGGATGCCACACGAGGCTTTGAAGACAGGTCTAATTCTATCCTGACAGTATCACCCTAGTCATTCCAACATCCCTTTTAGTTCTAACGCCTTAAGAAATCCAGCAACCCCCTTTGCAGTCCCCAAGCTGAGGCCTTCTAAAATGCCCCTGAGGCTGGTGGCTGAGGACTCAGGGCTCAGCGGAGGATGGGGTCTGGGTGTCCCCCTGGACAAGTTTCCCACTAGCTGAGATGCAGGCTGAAGCACAAGAAAAGGGGAAGAACAGAGGAGTTCTGAGCTGGCCTGGGGCATAAAGCACTTGGAGGTATAAAACAATGACTTCTTCTTGGTGCTGCTTGCTGCGTCCTTCTTGAGTGTAATGAGCCCTGAGTATTCCTGGTCACCTTTCCTGGTGCTGTGGTGAGTGCTCATTCCTCCGGCATGGAGGGTGCCAGGGACTTGGGCTGCCTGTGCCATGCTATCGATTTTCTTCCCTAACCCCCACACTTATGCTGATCATTCTGTTAGTACTCCACACAAGGCTGTGAGGTGTTGGTTGTTGCTGTTGTGTTATTTCTTTAGAACTCTGAAAGGACATGCTCACTCCAATGTCCCCACGGGTCTGAGCTGAAGGACCCTGCAGTGTCCTGCTCCATCAAACATCACTGAGTTCATCTCCTTGGAAGAGGAAGCTGCCACTTCCAAGTCAGACCTGACCGTCACAGCCTCTGTAATCACCTGTGGTAGGCAGAAATCTGACCCCCGCCCCCCGCAACCCCCCGCCAATTGTACAAGCCCGAATCCCCAGAACCTGGGACTCTGTCACCTTACATGACAAAAGAGACCATGCAAATGTGAATAGTCAAGAATTTAAAATAGGGACATGATCCTGCGTTATCTGGACAAACCGAAGGTAATCACAAGGTTCTCAGAAATGAAGAGGAGAGGTAGGAGACTCCACATAAACATGTCCTCCAAAATCAGAACACTTGTCTCACCTTTGCAGGCTTTGAAAAGGGGGAACGCACCTCCAGCCTCACAACGCAGGTGCCTCTGGAAGCTGGAAAAGGCAAGGGAACGATTCTCCCCTGGGTCTCCAGGAGGAATGAGGCTCTGCAGGCAGCTCCATCTTAACATGCTGAACCTTATTTTGGACTTCCAACCTTCACAACTGCAAGATAATACATTTTTGTTGTTTTAAGCCACTAAGTTTGTGGTCATTTGTGACAGCAGCAACACAAAACCAATGCATTGCTTCATCTTCAAATGCTACATTTCTAGTGGCATTTTAAAAGGTTTATAAAGTGTACAGATATATGATACAGATATAATGATATAATTTATCATGCAAATAAGGACCCATTCTTGGGAGTGAAAGAGGTGTCATTAATAATTACACAGAAACAGGCACAGTGGCTCAACCTGTAATCCCAGCACTTCGGAAGGCCAAGACAGGTGGATCACTTGATGCCAGGTGTTCCAGACCAGCCTGGCCAACTTGGCTAAACCCCATCTCTACAAAAAATACAAAAAGTAGTTGGAAGTGGTGGTGTGCACCTATAATCCCAGGTACTCGGGAGGCTGAGGCATGAGAATCACTTGAACCCGGAAGGTGGAGGTTGCAGTGAGCCGAGACTGCACTCCAGACTGGGTGATGGAGTGAGACCCTGTCTCAAAAAAAAAAACAGAAAAACCCACAAAATTCCATGGAAACAATAGGCATGACTGAGAGTATCTGGCTCCAACTGTGAAGTACCATCACCCTATGGAACATGACAGACACGTCTCCAGTTCTGTTGTTTCTGGCGCAGCTGTGCATGTTTGCGTTTTGCTTATGTGGAGCACCGTGGGTGAGAGGAGCAGTCAGGTAAGAAGCAGGTGCAAGTGAGGTTTTTTTTCTTCATTTCCCAGCCATCTTTCTTCAATATGATGGACTAGGGTCATGTCTGCTCCTAAGATGAGACTTCCCCTTCCTCTCCACTTGTTTTTCGTCTGCCACCCTCATTCCTGAATACTTTTACTCAGATGCTCAAGGTGCCAGTATATATGTTTGGTGGGAGGAGGAGGATGTTTCTTCACAGGTCCAACACTGCAATATCTTATCCCTCATCATCTTTGAGTGCCATCATGCTAGAATTCCACATTTTCTCTTTCCTGTTACTCCTATCAATAATTTAAACAGGAAAATAAAGCATCAATAGACTCCTCAGAGGATAAGATGGGTGACTAACTTTGGACTCTGGTGGTTTTGTCTCTGAATTTATCCCAGGCCATAGCAAAAAAGTAAGAAAGTTGATGGAAATCTAAACAGAAAGCTGTGACTATTTTCTAGGGAATCAGAGCTCTTTGAGCTCTCATTGAATATGTGCTCACAGAAAAGAACAGCCACAAGCCATCTATCCAGTACCACCCCATAAAAGAAAGACCACATGCTGAGAAACTTTTAGCAGGGGGAGTATAATTACTGGAAAATACAGAAATCAATTTAAATGAACAATAATTGCTAGTATTTATTATGTTTCAAGCACTGTTCTAAGCAACTTACCTACTTTGTTTCTTTTGCTCTTTTCAGTAGCTCTATGACATAGGCACTTATTTCTGTTTCGCAGATGAATAAACTCAAGCAAGGAGGAGCTAAGAATCTTTCTAAAACTTACACAGCTAATAAGAGACAGAATTTCAGTTAGGACCAGGAAGTCTAGGCACAGGGCCCGCAGACTGGAACTCAAAGAGACCCTAACAGAACATATGGGAAATATGAGCTAGGATCAGGCTGTCACCAGGTAAAGGAAATGAAAATATTTTTTATGAAAAATACAATTGCTTAGACAAAAAACACAAGGGCTAAATATTAAGTTGGTGTAAAGGTAATGGCGTTTTTTTTGCCGTTACTTCTAATTGCAAAAACTGCCATTACTTTTACACCACCCTAATAGCAAAATGACTGTAGTCACAGTAGGCAGAAGTGAGCTGGAAAAATCAGGAGAGGAGGTCTCCAAATAATTCCATTAGTGATAAATGGATGGAAAAATTTAAAAAGAAAGTTAAGAGGAATGGAAGAAAGAAGTTGAAGTATTGAAAGTCCTAATATGAGTGACTAAGTAGAAAAAAAAACCAGATGATATATTTTGTTAAATAATGACAGAGAGCCTTCCAGTATTAAAGAAAGTCGGAAGGCCTAGGATGGAAAAGTGTAGAGTGCCAAGCAGAAGAGATGGGGAGACCCGCATTTGGCTATGTTGCGGTGGCTCGCGCCTGTAATCCCAGCACTTTGGGAGACCGAGGCTGGCGGATCACGAGGTCAAGAGATCGAGACCATCCTGGCCAACACAGTGAAACCCTGTCTCTACTAAAAATACAGGTGCGTGCCTGTAATCCCAGCTACTCGGGAGGCTGAGGCAGGAGAATCGCTTGAACCCGGGAGGCGGAGTTTGCAGTGAGCTGAGATCGCTCCACTGCACTTCAGCTTGGGCAACAGAGTGAGACTCCGTCTCAAAAAAGAATGTCAGACACAAAGAAAACTGTGAGGTGCTCCGGGGCCCTGCGAAGCGAAGACTCCCGCAGCAAAGGGAGGAGGAACCCAAAGCGCCAAGGGAGCGGCGGCCGCGGAGCCCACGCCGGGGCCCGAGATCCGAGCGCACCACGAGGATGGCAGAAAGGAATTCCCTAGTACAAAGGACCACAGAATGTTGACCACAAGATTCCTCTTCCAAAAGATACTTGAGAGATGCCATCCTATGAGGAGATACAAACTGAGGAGCACACGGGGATACATGGAAAGCAAGGTTCAGTAAATAAACGGGCGCGTTTGATTGTATTCTCAGTAAGCAGTGACTAAAACCAAAATCACATCAACAAAACAAAGAGAAGCACAGGAATCCAGAACCCAAACTCCAGTGACAAGGCCCCGTTGGAGTGCAGAGCCCGACGGCAGCAGAGGCGGAGGCGTGGCTGACAGAATATCAGAATATGAGACCATGAGAAGCAGGTGAATATTGTATCTTGTTTCCAGGAAAGATGGAAATTAGGAGGAAAAGTTAAATTATAGGTCTTTATAAAATAAAGACAAGTCTAAGAAAATTAAAATTAAATAGCTTTTTAAAGCAGTAGAAGAAAATATACCTAATTATAAATAACAAGAAAAGAAAAAGAAATAAAATGAAGTTTAGTAAATAAAGCACAATATGAGGTATCAGAAATATCAGTAACTGCAAAGAAGCTAAACTTCCCAAAGGACAGATCTCAGATTTGCTTGATGAAGAAAATGAACAAATCCAGCAGTTAGTTGTCATGAAAAGACACACTGAAAACAATATGTACTGACTTTTTTTTTATAAAGGATTTAAGAAAGATATGCTACCAAATACAAGCCAATAATAAAGTTAAGATGGTGAGTTTGTTACCAGGCAACACAGGATTTAGAGCAAAATAGTCCTAAAGAACACAGAGGGGACACTACTGATAATATGACACATTCAACAAAGTGGATAACGGTGACAATAGGCACACATGTTCCCCATCAGTGGAAAATGCACTTTGTTGAAGACACAGGAAGCCGTCATGAGCATCTTCTGTGTTAGAGTATCAAGAAAACCTCAGTAAATTCTAAATCACAAACTAGCTCTGAACAATATTATCTGACCACAATCCAATAAAACCATAAGCAAAAGAATTATTTTAAAATTTCATATAGGAGGAAAGAAACAAATCTATATTAAATGTGTTAAAAATGGGAAATACTTAGAACTGAATAATAGTGAAAGCACTACACGTTAAACTTTGTTGGAAACTGCTAAAGTTGTACTTCAGAAAGAAATTTGTAACTGTGACAATACTAATTAAAAATAAGAAAAATAAAAAAGCAAAAGAACTCAGCATGCAACCCTGAAAGTGAGGGGAAAAAAAGAGTAAACACAAAGAAATGGAAGGGAACAAAATACGTTTTTTAAAAAATCAGCAAAATTCAGGAAAAAACCCTGATAAATAATAAAATCTGCTTCTCTGAAATGTTAGTAAGAAAAACAATCTCTGGCGAAGAAAATTTAAAAACTATTGAAAGGAAACGGAAAAATAACTGCAGATTTAACTGATTTTAAAAGAAAAAAGAGTATTAGAAACAATGACAATACATTCTAAAACCAATTGATAGGGCAAATTTCTGGGGAAAAAAATAAAATACCAAAGAGGGTCAGAAAAAGTCACAGAAAAAATAAACAGATGACCATTAAAAAATTAATAGAAAGAGAAGACTTCTATGAGCAAAAAGGGCCCATGCTTTTTTACAAGTGAAAAAATTAATAGGAAGAGAAGACCTCTATGAGCAAAAAAGGCCCATGCTTTTTTACAAGCAGATTCTATTAAAATCTGAAGACCAGCTATATTGTCCAGAGGACAAGGTCAAGAGACCTGAGAGAGAGACTGGCCCCACCACGAGAAGAGTCTAGGATGGTACTTACACACTCTCCCCTGGTCCTATCCCTCTCCTTACTGCACCATGAGAAGAGTCTAGGATGATATTCACACTCCACTGGCCCTGTCTCTCACCTTACTACACAAAGTCACCTTCAAGGTCAACAATCCAGCTTTGTCATTACCAACAAATACCATTGCACCTCGAATTCAGACGCGTGAATCTTGCACTCTGGCTACCACCTCCCATCTTTCCAGCTCCCTTCCCCTGTTTCCCTGACTCTCAACCATCCTTTGGTTCCACCTCGAGCCACAATCCATGGATCACCTCAAGCTTTCGTTGTCGCTCTGTCCACGGAAGTCCTCTCTTCTCACCACCCATTGTGACTGCCACGGCCATTCATCATGATGCCCTTGAACACACACAGCTCCCTTCCCCGCTGTTGCTTCCTGATCCTCACCCATGGAAACCACAGCTTGGCTGTCGCTCTCCATCTAATCCCTGTGTGCATCAATTCAGCCTGAATTTCGCTGGAGAAAAGCCGAGCACTATACGGGTCTCACGTTAACTTAACAACCATGAACCTCAATGGGGCTTTGGTGCTGCTGGTATTTACACTACTCGTCCCTGCTCCAATTGTTTCTTCCCTCATCTACATGAGTATCTTCCACTTGCCCCTCTCTCCTGAAGCCCCCAACAAATCTCCCCTCCTCACTCACAGGCTTGGAGTCATCCAATGAGCTCGTTCACTTAATTCCCTTCATTGCTTCTACCCACATCTAAACATCAGGAATGGAACGCTGTGCCTTCCCCCCACTAGCAGAGGGGAACTGTTTGTACCACCATGTAAGGCGAGCCTCTCCATATTTGCAGGCCTCAAGCCCTCTTGCCTACTCCACGATACTGAACTAGCAATTCTTTCTTCCCTCTGATGCCATCAGTTTTCCCTGTTCTGAATCACTTCCATTATGACATCTTTACATTATAAGATTTCCTATCTTAAAAAAATCCCAAACTGCGATCTGTCTCTGTCTTGCTACTGCCCCCATATAATTCTCTGCTTCCCTTTAAAAGCAAAACTATTCAAAAATGTTGTCTGTGTTCACTCTTTCTTCGTCAAACCCAATCCAAAATAGATGCTTACCACACCTCTCCAATTCCCTTCCCCAACTCACTGATAGTGTTTTCCTCAAGAATTCTGGCTTTTAATTATCATTCTTGTACTTGACCTTCCAAATGTATTTGGCAAAGCATATCCCTCTTCACTCATTGATACAGCTTCTTCTTTTGCCTTCTGGGACTATGCGCTCCACTGGTTTTCCTTCTGTCTCATTGGTTGCTCCTTGTAGACTATCCCCCCCTTGTCTCCAGCCTCACCAAGTTGGAATAGACAAGGGCTTAGGATTTGTCCCTCTTTTCTTCCCTGGCTGCATGCTTTTCCTATGGGATTTCACCCAGCATTGTGGTTCTAAACGCCATCTGTATGCAACTGATTGTTGAATTGCTGTCTCTAGCACAGGTATCTCTCATGAAGTTCGGACTGTATATCCTATTGCCTATTCCATATTTCCTTGTGGATCTCTAATTAAACACCCAAACTCAACATATCCAAGACAACTCCTGACCTTTTCTTCTCACTCCCAAAAGCTGGACCTTGGGCAGCCCTCATCTCAGTTGATGAGAATTCCAGTTACTAAGTGCCAGGTACTTGGTGTTTCCTTCACTCCTTTCTTTGTCTCATATCCCATATTGATTTCACCAGAAAATCTTTTGGAACCTACTTTCAAAATATACCCATAATCTTTTTCTCACCACTCCTACTGCTGCTACTTGGTCCAACCTTAGACCATCTTGGTTCAAATAGCTGTGAAATTGAAAAGGGCACCCTTATTCCTTGTGGGAAGAGGAATCAGACACAGTCACCCTGCAGAGAATTCTGTGGCATTTATTAAAGGCAAGCATGCATCTATTCAGGGAATCAGAGAGACTTATCTGGTTCATAAGAGATATGCACAGCACTGTTTGTGGGAGGAGAGAGTTAGAAGAAACCTAGGTGTCCATCGCTAGGTGAACATGTAGGTACCATGTAGTGAAAACACATTGTTGAATTCCATACCACAGTGAGAAACACAATTTAGCAACATGGAGAGATCTCGAAAACAGCACTGAGTGGGAAAACAGGATCTGTAACACAAAAGTGTGTGGCTTAAGATCACATATATATGGTATATCTTTCAAGGATACATTTGTATCCAAGGACATTTAATAAACACAATTGAGTTGATGCTTTGGTAAGGGAAGGATTGGGTCATTGATGGACAATGAAGGGAAAAATAATGAAATGAAATAAGAGAGTCCTTGACAGACCAGTAATAGCACTGTGCTACATGACTCATCCAACTCTCTTCACTGGTGAGAAAGAAAGAGAGCATACTAAAGCTAAAAGAAGTCTTAGCAATTATTTTAACCCAATCTCTGCCTTAAAACACACACATTCTATTATATCTAGCACCAACTCTGCTTCAGTCATTTTATAGAAGAACATCAGCTATACATTTAAGGAAATCCAATAGTCAAAAAACCCCTTTTATAGAAGAACAGAGCTTTTCTAGGAAATCTGCTGATGGAAGAGGGGTAGATCAGGTTTTCTAAAATGGCATCATGGTGGATAAGTTATTTTAAAGTGTCTGTTGCTCAACACACACACACACACACACACACACAATCACACACACCAGAACTCTTTAAAAGCTGGAAAAAAAATGTGAATAAAATAAAACCAGAGCTGGGTGAAGGCAATCATAGAAGCCAGTGTGCCAAAATTTGCATACAAAAGTCAAAACTGGCAACATAGTTTTGGGAATTATTGTGGCCACTTAGGGGAATGAGAGATTGGGCTCTGAATCTGCTTGCCAATTTGCATAGTTGAATTAAAACCTCCTACACAAAGGCAGGACAATTGGAGGAACTCTAGCTTCAGAGAAATGGTGGGTGAAAAAAAAAATCTGACTGCCTGCAAGAGAACCAAGGAAGAACATCTTGAGCTCTGTCCTTTTTCCAAATGGAAAAAATATCGTCTCCCTGAGAATATAGGAGCAAAGCTTGGTCTTGTGCACCTGGAGTCCAAATGTGCACCCCCACACCATGCTCAAGGAGCCCCAGGCTGAGGCATTAAACATTTCCAGGCAGGCAGCACCCATTATATTTTCAGGTAAATCTCTGGAGAAAATCATCCTGAATCTTGGTTCCTGGGGATTCTCACATATTATATTTGGCTAAATATTAGTGCCTGCACATGTGCGCGCACACACACACACACACACACACAACCATGCAATGAAAAAAGTCACTGAGTGAGAATAAGTGGAAGCCACAAGTAATCTATTTCCATTCTCAAAGACTTCAGTCACTGTAAAGATTAAATACCAAATAAAAATAGCCAAGAAAATTGAAAGAATATAAGTGAGAGAACAAGGAAGATATAACTGATAAGTTTTCAGAACTGATGAAAATAAAGGAAACCAAAGAGACACACCAGGAGAAAGTGGAATGGTATCTTTAAAAAAACTAGAAAAACAAATGCAATCCAAATTGCTGTACATGATCAAGTGATCTCCCAAGGTCAAGAGTGGGATAATAATATTTTTCAGAAAAGCAAAAACTGAAAGCACTTACAACGAGAGTCGTACCTAGAGAAACTTTGGCAGGATCAACCTCAGAAAGAATGCAAAGCATCCCAAGAGAAGACGTGATAATTGAGGGAACTGAGAGCAAGCGGGAAAGTCTAAACCAACATTGGCTTATAGAACACCAATGGAAATGTCTAATTTCTGGGGCTAAAGTTAAAAATATGAAATTATATGTACAATGATAGCAGATTAGTCAGATGGAGGATGATAAAAAAAATCCTAAGGTCTTTGTTCTATTCACGAAAAGGGTAGATATGTTAAATTCACTTTAGATTTATTATTTTAATTGGATATATACAGGGAGAGCCAATACAGTAAGTAAATGCAAGAAATAAGAAAAAAGCATGATACAGGAAACAGAAAAATAGAAAGCACAAAAATGAGATGGTGGAAATAAACCCAAATGCACTAGTCATCACAAGGAATGGATTAGGTAAAAAGACAAAGATTTCCAGATGAGAATTAAAAAATTAAGTTATATGCTTTTTGCAAGAGATATGCCTAAAGCCTAAGAATATAGGAATAGAATACTTAGGTAATTAATTGAAAAATGTATGCCAGGCAGATAACAACTCAAAGAAATCTGGCATAGTACTATTAATATCAGAGGAAAAGCCTAAAAGGCAAAAACCATTATTACAGATGAAGAGGGTCATTATATTTTTATTTAAGTTTAAGTTGCCCATGAGGTTATAAAGATCTAAATATTTATGGATGTAATAAAATGCCACAAAATATAAGAAAAATTGACAGAATTACATGGAGATATAGGCAAATTCATTAATACCCTTGAATATATTCATATAACTTAGTTAGAAAGTGATAGGCCAGGCTGAAAATATTTAGTACCGATAGAAATATTTGAACCAGACAATTAACAAGCTGGATTTAGTGGGCATATAATGAAAACTGCTTAACAATTTGAGAGCCATTATTTTCATTACTACAGAGAAAATCTACACAAATATCATGTGCCCTGTCACAAAAGAAGTCTAAATGAATTTCAAAGATTATATTAAAGCAGGCCACATTCTCTGATTAGACAGCAATCAAGTTGTAAATCAGTAAGAGACAGACAACATTAAAAATGCACATATTCTGACATTTTATAGCTTTCTAATTCCAATGTCAACCATCAATTTAAAAAATTCAAAATGCAAACGAAAAGAAGGCACCTCAACAACAATAAAAATTCCACATCAAAATATGTGAGGGACAGTTCAAGTAAGGCCTAAAAGGAAGTGTAGAAGATTATGTGAGGAGAGAAAATTAGTAAAGCATTAACAGGTTAATCTTTCTATTTCAGAAGTTAGAAAAAGCATAACAGTGGAAGCCTAGAAAGTAGAAAAAAGGAGATAATAACAAACAGAGATTCAACAGGGAGGGCCAACGATGTCAAAACTGGTTCTTTGAAAAGATTAAAAATAAACCTCTGACCAAGAAATGTAGGGAGGAGTCACAAATACTCAATATTTGACCTGCAGAGGAGATCATAGGTAGATTTCAAAGGTTGTTAAGAATTTTAAAATTTTAAACAAATTCCTAGAAGTATACCAAAACTAGCTTCAAAAAATCTGAGATTAGCTGTATTTAAATTAGAAAGCCTGAATAATCTCATAAGTATTAAACAAACTGAATGAATATTTTAAAATCCTTCCACAAAGAGAACACCAGACTCATACAGTTTTACAGGTGAATTCTGCCAAATCTTTAAGGAAAAAACAGTTTTAAAGTGATACAAACTTGTCTCAAAAATAGAAAAAGAGAGAGAAAACTCCCCCGGCCATTCTTTGAGTCTTGTATAACCTTGATATTAAAATCAAACAAAGTATAGACAACTGAAAATCATGAGCTGATCTCATTCAGGAACAGATAGATGTAAGATGCTTAGACCTGTGATAATAATAAGAACAATAACAGTAGCAGTAACTATTGGCTAAACCAATTTACGCGTGGCTTCTTGGTTGCAGCGAGTTGGCCTTCATACCTGTGCTTCCTGGTCCCTGGTCGTCACCTTTTTCCCCGAACACCTGTGAGGTGTGTTGAAGAGTGAAGGGAGAAGATCTAGCCGACTTAGGAGGGCTCCCTGTGAGCCGACTTAGGGCCTCCCGGTGAGGTGGAGGGATGTGAGGAAGGCAGACAGGCGGGGCCGGTCCACAGGGATTCAGTTGGCCACGGGCATAGGCTCGGTGCTGTGGGTCCCTGCCTTTGTCTTCCGGGCTGTGAGTCTTTGCTCAGCACCAGCCAGCGCAGGCTTGGTTTGCAACGATCATGATTCAGGGCAGAAGGTCTTGGTCCCTGTCCTTGAGAAGCTTCCAGTCTCCTGAGAAAGATACACATTCATCCAAAAATTAAACAAATAAATGCAAATGTGCAACCTGTGATAAGAAGGAAGGACATGAAGTTCTGTGGAGCTCTGAGAGACTGTAATGGGGATGCAGGCTTTTCTGATGATGAGAAGGCTGCTCTGAGGAAACACCATTTGATCTGAGTTTAAAGACACATGAAGAGTGAGCCGGTCAAAGAAAGAAAGAGAAGACAGATCTGGGCAGGGGCGACAGCAAGTAAGTCCACTGGCCCCGCGTGGGAGGGAACCCCTCCTACTGAGGAACTGGTGCCCAGTGAGGATGCAGGGAGAAGCTCAGAGGGAGGTTAGAAGTCACCCAGGCCCTGAGCCCACAGGAGGAGTGGACTTGAACGGAGAATCAGTCACCCAGGCCCTGAGCCCACAGGAGGAGTGGACTTGAACGGAGAATCAGTCACCCAGGCCCTGAGCCCACAGGAGGAGTGGACTTGAATGGAGAATCAGTCACCCAGGCCCTGAGCCCACAGGTGGAGTGGACTTGAATGGAGAATCAGTCACCCAGGCCCTGAGCCCACAGGAGGAGTGGAGTTGAATGGAGAAGGCCATTGAATGGCTTTAAAAAAGGAACGATGCAGCCAAGATAGTCATTATCTAAAACTCTTTCTGACTGTGGTGTAAAGAATAGAACAGAGCAGGAGACCTTTGCATCAGTCCAGGTGAGAGATGACTGTAGCTTAGACAAGGGCGGTGGTGGAGTTGGAGATATATGGGGGAGTGTTGGTGAGACTTATGAAGAAAAAGGACAGAGCTTGATGATTAAATATGAGATGTAAGGGAAACAAATCAAAGATGGGCTATCAGACAGATGGAGAGGCCATTCACAAATAGGAACTAGTGGAGAAAGGCCAAATTAGGGGTGAAGTGAAGAGAAGATAAAACTCTATTCAACATTATCTGCCTCTGAGACAATCAGATGGAGATCTTTTTAAAAATACAACATTTATTTCTTACAGTTCTAGAAGCTGAGAAGTCCAGATCAAATTGCCAGCAGATTTATTGTTGTCTGCTGAGGGCCTGCTTCTTCATTTGCAGGAGGTTGCCTTCTTTCTATATCCTCATGTAGTGAAGAGAATGATATGTCATGTCTCTTCTTTTTACAAGGGCATAAATAACATCATAAGAGCCTAACCCGGATGGAGATTTTGAGTGGGAAACACAAATCTGGAGCTCAGAGATGAGTTCCATGTTCAAGATACAAATTTAGAAGTCCTCTGTGCATAGCTGAAAATGTCTTTCTTTTCTTTTTTTTCCTTAGGCAGAGTCTCACTCTGTTGCCCAGGCTGAGTGCAGTGGCACGATCTTGGCTCACTGCAACCTCTACCTCCCCGGTTCAAGAGATCTCGTGCCTCAGCCTCCCAAGTAGCTGGGATTACAAGCATGCACCACCATGCCCAGCTAACTTTTGTTTTTTTTAGTAGAGACAGGGTTTCGCCATGTTGGCCAGGCTGGTCTCAAACTCCTGGCCTCATGTGATCTGCCCACCTCGGCCTCCCAAAGTGCTGGGATTATAGGCATGAGCCACCACGCCTGGCCTCATAGCTGAAAATTTTAATCACATCAATTGTAGATGTTGACAAATAGGAAGAGACTACAGAGAAAGCAGAGAAAAGAGTTTAAGATTAACCTTTGAGGAACTCCAACACTTGGAATTTGGATGGAAGACTGTAGAAATAGAAGGAAAACCAGAAGAAGGTGGTGTCATGGAGAACAAAGGGAAGAACGTGCTTCAAGAAGGAAGCTGTGGTCACCGGGGTTAGATGCTATTATTGGGTGAAGTAATTAGAGAACTGAAGCATTCCCGCTGCACCTAGTGCTCCGTGTGACAGTGATGTTAACTGGGTCTATTCTGGAGCCAGGTTGGAGTGGGGCAGGAAAACGTAGATTGAGGGAAATTGGAGAGTCCTTTGGCCAACCCTGATATTGGTGCCATTGAGGCCACATGCCACTTCCCACTGCATGTGCCAATGCATTTACCCTTCCAGGCAAGAGAATTGGTCCCCTGGACAAAAAGGGAACCACTCATTTCTTGCCTCTTTTGCACATAGTTTCTTTGCTTTCAGTTGAGAAGGAAATTAAGGGTTGAAGACAAACCTGTACCACTGAATGCATGGTGCCAGCCACCATGCTACAGAAAATCTATAATGAGCTAGTCAAGTGAATAAATCATTGGGGTTTTATCCACTTTGGTTTTAAAACAAGAAAGCTTTATACCATCACTACACTACTTGCCTCCAGTGATCAGAGATGGGTTCTCAGACATAGTATCATCTTCTGTGCTGGCATTGTCATTGTTTCAATTTAGTCTCATAAACATTATACCCTAGCTTTTTTTATGCTGTAGTTTTCCTGTGGTATAATTAATATTCAGTCACTTGTTCAGTGAGCATCAGAATTATTAAAAATGTGTTAAAATGCACTTTCCCAGTTCGTAAGCCTTTAAATTCTCATTTATTGGTTGTTTGGTCTAACTCTGAACCATTTCTCCAAGCTTTGCCAATGTAGCTGGTCCAGGGATCACACTTTGAAAAAACACTGCTCTATATGTGATACTATAATATTTGAGGGTCAGAATAATTAAGGTCATTATATGAATATTCGGCATTAAGCAAGAAACTCAATCATATTCATCTTTTTTTTTTTTTTTTTTTTTGCTTATTACAATAGTGCACATTTTAGAGAGATTTTCACCAAAGGCTGAGAAAAAAAGATATATCTTGCTAGGTTTCAGCTGGCCAGTAAACAAATGTGACTGCATCTCTCTGTGTACTGAAGAGTTCACTGCCTCTCTGGAGGCTGTTCCCACCTGGGGTTAGGGATATCCTTTGGGAAGCAGGGGGTCCTTGCCCCTCTTTTCAGAGCGGCCCCAGCAGAAGGTTGTCACTTCTTTCTCCTAGGTAACCCTGCAAGGGCTGCCCTTTAAGAGTAATCACAAGTAATAGCCATAAACCAAGGGCCCAGAATTGAGTTTATATTCTTAAGGGGTCAAAGAAGAAAGAGATAAAGAACCAAGATGCTTTGTAATTTAGATTTTTTGTTTCCTCAGATCTTTGAGATTCCGGGCCAAATGATAGTTGAGAAAAATGAAAAGGGAAAAAAGGGGCGTGCATGCTCAAAATTCTATATTTAAGTTGTTCATAATGTGATTACTTTTGCTGGTTCTATTAATCTTCAGAAGAGTAGCTAAATGCAAATGTAAGCATTTTAAGGCATTAAAATTATGCAGAAAAATCTGAGTAGAATTCTAAGAATATGTATGTATATGTAATATTTAAATTATAATTTAAGAACCTTTCCAAGAACATTTGCTTAATAAATAGAAATGAGAACAGAAAATTTTGCAATGCTAATTATTATACTACTATCTCTCTCCAGATCTTACAAGATGCTAGGAGATATGTTACAGGTGTTCATTTGAAAAAGAAATAGTTTTAACTTCTCTTTTATGAGAATAATGGAAGATTAAAGAAAGCCAAAGTGAGTGGTTCAGAAAGGGTGTTCCAGAATATTGTAATTATTAACGAGTGCTTGTGTATTGATGGAAAGAAAACATCTTTACTCAAAAGCAATAAAGATCTTCATAGTCCAAGTCCAGGCAATGAGGCGGAATAAGCCCATGCATCAGTTTAAAAATAGAAGATAGAGAGGCATGGTTTCAACCAGGATTGCCTAAACTACCTTTTCATTAGGGAAGAGTTTATGATAATAGAAGCGCAGGTTTACTAAGTTATCTCTAAAGTATTTACACTAATAGACTAATAAAGTTCTCAAGTGATATTCTGGCATGCACTGGCCTCAGGTCAGCTCCTCAGCATGTACAGAGGTCAGGTAGGAGCTCAGGAATGCAAGCGACAGTCTCACTCCCTCCAAATCTGCACAGTCTGTACCATCCCAGAGTCCCTTCAATTACTGTCTTCAATCCTCTTCTTTCTCCAGGCAAAGGCAGGTTTCAGCCACTTCCATAGCCAACGGTCAAAACCTTGGAAAACAATCATCAATGGTTCAGAACCAGAAATAAAAACCAAACTTCCTGAATGATGCTGGGTGTTGCTAGGGAAAAGTGGATAAATGTCTCTCCTAGATAAAAATATTTACTATTTACCCTCAATTTGTTCCTCTTTCTTGTTGCCATTCTTTTGTGCTGGACTTGGAGTTTCATGGTGTTGAACACATAGATGTACCCAGTCAATTCTAAGTAACTGGAATATGAGCTATGAAAACTCCAAACATGGGCCCAGTGTTACCGTCTAGCAAGGATGCTGTTTGCCCTGAAAATCCTGTGTAGGTAGAAAGGACTGGTTTTTCCACATTGCATACTGGGACACGATGTACCTAGCAACATTGCATACTGGGACACGATGTACCTAGCAACTGAATTGCTTATTTGAACCTGCCCCAAGAAGCAGCTATCACTCAAGAGTGTTGTCCTGGGATATGGCTGCAATGATACAGGGTACCCATTGCATAAAACTTGCGCAAAGTTCAGCTCTGTGAAGCAAAGGTATCACAAACACAAGCAAATCCTGACTCCAGTCTTATAAGTCTTGTTTTCCTTCAAAGGTAGTAGACTATACCAAGCTTTATTTAAATGGGAAATGAAATGAAAAATGATTATTTAGGCACATACCCTAATCATCCTAGTGAAGATGAAGAACTACTCTATGAGTCACAGCTGGGAAGCAGCCCTAATGTCTGTGGTCAGATTCTGAGACACCATCACAGATTCACAGATGTTTTACTGGGGGAAGAGTACTCAGCTTTGGTTTAACAAGGATAAAAATGCTTCAGGCTTTCCTGAAGGTGCTGCATCTCTTTTTGTTTGAAACTATGGATATGGGTTTACAATCACCAGTGGTTGTGCATTTAGTAGGGAGTGTGCATTCATCAGTGCCATTAAAGTGGCCTAAATTGAAGCTGAATCAAAAAGTAGCCAATTTATTTTTTATTTTTCTTTCTTCTATGTTGCTTTTCCCTCCTCTTTCTTTCCTTCCTTTTCTCCTTGGGCCACTTGAGGCCTCCCCACAACCTGAGAACAATCAGAGATTACTGGGGTAATGTCAGAAAGATGCAAGTCAACTTGAATAAATTCCCCTTGGCCAATGGTCAATATGAACATCAACAATAATAACTGCACTGAAATACGTAAGATCCATTTAAATCCATTGGTGCATGATGACATTGAAAAACAAAAGGATACCTCATTTGCCTTCTTGTTCTTTGGGAAGATGTGAGAGAAACAACTAATTATTTGTAACTGGTAAAGAAAGGAAAAGAAGCCGGGCACAGTGACTCACGCCTATTATCACAGCTCATTGGGAGGCCAAGGTGGGCAGATCACCTGAGGTCAGGAGTTTGAGACCAGCCTGCCCAAGATGGTGAAACCCCATCTCTACTAAAAATACAAAAAATTAGCTGGGCTTTATGGTGGGTGCCTGTAATTCCAGCTACTCAGGAGGCTGAGGCAGGACAATTGCTTGAACCTGGGAGGTAGAGGTTGCAGTGAGCCAAGATCACGCCATTGCACTCCAGCCTGGGTGACAAGAGTGAAACTGTCTCAAAAAAACAAAAACAAAAACAAAAACAAAAAAAAACAGTGGGGGGATTCTGTTCCAAGATGGCTGAATAGGAACAGCTCCAGTCTGCAGCTCCCAGCATGATCGACACAGAAGATGGGTGATTTCTGCATTTCCAGCTGAGGTACCTGGTTCATCTCATTGGGACTGGTTGGACACTGGGTGCAGCCCATGGAGGGTGAGCCAAAGCAGGGCGGGGGGCATTGCATCACCCAGGAAGCGCAAGGGGTCGGGGGATTTCCCTTTCCTAGCCAAGGGAAGCCATGACAGATGGTACCTGGAAAAACGGGACACTCCCACCCAAATACTGTGCTTTTCAAAGGGTCTTAGCAAACGGCCCACCAGGAGACCACATCCTGTGCCTGGCTCGGTGGGTCACACACCCACAGAGCCTTGCTCACTGCTAGCGCATCAGTCTGAGATTGACCTGCAAGACAGCAGCCTGGCTTGGGGAGGGGTATCTGCCATTGCTGAGGCTTGAGTAGGTAAACAAAGCAGCCGGGAAGCTCAAACTGGGTGGAGTCCACTGCAGCTCAGCAAGGCCTGCTGCCTCTGTAAACTCCACCTCTGGGGGCAGGGCATAGCTGAACAAAAGGCACCAGAAACTTCTGCAGACTTAAACGTCCCTGTCTGACAGCTCTGAAGAGAGCAGTGGTTCTCCCAGCGTGGTGTTTGAGCTCTGAGAATGGACAGACTGCCTCCTCAAGTGGGTCCCTGACCCTCATGTAGCATAACTGGGAGACACCTCACAGTAGGGGCCGACTGACACTTCATACAGGCGGGTGCCCCTCCGGGATGAAGCTTCCAGAGGAAGGATCAGGCAGCAATATTTGCCGTTCTGCAATACTTGCTATTCTGCAGCCTCCGCTGGTGATACCCAGGAAAACAGGGTCTGGAGTGGAC
Source organism: Homo sapiens (assembly GCF_000001405.40). NCBI lineage: Eukaryota > Metazoa > Chordata > Mammalia > Primates > Hominidae > Homo > Homo sapiens. The sequence continues at coordinate 109,507,573 of NC_000013.11, read as the reverse complement.
CTTCAGCAAACTCCAACAGACCTGCAGCTGGGGGCCTGACTGTTAAAAGGAAAACTAACAAGCAGAAAAGAATAGCATCGACATCAACAAAAAGGACATCCACACCAAAACCCCATCTGTAAGTCACCAATGTCAAAGACCAAAGCCAGATAAAACCACAAAGATGGGGAGAAACCAGAGCAGAAAAGCTGAAAATTCTAAAAACCAGAGCGCCTCTTCTCCCCCAAAGGATTGCCACTCCTCACCAGCAATGGAACAAAGCTGGACAGAGAATGACTTTGATGAGCTGACAGAAGTAGCCTTCAGAAGGTCAGTAATAACAAACTTCTCTGAGCTAAAGGAGGATGTTTGAACCCATTGCAAGGAAGCTAAAAACCTTGAAAAAAGATTAGATGAATGGCTAACTAGAAAGAACAGTGTAGAGAAGACCTTAAACGACCTGATGGAGCTGAAAACCATGGCATGAGAACTACGTGACACATGCACAAGCTTCAATAGCCAATTCAATCAAGTGGAAGAAAGAGTATCAGTGATTGAAGATCAAATTAATGAAATAAAATGAGAAGAGAAGTTTAGAGAAAAAAGAGTAAAAAGAAATGAACAAAGCCTCCAAGAAATATGGGACTATGTGAAAAGACCAAATCTACGTTTGATTGATGTGCCTGAAAGTAACGAGGAGAATGGAACCAAGTTGGAAAACACTCTTCGGGATATTATCCAGGAGAAACTTCCCCAATCTAGCAAGGCAGGCCAACATTCAAATTCAGGAAATACAGAGAACACCACAAAGATAGTCCTCGAGAAGACCAACCCCAAGACACATAATTCTCAGATTCACCAAGGTTGAAATGAAGGAAAAAATGTTAAGGGCAGCCAGAGAGAAAGCTCGAGTTACCCACAAAGGGAAGCCCATTAGACGAATAGCAGATCTCTCGGCAGAAACTCTGCAAGCTAGAAGAGAGTGGGGGCCGATATTCAACATTCTTAAAGAAAAGAATTTTCAACCCAGAATTTCATATCCAGCCAAACTAAGCTTCATAAGTGAAGGAGAAATAAAATACTTTACAGACAAGCAAATGCTGAGAGATTTGGTCATGACCAGGCCTGCCTTACAAGAGCTCCTGAAGGAAGCACTAAACATGGAAAGGAACAACTGGTACCAGCCACTGCACAAACATGCCAAATTGTAAAGACCATTGATGCTAGGAAGAAACTGCATCAACTAACGGGCAAAATAACCAGCTAACATCATAATGACAGGATCAAATTCACACATAACAATATTAACCTTAAATGTAAATGGGCTAAATGCTCCAATTAAAAGACACAGGCTGGCAAATTTGATAAAGAGTCAAGACCCATTAGTGTGCTGTATTCAGGAGACCCATCTCATGTGCAGAGACACACATAGGCTCAAAATAAAGGGATGGAGGAAGAGCTACCAAGCAAATGGAAAGGAAAAAAAGCAGGGGTTGCAATCCTAGTCTCTGATAAAACAGACTTTCAACCAAAAAAGATCAAAAGAGACAAAGAAGGCCATTACATAATGGTAAAGGGATCAATTCAACAAGAAGAGCTAACTATCCTAAATATATATGCACCCAATTCAGGTGCACCCAGACTCATAAAGCAAGTCTTTAGAGACTTACAAAGAGACTTAGACTCCACACAATAATAACGTGAGACTTTAACACCCCACTGTCAATATTAGGCAGATCAACGAGACAGAAGGTTAACAAGGATATCCAGGACTTGAACTCAGCTCTGCACCAAGCAGACCTAATAGACATCTACAGAGCTCTCCACCCTAAATCAACAGAATATACATTCTTCTCAGCAACACATCACACTTATTCCAAAATTGACCACAGAGTTGGAAGTAAAGCACTCCTCAGCAAATGTAAAATAACAGAAATCACAGCAAACTGTCTCTCAGACCACACTGCAATCAAATTAGAACTCAGGATTAAGAAACTCAGTCAGAAACCACACAACTACATGGAAACTGAACAACCTGCTCTGAAATGACTACTGGGTAAATAATAAAATGAACTCAGAAATAAAGATGTTCTTTGAAACCAATGAGAACAAAGACACAACATACCAGAATCTCTGGGACACATTTAAAGCAGTGTGTAGAGGAAAATTTGTAGGACTAAATGTCCACAAGAGAAAGCAGGAAAGATCTAAAAATCGACATCCTAACATCACAATTAAAAGAACTAGAAAAGCAAGAGCAAACAAATTCAAAAGCTAGCAGAAGGGAAGAAATAACTAATATCAGAGCAGAACTCAAGGAGATAGAGATGCAAAAAACCCTTCCAAATATCAGTGAATCTAGGAGCTGGTTTTTTGAAAAGATCAACAAAATTGATAGACTTGCTAGCAAGACTAATAAAGAAGAAAACAGAAAAGAATCAAATACATACAATAAAAAGTGATAAAGGGGATATCACCACCGATCCCACAGAAATACAAACCACCATCAGAGAATACTATAAACACTGCTAAGCAAATCAGCTAGACAATTTAGAAGAAATGGATAAATTCCTGGACACATGCACTCTCCCAAGACTAAACCAGGAAGAAGTTGAATCTCTAAATAGACCAATAACATGCTCTGAAATTGAGGCAATAATTAATAGCCTATCAACCAAAAAAAGTCCAGGACCAGATGGATTTACAGCCAAATTCTACCAGAGGTACAAAGAGGAGCTGGTACCATTCCTTCTGAAACTATTCCAATCAATAGAAAAAGAGGGAATCCTCCCTAACTCATTTTATGAGGCCAGCATCATCCTGATACCAAAGCCTGGCAGAGACACAACAAAAAAAGAGAATTTTAGACCAATATCCCTGATGAACATTGATGCAAAAATCCTCAATAAAATACTGGCAAACTGAATCCAGCAGCACATCAAAAAGCTTATCCAGCACGATCAATTCAGCTTCATCCCTGGGATGCAAGGCTGGTTCAACATATGCAAATCAATAAACATAATCCATCACATAAACAGAACCACCAACAAAAATCACATGATTATCTCAATAGATGCAGAAAAGGCTTTGACAAAATTCAACAGCCCTTCATGCTAAAAACTCTCAATAAACTAGGTATTGATGGGAAGTATCTCAAAATAATAACAGCTATTTATGACAAACCCACAGCCAATATCATACTGAATGGACAAAAACTGGAAGCATTCCCTTTGAAAACTGACACAAGACAGGGATGCCATCTCTTACCACTCCTGTTCAACATAGGGTTGGAAGTTCTGGCCAGGGCAATCAGGCAAGAGAAAGAAATCAAGGGTAGTCAATTAGGAAAAGAGGAAGTCAAATTGTCCCTGTTTGCAGATGACATGATTGTATATTTAGAAAACCCCATCATCTCAGCCCAAAGTCTCCTTAAGCTGATAAGCAACTTCAGCAAAGTCTCAGGATACAAAATCAATGTGCAAAAATCACAAGCATTCCTATGCACGAAGAACAGACAACAGAGAGCCAAATCATGAGTGAACTCTGATTCACAATTGCTACCAAGAGAATAAAATGCCTAGGAATCCAACTTAGAAGGGATGTGAAGGACCTCTTCAAGGAGAACTACAAACCACTGCTCAACAAAACAAAAGAGGACACAAACAAATGGAAGAACATTACATGCTCATGGATAGGAAGAATCAATATTGTGAAAATGGCCATACTGCCCAAGGTAATTTATAGATTCAATGCCATCCCCATCAAGCTACCAATGACTTTCTTCACAGAATTGGAAGAGCCCACATTGCCAAGTCAATCCTAAGCAAAAAGAACAAAGCTGGAGGCATCGTGCTACCTGACTTCAAACTATACTACAAGGCTATCGTAACCAAAACAGCATGGTACTGGTACCAAAACAGAGATATAGACCAGTGGAACAGGGAAGAAGCTGCAGAAATGACACCACACATCTATAACCATCTGATCTTTGACAAACCTGACAAAAACAAGAAATGGGGAAAGAATTCCCTAATTAATAAATGGTGCTGGGAAAACTGGCTAGCCAAATGTAGAAGGCTGAAACTGGATCCCTTCCTTACACCTTATACAAAAATTAATTCAAGATGGATTAAAGACTTAAATGTTAGACCTAAAACCATGAAAACCCTAGAAGAAAACCTAGGCAATACCATTCAGGATGTAGGCATGGGCAAGGACTTCATGACTAAAACACCAAAAGCAATGGCAACAAAAGCCAAAATAGACAAATGGGATCTAATTAAACTAAAGAGCTTCTGCACAGCAAAAGAAACTACCATCAGAGTGAACAGGCAACCTACAGAATGGGAGAAAATTTTTACAATCTACCCATCTGACAAAGGGCTAATATCCAGAATCTACAAAGAAACTTAAACAAATTTACAAGAAAAAAACAAATGACCCCATCAAAAAGTGGGCAAAGGATATGAACAGACATTTCTCACAAGAAGACATTTATGCAGCCAACAGGCACATGAACAAATGCTCATCATCACTAGTCATCAGAGAAATGCAAATCAAAACCACAATGAGATACTATCTCACACCAGTTAGAATGGCAATCATTAAAAAGTCAGGAAACAACAGGTGCTGGAGAGGATGTGGAGAAAGAGGAACACTTTTACACTGTTGGTGGGACTGTAAACTAGTTCAACCATTGTGGAAGTCAGTGTGGCGATTCCTCAAGGATCTAGAGCTAGAAATACCATTTGACCCAGCAATCCCTGTTACTGGGTATATACCCAAAGGATTATAAGTCATGCTACTATAAAGCCACATATACACGTATGCTTATTGTGGTACTATTCACAATAGCAAAGACTTGGAACCAACCCAAATGTCTATCAATGATAGACTGGATTAAGAAAATGTGGTACATATATACCATGGAATACTATGCAGCCATAAAAAAGGATGAGTTCATGTCCTTTGAAGGGACATGAAGGAAGCTGGAAACCATCATTCTGAGCAAACTATCGCAAGGATGGAAAACCAAACACCACATGTTCTCACTCGTAGGTGGGAAGTGAACTATGAGAACACTTAGACACAGGGTAGGGTACATCACACACCGGGGCCTGTGGTAGGGTTGCGGCCTGGGGGAGGGATAGCATTAGGAGAAATACCTAACGTAAATGATGAGTTAATGGGGGCAGCAAACCAACATGGCACATGTATAGCTATGTAACAAACCTGCACGTTGTTCACATGTTCCCTAAAACTTAAAGTATAATAATTAAAAAATAAGGGAAAGACTCAAAGACTCAAGCATTTATTTTGCCTTTCCTAAAGGGACACAATGTAATCAGAGTTGATGAGGTGAAGTTTCATTTTATAAAAGTTTTCTGGCTTAGCAATGAAAAAAATAATGATAGAATTAGAATATCACCATTTTATCACCCATAATGAAATAATGGATTAGTTAACATCACAGTTAACATCAGCTTTTAGCAAATGTAAGTGTCAGAAAAACATGTTAAACATTACCATAGAAATGCAATCAGCAAAATTCTTCCAACAATAAATAGCAGAAAAGGGGGGAGGCAGATCATCTAAAATTTAAAAGAGCCTTAGAAGATATAATCAAACATCGCAATATCTGTTTTATTTTAAATTCTGATTTAAGAGAACCAACATAGATAGATAGACAGTAGGTAGGTAGGTAGGTAGGTAGGTAGGTAGATATAGATAGACAGATAGATAGATAGATAGATAGATAGATAGATAGATAGATAGATAGATAATTAAGGACATTTAAGCATTGACTGATATTTAATAAAATAAGAAATTACTATTTTGATTTTTTGGACTGTGATAATTAAATTGTGATGATTTGATTTTTAAGAGCCATTATCTTTTAGTCATTTTAATAAAACAGTTACAAATGAAGTGATATGAATACTTCCAAATAATTTCCTGATGGCAGTGGGGGTGGGCGAGCATAGACCGGGATATAAATGGAGTAAGATTGGCCATGAGTTGATATTTATTAAAGCTGAGTAAATGGCTGCATTTGAGTTCATTATACTATTATGTTCACTTGGCATATATTACAAATTTTTTGTAATAAAACTTTTTTAAACATTTGGGACATATTTTCTTTTTCTATTCATAAATATATGCATGTAGGTATACTCTACATAACATAACAGACATCTCATTCTTTTATTATTTATATTTTTCTTTTTAATCTACATTTTTCTGTGTTATTAAACACAACATGACATAATGACAGTTTGTGAAGATGTCATAATTCTTGGACATTTAAATTATTTCCAGTTTTTCAGTGTTATAAAGAGGACTGCTCCAATTACCATGGTAGATAAATCTTTGTGCAGATCCCTGTTTATTTTATTAAGAAAATTTTCTAGAAATATGATTGCTGGATATGATATGCACCAATTTCTAGTATTTTAATACTGACTGCCAAAATACCCTTCACAAAGTCTCTACATTGTTAACAGCTATTTCAAAGTGGACCCTCACCAATATAGGTTGCATAGTTTTTCATTTTGCCATTTTGATAGACAGACATTGATATCTCATTTTTACTCATACATATTTCCTGTGGCTTCTGGTCACAGGCCTATATGGAGAACAATCAGGACTCCAAACCTGGAATCTTCAAAAACAATTTAGGACTGAATGCATAGTTTTAAAGAAAAGGTCCAGTCTCATGATATAAGGTATTTTGTCACTTTCATATCTGTAAGAATATATGTCTTTGTATATAATATCCCTGTTAATGGTCTGTATCCAAGTAAAATAATTGATGTAATTTCTGAAATCCTGTTTTTTAAAAAATGACAAAACTAAAAGGATAAACGCATGGAAAAGAAACACAATTCATTAATTTATCTCATTGACTCCTCCATACATTTATTGCACATACATGTTATGTATCCTTCTTAATAGTAATATGTTTGAAAATATCAATAGCAGTAGTCTCCTCCTTTCTGGTGATGCATGCCCTCCAGTGACGAAGCTGTTTACTTTCGTTTGATCCTGACATATCCATAAACCTTCTTTTTCTAAAAGCAAAGACTCTGATGTTCCCCCAACACAAGTCCAGGTCAAATCTTCTTTGTCAGGCAGTTCCTGGGGATAATCAGGGCAAGTCCAGTCTTCCCTGCCTTGCAGCTGTCTCTGCTTCTGTCTCACAGCTCACAGTTCACAACTCACAGCTCACACTCCCACTCCCCTGCCCCTGGTGGCTGCTTGCCTAGAACGATGGAGAGTTATCTGCCTGGTGCTGCCTGGCTTCGTGGCTGTCCTTCCTCCTATCCCCATCCTGCTTCTGTCCACAAACTGTGCTGCTGTGTGCGGACACTGACTTGACCTGGTGAATCAGTCTTGAGAGCACCACCCCTAGGGTCTCTATGTTTCTTACAACTGCCTTCTTTAATGCTTATGTAAAAAGTCCTGCAGAAGCAAAGTGTGCTTGTGAGGCCTTGGGAAGACACCTGGACTTTTCCTCTTATTTGGGATAAGCAATTGATCACACTGTGAATAAGAAAACCCCAATGGATTATTTTAGATGACTTGATTAAGAAAGTTTGAATGATTCCCCTTTAATCCTTTCAGTCACTGAAGTTCTGAACATTATTACCTTATTCCACCTTGTAAATGTTACTGATTTCCATAACAGCAATCTGAATCCAACAGAGGGGACTTCCTTTCCCAAATGCACCATCCTCCTGCTTTCCTGCTCTTTGAGATCTGTTTTGAGAAATTCTATCTGCAGGGATTTAAGAACTCAAATTCAAGATGATCCTAAATGCAGATTGTAGAGTAAGCAAAAAACAATAATTAAAAAGTAAAATATGACCTTTCTCATTCTTCCAAAGTACACAGCACCTTACCAGCTGTTAACCTCCATGCCAGAAGTTTATGTTTTCTTCACTCAAGGCCTTTGCAGCTTCTGTTGATTTTCCCTAGCCTAGAGCCACCCTTCTTCAATATATTAATTTCTTTTCCACTTTAAGTCCATTTCAGAGAAGTCGTTCCAGACTCTACTTCCAGCCGACCCACTGTGTTCTGGACTTTCAGTGTCCTGCCTTACCTAATTTATGATTGTTAATAGACAAGCTGAACCTGTGTCAATTGAAAGCTCCCTGCAGGCAGGATTGGGGTCATCTTGTTCACAGTTCTATGTCCAGCACCTGCCCCTCCTGCCCATGTATAGCAGAGGTTCGTGCCGTTTTGCTGAAGCGAATCGAGTTAAATTCTCCATCCCAAATACCCATCAAATCTTCTCTGCATCCTTGTTTCCCAGCCATCAAGGTACCTGAACAGGGAGGTCCTGCCTTCCTACCACACTTCTTGGAGCCAGCAGCACCTGGCCTCAGTGGGCGTTTCTCCCTGACCTCTCCAAACATCACATACTGAGCAGAGGCAGGATACTCTGAAGCTGTGGGTCTGGACAGGTCACACCTCGCTTTCCAGAACCCCCTCATGGGCACGCACTGCCCTCCTGCACAGGATGGATGGGACGGGAGGGCACTCCTGGGGCATGAGGCCAGCCCTTTGCTGTTGCTGCCATGGCTGTCTCTGTGCTGACGTCTCAGAACCACCAGCTCTGACCCACCTAGTCTTGAGGCCACTCTTTTGAGAAGCGCATATGAGTCCCAAATCTGATATTAAATATGGTATATAGAGTCATGGAATCCTAGATTCTAACCTAAAGGAGGGTAGAGATTTTATCTTCTCCTTCTCTGTTACCTCTCATAGCACCTCCCGAATGACTACAAGTACTGTCGTTGTTTAATTAATATTTGAAGAATAATGGACAAAGTGATCCAAAACTTTTGTGCCTTTTGCCATTTGTGACGAAACATGTTACTGAAATCAGGCAAATCTTGCGGAAACTACTTTTTTTAATGGTTTCAATTTGTTTCCTTCACCAATACACAGATTAACTAATAACTAGGGACATTGAGTGTGATTCCATCACCCCACAAGACTTCCTAGTAACTTAGGTGGAAACAACCTCTTTCAACGCTGTGTGGCCATTCCCAGGCGTTTATGAACTCTGCCCATTAGAGCATATGGGTTGAGTGTTACATACAGTTGATTCTCATTACTCGTGGATTCTGTATTTGTGAATTTGCCTACTCACCAAAGTTTATTTGTAAACACCCAAATGAATACTCTTGGTGCTTTTGTAGTTCTTCATGGCGAAAAAGAAAGTAGCCCACACTTGGAGACCCCCAGCCTGCACATTCCCAGCTGTAGTACACAGGGGCTCAGCTTTCTTGTTTCAGCCCGTACTGTGAACCGACGTCCTTGCCATGGTCTACTGGGTGCCTTGTGTTTCACATTTGCATGCTTTTTGTTGGTGATTTTGCTGTTTAAAATGGCCTCTGTGCACTGTGCTGAATTGCTACTGAATGTTCAGAAGAGCAAGGAGGCTGCAACGCATCTGACAGAGAGAATCGGCCTGTGAGACGAACTGTGCCAGGGCGTGAGTGACGGTGCTGTTTGGCGTGATCCAGTGCTAATGAGCCAACAACATATACTAAGTGAGGTGTCTTTAAACAGGCACACACAGAAAACCAGGTTATGTATTGATCAGTTGATAAAAACGTGACCAGAGGCTCACAGAAACCTAACCCTGTACTTACTCAGGAGCAAAGCTTCGGTGTCCACTAACTCTGCCTTTGCCTGACTCTGTAGAATGTGGCTACTGTGAAAAACAAGAATGGATTGGGCCTTATGTTTGACTCTCCCATTCCCACGACTGCTTTATAATAGTTGTATTTGTGTTCCTAGATTCAAATGGCTTTAATGGGACAACCAAGATAAATTCATAGCAGCTGTTATCCAACCTGGAGGGGCAAGACCCTGAGCCTGAACTGCCCCAATGTAGAGACAGAGAAGAAGCTGTCACTGACTCGGTGGCACTCTCCACCAAGCCCTGTGTTCAGGAACCACATGTGCAATACTCCCTACGTGCTCACAAAGACCTTATATGGTGGAAACCTCTCTCCTGCTGATTTGTGTTTGTAGACACCAAAGCTTTGCAGGATAAACTAACTTGTCCAGGTTGACACAGTGAGGAAGAATCAAAGTTGGGTTTTAAACCTTGATCTGTGTGACTTCAAAGCCTGCACCCTAAACCACTCATACTCCTCTCCAAGAGCTAAAGAATTAGAACAGTTTTTCTCTTGGGAATATTAACACCACCATGCCACCAGCTCCAACTTGAAAAACTAGAAACATTTCATATAGTTATTATTTCAACCATTTTCAGCTTGCTTAATGGCTTGAAGCCTGTTAATAAGGTTGTGTGTGTGTGTGTGTGTGTGTGTGTGTGTGTGTGAGAGAGAGAGAGAGAGAGAGAGACACAGAGACAGAGGCAGAAAACGAGATGTTTTCTCCTTTCCCTCTCACCTTCTCTGCTTTCATTTTTATCCTCATTTATTTTAAAAATGTATACAAATTATCCACATTTATTTTCTGTCAGATTTTGGGTACCGAATAAGCCAAGAGGGCATACTGCTTACTGTGCCACCTCACATCCAGACTCAGGTTGATAGGAATTCATGTGACACACTCTCCACAGGTCCCTAGACAGGTGGTTCTTTAATAAGTCAGCCCTAGGTGGACCACTCTTGGGTTTTTCTCTTTCTGAACATCTTCCTGCCTCCAGTGGAGCTCTCTTTACTTCAATCCAAAAGCATGGAATAAATACCCACCAAGGTTTAATTACTAAAGCAGGAACAATAAAATCGAGACTTTTCCCTGAAACACTGAAGACATAATTGAAACCAACTGTGCCCTAGAAGCTTAGGTAACTTTCACAATGCATTCCTTATATGATGTGTAGAAAGAAAACTTTTTGTCTTTTATCTTTTTTCAAAGGCAGAGACAGAACAAAGATATTATGCTCACAAAATCAACTTCTGTGAGTGGGGTACTTCATGTTTTTATCGTGGATCTAGTGTTACCATTTAGAAAGTTCAAATGGTAGAGGACAAGCCTGCAGTTGTAAACGTGTGCTTCCAAGAAACCCACCAGGATGCGGTCAGGAGAGGAAGAGCGTTTTTGTGAAGCACATTCTAAAAGCTTATAGCCAGTCCAAGCCATGACACCCTTTGCCATGTGAGCATGGCCACATCAGTGTTACGCTGTATTGTCCTCTTCCGAGTCCTCGCCGCTCTTTGAATTTACCCTGGGGATTATTCACTCATTTATTTTTTGGAGAGGCAACACCCTTCCTTTCATGGCCAAGTGGAATGTAAGCTCTAGGAGAACTTGATTCTTACTACATTTCTGCTTCTCTCTAATGTTTGGGACATAATAGATGCTCCTTAAGTAAATGCTGAATGAATGATGAGCAGAAACAATTTGAGTGCTGGGGTCCTTTAGAGCACACACTAGAACAAATAACAAAGTCCAGCTTGCCAATCAGCTTGCTATTAAACCACCACGAGTCCATTAATTTCTGTAAGCTGCAGACCGTCTGAACATAAAATAACTCATTTCATAATTTAGCCCCAAATACCTCAAAAGAGAAGTATGAGAAAAATGTAATTGGTCTGGAAACTTACCTGCGGGAAATTCAGTTCATTTATTGCAATGGCTGGGGTGAGAAATTCTGGAAAATTGGTGCATAATTTTAAACCAATTCACCCATGTTTAATTCAAACTCACATAATCTCATGAAGAAATATGAGGGAAAATAGATTAAACTATCATCAGCCAATGAATTGGCTTAATTATATTATTATATATTAATCATATTAGTTATTATAGTATATATGGAGAATAATTAATGAGAAGCAGTGACTTCTTTAGAGGGAACAACGCTCCATAATCCATTGTGTACTTTGTTATTGCCCTGGTTAGATACTCTTTTAAAATAAATCATACATATTAAATTATTTTATAAGGCCAGCATTAAAATGAGAAGCATTTATTACATTCAAACATTGGTAACATTATTCTGCTTTGCAATGTGTGCTACATTATTTGCCTCCTCTCCCCACACAGCATGAGTAAAGACAAGTGGAAGGACAAAGATAAAATCACCTCAGATTCTATGCTGTCCCCTTTACCCCACAGGAAAAGTCTAAGTTCTCAAAATGAATGTTTCTCCAATAAAATAACATTTTTTGCAAGGTGAGCAGACATCGCTAATGCACTATGAACACCCCATTGGCAATATATTAGTTTTATGCTAGCTTTTAATGTTTGTGGCTAAAATCAAGTTGATATTTCTTCACAAATACAGCACTTTATATCCTCAGCTTTATGAGCTAACTGACGTCAATCTACTGTGATTAATAGCCGGAGATTAAAAATAAATTGTTTTTGAATAGTGTGCCATTATAGCATCTAAAATATCCCCAGAAATCATAAACAGGGGCGGCCAGGGCCAGTCTCTGTCTGCATCTGCGATGAGACATCCCTTTGTCACCCTTTCCGGTCTGTAAAGCCTTCTAGAAAACACAACTTCTGTGAAATCTAGGTTGTCAGCATGAAAAGCAAATTGGCAGAACACAGGGTTCTGTTGCTAAGCGATCCCTGGCAAATACGATACGTGTACATTATAGCACTTGATGACACCATCAGGAGAGAAGAGAGGTCTCCAGCTTGATGGAAATGTACAGTTTCCGAGAGATGAGGGGCAGCAGGGAGAGCGGGGTGGGAGGGTCAGCCCCGCTTGCCTGAGAGGCCAGGTCTGGGGCTGCTGTGGTTCTATTTTGTGAGTGGTCACCTTAATTGGGAAATAGGTGGACATTGTATTTAATCTTCAGGGTGTCAGTATTCTCTGCTTGTGTCTAGGCTTGCCTCATTTTTGAAAGGAAGAGAGTGATGATTCTGCTGTTTCCATTCATTAGTGCGTCAGAGGGGCGATTTAGTCATAGCCATGTGCCCAGGTGAGCAGCAGTTTACAGGGATTCTTGAGAGCAAAAGAAAAGGGGAAACATGTATTTAATAATACTGCATGTGCTGGAGGAAGCATCTGGTAAAATGCCGGGGATGTGGTGAATTTCAATCCCAAATTCTATCCAATTAAAGAGCTGCAAGAGGCTCTGAGATCAGCTGGCCCAATCTCCTCAATTTGCAGGTGGGGAAACCAAGGGGCAGAGAGGTTAAATGGTGGCCCAAGGTCACACAGATGACCCATGGTCCACTGCCACCCTAGTCCAGCCTTATTTATTTATTTATTTATTTATTTATTTATTTTTGAGATGGAGTCTCGCTCTGTCGCCCAGGCTGGAGTGCAGCAAGGCGATCTCGGCTCGCTGTAAGCTCCGCCTCTTGGGTTCACGCCATTCTCCTGCCTCAGCCTCCCGAGTAGCTGGGACCACAGGCGCCCGCCACCATGCCCGGCTAATTTTTTTGTAATTTTTTGTATTTTTTAGTAGAGACGGGGTTTCACCGTGTTAGCCAGGATGGTCTCGATCTCCTGACCTCGTGATGCGCCCGCCTCGGCCTCCCAAAGTGCTGGGATTACAGGCGTGAGCCACCGCGCCAGGCCAAGTCCAGGCTTTAAGTCTTTCCAGGGCATCCTGGGTGACGCGGTGATGTCTCTGTGAATAAGCTACACAATAGAATAGACACAGTGACCTTCAAGAATTGTAGAACCTTCATTTATCATCTCTTTAATGTCAAGTAAGGTTACCCTTAGTGATACAGCACAGACACAAATTAAGAGAAATTAAGACAAAATCAAATGAAAGATTTGACTGCAGTATTGCCAGCTGTGATTAGGTGGAGTTGTCTCAACCCTTTCGTGTGCTCTCTTCTCTCCACTGGCTTGGTTGTGGATATTATCCCTTGCTTTTAACTAAATCAGTCATATTTTCTGGGCCATAATTCCAAATTAGAATGCACACCTTCATCCAGGTATTGCAATGCTTCAACCTGACAGGTATGCCCATTATGGCAGTAGGTCTCTTTCTCCATTTTTACTTATTAACTTTACATTCTTAGTTATGTCTGCCTCTGTGTAACTGTCGAATGATCATGCCATGAGAAGTTCCCCAGGATGGTCAGTAGTTAGGAAATTTGACAAGAATAATCAGAAACTTACAATACTGATGGAGAAAACATTTCAGAACAATATATTATTCTGAAATCGAGACATTCTGTAGTATAACAACAGGGGCCTGACAGTTAAAAAGTGTGTCCAACATCCATATCATTTCAATGAGGAATACTTCACCAGATTTAAAAAAAACCCCAGCATGTTAGAAAGCCTCATATAGTTCTTAATACTCCATAATTGACACTTAAAATTGTCTTGTGAAATGACTTACTATGTTTAAAGTGCTTAGTAAAATAAATATTTCTTATTTCTTCATCTGTAAAATTAGGATAATAAGAATAACTACCTCCAAGGGTAGTTGTGATAATGAAATGAAATCTGTAGGTAAAGTGAATATGCACAGTAATTATTAGCTAATATGATGCTGATGCTCATAATGGCCTTTCATTTAGTGAACTAAGAGGGATTTTGGAGTCTATATTAATATCAGATAAATCATCAATCACCCTATCCTCACTAGTTTCCTGTTATCCAGATTATCCCTTTTATTAAAAAAAGAGAAGATTTCTGGAAGAAAAGTGTGCCTAACTTGCAGATATATATTCAGCAGACTCCAGCCTGGGGCCTTCTGTTCCTTCCTGAGTACCTCAGACCTGTTTCTTCATCAGTCACATTTGACCTAAATCTCTGTGACCATATCACATAGTTATACATTTTATGTCAATAAAAAAGTTTGTCATAGCCTAATAGCATTTTCTATCTCCTATGGGCAGGTAAATAGGAACCATTGCACACTTTAGTTTTCAAGTCAAATAGTTTATGCCAGCAATGGAAAACTGTAATGGGATCAATGAATTTGCCACTATTTTCAATTTACCTATAATGTGCATTATCAAATCTCATAAAGACTGTTTGGCTGTAATCACAGTCTTCAACTGAAAAAACTAGCTTCTACCATCACAAAAATCACTGGCTTGGTGTTTCTGTGCACAGGAGCCAGTTACAAGTTTAAGCCTCAGTTATCACTGCTGATTTAAAATTTCATGGCTAAGATTTGAAAAACCATCAGAATTTAGCGGAGTTAATATTTGTAAATAATAATTATTATTTTCTTTACTTTGTACAAAGACCTCATAAAAAGGAGTTTCTCTGCTTGAAAGTGCTATTGGTTTAGGATAATTGTATAAATGTTTACTCACAAGGTGTGAGGAAGACAGACAAGATGAGAGCAAGAGGGAGGTGCGGCCTTAGGAGAGGAAGTCACGTTTAGCCATTAACTTTTTCAGAACTGTCGAGTGACAGATTTTCTTTGTTGCCCTTGTCACAAGGGAATTAAGTCTGAAATTAATTTTAAAGATAGAAAACAAACAAAACCATGACTGCATATAATTACCTGTATTTATCAGAAAACAAACAAAACCAAAACAAAAATCTCAACCCTAGGATAAAATCAAAACCAAAATGTTATAATATATGGAAAATAGCGATACTAGGAGACTCTACATCAGAATCTGTGCCACACAGCAAAAACAACACGCAAAGGGTGATTAGTAGCCTTAAGTATTTACATAAGTAAGAGTAAAAACCAAGGTAGTAAACACACAAATAAATTGAAAAAGAACAAGAAATATCACCTAACACAGCAATAGAAGGTACTAATAAAAAGAGAAATATGTGAATCAGAAAAGAAAAAAATTCTATATGTGATTTTTAAGAAACAAGAATCTTAACAGAAACAGAAAGACAAAAAATGGATGAATTATATGAGATTATTTTGCTTAACCCTGTGCACATAAATTTGAGAATCAGGATAAATAAGTGGTTTGGTAACATTAACAAAATTGATCCCAGACGAGAATAAACAAAGCAGACAAATTATTGGAGCAAGAAATAACAAAAGTTGACTAAGTGCTAATTCCCACAATGCAGCAGGCTTAAAGAGGTTCATAGGGAGGCCGAGGCAAGTGGATCATGAGGTCAGGAGATCGAGACCATCCTGGCTAACACGGTGAAACCCCGTCTCTACTAAAAATACAAAAAAATTAGCCGGGCACGGTGGCGGGCACCTGTAGTCCCAGCTACTTGGGAGGCTGAGGCAGGAGAATGGTGTGAACCCGGGAGGCGGAGCTTGCAGTGAGCCGAGATAGCACCACTGCACTCCGGCCTGGGTGAAAGAGCGAGACTCTGTCTCAAAAAAAAAAAAAAAAAAAAAAAAGAGGTTCATAGGTGAAGCCCAGCAATCTTACAATATTCAGGTAACTTCATTGCTATCTAAACTGCTTGAAAGTGCAGAAAAAGAATTGCAAATTCTGTTTTTAATTCTTGCATAGACAGTTAAAAGGAAAAGAAATCAAAGTTACAGATCAATCTTATTTATGAATAATGGTGCAAAAATGCTAAATAAAATATTATTTTATGAAATCCAAACTTCTATTATAATAAACACCCTATGAAGAAGTAGGGTGGTCTACTTTTAGAATACAAAGATGACTCAATATTAGAAAATTCTTTAATTTTTATATGAAAATAGTAAAAGAAATCACAAGCTTGTCTCTATTGAAGCTGAAAACTTAGCATCTGTTTATTTAAATTAAGCATCTATTTCCAATTTAACAAAATAATTACCAAAATAGGAATTAGTAGATAGTAGCAAAATACAAATATTTCTATGTATCAACTCAAAATCCAATATTATATCATGCTTAAAAGGCAAACATGAGGAAGTTTTCCTGGTAAGATCAGCCACAGGCAATGGTGTTTACTATCATCACCATATGTGATGTTTCAGAGAGGCTATCCGCACTGTTAGGTAAGAGGAAAGGAATAGGGATGCAAATTTAGAAAATAAGAGAAAAAATAAATAATTCAGGAACATAATTATCGCATACAAGAGTTCTGTATGTGATAAAGATGGCATTTATAAGTATTTGAGAAAAATGGTTTGATTATTTAATAAATCATGTTGGAACAATTGCAAATGACTGTCATCTGCAGAAAAAAAATAATGAAGTGAGATTCCCTTCCTCTTGGCCAACACCAAAATAACTTCAGCTGAATTAAACACTTAAATGTTAAAAAGAACAACAAAAATAACCCCGACAAACATACAGATAATGCAGGTTTTCATGAGGACTTGTTTCTTGATAACTTAGATGGGAGAAAGCTTTTCTAATAATGCTCAAAAATCAGAAAACTTAAAAGGACTGATGTATTTATCACATTATACTTATTCAAACCATTAATAAAAACACCAAAAAAAAAAATGACAGATTCGGAAAAAAAAATATTTAAAACACAAATTCCAGTGCTGTAAATGGAAAACATTAGTCTAGTTAACCTTTAAAATTCCTACAGGCTCTAAATTTCCATTAACTTAATGTATTTAATAATTCACATTTATTGAGCCATACACACTAGACTTACCCTAAGCGAACATAAAACAGAAGATTTGTGTTAAATTCCTCACTCCTAAAAGAATCCAGGATGTGGCTCAGGCAGCGAGATAAATCTATGAGCTAATTAGAAGATTTTGAAAAATGAGCACCAGGAGTTCTAAAAGGATGGTGTTGGTGGTGCCAGCATAGTTTTGGACGTTCCTGAATCCCTCTATAAAAACAGCCATTAGATTTTTCTCTCCCTCCAAAAAAAGTCAATCAACAACATCAACATTTTCAATAAAATAAAACAGTAAGATATCCCCTGAAAGATCACTTACAAGTCTCTGGAGCAAGCCAGCAATGCCCACCAGGTCATGTGTTGCCAGCACCTATATGGAGAGGAATGTCAGAGAGCACTAGGTATGTAGACACAAGGACCCCCGGGGATGTAGACATGACACAAGGACCCCCAGGGAGGTGGACACAAGGGTCCCCAAAGAGCCAATAGACAGAGAAAGGGAGATGTGCCAATTTGGAGGTAGCAACTCAAACAGGATTTTTCTGAGTCTGCATGCAAGGGGTCTGTGGTAAGTCCAGAGAGGCTGGGTCTGGACCTTATTAACTCCTGAAACTAGTCTTCCAGGGCATCCTTCCAGGGTAGAGTGCTGAACTGAGGAAAATTGCTTAGAGCAGCAGTCCCCAAACTTTTTGGCATCAGGGGCCAGTTTCGTGGAGGGGATGGTTTCAGGATGAAGCTATTCCACCTCAGATCATCAGGCCTTAGATTCTCATAAGGAGCAGAAAACCTCGAATGCACAGTTTACAACAGGGTTCCTGCTTCTATAAGAATTGAATGCCCACTGATCTGACAGGAGGCGGAGCTCAGGCGGTCATGCTGTCTGGGATCTGACAGGAGGCGGAGCTCAGGCGGTCATGCTGTCTGGGATCTGACAGGAGGCGGAGCTCAGGCGGTCATGCTGTCTGGGATCTGACAGGAGGCGGAGCTCAGGCGGTCATGCTGTCTGGGATCTGACAGGAGGCGGAGCTCAGGCGGTCATGCTGTCTGGGATCTGACAGGAGGCGGAGCTCAGGCGGTCATGCTGTCTGGGATCTGACAGGAGGCGGAGCTCAGGCGGTCATGCTCTCTGGGATCTGACAGGAGGCGGAGCTCAGGCGGTCATGCTGTCTGGGATCTGACAGGAGGCGGAGCTCAGGCGGTCATGCTCTCTGGCCCGACGCTCACCTCCTGCTGTGTGCCCAGTTCCTAGCAGGACACAGACCATACCAGTCCGCCGCCTGGGGATCGGGGACCCCAGCTTAGAGGATTATAACTGAGCGAGAAAATGACCATGGAAAAGAAAGAAAGAGAAAGTGGAGGAGAGGAATAGGGACATGACATGTCAAAAAGCAAGCTGCTGTATTTTTAAAAATGATACAAAACAACATAAAAGGGAGTTCTTTACAAGATAATAAAAAAGCTATTTGAAACAAGCCTCTTTCTAAAAATCCAGGAAAATTAAATTTACGTAAAAGCAACAGGAAAGCATGGAGGTCAAATTCCATACAAAGTTACTTTAAGAAAAAAGAGAATAAGAAGTAGAATAACATCTTGGTAAACAACGAAAACAAGATAAAAAGACATCCTGAGAAAACAGCAAAATTGTAAAGTATAATTTCAGAATAAGATAAGAGGTTTAAAAAAAGATATGAGACATAAAAGAACATAAATCATAATTGCCAACATTTCAGCAATGAGGTGAAAATTTTAAGAAATAATATAAATACAAAATGAAAATTTTAGAAATACAGACTTAAAAAAAAGGTTGAATGGACACAACTTATATTGCCTTAGGAGAAGCAGAAGTTAAAAAAGGAAAAAAATTAAAAAGACAATGAAGATAAGTGAAAGCATGAAAGTGACAAACACTTAAAACAGATAAAGACAACTGAATAGGAGATTGATGTGTGCAGTCAAAACAACAGATAATGACAAATACTAAAATTTGTGATCAATAACTTTCAATTAAGAAATAGATTTGAAACAATAAATCAAAATAACTCATTATAAACCAGGGAATATCAAGTGAAACAACTAAACTAAGACATATACTAGTAAAATTACTAAATTTTACAGAAAAAGAACAATAATAATTTGATGACTATCTAGGCAAAATAAGACATGGCTTATATAGAAAAGAAAATTAGATTATCATCAGCTTTTTTTTTTTTTTTAAGACACCAATGTTTTATGCCAGAAGAAAATGGAGTAACATGTTTAAAATACCCACGGTAAAGAAAAATGTGAGCCAAGGATTTTATAACTAGCAAAACTGGCCTTCGAGTACACAAACCCCAGACAAACAATTGTCAACGTTTAATAATCTAGGGAATTTTCTTTCCTGACTTCTTCCTACAGAATCACCTAGAGAGTAAACTTCAGAAAGCCAAAATGACTGCAGATAAATTGACATTATTCTAAGTAGAGAGAAATAAGTGTATACTTACTGGTGGAACTAATACTAAATGGATAAAAGAGACAGCATAGTATGAAATGGTTACAAGACATGACAATGTAGAAAAGTACAAGATAAAAATTGGAGAGACAATGAGCATACATACTTATATTTAAACTATTTTTAATAATCAAACTCAGTGGTAGTAGCCTAGTACTGTTATTCTGAGGCTTATTTGTGCAATGTGGGAAAGCAGTGAACCCTTTGGGGATATTGTAAATTAACCTCTGTGTCTTTGAGAGCCAGGATTCTTGGTATTAAAGAATGAAGTTAGATATTTAATTAGAAGAGGAGAAATATGAATGCTTTGACTTGAAGTTTAAATCAAAAACATTGGTAGGTCCTCAAGAAGTATTTTATCTTTAAATAGATAATTAAGTTACATATCTACCTGTCTATTATTCCTAGCTTTTTCTATTGAAAAGGCCTAACAATAATGACTAACCAGACAGCAATGAATGTCCTTAATGCCAAGACTGTGGCCTTGAATTGTCATTTTCCATTAAAAGAACAGAGTCGGAACATCTTGACATACCAGATAATAAGGAAGCTATCAAAGATTTGTAGACTCACTTCAAAGACTCAGGAGTTTATTTTAAAAGGCCCCTTTGACCAAATATGGGACAATTTGAGCTTCGAAAGGGATAAAAATTTTAATGAACTGAAACCCAACAGATAGGTTTAAATTCATAAGTTCTTAATGATATTAAAAATTAACAACTAGTCGCATTTTGAAGATGACAGGGAAAAATTCATTGTCTTGAAAACTAGGTAAATGCAAGAAAAGAATCAGGCACTTGTACTTGCTTTTAAAATGCTAAATGTAGCATTAGATAATAAAAAAAAGAGAAGAAATTTTTTTTAAAAATCATTCCAGATAGTTTTAAAAAAGATAGAATTAGGATATCATTCTTTTGCAACCCTTGTGAAAGAATAGGTGTAGGCTTTGACCATAAACAGCACTACCACCAAAAATGAATGAAATGTCAATATTTTTTGCTTTCTGATGAAACAATAGAGTGGCACCCATACTCTTGCCGAAGAGATCAAACCTGAGTCTCATCAAGTCTCTGGATACTGCTGTCAATCTGCAGGAAAAACAAAAGGTAGAGAGGTGAATTGAGTTGCACAAGGAACGTACAATCAGCAAAAAACAGGCTGAAGGAGATGGTACTGTCAGATACTATGTCCAGAATTCTCAGCAGATAAATTATAAGGCAAATAAAGGGCTGTGGAAGGTAACGTGAAAGAGACTTAAAGGACAAGTCTAGTGTATTAGTTCATTCTCACATTGCTATAAAGAGCAAACTGAAACTGGGTAATTTATGAAGAAAAGAGATTTAATTGACTCACAGTTCTGAAGTCTGTACAAGAAGCATGGCTGGAAGGCCTCAGGAAACTTACAATCATGGCAGAAGGCGAAGGAGAAGAGGGTATGTCCTACATGGCTGGAGCAGGAGGAATAGAAAGCAGGGGGAGGTGCTAGACACTTCTAGACAATCAGATCTCGTGAGAACTCACTCACTATCACAGGAACAGCAAGGGGGAAGTCTGTCCCCATGATCCAGTCATCTCCCAGCCGCTCCCTCCTCCGACATTGCACATTACCATTCAACATGAGGTTTGGGTGGGTACACAGAGCCAAATCATATCATCTAGTTTTTAAAAACATTTTTAGTGAGCAATCTTAAACAGTAGCTTGTAGGGGTCCATGCTTGGGTGATTAAACCATAAAGAAATGCAAGGAAGTGACTACCACAAAAATGAGGATGCAGAAGAGGTCTTTGGGAAGTTTCAAAAGGCCCCATGGCAGCGCTTCTGAGGGCTCTACCAAAGTTCTGTCTCCACACCCTGATGGGGAATATCCCCCTTGCGATGTTTCACTCAGCCATACCTTTGTGCTGGGTGTTGTTCTGTATGTATGTTTTATGTTACCATAAAAATCTATAATGTAAACAATAAAAAAGGTTATTATCAAAAATAATTTATGTTAATCTGTGTGTGTATTTGGCAAATATATACTGAGCAGTTAGGATGTGCTGGGCCCTGGCTCTATGCCAGGCAGAGCTGGACTCTGCCCACCTGATAGAATGTCAGAGGGAGCCAGAAGGTGAAGAAGGAGATAAGTGTTCGGGAAATTTCAGGGACCTGGGATCTCGTCCAGTTAAAGAATTTTCTGAACCTTGTTCATTATTCCAACCAATTTGAAAATGAGAGAAGATGCTCAAAAGTGTTTATCTCTGAAGCAAAGACCTGAGTGTAAGTGTTGCTATTGCAAGGGTAACGAAACACATCCTGAGCGCGCTCCATCACCTGTGAGGCAGAGAACGGGGCAGGGGCGGCGGGCGGGGGGCACTCTGTTGTCTCACGTGGCATAGGTTTTTGGCCAGTCAAAGCTCAAGTCAAAATTTAAAAACGAAAAGATGGAAACTGGCTGAAAGTTTAGCTAGGACGTTTCCTAACAGCAATGGCAAAAAAGAAAACTTTATAAGAGAGCCTTGAATCAAATCTAGATGCTTCAAACTTGTATCATAAATTAGAAAGCAAAATGGCTTGCAGTGTTTTTAAGGCAAATAACAAAAGTAAAATCTCTGCATGGTTATAGCTTGCATCCATGACATAAGACAAAAGATTATCTTTCAGAACAGATTTTAAAGGACATGTAACCGTTGGCAAAGGATTTGGGCATTGGGAAGATATCTTTAGTTAGCAGCACTTGATCTCTTTGTTTGAAGCTATTTTATATTGCATTTGTGTGTGAGGAAGGAAAGTTTCTAAGTGACTGTATTATGTGCCGACTGTCTAATCCCAGTAAAATCAGAGTGTTTTTTTTCCTTCAGAAAAAGGACACATAGCTATTTCTTATAAACGGAATCATTTAAGTGTATGTTGCCTGGTTATCACACTGTTTTGAAATTGATAATATTTTTGACATCAAAGTTTCCAGGTGAGAGCAAAAATAAAGACAAACAGAGTAACAGACAGAGACTAGATAGTTTTCTCCTTGCCCGCAAAGAAAATGCCTCCAGCTTATTCCCATTTAATCTTTAACATTGCTGACAAATAGAAAAATCAGGCGGGTTTTCTGCTTCACTCAACACTCTGCTTGATGGTGGTAAACTTATCGAGCTTATGGTCTCCAGTGGCAATGACTGACTTGGACCTGTGCAACCCGTGTCTCCAGCAGAGAAGAGGTTTTCTTAAAACAAGCAGTACAGCCAATGTCTGTCATTTTCCCTACATTCCTTAATGAACAAAGCAATATTCTTAAGCCTTTCACTGAAGCTGGCTTTACCCTTTGGCTTGGGGAGTTAATTTAGATTATTGTTTGTGTGTTTTCCTATGTTCTGTACCTGAAGGATAGTGTCTAGTTGTTTTTGATATAACAGTATTTAATTCATTATATTATGCTTATAAAGCAACATTCTGGGACAATAATTATAGGACCAATACTCAACAGTGGCTCTTTTCGTAGCTCCTTAGAGCTCCTTAAATGCTGACAGGATGTATTTTGTAGCTAAGCAAGCGGGCTGGCAGCCACGTGGGATTCACATCTCGAACCTGCCACTCGCTGCTTGTGTTTATGGGCAAGGTTGTTAGCCTCTTTGTCTCTTCATTTTTTTCCTTACAAAATGGAGCTAATAGCATCTATCTCAAATTGTGACGCAAATTTATGGGAAATTCTGTGCTTAGCACAACAGCTTTGCCACAAAATAGATATTTATATCAAATCAATAGTGTGCTGAGGGTTTTATTTCTAGAGTTCCCTTACTTTTATATACGCAAAGGCTAGCGAATTCAAGCATGTCTAATCTCTATTTCGGAATCAGTCTTTAATCTTATCAAAGTATTTTTTGGGGTCATCTACTTTGAGAAAAATTTAGAGAATAAAAAATCTTAGGCCCCTACTTCTTTTTTTGTGGGTGACTTGATTATATTTTTTGTGGCCAGTGATACGGAAAAATTAGTTTGTATTTGGTATGGACAAAAACGATCTCTACTTTGCATCTGCACGCAGTGGAGAGAGAGCAGCTCTGTCCTGAGCAGAGCAGGAAGTGAGGGGAACTTTGCTTTTTGTCAACATCCTTTCCCAGGCTGGCCCTGCGTCACTTCACTCTTCTCTCAACAGCACCTTCTCCACCAGGAGGGGAAGTAGCCAAGGAGATACCAGGACAGAATACTAAATAGAAAACGGCCAAGGGATTCAACTCTGGGTTCACTGCCAGGTCAGCTGGAAGTGGGGACAGAGAAAAAGAATCCAAGAGAATAATGAAGCTGGAAAATGTGGGACCCAGAGCACAGATAGCCCTTCCATGGCCATGTGCCAGAGCCTCGTGTGCCCTTGTGCATGTGTGAGCTCCCAGGAGAAGGGCTGAGAGTAGAGTTCTCACTGCCGTCGAGTGCCCCCTGCAGAACGCATGGCTGTGAAGCTCCCCCTGGGATGCTGTCCTTCATCTTCACGTACGTCAGTGTTTTGAACTTTGGCAGAGCAACATGTAGTCTTGGGGAGACCGAAGGAAAGGCCTCCTTTAGTACCTATTATGCACCCATGAAATGCACAGTGCAGGTGTTGCACATCTTCTCCTTGGACAGAGGAGGAGCGGGGAAGGGGATGGGAGTGAGCAGGAAGGAGACATGCGTCTGACCTAGAAAAGGAGGGGAAGAAGCTCCAAGGCCCAACCCCATCCTTCACTTGCTCTAGCTCAGTCTTGAGTCCTGAGAGGAGCGGAGTGACCTAACCCTCCTTGGAGAACCCTGGAGTATTGCCATGTCTTCCGCCTTTGCCTGGAGCACAAGGGAAAGCACAGCAGAGCAAGGTCTGCAAAGTTCATGAGGGCAGAGCGAAGGCGAGAGAAATGTAGGGAAGGAGAGAAAGCATGTCCTGCCTGCTCAGCCACTCGGCCCCAGGGCGGCCCTCTTGCCTGCCCCCTCCACCAGAATCACTCCATCCTTGGGTGGTCCTGCCCTTGGCGTCAGTTAATACCGATGGACTGAAGTGGAAGCTCTCGCAGGAAGAGAATCTTGGGTTTGGGGATTCCTATTGACCGTGTCCTCTCAGCTGCAGAATTGGAACCTGGAATCCCTTGTGGGGTCCAGGTCTTCCCACTGACCCGGCCCCCTGCTTCCCTCTCCCTCTTCCCCTTTTCTTCCCTCACCAATACCCTGAGTTCCTGGATCTGAAATCCCCTCTGGGGCCGCCTCTGCTCCTGAGGACTGAGGCCCCCCACACCCAGTTCCTCTCCAGTAAAGGCCCAGGGCTGGAAGGGCTTGCAAGCTCCAGGCACCGTATCGGCTGCATGTGTGTTCAGCACTGCTTGAAACCCAGTGTGTGGTTGTGGAATCGCTTCAGTTGGTCATCACCATTAGGTTTTTAATCGAATTAAATAGAACAGAAAAGAGATGTTGATCACATTTGGTAAATACAGGTGTTCCTTAATGAAATTTTGTTCCAGTGGGGTGTGTGCGTTTGTGTATGTGTGTGCCCACATATGATTTTGTAGTGGAAAATGCATCTCTTATAAGAGATCATTGTCCAAAATGTAGGAAATTACAGAGATAGAGTAGATGCTCCATGAGGCCAGGGGCTGCCTGTGTGGGACTCCTCCCGTGGACCCGTGACTTGGACAGATGAGAGATTGAATGGTTTAAACAACACAATATAACTTTGCCCACCACTCTCCTTAAATAAGTCACCAATGGCTTCAGATACAGCAAATTCAGTGCCCTTTCTTCAATTCTCATTTTATTTTGTTCAATACTTGATAAACTCCTTATTTCTGATTCTTTTCTCTTGGCTTCCCTACTTGGTATGGGCCATTCCTTGTGTCCTTTGGTTGTTGTTGCCGATCCCATCAACTGAATCATTTTCCAGGTGAAGGCCCTTGGGGAGCCCTTTCTCTCATAGCAATCCGGAACGTGATTACACATGGGATCAGACTCACTGTGAGATGTTTTGTTTGTTTATAGTGCTACATTTTGATTATGTTGTTATAGTCTTCTCTTATTTAGTATGGCCTGCTGGCAATATAACTAGTGGACACATTGTATGTGGCTATGTAGTATATATAACGTATCTGTGTACTACATACAGAGAGAGTATGTATGTGTCAGAGACGGAGAGAGAGAGGGGCGGAGAGAGAGAGGGGCAGAGAGAGAGAGGTGGGGGGTGCAGTTCCTGATGTTCTTATCAGTTTTAAAAAAATTGTATTGTAAACCACTTTGCATATACACAGTTATGTGCTGATGCACTATTCGTGATTATCTATAATAACAGTGAAGTTACAGCAGCAATAATGGTTGGCCTTCAGTACAGAGTCCCATCTCCAGTCAGGGAAAGCTCTGAACCAGTGGAAATTGCTGGAATGGGTGGTGAGTCAGCCTGAAGCTCTGCCCCAGTGGGCTGATGCTCTCTGCAAGGGGACTTCCGAATGCATCGATGTAGTCTTATGCAACGGCCGTGGAGGTCAATGAAAACATCTCCATGCTGCGTGCCCTGTTTTCAAAATGATCCATAACATGACGTCCTCTCTAAGTCAGCCCTTCCTGTAGATTTCATTCAGTAATTTTCTATGCAGCTTGTTGTTCCTAATCCCATAGCTAAATTGATCTTCAGCATCACATTTGAAAGAGAGAAATGAAGCTTTTAAACTTGCTGCCAATTCAGAGAGCTCCTCTCCTGGGTGTTGTCTATGGTCTCAGCAATTATATTTTTTTATCGAAGACATTTTTATGTGAATAAAATAATCTCAATTTCTTAAATGAGACAATTAAACTCCATTTTACCTGGCTTCCCCAGGGCTGTGAGGTCTTTAAACTGAAAGAACATCTTTGTTCAATCCTCTGACAGAATGGCTTTCATTCTTTTATTGACTGACATCTGTGTTCTGAATTTCTCACACTTGTGTTACACGGACAGGACAAGGTGGGGTTGAGCTGCCACCCTGGGGATGCCAGTCGGAATCACTTAGACTTGCATGCTATTTGCCCATCAGAAACTGAGGGTCTCACTCCATTTTTACATGGTGATAAGGTCTTTGGTGTCAGTAGCTCTTTTACTCCAGCCTGTACCCTGCTGGGGACAGCAATAACTTAGCTGCTCCAGTGGCAATTCTTGTAATCCAGGACACACTCTAACATTTCCTTCTATGTGCAAGGCCACATCGTTTGCAACTCTGCTTATCACTGCAAGGCCCCAAGGCTGAGTAGTTAAAGTCACATGTGAAGTCTGTTGCAATGGGGAAATTCCTTACTCCTCATGGTAGATTTTATTATTGCTTTAGATTCTTATCCTCCTTCCCTAGAGGATATCAGTCTTGGCCATGGGGCTGCAATATCCTTCCCGATGGGAGAATTAGGAGGTCCCCCTAAGCCGAGCACCCACTTTGCTGAGTGGCATGCCACTTGTGTGTCCAGCGTAATATGAGAAGGAATAACCTGCGTCATCTTTGAGCAGAAGTGTCAATAGCTGGCTCATGAGTCCCCTTATCTTGCCTTGCTTTGAAGACTGGCAGTGTCCCAGATAGTGACTCCATCAGACTTGCTCATAAATTGAACAGAATGTTGAGCAGAACCAAACCCCAGACAGACCTGTAACACGAGGGAGACGGAAATGTGTGCCGCCATAGCCTCTGCAATTTGATGGATGTTTGTTAGTGAACAGTGTACTCTTGACTGCCTGGCTGATATTTTCTCACCTCTGAGTGTTTCCTAATGTGTCACCATTAATTGGCACCTGGAGCTTCTCTAGCTCTTTTGTCCCTCAAATTATAGGATCTTGGTTCTATTTCTCCTTCTTAGGAAATGCTGTGCTGTATACATTTTTGTTACAAAAGTTGCACAGTGGGCTCTTCAAGAAAGGCCTCTGGTCCAGGGATGTTGCCCCAGGTGATGGAGGACACATGACGGAGGAGGGTGGCAGGGATAACCTGGAGGAGGTGCAAGACTGAGAAGGGCCTGGCCTACCCTGGGCGAAGGCTGCACACTGTAGGCACAGGTGCTATGTTAGTTCAGAGCACCAGCAGAGGCATTGTGGGATCCTCAAACATGAAAGCCACAAAGAGCTTGCCCCTGTACATCCTTCCACAAGCTTATATCCCATGTGCTACTATGGCCTGTACACATTTATATCAAATCTTAAAAGATAGGGAATGGTAAAGGAAATTCACCTGTACCATTATACTGGTATGATATGGCTTTCACAGGTCCTGTGCAACAGTGCCAGAGATGGATGGTGAGAAAGTTGGATGGGTGAATTTCAATCATTTAAGAACTTATCCCTACTTGAAATTCATGGGTAGATGAGGTGTATCTATGTGTTTTTATAGTGGAGTATGTTCATTTTGACAGGTTCATTGAGCACAGACATATTAGAAAATAACAAAGGAAAGAGGATACTTTTTGGCGGTGGTATTGTCTAAAACATGAGAACACTTCAAGACCAAGACCAAGATGGGGGTGTCTGGCTTATGGTCTTCAGAGAAGGAGAAAGTCGTGTGCGTGCAGAGGCTGAGGGCCACACAGCAAGCTGTGATTTCATAGCAGTACAGAGTTGTGTTTGTTCCAGACTGCGCTGGCCTTGAGGAAAAGACAAGGATGTGTCCAATAATTATGATGAGACTGAATATCTAACAAAGCTAGTAGGGGTTTATTTTAATGTCCTTCCTTAAGGTTCCTGTAGCTTCTGTTTTGTTCTGAGTAGCTTTTGAAGTTTCTCTGCTCTGTGACAGTCCCATCTCTAAATCCATCTCTAAACCCAACGTAACTGACCTGGGTCCGCTCCCAGCTCTGGAAAATTACATTTTCTTGGACAATTCACTTAATTTCTTTCTTACATTGTTAAAAAAAATCTATGCGGTGAGGGTTTTGAAAGTACGTACTTCAAAGAATTATTTAGAGTAATAAGTAAAATAATTCATATGCTTAGAATACTGCCAGGTACTCTGAAGCCATTAATAAATATTAGCCACTCTTCTGGTTGTTTTATGTTATTTAATTTGTCATTATTGGATGCGGTTTGTGACCAATTCTCTGCTCCATCTAGCTTCACTTCTCCTTGCACTTACCTAAGGGTCTTTAATAAGTTTAGAAAAGTAGATCTTGGTTATTTCTTCTTCTTACCAATATAAAGTTACAGTGAATGGATTTCCCTCCTACCTGAAACAGCTAAAGACACAGTCAGAACGTGAAACAGGGGTTTTCTGACACTGGGCATCAGCCAGTACAGGACAATGACCGTCGGAGGTGGGAAACAGCATCAGCTCTGGAAGCACCGCTACCTCCTGCCGGGAGAGCGTGTTCAGGCTGCTGTGCAGCGGGGGTTCCCCAGGAGGACCTGGCTCATCCTTGTACTGAGGAGGTGGGGCTGAGAACCCGTAGAGGCCAAGTGGATAGAGCATCCCAGGAGGGTACCCAGGAGGAGAGAGCTGCACAGAGAGAGGGAGCTCTGAAACTCGCAGAGGCCTCCCTCAAGCCTTTAGCTGAACTACATCATGGGAGCACCAGGAAACTACCCTAGGCTGGGGAAAGAACCACTCAAAAAAACCTGGAGGAATAGCCCTGGAGCTCACACAAGGCCATGAACATCATGTATTCCCACCAACCAGGGAGAAAAGTGCTTGTAAT
Organism: Homo sapiens; assembly: GCF_000001405.40. NCBI lineage: Eukaryota > Metazoa > Chordata > Mammalia > Primates > Hominidae > Homo > Homo sapiens. The sequence continues at coordinate 109,478,045 of NC_000013.11, read as the reverse complement.
TCATGGGACATCATCAGGGCACACAGAAGGGTATTGCCTCAGCAGGAGGCACATGCAGCCCTAAACTAAGGCTGTTTCGGCCCCACCTAACAAACAAAAAATCAATCTATCTGTCTGTCTGTCTGTCTGTCTATCTGTCTATCTATCTATCTATCTATCTATCTATCTATCTATCTATCTATCTATCTATCTATTTTAAAAAGAAGGAGATAAACAGATCTCCCAAGACAGATCTAAATATATAGACATAGATGATAGAATTAGTAAATAAGGACATTATAATGGGAATTGTAGCTGTATTCCATATGATCAAAAAACTGCAGAAAGAAAATGAGCCTGTTATCAGCAGAGACTTAGAAAATATAAAGATAAATCAAACATCTAGTGTTGAAAGTGACAGTGGCAAAGGTGAAAAATATAAGTGAGGTCATTAGCAGATTAGACCTTGCAGAGGAAAAGATTAGTGAACTTGTAAACATAGAAAGCTATCCAAAATGAAACACACAGAGAACAAAAGACAAGAAATGAACAGTGTGGTGATTTGTGGCACAAGTGCAAGTGGCCTCATGTATGTATAATTAGAGTTTCTAAAGGAGAGAAGAAAGGAGAAGCAGAAGAGATATATTTGAAAACTGATGTCCCCAAATGTCTCAAATTAATGAAAAATATACACTTGCTGATCCCAGCAGCTCAACCACTCCAAGCATGTGCATGCACATGCACACACCACCACACACACACACACACACACACGCTAAGACAAAGATGTTGAGGCATGTCATAATCAAGTTGCACAAAGAAGCCCTCTTCGCCTAACTTTCAAAAGTTTGGCATGGAAGCAGGTGTTTTAATTTTGCTCCCAAAAGGCACCTGGCTCTCTTTGTTTGTTCCAGCCCACTGAGAGGACTGTGGGGCAGACGGCCAGGACTTGGTCTGGAGGGTCACCATATGACACCACCTTGCATGGCTTATTGCCCTTGCTCCTCTTTGGGCTGAACACAAACTGCTGCCCGCAACTTGTCTCCAGGCACTTCAGGTCTCTGCCCACTTTATCTGGAGCTCTGGGTCTCCCTAGGCCACACCATCTTCTTTATCTTCTTTGGCTTTCCTCCCCCTGCCTGGACACCCTCGTTATGGTCTCAGTTTGGATGCCCACTACAAACAGAATCTCTAAGGACCTGCTTTAATATTCTATGTGCTTGTGCTGGGCAAAGTGTACACACCAACCCTTCCTGTCTGCCCCCGTAGAAATTTAATTGTTGCTTTCACTTTACTGTTCCTGACTGACACCTAATTCTCATGGCCATTCATGGACATAATCATTGTTAAACCTGTAGTCTGTAGCCAACTTAACTGTACTCCACGTAGGGGCTGTAGAGATCACGATTATCCCCGTGGACATGATATGTTTTATTTCATGAGAAGACTTTGCACTTGCTTTTCCCTCACCTGGAAACATTTCCCTTTGCACTTCACCAGGCTTCGGGCTTTCCACTCCGCATGTCTCAGTCCAAATGCTCTCACAATATCACATAGATTTCACTGCTGTTTCCTAGTGCAGCACCATTTCTTTCCATTGAAAACTTGATCACATCTCATAGTGGAGCTCATTTTGATACAGTGCTCTCTTTCTCTTTCTCTCTGATTCATAAAAATGGTAGGGGCATCAGGAAGATAGGGAAGAAGATACTTTAGTCATGAACCCAGAATGCTGCGTCTCAGTGCACGGATTCACGCTGTCCACCAACATTGCCCCACTGGCCCTGCGAGGGAAAGCTGAAAAAACTGCCTTCCTCACACCTTCTGAAGCATAAAATGGAAACCTCCAGTTGATTACACAGCTCACTGTCAAACCTCTACCTCATATTTTACCCTAGACACAAACTTGGTTAATATTTTATGTATTGCTCATCAGTATGCACAGCAATAAGGGCTGTGGCAGAAGGCTGAGGCTGTCGCTTGTGCCCTTTTGAGGATTTTATAAGTAAATAAAGTTGCTTGAAAAATAAAAAAAGCATAATTGCTTGCAGGGTATGCCATATATAGAATGAACGCGTTTGTGAGTGAAATGGAAGAGACATAATATTCTTGGATAAGAATGGGGTGTGTTTAAGAAAGGAGAATATACCCTTGTCACGGTGTCATAAATAAATTAAGTTTTGGCCTGACTGATAAAGATACATAAATTTTAGTCTTGCTGAACATACAGAAAAAATATGAGAATTGGTAAACTTACAAAAATACTGTCAGTGAAAGACATTTTCGTATACTTATGATTTTAAAATACAATAAAGAATGATTTGGTTATGAGATGCAAGTAATTTGGAAGTTATAGAACGTGTTAGGTGGGTGATTTATTTTGCATTAATTAGAAGTTAGGGATAATAAAAAGATTATTATAAACAAAGTATTATTTAAAATAGCTCAGTCGTATAATTTAGTACTTAACTACAGTTTAGGAAGTATTTTCACTGCACTTATGTGTTCCTGTACACAGATAGCGGATATATTTTTGGCTTCATGAATTTTATTGGAATATTTTGTTCATCAATTCTGTTTTTCTTCAACATATACAAATACATTGAAGACTCTTTATATATTCAAACAGTCTGCTATTAGACGTTACATCTTCTGTGAGGAACATTTAAATGTGTTTTCTCTCCTTCCTTCCTTCAATTTCTCTCTCAAGCAAATTTGCCCTCCTCTGTATTGAAGTAATATGAAATACTTAGATAATTTAAAAAACATACAAACACTGTATTTTGGAAGGGGGCATATGAAAACACCATCTTCCCTATGCTGAGGAATTCTTTGGAATAGAAAATACAATTCCAAGAGTGAAAGGGGATCTTTATAACAACAAATTTAATCAAGAATAAAGATCCATGGTGGTGAATATAATAAAGGACAAAGAACTTGTTGGTTACAATTTACAAAACTACAACAGATGAAGCATATTAATAAGTCTGCTAGAAAAATAACACTGAAAAACCATGAAAGAGACTTTCAAATCCTTTGAAATCCCTAATTGGTTAATCCCTGGGAGTTTAGGGTTATTTTCCCCATTTATATAGATGAGGAAATTGAGGGATTCTATGGCTTAAGACCATGAAATGAGCAAATAAAAGAGTAAGGCTGGAAATCAACAGCTCTGCGTTCATGCCACAGAGAAGAGACAGCTCCCAGTTTACAGAAAACAAAATGAAGTGGATCCATTCCTGTTTACTGAATAACGGGTTCCGTTGACGTATATACGGATTTGCAACAGACAAAATCTGTTTTTTCTCACTCTAGTTTCCCCTACACAAAGCACAGTGCTTGGTACAATAAACCTTTGTTAAATAAATGGATGTTAAAAAAAAAAAAGCAGATAGACAGGCTTCTGAGACAATGCCCACGGTGTGTCATATAATCTCTGTTATCAAATGTTCTACCACTATGTTTCCAAAGTGAACCTGATCACGCAGGCAACATTGATGAGCACCATGGCCCATTCAAATGGCCACTTTTGACACTAGCCCAGAAGTGGCCAGGGATTACTTTGGAAAGGCAGCGTGCCTGTGAAGCCATGAGCAAAGGGTTGACTCTGGGCTTCTCAGTCTCGTCCCACCCTAGTTACTAAAAGGTCATTTTATTTGTGTTTTTGGACTGGACAACATACTGTTTCAGAGCTAACATTTCCCATGTACGTCTTCTTTTCAACTTCTTGAAATGGTACTGGCAGCAGTTACTCACTGCTTGGACCTCTGGGTTTTTAATTGAAATTGTGATCCATGAAAATGTATGTGAACAGCAAAAGCTTAATCATTGAATGTGCTGCTCCCCTGTCCCCTTTGCCTGACCTTCCTGTTGACTACGTAACGTGGCCAACTACCCTGACTGCTAGCATTTCATACAAAATTATTTTGTCAACTTAACAATGGATTCAGAAGGGACAGTGCCTAGGTCCCCACATCTCTGTCTTCATATACTATGGTAAATCTGACCAACTCCATCTTGTGTTCGTTCTTCAAGTAGAATTAGCTGCTGAATTAGAATTGAATAAAGCCAGATGAAATGCGACCGAACAGAGGTGTGCCAGATGTAACAACTGACAGAATGGTTTAGCCTCAGAGGAGTGAGGCCAAGCAATTGCTGGAAGAGCATTTTCCCCTTCAGCATCTCAGCATGAAATACTTTGGATAAGGAGGCCCGTCTGGTTGGTTCCAAGTTAGAAAATATATACAGACATTAACAGAAAAGCAAATAGCAGGCCATAGAAATTATGAAACAGTGTCAGAAAGCTGCCAAAAATGGATATCCACCAGTAAGACCAGAAAACCTCCCGTGCCAGGGTTGTCTTCTGGAAAGACGGACAAAGAGAAACACACTTCAGTCAAGGTAATGCTTTTATTGACAGTTACCAGAGGCTGGGAGGAGTGAAGAGAGGTTGGTTAATGGGTAGAAACATAGAATTAGATGGAAAAAATAAGTTCCAGTGTTTGATAACACAGTAGGGCGACTATAGTCAACAATAATTTATCATATATTTCAAAATAGAGGAAAATATTTTAAATGTTCCCAGCACAAAGAAATGATAAATGTTTTAGGTGATTGTTTAGGTGATAATTACCCTGATTTGGTCATTACACATTGTATGTGAACATCCAGATATCACACTTTCCCCATCAACAGGTTCAGTTATGTATCAATACAAATTTTAAAATAAGTACAAAGCTACTGATGAGTGTTTAGCTTTATTTACAAAATTTTTCAAATGTGGGTAAAGATTTTTCAGCCTACCAGCTAAATTCTTTTTATATTTATTCACAGCAGCATTAAATTGGTACATTAGTGATTTCCATTCTTGCTTTGTGACAGAAAAGTACATTTGTAATTATATTTATATAAACATTTCAATCTATTATCAACAAAATGTATTTTAATGCACTTTAATTTAAAAAACAAATCCACTCAGCCATGGTGAAAAAGGTTTATGCAAGGAAGGGAGAATGCTGCAGAGCTAAACACTTGAGAATGAAACACAACTCCAAAAGGCAAGACAATTACAGCCCGGAATCCTCCTCCTGAAGCTTCCTTCAGTCTTTTTCCTTCACTCATTGGCCCCTGTCCTCAGAAACATGCCATCAGCAATGACAAGAACAGCTTAAAAACTTGTTTAGATTTTCAGCCTCCCTCCAAGTTATCCCAGCATTTCTCCTTTATGACTCCATATACAAGACCGGGCTCCCGTTTCTTGAGTTCATTTGGTGAACTGAGCCAGCTCCAGCACAGCACAAGGCTGCCTGTCAGGGCTTAACAAGCATTTGGTCTCACTACACCTCCTTTAGATGGAGCTAAGCATGGTAGCCTCCATTTCATGTCGGGTGTCACATTTGGCAAACACGGGTTTGAGTTTTGATTCTCAGTTCTTTCCTAGCTTCAGACAAATTCCATCTACTACTAGTGATCATTGGGCGTACCTCAGCCCACTGTCTTCCGGTCCCTCGCTTTTCCAGGCAGGGGGTGTCTGAAGCTTCTGTCTTTCTGCGTCTCTGAACAGGCACTGGCTGTCTTCATCCCCTGCTTGTCAGGCACATTGCCGAGGACTGTGTCCTATTTCTGATCATACCCCTCATATTAGAGAGTGTCATGGGCAAATGGAAGTCTAACAAGGTGCTCCTTTCCCCTTCTTCTTCTTCTTTTTTTTCTTCTGTCCTGACCACCTAAGCATGAAATTGGATTCAGGTCTGACTTTCTGCCTTGGATCTGTGCCTTAGAGATTTGTGGCCCTCCTTGGATCCACAGAGGGAAAGGCTACCATTCCTACCAGGGACTCCCTGAAGGCCAGCGGTCCTCCCCTTCCCTGGTCTTGCCCTTGTGGGAATCCATCATGACTCTAGATGTGTGGTTTTTGAGCAAAGTATTCACAAGTGTAAAAAATATAATCTCAATGGTGGCTGCAATAATTGAATTTGGATAACACGTGTGAATAGGCCTAGGACAGGCCTGGTAAACACACAACAATGGTTTTCTTATTTTCTTTCTGAGGATAAATTGTTTAATCTTTAAAATACTTAAATGCTAGACATGACAGCGTTTGGCTTGTAGATACTAGATTATCAAAGGTGATTTTTTTTTTTAAAGAATGCTTGTCTCAGCCTAAACCATGACTTGAAGGACCAGAAGTACAATATATTTTCTCCCTTTTATAGAAATATAGAGGGCACCATGTGTCAAGAGCCTCAGCCACAGCCCAGCTTAACTGGATCGTAAACATTACAAAGTTTTCTGTAAACAGCCATGGTCTCAGGATATCTTTAACCTGGTTTCAGTTGTATGCACTATTAAAATTCTTTCAAAACCAGGCTGAAAGGAAAGGAAATAAGAGATACTAGTATACCCTGGGCTACAGAAACAGAACATTGGATGGATATATAAGACAGATCCCATCTGGGTATTCAACGCATAGGCTCAGGAATTTCTGTCTGTTTTGTTTGATGCTGTAATGCCAACATCTATCATGGTAACTAGCATAATAGATAAAGATGCGCCGAGTGACTGATTTGCATTTGAGAAGGGGGCAACTAAAACTTGAAGGACATTTTTTAAAAGCAGGATTCAATATTGCCTGAGTTTGATATTCCAGTTACAATGCATTCGTTATTCAAAAACATTCTTAAATCTTAAATACAAGCAAACAGAAACTGATATTTCAATTTTCTTTTTACAGTTTTTATTTTCATTTTCCATTTTAGCTTTTGTAACATTATTTGAATGAAGTCACCATCATATTTAAAGTACAAGGTCAGCTGAGCCGAGAAAATAGAACAAAGAAAACAGAACAATTTTTTTTAGAAGGAAATGGCGGTATTCATATTCATAAAAGCAAATTTTAATCCAACAGCGAAAAAGGGAGTTAGAAATACAATGGATATATGTTGGGCAGTGAAGAATTCTTATTGCCATTCTTTGCTGAAAAAATTCATGGATGCATTCATCATTTTCTTCTCTCAAAAATGAAAGCAGTAAAACAAATGAGAGACCTAATTTTTAGTTCAAATAAATGAAAAGAAATGGGCCAAGATCCACTTCATTCCCTGAGAAAAAGAAAGAATACAAATGAGGTTTATTATGAGGCATTTGGAAACTAATGATCTCAAGTCAGCTGCAGGAATGCGCTTTTTGACAGCACATGGTTTATCAGTGTCGTTAGCAGAAAGCTCAGACTTGTGTTGAAGCTCAACTTCATCTAAAAGGATGTACTTTTGGTGCATGAAGTTTCAGCTACATGTGGCCTAACCTGGCCCCCATTCGCGTCTGTTTCTAAAGCATAACTTTGCAAACAGCTCTGAGCCACCATTTTGGTGCAGTCAGCTCAGCCGTGAATGAAGTTCGACATTCCCTTGGGTCAGGCGTGTGTACTTCCGTAAGCACAGACTACACCCTGGGTATCATTCACCTTATTTTAAATACATGCATGTCCTCACAGGGTCATGTGTGTAAGAGTCTGGGCAGGGTGTGTAAGAATCTAGGAAGGGTACCAGCAAATATAAATAAATTAACAAATGATACGACTTAAGAATGTCAGACTACTGTTGTCATCTTTGACTTCCATCTAGAGTCCAGATGAGAAGTGAGATGTGTGTTTTCATGCTTACAATTTCACTTCTCTCTAGCCTCCCCTCTGTATGACCAGACGGAGATTTATCTAACAGTGGCTGTGGGGAAATCTTGCTGTTAAACATTAGATTCCTTCCTAGATACGATTTTGTAGAATGATCATGTTGTGTACAAGGAGAAACTGTCCCAGATTCCTGTGTCATTCATATGGAGACAATGTTTATTTGAAGGACATCATACAAAAAGGGACCCTAGAGGCCCACAGGTAGCCGCAAATACAACATAATCCACGAGAAGACTGTGCGCTCACCTTGCTAGATTCCCAGGTATCACTTGACAGGGGCTGATCTCACTGTGCCCCCGTCCTGTTCATGATACTATTTTACACACACAACACCTCAGTACTTTGGATGAGCTATAATAATTCTGAATTAGAAGGAGCTGGACTAAAGTTTATCCTTAACTAGATATGTTTAAAATGTTATTATGTAGCAAAGAGGAATGGAGAGAAAATTATTTAAATCCATAGTATATATCATATGTCAAAAGAAAATTTGGCTAAAAACTAAAAAAAAAAAAAAACCCTAAAAATTCTTGAAAAACAAGGAACAACATTTTAAAAAGGATTTCTCACAATGTTGGGAGAAGTATGCCAAACACGTAATGAAATTACGGAAAAAAATTTCTCAGTCAGTTCAGCCTACTGTAACAAATTGCTACAGACTGGGTTGCTTCAACAACAAACACTTATTGCTCACAGTTCTGGAGGCTGGAAAGTCCAAGATCCAGGCCCCAGCAAATCTGGTGTCTGGCTTCCTGGTATACAGATGGCCACCTTCTCATTGTGTCCTCATGTGGCAGAAAGCAGAGGGATAAAGCTCTCACGTCTCTCCTTATAAAGCCACTAATCCCATTCAGAGGGCTGCACCCTCAGGACCTAATCATCTCCCAAAGGCTTCACCTCCTAACACCATCACCCTATGGATTAGGATTTCTGCACATGAATTTTGGGAAACACACTTAGTCCGTAACACAAATGGTTGACAGATCTTTTACCATAAAATGTTAACCATATAGAATGTGAAAAACAATAGAAATGAAATGAGTAAGAAAACAATAATAAAGAAGACATTTGCATCCCATATATGAGATAGAGGATTAATACCTATTATAAATAAATGTATTTGCAGATGTGAGAACATTACTAAGATCACAATAAATGAAAGAGCTCAGGAAATGAATGGAAAATTCACAATGGGATATAAATAGTAAAGAGAAATGTCTACCTTCCTAGCTACCAAAGAAATGCAAATTAAAGCAAGACCAGAAACCACTTTATTCCTGGTAAAATGTTTTAAAAAGGATAAAATTCCATACTGTTGAATATTATATGGAACATATAGTATTTCATAATAATTGGTAGAATAAACTGATAATGTTCTTTCTCAGTTAAAGCAATTGGATAATGTTTCAATGCCAACAGTTTTCATTCAACCTCTCTTCCATTCAAGAATTATTTGTTGAGCATCTACAACTTGTCAATGACTCTACCCTATGCTGGGAATTCAATGATGAACAAGATAAACATAGTGCCTTCATGATTCTTACTGTTGCTCTAAGGAAACATATATTAACAAATAAGATAATACATATTTTAAATAGTTGAGATGATATCTATGAGGCACAAATACTATTTTAAATATTTGGGATAATTCCTGTAAAGCACAAATACAGAATATATTATTATGAGGCTTCTGGAAACTGAAGTGGATTATATATTCTGTGCCTACATTTTGCACCTCCAAGTGGGTTACAGGTTGGGACCAGAAGCCTTAGTTTAGCAAAGAAGGGGCAGTAAGCAGACTACTGGTGGACACCTGGACAGCCCAGACAAACCAGGACACATGGTCACCTTTGTTATAGAAGATTTACTCTCTCTGATTTGGGAAAGTTTCCCAAGAAAGTAAAATTCTAGCTGATGTGCTGAAGTTTGATTAGAGCACAGCTGAGTGAAGGGAATGGAAAGAGGGGAGGTCATTCCAGAAGGAGGGCAGTGAGAGGGAGGTGCTGGGAAGAAGGGAAAGAGCTGCAGTCCATGACGCCCCGCCCTGGTGAGTGCAGGAGGCTGCAGAGCCCAGAGCGCTGGACCATGCAAGGCCCGTGCATCCTGCTGGGAAGCAGCTTCTGTCTCCTAAGATCCCTGGGAAGTCGCCTTGAGAAAATTATCAAAGAGGCATGATTTCAGTTTATAAAAGGTCACTGGCCACAGTAACCATAACATTGGAGCTAAAGAGGTGGCATGGAAAAGTGCACACCAGAATTCCAGTAAGGATAAAGCCATGATATTCTAAGTGTGAATGGATGATGAGCGGGGGGAGTCTTAAGCTGAAGTAGAAATACCCTTGCAGGTACATAGGGCTTGCCTGTGGTATTGGGGGAAATGGGTGGCTTTAAGAAAATTTATTTCAAGATCCTTGAATTCCTTAAGTAATCCTTCTTAAAATGGACCAGACTGAAGACAAACCTATGGTAACCTGGTTCCCCTTTATTACCACCCACTCAGCCAATACCATTTCTGAGAAGAACTTGGCTGGGAAAACTCCTGGCAGGTGGGGAAATGAGTGCCTCCATCTTGAAGGGAGAGCCTGAGGACACGCTGCACCCACTGCAGTCTCCTCCCTGCACCACTCAGATCTGCTTTCTTAGTCTTAACTCATTTACCCTACTGGGAACAGCTCCTCCAAGATGCTGTTTGGTCTTTGCCCTGGGAATCCATTGAGTGTAAAGTCAGTGTTACAAAATACAGAACAAAATACAGAACACAACAGCTGGTCATAGGGCTTCAAATGGTGCGTATCATCTCCTTTTTCTACTGCCCATTCTAGATGCCTCCTAATCTTGGCTAGCATCTCTGCCAATCTGTGTAGCTTACTGGTGCACCCAGACCATCATCCCTAAGGGACTCAAGCTTCTGATCATTGTTCCTTTTACAGGCTGTGCATTTGTTTAGTCATCATGAAAATCAGATAGGGGTGTATAAATGGATGCCCTAGTGGATCACCTGGGTGTCAAATACGTTTTTTTTACCAGTTCCCATTTGTGATAAGATCCCTGGTTTCTCTTCATGATCATGGTTAATTCACTTAGCTAGGATGGGTAGCTCTTCTCCTTGCTGCTGCTCTCTTGGCACAAGGAGCTTGAAGTGACTGAACGAGAGGCATAATTGAAAGTTAATGGGACTCTTGCTGTGTATCATTGTGGATATATTTTGCCTATAGATCCACAGAGTCTCAAATTTTAGCTACAAGAAAAATACATTTTCCAGGTGAATCACTGGGGGATTGGCAGAGCCACTCCAGTTTCCACACCATTATTCATGGCCCCAAGCATTCTACCTATTGAGGGCACAGCAAACAGCTCTGAGCCACCATTTTGGTGCAGTCAGCTCAGCGATGAATGAAGTTTGACCTTCCTGCCTAGTGGTGTTTGATTTGGGGTACATAACATATAGTGGAGGATGGCATCCATTGTCACATGGTATCACAAGCTTGCACCTTAGGTCTGCCTTCAAAGGGCCACCCTGTTGCTCTGTCAGGCCAGCAGCCTTGTGGGAGCTGTGGTATGTGAGAGAGCCCATGAATCCCACAGTCACATGGTCGCTGCCTCTGCAGCTATGCTGTAATGTGGGTCATTTGGTTCAACACAATGTACATGAAGAAATGCCAGGTGAGATAACTCAACTTCTGTAAGTCCTTTGAGAATGGTGTGGGCTAACATTTTACAAGATAGGAGAGGTAACCTGATGGCCAGAATATATGTCAATTCTAGGCAAGACAAATTACTGTTACTTCCAAGAAACCGACTTCCCACCACGTAGCTAGCTGACCCCCTCAAAGGTTGGTGCCATTTTGGGGAGCTCACCCTTGGTCCTCATTGCTCGCAGGTCAAATATTCTGCAGTAGCAGTACTCAAACAGCCATGGAAAAGGGAAGACCTTGCTTTTGGGGCTCCAGACACTCTTGATTCTTGACAGGATGGTAACTCTTCTGAGGTGCTCATTGTGCCAGAGCTAGGGTAGCCAGTGAAGAGGCTGGCTGGTGTCACCTGGCCAAGCCTTTCTGTCTACATGGTATCTCTGTATTTCCTCCACGGTAAATAATATCTGATGGACATTAATGTGCAATAAGAAGATTTGCTTACTAGTGACTGTCCCCATAGATATATCTTTGCGTCTTCCCTGGACATTTTATATGTAATATACAGTAGCCAAGCCATTGGCCACTACCAATGAGTCACTTTAAATTCTTACCTTGCCACTTTTTTTCTACACAATGTGGATAAACAGGTGAAAACTCTGAAACTCTGCCCACTGGGAAAGTTTCTCCTCACCATTGATTCCAGTGGCATCCTGATGGAGCTACAGTACAGTAGCAGTTCATTTGCAGCTTAGACCCACATATAGAGTTGGCCCATTTTCCTCCCAAAGAAGTGATATAATACATGCTTTCAATATTTACTTATTAAAGGTACTTTGTTGGCCAATTCCTTGTTACTTTAATTATGGTGTGTTTATTGGACTATGATAAAATTTCATTTCTTGAAAATTCTATAATTCATATTTTGAACATAAGTTAGTTTTTATTATTCATCAGAGACCTTGCATTCTATTCAGATGTGATGTCTTTTGATGAACTTATGGGAAGCAAAGCGAGTTCCCACAGATCTGTCTATATGCAGATTCCAAGACAGGATTAGACGAGAGATTGATTGGGGTGGGTGCAGAACCCAGTGCAGAGTTCATTCAGACCATGACACAGGCCTATACCTATGAAACGAGAGAAGAAAGGAAAATGGATTCAATAGCGAGAGTCTCACACTACAGCACAGTTTTAAGTGAGGCTTAGCCAGTCCAGTGAAGGGTCCTTGGATGAAAGTGACTCAGCAGAGTCTTACATCTTTATAGGAACTACCTGTCATGTTTAGTTGTTGGCTGGGAACAGCTTGTGAGGAGCATCACTGCTGAGTAATTGTGATGGTGGGTCCAGAGTGGCAGTGCCTACAGCATCAGCTATTTATGATCCCTGCAGAAGGATAGCTGAGTGATGCAATTCATGGCAACCACACCCACCTTCTTGCGCTTTTCTGCAGCATGCACATGGAGAAACAGCTGTACTGAAGTCAGGAATCAAAATCAGATAAGCCAAGGCTTCGTAACTGACAGTAATACTCTCTTCTTCTCACCAAAACATTGAACAAAGTGCTGTAAAATTTTACTTTAATCAATTTAAGACTCCAGGAACAATTTTTGCAAAATCGTGTGATAAGAACATGGTACCATACATTCTAGGTAATTATAGGCAACATCAGCATAAACTTTTAATTTATGGCAGAATTCCAGCTTTCATGCATTATTTGTGTAAACCCACATCTGCTGTAAATAAATAAAGAATTTGCTGGCCTTTGCAATGTCCAGTCCCAGATTCTCTTTCTGACAGCTGATCAAAGCATCCTAGGATTGGAGGAAGTGGATGTTCTGCTTGTTGTTGACTGCGATAGGGTACGATTTTACTCTAATCACTGTGATGTCTGTTAAAGGTTCACTGTAAGAAAACATTCATAAATTTACCTATGTGTAAAAGTTGCCATTTTTAGCCTAAACTGAGTTTATATTATTTTCTCCTCTTTTTCGTTTTCTTTTCTTTATTCCTTCTTTCCTTCCTTCCCTCTTTCCTTCCTTTATTCTTTCTTTCTGTCTCTCTCTTTCTCTTTCTTTCCTTTTTTGGGAATATAAACTTTTCCACTCTGCTACACACATTTTAAGCATAAAAATGATTTTGTAATCAATTATTTATTTAGAAAAGGGCAGGATTTCTCATGGACTTATTTGGGTCATTTGAAGCTTCATATGTTTTGCTTTAAGGCATCTGTTTTGTGCTTATAAAGTCTGCTATTGCTTTGCTCACAGTCTTTTAGTTGATGTTAATGGGAAGTCTTCCTATATTTGAAGTGGAGACTAAGTGCTTCCTCTGAATGATAATCACAGTGTAGATTGGAAGGAAGAATTTATACTCACAATAAAACAGTAATAAGCCACAGGAACTATTTGCCGTTGCTCTTTTCAAGCTATTTTTTTTTTTGTATCAAATACCTAGAGACAAGGGTACACATTTTAAGCTTGAATTACAAATAATAATAAAACTACAGTTTTATAAAAGTATTTAGGAAAATCAGCATAAATTCAAACATATTTAGAAAAGTCAGCAAAAATTCAAATCCAAGAATAAGCAGAACACAAAAATGAACAGATAAACTAGCCCCAAACTGAGGTTTCCTTATTCAAAGTTTTAACATCTAGCTGAAATAGTACATTTGGTAAATGCTAAAAAAAATTAGCTGTGGAATGAAAATCCTGGCACTTTTCTAATTTTTCTTAGGAATTGTAACCAACACTTAAAATAGTAATACATTCTCATAGAGAATCACAGGTAGACTAAATAGTGAAGGTCTTATTCTTGTCAGAGAATACATATAAAAGCCAGAAAAGATGGCTTTCTCTTGCAAATGTGCAAACATAAATGCAAGAAAATAAGGATTACAAAGACTTGGGAAATTATGACATTTCCGGAAAAAAAAAAAAAAAAAAAAAAAACACAGCTCCAACAATGGGCCCTAAAAAAGAAAGATCTATGAATGACAGAAAAACAAATTCAGAAAAATTATCTTATAAAAGTTCAGTAAACTTTAACCTACTTGTTTAAATAAATAATTTAATAAAATTTGGGAAACAATGCACAAACAAAATAAGAAATTTGACAAAGAAATAAAAACAGTAAAAAAATAAAAGTAAATCCTAGAGATAAAGAGTACAATGACTGAACTAAAAAATGCAGCAGAAAACATCAATAGCAGGCTTTATTAACCTGAAGAAAGACTCAATGAGCTTGAATACAGAACATTTAAAATTAACCAATTAGGGAAGCAACAAGAAAAAAATAATTAAAAAATAAAGACAGTCTGCAGTAATCATGAACACTATTAAGAGACCTAACCTACACATAATGGGAATTCAAGGAGAAGAAAGAGAAAAAAGGCCAGAAAATCCTTAGAAAACAATCGCTGGAAACTTTCTAATCTGAGCAAACAAGCCAGTATCTAGGTACAGGAAGCACAGATGTCTCAAATTAAATTCAACCCAAAGAAGAGTTTGCCATGATACATAATAATAAAACTATCAAAATTCAAAGACAGAAAAAATTCTGAGAACAGTAAGAGATAAGAAATATGTCACAAAACAAAAAGTCCCAATATAAGTATCAGCATATTTCTCAGAAGAAACTCTGAAGGTCAGCCAAAAGTGGGATGATATATTAAAAATGCTGAAGAGCAAAGAACCCTGATAATTAAGAATAATTTATCAGCAAACCTGTATTTCAGAAATGGGAGAAAAGTAAAATCTTCCTCAGACAAACAAAAGCTAAGGAAGTACATTACCACTAGGCCTGCTTTACAGGAACTGGTAAAGAAGCAATTTAAACTAAAACTAAAGGCTGATAATCAATAACATAAAACTTAGAAACCACAAAATGTGTAAGTAATAGGTAAGTAATACAGAGCAATATATAGAATACTCTAGGAGTATAATGGTGGTGTGTAAAGTTATTTTATTCCTAGTATGAGGGTGAAAGGATGGAATTATTAATAGCAGCTATAGCTAAATAAGCTGTGAAGGGATACATATTACAAAATGAGGTAAGTTCAGACATCAGAAACACACACAGTGTGGGGGAAATAAAGTTGTAGAGTTGTATGCAATCAAAGTTAAGTTTTTATCAGCTGTTATAAGAGTGAGATATTTAATGTGATCTTTATTAATCATAAGCAAAAATCTATAGGAGACACACACACACACACACACACACAAAGGTTTGAAACATACCGCACTATGAAAAACTACGTTAGGCCACAAAACAAGTCATAACTTATTTTAAAAGACTGATATTACATCAAGTATCTTTTCCAACCACAAAGAGAGTAGCAATCAATAATAAGAATTTTGAAACATTCACAAATATGTGGAAATTAAACATGTTTCTGCATAAACAAAGGATATAGGAAGAAATTAAAAGACAGATTTTAAAATGTCTTGAAATAAATAAAAATGGTAATACAATATACCAAACTTATAAAATGCACCAAAAGCAGGTCTAAGAGGGAAGTTTATAGCAATAAATACCTACATCAAACAAGAAGAAAGATCCCAAATAAACAACCTATGTTACACCTTAAGGAACTAGCAAAAGGAGAACAAACTAAGTAAAAGAAAGAAAACAATAAAGATCAGAGCACAAATAAATGTAGCAGAGCCAAGCTAAGCAGTAGAAAAGATGAACAAAACTAAGAGTTTGTTTTTTGGAAAGATAAACAAAATTGACTATTATGTAGACTAAGAAAAAAATGAGAGAAGATTCAGATTAATAAAATCAGAACTGAAAGAGGAGATACTATAACTGATATTACAGAAATGTGAGTAATCATGAGACTACTATGTACAATTATTCATCAACAAGTTGAATAACCTAGATGAAATGGGTAAATTCCTAAATCCATACAATCTACCAAAATTAAATCATGAAGAAATAGAAAACCTGAACATATTAATAAGGCATAAAGAAATTAAATCCATAATAAAATATCTCTCATCAAAGAAAAGCTCAGGACCTGATGGCTTAGCTACTGAATTCTACCAAACACTGAAAGAAGAACTATTAATAATACCAGTTCTCAATTAACTTTTCCAAAAAGTCAAAGATGAGGGGATACTTTCAAACTCCTTCAATAAGCCCAGCATTCCGCTAATATGAAAGCCTTAGTAGGACATCAAAAAGAAAAGAAAACTATCGGCTATTATGCTTGATGACCATAGATGAAAAAATTCTCAAAAAAATTGTAGCAGAATAAATTTGACAACACATGAAAAGGATTACTCACTATGATCAAGTGGGATTTATCACTGCGATGCAAGGATGGTTCAACATTTGAAAATCAGTAAATGTGATATACAGTTAATACATTAACAGAATGAAAGACAAAAATCATATCATCTCATTAGATACAGAAGAAATATTTGACAAAATGTAACATTATTTTGTCATGAAACATTCAACAGATCAGGTATACAAGTAAGGAAGTTCTACACAATAAAGGTAATAAAGGCCATATATAATAAGCCCACTGTAAATATTACACTCAATAGTAAAAGAATTGGAACCCTTTAAAAAGGGCCCCTTGTAAGAGCTGGAACAATACAAGGATGCCTACTCTCATCACTTTAATTCAGTATAGTATTGGAAGTGCTTGCTAGACCAATAAGGCAAGAGAAAGAAATAAAGGCATCCAAGTGTGACAGAAAGAAGTGAAACTGTTACTGTGTGTGGATGATATGACATTATATATAGAAAACCATAAAGATTTGACCAAAAAACTGTAAAACTGATAAATTTAATAAAATTGCAGGATACAAAATTAAAACAAAAAATCAGTAATGTTTCATTACACTAACAACAGGCCATCTGATAAATAAATTAAAATAATCCCATTCATAATTGCTACAGAAAATATACTTAGGAAAAAAATAACCAAAAGATGAGAGACCCTACACTTAAAACTGTAAAATATTAATGAAAGAAGACACAAATAAATAGACAGGTATGCTGTTTTCATAGACTGGAATAAATAATATTATTAAAATGTATATGCTACCCAAAGTGATCTACAGGTTCCATGCAATTTCTATCAAAATTTTAATGTCATATTTCATTAATATAGAAAAATTTCCTAAAATTTATATGGACCTATAAAAAATCCTGAATAACCAAAGCAATCATGATCAAAAAGAACAAAGCTAGAGACATTACACTACCTGATTTTAAACTATACTACAAAGTGATAGTAATTAAAATGGCATAGTACTGACATAAAAATAGACACAGAAGGATAAGGACAGTGTCTTCAGTAAGTGGTACTGGAAAACCTGAATATTTATATGCAAAAGAATGAAATTAGACCCATATCTCACACCATATAAGAAAATCCATTCAAAATGGATTAAGACTTACATGTAAGACATGAAATTGTAAAACTACTGGAAAAAGATATATGAAAAAAACTGCATCACATCAGTCTATGCAATGATGTTTTTAGATTTGACCCCAAAAGCATAGGTGTCAAAAGCAAAAATAGACAAATGAGATTAAATCAAAATAAAACCCTCTGCATAACAAAAGAAGCAATTAACACAGTGAAGAGACACTGTGTGTGGACTGGGAGAAAATATTTGCAAGCCTTATATCTGATAAAGGATAAATATCCAAAATATATGAGGAACTGAAACAACTCTACAGAAAGAAAAATAATCTGATTAAGAAATTGGCGAGAGA
Source organism: Homo sapiens (assembly GCF_000001405.40). Classification (NCBI taxonomy): domain Eukaryota; kingdom Metazoa; phylum Chordata; class Mammalia; order Primates; family Hominidae; genus Homo; species Homo sapiens. Next base: position 109,460,007 of record NC_000013.11, on the reverse strand, counting down.
CTTGAATAGATATCTCAAAAAAATGACATGTGAATGGCTAACAGGTACATTTAAAAATGCTCAACATCACTAATCACTGGGGAGATGCAAAGTAAAACTCCAATGAGTTAACACCTCATACTTCTTAGAACAAGACTGTTATCAAAAAGACAAAAGATAACAACTATTGGCAAAGATGTGGAGAAAAGAGAATTCTTGTGCACTGTAAGAATGTAAATTAGCACAACCATTGTGGAAAATAGTTTGGAGCTTCCTCAAAAAACTAAAAATAGAATTATCGTATGATCCAGCAATTCCATCCCTGGGTAATTACCTGGAGGGCTTGATATCAGTACATGGAAGAGATGTTTGCACTCCCACGTTTACTGCAGCACTATTCACAATAGCCAAGTGAAGGAATCAACTTAAATGTCCATCAATGGATGAATTGATAAGGAAAATGTGGTGTATGTACACAATAGAATCCTATTCAGCCTTTAAAAAGGGAGATACTCTGTCATTTTTAGCAAATGGATGAAATTTGTAATTATGCTAAGTGAAAAATCCAGGCACAGAAAGACAAAAACTGCTTGTTCTCAGTTATGTGTGGAATCTAAAACAATTGCTTTCATAGCATCAGAGAGTTGAATGGTGGTTACCAGAGGTTGCTGTGAGAAGGGGTAGAGGAAAGACAAAGGGCACAAAACCCCAATTAGATAAAAGGAATAACTGTTTTTTTGTTTGTTTGTTTGTTTTCGAGATCTATTGCACAACATGGTGAAAATAGCTAATAATTGAATACTGTGCACTTTAAATTTGCTAAGAGAGTACATTTCAAATGTTCTTATCACAAAAATATTAAATATTTGAGGTGATGAGTATGTTAATTAGCTTAATTTAATTATTCCGTATTGTATTTAAAAATTATGTCATCACTTGTATCCCATAAATACATATAACTGTAGTTTGACAATATATAATAAAAATGTTTAAAAGCCCTAAATTCTTTTTTTTTAACTTTAAGTTCTGGGATACATGTGCAGAACATGCAGGTTTGTTACATAGGTATACATGTGGCATGGTGGTTTGCTGCACCTATTGACCTGTCCTCTAATTTCTCTCCCCTCGCCCCTCATCCCCCAACAGGCCATGGTGTGTGTTATTCCCCTCCCTGTGTCCATGTGTTCTCATTGTTCAGCTCCCACTTATGAGTGAGAATGTGCTGTGTTTGGTTTGGTGATAGTTTGCTGAGGATGATGGCTTCCAGCTTCATCCATGTCCCTGTAAAGGATTTGATCTCATCAAAAAGTGGGCCAAGGGTATGAACAGACACTTCTCAACAGAAGACATTTACGTGGCCAACAAACATATGAAAAAAAGCTCAACATCACTTATCATTAGAGAAATGCCAATCAAAATCACAATGAGATACCATCTCATGCCAGTCAGAATGGCGATTATTAAAAAGTCAAGAAACAATAGATGCTGGCAAGGCTGTGGAGAAATAGGAACACTTTTACACTGTTGGTGGGAATGTGAATTAGTTCAACCATTGTGGAAAACAGCATGGCAATTCCTCAAGGATCTAGAACCAGAAATACCATTTGACCCAGCAATCCCATTACTGGGTATATACCCAAAGGCATATAATTCATTCTACTATAAAGACACATGCACATGTATGTTTATTGCAGCACTGTTTACAATAGCAAAGTCATGGAACCAACCCAAATGCCCATCAGTAATAGACTGGATAAAGAAAATGTATATATACACTATGGAACAGTATGCAGGCATAAAAATGAATAACCCTAAATTCTGGTGGATGTTGTGCCATTCAAGTACAAAGGAGGCCACCTTTAATCATCTAGACAGAGAAGTTGGTGTGATGAAAGGATCAACTCATCTTTTTCTAAGGGGCTAAAGTATTCTTTCAGTTGTTTCTTATCTATATTATAACTTATGAAATCCTTTGTGCCAGAAACTGTGGGTTGCCTGCCTTTTAGCCACAGCCAGTTCTACAAAGAAAGTAAAAGTTCTCTTTCATGTAGCCACAGCTTTAGGGCAACCAGGGTCCAGCTGCAGTTGTTGGGTGAGCCTGCCTTAGCTTAAGTCCATCCTGGAGGCTGATTCTCCTCTTTAGAATTGGGTTTAGGTAAAGGCACATGGTCCAATTGTTACTAGTTACCTGTTACAGAACAGGTTTGCTGGGAGATTTGGGAAATATTTCTTTGCTCTTACAAAAATCCCTAAAGGAAGTCAAAGATAATGATTGTCATGCCTGTGATGCTTGAAATCATGTCAGTTACCTGGTACTATGAGGTATAGTGAAAAGTGCAAGAAAGAAATGCAACAGTAGGGATAGGACCTGGGTTCTTCTTGACCTTGAAGAACTTATTAGACTGTTGAGCTATGGCTTTCATAGCAGGAATGAGAACCAACAGTATAGACCAATGAGCTGGATTTGAATCATTCCCACTTCAGAAGACTCCAGAAGACCCCACAGATCACTCCCCCGGTGGGGAGGCACCACTAAATCCTGATGGTAGAACATACTGAGGGGAACCCCAAGATCCTGTTAGGGATTTTGAGAGTTCAGAACTACTTCCATAATAATATTGAGGCGTCATTTGCCTTTTCACTTTCTTTGTCTCATGAGAGCACAGATGGAGCTTCCCAAGACTGTATGACTTGTGATAGCAAAACACATGAAATATAGAATCAGGTCTAAGAATTCAGCTTTCTTCTATTCAGCCAGACATCTAAGCGATTTTGGAAGTTGCCCGATATCTGGCTGAATTTCCCTCGCTATCAGACAATGCCATTCTGTTGTAAATGTTTTTGGTTTTGAGTTATTTCTTAATAAATATGTTATTTGTGTTACCATGTGATGGGTTTGTTATCAACTGTAAATAAGTTAATAACTATTTAAAATTTTTTTCTAAGCCCTAATTTCTAATACAATAAATGTCAGTAGATATAGCCTACATGAACAAAAGCTTTGTGGAGTCCTCAATAATTTTTTAAGAAGGTAAAGGGATCCTGAGATCAAATTACTTGAGAACTGCAGACAAAGACATATACTTTTTAAATGAAAAAAAAATCTTAGAGGTGATTGATAACAGCTCAAAACCTTCATTTAACAAAAAATTCAGCACCACAATGAAGGCATTGGTACAAGTTCCCATGGCCACTACTGCTGTGTGGGATCCCAGCTGTCTGCTGCAAATTTCCATTCTCTCTTCCTCCATGTCCCCTTCCTGTTTGTTGCAAAGGCATTGGCTTTTGTAGTCTGCTGTAGTCTGGGGTGGCACTGGCAGAATTTTGTCGAATATTCTGAGCATTTCTGGAATCTGCTATGTCTTTGCCCTGACATGTAAGGATCATTGCTGTTTCTAATGACCTTGAAATCTACAGGGATGCTGATAATTGACTTGATTTCCCTTGCATTCTCAGAATTTGATGATGATGGTCTTTTCACTAAACTTTAGCTTCTAGATCTGACCCAGTTCTATTTCAAACATTTGAGGATGCTTCAAAGATGACAGCTTTGAAAAGAAAGGAAGGCATGTAATTGCTAGTCATGGCTTCTTTCTGGAACTAAAATTGACCTGCAACTAGCATCATTACAAAATTTGTATTAATTTGTTTCTAGTACATTGAGCTGTAATTTGGATAATGAGTTGCCTGCTATTAACTAAACTAATTAATGTGATTATTATATTTAGTCAAAAATACCTTTTAATTTCATAACACTGTGATTTCCTATAGATTTGGAAGAAAAGAAAGAAGAAAATGAGTAACACATAGAAAAAGCATTAGAAGGGAAAATGCTAGGCCCCAAACACCAGTCCTTTGATTCCTTTACTAGACTTATGCATAGATACCCTGGTAACCCTCCATTCTCCTTCTAATCATCTGTTCAGCACTGTATCAAGAATATAGTAGATATTCAAGAAATATTTTTGAGAGAATAAACAAATGCTTGTGGCAGGCAGAATAATGGTCCCCCTCTCCAAAGAGGTCCACATCCTGATCTCCAGAACTTGTGTATGTTCTACCTTAGTGGCAAATGGATTTTACTGATGTGATTAAGTTAAAAGCTAAAGATCTTGAGATGGAGAGAGTATCCTCGGTTATCCAGGTGGAACCAAGGTCACCACAAGGGTCATCATCGGAGGGAGAAGAAGGCAGGAGGTGAGAGTCTGGGGGAGACTTGGGATGGAAGAGGTCACGGTGATGTGATCACAGAATGTGAATTAAGCAATGTGAGGAGGACTCCATTTGCTGTTGCTGGCTTTCAAGATGGAGAAAGGGACCATAGCCATTCTCAAATTTCATGTTTCAGAGTATGGACAAGAGATAGGATTTGATTCAAGATTCAGAAAGAAGAAAATGTTTCAATTATGAGACCATTGCATGCAAGTCTAAGAAACATTATACATCAACTTCTTTGAAGTATCTCCTGGAACAGTGTTTGGAAAAGACAAAATACTAGACAGGACATAAAAATTATTGTATTTCCATTGCTCTAATTTTTTTTGAACTGTCATTTCTGCAGCACACTAAAATGTGATTTAGACACCATTTAGTAGCTTTTCTTTTTTGTAATGTATTCCTTCAGAATCTTCACTCCTCTTTCTTGGATTGTAACTCTTTGACTAGGTAAACTTGTGCTTCCGAGAGTTCTTTATGAAGGGCCAGGGACAGTGGCTCAGTCCTGTAATTCCAGCACTTTGGGAGGCCAAGATGGGAGGATCGCTTGAGACCAGGAGTTCAAGACTAACCTTGCCAACACAGCAAGACCCTATCATGTCTATTAAAAAAAATAAGAAAGAGTTCTTTATGAAACATAATGATTTCCTTTAATAAGAAATACTTTGTAAAGTAGAAGGCATAAAAGTCTTCCCAATTTATGTGTTTAAAAAATTATTAAAGGACACTATATCTTTTTATTTCCAAGATAATTTGTATAGATCAAATTCTATACATGATTTTGGAGACTCCATTTAATTGTGAAATCTGTATTATTGTAAATGCTCCCTTTAAATTGCCAAGGACAGTATATTACTAAAACCCCCCTTTTTTTCCTTATAGTCATATAGATGTGCTGCTCTATAACTAGATTTGGAAAAATGTTACAATTCTTCCTCTTCTGGAAAAAAAGTATTTTCCTTTATTATCCTTTAGTGTCTAAAAATAGGCTGGAATTAAATGTCATGTACCTTTGGAATTCATTTTATAAATACACTTGGTAACTAGGAAACTCACATTGTCATTATTTATAATCTAGGAATTCTTTCCATGGTAACTGTTAGAAGGTCACAATTATTGAGTCACAACAGTGGCTAAGAGGCTATTTAAGAATTCACCAAAATAAGGCGATTGACAGGAGGAGGTAATGTCTGCTTTTCTGATCACCCAAATTAACGAGGTGAGGTCTTACGTTGAAGCAGTGGCTGCATCTTCAGTTCAGTTACATCTTTCCTGCCATGGCCCTTCTTTCAGCCAAGCAATCATGCCAGCATTACCAACCTTTTCTCTCACAGCCCTTGGAGACTCAGTGCCATGAACTTGGATACCATTTATAGTGTTTTCTCTGTCTTGTGACATCATGTGTAGGTTGATTATATTGGCACACAATAGGGTTTCCAAAGCCCAGGATTCAGCTGAGAAGTGGGAGGCAGCCTCTGTCTGGGACTGAGTCTCACACAAGCTCACAGAAAGCTCTCACCGTGTCCCAGAGCCATGCTTGGGGGAGCCTGGGAACAGGCTTGCAGGAGCAGGTCCTTGGTAGCCACCTCTTACTAAGTCTCACAGCAGTGGAGGTTGGCTCTTAAGCAGCCACATAAATATACTTGAAACACCTTCATTTGTTCATTATAATAAACAAGACCTCCTGTCACTAAGCCGGACATCTTATTAATACGTACAGTGCCAGCCTCTGCCCTAACACCTCCAAGACATTGAGAGAATGTTGAATGGACTATGTGGTAATAGAGACAGCAGCTTAATGGAGGCCAGATACCCAAACATGAGCTAAGAGTTTGGCTTTACTCATTATCAGATCTGTGAAACAGGATGTGACCCCAGATTTTAAAGAGTATTTTGCAGTAGTATGCAGAAACATTGGTGTAATCAAACATACACACATATGTAATGTGAATTAAGCATTTTGAGAGTAAAAGTCGTTAAACCTGTAATCAATGCCAAAAAAACCCGTACAACTTCAGAAACATTTCTTGGGGTGAATTACATGGCCCATGAGCTTCTTGCTTAGATTAACTCACCATAATTCAATAGCATCAGCAGTAGCTACCAGGCCCAGCTTGACCCCACTACAGTTTATTATTTAAAGGATACGAATAAGCAGTTCAAACATACACCAATATGAAGAAAAAGAAAGAAGCATAATCTCATGCATAATTAAATCACAAATCGAAATGAGATGCTATTTTTTAAAACCTATCAGATTGGCAAAGATTGGAAAGTTGATCTTTCACACTGTGCACAGGATGTGGGCCAACAGATGGTCTCATTTGCTGTTGGTGTGAGTGTAAGTTGGTGGAATCTCTTTGGAGAGCATTTTTCCAATGTCTGTCAAAATGCAATGCATATTTACTTTGGTCTTCCAATTTTACTTTGGGAAATTTACCTTACAGGTATATTACTATGTCTACATGAAGGCCTGCACCGAATTTTCCTTGTAGCATTATTTAAAATACTGAAAGAAACTGAAAACAGCATAAATGTCCATCAATAGGTGTACTAATCTGTTTTCATGCTGCTGACAAAGACATGCCCAAGAGTGGGAAGAACAATAGGTGTAATGGACTTACAGTTCCACGTGGCTGGGGAGGTCTCACAATCATGGCAGAAGGTAAAAGGCACTTCTTACATGGTGGCGGCAAGAAAGAATGAGAGCTTGTGCAGGGAAACTCCCGTTTTTAAAACCATCAGATCTTGTGAGACTTATTCACTATCATGAGAACAGTTGGGAAAGACCTGACCCCATGATTCAATTACCTCATGCTGGGTCCCTCCCACAACAAATGGGAATTCAATATGAGATTTCAGTGGGGACACAACCAAACCATATCAATGGGAAACTTATTAATTAAATTATGGTGCATGTAGAAAGAATAATTTATAGGTTTTTTTAAAATGTGATAGCTACATTTGTGCTAATATAAAAATTTATTCAGTATATTTTGTTACTTTTTAAAAATTGCACAAGAATGCAAAAATATATTTCCATTTGTATGAAAAAAAAGCAGAAAAACTGCACATTTGAATGTTTAGAACTAGAAAATTTTGAAACATACAGAAGAAAACTATTAATTTTTTTTCTTTCTAAAGATGATGAGTATTGATCCAGAAGAAAAATTTCTGTTTCATTATAGTTCTGCTTTACTCCTTGGGAAAAAATGTACAGTTTACATGTATTTATTTTCATTATAATTAGAAAGTAATTATTAAAAATTGCCTATTTACTGTTGAAGCAAGCCAGGGTATAACTGAAAGACTAGCACAAATAGGAGACAAATTTCAAAAACTGTACATCTTGACTCAGCATTATTACTTTCAATAGATAAAGAAAATTATTTGAGGTGTCTGTAGAGATACAGCTATAGAGCTATATGTATGTCCACTGAAGATTTACTTTTTATGACAAATTCATTTTACAAAAAAACAAGAAGATAACTTTTGAATGTGATAAAGTAACTGGTACCAGACTAGCCCCCTTGGTGTAAGTAACTACAAAACTACACAAAATATAGGAAGCAACTATTTTCAGGTGTCAGACAAGAAGCAGAGGATTGTGTTCCTGGAGAGAAGAGAAATGCACACAGTTTGCCCCATAATCCTCCCGGTGTTCTGCTATAGGCCCTTTGTGGACCAAGAGGCAGGAATGTGGAGCCCAAGTGAGGCAGGATTGGAGGCTTCTGGAGTGGCTGGAATTCTAGTGCAGCACGCTGGAGAGGAGAAAGCTGTGCAGTGAAGAGACAAAAAAAAAAATGTGCAGGGTTTTCTCAAGTCTTTAGCCAAGTGCTAAGCTGTGCATGTGTAGGTAGGGTGGAATCCCTGGGGCCTGGAAAAGCACAGCTCTGGGAAGTTGTAAGCTGCAGGGGATGCTGGCACCACAGGGTGCTGGAAGACGGAAATTCCAGCCAGCCAGAGAGAAGATACCTCCCAGAATATCCAGGGCATTTAATCACAACCCAAGAGAGACCACATTTTAGGAGATGGGCTACTCTAGTTCTACCCAAACAAATTTCAGAGCAAAGAGTAAAAGGACAAAGGCACTAGGAAATATCAAAAATTAGGGATTTGGCTGCACCAGTTATGGTTATTCATATAACATATTACTAGAAAAACATTAAAAAATTATACTAAATAAATGTGTGTGTGTGTGGAGAGAGAAAGATCTAGAAAGATATAATCTGAAATGCTAATAATATTTATATACATATTTTCTATACAATCACATATAAGAAATTTCAAAAAACACTCCTTTTTTGCTTTAGGGTCTTCAAAAATGTTATTATTTCTTCTTGGAATGTTGTGTCCTCATTAGTTATTAGCAAATGCACATTCAAACCATAATGAGATACAACTCCACAACCACTAAAGTAGCTAAAGTTGAAAAGACCATTAACAGTGAATGACTGTGAGACTGTTGATTCCCCCAAATGCTCATGCACGCCTGGCAAGAGCATCAAAGGGTATAGCCACTGTGGAAAGTGGTTTGGTAGCTGCTTAACAGGTCGAACACACACCTACTCTGTGATCCAACCATTGCACTCCCAAAAGCAATGAAATACATGGTCACAACGAGATATATGAAAAGATGTTTGTAGAAGCTTGACTCAGTAGCACAAACGTAGAAACAATGCAAATATCCAATGATAAGAGAATGGATAACAAATGGCTGTATACTCAAATAATAAGACATCGCTTATCATTAAATAAAAGTATGTTAATTAGATGACACAGATGAATCCCACAGGAAAACCCAACATTGTACTGAATAAAGCCGGACCAAAAAAAAATTACATTCTCTGTGTTTCCGTATATTTGACATGCTAGAACAGGTAAAACTAATCTGTGGTGAAAGAAATCAGAATAGTGACAATTTTTGGGAAATGAGTAGGAACTTTCTGGGATGATGAAAATGGTCTGTGTCTTGACAAGAGTGTGGGTTCCATGTGTGTGAAATTTGTAAAACTCCATGAACAGGAACCCTCAGATCTGAGTATTTCATTGTATGTAAAATATATCTAAATAAAAATATTTAAAAGGCAAAACAGGAACACCTTAAATATTCAATAATAAGAGATGGGCTAAATGAATGATGGTACAGCTATGGAAATGGAATACTCTGTCCCCATTAAAAACAAATTGATAAATCCGTATGGGCTGATATAAAAAGGTCATTAGGTAAAAATATGAAGATATATATTGATTTCTAAAATATCTGATTTATGTAAAAAAATGCACACACATGCACATGTTTGTGTACACATAAAACATTTATGGAGAAACATACCAGAAATTGCCTCCAGGAGGGAGACACTGAGCCTGGGAGTGCTGGGGGCAGAAGGCAAGAAGGAAACTTACCTTTTTTGAGCTATTAGAATTATTTACTACATGCACATACTTAATTTGAAATTATTCAACTAAATAGAAGTTTTGGTCGGGCGTGGTGATTAACGCTTGTCATCCCAGCACTTTGGGAGGCTGAGGTGGGTGGATCACTCGAGGTTAGGAGTTTGAGACCAGCCTGGCCAACATGGTGAAACAGTCTGTACCAAAAGTACAAAATTTATCCAGTTGTGGTGGCGGGCACCTGTGGTCTCAGCTACTTGGGAGGCTGAGGCATGAGAATCACTCAAGCCTGGGGAGGTGGAGGTTCAGTAAGCCAAGATCATGCCACTGCACTTGAGTGTGGGCAACAGAGCAAGACTCTGTCTCACATATATATACATATTTTTATATATATATATATTTCTGTCTCAAATATATATATAAATATATATAATATATAAATATATATAAATATATATAATATATAAATATATATAAATATATATAAATATATATAATATATAAATATATAAAAATATATATATATAAATATATATAAATATATATAATATATATCATATATAAATATATATAAATATATATAATATATATACATATATAAATATATAAAAATATATATAATATATATAAATATATAAAAATATATAATATATATAAATATATAAATATATAAATATAAATATATATAAAAATATAAATATATAAATATAAATATATATAAATATATAAATATATATAAATATATATAAATATATAAATATATATATAAATACATAAATATATATTATATAAATATATATTATATATACACTATATATTATATATAATATATACACTATTATATATAATATATACACTATTATATATAATATATACACCATATATTATATATAATATATACACTATATATAAATATATAATATATAAATATATACACTATATATAAATATATAATATATAAATATATACACTATATATAAATATATAATATATAAATATATATTATATATATAAATATATATACATATATAATATATAAATGTATAAATATATATACAAATATATATTTATATATATCCCACAATATCACAATATGATGAAACATGCCAGCGTTCAAGTAGGAGGAATTTTACAATTTTATATTAAATACTAGGTTTCAAAGCCAATGTTGGATTCTCCTTGCATCAGCCAATTCACGTTTAGAAATTTATTTGAAGGAAATGAGAATGTTCTGTAGGGAGCTATTTATAATAGCAAAAGAGTAGAGGTGATTTAAATATCCAAAAATAGGAGTTTGTATCAATCATAGCATATTCATACAAGTATTGCCACAGCCATTAACATAATGTAGAAGAAAATGTAACAACACAAAACAGTATCCACCGAATAATTTTAAACAAAATGTGTGCGTGTGGAGCGAGGGAGGGGGCCTGGAAGATTATATCATGAAATGCTAATAATGTCTACGTTTTCATCTTCTGTAAGAAAATGTAAGAATTTTCCAAAAAGCCTCCCTCGTGTCTGCCTTAGTGTGTTCTCCTTGGAGAGCTGTATGTTTATCACTCTTCCCAGAACGGGCTCCTCTGCATTCTCCAAGTCGCAGCCTCCTTCCTCCGCAGCCAGATCTTTTCTGGAATGGTCCCACCCTGCACTGTCCCCAACATTATCCTCAGTCTCAGCACTGTGACTTTTACGCACACTACTTCTCTCCATTTCTAATTCTGCAATTGGTGATTTAATGTTATATTTCCTCCACACTCTCTGTAGACTGACAGTAGTGATGGTGTCTATTTTGATCACCACTCGTATATCCAAGTGGACACGTAATTAAAATATAGCATGTACTTGTCCACGGTGAATGAAGATACAAAAAGCTGTGTTGGCTCATTTCTGTAATCCCAGCAATTTGGGAGGCTGAGACAGGAGGATCACTTGAGCCCAGAAGTTTGAGACCAGCCTGGGCAACATAGAGAGATCCCATCTCTAATATATATACATAACTTTTTTTTAAAGTGGAGTTAGGGGTGGGTGGTCACACAGTTACCCACACTGACACTCAAATATGTAAAAAAAACAACAAAAAAGCAAAACCTCATTATTTTATTTGTAGACAATCTGTCTTTCTCATACGTTCTTAAAATTTTGGATAGAAGGAGAGATAATTGCAATCAGATTTGTCATCCTCAGTGTGATCTTACCATTTGAACAGCGTCTTTAGGTTGCCCAGGGTAGGCACCTAAAATGGTGCCTAACACACTCAGTGAATGTTTGTTGAAGAACTGAAATTCATCTGCTTTGAGGTTTCCTCCTCTTGCCCTTGTTAAATTCCCAGACGATGATGTGGTGAGTGAGGTGGTGGCTATGAGGCTGGCAGTGTTTGGTGATGGGTGGGGGGCATAGGTCTTGGCACTATCTCCTGTCTACAGTGGCGTCCCTTGTCCCCATGGGTGATGGGCATCCACTGAAACCTGTGACTGGCAGTTCCTGATTCAGCCTCTGGCAGTGCTGGAGCCAGGCCTTGCATGATGATGTATCCCATAGTGACCCTTGCTAGGTCCCCAGCCTCCTTGAGGACCTATAATGTCCTGCGTGGAGTTGCAGGCTGGGAAACCTTATGGCTTCAGGCTTATCTCCCTTCAGGGAAGCAGGGAAGCCCATTGAGTCTGCCCATCATTTCCAACATCGCCTGGGAGTAACTCGGGAGTTCTGGTCCCTTCCTTTCTTGGGATTGCTTGTCCAGTCTCAGTCTCTGGCAACCACATTAGCACAGGGGTACCCAGCAGCCTCATCTTCTCATTGTGTGCCATGCCTCTGCCCAGTGGCCTTTCCCCAGTCCCCAGATGTATAACTGGGATTGATGTGTTTACTAGTTTGCAGAATCCCACCTTGGGTCCTTGTCCTGCAGGATGAGGACTATCACAGTTGGGACAATCCCGTACAAGCCTCTGAAAATGTCTCCCTGGCCAGTGATACCACCACCAGGCAGGCTACGGGAGAACTTAAGGATAAGGATCCACTGTATCCACATTCAATTTGCCAGACTGACTCCCCAAAAAAATCCCACATGGATCCTGAAGGATGTCAGTGAACTCAATCATGTCTTAGCCACAGCTGCAGCTGCTATTTCAGACAAGGTAGCCTGGCCTCAGGTGCATGGCCTGCAGGGTGTCAGGCAGCACACATAGTGCATGATCACCAGCTTAGCCTGATATGGTTTGGATTTGTGTCCCTACCCGAATCTCATGTCGAATTATAATCCCCAATGTTGAAGGAGGGGCATGGTGGGAGGTGAGTGCATCATGGGGTGGACTTCCCCTTTGCTGTTCTCATTAGAGTGAGTGAGTTCTCCTGAGATCTGTCCGTTTAAAAGTGTGTAGCACCTCCCCTGTCTTTCCTCCTGCTCTTGCCATGTAAGATATGCCTGCTTCCCATTTGCCTTACGTCATGATTGTAAGTTTCCTGATTCCTCCACAGCCATGCTTCCTGTAAAGCCTGCAGACCTGTGAGTCAATTAAGCCTCTTTTCTTTATAAATTACCCAGTTTTAGGTAGTTCTTTATAACAATGTGAGAACAGACTAACACAGCCTCCACACCACATCTGTCAGATGAGGGGTACTGTACAGAGGCCCACTGTGGCAACCATGGGATTCACTGGTCGTGCCACGTAAGGCTCCACCTGGAATTCACCAGCTGAATGGAGGGTTGGAACACCCTGTGTAAGGTACAGTCAGAGCTCCGGCTTGGGGGAGATGCTATCCGAGAATGCAGCACTATCGTCCGAGGCACTGTGCACATCCAACCAAGCACCTTTGGAGGGTACTGCATCTCACACAGGAAGAATACCTGGGCCTGGGAAAGGAAGGTTGTGTGTGATCTCAATTGTCATGCTTCTGAACAAACAACTGAGAGGATTTATGGTGCTGGTCACCCTAATCCTGGGCTCAGCAAAGTTAAAGTCCCAAGTCCCCAGAGGAGGCTCCCTTCAATCAGGGGACCCAGCAAGGGTTCTATCGCATTACATGCTCTGGCTGCTGCTGGGACACTTTGGACTCCTTGTGTTCAAAGACAAACAGGTAAGAAGACAACTCCCCATCTTGGCAGAGGGAATTGCATCTGCTCCTTAGGAGGGGTAGGGCTGGTGTTAGACAGCATGGACAGGGAGGAACACAGACCCCCACTGGCATGCTCCTACACAATGTTTTCAGCCAGTGGGAGAGTGCACACTTTCTGGAGAAGGGAATCATGACCAGGGGGTCAGAGCCTTCAAGGATGAGGATGCAGCTCATGCCACTGGGCAAACCACAATGCCCAGCAGGGGTGGAGGCTGAGGTAAGGGGAGTCTAGAACAGACAATGGAAAAGGAGGACGATTCATACCAGCTGTGGCCTTGAGGCCAGCTGTGGGGATGAGGCCTGTAGTTTTTCCTTCCAACCTTCTTCCGCACATTTCCCTAAAGAAAAAGGGCTCTCCCAACTCCAAGACACACAATTGTCAGATTCACCAAAGATGAAATGAAGGAAAAAATGTTAAGGGCAGCCAGACAGAAAGCTCGGGTTACCCACAAAGGGAAGCCCATCAGACTAACAGCGGATCTCTCAGCAGAAACTCTACAAGCCAGAAGACAGTGGGGACCAATATTCAACATTCTTAAAGAAAACAATTTTCAACCCAGAATTTCATATCCAGCCAAACTAAACTTCATAAGTGAAGGAGAAATAAAATCCATTACAGACAAACAAATGCTGAGAGATTTTGTCACCACCAATCCTGCCTTACAATAGCTCCTGAAGGAGGCACTAAACATGGAAAGGAACAACCGGTACCAGTCACTGCAAAAACATGCCAAATTGTAAAGACCATCAATGCTAGGAAGAAACTGCATCAACTAATGAGCAAAATAACCAGATAACATCATAATGACAGACCAGATTCACACATAACAATATTAACCTTAAATGTAAATGGGCTAAATGCTCCAATTAAAAGACACAGACTGGCAAATTGGATAAAGAGTCAAGACCCATTAGTGTGCTGTATTCAGGAGAGCGATCTCACATGCAGAGACACATATAGGCTCAAAATAAAGGGATGGAGGAAGATCTGCCAAGAAATGGCAAGCAAAAAAAGTAGGGGTTGTAATCCTAGTCTCTGATAAAACAGACTTTCAACCAAAAAAGATCAAAAGAGACAAAAAAGGCCATTACATAATGGTAGAGGGATCAATTCAACAAGAAGAGCTAACCTAAATATATATGCACCCAATACAAGGGCACCCAGTTTCATAAAGCAAGTCCTTAGAGACCTACAAAGAGACTTAGACTCCCACACAATAATAATGGCAGACTTTAACACCCCATTGTCAACATTAGAGAGATCAACGAGACAAAAAGTTAACAAGGATATCCAGGAATTGAACTCAGCTCTGCACCAAGTGGACCTAATAGACATCTACAGAACTCTCCACCCTAAATCAACAGAATATACATTCTTCTCAGCACCATATCACACTTATTCCAAAACTGACCACATAGTTAGAAGTAAAGCACTCCTCAGCAAATGTAAAATAACAGAAATTATAACAAACTGTCTCTCAGACCACAGTGCAATCAAATTAGAACTCAGGATTAAGAAACTCACTCAAAACCGCTCAATGACATGGAAACTAGACAAACTGCTCCTCAATGACTACTGGGTAAATAACAAAATGAAGGCAGAAATAAAGATGTTCTTTGAAACCTATGAGAACAAAGACACAACATACCAGAATCTCTGGAACACATTTAAAGCAGTGTGTAGAGGGAAATTTATAGCACTAAATAAAGCAGGAAAGATCTAAAATTGACACCCTAACATCACAATTAAAAGAACTAGAGAAGCAAGAGCAAATACATTCAAAAGCTATCAGAAGGCAAGAAATAATTAAGATCAGAGCAGAACTGAAGGAGATAGAGACATAAAAAACCCTTCAAAAAAATCAATGAATCTAGGAGCTGGTTTTTTGAAAAGATCAACAAAATTGATAGACCGCTACCAAGACTGATAAGAAGAGAGAAGAATCAAATGGACACAATAAAAAATGATAAAGGGGATATCACCACTGATCCCACAGAAATACAAACTACCATCAGAGAATACTATAAACACCTCTACGCAAATAAACTAGAAAATCTAGAAGAAATGGATAAATTCCTGGACACATGCACTCTCCCAAGACTAAACCAGGAAGAATTTGAATCCCTGAATAGAACAGTAACAGGTTCTGAAATTGAGGCAATAATTAATAGCCTACCAACCAAAAAAAGTCCAGGACCACATGGATTCACAGCCGAATTCTACCAGAGATACAAAGAGGAGCTGGTACCATTCCTTCTGAACTGTTCCAATCAATAGAAAAAGAGAAAATCCTCCCTAATTCATTTTATGAGGCCAACATCATCCTGATACCAAAGCCCTGCAGAGACACAATAAAAAAAGAGAATTTTAGACCAATATCCCTGATGAACATTGATGCAAAAATCCTCAATAAAATACTGGCAAACCGAATCCAGCAGCACATCAAAAAGCTTATCCACCATGATCGAGTTGGCTTCATCCCTGGGATGCAAGGCTGGTTCAACATACGCAAATCAATAAACGTAATCCATCATATAAACAGAATCAAAGACAAAAACCACATGATTATCTCAATAGATGCAGAAAAGGTCCTCGACAAAATTCAACAGCGCTTCGTGCTAAAAACTCTCAATAAACTAGGTACTGATGGGAAGTATCTCAAAATAATAACAGCTATTTATGACAAACCCACAGCCAATATCATACTGAATCAAAAACTGGAAGCATTCCCTTTGAAAACTGGCATAAAACAGGGATGCCCTCTCTCACCACTCTTATTCAACATAGTGTTGGAAGTTCTGGCCAGGGCAATCAGGCAAGAGAAAGAAATAAACGGTATTCAATTAGGAAAGAGGAAGTCACATTGTCCCTGTTTGCAGGTGACATGATTGTATATCTAGAAAACCCCATCGTCTCAGCCCAAAATCTCCTTAAGCTGATAAGCAACTTTAGCAAGGTCTCAGGATACAAAATCAATGTGCAAAAATCGCAAGCATTCCTATACACTAATAACAGACAAACAGAGAGCCAAATCATGAGTGAACTCCCATTCACAATTGCTTCAAAGAGAATAAAATACCTAGGAATCGAACGTACAAGGGATGTGAAGGACCTCTTCAAGAACTACAAACCAC
Organism: Homo sapiens; assembly: GCF_000001405.40. Taxonomy (NCBI): domain Eukaryota; kingdom Metazoa; phylum Chordata; class Mammalia; order Primates; family Hominidae; genus Homo; species Homo sapiens. The sequence continues at coordinate 109,443,171 of NC_000013.11, read as the reverse complement.
TGCTCAATGAAATAAAAGAGGACACAAACAAATGGAAGAACATTCCATGCTCATGGATAGGAAGAATCAATATTGTGAAAATGGCCATACTGCCCAAGGTAATTTATAGATTCAATGCCATCCCCATCAACCTACCAATGACTTTCTTCACAGAATTGGAAAAAACTACCTTAAAGTTCATATGGAACCATAAAAGAGCCTGCATTGCCAAGACAATCCTAAGCCAAAAGAACAAAGCTGGAGGCATCACGCTACCTGACTTCAAACTATATTATAAGGCTACAGTAACCAAAACAGCAAGGTACTGGTACCAAAACAGAGATATAGACCAATGGAACAGAATAGAGCCCTCGGAAATAATACCACACATCTACAACCATCTGGTCTTTGACAAACCTGCCAAAAACAGGAAATGGGGAAAGGATTCCCTGTTTAATAAATGGTGCTGGGAAAACTGGCTAGCCATATGTAGAAAGCTGAAACTGGATCCCTTCCTTACACTTTATACAAAAATTAATTCAAAATGGATTAAAGACTTAAATGTTAGACCTAAAACCATGAAAACCCTAGAAGAAAACCTAGGCATTACCATTCAGGACATAGGCATGGGCAAGGACTTGATGACTAAAGCACCAAAATCAATGGCAACAAAAGCCAAAATAGACAAGTGGGATCTAACTAAACTAAAGAGCTTCTGCACAGCAAAAGAAACTACCATCAGAGTGAACAGGCAGCCTACAGAATGGGAGAAAATTTTTGCAATCTACCCATCTGAAAAAGGGCTAATATCCAGAATCTACAAAGAACTTAAACAAATTTACAAGAAAAAATCAAACAACCCCATCAAAAATGGGCAAAGGATATGAACAGACACTTCTCAAAAGAAGACATTTATGCAGCCAGCAGACACATTGAAAAAATGCTCGTCATCACTGGCCATCAGAGAAATGCAAATCAAAACCACAATGAGATACCATCTCACACCAGTTAGAATGGCAATCATTAAAAAGGAAACAACAGGTGCTGGAGAGGACATGGAGAAATAGGAATGCTTTTACACTGTTGGTGGGACTGTAAACTAGTTCAACCATTGTGGAAGACAGTGTGGCAATTCCTCAAGGATCTAGAACTAGGAATACCATTTGACCCAGCCATCCCATTACTGGGCATTTACCCAAAGGATTATAAATCATGCTGCTATAAAGACACATACACATGTACGTTTATTGCAGCACTATTCACAATAGCAAAGACTTGGAACCAACCCGAATGTCCATCAGTGGTAGACTGGATTAGGAAAATGTGGCACGTATACACCATGGAATACTATGCAGCCATAAAAAAGGATGAGTTCATGTCCTTTGTAGGGACATGGATGAAGCTGGAAACCATCATTCTGAGCAAACTATCACAAGGACAGAAAACCAAACACTGCATGTTCTCACTCATAGGTGGGAATTGAACAATGAGAACACTTGGACACAGGAAGGGGAACGTCACACACTGGGGCCTGTTCTGGGGTGGGGGGAGAGGGGAGGGATAGCATTAGGAGACATACGTAAAGTAAACGATGAGTTAACTGGTGCAGCACACCAACATGGCACATGTATACATATGTAACAAACCTGCATGTTGTGCACATGTACCCTACAACTTAAAGTATAATAGTAAAGAAAAAAGAAAAAAAGGAAAAGGGCTCTCCAGGATCCTGGAGTCACTGCTTAACAAACTTACAGGGAAAAGAGGACCCAAGGGACACAGGGGTAGACTGTGGGGAATGCAGCAGGGACCTTTCTAGTTCCCCATTCAAGGAAGAACTTGTTGCCACAGCAGCTGGGAATGTGGTCAGCAGACAATCCTAGCTCCCAGTTGTCAGCCCCTGCCCAGTGTGCCTCAGCTCCAGAGCTGCCACACCTAAGAGCCCACCTCTCTTAGGACAATGGACATCCATTGGTTGAGTGCAGCAGGGGAATAACTGCCTGGCTAGTTTGGCTCAATCCCGGAAGATGCCAACATGCCATCTACATCTCGGTTCCCTGTGAGGTTGGCTGATGCCTTGCTGGTCCTGTTCTGAAGTTCAACATCTCTCTGTCCAGTTCTGCTTCTCCTTGACTCTTCCACAGTTGTTGATCTCTAATAAATATCTTGCATCCCAAATTCCATCTCAGCATCTGCTTCTAGAGAACCCAAATTATAAACCTCAGTCAGGAAGTAAGGAAAATGGCATCTGCTTCCAACTTCCTTTGCCCCATCCCCTCTATCCTGAGGCTCCAGAGAGGTTGGGACACCAGCGTCTTGTCACCTACTTTCCTTATCTGTTGACTCCTTTCTTCCTTCATCCCCTGGGAATCTTTCAGAGATCAGTTCCCCTCGCTCTGCCTGTGCCTCTGATACATCCTCTGGGCCATATCTTCCCTCTTTCTGAAGCGACATTAGCCACCTTCTCCTTCCTCTGATGCTGTCCCATGCCTCTGCCCAGTGGCCTTTCCCTGGTCCCCAGTGGAAATACCGTCAGGAAAAAAGTGATTTAGAAAGAATGATTATTCACTAAATATTTTGAAAATGTGATGCCTGTTATACAAAAGATTAGAAGGGAATGAAGAATGCCCCTATGACAGACTGTTCTTTGTGAGCCTCTCATTCTTCTGTGCATTGTATGACAGAGCCACTCGTAGCTCTGTTCTGAACTCTCTTCACGGATGTTTCCATAGCAAAAAGCCTTCGAAGAGAGAGATGTTATTTCCTTGCAGAGAAAAGAGGAGGTTTGCTAACAGCCTTGCAAAACAGTGAGAATGTCTCTTTGGAGCAGAGTGCAGAGTGGCTTAATGTCCATAAAATAGATGTGGATTTTTCTCCTGTAAGGCAACCTGCTGCATGTGCCCATCTGTGTTGCCCTGTGGGACTTGATGGCCAAGGACATTGATGCAAATAGGCGAATGCTTAGCTGCTTGCTGCGCTATGAATAATAAAGTCTTGTTTTTGTTTTTTTGAGACAGGGTCTGTCGCTGTCATCCAGGCTGGGGTGCACTCATGTAATCTGGACTCGATGCAACCTCCGCCTCCTGGGCTCAAGTGACCCTCCCACCCCAACCTCCCAAGTAGCTGAAATCACAGACATGTGCCATCACACCCAGCTAATTTTTGTATTTTTGTGCAGAGGCGGGGTTTCGCCATGGTGTCCAGTCTGGTCTTGAACTCCTGGGCTCTCAAGTGATCCACAGGCCTCGGCCTCCCAAAATGCTGGGATTACAGGTGTGAGCCTCTGCATCTAGCTAATAAAGTCTTTGGTTTCTGTCCCAGGAATCTTGTGTCTTCTGCTACCATCCATGCAACTGTGACAGTTTAACTTGTCAGCTTGGATGTAGGGTAGGATCTTAGAGCCCTCACAGTTCTGGACAACCCTGATGGATGCCCAGATTCTCAGAATTTTTGGACATAAGCACTGAGCACCTGCTTCACTAAGTGTGGACACACTGTTCTTCTCAATTTCTTCAGTCTTGCACTTCATTCTATTGATTATGCTTCTACTTAACCCTTCACTTGACTGTGCAGTCATCATTTTATGGCATCTGGTACTGAATGTTGGTCTCTATTTTCTCTCTCTTAGCTCAAGGAGTCTTCATATTTGTTAGGGGCAAACTCCCATTCCAGGATGGACATCACTTGTGCCTGACTCTTGCAGGCAGCACTCCACCTGAGGGCTTCAGCCAAATAGTAGCATTTCAGAGGAGGATTATGCTGAGGGGAAACAATGGCAGCTCTGTCAGCTCCTTGATCCAGTAATAAATCCAACAGTGTTTTCAGGACTCTGCCAGCGTTGGTCAAAAGGAGAATATCTCAAAAGGATGTAGAGTCTAGGAGGATTTGTCTGAATCTCATGATTAGAACATGCTCACTAAGAAGTTACTGAATTAATAAATGTACCAAAGCCAAGTATTGGTCTTTAGAAATAAAACAATTATAGTCTCAACAATTTCCTAGTGTATGAACGGAAAAGAATAAAGGCAGTTCTAAAGGAAAATCAAACTTCAGTCTAAAGGAGTGTGTAAATTGACAAATGATCAATGAACTCTAGGATAACTGTAAGGGAAAATAAAGATACAACTAATCTGTGGTGTCTCATAAAGCACTAAAAAGTTATAACAACACCTGGGCTGCCATTGGTTTCTGCTTCTTTATTCCCTTGTATTTCTTTAATCATATTGAAAATTGTATCATTTTTATTTTATGTTAACACTAGTAGTTTGACTTTTAATGACATGTCTTTTAAATAATCAAAAATGATCATAAATTAATGGATTATATGGATGTTTCTGAATATTTTTGTAGTGAGAAGTTTTTATTAAGTTGTGGGATCAGACTGGCTAGTGAAAGAACTGTGTATAGAAATCAGCTTTAAAAAATAAATACAATGAAGGAAGAATAGGAATGGTTATTATATTTTACTTAAAAATGAACTATTATATAAACTTTCTAGCATGAAGTGTATTGTTAATGATACAATTGGGACCTAATTACCTTATCTGTGACTGAATAGTTTTCTCTTGTAAACCTTTCCTGCTTAACAGCTTTTCCAAAGGCTGTTTCTCTGAGAACACTCCTTAGACAGAGGGTGTGTTTTTCCCAGTCCCTGGCTAAAGGTTTATAGTGTTTTAGAAGATAAAATCCCCCACAGTAATCCATATTCAACGTAGAAAGGAGAAGAGATGCAATAGATGCATTGTACGAAGGAGAAACAGATGTTAGAACATTTACTTTACTTTTTCATTAAGTTATGTGTTCAAACACAGGTTAGAAGTCACACGTGCAGTACCAATTCTCATGGCATGAGAGCTAGGATAGGTCAAGTCTTTATCTCCAGGCACCTCTGCGTAGCTTAGTTTCCCTTGGATAAACTGAGTGGAAGAAGAGCTGAACTGTGTGTGTGAGTCTATGAGAGTGCTGTGGTGTGGAGGGATCTTCCCCACAGTTACGAAACCAGAGGAAGGACTCTTTCATATGATCATTTTTTAAAGCATTCTTCTGTGAAGAAATGAAGGGGCACATCTTTCAAAATCACCAGAGTACAAAATACCAAACAGCAGAAAAATGAAAGTTATCCAACAGGCAAGCCACTATTGTCAAAAAGTAAAATAGTAATAATAATAATAACAATAATAAAAGGTCAAAAAAGATCAATTAGCATGGATCTCACAAATGAACCCAAATTCTAATTACATTTAAGAATTTAACATATAATAGGTCAAAATTCTTGAAAAATTAAAGTAGGTATGGTGCTGCCATTCAGAGGTGCGTGGCTGCTTTATTTAATCAAGTTATCAAATGAAAGTGAAGAACTATGGAACACAGAGGTGATGGAAGCCCTGGTGGTCAGCCAAGCAAGGAGACCTTCCCATGTGCTCTTGGGCATGAAGTCCAGCTCCCTCCCACATGGTCCAAGCAGCCTGATTTCCCACAGCCACGTCTGCTTGCTGGGCTGAATAAGTTAGACAGGGAGGATGTGTATGCAAGGCCAGAACAAAAGTAAAAGATAGTAGTGTTTCTTATGTTGTCTCTTCTATACTTTCATTGGTAGCTTATCTCTCTCTCCCCCACCTCTCAATAGGTAAACATGCACACACATGCATATGTGTGTATGTATGTATATAGGTATGCACACAGATTTATAGTAATGTAGTATCTATACTATATATAAATATTGTATACCTGGGCTTTTCAGTTACAAAATATTTTCACATGCTTAAAAACTATATTTCTGCAGATACTTGATTGGGAAAATAATTCAGATCCTAGTTTATTTGCTATTTATAATTTGCCTGCTAATAAGAGCAAAAAACACACGAGCATGTTACACAGCATAAAATACTTTGCAGTAAGTCTGAAAATAATAAGACGGAATGAAAGGAAGAGGAAAATTTGTATCAGATAAACAGGACTGGGGATGTGAAAAGGACTGAGTACAAAATTTAATTGCCAAGTATTCTAAGGTTTTAAAATTCTCAGTGCCTAATGAAAGGAAATCATAGGAAATAATTGGTTTTGATTTCCAGACAGAGAACTGAGACACAGGATGATTAAGAGATATTTTAAGATCACATGACCAGAAGGTATGTGACTCAACTCAAATGTGGGTCTCCAGATTGCTAAATTTGTGCCTTTTCCACCATAGCTCGGTAAGACAGTACTCAATGCTAAACAACTAACTACTAGTTTAGATGAGTCTAGTCCACTAAAAAGAGCAACCAGCTCAGTTTAGCACAATCATTCCAGTAAATTAGAATACCTTCTAGCTCAAAGACAATCTTTATACAATCAAGTCGGCCAGAGTAATTGGTATTGATTATAACAGTGGCCAAAATAGTGATTGGGTTGGCACAGCCACATTCTGATACGGGATTGATGAATAAACAAAGACAATATGTCTACACTGAGGAACATTTAAATGTTGTTTAATGTCAAGAAATGCTTCACCTCTCAGCTTTGCAGATGACCAGGCATCTACTGAAACATTCATTAGCAGGAAAGGCCAGCAAACTACACCCACCTGCCTAGTAAACAGATGATTGTCTCCCAAGAGCGCCACTAAATATGGTTAGCACAGGATAGATGCACTGGCGTACCCATGCATAGAGAACACCTCTATTGTGGCATGCAAGTCCATTTTGCTGAGATTGTTAAACTATGAGTGATAGGCACCTGCCGGTGCCAAAAACATCAGGATGCCACTTGGGCATGGCCTGACATGCTTTGGCTTGGAAAACCAAAGCACAGGAGACTTAACTCATTTGCCCAACGGCCAAAAACATTTTTTCTGAGATGAACAACACAAAGGTAGGCTTCAGGCTCATTCTCCTCTACTCCAGTCACTGCATAAACCACACACTCTCTCCATAGCTCGTGACAGCTTTCCATCAGGGATGATTTATCACTGACAACACTCATTCTCCAGTTGTCAAAGTACTTCCCAAAGCTTGTAACAGACAACCAACTTCCTATTCGTACTCGTAACTCAACTATCTTTCTGTGTCTCTCCATATCTTTCAGTTAACTCTAGCTGCACTCCTCCCAGAGGAACTGACTTAAACTGATGGGGGAGAGAACCATTTTTTACCTTAAAGTACGTGTTTATTCCCAGCTCACTAGAAGTCAATTCTTATTTGGTTTATTATTTTGTTTAGCACAGACTGGAAGGAGTCCTTGCATGTATGAAACCAATTTCTCCTGGACGTGGAAACCATCCTTTTTAAGTGGCGGCTAGCATAAAGAGTTTCAGCCGCCATCATTATTCTGACTGGGAGTTCAGTTTGTTTTAAAATATACTTCTTTTCATCTTTTCGGAATTTCACGATTTTTATAATCTACAGGAATACTTTGACTCATTCATTGTGCCCTTTTTTATTGATGTTATTTATAATACGGAAAGTCAAATTCTATTCCTCTTTTATCTTAAAAATAATTCATATTTATTTTTTCAGTATATATAAAATACTGAAAAATGTTTATTTTAATACATGAAGGGTTTACTTCAATATGCTATTTATATTTTAAAATAGTAATAGTTTATTTAATCTTGTGTTAACTTTATTAAAAAATAAACTCCATGTCCCTGCAAAGGACATGAATTCATCCTTTTTTATGTCTGCATTCTATTCCATGGTGTATATGTGCCACATTTTCTTTATCCAGACTATCATTGATGGGCATTTGGGTTGGCGCCAAGTCTTTGCTATTGTGAATAGTGCTGCAATAAACATATGTGTGCAAATGTCTTTATAGTATAATGGTTTATAATCCTTTGGGTATATATCCAGTAATGGGATAGCTGGGTCAAATGGTATTTCTGGTTCTAGATCCTTGAGGAATCGCCACACTGTCTTCCACAATGGTTGAACTAATTTATACTCCCACCAACAATGTAAAAGCATTCCTATTTCTTTACATCTCCAGAATCTATTGTTTCCTGACTTTTTAATGATCACCATTGTAACTGGCATGAGATGGTATCTCACTGTGGTTTTGATTTGCATTTCTGTAATGACCAGTGATGATGAGCTTTTTTTCATATGTTTGTTGGCACATAAGTGTCTTCTTTTGAGAAGTGTCTGTTCATATTGTTCGCCTACTTTCTGATGGGGTTGCTTTTTTTTTTTCTTGTAAATTTGTTTAAGTTCCTTGTAGATGCTGGATATTAGCCCTTTGTCAGATGGATAGATTGCAAACATTTTCTCCATGGATGAAGCTGGAAACCATCATTCCCAGCAAACTAACACAGAAACAGAAAACCAAACACCACATGTTCTCACTCATAAGTGGAAGTTGAACAACGAGAATACATGGACACAGAGAGCAGAACATCACACAATGGGGCCTGTCAGGGGGTGGGGGGCTAGGGGAGGGATAACATTAGGAGAAATACCTAATGTAGATGACGGGTTGATGGGTGCAACAAACCACCATGGCACATGTATACCTATGTAACAAGCCTGCATGTTCTGCACATGTATTCCAGAACTTAAAGTATAATAATAAAAAAATTCTATTGTTAAAGTATTTATACCTATTTACCCAATAGTTCCTTCTCTCTCTTTCTCTCTCAATATGCCTTTACTTCTCTCTCCTAATCTGTCTCTCTCAATCCCTCTCTTCCTGTCTCTTCCAATCTCTCTCTGCCTGTCTTTCCCTCTCTCTTCCTGCCTCAGTCTCTCTCTCTTTCTCTCTCAATACATCTTTGTCTCTCTTAATGTATCCTCAATCTTTCTATCTCTTTCGGTATTTCTCTCTCTGTATTTCTCTCTCCTCTCTCTGTCTCCCTGTTCTCTATTTCCAGAGCAATATTGAGTTTCCAGCACAGAGAAGCACGTTTGCAAGTTCTCTCTTGTCAGGTCTAGAGGTTGTAGTTGTGGGCATTGTTCCTGGAAGTTTTGGCTCCAAGCTTCATCTTAAAGCTATTTCAGTGATTCTGAAAACTCCGTAATACTATTTTAATAAATGTATTTATTTTGCAGAAGTCAGCCAGAATCAGCATCTATTGCTTGCCAATAAGGACTCTAACCAGTAATTCCTTCTTTAGGGAAGAGGTTTCTAAACTCTCTGACCCTTAGTGCCTCAGCTGTTTTTTTTTCCTCTAGCATGCCCAGGCCAAAACAACTACCTAACAGTATATGTTTATTAAATACTTATTTATACTTAATACTTGATGTAGTTTGACTGTGTATCACTCAAATCTCATCTTGAATTGTAGCCCCCATAATTCCCATGTGTTGTGGGAGGGACCTGGTGGGAGGTAATTGAATTGTGGGGATGGGTCTTTCCTGTTCTGTTCTCATGATAGTGAATAAGTCTCACAAGATCTGATGGTTTTATAAAGGAAAGTTCCCCTACACATGCCCTCTTGCCTGCTGCCAGATAAGATGTGCCTTTGCTCTTCCTTTGTCTTTTGACATGATTGTGAGACCTCACCAGTCATGTGGAGCTGTGAGTCCATTAAAACGCTTTCCTTTATAAATTACCCAGTCTTGGGTATGTCTTTATTAGCAGCATGAGAACGGACTAATACAGTAAATTGCTACCAGATGGTGGGATACTGCTATAAAGATACCTGAAAATGTGGAAGCAACTTTGAAACTGGGTAACAGACAGTGGTTGGAACAGTTTGGAGGGCTCAGAAGAAGACAGGAAAATGTGGGAAAGTTTGGAACTTCCTAGAGACTTGTTGAATGGCTTTGATCAAAATGGTGATAGTGATATGGACAATAAGATCCAGGCTGAGGTGGTCTGAGATGGAGAAGAGAAACTTGTTGGGAACTGGAGTGAAGGTCACTCTTGCTATGGAAAGAGACTGGTGGCATTTTGCCCCTGCCCTAGACATCTGTGGAACTTTGAACTTGAGAGAGATAATTTAAGGTATCTAGGGGAAGAAATTTCTAAGCAGCGAGGCATTCAAGAAGAAGCAGAGCATAAAAGTTTGGAAAATTTTCAGCCTAATGATGTAATATAAAAGAAAAACCCACTTCTGGAGAAAAATTTAAGCTGGCTGCAGAAATTTGCATAAGTAACAAGGAGCTGAATGTTAATCACCAAGATAATGGGGAGAATATTTCCAGGGCATGTAAGAGACCTTCACAGCATCCCTTCCCATCATGGGCCTAGAGGTCCAAGATGAAAAAATGATATCCTAGGCTGGGCTCAGGGCCCCCTTGCAATGTGCAGCCTAAGGACTTCCAGCCCTGTGTCCCACCTGCTCCAGCCATGGCTAAAAAGGGCAAAGGTACAGCTCGGGCTATGGCTTCAGAGGGTGCAAGCTCCAAGCCTTGGCAGCTTCCATGTGCTGTTGAGCTTGTGGGTGCACAGAAGTCAAGAAATGAGGTTTGGGAACCTCCACCTAGATTGCAGAGGAGGTATGGAAACACCTGGATGTCCAGGCAGAGGTATGCTGCAGGAGTGGAGCCCTCATGAAAAACCTCTGCTAGGACATGCAGAAGGAAAATGTGGGGTCAGAGCCCCCGTATGGAGTCCCTACTGAGGCACTGCTTAGTGAAGCTGTGAGAAGAGGGCTACCGTCCTCCAGACCCCAAAATGGTAGATCCACTGACAGCTTGTACCATGTGTCTGGAAAAGCCACAGACCACACCAGCCTATGAAAGCATCCAGGAGGAGGGCTGTACTCTGCAAAGCCACAGGGGCGGAGCTGCCCAAGGCCATGGAAGCCCACCTCTTGCATCAGCATGACTTGGATGTGAGACATGGAGTCAAAGGGAATCATTCTGGACCCTTAGGATTTGACTGCCCCATTGGATTTTGGGCTTTCACGGGGCCTGTAGCCCCTTCATTTTGGCCAATTTCTTTCATTTGGAATGGGTGTATTTACCCAATGCCTGTATCCCCATTGTATCTAAGAAGTAACTAACTTGCTTTTGTTTTTACAAGCTCATAGGCAGAAGGGACTTGCCTTGTCTCAAATGAGACTTTGGACTGTGAACTTTGAAGTTAATACTGAAATGAGTTAAGACTTTGTTGGACTGTTAGGAAGTCATGATTGGTTTTGAAATGTGGGCACATGAGATTTGGGAGGGGCCAGCGTGGAATGATATGGTTTGGCTCTGACCCCACCCAAATCTCATCATGAATTGTAGCTCCCATAATTTTTACATAATTCTCACGTGTCATGGGAGGGACCCAATGGGAAGTAATTTAATCATGGGGGTGGGTCTTTCCCATGCTGTTCTCATGATAGTGAATAAATCTCACGAGATCTGATGATTTTATAAAGGGGAGTTTCCCTACACATGCCCTCTTGCCTGCCACTATGTAAGACATCCCTTTACCCTTCCTTCATCTTCTGCCTTGATTGCGAGGCCCCCCAGCCATCTAGAACTGTGAGTCCATTAAGCCTCTTTCCTTTATAAATTACTCAGTCCTAGATATGTCTTTATTAGCAGCATGAGAACTGGCTAATACAATACTTACTAAGCAGTTAGGTTTAAACATCTTAATAAGTGCTTATATCCTAAAATGTGGTAGTCATTTAAAAAATAATATAGATATATTGAATGAAAAAATATTTATTTCACTTTTAAATAATTAGTAAGATCATATGTATATCTGTTGGGAACTTCATAATCGGACAAATCTTGGATCAGATTGAACACAACACCTTTAATTCCTATTCACACTGTCGTTCATGTGGGACTTGCTTTTCATCACAGTAATAGTAAAAAATCCAGTTTTTTACCAAGATATGATGTCATCAAATGAAGTGTCACATGACCTAATATTGAGACTGTGGATTACCTGGAACTGGTTCATGGGATGGCCAACAGATGTTGAATGTGGTTGTATTTCCCTTAAGTATACAAAATATTCCATGGTCCCCTGCATGTCCTCTGTGACCCCTTGGGGCACTTCATCACACAGTTTGATAACAATAGCTTTAGGGTAATACAAGGTTTCATGGACATCCATGAAACAAGACAATATACAAAGTAAGGTTCATTTGGGTATTTGGCAGGCACTTATGAGTTCTGCTCCATGCTCAGTGCTGTACTGGTAGCCCAGGATGTAAAGGTACATTGTTCTGAAAACAAACTTGTAAAGAACCTAAGATGCAGTCCATTTTCCTCATGGAATTAAATATGTATGTTTATGGAGGTAGGAACAATGTATAGAAGCATGGAAAAGGAGAACCAAGCTCTATGTGAGAATCAGGAAAGGATTTATCCAACAGTTAACACCTGAGGTGATCCATGAAGGATGCAGTTATTTACCTGGTGGAAAGATGTAGCGAGAGCATTTAGGACAGACAGAAAAGACGCACACAAGCCAGAAGTCACTGGAAGCTGATCTGACTGTATCCTGGATCATAGCATGAGTTGGAGGAGGGAGAGACAGAAGCAGAGGCTGAATGGCTGAGCAAGGGCCCCAGCTGGTCACGTGAGCGGTTTCAGAACATTATCCATTGTTGACAGGTGCAATGGGAAACTGTGGGTAGGATGATGCTATCATGATTTCATGATTCAGTGATGATTAGAGATGTTTTGATATCTGGGAGTTAGACTGGGGAAAAAGGAACATAGGGAGCTGATACCAAAGCCAAGACACTACTAAGAAGGCATGAGGTGGACAAATAACAAAAAAGATGGAGATGGAGCTCACTCTTATTAATGTGGAAGGAGAGACAGACACTAAGCCAATTAAAGAGGCAAAATACATCAGGTGGTGATAATGTTAGGGATCTAAATAAAGGTGATCAATGAGAAGGAGTGGCCAGATGGAGGTAGAGCAGAGGTGTGGTACGAACTGTAATCTTAATAAGACGGCCAAGTGTGGCCCTACCAATTCAGGGACATTTGAGCAAAGACCAGAGGCAGGTGAGTGAACAAAACATGCATGAATTTCATGAAGAGCTTTGCAGTTGTTCTTATATGGGGATGTTTTACCTCCTAGGGGACTTTTGGCAGTATCTGGGGCACTGCAGTGGTTCTTAACTGGGGATATTTTACCTCCTAGGGGACTTTGGCAGTATCTGGAGACATTTTTGGCTGTCACAGTGGGGGAGGCAGTTGCTGCTGCTATCTAGTAGATAGATCTTAGGGATGTTGCTAAACATTCTACAATGCACAGGGCACTTTCCACAAAACAAAGAATTATCCATCCCCACATGTCAACAATGCCAAGGTTGAGGAACTCTACAGGGTGAATCCGAAACTGACCCAATTATCTCATAGAACTGATGTTTATGGTTTCTTTGAATAAACATAGAAACTGATCCTCCCATCTTAAAACTTGAGAAGGATACATTTTTCTTATCTGAGTTCTTTTCTCAAAAAACAACCATCAGGGCTCCCAGGTAGTATCAGGAGCTGAAACTCACCAGATCACCACATCTGGACAATGAGATTCCAGACCCCTCATCATCACGATCATAATAGCCAAACTGATTGCCTGCCACCTGTTGACCAACTCCTCTTCCTCACTCCTCCCTACTTCCTGTTTTACTACACAAGGTTACATTTCTTCTCTTCTATATAAACCCCTAATTTTAGTCAGTCAGGGAAAGGGATTTGAGACTGATCTCCCATCTTCTTGGCTGCAGCACCCAATTAAAGCCTTCTTCTCTGGCAGTACTCATCATCTCAGTGATTGGCTTTCTGTGCAGCAAGCAGCAGGACCAAGACTGAACCCCTAGTGTTTCAGCAGCAAAATGAGTTTCAATTCCTGAGTCATGGCAATGATTGAGAGAGGACACATGTCTGAATTGAAAACATGACAATAGAGATAAAGAGTAATGGCTGAATTTTCAAAAATGTTTAAGGGGTGGACTCTACAGAATTTGGAACCTATTAGGCATGAGCTACAGAGCAAACGTTTCTGAAAAGACCAACTGGGTGAATGGTGGCACCTCTTTGGGGGCCCCAGACCCCATTACTCTCATGTGCTGGCTCTCCTTCCTTGGTTGTGCTGCCTCTCGGCCTGATACTTCCTGCTCATCACCTGCAGGAGCTCCTCTCAGAGGTTCCTGAGCCCCTGTTGCAGTTTCCCATATTGTCATAGCACCTGGCATGCAGTAGGTGCACAAAAAGGAATTGCTAAACTGAAAGTAGTGGTGGGCAGAGAACCCACATTCGTTTAGGAATGACTCAGAGGGAAGGAATTTGAGAAAGCAAAAGTGAACTCTTCTTTCTGAAAGTGTGATTATTTAAGAAAATAAAAATGTAAAGATACCAATTTTCCAAAATATGTTACTATACAGTGCATACTTTGTCATCTGTTCCTCAGAGGTAAGTGTATTAGTCCATTCTCACGCTGCCATGAAGAAGGACCCAAGACTGGGTCATTTATAAAGAAAAGAGGTTTAATTGACTCACAGTTCCACATGGCTGGGAAGGCCTCAGCAAACTTACAATCACAGCAGAAGGCACTTCTTCACAGGGTGGAAGGAGAGAGAATGAGTGCCAGCAGGGAAAATGCCAGACACTTATAAAACCATCAGATCTTGTGACAACTCACTCACTATCACGGGAACAGCATGGGAGAAACTAACCCCATGATTCAATTACCTCCACCTGGTCCCTCCCTTGACAAGTGGGGATTATTACAATTCAAGGTGAGATTTGGATGGAGACACAGAGCCAAACCATATCAATAAGTATCCAGAAATCTTATAAAAGTGGCTTACTCAATTCCAGATATTATCATAGCAGCAATCAAGCTAATACTCACTAAGCACTTTCCATGTGCCAAAACATAAGCTCCATAGCATGACCTAATTCAGTCCTCACCACAGCCTTGAGTTGGCACCCTCATTACATGCGTGGAAGAAGACATTGCTGGATTTGTGTACTGTTGTAATCTCAGCATCCGGTGGAGGGCCTGGCACGTAGTAGATGCTTAGTATTTCTTGAAAGAAAAAATAAATAACTTTTACAAATGAAACAACTGTGGCTTTAGAGAGATCAAATAATTGCCAAAGATCATGCAGCTGGTAAGTCAAAGAGCATCTCAACCTTCCCTCTGCATAGCTGCTGGTAAAAACATCTTTGACTTAGCTTCTCCGTGTTGGTTGTGGGCCACCCACTTGACTTATTCCAAGCTTTCAAGGTCACAGCTTCCATTTTTAGGGCTGACTACCCCTTTTATGAGGTGTTTTAGGATTTCACCTACAGTCTCGCCCCCACCTCCATGTATTGTAGAAGATCGTGCACTCTCCCTGTAAGTGACATTAGGGCAATTGATCCAGAACCAAAAGTGTATTTGAACCTGCTGAGTCAAGTGCTGCCATCTTCAGGAAGAGAGGCCAAACCCACCTGTCTCCCCTCTTCCTCTTTTGTTCTTTGTTAAGAATTCTGGGAACAATAATTCAAGGAAATCATTTCTTATTTTTTACTGATTTTAGCCTTTTCACAGATAACAGATTATTTCCTTGGACTATCGATTGCAAGATTCTTGAAAAAAGAGCAAATATTCACATGTACCTGAGAGTGCCGTTGGGTAATATTTGTGAAATGACTGTGTTGAGGGACGTTTCATGTGTACTTGAAAACATAAACACGTGGACAACCCTGCTTTCCGTACATGTCTTGCAAACATTAACTCCTTGTTAAAATGTTCACTGCTAAGATTAAAGATTCCTTATTATTTAAAAGAATTACAGCCCCGTTCCACCCAGATAATGAAAGCACATCATCTCATAAGCCTGTTAAAAATGATATAGACAAAGTATTGAAAATGCTTTGCAGGGAACGGCCTTATGCTGGCCCCTTTAGGGATGATTGAGATGAACTAATAGGTTTCTTTTATGTCTAATTTATATGATTCTAATTATGGCCTCCTTTTCATTCCTGTGGTTGTTCTCATCTGCCCACACAAATGTGCTGCACTTGTGACCCAGCATCTCTTCCTTCACTCCACCATAGCAACTTTCTCTTGGGACTTTTCTCAGTGTTTGATGTCAACCCTTTCAGGAAACTACTTGTAAACTGCAGACTTCTCTGAAGCACCATTGTACATTTAACAGAGAAGGAAGAAATCCCAGGTAGAACTCATTTTCTGTGATGTACATTTAAACCCTTATTATGGGTAAATAGAGGGAAATGATACAGAACCTAGGGCCAAAGGAATGTGTTGATTTCTCCATGGAATCCATGATTCTCTTCATTGGTCCTGACTGGATGTGGTATATCACATTCACGTGAATGTTTATGAAATCATCTATTGTTATTGCAGCAAGGATGGAATATATTCTGGACCTAAGACATTTGGTGGCCTTTGCCTCCTATTGAAATTCAAGAAACTTCAAAATGATTTGAATAATGGTGCCAGAAAGAACCATGCAAACCACAGTGTTCTCTGGCTTGTGCTTGGATTGGGGTGAGTGTGTGGGGAAATCATGTGCAAATTTGAAATTCTCTTAGAGTAGATAAGCTTAGCCCAAGATACCACACTTGGAAGAGAACTTCTCAAGCATGGGCACTTATTTCTTCACTTCTCTGTAATCAAACAGCAAGAAGAGAACAGAGCGGACAGATAAAATAGCTGACATCAGGTTGCAGACTCCCCAGGTGTGCAGTGTCCTAGAGACCAGATCCCTGGAAATGTGTTTCTCTGCGCTCTCCAGGGCCTTGTGGGAAAGCCATGATGTGGGGGGAAGGAAGGAAGGAAGGAAGGAAGGAAGGAAGGAAGGAAGCAAGGAAGGAAGGAAGGAAGGAAGGAAGGAAGGAAGGAAGGAAGGAAGGAGGAGGGAGGGAGGGAGGGAAGGAAGGAAGGAAGGAAGGAAGGGGCAGGGGCTGAGTGAGGTGGTGGACATTCTAGCAGTGGGTTCACCTTGTCATTGTCCCATGTTTAACTCAGTGGAGTTTTAAAATCCATTGTTAAGTTGACTACGTGTATCTTTTACCTGCACTGTCTTTGTTTTTATTTATCCTGTATAGTTCTGTTTCCTTTATTTTCTCCTCAGATATTCCATCGTGTCTTACTGCATTTGATTTTCTCCAAAGATTTGAGTAGTGAGGGTGGAGGTGGTGGGCTGGCAGTAATAAGTATACAGCCTTGAAAATCCACACTAATCAAACAATTTTCCTATGTTGTTTGCCTTTTTTGGTTAATAGCAGATGAAATTGACTCAGGAAATACATCTTTACATACACTATTTCATCACTGAAGATTTTTAAAATACTCTCCTGAATGGTGTACACTTTATTACATAAGAACGCTACATCCAAATGGATATTTTTGTGTAAAGCATACCCTGACTTACTGAAACAAGAAAGGAAACAAAACACTCCTGCAAAATATTAAGTGTGTTTTAAGTGTGGCCTGGTTCCTTTGCCCATTAAAGCAGTCTGTCTCAGCAACAAAAGATGGAATCAACACAGAATAGAATTGGAATTATGCATGTCATTTATAATGAACCTCATTATACAAGGAGGTTTAATTCTATTATGAAGTGCTGCAGTTTGCAATCTTATTGCTATTCAGCTTTGAACAATGACAAAGAAAAAAAATCCCCACCCCATGTCAGAGCTAATCTTTTTTAATGCCCACCATTTTGTATTGTTTATATATTTTCCTTAAAGAGAATTTTCCTGCCATGTTCATTCCAGTCAGCAGTGTGCCCCCTTCACCTTACCCATGTGTAGAGTCTCATTTTCAGCTTTCTTAAGAAAAACTAAAGGATTCCATACATGGTTTTGCTTCTGAGAAGTAATGACACGATGGCTACCACCACAGTTTAATCTGACATTATATTTATAAACAAGAAGGTACATTTACCATCCAGTATAAGCCTCTAATTCCATCAGGGGTGTTTATGTGTCCCTTCTTGACAGAATTACAGCTCAATGGGCATTATTTGGCCCAATGCTCCATCGTAGCTGTGTGCATGGCTCCTAGGTTTAATAAGACTATTTACCATCAAATCCTTTTTCTACACATTTTTATTACTCAACAATAAATACAGAGGTGAGGTTCTGTTTGGTGTGTGCATATTTTGAGGCATTTTGGGGCCATTATTTTTAAGCACCAACTCATAAATTCCAGAATATTGTTTTAAATGCTTGAGCATTTCACCCTGGTGTGGCTGTCATTTCCAATATAACACCCTGGAGACTACACATGTCTACTCGGAATGGTTTACCTTGGGTGTTTGTCAACATCATTTATTTATCTGCACCAAGAAGAGTGTTATATTAGGGCTTGTGAAGACATTGAAGAGAAATAGAAAAAATAACCTTTGCTATAGAAGCTAAATTTGTCGGTTGTGTGCTTAAGGAGACAAAGTACTTGCATGTAAATCTAATGCAAGAAGACTTAAAAAACCACAGTTACCTGGAGGTTAATACATGAACAGTGGACCAGATTTCTCCTGTTCTTTCTCTCACCTTTTCTTCCCTTCTCGCCTTCTCCCTTTTTTTCTTCCTCCTGCAAAGTCTGTGAGATACGGGTTGAGATTCCAGCTCCATCATTTACTAGCTGTGTTTGACTTTGGGCAAGGTATTTAAAATCTCTAAGCTTCATTTTCTTCAGCTGTGGAATAAAGACAGTAATAGTTCCTACTCCCTGTGTATGTTGTTACAATTTCATTTATATGAGTTGTGTATATAAATCACAGTGCTTGGTGCATAGTAACCACTCAATAAATGTTAGCTATTATTTACATTACCTCTTTTTCAACCTATTTTCATTTTAATGAAGTAAATAAAAGTATTGAATTGAATCCTGTGTTTCTGGTAAACAAAAAAAGGGAAACAATGTGTTAGAGAGTTTGTATCTGAACCATTTTGCAACAGTCAACAGAGACCTGAGTTGTAAAAAACTCCAGTTGATACAAAATAAACTACGAAAGTGGCTTTAACATATCTGAACACACAATAGCTAAGACCCAAACTGGGATTAGATACCCCACTATGCTTAGCCCTAAACCTCAACAGTTAAATCAACAAAACTGCTCGCCAGAACACTACGAGCCACAGCTTAAAACTCAAAGGACCTGGCGGTGCTTCATATCCCTCTAGAGGAGCCTGTTCTGTAATCGATAAACCCCGATCAACCTCAAATTAGAGACCAATTTGGAGGCTAGCCAGCAATAGCTGATCTGCTGTAACCTTTGCAACCACCTCCCCACTGAAAAATTTATAACAGCACTGGAGTATATCAGGTAATAAAATGGAATGAATTACGAACACATGCCACAACATGTGTGAACCTTGAACACATTATGTTGAGCGAAAGAAGCCAGTCACAAAAGGTCACATATTGTATGATCTCATTTATGTGAAATGCCTAGAATAGGCAAATCCACAGGCAGAAAGTAGATTCTTGGTTGCCAAGGGATGAGGGAGAGGGGATTTGCAGAGTGACCGGTAGGGGTACGGATTTTATTGATGTGGTGATGAAAATTAGACAGTTGTGATGGTTACATGACTCTGAATATACTAGGAATCACAAATTGTGCACTTAAAAAGTGGATTTTGTGGCATGTGAATTATATCTCAATAAAGTTGTTATAGAAAATATATATCAGACAGAACAGGGTCAAGTTCAGAATTCTGAGGCTCTCACTAGAGATTTTACCATGGTTGGATAACTAATGAATTATTTAATGCTATTTTGTCAGATTTATTCAACAGAAATAAATCCAAATAAGCATCCAACACAAACACACATGCATGCACAAAGACTCACAAGGATATGTGATGTGGTGATATTTCTGAAAATGCAGAATGTATCTGATGACCCAAGGCTGATGTCACTGGAGTAGAGCAGTGAACTCAGCTGAGGAGTGGCGAATGATTCCTGCTCACCCTTCTCTCAGAAACTACCTTTCACCTGCGTTTGCTAGTGAAAAGCTCCCTGTAAAGCAAGTCATCTAAATATAATTACAATCATGATGGTTTAGTGCATTTTGAGATGTAAATTATCATGGGAAAGTGCTGAGGATGGTGGCAAATGAGAAGAAGAAGCAAAGGTACCTATGAGCCCCACTTCTGAAAAACGTACTGGTTAGCACCATAGGAAAAAAGGAAATTAAGGTCAAATAAAATTGGAAAGAAAAGAGCAACATTGGCCAGGCACGGGGGCTCACGCCTGTAATACCAGCACTTTGGGAGGCCAAGGCGGGCAGATCACTTGAAGTCAGGAGTTCGAGACCAGCCTAGTCAACATGGTGAAACCCCGACTCTACTAAAAACGCAAAAATTAGCTGGGCGTAGTGGTGCATGCCTGTAATCCCAGCTACTCGGGAGGCTGAGGCAGAAGAATCTCTTGAACCCAGGAGGTAGAGGTTGCAGTGAGCTGAGATTGTGCCACTGCACTGTAGCCTGGGTGATAGAGTGAGACTCCAAAAAAAAAAAAAAAACAACATTATCATGATTGACAAATGATATGAATATCTACACAGAAAATCCTTAATAAATATAAAAGCTTTTCAGATTCATGAGAGAGTCTACAAGTTTCCCAGGTATAATTTCAAAATACAGCAACACCAAAATTCTACAAAATGAAATTTAAAAGGATGTTTTAAATTACACCCAGAATATAAATTATTTAGTCATGGGCTGAATGGTGTCCCTAGAAAAATTCCCATATGGAAGACCTAAATCCAGTATCTCAGCATGTGACTTTATTTAGAGATAAGGTCTTTAGAGAGGTCATTCAGTTAGAGTGAAGGTTATTAGCATGGCCCCTAATGCAATACAACTGGTGTCCTTACAAGAAGAGGAAATTGTAGCACACCCAGACAGAGGGAAGAGGACGTGAAGACACAGAGAAAACAGAGTCACCCGCAAGCCAAGGGGAGAGGCCCGAAACAGATCCTTCCCTCAGCCTCAGAAGGAACCAGTTCTGCTGACACCTTGATCTTTCAGCCTCCAGCACTGTGAGATGATCAGTGTCTGTGGTTGAGGCCTCCTGGTCTATGTGGTTTTGTTATGGCAGCTCTAGCAAACGAATACATTAAGAAAAAAACTTAAATGTGCAAGTCCTTTTTGCAGAAAATAATATTTTCTTAAAACATGTAAGAATATACCATGATCATAGAGAGGACTTTTAAAGATATTGAGACACTGATACTAAAATGTACAGTTCATTAAAAGGTTGAAAACTAGCAAGAATGCAGGAAGGGCTCACAGGTGGGGTGTTTTCATCTATAAAAACACTTTAAAAACCCAGGAAGAATTGGTGACAATATTTAAATAATTGTAAACATTCCTTTTAAATATAATGAACATAAATATTCTAGATTGCAAAAAAAATTTTAAAAGACATTTATTTAATAATGAAATGTTATCACAAACATCTGCTGATAGTGTATAAAAACCTGAACAGCCCAGGACGTCTTTTGATGGCACAAGAATCAACATAAATAATTTGCATTTGTTAAGGAAAAGCAATGACTGTTTTCAACAACAAAATAATGTGGTATAAATATTGAATGCAAATGTTGTTCACAACTTTTATCATTAAAAGTGGGACATGCCAAATTTTTATTTATTTCTTCATAACAGTCACATACAATTTATTTTTATGGTTCAAATAAAGAAAACTTACTATAATCAATAAGGTGAAAATTAAGATAACATTATGAATCATTTAGTTCTTATAAAGCATTTGAAAAACAAAAACTCTTGAAAACCAAAAAGGGTGCTGATAAAGCAAAAGAAAATACTTAGAATGTGCCACCATAATTGTAAACACTATTCAACATTTAGAAAATATTGAGCATTTTATAACGGACAGTGGGAGCAATGAGGCGGGCCAGGGGGCTGAGGGTTGGGAAATTTCATATTGGATACAGTGTTCAATATTTGAGTGATGGGTACACCGGAGACCAGTCCCTACCATCATGCAAAATACCTGTGCAACAAATATGCAAAGGTACCCCTGAATCTACAATACAAATAAATAAATAAACAAGAAAATATTGAGCATTTTGGACACTAAATATTAAATAGAACTTTAAAAAGATTAACATCAGAATAGATATTATTTTGAAAATTAGATTTTTGAGTATTTATCACAAGAATTTTATCCAAATAAAATAGTAACTTTTTGAAAAAACTTAAAAATCAGGGCACTAAAATTTCAATTGCTATTTTTGATAAGTATTTCACATCAAGCTGTTTTAACAATTTACTGAAAAGGTAAAATGCCATTTTTCTGAAGTTAGTAATGTATTTTGATGATCTCAGGGAGCTGAAAGGAATGTCATCTAAAAAACATTAGACCTTATTTTTGGTACATGAGAAAAATATTTTATTTTATTTTTTATTCTATTTTAAACTTGGGGGATTATATAGTAGGTGAATATATTTAGAGAAAAATATTTTAAAGAGATTCACAATAAAATCTGATTAGATTTTGTACAGATTACATTAGGATATATCTATGGAGAAAGTCTGAAGTTTTAGTCAAAATGTAGAAACATTTGTACATATTTAAACGTGGCAACATCTAAGTCATGATACCCATCTATGGGTGTGCTATAAACAATATAAATTGAATAAAT
The DNA here is from genome assembly GCF_000001405.40 of Homo sapiens. Classification (NCBI taxonomy): domain Eukaryota; kingdom Metazoa; phylum Chordata; class Mammalia; order Primates; family Hominidae; genus Homo; species Homo sapiens. Next base: position 109,420,673 of record NC_000013.11, on the reverse strand, counting down.
CACTTTACCACTAGTTTCGATAAATCTCATGTTTTAACTACATGCCAAATAAATACTAAAGAAAATTAAACCATATGTCTGAAGTGATAGAGTTGAAATAAGAAAAACCAGAGGAATATGGAAGTGTCGATAGTGGCATAGTAGTATAGGACAAGAGTGCCAGGGCAGCAAGAAAAGTTTAAAAATTATATCAAAATGTACAATAGTAATTCAGTGGGGAAACAGGCATGAGAAAATAATTCTTTTGGAAATTTTATTTTAATGAAACTCATTCTGAGAAAAAACAATAGAGACCTGTTTTCTGTGATTCAGGTTGGTCCCATTCTTGCAAATCTCCTTGGATTCAAAATGACCTAATGAATAAAGCTAAGTCAACAGAGGAATCGAACATGCCAATAAGCAACATTTGTGACTTTGATAACAGAGATATTTAGTATATATGAATCTCAGATTGTATACTGAGGCTAGCAAATATTTTGAGTATAATATCTTTGTGCAAAAGAACGTGAGAGAGCAATCAGCAGCATGATGGATGACATCGATGACACACCTTTTCTGCTTAAACTACAAGTTATCTCATGTCCACCCATTCAATGAGTCGTCTTGGGAAGACTTTGATGCAGTTCCCTCAGTCAAATCATTACACTCACTGCATTTAGCTGGTGAGAGTAGTGACAAACAAATGACAAAAACAGTTTTTCATTTATAAACAAATAATTTGGAATTGATGATTTTAGAGAAAATGGTGCTAAATGTATCACATGGTAAGCACTTAAATATATATATATAGTTTAATTCAGTCAGTTAATGGATAAAGGAGGGTATATTTTACTTTCGAGGCATATATTTAATTAATTTGTATGAAAATATATTAATATAGTTTATTATCATACCAGTTGTCAAAAATTTTAGTGTCACAAAACTACCGTTTTTCCCAAAAGGACATCAAGAAAACTTAAATAAAGGAAAGCTGAAAATACAGCAAATCGATTATTACAAGGATCTTATTTCCTTTCAAACTTAGCCAATACTGTAGGCTTAGTGCAATTTCAATCAAAATGCTCGGGAAATTTGGAAGGTGGAGGTTATTGGCACAGGAATTCCACCAAAGTTTGCCAGGAAGATCAATCATATGAAATTAAAGGGCAACATTTTGAGAAAGAAGAGAAACAAGGGCCATTTTTGTCCAGACATAAAACTTCAATGGGCAGATCACTTTGGGTCTGGTGAATGGATCGATGTATTAAATAAATGAATTAGAAACACACTATCATACTTTGGAAACAATAAATGATAAGAGCAGTGTCACAAAATTGTGAAAACAGAAGGATTACGAGTTACATTTTTTTTTCCTGAAACAACGTATTATCCTTTGAGAAAAAAAAAAGAACATTACATATGGTGGAAAATTCAGAGGGAATATTTTTCTCTTCTCAAGAATGTTGAAAAATTATATAGTCACAGAAATAATGGAAGAGAGAATAATGGAAACAATCAGTGCAGTCAACTACATAGAAAGCTTCTTTATTTCTTAAGTCGGCATAAGGAATATTAAAAGGGAAAAAACCACCTAGGGAAAACTGCAACAAACATGACAAAAAATAGATGAATGTACTTCATGCATAAAAACAGAGTATAAGTCAGTTGGTGAAACCGTGAAAGACCTAAGAGAAATGTTTGCAAAGAATGATAAGGGACAATTTATTAAAAAAAGAAAAAAACATGTAACTAGCATATATGGTAAATATATCTTTCTCTCTTTTCAAATTAAACAACTTTTTTATCATGCTAATGGCTTCTCCCCACTGAGGATGCTTATAAAATATATCATGGTGTTTGCTAAGTTTTTTGCTGTAAAGTTACTATTTCCCCTTTGTAATTAATACATATCATGTAGAGAGATACTTTGAGGTTGTACATGCCTTGTTTCTCACATTTCGGGTGCTACTTTAAGCATCCAGTGATGATTTTTGCTTGAAACAATAATTACTGTGGAGTTTGCCAAATTGTATTTTCTATTTTTTATCATTCTTTCTATGTTTATTAGTTGGAATTCTACTGAAGATTCAGACTTCTCTCTTGATGGGGATGACCTGCAGACACCACCACCTATGGTGTCTACCAAATGATTTTCTATTTCTATCATTCCTTCTCCACATTTTAATTAGAATTACATTGTAAAGGCAGATTTCCTGACCATTAGAAAAACAAGCCAAAAACTACATTAATCAAATGATCTAAAAAGTTAACATCACCAGTGCAATGTGTCAAGAATACATCTCTTTTGTCACCAATATAATACTGAAATTCAGTCATGAGGAAATGTGAGGCAAGCTGAAATAGGGAACATTATATAAAATAACTGGCCAGCAGTCCTCAAAAGCATAAAGTCTTGAAAGACAGACTGAGGAAATACCCAGATTAAAGATTATTGTGAAGTGGAAACTACATGCAATCAACATGTGATTTTGCATTATATCCTGGACCAAAAAAATGCACATTAATGGAACAACTGGTGAGACTGACATGAAGTGTGTGGATTAGATAACAGTATTGTACCAATGTTATTTTTTTCTAATGCTTCTATCTTTACTGTGGCTATTTAAGTTGTTATCACTGGGAGAATTGAGGTGAAGGTGAAGATTCTTTGTACTATTTTTGCAACTTTTTAAAAGTCAGTAATTACTTTAAAATTAAAAATTAAACACAAAAATTTAGAGTGGAAAAAAGTGTGCATTGTGAGTGTGGTGGGACTCTACAATCATATGCTCCTTTTGGAGACAGCTTATTGATATACCCCCAAGAAACTTAACAGTGTTCACCATTTTTTCTATGTCACACTTCTGGATGATGAAAGAAATAATCAGAGTTGTATGCAAAAATATATATTATAAAAATTTTCAGAACAGCATTTTAATTTACGTATAAGTGCAGTATATTTATATAAAGCCTGCAGTACAAGCAACAAAAAAATTGTATATTTATTATATATTATTTGATGATATGATATTGAAAAGCCAGCTTGGGCTTTATATACAGGACAAGCCCAAACTAGACCAAAAGCCCAAAAAGGACAATAAGTTTAAAGTGCTTAAATATACGTTGTTATTAAGTATGTTACTGTTAAGTTGATGTGTTTGATGAGTCTTGTAACTTTAATAGGTATCACACACCTAGAAAAGAGAAAAGACAGTTGATCCAACCTCATAGCATCTATTTGGAGCTTTCAGAACATTGGGGGCTTCTCTGAATTTTCTAAGAATTGTTTTTTGTTTTTAGAGCTCTCTATCCCCCGCTTCTAAGCAAAGTAATTGTGTATGCTAATAAGGCTGTGAGCTTGGTCATCACTATGCTGTTCAACAAATTAAAACTGAGCTAGTTCACAGCCATTATACAAGAAAAAGTTTCATAACTTGTGGTGAAAAAATAGAAATCAAAGTTTTATAGCAATATGGTTACAATATACACGATACTTAAATATTTTGTGTTGATGGAGAGAAAGATAAAGTATAGATAATTAGACAGAGGATGGATCGATAGATGATGGAAGGATAGACAGAGGATAGCTAGATAATAGATATGTAGATGATAAATAGAAAGGTAGATAGAAAATAGATATGATAGACAAGAGATGGATAGGTAATAGATAGATAGATAGATAGATAGATAGATAGATAATAGATGGAGAGATCGATTGACAGATGAACAGATGATAGGTGGAGAGAAAGAGATAGACATGATAGATGGATAGATGATAGCTGGAAAGATGAACAGATTATGGCTAGATGAGTGATAAAAAGAGACATGATGGAGAGATAAACAGATGATAGATGGATAGATGAGACATAGACAGATGATGGATAGATGATAGATGGATAGCTAATAGATGGAGGGATAGAAGACAGATGGATAGATGTCAATGGAGAGATAAACAAATTAACAGATGGATAGATAGATAGACAGACAGACAGATGACAGATGGAGAGACGGACAGACAGACAGAGCCACACCACACTGCCCTGGGAGTTGAGGAGCCAGGAGAGCTGAGAGTGAAAGTTGATTCCCTGGTGGCCTGAGTCCAGTCCTTTGATTTCTTCACTAGGTCAAGTTGACTTTGCACACAGATTTCTCCCAAAAGGTTCACTCAGGAAGGTGGACTAGTGTCTTCTTTCTGCCTTTGGTGTCCCCTCACTTTTCTATTCCACTGCCCTGTCTTAGGGGTTTGCATTTTGTAGGGGAAATTGGGACTTGCATGTCACTCTGTGTCAGCCAAGATCGCCCCCAGAAAACAAACGGCTTACTCACAAACTACCGAAATGTGGAAAGTGGGTCTGGGGCTAGCAATTGCAGAATGCCTCCGTGGACCCTGGATGGGCGGGTGAAGAGGAGGGGGTGGCTTCCAGCACCTGAGGAGGGCAACTCTCTAGAGCCTGAGAGGAGCCCAGGTCTGCAGTAAAGGCCAACTCTAAGTGGCAGGCGAGGAGCCAGGAACACCTCCTCCAGCCTCGCTCCGCCCTCGGTCTCCTGATCCTCATTGGCTGATTCAATGGACAAGGACATTTTGACCTGTGAAAGGAAGAGATGGTGGAATTTACAAAACCCTTTCCCAGCTCAAAACAATTACGAAAATGTTCCGTGAACCGAGAAGTGTGAATGACTGACACTTCTGAGCCTGAGATCCAAACAAACCAAATCCTTGTCTTTTGCAGCAGTGTCTTCTGGGGGAAAAATGCCCATTTTGAATGTCAGAAGCGGAATATTTCTCTGGGTATCTCTGAGATAAAATCTTAATTTCCTCTAGACAGTTGTGTATTTGAGATGACTACGGAGGCCATCTCATAAATGAAAATGAAAGAAACGCAACACATCTGTATTCATGTATTTTTCAATATATTTCTCCTATTTCCCTTGCAGAGGAAAAAACGGAGCTAGAAATAAATAAGACAAATTAACATCAGTTTCATCCAGGTAATGGTGTTGTGGGGAGTTCTTAGTTTTGTCTTTCATATTTTTTTTTCTTTCTAAAATGTTCACAATAGTTATTATTTGCTTTTATAATAAGGAAAAAAAAAATACCCTTTTCCCGAAGTTATTATAGTCATATGGGGTGAAAGAAAACTAGAGTTGGAGAAGTTATACTTGGGAAAAATGAGGTAAGCCTAAGAGGCACGTTACCCATCACTACCCTAGATACTCGGAGTTTTTTTCCTTGATACATTTTTATCTTCAGACGCACATAATTATATTAGATTAGCTTTTTGCAGAATCACATTTTTAAAATTCCGTTATAGCCTTACCTTTTATTGAATGTTGTTACTCTTAGACAATTTATGAGACTTCACATGCGTATGTTAAAAGATACCTTATAAAATAAAATTGTTCTTTTCTTAGAACATCTGTCTCCCTTATGTGGCAGTTATTGGGCAATTTCCTGGGAAATTTTTTATTAAAACAGGGGGAAGAAAAGAAATCTCAAGATAAACTATGGAAATTATGGTGTATAAGGCATGATTAAGAGATAGTGTCCCCTTTAACACGGAGATTCTGAAATGACTTTTTCTTTAAGTTTCCATGCCTTTATGCAAATAACTAGAGCCCACTTTTTGCCTCAGTTTCTCGGGATGTGAGATTAAGTTGAGTACAACATGTTCTAAGACAGTCATGAGCATGAGCTAATATTTGGAAATTTTAAAACATTATGATATCCACTTTCCTTCAAAAACTGTCAGTTAAATTGATATTTTCTTCAAGACAGCATAAGAGGTGCCAAATTGAAAGTCAGTTTCTGCAAGGAACGGCTCTGGATCCTCCAGCTTTCATGTTATTTGACGGGAATTAACGCAGAGACCCAGAAGCTCAGCATTTGGGAGAACTGAGTGGCCTGGGCTGCAGTTGTGGTTAAATATTCTTTCTTTTTCTCATTTTTCCCCCAGCATCCTACTTTTTTTTTTTTTTAACTTTTATTTTAAGTTCAGGGATACAAGTACAGGTTTGTTACACAGAAAAACTCGTGTCATGGGGGTTTGTTGTACAGATTATTGCATCACCCAGCTATTAAGCCCAGTACCCATTAGTTATTTTTCCTGATTCTCTCCCTCCTCCCACCCCAGCAGACACATAGACCAATGGAACAGAATAGACAACCCAGAAATAAGACTGCACACCTACAACCATCTGATCTTCAATAAACCTGACAAAAACAAGCAATGGGGAAAGGATTCCCTATTTAATAAATGGTGCTGGGAGAACTGGCTAGCCACATGCAGAAGGCTGAAACTGGAACCCTTCCTTACACTATATACAAAATTAACTCAAGATGGATTAAAGGCTGAAATGTAAAACCCAAAACTATAAAAACCCTGGAAGACAACCTAGGGCAATACCATTCAGGACATAGACACAGGCAAATATTTCATCACAAAGATGCCAAGAGCAATTGCAACAAAAGCAAAAATTGACAAATGGGATCTAATTAAACTGAAGAGTTTGTTCTCATTCTTTTTGTCTTTTTTTCTCTTCCTCTTGCTTTATTTTTTATTTATTATTACAATTTAATGACATCAAAGTGCAAAATAATTATAGTACTTAATATGCCTATTTTTCCGATTTGTTAGAAACAAAGATGCTTAATAAGTTTAGGGTATGAACAAAGCAAAATTTTTTCCTTTTTATTCCTAACATGCTACATGATCTTGAGTACTAGCCATATCTTCTCCGTAGTAATATTATTAGTAGGAGGAGTGGGAGGAGGAGGAGTATTTTAATCAGTCAGACAGAAGCCAAAAAATCAGATGACTTCACTTTAATGTCTGTAAGGATCAAATATTTAATAAACCTAGAATATTTTATCAAACCTCTGGTGACTCAATGTATGTGCAGGGGACAAGCTGAGATGAGAAAACTGGCAGGATCAGCAGCAGGAGGACTTCCTACTACTGAGAAGCGCGTGGGGTATTAAAACATATCCGCATGAACCCCGAACGGGGTTAGTATCAGTCTGAATTTTCCAAATTAGTTTTGCAAATGTAGAAGAGAAATTCAATGCACTAGAACAGACTGCACCCAGCTTTTTCTATTTTCCTGACATAAAACGATATTGTTGCCTTCTTTTTCTTAAATATAAGACGATTCTTTAAGATGTATTTTTTGAGAAAAGAAATGAGTTCTATGCGTCGGGGTTTTAGTTCAGTACGAGCTATAGTAAGACTCGTTTACAAACAAACGCAAAATATCTCTTCAAAGCATACCTTTTGGGGAATAGTAGTTCTATGACAAAGAAACTTAGGACAAGTTCAAAGTGAACAGGCTACTTCTTCCTTTTACTGATAGGTCCTTTAAAATGTCTCAGAAATGGAGTTCTGGATTTTTGTCTGAGTACAATGAAAAACAAAATAAAACCCCTTTCACTAGGTACAATCAAAAGTGCAAAAGTTATTTGTCCCATGGTGTCTGATCTGTAAAATCTGTTAGCCACGGGGCATTTTAGTTCTTTGAAGATTTCATTATGGCAAGTAGAATAACACATAATGTAAAGAATGCATGTACAATATGGAAAACATGCAGCATATAAACTTTTATTGAACTAATTCCCTTCATTAAATATAAGGAGTACCTTTGAACTACTGGGCTAACACCTGCATAGTAATAAGCTTTGTGTGGATTATGATATTTCTATTTGATGTTTAATATTTCTTGGAATCGCCCTGCACATCTAAGCTTTTGCCTTTGGAGGTTAAAGCCTGTGCATTTACAGCCAGCCTAATTGGGAGCTGTGAACTGCTGAGCTCCTCTAAACCAGCAGCGTTTTAAACCCAGCTCTGCCTGTCTGCGTGGCCAGGCTCACTCCCCTTCCCAACCAGGCAGAATTGTGTTCATCGTTTGCAAGCAAGACGGCCCTCGTGCACAGATAACTGCAGCGGCTGCAGCCACTCGCCACGGGGGAGGGCAGACTGTTCTGCAGAATCAAGGAAGAGACGCAATGCTGTTGAATCAGGGTTTGACCTTCCAGGGTTTCTGCAACAAGCGCTTCTGGAATTAAAAATTTTTTAAAAGGAGTCTCAGCAAAGGGTTGTAGAGAGGTGCTTTTGGTGTTGATAATAACAACCAAAACATATGGTCCCTCCCTGTCTAGACAGAATGGTACTGTCCCAGACAGAAAGGTCTCCACAGGCCAGACAGTCCATGTAGCACACCACGCTGCTGAGGGCTCCAAGACACCCCAGTGTGAGGGAGGGGAAGAGGGAAAAACTGCAAGGGTCAGGGATAATTAACAGGACGGATGAGCCAGTAGTGTCTGCTGTGTGTGTGTGTATGTGTGTGTGCGTGTGCACCCTTGAGCATGCATGTATTTGTGTGCACACAAGTGTGCAGTTCTCTGTATGAGACGAATGAGGCTTAGGTTCTTGACCTCAAATTTAAACGCAAGTTCAATACAACAACATGCCACCTAGATTTTTTAATGACACAACTGCAAATAGTAAATTATTTTGAGTCTGACATTGCTTGTCATGGAAGGCAAAATTCTGTTTTGATATTTTATTTTAAAATCAGTTTTCAACCTCAGAATTCAAAAATGCAAAAACTCAGAATTTAAACAATTATGTAGGCCACACCTAAGTTTCCATGGATTTTGTGTTCCAAAGAAAGCATATAAAATGTTATCAGGAGGGTGCAGGTTTTTAAAACTTGACTTGGTAAATTTGACACTTTTAAAACATTTCTCTTCATTTTTCAACCTGAGTTCACAGCTACAAAAGATGGTGATGTGGCTTCCCTGCTCAGGGTGCCTGGCTCTCCTTCTACCTTGTCTGACAGGAGAACACATTTGTTGTTCTAAATAGCTGTTGGTTGTTATTGGTTGCAAAACTACAGCCTGTGTTAATTTTGGGTGCAAGAATCCTAATTTGCTCCTGGATACATCCCTTGTTGAAGACTGCAGGGAAGGTAATATTGTGCCTTTTCTGGTATGATTTATTCTGCACCAAGTGACATAGCAAAATGTACCTGGCTAAGAACAACTTGTACCATGTGCTGATTTGCACATGGAGAAAAAAAAGGCTTCATGTATCTCAGGGTTCATTCCAGTTGGTGCCTATTAAAGAATGAAAATTGTTTCCTCTGCTTACAGACTAGTGCAATTAATTGCCTTTGTCTAGAGATGACACAGATTTGAGAAACACTGTCTGAGATACGGCTATGGAATTTAGCCAGAATCTTGAAGATGTTCACTGCTTCACTCAAAACATTGCAGCATTTTAAAATATGAGAATGTGGCTATTTCTGCCACGGTCATTTCAAGGTGCAATTAAAAAACTTAACGGGTACGGGAGTTTTCTGAAAGATACCGCATAGGAAATTTTTCAGAACTTGTCCGTACTTAAAAGTTATACCGCTGGCGAAGAAGGTGTGAGCAGCAGTAGAGGTGGGCATTATGCCATTCTGCTGCCCAGTTCTTCAGTCTACGGAAACAAGACAGAGTCATGTTCTGTGGGCAGGTGATCTCCACCCTCTCGACAGTCTTGGAGTCTGCCGATGAACTCGTCTTCAGACACATGGAGGCAACGCGGCACTAAACACGGAGGAGCTGGCAGGAGTTGGAAAGTCAAGTTGGGCCTACCTTTATCTTTGGTCCTGGTCCTGCTCCCCTGTCCTTATAGAGCCCGGCCAAGGAAAAGTCAAAGGTTTGCTCGCACGCAGCCAAACACACCAAAGGTTGCCCGAGCTGCAGATGGCCATGCACAGCACACCTATTTTAGTCTATTTTTGTAGACTCTGGACATATGGGCCAGTACTTGGTTTTATGCCTGACATATTACCTAAAATTGTCTTTAATCAGAAGCCTAGAGATAAGTCACTAGAATGGAGAAAATGTGAAAACAAAATATTCAAAACATTGAAAGACCCCAAATAATAGGTACTTTGCACAAAGCACAGGAAAAAACAATTGTACTGAAATGGGTCCTTCAAATACTGGTGAGAGTGGTATAAACCTTCTGAGTTAAAAAAGCTAAAAAATTGTTTCCTTTGGATTTTGGACTAGAATAATTTTAAACTACATTTTTCGGTGTTTATATATTTAAGAATTTAAAACATATTTATAGAAATCCATCATAAAAACTATTTCCCTACAGAAAGAAAATAAAATTCATTTACCACGTAGTCCCATGGAAAAGTTTATTGCTCCTTTATCTTCAACATCAGAATAATCAGTGAATTTTTCTCAAAAAGCTAAAAGTGGATATCATTGTACATAAAAGTACAAAAGTCAACTGCAGAAAAACTAAAAAAGCAATTATTTCTCAACTTTGATCTTCTAGTATTTTTTTCAAGGTACTAAGGTAAAAGCAGTATAAAGGCATATAATTGAAAGACGTGTGAAAAGTGGTTATTTTGCAGGGATAGAATTATGGAAAAATTATATTTTCTTATGAGGTTTTCCATTGTCTAGGTTTTAACCAATAAACCCACACTAATTTTTAAATAATGAAAATACCAGCCGGGCGCAGTGGCTTACACCTGTAATCCCAGCACTTTTGGAGGCTGAGACAGTTGGATCACCTGAGGCCAGGAGTTCAAGACCAGCCTGGCCAACATGGCGAAACACCATCTCTACTAAAAAATACAAAAATTAGCCAGGCGTGGTTGCGGGCGCCTGTAATCCCAGCTACTCCTGAGGCTGAGGCAGGAGAATCGCTTGAACCCAGGAGGCAGAGGTTGCAGTGAGCCAAGATTGCACCACTGCACTCCAGTCTGACGGAGTGACAGAATGAGACTCCGTCTCAACAACAACAACAACAAAATACGGTAAGTAAACGGGGAGATGATGTGCTGATGGGCTGGAGAGACACGGCCCCCCTGCCTGGCTCATTCCCTTGGTTTCTGGGGCTAGAGCTGCTCCAATCCTCCCTGGAGCTCCTTCTCAAATTCCCTCTCAGGCTCTGTTTTCTTGCTGCTCAGGTGTTTCCAGTTCTCTGAGTCCATTTGGGGGCTCTTCGCTTTGTGGCTGTCCCCCGCATACGCTGGCACATGTGGCTTGCTGTCTACACTCTCCTGACCGCCACAATTGAGTCCTCAGCCTGGCCTCCTGCACAGTCAGCCTGTTTGTGGAATCACCTGAGGCATTTCACACAAGCACCTTAAACATAACTTCCCAAGCTGAATCCATCTACCCACCAACCTTCTTTTTCTCCTGGATTCCCAGTCTTCCCACACTGAGGTTTCAATCTGTTAAAAGAAAAACTTCAGCCAAATTAAATGTAAGGGCATTTAATTGAGCAAAGAATGATTGGCAAATTGGGCAGTCTTCTGGCAGCACAGCCACTGGGTGGAAGAAGATTTATGGACAGAACTCGGAAGTGAGGTGCAGAAACGGCCAGATGGCTACAGCTCCGCGTTCCCTTTATTTGAAAAGATTTGAAAAGTTGGCCACCTTTGATAGGCCAACACTTGGTGATTGGCACAAGAGTAGGCTACAGTCTGTTTACAGCTCTATTTAGGTTATAGTTCACGACGTACCAAGAAACCTTTTGGCCGAATGTCACACATGGAAGGAGGCAGCTTGAGGCTAACCTTGCTTTAACACACCCAGTGGAGACTTCAACAAGAAACTCGTGACTTTCCGTGATTCCACCTCTGCCCTCACCCTGTGTCATCAGGCATCAGCCACGGCTGGTCTGCTGGTTCCAGCCTGTACAATGTCTGCGCCGTGCCTCTCACTTTGCCATGGCTGAGAACCTCGTGACTGGTTTCCCTGGACCTCATTCTTATCCTCATTCCCTTCCCATTTATCTCCTTTCAAAGCAGCCAGAGTAATTTATTTTAAAAAGCCAAATGTGAGTATGTTATTCCTCTGCTTCAGACCTGTCAGTGGCTCCCTATTACCCTGAGTTAAATTGAACTTCATAGCTTGGCCAGCAAATTTCACAATCTGCAATCTTTCCCAATCTTCTAATACTACACCTCTGAACTGCTGGACTGAAAAAAGACTGATTTCTTTAGTGAGTCCCACGTTTTCAAGCCTTTCTGAGGTCAACATCCAGTCCTTGCTTCCCAGACTACCCAGACAAAACTCCTACCTGTCACATAAAACTCAGATCTGTGTTCACCTGCCCCCCAAAAAACTCCCTTGAGCACCCCCAACTGAGTTATGAGCCAATCCAGGGTGAATGCCATTTCCTTTAGCCACTGCTTTCTGCTCTACTTCTTGAACTCTCATAGGCAGGCATGATTTTCACCCATTCTGGTATTCCCAGTGCTCTGCATGGCACCTGGCACGTAGTAGATGCTTAAAAAATGTTTGTTAAGAGAATGAATGGATAGGGGCCCCTCCATTAAAGTTTATGACTGTGTATAAACAGATTTTTGAACCATTGAGGTACCAAAAATAATTCCTCCTTGTGACATTTAGGATATGCTATATTTTTTGTAATGTTTTGCTTTCTAAGAAGGTGTACCCTATTTAAAGAGGCTCAGGCCTAAGAAAATAAATGATTTAAAAAATGCAAATAAATTTAGATGGAATTGTTGGACAGGGAAGTCCTCCCATGAATGGGAATGAGCAGGTCTTGAGAGTGACACAGCCTGGACCCAAGTTACAGCCTTGACTGACTCAATGACGTCAATCAGATCATTCTCTCAGCCTCAATTTCTTTATCCAAGACACGTGCTTGTAAGGTTTATCTATCAAAAGCCTACCTTAGCCGGGCATGGTGGCTCACACCTGTAATCCCAGCACTTTGGGAGGCCAAGGCAGGTGGATCACCTGAGGTCAGGAGTTCCAGACCAGCCTGGCCAACATGGCAAAACACTGACTATTGAAAATACAAAAATTAGCCAGGCGTGGTGGCCAGCACCTGTAATCCCAGCTACTCAGGATGCTGATGTAGGAAAATCGCTGGAACCTGGGAGGCGGAGGTTGCAGTGAGCCGAGATCTGTCACTGCACTCCAGCCTGGGCGACACAGCAAGCCTCCATCTCAAAAAAAAAAAAAAAAAAAGTCTACCTTATATGGCCATCTCTTTGGGTGGGGGTGTGGGGTGCTTTAAAGAAGTCAGCATCTGATTGTAGCTATTCTCAGCATTGAAATTTCTCCTTTTGAACCAGTATTAATTCTTTGGGTCTCGACTTCCTTTCCAGATTCTCAATTTCACCAAACATGTTTTGTTGGGTGTTATTGTTCGAACAGCAAAGCACATTTTCGTCGTCTTACCTTTTCTCAGTTACTAAATCTGGCATAGTTTTAGATTGTTACAGTATTTCATTTTGTTCACTTAATATTAATGATCTGTGGTGCCTAAATAAACATTGTGAAACTAAATCAGCGTTTAGAGCAGTAACCAAGAATATTGAACCAGTGTCCATCTCTTCGCATCTTACTATTCACTGAAATGGTCACAATATATATGCAAGGTCTCGATCTACTATATATAGATTTAATTACCAGTAAGTGCCCACCAGGTATACTATTATAACAAATAAATATCAATAATTAGTAATTGTGTAAGACAGTTTAACTTTTTTCTTTGCAGAGATTTATTTCTAATTGTTTCTCTAGTGTGTAGCGGTTGAAATATTAGATAATGGATTTTTATTGATTTTTAGCTGAACATTGAAGATGTAAAAAATACATTTCCATAACTTTGATGGTCATGAGTTTCAGAATGTATTGATTGGATTGGTGTATACCTTTGTTTTTTTAGAATATTAACGTCATGAGAGGAGCAAATGTATTCCAGCAGGTAGATGTGAGGTGCTGAAGAACTGCCTGAGCTCTAATGCCAGCTATCAGCCTGATTTCCAGTGTGGTTCAAGGAAACACTCATGCCCTGTACCATGTGCCATGAGCCTCTTTGCACCCAGCTTGCCTCGTGCAATGCTGAGCTGCCCCAGCTTTCTTCCCTCTTAAATGCGTTAGACCATAAAGTAGCAATTGCCTCCTAATGTGTTTGTGGAAAGAGGGCATAGAAAAACACAAGATAAAGCTTTCATTTTCACAACAATTAGGCAAGTGATGCTTTTTCATCAGGGTCACTTTCAGAGAAATTATTCTTTGCAGTGTGTTGCAAAAGGGGTCCCAGAGGCTGGGTTATGTATGGGATCTTCTTTTCTTGCGGAGATGTCTGAGAAGTTCATTCAAATGCAAATGGTGTTAGTGACAAATGCAGTGTTAATTTATTTATCAGAGAGACATTTCAGGCTAGATAATCCATTCCTAGGGACTGTCTTTATATCTGAAATAACTGGACCACAGCAGAATCAATCCAGTTACTGTAGCCATTTTAGGAAATAGATTGGATATATTCCATCCATTCAGTTGCCTGCCTATTGATCTGGAGGATTGGAAGCACAAAATTAATGGTGCCCGGCCAGTGGGACTGCAAGTGATAGTCTTAGAGAAAGTAGGTTTGGAACTGAATCCTAGTGAATAATCATTACCTGTTTTCCTTGCTACGTGCGTGTGGAATAGTGAAAGGACATTGCTGTTGGAGTGAGATAAGATGGGAATTTGAATCCTGTCTCTGCCATTTACAAACTGTATGACCATGGGCAAATTGCTTTATTTCTGTTATTATCATTTTATTATTTTCATCTATAAAATGGGAATACAAAGACACAGCTCACAGGATATATAAGTACATACATATCTATATCTATATAGAAAGATGTATGTGAAAACATATATGACTGCTGTCCAATACCTGATGGCTTCTGCCTCCTTCTTTCCTAATCAGGGACTCTTCTTTGGTTTGCTATTATACACTATTTTTTCAGGAAGGGCCATTGTCTTTTGAGGGGGGGAGTGCTGTATAGAATTTAAAAATTATTTTTAGGTAATTAATTTGGAAGACTTGAAAAGTGAACAAACATATCATGACCCATACATCACATTATAGATAAATATCAATTCCTGATGGATAATATATCATAATGTAAAAGGTGAAACAAAGCACTTTTTAGAGTAAAACAGAATATCTTTATGACTTTGAGTAGAAAACTATTTATTAAATAGGATCCCCAAAACATGAATCTTTTACAAAAATGATAAATTGGACTGCATTAAAATGAATAAATTCAGTTCATCAAAATAGACCAGTAAGAGGGTGAAATGGCAATCAACAGAGCAGAACAAGATATTTGCAATTACCCATATTATACAAAAGACTTGTATCTGGAAGATATAAACAAGATCTACAAATCAGTAAGACATAGACAATTAAGTCAATGGAAAGATTGGTTTTAAAAAAAAACCATCAAGTCACATTACAAAAGATAATATCCACATAGCCATTAACCATATTGTTATGGGATGTTTGGGGTGTCGATTTTTCTGGCCAGAAACCTCTGTGGCCACAGCACCTTTACCCAAGCTCTTGTCCTGTGTCCAGGAAGAAGGAGTTATGCAGACAAGTGAAGGGTGCACAAGATGAAGATGAACTTTATTGAGTGTTAGAATAGCTCAGAGGAGACTTGCAGTGGGTAGCTCCTCTCTGCAGGCAGGCCATCTGTTGAGTGTTCAGTTCTCAGCAGAGAGGAGGCCCTGGAGAGGGTAGCTCCTCTCAACTAGTCCTCCAGATGTCTGCAGCTCTCAGCGGAGAGGAGGCCCTGGAGAGGGTGGCTTATCTCTGCCCACAGCAGTTCTCATCAGAGATGGTAGCTGCTCTCTGCAACTGGTTGTCACATCATCTCCAACTATCAGCAGAGAGGGTACTCCTCTCTGCAGCTGGTTGTCTCCTCTTCTTTCTGCCCTCTTGGTCCTCTGGCCATCCTCTGCCCTGCTCTGGCTGAGCCCAGGGCTTTTATGGACCTCAGAGGGGTGGAAATGCGTGCTGATTGGTCCATGGGCAGCCATGGGTGGGGCTGGAAGAGGCACCATGAGTCCCCACTCCAGCCTTCAGGCCCTCCCTAGCCTGAAGGGGGGCCTTCATGGGGACCTGCCCATTTCCATTCAGGAATCAATCTGCCTCCCACTGCCATTCATGGCCCTTGGGGCTTGGCCCCAATCCCTACTCTGAGATGGGAGCAGGCTCGTGGCACAAAGAGAGGCCAGGCAGTGGGGGAAGATACTCCTGAGACTGCAGGGACATGGGGGGTTCCTTCCTGAGGACCCCATGGGTACAGGCTGCAGAGATGCCTGGGTCCTGTGCCTGGGCTGCACCCAGGAGCTCCCTACCCCCACTGACTCTAAAGGGGCAGGGTTCCTGCTTGTTCCCAGCTCCTGCCTACTCTGTAGAGCAGGAGGCCTGGGTCTGCAGCTGCAGTTTGGGTGGCTGCAACAGCACCCAGGGAGTTCCCGCCCCAACTCAGAAGGGGCAGGGTCCACTGGCCCCATGGAGTGTGCAGCCCTAGCTGCGCCTCCCTGCTGCAACTGCTGTGATGGCCGCTGCCATCAATATGAAAAGGTGCATAACTTCATTTGTCATGAAGAAATTGCAAATTGAAATCACACTACAATCCCATTAGATACCCACCAGAAAGAGCAAAATGAACACAGGTGTCTGTAAAAATGTGGAGCAACTAGTACTCACCTGCATGGTTAGCAAGGGTGTAATGTGGTAGAATCATTTTGGAAAACTCTGAAAATCTTATTAAAGTGGAGCACTTGCATTAACTGGGCCCAGCTAGTCATGGCGGGAACAATCTCAATGCAGCATGTTCATACAGTGGAGCATGATGTAGCAAAGAGAAGGAAACATGATTGCCGCTTGCAGGAACACAGGAGAATCCTCATAAGCACAGTGTTGATGTAAATCAGCTACATGCCAAAGGGTACACACTGCACTGCACTCCACTTATATAAACTTCAGAAACAGGCAAACTATTTGTGGCATCAGAATTTATCTTTGCAGAGCCTGAAGCTTCTGGAAAGGGTGGTAATATTCTCCTCCTAGGTAGACCTGGGCACCGGCTACATCATGGGCTGACTCTGGGGCCTTGTCAAGCTGTAAAATTTTCATTTGTGCACTTTTTAAATGCATATTTCAATAAAAAGGCTTTTTCTTAAGTTTCTGGTGACAACTTCTTGGAGAAAAAATATTCCTGAATATACAAAACAGTGCGTGTTTATCATAAAAAAATGTGGAAAATAGAAGAAAGCTAAAATCATGTATAAGTCTGCCACTCTGTATTTTGATATAATCTTTTCCTGTGTTTTTCTATTTATACATTGGGTGTGTACATGTGAAACACAATGTCCACTATACAGCATATCAATTTTATAGCCTTCTTTAAAAACCACACAATGTGTCCAAAGCACTCTCTCTTGCCATTAACTATTCTTCAACACACTTCAAAAGGCTGTCTTCTCCAGACACAGCCCACTGCTGCATTTAGCTCACGGCCTCGGCCATATGTACTTTCATCTTACACCGCCTCAACGACACATCTGCTGAAGCCTGGAGCTGAAACTGAGCCATTAAAAAACAGATCAATTTAGACCTAACAGGATCTTACCAACGTATTTTGCAATGGGTGGCCCTGAACCCAGTGTTACTTAATGTTTTCATTGTTGGCCTGGGTTAGGAAACCCTACCAGCATCACCCACACAGAGAAGCAGCAGCCTTGCTTACATGCAGATGAGGGGCCATGCCCTGGTCTCAGTCTACCTGCCCGCTGGCAGTGTAGCATGACGGCAGTTGTGTGCACAAGACTCCAGGCTCAGGGGACCCAAGTCAAGGCACCAGCTCTGCAGCTGCCACATGTGTGGCTCTGGGCAAGGGCCCAAGAGGTAGGGACTCAGTTTCTCAGCAGTAAAATGAGAATAATAAGCCCCAGTGTGCAGCTCAATGTATGGGAAGTATTTACAATAGTACTGGGCAGAGTAGTCACCCTGTAATGATAGAGACCTTTGCAGAAGTAAATGGTAGGTGACTTCCTTGCTCACAAACCTTAGAGTGATCTCCTGCACATGGCTGGGGAGGAGTCTCCATGCCTGTGTGTCTAGCCCCATCTCTTACTGGTCTATAACTTCATACCTGTGCCCCGTCCACACACAACAGTTTGTAGATTCTTGAGGACAAAATGGCTCACACCTGTTTTCTACCTGGAAGCCACTTCTTCCTCATTGCGTAGCCCTGGTCTCTCATCCTCATTCATTTACCTGACTAATTTACACTCTTCTGTGTGCTTTCATCCAGATACGCTGTCTCTTCATAGAAACTTTCTCCAGTGCTCGCCTGCCCACAGACCTGGTTAGAGGCCCCGCTTTTTATGGCCCCCCGGACTTAACCACGTCACAGAAATCATCACATTGTGTTGAGCCTCCTGGGTTTCTTTGGACTGGAAGCTCCCTGAGGGCAGGGTTATCTTGTTCGTCCTTTCATCCCCAGGGCCTGGCATAAGACCTGGCGAAGAGCTGCTGCATGCTAAAGCTTTGCTAATTGAATGACTGTGTGTTATTTCTTAAATTCAATGAGAAATCACTCTACAAAGTCCAGGAGAATGAAAGTCTCAATAACCGAGCTTTCTCTCCCCTGAGCACCTACACAGGAAACTCAATTACAGTTGCAAGAGGCCTCGAAGACCTGCAGGATTTAGAAGAATCCAGGCATCTCCGGGCCCCTGGCTGGGGCTTCTGCATCTGACAATAGAGATGGCTTTGCTCAGGGGAAGAATACTTTGGGCTCTGACTCACTCCATGAGCACTGGGTAAGCAACGTCCACCTTGGTGGCTCTTGCTATAATTTGTCTGTGTGTTCAGACCCAGTCCTTCCCTCCCAAACTGCTGACAGCGGTTTTCTTCGGTTATGCTAATATCCCCCACTATGTTCAAGTTGAGTTTTGTAGACATGCCAGCTGCTCTGTTTCTTTACGTTGATTTTCTCGCTCTGCCCTAATATGTGCTCATTTCATAGGTGGACTCTCTACAATCAATCTTTTAATTTTTTAAATGTTCAAGTTATTGAGGGACACCTTCCTGAGAGGCGTCCATTGTAAACGACAGCTTATCACTGATATTATCATATGAAAGCTATTGTTGTAGGACTTTCTCTTTAGGGCCCATGTCACATGGCCATGAGAGATTAGGGTCACAGAGATTTTGAAGGGTGAGAAAAATGGAATTTATCGGGCCAAAAGGAAAAAAAGGGAAACAGGGACTCTCAGCAAAGCAACAGTCCTGCTAGCGGGTTTTCCCGCCTCAGCGATTGAATCTCAGGTACTATCCAGGATCAGGAGAGGCCAGGCTCCTCCCCTCTGCAAAGCGCGTGAACTTCCGTGGCTCCACCCCATTCTCCCAGGGCGCAGGCCGGTTGGGGTTTCCCCAGGGACCCTTTATACTTGGCTGTTCATTGTGGTGATATGGTTCCAAGCCTGAAGAACTTGCAATCTGATTAAGATCTGAATGCATGAATTAAAAAAAAAAAATTATGGTAATTTAACATAAGAAATAGTCTTGAAGCAAGGGGTTATCACAAGGGTGCTTATGACAGCGTTAGTTGTATTAGTAAAATATAGAAATAACCAATACTAGAATTTTTAAATTACAGTGAATTCTTTTGCTGCTACTGAAATTATGCTTTCAAAGATAATTAATGTTTCTAAGGATAGTTCATTTAGAGGGGAAAGTACAGAGCTCAAATTCCAAATAAAAGGTCATGATTTGAAATTACCGTGGGAGAAAATGATATAGATATGGGAAAAGAAAGTGTTTTCAAGGCAGCAAAGCTTTGTTTAAAGCTAATCACAGATAACTTCTACTTTTATTATCCTTATCAGGATTTATCTTGTATCATGAATAGTGAGCATTTGCCTCGCCTATTATATCTAATTCTGAGTTCTGTGGCTTAAGGTAGCGTCAAGCATTTGGAATGGATTCAGATAAGGGCCAGCCCGGCTGGTGCCAGAGCAGGGCACAGAGCCTGTTTCCTACCGATCCTGGATCCTGACAGTGCGACTCCGCGTGCGGCTTCTCCCTGCCATGGTCTTAGATTTCAACCTGTCTCAGTGTATGAAGAGCGAGAAGGATTCATTCCAGGTCTGTTTGTGAATCTTTTCTAAGAAGTGTTTCCTAGGCAACTTCTAGAAGGCATTAAACAATAATGGGTTTTAGTTTTTCAAGAAACCTTGGAGATCTAGGACATCCTGTCTTTACCAACGGAGACACCAAGGCACAGAGATTCCAGGGGATGTGACGGCAGAACCATTTCCTTGTTCTTGTCGGCTCGCCTTCTGCTGGCTGTGGCTTCCTTTGTGTCTAGCATGTAACCCTGCATGCCTATTCAGGATTAAGGGAGGCCAAGTTCTGCCTCCTGGCTGGTGAATGCCGGGAGGCCCAGGAGGAAGCAGTAGCTGGTGAGGGAAACGCGCAGCAGATTGACAGCTGGGCGGAGCAGGGCAGGCCTCCCGGAGCACATTTCTGCACAGAGAACTAGGAAGCAATAAAACAAACTTCACGGAAAGTGGATCTTATCCTAAAAATAGCAGGTTTAATGCTGACATGCCTACCTTTTGATGACTTACGTTTGTTTTTGCATAATTATGATTACTAATTTGAAAGCAGCTAGGAAATAATCTAATAAGGATGAAAATAATAAAAATACATTTAGAAACGTAAATTGACATAATATTATCATGTTTTAGTCAATTCAAATGAATATTTCCAAGGAATTCAGTTTATAATTACATTTAGGAAATAATAGTGCCCTAAACTTTTTTTTTTCTTTTCTTTTCTTTTTTTTTTTTTTTGAGACTGGGTCTCACTTTGTCACCCAGGCTGGGATGGAATGACATAATCATAGCTCACTGCAGCCTCGAATTCTGGGCCTCAAGAGAAACCCTCACCTCAGTCCCCTACCCCCAGTCCCCTACCCTCACTCCCCTACCTCCAGTCCCCTACCCCCAAGTAGCCAGACTACAGGCGCAGGCCATCACACCCTTCAATTTTTTTTTTTTTTTTTTTTTGAGACAGCGTTTTGCCATGTTCCCAGGCTGGTCTAAAACTCCTGAGATCAAGCAATTTGCCAGCCTCAGCCTCCCAAAATGCTGGAATTACAGGAGTGAGCTACCATATCTGGTACCCTAAACGTTTTTGATTGGCTAGGGGAGATAATACTGAGAGGTGAAGCCAGCTGGACTTCCTGGGTCGAGTAGGGGCTTGGAGAACTTTTCTGTCTAGCTAAAGGATTGTTAACACACCAATCAGCACTCTGTAAAATGGACCAATCAGCAGGACGTGGGTAGGGCCAAATAAGGGAATAAAAGCTGGCCACCAGAGCCACCAATGACCACCCGCGGGGGTCCCCTTCCACGCTGTGGAAGCTTTGTTCTTTCGCTCTTCACAATAAATCTTGCTGCTCTTTGGCTCTGCACCACCCTTAAGAGCTTTAACACTCACTGCGAAGGTCTGTGGCTTCACTCCTGAAGTCAGCAAGACCACGAACCCACCAGAAGGAAGAAACTCTGGACACATTTGAACATCTAAAGGAACAAACTCCAGACACACCATCTTTAAGAACTGTAACACTCACCACGAGGGTCTGCGGCTTCATTCTTGAAGTCAGCGAGACCAAGAACCCACTGGAAGGAACCAATTCAGGACACAATATGATGAATGGTTTTTAGTTGTTGTTGTTGTTGTTTAGTGATTTTTAAAATTATTATTGTAGTTTAAATTCTGGTATATATGTGCAGAACGTGCAGGTTTGATACATAGGTATACACATGCCATGGTGGTTTGCTGCACCTATCAACCTGTCATCTACATTAGGTATTTCTCCTAATGCTATTCTTCCCCTCAACAGGCCCAGGTGTGTGATGTCCCCCTCCCTGTTTCTATGTGTTCTCATTGTTCAACTCCCATTTATGAGTGAGAACATGCAGTGTTTGGTTTTCTGTTCCTGTGTTAGTTTGCTGAGAATGATGGTTTCCAGCTTCATCCATGTCCCTGCAAAAGACATAAACTCATCCGTTTTTATGGCTGCATAGTATTCCATGGTGTTAAAGACTTAAACATAAGACCTCAAACCACCATAAAAAGCCTAGAAGAAAACCTAGGCAATATCTTTCAGGACATAGGCATGGGCAAAGACTTCATGATTAAAACACCAAAAGTAATGGCAACAAAAGCCAAAATTGACAAGTGGGATCTAATTAAACTAAAGAGCTTCTGCACAGCAAAAAGAACTATTGTCAGAGTGAACAGGCAACCTACAGAATGGGAGAAAATTTGTGCAATCTATCCATCTAACAAACGGCTAATATCCAGAATCTACAAGGAACTTAAACAAATTTACAAGAAAAAAAAAAACAACCCCATCAAAAAGTGGACAAAGGATATGAACAGACACTTCTCTAAAGAAGACATTTATGTGGCCAACAAACATGAAAAAAAGCTCTTCATCACTGGTCGTTAGAGAAATGCAAATCAAAACCACAATGAGATACCGTCTCACCAGTTAGAATGGCGCAAGTTAGAATGGCGATCATTAAAAAGTCAGGAAACAACAGATGCTGGAAAGGATGTGGAGAAATAGGAACGTGTTGATGCTGTTGGTGGGAATGTAAATTAGTTCAACCATTGTGGAAGACAGTATGATGATTGTTAAGACAATTCTACTAAAGGAAAACTATCTCTGCTTTGCATTAAATATCTTGCATTTGCTGTTTTTCCTTAAGATTTCTTAAATCAAATTGTACATCATAAAACAGGTCTAATAATCGGCTGGGCGGGGTGGCTCACACTGTAATCCCAGCAGCACTTTGGGAGGCCAAGGTGGGCTGATCAGCTGAGGTCAGACCAGCTTAGCCAACATGGTGAAACCGCACCTCTACTAAAAACACAAAAAAATTAGCCAGTGTGGTGGTGCATGCCTGTAATCCCAGCTACTCAGGAGACTGAGGCAGGAGAATAGCTTGAACCCAGGAGGCAGAGGTTGCAGTGAGCTGAGATTGCACCATTGCACTCCAGCCTGGGCAACAGACTGAGACTCAGTCTAAAAAACAAAACAGAACAAAACAAAAAAACCAGGCATAATAGTACTCTCCCACATTCCCCGTATTCTTTGACTGCTGACAAAATAAAACACACTGTCAGTTCTCTGACCTTCAAAAGTCAGGTGTGGATATTGGGTGAAATTGAATGTCACGTTACTTGTGGGAGAAAATTGCTATTTTCTTAAAGGAAACTTGGCCAGGGCCTCTGTCCTGTCCTTCCCTGACTCAGCTGATTGCAGCTTGCAGGACTCCTCCCCGCAGTGCTTCTACCAGGACAATGACACCAGGTACCTTGTTGCTCACTTCCCTTTCTCCACACTTGTTTTTGAGGAGTTCAGGTGACCAATATTTCCCAGGGCTCCAAGAAAGCAATACAGGTGTAACTTCACCTTTGCCATTGCCGTGAAAGGACTATGTGCTCACCTGCATATCAAGTGGAATGGGCCCATATGGATTTAGCTTAGCCCATCCAGATTTTTAAAAATACCTGTTAAGTGTTTGCCTTTCTTCTATTTTCATATTTAAGGAGCCGAAGAATCAATAGAGCTGAGGGCAGCAAGATGGAATTATAACTCATCCACCCCCCTTTACTGTACTCAAGATATAATATTCCTTGACCCCTCTACATCTGCTTTGCAATTTTCTATCCTTGATCATCAATGCCTTCTTTAGGTGGCTTCCCCTCCTGTCACTCTATGATCCTTATCTTTGTAAACTGTCTGTTGTTTTATAACTGAGTTGACTTTAGTGAATAATCAGAAAACAAGTTGCCGGTTAATATATTCTTAGGATAAACTGAAGATTATGCCTGGAGAGGCTTGTCCATGGTGCAGCTGAGACGTCTCCTATCTTCTTTTCTGTCTTTTTTTTTTTTTTTTTTTTTTTTGAGACAGAGTCTCGCTGTGTCACCCAGGCTGGAGTGCAGTGGTGCGATCTTGGCTCACTGCAAGCTCTGCCTCCCAGGTTCACGCCATTCTCCTGCCTCAGCCTGCCGAATAGCTGGGACTATAGGCACCTGCCACCACGCCCGGCTAATTTTTTGTATTTTTTTTTAGTAGAGACGGGGTTTCACCGTGTTAGCCAGGATGGTCTCGATCTCCTGACCTCATGATACACCCGCCTCGGCCTCCCAAAGTGCTGGGATTACATACAGGCCTGAGCCACCGCGCCTGGCCGTCTCCTATCTTCTTGTCTGTGTATATGTGTGAATCCTTCACGCCGAGACAGAGTTGTATGAATGAATCATTCTGAACCTGATGTTCTTTCTACAATGTGGATACATGCAATTGTTTGTTTGCCCTCCTGCCCTGTGGTCACAGCAGTGGCCTATTTACAGGGATGTTTACTGTTCTAGAGACTGGCTGTTTCCTACGCTTATGTTTTTACTCCATCTTTTTCAGTGAGCTTAAGTTTGTTTACTACATACTAGTATGTTCCTCTACTAGTCATTGTGACAGTGTTTCAAAATGTTTCAGCATATCCTTGTGTCTTTCTTTTCTCTGTTCATCTTGTTTCTAATTTCCTTTCCAGAACTTTCCATGGTGTCCAGGACAATCCTGGTTTTCTATCTGTTGTCCTGTTGTCATTATCAATAGTAGCCAATTTCACCCTGAAAGTAACTGTGTTGAAATGAAAATTATATTTGCCTATTTACCCATAAAGTAATCACTGCTCTAAGATTTTATACCCACTTTCTGAGAAACTTTATTCCAGGAAAAGACTAATTAGATAGGTCAATTAATGTAGATCAACTTGCTCCTGTCATGTTTGAAATCATAAAACAAGGCCTAAGTCCATTTGGGTGCTATAACAAAATCCCATAAGCTGGGTCGTTTCTAACAACAGAAATTGGTTCCTCACAGCTCTGGAGTTTGGGAAATCCAGGAGAAAATCACCGACAGACTCGGTGTCTGGTGAGAGCCCGCTTCCTGGTTCCTAGAGGGCCGTCTTCTCACTGTGTCTTTACATGGTGGAAGAGGCAAGTGAGCTCTGTTGGGCCTCTTTCATAAGCTCATGAACCCCATTCATGAGACCTCCTCCCTCATGGCCTAATCACTTTCCACAGGTGCCACCTCCAAGTAACATCACCTGGAGGATGGCATTTCAACATAGGAGATTTCATGACGTGTTTGCTTCTGCAGCACGTGTTCTAAAATTGGAATGAGATTTCATTAGCCCTCCTCCCTCATGACCTAATCACCCCCCACAGGCTCCACCTCCATATAACATCACCTTGGGGATGGGGTTTGGGGCAGGGGAACATGAGCATTGAGCCCATTGCAGGGACAGACCCTAAGCATAACACCAACCAGTAAGTGAGTCCTAACAGGATGAATCTAAATGACAGATAGGGTGGGAGAGACATTTAAAAGTCCTCTAAACTTTTCTGGTCATTGGTATTTACTCAGAATCTGTGGCTAATTCTGCACTTGCCAGCAATGATCACTGTCCTTGTTATTGTCCTCATTTGTCCAGCACATATTGCACACGTTTGCACATGCTGCGTACCAAGCACGGTGCTGTGTGCAAGGCTGCTCAGCGAGCACATCAGATAAACTCCTGCCACATTAGTGCTTACCCTGGGGAGGTGGGGGGAGGCAGACTCACAAAAGGGAAAATTAAATAAACAAAAAACCAGATAATGTCGAGTCTTGTTGAAAGAAAAGTGGTGTGACAAAACCTGAGTTTTTACAAAGTAACTTAGAATGAAAGACCAGGAACATCCTCTCAAAGGAGGAGACATTTGTGAAAAGAAGTAAATGATAAAGTCAGTCCCAGTCATGCAGGATGTATGGAAAAGACATCTCAGGTAGAGGAACGATGAAAGCAAGCATCCTAAGGAGAAGGAAACATGGCACGTTCGAGGCACGGAAAGAAGGGAAGTGAGTATGGTTGTCATGGGAAAGAGGACAAGTCAATATGCAAAGTTCAGAGAGATGGACAGGGCCAGGTCATCAGGAGTGGTGGACAGGGCCAAGGGTTCAGACAGGCCTGTAAGTGGGGTGTGCGGCACGGGATACTGACATGCAGTGATGTACATTAAAAAATATCCTCGCTATGATGTGCAGAAAACAGCAAGAAAGGCAAATAAAAAAGCAAAAAGCAGAGCCCACTTAGATGTCTCTTACACGTGCCAAGAGTAAAATGGTAGAGGCTGTGGCTGGGTAGATACAGCAGAGAGGGAGAAGGGAAAGTCTCTGGGATGTCTTTTGGATGTAGTCATTATGACTTGCCAATGAACTGGGTGGAGAAGGTCAGTAAAGACACTGAATTGAGGATCTGTCTGAAGAACTGGCTGGAACACTTGGGGAGACTGTAGGGTCAACTAACAGGCAGATAATGTTGGGGGAGAAATGAAAAGTTTTGTGTTGTCAGGTTAAGTTTAGAAGCCCATTAGATTTCCAAGGGGAAATGACAAATGAAGAGCTGCATGTTTGGTGTACAAGCCAGGAATTCAGGGTAGAGGTCACAGCTAGAGATATGAACAAGAGGGTCATTGGTATATAGACTGTGTTTAAAGCCGCTGGATAAAAATGGACAATCTAGAACATATAGCAGAGGAATCCCATCCAGACTCACCATTTAGGGTTCAGTAAAGGAGACTGTGAGGTAGAAAAAGCATGAGCGTGAGGTCCATGGAAGCTGAGAGAAAACGTGTCCTGGGAGGTGGTGTGTATCCACGCATGCTAAGAGCTACTGGGAGGACTGGAGAGGCCAGAGGGAGGTGAGATCTGGGTCTGGTAGCCACTTTCCAAGTGAGGTGGAAAAGAACGGCTTTGGCTTCTGGGGAATGAAGTGGAAAGAGCCTGGTGAGAGACAGTGAGAGACATAGCAAGAGGGGAGAATGCAGAGGCTGTGGCTTCAGATGCTTTCAAGAACTTCTGTCATCCAGAGGAACAAAGAAACAAGGCATTTATTGCATAGAAATAGGAAATCAAGGCTGGGCATGGTGGCTCACCCCTGTAACCCTAGCACTTTGGGAGGCTGAGGAGGGTGGATTGCCTGAGCTCAGGAGTTCCAGACCAGCCTGGGCAACATGGTGAAACCCCGTCTCTACTAAAAATACAAAAATTAGCTGGGCGTGGCGGCATGCGCCTGTAGTCCCAGCTACTCAGGAGGTTGAGGCAGGAGAATTGCTTGAACCCGGGAGGCGGAGGTTGCAGTGAGCTGAGGTTGCATCGCTGCACTCCAGCCTGGGTGATAGAGGCAGGAGAATTGCTTAAACCCAGGAGGCAGAGGTTGCAGTGAGCTGAGATCATGCCACTGCACTCCAGCCTGGGTGACAGCGCAAGACTCCATCTCCAGAAAAAAAAAAAAAAGAAAAAGAAAAGAAAAGAAAAAAAGAAATAGGAAATCAAAACAGCAACATTTTTTAAGAAAACAAAAGTGTACTCCAGAGCATGTTTGTATGCAGATAGAAATGGCCCAGTAGAGGGAGAGGGTGGTGTGGAAGACAGGGGTAATGACTGAGGAGAGAGGTGATAGGAGCAGAGCAGAAATGCTTGGTTGACCTTTGATAGGACAAAGGACATGCCATCCTCTGAAACCTCAGGCAAAGCCGAGATCTAGGAAAGCCCCACAGCTGTTAGGCTGGTAGAGCTGGTGGCAGTAAGATGAGTTCCTCTCTCTTTCTTTCTGTTTTCTTAACCTGGGATGAGGCAGGATGAACAGATGCAATGGTTAGGAGGTGCTGTGTGGTAACGTGGTGGACCCTCCACAGGGACTATTTTGATCTGGCTGTGATCTGCACATCCTAAGATGTCTATATTCCAGGACTGATGGGACAACTGGCCCTGCGTGCTGTGCTCTCATCATCAGAACCCCTGATGGTCACTGAGCTTAGTGGTGCTTTGCCCAGATGTTGGTGTGCTCACTAAATTATGCTCTGCAGTTTCGGCCCCATCTACAATTCTGACATTGTCTCATATTTCTCCACTTTGCCCTTCCTTCCTTCCTTCCCTTCTCTCCTTCCTTCCTTCCTTCTCTTCTCTCCTTCCTTCCTTCCCTTCTCTCCTTCCTTCCTTCCCTTCTCTTCCTTCCTTCCCTTCTCTTCCTTCCTTCCCTTCTCTCCTTCCTTCCTTCCTTCCTTCCTTCCCTTCTCTCCTTCCTTCCTTCCTTCATTCCTTTCTCTCTCTCTCTCTTTCTCTCTTTCTTGACACGGTCTCGCTCTGTCACCCAGGCTGGAGTACAGTGGTGTGATCTCAGCTTACTGCAACCTCTGCCTCCTGGATTCAAAAGACTCTCCTGCCTCAGCCTCCCAAGTTGCTGGGATTACAGGTGTGCATCACCACACTCAGCTAGTTTTTGTATTTTTAGTAGAGACGGGGTTTCACCATGTTAGCCAAGTTGGTCTCAAACTCCTGACCTCAAGTGATCTGCCTGCTCCCGTCTGACAAAGTGTTGGGATTACAGGCGTGAGCCACAGCGCCTGGCCCGCCATGGCTTTCTTCCTGCTCTCCAGTCTTCTCTGGAGCTTCACTCTTTCTGGGCCAGTGCTCACAACATTTTCCTGGCAGGAATATTCACATCCCACTTCCACAAGGGAAATAAGCCAATTTTTTTCACCCAGTTCAAATTATACCTTTAAAATGACACATTTCTGATGACCTCCTTCACCTCCCTCCATTCGGAATGTTCTCTCTAGGGATACCCATGAAACATTGATTCATTCATTCATCCACTTGGTTATTCAACAGGTGTTTATAAATTATCTACAATGTGCTGGGAGTAGGCATGTAGTTTCCAGGAATACAGTGGTGAGCAAATTGACGTGGGCCTTGCCTACAAGCAGTCACCACCTAGAAAAAGCACTGTGGCAGAGACAGTACTTCCAGTAGTAACTCCAGTCTCTTCATCCCACTATTTTTAGCTGGACAATGACCACCTATCATAGACGACATTTTTCGACTTTTTTTGCAGCTAGATGTGGCATGTGATTAAGTTTTAACCAACAGCTCGTGAGTTGAAATGTCGTGTACAGCTTATGAGATGTAGTCTTGAAGTGAGGAGAAATGCCTTAAAATTTTTTTTTTTCAATTTCCTTATCCTGCCATTTGGAATGTAGCTTTCACTGCTGGATGGAGCTGAATTAGTCATTGGGGACAGTGCAGTGGAAGCCAAATTTAAGTCTGATTCAAGTGAGATCCTAGAAGGACCCTGGGTTCCTGGCACCTTCCGAGCCCATGTGGCTCTACTCAGCCCTGCTCTTTTTAAATAAGAAAGTAGAGCCTTGTTGTTTTAAGCCACTGGTATTTCAAGTATCCTGTTATGCACGTTTGGTCTAACTAAAATAAAGGCTACCAATCGAAAAATGTAGGGGTCTCTAAGAACATGCAATACGATTCAGTCAAGGGACTTAGAGGAGGTTTTCCAGAGTAGCAGACTTCAAGTTTAGATCATAGAGAAGGTTTGGAGTTCAATAAAGTGATAGAAGGAGGGAACAGTAAAGTGCAGGTGGAGGGAACGGTATTTCAAAGACCCTAAAACAGGAGAATGTGGCACTTCAAAGGTCCCAAGACTGTGGCTTCAGCAGAGTAAAGTAGGAAAAGAGTGGCCCAGCATACGTCTAGAGATGCAGGCAGGGGCCAGATTACCTATGACACTGTAGACCAGGGTGGGAATGTTGTTCTTTATTCTACAAAAAACTAGAGGTGGATACAGTAGCTCACACCTGTAATCCCAACAGTTTGGGAGGCTGAGATGGGCAGATCCTTGAGGTTGGGAGTTCGAGACAAGCCTGGCTAACATGGTGAAAGCCTGTTTCTATCAAAAATACAAAAATTAGCTGCGTGTAGTGGCAGGCGCCTGTAGTCCCAGCTACTCAGGAGGTTGAGGCAGGAGAATTGCTTGAACCTGGGAGGTGGAGGTTGCAGTGAGCTAAGATCGTGCCACTGCACTCCAGCCTGGGTGACAGAGTGAAATTCTGTCTCAAAAAAAAGTAACAATAATAATATAAAAATAAAAATAAATGGAAAGCGATTGAAGAGTTTTATGCAGGTATTTCAGTGATCAGGTCTGGACTTTTAAAACATCTTGCTTATTGCAGTAGGGAGAACTTACTGCAGGTGGACAAGAGTAGATACAGGAAGGCTATCAAGGAGGTTAGCCAAGGTTAGCCCAGTGCCATTTGCTCCAGCAGGGAGGAGGAATGTCAAGAAGTAGGCAAGCTTGAAATCTACCTGGGAGGTGAAGCCTGCCTTTCCTGCTTTGAGTTCTGCATGGAGGATAAGGGAGGGTGGGGCTTCTGGTTTCATTTAGATTTGCTTAGAAGTAATTTACCTTCTCCTATATTTTTTATATACTTGCATCCATAATTTACCTTCTGTACTACAGTTAAACGCCAAAGCAGTAGGACTGTGTTTTACTCATCATTGTGTCTTCTTCCCCACCCAACACAGCACCTTGCTCACAGTTGGTGCTCGATACATATTCATTGATTTGGTTAACGGGGTAGATGGATAAACAACAGTTGCATAATTCTTCCCAAAGGAATCCAGTGATGCTAGCAGAACTTGCTGGAAGGCTCCTTTGAGAATTGTTTATTTGCTGACTTCGTTGATATTTGTAGCGATGGCAGCGTAGGCCGGAAGGGTAGGTCTGATTTTGCAAATTCATTTGCCTATGAAAACAGCCCATATTATGGAGTTACAAGTATGAGCAACAGGAATGGTGCAATCTATGTTCTCTGGCAAATATAGTGTCTGAAAAAAAAATTACGACTTTCACCCACTTGCTCTTTTGCAATCGTGTAGCAATAACTGTCAAAGGGTAGTGGGTTTTTCTCCTGTGTCATAATGCAGGTTTGAGTAACATGTTTTGAGTAACAAATGATTTCACTTTGTTTGGTTAATTATTGTGGGTGGTTTATCAATTGATTTAGTGCTCTTTATAAGTATCAGGAAATGAATATAGACACAGAAAAACAACTCCATTACAAATTATGGGAATGGATAGTGGCTAGTCAAATCAGATGTTTTATGCTTAACTAAGTAATAACTGAGGAGTGGACTCAATTCCAGGTGACACATTCCATGGTGGTTCGGAAGCCCCGGGGAAGAGAGGTCTATAGTCAGAAAACCACATGGCTCCACTGTCTGCAAGGCCTGTGTGACAAACGAAATAAAAATGCATTCAGGCCACCATAAATGGGCTGCTGGGAACAGTGTTCCCTAAAGAATTCATAATTTATTCCTGATTTCAAGTGCTCATTCAGCATTTTGAATAGTGACATTCTCAGGAACAAAAGCCACCTTCATCAAGCGATGAAGAAGGCCCACAAGCTCGCTACAGGTCTACAGTGAACATGAAATTATGAATCAGTTGTAGTACGCAGAGTCAGTGGACTTTAAAGATACAGGAGGTGGTCTCCTGAGAGGTGTGGAAGGATGCCATTTTATTCCAGTAGGTCGCTTTATTTTTCACTTACATATGACTGTTGATAGCCCATCACAAATCAATTTGCCTTAAAAGTTTCCTGGAACATGGTAAAATACATGATTTTAAAAACACATAAATGTATGCATTCTCCCTCTCTCTCCCCTCTCCCCAACCCTACCCTTTCAACAGATGAATTTTGGAAAGCCAAAACTCTTTTGCCATTAAGTTCCTGTTTACTAATCAGCAAATTTAAGTAACTCAACAATTATCAGAATAACTGTGTCATTCAATAAAATGAGTAACAACTACTTCTGTGAAAAATAGGTCGATTTAGAGGTGATATTATATTCCACCTCCCCACATGATTACTTTATTTTTCCATCTCATTTTGTGGATGCCAGGATTAACTATTTGCTATTTTAAGAAAAGTTGTGACAATTTTTTTTTTTTTTTTGACATGGAGTTTCACTCTTATTGCCCAGACTGGAGTGCAATGGCACAATCTCAGCTCACTGCAACCTCCGCCTCCAGGGTTCAAGCAATTCTCCTGCCTCAGCCTCCCGAGTAGCTTGGATTACAGGCATGTGCCACCACGCCCAACTAATTTTGTATTTTTAGTAGAGACAGGGTTTCACCATGTTGGTCAGGCTGGTCCCAAACTCCTGACCTCAGATGATCCGCCCACCCCGGCCTCCCAAAGTGCTGGGATTACAGGAGTGCGCCACTGCGCCTGGCCTAAGTTGTGACTATTCAGATATCAGTTTCCCTCCTATCTGTAAATAAGTTTGTTTCAATTAATAATGCATCCTAAACTCACTGCAGAAAATTTAGAATATGCATAAGGATATGCAAATAAATTTACCCGAAATACTATATGAAAATTTTGTTTCATATTCTGGATTTTTTCTTATGCACAGATGTATATTATTTGAAATAATAGCACTGACTGAACACCCTGTACTGGCACTGTGGTATATACTGAAATTTCATTATCTGATTTGTACATTTAATTCTCATGACAACTTTACATTAACTATGCAATTTTTTATTGTTATCCTTTAGCATCTTACTGTATGTTCTTCTCCATATCATTAAAATTCTTAGTAAATGTTAATGCCTGCATATTTTGTGGGAGGGATGTAGCATTTCAGGTTTATGTAACTCATAAACAATTGGATGTTTCCAATTTTTCATTAGTACAAATAATGTAAATATTTTCACTTTGTCTTACAAATACTGTTATAATTACGAAATTATAAACAGCTACATCTTTTATATGAATCCTTATATGTGTTTTTGGTTGTAGAGTTAAAATACATTCTCAGAAGTGAAATGTAGGGATAAAGCCTAGGAACATTTTATGTAGACAGTATTTTCTGAAGAATTTTCATAGCAAAAGATATTTTACTTAGACCAGATTTGCCTTTCTTTAACTTGCATTCATGGACATGCAAGTTAAGAACTAAAATTAGTTCATTATATAGACTTCTCCCCAAACAGGCAAGCTGAGTGATGTGGAGCCCTTAGTCAATTGGATATTTGCCTCTAGTCAAATTTAAGTTCCTTCTGGAAAGTGGAAAAGACTACCGAGAGGGTGCATCATTCTGGCCATCTCTGATACCCAAGGCTGACCAAGGCTGTCTCTTGCCCTGTGGAGTGGGAAGGCAGTGGGCTGAGTCTTCCTCGGTCAGTGACCGTTTTGGTGGTGCCAATGCCGCAGCAAGTTTCATCAGATCCCTGCAGAGAGGAAGCTGTGCACAAACCCTGCATGGGTGTCTGGAAGCCATGCTGGGGCTGCTGAGTGCCTGAAAACGCTGCACTCACCACCCAGGAGGACAGTTTTCCCAGGCCAATTCCCATTAGAGCGACCAACACTGGCAGCGTTCAGTCAACATCTGAGAGAATCTCTCTGACTCGAGAGTGCCTTCAACATAAGGAGAGCTGGTTTGGGGGCCACATATAAAGTCCCTGACTTAGTAGGTTGCTAACAACATTGTCTTCCTTCTCTTTCTTGAAGGTAGGCACCTGAGTGTTTAATATAGGAAGGTGTTATAAACTTAACTACATGCTATAACGAAGCCTTCATTTGAGAAACCAAAAAGAAGGAAATTAGACTTCATGAGAAAACTTAGAAAACAGTCTTTATCATTTTATCCCAGTTCATACTTATGAGAAGTACCTAAAATATTGAGTAAACTTGAGGATATATCACTGAATCCTGAATTAAGCATTTGCAACATCAGTGAAGAAAAACTGGTTCAATGACGTGAACCCATGAAAGGGCACAAGGAGAAGTAGGAGAAAATTCACTCTGATCTGAAAGTGAAGTGGTAGGAAAAAATCTTGGCAAGATTTTAGGTTTGGTAAACTATTTTTAAACCGTTTCATCGAGGTTTGATTGACATGGAAAGCTGTATATATTTAATATATACAACTCTCTGAGTTTGGGGATAACTAACCATCTGTGAGGCTAATTTGGCAAAATATTTTGAATATTTGGAGAAATATTCAAACCATGAGTGTATGTCGACACCCAACCCACTCTATGAGAAGAAAAATATAGATTTACTCTTTAACAGGTTGATTGAAATATGAATCACGTATAATAAATGGCACATAACTAGGGTGTGCAAGTGGATAAGCTTTGGCATATGTGCACACCAATAGGCCCTTCTGCACTGAAGGAAATGCATAACCCAGTCCCCCAGCTGTTCCTCTCACCCCTTTGTAATCTCTCCTGCCCTGCCTCTGCTCAACCCCTTCCCCAGGCAACTACTGTTCAGCTTTCTGTCACCACTGATTACTTTGCATGTTCTGGAATTATATATAAATGGAGTAATGTCATGCATGGTCGTTTTTGCCTGGCTGCTTTTTCCCCACAGAATTATTTTAAGATCCATTCATGTTTTGGTGGCAAACATTCATTCCCTGTCATTGCTGAGTAGTATTCCACCAAAGCGATTAATTTTTAAACAGATATTGTGTCTCTTAAATTCATATTTATTAAGGCTCCATAAGAGAAAAAAAATGATTCCTGTAACAGTATGAGCTCTTTTCTCCCTCCACCAAGTCAATGAATTTTTCTGTGACATCGTTGCTTCTTATGATTTGAAGAAGCGCTGTTTACCGCATGTCTTACTCTTAACGCTGAGATGCTACGAGGAAGGCAAAACACAAGCACTAATCCACCTTTAGCTGGCCTTTAATTTACGCTACTTTCCACGATGTACACAGTTTATCCCAGGCTGAGCCTCTGTCTCTTCCCTTGCGGGGCCAGCAAGAAATGCGTTAACACTATGGGTGAGGCGCTGGCATCATTATAACCACAGGAGGATGTGAAACGTGTCTTAGCCAGAATTAATAGCAGCAACAGCCAATTCAAATATGGAAGAATGTTTATGGCTAGGAAATGGTAAGATAATAAGAGTTGGTCTTTATTAAACCGTATGTGTCTGGTATTACGCTATCTAATTTGTTTGCAGTCATTATTTTTCACTCAATTCTCCCAACACTGTACATACAACTTCCAAGTTTACATCAGGGTTATTTCCCTTAACATAGAGTGTGCGCATTTTCAGTGTCACTAACAAATTCTTAGTAATCATTATTTATAATAGAGACAACACTTATAGCCAGGAAAAAGAAAAGGACAAATTAATAGAATTTTGGTTTCTATAAAATCCCCTGTGACATACCTTATAAAGCCAAGTAAAAACCAAGCAACCATTCTGGGGAGATCTGACCCAGGGAAGCTGAGCCAGGGAACGCAGAAGGCCACATACATTAGAGGAGCCCACTCTGGTCCTTGACCGAGGCGGTGCGTGTGATCTGTGTATTTGCAACAGTTACAGGGTCCAGAGCAGTAAAGAGAGTACAGGAGCTGCCAACCACCATTATACCCTGTGTGGTTCCCCAGCATCCTGGGAACTTGGCCAACTCATAGCAATTGCTCACCCCGAATGAGACCATGAGGCCCCCACTTCCCCTGGCCTGAATAGTTCAGGCTGCCTTGGGTTTGTGGGCGTCCGCATCAGGAAGATATCTGGTCCTCCTGTA
Source organism: Homo sapiens (assembly GCF_000001405.40). Classification (NCBI taxonomy): domain Eukaryota; kingdom Metazoa; phylum Chordata; class Mammalia; order Primates; family Hominidae; genus Homo; species Homo sapiens. The sequence continues at coordinate 109,385,314 of NC_000013.11, read as the reverse complement.
TTGTGTCATTAAACACTCCCAGGAACTGAAGGAATGCTATTGATTTGGATCATCTATTCCCCGCAGGAGTTTTAAAACTTCCTATGAGGCCACAAAGGAATCCATATAAAAGTTTATTTTGTGAGAAGAGAGACAGTGTCTTTTCATTCTGCCTTGAGGATGTGCATGGTGCTAGCACAGCAGAGGCATTGCAGACTTGTTAGAAAACTTCAAAAGCTGGGTGTGGTGGCTCACGCTTGTAATTCCAGCACTTTAGGAGGCCGAGGTGGGCGGATCACCTGAGGTCAGGAGTTCAAGACCAGCCTGGCCAACATGGTGAAACCCCCTCTCTAGTAAAAATAAACCTGGCACCTGGTACCTTTAGTCCCAGCTACTTAGGAGGCTGAGGCAGGAGAATCACTTGAACCTGGGAGGCAGAGGTTGCAGTGAGCCGAGATTGCAACATTGCATTCCAGCCTGAGTGAGAGAGTGAAACTCTGTCTCAAAGAAAAAAAAAAAAAAAAAACAGAACAGAAAAGAAAACTTCAGACAAGTTAAATTTGATAGAGTTTAATTGAGAAAAAAAAAAAAGAAATGATTCACGAATCAGGCAGCCTCCAGAATCACAACAGATGTGGAGAGACTCCAGCAGTGCCTTGTGGTCAGAACAAATTCATAGACAAAAAAAGTAAAGTGACGTACAGGAATTGGCAGTGAGGTACAGAAACTGTGAGTTTGGTTGCACCTTGGCATTTGCCTTATTTGAAGACAGTTTGAACACTCAGCAGTCTGTGAGTGGTTGAAGTATAGCCGCTGGGATTGGCCAACACTCAGCTATTGTTACAGGTGCATACTATTATGTTTGGTTTTCAATCTTGTCTGCCTATTAAGCTAGGTTACTGTTCCGTCATGAGGACTCAAATATAGAGGTAGGAGTCCTTCTCAGGCCATCTTCAGTTTGCTTTAACAAGACAAATCCTCACATGGACTGGAGTCTGCAAATGGCAGCAGGCACCTCCGAGGCCCAGGTCAGGCTTCCATCAAAAGGGAAAAAGTCTCAGGTCTACTCTATGCCGATATGTGCTACAAGGAAATAATAATACTCCAAGCTGTATCCAAGGCTTCAATTGCCTCTACCTCTTCCTTGCAAATTATTTAAACTGCTTATCTTAATCCCTGAATGGTGAATTTACTAGCTCTGATAACAGATCGCTTACACATTTAGAGAGTTGAGTTTAGCCCCCAAGGTCCTTGCTGTAGTTGTACTTATTTGTTTGTTTTTGTTTTGTTTTATCTCTAGCTAGAATCTACCTGCCTAGAATTGACACCCATTGGTCTAGGTTTCATGCCTTTGGGTTGTATAAAATGTGTGTGGTCTAACTTCTTGCTTCATTATTAGGCTATGCATTCTGGGTCTCATTTCCCACTGCCACAGTTCTGTTTCCTTTCAGTATATGAGTCACTTCTCCCTGAAATCGCCTGGGGTTTTCTAACATATCTTTGGAATGTGATGTCCTGCATTGTATGCTCCAGCAGGGAGGGCTGCCCCCCTGTTACTGCCCAGGTGAGAAATGGGTGCATTCCAGGGTCTGCAGTAAGACTCATCCTATGAGACAGGTACTTCCCACCATCATCTACCCAGTCCTCCCAACCATCCTATGAGATAGGTACTTCCCACCATCATCTACCCAATCCTCCCAACCATCCTATGAGACAGGTACTTCCCACCATCATCTACCCAATCCTCCCAACCATCCTATGAGACAGGTACTTCCCACCATCATCTACCCAATCCTCCCAACCATCCTATGAGACAGGTACTTCCCACCATCTACCCAATCCTCCCAACCATCCTATGAGACAGGTACTTCCCACCATCATCTACCCAATCCTCCCAACCATCCTATGAGATAGGTACTTCCCACCATCATCTACCCAATCCTCCCAACCATCCTATGAGATAGGTACTTCCCACCATCATCTACCCAATCCTCCCAACCATCCTATGAGATAGGTACTTCCCACCATCATCTACCCAATCCTCCCAACCATCCTATGAGATAGGTACTTCCCACCATCATCTACCCAATCCTCCCAACCATCCTATGAGATAGGTACTTCCCACCATCATCTACCCAATCCTCCCAACCATCCTATGAGATAGGTACTGTCATTTTTTCTTTAGCAACAGTGATGCTGAGGCCACGTGACTTAAGTGGAACAGTGTTGAGCCTGGCTTTCTGATTCTTCAACCTCTCTTACAATTCTTCTCTTCCTTAATATCCTTTTTCTTGTATTTTCTCCTTTCTAATGGATTCTTTGCTCAGCTCTCCACTTTTAGTCACGTTTTGTTAACAATCATCTTCTCCACTCTTTTTTCTTTCTGGTCTCACAGAAATATGAAAAGATGTTCATTTTTCACAGCTCTACTCCACAGTCCATGGTGATAACCCACCATATATATATATATATATATATATATATGTGTGTGTGTGTGTGTGTGTGTGTGTGTGTGTGTGTATATATATGTGTATATATATATGTGTATATATATATGTGTGTATATATATATGTGTATATATATATGTGTATATATATATGTGTATATATATATGTGTATATATATATGTGTATGTGTGTGTGTGTGTATATATATATATATATATATATATATATATATATTTAGAGTCTCACTCTGTCACCAGGCTGGAGTGCAGTGGCGCAATCTTGGCTGACTGCAACCTCCGCCTCTTGGGTCCAAGTGATTCTTCTGCCTCAGCCTCCTAAGTAGCTGAGACTACAGGTGTGCACCACCACACCCAGGTAATTTTTGTATTTTTAGTAGAGATGGGGTTTCACCATATTGGCCAGGATGGTCTCGATCTCTTGACCTCGTTATCCACCCGCCTCGGCCTCGCAAAATGCTGGGATTACAGGTGTGAGCCACCAGCCTATACTTTTTAGCAGTGAACGGAACCTTTAGCTGACTCAGGCACCGCCCTGTTTGTCTCAGCAAACTTACAGGAGTTTGCATTGGGGTTGCTTAGGCCAAGGGATGGGGAAGAGCTGCAGGGAGTGAAGAGCAGAGTCAGATGTTATGGGCTTTTGGGGGCAGAAAAAAGGATATTATGTACCTAAAGAGGGGTGCCTTTTCCTGGGACAGGGAGCGGTTTTTGATTTACAGAGGGAAATGTTGAACAAAGACTGCATTCTTCTGGTTGCATAGGAATACTTTAAAGCCCACATTCAGTTCTTACCACAGCCACCCAAGCAATCTGGAATCTCACACAAACGTGCCTTCTAGACAGGAAGTTTTTATGAACATTTTAGAGAAGACAACAAAAACAAGAACAAAAACGAGAACGGCTGGCTGAGTCAGAATCTCAAAAATCTCAAGATTCTCATGCATTTTGAGAACTTGTTAAACAATATGAATATTCTCCTTGGTAAGTCAGTTAGAAAAACTCACTCTTTTGAACAATAATGCTCTGTTTTTCTCCAGTTGGGGAACTGAAATAATGGAGAAAGTCTCTGCTCTTAATTTCTCTAACCAGATGGAATTTAAAAAGCATGTGGTTCGAGTCATCATTGGGAAAACATGACAAAGATTATGGAACACACATGAATTCCAACTTGCTGGGCACCCACACATTTTCCTTCATTCTTTGAAGAATTGCTAAAATCAGCCATCAAGAACAGTAAACACCAATACTTTGCCTTGAGAGGAATTAGGGGTTTGAGCTAAAATATCTAAAAGACTTGAAATCTGTAATTAAACATAGACTTGGTTTTAAGTTTCCTAATCCTCTCTTTATCATCAACATTCTGCAATAAATTCTTTCTAAACTTCCCCACCTCAGTTTACTAGTTTAGCTCTCTGATGCAATAATCTCCACAAACAATCGTTTTTGCTCAGTTACTTTTCATTAATTTATGGTTTTTCCAGTTTTAGTCTTAACTGGAATAAATGAACATATGACTTTAATTTAACCTATATTTCCTTGCACTTAGAAACAAAAGTGAATAATATTATGTATGCATGTATGTATGCATTTATTTATTCTCAATCCCAAAGACCTCACCAATTTGATGAGGGAGGTTAAGCAAAATGAAACAAAAACATTCTCACCCTTTTACTGTACCTAAACTCAATAGTCCAACAAAATAAAATGAAGAAATGATATTTTAGATAGTATTGTCTTTACTGAAAAGCCAGTTGTAGTCATATTTTGCAGAAAGAGAGTTTAAAATATATAAAAGTAGACGGAGTTGACAATATATACATAATTGATCAAAAGTTTTATAGTATAAATGATTCTTATTATTAGGCGTAGTTATGTTTTATAAAGGCAACACAAACCCAGAATTAGCAAATACTGAAGCATTTCTTCTAGGGGAAAGCCAGAGTTCGTTTCCTTCAAGACTCTGGTCACAATATTTTTGTCAGCTGATCAACATGTAGACTTGTTTTATGTGTGTTTCTGTTTAAAGACACCTTGTTTAATATATATTGTTATTCATCAACGCTGAAGTCACAGGCAGTAGCATTCTAACTGGTGCCTGAATGAAGCCTCTCTAACAGGTGTATTTTCTGTCTCGGACACATCACAGCCTTCCTGCATTTAGACACATTCGACAACACTTTTGCACTAGCTTGGGAGCCATTTTAAATAGCAAGATCATCAATAAAAATCACAGAAGTGGACAATGTGCCCCTAAATGGACCAAAAGAAGGACACTTGTTTACATTATGAGAGCTGAAACAAGAAGGCAAAATGTCGCCTTGTTCAGCCTCAGCTGCTGACTCGAATTTTGGCCACTCTGCACATGTCCGTGAATGACCTTGAAAGCACGATGAGTATTGACTTGGGGGCTACAAATACATTTTAATGAGGAGGCAAGTTTGCAGATACAGGATCTGTGAATAATAAAGATTGATTGCACTTCTGAAAGGATCATTGAAAGCATTTCTATCCTGTACTAAAATATTATTTTGCCAATACCGATACTGTCACTTCTGAATATTCTCAGTCTTGCTTATGTAACTTTCTCTTTTTAGAAAAATCCTTTGAAATGTATAAAAGTTTTTCTTGGTTGATACTCTTTGTACTCACCCTTGAATTCACAAAGGATCACATGCGTTGCTGCTGTTAACATGTAAATTAAGCAATGGAAAAGAAGCTGTAGCAGACACTATCTGTACCCTGCCCACCTTCGCCCAACCCACCCTCAATAGAACTTGCAGACATGCTTGAAGCTTTCTTTGTTTTTTGGCCTGAAAACATTCTCTGTTCAAAAGAATATGCTAGACACACCAGGGCAGACAAGAAGCGAGCCCAACTTAATGCATGAAGAGTAATTGAGTACTCCAGCTCATACCCCACAGTGGGAAATTCTGAAGCAGGTTCCGTGTAGTCTCCTAGAAGACCCAGTAGGATTGTACCTTATTGCCCACAACAGGCGTCTGCTCAGTCCTGCTCCACTATTGATTACCAACTTTCCTGCCTCAAAACCCTACTCTACAGATTGCCTCTCACATGCACTCTTTTTATTCAAATCATTGAATCAAGCTCTGCTTTTTTGTTCTTTACTTTAAGTTCCAGGATACATGTACAGTTCTGCACATGTATCCTGGACCTTAAAGTAAAATAAACATGTGCAGATTTGTTACATAGGTATACAGGTGCCATGGTGGTTTGCTGAACCTATCAATCCATCATCTAGGTTTTAAGCCCCGCATGCATTAGGTATTTGTCCTAATGCTCTCCCTCTCCTTGTCCCCCAACCCCCAACAGGCCCCAGAGTGTAATGTTCCCTTCCCTGTGTCCATGTGTTCTCATTGTTCACCTCCCACTTACGAGTGAGAACATGCGGTGTTTGGTTTTCTGTTCCTGTGTTAGTTTGCTGGGAATGATGGCTTCCAGCTTCATCCATGTCCCTGCAAAGGACATGATTTTTTTCTGGCTAAGATGGATTAAAGACTTAATGTAAATGTAAATGTAAAACCCCAAACCATAAAAACCCTAGAAGAAAACCTAGGCAATATCTTTCAGGACATAGGCATGGGCAAGGACTTCATGACTAAAGCACCAAAAGCAATTGCAACAAAAGCCAAAATTGACAAATGGGATCTAATTAAACTAAAGAGCTTCTGCACAGCAAAAGAAACTATCATGAGAGTGAACAGGCAACCTACAGAATGGAAGAAAATTTTTGCAATCTATCCATCTGACAACGGGCTGGCTAATATCCAGAATCTACAGGAAAAAAACAAACAATCCCATCAAAAAGTGGGCGAAGGATATAAACAGACACTTCTCAAATTCTGCTTTTATGGTAACTCAAACTAAAGTGGAAATAATTTTCTCTGGGAATCCTACTGCAACAACTTGGAATTCTAGAGACTTGTTTGAGCTTCCAGCTTAGAGACACAATAGGGTGGACTGAAAAGGAGTCCCCCACTGGATTCCAGCCTCTGTTCTGCCATCACTTGATTCCTAGGTGCCTGTCTTAGTTCCCTTTGGATGTTAGAACAAATTACTGCAACTGAGTTGCTTAAAACAATGAAAATTTATTCTTTCACAGTTCCGAAGGCAGAGGTCTGAAATTCAGGTGAGAGCAGAGCGGTGCTCTCTCTGAAGGCTCTGAGAGAGATTTTGTTCTTAGCCTCTGGCGTGGCCACCATGCCTTGGTATTCCTGGGCTTGTAGATGCGCCACTCTAATCTCTGTCTCTGACATTACCTGGCACTCTTCCTGTGTGTCAGCACCTTTGGAGCTGAGTGCCTTTTTGCCTCCACCTTTTTTTTTTTTTGAGACGGAGTCTTGCTCTGATGCCCATGCTGGAGTGCAGTGGCACAATCTCGGCTCACTGCAAGCTCCGCCTGCTGGGTTCACACCATTCTCCTGCCTCAGCCTCCCGAGTAGCTGGGACTACAGGTGCCTGCCACCATGCCCAGCTGATTTTTCGTATTTTTAGTAGAGACGGGGGTTTAGTAGAGATCGAGATCAGGATGGTCTCGATCTCCTGACCTCGTGATCTGCCCACCACAGCCTCCCAAAGTGCTGGGATTGCAGGCCTGAGCCACTACGCCCGGCTTGCCTCCACTTTTAAAGACAACAGTTGTTGGATTCGGGCCGACCCTATGACCTCATCTTACCTCAATAACAAATTCGAAGACTCTACTTCCTATATAGGAACATCACATACACAGGGAGTTAGGACTTGAATGTATCATTTTGGGGACAGGATTCAACCAATAATGGTGCCTTATGTCCTTGTCTACAAAATGTTAATGTTTGACAAAGAAGATGATCTCTGAGGCCCCTTTTAGCTCTGTGGTTCTATAATTCAGACTTTAAAGATGAGTGTTACTTTCATTGCTGTTCTTTTCCTTCTTACTCTTATCTTCCTATTATCACCACAGAATAAATCCAATTATGGTTTGTCTAAAGGGAAATACACATAGCACTGCATGTTAAAACATAGAGAAAATAAACATGAATGAAATTGATGTCTCTTAAAATAATTATATTTTCAACCCTAAGCATTTAACTTTCCAATCCAAAATAACATACTCATTCGGCATGTATAAGATATTTTTAAATCACTGAGTAAAAGTAATAATTACCAAAGACATGAATTTCCTGGAGGACAATCATGTTGCTGAAGACACATTGCTCAGGTACAATCAAAGAAAATGTTAATGTAAGATTTTATCTGCCCAAGATTCTTCATGGGTTTTCAAAGTTCAGGGTACCTTCCGCATGGTTTAATTTGTGTTCCCTACCAGGGAACGTGTATGGATGGGGCTGATGGTATTTTATTTTTCTTTAAGCTATAATGTATTCTGCATCATTACAATACTGTTGACTGGAAATGAAAACAACGGATATAAATAATGTCACTCACTCTGAGGATCAAGGCTTTAGAAAGACTGCTTTCCTTCAAGGCTGTCTTCTTTCTGATTGTTTATTTTGTAAGAGTTTTATTTATTAAAAAATATTCCATGTATGCTCCAACAGCCAATGGAAATAAAGCAAGTGACCCTGAGAAAGAGGTAAACAAGTTGTTTACAGTGCTGGGCAGCAGGACTCCGGGTGTGTCTGCTGAGGCAAGAGGGACCTGGCTTCTAAGTTGCTGAGGGCAATGGGGCTGGCCCGGCTGAGCCCTGGCCCCTGCAAAGCCTCTGGGCTTCAGTCGCAGGAAGTCGCCTACATGTGGTGTCGTTTTCAGCTGCGGATTGAGACAGATGCACCCAGATCAATATCCCTGTCTAGTATCAAAGACGTATTGTTATCTCACCGGGCATTTTCCACCAGGGCGAGAGCAAAACTCTTTTCTTCCATCAGTACATGGAGGAGCCTCTAGAGTCCTTCCTCTTTTCCTGATCAAAGGGGTAAGATGAAGGCTTAGCAGGTGATTGGGATTTTATATTTGGAAACTTCCTTCAGCTAAAAGATTATATATTATATTATATTATATTATATTATATTATATTATATTATATTATATTATATTATGGCTATTTGGATCTGATTCTATTGCTGGTACTTATTGGTTTCAGTGGAGAGGCTATTAATGAGCTAATGACAGCAATAACTCTCCTGACCTTTTCTGCCTTTAAAGAAGAGTGAAATTGTTGATCTGTTTTAAGTACTGTTAGGGAAGCCTATCAGCTTCCTACCTGTAGCATTCGTGTGCAATTTCAAAATGTCCATTATGCTTTTTCTGAGGATGGACAGCTAAGTATTACTGCTCTCCGAGCTGGGAATAAGGAAATTCACCCAGGCACGGTCAAGTTGAGAGTTAAGGTGAACCACTCTAAAAGGAAAATTTTGGGGAAAATTTTAGGAAAATTAAGAGAAAATATTTTTCCCCTTTTGCATTAACAAGATAAAAGGCCTTATTTTCCAATGCACTCTGTGGGAAAATACACAGTTAGACACCTTTCACAGGAAACCTGTCCTTGGCTTTAGTATTTTTCACTGGGCACATTCACCAACTGGCCGTATGGCATCTTTAAACAATCCAACAGGGGTGTAAGAGCCTTTCTGGTGCCTCGGATTTCATTTCCTACAGGCATTTCAGCAGGTGGTTGGAAAAGGTCTTATTGCTACATGCTTGGAAAGTGAAAAAGTAGCAAAAAAAAAAAAATCTTAAAATCTAGAGATTAGGTTAGGCTTGCTGGCCCACACATATAATCCCAGCACTTTGGGAGGCCAAGGAGGGAGGATCAACTGACTTCAGGAGTTTAAAAGATTAGCCTGGGCAACATAGTAAGACCCTGTATCTACTAAAAAAAAAAATAATAATAATAATAAAATACCTGAGCATGGTAGTGTGTGTCTGTAGTCCTAGCTACTCAGGAGGGAAGCTAAGGCAGGAGGATCACTTGAGCCTGGGAGGTTGAGGCTGCAGTGAGCCCTGATAGCACATTTGCAATCCAGCCAAGGTAACGCAGAATGAGACCCTGTCTCTAAATAAATAAATAAATAAATGCTGGAAATGAAATGAGGTTGCTGGGGTTATCCAAGGGGAAAAGAGTGGAGAGTATTTGCTCAGTCCCGAGTTCACACTGCAAACCAAAAAGTTAGTGTCATGACTCAACTAAATGCAGACAGAGGGCAGCTCGCTCCTGGAGTAACTGGCTCCCAGAATAAAAAAGAGACAAGTTTTTTTCCTTATGCAATTGAAAACTTCTCAGTCACTCACATTAAGTTCCTTAATATATATCTTTTCATTACCCACACTGTTGGCTTGTTTTAGTGAGAACAAATTCAGAAGGGTGAAAATAGGCGGGAAACACTCCGAGAATCATCCTCTGTGTGCTGTGATAATGGCTGTTAGTGCCTTTCTCCTCGTACTGTCACTAAGCACAGAGGGCTCATTATCATAAAGTTTTCATTTTCTTATAAGAAGACCTTTTCGTAAGAGAAAACAGGCCAACAACTTATGTAATTAGTGATAAAAATACGTTCTTAAGGACTTAGTTTGAGTAGTTCAAGGTTTCCAACTTAAACTATAAATCGGGCACCTGCTTGTAATATTCCCAAAATCTAAAGCTCTACTGAACAGATATGCGCAGGACATACATTTGGGTGCCCATTAAAATATTTTAATTTCCCCAAATCTGGAGTTTAATCATTTACACATTCTGGTATCACATCGTCTGCCCAGTGATTTCTTCTTCAGAGAGTCTTTTAAATGTTAATTAATTAGATAATGTGATCACGCTGTACCTTTAAGTCCAATTCACAATTGGAGCTGGCATATGGTGCCGAAGGAATCTGTCCCAAGACGCTGCTGAAAGGCACAGAGCACCTCGGAAGAAGCCTTCCCACGTGGTCCGATTCCCTGCAGCAAATCAGTAGAAACGCACAACGGGAAACTATCCACAAACGATAGATGCTGAAAGTGGCTCTAAGCTCAGGAGAGATTTTACAAGAGGAGAACACATGTTTTTCGTCTTTCATCATTAGCCTTTGTAAATATGGAAGGTGTTGTATTTTGCTTGAAAATCATGTTGTTAAATTGGTTCATTCACTTACTCTTAAAACAAACATAAATTGAATTGAACCAGGGCCAAGGATTTTGCTGGCAGCTGAGGGGGTTGTGGTAAGTAAGACCTGACCTCTGCCTTCCAGGAGCACAGAGTTCACTGAGAAAGACAGAAAAAGGGGTCCTGTAAATAGAACAGGGGTTTATTTTAGGATAGCTTATATGACTAGATGTAGAAGAGATGGCCACCGTGGTATGCAGCCCAAATCCCCTCTCCAGGACAGGAGCTCATTTCCCCGCTCCCCAGAGCACTGGCTGTTGCAGCATTACCGCAGAGTCCCTCTCTGGGACCTGCCTGAGCTGAAGGGAGCTGCCATGGGCAAGACTTTATCCCTCCTCACGGTAGCCCCATCCGGTGACTGGTTGATGTAGGCACATAAAAACCGAGCCCTTGCCTTAATTCCAGCTCCATGCTCCCAGTGAAATCAGCGGAAGCCTCTGACTTACCGGCATTACAGTTCAACAGCTTCTGTGTAGTCCTGCTTCCTGACTCCCAAGAGGTGCTGTTCCAGCTACGGTCCCCAGTGTCCTTTCTGTATGCAGATGTACATCTCACAGTCTGCTTCCTGTGGAACTTGACCTAAAAGACCTACTGCCAAGGCAGCCGGCAGAAGCAGCCAGTGGTCTAGCTGTGAGAACCATCACTCATGCTACTCAGAGAATAGATGGCCTCTGGAATGCCATAGTGTTGCAACTGTCAAAACTTCCAGGTGACCTGGGCTGAGAGGGGAGTGGAAGGGAACCCACAGGCACAGGCATTATCTGGGTGTTGCCAGTGTTGCTTTCTAAAGGCTGTTGATGCAATAGAGCAATGGTTCTCATCAAAGGTGCATTGTGCTCCTCGGGATATATGGCAATGTCTGGGGACATTTTGGTTATGACAGTTGAGAGGGGAGTTGCTACTGGCATCTGGTGGGTAGAGAGCAGGGATTCTGCTAAACACCTTACAGTGCACAGGACAGCCCCTCAAACAAAGAATGTTCAGGCTCCAATACCCATAGTGCCATAATTGAGAAACCTTGCACTGGGGAGAGAAAATGAAAGCTGAGAGTGTTTAATTTCAGGCAAATTGGGACCTCTATTAGGGACTGAATGTTTGTGTCCTCACCCCGCACCCCTCCACACACAATTTATATGTTGAAGCCCTGACCCTCAATATGATGGTATTGGGAGGAGGGGCCTTTGGGAGGCGACTAGGTTTAGATGAGGTCATGAAGGTAGAGACTGTGTGATGGGCAGTGCCCTGATAAAGAAGAGGAGGAAACACCAGAGCGTTCTCTCTCTCTCTCTCTCTCTCTCTCTGTCTCTCTCTCTTTCAACAGTGTAAGAACACAGCAGGAAGGTGGCTGCCCCCCACCCCCAACCAAGAAGATGGCCGTCACCAGGAAACAAACTGGCTTCCACCTTGATCCTGGACTTCATCTGTTGTTGAAGCCGCCCAGCTTACAGCAATGTGTTACGGTGGCCTGAGCTGACTAAGACACCCTACTTGGCAAAATCTCAGGATTATTCTCTACTTTGACTGGAGGACAGAAGAAGCTGAGAAGTGGAGGTACTACTTTCTTGTCAGGGTCGTGGGGCCCCAGAGAAGACTGAATTCATAACCTCAGCAAATCTGCCATGGCAAGCTCAGGTCTCTGAACACCAGGGCCAGGATACCGGGGCCAGTGAACATGGAAATCTTGACTCCCTAGATGCCTCCAACCCTCTGAGCCTACAGGAGTGGCCTGTGTGTCCCATTAAGGGCTAACATTTGCATTGCTTGAGACCTTGCAAGGTATGCCCTCCACGTACACGCAGAATCCATCCCCCAACTCCTCCAGGTCATAACAGGCCTCAATTACGAAAGGACAGCATCTGCAAAGGGAGGCAGAGACTTTACACTGAGGGAGAGACAGGACTAGCCAATCTTCGCAGCAGGAGCCAGGAGGCTGGAGGTGGGGTTGGATTCCAAGGGTGTTCAAATATATGGGGGCCAGACACTGGGTAAGAGAGGGAAGTCCACTGATATGGGAGGCTCCTGTTGTACAAAGTTAATGCCTTAGCAAGGACCCCGGGAAACGGTGCTGAGGCTGTCAGGGCTTGTGGATGCCTAGAGAAGATGAGGGGTCTCACTCAGTGAACTGAAAATGCTGGAACTGCCATGGCAGAGGAAAAGAGAAGAACAAAGCTTCAGAAGAGTGATGTGCTGTGGAGAGCCAGCCAATGATGATCTGGGAACCAAGTGTCAGAAGTAGGAGTGGCCCCTCATCACCCTCTTCACTGACCTGGGGAGCTACGTTCCAGTCCTGTGGCTTGGGCTCTGGAGGTCCGGAGACTCTAGGCTCAGAGGGCTGTTTCCACCGGAAGAGGCTCTCGCTCCTTCTGAAGTCATGGATTTCCCCCCCCAGTGCCTCATGCCAAGATTCCAGGAGGAAAGGAATCGTGACCCCGCGGGGGACCTGGCCCCAGTGTTTAGCTACAGAGGCCCTGACAGAGAGGCGTGCTGGGCAACTGCCACCAGAGAGGGGTCACTCCAGACTGGAGACTGGGGGTCCTGGGGTGGGGTGGCCACCTGGACAAGGCAATGCAGGTGTAAAATCATTCCATTGTTTAAAAGCATGCGGGCCTTTTGGTGGGGACAGAGGCACAGGTTACACAGCAAGTGAAAATTGGCAAATACTTGAAAAGATATTTAAGTTTATATGTCAAATAAATGAAGATAAACAATGAAGGGCTATTTTTTCCACTTTTCAAATATCCAAATTTTAAAAATAATAATACTTAACACAGACGAGAGTTCTGTGAAATAGGCCTCCCTCCCATTCATGGGAGCCTGGGTTGGTATAATCTTTTAGGTGGCAATTTAGTAGCACCATTCTTTGATTTATTATTACTTTTCTGGAAATGCATCCTAATGTAATGTATCTAAATATGAAGAAAAAAGCCTGATGAAGAAATACGTTGAACAAAATTATTTACAAAAGGAAAAAGAAAAGTAGTAGAGGGACTATTATAGCCACATTTGTCTATTTATTCAGCAGAATACCAAGCTAGCTGTTTAATGATTGTGGAAACTTTGTAATTATATGGAAATATTCGTAGAAAATACTATTGAAATAATATGGTAAATGCTTTAAATACAATGTCAAATATAAAACTTAATACAACGTGGAGAGAATGAGTACAAGCTTGTAAAATGTTTGCTTAAAAATGGAAGGCTGTGTCAATCAATGTAGACACAGCTCTTCTGTTACACTAGAAGCTGGAACTGTTTTAAGTGCCGCATAGTTTAATATTTCCCTGTGTACAATTGGCTCCATCAAACATGGTTTCTGAAATATTTTTCTGAATAAAGTATGAGTGTAAATTACTAAGTGTGCTACACCCTTACTATGATATATATGATATATATATCACAGTCATGTGCCCTGCACAAACACTTCCAGGCTGAGATGTCTTTAGGGCTCAAATCCAGCGCCGAGGGACAGCCCTGTTTCCATTTCCTCCTGCCCAGAGGGGTGAATTTTCCAAAGGGCAGATGGGCACAGCTTCCCTGGGGAGGAGTGCAGGGGTTTCAGCGGGTTGTGCACTGCAGGGGCCGCCGGTGTTAATTTGTTTTACAGAAGTATTTCACAGAAGAAGTGACATGAACCCGACCCACAGAGGGCTTGAGAGTCAGACAGGTCGGCCTCTCCTGGAGCTGCAGCCTCCGGTAGCTTAACTTCTGAGTTAGCGCAGGGCTGAGGGCGCTTTTCCCCGCAAGCCCTTTCCCCACTAAAGGCACTTCTGGTGGGTCCTCTCTGTGGCTCCTTGTCCCCGGTATCAGCAAGTGTCCTGCTTTTCACGTCCAGTTCATGGGTGAATGTGAACAAGCTCTGGGTGAAAATGCTGGGGGCAGGTGCTGGGAGGCTGGCAGCATGGATTCAGCAAGCATGACCCCAGAGGACAGGACAGGAAGATGACAAAGGAAAGGAGAGTGCGATGCGTGGCGTGAGAGTGCATCAGCCTGCTGGGGTTGGAAGGAGAGGGTGTGCCGGAGCTGGTCTGACCATATTTGCAGTTAGTGAGGACTGGCTTGAACACAGCCAGTGCTCTGGAAGGCCTTTGTGAGGCACAGCTGTGATGCGGTCACAGAACACCCTGTCCCTGAGTCATGGTGAAGATTGGAGAAAGGCACACGTGGCCGGTGACAGGTGCCTGGCACCTTGCAGGTGTGCGACCTGTGTGAGTTTCCTTCCCCGCCACCCTTCCTATGAGATGAAGGTGGAGAGGAATGAGGGGAACGTGGGTGGGCTACTGCTGGATCGGGAGACTGAGGGGGTGTGGAATCGAGGCAGTGTTCCCTTGGCCTCCCATCATCCTGGGAAGTGATTTTTGGAAAACAGTGGGGTGAGCACAGGAGAAAAGTGTGCACATTGCAATAGCAGCACCAGGAACTGGGAAACGCTTCTGGCTGAGGACAAGCTAAGTACAGCGGGAGACACTGTCCCTTCCCTCCGGTGACTTCCTGGATTTCCCCCAGTGTTGGGGGCACACGAATAACACCACTTGGAGCAGCGTGTTGGTTTCTGTCTGTGCATTGCACTCGTAGCTGCTTCTCCACTGCTCTACAGGAGCTTTCTCCCTCATGAGATGACGAAGGGAGTCCTGGGCCTCCTCAGGAAACTCAGATTTCTGTGCCTTTGGCCTGCAAGCTGAGGCATCACTTCAGCAGAGGGTGGCATGGTGAGGACCGAGTGCCATTCACGCTCAGGACACTGCTGGAGGCTCACGGGCTTGCAAAGTCAAGCAGGGAGAGCACAAAAAAGGGAGAACTTTTCCCTCTGGATTTTCAAAGGGCTGGGAATCCCCAGGAAGCTCTTTTCTGGGCCAGCAAGTGATGCGCGTCATGGGCTCCTCTCCCTCTTGGGTGCAGGTGCCTGGCAGAGATAGGAGCCCTCGTGCCTGATAAGGCGGCACACTCATTACCCTGCTTAGATCCCCAGGGCCCTGGGAAGTCTGCAGAATGAACAAGCAGGGAAAGAGTGAGTGAGCTTCCATCAGGATGGTGGCAAGGCACAGTGGCCGAACCAAGGGGAACCCACTGGGCACAGGTGCCCAGCTTCCCACTCGGGAGGTGGAGGGCGGGGAGGGTGTGGAGCTTTGTTGAATCCCTCCTTTCTGCCTGCTCCCATTTGGGAATTCTGAGACTGGTGACCCACATGCTTTGAATGGATTTTTCTATTTTTGCCACTGCCTCTGCTGCCGCCGACAGATTCTGGCATTTTCTACTCTTTACAGCGCTTGCTGCCTGGATGGAGACAAAAACAACACACACTGGGCCAAGGCTGTGAAAAATCAGGGCACCAGAGAAACTGGAACAAAGGAGAGACACAGTATCCCTCTGCAGCGTGCTATCTGCTCTCTGCCAGCCCGTGGCTCTTTGTCATGCCACTGGCAGGGGCTTCTTTACTATAAATTAGCATTCTGGTAACTTATTGCTATAACAAAGATCTTAAAAAATCAGCCTGCTCTTGCCCTAAAACTTCAGTTGCAGAAGTTTTACAAAAGGGACAAGTATATGAGGACAGACACACACATGCAAACACACACAGAGGCCTTTTTATTTATTTGTTTTAATTGACAAATCAAATTGTATATCCTGTATTTATGGTATACAACATGATGTCTGGAAATATGTGCCCATGAGGAAATGGCTAAATCAAGCTAATTAACATATGTATCATCTCACATAGGTTTTGTGGTGAAAACACTCAAAATCTGCCTTGGTAGCAATTTTCAAATATGCAACACATTGTTATTAACTATAGTCTTTTTTGATGGCAACTTTTAATAGGCACTAAAATTGATTTAAGAAGTTAGGGTGATGATAGATGTTGATGCTTTATAGCAAAGCTTAAAGCACACCGGGGAGTAGAAAACTGAGAAATGTCCGATGAGTTTAAGCAAGGTAGATGATGAGTGAAGGTAATTTTTCAGTAGGCGAGGTACTGGTTTTGCTGGAATTATCTGTCATGAGGTCTGGGCTCCACTTCCTTCAGCGAATGCAGGTCGGCTCCCAGCATCCAAGCAACCCTGGATCCCTGAAGGAGACCCAGCGTCTTCTTGGTGTCCCAGGGCAGCTGCTCTGGAGCAGAAGCCTTTACAAATTAAATGATTGAAGAGGCAAAAGACAAATCAGAAATACTCAACTGAGAATATTCCAATTTTCTTCCTATCTTCAATACCTAGTACAATATCTGGTCAAAAATTTTTGCTAAAACTATGCTTATACAGTGAGTGAATCAATCAATCAATACATTTCTTTGTTTTTTCTTATCTTTTTCTTGCTTTTTTTTTTTAAGAGAAGTCTTCTTTGTTTCAGTCTGTTATGACATCATTGCAAACATTTGCATGAGGTTTTCTTTTTCTCATTTAATCTTTATTTCACTTAGGGCATGTTTAGAAGGACTTCGCGTTAGTATAAATTCCTTCATGTGGGGTCATCCTAACACTAAACGGCAGCCTAAGTAAGAACCTGCAAGCAATATTAGACAAGCGTGAAGGAAAAAAAAAAAAGAGGCCCATTCAAAGGCCAAATCCTTGAAGATTTACTCTCCTTAATTCTAGGAATGAAACCACATAATGAAATGGAGGCCTACAGCAGGGTTCTGCAGATGGGGTCTGTGAGGGATTTAATAAAAAAGGGAGGAGTCAAAGGGCTAAAGAGATTGTCCCAAAGTAACTGCAGCCCTCAATTCCAGAGTCACGCCCAGTGGCTGAAAGCAGAGGTGCTGATGCTCCCTGGGCTGCTGCAGGCAAAGTGCTACCTGAGGGGCCTGAGCCATGGAAGCGATTGCCTCCCAGCTCCAGGGGGCAAAAGTCCAAGAGCAAGGGGCTACAGGAAGCATCCGTTCCGCTCCCCTCCCCAGCCTCTGGGGGTCTGCCGGCCATCTGTGGGCTCCTTGGCTCAGGGAAGCATCACCCTGAGCTGCACCTCTGTCTCCACATGCCATTCTCCCTGTGTGCATTTAGGTTCAAATTGCTCCTTCTAGATACTCTAGTCACGAGGCGTTAGAGCCCATCCTCATGGCCTCATCTGTACTTGATCCCCTCTGCAAAGACTATTTCCAAATAAGGCCACATTCTGAGGTCGTGGGGGTTAGGACTCCAGCATGCATTTGGCGGACACAAGCTACCCCACAACAGGTATTGAAGAAAGCTCTGCTCTGCCAAATCAGGCTTTACCTGGGTGACATGTTCTGTGGAACTTGTTTATTGTCAGGGGCTCCTAAGACCCCTGGACACAGCTTCCTGTGTAATCAGAGAAAGCTCACAAACAGCATTAAAATTAAATGTTTATCCTGATCT
Organism: Homo sapiens; assembly: GCF_000001405.40. Classification (NCBI taxonomy): domain Eukaryota; kingdom Metazoa; phylum Chordata; class Mammalia; order Primates; family Hominidae; genus Homo; species Homo sapiens. Next base: position 109,367,444 of record NC_000013.11, on the reverse strand, counting down.
TTCATAACCCTACTTACACGAGGGACAGTTATTGTGATGCTAGTAGCTTTACCAGCATATAGTTCTTGGCAATAAAAGATGTTGTAGATAGAAAAGAACAATTCTGGTAAATATTAGATATTTCATAACAAATGTTTAATAACTCAAACTAACTACATAGCGTTCTTGGCCACAGAATCTACAACCCTGGGCTCAGAGTGTGCCTCTGTTAGAAAGGACACTCTGGGCAAGCGTGTGCCTGTCACTTTAATCTTAAACGGAGCAAGCCGACCTCTGGCCCTTTGCAGCTAAGCCTGCAGGGAACCCCCTACCCCCTAAGAGGCTCCTTTCTAAGCATCCCTACAGCCTGCTGCTGGAGCTTGCTCACACACACCCGAAAGGAGGAATGACGCACTTGCCACTTCAAACAGGTGGCAGGTGTGAGTGCTGCCGGTGCAGACCTAATCATGATTCCCAGCTTCACTCAGGGCTCCTGAGATGGGGGCAATGTGTTCTGTCAAAAGTCTAATCTCTCAGAAACATTCTCTAAGAAAGTACCTTGTACATGTTTACCTGCGACACAAATGGAACTGTCATGCCAACATCATCATCATCACCTGTTTCAACACTGCAAGCAGGGCCTCCTTGTTTTGTGTGTAGTCTCATCCCCAGGCCAGGAGGGGCCAATGTTTGTGGTGGGTGGCATTCCACAGTGAGTCCCAGGGATTCCCATCTCTGGCTTTCATGGTCTTACATAATCCTCTTCCCACCAGTGTGGGCTGGAGCTAGTGACTTGCTTCTGAGGAATAGAGTATGTGCGGCAGGAGGGATGGATTCACTTCTGAGATCATGTCACAGAGGACTGGGACTTCTGTGTTGCTAGCTTGCCTGCCCCCTGCCTCTCTTCTCTCTTTCTGTTTCTCTATCTCAGTCCTCCCCTCCACTTATCTCTTCCGAAATGCTTGCCTTGACAGATGCAGCTAGAAAGCTCACATGACAAAAGGCTGAGGGCAGCCTCCAGCCAGTCCCCAACTAAGACCCTCAGCTCAATGCCCTCAAGAAAGTGAAGCCTGACGAAGCTACATTAGTGAGCCCAGAGGTGGCCCTCTCCAGTGGAGCACTGAGGTGACACCAGCCTGGATGACAACCTGGTCCCAGCCTGGGAAAGGCTCTGAGCCCAAGGACCACCTAAGTCATGGCCAGATTTCTGATCCATGAGAACTGGGGTAATATGTGTTGTTCGAGCCACTTTACACACTGAATTGTGTCCCCCCTGAATTCCTATGTGAAAGACCTACCCCTCAATGGGACTGTATTTGAGATAGTGTGTTTAAGGAGGTAGTTAAGGTTAAATGCAGTCATGAGGGTGGAGCCCTGATGCAGTGGAGCTGGTGTCTTTATAAGAAGAAGGGATTACGGTACGGATCTGTACACAGAGCCCATGTGAGGACACAGCCAGAAGGCAGCTGTCTGTAAGCCAAGGAGAGAGTCCTCAGGAGAAGCCAAACCTGCTAACCCCTTATCTTGGACTTTCAGCCTCAAAAACTGCCAGAAAATTAATTCCTATTGTTTAAGCCACATAATCAGTGGTATTTTGTTGTGGTAGCTCTATCAGACTAATACAAGTCTTAGTCTGCTAAGTTTTGGGATAATTTGTTACACAGCTATAGATAGCTGATACAGTCATCAACATGCATCAATTTTCCATTTACCCTGAGCTGGGGACAAGACAAAGTCTCTGGTCTTTAAGAATCTTACACTCAGCAGAGCATGATGGCTGACACCTGTAATCATAGCACTTTGGGAGGCTGAGACAGGTGGATCACTTCAGGCCACAAGTTTGAGACCAGCCTAGGCCACATGGCAAAACCCCATCTCTACAAAAAAGGACACAAAAATTTGTTGGTCCTGGTGGCGTGCATCTGTAGTTCCAGATACTCGGGAGGCTGAGGTGGGAGGATCCCTTGAGCCTTGGAGGTCAAGGCTGTAGTCAGCCAAGATCACACCACTGCATTCCAGCCTGGGCAACAGAGCAAGACTCTATATCAGAAGAAAGAATATTACAGTCTATGGAAGAAAATCACCAAATATAATAAAGTAATGGAACTCAAAAACAATAAAATAATCATGTTACTAGAGAGATGGACAAAATGCCATTGAAGACTTGGGGAGAGGGCAGTTCACTCAGTTCTATGGTGGGAGAAAGAGGAAGCTAGCCCCATTTCTCTGAGGAACAGTGACTGAGGGGACGTTTAAAGATGAGTTGAAGTTCTACAAGCTGAACAGAGAGGAGACGGCAGTCCAAATACCACCTGTACCCCAATAACTTACGGAATTTTTTTTTTCCAAAAGAAGAGCTGCTCTTTCAAAGGCACAAATGCAAGTGATAGCTGCACGCTACCTCCTTGCTGTCCATGTGCTGTGTGATGTGCTAAGCAGTGTGCAGACATTGCCTTATTTGATCCTCATAACAGTCCACTGAAGCTGATGCCATAATCGTCTCCATTTTGTCATTGAATACATAGAGGCTGAAGGAGGGAAAGCGAGTTCCCCAAGGTCATACAGCTCATAGGTTGCCAGGATTTCACTCCCAGGCCAGCAAGTTGAAAAGAGAAAATGTCCTTAGAAGACACAGGCTTCTAAGAAGTCAAACACAAAGGCCTAGGAGAGAAACTGAGAAGGATCAGTGTGAGAGATAAGAGGAAAATTAATGTGATCCCAGATCAAAAGGAAGCATCTTGCTGGGTGAGAATGGTGTTGGCTGCCAAAGGCAGTAGAGCATCTGGTAGACGATGGACTTTTGGGAGATCTCCAGCGAGGAGCTCCCATGGTTTAACAAGAACAGAAACAAGATTCCCGCCAAGTGAGTGAGGGTAGTGACAATCAAGAAATAGGTTCATAAAATGAAACTGAGAATGGGACAATGGCTAGGTCATCTTGTGGTAAGCTTGATGTGTAGAATCCTTCCTTACTTCAGCCCTTCCCTGTTTGATGCTAGAAGTTTCTTCAAGTCAATTGGGTTTTAACGGTGCACACATCTGCATACTGCTGTGATTGAGCCTTCACCTTCTCTTCCTTTTTAATGGGCCTAGAGTATTCTGGTGAAGCACGCCACCATGCTTCAGACTTTGACCGGCCTACGGGTGGGAGAAGTGGAGAACGAATGCTTTCCTTTTTGGCTAAGGCTCAGCAGGGGACATTGGGAGGCCCGATGTCAGTGGACTTGCATGTAGAGGACAAACTTCAAGGCAAAGGAGCCCACTAGTAAGGTCCTCCCAGCACCACCCAACCCTGGAATGTGGGGTAATTGAACTCATGTGCCAAGGAGAAGGTTGAATTGGAAAACACAGATGAAAATTTCTTGCCATTTTGATTTCTACAAAGCCCTGTCAAGGCCTGTCTCTGAGTCAGTCCTGGCCCAGGAGACTGCTTACTTTCCATGCTGTGGAGAACACCCATGAACGTGGCACACTTTCCTAGGGATCTTTGAGCTAACATTGTCTTTGTTTTTAACTGACCTTAGCTTGACACCCCAGAGGGTCGTGTTTAGAAGGGGCAATGCTTTCTGGAAAGTTTTGTGCCCACAGACACACACACACACACACAGAACATACCAGACAGTGAAGGGTTGACTCTGTCTCTGAGAGTGGAGCAATCACAGAGGCAGGGTCTTGGATTATAGGTCCTGTTTCATGTCCCTTCTGTAAAGGACATGCAGGTTTAGGGCATGTTGAGTTCAGATGTTAATTTTCAGTCATGTAACACGAAAACCCAGCAACATCCCACGTGGAGTCCACACCTCCCACGATAGAATGTGCTTGGTGGAACTGGGTGGAGCACAAGCGCAGCACAGCCGTGGGCGGGTCCTGTGGGCTGTGGAGAGGGGGTCACAGTGGAACTCTGAGCAATAGGATATGTGGAATTTTGTAACTAAAGGTATGTGGGATCTGCAATTTGTAAATTGTGACAATGCAAAACTAGCAAATGGGCCAGAGAAACTTAAAGAGAGGCTGTGTGTACCATCCAGTGTGGAAAGCTGCAAACCTCAACCAAATCAGTCATGCTGGGATGCCCACGCTATAGCAGCTGCCAGACTGACCGCATTGTATGAGGTTAGTCTTTTCTCTACATAGTACTTAACATGGACTTATACTTCTCTTGTTAATTTGCGTTGTTATTTATTGTCTGATGGACTGATCACTTGCTTTGCTTCTCTCCATCCTCCACAAAATAGAACCTCCATGACATTAGGACCAGCATCCTCTCACTCACTGTTGTCTCTGCCACAATTGCAACAGTGCCTGGTGTTTTGGAAGCGGCTGCTCCCATGCAGAAATGCATGAGAGTATCCACCCTCTCCTGCCCTCCTTCCTTTTCTTCAAATATTTTTTCTGCTGTGCCTGTAAGGGGAGTGGGAATACTGAAGTGCAAGATCACAATCATGTCATTAAATTTCCTGGTTCTTTTAGGTAAGTGCTATGGGTTGAATTGTGTCTTTCCCAAAGAGATAGGCTGAGGTCCTAACCACCCCCCACCCCATGCCTCAGAAAGTGACCATATTTGGAATTGGGTTGTTGCAGATGTCATTAGTTAAGATGAGGTCATACTGGAGCAGGATGGGTCCCTAATGCAGGATAACTGGAGTCCTTTGAAGAAGACAGCCATGTGATGACAGACAGCCACAGGGAAAGCACCAAGGGATGCTGAGAGCACAGGTCAGAGGGATGCAGAGATTGGCATCAAGCCAAGGAATGCCTGGGCCTCCCGGAAGGTGGACAAGGTGAAGAAGGATTTTCCTACGGATTTTAGTGGGAATATGCCCTGTAGACACCTTGATTTCAGACTTCCAGCCTCTGGAACTGTGAGAGAATAGGTTTCTGTAGTTTTAAGCCACCCAGCTTGCAGGACTTTGTTATGGCAGCGCGAGAACTGATATACTGCAGTTCTTGTGAGTTCTCCAAGCCCTAGATCCTCATCTAAAAATGAGAATAATCGGTCCTACTTAAAAACCTTTAACAAAAGTTAAAAGCAAACCCTCCTTAAATTAATATGTATTCTGCCCTATGTTTCCTCTTCTAAGCACAGGCAATTTGTTTAGTAAAACAGCAATAGATTGGTGTTTGTGTCCATTTTGCAACTAACTTGTTCCTACTTTTCTCTTTATTAAAACTAGCACAGGGGCACTCACTGACTGTACTCACCTCCATTCACCCACTAAAAGCCAACAGTTCTTACATATCTCATTTATTTTTGATTGATATCCCATCTACATTCAGCATGGATTTGAGGCAGCTTAACATCAACACATGGATGCAAGTTTTATGCATTCCGCATATGATAGCACTGCAAAGACAAGACAGTAAAATACATGATAATATACGGTTATGTGGTGTGCTGCAAGCTGAAAGGGCAATCAATTTTTGTGACTGCATGTATGAAGATGTATCTTTCTAATACTGTGTGACTCGGGTTATTTCATTTATTTATTTCATCAATTTTGTTCTTTTGTTTTCCTAGAGATTTCTAGGAATGACAAACTGATCATGGTTTAATACAAACTGTGAATCTTGTCCTCTCCTGTGTGTGACTTACGGGGTAATGAATGGCGGGGGTGGGGTAATATTTTGCAGACACTCTCCGGCTTTCTGTCTTCAGGCAGTGTTCTGTTTGATGGATCAGCTGCAGGTCACACATCCATTTCCGTTTAGTGGTGCAGACGGCCTGCGTAGTTCCGTGTCTGTGGGTCTACTCTCTGGCACTGCTCTGTTAAGTAACACAGAAAAAGGCCCGTAATTGAAAGTTGGCCAAAAGGGTTAGGGTTTCCCTCTTTTTATTTCCCTTTTTTTTCCTACCAATTCCTTCAAGGCCAAGTTCTAGTCAAATCTCACTTATGATTCCCCCTTTTTTTTTTTTGGCTTTGCTGATCAATATTAACAAGTGTTATATTCTATTAGTGGAATAGTTTATAGATTATAAATTACTTGGTTTAAATGTAATTATCTTTCTTGTGGTTGATTATTTCAGCTACCTGGTGAGAAAGGTAGAACTGGAATCATGATTTTAACTTTCTAAGAAGTTTTAAGGAGACCTCTGGCCTTTCCCAGGCTGCTCTTGCAAGAGGTACTTTTCCAGGATATGAGGTACCTGCAGGCAGATCCTAAGGGCCCATCATAATGCTCACTCCAGCAGACACTCAGTGCACACGTGTTTGCTCCTCTAATCAGGGTTGTGGATAGTGTGGGGGCAAGAATGCAAAATGGAGATCTGGGCTATGCTGATTGCTCATTAGCTCCAGAGGACAACTCTGTTGATATCCCTAAAGTGGAAAACTGCACCACAACGAGCCATAATTTCATCAGTAAGATGTTAGAAACATCACAAATGCTTTCTAAGAAGAGGCAACAGAAGGAAACCCCAGAAAGCTTTCTAAGAAGAGACAACAGAAGGAAACCCCAGAAAGCAGAGTGTTTGTCATGGAGAAAGACTGCCATGTGAGGAACTTTGGTGGCATAAGGGGAGACAATCACCTGTTGCAGAGGACAAGAACAAGACCATGTAAGTGCTGGCTGACATTCTTCACTTGGATGGAAGTTACAAGACACGTGATTTGATCATTCCTTCCCTTTTTTCCCAAAATCAACAGAGATTTCAGCTTGTTTGCTCTCAGTTGATGCTACTAAGTGGAATGCATAGATTAAAAGTTTAAAAAGGCAAGGGATGCTGTGGCCTGCCTTCACGTTGCAACACCTTTGATTTCTCCTTTCTGCCTTGAACTCCCTACCAACCGGTGGATATCTTAGCGGATAGTTTCTTGGTCTCTTGAAGGAAGTGCTAGGCATGCATTCCCATTTCAGGCTGTGAGTGGCATTAATCTTGCTGCCACAGGCCTTGGGTCTGTGCTTGGGGTAAACATGGATGCTGACGTGTCCTTGTAGCATGAGTCCCATCCTTACCACTTTGTGTGAAATATTGACTTAATGGGTCTGAGCAGAAATAGGAGTCCAGGGCCAGGTGAGCAAAAAATTGAAACAGGGATCAGGGACAAGGCCACAGGGAAATTAGACTTAATAAGTATGTGACAATATAGCAGATATTTTATGATAAATCCAAAACTTAAATTCCATCTATCATTACAGCACATCAAAATTTTTTTTTTTTCTGTGAGTATGTCTATATGTCATCTGGAAGTACAGAGGGCTACCCCCAATGGCTGGGATAACTGCATTAGCTCTAATTTGCTTTTCATATGTTCATTAAACTAGTTCTTTTCAACTGGGTAAGTGCCTGGCACCTGGAATATGAGGATCTGAACACTATGAAGTCTGTACCTTAAGTAATAACTTGCCTGCTGGGCATGGCTTTAGTTATTTCTTACAGTAGTTCAGGTTAGAGCTACAAATACAGGGAAAGATTCTGATGGATCTGGGTCATGTTGATTATGTAGAAAGCAGAGTCTAAAGCTTCTGTTTGAAAGTGTTAGAATTTTGCAGCCAAGTATGTAGCCTGCATTGGAGTATTATGAGCAGGCAATGGCAAGACAGTCAATAATGAAAACTGAATTAAAGAACCGGTGGCCTCTTGTAATGATGAAGAATTATGTAAAGTAGAAATGTAAGAAGGATTATGGAAGTAATTGAATTTCTCTTTTTTAGTTTTTTTTGACATATCTGTATTATATGGTCATTGCACTGTTCCCCATTTATCTACCTATGAGTAGACAGAGAGATCTGGATATACCTAAATACAGTAGCAGTATAGATATATTAACAACCTATCCATTGGCAGCTAGTGAGTGAGCCATATTTCACAGCTCTAATGCAATCAGAGGCTACGAAATTTAATCAAGGGCTACAATATTTCATGCCTGTGAGGCTGTTACCGTGAAAGATTGTTTTTTTTCTTTTCTTTTTTTTTTTTTTAACACAAGGAAGGACGAGTACTTACATTGGATTTTAAACCAGTACTATTGAAATATTCAAAAGAACTTAGATGAATCTTAAAATATTAGGCTCGTGTGATTGGAAATCTTCATCTTAAACCTGAAAGTATTTTTCGTGTGGCAAATGAAGAGCAAAGTTGTCAACTGTTTATTTTCTCTACTTTCTCAAATAGATCACTAGTGAACAACAAAGACATAGGGCAGTGCCAAGTACAAAGAGAGAGAACTATGATAATGATAATTTTATGTTTTGAACACTTTTTTTTCTGAATTGTTTTTAAAGCCAACATATTGAATTCTAGATTTAGTATGAGTACTGAAGGATGGCGATAGGGTGCAACACCCTTGTATCCAGTTCAGTTTGCAGCCGTCTTCCAACTTAAGGCCTAAAGACTTCTTGTCTTTATGTGAGACTATACGAAGGGGTTCCATGATGAAATAATTTGGGAAAATACTACGTAGTATGTCTTATTTGCTTGTTGGAAAGTTAAAAACTGATAATTCCTATAGTAAAGAGACATTTAAAATGGAATCAGTGTAATTGAATACCATCATATAAAAGACCAAAACTATCCAGCTATTGATCTATGTATCTATCTATGGATCTATCTGTCTATGTCTTTGTTCTGAAACTTGAACTGGTACACAAACTATTGAACCTCATTATAAAAGGAAAGAAACTATCGTAAGAGCTTTCGGAAAATGATACCTATGTTCTCATATAGAGTAGAACTAAGTAATTTGTACATATTGAAAACAATCTTTGAAACAGCTTCATCACAACGTTTAAGTCTCAGAAATGACCTGAAATTGCTTTTCAAACTATTTCTCTGGTTTGTCATAAAAAACAGAATTCCTAGGTATCCCATTTCCATGGAATATGGTTTGGCACCCTTCAAATTGGCTTAATTTTCTTTGTTGTGATAGAGATGAAAAAGCAGCACCCTTTAAACACGTGGATACCAATGCACCAATTATCTTTTCTTCCTGACTCATCAGAGACCCCAGTGAGCACAGAATGAAAGCAGGTTAGACCAATGCCTCACGTCAGGCCGAGGCTGCTCTCCGTTCATGACACTCTCAAGGGGAGTGAAGGAGAAGGTGGTGTGTAGAGAAGACACCTACACACATTTTATGTTCCTTGGCTTCATAAATAGTAGCAGCCTTGTGGGTCTCATCGTGTCCCCCAAAAATGTCTGCTCACTCCTAAGCTGTGAATACATCCTTCTTTCTAAGTACGAGGTCATTGCCGATGTAATCAAGATGAGGTCATCAGGCAGGGCTTAATCCAATATTACCAATGTCCTTACAGAAGAGGAAAGTGCCCTGTGAAAGTATGGACACGTGGTGATCACCAAATGGTGACGGAGGCGGAGAGTGGAGTGACGCAACCACAAGCCCCAAACAACAAGGTCTCTGGTGAGCACCAGGAGCGCGGAGACAGCCTGAGCCTGCAGCACCTTGACTTTGGACTTGTGGCTTCAGGAACTGAGAGGGAGTAAATTCCTGTTTTTCAAGCCATCCGGTTTGTGGTCCTTTGTTTTGGCAGCGCTAGGAAACTGATACAAATAGCTGGTGGTTATTCACTTATTTATTTTATCTGGCACTGTGCTGGAGGCTTTACATACCTTATTCCTGACAACCACTCTACCAGGAGGGATAGGTTCTCCCATTTTACGAAAGACAGAGTTTCCATTGTCCCACGCCAGCGGCATTAGCATCAACTGGGAAATTTCCAGAAATTCGAATTCTCAGACCCTCCCCAGACCTAGTGAATCAGAAACTCTGCAGGTGGGCCCAACGATTGTAGTGTAACAAGCCCTCCTGGAGGGGCTAACACAGCATGAAGTGTGATCTCTGAGGATCTAGACAGACCTAGTGGGGATGGAGTTATGATGTGGATTCATATCCCTCTGAATCAAAAGCTGGGTACACGCACATACTCACACACAAACAGACTCACATCTGAACACGTGTTTTTTTAATAAAAGAAAGGAAGGAAGCATTTTGAGATAGGCAAGGGGCAGCTTTGGGCACTGTTGCTCTCCTCATCCAAAAGCAGAAGGCCCAGGGAAGCCCTGCGAGGATCTATTACCCTCTGCAGAGCCAGGCCTTCTTTCATTGCTTTGGAAGAATTTGCAGTAATAACCATTGTCTCTCCTTCCATAGATGTCAAGGCCAAATGCAAAATGACAAAGGCCAAGTCCCTTCTTCATTCAGAAAGAATATGAATACATGTGTTTATAATCATGTGTTTGTCTTCCTCTGCTAAGTTCAAGGATCTTTATTCATATGTGGACTTTATTTTGCCTAATACAGGCTTTCTTTCAGAATATTTTCACCTGTGACCATATGGAGTATTTCATGATCCTGATTCTGACCTGCGAAATTTAAAGCATTTTCAATACAAACAGGTCTCATTTTCTAAAGATTTAGTATCGAGGCCAAGCAATCTATTTCAGTTGCTGATCTGGAAATGGAATTGCAAGGTGGAGCACAATTTGTGACTCATATGAGCTCCCTCTCTCTCTCTCTTTTCTTTTTTTCTGTGCTGGGCATTAGCTAAGAGTTTCAACTTATATATTAAAGGTTTTGATATACAGAATATTGATAATATAATAATTACATCTAAAAAGCCGGTTTTCTATGTTGCAAAAAGTCCTGAGTGTACCAACTCTGGGATTTTCATACCATGAGATTATTGAGAGCAACCAGGGACCCAGGGCAGCCCCAAATTTCTCTGATTTACAGGATTTTACGTCATCTCTGCTTAGAGTTATTTATTGTCAGAAGTGAAACATTTTAATAACTCCTCTGTTATATGTTTCAGTCTTTAATGTTTTATAATCTGTTCCCTCAATCAGGAGATTTTGAATACTGGGAGTTACACTTTCCTGGCTTTTAGCCTTGCCAAAATCTTACCCAGCCAATCCCCTACTGAAGAACTCAATTTATTTGCTTAATTTATTAGGGAGGATTCAGAAGAATTTTTTATGGGAAATGTTTTTTTGTAGAGACTGTCTTTGACACCTACATTGACCCACCTAAAGCATAAAAAAAAAAAAAACTTTTGATGCTGAAGTTGAATCAAAACTACGCCTGTCCCCTCCACCTCGGGGCTGTCTTCTGCAGAGACTGACGTGGTTTCCAGCAGCAGGTCCGTGTAAGTGCAGAGAACAACTGCCTTTAGCTGCTGATCTTCGTATCATTAATTTCCTGCTCTGAAAACCGAAATGCCTTGTAATTATCCAGCTGTAGGAACACATAAGACAGTACTAAATTTTGCTTAAGTACAGCCTATTGCCAAAACGGAAGCCAAAATATATAATTAGGTAGGCATTAACATTCGAGAGCCGTGCGGTTTCGGAGCAGCACAATGGCAGGGACACGCGTGAAGGGCAGGCTTCCTGGGTAATGTAGCAGAAACCCTTCTCTAGTACCGTGCCCTCCCGTGCGCTCTCCCGTGCCCCGCCATGGTGCCAGCATGCCCGTCCTGTTACTGGTCTGTGGATACGGAAGGGTTCCACCTTGCGAGGTCCCTGCCAAAAGATTCAGCTTCTCCTGCCTCAGAAGCAAATGTCTGCATTTTTAAAGCAAGCAAAGAGTAATTAGATTGCAGTGTTCCAGGCTGAACCTAGTGCAAGAAAACAGTCCGTCTTGTCCATTTACATTCATACACATCCCACCATTTTTACGCAGCATTGTTCCCAGGGCAGGGGTCATGATGTTCCATAATGAATTCCAAGAGAGCTCCTCAGACAAGCAAAGAGAAGTGCCTGCTTTGACCTATCACCTGCCTGTGACCGTGATGAAAAGTCACTGGTGATTTTGTGACAAGTATGCTTTTCCATTCCCAGTCATGACTTTAGACAACCTGCAATATGCCCATGTCTGGCCAATGTGGACACTCGGGCAAGAAGAAAATCAACACTTTCTGAGTAAAAGTTGCTTAAATATATGACATAGTTTTAAGAAACAAAATGATGTTGCCAGTTCTTAGGGACTATAGAGCATTTAAGCTCTTTTGACCTATAAAAGGGAAGGGATCGACCGTGGTAGCTTGGGAGAAAAGAAAAATTCTAATTACTATTAATGAGATTCATTATAATATAGGGTCTCCCAGCAATGAATTTTAAATGTCCCCTGTCAGTTTTCTATCAACATGGCACAGAAGGAAACATCTGCTCTGGAGTGCCCATGGAGGCGCATTCTTATGAGCTGATCTGTTTCCTCTATTAACTATCACTCTTGTTGTGTTGGTGGACAAGGGATCAATCTTTCCCCGAAATCAGTTTTTCTGCCCAAAGCTGAAAGCCTTGGTGTTTGTGGGTATGTTTTAAAAATCATATATTAAAAGTAATTTAAAGGTTAAACCCTAATTACTTTTTTCCTTCTTTTTCTATTTTTTTTTTCCTGTTCGAACTAATATAAATCATTCTTGTTTCTTGTTATGAGATGGAGGGAAACCTTGCGCTAGTACATTTCAGCAAAAATCGAGTTCTTTTGTGACCAACGTAATTCTAACATTTTGTTGGGGGATTAATGAAATCGTCCTAGAAGTTCCTGCCTTGAGCAGCATTGTGCAGGACAAACAGAAGGTGAGACGGACATGTAATTTTAAGTTTTCTAATAGCTACATTTTTAAAAGTAAAGATAAATTAGTTCTAATAATATGTTTCAAGCCAGATGCGGTGGCTCAAGCCTGAAATCCCAGCACTTTGGGAGGCCGAGGCGGGAGGTCAGGAGTTCGAGACCAGCCTGACCCACCTGGTGAAACCCTGTCTCTACTAAAAATACAAAAGAATTAGCCGGGCGTGGTGGTGGGTGCCTGTAATCCCAGCTACTCAGGAGGCTGAGGCAGGAGAATCGCTTGAACCTGAGAGGCAGAGGTTGCAGCGAGCTGAGATCACACTACTGCACTCCAGCCTAGGTGACAGAGCAAGATTCCATCTCAAATATTTATGTATGTTTCAGTTAAACCAGTATATCCAAATAATACTCTATGAACATATAATCAACATAAATATTATTAATGACCTATTTTACTTTCTCCTTTTGTGTTTTCCACTTGCAACTCTTCACTACCCACATTTCAAGGACTCAGTGGACTGATGGGCTCTCGGCTTCCACCCTGGATGGCGCTGAACGTGGGGAAGTTCTTTACTTCCATTCTCACGTGAGAAACTGTAAGGCAATGATTTAAAAAAATGCAATTCTGCTTCTTTAGGTAAACTGTTGTTTACCATTATACTTCTCTAAAATAGGTTAAATATTTTACTGCTTTTGAGCCTTGATTTTCTAAAGTTTGAATTAGTTGTCAGTGCTAAAATATAAACTTTTTTTTAAAAAAAGAATAAGATGTATCTGAATGCATTAGGGATGAATTTCACTGATGAAAAGGATTTCAGCACAATAGAAATACCTATATCTAGCCGAAGGTTTCCACAGATGTAAGACAATTTAGATTTTCCATATGGAAGGATAAAGTATTTTTCACTATTTATTTCTGTTGCTTATGGAAATTAAGCAACCTAGAGCAGTAAAATGAAGTTTTATTCACAGTACCTTTAATTAGTCAAACATCTGGAAATATTTTTTGTATGTAATATGACTAAATTATAAAAGATATAATTTGTTTTTACTACTCTGTGTTTCCATCTAAATCTAATATAATTTTTTAGTATTACATGAGTACGCTGCCCAGAAACCTCCTTTCTCCTGGTTTACCTGGCAATTTCACTATACCTAGTTCCTGTCGGTGACTGCCAAAGGAAATCTTTTCAATCAGTATTAAAACATTGGCTACTTTGTATATGCTGCCTGCTTCACCTAGCTCTGTGGAGTCAAGAGTATGTCCTACATAAAGAAATACAAGACCATCAACCTGGAGATATGAGAAATATGAAAAGTTGCTTTTGATGGCAGAGGCACACAATTAGTGCTGCCTTATTTTAGAGAAGAGCGCCGTCTTTTCCTACCAAGATCATTGAAAAAGATGTTTTGGAGGAAATGGGATTCTATGATGGTTAGGATTTGGCAACTTGGAGAGGAAGACAACATTCCAAGAAAGACAGCTATCTGAGAAAAACACCTGCAAAATCAAATGAAGATAAAATAGTGATTGGCATATAATTCTAATAAAAAGACAAACAGTATGAAAAGAGGGTACATTTATTAAGATACAGATTCATGAAAAAATTCTATGTAGTTATTTAAGCAGCTATTTAAGCTACTGGTTTCAGGATATAGTAGGGTGCTCTTTGGAAGGATGATGTGGCATAGAAAGAGTGATAAAGAGAGAGAAAGAGAAAAGGAGTTGCAAAACCTGAAAATCCTTCTTCAGGCTATTTCTTTAAAACGGGTCTTTTACTTGGCATTTATCTGTGAACTCTCGAAGTTCAAGACAAATATTCAATAACTCCTAGGCATTATTTTTAATCGTCAACATCACCACTATTTTTATTTTTTATCATTATTTTTGTTTGTTTCTTCTGTTTTTGAGACAGGGTTTGCTCTGTTGCCCAGCCTGGAGTGCAGTGGTGTGATCAGAGCTCAATGCAGCCTTGACTTCTCAGGTTCAAGCCTCCTGAATAGCTGTGACCACGGGTGCACACCACCATGCCCAGCAATTTTTTAAATTTTTTTGTAGAGATGAGGTCTCATTATGTTGCCCAGATTGGTCTTGAACTCCTGGGCTCAAGCGATCCTCCTCCCTCAGCCTCCCAAAGTGCCGGGGTTACAAGTGTGAACCACTGCCCTCAGCCTATCTCCATTACTTTTAAAACAAACACATAAGGAAAGGGTATAGTGATATAGATATTTTTAGATTGGTGTATTAGTCTGTTCTCATGCTGCTAGTAAAGACATATCCAACACTGGGTAATTTATAAAGAAAAGTTTAATTGACTCACAGTTCCACATGGCTGAGGAAGCCTCACAATCATGGTAGAAGGCGAAGGAGGAGCAAAGCCACATCTTACATGGGGGCAGGCAAGAGGGTGTGTGCGAGGGAACTATCTTTTATAAAATCATCAGATATCGTGAGGCTTACTCACTATCACGAGAACAGTATGGGAAAGACCCACCCCCATGATTTAATTACTTCCCACCAGCTCCCTCCCATGACACATGGGAATTACAGGAGCTACAATTCAAGATGAGATTTGGGTGGGGACACAGCCAAACCATATCAATGGGAATAGATGTCTTTTCTTACTTTATACAGACCAGTGTGAGCTCTGCAGCTGGCTGTGCCAGTTTGAATCTTAACTTTACCAAGTGCTTGTTGTGTGAACCCAGGGAAGATGCTGGGCATTCCCCTGCCTCATTTTACTCATCTGTAAAATGGAGATGGTGAGAGTAACTTCTTATGATGTGTTTTGGTTTTAAATTGACTTTATTTTTTTTAGAGCAGCTTTATGTTCTCAGCAAAACTGAGCAAAAGGTACAGAGATTTCCATACACCTCCCCACCCTCTCACCTCCACACACACACACTGCCTCCCTCATCATTATCCCCATCCCTTGCCAGGGGGTACATTTGTTACAATCAATTAACCTAAATTGACTCATCATCATCACCCAAATGTCACAGTTTACATTAGAGTTCACTCCTGGTGTTGCCCATTCGATGGGTTTTGGTAAATGTATACAGGTTTGTTTTTAAGGTGAAAAGAAAATACTCAAAAAGCTTAGAAGAGTATATGGCATAGATGAAAAACTCAAAATGTTACCTACTATCATTGATATTATTATTGATTATAGTGGTATGTTTTAAAATAATCTTTTGAAACACTTTTTCTTTTCTTTAAATTATAGTGGCATGTCCGTAACTTACATATGTGATATATGTTGTATATTTATGTAATTTGTAATAATTATATACTACCATGTATAGTAGTATATATTACATATACTATATAATATGGTATGTATACTATGTAATATATACTTATTCTTTATTATACATAACACAATATATTACATATATATACTATATATGAAGACATACATATATAGTGTATATACTAAATTATTAGGTTGGTGCAAAAGTAATTGCAGTGTTTGCCATTACCTTCAACAGTAAAAACCGCAATAACTTTTGCACCAACCTATAATACATGTCTTCAAAAACTGATGAGCAGAATCTCTGAACTCAGCCAAACACAGAAGGATCCTAGGGTATGGGTGATTGTTGAAATACATGCTGCAAAATATTCCTCTTAAAAGCCTCACTCTGTAATCTGAAACTTCTAATATTCTGGCTGTCTTTGAGTGTGGTAAGCTCATATTTTGAGGTCAATAATTCGTATTCCCTTTAAATAACACCAGTTGTTTGCCTCTGGACAATGATAATCTTTAACGTGGGAAGATTTAATCCTAATTGCAAGAGGTCTTACAGACAGAAGTGACTTCCAAAAACACAGACCAATATTTCCTGGAATAAAATTCCAGATATTAACAGGCTTTATTATGGCGGCCTACATCAGTGTGTCAATGCATAAGAACATAAGCTGAAAAAAAAAATTGGCTCAGATCATAAAAATAAAGCTTAACAGTTGGATTCAACATCTCTTATCATCTACCACTCCCCACAGACATCTCATCTCTGAATCCCGATCCGTTATTCTTGAGCTAGGTACACACATTCAATACTCTGTAGCCCAAGGCAATGCCTACAATCTAAGTTCTAGGGCAGAGACTACCATATTCAGTTTTTTTATTGTTTCTCCAAGTCAATTATTTCTTAGAAATGTATTAAATTTTCTCATGCCAGATTTTATGTGATTTAATTATGGAACACTAGAGAAAATCAGGGATTTAAAAGAATTTTTCATGCCTCTCAGCCATGATCCAAGGTGACTGGTTGTACGTGGTAAAGGATAGCATCTACTCAGTCCCCGCGATTTGAAGACATATGTAACCAGCACTTGCCACCTTATCATTATACTCTAGAAGGCCATCAACCAAGACTTCATTCCGGATGTCCTAGCTCTCAGAGAACATCCCTTTCGACCCAATTGTATTGTCTGTTCATACTCTATTATTACAGTAAATGTGAGTGAACAGCAGTGTATTGACTTTTAATTATGTATAGTATATTTTTAAAATTTGTAATTACTATTCCTTTATACGTCTCTAAAAATCTTGTAATTATGATGCTAAACACTATCACACCATTGGAAATGGCAGAACTGTTCAGATTTGCCAATATCTGGGTGATTACTCTTGCTTGCAAAGGTTTTTAGAGAAGTAATAATTATGTGCTTAGCATTTAAGCTATTTCTCCAAGTTTACAATTATTATTCTTTCTTTCTGCAGAGAGCACTGTGACTTACAAAGAGTAAGAAAACTAGAAACTTTTGTTTGGTTTGCCAATGTATTGGCAGCATGATTGGGACAGAATCCAGGTCGTGCCCCAGGAGAAAGCTATTCGTGACACCATCTCTTCGCACCCTGAAAACATATTTATTAATTCAGTGTTTGACGTGTGTTTGTAATTACTGATGTGTATTTATGGGTTTCAGGTGATTTTTTTAAATCTTAGAATCTCTGCCCCTTATTGAGGGTGGTCTTAAGGTAATAGGACATTTACTGAAACAACCTTCTGTACCAAACATGATGCCTTCTTTTACCTCCGTGGCTTCCAGCTTCAACCTGTACTCCATGTTCCTTCCAGACTCTGTGCTCCATCCACAGCAAACATTGCAGCTTGCTAAGCAGCCTGTGCTGTTGCTTCTGGGCCTTTGCATCGGATGTGGTCCCTGCTTAACAGACCTTCCCTAGCTCTTTGCCTGCACACAATATTCAGCTCACCCTTCAATTCAACGCAGCTAACTCACCTTTTCTTCTCTAACAGCCTCATCCCCTCCCCTAGAGACTTATCCACTTCTCTTTGTGCTACACTGGTATACTAGGCATTTCTGTCATTTTTTTTCCTGTATAACATCCTCTGAATGTAGCATCTATTTAGTAATTATCCTATTTGAGGATGGAACTGTCTTTAAAAGAATCTTCAAGATATATACAACCAAAAATGGCAAACAGAGTAACACCTACACAAGTTTGGTACAGTGCCAGAAACACATGCTTTATTTTTCTGGACAAATTAAAGAAATTCACCTTTGGTCACGTCCACTTCTATATTTGGACATTTTCATGTGGTTTCTGGGTACTTCTCTCTTCTTCATTCCTCTTGTTTTTTTTCCTGGCTTATTTTTACATTAGTAGTTCAATTTTTAAAGTTCCTGAAACAAATGCAAAAAGTTGGTATGGTATTATTCAAAGTATAAGATCAATTTGTAGATCTTAGGAAATTCTAATTCTATGAGTCACTTTACTTCTTCTGTATGGGTCTCCTTTTATTCACTTAAACTGTTAATGTAACAAGAATTTATCTACTGAGTGATTGCACCAAGCACCCTGTCCTTATTCCTTGCAGGGAAATAGTAGGAGTGAAGAATCTCCTTAGTCATTATTTTAAAGTATTTTTTTCAAGTCAGTGAAACTACAACAGTAATGACAAAGTTAAAAGCATTTAGATTACAACTTCAAACAGTGATTATATCTCAAACATGTGCTATTAAAAAATCTTCGGGAGTTAGAATGTGATAAGATTTGTCATTCATTTTCACAGATATTTGGAAGATATTTCAAATAATAAATTTTGCTACTAAGTGGTAATTTAATTGTGCATTTAGACTCAAATTTCTCTGGACAAACATCCTACTTAAATTTTTCTTACCCATAGTAGATTTTATTCGAACGAGAGTAAACACTTTAAAAGCTTTGATGGAAGAATTAGTAAGTACCAATGACTCATAGTTCATCTAGCATTTTTCTTCCCTCATGCATTTTGATGACCATTTAATGGGTTACACCACCAAAACAGCTCCATTAAAAATTTTCAAGCCAGAATAAGAAGGTAAAATTAACCCACAGTTTTTCAGGTAGATCCATGAATTAAGACAACTACAGGAAACATCAATGGGTAAAAAAAAATGTATTCTCTTTTTATAAGTTTATAATAATTATTTATTAGGATCACTGTCCTTCAAAGTTCTAAATTTAATTGAAGAAAACTTGTTAATGCTTATAGAAGAGTCACTTTGTTAAATTTATCATGTTTGTATATTAATTGCTGATACGTGAGATAAATCTAAACATGATATAATCAGTCATAATATTTGATTTTTAAATTGGCAATTACATTTCTTGATTATTGATTTAGAAGAATTTTCTTTTTTTCTTTCTTTCTTTCTTCTTTCTTTCTTTCTTTTTCTTTCCTTCCTTCCTTCCTTCTTTCTTTCTTTCTTTTTCTTTCTTTCTCTTTCTTTCTTTCTCTTTCTTTCTTTCTTTCTTTCTTTCTTTCTTTCTTTCTTTCTTTCTTTCTTTCCCTTCCTTCCTTCCTTCCTTCTTTCTTTTCTTTTCTTTTCTTTTCTTTTCTTTTCTTTTCTTTTCTTTTCTTTTCTTTTCTTTTCTTTTCTTTTCTTTCTTTTCGGATCTCACTCTGTTGCCCAAGCTGGAATGCAGTGGCACAGTCATGGCTCATTGCAGCCTTGACCTCTCAGACTAAACTGGCCCTCCCACCTCAACCTCCCAAGTAGCTGAGACTACAGGCATGAGCCACCAGGCCCAGCTATTTTTTTAATTATTATTATTTGTAGGAGTGAGGTCTCACTATGTTGCCCAGGCTGGTCTTGAACTTTTGGGTTCAAGCAATCCGCCCGCTGCAGTCTCCCAAAGAGCTGAGATTATAGGCATGAGCCACCATGCCTGACCTAGAAAAATTTTCAATATGTTACAGAATGTTTATCAATCTGGTAGTGCTATTAAAATAGGGTCTTGGAAATACCCTTCTGGCAGCAGAGAGCAGATCTGGTGGCAGGGAATATGACCAACTCACAGAAAGGGCACAAGCAAGGAAACAGTGTGAGGTGGTAGCAAGAGTGATGAAGAGAACAAGGCAGATTCAACAAGTGCATGGAAGTAAAATCAGCAGAACTTGATAGATCTGTTAGCTATGCAGAAGAAGAGAAAAGAAAGAAAGTGAAAGATGGCTTGGTCAATTCTATCCCAGGTCTTTCCAGAAAGGAATTCAGGGAGGACCTGGTTTGGGAAAGGCCAAAGGTGGGAGCAATGATGAAACGGGTGTAATCCATGGTCAGAGACTCTGAAAGAGGGCATCACTTTAAAACACATAAGTAATTTTTAAAAATCCTAATTATTATATCACCAGTGAACTTGGTGAAAAAAAGAATTGGGAAGGCTGATAATAAAATGCTTTTTCTAAAGGGATCTCTCTGAAGAATTCAGTTTTATTATTTCAATAGGTTTTGGTGAAACAGGTGGTGTTTGGTTACATGAATAAGTTCTTTAGTGTTGATTTCTGAAATTTTGGTGCACCCATCACCCTAGCAGTGTACACTGTACCCAATGTGTAGTCTTTTATCCCTCATCCCCCTCCAACCCTTTCCCCTGAGTCCCCAAAGTCCATTGTAAAATTCTTATGCCTTTGCATCTTTATAGCTTAGCTCCCACTTATGAGTGGGAACATATGATGTTTAGTTTTCCATTCCTGAGTTACTTCACTTAGAATAATGGTCTCCAATTCCACCCAGGTTGCTGCGAATGCCATTATCTCATTCCTTTTCAAGGCTGAGTAGTATTCCATGTGTCTATGTGTATGTGTATATATATATATATACACACACATATAGATATAGATATATATACATGTGATATATAGGTATATATCAGATTTTCTTTATCCACTCATTGATTAGTGGGCATCTGGCTGGTTGTATATTTTTGCAATTTCAAATTGTGCTGCTATAAACTTGCACGTGCAGGTATCTTTTTCACACAATGACTTCTTTTCCTCCGGGTAGATACACAAGAGTATGGGATTGCTGGATCAAATGATAGATCTACTTTTAGTTCTTTAAGGAATCTCCACACTGTTTTCCATAGTTGTTGTATTATGTTGGTGCAAAAGTAATTGCAGCTTTTGCCATTAAAAGTAATGAGTAATGAGCCTACCCTTTAATCTGCCATGGAGAATGATGATCACAATAAGAGACTTAATATTTATTCTGTGCTTCCCAGGTGTCAGGCATTATATGCTGTTCTATGTCTTATCTCAGCCATTGAGAAGTCCTATCAGGCAGGGCTGATTGTCCCCACTTACAAAAGGGTGAGATCTAGCTCCGAGAGGATTCATGATATGCCACAGGACTGACAGCCAGGAGTAACTTTCAGGACTGCTCTGAACAGGCAACCCTAGGGAGAACTGCATGAGCCCACAATCTGGGATCAATGAGCAGATAAGAGAGATGAGAGAGGACAAAGCTGCTCCTCTGCTCCTTTTTCCCCCCAACTTTCTCCTTTAAGATCCATCTTTAGGGGCAGCAGGGAGAACAAATGGGTGCAATGGGAAGTGGGGTCCCGGAGCTCAGAGGCAATAAGAGCAGCTGACGTGCATGGGGCTGAGGTTCCAGGTAGAGCTGGATTTTACTCCAAAGTGTGCAGAACCCAATTTCAACTATCTTTGAAGAATCACAAAGAAAGTGAAAGGGCAAAGCCACGAGTCCTGGAAACCTCAAATAGTCATACTTGATGGTATTTTCTGGTAAACCTGTGGAATGGACTATTGTGCTACAGACTTATAAGCCCTTTAGAAAAAGCAGTCATGATTTTCAGGAGTCAGCATGGCTTCACTAACAGCGAGTCACACCTCATTTGCTTTCTGACATTTGACTGGACTGGCAGCTTGGAAGATGACATAGATGTGGGGTAGCTGGGTTCCATCAAAGCATGTGACAGAGTTCTGTTTAATATGTTCACGGAAGCACAGCAGGATGACATGAATGGACTGATAGCAAAATCGGATGCAACGTAAAGCAGTGAATAACTATTTTTTTAAAAAGTGGTGATTAATGTACTGATATCAGCCTGAAAGGAAGTCATTAGCAGTAAGCCAAAAGGTTCTGATACGATTAAATCCAGTCAAATGCTTTTATCATTCACTTACTTGAAGGCATGGAAAACATGCTTCTCAAATAAGTGGGTAATCTAATGATTGTGGGAATGTCTACTACAGCAAATGACTGTATCAAGATTTAAATAATCTAGGGATGCCAGTATGAAGCACAAAAGAAGGTGTTGGAAATTTCTTTCTGAGAAATCCTTTGAAACAAGATAGATCCCTCATCAAGCCAGAGCTGGTAAGAATTTCTGCTTTTGACTTGTATTTAATTTTGAATTGAATTTGGTGAATAAAATTTGGCTTCTTTTCCTCCTCCTGTAGAAACTAACTCCAAAATAAGAAGCAAAACAAACAAATGAACTTCATCTTTAATTTTTAAAAAAGAAAAATAAAAATGAAGGAAAGAAAGAATAAAACAGAAGCCTAGCCTCTCAAAAGCAGTGACAATCAAACATGGAAACCCTCGAGGGTGGACACCTATGGTCCCAGACCTCAGAAAAGGCCATCAAAGTCCACTTGTTCAAGGTAGATGGCAGCCATGCAGGTTAGATCTAAACTCGGGTCACAGGATGGGGATGAGTTCTGCCCGGCCCTGAGAGCGTCCCCAGAGTTCGTCTGGCTCTGAGAGAAAGTTGAGGAAAAGTGGCTGAGAGAGCACCGTGCCAAAGTGTCTTCAGAAGGTTGTCCTTGGTGACAACATGAGGCAGGTGGTGAGGCAAGGAGAAGTTCCACTGGGAGTCCCCCGAATGTTGATCCTGCTTGGATGAAAGGAAATGAGAGTCCAGAAGCTCATCTGCACTCCATAGTCCTGAGTCATTCTGAGAATTCCTAACATCCTGAAGCACACGCTGCCCCAGGTCCCACATGGACTTCCTACAGATAGTCAATATGTGGAGAGCTTGTCTTGTTCAAACATGAGAAATATTCGAGAAATAATTTAAAAGGAATAAGCAAAATATACAAAGATTGTACAATTCTACAAATGGGAAGAAAGAACAGAGAAATTAATTTCTAATGCAGACAAAAACCTGCATTAGAAAAACGCTACCACAAAGAGAGATTATGATCCAACCTATCTTCACAAATTACCAACAAAATGAAACCATCATCTGTATAAACAAAACACGCAGCAGAAACACATTAGTTCATGGGTGATATATTGGGACCTCAGAAGAATGTGCTATGTGAGCTGGTGTAGCTCAGGAAAAAATGTGAAAAATATAAATGCACAGGAAAAAATGATAGCTAAATGGGAAGCAGCACTAAGGAGAAATACTATGAAAATACAGCTCTGCACATAATGGACTGTACTGAGAAAAACACTCAAAATATAAAGAAAATGAGCAAAGAGTTAATGGGATTACAGTGAAAAACAGTAGTTATGGAACAAGGCAAGTAAAATCTAGAAAGTGTGATGGATTTACCTAAGTAGGGTGTATTAGTCAGGGTTCTCTAGAAGGACAGAACTAATAGGATATATATATATACACACACACTATATATATACACATACACATATATATGTGTGTATATACATATATACATATAAATACATATACATATACACACATATATAGTATAGGATATATATATATAGTGTGTATATATATATATACTTATAGGATATATATATATAGTGTGTATATATATATACTAATAGGATATATATATACACTAATAGGATATATATATACACTAATGGGATACATAATATATATACTAATAGGATATATACTATATATATACTAATAGGATATATACTATATATATACTAATAGGATATATATAATATATATACTAATAGGATATATATTATATATATACTAATAGGATATATATTATATATATACTAATAGGATATATATTATATATATACTAATAGGATATATACTATATACTAATAGGATATATACTATATATATACTAATAGGATATATACTATATATATACTAATAGGATATATACTATATGCTAATAGGATATATACTATATATATACTAATAGGATATATACTATATATATACTAATAGGATATATACTATATATATACTAATAGGATATATATTATATATATACTATTAGGATATATATATATATACTAATAGGATATATATATACTAATAGGATATATATATATATTAATAGGATATATATTATATATATACTAATAGGATATATATTATATATATACTAATAGGATATATATATATACTGATAGGATATATATATATACTATTAGGAGATATCTATATCTATATCTATATCTATATATATATGTAGTGGAGTTTATTAAGTATTAACTCACATGATCACAAGGTCTCACAATAGGCCGTCTACAAGCTGAGGAGCAAGGAAGCCCAGTCTGAGTCCCCAAACTGAAGAACTTGAGAGTTCTGTGTTAGAGGGCAGGAAGCATCCAGCACAGCAGAAAGATGTAGGCTGGGAGCCTAGGCCAGGAGCCTAGGCCAATCTAGCCTTTTTGCATTTTTCTGACTGCTTAATATCCTGCCCATGCTGGCAGCTGATTAGATGGTGCCCACCCAGATTAAGGGTGGGTCTGACTTTCCCAGCCCATTGACTCAAATGTTCATTTCTTTTTTTTTTTTTTTTATTTTTTTTTTTGAGACGGAGTCTCGCTCTGTCGCCCAGGCTGGAGTGCAGTGGCGGGATCTCGGCTCACTGCAAGCTGCGCCTCCCGGGTTCACGCCATTCTCCTGCCTCAGCCTCCCAAGTAGCTGGGACTACAGGCGCCCGCCACTACGCCCGGCTAATTTTTTGTATTTTTAGTAGAGACGGGGTTTCACCGTTTTAGCCGGGATGGTCTCGATCTCCTGACCTCGTGATCCGCCCGCCTCGGCCTCCCAAAGTGCTGGGATTACAGGCGTGAGCCACCGCGCCCGGCCTCAAATGTTCATTTCTTTTGGCAACATCCTCACAGACACACCCAGGATCAATACTTTGCATCCTTCAGTCCATTCAAATTGACACTCAGTATTAACCATCACATAGGGTATCAAAATAACAAAAGAGTAAAATATTCAAAAAACATTATTTTAAAAAACTTCAAAAAACAAATATTTACATTTCCAGTTTGAGAGGGTATCTTATGTCCCGAGGAAAATCCATGTAGAAAAGACAACCATAAGACATAGCTAGTAAACTTTCTGAACCTTAAAGGACCCTGAGGTTAGAAGATGTATTTGTTTGCCATTGCTACTGTAGAAAAATACACAAACTTAGTAACTGAAAATACTGCAAATTTATGATCTCACAGTTCTGGAGATTGGCAGTCCAATTAGTCTTCTGGGGCTGAAATCAGGGTGCTGACACACTTGCATTCCTCCTGCAGGCTCTAGAGGGGATCCACCTCCTCACCTTGCCCAGCACCTATACTTCCTTCCTCACGGCTCCTCCCTCCACCTTTAAAACCAGCCTCATGGCATCTGCAAATCTGTCTGACCTCTGCTTCTGTCCTCACAGCTCTTTTTCTG
Organism: Homo sapiens; assembly: GCF_000001405.40. Classification (NCBI taxonomy): domain Eukaryota; kingdom Metazoa; phylum Chordata; class Mammalia; order Primates; family Hominidae; genus Homo; species Homo sapiens. The sequence goes on along the minus strand of NC_000013.11, from coordinate 109,342,049 downwards.
CCTCTAGTGCTCCTGCCTTTTTCTTACCAAGGCCCTTAAACACACCCGGATAATTCATAATCATCTTCCCACTCCAATATCAGTAAATTAATCCCATCTGTAGAGTCCCTTGCTACCATTTTAAGGTAGCATATCCACAGTTTTCAGGGATTAGGTGAAGCACATCTTGGAGAGAGGGTGGCATTATTCTGCCAACCATAAAAGGCAAATGAAAAGTTCGTCTAGAAGGTAGAAGGAAAGAAAAACTAAACTTCTGTAGATTTTTCCACAGTGGCAGGGAAATAATGGAAAATATTTGTATTCATTATTTGTTGCTGCCTAACAAATTACTCAAAAACTTAGTGTCAACAACACACCAAAAACGACATATTATCCATATCTTTTCTGCAGATGAAGAATTTGGGAGCAGTTTAAGGGCAGTTCTGGCTCAGGGTGCCTAGTGAGGTTGCCATCAGAATGGCAGCTGGGACTCCAGGCATCTGAGGCTGCCTGGGCCAGAGGGTCTGTGTCCAAGGTGCCTTCTCACAGGATGGAAGGCAGTGCCGGCATCGGTGAGGCTGCTTGGGCGTCTTCTACAGTCGCAGTACGGCAATTGGCTTCCTCCAGAATGAGACCCAAGAGAACAAGAGGCAGGCCTTGAAACTCATGTCATCATTTCTGTCCTGCCCTGTTTGTTAGAAGTGAGGCTCAATGGACCTCACACTGCATTTGTATCAAATGCCCACAAGAGGCAAATCTATAGATGCAGAAAGTAGATTTGTGGGTAGCTTAAGGCTGGAGAGGGGACTGGCAGGGCTGAGAGATGACAGAAGGTGTGGGTTTCTTTGGGGATAATGAAAATGTTCTGAGTGTGGTCATGGTGGTACATTTCTGTAAATATATAAATTTGAAAAACAGTGAATGTGCACTGTAAATTTTATGGTATATGTAGTGTATATGAACTCTATCTCAATAAGGCTGTTACCAAAAATACATACGTATTTAATGAAGTATACTATATAAAGTTACAGGTAAAGTTAGTCTGAAAACTAAAAAAAAAATTCAGATCAACAGAAAAAATAAATAGAAGACATGTAGTGAAATATTATGTAGTGTAAGATTTATAATAGCAAAAAATATACATAAAACGCTAGAACACAAAGAAAGCTTTCCATGTAAAAGTGATCAATATATCTGACATCCTCTTAACTAGTAAAGGAAAAAGACTCAGCTTGATTGGGAGAATCACTTCAGGATGTGTACACGTATCAAGTCATCATGTTGTGCACCTTAAATATATGCCATGTTTATTTGTCAATCACGCCCCAATAAAACTGGGAAAAAAACAAAGCAAGAAATCGGCACATATATATTTAAGAGACAAACTAAAAAGTTGTAATTCAGAAATATTTAAGTTAACATGATGAGAATGGCATACTATGAAAATGCCAAGAATGTAAAGGGTCAGAATCTTAATATCAGATAGGGTTGCATTCTGGAAAATAAACAAACAAACAAAAAACACCAAAAAAAAAAAGACAAAGGCATTTTATATGTTAATTGTTGCTATCCACAGTGAAGACTGAAGGCATGAAATTTTATGCATAAAATAACATTATTAACATAGGAAAGCAAATCTTCTAGATAAAAATGAAATCATGAGAATTATAGACAAAAACAAGTATAGAATTCTTTCAGCCTATGATAGGTTTTCGAAATAACTAATTATATAGAATATCTCCATAGACCAATATTAGAAATTAAATTTCATTTTAGTAAGTGATACATAATTAATAAATAGCAAAGACATAAATGCTTAAAACCATACTGAGATTCCGGTCTGGCAATTCTTATCACATTTTATAACACAATGTATTAACAAGGGTATCATGAAGCAGATGTTTTCAGGCTTTTCTTGGGGGAGAGTAGATGTGAATAACTTTTAAGGTGAGCAATCTGATCATTTATCAAAATTTAAAATGTATATAATCTTTGATTCAATAATTCCACTTCCAGAAATTTATTCTACTAATATACATACATGTTGACAAGATGATATGAGAAACAAAATACTTAAAGTGTTGTCAGATTATAACCCAAATTTAAAATACATACCAATTTTTCTATGCTGATACAAATGACTGACTGGATAAAGAAATAGAGAGAATAGACAAATCTCCCATGCAGAAGAACTCCAAATAATGTATGCAGATGCTTCACTCTCAAGGAGAGGGAGCATAACTCCCCACTCGCTAAGTGTAGTATGCAAACAGTGACGTCCTTCTGATTGTACAGGACCAGAGGAAAGGAGCAAATTTATGGTGGAGAAACCTGACCAAGACTCCCTTAACCAGGTGATCAAGGTCACCATCTGCAGAAAGAAGTAATGTTGACAGTATGCACCCGGGATATAATGTGATAGAAATGACACTTTATCTTTGTGATTTTCATTCTGAAAAGCCATAAGCCCACTCTAATCATGAGCAGTTCCATAGAGAGGCCTTCTCCGAAAGACCTGAGCAGTTGTCCTCAAAACTGTCCAGAGTCATCAAAAACAAGGACTGAGAAACTCCAAAAGCCAAGAGGAGACTAAGGAGACATGGTGACTAAATGTAACATGGGATCCTGGATGGGATCCTAGAACAGAAAAATACATGAGGTAAAATAAGACAATTTGAAGAACTATGGGCATAGTTAATAATGATGAATCAACATTGGATCATCATTGTAACAAGTGCACCACACACAATATTACAGGTGTTGATAAAGGAACTTGTTGTGTGGTGTATGGGAACTCTCTCTAGTATCTTTTCAATATTCATGTATTTCTAGCACTGTTCCAAAAATAAAATTTACTAAAATTAAGGGGATGGGAAAAAATGAAAATCACAACATACCAAAACCCCTGGGATGCAGCTGAAGCAATGCTTAGGAGGAAATTTTTTAGCTTTAAATGATTACATAAGAAGGGAAGGAAGATTCAAAAGCAGTTATCTAAACTTCCATCCTAAGAAGATAAAAAGAAGATCAAATCAAAACCAAAATAGGAGAAATGGTAGCAATAAGGAATTAAGAGAGAATGGAAATTAATAAAATACAGAATGAACTAACAAATGATTTTTTCTCATTGTGTATTTTATTTTCATTTATTAAAATTAATATTTTATTTTAGTAAAATACAAAATGAGAAAAAATTATTGAAAGAAAAGCTAGCTTTTTGAAAAGATAAAATTTGGCAAGCCTCTAGCAAGAGAGAGAGGGAGATCTGAGAGGTCTGTTCATGTCTTTTTCATACTTACCTATAATATTTTGCCTTTGTCTCTGAATTTTAATATGTTTTTCTATATTTGAGATATCAGCCACTTTTCCGAGGTATTTGTTGAGAATATTTTCTCTTAGTTTTCAATTGCCTTTTGATTTTGCTATGAGGAGATTTTATCATGTAAAATTTGAAGAGGTATATTTTTTATTTAGTAAAATGTATTAATCTTTTGTTTTATTGCCTACGAAGTTTGAGTCATAGTTAGAAAGCTTTTCTCTACACCAATGTTAGGGAGAATTTATACATTTTCTTCTACTAATTGTTTGATTTCTTTAATATATTTATTTCTAATCAATTTAGAGTATATTCTTAGATACAAGACATGAATCTAATTTTACCTGTTTCCAAATGGCTATTCATTTGTCCTAGCCAAACTTATTAAAACGTCCACCATTATTTCAGTGATTTGAGATGCCATCTTTGTAATATACTACATTTCCTTATGTACTTGGGTCTAATTTTAGACTTTACACAGTTTTTCTTCCACTTGTCTACTTGTCTATTCATGTTTCAGCCTCACGCTGTTTTAATTATACAGGACATATTACATGTTTTAATACCTGTAAAAGCAACTCCCCCTTCTTCGATTTTTTGGGTTTTAGTGTTTTTCCAAGTATATTTGCATGCTAGTTTTTCCATATGAACTTTATAATCAAGTTGTCTAATACTATAAAGTAGCTCATTGGCATTTTTATTGGGATTGCATTGATTTTGTAAATCAACCTGGGGGAAGATACATCTTTAAAATGCTGAGTCTTCCTGACCCCAAAACTAGACTGACTTTCCATTTATTTGGTCATGTCTACTTTTACAATTTTCACAAGTTCCAAATTTTCCTTATAGAAGTTTTGCACATTTTCTGTCACATTTATTTCTAAGTAGTATTTCTTATGCTATTGTAAGTGAAAATTTCTCTAACTGCTTATTGTTTTTATGTATGAACTCTGTTGATATTTATGTGTTAGTTTTATATCTTATTACATCACTGCATTCTTTCATTGAATTAATTTTATCATTCATTCTCTGGAGATTTACAAGTATACTATCATATTATCTACAAGTAGAGGAACTTTTAAAATCCATTCTCATGTCTCTAGCTGATTTTTCTTATACAATTGCATTAGCTAGTACCTCTGTTAGAATATGCACAGGTTGCACAGACAGTGAGAATCTTTGCCTTTTTCCTATCTTACTGGAAATGTCTTTAGTATCTGTAATGTTTCTCTATGGAATAACATGGTAAATTTAGGGATATATATATGTATGTGTGTATACGCATATATATGTATACGCATATATATAGATAGATAGATACGCGTATACACACATAGATAGATAGACACATCTATTTATGTGTGTGGTAAGCACATCCTTGCTAAGAAAACAACTCTCAGTTACTATTCCCTTGAGTGGTTTTAATCATGAATGGATGTTGAATTTTGTTAAAGGCTTTTTTAGCGTCTATGGAGACTGCAAAGAAAAATGAGTTAAAATTCTAAACAACTTTTTAAACTAAAGGTATTTCACATATTTTAATTGAAAAAGAATCATTAAGACAATATAACAAATGGTCTTTCCTCATTTAAGAAATTTTTTTTCAAAAGTGATCTTCCAGAACTTGTGTTCCAATGGACACACTTTAAGAAACAATGAGCCTGTTGACTCCACTCTTCCTCCTGTATTTTATATGTGAATAGAGGTATTTCTGCAAAGGTTAACACAAATGTTTGTTTGGGTTACAGTCAGAAAGAAAGCCTGTACTTCATGGCCCTTGTTCACGGCCAGCTACCTCTCAAAGTCATTTCAGGAATTTTATGATGAGATTCCCTTAACAGAGTTCTCACATAACAAGCCAAGCTCATTACTCAACTGGAGACTTAAAAAAAAATGGTAAAGATATCTTCAAAATCTAACTATTTGGAGAAGTCAGTCAATCATTATGGAGATACTGGGCATGAGCAAATGCTCACATGAAAGAAAGATTTGGCAATAAAGAGTACTGAGATTTTGTCAAATTATCTTGCGTGTGTTTTCTTTATTTCTTGTGAATTACCAAGGTTTACAGAAATTAGAATATATTTGACAGATAAACTATATGGTTTGTTTTTCTTTATTTTTCTTTTCTCCATTAGTAAAGGAGGCAGTATGGAGGATGAAAAGTTCCTTTTCATGAATTGAATTCTAATAACAGAATCACTGCAACTGAAATTGATAAAACCAGAGTGAGCACAGACAAAGCAAGTGGCTCATGTTAATACTTTCACCTGGTTCTTAGCCCATGGTTGGCTCGTCTTCAAGGCTAACTTTGCACAGGCTTAAATTCAACCGGTGCATTAAACCTGCAAGCACCATGACTTGCTTTTTCACTGTGAGGATTTGATTATATTGCCTTCACTCTTCAAATAGGCATAGACATTTTTATTCATGAAACCAAAATCCAGTTTTTCTCATTATCTAGTAATATGTCTCAGCTTTTACCAATTGTCTAAGAAAACACCAATAAAAAGTGCCAGACAAGGTATGCAGTAACAGGCAATCCAGAAAGAAGGCAAGGCATCCCAAATGTGATATTTTTGTTTTCTTCCTGTGTCATTGACCTTGTATTTTTATGAACATACAAATAAATGTAGTCCAAATTTGATTTTCATCTATTCACAATAGCACCAGGATTTTAATAATAATAATGAACAAGTATGCACAAGACCATGTTTTACACAGGCATAAAGAAAACACATGTACCCTGTTATGGCACAGAAATTGTGCCATAACTGTGTTATTGTGGGATTTGTTACTTTTTATTTTTTATTGTGGGCTTTGTTTTATATATTTTATGTATTTTATGTTGTGGGCTTTGTTACTTTTTATTGCAGAAAAATTAAGCATTTTGTTAAGTGTCTACCTCTGTCTTCAAGGTGCAGCTCCTTACCACCTCTTTTTGGACCCATGGACAACTGCCTGTGGTCACAGAGCATTTTGCAATTGACTTAAGGTCCCACATTTCCCCCAGAAGCCTTGGACCTCGAGCTCCAATGTAGTCTCGCAGTCCTGACACACTTCATCTTTTCAGTCCCTTTGGGTTGACTTTGACTCTTCTGTCTGCTGGCAGATTTGTTTTAACCTTTAGGTTTAAATGCATTTTCTCAGAAAAAATAAGCCATAACATTGCATTAATGAAGCTTATTCATTTAGGTTGTGCAGGGATCTTTTCCTTTGATGTGCATATTTAGTTCCCATTAATGGTAATAAGAGTGAATTATGTGGACATATTGACATAAGAATAGATCCCTTGGGCTCTATGTGTAGAGTACATTTTGTTAATTGGGAAGTACTTTAAAAGAAACCAAACAAATATACCCAGGAAATCAGAAAAATAAAATAAAATTACTTTGAAAAAAGAGAGGAAAAATATTTTGCTGACCTAGGGAAGGATCTGGTTTGAGAGGATGCCAAACTATAGTTCCCAAGTATGATGGAATGCTTCTCCCAGTGAGAGACATTCGGAAAGAGTCCTGTCATTAGCTTTCCTTGCCATAGTCTCGCCATCTAAAGTCGTTCTCTTTGTAGCTGCACTGCCTGTGATGGAAAGGAGAGTGTCATGTACTGGCTATACAGTACCCTCCTAGGGACACAAATGTGACTAGCTATGGTCTCATGTCCACGGAGTCTCTTCAGTCAGAAGACTTCCCTTTGTGGCCTTGAATTGACTCTGGAGACTTTTCCAAGTGTCTTGACTAATTGAAGATGCCCTTCTTCAGTGGTTCCTAAAATTTATTAGATCTCAGCAGATCAAGCCTCCAGACTTCCTCTGGACAGCTTATTATCCCGCCCCGTTCTGTCTCCTATGACGAACTTGAACTTGTGAATGATAATTTCATAATTTCACATAGCACCATCTACAGAACACAGCATCAGTTTCTGACCAGCATCCACTTGGGCTCATCCCGTTCCTTGTATGGCACATTATGTCACCTTGCACTTCACTTGCATTTCATGAACTCTTAGGTTTGACTAAAACACACGAGCAGCTTCCTTCATAAAGTGGATAAGCACCGCGGAAGAACCAGCTTGCTTTCAGAATGTGCTCTTGTCCCGGAGTCTTCCTCAGATTAGACAACCTGAACAGATGGTGTTGGCAGCTGGGGGAACCAGGTGTGGACTTGGACCGGCGTCAGCAGAGGTCTACCATATTGTCCTGCTGCTACACTCCCTCTCCAGAGAGGGGCAGGGGAAGAAGGAGGAATGCAGGAGTGCCAGCCGTGCCTCTGGTCTGCTGTGTCGGCACATCCTGTTGTGACCTTCATGTCACCTACACAAAAGACTGGCTCGGTGAGCGTCTCTTCCAGCCACGAGGTGTCACAGGAGCTGTGCAAAAGTTAAATGCTCATCAGAAGCACATGAAATAGTAAGCAAGCTCTCTCCTCCCCACTCTCTGCCCCAGATTCAATTAGAGATGTAAATATATTCAAATGTTCTGCCTGATACCACCCTAGGGTGCTGCTGGGATTTTTCTGCTCTAGGCAAGATGGGGAAAAGAAGCCACAATCCCCCACTGCCCCCTCACAGCTTACAGACCCTCCCATAATAGTGTCACTAAAACATTTTACTGCCCTAGGCAACCACCTGCTCTTTCTGCCTGTAAAATCTGTCCCTGGCACAACTTAATTCATCTCTGCTGGGTGAATCCATATCACAAGTAGACAATCTAAGGTCAGGGTGGAAAAACGGTTCAAATGAATTCTAATATAAAACAGAACATTTTTACCACCCCTCCCTCCCAAACTATACCACCTTTATGTTCTGGTTCAACCATGGATATTTAGTTCTTTGCATTGCTGTCATGTTTTCTGTGGCATTACCAATTGTAGATAACTCATTAGGAAGAAGGAAAGAGGGATGCTTAAATGGGATATTTTTTACCCGGAGCAAATTTTTGTTATTTTTACCTCCATTCTGAGTTCTTTCCAGATTTTCTTATTATTGTGGGTGTCGTGTGTCCATTCAGAGGTTACCTGGTCAATCACTATAAAAATCCTTTTGAATTTTCAATAAGCAAATTGAAGGGTTTCATATGTGATAGTCCCTTGATGTTCATGTGCATCCTATGTTATATACGATGCATGTATTATATGTGTAAAGTCTGCCCCTGACACTTGCAAAGGCTTATTGAACAACACAAATGGAGCCTTCGTAACATCTGTAGAAATATTATAAAGTAATTATCCAGCCAGAAAACGGTTAAACATGATATATTCTGTCTACCTACCTTGACACACATATCCAGATACTGACCTAAAAGGCCAGATTGGAATGGACAATTCTCAGACTCTTCCAATTTCCAAGCTAGAATGTGGAGAGGCAAGGAGTGTTGACTCTGCTTGCCTGGCCCGCCTTCCCACGCTGGGCCCTGGGTGTGTGCAGGTGTGTCCTGGCCCTTGAATCTGGTTTCTATTCACTCCCCGACAAACCTCCACCCCTTGGCTACCTAGGACTCTGGAGTCCTCCTCAGCAAGGTAGATGGGGAATGCGCGCCTGCAGGCATCGGATGTAAACTGGAGACTGTTTCCTTGGGACGTCCAGGTTCCGGGCCTGCAGCCAGGGGACTGGAAAAGGAAGCATGAGCTCTAGGGGGCAATGTCCCCTTGATCGTTAAAAGTGCAAGGCCAGAGGAGGACCGGAAATGGGGGCCTCTATAGCATATAGGCCAGGACAGGACCCTCCCTGACCTAGGGCAAGGAGTGAGCCCCACGTGGCCAGCTCTCTCGTGGGAGGATCGTGTAGCTCTAAGAACAACCCTGGCTGCAAGTTTGCACCTTCATCTTTCTCTTCTCGTTTCCTCCTTACAAACCCTGCAAGGTGGGTGTCATTCCGAGCAAAGAAAGAGACTTGGAGGAGATAAGCAGTGTGTCCCCGCTGGTGCGGTGAGTAAGTGGCAGAGCGAGGGTTCCCAGCAGCCGCACGTGAGAACAGCCCACTCCCTCCTGCTCTCTGCTACACCCGGCAGGTCCGGTGGACTTAGTAAAAATGAAGCGAAAGCGGAAGGGGTGTGACTGGAAGCCTGCTGTTGATTCTGCCAACAGTCTACAAAGGAAGGTACAGTATGGGAGAGTCAGGATTCCCGGCGGGCATCTTCTTAGAACAGTTAAGCCACCTTGGCCAGAATGAAAATGGTGCTCAGGCTTCCCTTTTAGGTGCTGTTCTGCAAGACCACCAAGCTCTTCTCAAAGGGCTGCTGCATCAGCAAAGGGTGGGGGCTCCGCTTCACCAGACCTGTTTGCTGTTTCCAAACTCCTCTGGCCTAGGCTATCAAGAGGTTTTGAAAGTAGAGGTCAGACACCTGTTTTTACAAATTATGACTGATACAGAAAATGTTTTTCATGGCCTCTGTAATGAGCTGATTTATGCAAGAGGTTTCGAGTCCTATCTGGAAACGTAACACCCTGCAGCTCCATGCTTTCTGAAAAGCTAAATGTCTTGTATTGTGATAGGTCAGTTTAGAGTCGTATTCCAAACCCTGAACGTCAGGGGCTGCAAAGACAACATTTCCCGGTCCACAAGCCTCCTCCCCTACGTTGGTTTGGTTAGCGTTGCTATAGTAACCTCTAGCCTGTTTTATGACATGCTGGTGATTACCGAGCCCATGATAGTGAAGAAAATATCAGGTTACAAGGGCAGATGCCACTGTAAAACATCCTGTGTGACGAACATCCAATTTCCCAGCAGAGAGTGTGGTTTCTGCCACTCGGGAAGGTGGGGTGGAGAAACATCACGTCACAAACAACACCGGTTTGCAAATATTGATCTCAAACATCATCAAACAATTGTGTTGGAATTGTGCTTTTGTCTCCCCGAGGTGTGGAATCAATTCCATATTCTCCACAACTATCATCCTTAATGGTAGATGTTGGAAATAAAAAAAGTACAATCTGTGAAATTATTCTTTTGTATATAAATGGAAAAATAGATATCGTGGTTGAAAACCACCGCCTTCATTTTCCATCTGCTTCTTTGCATGGCAGTTTCTAGCATACAGCCTGAAGCAGCTAAAGTCGCATCAGTTGTCCAGCTGCTGGCATGGCTTGCAATTCCAGGGAGGTGCAGGGAGGAAAAGTCAACCGGAGAAAGGGGTGCTGAGCTGCATCGATGGTCTCCACATGGCACTTTAATGGCCACACTGATATTTAGATCAAAGCAAAAGTTATGCACTACTTCTTTGAAAATTAAATTGACTCAGAAATTAAGAGCATTACACTTATGGTTGAGCCATCCAGTATAAAAATAGATCCAGTCTTTTACTCTAAAGGATCATACGTATCCTGTCCTTGATACATAATATGTATTCTTGTTGATTTGTAAGATAAAAGGAGGAAAGCATCCTAATTAAATTTAACAAGAAAATGATGACCTGTTGGTCCATTGCTTACATCAATATTACGTCAAAGGTTTTTTCATCTTGCAAGGTGAACCATTTTTCTATGTATATTTTTAAACATCTAAGATCATTGTGAAAGCGAAGAGATTGTGAATTCAGAGTTGAAGCAATAACAGAGATGCCTGCTTGTGACTCATCCAGGTCAAAAACAGATTATGAATCTTGAAACTATGCATTGATTATTTGATTTTGTGTGATAATGCAGCACATGGGGTTCCACCAATGCCACACAGACAGTTCACTGTGCTTGAGTGCATGCTGACTGGCTTTGGGTTTTGGGCCACTCAGCCTCCCAGGGCCTCCTTGTGCACATCAGTGAAATGATGGGTTTAACATCAGTGATTTTCAACCTCCACTGTACATTAGAACCACCTGGCAAGTATTTTTTAAAACATGATGCTGGGGTCCCATCTCAAACAAATTGAATTATTAGTTTGGTGCAAAAGTTATGGTGGTTTTTGCCATTAAAAGTAACAGAACTTCTGGGAGTGAGCCCCAAGCATCTGTGCATTTTAATAAATGTGCCAGGGCTGGGTGTGGTGACCCACATCTGTAATCCCAGTACTTTGGGGGGCCAAGGCAAGAGGATGGCTTGAGGCCAGGATTTCAAGACCAGCCAAGGCAATTTAAAAAAAAAATTACCTGGGCATGGTGGTGTGCCTCTGTAGCCTCGATTACTTTGAAGATTGAGGCAGGAGGATCCCTTGAGCCCATGAGTATGAGGCTGCAGTGAGCTATGATCACACCACTGTGCTCCAGCCTGGGCGACAGAGCAAGAGCATGTCTCTAAAAATGTTTTTAAAATAAAAATAATAAATGCTCCAGATGTTTCTAATTGCACCCAGGATTGATAATTACTGCACTGGATGACCTCTTAAGATTTCCTTTAATCCTAAAATAGCGTGTTCTAGGGCAGTGGTTATCACACTTGAGCGTGCATGGGAATCACCTGGAGTACTTGTTGAACCACAGATTGCTCAGCTCCGGCCTTTCAGAGTTTCTGATTCTGTAGGCCTGGGTCTGGACCTGAATACCTGCATTCCTAACAAGTTCTTGAGTTGTGCTAATGCTGCTATCCAGGGACTAGACGTTGAGAACCACTTCACTATGGTAGGTTTGTACAAAAATACACATCTTAATGTAAAACACAAATCAATTATATAATTTAATAACATGAGAGTTTGGTATTGCAATTTTACAACCCAGTGAATTTCCACTACAGACCCCCAAATCAAATGATTGCATGTCTGTAATTGGCTGATGGTGACACAGCCCAGTTGGTAATAAGGTGTTGTGAGTTCTCTCTGGAGGTATCTGGAGGGTAGCCCTTAAGCCTCACTGTTCTACCTTTAATTTCTGGTCAACTCTGAAACATACCCATTGAGTAGTAATGTTATTCCATCTATGCTTGGAATAGTTTGAGCCATACTGAGATGATTTAGACGCTGTAAATAAACCATTGTTAGCACTGTTTCATTGTTCTGAGTTTGTGTCCAAGGCTGAAATGATGGATTCAGGGCACTGGAATCATTTTCTCTCCCCTAGTGCTATTTAGCTGACAGCATCACCGGAAAGAGGAATTATCCACAATTGCAGAATCTGTGGATCTTTTCTACAATGCCCATGACCTGTCCACTGAGGCCCTGAGTTATCACTGCCCACGTCATAGCAAGAACTGGCAGAGACATTTGGTTTTCTTGCCATGGTTCCCACTCTTGTCCCTGGTTCATCTTTTAGCCTACAGCACCAGCTTTGAGGCTAGGAGAAACATTCTAAAGGAAAATGATACAGCCTCATCTGTGCTGTTTGCTGAATCTTCCTATTCTCCCCACATCTGAGTACCTGGAAGGATCACAATTCCTGATTCCCATCATGGAGCAGTGCCATGCGACCAGCTCTAGCCAGTGAGATATGGCCCACATGTCCTTATCGGATTGAATATTCCACTGATGTTAGGAAACTCCCCCCAGAACACACCTCTGTTCTGCACCTTCGTAAGCCACTGTCTTGCTCTCTGTGTTTCCATCATGGACGGGGATGATCTGTGAGTGCAGAGCCCCAGATGGTTGGTGATGCAAGGTCAGTGGAGCCAGAAAGAAACCCTGATGCTTTTAAGGCTCAGAGGCTTTGGGGGTGTTTGTTACTGCAGCATAACTGAGTATACACTGCCTGATGCAGATTCTATGGTGGTCTTAGAGTATATACCAGCCAACTATCAACTATTCCAGTCTTACAAAAGTCTAGTGCATTATCAATATCTCTGCTCTCATTTCTATTTTTGGCGTGAATTTCTGCACTTTTTAACTAAGAGTTTGATATATGCTACTCTAAAAAGCTAAATACAAATTGGAGTTTTTTTAATTTTAAGAGTATTTGATGCCAACAAAAACAAAACAAAACAAAACAAAAAACAAAAACAAAAAAATGTGGAGTCCATGTACTGGTTTCTTAGTTTTCACCAGTAATTTTTCTGCAAGAAAGTGTCACATAATAATAAATGCAGAAGAGACCTTAAGATGATTGGTGGCCTTTGATGTTAAAGGTCTGCAAAAGTTTCAGTGGATTTTCAGGTCCCAATTAACCCACAATCAGTACAACTCATGCTTCCTGGCATGTGGATGTGAGTATTCCCTTGCTATTCTCTCACCTGCAGTTCCTTTCTATAAGGCCGCATTCCCTACTGCAGCTGCTTCTCTGAGGAACTAGATTGGGAGGAAGAAGTGTTTTTGTCAATGCATCAAGTAGAAAACATGTACATTTTATAATGAGTTTATCCAAATATACTGATGTAATCAGAGTTAACATTCTCCGAGTGTCTCCTATGTGGTGGGCACTGAATGGAGAGCTTCCCATGAGCTATGGAACCCTCACAATAGGCTGTGAGGCAGGAGTCAGTATCGATCTCATTTCACAGATGAGGAAACTGGGCCTCAGCGGGGCCAGCAAGTTGCCCAGGGTTCTACTGCAGGCAAATAGGAGTGGTGGGTTTGGAATCCAGATCCACTTGAACACAATCAGTTCCTGTTCTAAGGACCCATGTAGGAACCTGACACTTCACAGATGTGGGAAGGGGAGCTCCATCTGGAAGTCCCAACCTTCCCAAGAGTTTCTGTAGTTACCCAAAGTTACTACTAGTATCCTTCTCTCCAAGCTTTGTTACCGGAGAATTTAATTCAGCAATAATGGCAGAAGGACGTGACTGAGTGGGAAGGAGAAAGTTTATCCAATTGCTTTTGTATTCAAAATGGTTTATTATATTAATAGACAATTGGTTATGGGAGTGTGCTGAATAGACCAACTACTCTATGAGGCAGACAGAATTGGTTCCTTTAAAGCATAGATGCTGAACCAAAACCTACACCATTCTTCTCTGTTTCTGAATTTGAAGGTGCACATGCATAGCTGATATTCAAGCCACATTCTTATTTTTTTCTTTCACCAAGAGTGTCGTGTTTTACAGTGTTCCCCATGAATTTACAAATAAATGGAGAATTCTTATCAAGTGATAAAATCTAATTTTTGCAAGAGGTTATATATGTGCAAAATATGGTTCTGGGCATAGGAACTTCATGTTCTTTCCAAAAGCTGGAATAATTTTAGACTCACCGGACGCCATTCTCAAAAATGATAGCCCATATGACTATACTTGTTAGTGACCATCAGTGGCATATTATTTTCTCTGAAGTCATTCTGTCTAATTCACTTGAGGCATCAGTAATGGGCACTTTCAACCTGTAGCCCAAATGGCAGTGGTGTTCCTCTAAGCCAAGCGGTAGCCGGAACAGAACAGAGCAGCTGCCTGAAGCACAACAGCGATCTCAGCCCCTCCCTGATCCAAGGCTGATTTTCAGGGTCACGTGTCTATTTTCATTGTCTCCTGAGATAATCTCATAAGAATAAATGTCTACACTGGAGGAAAATTCTACAGTGGAGGGTGCGGAGGCCTCCAGCCCCCATCAGCTCTTGGCCCAGCTGTGCCCTGAGGATTGCTATGGAGTCGAACGCTCCATATCCGGGCTCTGCTCTCCTGAGCCCCCAATTCCTACAAAGGGGAGAATGAAGCCTGAACACTCTCTACCTCACCCCCATGCTAAATAGAGGATGCCCAGCCAATTACCAGCTGCCGTGGGACTAATTCATTAGAGAAACAGAATGAATACGAACTATACTTGTGAAATTTGGGAGGCAGTTTTGTTAGGTCTATGAGGACTTGCTCATCAATATAGTTTATTGAGGGAAGGGAGTCATTTTTCAAGCTTGTGCTCCATCTCACAGTCTTCAGTGAGAGAACAACATTCATTTGTGTGCCACCAATGGTAACAATTGGCATTCAGTGCTTTGAAAGAGAGAAAACTGATCACTTTACTGAGTCTCTCCTTGACTAACCAGAGGTTACGTTGAGGATATACCATATTTTTCTCACGAAAATATGTTTCAATTGAAAATTATGTTTAGTGATGCAGAAGTGGGACTCAAATCAGTCTGAGCCCGGCGGCTCATGGATGAAGCATGGGGAGCCGAACACACTTCTAGGGGCCACGTGTCAGGTTGTCACGCATGGCTATTTCTGCTAAATGCTATATTCTTTTTGACTGACTACCTCACCCAAGCAGAGTGATAGAAACTAAGCTGCCTTGCATCAAGCTCAGCGAGGGAGATGACGTTTATGAATGATAATTTAGGTCACTTTAGACACCTAAACAGCTTAGAACCAGCTTCTACCCAACACATACTTTTTGCTCTATTTTTCAAAACGATGATAGTCTCCAAATTTCAGAAAGAGGAGTTCTCTACCTTCTACTAACAGAATATGCAATGTAGATGTACCTCAATTTTACACATTTTGCCCTCCCCTAGGTAAAGTATGTGACGACTAAGTGTATCACAATTTTCCTTTGCTTTCAAATATTTCAAAGCCAGTATTTTCTCCTATCTCGACGTAACATAAAGAATAAGATACACACCTATCAATAACGACCTCTTGCCATTTCCTCATCTCTCACTGGAAAACACATACAGCTATCTCCAGCTTATCAGAATCTGGGTGGGGTAAAGGGGCAGAGTTTAAGAATATTTTAGATGATTTTGACATTCCATCCTCCTCTACCGTAGATAATGCCTAATTTCCTAAGAACTGGTTTCTACAAGAATAGCTCCCTGCTACATGAAACATCACCTGATTAAATGTTCAATGTTTCTCCCTGTCTCTCTCTTCATGTTGGTAATGAATGAGGCACTTCTGGGGACCAGGCAGTGCACCAGGTTAATCTGCATGACAGCAAACACATTTTTGGCATCTCTGTATAGACAAACAATGGTGTTCTGACATAGAATGCATTGGTGTCTTTTGATTTCACCCAAAATTCCACCTTGTTTTCTGAACATTGGCTTCTACCAAATAGAAAAGTTTTGGTGTTTTTAATTGTCTTTATTAGCCATTGTTGTATAGCACAGGTATAATTTTTTTTATCATCTTGATTACCTCTGTCTGGTCATCCCAGAGGCCTTCCTCAGTTACAGATAGATATGAAGAGCACCTAAGAACACTGGCTGTGTCTACAAAAGCTGGAAACAATGAAACGTGTCTTCACTCTGGTGGCCGCTTGACTCAACGTGACTCTAAACAACTGATGTGATCTATTATTGTCCCACATTTACTAGATTTCTTCCTAAATTAGACAAAAGGTTTTAGTATTCCACAGAGAACCTATTCACTGTATGACCGAGAAATTAATATCCTTAATTAATTAATACTTATTAATTAATGTGCTCCCTTTTACTCAAGAAGCATAGGCAACTTATTAGTCATTCTGAACTTTTAAAATCACAGAATAGCTATTTGACTAACTCTCTGGAAATGACATTAAATTTAGTTGTAGTCTGAATTCAATCTGTTGACAAGATGGCTATTATATTTAAGGGGCCACAGCATAATATTAAGTAGAATTTATTTAATACTAAGACATTATTTTCCTCTCTTTATTAGTCAAGGTTTTCCAGAGAAACCAAACCAAAAGAATGTGTGTGTGTGTGAGTGTGTGTGCGTAGGCACACATATATTTGTGGGGAGAGAGAGAAAAAGAGAGGAGAGATATAAAGAGAGAGGATATTTAGAGGAGGATATATCAGAACCAGCAGGCAGGTAGAGTCCCTGTGAACAGATGGGAGGAGAATTAGCATCGTCTAGAATCCACCAAGCACCTCTGTCTATCCTTCACTTACAGAGCAACATCTGTGGCTTCACTTTGCCTCCCAATCTTGCCAAGTCCACTTATGGCCAACTCTAGTGCAGGGCCATGCGAGGAAAGGGATTCTGAGGGCCAAAGTTCCCAGCTTGACAAAGCTGATGATAAATAACCCAGATAGTGCAAGCCTTGTCCACTTGTCCACATCCACCTACGTGAATATTGGATATTTGTCCGAACAAAGATACTTTAAAAACTGTCAGACTGATGTGATGCAACTGTGTATCACACAGCCAAAAGCATGCTAGTCTTCTCCCCAAAGTCGGATTCAAAAACCTCATTTTTTAATTTAAAATTTTTTGTTGTCTTCATTTCTTTTCTTGCTGTCATACTCCTCTATTGATATTTTATAAAATAAACACTAAGATAATAGCTTAACTTCTAATATCACATCTTATGTTAGATAGTATGGGAATGGGAAAAGGGAAAGAAGAAAACTGGTATAGAGATTGTTCTAAATATAGATACACACAAATATATTTATATAAAGTTAAGGAGAAAATGCTCGCAAGGATGACAATCCTCTTTCTGCATCTAGACACAGAGTCAAAACTTGTATTTATACATTGGTTTCCCCAATACCCAGTTCATATTTCTTTAATCTCAGCAAGAACTTCAGCTCATCATGGTTCCTTGTCTGGTGGGGTAACCTGGACATTCATTTCTAAAGGGCTTGGGACATTAACAGCCCTATGTGTATGAGATGGTTGTAGCTTTCCATTAACTTTCCTGACAGGACATAGGAGAATTAAGAGATATCCAAGTCACCCTCTTCCCTGCCCTTATTGTGGAGTAGAAGCCCGATTTCTCCTTAATAATCAGAATTGATTGCCCCAGTCAGTAGAGTCACCCCATTCTTTGCCTATTGACCCACTGGTATGAGAAGCAGAGGTGTTCACTCTCACCTTCCCATTTAATGGAACCAGTAAATGTGGGCTTGGATGAAAGCATTCCTCCCTTGGGAACAAAAACCTATCAATCAACAGAGTCCAAAATTGCAAGAACAAGAAGATAAACTTGTATCTCTAGGGTATTAGTGAGAGGAAGGGAATTAGGGAATGAATTCCACCTGGATTCTCAGGTCTGAAGCTGGGTTAAACGAGAAGCATCACTACATCTTCATTGCCATCTCAGAGAGCATCATAGCCCGTAAGACGTGAGCCCAGTACCATAATGTGTTGTCTCCATGGTTGCACTGTAACTATCCATTCACAAGCTGTGTATCTGTCTTATCAGTTCAGCTGCTTCAAGATGATGAGGTACATGCTAAGATGAATACATCCATGAGCAAGAGATAATTGCTGTGCTTCATTCATAGCAAAACGTATTTCCTAATCAGAAGCAATGACGGATGTTATACCACAATAGTGAATGATGCGTTTGATAAACTCACAGACAGTGACTTTGGCAAAGCATTTCAGGTAATGAGAACAAAGTGACTTCCTTTCATGAAGGAAGCTTCTTATTTTAATCAACTTTCCAGAAAGTGGATTGTGCCATATTGGAGACTCAGGATTGGAGTGCTGGCAGGGCGGGCACTCAGCAGTGGTTGGAATCAGATTAACATTCCTGTGTGAAAGCTCATGTACTGAGCACGTGCATAGCCTCAACCCCTGCCATAAGTTCTTTAGTGGTAGCCTGTGAGATTTTGGTGCACCCATCACTCAAGCAGTATACATTGCACCCTATTTGTAGTCTTTTATCCCTCATCCCCCTCCCCTTCTTCCCCCAAGTCCCCAAAGTCCATTGTATCATTCTATGCATTTGCATCCTCATAGCTTAGCTCCCACATATCATTGAGAATATATGATGTTTGGTTTTCCATTCCTGAGTTATTTCACTTACAGTAATAGTCTCCAATCTCATCCAGGTCGCTGCAAATGAAGTTAATTCATTCCTTTTTTTTTTTTTTTTTTTTTTTTTTTTGAGACGGAGTTTCACTCTTGTCGCCCAGGATGGAGTGCAATGGTGTGATCTCGGCTCACCACAACCTCCGCCTCCCCAGTTCAAGCAATTCTCCTGCCTCAGCCTCCCGAGTAGCTGGGATTACAGGCATGCATCACCATGCCCGGCTAATTTTGTATTTTTAGAAGAGACAGGGTTTCTCTATGTTAGTCAGGCTGGTCTCAAACCCCTCACCTCAGGTGATCCGCCTGCGTCTGCCTCCCAAAGTTCTAGGATTACAGGTGTGAGCCACCTCGCCTGGCAATTCATTCCTTTTTATGGCTGAGTAGTATTCTAGTATTCCATATATATCTCACAGTTTCTTTATCCACTTGTTGATTGATGGGCATTTGGGTGGTTTCACCATTTTGCAATTGTGAATTGTGCTGCTATAAACATGCACGTGCTTGTATCCTTTTCATATAATGACTTCTTTTGCTCTGGGTAGAGACCCAGTAGTGGGATTGCTGGGTCAAATGGTAGTTCTACTTTTAGTTCTTTAAGGAATCTCCACACTGTTTTCCACAGTGGCTATACTAGTTTCCATTCCCACCAGAAGTGAAGAAGTGTTCCCTGAGAACAACATCCATGCCAACATCTACTATTTCTTGATTTTTTTATTATGGCCATTCTTGCAGGAGTGAGTTGGTATTGCATTGCAGTTTTGATTTGCATTTCCCTGACCATTAGTGATGTTGAGCATTTTTTCATATGTTTGTTGGCCATTTGTGTATCTTCTTTTGAGAATTGTCTGTTCATGTCCTTAGCCCACTTTTTGATGGGATTTTTTTTTCCTACTGATTTGTTTGAGTTTGTTGTAGATTCTGAATATTAGTCCTTTGTCTGATGTATATAGATTGTGAAGATTGTCTCCCATTCTGTGGGTTGTCTGTTTACTCTGCTGACTGTTCCTTTTGCTGTGCAAAAGCTCTTTAGTTTAATTAAGTCCCAACTAGTTATATTTGTTTTTATTGCATTTGCTTTGGGGTTATTGGTCATGAAATCCTTGCCTAGGCCAATGTCTAGAAGGGGTTGTCCAATGTTATCTTCTAGAATTTTTGTAGTTTCACCTCTTAGATTTAAGTCCTTAATCCATCTGGAGTTGATTTTTGTATGAGGTGAGAGACGAGGATTCAGTTTCATTCTCCTACATGTAGCTAGCCAATTATCCCAGTACCATTTGCTGAAAAGGGTGTCCTTTTCCCACTTTATGTTTTTGTTTGCTTTGTCAAAGATCAGTTAGCTGTAAGTATTTGGGTTTATTTCTGGGTTTTCTATTCTGTTCCATTGGTCTATATGCCTATTTTTATACCAGCACCATGGTGTCTTGATGACTATGGCCTTATAGTATAGTTTGAAATCATGTAGTGTGATGTCTCCAGATTTGTTCATTTTGCTTCGTCTTGCTTTGGCTATGCAGGCTCTTTTTTGGTTCCACATGAATTTTAGAATTGTTTTTTCACTAATTCTGTGAAGAATTATGGTGGTATTTTGATGAAGATTGCATTGAATTTGTAGATTGCTTTTGGCATTATGTTCATTTGCACAATGTTGATTCTACCCATCCGTGAGTATGGGATGTGTTTCCATTTGTTTGTGTCGCCTGAGATTTCTTTCAGCAGTGTTTTGTAGGTTTCTTTGTAGAGGTCTTTTGCTTCCTTGGTTAGGTATATTCCTAAGTAGTTTAATTTATTTACTTATTTATTTATTTTGCAACTATTGTAAAAAGGATTGAGTTCTTGATTTGATTCTCTGCTTGGTTGCTGTTGGTGTCTAGAAGAACTACTGATTTGTGTAACTTAATCTTGTATCCAGAAACTTTGCTGAATTATGTCATCAGTTCTAGGAGCTTTCCGGAGAAGTCTTTAGGGTCTTTTAGGTAAACAACCATATTGTCAGCAAACAGTGATAGTTTGACTTCCTCTTTACCGACTTGGAGGCCCTTTATTTCTTTCTCTGGTCTGATTGTTCTGGCTAGGAATTCCAGTACTATGTTGAAGAGGAGTGCTGAGAGTGTGCATCATTGTCTTGTTCCAGTTCCCAGAGAGAATGCTTTAAACTTTTCCCCATTCAGAATTGTGTTGGCTGTGGGTTTGTCATAGATGGCTTTCATTACATTAAGGTATGTCCCTTGTACGCCAATTTTGCTGAGAGTTTTAATCATAAAGCAATGCTGGATTTTGTCGAATGCTTTTTTTGCATTTATTGGGATGATGATGCAATTTTTGTTTTTAATTCTGCTTATGTGGTGTATCACATTTATTGACTTGTGTATGTTAAACCATCCCTGCATCCCTGGTATGAAACCCACTTGATTATGGTGGATAATCTTTTTGATATGTTGTTGGATTCAGTTAGATAGTATTTTGGTAAGGATTCTAGTATCTATGTTCATCAAGAATATTGGTCTGTAGTTTTCTTTTTTTGTAATGTTCTTTCCTGGTTTTGGTATAAGGGTGATGCTGGCTTCATAGAATGAATTAGGGAGGGTTTCCTCTTTCCCTATCTTGTGGAATAGTATCAAAAAGATTGGTACCAATTCTCCTTTGAATATCTGGTAGAATTCTGCTGTAAATCCATCTGGTCCTGAACTTTTTTTGTTGGTAATTTTTAAATTACCATTTCAATCTCGCTGCTTCAGGAAAACCAATTAATCTTAGGTTTGGTTGTTTACATAATCCCAGATTTATTGGCGGCTTTGTTCATATTTTCTTATTCTTTTTTTCTTCGTCTTTGTTGGATTGAGTTATTTCAAAGACCTTGTCTTTGAGCTCTGAATTTCTTTCTTCTACTTGTTCAATTATAATTGCTGAGACTTTCCAGATCATTTTGCATTTCTATAAGTGTATCCAATGTTTCCTGAAGTTTTGATTTTTTTTCCTTTATGATCTCTGTTTCCTTGATTATTTCTCTCTTTACTTCTTGTATCATTTTTTGGATTTCCTTGCATTTAGCTTTGCCTTTCTCTGGTGCCTCCCTGATTAGCTTAATAGCTAACCTCCTGAATTCTTTTTCAGGTAAACCAGAGATCTCTTCTTGGTTTGGATCCATTGCTGGTGAGCTAGTGTGACTTTTTTGAGGTGTTAAAGAGCCTTGTCTTGCCATATTACCAGAGTTGTTTTTCTGGTTCCTTCTCATTTGGGTAGGCTCTGTCAGAGGGGAAGTCTAGGGCTGAAGGCTTTTATTCAGATTATTTTGTCCCACAGAGTGTTCCATTGTTATAATACTCTCCCCCTTTTCCTATGGATGTGGCTTCCTGTAAGCCGAGCTCAATGATTGCTATCTATCTTCTGGGTATAGCCACCCAGCAAGTCTACCCTGCTCCGGGCTGGTACTGGGGGTTATCTGCACAGAGTCCTGTGATGTGAACGGTCTGTGGGTCTCTCAGTCATGGATACCAGCACCTGTTCTGGTGGAAGTGGCAGGATGGTGAAATGGACTCTGTAAGTGTTCTTAGATTTGGTGGTTTAATGTTCTATTTTATGCTGGCTGGCCTCCTGCTGGGAGGTGACGCTGAGAGGTGACAATGTGCTAGCAGCCCTTGCTCACTCTCAGTGCCTCCTCAGCCTCAGTGTCCACTCTGGCCATGCTTGAGGAGCCTTTCAGCCTGCCTCTGCACTGTGGGTCCCCTTCTCTGGGCTGGCCGAGGCCGGAGCCAGCTCCCTCTGCTTGCAGGGAAGTGTGGAGGGAGAGGCGTGGGTGGGAACCAGGGCTGCGCACGGCGCTTGCAGGCCAGCACGAGAGAGTTCCAGGAGGGCGTGGGCTCAGCAGGCCCCACACTCGGAGCGGCCTGCCAGCGGGCTGGCCACAGGCAGTGAAGGGCTTGGCACCTGGGCCAGCAGCTGCGGAGGGTGTGCTGGGTCCCCCAGCACTGCTGGCCCATCCGCACTGCACTCAAATTCTCGCAGGGACTCAGCCGCCTCCCCATGGGACAAAGCTCGGCACCTGCAGCCTGCTATGCCCAATCACCCACCTCCCCCTCCCCAATGGGCTCCCTCGTGGCCCAAGCCTCCCCGAGGGAGACCGCCCCATGTCCCACAGCGCTCAGTCCCATCGACTGCCCAAGAGCTGAGGAGTGCAGGTGGTGGCATGGGACTGGCAGGCAGCTTCCCCCACGGCCCCAGCATGGGATCTATTAGGCGAAGCCAGCTGGGCTCCTGAGTCAGGTGGGGACTTGCAGAACTTTTATGTCTAGCTGGAGGATTGTAAATGCACCAATCAGCACTCTGTGTCTAGCTTGGGGTTTGTGGCTGCACCAATCAGCACTCTGTATCTAGCTAATCTGGTGGGGACTTGGAGAACTGTTATGTCTAGCTAGAGGATTGTAACTGCACCAATCAGCACTCTGTGTTTAACTCGGGGATTGTAAACTCACCAATCAGCACCTGTCAAAATGGACCAATCAGCTCTCTGTAAAATGGACCAATCAGCTCTCTGTAAAATGGGCCAATCAGCTCTCTGTAAAATGGACCAATCAACAGGATATGGGTGGGGCCAGATAATGGTATAAAAGCAGGCTGCCCGAGCCAGCAGCAGCAACTGGCTCGGGTCTCTTTCCACTTTGCAGAAGCTTTGATCTTTCGCTCTTCCGCTCTTCAAAATAAATCTTACTGTTGCTCGCTCTTTGGGTCCATGCTGCCTTTATGAGCTGTAACACTCACTGTGAAGGTTTGCAGCTTCATTCCTGAAGCCAGCAAGACCACGAACCCACTGGAAGGAACGAACAACTCCAGACGTGCCACCTTAAGAGCTGTAACACTGACCGCGAGGGTCTGCAGCTTCACTCCTGAAGTCAGCGAGACCACGAACCCACCGGAAGGAAGAAACTCTGGACACATCTGAACCTCTGAAGGAATAAACTTTGGACACACCATCTTTAAGAACTGTAACACTCACTGCGAGGGTCTGTGGCTTCATTCTTGAAGTCAGCGAGACCAAGAATCCACCAATTCTGGACACAGTGCTTTCCAGAATGCATCAGCTGTGGTTGTGTGGAGAGGAACCGGTGGTGGGCAGAGTGCTAGAACTCCCAAAATATATGACCTTTGTCTTCAGCTACCAGGGTGGATAGGGAAGGCTCATGGGGGTGGGGGGGTGGGGTGGGCCGGGGGGTGAGGGGGTGGGTCAGGGTGGGGGTAGGGCTAGGCATGTCTAAGCTCAGACTCTCCTGGGGTGGGTCTTGCTGTGGCTGCTGTGGAGGACGAAGGTGATATTCCCAGGTCAATGGAATTGTGTACCTAGGAGGATTATGGCTGCCTCTGCTGAGTTATGCAGGTTGTCAGGGAAGTGGGGGAAAGCTGGAAGTCACAGGACTTATCCAGCTCCTACATAATCCAAAGGGCCGATCTCACTCCCACTGTGCACCCCCAACAACCCTGAATCTCTTTCCAGGCAGTGGGTGAGCAGGGCTTGAGAACTTGCCTCAGGCTCCCCCCGCCCAGCAGCAAAAGAAAAGGGCTTGGTTTTTCACCCACCTGTGGAGTCTGCACACTGGATTAGCACCCTCTCCTGAGTTCTAGTCAGGAGAATTCTTGCCCAATTCATATTCTTACAAAGTTCAGTTGGAGACTTCCTTCTCCCTGTGGTGATTTCCCCTGTGCTTCTAGCCACCCTCCAGATGGATCCCTGTGGTGCCAGGCAGGAATGGTCTGCTTGGGGACCTAGAGAGCTCCCAGGGCCTTTCCAGCTCCTTCCTCTACCCCTGTATTTCCCTCAGCTCTCTAAACTGACACAGCTCCAGGTAAGGCTGGAAACTTCTCCCGCAAACTAGACCTTCAGTTTCCCCAGTGGGGGTGTGTGTTTGGGAGTGGAGGGTCTCCCTTTCCCACTTCCGCAGTTGGGGCACTCATAGTATTTGGGGTGTCTCCCAGGTCCTGCAGGAGCAGTCCACTGCCTTGAGAGGGTCTGTGGGTCCTCTTGGGATTCCTGCTTTGTTCTTGCAATAATTCTGGAACTAAAATTCACTGTGTGAGCTTCTGCATGCTGCTTTGTCCTTCCAAGTCAGAGCTGCAATCTATTCTTTCCCCCTGTCCACCATGATCATCTGTTCTGTTGGCCGCATTTTGGATAGTTAAATAAATGGGCTGGAGTAAGATGAAGGTTAATTTTATGTGTCAACTTGATTGGGCTAAGGGATGCACAATTGCTCATAAAACATTTCTGGCTGTCCCTGTGAAAGTGTTTCCAGGAGAGTGTAGCATTTGACTGTGTAGACGGAGTAAACATGTGGCCCTCCCCAGTGTGGGTGGGCATCATCTGATCCACTGAGAGCCTGGATGGAACAGGAAGGTGCAGAAAGGTCAAATTTGCTCTCCCTTTTAGAGCTGGGACACCCATCTTCTCCTATCCTTGAACATTGGAGCCCCAGATTCTTAGGTCTTAGGACCCTGAGACTTAAACCAGGGCCCCTCTGGTTCTCAGGACTTCCGACTCAGGCTGAATTATAGTACCAGTTTCTTTGGTTTTTCAGCTTGTAGATGGAATGCTGTGGGGCTTCTTGGCCTCTGATATGGTTTGGCTGTGTCCCTACCCCAATCTCATCTTGAATTTTAGTTCCCACAATCCCCACATGTCATGGGAAGGACCAGGTGAAGATAATTGAATCATAGGTGTGGTTTTCCCCATCCTATTCTCATGATAGTGAGTTAGTTCTCACAAAATCACATGGTTTTATAAGGGGCTTCCCCGTTCACTGGGCACTCATTCTTCCCTCTCCCATTGCCATGTGAAGGAGGATGTATTTGCTTCACCTTCCATCATTATTGTAAGTTTCCTGAGGACTCCGCAACCCTGCAGAACTGTGAGTCAATTAAATCTCTTTTCTTTATAAATTACTCAGTCTTGGGTATGACTTTATTAGCAGCATGAGAATGGACTAATACAGCTTTCATAACTGAGTGAGCCAATTCACATTATAAAGCTTCTCTTACACATCTCTGTATATCCTATTGGTTCTGTTTCTCTGGAGAACCTTGACTAACACAAGCACTATGTCCAAATTAGGTATATGATACCTCAAAATTCCAAAGAGAGTTACTAGGCATTGCTTCATTCTCTTAGTGGTAAAAAGGGGTCAGGCACATCCACTCGTCCTTCACCTTGGAAGGGAAGGAGACTTCATCTAGATGGCCCTGGAGATTTCATCTAGATGGCAGGTCCCTAAATTTCTCAGGCTGTCTCACCCAGACATCTAGGAGAATGGCTTTTCCTCCTCACCAGTCAGTATCGTGAGTGTCCACTGTGAAATCCTGGGGAGTGGAGAAGTGAACAAGGACCCTGATGACCAGAATATGATGGATCCTGAGGGATGACAGGGAGGGCTGATTGCCACCACTGCCTCCTGAAAACAAGCAGCCTCTGTGGTCCTTATCTACAGGTCTAGAGAGGAAAAGTGCACTTACATGAATAGCTATATACTGAGTGCGGGGCAGTGGGGAGGGGAGTGCTGACATGCTTCAAAAATTAAAGCATATCTGCAACAGCAGTCAGTCACCAGGGGAGTCCCTGTTTCACTAAGTCTGTGTTGCTCTCCCATCATTTACCGAGACGTGCACAGACCAAAGAGCAAGTTGAATAAGGATGTGGAGGGAGCTGCCACACTTGCAACCCTTACGTTCTGGATCATGGCACCAACTCTGACACT
This sequence comes from Homo sapiens, assembly GCF_000001405.40. Lineage (NCBI taxonomy): Eukaryota > Metazoa > Chordata > Mammalia > Primates > Hominidae > Homo > Homo sapiens. The sequence continues at coordinate 109,315,488 of NC_000013.11, read as the reverse complement.
GCTCCAGAAATGTGACATCACACTGTCTCCTAGTTTATTTAGTAGACGAAGAGATCTTGTAGATGAAGAGATCTACTAAAGAGATTTAGTAGATGAAGAGGTCACCATATTGAAATTTGTCTTCCAGGGTTTAAAGTGTGGCTGCTTGAAAGGTCCATTTTTAGGAATATTGGTTTCCTTCATAAAATATTTCTTTTTTGGCATTTTTCAGTTTTTCAACAAAATGTTCATCTCTCCTCAAGTCTGGAAGCGTTTTCTATGATTATTCCCTCAAATATTTCTTCCCCCCAGTATTCTCTACATCTGCTTTTGCAAAGTAGATTTTCCCTGCTTATGTCCTTTTGTCTCCCCTCTGTTTGTACAACCTGAACTGTATCTTCTCAAAAATTCTCAGCCAGGCCAGGCATGGTGGCTCATGCCCATAATCCCAGCACTCTGGGAGGCTGAGGATTTGGGTGGATCACCTGATGTCACGAGTTTGAGACCAGCCTGGCCAACATGGTGAAACCCCACCTCCACTAAAAATACAAAAATTAGCTGGGCATGGTGGCAGGCATCTGTAATCCCAGCTACCAAGGAGGCTGAGGCAGGAGAATCACTTTGAACCCAGGAGGCGGAGGTTGCAGTGAGCCAAGATCACACCACTGCACTCCAGCCTGGGCAACAAAGTGACTCCATATCAATTAAAAAAAAAAAAAATCGGGCTGGGCGCGGTGGCTCACGCCTGTAATCCCAGCACTTTGGGAGACCAAGGCGGGCGGATCACAAGGTCAGGAGATGGAGACCATTCTGACTAACATGGTGAAACCCCATCTCTACTAAAAATACAAAAAATTAGCTGGGCATGGTGGTGGGAGCCTGTAGTCCCAGGTACTCAGGAGGCTGAGGCAGGAGAATGGCGTGAACCCGGGAGGCAGAGCTTGTAGTGAGCCAAGAGTGCGCCACTGCACTCCAGCGGGGCGACAGAGCGAGACTCCGTCTCAAAAAAAAAAAAAAAAAAGAAAATTCTCAGCCAAATTCCAGGTTTTCCACACTACCTGCAATGCCACCTACTTCTCATTCTTTCACAGCCACTGCCTATTTTCCTCTAAAGCATAAACCATATCACGTTTCTATCTGCAGTATCAGGTGACTAAGGCTATGTCAGCCCCAGTTCACCCTCCCAGAAGACATTCCCGCCATGGCTTCCCACAGAATGCTTGTTTCTGCTCCTGGTGCTGCTTGGCCCTAATTCTCACATGGCCTTGAAGCCTCAGCAACCCGTGCTCAGGCCCAGGCTGCTTCCCACGAGCCCCATCGCTGCAGGGCCTGCACTCCACTCTCTCTTTCTGATGCTGGGAGATTTTGCTCTTGTTTTAAAGCAGAGATATCTATATATTGTATATTTCCTTTATTCTTATATTTGAAGAGAAACTGGGTAAATGACCAAAAGTGTCATTTTCTGTCCAGTTTTTACTTATTTTGAATCAAATTGATGCCAAACCAAATAAAGTGAATGATATAGGCAACTGACTCTAGGTGACTTTTACTCCAGAGGGTGAGGTCAATTAATTAATTTATTTATTTATCTGGCTTTTTTTTTTTTTTTTTTTTTTTTTTTAGTATCCTTAGTGATCCAGACACTTCCTAGGCTTTGGGTAGCAACATTTTAAAATACTGTAATCAAAAACCACAAGTCAAACTAACTTGAGCAAAAATGGAAATATTCTATTTACATTACTAAAAAGTTACATTGGTAAAGTGTTCTAGAACAGGTGAATCCAGAAGCTCAACTAAAGGCACCCAGTCTCTGGGTCTCGGGTTTTCAAGTTGGCTTTATTCTTGGTAGACATTCTCAACATAGCAGAAAAATGTCCTGGGAATTCTAGAATCACACGGCTTTCTTGTTTCTATCTCAGCAAAAGAAGAGATAGTCCCTCTCCCATAACAGTCACTGTCTTCAGGGGTGTGCAGTGCTCAAGCATCTGCTTAGACTAGGGCATGCTGATGGGGGAAATTGTCCCTCCCATGATTAAGATTCTTGTATCATGTGTCAGGTGGAACAAAACCCTTCATTATTATACTCCATTGATGTCACTCTCTTCTTTGTTCTTCTTAACAATGACCTTTCCTTTAAAATACATTTCTGCAACTCCTTTCACACAGACAGACAGACAGACAGATAGACAAATGGATGGATGGATGGATGGATGGATGGATTTGCCTAGTTTATTGTACTATGCATATTTTTTAAATGTATATTTGAACCTCTTTTCAAATATGTATTTTATTTTGTTTCCAGTTTTTTTCTGTGTTCCAAAATGTACACTTGAATAACTTATAAAGTGCATATTATCATGTTGGTTTACTTTTGAGTATAAGCGTCTTCCTTTCCTATGAACCCACAGTAATTCCTGGAAATGTGAGAGCCGGTGGAGGGCTAGTGGTAGGGTCTTAGGCTGTATTTAAGCATATAAAGAACTTGGAAACCCAATGTGTAAAGAAGATGTGAGAATCTCCTATCTGGGCTGGTGGTCAGTCCCCCTCACTTTTCCCTGCATGCAGGTAAATAAACAACAAAAGCCACAATTCCACATTTCTGAGCTGGGGGTCTTATCTTTACAATTATGAAACAATCACATGATGCATAGATCTTTACAGAACATGGCCTATATCTATATCTGTCTGCCATCTGTCTATCTGTCTGTCTGTCTGTATATCTATCTGCATATCTATCTATCTGTCTATATATCTGCTATCTATCTATATATCTTTCTGTCATTTATCTATCATCTGTCAGTCTATTTATATGTCTGTCAGTCTGTCTATTTATCTGTCATCTGTCAGTTTGTCTATCTGCATATCTGTCATCTATCTATGTATCTATCTGTCTGTCTATCCATCTATCTGTCACCCTGTCAATCTATCTATTTATCTGTCTAACTATCTATCAATCAATCAATCATCTATCTCTCTGCCTATCTGCATGTCTATTATCTATATATCTATATGCCTATCTGTCCATCTATATATATCTACCTATCTGTCTATCTATCTATCTATCTATCTATCTATGATCTATGTAATCTATGGCAATTCTTTTTCTTTTTTCTTTTTTTTTTTAGTATTTATTGATCATTCTTGGGTGTTTCTCAGAGAGGGGGATTTGGCAGGGTCATAGGACAATAGTGGAGGGAAGGTCAGCAGATAAACATGTGAACAAGGGTCTCTGGTTTTCCTAGGCAGAGGGCCCTGCTGCCTTCCGCAGCGTTTGTGTCCCTGGGTACTTGAGATTAGGGAGTGATGATGACTCTTAAGGAGCATGCTGCCTTCAAGCATCTGTTTAACAAAGCACATCTTGCACCGCCCTTAATCCATTTAACCCTGAGTGGACACAGCACATGTTTCAGAGAGCATGGGGTTGGGGGTAAGGTTATAGATTAACAGCATCCCAAGGCAGAAGAATTTTTCTTAGTACAGAACAAAATGGAGTCTCCTATGTCTACTTCTTTCTACACAGACACAGTAACAATCTGATCTCTCTTTCTTTTCCCCACATTTCCCCCTTTTCTATTTGACAAAACCGCCATCGTCGTCATGGCCCGTTCTCAATGAGCTGTTGGGTACACCTCCCAGACGGGGTGGCGGTAGGGCAGAGGGGCTCCTCACTTCCCAGACGGGGCGGCCGGGCGGGGGCTGCCCCCCACCTCCCTCCCGGATGGGGCAGCTGGCCGGGCGAGGGCTGCCCCCCACCTCCTGGACGGGGCGGCTGCCGGGCGGAGACGCTCCTCACTTCCCAGACGATGGGTGACCAGGCAGAGACGCTCCTCACTTCCCAGACGGGGTGGCTGCTGGGCGGAGGGGCTCCTCACTTCTGGGACAGGGTGGCCGGGCAGAGACACTCCTCACCTCCCAGACGGGGTGGCAGTTGGGCAGAGGCACTCCTCACATCCCAGACGGGGCGGCCGGGCAGAGGCACTCCTCACATCCCAGACGGGGTGGCGGGGCAGAGGTGCTCCCCACATCTCAGACGATGGGCAGCCGGGCAGAGACGCTCCTCACTTCCTAGACGGGATGGCGGCCGGGAAGAGGTGCTCCTCACTTCCCAGACTGGGCGGCCGGGCAGAGGGGCTCCTCACGTCCCAGACGATGGGCGGCCAGGCAGAGACGCTCCTCACTTCCCAGACGGGATGGCGGCCGGGCAGAGGCTGCAATCTGGGCACTTTGGGAGGCCAAGGCAGGCGGCTGGGAGGTGGAGGTTTTAGCGAGCCGAGATCACGCCACTGCACTCCAGCCTGGGCAACATTGAGCACTGAGTGAGCGAGACTCCGTCTGCAATCCCGGCACCTCGGGAGGCCCAGGCGGGCAGATCACTTGCGGTCAGGAGCTGGAGACCAGCCCGACCAACATGGGGAAACCCCGTCTCCACCAAAAAAATACAAAAACCAGTCAGGCGTGGCGGCGTGTGCCTGCAATCCCAGGCACTCGGCAGGCTGAGGCAGGAGAATCAGGCAGGGAGGTTGCAGTGAGCCGAGATGGCGGCAGTACAGTCCAGCCTCAGCTGGGCATCAGAGGGAGACCGTGGAAAGTGGGAGACGAGGGAGAGGGCGGGGGAGAGGGAGGGGGAGGGGGCAATTCTTGAAGGAGAGTCTCCAGGCAGACTTAAAAAGTAACATCTGACTCTCAAAAAGATGCAATCATCTGTCTCCTGGAGTTTGAATTATAATGATGAAAGACAAATAATTACAGTTCAGGGTAGAAGTATGGTCACAGATGCATTCAGTGCATGAGGAGGGTGACAGGGCCATGAAATGTCCCAAGAGGGGCAGCCTGTCTGATCCATGGAACATCCCAGGAGACTTCTTGGTGCAGGAGGCATTTGACCTGTTACATATTCTCTCAGGACTTTTATGTTTGTGATTGTTTTGAGAAGTAAAATGTAAGCTATTTGTAAAGGGCAGGACAGGCCTTGCAGACTGTATGTCCTCAAATAATGGTTGTCATTATTAATTAAATATTCTTTAAACCGTTGGGGACACTTTTGGTACTAAGGTGAAAAATTTCCCACACTTCATCCTGAATATGATCCAGGGCTTTACTGTAACATGGAATCAGGCCTATTTGTACTTAGTTTGCTCTCAGCAGCCTTGTGTTGTGAGGAGGGGAGGTTTGCTTAATGAGAGAGGTGTGTACAGTTTGGGCTGGCGGTTAAACATACCCTGCAGTGGTGCTCATTCCAAAGTTAACAATTATCTTAACACAATATTTACCTTATCAGAGGAAGTTGCGCTGTTTGCCTGTTCCTTCAGTGAGATCTCCTACTGAGCTGAATTCAAAACAGTTAAGATAAACGTTAGCTCTTTAGAGCACACCGCTAGGGCTGGAAAATGATGGGAACCAAGGTCGTCTCGTGCAGCGTTTTGGATCTGTACAATGACGTCATCTCACCAAGGTCCTTCAGCTGTGAGTCTGATTGATCGTTCTGCATAGGTTGCTAACTACACCTGCACACTTTCTTCCAAATTATGCTAGGCAATATGGCAAAGCCAATTATTTTCTTCCGCTAAGAACAAATTAAATTTTCTGACAATATTACCAAGTAGTGACTGTATTAAGTATAGTTATTGATCATATTGTGCAAGTATTTGCCCAACTGCTGCTTAATTTAGCACAATGTAAACACAGCTCTACAACATGGGGCATGTGGTAGATAATAACACAGGTTTGACACTACCAGAAAAAGTGATTGACCAAAACACAGACAGCCACAGTTGTGTCTTTAATGTTGTCCGGATAAGCAGGGTTTTATAGCTGTCATACTAAAGCAACTAGGACCTCTAGCTTTTCACCTAAAACTTATAAATTATTTTAAAACGAAGGAGGCCAATCATCAAATTGCTGCCATCTTTTCCTAAAATGGTGTCTTTTTCTAAAATGAGATACTTTATTTGGATGCAATATGCTGAATTACAGACTGGAAATCTTAGGTAGATCTACAACCTGTCAGACTCCTCACTGGCCCCCAGGAAAGAGGGTGCCCCCCTCCCTCAGTGAGGGCCTGGTCATGGAGAACTCAAGAAAAATATGATGGCGTCATGCTTCTCTAATAGAACTTATAACCTGAACAAGAAGATTTGTGGGCAAGAAGTAATTAGAGAATAATACAATTTAGTAGTCAAGTACTTAACTGAGTATAAATATGACCAGATTTATGAAAGGAGGAGTTTAATGAGTGTTGAATAAAATAATAGCCTTTTTGAAAAAAAACCATAAAAATTGAATTGGATTTGAAATACTTTTATTCTGTATCTATATGGGTAGCTCTGCCAAAATTATTTATGTACAAAATGCAACTGAATATAACATATAAAACAGTATCATGCAAGGTATTCCATTATAGACGCACATAAATACACACACACACACACACCACCACCACCACGTGCTTCACTACTAAACTATTTTAGTTCTCAAAAAATGCTCTGTTGCTTCAGAGTTTTGTTATACCGATCCTCAACCTTGACAACACAGACAAATCATTGAGAGCTTTAACAATTACCAACGTGGGCAGGTGCAGTGGCTCACACCTCTAATCCAAGCACTTTGGGAGGCTGAGGTGGGCGGACCATGAGGTCAGGAGATCAAGACCATCCTGGCTAACATGGTGAAACCCCATCTCTACTAAAAATACATAAAAAGTTAGCTGGTGTGGTGGCACATTCCTGTAGTCCCAGCTACTTGGGAGACTGAAGGAGGAGAATCACTTGAACCCAGGAGGCAGAGGTTGCAGTGAACTGAGATCACGCCACTGCTCTCCAGCTTGGACAACAGAGTGAGACTCTGTCTCAAAGAAAAAAAAATTACCAATGTGTAAAGTAATCAGTCTTAGATTTTGATGGCAGGGCTCAGGGTCTACATTTTTAGGGCTTCCCATGTGATCCTAAGGTGCAGTCAGGCTTGAAACCGATCATTTTGGATAAGCACATGCTCTGCTCTGTCCCTGAAATTCCGTCCCCACAATTTTTGTCTTTTATAGCCCCGGTTAATCCTACAAAACCCAACACAGGGTTAACCTTTGCAATAAAGGCTCTGCTCCCCCCGCCTCCCAAGCTGCTGGTGAAGGGGGTCACTCTTCCCCCTGCATCTTGAGCTGGAGAAGGCAATACAGCATTCAGCTGCCACACCATTACCTCCCAACCAGAATAGGTGACATCCTGAAGAACTTTCTGTGCAAGACCTGGGAAAACCCAGAGGCATAGTTTGTCCTCCCAAGTCTCCCAAAGGAAGCAACCTTCGGCATCACTCCCCTGCCTGCCTGCCTTCCCATCTCTGTCCTGTTCTCTCCCTGCCTCACAAGACCCCATGGAAACATGCCCTTAATAAATCAAGTGCATCCAAATCATAGACTCAGGGTCCACCCTGCAAAATCCTGCCCTGCGACATGCAATCATGATAAATACTAGTTATTTCAGGGTATGCTGGAGACAGCTTTGACCAGCTCACAAAAGCTAGTTGTGCACATCATGTCTTAACCCTCTTCAGTGAGGGGTATCATCTTGGTAGCTGGAAAACAGCCATGATGTGATCAGTTACACCATAGAAATTGGCGACTGCTGCTAATCAGGGCTTCTTTATTTTCCTGGACAGCTGTTTGCCAAACATTTATCAACACACCACGGGTTATTGCTATGAATTTATTACCAAGGAATAACCAAATAAATAAAGCACATTTGAACTTGGCTTCCCCAACTTTTTCTTGCCCTTTTCTCTTTTTGATAAATAACCATCTTGCTGTACATCAAATTCTTGAAGCGTTCCTGCTTTCCAAGCTTGTTCGTTTCACTTTCCTTGTAGATTCTATTTCTCCATCTCCTGCACATCCATTAACGTCTCTGGGCTCTGGAATCTAGCCTCTGTTCATCCACGTTGCTCCTCAGGAAAGAAAAACAGTATTAGTTTAACACTCCAGAGTATCTAGAACTAAGTTATGCTTTGAGGAGGTCTGAGCAGTTGATGAGCAGTTCAGGCTGTGAAGGAGCTTGCAGGTGTTCCCAGGGCCGCTTGGGCAGTGCCTCCCACACTGCCCATGGGAGTCTGTAGAGCACCAGAGGACAATGAGGGAGTCCTGAAAGGCCCCACTCCCCGCCGGCCCAGTGCAAACATTTCAACCAGCACGACAGCAACCCAGCCGTAAGGAGGCCAGTCAGCTCCTCCTCAGATTTGCTACATCTGTGAGCTAACGACTGGGTCCCTAAGAGGTGAGTGTGCTCCTTTGAGTGTAGGATTGTGGTGGACTGTGCATGACAGAGGGTGGATGAAAATGCTGTGAATGTGTCTGAAAAGTCAGCTGCATTCAAAAAGCAAAGGGTTGAGGGCCTCAGACCTTGGGAAGACCTGACAGGAGGGAGTGGCATATTTGTGTCTAGATAATAGTCATATGCAGTCTCCTGCTGGTAAAACTTTCCAGCACCCGCAACACATCCTAGGTTAGAGAGCTTCCAGACCATGGGTTGTGAATGGTTGTGTGAATGGTGCAGAGAGAGTGAAGGGTCTACAGAAATAATAGGAGAAGTAGCCATGGGAGTAGGTATTTGGTCAACAAATTTTATGAATAATTTTAAGATAATTTAGTATCAGTGAAATAAGGGGTTTGGTCCCACTTCTGGCTATAGAGGCAGGAGTAGAAATGCTCTCTGAGAACTCAGAAAATTAACTGGTGATCCCACTTTTGAGATTGAAGGCCTAGCACAGAAGATCAAGACCAGAGCTGGAGAGAACTTGCATTGCAGGGAGACTCAGACTTTTCAAGATGCTTAAGGGCTTAGTCAAAGGTGGCAAGTGACCTATTAAGGGTAAAACCCAGTTCATCCCATAGGACCTTCCTATGGCTAATTAGAAGTTTGTTCTTCTCCATCGTCCGCTCTCGTTCTCCGCGGAATCATTCTTATCACCATCTAAATGTGCAGTTATTTTCTGCATCCCATTGCTCCGACTGCTTGCTCATTTCTCTTCTCCCTCGACGGCAAAGCTCCCTACACTTTCTCTTCTGTTATCTCCCATTCCCCTCCATCCTGTCTCACACTTTCTTCCGCTCTCACTCTCCCTTCTGCTGAAGCCACTCTGGACCGGTGCTGATGGCTTCCATGTTGCTGCTCACAATGAGCAATTCGAAGCCTTCCTCTCTTTGAGTTTTCAGCAGTGCCTCACATATTTAATTTGTAAATCCATGAAAAACCAAAAAGACTTTCTGTGTTTTCTTCTGCTTCTCAGTTGCTGCATCTTGGTCTCCTTCGATGATTCCTCCACATCACTACCAACTTCCCAGCACTGGAGCATGCCAGGATTCTGGGCCTGGTTCCCTTCTTTATCCTCATGAATTCCCCTGGTGACTTCAGGCACTCCTTTAAATAACACCCCTATTCTGAGGACTCCCAAATGCCTATCTTCAGTTCAAAACTCCCCCTAAACCACAGATGCATATTTCCTTCAATATTTACACTTGAACGTCTAAGAAGTACCTCCAGTGCAGCATGTGCAAAACAGAACCACTGCCTCTTAACATGAGCACACACACACACACACACACACAGGCACAGGCACACAAATGCACACATGTCCTTTCCTTGCTTTGGTGTTTTCTATCATCTTTCTAGTTTCTCTAACAATAATTCTTGGAGTCATCTATGACTTTTTTTTTTGTCACATCATCTTTCTAATCCACCAGGAAGTTGTTGTGGCTCTGTCTTCAAAACGTATTCAGAATCTGACTTTACCAATTCCATTGGCTGGTCTCGGCCACCATCAGGGCACACAGAGATTATTGCACTCGCCTTCTAACTGGCTCCCAGCATTAATTCTCATGTTCCTACAGTACCTTTTCAACACAGTGATCCCTCTAAATACTTGTCCGCACACTTTCACCATTTCTTTGCTCAAAACCCTTCAATGAGTCTTCATTCGTCTCTGAAACCAAAATTCCTACAAAGGTCTTCAAAGCTTTCCTGATCTGAGCTCAGCTACTTCTCTGATATCTTCTGTCTCCTCTTGTCCTAAACTTCCTGGCTGCCTTGCAGTGCTTCAAGCCCAGCAGAAGTCTCCCTCTCCTAAATGATTGCACCTGCTTCTCTCTCTGCTTGGAACTCCTCCCTAGTATCACCTTTTCACTGTGGCCATGCACACTATTTACAGCTGCAGCTCTCCCCTCCCTGCCATGACTATCACTATCACCCCCTGCCACATCGTTTCACTTTTCTCTATGGCATTTATCACCATCTGAAAACCATCTGAAAAACCGTGAGTTTCCTTCACATCTCAGTTCTATTTGATTCCTGAGTTGGGATACCGAGTTTGAGTAGAAGGCGATAATACATTATCCGAATTTGCTTGGTGCTGGAATTTTGGACAGCAAGTAACAAGAATTTGGATAACAAGAGATTTATTCAAACGTGTACGTGTATGTGTTTAGTTCCCAAGTTTGAAGAGCTGGAGATACTTTAAAAACTTTGCGTATTTTTTAAAATTTCTCTCCCCAGATCTGAAAAACACATGCATGGATGATGCCTCTTTTACTTCCTGCAATGTCCTTTAGAACAGGCTTGCAGAAAGTAATCATTCAATAGGTATTTATTGGTGGACCAAAGGAAGAAAGAGAAAAAATAAGAGAGATAAACTGAACATCGATGGAAGCAGAGGCTGGAGGTGAAGAGGAATCATATTCAGAATAAATAATATCTTCTATCCTTTACAACCCTGAAGTGCTGAGATGCAATCATTCCAGCTCTATTATTTCCGAAAGCAAATCGATCAGATTTCTTTTGTTTCCGCTGTGTGGCCCCCAGATCAGTAGAAAGCACCACTGTCTGTGGCCGCAAGTCATCCTTTGAACAGCACCACACTCAGATAGGCTCTTGTATCACGAATCCTGTCTCCAGAAGGTACACGAGTTCTTCTGCTGTCCCCTTGAAGCCGTGGTGTCTACATGCCCTCGGTCCTCCATAAGAGATAACTGCTCTTGGTTTTGCAATACTCAAAGAAAGCGTGAAGCCTCTGCAGGGGTCTCTCCTTCTCTGGGTGATGATAGAGGCTGCAGTCCCAGCTACCAGATGTGCTGGCATTGGCAGCAGCTGCAGAAATGGAGTTTCTGTGATGTGGCTCACAGCATCATTGGAAGAAGCTTAGCCGCTGTCCTCTTAAGGCAGCCCTAGTGATGATCTCTTGAGCTACCTAATTTTCTTTAATAAAGTTTTTTTTTTTTTTTGTATAAAATAGCCAGAGGAGATTTCGGTCTTACTTTCCTACTTGCAGTTTAATATCCTATCTTGAAGGGAGAATTTTTGTCCCTGGGTTGCTTCTTCTTTCCTCTGGTGGAAAGAAAGAGGGACAGCGTTCCTGGAAGTTAGGTATTTCCATTCTGCTTTGAAACTTTCAAAGTTGAAATGCTTTAATTCCTTTGTGAATTATTGAACTGCAAAACAAGTAATCTAAATGAGGCTTTCTCCACCTCGGTGTTATTGACATCTTAGGCAAATGATTCCTTGTGGTGGGCTGCGCTGTGCCTAGCAGGTGTTGGGCAGCATCCCTGGACTCTACCTGCTGGATGCGATGAGCACCCTCCCCATCTATGACAACCAAAAATGTCCCCAGATGCTCCCAAACCCCCCCCAGTGGACAACATCACTCCTAGTTGAGAAACACTGATCTAGAGATGGTTGAACGTGTTCTACTGGGCATTTTATTGTCAGGACAGCAACTCAGAGTAAAGAGACTGTACCAAGTGGTTTGTTCCTTAAATATGAAATTCCCAAAGCATACTCCAACACATTATTTTTGCCATATTAAAAGTAAAACAAAATACTTGCTTTGAATCATAAGAATCCTAAATTTTTTCATTGTTTAGTTAGTCACCCCTCTGTTAAAAGGGATGCCCCACTTTAAGATTATACGTCATTTCTCGAAATGACTTAGTAGGTTGTCTAAAGCTAAAATCTGTAGTAATATATTTGGAAAATAAATAACTGGAATAGGCAGTTATAGTTTAGTTTTCCCACCTTCCCCAAATTAAATTCAATTATGTGGCTTTCTATCAACATATTCTTACTGGGGCCATAACACTCTGCTATTTTCACGTTTATGTTGTGCTTCTTGATATTGATCCCTCCACATTTCACATTCACTACAAGTTTTACTAAAGCCATTTATTTTTAATAACAAGGTAGATGAGCTATTTATAGCAGTCTTATTTTTGAGAATACAATACACACATATTACAAATATAGTAGACCATAACCAGAATTTTGATTCATGGAAAACCTGTCATTAACAGAATAGAATTACTAATTTACGACGTGGCTGATGAGACAGGCGATGGCCACCAGCAATTTTTGAAGGTAAAAAACTTAATAAAACTATTGTTAATATTATAAATAATTGATTATCATTTATTACAAAATAATTATCTTTAAACAATGATCACTGTTAACAAGTGATTGCTTTAGGATTATTGCTTAATTAGTATTAAACAGCATAGTACATATGGCATATGATATTCATTGTCTATTATTATTTTTACAAGCACAGATGGCTTAGTACAATCAGGAAGAATAATGGAGAGTAATCTTTTTTTAATGTAATTACCACATGAATATGTTGAATGATTGTTTTGTTTTGCTAACATTATAATATTATTTTAATTAAGATGCCAAGGACTGTAATTTTTCCCACCTAACTAGACCAAAAGGAAAAGAAACAGATATATTCAAGATGTCTTTAAAGCTTTATTATAAAAATATTTCTGTTTTATAAATATTTGTCACAGTAGTATATCTAACCTTGCTTAAATCTTAGCTCTACAAATGCATTTAAAAACTCTTACTATTCAATGACAGTTCAGTGTCTCATAAAACTTTAATGGTTTGTAGCAAAATGATAAAACTATGTATTCTAGATGTGTGTATAGTTTTGGAAGTAATGGTTCTATGAAAGAGGGTAGCTGTGATGACTGACTATGTAGAAGATAATTTAGATTTCTGTAGGTCTTTATTAAACTAATATTGATTACTCACAAAGATAACATGATTCCACATTGTCTTTACAAATACAGCACTTATAATGTAGAAATACAGTTGTTTTATTTTTTTACAGGAGAATTTCTTTACCATTGATACCTCCCTTTCATATCCCCTGAAACCCATCTTTGATTTTCAGTGCTAAAGCCCAATATGAGCTTTGTCTAGATCCAAGCAAAAACACATGTGAGCAGACAATAAACCTGTGCAGGCTTGGAGTCTGGGACTCTTAGGAGAAATCAAGACTCCCAGGAGAGCTGACTCAAAGCCAAGCCCCTGCTGAGGCCAGGGGGACTGAGGGACTTACTTCAACAATCCAGGGTAGATCAGTGCCATCTTTCACTCAAAGTGGCCTTATGCAAAACACAAATGGTCGGCAGACTTCCTGAGGTTGGTAGGAGGGTTCATTTGATCAAAACAGAGTAGCTGGCTGGAAGTCTGGCCCTTACGTCTGGTCAGAATTATATTGTTTTTGGCCACAGATGGTTGCAAGATGGTGGCACATATGGTGATTTCCGAGTCTAGCACCACGAGTATTGTCATCTCCTAATAGGAGGCTCAGATCGCAAGCAAGCCTTTCATGGCTCCCAGAGCAGGTTCTGAACAGATGCCAGGAGCTCTCCTGGGGGAGGCACATGATACCAATCCCAGTCACACAGGAGAGGGGCTGCTCAGCAGGAGCCTGCAGTCCCAAGACAGCTGCTGCTGGAACCCAGAGTCTGATTTCCAGTGCACAGTTGCATTCTTAACACAGATTTTGGAGCTTTTTTACCCTATGTGTGCACATGCACTTACTAAGGCAAAGCCCAGTTGCCAATGACCCATATTCTCTGGAGGAATCTCTCATTCTCTATTAGAGGCAAGTACATATGTCACCTTCAAAAGAGGGGAGAACGCAGGGTTGTGGTGATCCTCGTGGCCTGTTACCAGCATGTTAACACCTGCACAACTCACTGCCAGTTCCCTGGAGCTAGCCACCAGCTCACCATCAATCCAGCTCCCCAGAGGCGGGGGGCCAGAGATCCTACAAGAATCACGTCTCTCTCACCTGAGCTGAGATGGTCAAGGCTCAGCTTTTAAAACAAGGTGGAGCTCACTTCTTTTCCAAATTATAGCTTCTTCTGTCCAGATTTATTTAAATTATCTCATGACTTTAGTTCAGTTTCTTGACAATAACTATAGACAAGCCACCAGAATTCACCTGCTCCTGTTCCTTCGTCTGCACTACCATGAGAATAAACTTTCAAAAGTACACCTCAAAAGGCATCATGATCTTGCCCACAGTTCTCTAGTGGATCTCTATCCTATTCCACAGTGACTCTCAATCCTGGCTGCACATTCAAATCATCCAGGGGCCTTTGAAAAACTACCTACATGCGGATCACATGCACATTCTCACATATGTAAGGAGAGGACGACTTTCATTCTGTCCAGCATTAAGCCCTACAACATATTCAGAAGATCCCACTAAATAAATAAAACTTTGTAAATCTACAACTGTCTATCAGAGAAATGAAGAAGTAACCCATTTTCTTTTTCTGATTCAAGAAATCAAAAATAAAGAAGGAAGGAGGGAATCAAGAAAGAAAAAAGGAAGAAGAAAAAGCAAGACAGAAGGAAAGAAAAAAGCAGGAAAGAAAGAACAAAGAAAAGAAAGAAAAAGAACGAAAGAAAAAAAGAAAGGAAGGAAGGAAGGGAGAGAAAGAAAAGAAAAGAAAAAAGAAAAAAAAAAGAAAAGAAAAAAAAGAAAGGAAAAAGTAAGCCTACTGATGACTATAGTGTTTGTTAGACTAGTCTGCCAGGGTTCATTCATTTCAATTAAGAAACTTTACTATATTCCAAAAGAAAATTACAAATTCTTAATTTCAATAATGCAAAAAGGCCTTCAAATGACTGTCTTTTTGGTTATGAGAAAAGATTATTCCCATATATCAGACCTCACCAGGCTTTGACTTTAAAATGAGAGTATATATTCTTTTCTATCCAAGTTTTTTTCTTTATTTTTTTTTTATGTCTCGCTCTGCCGCCCAGGCTGGAGTGCAGTGGCGCAATCTCGGCTCACTGCAAGCTCCGCCTCCCCGGGTTCACGCCATTCTCCTGCCTCAGCCTCCCGAGTAGCTGGGACTACAGGCGCCTGCCACCATGCCTGGCTAATTTTTGTATTTTTAGTAGAGATGGGGTTTCACTGTGTTAGCCAGGATGGTCTCGATCTCCTGACCTCGTGATCTGCCCACCTCGGCCTCCCAAAGTGCTGGGATTACAGGCGTGAGCCACCGCACCCGGCTTTTTTTTTTTTTTTTTTAATTTTAAGAGTTGAGGTCTCACTCTATCACCTTCCCAGTCTGGTGTGATTACAGCTTATTGCTCACTGCTCACTCCTGGGCTCAGGTGATCCCCTACCTCAGCCTCCCAAGTAGCTGGGACTGCATGTGGTCACAGCATCTGGCAGTTACATCCAAGTTTTTGTAGTATGCAATATAAGCTATTCACTTGATAGATATTAGCTTGCCTCAAACTGTTTCCCAGGTACTTTTGCAAGTTTTTGAGAAGTTGTTGTCATCCAGAAAGCATTCTGCATGTTCTTCCCTTCCAGGCTTTCCTCTTGTCAGTAGCTGCTGCCTCAACAGCTGGTGACTCTCTGAGATTGCTGGTCTGCTGTGTGTGGCTGCATGGGCTGGGAACCAGTGTTGTCCCGCTGGACCACATAAAGGGTATACTACTAATTTTGGTGACCAATGTGCATCCTTATTGCCAATATTGATTGCAGTAATACATTTCCAACTCAGATGTGTCCAATTAAGGCCAAAAGTCTCCACAAGTGTTGTCTTGGATATTGGCTGTCGTAGAAGATGCTGAGTTCACAGAACTGCCTTTAGAGGCTGGAGCTAGTGTCAATCACAATGGCACTGGATTTAGCACTTGCTCCTGGTCTGAATTCACAAGTTCAGGGCAAAACACACTCTCATTGTTGGAATCACTCGATGCTGCTCTATATTGTACGGTCTGGGCCCAAATCATAGGTCCCAATGAGAAGAGGAATTTCCTTTATTCTCATTCAACAACCTCCCTCATTACCTACCAAAAAATCATCAAATTTCTAGAGCCATTAAGCCAGATTTATCAACTCCAAACAATTACAGTATATCATTTGTTTGAAAAGCATTAACTTATATGTTTTCCAAAGTGTACTGAGCATTACTGGGTAGACTTGCCTGTGATAATGGGAATATCCAATATCTGTAGTTGCAACTAGCCCCAGCTGGCTGTTCAGCACTTGAAATGTGGCTATTCTGCTGGAGGACCCTTTTTTATCTTTTTAAATTTTAGTTTATTTGAATTTCAGTAGCCTCATTGACTAGTGACTATTGTATTGACAGCATAGGTCTAAGTTATTTATCTTTTGCAAAATCAGAACTATCAAATCAACCTATTATCCAAACATGTGCCATAACTATCTTTCTAAAACATGGATCTGATTATCATCCACCCATCCTAACAGTCGTTCTCAAAGTACTCCCCGGCCCTCATCTGTGAAGTTCAATTTCATCAGCTACACGTCAAGTGTCATGGTGGGCCCAACCCCACCTCACCCACCTCACTTCCAAGGATTCATCAAATCAACATAATCAGCTTGAGCACAATATGACCCTAACTTAAATTACTTATTAGCTGAATTGACCCTGAAATAACAAAATAAAGTACTTTTTCACCCATTTATTGAGAGTAAAATAATATTTATTGCACTATTTCTTCATGCCAGACATTGTATTGGCAATTTTACATATTTTACCTTGTAATTGCCATTGTAACTCTATAAATAACGTACTAGTACACCCTACTACTGAGGAAATAGGTTTTCTGAGAAATACCTTTCCTGTAGTTTCTAATATTAGTTGATAGGACTGTTGGAATGTAAGGTCTCTGAGAGTGGAGGGTCCTGCCTTGTGCACTCTTTGATCCTCATCACCTAGACTGGTACCTAGCACAGAGTGGACATTTCCATAATATTCATTCATTGAACACACAGACCAGGTTTTATATCCAGGTCCATCTACCTCTAGAGAACACACATGTTCTTGGGGACACTGCTGCAAAGTCAAATTTTAAATAATCATTTGGAATCTAGGCAGAAACTTCTGTCTAGGGCAGGGATTGACAAAATGTTTCTGTCAAGGGCTCTGTAGTAAATATGTTAAGCCGGTTTCTGTGGCAACTACTCAATTCTGCCATTGTGGTGTGAAAGCAGTTATAAACAATAGGTAAATGAATGAGGATAACTGCATTTCAGCAAAAACAATGGCTAGAAACACCGACTGCAGTTTGCTGAGCCTTGCCAAAGATCAGTAACTGTTAAACTTCCAGGGTTTATTCAACATAAAGCTGGTCGCATCCTTTGCAAAATCACATCCAATAACCTCACATGGCAACCTCAGCCTAAACTTTCTCTCCTTTTTGTCATCAAAATGTCAGTATTATTTTGCATTATTTCTTTTTCATTCAGATTGCTAGAGTAAGATCTTCTGTTTTCCTGAGCAATTTCCATGCAATCCTGTTAGTCATAAAACCCCCAAAGGCCTGGTTGAAAAGTCACATCCACTAATAAGGGCAATCATGTCTAATAGGAGCTCTGATTCATTTCCCAGATGCAAGAACACAAACCACAGTTCTGCTTATTCCAGATCTCAGATGCAAACACTCAATAGCTGAGATGTGTTTTGCCACTGGGTGGAATAAAACATTTCCAGACTTTAGAAATGCAGAGAATCCAAAGATGACTTTAATGTTCGTTGGAAAACGAATAACAACCAAGACTTCACACTGGATACACAAGGAAACCTATTTATCAGTATCATTCAGTGTTGAGATTCTGTCAGCTGGGCCTAAATACGTAGTGCAGTCATTTCGTTTTGTTTGTTCTTTTTTTCATTTTCTTTCCATTACTGGATTCATTTTGTTGAGGTTAACCTTGAACTGATGAGAACTGAGTTCAGTCTTGAAAATAAATTCCATTGTTTACCTAGTATTGTTTTAGCTCAATGAACTCTATTGAGGCCAGTCTACATCTCTGAGTATAGGTACAGACATTGTCTACATGTGTGAATCATAAACTCCCAGGAGTTGTAGAATTCCCATTGGAAGGATCTCAGGTTTGGAGATAATGCTATTCCCGTCACTTATGATGGTAAGCTCCAATGTTCATTCCTGTCACTTATGATGGTAAGCTCCAACGTTCTTGCCAGGGTAGAGAATAGAAATGAAAGATTGAACCTGTTGTTTGATGAACAGCAATGAAAGAATGGTGAGAAACAGCAATGGTCTTAGTGTCTGGAAAAAGGAAGCAGTGGAGTCTGTGACAAATGGCAGGCCCCTTCTTCAGACAGAGTCAGTTGAGACTCAGCTTTGCCTATCATTGCTCTGAAGAAATGCCAGGGTTTTCAGATCATCTAATGTTCTAGTGTTGTTGTGAACTTTTCCAATTTGTAAATATCAGTAACTTCGACTTGTTTTTCCCTCCATAAAAAAAGGGCCAGACTTCATACATATGACAGCTGCATCTGGTCTAATGGTCATCTGCTCTGTTTAGCTCTATGAGGGCTATGTTTGAGAGCTCTTCTTTCAATTATAAAGAAAATAATCTTAGGGGGAAATAAAGACATATCAACAACTATCTTAATGTAAGAGCAAGTTGAAAGGTTCTAGCAGCAAACACTGCAAACAGAGAAGTGGGAATGCTCTGCTTATAAAAGTCACCATCATCACAGATGGGCCTTGCAGATACAGGGCAAAAGTAGCAGTGAGGGCCCACATATTGTACATTTAATAATTTCAGGTTATGTACCAAAATTTCATTGAGTAAAAAATATTCTATATCCCATTCCCTCACAAATATATTTTCATAATTACAAAGTAAACAGCATATGCAAATCTATAATATTAATGATGTCAGCAAGCTACTGAAGACAAAGTAATTTCTTTAGCACTGTGAGCGTCTGGTTGTTTGATATGCTTTGGCTGTGTCCCCCGCCGTCAAAATGTCATCTTGAATTGTAGCTCTCATAATTCCTATGTGTTGTGGGAAGGACCCAGTGGGAGGTAATTGAATCAAGGGGACAGGTCTTTCCCATGCTGTTCTCGTGTTAGTGAATAAGTCTCACGAGATCTGATGGTTTTTTAAGTAGGAGTTCCCCTACACAAGCTATCTTGCCTGCTGCCATGTAAGACATGCCTTTGCTCCTCCTTTGCCTTCCACCATGATTGTGAGTCCTCCCCAGCCATGTGGAATTGTGAGTCCATTAAACCTCTTTCCTTTATAAATTACCCAGTCTTGGGTGTGTCTTTATTAACAGCATGAGAACAAACTAATACAGTGTTCTCTTCATGGACAGCAATATTTAGATGACTAAAAATTAAAAATGCATAGCATATAAATTGAATAGTAACATGAATTTTTTTAGTATTGCAAACTATTTTTCCTCTGCAGCTGTCCTCTGCAGCTGCTGGGAAGACTGGGCAAGGGTTTGAGGTCCTTTAGACCCACAAAATGGAGCAGCAGGAAGAAAGTCAGCACTCTTGGAGAAGAAGACTCCACTATGCAGGTCTGCAGCAACCTTGCAGCAGCCAGGTGTGGCTGGCTAATTTGTCATTTCTCTCATTCAAGGGCCACTTAAATCATGCTGCACATCTAAGCAAGACCCGTGTCTGACATGACAGGGACACAACACAAATTTTTTCTTCATCTGGACATGATCTCTTCTTGTTTAGAGGGCATTAGGGAAAGAGATGTGGGCAAGAGTTGAATTTTGTCTGTGCAGCCTTTGTCATGAGAATGGATGTGGAAGGTCACAGGCAGCACTGCCCCAGCACAGAATGTTGGGTTTTCAGGGGCAGGGGTGCTCATGTTCTCAGGTATAACTTTGTGTGAATGTGTTTGTGTGTAGGGGTGTGCCTGTAGGGTTGTGTGTGTGTAGGGTTGTGGGGCGGGGGCTGTGCATTTGTGTAGGTGATAGGGTTTGGGCATGTCCCCACCCAAATCTCATCTTCAATTCCCTTGTGTTGTGACAGGGACCTGGTGGGAGGCAATTGAATCATGGGGGCAGGTCTTTCCCATGCTATTCTTGTGGTAGTGAATAAGTCTCACAAGATTTGATGGTTTTATAAGGGGGAATTTCCCTGCACAAGCCCTCTCTCTTTGCCTGCTGCCAACCATGTAAGACATGATTTGCTCCTCCTGGGGGCAGGTCTTTCCTGTGCTGTTCTCATGATAGTGAATAAGTCTCATGAGATCTGATGGTTTTATAAAGAGGAGTTTCCCTGCACAAGCTCTCTCTCTGCCTGCTGCCATCCATGTAAGACGTGACTTAACTCCTCCTTGCCTTCCACCATGATTGTGGGGCCTCCCCAGCCACATGAAACTGTAAGATCATTAAACCTATCTTTCTTTTTTAAATTGCCCAGTCTCAGGTATGCCTTTATCAGCAGCGTGAAAACAGACTGATACAGTAGGTGTGTATGTATGTAGACGTGCTTGCGTAGGTATGTGTGTGTAGATGTGTATGTGTGTAGATGAGTATGTATTAGGGATGTATGTGTGTATGGTTGTGTATTGGGGTGTGTGTGTAGGGGGTTGTGCTTGTATGGGTGTGTGTATAGGGTTGTGTGTGCAGGTGGGTATGTGTGTAGGAGTGTGTATGTATGTAAATGTATGTAGGTAGGTGTGTGTAAGGGTGTGTGTATGTATGTAGATATGTGTGTAGGGGTGTGTGTAAAGTTGTGTGAGTAGGGGAGTGTGTAGGTGTGTATGTATGTAGATATGTTTGTGTAGGGGTGTGTATAGGTGTCTGTGTGTAGGGAGGTGTGTTAGGGAAGTTGTGTAGGTGTGTGTATAGGTGTGTGTGTTGGGGTGTGTGTTGGGGTGTGTGCATAGGGTATGTGTTAGGGAAGTGTGTGTAGGGGTGTGTATGTGTGGTGTGTGTGTACAGGTGTGTGTAAGGGGACAGTGTCTGTAGGGCTATGTGTGTGTGTAAGTGTGTGTATGAGCATGTGTGAGTGTAGGGGTGTGTGTGCATAGGGTATTTGTTAGGGAAGTGTGTGTGTAGGGTTGTGTGTGTGTGTAGGGTGTGTGTTAGGGGAGTGTGTGTGTAGGGGTGTATGTGTAGAGGTGTTTGTGTGGTGTGTGTTAGAGTGTGAGTGTAGGGCTATGTGTGTGTGTAGGTGTGTGTATAGGCATGTGTGCATAGGGTGTGTGTTAGGGGAGTGTGTGTGTTGGTGTGTGTGTAGGGTGTGTGTTAGGGTGTGTGTATAGGGGTGTGTGTGTAGGTGTGTGTGTGTAGGTGTGTGTATGGGTGTGTGTGTAGGTGTGTGTATGGGTGTGTGTGTGTAGGGGTGTGTGGGCATAGGGTGTATGTTAGGGGACTGTGTTGGTATGTGTGTAGGGTGTGCGTTAGGGTATATGTGTAGGGGATTGTGTGTGTAGGTGTGTGTGTGTAGGGGTGTGTGTAGCGGTGTGTGTGTAGGATGTGTGTTAGGGGAGTGTGTATGTGTAGGGGTATCTGTGTGTGTGTAGATGTGTGTATAGGGGTGTGGGTGTGTGTGTAGGGGTGTGTGGGTAGGGCATGTGGTTAGGGAGTGTGTGTAGGGGTGTGTGTGTGGATAGGTGTATGTATAGGTGTGTGTGTTGGGGTGTGCGTGCATAGGGTGTGTGTTAGGAGTGTGTGTGTAGGGTGTGTGTAGATGTGTGTATGTAGAATGTGTGTGTGTGAGGTTGTGTGTGTGTAGGTATGTGTATAGGGGTGTGGGTGTGTGCATAGAGGTGTGCGTGTAGGGTGTGTGGTTAGGGAGTGTGTGTAGGGGTGTGTGTGTGTATAGATGTATGTATAGGTGTATGTGTTTGGGTGTGTGTGCATAGGGTGTGTGTTAGGAGAGTGTGTGTAGGGTTGTGTAGATGTGTGTGTGTAGGGTGTGTGTGTAAGGGTATGTGTGTGTGTAGGTATGTTCATGGGGTGTGGGTGTGTGTGTAGGGGTGTGTGTGTAGGTTATGTGGTTAGGGAGTGTGTGTAGGGGTGTGTGTGTGTTGGGGTGTGTGTGCATCGGGTGTGTGTTAGGGGAGTGTGTGTAGGGTGTGTGTAGATGTGTGTGTGTAGGGTGTGTGTTAGGGTGCGTGTGTAGGTGTGTGTATAGGGGTGTGCATGTGTGTGATATGAGTCACTCTACAGTGCAGAACCCCAGACAGACCTCCCCTTGCTTGCCTGAAAGAGGGGCGCTGCTGCAGGAGAATTCTAAGGGCATTTCTTGACTCAGTGAACATTTGTCCTAGGGCCCCTGGAGTATCTCACCCCATTCCCAGGGATAGGGGAATGTAAGGACCCAGCACACCCTGTGTCCTTGGCTTAGGGTATGAAGTTCTTCCAACAGAGATGCCAGGAGATGTGGCACCAGCGCTTCACTGCTAATGGGAACTTGCAGGCAATGTCCACCCTGGGTTGTGTAGGGGTGGGATGCCGTCTTAACAAGCTCCTTCTAATCATAAACACTGTTAGTTAAAGGTGGGTTTGCAACAATATTCTAAATACAGCAGTTCATATTCTCATACAAAATAGTTTAATCTTTAAAACTTTTTTTTTCCAAATTAATTGTTGATGAGACAACAGGAAATACTAAGGAGAAAACTCTAGAACTACCTTTTCTGAATTAAATTGTTTCACAGGAGTTAATAAATTTTTACTCTGACTTAACCAAAATAGGAAGAAACAGACCATTTATAATTTGTCATCTGTGTGTTAATGCAAGAAATATTATGGCAAGGTCCAGCTAGTGCAACCATTAGTGAAAACTTCAATGTAAATGAATATACATTTATATGTTTTAATGAGTCTGAACAAAATAAGATATGTACAAATCATTTGTGTAATTATCTGCAGTGATTTTTTTTTCCTAAGATGGAGTTTCGCTCTTGTTGCCCAAGCTGGAGTGCAATGGCAAGATCTCGGCTCACTGCAACCTCTGCCTCCCGGGTTCAAGTTCTTCTCCTGCCTCAGCCTCCCGAGTAGCTGGGATTACAGGGGCTACAGGCGTGTGCCACCACGCCCGGCTAATTTTTTGTATTTTTAGTAGAAATGGAGTTTTACCATGTTAGCCAGGCTGGTCTCGAACTCCTGACCTCAGGCGATCCGCCCTCCTCGGCCTCCCAAAGTACCGGGATCACAGGCGTGAGCCACCGCGCCCGGCCGACAGTAAGATTTTTATTGATCGCCTTTAATATGCATAGCGAGCATGAAATAAGAGAAAGTTTAACTAGTTGGCGTCAGATGTTGAAGGGCATGAACGTCACGTACCTATAGAAAACCACATTCTTTCCCCGAACGAGGCTTGGGTGCAACGGGTCTGTGTTTGCCTTTTCACTTTGCTTTAACTACTCTCTACTTCTTTCTCTTTTTAAAAGACACATTGTTTCTTTAATAAGCTAATTCCTTCAGTTCAGGTTTGCTGTGGTCAGGGAGACCTTCCATTATCCTAAAGTAATTTTGCCTTAATTCTGCTCTGATCTATTAAGTTGGCTTCTGGATTTACTCTCAAAAGGCAATCTCGACCTCACTCCTGTATTGGATTCTTAGAGATGATACCTCAGCATAACTTTTTTGTGTATCCCAGGTTTCAATGCATGCAGTGATATGTAGCGCATCAGGAAATCAATGTAAAGATATTCTCTAGATTGACTTTCCTGTATATTTGACCTCTTTTTCTAGCCATTTTTAAAAATTAATATGACAACCATCTTAATCTTTAAAGCCACTATTATGTAAGTTTTCATCCCTAACCAGAGATCTTGGAAGACTTAGGGGTCTTGGAAGACTCAGGCACGTCGTGTGATGCTGTACGTTAAAACAAGAAAATGAAAAGAAAAGAAGTAGAACTGGCCGGGCACGGTGGCTCACACCTGTAATCTCAGCATTTTGGGATATTGAGGTGCACGGATCACCTGAGGTCAGGAGATCAAGACCAGTCTGGCCAACATGGTGAAACCCCATCTCTACAAAAATACAAAAATTAGCTGGGCATGATGACGGGTACCTATAATCCCAGCTACATGGGAGGCTGAGGCAGGAGAATTGCTCAAACCCGGGAGGTGGAGGTTACAGTGAGCCGAGATCACGTCACTGCACACCAGCTTGGGTGACAGGGCGAGACTCCACCTCAAAAAAAAAAAAAAAAAAAAAAAAAAAAGAAGAAGAAGAAAAAGAAAAAAAAAAAGGAAAGAAAAGAAACAGAACTGCAGCAACGAAACAACTCTCTTGTTCTCATCAAGAGAGTTGTTTCATTGCTGAACATATAAAGAGGTCTCATTGCGTGGAAACTCTTCTGTGTTGTCCGGGGCGAATCCGATGGGAAGTCAGAGCCCAGGTGCAAAGCCAATGCTTCCACTTCGTGTCAGTTTTACTTGAGTGAGTTTCATCTGATCTCTGTGAAAATTGACATTTTGACCCGTAAAACAGAAAAATCATTAGGAAATTTCCCTGCAGGATTATTGTACATGTTTATAAAGCATGCAAAGGTTTTAGTGTATGAGGGACGTGTCACACAGCAAACCATCAATAACTGTTTCCTATTAGCACTGCCATCATTGTTAAGACTCTATTTACTATCACTACTATTAGATTGGGGTGAACAAGTAATTGCTGTTTTGCCAAAACCGCTAGAGTGCAGTGGCACCATCTCAGCTCACTGCAACCTCCGCCTTCTGGATTCAAGAGATTCTCCTGCCGCAGCCTCCCGAGTAGCTGGGATTACAAACGCATGCCACCATGCCTGGGTAATTTTCTTATTTTTGGTAGAGATGGGTTTTCACCATGTTGACCAGGCCGGTCTCAGACTCCTGACCTCAAGTGATCTGCCCGCCTCGGCCTCCCAAAGTTCTGGGATTACAGACCCATGAATTTTAACACTGGATTTTACCTCAGTCTTGTGCTTTCGGGAAAACAGCACCAGTGAGAACTTCCACCACTTCTGTGTGCCGGGAAATGGCTCACCATATATTCCAAATGTCCCCCTCCTGTACCTCTCCTCAGTGACAGGTCCCTGGTCCATTCTTCCTCCAGATTCCCACAGGACTCACGTCTACCTGCTTGTGTGGGATCTCAGGCTCCTTTCTTTCCTTTGAGCTATTTCTGAGTCATTCTCCTGATTTCAATCACCAGAATAAAATCACCACCTTTCTCGTGTGGAGCATGTGTCTTTCACATCTGTCTATGAATTTCCACATCTGTAGAAGGTACTGCTACTAGGACTATGACCTTCTTTATGGGTTTGTTGTGGATTTTAGACGCACTTCAAGTGCTTAGCAAAATTCTTGACACTCAGTAAGGACTCGTTGGAGACATCTAGCAGCAACGCATGTGCATAGTGATTAATGCTGCATGAGACAATGCTGGAGCTCACTTTAGTTTAATCACTGCAACAATTATTCTTGAGACAGGGATTACTTATTCCCATTTTGCAGATTGGAAAACTGAGAAAGATACTCTGGCCTGCTCAAAGCACTCATCTAGCCGGGTAAAGCTGAAATTTGAACCCGGACAGTTCTCATCCATGCTGTAGCTTAGAGATAGCTCATCTAGCTGTAGTGATGGCTCTGAGCAGCAGGGAGTGTGAGCTTTGGGGAGAAGATAGGATCTGATACTGGTTTCCCATCTTCCCTCTCCCACAGCATCTTAATATGGGTTTGTCCTCCCAGGAGGGGACTGTGGGAGCTGGTCATTCCACCTCGGACAACAGAATAATCTTAAAGTATCACAACAGCTGAGTTGAGGCATAATCTTTCTAGGCCAATGGAACTAGCCCTCCAAGCGTTCTCCTAATTGATATGCCCAGAGCGAATCCGATTGGAACAGGAAATCGGCCTGCCTGTGCAAAACTGACCCATCCAATCCTGGCATGTTGACGGCCACTTACTCCAGCCTTAGAAATATGCCTGGCATGTAGATTTAGTGACAGAAATAATTAGCTATCAGAATGGATCAAAAACTTCTTTTTATGAAACTAATTCATTTAAAGTGCTTATTTATAAGCGTGTCTATATTAGCATTCTTTTAAACCATGATATCAATTTTAGTCTATTGTTAACCTAATGAGCACTAAAGAATCTGCTGAATTCAGCAGACATTTATTGACTATTTTACTCCCTGCCAGGCACTGTGCTAGGTGCCGCATAGAATGACGTGATGCATTTTCTTTTTATTTATTTATTTTTGAGATGGAGTCTCACTCTGTCACCCAGGCTGGAGTGCAATGGTGTGGTCTCGGCTCACTGCATCCTCCACCTCCTGGGTTCAAGCGATTCTCCTGCCTCAGCCTCCCCAGTAGCTGGGACTACAGGCACCCACCACCACACCCGGCTACTTTGTATTTTTAGTGGAGATGGGGTTTCGCTATGTTGGCCAGGCTGATCTCAAACTCCTGACCTCGTGATCTGCCTGCCTCGGCCTCCCAAAGTGTTGGGATTACAGGCGTGAGCCACTGCACCCAGCCAACGTGATGCATTTTCAGAAAGCAAGCAATCTAGTGTGGATGGCGGAGGAAATATAATTGGATAAATACACAAATCCTTTCCTTCTCCCCTTCCTCTTTTCTTCCTTTCCTCCTTCCTCCCTCCCTTCCTCCTTCCTTTCCTCTTTCCTTCAACTCTTGTTTAGTATTTACTCTGTGGCAGACACTGAGTCTATATTGGAGAATATATCAGCCATATTTTCTGTTTTCTAGAATTTATAATCTGATGGAGAAGAAAAACAATAAAAAGTGAGAAACGCTTTGAAGTGCAATTTCAGAGTATTTTACTTAAGGAGGAGAGTGAGTGCCCGCAGAATGGTTGTTCTATCCAGAATCGTTCTGCGTGGCCACGGCGGGAAGTCACTTCATGTCTCCTTCACCTTTGTGAAGCAGCCTCAGATTCCTTTGCAGCCTGAGGCTTTGGCCAGGCACAAGGGTTCATTGATATGGTTTAGTTGGCACTTACTCTTACACATTCTGTTGCTTCAAACAGAAACACTAGTATCTTTCTCACCCCTTTCAGAGAGAGTTTTTTTTTTTTTTCTTTTCATCTAACCTTCCAAAGAATTCTATTCTGTGCAGATGTTGGTGGCAGGATGTTAGAAAATTCCCTGGCAAAAGACTGAGTCTGTCTTTCTGACAAAAATAAACAAACAGCCAAATGTGTAGGAAGGACAGAGTTGAAATAGCTGGAGATAGTAGGCTATTTAGTTTTTCATAGAATCCTGGCCTTTCTGTCAAGGTGGAGTTGTCATTTTTCCATGCTGGGATATAGGTAGAAAGTGGGTTTTCTTTCAGCTGTCATAGATTTGGGGGAAGAACAACTTTTTTTTTTAGAACACCCTGTCTTCAGGGCCTCTCAGTTGCCTATCAGCAGTATGAGACAGAAATGGGCAAAATCTGAGAAAAAAAAAACCATCCTACATTTTAGATTCTACAAGGCTTTTCTTTTGGGACTTTTTTCTCCAAGTGATAATAACAACCCTACAAAACACAGGAACACAGAAACCAATCCAGAATAGATTTTGCA
Source organism: Homo sapiens (assembly GCF_000001405.40). Taxonomy (NCBI): domain Eukaryota; kingdom Metazoa; phylum Chordata; class Mammalia; order Primates; family Hominidae; genus Homo; species Homo sapiens. The sequence goes on along the minus strand of NC_000013.11, from coordinate 109,287,876 downwards.
AACTGTTTAAAACAAGTCTGCCAGAAATCAATCACCCCTTTCCACTTAAACAAGAAAGAGTGACACTCACAGTCTTACCTTCAGAAAATTGTACTGACTAATGAGATTCTAAGTTGTATTGGGAATGATCTGTATCTTAAATTATATAAATTGAGGAAACCATCTGTCCATCACCTGTAATCACACATGAAAAGAACAATAATCATATCTGGTACTCATCAACTACAGTATATTTGTCAATGTTTTCATATATAGTATTTTATAATATGCTTTGAGACAATAGTTTCACATGTCAAGTTGGTGATATATATCAACAATTTGAATTCACATCATTTAACAAGAAAAGTGGGCTGAATCTTACCAGACAATAGTTTCCTTTTCTTGGGGACAATTTTCTCCCTCCCTCTCTTCCTTTCTCATCCTCCTTTCCTTGCTCTTTCTAACAATGGGGTGACCAGCGTGAGTGAAATAATACTGTTGAACCAGGCAAGGCTTAGGGGCCTGAGACTGATGCAGCCTCTCTGGACCACATAAAACTGGGAGATAAGTAAAGAGAAAACACAGTGAAGACAGACTTTACACTTTCCCAAATTAAAATAGTTTAGTTTATTATAAAAGTGATAATATGACCATTTAAAAAAAGCAGACAATACTGTGAATTATAAAGAAGAAAAAAATCACTTAGTAATCTCTTAGAGACCAACTCCGCTACATTTTGAAATCTGTTTCCAGAATTTACTCCATGTTTACATATTTGTGTATATAATTCTGAAAAGGACAATCTGTAATAATTCAAAACAAAAAATATCTTAACATTAAAAAAATTTATACCAATATAGACCTGTTTTATCATTTTTTATTTTATTTTGAAATTTTATTTATTTATTTAATGTTTGAGATGGAGTCTCTGTTGCCCAGGTTGGAGTGCAGTGGCATCATCTCGGCTCACTGCAACCTTCACCTCTCAGTTCAAATGATTTTCCTATCTCAGCCTTCACAGTAGCTGGGACTACAAGCATGTGCCACCACACCTAGCTAATTTTTGTATTTTTAGTAGAGACACGGTTTCACTATGTACGCCAGGCTGGTCTCGAACTCCTGACCTCAAGAGATCCACCCACCTGGGCCTCCCAAAGTGCTGGGATCACAAGCATGCGCCAACCACCATGCCTGGCCTTTTTTCATTGTTTTAAAATGACACATAATGGTCTTTGCATAAATCTACAATAATTTAATAACACCCCTATCAGTGGTTAATTCAGCTTTTGATATCTTTTATTCAGCAGCGATGCTATGGAAAGTTGAACTCAGAAGTAGAGAGTAGAATGGTGGTTAGGAGGGGCTGGGATAGGGGTGGGGATTGGGGAGAGTTTGGTAGAAGGATATAAAATGTCAGTCAAGTGGCTAAGTACAAGAGATCTATTGTACAACATGGCGACTAGAGATAATAACAACGTACCGTATTCTTGAAACTTGCCAAGAGAGTAGATTTTAGGTGTTCTCACCACAAAAAAAGATGTCTGTGGAGTAATGCATGTGTTAATTAGCTCAGTTGAGCCATTTCACAATCTATACATATTTCAAAACAACCTGTTGTACATGATAAATATATACAATTTTAATTTGTTAATTGAAATAAATAAGTAAATAATGTTAAAAAAAATAAAAGCAATGCTCTGAACATTCTTACATACACACTCCTGCACTTGTCTTTTTCTTTCTTTAAATCAGTTTCTGCCTGTGCAGTTGCTGGATCAAAAGTTGTCGACATTTGAATTTTGATTCATTTTGCCAGATGGCCATCTAGAGAGGTTGAAAAATTTGTAGTTCCATAAAGAAGAGCGTGCCTGATGTTAATCCCAGGCAGATGGGAGAAGAGAGCATTTAAAATTTTATACATGGTGGGGATCTTGAGCCTCTTGAGTGTGCTTTGGATGCACTGACCCTTCTGAGCTCTCAAGAATATCTCTGCCTTTTCCAGAGGTTTCACCCATGGAGGAAGTATGCAATAAGTGCACCTAACTTTCTCCAGATTTCATCCTTATCAGGAGGAGGAAGCCATGAGGGCAGAAGCCTGGGAGACTGGGTAGTTTTGCCACTGGCCAGGTGAGATTTTGTCCTGGTTTTGTGTGACATTGCTCGTGACAGCTTAAACATCTTGCACAATCACTGTTTTACTCAGTGCATACTACTTGCTTGTAAAAGTATCGCAAAAATAGTTTGGGAAGATTCATACTAAATAAACAATGATTTTGGAGGGTGACATTGGAAGGGCAAAGGTAATTTTGTGTTTAATTTTTTAAAGTGCTATTTAAGTATTTTAAAGTGTATTTGGGATGTTGTGATTTTTATATATTAAATGAAGTATTTGTTGATTGAATGGACTGGATTTTTGATGGTGGAGTTATTGTAGGTTGATGGTAGGGAAACTTCTTGTTGGAAAAACAGAAATACAAACAAGAGAATCTCTTATTGAAAAATCAGGAATAAAAATTAGTCACACGGGTAGGGATGATCATACTGTATTCATTTTCCCTCATAAACTCCACACTAAACAAATATATAGGCCGGGTGCGGTGGCTCACGCCTGTAATCCCAGCACTTTGGGAGGTCGAGGTGGGCGGATCATGAGGTCAGGAGATCGAGACCATCCTGGCTAACACGGTGAAAACCCATCTCTACTAAAAATACAAGAGATTAGCCGGGTGTGGTGGTGGGCGCCTGTCATCCCAGCTACTCGGGAGGCTGAGGCAGCAGAATGGCGTGAACCCGGGAAGCGGAGCTTGCAGTGAGCCAAGATTGAGCCACTGCACTCCAGCCTGGGCAACAGAGCAAGACTCTGTCTCAAAAAAAGTAAGGATAGGACAGACATCTAAGAACTAGGGATACAGGAGAATAAAATAGATGCAGTTCTTGCATGGTCTATTGAGAAAGATCAGATATTGTTCAATTCATTTCATGTCCCTGAATACTACAAAAGGCAATAATTATAATTAACATTTAGTGAGCAATTGCTGCATGCCAGACATTATTGTTTAAGGTACTTTATGTATAACATATTTCTTTAATTACCATAACTACCCTGAGATCTGGGTATTACCAGATTGTACAATTTAGTAAGAACTTAGGCAGTGAAAGATTAAGTAATTTGCCTAAGGTTACATGATATAATCAATCAAATCTGAGCTATTATCAACTATAAGATATATGTACTATTAAAATGCTGCCTATTAGCAATATAAAATGCCTCTTACTGAAAGACTAACTTCAGAGATATTAGCATGTAAAAAAAGTCCATATTTTGTTCAGTGAAATATGGTAGTTAGCAAGTGTTTACACCTGTAATGTGAACACTATGTCTGTCTCTCCCAAAAATACACTTCTGAAACTATGCGGTTATGTTATTGACCATTAATCAACATTGTATGCGTGATGCTTGCTTCTATTGGAGTCCCTAGCTAATGTTATTCTACAGAAACTTCAAGGAAAACTGGGAATTGTGGACCAAGTTAGCTAAGCACTTTTACAGAGATTCATCATTAATCTAAAACCCAAAGAGTTAATAAAAGTAAGCCAAGAAGATAAATTAACAGCATTCTCTGTATGCACAAGAATACCATGTATTAGAAGAAGCAGAAAGAATCCTGACTGACGGATGTTGGGAAGTGGGGTGGAAGAGGGGTGAATATGAGAATGATGAGGTCGGGGACTCAGGGGGCCCAAGGAAGATACGTTTTTTAATGAGAGAGACTTGGAGATACTTAAATGAAGATAGAAAGAATCCAGGAGTAAGGAAAATGTTGACTACACAAGACAGAGAACAGACACTCATACTCTATGATGACTGAGCAGGTGAGAAGACCTGAGATGGAAGCACACAGGAAAGCGGTGGCTTTCAATTCAGTAGAATATTTCTTCCAGGCAACAAGAGCAAAGGAAGAGAGCACATGAAGTGCTGGGAACAGTCCACATAGACTAACAATAAATTATGAATATTTCTGAGGGTGCACCAGCGCTGGATGGCATCAATGTCACCCACACGGTTCTGCACAGATGGGAGGTTATGCATCATTTTAAGCTTTAGGTGATAAAGGCCTGGACCCAGTGACGATGGCGCAGACAGAGAAGAAGAATGGATGGTTTTTTAAAAAATTAGCTTTATGCCCTAGTTTCTTCAGTTTCATTCCCTCCTAAAAATCAACCAAAATACAACATTCATTGCTTTGTCTTTTCACTACGACTTCTGAGCATCAGCCTTGCCCTATTTTTGTAGGTCCTGAGTCCTTCCAGTTTCAGCTCAGATGCTATATGCCTTCTCTGTTTCTTCTCTGCTACCCTTGGAAGTAAACATGCCCTCCTGTGAGGTCCCTCACATTAGTAAGAATGTTTTATGTTACTTCTTTTGTGTCCTCTTATTTCCTATCTCAGTTGATAATGATTCATGTTCCAGTTATCTCCTTCATGACTTTACAAAACCGTGATCTCTGGGGCCATCTTTCTTCCTCCATCTTTGCACCTGCCCCATCATAGCTGGATGTGGTACTGCTAGGTTAGCACTTGTTCAACCAACTGGACATGGGCACAAGAAGGAGAGAGATTATCAGTGATGATTATTAGGTTTTGATGCCTCCTTTGGAAGCATCTTCTTTGATTCTTCCTTTGGAAGACTAGAAGGCAGATGATTGTCACTGGCAACAGCAGAAGAATTTGGAATAATGGTTTATGGAGGGAAGGTATACATTTATTTTTGGCTTATGGTTGCATTTGGGAAGACTTTGACACTAAGATGGGAACTGGATTTCTGATACTACATTGGAAGACTGCAGGCAAGGGGACCTGTGCCTCTGCAGACAGAGCATCTGGTACAGTCACACAGCTCACCTGCACACCCAGGAGAGGCCAGGCTAATCCCTCAACCTCTCCCAGTCTGATCTCCCTCACTCTTCCAATGGAGGTGATGAGGATGTTAAGAAAAAAAAAACAAAAGCCCACCTTATCTCAGAAGTAGTAATAAAGAGGAAAGAAGGTGAGTTCGTAAAAACACCTTTAAAAGCTTTATAAGACTTAATATGTCAATAGTTATTACTATGAAATGTCCAAAAAATGATTTCCCTTGAGGAACAGAGTGAGCTTTGAAGCCAGATGCCATGGTAGTCCCTACCTCCAGAAGTAAGTATGTTAGTAAGTGTGAATTCCTCAAGACAGTATCTGGAAGTGGATGAGCACTCAATAAATAAGAATAAAACACTTCCTACTATGCTCATTGTTATTTATATATGGATCTGCAAATTGGATGAGAGTATAGTAGGAGCATCATTGTATAAAGTCTTGCTGATTAAAAGAGACAAGAAACAAGATCTAATTGGGGAAATTTCCTCAATTGGGTTATGTGAGAAGAAGCAGCTCTCACGCACATGGTGTGTTTTCTTAGAGCCAGCTCTAATTAGAGCTCAAAATCACCCACTTTCCTCATATGGCTCGGGGAAATATGGCCCTGTTTTCTCCCTCTGGAGGCTAAGGGAGATGTTTTTCTCAATCTACAGAAGAGACAAATAAACACAACCTGGGTGTGGCAGAAGCACCCCCTGCTTGGGCTTACCTTCCTCAGTCCCCATCCAGGACAGAACTCAGAGGACAGGGCCTTGCTTTCTGATTTCTCATTCTGTTCTCCAGAGTTGCTTCCTTTTACACTAGGCAGGTTTCTAGGGAACTGGGCAGCAGGTGTAGGTGGATGACTAGAGGGAAGCTGTGGGAAACAGGCAGGCGAAGCCAGCAGTGGGACCGGCCGCGCTTCTCTGACTCTCGACCCAGGGTGGGTGGCATATCACCCATAGGAAGGACCTCCGAGGCCCAGCGAGGTTTCCCCAGATGCTGTCAGCATGGAACCTCTTGTCATGAAGCAGTAAATGAAGACCCGCTGGGAGCTTGCTGTCCCCGTGAGCTCTCACCTTCAAACAGGGAAGCTGGCTGACAATTGTTCTGCTAAATTTAGCCGTAGACTGGGAGTCCAGGCAAGTGCCTATGTGGCCAAATGAGTAAGCGTTGGCCATACGACTTGTTTTGTCTACAGTGATCTAGAGACACTTCGAATTCTGCTTGGCTTCAGCAAGCTAAGCCCTTTCAAATTCACTATTTCTCTCACAGCCATTCTGTTGTGAGCAGGAGATAAAACAAATAGTAACCTTCACTTCCTTTCATCCAAGGATCAATGTTTTAAAAAAGGAAAAAAAGCAAAGCAAAACAAAGCATCTCTAGGCAACCGGTTCAAAAAAGAAAAAAGGTTCCCGTTAGCAAGGCATATGCCCAGAGCACTTGTGCTGTTGCAGTATATGTGTTTGCTGTTTTGCTTTATGATTTAACACGTCCTTCTGTGATGAGATTCCCGTGAATATGTTGTTAATTGCTTCAAATTCACCAGATTAGGGAAGCCAGCTGTCTTCCCTAATGTGTTAGTTATTTTTATGTGTCAACTTGGCTAGGCCACAGTACCCAGATAGTTGGTCAAATGATGTTTCTGTGAAGGTATTTTTAAAATTTAAGTTCCATTAAATTACATTTTAATTTTAAAATTTAAATCAGCAGACTTTGAGTAAAGCAGAATACCCTGTATGGTGTGGGTGGGCCTCATCCAATCAGTAGAAGGCCTGAATAGAAAAAGCCTGAATGCCATGAGAAGCGGGAATTCTGCCAGCTGACTGCCTTTGACTGTGAGCTGCAACGTCAACAATTCCCTGGTCTTCAGCCTGCCGGTACACTCTGAAAATTTTGGACTTAACAGTCCCCATAATTGCATGAGCCAATCCTTCAAATAAATCTCTCTCTCTCTCTCCCCCCACTCTTGTTTTTTGTTTTTCTCTCTCTCTCTCTGTCTTTCTCTCTCGCTACACACACACACGTGCATGCACACACAGTGTATTCACCCTGTTTATTCTGTTTCTCTAAAGAACCCTAATACACCTGCCACCTTATAATCTGCCATTTCTTGCTTTTCTTTTTAGAGACTCCAGGTAGACATCTTGGATAGAGTGGTCATACCAGATTTAGCAAATACAAATACAGGATGCCGAGTTAAGTTTGAATTTCAGATATACAAGAAATACTTTAGTATAAGTAAATCACATGCAGTATTTGGGATATACTTATACTGAAAAAAATATTCATTGTTTATCTGAAATTCAAACTGAACTGAGCATCCTGTATTTTATTTGGCAATCCTAATGCCAGTATCACTATGGAAGGAGAGGTTAGTTTTGTTCTTCTCTGTGATTCAGACAATACCTAAACTCAGCTCTTTTCTCCAATCTTTGGTCTTCTTCTTCTTTAGGTTCCAGCCCTGGCTAGCATGAAGCCATGACCCTTACTGTTGTTATACCTTCAACACCCTGTCCCATGTTCTCTCATCACCTCAGAAGAAAGATACTCTGAAACTGTTCATTATCTATTCTATAGATTCTGTCCTTTGCAAGATTAGGACCACTTACCTTCTGACGTGATTGTGGATACATTGTCACCATAGCCCTAAATTTGGGGAATCCCTTTCTGATTTCAATAGCCCTCAGTTGTTATCATCTTGCCTTTGTTTCTTTCCCTTTTTTTATATATTTTATTTTGAGATGAAGTCTTGCTCCGTCAGCCAGGCTAGACTGCAATGGCATGATCTCGGCTCACTGCAACCTCCACCTCCCGGGTTCAAGTGATTCTCCTGTCTCAGCCTCCCAAGTAGCTGGATTATAGGTGTATGCCACCATGCCCATCTATTTTTATTTTTTTAAGTAGAGATGGGGTTTCACCATGTTGGCCTGACCTCAAGTGATCCACCCACCTCAGCCTCCCAAAGTGTTGGGATTACAGGTGTGAGCCACTGCGCCCAGCCCGCCTTTTGTTTCTGAATGCCTCAGTTCTGGCCCCTGTGACTGACGGCTCCTTTTCCTAACTCCTAGGAATGTCAATGGTGTTCCCCTGGGTTTCAAAACACTGTAGTATCAAAATCACGATAAAGGAGGAATTAGGATTAAGATCTACCACTGTAGGTCATCCCTTCTCATCCTAGCCACTCAATAACTATTTGTGGAATAACATACAAATGGCATTATTTAATATTGTAGATAAAAATCTTCATACAACCTTAGGGTTAAACAATCCTAGAAAGTCTGTATTATGGCCACTTGTCTCATGTTCAGAACTCTCCCTTCCTCCCATCCAAGTAGGATGTGAGTCGTGGATGATATTTAATAATGATGATAGTTAATGTCTCTTCGTCCTTACTGTGTTTGAGGCACATAGACTTTAGGAAGGAGATACCAGTGTCATCATAATTGTACAGGTGACCAAACTGAGGTGCACATGGCTAAAGGCTTTTTCAAGGTCATTTGGCAAGATAATGGCATTGGGACCCAGGCCCCTTTAAATCCAAGTTACCATCAGGCTTCTACAGGTCATGTGCCTGAGCACTTCTTGATAAGAGACTTACATATTAACAGGCATCATTTTTGTTTTTAAAGTTCTTCCTGCAAAGCAATTCCCAAGTGTTCCTTGATGTATGGAGCAGAGATTGAAGAGCTGGTGAAGAGTTTTCTTAGTCGTGTGCACGTAGTCATGTGCACAGATACAGGGTCTGTGGTATTGGCTAGTCCTGGGGCACTGAATTTACTAAGGGTCATGTTACCTGCTTAGATCTGAGATGGGGGTGGGATTAGAAAGTGCATGCCTGCTTCCATGCCATAAAGAACCTACATTTGATAGAAAATGATTTTTACTATTCTGACCATTCAAAGTAATTATTGAGTATGCATGATGTAGCATCCATCAGCTAAACTCTCGAGCTCTGGACCCAACTCTCTTGCACTTGAGTCTTGGCTCGGCCACATACTAGCAGTGTGCATAAGGGTTTTATGCGCACCCTCTGTTATTCAGTTCTCTCATCTGTCAATGGGGTAATAATTATACTTACTTCAGCCAGGTGTGGTGGCTCACGCCTATAATCCCAGCACTCTGGGATGCCAAGGTGGGCAGATCACCTGAGGTCAGGAGTTTGAGACTAGCCTGGCGAACATGGTGAAACCCTGTCTCTACTAAAAATACAAAAAAATTAGCCAGATGTGGTGGTGCACCCCTGTAGTCCCAGCTACTTGGGAGGCTGAGGCAGGAAAATCACTTCAACCAGGGAGGGGGAGATTGCAGTGAGCCAAGATCATGCCACTGCACTCCAGCCTGGGGGACAAGAGTGAGACTTTGTCTCAAAAAAAAAAAAAAAAAAAGGAAAGAAAGAATTATACTCACCTCATCAGATTATTGTGGGGATTAAATTAATAAAATAAAGAAAGCTTTTAGAATGGTGTGCTCCAACATAGGTGCCATGCAAACATTTGTGGTTAATTGTGTTCTTGTTTTCCATGCAGATATAGACAATGGGGACACATTTTGTTTACAATATAAACAAAGTACAGGCCGTCATGGGATATATCTATCACTAGGATCATGAGAAAATTACTAAATAACTATGTAAGTTAATTTAAGTTAATGATAAATGCTATGAAGACAAATTAAGCAAGGTGGAGGTTGAAAGGGTGATGGGCAGGGTCTTCTTTAAAAAAGGTGATGAGCAAACACAGTGACTTAACATGAAGCCCTGGAGTCAAAAATACAAATGGCCAAGAAATTCCATGCTGAGGGAGTTCCCTGGGTCATGGCAATGTCAGTGAAGGTCTTTGGGGAAGGATTTCAGTAGGGAGACAGGACGGGTCTGATCCCTTGGGAAATGCAAGCCACTCGCTGGGCGACATTCAGGCAGGTGCATCAGGGCGTGATCATGGGGAAGACGATGCACTGCCAAGCCCAAGTGGCCCCAGTGGGTTTGGGGAAATATTGGGAAATGCTTACGAATAGGCAGGGCAGAGCTATGTTATGAGAAATCTGGAAAGCCAAGTACATATGTTGTAGGTTTGTTGTGGTAGGACATAGTCAAAGTGTTGGAGGATTTTGCATGACACAGTGATGCTGTTCTTTAGAGAAGACAAGACTGGGCTGCAGTTACAGGGCCAGCCAGTGGACACTGCTGGGGAGCCCAGAGCTTCCCATGGAGAGACTGGAGCCGAGAGAGGGCAGGGTTCCTTCTGAAGAACAGGCTTCGTGCTGCCTTGGGTGTGTGGGAGCTGGCTTCCCTTTCCATTGTGTTTGTGATGATAAATCCTGCACTTGGGATCTTTCCCCAGGTTACTCCCCTTAGACAACCAAGGCTCCTGCAAGGCTGGAAGAGAAAGGCCCCCCTTACTTTAAAGAAAAATGGTTGCCCCTTACCCTGCCCCTAACAACTGGCAGGGTTTGTCAGCCCAAGCCACAGAAATTCCAAGACCAGAGAGAAAGCAACCTTAAACCCCAGCTCAGTGTTCTTAATGTCAGAGATAGTAATCTTGAAAAATGAGTCTTTTCTCTCTGGAGGGCACTTAGGTCTAGATACAGAATATCCATGTTGTGCAGAGCATAGTGTCAGGCCCACCGTCGGCTTTTCCAGACATTAATCCATTTCAAGACCATACTGTGTGTCTTCAAGCCATGAGAATTAAGTGGAAATAATGGATGCCCATCTAGAAGGTAGCTACTGCCCTGTGACTAGAACTCGACACTTCAATAAGTATTCCAATACTTTGTGCAAGCCAGTGGAATGGGCAGAAAGGGGGCCTAGAGGAGAAAAGATTACGCTTTTCAGCCATGGAGGTGCCTGGCTGAGACTCACTATATCAGAAGACAGATGCACAAGAAGAAAGCACATACATGTATTCAATGTAAGTTTTATGTAACATGGGAGCCTTCAGAAATGAAGACCCAAGGAAACAGGGAAATCTATGGATGTTTAGGTTTGATGAAGACTTGGACAGTCATGCAGAAATATGATTGGACAAAGTGGGTGTGACCTAATGGTTATAAAATGAGGGGAACTTAGCAAGGCCTTTGTTCAGATTCGTCTTGGTGTTTTTTTGTCTTCATTCCTTTCCCCCCAATATAAGGAACAGTCTTCTGTAATGAGAGTCTTATGACTTATTTTAGAGAAAGGCCAGAGAATTCTTTCATGGCCTGCTTCAGGGGAGAATGGTGGAAGAAGGTCAGAGAGACCTTCCTGCTTCTGCTGTCTCCTTAAATGCCAGCATGTCATATTCTAGGGTAGCGTGTTCTGGTCCCTGTTACTCATCTTGTATTGTCCTTCAAGCGGCATCTTCCTGCTTCATTTCTTAGTCCTGCTTTATTTACGGCTTGCTCTTATCTTTCTCCCTCTTTCCTTTCTTCTTTACAAAGTAGATTCTCCTGGCAAGGTAGAATTGCAGTGCTCTTTCAAGGACTGAATGGCTGTTGCAATACGTGTGGCTTTTCATGCCTGTCATCTATATAGAGCCATATTCAAATAGGACGACCGGGGCTGGTTAGAGATGTCAGGATTTTAGTGCACCTACTGAAATGCACACTCTGGCCTCCACCAAGAGAGGGACATGGAAACAGGCCTAGGGAATGTAGTACTTTTGATCTTTATCCATACTCCTCCCTCCCTCTTACAACTCTCACAAAATTTGCCCTCAAAAGACACCTTTCATAAAAAGTCAAACATCTCACTTCCTTCTATAACTTCCCTGACTGGTTTGTATTCATTTGAGCTTCTCTTGCAAAGCTGAGCCTCGCTTTGAAAACTCTGGGATCTATTTCATTCTATATGCTGTGCACTTCACATGAGTTCCTTCTGTGCAAGCTGGAGACTCCTCTGGGCTCCTTCCCTGAGTGTTACGCTGGCTTCTTCCTAGACTTCTCATTCAGCTCGGTGTGTGTGTGTGCGTGTGTGTGTGTGTGTGCACGCATGTGAGCATTCACCCCCTAGCTGCAGGTGTAAGGGATGCAGGGATGGAACTCTTCCATCAGAGGATCACTAAAGGCATACTAATTAACTTGTTCTCTTTTTTTTCTCTGAAATAATTTTTCTCTTGGACATATTGAGAAGTAAAAGATTTCATTTTTCACTGAAAAATAAAATGTTCATGCTACCAACAGCCTGCTTTGGATTTCTGAAAGATATCTGCAAGGCCAGGAAGCACACTGCAGCTAGGCTTAATGCTGAAGGGCCCAATCCTCCTTTGAACAAAGGAGCCCTCGATTTACGCCTCTATGGCCCATTTTAGCAAGTTCAATCTTTCCATTAACCCCTGGTAACCATAATGACTTCCTAATACCAGTAAATTAACAAATACCGGGGTGCCACCAAATGCATCCCTGAAGTGCCTTTGGTGTGGTCCCCGGCCTGCTGAAACGAAGCGTGGGCCCCGCCTTTGTTCTTCCCCAGGACTTTTCTTGTGGGCTCACAGCACTTTGAATCTCAAATGAGCTGCCTAATTAATCTCCACAACTATCCTGTGAGACTTGTCCATTATCTTCACTTTGCAGATAGTAACAATTTATAGGACTTGGCTGAGGTCACAGGAAAATTAGCATCAGAGCCAGAATAAAATTCTGAGTTCCTAAACCCCTTTCCTCTTATCCTGTTCCCTAGACAACATCATTTCATCCTCTTGGTATAAAATTAGTAAGTGTGGCGGGGCCGTATTGCATCGTAATGAACTACTGTTTGGTACATGTGACCTAGAGGCTAAGGGCTTTTTTTTTTTTTAAATGCACAGTCTGAAAAGGTACTAAAACAATTATTTTTGGAATATGTCTTACAGAATGGCTTTTAGACGCCATGTGCCCATTCGTCTCCATGAAAGGAATGTCATTTACACAACCCACTGAACATCTCCGTGGTTCAGGTAGTCCTGTGCCAGGACCTGGAGAAGACGCTGACCCTCAGGTGTTTTCTTTTTTGCTGATAAAGTGTGGGTGAAATGTGTTGGACTTGGTGCATGCTGCAATAATTGCAAATGAGATGATCTGCACATGAATTTTCTTGGTGTGATTTTGTTTGATCTTTCTCGGTGTGGTTCTGTAATGGCAAGAGACATCTTCCTCTGCATCAGAGTATGAAACATCTTAAAAGGCATTGCATGGCTGAAGTGCAGGTCTGTATTTTTTAGAACTAGCTATTTGACAGGAAAGGGTGTAAATCCACATTGTGTTCATTCAATTCCACAAGCATTCATTGAACACCATCTCATGACAAGCCAGTGCCAGGGGCCGTGAATGGGGCTGGAGGCAGACACATTCCCAGGGTGACTTTAGAGTGGCCTCTCCTGTGTGCTCATTTGGAAAATCAGAAGGAAGATGACGCAGGCTTGATTCTGTCCGGCTCAGATGTTCAAGAACATTGTGATCACTTCAGATAATGTTTATCTTATTTATGATGTTGCACAGATGTTCAAGAACATTGTGATCACTTCAGATAATGTTTATCTTATTTATGATGTTGCACTGACACAGACTGTCAAGGCTGAATTCCTACCCTGCCTGTCAACAAGTAAACAAGTCCTTAAGCGGATTATGGGAACTAACTAAGGAGTAATTAGAAGCATTTTGTCAAGTCACTAGAATGGAATCCCAGGGTGGACCCTTTAGGAGAGGGAGAGTTCTTTGATAATGCAAACACATTCTTTAGATTCCAGGTTCCAGTGTGGCTTCTGGGTGGCAAAGTGAGAGGAGCTTGCTTTGGAGAAGTGGAGCTGGCCTTAGGAAGGCGTGTTTGACTCTGTTGACAATTATCAGTCAGGAGCTAGATCTGGGTAGGACAGTTAGAAACACTGACATAATTCTTACTTTGTTTTGTTGGCCTTAAGAATAAAAATTTTAAAATACAGATGATTATTCTATACTTTCAGGTTTATTATCAACCTGTAGCACTCAAAAGCTTTCAATTATTGTTAATATATTTGAGTTAAATATCAAAGTAATAGGCATTACTTACTTTTAGAAAATTGCAACCAATAAGAGGCATTTCATTTGTCGTGCATTTAACTTTTGAGACATAATGAATAGTTTCCTAAAACTTTTCAAAGCTGAATGTTATGGAAGAAACATTCTCACCATAACTCTTAAAAATTGCATATCCTTACAAGTGAATACCATATCAAAATATGAAAATCATTTCAGATATTTATTAACTACTTAAAACTGACAAATGGTAAACAGAAATGTCATTTCTTTCATTAGTACAGAGAAAGCTCCCTCACTCCTCCCAAATATCTATTGTGATGAATTGGTTGATTATTTTAAACAATGTAGTTGCACAAATAGACATTAATGTGAATGATGATAGCATGTCACTTCTGAGGAATTGCATTTAGGAGGTACGTGTATGACAGCTTATGTGTAATCTTCAGGCTTGTATTTATGCCACAAGAAAATAGACTTTCTTCAATGATTCACTTCATCACAGGTGGCCTACCTACCTGAAAGACATCTTCATGCCAAAGTTGGCTGACTTTCTCATGCACAACGAACCCATATTCCCGTAGGAATTGAAGGATATGACTAATCAGTTGAAAACAGTTCTTTCATTTGTTTAACATGTCAAACTCAGGAACAAGCCCCAAGGTTCAAGTTTTACTGAAAGACTTTTACCATAGTGCTTTTTTGACATAGAAAAGAAAAACAGAACAATAAAAAAAAGAAAGTCAACAATTTTTTCAGTGAAGAGACTCACAGAGATTGAAGGTTCTCCGAAAACATTCAGGCCAATGCATCATTTTACATATGAGAAAACTGAAGTCCAGAGGTGACAAAATTTGACAAATCTACATAGCTAAAATGAAACCAAACAGACTCGTAATCCTACTTGGTGCTGGAGGGAGGCTGCAATCTGGGGAACTTGTTATCCAGACATCCCAGCTGGTAGAGTGTGCTACTACATAGATAAAGTCACTGTGGTTAGTGTCTAGCCTCAGCTTTAAAGTTCTGGAAAATCAAATTTGTCAATATTCCCATGGTTATTTAGAGTTAGGGGAACTAATATAAATTCCAAAATATAAATTTATAAAAGAAAATATTGTGACTTTTCTTGTTCTCTATGTAGAACATGCCCATAATCTTCCATAATCATCCTTATGACATGCAGCATCCTTACAATGACTGAGAAGTGGTAAATTTGGAAGCTTCTTAGGTGAGTGTCGAGAGGGCCGAGGAACAGAATAGTCTCGGGACATCTAGTCATCCCAATTTTACAATTGAGCTATAGGCTGATAATACCACTGTCTCTGTTCTCTAAATAAGCATGGCAAAATTGTGGTTTTCTGAATGTCGTTCATCAATAATCCAAGCTGGCTTTTTCACAGTTAGTGTCTAGATAAGGTTCAACAACATACATGTGGTTTCTCATGGTTGTATTTTATTTACATTCTATTCCCCCTTTCAGACCAATCAATCACCTTGATTGAAGTTCTGACTGTGGTCTTGCTAAGAATTCTTCTGGAATATGATCCCTTTTGCTTGTCTCTTCAGCTTGCTTGGCAACTTTCTACCCACTTTCCTCAAAATTCCGAGACATCAGACTCACCTCCAGTTCATCTCCAGTTCATGTGACAGCTGCTGTCCCTGCTGGTGAAGTGGCTGTGCTGTCTGGGGTATACACCCTGGGGTTCATCGTCACACACCAAGAATTCAGGACACAATCACATGTGGGTGGGTTAGGGAGTGGAAAATTTAATAGATAGAAGAAAGGAGAGAGGAGAGCAGCTCTTAGAGAGAGAGAGAGAGAGAGACATCTGAAAAGTGGGGAGGCAGTGGACCAAAACAGATATAATAAGTTGGAGAAGGCGGTGTCTGATTTACATAGGGCTCACAGACTGGTTCCATCAGGTATGACGTCTACATAGTGTGCGGGGGAAGGCTGGTTGCCCCACCCTAATCTAATTATGCAAATAGGCTTTCCAGTTGATCAGAGCCATCTTCTCTGCTCCTTACAATACACTTGGCTGGCAGGGAAGGGAAGATGGAGCCACCAGTTTGAAAATGTCTAGTCCTTAGTTCCTGCTGGCATTCACCTATGCAAGCTCCCAGCTTGCAGGCTGCTCTTTGTTAGAAAATGACTTGGGGCTGCTTTTCATTAAAAAGAAAAGCCTTACCCAGGACTCCCATGCCCTTGCTATCTGCCTAAGCAATTCCTTCTTAACTCCTATATCCCTGGGGAGATGGTAGGAGTGCTGCCCCTGTCTCCTTGCTTGAGAGGGGAACTGCCCCAGGGAACCACCGCCATCTTTCTCTATTGCCTGTGTGACTGCAGCATGGTGAGGTTCTAAGTCCCTGTACCCCTTTTGACTAAGGATGTTTTCCTTCTTCCCCATGATTTTGCTGGAGAATGAGAGGCAGAATTAAAACGTGCTGCATTTGTATTCAGATGTAAAGTTTGTGTCTCTGCAGAAAGCATTGCTTGTGTAGAGAAGGAAAGCATATTGTTTTAGTCCACAGGGGAGCTAGAAATGTGATCAGTCATCAGAATAAGGCAGATGTGTGCTAAATATTTCAGTCACTTATTAGCAGATAATTTATTGGCTTATTATCAAATGTAGCAAATATTTGCCATGTCTGCTTTGGGTTACTTTTTTTGGGAAGCCTTAGGCCGATTTTTGGCAACAGGGATTGAAAACATTTTACCACTTCCCTTACTGAAAAGGCCTTGTTGCCTGGGTGGGTGCCCAAGTCGTTGGTCTCACAGCTGAGGAAATCGACGATGCAGACACACCAAGGACGAGGTCAGAGCAGAAGCAGAAGTTTAACAGGTGAAAGAAAGAGAACAGTTCTCTGCTGCAGAGAGGGGTCCCAGAAAGGGTTGCCGTCCCACAGTAAAATGAAAGGGTTTTTTTCATGCGCGTCCGTGTGAAGAGACACCAAACAGGCTTTGTGTGAGCAACATGGCTGTTTATTTCACCTGGGGGCAGGCGGGCTGAGTCCGAAAAGAGAGTCAGCGAAGGGAGATAGGGGTGGGGCCGTTTTATAGGATTTGGGAAGGTAATGGAAAATTACAGTCAAAGGGGGTTGTTCTCTGGTGGGCAGGGGCGGGGGTCACAAGGTGCTCAGTGGGGGAGCTTCTGAGCCAGGAGAAGGAAATTCACAGGGTTAATCACTCAGTTAAGGTGGGGCAAGAACAAATCACCATGGTGGAATGTCATCAGTTAAGGCGGGGCAGGGCCTTTTCAGTTCTTTTGTGATTCTTCAGTTACTTCAGGCCATCTGGGCGTATACGTGCAAGTCACAGGGGATGCGATGGCTTGGCTTGGGCTCAGAGGCCTGACATTCCTGCCTTCTTATATTAATAAGAAAAATAAAACAAAATTGTGTTGAAGTGTTGGGGCGGTGAAAATTTTTGGGGGGTGGTATGGAGAGAGAATGGGCGATGTTTCTCAGGGCTGCTTCAAGCGGGATTAGGGGCGGCGTGGGAACCTAGAGTGGGAGAGATTAAGCTGAAGGGAGGTCTTGTGGTAAGGGGTGACATTGAGGGGGTTGTTAGAAGAAACATTTGTCATACAGAAAGATTGGTGATGGCCTGGATACGGTTTTGTATGAACTGAAAAACTAAATGGAATAAGAGAAGGAGAAAAACAGGTATAAAAGGACTAAGAATTGGGAGGATCTAGGACATCTAATTAGAGAATGCCTAAGGAGGTTCAGCATAGTCCTTCCAGCGAAGATTATTTATTTACTTCAAGAGTTAAGAGTGGCAGTTTGGGGATAGCATGAGGAGATATCAGCCATGATGGCTTGGAGAAACAGTGTAAACTGGCAGTGTAAACAAGAGCAGGGCATGTATGAGTAGTTGAGAACGGAGAATAGGAGTATGACTAGACGGAAAATAGTAGGGATGACAAGTTTTTTTGGGGGCACAGTCTAAGTTGGTCTGGTGTCTGGGATGAGACTGGGGCCTAATAAAAAGGAGCTTAAATGGACTGTACCTTGTAGCATTCTGAGGACAGGTCTGACTTCTGAGAAGGGAAAGTGGTAAAAGTATTGTCCAGTTCTTTTTAAGTTGGTGGCTGAGCTTGGTGAGGTGTGTTTTTAAAAGACCTTTAGTCCGTTCTACTTTTCTTGAAGACAGAGGACTATAAGGGATATAAACTGAAAAACTGCTTGGCTAATTTGACTAATAAAGCCTGGTCTGTTATCAGACTGTATAGAGGTGGGAAGGCTAAACTGAGGAATTATGTCTGACAGAAGGGAAGAAATGACTGCGGTGGCCTTCTCAGACCCTGTAGGAAAGGCCTCTACCTATCTAGTGAAAATGTCTACTTAGACTAAGAGGTATTTTAGTTTTTGTGACTCGGGGCATGTGGAGTAAAGCTAATTTGCCAGTCCTGGGCGGGGGCAAATCCTCGAGCTTGATGTGTAGGGAAGGGAGGGGCCTGAATGATCCTTGAGGAGTAGCAGAATAGCAGATAGAATAGCAGATGGAACACTGAGAAGTTATTTCCTTGAGGATAGATTTCTACAATGGAAAGGAAATGAGAGGTTCTAAGAGATGGGCTAGTGGCTTGTAATATGGGGAAATGGGGTGAATGTCAGGTGGATCAGAGAGATGCAGTCATGGGGATCAGGTGTGGTATCAGGAATAATGTGGGAGGCCAGATTGAAGTCTGGGCCAGGAACAATGGTAATTGTGGGACTTAACAAAGAATGAGTACAGCTGAAGGAGCCGGGGAGCAGAAAGTATATGCGTCAGGTATGAGGAAGAAAATAGATTTTGGAAGTTATGAGAAATGTAGAGAGTGAGTTGAACATAGTTTGTGATTTTTAGGGCCTCTAAAATTATTAAAGCAGCGGCAGCTGCTGCATGCAGACATGAGGGCTAGGCTAAAACAGTAAGGTCAAGTTGTTTGGACAGAAAGGCTACAGGGTGGGGTCCTGGCTCTTGTGTAAGAATTCTGACCGCACTAACCATGCCTAGGAAGGAAAGGAGTTGTTGTTTTGTAAGGGATTGAGGTTTGGGAGATTAATCAGACACCATCAGCAGGGAGAGCACCTGTGTTTTTGTGAAGAATTATGCCGAGGTAGGTAACGGATGGAGAAGAAATTTGAGCTTTGGAGGGGGATACCCGATATCCTTTGGAGAATAAATGCTGAAGGAGCAGAAGTATGTCTTGTTGAGAAGATTCAAAGGAGGGGCTACAAAGAAGAAGGTCATCAATATATTGAATAAGGTGAGAAGTGGAGGGGTGGAAAGAAAGTAGATCATGAGAAAGAGCTTGGCTGAAGTAATGAGGGCTGTCCCTGGAACCTTGCGGCAGCACAGCCCAGGTAAGCTGCTGAGCCTAATGGGTGTCAGGGTCAGTCTAAGTGAAGGCAAAGAGAGGCTGAGATGAAGAGTGCAAAGGAATAGTAAAGAAAGCATGTTTGAGATCCAGAACAGAATAATGGGTAGTAGAGGGAGGTATTGAGGATAGGAGAGTATATGGGTTTGGCACCACGGGGTGGATAGGCAAAACAATTTGGTTGATAAGGCACAGATTCTGAACTAAGTTGTAAGCCTTGTCTGGTTTTAGGACAGGTAAAACGGGGGAATTGTAAGGAGAGTTTATAGGCTTTAAAAGGCCATGCTGTAGCAGGTGAGTGATAACAGGCTTTAATCCTTTCAAAGCATGCTGTGGGATGGGATATTGGCATTGAGTCGGGTAAGCGTGATTAGGTTTTAATGAGATGGTAAGGGGTGCATGATCGGTCGCCAAGGAGGGAGTAGAGGTATCTTATACTTGTGGGTTAAGGTGGGGGAATACAAGAGGAGGACGCAAAGGAGGCTTTGGATTGGGAAGAAGGGCAGCAATGAGATGCAGCTGTAGTCCAGGAATAGTCAGGGAAGCAGATAATTTGGTTAAAATATCTCGGCCTGATAAGGGAACTGGGCAGGTGGAGATAACTAAAAAAGAGTGCATAAAAGAGTGTTGTTCAAGTTGGCACCAGAGTTGGGGAGTTTTAAGAGGTTTAGAAGCCTGGCTGTCAATACCCACAACAGTTATGGAGGCAAGGGAAACAGGCCCTTGAAAAGAAGGTAATGTGGAGTGGGTAGCCTCCATATTGATTAAGAAGGGGACAGACTTACCCTCCACTGTGAGAGTTACCTAAAGCTCGGTGTCCATGGTGGTCTACAGGGCTTCTGAGGCGATCAGGCAGCGTCAGTCTTCAGCCACTAAGCCAAGAAGGAGTCAGTCAGAGAGCCTTGGGCCAGAGTTCCAGGGGCGCTGGGAGTGGCTGCCAGGTGAGTTGAACAGTCCGATTTCCAGTGGGGTCCCGCACAGATGGGACATGGCTTAGGAGGAATCCCTGGGCTGCAGGCATTCCTTGCCCTGGTGGTCAGATTTCTGGCACTTGCAGCAAGCTCCTGGGGGAGGAGGTTCTGGAGGAATGTCTGGCCACTGCGGTTCAGGCATTTGGAAGTTGTTGTGTGCTGGAGATGTGGCTGGGGTTTGTCTCACAGTGGAGGCAAGGAATTGCAACTTCCTTTTTTTTATTATTGTACACCTTGAAGGTGAGGTTAATTAAGTCCTGTTGTGGGGTTTGAGGGCCAGATTCTAATTTTTGGAGTTTTATTTAATGTCGGGAGCAGATTGGGTAATAAAATGTGTATTGAGAATAAGATGGCCTTTTGACCTTTTAGGGTCTAGGGCTGTAAAGCATCTCAGGGTTGCTGCCGAACGAGACATGAACTGGGCTGGGTTTTTATATTTGATGAAAAAGAGCCTAAACGCTTCTGATTTGGGATAAAGAAAAAGGAGCATTAACCTTGACTATGCCTTTGGCTCCAGCCACCTTTTTAAGAGTAAATTGCTGGGCAGGTGGGGGAGGGCTAGTCACAGAACGAAACTGTAAGCCAGACCAGGTGTGAGGAGGGGAGGCGATAAAAAGATTACAGGGTGGAGGAGCGGAGGCTGAGGAAGAATTGGGACCTAGCTTGGCCTGGCAAGGAGGGGAGAGGTCAGATGGGTCTGTAGAAAAGGAAGATTAGAAAGACTCAGTGACGCTTGGGGTTGGGACTGAGGGGACAGGCGGGAGGGAAAGAAGGAAGATTCAGAATGAGTTGCACTGGGCACAGAGACTAGGAAGGGACTGATGTGTAAAAGAATGCCTGGATGTCAGGCACCTCAGACCATTTGCCCATTTTATGACAAGAATTATTTAGATCTTGTAGGATGGAAAAATTGAAAGTGCCGTTTTCCGGCTATTTGGAACTACTGTAGAGTTTGTATTGGGGTCAAGAGGCATTGCAGAAGAAAATGAGACACTTAGATTTTAGGTCAGGTGAGAGTTGAAGAGGTTTTAAGTTCTTAAGAATACAGGCTAAGGGAGAAGAAGGAGGAATGGAAGGTGGAAGCTTGCCCATAGTGAAGGAGGCAAGCCCAGAGAAAAGAGTAGAGACACGGAGAAGGGGTGGGGGTTTCTTGCCCTCCAGAAAAGCAGAGAAAGGGTTGGGGCACAGAAATAAGGGATTGGGGCACAGAGATAAGAGGTCAGGGTGTGGAAATAAGGGATTGGGGGTTCTTGCCCCCTAGAAAAGTGGGAAGGGGGGTTGGGGCATGGAAATAAGGGATTGGGGCACAGAGATAAGAGGTTGGGGTGTGGAAATAAGGGATTGGGTCACAGAAATAAGAGGTCGGGGTGTGGAAATAAGGGATTGGGGGTTCTTGCCCCCTAGAAAAGCGGGACTTGCCACTAAGGGTGAAGGAGAAGGGGTTGAGGGGTACTTTCCCCTCCCCCAGAAAAGTGGGACTTGCCACTAAGGGTGAAGGAGAAGGGGTTGAGGGGTTCTTGCCCCTGCCCCAGAAAATCAGAGAAGGGGTAGAGACAAGAAGAGAAGGGGTTGGGGTACTTGCCCCTTCCCCAGAAAAGCAGGGAAGGGGTAGAGACACAGAGAGAAGGGGTTGGGGTACTTGCCCCTTCCCCAGAAAAGCAGAGAACGGGTAGAGACACAGAGAGAAGGGGTTGGGGTACTTTCCCCTTCCCCAGAAAAGCGGGACTTGCCGCTAAGGGTGAAGGACCAAGGCAGGCATCCCTGCATGGTCTGACACCCTTGAAACGTGGGTGAATAATCAGAGAGGTGTCCCTGCAATGATTAAACAGCAAGGGAAGGCTGCCTTCCCAGTCCGTGACCAGCGCTGGAGTTTTGGGTCCACAGATAAAACGTGTCTCCTTTGTCTCTACCAGAAAATGAAAGGAATTGAAACTAAGAGAAGGGAGAGATTGAAGTGTGGCGCCAAGATTGAAAGGAGAAAGAGGTTGAGGGATAGTGAGGGAGGTTGGAGAAGAGAGTAAAAAGAGGCGGCTTACTGGATTTAAAATTGGTGAGATGTTTCTTGGGCTGGTTGGTCTGAGGACCTAAGGTCGTAGGTGGATCTTTCTCATGGAGCAAAGAGCAGGAGGACGGGGGATTGATCTCCTAAGGGAGGTCCCCCGATCCGAGCCACGGCATCAAAGTTCACTCGAGTCCATGTGAAGAGACACCAAACAGGCTTTGTGTGAGCAACATGGCTGTTTATTTCACCTGGGGGCAGGCGGGCTGAGTCCGAAAAGAGAGTCAGCGAAGGGAGATGGGGTGGGGCCGTTTTATAGGATTTGGGAAGGTAATGGAAAATTACAGTCAAAGGGGGTTGTTCTCTGGTGGGCAGGGGCGGGGGTCACAAGGTGCTCAGTGGGGGAGCTGCTGAGCCAGGAGAAGGAAATTCACAGGGTTAATCACTCAGTTAAGGTGGGGCAAGAACAAATCACCATGGTGGAATGTCATCAGTTAAGGCGGGGCAGGGCCTTTTCAGTTCTTTTGTGATTCTTCAGTTACTTCAGGCCATCTGGGCGTATACGTGCAAGTCACAGGGGATGCGATGGCTTGGCTTGGGCTCAGAGGCCTGACAGTTTTTATAAGTGACCTAGTGGGGAGGCAGTATTTTACCTACATAGGGTGTGAAAAAACAGTTAAGACCAGGTGTACCATCAGCATAGAGTGCGAATCTCTGGCAGCCCCCATCCCAGCCTTTTATTATGGAGGCGGGTCCTTTGCCTGAGCTACTCCATGTTGCTTTCCTACTGTGCAGGTGCAAAAAAAAGAAAAAGAAAAAAAAAAGTGGGAGGCGGAGCCCTCATGGTGCACATGACTGGCCCCAGGTACCCCTTTCTAGTGCGGCAGCTCCCAGCTGCAAGCTTCCAGCTTCCTTATCTATGTTTGCAGCACAATCTTCCAGGCTGCTCTTTGTTAGGAGACACGTGTTTTCTTGGGCTGCTTTTTGTGAGAAAGGAAGTTCTACTGAGGAATTTTGACCTAGCTATCTGCCTAGCTATTCTCTTTTTACTTCCTCGCTCACTATGGGGTCCAGCCAAATCCAGTGGCATTGGGAATGGAAAGGAAGCAAGAATGGCAGATTATGTGGGAAGGTTTCCAATCAGCTAATTGGACTTAAGGGACAAGGGAGAAGTCAAAATAATGATGGAAATGATGGCCAAGGGAAGGGTCTTATTGTTAAAGAAAGCTCTGGGAAGGGAGATAATAGGTGTTTATAGCTATTTCCTGAGCAATCTCTGTTAGCAGGAAAATTCTCTGAAGCCATGTGAAGGGAGGCAGTTGCCAGTGAGGGGAGTTGGTGAGAAATGCCAAAGCCCCCTGGATTAGATGAAGAAATTGTATTCTCCACAAGTTATCTTTGAAAGATGACTTAGTGTACATGATTGGGAATTATATCTTGATAAGCCCCTTGGTTGGTTCTGGGAGTGATTCCTTCAAGGGGAACGCTTGGGAAATAATATATAATAGTTAAATATTCTGGTAACTTCATGGGCTTTATTCAGCTGAGTGGGCATATGAGTGTGGGGATATCAAGGGTTTAGGACAATAAGGTGATCAAAGCACTGACTCGGTGGTCTTTTAATTCCTCCATTCTGTTCTTCCCTGTTCAGTGCTTAGCTTCTCTTAATATACATTTCACAAATATATTTATTCTGAGGAACTAAATTATTAGCCTGACTAGGTGTTCAAATGTTTCCATATAGGCCTTTCTGTTCCTTTATCTGGGATTACAGGCATGAGCCACAACACACAGCTTAACCCCTGTGTGACTATCTAGTCCATAGAACTTCAGAAAGTACAACCAAATAGGGTGAAAGTTCAAGTCTTGCGTCCTCTATAATCCTATCTTGCACCCTGTCCCTCACCAAATATTTTGAAGCAAATCCCAGACATCATATCATTTCCTCCATAAATATTTCAATATACATCTCTGAAAGTTTAGACCTCTTTCAAAAGGTTAATTTCCATATGATTATCATACTTAAAAATTAAAAATTATTCCTTAGGCAGGGCACAGTGGCTCATGCCTGTAATCCCAGCACTTTGGGAGGCCAAGGCAGGTGGATCATGAGGTCAGGCATTTGAGACCAGCCTGGCCAACATAATGATACCCCACTCTACTAAAAATACAAAAAATTAGCCAGGTGTGGTGGTGGGTGCCTGTAATTCCCGTTACTAGGGAGGCTGAGGCAAGAGAATCGCTTGGACCAGGAAGGCAGAGGTTGCAGTGAGCTGAGATCTTGCCACTGCATGACAGTCTGGGCGACAGTGCAAGACTCTGTCTCAAAAAAAAAAAAAAAATTATTACTTAATACTATTTTTTTTTAAAGTTGAAGTCTTGCTTTGTTGCCCAAGTTAGAGTGCAGTGGGGGCACTCTTGGCTCACTGCAACCTCTGCTTCCCAGGTTCAAGTGATTCTCCTGTCTCAGCCTCCCAAGTAGATAGGATTATAGGTGTGCACCACACGGTTGGCTAATTTTTGTATTTTTGGTAGAAATGGGGTTTCACTATGTTGCTCAGGCTGGTTTTGAACTCCTGACCTCAAGTGATCCGCCTGCCTTGGCCTCCCAAAATGCTGCGATTACAGGCATGAACCACTAAGCCCAGCCCCTTAATACTATTACATATCTACTAAGTGTTCTAATTTTCCTGATTCTCTTTTCTTCTTTTACAATTTGCCTGACTCAGAAGTCCCAAAGAGATCTATACCTTGCAGTTGATTGATTTATCTTTTAAACCTCTTTTTTTTTTTTTTTTTTGAGATGGAGTCTCGCTCTGTTGCCCAGGCTGGAGTGCAGTGGCGCGATCTTGGCTCACTGCAAGCTCCACCTCCCGGGTTCACACCATTCTCCTGCCTCAGCCTCCCAAGTAGCTGGGACTACAGGTGCCTGCCACCACACCTGGCTAATTTTTTGTATTTTTAGTAGAGATGAGTTTTCACCATGTTAGCCAGGATGGTCTCGATCTCCTGAACTTGTGATCCACCTGCCTCTGCCTCCCAAAGTGCTGTGATTACAGGCATGAGCCACCGTGCCTGGCCTAAACCTCTTTTAAGATATAGAACTTGTTGGCTTTTTCCTTGCATTTTATTGGTCGAAGAAACAGGTTGTTTGTCCTAAAGAAATTTTTACAGTCCAGATTGTGTTGTGTAATTCCTTTGAAACCTGAATTTCTTATAAACTAGTAAACCTAAACTTTTAGTAGGATTTGGGTTTTATTTACTGTATTTTACTCTGTATTCAAAAATACTTGTAGGCAGAATTATATTTGTTATTAGGAGGTGTACATTGTCTAGCCATCTCTTTTCTTTGTAAAGGTAGATGACTAATCTGACTAAATACATAAAAAAAAGAGAGTTACAAAATGGTGATGTCTTAATGTGATCATTTCTTTTAAATTTATTGTCTGTAGTGTATCTACAAACAATGCCTTTCCATTGTATATTATATGTTTACTTTGAGGTAGAATTATTATAGGAAAAGCAATGTAAGTTCTTGGTTATATCCTCTTATCCACTAGTTTTCAAAACAATAAATTGTTTTCCTTTCACTCTCTGAAGATGATCACTGAAATTTGACTTAAGTATTTGATATGGTTTGGCTCTGTGTCACCAACCAAATCTTATCTTGAATTATAATAATCCCCACACATTGTGGGAGTGACCTTGTGGGAGTTAATTGAATCTTGGGGGCAAGTTTTTCCCATGCTCTTCTAGTGATAGTAAGTCTCATGACATCTGATGGTTTTATAAAGGGGAGTTCCCCTGCACATGCCCTCTTGCCTGCCACCAGGTAAGACGTGCCTTTGCTTCTCCTTTGCCTTCTGCCATGATTGTGAGGCCTTCTCAGCCATGTGCAACTGTGAGTCCATTAAACCTCTCTTCTTTATAAATAACCTCATCTTGGGTATGTCTTTATTAGGAGCATGAGAACAGACTATTACAGTATTATTATAAACACATGAATTTACATGCTTAATGTAATTTATTTCATTTGTTAATCTTATTTGTGGCCAAATTTGCCCTCCATTGGCTAATGAAAAACTCTTGAATGTGGCTGTTGAATTATTTGCTCACGATTTCAATAGACTTTGTTAGCTTCTTACTGTCTGGGAAGAACAGACATTTCAGACTCATCTTTAACATTTTCTTTCTCAAGCTGAAAGCAATTATTTCACCAAGGAATTCTGGTTCCTTGCAGTGGGAAATCATATTTAGAGACCATGATCTTTGTGCTAGAGGTGCTAATTGCTACCGAGTTAGTCACTGTTTCTAGACTTTTCTAGAGGACAAAGCTAAGAAACACACACGCACATGCCCACACACAATGTATTCATAAAGATGATATACAATGTGAATTCATATTGATTACTAATTTTAAATACAATTTAAGACTACAGGTTATTATTCATCTCATCAACCTTACATCCGTATCTCATTCCTTTCATGGTGAAAACGCCAATCCTCAATGATAATAGTTCATTTGATTTATCTCACGATAATTACTCATTACATACAGAAAATAATGACATATTCTCAGAATAGTTATATCACTTCTGTCACAAATAATGTGATTATTGAAAAGAGTTGAAGATTGTTCTTCAGGTCTTTAGTATCTAACCCAATAGGGGGTATAGTAAATCAATATTCTTTAAAGTTACTTGAAATTTTTGTCTTTTTGTGAATATGCTACTAACCTGATAAACAGGTTCATTATTTTTTATTTGCTTTTGATTTTAAGAATGGCCTTTGTAATTTTAATTTTATTTAATATAATGTTAAGCATTTACATGAGTTATTTGTCAAATGTACAAAACAATGTATACTCAGGGAAGACTTGCTTCTATTCCTTTCTCTTGTATGTATTTAACCCTCTGTAGGTACAAATTTTTTAAGTTATTAAAATAAAACATGTTTTCTGTAGATATATATGTATATATACACACATACTCTTCTTAGTTAAATATTCTACACATTGAAGCTTCTAGAAGTATTCATCTTTTATTTGTACAGCTCTATAGTACTCTGTTGTGAGGACATAGCATAGTTTATTGAAATATTGGAAAACATTGTTCTTGCACCCTTTCTATTAGTCATAATGCTGCAAGGAATATAGTTGCACACCTCTATTTTTCATATTTTTGCCATGTACTTTTAGGATAGATCTCTGGAAATGAGATTGCTGGGTCAAAGATAAATGCTTAAGTCATCCTGTTACACATTTCCAAATTCCCTTTTTATAAGATAAGGTCATTTTGTATTTCTATCAATGTATGAGATTGTCTGTTTTTCTCCAGCTATTTTGCTTTAGTTTCCTCTTATTTTGCTAGTGTAGAGGAGGAATATGGCATCACAAAATTAGGGAGAATAAGTATCACAATATGTTGAATTGAGAAAACTTCTCATTCTAACAGAACCTATAAATCCTCAATTGTCTCTTGAGAAGAAGACAATACGTGCAGAAAGCATCACTAAAGATTTTAACTTTTTCATCGTCAGACTCTGAAAGTCACTCGTTAGAAGTCTGATCTAGCAATATCTCACGTGATTAATTAGTAATCTGGTATCAGCCAGTAAAGGCAAAAGCTACTTGCCTTCACTTACAAAATATGTCTTGCAGGTAAAAACATTTTAGTTATTTTGTATGCTAAGTCTGAATTCATTTTTTCTCATGTATGTTGTTAAGATGCCTGGAACAGTCATTTGTTGAGGTTATGTTTGGCCAGGTAGAGCTATTCATTTATTTTAAGATGTGTTTCTGAAGTATGGCTGTCATCTGATTGGTGTACCTACTCAAATTTCTCATAATGCAAACTGTTCCTTCCTGGTTGGCATTCCTCAAAGTTCACAAAATGACAACCAATTTCGCAAAAGGGTCATGTTCTAGATTCAAGTAGGACACATTCCACTAGAAAACAAAGTAAATTGTTTTTAAAGGAGGCTTGATAAAGAAATAAAATTTCCAGGTAATATGACATACAAGTGTTATATTCACATAACATTACACTTTTAAGCATTTGGAAAATGGAGACTGGTTCTTCCAGTCATTCATTCATTTATTTGTTATTTATTTATTTATTCAGCAAGTATTTTTTTAAGTATTTTTAAGTCCCAGTTATGGGCCAGTGTTATGGGAATTGTGTTAACTGAAGATACAAGACTAACCAAAGTAGACACAGTTATTAGCCACATAGAGTCAAACATTAAGAAATACTATTGAGATTAAGTCATAAATAACAAAATAGCAATAATTTGGATGAAGATCTCTGCACAAGTCACTGTTCAGTCTACCTCTGTCCCTTTGTTGAAGAGTTGCTTATATGTGCTGGCTCATTACTTTCTTTCATTTATGCCTAAATCCACTCAAAATTCTTTTCCTAAGATCTCCAGTGGGCTTCTGGTTCTGGCTAAAATGTAGTAACTGGTACTGAACTAGTCCTCCGGACATAAAGAGCTAGAGAAACTGAAAAAGAAATGGTTTTTAGACATTAAACAAAAGGCAGCATAGGAATATAATCCATGGCAGGAAAAAACTAATGTGGTGGGCCCTGGATGCCTTGGCTTTCTGCCTGGATAGTGCTTCTGGACCAAGGCCCCTGAAGAGGCAGCCTAAGCAGAACTTGGAGTCTCACTGAGATGAGGTGATAGAGATCAAAGTTCAGAAAGACTGAGAATAAAGGTACTTGCACAGGAAATGCACAGTTGAAATTTTTGGGGCAGGGTACTAGAGAGGAAGGGCCAAGCAGAGAAGGAGCTTCAGAATCTACTCAGAGTTTTCCCTGAGTCTTTGTCTGAATAGTAACCTGAACTTGTGTAGGGTACAGAACAACTATCAAGAAAAGATAACTGTCATGGAACTACAAACACAAACCACTGGAGCTCATGTAGAGCTGGGAGACATTTGGGCTCCAGCTAGCCTGAATGGAAAGACCAGGGCATTCAGTAGAGGCTCCACAAAGGCCACATCTTAAGTGCAGGGCTCACCTAGCCCCAGAGCAAAAGCTATTCTAAA
This sequence comes from Homo sapiens, assembly GCF_000001405.40. Classification (NCBI taxonomy): domain Eukaryota; kingdom Metazoa; phylum Chordata; class Mammalia; order Primates; family Hominidae; genus Homo; species Homo sapiens. Next base: position 109,258,653 of record NC_000013.11, on the reverse strand, counting down.
CCTTCTCTAACAAAGCTTAAAAACATCCTAAGAAAGACTGTAAAGGTCAAACATCCTCAAAGAGATTAATCTCCTTCCAGAACAAAGTACAGAGTATTTTAAAGGAAGACAGGAATCCAGACATTGAACAACAGTGGTGATGTCAAATATCCAATTAAAATTACTAGACATGTGGGGAAGCAAGCAAATGTGACCCTACCAAGAAAAAAAATCAGTTGATAGAAACAGAGCAGTGACTTTCTAGTTACCAAAGCTAATGATTTTAATTTAGTTGTGATCATCCTATTTGATCCATTTGGGAGGTACTTTGCTGATGATTACTCTTCCCCTCTCTTGGCATCTGTAACACAGAACATCCCTAGTTCCCTGACATTTCTACAAACCCACCTTCTCACTTCTTTATTGGCTCTTGTGTCTGCCTTATTTCTTTTTTTCTTTTTTTGAGATGAAGTCTCATTCTGTCACCCAGGCTGGAGTGCGGTGGTGTGATCTCGGCTCACTGCAAGCTCCACCTCCTGGGTTCACACCATTCTCCTGCCTCAGCTTCCTGAGTAGCCAGGACTACAGGTGCCTGCCACCACGCCTGGCTAATTTTTTGTATTTTTAGTAGAGATGGGGTTTCACTGTGTTAGCCAGGTTGGTCTCGATCTCCTGAACCTCATGATCCACCCACCTCGGCCTCCCAAAGTGCTGGGGTTACAGGTGTGACCCACTGCGCCCGGCCGTCTGCCTTATTTCTAAGTATTAGTGTTCCTCATGGCTTTTCTTTTCTTTTACTTCTTTCTGACTTATATTACAAGTTCTCTGAAGAGTCTCATTTATTCCCATGACTTGAATTAAACATTTTCTTTTTATAAGTTTTTGCTTGTATAATAAAAATATTTTAGTAATTATTATGGTTATTGTGTCCATATGCATTACACTTTATCAAATATTGTTATAGACTTTCTTTTGATTCCTGTGCAACCTGTGTGTGATGAAAAATTCAGGAACTCTTACTACTATTTTTAACAAAAAAGAAAAAAAAAGTTTAGCAAGATGAAGGTACTTGTCCAAGGTCACCTGTCTGGGAAGTGGTTTGGCATGGTCTAGAATCTGGGATTTCTGACTCTTAGTGCCAATGCTGTCACCAAATCTGCAGTTTTCTACAATGTGTCCTTTGTAATCCACAAGGATTGAATACACTGTGGATTATCACATATTCAATAATCATGATAACTGCTGTGAAAAAATTGTCTGAGGTTCTTATTTAATTTTGAAATAGAAACGTCTCCTTGTTGGGCAGTGATGTGTAGATGAGTTTCTTTGAATAATGTCTTTAAATGGACCGAGGCAAATTCTGTCAGGTGATTCATGCCTCACATTGACATTCCAAAGAGTCAGATTGCACAATGTGCTTTTGACTTTCTCCCTCTGAGCAATTTGAACTATTTGTGCTCACATGTCCTATCATGGAGCTAGCTGCCAGTGTGGATGTTCAGTTTCATCATGACTAGGATTCCTATCTGTGTGGACACAGGCAGGAAAGTCCAGGATAACTTCAGTATAGGGCTGTGGGTGGCTTACATTCTGAATTCATGGGTATTGTCTTCCTTTACAGGGAGGCTAGTGCCTAACATAACAAATATTTGTCAATGGTGATGATAGCTTTCCTTATATAGTTCATACTCCATCACTCTAGTTAGGAATGTTACACACTTTTTTCTCCTTAACCCAGGAATCCCTACTATGCCCTTTGATGTAATCCCATAGTTTTTGTTTTGGTATGTGACTTGAGAAGTCAAACGGTTGGACACAATTTTGAATTTTCTCAGTTTGCCTTAGCACATTCAAATAAAAGTCAGAAAATGCAGAGGTCCTCAGGAAACAAATATCCCCAGCCTCACCCCCAAACACACAACAACAACTGAAACAAAAGCAAACACATGAATTAACAAACAAACAACACCTTGAAAAACCTAAACTTTTATTAATGGTCTTTTCTGTACATATCTGTTTTCTCATTTACAATTTAAAAGTATTAAGGAAAGCTTATTTTAAAGTAATTGAATAGCGATATTTTGAATTACAGCCTCTGTTATGTTTGGGACTGCACCAGGCATCTTTATTTAAACTATTATTTTAAGTTCAGGGGTACAAGTGCAGGTTTGTTACATAAGTAAATTTGTGTCATAGGGTTTTGTTTTACAGATTATTTAATCATCCAGGTATTAAGCCTAGTAGCCATTAATTATTTTCTGGATCCTCTCCTTCCTCCCAGTCTCCCCTCTGATAGGCCCCTGTGTGTGTTGTTCCCCTCTAGTGTCCATGTGTTCTCATCATTTGGCTCCCACTTATAAGTGAGAATATGTGGTATTTGGTTTTCTGTTCCTGTGTTAGTTTGCTAAGAATAATGACCTCCAGCTCCATCCATGTCCCTGCAGAGAACATGATTTTGTTCTTTTTTATGGCTGCATAGTATTCCATGGTGTATATGTACCACATTTTGCTTTATCCAGTTGACCATTGATGGGCATTTAGGTTGATTCCATGTCTTTGCTATTGCGAATAGTAGCACTTATCATTTACACTCTTCAGAGTAGCGCTCATAATTGCTCGTTAAAATTCTGCTTAATAACATGATTAAACCTGTGTTGTTTTCAAAGGAAAAACAAATTTCATTTGCATATGCAAATTTCATATTCATATGCTGTAACCTGTGTGTATCATTGCCCTTTATATATACTATTGATTTTAGTAGGGGTGAAATAATCTTTTATAACTGTGTTTTTCTTTCTATGTAAAAAATGTATGCTTGTTACTAGAAGGTGAAAGTAAGGGTTAAATGACTTAGAGTAAGAAAAAGAGTAAGTTTGTTGTGTCATTTCTGAATTCCTTTTGCCCTTGTGCCAATTTCATACCAATGTTTCACTGCAATGAGAGTGTTCATTTTTCCTGGTGTTTGAGTTCTGTGTTTCCTTTCTCTCACACTTCATCATACCAGGGTGTGTTTAGTGCTACACAATTTTAAATGGTTCTGTTTTCACAGCGAACAACCACATACCACATCAATAGAATGTTCATGATGACAGGCTGTATTGCCTTTTGCAAATAGCCTAAACAAATAAAGTTCTATATGTTTCTTGCCACCTTGAAGCAATTAGGGTTTAAAATGGAGTCTTAGAGGTAGTTGTGGCAATTAGGTTGGCATGAAAGCAAGATATGATTTTGTAGACTTGTGTTCCTTAAAAATATACAGTGTTGATTTCACTAGAAAACATATTTATGTCAGTGGTATACTAAATAGGTTACTGTGGGTTTGTTTGCCAGGATGCTCAAAATTGAAAGTTGAAACTTGTAATAAATTTAGCAACGACATGTGTCCCCAAATCTTAAATTGAGATTTTCCAAGATCTTTGGTAACACAAGGCACACACATATGCCTCACTGAGTGCAAGCTCCACTGCCTTATGGTGCCTCCCTGATGCCGAGGACTTGGTAACCGTGGCACTAATTCTGTGTGGGGGTATTATTTTCCCCATTTTACAAATGAGGAATCTGAGGTTCATACAGTGTAAGCAATTTTTCCAAGGTTAGAACAATAGCGATAAGATTAGAACAAAACTTTCAAAACCCATTCTCTCCATTTTAATAATCTGCCTCTCACTAGGTCATTCTACATTTTTTTAAAAAGGTGGTTTTGGCCAGGTGCAGTGGCTCACGTCTGTAATCCCAGCGCTTTAGTAGGCTGAGGCAGGCATTCAAGACCATCCTGGCTAACATGGTGAAACCCTGTCTCTACTAAAAATACAAAAATTAGCTGGGCGTGATGGCGCATGCCTATAGTCCCAGCTACTCAGGAGGCTGAGGCAGGAGAATCGTTTGAACCTGTGAGGCAGAGGTTGCAGTCGAGATTGCACCACTTCACTTCAGCCTGGGCAACAGGGTAAGACTGTGCCTCAAAAAAAAAAAAAAAAAAATGTGGTTTCTTATGTCTGTCAGTGAAAAGAGTATTTATTCCAAGTCCCAAGAATCTTCCAGTCAGGTTTGTAATAAGTCAGTTTATTTAGCATATGTAAGTTGTATTAAAGTGAGGCTCCATTAAAGGGACAGGAAAAGGGTTCAGAAGCAGGAGTCAGGAAACTGGATCTAGCTGCCTGTGTCTATCACGGCCTGACTGCATTCTGTCCTTGGATAAGCCCCTTAGGCTTTCTGTGGCATAGGTTCTTTGTCTGTGTAATAAAGGAATTAGGTCACATGATCTCTATGACTTCCCATGCTAAACTCCTGTGAACCTATGCTGTTTCATTTGGATAAAATGCTTATTATCTTTTCATCTCTATTGCCTGTCTACTTGACCATCAACAAGATAGGATAAGAACAGGTTTGGTTAAATAACATAGTGGGATTTATGGAGATTGACCTGTGGTGGGCATAAGAATGGACTTTTAAGGAGTGGCCCAGAGGGCACTCCTGGTGTCTCAGAAAATCCCTTCAGGTGACAGAGAGGCCCTGGGTTATATGGGCATGGACTCAAAATTCTACCACCATCAATGACTCCTACACTTTTTCTTTCTGGCTTTTTGAAAGAACTTCCGTTGAAAAGTAGGTTCTGGCTGTCTTTTTCAAAGTAGTAGATTATTTGGCCAAAAACTCCTCTCAATGCTGAAAAATAATTGCGTTCAAATGAAACATTTAGCTAAGATGTTTTCCTCTATGCTGAGCTGATATTAAACTGAAGGACTGGTCGCTCCTACTTCCAGTATCCATTTTATTCCCTTTCAATATATTGACGTCAAATAAGCATTTAGATTTTAAAGTAAATGTGATGAAAATATTTAAGTATTTTACTATGTTTAAAAAACAAAATAAATTTAAAAAAACCAACTCTATAGCCTATATATGTATTGTCTATTTTCAATCTCTGTTTTGGCTCATTTAAGTCCAAATGAGACTTACATGGAGAGTCTTACTCAAATAGAAGTTTGGAAGTGTTCTCAACCAGACTGGAAATGATGCAGTCTCTATTTCAGTCTAACAGTCTTAGTATTGGTTGAGATAGATGAGGCTGGACTATGCTGTGGTAACAATCCCCAGACTCAACTACTGCAGCACAGAGCTTTACATCTCACTCCTGTTCCAGTCTGATGTGGGTCAGGCAGCTGCCTTCCTAGTGTGTATTAAAGACACTGATCTTACTGTCTTAACCATGTGGGAGCCAGACTGCTGGCAAATGTGCAGAGGCTTTTATAGCCAGGCTAGGACATGGCTTCTGCCCACACCCAGTGGCCAGGAGCTGGTCATATGGCATCACGTTAGAATGGAGGCTAGATATTGTAGACCTTGTGTGCCCATGGAGGGAAAAATGGGATGGAGTTTCATGAAAACATAGCATTGTGTCTGCCACAATACCTTATTTAAATTTAGCATGATACTCCGTGGCAGTAACTCTCAAGAGATAATTGACAACTATATGATTTTCTTCATGGGTCACAAAATTGACCAAAAACAAAATAATTGAGATGATCTAACAAGATAGCAGGAATGTTGTAAAAATAATTATTCAATGACAAATAAAATTTCTCTTAATACCATTAGTGAACTCAAAATCGAGCGGGCACCTAAAATTCAACAGTGGGCATTGATATGACTTCTTGGATGTACTACTTTAAAAAAATGTCATGTTTCAGACCAAGAAAACTTTAGGAGGTACACAACTTGGTTCCTTCAAAATATAATTTACAAGAAAAAACTAATGGAGGGAAGAGACCTACTACATTATAAAACGTTTAATTGACTTATCAACTAATTGTAATTGTTGATCTTATTTAGATTCTCACTTAAACTTAAAACATATGACATTTATGAGACATTTGGAAATTTGAACAGTAATTTAGTATTTGATGATATAAGGAATTACCAACTTTTAGATGTGACAATTATATTATGGTCATTTCTTTTTCATAAGCTTTTACTCATTTAAGAAATACTGAAATATTTACAACTGAAATGATATGCTGACTAGGATTTTCTTCAAAATAGTAAAGGAAAGTAGTGGGTGGGGTGGGAACAAAACCAGACTCACCTTGAGTTGGTAATTTTTGAAGCTAGGGTATAGGTGTATGAGGCTTTGTTTTACTATCCTCTTATTTATATTTGTCATTTTGCGTAATAAAAAATTTAAAACAAAAATGTATGCTATCTTATTATCATGGAATTATTTTTATTTTTACTCTGAATTCATTGTCTCCTTTTTAATACCTATATTTTGTTTCCTGCTTATTTTACTTTCTTATAAAAAGTTTCAGCTTTTCACATCAGATACTGTTTCATCAAACTTATCCTCAATAATTTTGGTACAGATCAAAGATGTTGTGTCAAAACGAGTGTATGCAGCAGAACATAGAGGTTTTACCCATGTTGGAGCCCACCAATGTAAAGAATCACTAATGTCCTGAGAATCTTGGGATGTGAAATTGACGTTCAATGGATTGCCAGAACAGAAAGTGGTTCACTAAACAAACATCCCCATTCATCACTTCTGGAATTCCTTCCTGGAATTTTCATGCTTCTTCAAAAAACATAAAGTTCCCTAATAACAAACAGCCATTTCCTGGAAAAAGTATTAAATGATTTAGCTTAGCAAACTTAACAGAACCTCCATATGTAAGAAAAATTTCTTTTAACCCTAACTTAGAAAATTGTGCTAATCCAATTATGGGTGATATTCTTCTCACAGCATTTTGAGTCTTGTTGCCAGTTCTGAAGCTCTTGAGACTTAGCCACAAAAGATTATCTAGAAAATTCTCGGTGCAGACATTGTGATCTCCTTGACAGTAAGCTCCGTAGTCCCAATTAGAAGCTATTGACTTTCTGAAGAAAAAAACGTTGCTATTTTTGTCTTCAGAAATCTTTATCAAAGGAATACAGCTTTGTTTTTGGCACTTTGGGTAAAGGAGAAAAAAGATTTATAAAGTTACAGTTCATAGTTTTAATCAGACCAAAAGCTACCAGTTTTCCTTTCCAAACTGAATTTGTCTCTCCCATCCCCCACCTTTTAAAATTTGATCAGTTTCCTAATAAGCAGCACTTGGTCATTGCATCATATTTCAGGCCCTCTAACTGAAAAGCATATTATGCATTTAATATGAGAAAAACTATTTTGAATATGTTTCAGTAGAGGGAATACATATTTCAATATACTGTGATTCTTTCCAACTGGATATTCATTGTATCATGAATATGATTTAAAAAAAAAACTAATGTTAGAGAAGAAAATACAATGTCATCTGGTCATTCTGACTTTTCAGGTGTTTCTTGTTACATCTCTTCACTCATTTAAATGACCTCTCATGTGTTGCACTTACCCTATGTCTTGTAATGAGCTCATAAAATGCCCTTGTGAAGTATTAAAACTGGAATTTTAGTTGAAAAATAATAGCAGCATTAATTCAAGGAGCTTAGAAGAAACCAATTAGCTTCCTCAAATCAACCTATTTTCAAGTGGTATTCCACGGATTCTTGACATTGAACACTTAGCAATATTGATCCAGAAAACTCCCAATATTACTTTGAATGAATCTCATTGGCTTCACAGATAGGGGAGTCAAACTAAATTTGGCAACTGCTCAAACAGTAATAGGAAATAAGGCTGCTCTGTAGACCCAATACACTCTTTAGAGCCTTTAGTCAATCAGTCAGACGAAAAGTGTCTATTGGGCTTTCACTCTTTAAATAAATATCCCAAACAAAAGGCAGGTTTTGGGCCCACAGAACTATAAGCATTACTGTGTAGCATATAAAAATTACAAACTCATACTGTGCCTGGACGCTTATATGCTAAAGGAGCCTTAGAACTAAACTTCGAGAGAGTGGAAAATAATGATTGATAAGAAAAGCAGTTGAGTAAAAGATCAATGTTGGATAATAATGAGATAGACAAGGTGCTAACTAAATGAATGCATTTTTTTTTTTTTTGAGATGGGGTCTCACTCACTGTGTCACCCAGGCTGGAGTGCAGTGGTGCGATATTTGCTCAATCTCTGCCTCCCGGGTTCAAGTGATTCTCCTGCCTAAGCCTCCTGAGTAGCTGGGACTACAGGTGCCCGCCACCACGCTAATTTTTGTATTTTTAGTAGAGATGGAATTTCACCATATTGGCCGGGCTGGTCTCGAACTCCTGACTTTGTGATCAGCCCACCTCAGCCTCCCAAGGTGCTGGGATTAAAGGCATGAGCCACCACGCCCAGCCAATGAACACATTTTTTAAAACTTTACAAGTGAAACAAGGAATGTGTGATTAAGACCATTGTCATTACCTTTCTTTTCTTCTCCATGACAAAGGAATTACTTTCTCCTGAAAGACATCTCTATCATTCAGGGTGGAGGATTAGGGGCAGTGAGAAATTGGAGGTTTTTGTGGAGTCCACTCATCCTGGGTGTTTCCTGTTGGTCTTGTCTTCCCCACTCCACCTATGTTTTCCTTTCTCGACTGTCTACCTGCTGACTTCAACCTGCAGCACCAGAAATCTGAGAAATGGTCTCTTAATAAACATTTAACCACCCCTACAGTTACCCAAGATTAAATACCTAAATCAAATTCTTTTTCATAGGGAGGGGTTCATTATATTCTAGTGGCTCTGCTTCTTTGATATAAAGCTGACTCATTCAATCTCTAGGTCTCTTCTACAACCCTGCATTCACTTTCTGTCTGGTGTTATCTCAGGACCTTGGATACCACCCAGAGATTAAGCATTGGTTTCTTTGGTCAACCAGTCAGTTAGAAGAATTAATGGAACAATTATCATGTGACAAAATGGATAGTCTAACATTTGTTTATTGTTTGACTTTTGATGGACATTTAAACAGTTTTCAGTTTTAGGCAGGTACAAATAAAGCCACTCTGAACTCTGCTAGGCCCAGAGATACAAAGATGAATGTTTTGGAAGCTTTACTAACAAGATAGACATATATGTAAACAGAAATGTTTATTATTAAGCTTCTAAAATTTAAGTTCTATGCCTTGTCACCTGCAATAGCTCTTTCCTGAGCCCTGTAATTAATCTTTCCCTTTCTTTTTCCAAGAGCATTAATTAAATATAATTGACATGTAATAAAGTGCATATATTTAAAGTATATCATTTGATATGTTTTGACATGTGTACATGCCTATAAAACTACCAAAACAATCAAAGGAGAAAGCACATTCATCAGCCCCCAAGTTTCCTCAGGTCCCATTGTAATTCAATCCACCCCTTCCCTGTCCTCAGGCTACCACTGTTCCAATGTATGTCGTTATAGATTAGTTTGCAATTTCTAAAAATGAATATAAATGGAATAATAGAGTCTGTACTGTTTCAGGTCTATTTTTCTTCCCACAGCCTCGTTATTTTGAGAGTCACCACGTGGTAGTGTGTATCAATGGTTCATTCATTTTTATTGCTGAGTAGCTCTCCATTATATGGATGGACAGCCATTTGTTTATTCATTTACCTTTTGATGGACATTTAAATTGTTTTCAGTTTTGGGCTATTACCAAAAAAAGCCACTATTAACATTCACTTACAACTCTTTGTATAGACATCTGCTTTCATTTTTCTTGGGTAAATATGAAGGAGAGGGATGGTTGGATCACTTGACAGATGTATGTTTACATTTTTCAGAAATTTCTAAATTGTTTTCCAAAGTAATTTATCATTTCACACAGCTAACACCAGTGTATGAACATTTAAGTTCTTCACATTCTCACCAATAATTGATATTAACAATCTGTAATTTTACTCATTCAAATGGATGTATAGTGGCATCAGATTGGGGTTCTAATTTTTCTTTTCCTAAGGGCTATTGATGAGTATCTTTTTGTGTGTTTATTTGCAACTTACATATCTTCTGCGGTGAAGTATCTGCTCAAATCTTTTTTCCAGTTTTTTAATTGGGCTGTTTGATTTCTTATTACTGAGTTTGAGTTCCACACATATTCTGGATGCATGTCCTTGTTAAATTAAATTTAGCCTGAAGTTGCCTCCTTACATATTTTAACTTTGGCACCAAAGCTTGCACGTAGTAAGCTGCAACCTAACTGGATGTGTAAACAGACTGTAACCTACTCTTGTACAATCGCAGAGTTTCAGCCACTCACAGGCAGCCAGCTGTTCAAACCATATTCAAACAAGCAAATGTTAGGAGCTGTAACCAATCCAGTTGTTTCTGGACTGTCCTTCTGTTTTCTGTACATCACTTTTCTTTTGTCTGTAAATATTATCTGACTATGTGGCTACCCTGGAGTTGCTCTGAACCTATTCTGGTTTGGGTAGTGCCCAATCGTGAACTGTTCTTTGCTCACTTAGACTGTTAATTTGTCTAAAGTTTTCCTTTTAACACCTTTGTCAGTATGTAATTTGTAGCTTTGTATATTTATAATCTCTATTGCTATGTGCATAAAGTTTTATGAATATTATTTATTCTTAATGAATTGAGCCTTTGATTAAATGACTTTCTTTATCCTTGATATTCTTTGCTCTGAAATCTACATTATCTGATACTAATGCCATCACTCCAGTTTTATTTTTATTGGTTATAGTATAATGTATATTTTATACTTTACTTTTAAACTTTTTAGTGTCTATGTTTAATGTGTGTTTGTTTTATGCAGCATAGAGTTGGGTCTTGGTTTTTTGCCTAATCTGATCATTTCCATCTTTTAATTGGGATATTTAGAGCATTTACATTTAGTGTGATTATTGGCATGGTTAGGTTTAAACTAACCATCTTGCTACTTGTTTCTACTTGTCCCATCTGTTCTTTTTTAATTTTCATTTTTCTCCTGCCTTCTTTTAGATTGAGCATTTTTTTATAATTCTACTTTATCTGGTATGTTACATAGATATAATAATGTTATATATATAATGGCATGCGATAATATGTGTAATGTTATATAAATATAACATTTTATTTATTTTACTGGTATATTTAGGGTGTATGGTATGCATTTTAATGTATCACAGTCTAACATCCATGATATGATGGCACTTTACACATACCAAGAGAATCTTACCATAGTATATTTCCATTTTTCCTCTCCAGGCCTGTGCTATTATTTTCATACATTATACTTACACAGGTGTTATAAATCCCACAATACCACAGCATTTTAAAAAATTCAATTTTCTTTTAAAGATATTTTTGAAATAAAAATATCTTCTAGATTTTTCCATGTAGTTATTTCCAGTGATCTTCATCTAGTTGTGTAGATTCACATAGCAATTTTGTATTATTTATCTTCTGCCTGAAGGACTTCCTTTAACATTCTGCTAGTGACAAATTCTTTCACATTCTGTATGTCTGGAAAAGTATTTCTGCTTCCTTTTGAAAGGTATTTTGCTGGTTACAGAATTCTAAATTGACTTTTTTTTCAGTACTTTGAAGATGTTTCCCAGCTCTTTTGTCACTTGCATTGCTTCTTATGAGAAATCTGCAATCATCTTTATCTCTGTTCCTCTACATGGAATCTTTTTCCTTTGGTTGCTATTAATTTTTTTTCTTTATCACTGTTTTTGCACAATTTGATTCTGATTTGCCTTAGTACAGTTTTCATCATGATTCTTATGCTTTGAGTATGTCGAGTGTCTTGTACCTGCAAGTTTCTCATTTTCATCAAATGTAGAGAATTTTCAGGTATTCTATCTTCCAGTATGTCCCCCTTCCTCCCTTTTAGGGGGTTAAATTTCATGTGTTTTAAGCTGCTTGAAGTTTTCTCAGAGCTCATTGGTACTCTTTAACATACTTAAAAAAAATTATATTCTATATTTCATATTGAATGGTTTGTATTCCTATTTCTTAAAACTCACTAACTTTTCTTCTAAATACATAACTGCTATTAATTTCATTCAGTGTATTTTTCATCCTACATATTGCAGCTTTCATTTGTAGAATTAGGAACTGGTTCTTTTTTTTATGTCTCCCATATATCTGCTTAACTTTTTGAATGTATAGTTATAATAACTGTATTAATATTCTTGCCTGCTAATTCTTACATCTGTGTCATTTCTGGATCAGTATCAGTTGACTGATTTTTCTATTCTTTAATGATTATATTTTCTGCATGGTAATTTTTGATTGATTGTCAGACATTATGAATTATATCTTTTTGGGTGCTATAAACTTGTGTATTTATATAAATATTCTTCATTTTGGTTCTAGTATACAGTTAATTATCTAGGAAACTGATTCTTCCTGTTAAGAATTGTTGGGAGGGGTTGGAGTAGTCCTCAGTTTAGGCTAATTATCCCCCTTCACTCAGACAAGACACTTCTATGCACTCTACCCAGTGCCCTGAGAATCAGGACATTGTCAAGTCTAGCTCAAGGGAAGAGGCATTGTTCTCTGACCTTTGTGAGTGTCAGATAATGTTACCACTAATCCTTTGGGTGATTATTTCCCAGCCTTGGGTGGCTTTCTCACATGCAGAAACATGTCCTTAATCATCTGAGGACCCCAGGGTGCCCTCTGCAACCCTGAAGAGCCCCCTCCTTGCAGCCCTCTCCTGTGAACTGTAGTCACTGTGGTCTTCCAGCTCCTCCTACTCAACTCAGAGGGACCACCAGTACACACCTCAGCTCCCCTTTCCTGATCTGTGGTTTGTAAAATTCTCAAGGCCGGAACCTGGACAAGTCTTTGGAGCTTATTTCATTTGTTTTCTCTCTCGCAAGGACAGATGCCTCATATCCTGTGTCTTGAAAACCTTTGTTGTATATATTTTGTCATTTTTTTAAATTCATGCAAGAGGATAAATCCAGTCTTTCTACTCCATCTTGGAGAGAAGCAGAAATCTCTGTCATATATCAAATTTTGCATTAACAATTTTGTATTCCTTTTCTTAAAAATGCCCCTCCATCTTGATTGTATAATCCAGTGTTACAACACCTCCACTCACCAAAATACAAAACAAATGAATAGATTGTAATCTCACATGCTAAGTGCAATAATTGATACATATTGATGTACCTCACATGGTCTAGAGGTGGGGAAAAGATATGTGTTGGAAAATCACCAGAGAAGGAGACAGTCAAATTGTTTTTAAATAGTAAACAAAATCAAATATAGGTGAGGAAGAGGTGGTAAGAAGCAAAGTGCAAAACTAGGGAGAACCTGATACCACCCTCCAATAGATGGTTTTCTAAGAGAGAAAAGAATTTATTTAAAATCCATGAACATAAGAAAATAAAGAGAGTCACACATGGCCTTATATTATTGTCAGGTAAAAAGGATGATAGGAGACATAGTTCACATTAATTCAAAGTGACATTTCCTATTTGAAATAAGAAAGATCATTTTGAATTAATGATATTATGCAGCAGACGATGGCTACTTGTATGGGCAGTTAGGAAGAAGAAGAAAGGGAAGGGAACGGAGGAAGAGAAGTGGGAGAAAGATGAAGAAAGAAAATGAGAAGGGGGAGGCAGTAAACTCAGCTCAATTTCAATCAGAACAATGAAACTATTTCATAATTATAAGAACTGTTTTCCATGAGAGTGAACTTTCCCACAGACCCTTCTCCAATCCATGTGGCGACATTGAGTTTGCTCTCCGTAGCCTTGCCCGTCTACAGACTCATTCCCCAAATACCACCTGCCATGTGTTAGGCTGTCAGGTAAGTGTTACCTACTCACTCCATCATGCTTCTGCTTCTTTAAGACTTTGCAGATTTTCCCTTAGCACAGAGCTGGACCCTCTGCAATAAAATAAGTTCCCATTTATTGCCAACATTCTTCTCCTTACTCACTTTGCTATAACCATTCGTAACCGTAACAGATTTTCTCTTTCTTCTTGACAGATGAATTCTTTTTGCTTTTCTGATGTTGGTTTATATGACGGTTGTTGTGTGCTTACTCCTTTTATAGAAGCGGGAACAGAAGGGAGCAGGGGAAAGCGTTGTAGGAAAGAAACCCCCAAGAGTGCATAATAACCCGCCAACCTTCCCTTTCTCTCCCTCCTCTTTTAATGGTCCTGGTCTCCTGGCATCTACAGCCCAGAGAAAATGCAAACACATGACACTGGGCCTTACTGACTTACAAAAAATCCCAGGGAGTCGCAGTGCAATAATAGGTCTTATTATTCCTTAACATTTAATAAAGCCTGCAGTGATAGATGCTGAAAATAAAATAAGCTGGTGTGGTATCTGCTTTTTGAAAAGCTGAAATTCAAAAGACAGACCAGTGTAGGCAAATCATACAGATGGACAAAGAATTGAAGAAAATAGGAAGGAAGGGGATAGAGACAGATGGCTGACTCCATGGATTTTTTTTTTCCCCTCCAAGATAATTCTCCTGGCTAAGGACCCCAGGACACTCCAGAAAGATTTTTTTCTTTTCATTTTTCTTTTCTTTTTTGTTTCATTTGCTTGTTTGTATTTAATCAAGGTTTGCTGTAAACAGTGAAGCCAAGCTTCTCTTAATCACGCTTGCCATTAAGGGCTTTAAATACAAAACTCCTACTTAAAATTACAATTATACTTTGATGAAAAAATTTCCCAGCCCACTCCATTTTACATTTTTCCCATTGGTTTTCTAAAATAGGACTGGAAAGTGCTAATAGAGTGTTTTGGAACTCAGAGTTCTTTGTGGTTTCATAGTCTCAAAAAAACCGGTCCTCCTTATTGCCTTATCACCACTAATCAGGGCTTATGTGTGACTTGAAAATTAGAACTTTCACACATGGCAGGCAGGAGACACAGAGGCACAGTCTCATGAAGAGATACCTAAGCATTGATGTGACTGCTAAGGACAGCATATTCCCCTGAACCCGTGTGGTTCTGGAAGCCCTCCAAGTTATTAATAGCGACAGTGACAGGGCTGTACATTCTATTGTTTCCTCATCGACGAGAACGGAATGTTAGGTGGTGGGGATTGTGGCATGGAAAGTATGTGAGCTGGCTGTGTTGCATTTCATTTTCTCCTTTCGAGGGCTTTCTGTCCTTTGTGCTTTTTACTGCTGCTCGTGGCAAACGCCTTAGTGGATGATGAACAAGAAATGACCTCATGGAAACAGTGTGGTGGTGACCCACAGCTGATTTAAAATAAGGTGGACAGATTTTGATCACCCTCCCAATGTATACAGCAGGAAAGAGAGACCTGGTTTCACTAGAGTTGGGTTGATCCAGTCCTCCTATGCTGAGTCATTGGATTAAAATGCATGTCATGTCCTAGGCTAGCCTCGGATTTCCATCTGGTCAAAAAGAAAGCATTTTTGTTGCTACTGGGTTTGGGATTAGTGCAAAAAGGGGAGTTCAGATCTGGATGAACCAGGCCCACTTGTCCTCTCAGATAAAGCCAGGGGAGGAGCACAGAAACACACTTGGTACCCTGAGATGAGATTAAATGCGGAGGTGGATGAAAACCACCAAAGGTAGCTTAAAAAACATCTGAGCTCGCACAAAATAATTCACTCCTTCATTAGTTGTTAATGCATTTCTCTAATTGCTTATTCAAAAGGACATTATTTCTTCTTTGGTGTCCCGCATACACAGTTTTAAAATGCTTGCAGACGTTTTACCTGGCTCTTTGCATTAAATTATCTCATCAGTCGTAATTGATCTTCACTTCTCCGAAGTTTTCATGGCACATGGCAAACTGGGATGTACCCTTCCTCCTCCTCTGTGTTCTATCAGTTATTTAATCTCATCTCCAAGCAACATGTTCTCGTAATGGCTAGATTTTGGTCTAGAACAATAGCCTTACTGCTATTATTCTTTTACTCAACAGTCCAGATTGTTACGTACCCATGATCTGGAGCTCTGGACTTCTTGGTTTTGTGAACCGCAGGACTCTTGCAAGTCTACTGTGTTAGTCCGTTTTCACACTGTATTATAAATAAATACCTGAGACTGGGTAATTTATAAAGAAAAGAGGTTTAATTGACTCAGAATTTCACACTGTTGGAGAAGCCTCAGGAAACTTACAATTGCGGAGGAAGGTGAGAGAGGAGCAAAGGCACGTCTTACATGGTAGCAGGTGAGAGAGAGAGACAGCAAATGAGTAAAGGGAGAAGAGCTGCTTATAAGACCATCAGATCTCATGAGAACTCACTCAGTATCATGAAAATAGCATGGGGGAACTGCCCCCATGATCCAATCACCACCTGCCCACCAGGTCTCTCCCTCAACACATGGGGATTATGGGGATTACAATTTGAGATGATGTTTGGGTGGGGACACAGAGCCAAACTATATAATCTACCATGTCATAAGTGCTCAAAATATGGATTAATTGATTGCAACAAGAAGCCACGTTTTTCCTTTGCAATTTATCAGTTAGCAACTCATTCACTTTGAATATTTTTTTTTCTTTTCTCAGAATAATCAGAGGGAAAAGGTCATTATAGATGAAACAAGTACATAACAAATAAACTTGAAAAAAGTGACACTATCTGTCTAATTAGAATGGCTTTAATGGCAGTCTGTATTTAAAATGTGCAATGCAGCAGCATCTAAGGGCCTTTTTAATTGATTTGATTTCATGATTTTCCTAGATTTTATAAAGACTCATAAACCAATGTCTTAAATTTCATTTTACAGTTATTGCCTTAATTTTAGATTTCAAAGTATCTTTTGACACCTTCACTGGTGTGCTCTATCCTGGAAGAAATATGCATTCACAGATTCCATACCTCCCCCTTAATTCCCCACTTGGTCAGATTAGATGTTCATTTCTATTATATCATCTTTTAAGCCTTACTTACATTTTTAAGAAGATACTATTTTGACTTTGATAAATTCTGGCACTCTGAATTCATTGTGTTTCTTTGTCTTTTTCCTTAGGCTTGCCCTAGGCAAGGTCTAACACTGTCAAATCATTAGAGGGAGGGCTTTATTCCCAATTTCAAATCATTTTTATTGTCATCATTCAAAAAGAAATGGCTGTCTAGGGGATAAGTGTCAGTGCGTACTTTGAAGATGATGGGCATATGTTTCTATCTCAGCTGATTCTTGAAGTCACTTTTCTGGTATTTTTTTCTGTAAACTTATGTATATATTCATAAAATTTACTATTTTACTTTGAGTAAGTTTCATTCTTCCCTCTGATTAGAGACTTGTCTTCTCTATCTTTTATACTTTCTGATTGGGACAAAACAATCTTTTGGCTATTCTATCTCATTTTTTCAAAAGCATCAATTATCCTCTTATGATCCCCTTATGATAAGATCATAACATTTTAAAGCTATTGTTTAGAAATGTACTACACAGCCTTTCACCTCCTTGTCCCCAACTGTCTCTCTTACTCTTTCTCTCTTTCCAAAAATAGCAAGCTAACTACTAAGCCAAAAGCCACATCCAGATTCCTATGGCTCCTGTCCACGTTCACTATGGATGAATGCGTATCAGACTTCTTTGCTCATCATGATGACTGGCCTATTAATTTTATCTTTTCCTGAAGTAAAATAGGAGAGCAAATGGGATGCATATTTATTCTTTTGTCTTCTTTACCTCAGGGCTGTCTTAAATCACTTAAGAAAAGCAAAAGTTAAGTATTTTGCTATTAGAGAGCCATAAATAGTTAAGTAACAAAGTAGTAGTAACTCTAGATAGAATAATGATAATTAATGTTTGCACAGTTTGCTACTTTCACCTGTACCATTTCATTTACTATGCATTTTTACTTCCTATGGCAGATATAAATATTACCCTTCATTTATTGTTGGGCATACTGAGGGTCATGTCAGTGCAATAAATATTTCATGCGCAAACACTCAGCATATGGGAAGGAAATTATACCATGTTCTGACGTAAAATTCTATTTCAGATGTTTGTTTTCTCCTTTCCCTTTTCTTCCTTCTTTTTAAAATACAATTTAAGTTTCACCACCTTTTCATAAGTGAGTATCTACTCACATTTACTATGATTTCTTGTGTGTTCGAAGAATTCTGGTATCCTCCCTTTTAATCAACATTGCTCCTAAATTGCCTACTCATGTTTTAATTCCTGCCTCTTTGTTATTTAGTTGGATTAGATTTTCAGTTTTTAATTTTTTTCTCTACTTGCTTGAAATGTAAACTGTCAATATCAGTTATTTTGTGTTCCTCATAAAAATTTAATATGAAGAGTCCTCGGTTTGGCCAATGGGAGCCGTTTCAAGCCAGCTCCTGTTTTCTGATGTCATGACTACTTCCTTGCTTTCTGATTCAACAAGCTATTCCAGGCTTACCACATATTCTTTCTGCTCCAGAGGTGAAATCCACCATTTAGCAACCTAGCTCTGTGTGCGAGGTGCATGCACTGCTGCTGGGGTTTGTGATTTCCAGGTGCGTTCAGAGGCTAGAGCAAGGGATGTTTTTATGCCTTATTCTGAAACCTTCAAATCAAATCTGAAACCACGGGCTTCTTCCTCATCTTTCCTCATTCTATATTTGTATCTCCCTTCTCCTACAGTGAGAATGGAGATACCTAACATCAACATAGAAACTCATTTGTTCAACCCTGAAATAGATACAAAATAGCTTCAGAATAATTTTAATAATACCATGGTGTCAACAGAGTGGCTAAGTTCAAGATTTCTTTAAACTATATTCTAGTAAAGATGTATAGTTAGAATACTTGTTCAAAAGCTACTTGAATTAATTTTTTTATTATATGTGATATGGTTAGTAATTTGATTTAAATCTTGGTTCACTTCCATCAGTTTTTATTTAGTTTTAGAGTTTACTTATTATTTTGATTAACTTGTACTTTTTAATATATAAGGCATTTAGATGCATCAAAAGTCAAAAATTATGTAAGAAAAGATACTCAGATTTCTTATTCCCAATTCTATTACTTCCACCCCATTTTCACTGATCGTCTATAATATTTCATGAGGTTTGAATATATAGTCTTTTTAGTTTTCCTTTTTTCTGACATAAAGTATAGCATATGTCATATATTCTTTTCCAATTTCCTTTTTTTCAATAAACAATGGATGTTTGAAATCACTCCCTATCAAGCTGTAGGATCTTCCTTTCTTCTTTTTAAACAGATGCATGTAGTACAACACTGTGTGGAGATATCATAGTTTATTCCATCAGTTTCCTATTATTGAATATTGTCACCAATATTTTGCTGTTGCAGATAATGCTGCAATGGTTGACCATGTGCATATGTTGTTTTAGATTTGAAAAGGTGCCCTTCAACATAAATGAGTAGAAATGAGATTGCAGGGTCAAGGGCACATGTAATTTTGTTAGATGTGACGAAATTGCCTTACATAGTATTTGTAGCATTTTGTGTTGGCCATCAGAACATGTTAGTGAACTTTTGAATGTTTATAAATCTGAAAGGTAAGAAATTGGTGTCTTTTATATTCTTAAATTTGAAGCAACGGTAGTAACAACAGCACGTTCCTGTCTAGAGACCAATTCTCTCTTTCTTCAGAAAGTAGACCCAGCATTTCATGAGCCTTGTAGTGTACCTGCAGATGGCTTTTATTCTTCTTCCATTTAAATCACAACATGATTCAATATCCTACAACCTATGAATTTGATTGTAAATATTACTGACACTTAGACTTACTATACATCTACATAAAAGGAGTACAGGAAAGAAAATAGAAAAAATAAGGAAAACTGTAGTTTTCCAATTTGTGTTCCAGTATTTATTCATCTATCTACTAGTCATCATCTATCTTTCAGTCCTCTATTTTATCCTCCTATATGTTTTGCTCTGTATTCCTCCTTATGTGCATATATGTACACACAAATAGTAAAACAAGCAAACTATATGGATAGCAGCTTCCGTTCTTGTTTTGAGCTAATGTGGCACTTCTGCACTGGTGTTTATGACTTGCTTTTTCCATGATCTCTTCCATGTTCCTTTGCTCTGGGCAAAGAGGATTCTTCCCTTGTGAAGCACCCCAACCTAAATTATTGCAGACCTACTGTACTCTGTTATTTAATTTACACTACAGGACATGTGTTTAGTAGGATATAAACTATAGAATCCCTTTAATTCAAGCCATATGTATTCCTCCTACATTGCATTTTCCCTTGACCATAAAGACAAATGACTCTTTACACAGAATCCACTGTTGGTCTAGGGTTATGGGGGACCCACCATGAACATGTGACCTGGGTGTCAATGGAAGGACTTCTTCCTTGGATCTCAAGCCATTATATTCGTAGAGTCCAATGTTGAAATCACATAGATTGTGTGAGCATGCTACTCAGTGTGAGAATGAGCTGTTCTTCTCATTTCCCGTCCTTGGATCCCTTACCCATCTGTGCTGGCTATGGAAGAATCAGTACCATATATTGTCTCTGTTTGAGGAAGTAAACTTCAATTTATTGGACAACACACCTTCTTTACACGGTGTTGAATACCAGCTGGTGCTATAACTAGGTCTTCAGTGGGCCATGTCATCATTTTTCAAGGCCAAAATGCTCCTGAGTAATGAAAGCCAGTGGATACCATGAGCATCAGACATCAGCATACTTACTTCTCTATAAAATGAGGCTTTAGGTCAGAAGAATTTTATGTGATACTAAGATGGTTGTAAGGCATTCTGTGACTTTATGGATGGTATTGCTGGAAAAAGCTTGGCAAGAAGAGATGACAAATTCACCACCAGAATGTATCACTACAAGCAAGGATTCATCTTCTCCTCCATGATTGCAGAGGTTCATTTTCATTAACCCATCATGGTCAATTAAACATTATAGGCTGGTGCCTATGGGTTATAACAGGTATAACCCTGAGGTCATAACAGGTATTCATTATTGGTCTCATCTTTTGGAAGATTGGGCATTTAGAAGTTTCAGCAACCTCATAAGACCTTCTGAGCAGCAGTATGTATGTTAAGCCATGCTTGATCTTCATCACCTTTGCTATGGCCACTTTGTTCAAGTCTTTTTGAGAATGTCTTTGGGGTAGCTAAAAAATGAGGCTGACTGACATCCACAGAGTGGGCTTGGTTTGCACAACATCCTCCAAAATGAGTTCTTTTGGAGAATATTCACGTGACTCAATTTTGAAAGCTCCAGTCTCATAATTATTTCACAAACATCTTCCTTTCACCAGTCTTCCGATTTTGTTTTTTCCAAGTCTCAGACTATCTAGACAAAGCATTAGCCTTTGTTTGTGAATTCACCTACCTCCCTACTTCTATCTTACATAGGAGAGTAAACAAAATTTGTTTGCTCACTAGGATGGATTCGGCAACCCCAGTAGAATATATCTTATATTCTACCATAGAAACATAGAAGATGTACTAGAAAAGCAAGCACAAAAATATATGTCAGATGGCTATAAATGTCACAGAGAAAACAATGCACAGAAGGTAAATAGGCAGTGTGGAAAAATTGTAATTATGCTTAGTTTGGCCCAAGAAGGCTATTAAGGGAAGGTAGTAAGAAATAGCAGTTGGTAGAGGATGACGTAGGATCCACTGAACCCCCTCACAACAAGGATTCTCAATTTTGGCTGCATCTTGTAATTACCTGTGGAACTATACAAATGCTGATGTCTGGGTTTCACATTCAGAGATTCTAACTTGATTAGTCTGAGATGTAGTTTGGGCACTAGAATTTTTGAAAGATCCCAGGTGATTTTAATCTGCTGCCAAGGCCAAGCAGCTCTGCAGTCCTGGGAAATTCACTGAGATGAGTTAATTCTATGGTCTTTAGATAAGGCAGGAATAGGACCACGAGAAAAGAAAGAAAGAGCATCTCTCGGTGGCTGGAGAAGTTCAAGGTTTTGGAGATCTTTAGGTATTCAGAGTAATTAAATTTGCCCACTAGTCCCTGCCCCAGTTCTTTGGGCTCCAAATTTTTGCAACAAATGTGTTTTTTTTTTTTTTTTTTTAAGTTTTGCTCTTGTTGCCCAGGCTGGAGTGCAGTAGAGCAATCTCAGCTCACTGCAAGCTCCACCTCCCGGGTTCAAGTGATTCTCCTGCCTCAGCCTCATGAGTATCTGGGATTACAGGCACCCGCCACCATGCCTGGCTAATTTTTGTATATTTAGTAGAGAGGGGGTTCCACCATGTTGACCAGGCTGGTCTTGAACTTCTCACCTCAGGGTGACCCACCTGCCTTGGCCTCCCAAAGTGCTGGGGTTACAGGCATGAGCCACCACGCCCAGCCCTTTGGCAACCAATGTCTTAATCTTAAAAGCCCTGTGAGTCTGCAAACTCCACACTTAGAATCAGATGCTGATTTTTTTTATTTTTATTTTTATGCTTGCCTCATAGCTATGAGAGATAAGATAGCCTTAAAGCCACAAATGTTACCTGGTCCACTGACTACGTCATAAGCTGAGAATGAAAAGTCCTGAGTGTTTCATTTTCTGACTTTAAGATTTTGAACACAGTTGAATACAGCCAGACATACTCCATAGTCATTGTGCTTCTCATTTTTGCCATACTTGCCCTCGACAGTAGACATGTAGCCTGCCAAAGCCTTCCTTCAATGGGCACTTTATTTCCCACAAGCACAGGGTATAATTTAAGTATCTCTTTCACCACCAGATACTGTGGACTGCCAGTGTCTCATCCTTCAATGCTGGCAGAAACTTTACTGCCTTCAAATCTAACCAGTTCAGACGCGTTTCAGATTCCCGTTTCCCTGACAGTCTATTGTCTCCAGCTACCTCAGGTACCAATTACTGTATCGAGGGAAGTCCAGGTGAAGAAACAGTCAACTGTAGCTAGTTTAGCCACTTTTTTTTTACAGGATATTCAATGACTTACAGAGTCTTTAAGTGGGGCTGAAGAACAGTCTCCAGACTGAGCGTGATGGAAAGATCCCTGTACTACAAGCCCAGACTGCCACAAGAGATGTTGAATTGGACAAAATCAGGAAGGTGCCTGCAGAACAAGGAAGCCAGCTCCAGGGCCAGCTCCTCCCCTGCCAAACTGGAAAGCTGTCATCAAAATTAGTGACCACATGCTGTGTCAACAGTGTTCTGCTGCTCTAATGATGATGTTCTTTGGGCAGAATTTCATGCTTGTGTTGAAGTTATTGTCTTTTTTTTTTTTTTTCCCTCCAGTACCTGGTGACCCTTGCTGGTGCTTTCATGTTTTGTGCCGAGGCAATTAGACTTTGTGCTGAATTTGTTTGTGCTGCCACCTCAGGGAAGGGGTGGAATGTGCAGCGTGGTTTCCATTTGACATTGTTTTCCCTGAGAGATGGGAGGGCTGAACGTTACCTCTTGACAAGTCTTAGTGGACAGAGGGGCCCGGATACCCAAGCGCCTTAGTTCTTAGGGCTGGGTATTAGTTCATTTTCACACTGCTGATAAAGACATACTCGATACTGGGAAGAAAAAGAGGTTTAATTGGACTCCCACATGGCTGGGGAGGTCTCAGAATCACTGCAGGAGGTAAAAGGCACTTCTTACATGGCGGCAGCAAGAGAAAATGAGAAAGATGCAAAAGCGGAAACCCCTGATAAAGCCAACAGATATTGTGAGACTTATTCAGTACGACGAGAACAGTATCGGAAACCCCTGATAAAGCCAACAGATATGGTGAGACTTATTCACTACCACAAGAACAGTATGGGGGAAACCGCCCCCATGATTCAAATTATCTCCCACCAGGTCCCTCCCACAACACATGGGAATTATGGGAGTGCAACTGAAGATGAGATTTGGGTGAGGACACAGAGCCAAACCATATCAGGCTGCTATAACAAAATACCATAGACTGGGCAATTTATAAGCCACACAAATGTATTGCTCAGCTCTAGAGGCTGAGAAGTCCCAGATCAAGGCACCAGCAGGTTTGGTGTCTTATGAGAGCTCTCTGCTTTGAAGACGGTGCATTCTCACTGCATCCTCAAGTGTCAGGAAGGGCAAGGGACCTCACGCACACCCCCTTTTTAAGGGCACTAATCTCATTCATGAGGGTGGAGCCCTCATGACTTACTCAGTTCCCAAAGGTCCCATGTTTTAATATGATATTAGGTTTCAACATATGGTTTTCGTGGGACACCAACATTCAGAACATAGCACTGGGGTCCTGCCATTCTCTCTGACTGAGCCTTTTGACATGTGCTAAGCCTATATATTCTGCTTGGCTAATAGTGGAAAAGGGGAGATGTCTGTGTTGCACACCTGGCTTCTCCTATGAGGGTATCCCAGCTAAGTATCTTCAGGGAGTCCTGGTGCCCCTTTGTGTCCATGGAGTGCTGTGGGATCTGCCCCCCATTGGCCATGGCCCTCCTGCATGCATGTTATGCTGTGATTTCCTTTGCAATTCTATTGCCACTACATTCCACATTTAAGGGATTTTCCCCCACATTTTCTGATCCATCAAAAGTCCTGTGTAATGATTTACATGTTAAACCAATATTTGTTACATTGTTTTTAGAAATTTGGGATGATGCGGATATCATAAGTGATACCATAAGTGTCACAGCCTGATATCTTGAAAACTCTTTAACCGGTTCTCATTCATTCATTTATGCACCCTTTAGTTTATTCATCCATTAATAGTATATTGCTGTTCTCTGTGTGCCAAGGACTGTTCTGGAATCTGAGACATACGAAGATTTCTTACATCCCCACAGTTGAGTGAGAATGACAGAAATCATGACACCAGCTGGCAGGTGCTGCAGTGAAGGTGTATGCAGAGGAGTTTTGAGAACTTAGAAGGGAAGAGTCATTTAGTAGAAGAGAGTACATCTGAGCTTCCCATTTCTGGGACTCTCTATGTCCAGCATGGTAATGGAGTCTTACATTCATCTCCTTTTTCACCTGCCAGTTTTCACTGATTCTTATGTCTCAGTATAAATTCCACTTTGGAAAATACTTTCATGACTCCTTTAAGCAAACCTGATTTATTCTTTAAATTTTTATTATGCCTTGTACTTTTGCCTTCATAGTGCTTGACAACACCACTTTTCAAATGGTTATATGTGGAATTATTCTGTTTTTCTGCCTACTGTAACATCAATACGTATTCCATGCCAAATGTGCAGAGGAGGAGTTTCAGAAATCTATGTTTAAATGTGAATAAATGAACTTGCTCTAGGTGATCCATACATAAAGGATAAGGATATGCACAGAGAAAATTTCAGTGGGATTCTCTGTGAATTTCATACCAAAGTATCAGACCTATTTCTCAGTTGAAAATGCAAGGAGAATGCATGCACTAACTTAGTCTCATTCTCACACAAATGACTAATCCACGGTGAGAGTGAAACTGCATTTCTTTTCGCTGCTCTCTCTTTGCCCTCTTCATCTGGCTGAAGAGAGGAACAAGTAGTCCCGGCCACATCCCAGCTCCACCAGCTTCTGGCAGGCCCACCACAGATAGCCATTCAACAAGGGGGTAGGGACCCTTTCGTTCAACAGCTACCCAGTGCTGGGGTGTCATTTCTCATCCAATGAATGATCCGGGTCACAGTTCTGAGTGAGCAAACATTTTTCGATGTGTGAACAGTCCTCTTGTAACTGCCATAAAAAGGAGAGGATATAAAGAGGCCGTGAATAGAGGTAAAGTAAAAAACAAAAAAAAACAAAAAACCCCAAAAAAACCCAACAACTACAACAACAAAAACACCCAACAATAAACCACAGGAAGCAAGAAAGCATCCAAAAAGTAAACGTGGGTCTGATAGCTGAAAGCAAAGTACTACATTTTGGAATATTCTTTTCTTTGATTTATTTTCCAGTGGTATGCTTCTCAAGGTAATATATCACCATATGTTTTCTTATTTAGAGATTACAGTGAAAGCATGGGCCACATGTCAACTGAATTCATTGGTAGCACATTTTTTTTTACTTCATTTCACCTGGCATTAATGGCTTGACAGGAGCTGTGGGAAGGTTTATTCTTGATTAAGGCATGGAAATTCAAACCAAGTCAACATTAGGTATAACATAAAAACTTCTAAACAAATTTTAGATTGAAATTTTGAACCAGGAATAGTTACATATGAAAATATCAGTATGACTTGAGACTAACATAGAACAAACTATTACTGAAATTCCGCAAGTTGTGCAGAAAACAAAAAAAAAGACATGAATTTTATCTGCACAATTTCTAACCTGTATTAGTGTCACAACCCCCAAAATTAGAGTGAAAATGCAAGCCCAGGGAGAAGAGAAATCAATGACCTTTAGAATTCACAGCATTTTTTCTAGTGTCGTTTTTAACTTATTTTCCCAAATGGATTCTCAACAAAATAAGGCAAAAGTAAAACAAATGAATAACCCTTATCCCATTTATCCCTTTGAGATGGATGAGAACTTGTTTTGTTTCATTTTGCTTTTTTACCTTTGTCCTTAGGTGAGACCACTCCAAGTTATTTCAAGCAAGTGGGATTTGGTATCATGTTAAGGGACATGGGGGAATTTTCACACCAGTCTTTGTAACCTGTTCCAATGTGCATATGCTCTGCAGTCTACAAAAGATGAGTTGCCTCTCAGAAGGGAGCCATGGGAGGCCACACTCAGGATGCTTTTGGAGTCTCATTCCATGGCTGGTTATTCCTACCTTCTAGAATGCCGAAATCCTGTGAACAGTTGATTCCTTCTAGAGGTTGTCTCAACTGTCTTTTCTCCATTAGCATGATTCACCAAATAGTAATTTCTTTAGGAAACATAGAAATCATATAGATGTGCTATTTTCAGAGAGGCTGCCAAACCTCCATGCACAGATAGTGCTGTGAGTGCTGCCTGTGGGGCAGAGGTTTGGCAGCTGGTCTTTATACAGAGAAGTGGAAAGTTTGGAAACAGAGAGCCCTAGATCAAACTTCATGCTGGGTGACCTCTGCCTTGTCCTTTCTTAGCCTCAATTTGCTCAACTATAGAAGAAGGATTAACGCATTATGTTTGAGGGGAATAAATGAGATAAATTCAATAAAAAAAACAATTTTCCTGCTTTTGGCCAGACAAAAGCATATTAGGGTGCAAGTGTAGGGTGGTTGGATGCAAAGCAGTGCCCCATGCACACTAAGCCTCAGATCTGCTGCATCCAGTGACCCTCCAAACTACCCTTATGTGCATCCCACTGAGTTTATCATTTAGAAGGACATGCATGTTCATTTACTCCATCTTACAGATTTTGATAAGAAAGTTAATATGGAGAAAGTTTAAAAAACTTTGCTTGTTGGTTAGAATACTTAAAGCTGAAAGAAATGTTGAGGTAGTAAAACTGTTCATTTTATTAAGGCAGCAGAAAGGTGCAGTGACTTGTCTAAGGTCAGAAGGCTTATTGGTGACACACATGCACATGGAACTCGGCCTCCTCACTTTAAGGTTTACAGTGTTTGCTTTACTATGTTAACATTGTTCTGTGTGTGTTTCAGGCACATTAATGGAACCTGCATCTGCTGGCTGTTGTATTGCTACCCTTTCTTCTGCAAAAATCTTCCTTTACATGCTCAATTGCAAGACTATCTTTTTTGCTCCTTCAAGTCATGATGTAAACGTTTATTAACTAAATGATTAGAAAAATGGCTTTTTAGGGCCGGGCACAGTGGCTCACGCTTGTAATCCCAGCACTTTGGGAGGCTGAGGTGGGCAGATCACGAGATCAGTAGTTCAAGACCAGCCTCACCAACATGGTGACACCCCATCTCTACTAAAAATACAAAAATTAGCCTGGCATGGTGGTGCATGCCTATAATCCCAGCTACACAGGAGGCTGAGCCAGGAGAATCACTTGGACCTGGCAGGAGGAGGTTGCAGTGAGCTGAGATTGCGCCATTGGACTCCAGCCTGGGCAACAGAGCAAGACTCTGTCAAAAAACAAACAAACAAAAAAACAAAAAAAAAGAGGCCCAAAAGTATTTTTACATACACTGCATTGGTTTTATCAGAAAAATAAAATGGGAAGAGTCACATCTCCCTCAGCTAAGAAGATAGATTACTTGTCTGGTCCCCCTTTCAAAAGACTTGAAGGTACTAAGATTTCCTAGGTCCTTCACCTTATGACTGTGTGCCAATTTGCAGGCACTAGTTGGGACCTCTGTTCATGAGTCAGCTTCATGGGGATGGTTTTCTAGCTTGTTCCTTCACCACATTTGCAGGTTGGATCCCATTTCCCTCTCTTCAGCCTTGTCTTGGAGACACAGTTCTGTATGACTGATGCACATCAGACCCTGCCTTCATTTCTGTTTTGCTTCCATCCTGCTCATATTTCCAATCCCCTCTTCCATCCCATCCAAGTCTCCATCACTTACCATATCTTCCTTCAGGACACAGGAGTCAATAGGCCACACCTGGAAACCATCTGATGCTCAGGACTCATTTGTGCTTGCCCAAAATATACTACCCTCTGTTGCATGTTGCTGCTTCTGTTTTATTTTCTCCCTGAAACCTTGCTAGCTTTTCTAATTTGGCCATCTAGTTACCTCAGTTTGAGTCTCCATTCCTTCACTCCACTCAATTCAAGAGTATCCCATCTGATATGGTTTGGCTCCGTGTCCTCACCAAATTTCATGTTGAATTGTAATTCTCGATGGTGGAGACAGGGCCTGGTGGAAGGTGGTTGGATCATGGGGGTGGTTTCAAATGATTTAGCACCATTCCCCTAGTGCTCTCTCATGATACAGTTTTCATGAGATCTGGTTGTTTCAAAGTGTGTGGCACCTCCCCCAACCCCCACTCTCCTGCTGGCCATGTGAAGATGTACTTGCTTTCCCTTCGCCTTCCACGACAATTGTAAGTTTCCTGAAGCCTTCCCAGAAGCAGAAGCCTGTACAGCCCGCAGAACCATGAGCTGATTAAACCCCTCTTCTTTATAGATTACCCAGTCTCGGGTGTGTCTTTATAGCAGTGCAAGAATGGACGAATACATAAAGTTGGTACCAGAGAGGTGGAGCATTGCTATAAAATACCTGAAAATGTAGAAGCAACTTTGGAACTGGGTAACAGACAGAGGTTGGAACAGTTTGGAGGGCTCAGAACATGAAAGGAAGATGAAGGAAAGTTTGGAACTTTGTAGAGACTTGTTAAATTGTTGTGACCAAAATGCTGATAGTGATATGGATAATGAAGTCCAGGCTGAGGCAGTCTCAGCTGGAGATGAGGAATGTATTGGGAGCTTGAGCAAAGGTCACTCTTGCTATGCTTTAGCAAAGAGACTGGCAGCATTCTGCCCCACTCTAGGGACCTGTGGAAATTTGCACTTGACAGAGATGATTTAGGGTATTTGGTGGAAGAAATTTCTAAGCAACAAAGCATTCAAGATGTACCCTGGCTGCTTTTAAAAGCCAACGCTCATCTGCACAAACAAAGAGATGATCTAAAACTGGAACTTTATTGAAAAAGAAAGCAGAGCATAAAAGTTTGGAAAATTTGCAGCCTAGTGATGTGGTAGAAAAGAAAAACCTATTTTCTGGGGAGGGATTCAAGCTGGCTGCAGAAATTTGCGTAAGTAAAGAGGAGCCAAATATTAATAGCCAAGACAATGAGGAAAATGCCCCCAAGGCATGTCAGAGCTCTTCGTGGTAGCCCCTCCCTTCACAGACCCAGGGGCCTAGGAGAAAAGAATGTTTTCATGGGCCTTACCCAGGGCCCCACTGCCCTGCACAACCTCCAGAAAAGGCACCCTGCATCAGGGCCACTCCAGCTCCAGCTCCAGCCACGGCTAAAAGGGGCCAAAGAACAGCTCAGGATGTTGTTTCAGAAGGTGCAAGCCCCAAGCCTTGGTGGCTTCCATGTGGTGTTAAGCCTGTGGATGTGCAGAGGGCAAGAATTGAGGCTTAGTAGCCTCCGCTTAGATTTCAGCGGAAGTATAGAAACACCTGGATGTACAGGCAGAAGTCTGGTGCAGGGGCAGAAACCTCACAGATTACCTCTACTAGAGTAGGGTGGAGGGGAAATGTGGTGTTAAGAGTCCCCAAGTAGAGACCTACCTCACTGGGGAACTGTCTAGTGGAGCTGTGAGAACAGGGCCACCGTCCTCCAAACCCCACAATGGTAGTTCTACCAACAGCTTACACCATGTGCCAAAGCCACAGGCACTCAATCCCAGCCCATGAAAGCAGCAGTGGGGGCTGTTCCCTGAAAAGCAACATGGGTGGAGCTTCCCAAGGCCTTGGAAGCTCACCCCTTCCATCACTGTAGCCTGGATGTGATACATGGGGTCAAAGGATATTCTTTCGAAGCTTTAAAATTTAATGACTGCCCTGCTGGGTTTCAGATTTGCATGGGGCCTGTAACCCCTTTGTTTCAGCTGATTTCTCCCACTTGGAATGAATGCATTTACTCAATGCCTATACCCCTATAGTATCCTGGAAGTAACTAACTTTCGATTTTACAGGCTCATAGGCCAAAGGGAATTGACTTTCTCAGATGAGACTTTGGACTTGGACTTTTGAGTTAATGCTGGAATGAGTTAAGACTTTGAGGGACTGTTGGAAAGGCATAATTGTGTTTTGAAATGTGCAATAGACATGAGATTTGGGAGGGGCCAGGGGCAGAATGATATGGTTTGGCTCTGTCCCCACCCAAATCGCATGTTGAATTGTAATTCCCCATGTTGGAGGTGAGGCCTGGTGGGAGGTGACTGGATCATGGGGGTGGTCTCTAATGACTTAGCACCATCCCCATAGTGCTGTCCAATGATAGAGTTCTCATGAGATCTGGTTGTTTGAAAGTGTGTGGCACCTCCTCACCTACTCCTGCTGGCCGTGTGAAGACAGTGCCTGCTTCTCCTTATCCTTCTGCTATGATTGTAAGTTTCCTAAGGCCTCCCCAGAGGCAGAAGCCTGTACAGTCTGCAGAACAATGAACTGATTAAACCTCTCTTCTTTATAAATTACCCAGTCTTAGGTATGTCTTTATAGCAGTGTGAGAACAGACTAATACACCATCTCTGCACTGGCAAGCACCGTCAGTAGACAGAAACAGAAATGGAATTTCTGCATCCTCTCTGACATTCAACTGAGAAAACTTCAATGGATTTATGAGCTCACTGAAACAGAAGTCACTCCAGGGTGTGGGAATTGGAGTTAGCTGCTGCAAGGACTTTCTATTTATAGCGGTTGCTTTACCACGACCCCACTAGGGCCTCAGATGGTTCCCAATAATTACTACCTCTTCATCCAGGACCTGTGTCTCCTCTCCTTGAATGTGGGGTGGAACTGGTTACTTGTTTCTGACAAATATAACATGGCAGTATTAATAGAATGCCCTTCACTATCCTGCTCTGTGGTGCTTCTCACTCGCTCCCTTAGAGGGAAGCCAGTGGCCATGTTGCAAGCTGCCCTGTGGAGAAGCCCGTGTGGAGAGAACTGAGGGTGCTTCCAGCCAGCAGCCAACAAGGAATTGAGGCCCCCAAAATCCAACAACCCAAAAGGAATGCAATCCTGCCAGCAGCTGCATGAGTGAGCCTGGAAGTAGATCTCCCCAAGCCTGACCTTGAAATGACTGCTTCTCCTTCTCCTTCTGCCATGATTGTAAGTTTCCTGAATGACATCTTGCTTGCAACCTTGGGAGAGATCTGGAACCAGAGACCCTAGCAAAGCCACTCCCACAATCTTGACCCATAGAAAGTATGAGATACTACCTGCTTCTTCAAGCAGTTAAGTGTTGGAATAAGTTGTTACACAGCAATAGATAACCAGTACATCTCACTTCATCATCTACTTAACATCTGGAAGAAGGGGCATCATACTGGTCTTTTGAACAGAACAATTATTTTTAGATAACATAATTGGTAAAAGTATTTTTTTCCCTGAATATTTCACTAAATCATTTTCTAGAAAAAAAGTGCTTGCAGAAGTTCCCAAAGTCTTCTAATTATCTGTGGCTCCTGGTTTTCAAAATGCATGTGAGCAACTTCAAAAGTTTAGATGTAGGGATGCCTATCTGCTGACCACAGCAAGTTATGAGAAATAAGAGGTTTGGCTTTATTCTGGTGATTTCGCTGCCACTGCTTAATGATATCCAGCAGAGTTGTTAAAACTCTGGTACTGCTGCCAAGGAAGGTTGAGTTATCCTTGGCTGAATGTCTCTATCTACAGCTTGGACCTCTTTCTAGAATACAAGATCCATATTTTCAACAACCTTTAGATAGTTTCACTCAGTACCTCTCAATACTTCAACATCATTTTCCAAAGGGAAATCATTCATTTGAGGTATTTTCCTCTTTCTGTATTCTCCTGGTTCAAGACTGATTTTTCACCAGCTGCCAGGTCTAGACCTCCACAAAACAATGCTGCCAAACTCTCCCGTCTCAGCCTACAATCATGATAGGGGTAGAATTCCATTTGTTTCCTAATGTTGTGACAGAGAATGGCTCCCTTTAGCCAATGCCATTTTCTTTTTTCCTGGGCTGTCTTGTCTGACCCATTTTTCTCAGTCTCCCTTCCTGTTATTCGTGGTCCCGGGACTTAGCTGTCACCAATGAAATGACAAACTTACTGCCCACTGTTTGCAGGTCTGGCCCATAAAAACCTCCCATATGTGCTTCCCAGGGCTCCTCACATTCCTCTGACTGGGAAGTGAAAGTCATGCTGGCATGGGGGCCTTGTGCCCAAGGAGCCTGATCTCTGTATGGGGGCTGTGTGCCCAAGGAGCCTGAGTTCTGTATGGGGGCCATGTGTCGAAGGGGCCTGCACTCCATTAGGCTGGACCCCTCTGAGTGACTGCCTGGAATGCTTTCATGCTGTCAAATTATAACTGTTCAGCGATAATCTTACTTAAGCAGGAATTTTACATTACTAGTATTCTATTGGTTCCACTCCTCTGGGGAACCCTAAAACACTGGTGTAAAGCAATGGTCATTTATTACCATCACCCCCCCGCCCTCTGAGTTCTAGGGGAGGCTGGCCTCAGCTAGACAGTTTGTGTTCATGGCCTCTTATGCAGTTGCATTCAGATGGTGACCAAGGCTGGTGTCACAGCAAAGCTTCCTCACATGCCTGGCTGGCAGTTGATGTAGGATATTAACTAGGACTTCAGTGGGGACTGTTGACAGAAGCACCTCCATGTATCCTCTCCATGTGGCTAGGAGTTCTTTCCACCATAGTATCTGGATTCCAGAGATGAGCATCTCAAGAGGGCCGAATGGAAGCAGTGTCACCTTTTATGACCCAACCTCAGAAGTCAGGCAGCATCAATATGTTATTAGCAAGTCACTAAGATAAGGCTATATTCAAAAGAAGCAGACTGTACTCCATCTCTCAACAGAAAGTATGTTAAGGCCAGGTGTGGTGGTTCACACCTGTAATCCTGCATTTTGGGAGGCTAAGGAGGGCATGTCACCTGAGGTCAGGATTTTGAGACCAGCCTAGCCAACATGGAGAAACTCTGTGTGATGGTTAATACTGAGTGTCAACTTGATTGGAATGAAGGATACAAAGCATTGATACTGGGTGTGTCTGTAAGGATGTTGCCAAAGGGGATTAACATTTGGTCAGTAAGCTGGGAAAGGCAGACCTACCCTTAAGCTGAATGGGCACAATCTAATCAGCTGCCAATGCAGCTAGAATATAGGCAGGCAGAAAAACATGAAAAGAGAGACTGACTTAGCCTCCCAGCCTACATCTTTCTCCAGTTCTGAATGCTTCTGGACCTCAAACATTGGACTCCAAGTTCTTCAGTTTTGGAACTTGGACTGGTTCTCTTTGCTCCTCAGCCTGCAGACAGCTTATTATGGGGCCTTGTGATCATGTGAGTTAATACTTTAAAATCTCCCCTATACATATATATATATATATATATATATATATATATATATATATATATATATATTAGTTCTGTCCCTCTAGAGAACCCTGACTAATACAGATTTTGGTACCAGGAGTTGTTCTAGAGGAAGAGAATATTAAGGATGGGGTTCTTTTGTTGGTTTTGGGTTTTCTGGAGTTGGCTTCTTAATATGATTAGACCCAAAAATGCTAGGGACTCTACTTCTAATAGTATGGAGAACACTGATAGTCCTTGGCATGAATTGCTCAGAGAGTTATGCAAAATAAATGCATTTTACACTTCCGATTCATTGCTCATAAGGGGCAATGAGTTTAGTGACTCTATACATAATACCTTTGACCATATATGGAGAACCAAGGAATATAATGAAGCTGGTTGGTTGCTCCTAAGTTCAATGGACAAAGTGATTAAAGAAAATTATGAATTCAGTGATTCTGTCTCCTGGCTTCAGAAGCAGATACTGAGCTTCAACTCTGTTAAGACTGCCCTGAGTGAGAGTCTTATCTCTTGCAGAGAAAGAGCTGAAATTGTGGAAAAACAGACATAAACTCTTATCATGTGAGTGGCTGACCTGCAACAAAAGGTGCATGCACAGCCTTGCCAGGTGTCTACTGATAAAATGAGGGCATTGATTGGAAAAGAATGGGACGCTGCAACTTGGAATGGGAATGTATGGGAGGACCATGATGAAGCTGGGGACACTGAGTTTGTAAACTCTGATGAACCCTTTTTGCCAGAAGAAACAGCTTCCCTATCGTCAGTAGTGGCAACATTCCCCCCTCACCCGACTCATGCTGCCATCAGCTTCTCCACCTTTGTCTGAGGAGATAAACCCTGCGCTGCCTGAGGCAACAGTGATGGCCTCCCCTGAGGCAGCTGTCAGGCAAGATAATGAATCTCCTCAGGAGCCACCCCCAATACCCTTTTTGCTTCTAGACCTATAACTAGTCTAAAGTCCCAGTGGGCTCCAAGAGGTGAGGTTGAGAGTGTGACCCATGAGGGAGGTGTGCTATACTCAAAAAGAACTGCTTGAGTTTTCTAATTTATATAAACAGAAATCTGGAGAACAGGTATGGGAGTGGATATTAAGGGTGTGGGATAGTGGTGGAAAAAACAGAGTTGGATGAGGCTGAATTTATTGATTTGTGCCCACTATGTAGGAACTCTACATTTAATGCTGCAGCTTGGGGAGTTAGAAAAGGTTCTAATAGTTTATTTGCTTGGTTAGCTGAAATATGCATTATAATATGGCCCACTGTGAGTGAGATGGAAATGTCTGATCTCCCTTGGTTTAATGTTGAGGAAGGGGTCCAAAGGCTTAGGGGCATTGGGATGGTGGATTGGATTAGTCACTTTAGATCTACTCACACCAGCTGAGAGGGTCCAGAAGATATACTCTTGACCAATGTCTTCTGAAATAGATTTGTGAGGGCAGCACCTACATCTTTGAAAAGCCCTGTAATTGCTCTTTTCTGTATGTTAGATCTAACAGTGGGAACTACAGTCACTCAACTACAAAATTTAAATACAATGGGAATAATTGGATCCCGAGGGGCAGGGGCCAAGTAGCGGCACTTAACCATCAAAGGTAAGGTGGGCATAGCTACCATAAGAGACAGCAGAAGCAAAGCAGCAATCAGAATAGTCTGATCCATGTAGAGCTCTGGCATTGGCTAATCAATCACGGTGTTCCTAGAAGTGAAATTTATAAGAAGCCTACTGCATTCCTATTTAATTTATATAAGCAGAAACCTTCTAGGTCGAAAGGACAAAAGATTAATTTGAATTATAAAGACAGAAAATCACAGCCCCTCAATCAATTTCCAGACTTGAGCCAGTTTACAGACCAAGAACCCCTTGAATGAAGGGGAAGCTGGGTCCCCTTGAGGAAAGACCCCACTACGTTTCTGACAATTTATGCAGTGAATGTTTCTCCCATCCTTCCCCAAGGAAACCTCTGGCCTTTTAAGGACAGGGTAACTGTGGATTAGGGAAAGGGAAATGATCAGACCTTTTGGGGACTGCTGGACACTGGCTCTGAGCTGATGGTGATTCCAGGTGACCCAAAACATCATTATGGTCCTCCAGTTAAAGTAGGGACTTATGGAGGTCAAGTTATTAATGGAGTTTTAGCTCAGGTCTGACTTAAGTGGGTCCAGTGGGCCCCCAGATTCATCCTATGGTCATTTGCCCAGTGCCAGAAAGTATAACTGGCATAGACATAATTAGCAGCTGGCAGAACCCCCACCTTGGCTCCCTGACTGGTAGGGTGAGGGCTACTATGGTAGGAAAGGCCAAATGGAAGCCATTAGAGCTGCCTCTACCTAGAAAAAATAGTAAATAAAAAACAATATCACATCCCCGGTGGGATTGTGGAGATTAGTGCCACCATAAATGATTTGAAAGATGCAGGGGTGGTGATTCCCACCATATCCCATTCAACTCTCCCATTTGGCCTGGGCAGAAGACAGACAGATCTTGGAGAATGACAGTGGATTATTGTAAGCTTAACCAAGTGGTGACTCCAATTGCAGCTGCTGTACCAGATGTGGTTTCATTGCTTGACCAAATTAACACATCTCCTGGTACTGTTATGCAGCCATTGACCTAGCAAATGCCTTTTTCTTCATTCCTGTCCATAAGGCCCAGCAGAAGCAATTTGCCTTCAGCTGGCAAAGCCAGCAATATACCTTTACTGTCCTACCTTAAAGGTATATCAACTTTCCAGATTTGTGTCATAATCTTATTCAGAGGATCTTGATCACTTTTCACTTCTGCAAGATATCACACTGGTCCATTACATTGATGACATTATGCTGATTGGATTCAGTAAGCAAGAGGTAGCAAACACACTGGACTTATTGGTGAGACATTCGCATGCCAGAGGATGTGAAATAAATCCAACTAAAATTTGGGGAACTTCTACTTCAGTAAAATTTCTAGAGGTCCAGTGGTGTGGAGCCTGTCGAGATAGTCCTTCTAAGGTGAAGAATAAGTTGCTGCATTTGGCCCCTGCTACAACCAAGAAAGAGGTACGATGCCTATTGGGCTGATTTGGATTTTGGAGGCAACACAGTCCTCATTTAGGTGTGTTTCTCTGGCCCATTTATCAAGTGACCCAAAAGACTGTCAGTTTTGAGTGGGGTCCAGAACAGGAGAAGGTTCTGCAACGGGTCCAGGCTGCTGTGCAATCTGCTCTGCCACTTGGGCCATATAACCCAGCAGATCCAAAGATGCTTGAGGTATCAGTGGCAGATAGGGATGCTGTTTGGAGCCTTTGGCAGGCCCCCATAGGTGAATCACAGCGGAGGCCTCTAGGATTTTGGGGCAAGGCCCTGCCATCTTCTGCAGATAACGACTCTCCTTTGGAGAGACAGCTCTTGACCTATTACTGGGCTTTAGTGGAAACTGAATGTTTGACTATGGGTCATCAAGTCACCATGTGACCTGAACAGCTTATCATGAACTGGGTGCTTTCTGACCCATCTAGCCATAAAGTGGGTCATGCACAGCAGCTTCCCATCATCAAATGGAAGTGATGTATATGTGATGAGGCTCAAGCAGGTCCTGAAGGCACAAGTAAGTTGTATGAAGAAGTGGCTCAAATGCCCATGGTCTCCACTTGTGCCACCCTGCCTTCTCTCCCCCAGCCTGTACCAATGGCCTCTTGAGGAGTTCCCTATGATCAGTTGACAGAGGAGGAGAAGACTTGGACCTGGTTCACAGATGGTTCTGCACAATATGCAGGCACCACCCAAAAGTGGAGGGCTGCAGCACTACAGCCCCTTTCTAGGACATGCCTGAAGGACAGAGGTGAAGGGAAATCTTTCCAGTGGGCAGAACTTCCAGGAGTGCACCCTGTTGTGTACCTTGCATGGCAGGAGAAATGGCCAGATGTGCAATGATATACTGATTCATGGGCTGCAGCCAGTGGTTTGGCTGGATGGTCAGGGACTTGGAATAAGCATGACTGGAAAAAGAAATTTGGGGAAGAAGTATGTGGATGGACCTCTCTGAGTGGTCAAAAACTGAAGATATTTGTATCCCATGTGAGTGCTTGCCAATGGGTGATCTCAGCTGAGGAGGATTTTAATAATCAAGTGGATAGGATGACCCATTCTATGGACACCACTCAGCCTCTTTCCCCAGCTACCCCTATGATCGCCCAATGGGCCCATGAACAAAGTGGCTATGGTGGCAAGGATGGAGGTTATGCATGGGCTCAGAAATATGGGCTTCCACTCACCAAGGCTGACGTGGCTGTGGCCACTGCTGAGTGTCCAATTTGCCAGTAGCAGAGAACAATACTGAACCCTCGATATGGCACCATTCTTCAGGGTGATCAGCCAGCTACCTGGTAGCTGGCTGATTATATTGGACCACTTCCATCATGGAAAGGACAGAAGTTTGTCCTCACTGGAATAGACACTTAATCTGGATATGGGTTTGCGTATCCTGCATGCAATGCGTCTGCCAAGACTACCATCTTTGGACTCACAGAATGCCTTATCCACCATCATGGTATTACCCACAGCATTGCCTCTGACTAAGGCACTCACTTGATGTCTAAAGCAGTGCATCAGTGGGCTCGTGCTCATGGAATTCACTGGTCTCACCATGTTCCCCATCAGCCTGAAGCAGTGGATTGATAGAATGATGGAATGGCCTTTTGAAGTCACAATTCCAAGGCCAACTAAGTGACAATACTTTGCAAGCCTGGGGCAGAGTTCTTCAGAAGGCCATGTGTTCTCTCAGTCGGTGTCCAATGTATGGTACTGTTTCTCCCAAAGCTAAGATTCATGGGTCCAGAAATCAAGGGATGGAAGTGGAAGTGGCACCAGTCACCATCACCCATAGTGATCCACTAGCAAAATTTTTGCTTCTTGTTCCCACAACACTATGTTCTGCTGGTCTAGAGGTCTTAGTTCCAGAGGGAGGAATGCTGCCACCAGGAGTCACAGCAATGGTTCCATTAAACTAGAAGTTAAAATTGCCATGTGGACTCTTCGGGCTTCTACTACTTTTAAGTCAACTAAGAAGGGAGTTACGGTGTTGACTGGGGTGACTGACCCGGACTATCAAGGTGAAATCAGTCTGCTACTCCACAATGGAGGTAATGAAGAGTATCCATGGAGTACAGGAGCTCCATTAGGGTGTCTCTTAGTATTACCATGACCTGTGATTAAGGTCACTAGGAAACTACAACAGCCCAATCTAAGAGGGACTACAAATGACCCAGACCCTTCAGGAATAAAGGTTTGGGGTCACTCCACCACGAAAAAATAAAAAACGTGACCTGCTGAGGGGCTTGCTGGAGGCAAGGGGAATACAGAATGGGTAGTAGAAGACGGTAGTCATCAATACCAGCTACCACCACATGACCAGCTGCAGAAACAAGGACTGTAATTGTCATGAGTATTTCCTCCTTCTTTTGTTAAAAACATGTTTGTGCATGTATACACTTTTACTAAGAAAATATCTTCAATTTATTTCCTTTCTCCTTTATCATGTGACATAAGATTTATTGACTTCACATCAGCATTTAAGTATTGTTAACTTTATGTGGTAGTATTTGGGTTGGGGATTGGTGTGTTTCTGGTTGTAAGAAGGATACTTGTATTATGTTAGGCATAATTATTACCTTATTACTGGCTTTATTTGAAGATTATGTATGATCTCAGGAGATGTGTATGGGTTCAAGTTGACAAGGAGTGGACTTTTAATACTCAGTGTCAATTTGATTGGATTGAAGGATGCAAAGAATTGATCCTGGGTGTGTCTGTAAGGGTGTTGCCAAAGGAGATTAACATTTGAGTCAGTAGGCTGGGAAAGGCAGACCCACCCTTAAGGTGGGTGGGCAAAATCTAATCAGCTGCCAGTGCAGCTAGAATATAAGCAGGCAGAAAAATATGAAAAGAGAGACTAACTTAGCCTCCCAGCTTACATCTTTCTACCTCGCTGGAAGCTTCCTGCCCTCGAACATTGGACTCCAAGTTCTTCAGTTTTGGAACTCAGACTGGCTCTCCTTGCTCCTCAGCCTGCAGACAGACTATTGTGGGACCTTGTGATTGTGTAGGTTAATACTTAATAAACTGCCCTTTATGTATATTATATATATACAATATATATATAAAGTTACATATATAATATATATTATATATTCATAGATATATAATATATATGTTAATTATTATGTTATTAGTATATATTATATTAATTAATATATATTATATATAATATATATGTTATAATAGTATATATTATATATAATATATATAATATATATTTTTATATATATTATATATAATTATATATTACATAATATATATATTATATTATAGAATATCTATAATTATATATAATATAAAAATATTAAATATATAATTAAATATATATAAATATTTAATTATATATAATTAAATATATAACTATGTATAATTAATATATATTATATATTATATATTATACATATTATATATAATATATCATATATAATATATATAATATACATATATAATATATAATATATAATATAATATATATTATATAATATATATAATATACATATTATATATGATATATCATATATCGTATATAATATAATATATATTATATATCATATATATGATATATGATATATTATATATCATATATAATGTATAATATATAGTACATATAATATATAATTATATATAATTATATATTTAATATTTTTATATTATTTAAAATTATATATATTCTATAATATAATATATATTATATTATGCAATATATATAATTATATATTATTATATATAAAAATATATATTATGATATAAATAATACATAATTATATATATAATAATATATAATATATAATTATATATAATATATAGTAATATATTATAATATATAATATATAGTAATATATTATAATATATAATATATCTATCATAAATATATATAAGATTATATACTATATATTAATATATATAAAAATATAATTAATAATTAATAAATATATAATATATAATTATATATTATATATGTAATTATATAATATATAATTATAATTATATATAATATATAATTATAATTATATATTATATATAATTATATATTATATATTACATATTATATATATTATATATTACATATTATATATATTACATATTATATATTACATATAATACATATTATATATATTACATATTATATATTATATATATAATATATCTAAATATATATAATACATAATACATGTATAACTTAATATATATAATATATATATACACATAAAGGGCAGTTTATTAAGTATTAACCTACACGATCACAAGGTCCCACAATAGTCCATCTGCAGGCTGAGGAGCAAGGAGAGCCAGTCTGAGTTCCAAAACTGAAGAACTTGGAGTCCAATATTTGAGGGCAGGAAGCTTCCAGCGAGGTAGAAAGATGTAAGGTGAGAGGCTAAGTCAGTCTCTTTTTTCATATTTTTCTGCCTGCTTATATTCTAGCTGCACTGGCAGCTGATTAGATTTTGCCCACCCAGCTTAATATATATATATATATATATATATGAAAAAATATATATGTAATTATATATAATATATATTATATATTTATAATAGATATATATTATGTATATAATATATATTTTATTATATATCATCATTATATATAATTATATAATATATATTATTATATATAATTATATATAATATATATTATATAATTATATATAATATATATTATTATATATCATTATTATATATAATTATATATAATATATATTTTATATATCATTATATATAATTATATATAATATATATTTTATTATATGTATCATTATTATATATAATTATATATAATATATATATTATATCTGTTATATTACATATTATATATACTATATATCTATTATATATTATATATACTATATATCTATTATATATTATATATCTGTTATATATTATATATTATATGTAATATATAAATATAATATATATTATATATAATATATAAATATAATATATATTATATATAATATATAAATATAATATATATTATATATAATAAATAAATAAATATATATTATATTTATTTATTATATAAAAATATAAAATATATAATTATATATATGAAAATATATATAAATATATAATATATAAAATATAATATATATAATATATATTATGTACATTAAGTTAATACTTGATAAACTGCCCTTTATATATATATATAATTGAGTATATGTATTCAATTAGTTTGCCCTTTATTCAATTAGTTTGCCCTTTGTATATATATATATAGTATATATATATAATTGAATATATAAGTATTCAATTAGTTCTGTCCCTCTAGAGAACCCTGAGTAATACACTCATCTCTACTAAAAATAAAAAAATTACCCAGGCATGGTGGTGCCGCCTGTAGTCCCAGCTACTCGGGAGGCTGAGGCAGGAGAATCCCTTGAACCTGGGAGGCAGAGGCTGCAGTTAACTGAGATCACCCCATTGCACTCCAGCCTGGGTGACAGAGAGAGACTATCTCCAAAAAAAAAAAAGTATTAACTGTTAAGAGACTTGCAGACATATTCTCAAGCCATCACTTACAGCCACAATAATAGAACATATTTCATACATTTCCTTTAAGATTGAATGAGTTAAATGCAGACCATGTAAATATGTGAGGAGCTCCTAGCAAAATTCTTCGCACATGGTAAGCACTGAGTAAATTTTAGCTATCATATTCACCAATATTATCATCTTTCTTGCCGGGGCAACACTGGCGTCAGCAGTAATAATTGCATAGAAAAGAACCTGTGTCTTTAGGAAATTGTTTTCATCTTTGAGATCCCATGGCTGACATTGGTCCTCTGTAGAAACGTTTCCAGGCTCTTTTTAGCCAGAAAACTAAGGTGAAGAGTGGCAAGAACCTTTGACTTCATCAGATACTGCATCTGCCTAGAGGAGCAATCTATCCGATTCACAGGTTTGTGATGATATTCAGGAAAGTATGGTTTCTCTGCCACACACTGCAACACGGTAGGTCTTCATGTAATACTCAACTCAACAAATAGTTGATTTGTATATTGACATATGTTTCTGTCATTGGAACTTAACTATGTCTTTTTTCAGTGTATTGGCAGCAAAATGAAAATAGAAATCTACACGTTGTATTTTAATAAATATCAATAATTAATTAAATAGAATCACATACACATGCTTAGCTAAGCAGAAGAACACATGTCATTTCCATGGTGGCTACTCTGGAGGCACATCCTGAGACTCTGGGAGGGAGGAGACCTAGAATCACAGCAGAGGAGCTGCTATTTTCCTCTAAGCCCAACCGCATCGTAGAGCCCTCTTCTCCCCTAAAAGGAAGGCAGTGAGTCAGAAATCTAATTTCTCATTCTTTGATATGGAAAGAAAGAAGGTCTCATGTCTCTCAGAGATCACAAACTGCCCCTGTGAGCAGGAGGAGGGTGCAGGGAGCCTGAGACTGCCCTGTACTGCCTGCTGGGGCTTAGCTGGGATAAGCCAGTCCTGAGACCCTTTAGCTTATGTCCTGCCCCTCTCATCTTCCTATCATTACCTCACCTTCCTTCTCAGGGAGGATGCCAACACCTCATTCTGCTTAGCCCTTTGTAGATTCCCAAGAGTTTTCCCACACTTAATTTTATTTTGATATTTCTAACAACCCAATGAGAGTGGTGACACCATGGGTGACATGATTGCATCTTATCTACAAGGAGACAGACTAACTGAAATTATTCATGAGGACAGCTCAATGGGTGCAATGTTTAAGCTAAACCCCGTCTACAGGTTTTCCAGCCTTTGCTCCCCAATCCCAAGTCACTACAAGGAGTTGAAACAAAAGGAGGAACTGCCCTGAATGAAAGCTCTCTGGTCTCTAATTAGAGTGGTGCTGGCTGGCATCTAGAGTATCAAATGTGACCATGTCCCTTGATTGCATGGTAGTCGATTCTTAATTTCTGATATGATTGGAATTTGTGCCCCCACCCAAATCTCATGTCAAATTGCAATCCCCAGCATTGGAGGAGAGGCCTGCTGGGAGCTGACTGGATCACGGAGGCCGGCTTCCCCCTTGTTCTCACGATACTAAGTTCTCAGGAGATCTGGGTGTTGAAAAGTGTGTGGCACCTCCCGCCTCTCTCTTCCTCCTGCTCTGGCCATGTGAGAAATCCCCCCTTCCTCTTCACCTTCCACCATGATTGTAAGTTTCCTGAGGCTCCCCCAGCCATGTTTCCTATACGACCTACAGAACCATAAGCCAATTAAACCTCTTTTTAAAAAAATAAATTACCCAGTCTCACATAGTTCTTTATAGCAGTGTTTGAACAGACTAATACAATTTCTCAACCTTTTCTCTGGAAGTTCTCTGTCGGGCACAACGTCATCAACATTTTTTGCCCAAGCTATTTGTCTAGCACTAGGAATGGACTCAGAGAAATCCTCTCATCAGTAAGTTTTCATCTTAGTAGTAACATTCTGCCAGCAAAGTGTAGAAGATGGATTCAAACCTGAGTCATGCTTTCTTTAGCTGCAGAGTGATAAAAGCAGAAAATCCTTAAAGAGGCATGTTCACTGCCATTGACAGCAACTTTTTTTCAAGCTGTGTTATTAGAGTAAGGCCTGTGTGAATTAGTGAAGAATTATGGGACTTTGAAATAAATTTCATAGTTTATATACTTTCCAGGATATAGTTATAACAGGATATCAGATTGAGACTCTTTTTGCCTCAATTTCCACTGATTTCTAAATGATGGTGATTGGGATACCAAGGGAGTATCAGACAGGTGGCCCTGCATATGTCAGATGCATACTTTACAAGG
The DNA here is from genome assembly GCF_000001405.40 of Homo sapiens. Classification (NCBI taxonomy): domain Eukaryota; kingdom Metazoa; phylum Chordata; class Mammalia; order Primates; family Hominidae; genus Homo; species Homo sapiens. Next base: position 109,214,212 of record NC_000013.11, on the reverse strand, counting down.
GAGAGGAAGGAAACCTGCTCCTATCTCTTGGGCCTTTCAGCAGGATTAAAGGTACAAAAAGTAGTCAGAGAGAGGACTGGGAAAAATTGATGAAAATATTTATTTGGTCAACTGTAAGTTCCATCCTGCCCTTTCAGGAGGGGTTTGGAGAGTGCATTTGCTCTTAGTGCTGAGCCTAATGAGGGTGCTCCCCCAAAGCCCCCAGGGAGCACTGGAAAATGTGCTTACTGCACTGGGGAGATCCCAAGAACTAGTACCTGGCCCATGACGAAGACTGCTGACTCGCTTTGGAGGCGGGGCTGAGTGCTCCTGCTCCTGCTCCGGCTCAGCCTGCTCTGCTGGGTAAGCGCTGCTTGAGGGTGCTCCCAACAACTGCATGTGAGCTGCTTGGTGGGTGCCACTTGGGGACCTCCAGAGCAGGGTTTCTCAAATGTCCATGTGCACATGGCTCACCTGCAGATTCTAACTTTGCAGGTCTAGGATTGGGATGATGAGTTTCCCAGGCAATACCATTGCTGCTGGCCACTGGACCACGCTTTGAAGGGCACAGAGTACTGTGTGTGGGAGAGACTGAAGAGACTTCAGAGAAGGAGGACAAAGATTCCTCCTGATGTCCACGAATTCAGGAAAGAGCCTCAGGAGCTCTAGGAACAGAGAGATGTCTGTCTGCCTAGGGCTTGTGTGAGAGAGGACCCAATAGATAGTCTGCAGAGCCCACTGCATCTTCCCAGAGAAGAGTCAGCTTGCTCCTCCACGAGGCCCTCCCAGTGCTCCCTGCTTGAACTGCTGCCAGGCCTGGAGAGGGGAAGCTTTCCAGGGAAGTGAGGGACTCCCTATATCCCCCCTCTCCTCCCACTCATCCTTACCTCGTTACCCTCCAGCACTGGGTACAGGAAGACTTACAAGGGCCCATTGGGAAGGTGGGCTGGCGGCTGCTGATGTAGGGAATTTTCTGCATCTCATGGTTGGCAGAAGGCTAGTGGCTCTGTGCACCTTCTGAGCCCAGAAGGAAATATAAAATTGCTTTTAGGTAGTTATAGTTAGGACTTCCCTGCCTCACATAGTGTGGTATATACAGGCGGATCATCAACCAAGTCGCATCCCTTTCCCCCTAGTCAAAGAGTAGGTCTACATGTCCCAGGCCCCTCCTGCCAGGTGCAGCTCCATGACTGAGTTCTGGCCCATGGAATGTGGAGGCACGTTAAGCCATTTTTAGGCAGGCCATGAATTCCTCCTGGGTCTGTTCCCTGTGCTCTAATCCTCATCTACTGGCTAAGCAAGGAGCACCCGCAAAGGCCTAGAGGAGGCTGAGCCATGAGACGGACGGACCCTTGATCTTTGAATGACTGTGTCAACTGTGACTTAAGAGAGAATACTAAAATAGAAGGACAGCTTTATTGTGTGAAACCACTAGAGCCTGTGGTTGTTAAAACAACCAACTTGAGTAACAAACATAGATAGGGGTGGGAAGTCAAGACAAATAAGAAAACTGCCCACAAGTGCCACCTACCAACTGTCAGGAGCAAAACTGGGAGGTAGAGTGACTTGTACCTTTAATGAATTTTTCTCATTGAGTCTTTGTGGGCAAACTTTTGGCTTCTGAAGACTGTGGGCAGCAAGTATTATGTCTTTGTAGGGTTTGCCTTTCCTTCTGAGGCTGAAAAATAAGAGTTCTTGGTACGGGATAAAAACACGTCAGTAATGAGACAGTGTCACCTCTGATTTCCTAATTCCTTACCATTGACACCCTGAGCATCCGAGGCCATGACTCGGTGGATTTCTTGTGGCCTCTTTTTCTCTTTTGCTGGGAAAATTTTCTTGCTTTTAAAAATATAGACGGTCATCCTTTTATGTAACAGTTTCTAAGCCCAAGGGAATGACAATAGTTCTCCAACCACAAAATGCAGTTATAATTGTCTGAAGAACTAGTTCCCCTACAAAACAGGTGTATATAGATGACCTATTTGTATTAAAAAGTGTCCAAAACACTAGCTTTGTGATATTAAATGTAATTATCTTATTCAACAATAATATTGATGAAGAATAATAGGGAGTGGTCGGGTGGCTATGCTCTTCTTATTGCCACACAAAAGTCTAATGCAATTTATCATAAACATTAAGTTCGGAAAGAAAACCTCTCTTCAAATATGACAGAATGTATACATTTTTCAATTAATTGTTTTAGATCATGGCCCTCCAACCCTTTTGTTTGTTGAAATCTTAAAAGATCAAAAACTCAAATTGAATTTGGTTTTATTCCATTTTTCTTTAGAGCTTTGATCCCCCCCTCCCTTGGAATTTATCAATAGTTTCATTCTCTTTCATTTTCTTTAGACTTCAGAAGCCAAATGGTGACATCAGGAAAATGTCATCTGAGCAGGCTCGCTGGCCTTCCTTTGAAGCAGCGCTTGTTCCCTGGGGCTACAGGGAAAGGCAAGCTGGCAGATATGCAGGGTGTCTGTCCCATGACTAATTCAAAGGAAAGAAAAGACACATTTGATACATTCCTATTATAAAACAACAATAGAAATGAATGCATAGATTTATTCACCTTTAATTATTTTCTTATGAGAGGACATCAACATTTTCTTCTGCCATTATAATGATCCGGTAAACTACATAAAATTCAGATTATATTATGCTGATGTTGAAGCACACAAGAATGATATTTAAAGTATAAGCACATTTCAAAAAGCCTGGAAAATGATCTGAGAAATTAGAACAGGTGATAGAGATGAATTATAGGCACCTATTAAGACATACCCTTTGAAAAATAACATCTTTAAAGTTTATAAAGCATCCTGGATTTTAGAGAAACTTACTGAAACCACAATAATAGAACATCGCAGGGGTTTGGAGTATTTAGGTAAAGTGAAAAAAACTACAAAGATTATTCTTCCCAGTCTGTAACTCAGCATGCTACAACCTTTTGCTATCTAATGGGTATCTTTGTAACTCACGTGGACGCCTTGCAGCACAGAACATCGTTGGTAGTAGAATTTGTTTTATGAAGTCATTGCTTATGAATAAGATGTAAAGGAAGAAAAATGGGGGTGGAGATGATATTTTTAGTTTTTTGAAAGCAGTGCTACTGTTTTGGGATCCCATGAGTATCACACAGAACTCACTATTCCACAGTAAATAGAAATTTAATTGCTTTCGTCTTCATTATATGGATTTTTATGTGCAGCTAAAAACAATTTGAAAAATGTAATAAAATTACACTAAATGTTTACTTGGAACAGAGTTTTTTTTTCCTCCAGCTAATTTAAGAATCTTTTTTATTGAAACTTTCCTGATGAGAAATAGAAATCAATTCCATTCATTTCTCATCAAAAACTACATTTAAATGATTAGGAAAAAATGAGCAGTTCCAAGTGACGGTCAATGGGTGAAACGTGTCCTATTGAAGAACGTTATTATTTAATACCCTCATGCCCTTTATTGTGATACGAGTTGAGTTTGATGTCTGGCTGGAAACTGACAGCAATAGAATTTTGACAAAAGTTCATCCATCCTTTCAGACTCTGGAATTCATAATATACCTTTTGTCCAAGTTGTGTAATGTTTATTTGTGAAGTCCATTCATAAATCTTAGATTTTAATTGGTTGTTGCTTTTATTGAGCAGATTTATATAAGCATAATTCTAACTAAATTAGATACCACTATTTAAGAATAGTGATGATATATTTTTCCATCCTGGGAAATACATTTTAAATCATTTTAACTCATTGTAAACATTTGGATAGTGGTTTTTAGAGAGCTCTCATAAATAATTTTTTTAAAAAAGCAATAGAAGTGGGCAGTGTTTGAACATAGGGTAATAATTCATACCAATTATATTGCTGAACATAAGTTTGAAGCCTCAATAATACATCCTAATTCATACCTTATGGTCTGATGGCAATTAAAATACCACCATTAAATATTTTGCAAACACACATAAAAGCTGAAATCTTGCTTATGTAGAATAATATTCAGTACTTTATTACCCAGAATATTACCTCTTTATTTTCTTGACAAAGTATAATCATTAGAGAGCCATTCTGAGAGTAACTTTAATCCACACGAAGGCTTGGACTTCGTATTATTGTGACTGTTAATACTGTTACTACTGTCATGGCTATTGATGCTTTTGAGCCTCTGCTGATTTTCATATCATGTAATTAGAACAGGCACAATCAGATGGTCCTAATGTAGTGATTAACACACACCTGCAATCTCTTTCCACAGCGGAGAATCCAAACAACTAAACACAAAAGGGCTTACTTACTGATTAAGGAGATTGTGTTTAAAGGGTCTGTCCACATTGATTTAGAAGATTGTGTTTAAACAATCTATCTACAAGCGGGTTGGCTTCTAGTGTCTGAAGGTCAACAAACCTTAAATGAGGCAGAGGGACTACTGAGAGGTTAAATATTTCATGTTCATGATGCTCATAGTACCCTAATAGGTGACTGTAATGTTTACCTAGTGATGACACAGGCCCCAGTGCTTCAACTTGGGTTAATAGGGAGTTGTGTGGTTTGGACACACATGTGGCTTGTGACTTCCTTACTTCACGTAAGGTCTCCCTACAATGGTCATGCATCATCATTTCAGGTGTCTTTTCATAAAGTAAGTTGGCAATTTCTGTATATCAAATTAAAATGGCATGGACATTGGAATCATAAAGATGAGAGTTTATATCTGATGGGCTGCTTAAAGCTATAAGCTTCAATTTCAGTATCAATACAAAAATGATAAAAATTACCTTGTAGGCATATGTCAGTGCTGTGGACTGAACTATGTCCTCCCAGAATTCCTATGCTGAAACGCTGATCCCCAGTATGATGAAATTTGGAGGCAGGGTCTTTGGGATATGATTAGGTCATGAGGGCAGAGGCCTCGTGATGGAATTCATGCCCTTATAAGAAGAGACACCGGAGAGGGTGCTTCCTCCCCTTCTTCTCTGAACATGCGAGGGTACGATGAGAAGATGGCCATCTGCAATCCAGGAAGCAGGCCCTCACCAGACACGGGATCTGTGGAAATTTTCATCTTGGACTTCCTAGGCTTCAGAACTGTGGGAATACATGCTTGTTGTTGAAGCCACCCTGCTGATGGCCATTTGTTACAGCAGCCCTAACCAAAATAGCCAGTTTAGGAATCACATGGGCTGAGCACCTCGCACAGTCAGCACAATGCTCAGTGAACATTTGAAGCAAGTTCTTGCAATGTGCAATGCTTAAACAGTTTATTTTTCACCCTGGCCTAAATATATTGTGGGGAGGAGAATGCAATTCAAAGTTTTAATTCAACTAAGATCATTAAGTGCCTATTATGTCCATAGCATGGCCCAAGAAGCCATGTATCAAGGGAAAGTTGGCTTCTTCCATTGCTTCTTCGCGGGGGTGGAAGTCAGAAGGGAAAAACATGAGAGAAATAGGCAGGGAATGGGACTCGGCTGTCGTCAGGCTGGAGGTCAGGCAGAACACTTCCTTGTGGTTGCTGGGTGGCTGCAGTAACATTGCAGTAACTACATATTGACCATGTGCTTTTATTTGCTGTGTTCTGATGCTTTGGCATCTGGGGCCCTGCTGACCTTGGAGGAATTGCCATTTCCAGGGTTAGCCACGTCCAAAAGATAATGATGACTCACCCCAGAACATGATTTTCAAAGACAAGTCAACCAATCTAGAGCCCACATCCCTAGTAAGTCTCCCCTGTGGGCTCTCATAGGGCTGTCATTCCAGGCCACTCTCCACCCACCCTAATCACCTCAAGGCTAGGTCCCAGACAGGTAGGGATGGCTCCGCTAACCCAGAACCCACCGATATTTCTCAAAGCAGTCAGTTCTATGCCTGCTGATCCTGCCTTGTCCTTTCCTAGTGTTGTGCAAACTAAAATAAAAGGCTCCCCCTATGCCCTCTGCTTCCTGGCTGACCTTGGTGTGGCCCTCTGATGGCACTATGTGTCCTCTTCTCTGAGCTTTCTGAGGATGACAAGCCGTCTTTTCAATGGGACTCCCTTCCAGACCTGTTGGTCTCACCATACTGGAATCATCATAAAGCCTGTATTGTAAAACATCATTGGTGTCTAAAGTTTGCACAATGCTATGGCCCCCACATTAAGGGAGTCTGGGTGAGATCACTTCATTGTCCCTACTTCTCTGACCAGAAAACACAAGAGTTCATGGGAGACAATAATAACAACAACAAAAACAATAGAAGAACACAGTTGTACCTCTTTATTGGCACAGTAACTTTTCAAAGGCTGGTATGAATAAAAAGTTCCAAGTAGCAAGACAAGGTGGTCTGGAGCCACTGCTCAGAACTTTCCGACAGCCGACGAAAGCACATCAATGAACAAGGCCTTGCATTATGGGAGGGTTGAGGATATACAGTGAGGGAATCATGCAGTGTAAGTCCCGGGGGACGAGCGCTGTGCGATGCAGCCCCTACTGCTCAAACCAGTACATGGCAGCGTGCTCATTTGTACTGTGTAGGCCTTTGAATGAATATGATCATTTTACACCACCGGCTATGGATTTGAAGCCATACGTGTTTAACCGTGTGCCATGTGATTTCCTGTGATCTATGCTGAAGTCGGGAGGTGAAATTTAACTAAAGGGTACACAATCCACTTATCCAGAAATACAGGGCATAGGAAAGAACAGCCTCCTCATCCATGAGTAACACCTAAAACATGGGGCTCAATTCATAGTTTTGCAAGGGGTGACACTGGCGAAGCTAAAACAACAATGTAGTTTCAAGATTTAGGTGCGTTAGGTGAAAAAAAAGGACTGTGGAGGAAAAAAATAATCTAGAAATGATTTTTTAAAATCTGTATTTTGAAGAAAGGAAGCACCACCAATTGCATAAATTTATAAAATTACAGTAATAAACATGTAAATAATTATCAGGTTTATAATACCAATAAAACACAAGTAGCTACAAAGAAATAAAATATATGTCCCGTATACTGTATTATAATAAAACCATTGGAAGTACAATAAACAGACTGTTGAACCGTAGAAAAACAACTGTACAGAGTGTGCATGGATTGCTCCTTTCCTCCGCTACTCTCTCGCTCTGGCCACGTCCACACTTTTCCCAGCCTCTCTCTTGCTACCTAGGGGTAGCACAGAGCCGTAAATGAGGAGCTTGAAAATCAGAGTGTATCACCACGAGATGGATAAGAAAGAACCCACACACACACACACAAACACACACACACACACACGGGATCTCATATATTTAGTGTCTGTGTCCTGTGCTTTTTTTGTCTAAATGCGTGGAGAGAAGCCCCAGCGCATGTCAGAAGGCAGCCTTCTGTTGTTGCAGCCCGGAATCAGTAGGCAGTTCTATTTTGTAAGTCTGCAGTTCAGGCCACATCAAATGGTGGTGTCCCAGAGCTCAGACGGCAGCCTGTTGCAGGAGGCCCCTTCCGGCTTCTTCAGAAGGCTGGGCTTCTTGCAAGGTGGTGGGGGAGGCACCCTGGGCTCAGCGTGGTGCAGGATCTGCTGCCAGTCTTGTCCTTCCTCACAGAGCTTTCTCCTCCAGTCCAAGAGTTCCTGCAGGGCCACACTTTCATTCTCTGAGAGCCTCAGCTGATGGATTACCTGTGGGAGGAAGAGGGGCAGAAAAAACAGGTAGCACCAAATATTGTGAATGAGTATGAAGTGTGATAGCAACACCTGGATACAAAGGGGCAGGACTGGTGCTGAAAGAGGCAGCCTCTTTCCTCAATCTCCATGCACTGCTGCCTCTGGAAACAGCACTGGGCTAGAGAGGCTGTGAATTGCTGAGTTAAGGCAATGACTGCAACAAAACATTGGGAACTAGGTAGAGTGTTAAGGTGTGCTGCACCTCCAGAGGCTACAAGAAAGAATCAAATGTCTGCTTGACCTATGCCCTCGATTACTGTGTACATTCTTATGGCATCTTGTACTTTCTCTTCATTTAATTTCTATCCATAATAGATGTTCTCCTATTAACAGAGCTTCCTCAAGCGTCACTCCATCCTCGGAGCTGCTCCTCCATCTGTCCACATAGTTAATAGTCAAACATGACTATTAGGGTTACATGACCTCACTTCCGACCATAAGGCATGGACCCAAAGATGGACCCCTACTCATGAGGGTCCGTTCATAGACAATACACAATCACACCACACTCATGTAGAAAATGTTTTCAAGCATTAGGTGTTCCAAAAGGCAGTCACTAAAATATCCAATGAGCTCATTCAAGGCGGGCTAGCTGTGCTTGAGAATATTTGAAGCCTCTTTGGTGTATCTACCTGCCTGCTCTATTTGGTGGCAGTGAGACAAAGCAATGAGCTAAATTAGCAACTGTGTACTCTCAGACGCTGAGCCCTCAAAGATGGGAACATTATGGGCCTTTGCAGGAAAGCATCAAAACATGTAACTGTATTGGCTACATCATCTTGTGTCACTATGGCCCCTGAAGAGAGACACCCTGCAGACCAAGCTTACCCCCTGACTTCAGCTAGGGCACAAGACAAGCTGGCTATGTAGCTGGGGTCACCCTTCTTCTGCCAGCCGCCAGAAGTCTGTAGTAGCTGGACATTGCAGATATCAATTTTTCTGGCAATTCTAAGGAAGTATACTGGTTTAAAAAAAAAATGAGATTCTGGAAATCCGAATAGGAATACTGGGGAGAATTCAGAGGAAATGAGATGACTCATCCTACCTCCAAAGCACTAACTACTTTGTTCCAGCACTTCTTCTATCTCATCACAACCCTCTCCATTAAAATGAGAGAAAATAAAACAAAACAGAACACAAGTGGTTATGCACTTATGTAGAAAACAGTCACTTGAAAGCAGCAAAGGGAGTGAGTGTTCCATCCAGGCCCAATTCTAACACCAACACCTGAGCCTACTGTTTCCCCCAGAAAGAGGATTTTAAAGGCTGGGATCAAGGAGATGATGTTTACAGCATGAAGGTCAAACCCATATTCAGAGTCTGTAACTAGAGTTCTGGAGCTGGTTATTAGTAAAAGGAGCCTCCCCAGTTGAATTTACAGACAACCAGAGGAAAGAAGAGCTTAAGGGTAGAAAAGAGGACTATGGTTACTCAGTCCCTAAAGCAATTTCTAGACATAACAGAGAGTGAGCTGCAGAGCAGAGTGGGCCTCTTAAAAGGGTATTTTTTTTTTATTCTTTAGGGCTGCATCAGAATGGCCTGGAAATGAGAAATTCTGTTGGGCAGATGCTTGTGGAAGCCAGATTGCTTCTACTCTCAGCAGAGTGAGCCAAGAAAGCAGGGTGGTGGGAGCTTGCATGAAATCAGGTTATTTAGTGAACACTTTGGCTACACGTGTGCTAGGTGCTTTCGTAAGCACCTTCCAGGCATTAACTCGTCAGCTCTTAAGAGCCCTGTAAAGTGGGTACTTCTATGTTGCAGATCAGGAAACAGGAACAGGGCAGTCAGGTAATCTGGCCAAAGCCACATGGAAAATGACAGATCCTGGCAGCCTGGCCCAAGAGTCCATGGGATGTGTTTCCATTTGTTCGCATCATCTATAATTTCTTTCAAAGTGGGCTAAGGACATGAGTAGACAATTCTCAAAAGAAGATATGCTTTTAGCTGTGAGTCTACTGTGCTTAACCCAACTATTGTGGTCTAGGATCTGATACAGGCTAAGGATCAGAGTCCCCTGTACCATGTTCCTCTTCCCTTCTTTTTCTGAATGGGACCACAGTCATCTATGTTTGTCCAGGAGTGTGTGCCAGCTCCTCCGTCATCCTCCACCAGTGTGTGCTGTGCTGGTTACATTCCCTTCAGTCTCATTAGTGTGGACATGGAACATTCATATTTATGTTCCTTGGCACACACTCAGCATACAGTAGTGATCTCTGAAAACAATGTCACCAGATCAGGAAACAACATTTAACTGATGGAAGAATATCGCTACCATGTCAACTGATTATTTTCCCCAAGTTTTCTTAAGACACCATGTTTCCTAAATGACACAACTTCATATTCATTTATTTAGAAAACAAACTGAGGAACGTTCACTTCTGGAGAGCTATAGCATGTTATTGTTCCTGTTGTAAAAATTTCAAAAAAGAGTCATTTTTCTAAAACATCAGGAAATTCTGACAAATGGAGAGAATTCCAGATGGAGTGAAGCTTTTTGAGGTGAACAGATAATTACCAGCTGCTTTTTTCCTCCCGGGGACATTTGCCAATTCTGAGCATTTCCCCAGATCCAGAGAGTTTTTTCTGGAAGGAAGATAAACCACATGATATTTTGGAGTTTCATGGGACTAAAGAAACAAATTGGAAACTTATAGGTCCTCAAATGCACAGCCATCGTCCACAGGGGACACTCATTTAGCTGTTCACCTGCATGGGTGATGGGCGCCCTAGGCCAAAGTTTATAGAAAGCAGAATGAAACCTCCTACAGTGACAGAGGTGCTTCAGAAGTAAAACCCTGGCAGGGGTGATGATGGCCTCTAGCATGTGACCAGTCTCATCTTAAAACATTTTCTGGATTTTGAAAGTGTGTGGGGCACAAGGCTGCAGAGTCAGGCTGGGAGCTCTGAAACACAGGGCTAGATTTGCTGTCATCTTTCAGGGCTGAGGAACAAAGACCTCGCAATGAAAGGCAAAGGCGGATCAAGCCTGAGGATTAGGAGAGAACCAGGGGTAGACTGGTTCTCCAGCACAGCCCAGCGAGGAACTACAGTAAGAGTGAAAGCTGATGTCTTCATGGAAACACTGGAAGCCAGAAGCCAACATGTTCCTGGTTAAATTACTGAGAGAAAAAAAAAAAAAGTCAACATAAAATTCTACACTGAATAAAAAATACCCCTCGAAAATGAAAGTGATAAGATTGTTTGGCTTTTTTCTTGCTAATTTGTTTGAGCTCCTTGTAGATTCTGAATATTTGTCCTTTGTCAGATGTATAGATTGTGAAGATTTTCTCCCACACTGTGGGTTGTCTGTTTATGCTGCTGACTATTCCTTTTGCCATACAAAAGTTCTTCAGTTTAATTAAGTCCCACCTGTTTGTGTTTGTTTTTGTTGTATTTGTTCTTGGGTTCTTGGTCATAAAGTCTTTGCCTAAGCTAATGTCTAGAACAGTTTTTCTGATGTGATCTTTTAGAATTTTTATAATTTCAGGTCTTAGATTTAAGTCCTTGATCTATCTGGAGTTGATTTTTGAATAAGGTGAGAGGTGAGGATCCAGTTTCATTCTCCTATATGTGGCTTGCCAGTTATCCAAGCACCATTTGTTGAATAGGGTGTCTTTCCCCACTTTATGTTTTTGTTTGCTTTGTTGAAAATCAGTTGGCTGTAAGTATTTGGGTGTATTTCTGGGTTCTTTATTCTGTTCCATTAGTCTATCTGCCTGTTTTATACTAGCACCATGTTGTTTGACTATGGCCTTATAGTATAGTTTGAAATCAGATAATGTGATGTCTCCAGATTTTTTCTTGCTGCTTAGTCTTGCTTTGGCTATGTGGGCTTTTTGGTTCCATATGAGTTTTAGGATTGCTTTTTCTAGTTCTGTGAAGAATGATAGTGGTATTTTGATGGGAATTACATTGAATTTGTAGATTGCTTTTGGCAGTATGGTCATTTTCACAATGTTGATTCTACCCATCAAAGAGCATGGGATGTGTTTCCATTTGTTCGCATCATCTATAATTTCTTTCGAAGTGGGCTAAGGACTTGAGTAGACACTTCTCGAAAGAAGATACACAAATGCCCAACAAACATATGAAAAAATGCTCAACATCACTACTGGTGAGGGAAATGCTAATCAAAACCAGAATGTGATACCACCTTTCTCCCACAAGAATAGCCATTATCAAAAAATCAGAAAATAATAAATGTTGGCATAGATGCAGTGAAAAGGGAGCACTTCTACACTGCTGGTGGGAATGTAAACTAGTAAAACCACTATGGAAAACAGCATGGAGATTCCATAAGGAACTAAAAGTAGAATTACCATTTGACTCAGCAATCCCACTACTGAGTATCTACCCAGAGGAAAGTAAGTCATTATACAAAAAAAATACGTGCACATGCATGTTTATAGCAGCACAATTCGCAATTGCAAAAATGTGGAACCAGCCCAAATGCCCATCAATCAATGAGTGGATAAAGAAGCTGTGGTATATGATGATGTATGTGATATATATATACCCCATATATGATCATATGTATGATCATATATATGATATGTATGATGTATAGATATATGATGTGTGTGTGTGTGTACATATATATATATATGATGGAATACTACTCTGGCATAAAAAGTAATTAATGGCATTTGCAGCAACCTGGATGGGATTGGAGACTATTGTTCCAAGTGAACTAACTCAGGAATGGGAAACCAGACATTGTATGTTCTCACTTATAAGTGGGAGCTAAGCTATGAGGATGCAAAGGCATAAGAATGACAGAATGGACTTTGGGACTGGAAGGAAAGGGTGGGAGGGCATGATGGATAAAAGACTACAAATTGGGTTCAGTGTACACTGCTTGGGTGATGGGTGCATCAAAATCTCACAAATCACCACTAAAGAACTTACTCATGTAACCAAATACCACCTGCTCACCAAAAACCTATGGAAATAAAAGAAATTTAAAAAGAAAGTGAAATAAAGACGTTCTTGGACAAACAAAAATGAGGGAATTTGTCATCAAACCTCTTACATTAATAGAAAGAATAAGATTTTTTTTTTTTTTTTTTTTTGTAGAAGACGATGATTCCAGATGGAAAAAATGGAAATGTAAGAGGGAATTAACAACACTGGAATTAGTAAACCCATGGGTAACTATAAATTATATGCTTGAAATGTTTATAGACTTTAAATTACATGAATAACACAAGTGCATGCCATCAATAGCTGCAAAACCTTGTTATTGGGATTAAGTAGAGTTTCGAGGTCTTAAGGTTCTAGCAGTATTAGAAAGTGGTCAAAGTGATCAAATCTGTTAGGAAGCAATGAGTAAAGGATGCATGTTGTCTTCTCTTGTGAAATTACTAAAAGAATAATATAATATTTAATCAAAGTTAATGTAACAGTGAAATAATAAATATCCAATTAATCTAAAAGAACGCAAGAACTGTAGAGAAAAGGATATGAAAATAGAGACCAATTCCTAACAAGACAAAGTAAAGCATAAAAACTAGACAAACAAACAGAATCCAAATCTCTACCCAGCAGTTGGTGTTACTCTTCCATCTCCTTATGGCATATGCTGTATTTATCTCAATGCTAGTGTTTGATAGACCATACAACTCTGTGCTTACACCAAGCACAAAATACATCCACTCCAGATTTCCTCTAAATCCTAAACTCTTTTCAGCAGTGTTTCATAGTGACCAAAATATACTAGATGTGACCCTCTGCTTAACCTTCATAACAGGAACAGACTTAAAGATTTGAGTCACTCTATAGAAGCATAGCAGCAGTGCCAATCTGCTGAGAGTGACTTTCAGTGGCTGCTCATCTGAATTAGGCTTGTCGGGAAGGATTTTGACAAAAAAAAAAAAAAAAGTCCCAGATCCCCTGAGTCATTGCTTCTCTTTTTGGAAAAAAATGCTGTCTTACCCTTTCAAAGCTTCTCAGTGTTTACTAAAAATATCTGAATTCCCAAGTACCTTATAAAAGGTGAAACTTACACACATAAACCCTTTGAAAGCCCTTTCTTAATGAGGGTATTGATGTATTGAATAATGTAGTGAGTACAGGACACCATATTTGAATCAACAAACAAGAACTTTGCATAGTTCTTTGATAAGCAAAAATTTGACTGATGTTTGCAATAACCAATTAACATTCAGAATAAACCCCTTTATTGAGGGATTTCATGGAAATTTTCTTCTTTTCTATTACAGACATTAATAGCTATTGAGTAAAATCTACTAGGTATATAAGAATTGCCAGAATGGCTGAAATAAGATGCTAACATCTTATTTTATTGATCTTGATTTAAAATAAAACCAAAGAATTTTCATAGGTTACGTTATAATGAAGGTTATAATTCTATGTAAGACTATGATAGGCCACTACCTTCAACCTACCTGAGAGGGCATTTTAAAATCATCATCTGTGAGCCAAGAAATAGAAGATCAGAAGAGGAGGCCAGTACTCCTTAACAATATTTAATCTGCTTTATTTCCATCTATTTATTAGATTCTGAAACACAAGAATTACTCTTCTCATAGAGAAAAAGCTTTAAAATTTTAGAATAGCAAACAAATACAATCATGAATGCTATCTAAATGGCAGTCCAGTACTATATAAACAATACAAAGCATTTAAAATAGTCAGTGCTGTAAAATCATGTAAATCAGTGTTTATCCATTCTTTAAACTTTATGTACTACTGGTAACAACAAAAACACTCATGGCTTCCTTTACCATTATTTGATATTCACAGTAAATTAAATATTATCATTAAAAAAGCAATAGTGATTTTGTAACAAAAAGCTTTAGTTTTGATACCATTTCTTTTTGGAAAGAGAAAAACTGCCTCTGGGGATTAAGGATGCTGCTGGCAGCGTGAGTTTGGAGTCAGCTGGCTTCACACTGAGTATAATTTATCCTGATTTGTTTGTACAATATAAAGGATGCCATAGTGGTATCTTTTAACTTAAAGCTCATTTTCCATTGCTTTAAAAGATTTATTATCTTCACCCCATATCACCACTTCAGATAATGAGTCACTTATTTATTTTCTTTTCTGGAACTTTTTATAATAGTCTTTGTACACAGAATCATTATCTTTTAGAACCAGAAGGCAAGTGTTATGACTGGGAAAGTACAAAGGACTCCACATCTGCAAACCTTCACGCTTGCATCGTATGCCTCTGCTCTAGGAGCTCCCTGCTTCATGAATGGGACAACTGAGCTGCTTTTCAAGGAGCTTTTAGACAAACAAAACACGTGTCTTAAAGTGTTACCCAGGGCACAGAGATGGAGCGAGGCAAAATGACGGTATATATATATATATATATATATATATATATATATATATATATATATACCTTTTTTATTAAACCATTTACTTGAGAAAGGAAGCTTTATGGAGGAAAGTCTGAGGAGGCTTCACAAGTTAATTAACCTTTGATCTGAATATTGAGAAGTGAGATGGGCACCTAACCAGTTAGAACAGGGGAGAAGAACATGCGAGGAGAAGGGTTTCCACAGGATTTGACGTAGACAAGTGACAGGAATGACATTAAACTTCATTTTCTATGATGAAATGACAAACCCATGTGGAATTGGAGGATGGTTTTGAGCACAGTCAGTGTGGCTGAAAAACCTGGCCTCTGGAGCCGGAATGCCTGGGATGGAACCCAACTATGCAAGCTACTTGTGCAATGCTGAACAAGCATTCGCTGGCTTCATCACCTGTAAAGTGGGACCACAAGAAATTACCTACCTTGTAACAACTTGATGTGGATTATATGAGTCACATATGCAGGTGTCTTAAAAGAAAGCCTCACAAAAGTAGTGAGTGCTGTTTAAATATGAGCTGTTACAGTTGTACCATGGTTAGCTCCTTGACTTGAACAAAATCCTTAAACACTGCTGAATTATGATTATCCTGATGACTCAGTTAAGTAATGCTAAATAGGTGCACTTCTCACGATTTATGGCCTTTTATAAATATAACATAATATATTCTTTTATTACTAAAAAGCAACCCAGAAAATACTGAGCAACACATTAGATTTAAAACATAACTATGATTTATATATGACTCAAAACTAAATAAAGTTCTACAGGAAGAAAATTAGAAAACTCTTACAGCTTTTTTGAATTTTAGGGGTAAGATAACAAAGAGTATGAAGAGATTTTAGTGACCTATTTAAACAGTTGTTAAATGCAATGCTTCTGAAGTTAGGGTTTGTATTTTCAGGAGTCCTCAAATTCCTTCAACAATTTAAAATTTATTTGCGTTTATATATTCATGATATCTTTTTAAAGTAATTGTACTTTGTATCATCTTGAATATCTATATTTCAAGCTAGTACTCAATGAGATTTTTTTATGTCTTTGTATTTTATTTATGAGTAGGATGACAGAAGTAATATTATTTATACTGTTGTAGGTTAATGAGAAAAGAGCAGATGGATTTAATATGTAATAGATTTTCTTTTTCCTGCAAGAAAAGCTATGTGATATTGCAAAGCAGGGTAAGTTCAAAAGCTGGCTGTCATTTCAAATAGAAATAGTGGTAGGGGCTTGGTTAGCCAGTGGCATAAAGTGGGAAAAACACACAAAGCTTGACGGAACTTGATGAATAGAATAGTCAGCGCACGTTTCCAACAGTCATGTCATTTCAGCTAAACAAAATCTCATGCCTAACATCAATGTTGTGAATTTTACCTTTATTTTGCTTTTGTAGACTTTTATTCTACTCAAGTGGTCAATTTGCCTTGGTTTTATAGCTGAAATGAAAGCTCAAAGAGTAAAGAGATTATTTGTAACACTGTATGTCTATACATTTAATTAACATTGTAAAATAATTTAAGAAACTTTAAGGGTCAAGGGGATGTTTTTCTTTCATTTAAAAAGTATCATGTATATTACAAGAGTTGGAGTAATGTTGATCTATTGCATGTGGGTAGAATTAGTTACTGCCTCACAAGACTATGGTGTCCTTGGAGCCTAAAATGAGTAAATTAATCTCTACCCAGCACAAAGTATCCAGTGTACTTGCTTAGAGAGTTTAAAGGGAGTAAGCGTATGAATGCATGGCCCACGTTTGAGAGAAGGGAGAAACATTATCACACAGTATTAAATGTGTGGGTCCATTTAAAAAAAAACCTTGGGGGTAAATGGGCAACTCAGCTCCATCAAGTCCAGGAAATAGAACAGAAGAGAGTGCCTTCAAGCAACGCCAGGCTTCCCCTGAACGCATTCTTACACGTGAGTTGTATTTCACATTCACAGATTCAGCGAAGGGTTTTTCAAACACTAGAAAGCTCTGGGAACTTATTAAAAATGCTCGGCTGCTCTGAAATCACATGGGGTGTGGGTGGTCCCATGCTCGTTTCTTGCTGTGAATTCAACATGCCTAAATAGATCTGAATGGCTAGTGGGCGGAGCCGCTGAAGGAGAGGGGGACAGTCACCACAGACTCCTGGTGGCCAAAGAATGCAGTGCCTTAGGGTTAAGGGATCAAATAAACTTACATGTCCAAAATTATTATTTTGGGATGGCACGGAAAAAATTGTACTGTTCTATAATAGGTACAAAATCCAGGCATTTAGAAAAGTGCACAGGCTCTCTGACAGTTTAATGTCTTTAAAAACAAAATTGTTTGGTGAATAAGCTAATAAGACACTTGCTAGTTATTCTGTAATTTTTATTTTTAAAGTTGACATTCAAAAGAGAGCTGAAAGCTTCAAAGTTTGGGGGCCACTTGCAGTTCTGTAATGAGAGAGCAAAGTCACGGTTTATACGGAGCTAGGAAAACCTGACGTCCAAAGAAATTGACAAAGGGATCCATTCCACAAACATTTGTGGCCAAGGCAGTATTACTGGAGCCCTTAGGGTGGGGCCAGCATTTCTCATAAACAAGCTCCTGTCAGTTTGGACCACCTAAAATGTGGCCTGGGTTAAACCTCTAACACCCCTATGTTCTTTCTGCTCTTAAGACAGGATTATGTAAGGTAAAAGCTAAGTCATTTACATTCAATGAATGTCTGTGCCTCTGAACACCAGAAAAGCATTTCAAGCTCCTAGGATATGCAAACAGATATATAAATGATCATGGTCCAGACCCATTTCCCTATGGGTTGGGATACTCACCCTCAAACAAATTCCCTTCTATTTATTAGGTTTTCAACAAGAAGATTCCTTCATAGAAATGGTAATTCTTAGAAAATTACAATGCTACTTAAGATACTGGTGATTACTAACTCGACAACTCAGTACGGGGATTTAAAAAATGATTTTATTCTGTTATTGAGAAAACCTTGGTGATTTGAAATTTAGACATTCAAGACATGAATCTACTTTCCATTTCTGTACTTTACTGTAAAGAATCTTGTGTCTCTCAACATCTAGGAGACATCAATTAGATAAGAAGATGGAGTTTGATAAAGTGATGTAAAAACGGAGGTGATGCCAGTGTTTTCTCTAAAGTGAGACACTTGTAATTAGTTCACTTATTTTCAGGCATTACAAAACACTAAATCTCTCACAACCTGGGTGAAAATACAACGTGATCTAAAGGCTTAATGAGGTTTATTGATTATTTATATATTTACTAATTTTCAATAATTTCCTATTGGACAATTATGAGGTCTAGGGCATGAACCAATTAAACATAAGATATAAAATTTCTTCAATTTCTATGGATATGCATTCCTGTGGATCATATTAATAAATGTAAATTAATAATTTGCTACCGATTTTTAACTTAAGTCTTTCCCTTCAAGGATAAAAATAGTCTTTGTTAAATAATTCATATGTAAAATCATGTTGCTGTTCATTTGTCACAGAATTGATTTTTCTATTGACTATTCACCCAAAGGTGAAAAGAGGCATTTACTGACATTTATGGAAATTAAAAGAAGGAAATGTCTTGGCTGACTGAATAGTGAATATTAGTGTTTCAAATGCAAATCGCATTTCTACTTGGAGCTAACAAGATGTTGAAGAATAAAAAATGTTGAAAAATGAAATTTGAAAAAACAGAGTCTATAAAACCGAAGTCTACTTAAATAAATCCTAAAGATATAGCATAAAGTGTGATTTTTAAAAAGTCTTTGATTAAAAGCTTACATATATCTACACTTCTAAAGAACCAAGAAAAATATCTGAAAGTCAAAATAGCACTTGTGGTGTTTTAAAAGAGTTGGTCCTTCCTAATTCAGAAATATTCATTTATATAGCAATACAATTAAATTCATTCTTGGGATTTTGTTTCTTTGTTGCTTAAGGTTTAAACAAAGGGGAAAATATCCTTTAAAAGGCACGTTAAAAGTTTTATTGGAAACAAGAGGAGCTATATCTGGACAATAGTGAGGGAAGGAAGCAAGAGAGAGGATTTGCATTTTTTACCTTATCTGGATGCTTTAATTTCTTAAAAAAAATCAACAACTATTCTTTACTTTTATAATAAGTAACATTATACTGGAACACACTTAGTATAATTTAAGTACCTTTTTTTTTTGCATTTGGCAGCTGATTTTAACCTCTCCACACATAGTTATGAGTAAAAATGGACTCTGATGAGTGAATGTATATGTTATACATTATACATTTATAACTGAAAGTTATAAAATAGAAACTTAAAAATTTTACTACAAATCATGCAATATAGTTAATTTGTGACATTTAGGATAAGGATCTTGTATGAACTCTGTTCTCTTGCCACTTTCTTTAGAGAGAAAAAAATCTGTCTATATAATTTGCTTGCTCAAAAATCTTTAATGCCACTGCCTTCCCCTAGCCTAAAGAAAGAATCAAGCCCATATGCTTTGAGAAAGTTCTGTATTTTCTGGCCACACTGAATTATTCTAGCCTCGTCATCATCCATTCTGACACAGTCTCTATATTTCAACCCAACCAGATATATGTGGAACACACCCTGGAATTCTACTTTTCTTCCCTACAGTCATCCTGGTTTGTACGTCCGAATTAAAATTCCCTGCCTGATAGATGCCCCCTCAAGGTTTCTAAAGCCCATTTCTAGTATCATCTTCATGATATCATTTATATCCTTAAAACATTTTCACGTTAGTACTCTAGTCGACACTCACAACCGTGTGAAATATGCAGGTTCAATATCATTATCTTCATTTCACAGATGCAGAAAGTCACCTTTCAAGCCTAAAGTCACTTGGCTAGAAAGTGGTAGAGTCAAAATGCCATTTCAGGTACAATTGAGTTTAGTCAGTTTTTATATGTATTAATTACATTGCCTTCCAAAAAAGTTTTCCGTGTCAATCAATTAATAAATGTGCTTCATATGTTTATGAAAATGCAAGGAACTGTGGTGGGTTCTATAGGACTAAGCCAGATGCACACAATCTGACCACCTCCATCGAGGGGCTTTCATTCAAATTGGGTAACAAGACATAAGTGCATAAAAATTATATGAATAAAGATGCTTAGACAAGACACAAGTACAAAAATTTCACGAGGCAGGATAGCATTAATTGATTAATAACTTATGCATGTCATTACTGCTGTTGGAATACAGAAGAGAAACAACACATTTAAAGGCAGTATGGCCACTGGGATATGTGATTTGATCTGGATTGAAAGGATGACTAGGACACAACAAGAAGAAAGGCTAATTGAGTTGAGTGGTATAACAAATGGTATTCATATTTTGCTTACATGTATATAATTATTATAAAACCAAGAGAGAGAAAAGCTCTGTGAGATACGGGTATAGGATTTGACAGTTGGCTTTGGAGTAACAATAGAGTCGTGAATAACTAGGAAAGGAGGTAAGGCCTAGGAATAAAGGTGAGGAAAACAAGCGTCAAAATCATGGTAGCATGGCACACATAGCCTTCAGAGGAGAGAGGACTCAAGTAGAAGGATACTTTCCCCAACCTGTTACATTAGCCAGTGTCTTAATTTACATTGTTTTGCAGGACACAGTTTAACTATTAATTTAGTAATTTCTCAAATTTTTTTTTCCAGAAATAATCATGTTATTTAATCGTGTGTAACAGTATTAAATAGAATCAAATATGAATGAAGAAAATAATTTTAAGAAGCTGGATTGTAACAGAACCCAATCCAACTAGATTTTAAAACATCAGCTATAATTGGAAAGGGGCACAGATTAGCAAATCAATGGGATCCATTAGCAACTCCAAAATGCAGTGACCTGTTAGAGTCACCCACTTGAGAACTGGAGGTAAGAGAGGCACTTCTGTATCATTAATAAATGCACTCAGAAAATGCTGAACCTATTAAAATATTTCTATTTCTCAGGGTGCCCAATTTATTACAGGGAATTGACTTTTCCTTCAGCAAAATTAAGTTCATTTATTTTTAAAGAATTTTTAGGAGTTACAAACTTTATATACACTATTCTCTATACACTGTGTGTGTGTGAGAGAGAGAGAGAAAGAGAGAGGGAGAGAGAGAGAGAGAGTATGTATGAAGTGTGGCTTGGTGGAGCACCAACTGATCATTATTTTGTACTATAGCTTCTTATTAGCAATATTCCTACAATTCTGTCATTGGAAGACATGAAGAGGCATGATTTTGGCTATCTTAAAGAATAAAGATTATTGAATAATGGAAGCTAAACTTAGGTGCTATAAATGTTAATGCCTAACAGCAACAATAAAATATTAAGCAAATAAATGATGAAGAGGTCCCAGTTAGGTTACCCAGGATGTCATAACAGATAAATCATAAATATCAGTGGCTTTGCACAAAAGAAGGATATTTCTTGCTCATATTGAGGCCAGAATCTGATGAGTGGATGACCTTTCATGTCACCATAAGTAAACCTGAGTCTTGGAGGATTCTGAGTCTTGGAGGATTCTGTATCCAGCTTTGGGTTGAGAAAGGTCATAGAAGATAGTCAAGGTTGGGTTGCATGGGCTATGCTTGTAAGTGGTGCCCCTCACAATGGTTCTCATTCCATTGGCTAGTTTCAGTCAGATGACTACCCCTAACCACAAGGGATACTGGGACACATAGTTTAGCTTTGTGATTAAGAAAAAGAAGGCATGAATTTGGCAGGCACAGCATCTGCCACTGTGACTCTGGGCTCAATTACAGTGCCCTTAAGATAATGTCAGAACAAATAATGTGGGTACAAATGCTAGAGAAAAGAAAAACAGATGTCAGGAAGGATTAGGAGGGAAAAGAGGCAAGACCCTGCTAAAGTAGGCAAAATATAAAAGCAAATATTTTAAATTAATAGTCCTTTCCAGAAACAGATAGTAAAAATCACCTGCAAGTGTATAAAATTAATTTAAATCCACTTGGGCTTCAAAACCTAGGCTTTTTATATCATTGACTGCATGACACTTCTTTCCAATATCACAGCTCATCTGTTTTAGAAACAGAGTCAGAAATACAAAATGACAGTTTCAAATAATAATGCAATCATAAAAATCAGAGAAAAATCAGGTCTACTAGGTCTGCTGAGGACATAAAATACATACCTTCATCAGTGTTAGCTGACTCTATTTCAGCATAATGGAAATCCTTCTATTATTTTAGCCTGAATTTCGCTTTCAAAATTATCAGAAATATGGGGTCCAGATTCCCTGGAGTCTCTCTCCAACTCTCTGATATCTTGAGCAGAAACAGAACTATATGTCTAATATTTTCCACTTACAAAAAAAGGCAAACATTTAACCTTTACTTATACTCTGAACAGATTAAAGTTTCCAAACCGAGTAAAATGATTTTAAAGAAGGTTGTAATATGATATAGTCATAATTGGTATTTTATATTTAGCCTCTTGCCGTAGTTCATAACTGGAAAGTATCCCTTTCCTAGAATTAACACTTATAGTAATTTCAACCCCACTTGAACATCTAGTGACAAGTAGAGTAATCTCACTGCAGCCACACCAGCCTTTTTGCAATGCAGGCATGCTCCTACCTCAGGGCCTTGGCTGCTCCCTTTGCCTAGAACACTCTGCCCTGACGTCAGCACTGGTCTCTCCCTGACTTCCATATCTTTGCTCAGGAGGCTTTTTTTGATCCCTGATTTACAATTGCAACTCAGCCCAACCTTCTTCCTCACCACTCTCCAGTCTGACCCTCCCAACCCTGCTTACCCTGTTGAACGTTTTCTTTTTTCCATATGATTTTTTCCTTTTAGTGTATTACATATTTTACTTAAATATTGCCTATTTTTCCATGCTAGAATTTAACTTCTATGAGGGCAAGCAAGTTTGCTTTGTAGACAAAGTATCCCACGTGCCTAGACTTGTGCCTAGTACAAGCAGAACCTCAATAAACATCTTTTGATCAATGAATGAGCCTTTGAAAATTCAATTTTTTTTTTTTCGAGACAGAGTTTCGCTCTTGTCCCCCAGGCTGGAGTGCAGTGGCGCGATCTTGGCTCACCGCAACCTCTGCCTCTGGGGTTCAAGTGATTCTCCTGCCTCAGCCTCCCGTGTAGCTGGGATTACAAGCGCCTGCCACGATGCCCGGCTAATTTTTGTATTTTTAGTAGAGGCAGGGTTTCTCCATTTTGGCTAGGCTTGTCTCGAACTCTTGACCACAGATGATCCGCCCGCCTCAGCCTCCCAAAGTGCTGGGATTACAGACATGAGCCACTGCACCCAGCCTGAAAATTCAATTTTATGCAATCCACTCACTCGGAACTCAAAATGCTAAATATATATTATTATATGCTTTAAGTTGCTTTATGCATTGCTTATACATGGATGCATATAATTGAATGGAGTTACAAACCTTGCATATTATTCTTGATAGGTAATGTAAGGATGTTCCAGAGTGGTTTTCATCATATGTCACTTTCAAATTACATAATTTTAGAAGCCAATCACTGAATAAAATGTGACTTCACTTTAATTTCCTCCAACCAGTGAAACAACTGCCTGTGATCCTAATTAACAAGTTTATTGATACATTTTTAACATGGGATTAAATTTAAAATATCTAATAAAGTTAGGGAATAATATATCAGTCAGCTTCTCTTAATTCTTCTGGGGCTGCTACTGGTTAACAATTACACTGAGCTGACAAATTATTGTGCTTTGTGTTTGGAATTCAAAAGTGATTAAGATGCATTTAATGCACTCTCTATAAGCTCACAGGTCTATCAAGGTGCACATACACACACACACAAATGATTATATTACACTGACTGATTATATGTCACTGAGGTGACATACTCAGTGTTAGGAGGAAGCAGAAGCATGGCCTATGTTGCAAAAAGTGTGGAACAATTGTTATCCGTACAGAAAAAATGTAAAATTACATTGCTAACTCACACCATTCTCAAAAACAAAGTCCAGGTAGCTTAAATCCCTAAATGTAAAAAACAAACCTAAACTTTACAAAAATATAATAGGATAATATCTTTATGGCAGATAGCAGTAAAATAATTTTTTTTTCCTTAAAAATGTAGAAAGATTTTCTTAAACAGAACAACAAAAGTACAAACCCTAAAGGTAAGGATTAATCAATTTGACTATAATAACATTAAAACTTTACGTGGGATAAACACATAAACGGGTAAGCCTACTATAGTCTAATTCTCTCACTGATTACAACTAAAACTTTGTATAAAATACAAAACATCTATCTGAGGAATTGGGAAAGTTGAAAAAAAAACAACAACAAAACACAAATCGTGGTAGGGAATCAAAACGTAGAGAATGAAGGCAGAATAATGGCATGCTCAGGTAAAGAAAACTAAGATTTCTTGGGCCTACTCTAAATGAAATGCTAAATGGAGATCTTTAAGCTGACGTAAAATGATACCAGAAGGAAACTCAGAACTTCAGAAATGAAGGAGAGCAACAGAAATTGTAAATATTGAGTTAGCATAAAAGACGATTTTTTTTCCCCACTATTTTTTCCCTGTATGACTGTTGAAAGAAGAAGTTACAACATGGCCTGGGGGGTTTCAATGTACACAGATGTAGCACATGGTTCAACTGCTAAGTAAAGATGGGTGATAGAGGGTGAAGGGACCAAGACGGTTGACCAGGGTAGACTGAAATTAGATGTTCATATATTACAATTTTAATTTACCAATAGGTAATGTAAAATGGAATTTTAAAAATATCCAAATAATCTGAAAGAAGTCATCATAAGGAAACAGAAGAATGAAAACAGCAGGGACAATCAGAAAAACACGTAATAAAACTAATATACCTTGTAATGGTGAATATTGAGTGTCAACTTGGTTGGATTGAAGGATGCAAAGTATTGTTCCTGGGTGTGTCTGTGAGGGTGTTGCCAAAAGAGATTAACATTTGAGTCAGTGGACTGGGAGAGGCAGACCCACCCTTGATCTGGGTGGGCACCATCTAATCAGCTGCCAGCACTGCTAGAATAAAGCAGAGGGAAGAACATGGAAGGACTTGACTTGCTGAATCTTTTGGCCTTCATCTTTCTTCTATGCTGGATGTGTCCTTCTTTTTTTTTTTCATTTTTTTTAGACAGAATTTTGCTCTTGTTGCCCAGGCTGAAGTACAATTACACTGTCTCTGCTCACTGCAACCTTCGCCTCCCTGGTTCAAGCAATTCTCCTGCCTCAGCCTCCCGAGTAGCTGGGGTTACAGGCATGCACCACCACGCCCAGCTAACTTTTGTATTTTTAGTAGAGACAGGTTTTCTCCAGGTTGGCCAGGGTGGTCTCGAACTCCTGACCTCAGGTGATCCACCCAAGTCGGCCTCCCAAAGTGCTGGGATTACAGGCATGAGCCACTGCGCCTGGCCCTGCTTCCTTCTCTTGAACATTGGATTCCAACTTCTTCAGCTTTTGGACTCTTGGACTTACATCAGTGGTTTGCCAGGGGCTCTTGGGCCTTTGGTCACGGATTAAAGACTGCACTGTTGGCTTCCCTGCTTTTGAGGTTTTGGGACTCGGACTGGCTTCTTTGCTCCTCAGCTTGCAGATGGACTATTGTGGGACTTCACTTTGTGATGGTGTTGAGTCAATTCTCCCTAACAAACTCCCCTTTATATATTCATCTATCGTGTTAGTTCTGTCGCTCTAGAGAATCTATCTAATACATACCTAAATCTAACCATATCAATAATTACATTAATAGAAATGGTCTCATGAAAGGTTGTCAGATTGGATAAAAATAAATAAGACTCATCTGTTATGTTGCCTACAGAAATCTCATGTCAAATATAGAAAGATGAATACATTAAAGTGAAGGGGTGAATTTTTTGTGGGGAGGAGGCAAAAAGTTCTAAAATTACATTGTAGAGATAGTTGCACAACATTAAGAAGTTACGAAGAAACACTGAATTTTCATAACTTAAAGGCACGGGTTGTGTGGTATGTGAATTATATCTTGATAAAGCTATTTTTAAAAAGTAAAGGATGAAAAAATATACCTTGCAGACAATGAACAAAATAATGGAGTGGCTATATTAATTTCAGACAAAGTAGACTTAAGACAAAGAAATACAAATAAAAAATGAAATTGTATAATGATGAATAGATCTTCACCAAAAAAGATGCAATAATTTTAAAAGTCTTTGTATCTCAAATATAGCTTCCAAATGCATGAGGCAAAAACTGATGAAACCGAAAGGTGTGGACAAAGCCACAGTATAGTTGGAGACTTCTGTGCTCTTCTCTCAGGAATAGATGAAAAATGAACACAGAAAGCCAGCAGAGACATGGATGTGGACACAAGTAACCAACCAGACCTAATCCACACTTCCAGAAGACTCCACCCAATGGAAGCAGAATACATATTTTTGTTGAAGTGCCCAAGGAAATTTCAGCCAGACAGGTCATATCCTGGGCCATAAAAACATTTTAGTACATTTAAGAGAACTGAAATCATACAAGGCATACCCTCAGATCATAGGGGAATTAAACTAGAATTCAGCAGCAGAAAGGTACCTGGAAAACCCCAAATACTTGGAAAGCATCAGTATTAGCCAAAGAGAAAGTCCCATGGGAAATTAGAAAATATTTTGAACTGAATGAAAATGGAAACAAAACAAATTAAGATTTGTGGGATGCAGCTATTACAGTGTTGAGATGGAAATTTACAACTCTATTAAATGCTTTTATTAGGAAGAAAAGAAACACTTCAAGTCAGTGATCTATGCTACCTATTTAAGAAAGCAGAAATAGAGAAAATTAAGCCCAAAGCAAGCAAAAGAAAAGAAAATAAAAAACAACAGGAATCAATAAAACAGTAAAACAATAGAGAAAATCAATGAAATCAAAAGCTACTTTAAAAAAATCAATAGAATTGATAGACTTCTAGCTAAACCGACCAAGAAAACACAATAAGCAAAATGTTTGCCATGCATGAAACTGGCAAGGAATATTATCCAGAATATGTGGAAAATTCCTAACATCATCAAGAAAATCATGCAAACAAGTTGGGAAATAAGAAAAGGATGTATTTGGATTAACAAGTCTGAGAATATGTGAAAATACTGCTTGGCAACCAGGAAATAAAATAAAACCACAATAAGATCCATTTTACATTTATCATATTGGCAAAAATTAAATGAATAATTAAACCAAGTGTTTACCAGGAGAGATGGAAAACTTTACTCCCTTTTAGAAGTACATACATTGGTTTAACCTTTTAGGGGAGTAATTTGGTAATAACCACTACAGTTGAAAATGTCCATGAGCAGAAACTTAGCACTTCCATTTCTAGGGGAATCTTGGGCAATTTTTTTGTTTCCCCCAGTTGTAAGTTAGAGGCATTTTCAGTGATGTTAATTGTAGCATGGCTTGTAACATTGATAACTTGGAAATGATTTTGATGTAAGTTTTCCACTCACTTTGGTCAAACTGTAAACATGTTCTTAAGAAATGCCATGACCACATTTATATGGAACTTGTTTCTCAGAAAAGTTTCCAATGAAGGAGGCATGTTTGCACCTAAAAAGCAATATGATTGTGTGTGTTTGTGTGTGTGTGTGTGTGTGTGTTGAAAAGCTTATAGAGGCACTGGCCAGAATGTATGCTCACTTCCTTGGGTGCTGTAACTTCTAGCCCTCTAGTGAAGTTGTAAACTACAATATGACCTGCATATTGGCACTGAGCACAGAGCATCATCGATCTCCCTGCACCTTTCATGGAGATCACTGAATTAGGTTTTCTGTGGACCACAACACAACAGACCAGAGGAAAACACCATCTGCCTTGTGCTCATCTGTCCCCCTGAGGCACCACAGCACCCTAGGGCCAGCAGCAGCAGGTCGTGTGACACCTGCCCTTCAGTCCCTAATGCTTTCCTCTCCTCCTGAGCTTGCTCCCTGCCATGCTTGTTGAAGGAATATGAGTATAATTTTGCACTAAGTATGTGTCGGTCATCAATAGTTTCTTATTGTATCGATACCTCAGCCCTAAAGTTGTTTTTTAATTTAATTTTTTTTTGAGACACGGTCTCTGTTGCTTAGGCTGGAATGCAATGGTGTGAAGACAGCTCACTGCAGCCTCAGTCTCCTGAGCTCAAGTGATCCTCTTGCCTCAGCCTCCCAAGTAGCGGGGACTACAGTTGTTAACCCTAAAGTCTGTACATTTCACCTGGAGCTAATTCTTAGAATAAAATAACAAGTGGGAGATGCATGTATCAAAATGGAAAAAAAAGTCCCACCACAGCAAAAACAAGAAGCTGTTTGCAGAATAATCTGTAGAAAGTGAGATTTTTTTTTACACTTTGAAAGCATGAATAGCATTGGTTATTACTTGTGAATATTATATGATTTATGAGTACACCTATGCTCAGTAAAGGTGCAAACATGGATGAAGGGCTACGTGCAAACTTCATTGTGATGATTCACTTCTGGTGTGGTAGGCAGGGATGAGATTGAGAGCTAGGATACATGTTTTTCCAAAAATGTAGCTCTAAAGTAAATAATGCAAAATGTTAAGACTTATTAAAGGTGATGTTTCATTAATCACTGTTTTTTAAGTTTATACTATTCCATAATAAATCATATTTTAAAAATCACACATATAATAGATTTGACCAAAATCCCAGAAAAATATTGGGTTCTCTTGATCCAATCTAATCTCCTCCATATTTTGGATAGCATCTACAATGTTAAAATCAGAACTGGTTTTCAGAATATTGACCCTGCAAAGAAAGGAATACCATAATAACAAGAGCAAGTAAGCTTTTAGCTTTTTTTTTTTTAAGCACCTACAGTATTCCAGGCAGCATCATGCTAGGCATGTTACATATATTTTCTCTAATTGACCCCCAAAATTACTTTTTTGTGCACTTACATGATGAATGATGAATCTGGGATTCTTATCTAGTTCTTTTCTTATTTTCTTCACTTTAAAAACCAATTAAATTAATATTGAAATTGTTGTTACCTAGAATTTATAGTTAGCCAAATGTTTCTAATTACTTTGTTACTCCTCCACTATACAATAATATTGCTAACTGCAGGTTTCCCATCTAGAAGGTGAGCTTGCAGAAATATCACAAGACTTTTTCCTCTTTAAAAATGTAGTCACAGCCAGGTGCGGTGGCTCACTCCTGTAATAACACTTTGGGAGGGAGGGGGGCAAATCATTTGAGGTCAGGAGTTTGAGACCAGCCTGACCAACATGGTGAAACCCCGTCTCTACTGAAAAAAGTATATAAAAAATTAGCCGAGCATGATGGCATGTGCCTGTAGCCCCAGCTACTCAGGAGGCTGAGGCAGGAGAATCGCTTGAACCTGGGAGGTGCAGGTTGCAGTGAGCTGAGATTGTGCCACTGCACTCCAGCCCGGGCAACAGAGTGAGGCTCCATCCATTTCAAAAAAAAAAAGAAAAAAATTAGCCAAGTGTGGTGGCACGCGCCTGTAATCCCAACTACTTGGGAGGCTGAGGCAGAAGAATCACTTGAACCTGGGAGGTGGAGGTTGCAGTGAGCCGAGATTGCGCCACTGAACTCCAGCCTGGGACAGAGGGAGACTATCTCAAACACACACACAAACAAAAAAAAACATAGTCACTACTCTGACTTCTTATTTTCTCAAAATTTATGGCAATTAAATCCTCCTCACTGATAATAAATAGTGTCTTAATCAGAAAAAACTGTGCATTTATATACACTTATGTTGCATTAATAAATACAGTGCAATTTTATGATGGAAAAATACAAAATATAGGATATGTTTTTGTTTTTTATTTTCTAAATTTCTATTTATCTCTACTGGACATGACCTTTCCCTGTTGAAAATGCTGCCATTTCACACATCAACTTAATTTACTACCTTCATTTTTTGCACATAATCTGTAAGTCACGAGTGGTGAGTACGGATTCCCTGAACCTTGGCTGTGTGAAAGAGCTTTGTGTGCTAGATCTCCTTCTCTTTGTAGCTCATATATGGTTATATAAAATATATATTTATATATGTTTCCTTTTGAAAGGGTTATCTTACTTACGTTCCCTGACATATCTTTAGAATTATCGTTTAATGATTAAACTAAATATTTCCACATTTCATTATTTTATCTAACACACAATTTGTTTTAATTCCATGCTATAATATATTTCAGTCTATATAACAAATACAATGAATATAGAAAGAAGGCATTGGATTTATTTAGTGCTCTGCAACTCTTAACTTTGTTTTTATATGACATTACAAAAAGGTTTATTTGATCATTCAGTAAAGCAAACCACATAACAATTTGCTTTTTGATGTGAATCAATTGCATATTGATCTTATTATGGCTTTCATCGGCAGCTATGGCAGGAGTGAGCTGGATATTTATTAAGATCTTGGGTCCCAGATTGCCATTAGTTTATCAAAGACCATGAATGGTTTCTTACGATGAATACCTGAATATGATCAATATGCATAATAACTTTTTATGTTCTTTACAAAAACAAAAGAATATTTTTAAAAACTTGGCAAGAAATATGATAAATGCCCATAATGAAAATAAAAGAACATAAAGCACATGATATTACTGTGGAGAGCAGACTGCTGAGAAGAAGAATAAGGCATGAAGAAAAGGTGGTAGAGTTAAAATAGTAACATAAATAGAGATAGCCTATGCTTAATGAAACAATTAAACAGCTCATTTCTCAATGTCAAGTGTGGACCCCTAAACAGATGTGTAACTAGAAATTTTTATGCCAAGGGCAAGTACCAAGCATTTTTGTTTCTGCGTCCCCTTCTGCCATCATTCTGCCTTCAGGCCATCCTCCCACCTCCCTGTGACTTTCATGCTTTTGCTCTATTTATAAATCGTGGGCTTCCTGTGTCAGGTTACCTGGCCCTCTGAGTCGGCAGAGGATTGCCATCATGGCAAAAAATGCGAAGAAGTCATTCTTGGCTGGCTGATGCTGTCAGCATTCCCCCCCACCGCCGCTTAGCTTCTCACCACCGAGTTACTTCTAAAGGATTGCATCACGCCAAATAGCATAAACTTTTAAAAAAAGTAAAATCTCATAAAATGGTAAGTAGATAAATGTCATATTCTTTTCATAAATGCTGTTTAATTCCAAAGCTACTATAAAATACTATAACCTACGAAATTCTAGATTTGAGTCCTGGGAACTGCCACAAAGCTCCCTCAAGGGCCAGTGTGTGGAATTCCATGATGTCGTATCTCACAGCCAGTTTTATTCATGCCCAGTGCTTGGGAAGTGCAAAGGAACACAGCCCCATGCACAGCGCAGCAAATGTCCCAGCTTTTGCTAGTTTCAAACATTTTATGTAAAATTAATTTTCACTACTTTTATATAAAGCCATTATAGTTTTCAAATTAATAAAGTTATAATGCAGTACAACATCAACTATATTTTCTATATTTTTTTTACATAAACAACCACCGTATATTAAGGCTCCAGCCCTATCAGAAAATGTTTTGCATCTATTTTGAGAACAAATGAAGAGTTTGTACACTTAGTGAAAAAAATACTTGTTTGGATGTAAAACTTTATAGATAGTAACAATAAAATTAAATGTGTATATTAGTCAAAATTCTGATTTCTAAGCAAAGAAAACTAACCTTGGACATCTCAGGCAGGTAGAGGCTTCATTGGAAGGCTAAGGAAGGACATGAACTTCGACAAAAAGGTCTGGCGAGTGGGTGAGGTGGATTCAGGGGCTGATGGCTGGCGTGCTCTGAGCAAAGTTCTTCTCCGACTAATATTCTTCTGCTGGTGCTGCATGGAGCCACTACTGCCCAATGTCACCCCATGGAGCCAGGTCAATTGTTGTCCCTTCCATTATATGTCCCTCACTCTGCATCCATCGTAGGTAGGTTAACTGAGCCCATCTTACATGTGTTTGTCCAGCTGTCAAAGCAGGGGAGGAAGAGGGAGTCCCTTCCCTTGTATTTTCATCGTGGTAGGTGCGAAACTGAAATGTGAGACTGGCAGGAAAAAGCCAAATCACAAATGTCCATTATGGCTACTGAAGACTTTTATTTTTGAACCAAAAATTCTTTATGTTTTATGAAACAGGCCAGGTGCAGTGGCTCCCGCCTGTAATCCCAGCACTTTGGGAGGCCGAGGCGGACGGATCACTGAGGTCAGGAGTTTGAGACCAGCCTGACCAACATGATGAAACTCCATCTCTACTAAAAATACAAAATTAGCTGGGTGTGGTGGTGCACACCTGTAATCCCAGCTACTTGGGAGGCTGAGATAGGAGAATCACTTGAACCGGGAGGTGGAGGTTGCAGTGAGCTGAGATCATCCCATTGCACTCCAGCCTGGGCAACAAGAGTTAAACTCTGTCTCAAAAAAAAAAATAAAATAAAATAAATAAATAAATAAATTTTATGAAACAGTTGAATGACTCCTGCATTTCTTTTAATGGGTTATGATAAGTTCATTCTCAGAAACGGAACATATGATCTTGATTTCCATTCAAACTGTGGACTCAGTGAATTTTCCATATGATCTTTGGCAAATCACTGACTCTATTTTCTCTTTTCTTTATCTACCATAACGCCCAGACATTTTATCTTCCTTGAAGGGAGTTTATTAAAACTGCTGATGAGGCTAATGAAAATATAGACATCCTTAAAGAGAAATTTCATTTTTGGTCACCATTTAATTTTACTGCTACGTGCCCAATCTGTCCAGGACTGGATTTTATAGAATTTCTATTTAATTGCATTAGTAGAAAAGCTAAAAAGCTGGTTCCCTGCATGTGTCCATACTTCTTGTATAAATGTCACATGAGCAATAAATTCTGAAAGCCATTCAACACATAGTTTCACATAACTCTTACAGCTTCTCACCAGTAAGGAATCTGTCTCATCACGTGAGTGCCCACAATTTGCATGGAAGAAAATAAGCATGGTTTTCAGTTTCCTTGAGAAAAAGAATGTGCCCCAAGATGACTGGCAGTTCCTGCCTCATCAGGGATGTCTGCATTTGAAAACAAGGCCTCTTTGAAATCTGAGAATGGAAAATGATTCCCGATGACCTTTCTCATCTCTCTTTGATTCTTAGCCAAACACAGAGGAAAAGTCACAAAGCACCCTACTATATACACCGTCTTTCAAATGACTCCCTTTGTCTAAGAACCACATTGCAGGGGCAGGCCTGGAAAGGATGTCAGATGGCCTAGCATTGTGTTGTAATGTACAGGGGGCAGGCCTGGAAAGGATGTCAGATGGCCCAGCGTTGTGTTGTAATGTACAGGAGTCAGGCCTCCAATACAAAAATCAAACCAGTGTTCATGACCAGGAGGTTCCCCTGTGCATGATCTCAGAGGAAGCATCTGTGATGCTTACAAGGTAAAGTAGATGCATCTCTAAGGAATAGAGGGAAGATTAGGACAATCTATTATTGCAACCAATCAGCATTTTCTTTCTATTTCAGTGCCTGGATATCAGTGCAAGTGA
Source organism: Homo sapiens (assembly GCF_000001405.40). NCBI lineage: Eukaryota > Metazoa > Chordata > Mammalia > Primates > Hominidae > Homo > Homo sapiens. The sequence continues at coordinate 109,180,722 of NC_000013.11, read as the reverse complement.
TTTCAGAAGATTGCCTACTGTAAGATTTATTCTTAAGATTCAAACTATTGATTTTTCTCACTACCTCATCAGTGTTATTTAGAAAAATCTCAGCTGATAATATGGCCATGCCTCTATAATGCTAAATATTCCAAGGAAAGCTGATCATTAGCTGTATAGTTGATTTCGTGGAAACATCTGGATACTTGGCTGAGGTTATTTTAGACTTTTATGTAGATGTTTGACATAAAAATTGTGCTGTAACTTTAGATAAAATGAGAATCCTGTTGCTAAAGCAATAGTCTGTTAATATATTGATAACAAAGTCTCTCTAATGGGTGGTTTGTGCATCACCTTGAATGCAACATTATATATTTTAAAGACAATTATTTAAAGTATATTTTAAAATTCAACATAAAAGGAAAATAAAACAGTACATTCTATAATATAAATTCTTTCACTTTCTAGAAGCACAAATGGGTTCTTTTTTTCTTCTTCTTGAAGTGATAATCTTGTTTATTTTGGTGAAATTGTTAGGAAGAGACACATAAAACATTTACATGCAATCAGTAATGCACCTCCAAACAGTTTTGTGGACTGCAATCTCATTTTGATTTTACCATGTTCTCATCATATGTCATATTTTAAATGAATGTGAATTACATGGAAATGAATGTCATAACTGAGATAAGATGCATGCCATGAAACCACAGGTGGTTCAAGCATTTTATTCCCAGGTGTGGTCACTAAGAGTCATCCTATTTTAGCCAAGGTCAAATGCATAGCAACTTCATTCAGCAGATTTAATATCATCTTCACCCGAGAATAATTTTAAAGTACCACAATATAAATTAAATCTACAATATTTCATTTAAAACTATTATGTTTTAGTTGTTTTGGACATTATTCCTTATTTTGGAAACAAGCAGAAAATTGCAGTCAGCTGAGGTGGAGAGAGAAGACCATTCAGCTGAAGGAGTGCAGGGCAGAGGTGAGAACAGCTGAGCCCTCCAGTCCACACAGAGCATCTATTGGTAACAAGTTAATGAATGCCTTGTCATAACTTAATTCCATTTGTCACTGCACATGTGAACAGACAGACATCATTACCTGAGTGGTGTGACTGTCCCTGTGTCTTTGAAATGTCGAAGTCCCTGTGCCACTTATAGACAACCGTGAGTATCCATCTTCTTCAGGTAAACCTATTGAGGTCAACACAAATCGGGAGTTAAGCAGTGTCTCCTTGTTCCAAATAAAGTAAGTCATGCACTCATTACAATAAACTAGAATTGTTATCTTTTATGAATTGAAATGATGATCCTTAAACACAAACTAAATACTAAATTTTGCAATGAAACATGGGCATGCACAGTATTGTGGCAGCTTCATTTAGGAAAAGAGGGCATATCCTGCCAAAGGAGATACAATGATAATAAGGAGATATGTGATAATAGCACAAAAGTGAGCAGATAAGTATTGGAGGGGAGAAGGGAAACTTCTAGAGACTGAAAAGGTTTGAAGAAGCATACGGGGTCAGTGACGGGCCCACTGAGTCACTAGGGTGACTGCAGACAGCAGAATGTGGCTGCCATTCATAGGATTGCAGGGAGACGAGGAAGGGATTGAAAATCAGAGCATAACTAAGCCTGTGTGTCTGATGAATTCCACTGGCTGTAGTTCATTTTGTGCACAAGGAAGCAAAGAGATTGGCTGAATTTCCATGAGGAAAAGGTGGGGAGAGCTGCCGATTCACAACACACCAATTCATGAGCAACCATGCAGAGTAACTTGTAGGTTTATGAAACTTTACATGTCCCTCAACAACGCGAAGTTACTATGAGGCACCAAATGATTTGATTAATTATCCTTTATGATCAAAGCAGTTTCCCAGCCTCTGCACTATTGGAATTTTGGCCTGTATAATTCTTTGCAGTGGGGTCTGCCCCATGCATCCCTGACCTCCACCCACTAGATGCCAGCAGCACCCCCATTTGTGGCACCCAGAAATGTTCCCAGACATTGCCAAAAGTTCCTTGGAGGGCAAAGTCATCCCCTCCTACACGGGCTGAGAATCACTGTGATACAGGCGCAATGCATCACCGCAAGTGACTTCGATTAATAAACATGAATAGACAAAAAGAGAAATAAGAACCCAACAAAATGAATTCAACTCAGAGAACTTTAAATACTGAAGTGATTACTACTCTCCTCTGAAAGCATAATTAACTAGCACAGGTAATTGATTAAACATATACATAATTCCTAAATTAAAAATCATTAGACAATCAGTGCACGCTTTTCCAATTATAGGAGAGAGTTCCTCAGGGAAGTCGACACAATCCTGTCAACACACAACAAGGCCTTCCAGGTGATCTTGTTACATGTCCAGATACCTTGGTATGGAAAAGCTAACTTCATGAAGACTGGGCGGACAATGGCTAGTGGGTGGGGGGGGTCTCTTGCTGGAGAACAGATCTCGGCCACAGGCAGCAGCAGTAGCCTCAGGTGCTACGTGGCAATAGTGTCCTTAGACACTGTGGTGGCAGGACACAGGAAAGGCTCCAATCACAGTGAGTGTCAGAGCAGCCTGAAATTCACACAGGCGGAAGGGAGTGTGTCAATCCAAGATCAGGCACAATATGAAATTTCAGGAAACTAGATAAAGCAGATAGTTGGAAAAAAAATGTGTTTCCGGGTAGTAGGGCACAACAAAGGGCTTGGGATTCATGTGAAGGACCACCTCTTAGAGGGGAATAAAGGATGGGGTGCTGGGAGGAAGGGGCTGATTGATAAGCAAGATAAACCTTCACTTCTATAGGAACCATAAAGAAACCAGTTCACCAGATGTCTTACTAAGACAGGGGATCTGTGGCAGGAGAAGACAAATGTGATCCATTTTTCAAACCTAAATTATAAATTAGAAGTCGGGGCTGGGTGCACTGGCTCACGCCTGTAATCCCAGTACTTTGGGAGGCTAAGGTGGCGGATCACCTGAGGTCAGGAGATCGAGACCAGCCCAGCCAACACGGTGAAATCCCATCTCTACTAAAAATACAAAATTACCCGGGCACGGTGGTGCACACCTGTAGTCTCAGCTACTCAGGAGGCTGAGGCAGGAGAATCGCTTGAACCTGGGAGGGAGAGTTGCAGTGAGCCAAGGTTGCTCCATTGCACCCCAGCCTGGGTGACAGAGTGAGACTCCATCTCAACATAAATAAATAAATAATAAATAAATAAATAAATACATAAAATTAGAAGTTGGATCTCAGAATCAAAACAGAAACTCAGTTGAAAGGGTATAAGCTCAGAGCGGAATCGATAGCCTGCTGAGCACTGCATAGAGTCAATTAAATTAAGGTTAAAAACATTTATGAGCAACCGCTGCATAAGGCGCTGAGAAATACAAGGAAGAACGAAGAAAAGTCCCCACCCTTGAGAAAGTCAATTCAGTGAGAATGGCACTGAGGCCAAACACACAGCAGCATGATTTCAGGATTAAGAGGAGTACAGGTCACGTTGAACAGGGTCTTGGAGAAGGTAAGGATGCATTCTGATGGAACGGACTAGAGTAAACTTCATGGTGGTGTTGCTAAAGGACCTGGGCCTTCGAGGAGGAGGAGAATTGTGGAGGGCGAACAAAGTCGAGAAGGACATGCCTGGCTGAGAGCACAAATGTGATAAGGCAACAAAACACAAGGACGCTTCGCGGAAATGTGACCACACTTTGGAGACGATAGGTAGCACTGCAGACTTCCCAGAAGAGAAGTGACACCATTTTATCTAAGTAATGAGTTCAAAGGTATTTCATTCATAACTGTTGACTAAAGAAAGAATGGGTCCCAGAACCTGTGTCAGGGCTCCACAGACAGGGACATATGGCAGCTTGGGCAGGTGGTCGCATGCAGGTGGAGGGCCAGGTGAGGACAGCGGGGAGGGAGGCAGGTGAGTGGGTGCTGGGGGAGACGGGCATGTGGAGGAGGGGGTGGGACAAGCGACTGGGCCCGAGAAGTCAGAGGGAAGGGGATTTTTTGAAGGTTGTAGCAAACAGGCCAAGGGTCCTCATCACGGCCAACGCAGTAACATTTTGAGAACTGGAAGGGACAAAGTGACGGCCAGGAAGCGCCAAAGGTGCAAAGGAGGTCTTTTTTTTTTTTTTTTTTTTTTTTACCAGCACAATATTTTATTTAGCTGCCGTATTAGAAGCAGTACCTTTTTAAGGCAAATTATTTTAAAATGACACCAAACGCACAAACCATGAATAAAAAAAAAGAAAACGGATTCATGTCTCTCTATAAACATTAAAAATAAACATATTGACAATGCCCTAAAAATAAAATGTGTATTTTAAAAGAACAATGTAGAACATTGAAATATATTAAATAAGAGGCTTTTTTAATTCTTCAAACATCCTACAGATCCCAGATATTAAAAAATGGACAAAGAATAAAAGTTTAGAAAATAAAGGAGAAAAAATATGAAAATATGAATGGCTAATAAGTAATACACATATTCAATTTCATTAAGAATTCCAAGTAATGGATATGAGACTACGTAACATTCATTCTATCTATCAAAATAACACAGTTTTAAAACTTTTTATTACAAACATTTCAGACATAAAGAGAATATGCAGTGAAACTCCATGCACCCATTCCAAGCCTTGGGGCTGTCAATTTTATCCATTTTTATCCATTTTTTATTCATTTTTCACTTAAATCCCAGAAATCATGTCATTTCAGCTGTAAATGTTTGTACATGTGTCCTTAACTGACAAGAACTTTTTTTTTTTTAACATAGCAAGGATTTTCTCACGCAGCTAAAGGGAACATTGCTAAGCAAAGGCCTCCAGAAAAGTCCCACAGTCCTGCGTGGGTAGAGAATCCCACGGCGCATTTTAACCAGGGTGAAGACTCCAATCGTGTTGGAGGAACATTTAAAGTGAAGATGGAGCTCTTTATCTGTGCCTTCATTAAAAGGTGGAATTCTGTCTGAGAAGGAGCTTCTGCACATTCTGAGAAGCCCCCACTGCTCCTCTTACTGTAGCAGCCTTCTCCCCAGACCAGGCTTGGAGTTAACAATTCCCAGCTTAGAGATTCATGTGTCCCTTGCTGAACACATTCTTTCCAGGGCAATAGTGTGCTTCAAAAAGTTGAGCTTTTGGTCCATTATGATACCAAACTATTTCAAAAAGCCATTCTTGCCCAAATGACAGCAAATCAAGGTCTTCTGAAACTGCGTCCACCCTACTCTACCCTCCAGATAGCCAGCTCTTCTGCTCAAAGAAAACATGCAGATGTTCAGGGGAAGGAATTCCCCAAAGCTGATCTCCATGGCATAATGGATATGCTGTGGACACTCCATAGAACCTGCTGCTGCTCCTTCAAACTTGGGTGGGCAAAAGTCGAAAAGGCTTTGGCCTTGATTGAAGGTTTAGCAGGAAGAAGCAGCCTCTGTTCTCCCTCTCCTCCTGAATTGGAGGCTGCTCAGAGCACTGAAAGTTAAACCTTCCTGCAGGACACAAAGAGGAATGGCTTTTAGGACATCCTCCTCATCACTGTGGTGTAGACCTGGTCCCTGGAGTTCTGTGTGATTTTTAAAGAAGTAATTTTGAAAAGTGGCAGACTCTGGGGCCATGAGGTCTACATGCAGAGCGTAGTGGGTTCATGTAAATTCTTATAAAAAGAAAAGAATGAGGGCTGGGTGCAGTGGCTCACGCCTGTAATACCAGCACTTTGAGAGGCTGAGGCGGGCAGATCACGAGGTCAGCAGATCAAGACCATTCTGGCTAACACGGTGAAACCCTGCCTCTACTAAAAAAAATACAAAAAAAAAAATGTGGTGGCATGCGCCTGTAGTCCCAGCTACTCGGGAGGCTGAGGCTGAAGAATCACTTGAACCTGGGAGGCGGAGTTTGCAGTGAGTTGAGATTGTGCCACTGCACTCCAGCCTGGGCGACAGAGCAAGACTCCATCTCAAAAAAAAAAAAAAAAAAAAAGACAAGACAAGAATGAGAAAGAGACTTTCAAGGGGGGTATGGCACTGAATTTTACATGGCTGACCGGTTAGAATCTATTAGTCAAATCTGTCATTTTGTAGGGACCCAAACTTGTTTAGTCAATGGCAAGAGGGTTTGAATTCTCTTTTTACATCTGTCCAGCTTTCCAAGTATTCCATCACCTTTAAATCCACTACCCTCTTGATTTCCATGAAATTGGACATCTGTCTTCTATCTCTTGAGCACCTATTGTATGTCTCCATTTCCCCCCTTCTCAATGTAAATTTCTCAAACTTTGGCATTCTGAGTGGTTTAGTGGTCATATTTCTTTTCTTATTTCTCTTTATGATTGTTCCTCTGATGCTATAAATAACCACCATGTCTCCAGCTTCTTTAAAAATTCTGGCTTTTCTCTTTCTATCCTGGAACCCTGGCCTAAACTCCAAACCTGTCATCATCATTTATGGAAAAATCATCCATAATCAGAAGTCCTTTTCTCTTGAGCTCCAAATCCGCTTATAGAATTAACCTCCTTTGGGAATTGCCCTTCCCTTCTTAAGAGTGCTGTATTCTCCCATCATTTGCCTCAAATTCTTGGAGTCGTTCTTGACACCTTCCTCTTCTTGACTCCTACACCAATACAGTCTTTAATACTCTTGCTTCATGTACAAAACCTGCCAAGGCTTAAGTAGTGAATGAATTCAAAACTGGCACCCCCAAACTCAGTTTCCAATTCTATTGTTCACCCTGGATAGTACAATCAGGTACACTTTTCCAAAACAGCAGAGAGTACCCCCCCCCATCAAAACAAGGACAACCCTTTCAGAGATACTCTTTTTTTTTTTTTTTTTTTTTTTTTTTGAGATGGAGTCTCGCTCTGTCACCCAGGCTGGAGCGCAGTGGCGCGATCTCGGCTCACTGCAAGCTCTGCCTCCCAGGTTCACTCCTGCCTCAGCCTCCCAAGTAGCTGGGACTACAGGCGCCCACCACCACGCCCGGCTAATTTTTTGCATTTTTAGTAGAGACGGGGTTTCACCGTGTTAGCCAGGATGGTCTCGATCGCCTGACCTTGTAATCCGCCTGCCTCAGCCTCCCAAAGTGCTGGGGTTACAGGCGTGAGCCACCGCGCCCGGCCGAGACACTCTTTAAATTGGCATTCATGGCTCTGTAGACTCCTACATAATTGTTTCTTTCCTCTGTTATTTACTCACCTATTCTATCAGAGAAGCTGATTCACATTTCTGCCACAATACATTGTGCAGCAAATTCATGGAAATGTGCTCCTTTCTTTTCTGAATTAAACTCAATTTGAAAATCCCAACCTTCTCTATGAAGCATCCTTAGCAATCCCAGCCCACCAGACTCATCTCTTTTATCTATGTGGAAAGTAACAGAGTAATCATTATTTATGGGATTCATTTGACATTATTGCTGACTGCCTTATTTTGCAGTCTCCTTGGTATGTATTTTCAATGTGCTCCGTATTTTCACTGTTCACACACAGAGGTCATCTTGTGTTGCTTAGGTAGTAGCATAGGGCTCCCATGCATAACACAATGCCTACATGTGACAGGTGCACTTGGTAAGTGTTTTGATTGACTAATGTGCACCTCTCTCTTCACTGGGTTTCCTCTTGCCATCCTGCCCTTCATATTATTTTGAATCCTCCAACCTAGATATTAAATAGACCCTTCCCCTGAACTCCACCCAGATATTCCTGCTTCTATTCATCCCAGAGATTCCAAATTGTAATGTCTGTCTTTGCCCTGAATACCAGCACAAGCCATCAAAGTAATATTGTGTATTTGGCTGTACACGTGGGCATTTGTGTCTAAGAAAATATCATAAAGCACTGATCTACTATTACAGCCTCCATGGTTTCAGAGAAACGAATTCACTGCCTTGCACCTCCATCTACCTCATTCATGTAATTGTTGTTTCTGTTGGATAAACCCTCATGACTCTTCTAGCTCTAAAACACATAATATTTTATGAATAACTGTGTATAGGTAATATTTCTTGAGTATTAACTTTCTGCTAAATTTCATCATATAAAATACAGCAGTCCATGAAGTAGGTGCTCTTATTATTCCCATTTTTAAGATTAGAAAATTGAAAAAGAGAGGTTAAGTAACTTGCCCATGGTCGGGGAGTTAATAAGCATCAGAGGTGAGCTTCAAACCCAGGCAGAATGATGCCTTAAGCACTGGGAACACTATTCCACTGCAAGGAAATACCAGACTGAGCATTTCAATCTATTCCTTTTCAATACTGACTTCTCAACTGCAGTGGAGAAAATGTAATTAAATAATATCCAAATTAGAAATTATTTAATGTGACTTTAAAATGCTTTTAACTAGAAGGATGAGTGGGGCAGGGCTTACTCGATGCCCCAGGAGTTTTCTTTCTTTGCAAAGGTAACTTCTGTTGCTTAAAATAGATGATTGCAACATATTCCAGATTGTCAAGTGAGGCTTGCTTCCTTTTCTCTGGCTGTTAGGCTTTCAGTCAGACAAGGGTATGCGTTCCAAAGAAGGTGTACAATCTCCATAAAGAAAGTGATGTTGTAAAATACATATTAAAGATATTTATGGGTTCCAACCAAAGGCTCCTTGGCTGGTGGTTTGGATTGATTTCGAGGTGCGGCTGATGGAAGCCCTTCTTAGATGTTCCCAGAACTGGTGTGGTTTGGCGCCCTAATGGCCTAAGTTCAACAAGGCACCGGAGTCAGAGCACAGAATGCAGATTTCCTGGTCCTGCAAATGATGGCCCCCAACCTTTTGCCTTAGGAAGCCTTTATTCAACACAAATAACCCTTATTGTGCATTGAGGATGAACATAATGCAAATTAAAAATAGACAACGTATACAGAATGATAAATGTAAATGCAAACGCAATGTCTGTATTCTTTAATTGCAATTTTTCCTGATACCCAGCCATATTATGTGTATTCACTGAATAGCAAGAAAGAAAATAATACTGAACATAAAATGCCCTAGTTGGAATTTTTTATATCTGTGTGTCCCCACAAAATAAACATCTTTATGTTCACAATATTTTGTTTGATAAAGCTAAAATGTTCTAACACTAAAAACTGCTCTCTAATCTAATGATAAATAACCACAAGTCCAGGGAATAATTAAATATACAAAAAAAAGATCCAAGTCTGCGCTCGCATCAGTAAAAGGATGGCAATTAAAGTAAGTGATAGCTATAATTACGCACACATAACTATATTTCAACAAATGAACAAACAGATAATTATTTCTGGGAAGCAGAGGTAGCATGCAGATACTGGCATTCAAAAGAGAAATGTTTCCTAGAAAATAACACTGTTTCTGATTCAATTAGAACTTTAAGTTATTTTAAACATTTATTTTCATCTTGTGCCCTTATTTAGAAAGTGCATTGGCTGCACTTTGTAAGTTATGAACCTGTACTAATAATTGCTTTAAGAGTTATCATGCTCATGTATACATCACATTCTGCACATGTGTAATGTTTGTTCAATTTCTATAATACTGACGAGGCAGTTTTTCTGACTCTGCCCTCTGTATGGGATTTACTGGTTCCTCCGTAACAAACAACATTGTTTCAATCAGCAAATGCTTACTCAGGGCCTAAGTATAAAGGGTATTGTGCTGGATGTTTTAAAAATCATGGGGAAAGTTCCAGGCCCCCAGAAATTCATGGCGCTCACAAGAGTAGATCAGCATAAATGTGTCAAGTTGCTTTGAAAGATTGAATTTCCAATTGAAATAATTTTCCTTTTGCACGCATAACTCTTGAGATTTTCAAGTGGTTTTTACTTAATGACAGCATAGAACCAACTTTATTTTAAAAATTGTAAGTGTGTTAAGGGAGAACACAGAAATCTGTGTTGCAGGCTTTGGCCGTACACACTATGTGTTACATGCTGAAGTTTAGAACCCTGATACTCCTAAAGAATTTATATTATTAATTTCATGGATCCTATTTCACAAACATCTCCATTTTGGTCTAGAGGGTTTCTGCTTGTTTCCTTGGTTTTTGGTTATGTTTTGATATTTAGAGTATGACTTGCCGTTTTTATTATTATTATTATTAAGTTTTTTAGGATCATTTCCGAAGCTGTAGTTTTTGCCTTTTGCCTCAAAACACAGAAAACTTAAATATTTTGGTGAAGAGAAGTTCCCTTTCTCCATCTCTTTCTTCCTCCTTTTTTTTTTAAATTGCAGAATTGTAACAACCACACAAATAAAATAAAGAAATAGAACACTGGCAGCTCTGCGGAAGCTCCTGTAGTCATCTCTCCAAATCGCTACTGGCCTTCCCCTCCAAATGAAATTGCCATCCTCACTTTGTGGCAGTCCGTTCTCCGAGCACCTCTTCCTTTTCAGGCGGGTCTGTAATTCTAGAGTGTGTGTAGTAGTATTGCCCTGGAGTCTTCAGTTACATTTCTCTAGTTACTAATGAGGTTGGACTCCATTAAAATTGTTTTTCTAAGTGGTATTCACATATTCTGTCCAATTTTCTTTTCAGCTGTCTTTTGTTTTTAATTTAAATAAACGTTGAATATTAGCCTTTGTTGGGTAAATGTGTTAAAAATATTTTCTCCCTATTTATGTTTTTTTTTTTCTTTTTTCTTTATGGTTAAAACTTTTGTGTCTTGCTTAACAAGCCCTTCTTTCCTTTTATGAAGTAAGAAAGATACTCTCCTATTGTTTCTTCTATCCATTTTATGATTTGACATTTGACATACAGATCTATAATCTATCAGGAATTGTTGTGTGTATAGCATTAGGCAGAGTCGAGTTTCACTGTTTGCTCCACATGGATAGCAATCAATTATTCTTCCCCAGTGCTCTCACATGCCAATTTTGTCATAAATTAAGTGGCTAATTATGCAAGCTGGAGTAATATTATTTTCTTTCTCCTTCCTTCCTATTCTCTGAAAGCGTGTACGTGACATTGGAGTTATTTAATCCTTAGAATTTTGGAAACATTTAGTGGAGAAACCATCTGATTCTGGAATTTTCCTTGTAGGAAGGCATTCAATTACAAATTCCATTAATTTAACATTTACGGTGTTATTTAGCTTTCCTACTTCTTTTGTCCATTTTCGTTAGTTCTTTTTTTTTTAAGAATGTATTTGTTTATGTAAATTTGTAAATTTATCTTGGTGTAAAACTGTTTGTAATATTCTCTTACTATTTTTAATTTCAGCCAGATCTGTATTGATGTCCCCTTTTCAATCTAAAATCTGTTATTTGTGCCAATTTTCTCTATTTCTCTATCCCCTTGCAAGAAAATTTTCAATCTTATTGTTTTCAAAGATAATTTTTTAAAAGATAAACAACTTTCTCTTTCCTTCCTTTCTATCCCTTCACATTATTTTATTTGTTTTATATTTCAATAACTTATGTTCTTATTATCACTATCATATCTTTCCTTCCATTTTCATAGTATTTAGTTTTTGTTCTGTTTCTAATTTCTAGACCCTTTTAACACTCATCGTATTTGTTCTCTTGTGATGCAAAGGTTTGAAGCCATACATTTCCATTTCTTAAGAGATCTTTTGCAGTAACATGGATGGAACTGGAGGCCATTATCTTAGGTGAAATAACTAAGACACAGAAAGAAAAATGCTACATGTTCTCACTTATAAGTGGGAGCTAAATAACGTGTACACTTGGGCACAGAGTGTGGAATAATAGACACTGGAGACTCAGAAGGGTGGCAAGGTGGGAGGATGGGATGGAATGAAGCATATGAAACGACTTAATCAGGACAATATATACTATTCAGTTGATGTGGACACTAAAAGCCCAGCCATGGCCACGATGCCATACAGCCACATATTGACCATACCGACACTGTACCCGAGCCCCTTCCACTCATACACAAAAGACATTAGACATGTCCTAAAAGTTCTGTTGTCATATTTGCATTGTCATTAGTTAAAATATTTTGCTTTTTAATTTATTTTGTGATTTCTTCTTGAATACATTGATTACTTAGAGATTTTATTTTATCTTATTTTTTTAGACAAAGTCTGGCTCTGTCACCCAGGCTGGAGTGCAGTGGCGCGATCAGGGCTCACTGCAAACTCCGCCTCCTGGGTTCAAGCAATTCTCCTACCTCAGCTTTCCGAGTCGCCGGGATTAAAGGCATATACCACCAAGCCCAGCTGATTTTTGTATTTTTAGTAGAGATGGGGGTTTCACCATGTTGGCCAGGCTGGTCTCGAACTCCTGACCTCAGGTGATCTGCCTGCCTCGGCCTCCCAAAGTGCTGGGATTGCAGGCGTGAGCCACCGCGCCTGGCCTAGAGATGTAATTTTTGACGTTCAAATATATGAGCACTGTTTTTGCTGCTTTTTAATATTTGCACATTGTATCTTTTTCTTTTCTATCCCTTTACATTTACTCTTTCAGAATCCTTATGTTTTACTGTTTTCAGAAAACTTAGTTTTTAAAATATTCTGCTAATCATTTTTCATATAAGTTTACATTAAATAAGCCTTTTAAAGTTTATTATAATTAAATAAAGTTTATTTTCACATGTGTTTTCATATCTACTGTCTCAGAACTTTCTCCTTGCCCTATTTTTCCTATTTTATCCCCTTTTTGCATCTTTTGAGTTGACTTTTTATGATTTTATTTTTCTCTCTTTACTAGTTTGGATATTATCTACCCCACTAATATTCTTTCAGGGGTTACCTTTGAGGTTACAACTGGCAAGGTAGGTTTATCAGTGTATAATATTAAATATTATTTTACCCCTCCAAATTTTACTGCCTTTTTAGTTATTCTTTATTCTTTCCTTTATCTCTAAGCATTCTGAGTCTGTCAGTGTTTAATTCCTTTCATTTTTATTTTTTTTCCTAAAAATATCCTTAACTCCCTTTCATTATTACAGGAATTTTTGGGGGGCAGTTATTTTATTTGAGCATGTTAACTATGTTATTTCATTGTCTTTGGACTTCAGTTGCTACTTTTCGAAGATAGTACATATTTTTACCTCTAACTGCTTTTAAAATTAATTCTCGGTCTTTATTTTATAGGTGTTTTACTATGATACACCTAGGAAAGTTTTATGTATCCTACTTAGGCTTTGCAAAGGTTTCTGTTTCATTTTTACAAACGTTGGATTGATTATGGTGTAATTTAGAGACAGTGAGATTCACCTTTTTTAGACATACACATCTGTGCATCTGCAGACATGAGCACTCCAGGTTGTCTATAACACCACATGTCCTTCTGAACTTCATCTCCTGCCATTACGCCCAGCCTCCAGCAACCACTCAGCTGTTTTCTGTCTCCAGCTTTGCTTTTCCCCAAATGTTACATAAGCAGGATCACACTTAGTCTTTTGATTTTTTTTTTTTAACCTCAACACAATGCTTTAGCCATCCCTTTTTTTTATGATGCTCATTATAGTTGATCACTCTTATTTATTGCAGGCTTCATCCATGTGCTAGTTCAGCCTGTGAGATGCTGGTGAGCCCACCTCCAGGCACTCACGGACTCCCCACCCATTGAGTGTGGCCTGGATTTAGTGACTCAATCAAACGTGACAGAGTGCTGGGGTGTCATTTTCAAGACTGGGTTATGTGAAGACTGCAGCCTCCATCTGGGGTGCTCTCTCTTGGATTGCTTGCTCAGGGATGTGGGGAGAGCTGCTGTGCTGGGAGGCTGCCCATGTGAGTTGACTTGGATGTGAACCTTCTGTGGCCTGCCAATAGCCACGTGAGTGACCTTGAAAATGGATCAGCCTTCACTCAAGTCTCAAGATGACTGTGGTCTTGGCTGACAGCTTGATTGCTGTCTCATGGGGGACCTTAAACCAAAGGCACCCTGCTAAGCCACACACAGCTTCCTGGCCCACAGAAACTATGAAATAATAACCATTTCTTATATAAGCCTCCAAGTTTTGGGAGTAATATTTTGCACAGTGATGGATCACTAATACAAGCCAGTCATCAGTTGAAAGACACTGAATTTATTTCCAGTTTTATGTGATTATGAATAATGTCACCATATGCATTTGCATACAGGTGTTTGTGTGGACACTGCTGTCATTTCTCTTGGGAAGATACTGAGGAGTCAGATTGCTGGATCCCGTGAAGAATGTATGTTGAATGTTATAAAAATCTGCCAACTTAAATCTGTTTCCTGGTGCTCTTTCGTCAGCATTGGGAGATGCTCTAACATTTCTCACCAAGTCTTTCTTCTGCTCATGCGCTCCCTCTTCTTTCCCTAAGACTTCAATCATCCTCCTCATTGCCCTTTATATCTCTAAACCATTGTCTGGAGTTTCCATTCTTCCCTTTTGCTTCAATCTGTTTCATTCTGGGGATTTTCTGAGTTATCTTCCACTTCTCCAGTTATTTTTTATTTGTTTTGTTTTTAAACAACTATATCTAATTAAATTTAACTTTATCCTCTGTTGTACTCAATTTTATTACTGCATTTTCCAATTTCAGAATTTCCATTTGACGATTTCCTTATAGTTTCCTATTTCTGCTGAAATTCTCGTTGTTTTATTTCGTGGGGGGCTGAGTAAACATACTTATTTTAAGGCATGTGTCTTTGAATTCCAACCTTTTGAATCCCTGTGGACATATTGCAATTGGCTGCCGTCTCTGCTTTTAATTTTTTATCTTATTTTGTGTGCTCCTATGCCTGGTTATTTCTAACTGTGTTGGACTTTGCATTTGAAAAATGGTTTCTATGAATGTTTTGAAGCCTAGGATGCTATTACTGCCCTTTGGGGAAAATGTACACGTGTTTCTCCCAGGTACCTGTAGGCCTGGTTACATCTGGGCAACTCAACATGGTTCTTGGTTCTGGTTCACTCTGACTCTTGGGAAGAACACTTGAAGGCCCCACCCCAAGGCCTTGGTGGGGCCACGACTCAGTTTCTTGCCCTGTAATTTGAGAAGGCAGTCAGAAGCACAACTTGACTTCTTAGCTGCCTTCTCTGAACAATGTGGGTACCCTTATGTCCCCATGAGCCAAGCTTCAAGTGTGGGCTTCCTTGCTTCGGCTCACCTTGCACCCCACTCCCAGGTCTTCAACTGCTTCCCAGCATTTCAGCATCATGATGGTTCTCCCACGCCTCTAATTAGACTAAACAAACATGCTTTTCCCAGCCCTGCGGGAGGCCCTCAGGAATAGTTGGTCTGAGTCTTCCCATCAGTTATTCCCAGACGCCTTTGTCTTCTTTTATTTGTGAGAGAAAATACTTGCGTGATCCTCAGCTTTTGTACCTGCAATCAAGCCACTTTCTAAATGTGGCACTCATTGATGTACTTAAAATACCTGAAGCCAGTCTGGCACTTATCATTTCTTTAATATTATTTTCCTTCACATTTCTTAGTTTCCAGAATAATTTTTTAATTAAAAATATTGGTAGAGAATCTATTGCCTTCTTCTGCTCAGTATAAGACTAATTTTGGACCAGTTCTTTTAGATTAACACTCCATAAAATTTCGGAAAAGTCAACAAGGAGTGAATAGAATTCCAATTCTTTAACTGAAGCAATCATATGCTGACAATAATACTTGCAGGGGAGTTTCATGGTTTATATTCTATTTTCCAGTTCTTAACCCTACTTCATTTTCATATTTTAAATCCATTCCTCCCAGAAAGTTGATACAGCCTAAAACTTTTGTACATTTACTTCTGAGTTTAAAAAGTGCTTACCATTTGAGATGGAATTTCCATTTTCAGCAGTTATAGCACTAGATAGTGAATTAGATAACTGAATTCCATGGTTATTTGCATTTCTGTCTTGAGTCTCGGAAGTAATTTCTGACGTACTAGGGTCATCTCGGCTACTTATGTTCATGTTAGTTTCAAAACCTAAAATAAATTTTAGAAAACATAATTATTTTCTGATAACATGTACTGAATATACTGAATAAAACATTTGGAGAAAATAATAAAACATCAAATCAAACATTCATGACATTTAAAATAATAATAATCTTTAATAAAATTTGTAGCCTATATAATATTCACCAAATTTTGCCACAACAATGTCAAACAAAAAGGAAAATGTCAAGTGGTAACAATAATTTGTTGCATTCAAACATATTTATAAAGAATTTTTGATGTCATAGATCAAATAACTTGTCATTATAGTATTGCCTGTCATGAGAAAGCAATGAGTTCATGTTTCAGGAGTTTTCTGAATGATTACATTTAAATAAATTAAGGCAATCTTACAGCTTTGGAAAAAATAAGAAACACTTGAGTGATAAGAAACACTATAGTGATATTTTCAACATCACTATAAACACTTTTAGTGTCCATGTTGGAATACTGAACTTCAATACTCGACTTCCGCATTCTGCACACTAAGATAATTACTTAAATATGTAATGCTTGTCCTATGTTAAGTGTTTTGAGAGGTACGAACACGAAAGCCACTGTCCAAATTCCACTGAAGGGCCTGATGAAGACTTTTTAAAGTGATGTAATATTAATAAAGTGAAACACAGCAAATGCTTCTATTTGGAAAAATGTCCAATGGAGGTAGGTTTCCCCATGGTCACTGCATTACCCTTAGGCACAAAATCAGACTTTGCAAATCAGGCACAACTGCCATCAAGGGGCCAGACATCCCCCCATCACCACCTCTGCCAAGTTCCCTTTCTCTGACTTCACAGGTGCACCTGGGATTGGCTCTTGCTTCCTAAGGAACCTCAAAAAAGCTGCAACCTATTGGAGACTTTTGATTCAGCATCAAGGATATGCGTGAGACTTTGGTTCTTTTCTGTTGGGACACAGTTGATTCTGACTGTCTTAAAGTTAGGCTTTTCTAAAGATTTAGACTAATAAATTATTTGAATGGGACAACACACATCATTTGCTTTATTATACTTTAAATATGGCAGAACGGTGTATTACCACCCCAATCCCAATCACCGGTACCTCCATAGGCAGAGATGTTATCCTTATTTTGCTGAAGAAGGAATTAGGGTTACTCAGAGTCATGCAGTTGGAAAGAGATAGAATGGAACTTTAACCTGTATGTTCTGATTATTATTCAGTCTTTATTTTTCATTAAAAGACAAATTGGATTATGTCATTTCCATGCTGAAAAGTTTTGGATAAACTGCTGTTGGTTGCAATCTACAGAAAGAAGGTAGGAAGGAGACAGGGAGGGAAGGAGGGAGGAAGACAGGAAAACAATGAAAGAAAGCAAAAAAGGAAAGAAAGGGAGGGAGGGAAGGAGGGAGGTGGGAGGGAGGGAGGGAAGGAGGGAGTGGGGAGGGATGGAGGGAAGGAAGGAAGGAAGGAAGGGAAGGTTCCATCTCCCCAGAGCTTATCTCTCAAGGCTGGTCTTGACTTGGTCCCTCTTAACTCCTACCTTGACATTATCTCCTCTTGCCTCTCGAGACATACCCTCAAATAGCACTACAAGCAATGCATGTTTATCCAAATTCTCCATATTGACTCCTGTTTTCTTGCTTTGGTGCACTCAAGCCCTCTCCCGCATCAACCCCAAGTCTTCCTACCCACCAGTCAGGACCTTGGTCAGATCACCCGCAGGGACCTCTCCTTTACAGCACAGAGCACAGCCTGTTCTGCCCAGAAAGGAAAGCAGGTCAAGATTTATGAGCAGGAAACGCTGGATAGATGGAATAAAGGCAAAACTATCGGCATTTTGAAAACTAGGCAGAAGAGTTTAAATTTAAATGATCCAGCGAGCCACTGTGGCTCCTGACTCCATTATACATAAAAAACAAAGACCTTCAGTCAAGTTAGCATGTACAAGAATGGCAACAAAAGTGAAAGTCAGGTGATCTTAACTGTTTTAGCTCTTGACAATGAGCAATTATTGAATGGGCTGAAACTGAAAGAATACTTATTCAATGTGGTCAACTCTAGTTTGGCTTTTTTTTATTTCTGTTAAGCTTCCGAATGCCAGTAAAACAGGTTCTGTTTTAAAACTGGCTCAAGATGTACTCACCTGCTTTTATGTTGCTTTCACCTATTTTATTTTTGCACTCTTTAATTCAGTTATTTATTGGGTGCCTACTATGTGCCAGATACTCACTGAGTGCGGGAGATACATAATGAATACCACTGCCTGGTACCTGGGAGCTTCTCTCCCAAAAAGGTGATTGGCAATAAACAAGCAGATACACAAGCAGATAATTAAACGTGGTGGACTCACAGCTACGTGGAAAACCTAGTAAGTGGAAAACACTGGTGGGCAGCCAGGCAAGGTGGGTGAGGTCCATGAGGTTGCATTTCAGCTCGTGATTTTAGAAAGGCAACCTCCACACCATGTGTAAATACCCCAAAGCAGGAAAGAGCTCACCATGTTCAAGAAACCAGGTACTAATGAGTCAGGGCCTGGGAAACCACCAAAGAGGAACTGAGAGGTTTTATTCTCAGCGCAGTGAGGGCTTCCCCAAGGCTTTGAATGAGCACAGTCCTCTTACACCTGGTGGCAATAAACGAATCCTCTAAGGCACTTGCTGACTCTCAGTCTGAGTACTTCAGGCTGGCCTCCCTCACAACTGATTTCTATCTCATCAACTGATGTATTTAAATTGCAGCCAAAATTCTCATTTTTGCAATTAAAGTTTAAACGTATTTCTATTTTTCAATTGGCAGGTTAAACTATAGCCAAGACATGTTTTTTGGGCTTTGTTTTGTTTTTTGAGGCAGAGTCTCTCACTCTGTTGCCCAGGCTGGAGGGCAGTGGCACGATCTCAGCTCCCTGCAACCTCTGCCTCCTGGGAGATTCTCCTGCCTCAGCCTCCAGAGTAGCTGTGATTACAGGTGCATGCCACCATGCCCGGCTAATTTTTGTATTTTTTAGGAGAGTGAGGGTTTCATCATGTTGGTCAGGTTGGTCTCAAACTTCAAGTGATCTGCCTTCCTTGGCCTCCCATAGTGCTGGGATTTCAGACATGAGCCACTGTGCTCGGCCACCATGACATGCTTTTAAACGGTCACACAGGTTAGGCTGAAATCCTTAAATTATCTGCTAAATTTTAGTTTTTTAAATCTTAATTTATAATTAAATTTTAATTTTTTAAATCTTAAAAACATTTATCTACTTAAGCCTGGCTCTGGATGGGAATAAGGGAAAAGGCCCTTCTTAACGTAAGGCATAAGAACTAATGGTCAGCATGATACTTCCTCACATTGCTCTTACAATAGTTACCATCACCCAGGTGTATATTAGGTGCCAATTCCCTGCTAGATGTGGTGCTTGGTTTAGCTCTGTTCTCATGACAATTCTGGAGAGTTGTCACTATTACACCTATTTTCGAGATGAGATCATTGAGGCTTGGGGAAGTTAATCTCTGTGTAAACATTTCACAACTCATGGCAAGGCAGCCAGATTCAGACTGAGGCCCAGAGGGCTCAGCAGTCCCCACACAGTCATTCTTTTACTCTTGGCTCCTCTATGTAAAGTTTTCCTTCACTGTTTCATTTGTTGATGTAAAGGATAGGATATGGGAGCTTCTTTCCTGTGACGAGTTTACCACCCAGGCCTCAGTGGTAATGAACTGAAAACTGTAGGTTGCAAAGCTGCACTCTGGCAGCTGCAATAGTGCTGCGGCTTCAGTATCGACATCCCCACTTTGGGGTTCTCCTCTGCTTGTAGTAGCCGCGGCATTCTACTGAATTATGCATCAGCCTCCGCTCATAAACACCCTTCTCCCAGTTAGATCCAAACACGTGAAAGCAGCCGTGCCCTGACTTGTTAATTTCTAGATTCAACACACTGAGGATTGAATGCAGAAACTCTGGATGGTTGGGTTCTCCCGTAAAGTGGTAGCTTAGCACACAACATTCCTTGTCAAAAGCATTCCCACTACCCAGCACTTCAGCAGTGAGGGAATTACAACAATCAGAAATCAAGAGGACAATGGCATTAAGTCTGAAGAGGTCTTTGTTAAAAGTGCATATACATGATGCATGCTTTCAGGAGAATTTTAGAAATAATACAGTGCAAACAAAGTCATCAAGACTTTTCATGCCTTCAAGCAGTGGCCAGCAGGGTTCTGAGAATGAAGAAAAGTCACATCAAAAGAAAATATTTGAAACTCTCAGTGAATTTAGTTAAACAACTAAGGAAGTGAATACTGTACATCCTGTATAATATTTAAAGGTGTGTCTGAGACATTTTTGTGCCTCTGTATCTAGTGAAGTAAGGGGTTGTGTAGTTCAGTGGCATCCTGTGGTTGGGTCCATGGAAACACGGGTTGGTTTGGACACCTGCAGTGTTTTCTTTTGGCCTATTAACAAGATTTCTCTGTGACCTCGGGCTCGGTGCTATTTTTACAGGTACGAGAGAATTGAATCACATCAGGATCTGACTCAAAAATAAAGTCTTGGCCTTTGCATTAAGATATGATTATTAATTACAAGTTTGCAGTGTAGGTACATTTAAGGTGAATTTTAATCTAGCGAGAGCAAATCTCTAAATGTTGATACAAAAAATTCGGTTGTCTTGTGCTAGTTTTTATATAACTGAAATATCACTCCCAGTCAATGTGATTCTGTTTTAAATCATGGCTCTTGATAGGAGGTGCTTTCTGACCCCCAGGGGACATTCAGCAATGTCTGGAGACATTTTTAGTTGTCACAACCGGGCGATGGGGTGTGCTACTGACGTCTGGTGAGCAGAGGCCAGAAATGCTGCAAAACATCCTATAACACACAGGACGGTCCCCCAACCTAGAATTATAGTATCCAGCTCAGAATGTCCATTGTACTGAGGCCGAGAAACCTCGCTTTAAAACATAAGTCGGATCATGTCATTCCCGACTCCAGCCTCTCTGCTGCTTTCTGAGTTGATTCACATTAAGATCCAAAGGCTTCCTGAGGCTGAGAGGACCTTGCATGCCCTGACTCCTGCTGGCCTTGGGCCCCAGCCCCCCTTACACGCCTTAGGCCTTGGCCTCGGTCTTGCCTTCCCGGCCCTGTCAGCCTCCCAGCCTCTCTCTCCTTCTCCAGCGTCCAGCAGGGCATGGCAGCTGCACTGTGTTCAGGCCTTCTGGATGACCTTCTGAAAAACAGCACCTGTCTTCCTCGCCAGGTCAGTTCCTGTCCCCACTCCTTGCTTTAGTTTTCTACACAGTCCTTCTCACTGCATGGCACAGAACAGCCCAATTGTTTGTTTTGTGTCTCCTTCCTCTGGAATGTGGGCAAATACAATGTGCGTTGTATTTTCAGTGCCTAGAATAGAGCCCGGCTCACAGATGGCACTCAATTAATATTTGTTGAAAAAGAAAAAAGATGAATGAACAATAAATTAGTTTTAATAATGTTGCTATAGAAATTCTCTTTCTGAAAGGAGCTACACTTTCCATACCTGTAAAATAGCTTGCACATTTACTAAATGAAAATTTTATGCAAATAAGTACAGTAAAGCCACGCACCACAATGATCATTTTTCCCCATTCACACAAGATTGACAACTTACGGAAGCACTTTCAGTGTTAATCCACCTTTGAGTGCTGATCTTTACTTATTTAAAATTATAAGATAAGGAAAATATCTCATTGCATGAGGTGAATATTTTCTTTTATGCAATGGAGTGGAGCTGTTTGTTTTCTACCTAAGCTTGTTAACTTATGAGAGAAAGGACCTATGGTTGTTTGAAACTGATTCCTGACCCATGGTTTGAGAATTCAAAGACACAAGGTCCATACATAGTTTTTTAAAATTGTACTTTACATTGCTTTACAATCTGTAATATCAGGAGATAAAAATCAATTTGATGAATGTTGGCATGCTTTGGCTGTGCTGAGTGTGACTCTGGAATCCTGGTGACTGGAGTGGGCACAGTGGGTTGACCCGTAGTTACGTGAAGGGGCTTCCATGCACCCCTATCTTCCCCAGGCCTCTTCCAAGGCCGAGGGAGGGACTCAAGCAATGTACAAACAGTTAACATTTGTAATACTTTGTAAACGTATACTTTGATTTATTTTCTCATTTTGAATAAATGTCCACTTAACTCTCTAAATGTTCATTTTTCATCTTTATTATTATTTTTTTAAAAAAGCTCACCTTTCCCCAATTGCATATGCTTCAATCTCTGGACAAAAACCAAAATGGGTCTCAGGCATAGAGCCTCTAGCCATAATCTACATGATGAAATCTTTACCTTTGAGTAATTCACAGGCGGGAGGAGAAATAGGTGTGAGGTCACTGGATGAGACTACAAAGGCAACGTCACCTCCGGCTCACCTTGGAAATGTTTTATGGGAAAAGTCCAACTCCTCAGACAGTAACAAGACTGTTTTATAAGTTTGCCATGACAGGAGAGGTATGAATAAGTTAACATCAGGGATGTGTCTGGGAGAGGAGACACAGGAAGGATTTTGTGGAGGGAGGGGGAGGTAGGATGGAAGGCGAGAAGAGGAACTTCTCTTAAGGAAGAATGCAAAAACTCTGCAAGAGTGGAGAGACGTTTCTTAGTGGGGAGAGAGAAATGTCCTTGAATAATTCTGGGAGAGCTGGAGAAAGACAGGGAGCATAATGGGAGTTAAGATGAGTCCTTGCTCCAAACCAAGAGTGACAAGAAACCTGGCAGAACGGACAGCACGTGGTTCAGCCCTGGGAAGGCAAAGAGATGCCCTGGAGCGCAGTGGCCACTCTGGGGAACATGAGAGCTGAATGAAGAAGAAAGGAAGAGGGGTGGACCATGAGCAAACTATATTCCTCCCCCAAGCTAGGGAGCTCTCCACTGATTCAACAGGTATTCACGTCCTACAAGGTCCAAACCTGGTGCTAAGATTTACTTTAGAACTTAAAGAAATATTCGTCCGAAAGAAACAATCCATTGAGTGCTCACATTTTAGAGGGGTTATGGAGCACGGCAGATGACAAGAATTTATGACGACCGGGTAAGTGCAAGAAGAAAAGGGACTACATCTATCCTGAGGGGTATAGAAGAATGAAGAATCTGACGCATCACTGTGGGACTCGCATCCTGCTCAGCTGAGCTAATTTTGACGGTTTTATTCACTTGTTAAAGCCTTTGACACTTATAATGCCAACCCATGTGACAGGGACATCCAGGGTGCATTCTAAGGGGTGCTTTTCCCCAGGCTTCTCTGTGGTGACTCAGCTCTAAGGGGGACTGTCTTCAAGGTGCCTTCAAGGCATGTGTTAAGGTTGCAAAGGGCCAGGGGGCTGGGATGGGAGCTCTGCAAAATGCTCTAGGAATTCTTAGGAGAGGTCAGAGTGGGCTGGAGCAGCCAGGTGAGCCTTTGTTGTGTAGGCAGGAGGAAGAAGCAGTGGATTTTGAGTTGAGGACGGAATGTGGAGAGGGGGAGGGAAAAGGAAGGGAATGCCGCAGAGGCAGAGCTGACTGCACTCGTGAGGGAGGGGAGGCTGGCTCTGCCCACACCTCCGCACCGGGAAGTGGGAGCAGAGAGCTTTGGAGTCTATGAGCATCACAGGACTGGGTTCCAGCAAGTATTTTGAGCAAGGGCATGCTGTGAAGAATAAGGTTTTTTTTTTTTTTTTTTTTTTTTTTTGTAAATACTAATCTAGCAAAGAAAGTATACAGCTGAATGGACCTTGAGGAGAGATTAGAAGTAGAAAGAGAGTCAGGGGAGAGGCTGGGGAAGCAGAAGGAGGAGTGGAAAGGCAGGAGGAAGCTGAGTTCAATCCCACTGAGCGGGAGAACTGGGACCTGATGGGGACCACAGCTGGGGCGTGGTTCAGAGCAGCAGCTCCCACCTGAAGAGCAGGGTGCATCTGGGGTTGTACTTGTTGACTTTGAAGTGACAGCCGCAGGCCTGAGGATTAAATTGAGTGGCAATTTTTTGAAGAAGAGAATTTATTAGGACTGGAAAGGAAACAGCTAGGAGAGACTTAAAAATCTCTCAGGAAGGAGAAATTTTCAAGGAAGAGACACTCTCGAGTGTGAGGAGGTAGCAGGAGGGGACGCCCAGGTGACTGCCGTGCAGGAGGGCAGATGTGGGCGTGCAGGAGGGCAGATGTGGGCTTGCAGGAGGGGCTGCAGGCCAGGAGCCTTGGCAGAGGGCAGGACTGTGTGGCACGCAGGGCGGCTGACAGCGTCAGTGCTGGGGAAAGGCCAGGAAGCAGGGGAGAGAAAGGAGCCATGGAATGTTTCCCCAACAAGATGCTGAAAACACCACTTTTCTCTTAGGTACCTGCGCTAGAGATCAGATTAGAGTGTATTTTAGAATCCTATGAGATGGGATCCGGGTTTCAGTAACGCAGGAGAAAAACAAACTATAGCTGTTTGGCTGACTTAATACTGAGAGTGCTATGTAAGGCATAAAAAATGTGAAAATACATTTTAAACTCATTACTCATACTGGCTATAACTCATTCTGAAACTCTATAGGAAAATTCCTCTTCAGAAAGGCTATTGCATGAAGGGAATGTGCTTGTTTTTTCCTACTTGGCATTAAGGAAAAGTACAAATGCAGAGAGAGGTGCCTGGCAGGCTCCCACCACTTCTCAAGTTCTCGTTTGTAAAATTTAGAAGTCGCAGCTCGACAGCGCTTGCAGATACACATAGATGGTGCGTAATTAAATTTGGATACAAGCACTTCGACCTGAAATTGGCGTCTAGCTTGTGTTAAACCAAATCTAGTTTGTGTTACACAGGGCAACTCCTTTTAAATCTCTAAAATATAGATTTCTCTGAAACCCTGTATTACTGCACATGAGGAAGAAATGCAAACAGGGCTTTGACACCCCTCTCAAGTCGACCTGCATCCTACTTTATAAGCTTCTAGGAAGTGATTTGTTTTCTTTTACATAATATGTTTTTTCTTTTACATGATAGAATTTTCTTTCCTTTCCATGATAGCATAATCCAAATATTTGTGTTATTGCCTCTCAGAAAGACGAATTTCAGATGTAAAGAACCACAGAGGCTAATCTGAAACTCAAGAAGAGAGAGTTCAGTGGAGATGGGTGGATGTGAGGAGAGTGGAGACTGCTACAGGGGAAATGTGTTAAACTCATGGAGGTGACACACTGCAATTATGCATGTTTTGAACAGCACAATTCTAATTGCCTTTTGAAAACGTGCAACAGATTTTATCATCCCTTTGTGAATGCTTGCAGAAATATATCAAGAGAGGGCGTCTGAGTCTAGTGGTGATGGAGATCTGGGAAGAGAACTGGGTTCCCAGGCAGTTACTCTTGTGACACAGCTGTTACCCACACTATGTGGACAGGTCATATTTCTATAAGCATTGATTACTTAAGAAACAGAAAAATACATCACTGCAGACCTTGGAAAGGTTGCGTGTGCTGAGAAACTGGATTTGCCCGGCCCTCTACTGACTTTAAATGTCTCGGGCTGGGCTCCCGACATTCCTTCCTACTTGTTAATAACCCCTTATGAAATCACCACCCTGGAGTAGATCGAAATTCCTCTTGAACTTATGTTTTAAGCATTCTTCTCTGGTAGCGAGTGCCGCAGATACTTATCCTCCAGGTTAAGCGGGGAGGAATGGAAATGTCTGCTCCTCCTTCACTCCTAACTCTTGTCACCCACCCCCCCGCCAAGTCGAAGGAGATGGTTTGTGCTAGAAAACACCAACTGAAGTAGGAAACAGAGCGATGTCTTCAACAACATATGTGCTGAGCAAGGGAAGAATGCATTGATAGTAAAGCTAAAAAATGACTGTCAGTATAAATAAGGTTTTCAGTACCCAAAAATGCACAGAAAATTAAGTTGTGCCAATTTCCTTTTAAATTTAACTAACTGAATCCTTTTTTGCCCATTTATTCTGTCCCTGCCATAAAGGGGAAAAAATCACTTCAATCCCTTTCCTTTTCTTGTACTTGGGTAGCTTTTTTTTTTTTTTTTTTTTTTTTTTCATAATTAGCCGAGTATGCAATACCTAAACAACATGCCTGCTTGGCCCAGAGCCCCATTCCTCATGCATACTTTTATAGGTCATGAGGTTATTTATATTGCTGTTATTTTTACATTTCCTCAATGCCAGGTGGTAACGTAAATCCAGGAGTCCTGAGCCACGATGTGTGGCCAAGTACGCGGTCGGTGTCAGCAACATATGTTTTCCTGGAGGGAAATGGTTCCTCCTCACTTTCCCCAGAAGGCAAAGGTGAGAAGATAACGTCCCTGCTCTTCTGTTGGGAGTGTTTCGTGTTGGTGACACCTACAGCCTGGATGGTAAGCTAGTGGTGCCTGTCCTCTGCTAAAAAAGAAACAGCAAAAATTAAAGAAAACAGAAAGAAAGAAAAAGAAAAATTACAGCAGTGGTGGATGTGAGGTCTTTTCAAATCCCTTGCTCAGAACTCATTACCAATTTACCCATCTAAAGTACTTAATAACAAAAAAAGACACAGACCAGGGCCCATCGGAACGAGCATGAGTCATCGACCTTGAGCATTTTGCTGTGTCAACATTTCACCAAGGAGAAACGTGGCAGGCCCGGGCCAGGCCACCCAAGGCGGTGGGATGGACGTGGGGACCTTGAGAGCTCAGGGCAGCAGCCCTGCACCAGCTGGCATCAAGACATTTCCATATTTTAATAAGAGTGTGGCAGCACCTGTGGACACCAGCTGAAGCATAGCCCACCTGCCCACACTCACTGGCTCCCAGCCAGGAGCTCGGAGGCCTTGAAAAATAAATTTAAAATATCTATGGAGATTCAAATTCTTCTCGAAATTCTGGAAGAGCTACATGGACCGTGTCTTTGATAGCCGTAGCGGTTGCATCTCTTTCTGGTGGTAGATTGGCTGGAGTGACTAATTCTTTACGTGCTCACGTGACCCAATTTCCCCTGATGGGCCACAGGGCAGGTGCCAGTCACTCAGGAAGGACAAATGACTGGGACGCAGTAGAGAAAGGCTGAGCCTAAGCTTCCAGTGGATTCACACTTCACCAGGGACCACAGGAAGACACCATGAGGTGGCCAGGCAGGTCGGTGGTGGGGTTTCCCTTCTCCTAGCCTAGCTGTTAATTTCTTAAGTAATTAATCAGCCCAGATTAATCACTTTTTTTTTGAGACAGAGTCTCGCCCTGTCGCCCAGGCTGGAGTGCAGTGCTGCAGTCTCGGCTCACTGCAACCTCCACCTCCAGGGTTCAAGTGATTCTCCTGCCTTAGCCTCCCAAGTAGCTGGGACTACAGGCCCACACCACCATGCCCGGCTACTTTTTGTGCTTTTAGTAGAGATGGGGTTTGACCATGTCGGCCAGGCTGATCACAAACTCCTGACCTCAGGTGATCGGACGGTCTTGGCTTCCCAAAGTGTTGAGATGAGCCACCTCGCCCAGCCAGATTAATCATTTCTAAAGTACGTAGGTTCACATGTAAATGAACATAGAAATAGCAAGAAAAAAATCTATCCTTTCTATATCTATATATCTATAGCTATTCTGATACAGTTACTCCAAAACATAATTTGATCACGCCCTTTGAAAAATCCTTTTACTGTGCAGGATAAGGCACACAGTGGCTTCTAGCACACAAGAGGACAACCTCCTCTTGTTCTGATGCTTTCTCTTTGGAGATTTTGTTTCCTATTTGCCCGTATAAATCCTCCCCTGTAGACCAGTGTTTCAGAGGACATATTTGTGAGCTGAGAAATCAATTTAGTGGGTCATGACACGCACTTTAAAATGAAAGAGAACAGAATACCATGAGTAAAAATGCAGTGTTGAACGAGCGTCATGGATACGTCGTGTTTTGTGAATCCCGAGTAGTATCTCTATGTAAAATGTGAGTCTCGTCCCCTGGATGCGTCGGAGTTTTCAAGTTTCCTTGCCATGGTCTGCTTAAGAGAGAGCCCACATTTCATTTTAAAAATCCATACAATTCCATGCAATGTCTGGCACCAAATAGATTCCTTGGAATAAATGAATGAAGTGTGCCCTTCGTATTTAGTGATTTTTCCGAAACCTTTTTGAAATTTTGAAGCAAACTGCAGATAGTAATAGGAAATACTACTGCTAGTTTTATCATTTTGCCTGAAGTTAACCTCTGATATTTTGTAGCCTAGGAAGAACTACATATCCGGAGGCATGCCATAGGGTAGTTTTCTCACCTGATAAAAGGAACGTTTGTTTCTAAAGCTATTGCAGAGGGTTCCGAAGACATGCTCAATCCCCGCAGAAATGGAAATGTATTCCGATTAGCAGCTGTGCCACATCACCGGGTGTTTTAATGATCATCAGATTAAAAAGACGTTTTTATGATCCCACATCTCCAGATATAAAGCACAGAGCCTCTTTCCTGTGTCACTGTCCCTAACCTCTAAATTAGAGATAACTTCAAGCCTGGGTAAGTGAATGGTGGCGACCCCCTACTAAGCTGCAACTACATCAGTGAAATTAATGTTCACGATTAGAGTTTTACTGTCTGGAATGACATGTAAGTGATTCAACCAGATCTCTAGTTGTGCTAATGTTTATGTGGTGCAAATAGGGTGTGATTAGAAGGAACTAGAACAACACCAAGAGTGTGCTCCTATCTCCGAAATCAAGGTCCCGTAGCTTCTCTTTCCTTAAAGACTGAAATAGTTACTCGAAAGGCAATTTAGCAATTAAAAATCTAAGGGGACTTTGTTACTAAGGGGGCTTTATTACTGGTAATATATACAAAGGTAGTTAAATACCAAGAGACAGAGTCAATCAAATTCTCATAAAAAATTTTAAAAATGTATGCTATTTTGCCTTATAGGATCTGCTGCTGGGCACTGGTTATTTACTTAAGAAAGGATCTGTGAACTGGCAGAAGTACGATGGAGGCCACCTACTTTAAGTTGGTTGTTTGCACTCCTGTATGTCCCCTCCATCCTGCTGTTAAAGCCAGTCTGACCCCCTCCAGCACGTCATCTCGCCTGAGAGCTGAAGTTAAGGGAATGTAACGTCACCAAACGGATGTGGCCTCAGCAAGTAACTTCATAGCTGTGAGCTTTGGTTTGCTTTTTAGTGACATGGAAAGGCCTGTATGGTGAAAGTTTTCACTCATTGCTTTGCCTAAGTCTTCTCATTTTCACTTACTTCTTCCCAGTTTATCCAGCTTTTCACATAAAAGGAAAATAATAAAGCCAAAATCCAAAACATACATATTTTTCAGGGACACACCCTCATGTACCAATTGTGCATATATCAC
The DNA here is from genome assembly GCF_000001405.40 of Homo sapiens. NCBI lineage: Eukaryota > Metazoa > Chordata > Mammalia > Primates > Hominidae > Homo > Homo sapiens. Next base: position 109,151,647 of record NC_000013.11, on the reverse strand, counting down.
TTCTTCCTGCTTAAAAATGGAGATTTCTTTTGAAGGGTTATGTTTGATTTTGAGCCAGAGTTTTCAGTATGAAGAAGCTCTTTTTGGGCTTTTAGGACTTCAGGTAATGCACAAATTCTCAGGTGTCTCTCGCAGTCAGTGTTCTGCTGTAAATCAGTGCAAGTCTCGGATCTAGTTCATGTCTGACCTTGTTTGGGCTCTGCATAGTTTAGAACTTAGTCATTTGCGTGGAGGAGAGAAATGAATCATATTGTTTATTGTCATAATTAACATGTGTTATTAAATTTGCAAATGGCCACTAATTGCCCATGTACAGGGTCTAAGTATGAAAACTGAAGATTTCAAGGAGAAACCAGGATGGAGTCAGTAAAGGCCTGAGAAGCTCTGCACAGAGTACATGGTGGACGGCTGTGTTGATTCATGGAATGAAGCACTGGGTGAAGTGATATTGAATATAGCTCACTCTCGATGGCGTGAAATTTTGTAGGCTAATCTGGGGATTAATCATAAAAATGACTGAAGTCAGGCATAAGGAGCCTAAACACTGGTAGGTAATTGGGAAATAGGTTTTTCTCTTCCAATACTCTTCAGGAGAGAAAGAGCATGGCACCTGCCCAGTCTCTCTTTAGGACAATATTCCATGCACCATGTTGCTTCTAAGCATTTCTTCACAAAAGGAAGAAAACCCCAGGATATTGTATTATGTGGCAATAATGAGATGCAGATAGTCAGGAAGGTCTTTATTAACTTGCTTAAGGAGAGCTGCTGAGTGGCTTAGAGGATAAAGGGCTGGATTTCTCTTTAGAGCCCCCAGTGGGAGTTTAATTTGCAATCCAGTGTAGAGACACAATATACAATAGCTGCTTGCTTTAGTGGGTTGATAGTATGAAAAATATTTACTGGTTATGAAAGAGAATCCACTTCTGAGAAGTCTGCCTTATTTTCAGAATTTCAGGTGCAATAGATCCTTTCCCCACTGACGGTGCATTATAGAGCATCCCGGTTGTAAAGGCTTCTTTGTTGCATTTGGTTAATCTAAAAAATGATAACCTCTTTACGCTAGATACGTATCTCTGGTCTGACTGACATGCTAGCTGCCGCAGATTTACAGCTAATATGTTAAGGTAATTTCTCAGGACAGTTCATGCAATTCATAGGGTACCTTTTTGATCAGATTGATCTAAATATTTAATAGTCATAACCTTCTGCTTGGTTTTGCTCCTCGGTTTCAAAGAATAATGAAGTGGCATGACCTAGCGGGAACAGCATAGTCACGAGAGCAATGAGCTTTATATTTTCCCAACAAATATTTATTGAGGGGCTGTGAGTATAGCCCTGGCTTTATTTAGTCATGTTTCTCACTTTGCTGTTACCGATGTCGGTTTCTACGTACACATAATTGAGAAAGGAATGGATTTTTGCCTGTTTAAAGAAAGTTGCTGTAGAGACAAACGATGAAGACTTTTTGATTGTCTGTCTTTCCCCTGTTCCAATCATGGTCGCTATTGAGAATCACTGCTGATCATCTGTCTGTACAGTTCTTAGCATGGTTCCTGGTGCTAGGTGAGGGCCCACCACCCATTTAATTTCTGGTGGGTCTGGGGCAGGCATCTGACACCCCACTTATGAGGTTGAAGTCCACATCCCCAGCAAGTCATATGTGTCCTACAAAAAATATGCTGGGCTACTCTGCAAGTGAGTACAATTTCAGTGTGAATTTCTTTTCAGTAATTAGGAACTCAGTCCCAAGTAAAACTTTAAAGAGGCCAAGAAAAAGAGAAACGGAAAGTGAGGAGACACGAGTTTTGGATGTGAGGAATAATCCTAGTCTATCACGTGTGCTGTGCATCCCTGGTACTGCAGAAGGTATTTTATGGCAGGTGGGTAGAAAGGATTTTCCAGGAAAGGGGAGAAAAAGAGGAGGAGAAGGCAGGGGGCACACGAAGAACATGCTCTGTTTCAAAAGTGATGTCTGGTGGGACATTGACAATGGGCAAAACAGTTTTATCTGTCCGCCTCCCACATGTTTTCCTGGCAATGAGTTTGTGTTTAACTTCAGAGGGGAATTCCTTTCTCAAACAGAGACCTTGTATCATTATTTTAATTTTATTGTTTTCAGAGACTATGAAGGGCATAATAGAAAGAATCCAGGGTTTGGAGAAAGGAGATGTGTTTGATTCCTGACTTTGAGACTGATTAGTTTTTGTGATTATGGGAAAATCACTTAATCCCTCAAAGTCTCAGATTGCTCATTAATAAATAGGGATGGTAACACCTGCTTTACCCGCCTCACTGAGACGCAAGGGTCCAGGGGGAGAAAGGAGACGTCAATGTGCTTGGTCAACAGGAGAGAGCCACTTACAAATAGCTGTTTATATTATGACCAGGATGCCATTAACACGTCACAGTGTATATCTGAGTATTTCCCATTATACGTATGCACCTAGAAGCGCTGCTATGGTTTTTGTTCATTTTCTTCCTCTGGCTCTTTGCACTTTGTAGGAAAGATCCTAAGAGTTAATGCTGAATTCCTATGTGACAGAAGAGAAACAATGGAGATAATTCAGAGCCTTGTCATCAAGCTAACAAGGAGCTTCCAGGTACAAAGCCTATCAGGCTCTGATTCCATGCAAGGAAAGTCATTTTCTCCTCCTTCTTCCTCAAAAATGCATGGCTATATTCTAAAGGAACCACACACCCTGAAGTTTCATGTCTCAACCTATATTCATCCATTGGCCTGCAGTGTCTATTACCCTGACTTCTGCACCTAGAGAGCTCCATCCACCCATCATCCGCCTCTAACATTCCTCTTGCCCTTCTGCCAGCTCTGGTTGCAAGGCCCTCAGATTCTCTCAGGCATTTACCTCTTTCTTCTTCTGGCTGCAGAAAATGCCGTGTGTGCACATCTCCTGCAGCGGCTCCTCACTTTTCCCACGTCACTGACATTTTGGGAGGATCCGATAAAGCTTATGAAGCCTCTGCCCAAACAAGTGGCATGTATACCATGGGGGCTCATGGGCCACTTGGAGCTCAACTACGAATCCACGAGTGGTTTATGGCCCTCAGGTTAGAAATTCTCTCCTCTTTGGAATTTCTTTCACTGAAAGTGGATGCACCTTCTGTCTCTTATATGGTCTGTGAGAGGGCAGAGGCAATGCCAGATTTGTTTATCAGTGTTTTGGATTTCCAGTAGCAATCCCTGTGCTTACATTAAGTACATGCTTATTGGATGACTGTAAGGGAATTAGCTCCACAAGTTAGTGCAAGTCTGGTTTATAGGCCTCCTGCTTGCACAATTTCCCTGTATGAATTATTGGGCATTTATATAGAGAAAGCGCTACAAGTTGTGAGAAAAATGTCACAAACATTCACAACAAATCCTTAGGCATTAAAAATATATATTTCTAATTAATATAGGGAACAAAGAGCTTTGTGCTCTTAACATAGATAAATTTGGTTACTGATACATTTATTAACATTGAAAGTTCATTTCGAAGTGTAGATGAACACAGTATTATTTCTACTAGACATTTAGGGGATTAAAAACAATGAAATATATAGCTGCAAGTCTCAGGCACAAGCACTCTTGGCTACTACAGAGAGGCAAAGAAATTAGAAAAAAAATCCTTTTCTTCCAAAGAGACATATTCTCTTCTTGTCAAGCCCAGGTCTATTAACATGGCAAAGGAAGAAACTTCACACAGCTCCTGCTTGCTTAATGTCCACTTAGTGATAAATGGAGACCCCCCTTCTCTGGGGGTGTTAATCTAGTTTCCCCAAAGGACTTACTCGTTTGGAAAATGAGGAAAATTATGCATTGATTTAAAATGGTTCTGGAATGCAGAGGAGCGCCCCACTTTGTATGAGACAAGAATTCAGACAGTCACAGATCATCAGCAGAAGAGCACCTCAGTAAATTATCTTCCACACTTTTTCTAATTTTCATGAGCACTCCCACCCCCAACTCCCCACACACAAATAAATCACTGTGGGGAGAAATCATCAAGGGGAGTGAAAAAGATTTAACTGCTTCAGACAGGATAAAACACTACAAGACCCGCACATAGGCAAGAAGCCTGGGGGATGCTAAGCTCTGCATCCCATTATGGGATGTCAAGATTTGCATAAGGCAGACTAATGTCTCATACTTCAGTCTCGTTTCGATGTGTCAGAGAATAAATGACGATAATGTTGGAACTTCTGTTTCAAACATCAGGAGCAGAGAATAGCAATTTGCACACACCGTCCTGGAGCACATCCCAGGTTTCCATGAGTAATTCAGGGGCATTTGAGTCATTGTAAAGCATCCTGCATCTTGTCGCTAAACAATGAATGGGTAACTGCACTTGATTTGGCATAGAAACATCTGAAACCCATATGATATTGACTTAGGATGCAATTGCGTGTCTTTGAATTTTGATCTTTCATAGTTAGTTCTACCTGATATAATATTTAGAATCTTTTTTTTTTTTCTGTAGTAGAAGGGGCTGTCTGCAAGTGTTCCCTTGGAGAAATTTGCAGAGTCACATTGCTTGGTGGAATGCTAGCCCAAGAATTATTTTGTTTGTGTCGTGAAAAATGACGCCCTGGCTTCGAGAATCAGGCTTTTGTCATGAATAGCAGCTTCATGCTCGTGAAGACTGAAATGGATTGATTGGTTTGAGTACTTATTAAAATGCCTTAAGAATAAATGTTTTTTTCTTCTTAAAGAACATCTATGATAAAATATTTATAAATATTTAAATATATATTATTTAAATGGTTTGACATTGGTTTTCTTTTTTCTCTTTCTTTTTTTCTTTCTCTTTTTCTCTTTCTCTCTTTCTTTCTTTCTCTCTTCTTTCTTTCTTTCTGGGCAGTGTATTGCTCTGTGGTCTAACCTGGAGTGTAGTGGAGCAACCACGGCCACTGTAGCCTCCACTTCCCAGGCTCAAGCGATCTGCCCACCTCAGCCTCTCAAGTAGCTGGGACCGCAGGCACATGCCACCATGCCTGGCTATTTTATTATCATTATTGTTTTTTTTGTAGAGACAAGGCCTGGTTAGCTACTTTGCCAGGGCTAGTCCTGAACACCTGGGCTCAAGCGATCCTTCCACCTCAACCTCCCAAAGGGCTTGGATTATAGGCATGAACCACCATGCCTGGCTGATTTGACATTGGGATGCACTTAAAAATGATCCAGTGCCAGAGGAGGGAAATGGGCAGGAGTAGAGATGAAATAGGATGGGCCACAGAGAAGGTTCATTAATCTATTCTTTATACTTTTGTCTATGTTTGAAATTTTCCATAAGGAAAACTTGAAAAACAATTATTTTGTAAACAAATGGCCCTATGGAATAAAAGTATATTGTAAAAAAATTGTTTATAAAATACTCTCACTCCAAACTCATAATGTTCTTATTCAGAATATTTATGTAATCAAATAAAATATTTGAAATTAATAGTGACTTCCATTTAGCTTATGTGATCCTTATTAAGTAAAAATGCCACAAGAGCTAGTTCTATCAAATAGATTTGTATGTCAAACTGCTCTTTTATAGGTAAATTTTACCTCAAACAACTATTTAATAGCCACCTACTATATGCAAAGAAATACTGTACATTACAGCTTTTTTGTTGACATCATTTTTAGTACCTGTTTATAACTTATAAGCTAAGGATGCACTGTATCAGAATGTAATAAAACTGAATTTTTAAAAAATATTTTGAGTCTGATTTTCGTTAATTCGGCCTGGCTGTCTTCCACTTTCTTCTCCAGATTTCTGAGATGTACTGCATTTTTTGTCAAGACCCTGTCTTCCTGATCTTTTTCAGTGAGTAGAGAATAACATGCTCATGTGATTTCACTTTATTCTGGATAAACTCAACCAGACGCTGAGATGCCATTCAGAGCAATGGAGCACCCTAGTGGCCTAAAGGAGCCAAGGACTCTCATTCACCATTTGAATCGGGTCTCATAGTTTTTGAAACCAAGCAACTAGAAATAATTAGCATAATAATATTAGCCACATCATCACATGAGATGGAAAAAAATGTTGTGAATTAATGGGATCTTTATGTCTAGAATGGAACAGACAATTAAACATTTAGTCAATATTAATTTTAAGGGCCAAGTAGCCTAGACACTGTATCCCAGAATTATACATACCCATCATCAGTATAAAGTTCATTTGGCATTCTTGAGTTTATGGGAAAATTCTCTTCAACTAAACTCTTATGACTATTACTCGTTGCCCCTCAGTGAACAAATATTAATTTTAAAAGACTTTTTTTTTTTCTGTCTCTTTTTCTCTTGCTGTCTGAGCAGCATTGCATAGGTAGCTAGGGGAAGAGACTCTAGAGACAGAGTTACTGCACTCAAGTCATTCTCTGTCCCGCACGAGCACAGCAGCTTTGAGCAAGTAGATTAATCTCCCTGTGCCCCAGTTTTTCCACCTGTAAAATGGAGATAAGTGGAGAAGATGCCTTATAGTGTTGTGAGAATTAGATGACTCAGACAATGCCTGGCACAGTAAGCACTACAATTCCTTGCTGCAAATATTTCTTCTCAGACTGCAGTCACATCCATCATCTGCACAATCATATCTTTCTTATATGTGTGTCCACCACTCTTAGAATCTGCATGGTTTTGTATACTTCAAATTGCATATCCAAGAATCTATAGAAAATGAACTGGTTTGGGCAACATAGAATTTGTGAAATCCTACATATAAGGCTATGGAATAGTAATGGAGTAGAATTACGCAAGAAACAACCTTGCTTCCTATACACAACTCACTGTACATTATAGCACATTATATTTCAACCAGAAATAACTAAAGCAGTGAATTACTGAGCAGTTTAATCTCCTCGATGTCATTGTTCCAAACAGCCAAGGAGAACATTTTGAACCTTTCTGCAAAATTTGTGCAATAATTTTCTCCTATGAAAATTGAACAAAAAATGAACTTTAGTTAATTTAAGGACCCTGAAGGGTAAATTAGCCACACACTGTATTATTTGGTAAGAAAGCTATTTCACGGTGAAAATAAAAATGTCTTTAAGCATAAAGAAGGTAAAGTAAAAGATTTAAAACTTGAAAGAAATTCCATAAAAGTCATTGAATTCATTCAGAAGAAAATGGATTACTAACCTCAGGATCAAACTGTGTAAACTTTAATAGTCATATAACCAGCCCCAGTGCTGAGCACCAGCACTGAATGCTTTTCCTTCCATAGCTTATGTTTAACCTCTCCTACATTCTAAAAGAATGGCCTGAACTATCCATGAGAACATGATATCCGAACTTGTAAACTTATTTCCCTCATCACAGCCCATAAAGAATTATACATTTGGCCGGGCATGGTGGTTCACGTCTGTAATCCCAGCACTTTGGGAGGCTGAGGCGGGCAGATCACCTGAGGTCAGGAGTTCAAGACCAGCCTGGCTAACATGGTGAAACCCCATCCCTACTAAAAATACAAAAATTAGCCAGGCATGGTAGTGGGCGCTTGTAATTCCAGGTACTCGAGAGGCTGAGGCAGAACAATTGCTTGAACTTGGAAGGCAGAGGCTGCAGTCAGCCAAGATTGTGCCATTGCCCTCCAACAAGAGCAAAACTCCGTCAAAAAAAAAAAAAAAAGAATTATTATACACTTCTCAACTGTATAGTTAGGACTCCCATAATCTAACTACAGGGAGTTAGATTATGTACAGGGATGACCTGGTCTGGTATTGCTAAGTTTTCTATTACTACAGCAACTATGCCAAAGGCCAAAGTTGTCAATTCATGTATTTTTGAGAAAGTCATAAGTGGCTCAATCCAATCTTTTCAAATGATTGGATTTCAGAAAAGCCCACAATAAGAAAATAGAGTCTTATAATTATAGTTGAACTATGTTGTACTTGAGATTTTGATGTGTGTTCCCAAATACTGGTTAATACCACCACAGGGAAATAAAATTAGCAAATTTACACACTATGCCTGGAGGGCTCACTATAATTCTCACTATCCTCTAAGGAGTAGACTTTGGGATTTCCAAATGATGAGGTCTGTCTAGAAATTCATTAACTTCACTTCCTTGAATAGAGTCAAGAAGAACTCACCTTGTTCCTTTCTCTAGTAAAATGAGGTTCATGAGGTTTTAATAAACTTTTAGTTCTAAAAGCAAATATTAATTTGTTCATTTAATGATTTTCTCTTATCCATTTTGTTCCTTGGAATGAAACACGGTGTGTGAAATTCAAACATTCTGCTATTTAGAAGTACAATTTCATTTATTAATGGCCTATAATTAAGAAGAATCTGTTAGCTAAACAAACAATTAGCTTATTTGTCTGAAGAATAAATAGGGAGAAGGTTATTCATTCATTTTTAAAGTTTCTTAGCCTTGACCTACTTTTCACTTGTTCAGATTGCTTTCTAGATGTTCTAGTTTTTGTACCTAAAGTAATTTCGCTAATCAAATGATGAATGCTTACACATTTATGTATTTTCTTTTGGTGAAGGAGCAGGTTAATGCATGCATAAAGTGTTACTACACTGTAGGTCAAAGTTTACTTCCAATCCTACCACTTAACCCTAAGGAAGATATTTAACCTCTCCACCGTGAAGTTTTCCAAGTATGAAATGAGAATGCCCACAGTTGCCATCTACCCTGTGTTACCAGTAGAGGGTCTTGACTACAAGTTGTCCAGGTTCTTGGCGTTTTGAACAAAGAATCGGAAAAAACACCCAGCAAAGTAAAGAAAGAATGAAGCAACGAAAGAATGAAAGCAGGGATTTAACGACAACAAAAGTACACTCCACAGTGTGGGATTGGGCTGGGCAGCAGCTCAGGGGCGCAGATACAGAATCTTCTCGGGTCCAAATACCCCCTAGAGGTTTCCCATTGGCCACTTCATGCTCACCTCATGTAAATAAAGTGGTGGCCTCCAATCAGAGGCTGAAGTGAAGTTAAAAGATCACACTCCTGTGCAAACATCTGATTGGTTGCAAAAAGCAATGGAACAGAGGCTAAGGTGAAGTTATAGAGTTGCATTTGTACACAAAGGAAGACTCTGCCTGCAGTAAGTCTGACTGGTTGCGGACAGCCAATTTCCCATCTGTGGTGCAGAAAAGGTGGGGGTTTGCAGAGGGAGTAGCCTTGGGTCCTTTTGTTACTTAGGCATGGAAAATTATGATTTTCCTTTCAATTTAGTTCTAGGGAGTCGACATGAAAGGGCCTTAGGTTCCCTGCCTCCAGACCCTATCCTCCTGCCTCACCTGGAGGCGAGTGGGGGATCCAGTGCCATCATGATGGAAGAGACTGGTTATAATTTTCCTTAAGGAGAAGATCCTTTTCATCAATGAACTTCTTCCCCAAAATACACACCATTGAGAAAACATTTTGGTTTTGTATACAAACCTTAACATGTCTTTTGGAAGAGGAAGACATTCTTTGTGATTAAAGGAATCTGTGCAAAAGCAGTGCCTTTGGCACTGAGGTCGTGTCATCTGAAGGAAGAGCCATGTGGTTAGCCAGTTACAAAAGACTGGCAAAAAACGTCGTCATGAAAATCTTATTTTGCCAGGTACATTCTTCTACAGGGACACAAAATAAATGTTTTTGAATGCAGGCAACAGCCTGTCATGGAGCTCACTTGAGTGGACTGATTTCCACCTGCAAACCCCACTGTGGGCTGAGTCGCTGGATGAGAAAACACAGATAACGGGGCTGCGTTAGAGTGCTCCTTGGATGGCATACGACCAGAAGAAAAGCAGTTCATCCCAAACAGCCCACAGCCGAGTGGCATTAAGCGCAGGGTAGTAACTGGCTAGGTCAACATCCCAGACACCGCCAGGCAAAGCTAGATGGATGGCAAACCGCACGCTCGGGGATTAGCTGTGAACTGTACATCAAACGGAAATCGGCGATAGAAACATACACAAAATACCACTTTCACGTTATAAGGAAAAAATATTTTTTTAAAAAAAGAAATTAGTAGCTAACATTTAACCTTGCTCTGTCGAACATTTATCAAGTTATAATTTATTAAATCCAGTTGCGGTCTGCGTCTTTCTATATCACGAGCCTTTCCTATCATATTCTGCAATATGGAAATATTAATTCCTACCTATTTGGTCACAGTGGGTGTATACGATTTTTTTTTAAAGCTGATATCTGCTCTGAACGACCACGGCCATCACCTGAAACTTTACTATTTCACATCTGCGCAGACACGGATGTACACAGGTGCACGCAAGCACAGCGTCCATGCAAAAGGAGTGGGGGGATGTCTGCTCCGCTTACCTTCTGCTTCCCTGATTTTTCTTCCCGCCGCGGATTTCCGAAGCACACTCCTCCCCGAGTTGAAGAGGCTGGCGAGCTCGTCCAGGGGGCTGCTGAGAGGCCTGGAGCTGGGAGGGCTGTAGGGCGCGGGGGGCGAGGCACTGGAGCCGGCCTTCCTGGCGTCCGCCCTGGTGGCCTTCACGGGGGAATATGGGATCTTGGGGAAGGAGCTGCAGGGCCCGGCCACGGGGGCAGAGTTTGGCTTTGGGTGAACCTTGGGCGCCTCTGCGCTCGGCCCCGCTTTCCCCGCGTTCACCGGGGCGGGCTCCGGCGGGAAGGCCAAGTGCGCGCAGGGCCTGTAGGGCGCGGGGGGCGGCCCGGGCGGGGGCGGGGGCGGGGGCGGCGTGGACGGCGGGGAGGCTCGGCCGGACCCGTTGAACAGCGCCAGGCCGGGGGACGCGGGCCTGTCGCCGTCGCCCTTCTGGCTCTTGGAGTACTGCGGGGACAGCGGGCTCGACCCCTCCGGCTGCACGGGGTACTTGAGGTTGGTCTCCAGGACTGGCAGCTTCTTCACCTCCAGGGGTGTCAGGGGCGACTCGTCGGAGGCGGGGGAGCAGGTGACGGGGGTCGGGGGGAACACCAGCAGGGGCGGCCGGTGCGGCAGCAGGTTGGGGAAGGGCGGCGGGATGTCGCACGCGTCCCCTGGGGGCCCCGCCGCCTCGTCCTCCGGCGCGCGGTGGAGCAGGGGCGGCGATGCGCCGTGGAGCAGGAAGGAGCCCGCGCCCGGGCCGCCGTCGTCGGGCAGGCAACACTTCATCTCCTCGTACACGGACTCCCCGGGGTCCGGGCTATCGGGCCTGGCCGCGTGCCCCAGCATCTCGATGTACACAGGCTCGCTGTCGTCCTCGTCACCCGGAGGCGCCGCCGGGGGCAGCGCGCACTGCGGAGTCCCGGGGGTCAGAACGCGCGCTGCTGCCCCCGGGGCGCCCGCGGGCCTCGCGTCCCCGGGCCGGGACCCCGATATCTCCTCGTAGGAGCCGCTGAGCTTGGTGTTGGGGCTGCGCTTGGGCTTTCGAGGAGGAATCTTCTTCATGGTGCTGTAGTCGTCGCTGTGCGGTCTGGGCCGGGCCAGAGCTGCGGCAGGAAAGGACGCGGTCAGTGGGTGCCAGGCCAGGCCCACGGGTGCCCACCAAGCCCGGGGCTCGACTCGGAGGGAGCCACGGCCCCGTGCCCCGAGAATCCCAAGGGACCGGGCCTGCATGTTCCTCCACCCACTAGGCTCCCTGGCTGAACCCGAACTCCTGAGACCACCCCCAAGAAAAGAGAGTTTTGATCTTGGAGATGGAAGAAGACTCCCACCCTCTGAGGAGGTTGTCCAGTGGAACGTCAAGGGGTTCCAGTGAGGAAGGAGACCACCACTTCTGCTGCTACCCACCCACCCCCCTTGCCTAGTTTATAAGACAGGAGAAAAAGGAGAAAGCAAAAAGTTAAAAAGAAACAAAAGTAAAATAAATAGCCAGACGACCTTGGTGCCACCACCCGGCTCTGGTGGTTAAAATAATAATAATAATAATATCAACCCCCGACCTAAACTACTTGTGTTATCTGTAAATTCCAGACTTTGTATGAAGAAGCATTGTAAAATTTTCTGTTCTGTTAGCTGATGCATGTAACCCCAGTCACGTTCCCCACCCTTGCTCTATCTATTACGACCCTTTCACGTAGACCCCTTAAACTTGTAAGCCCTTAAAAGGGCCAAGAATTTCTTTTTCGGAGAGCTCAGCTCTTAAGACGCAAGTCTGCAGAAGCTCCCGGCCGAATAAAGCCACTTCCTTCTTTAACCTGGTGTCTGAGGAGTTTTGTCTGTGGCTGGTCCTGCTACACCAGGATGTCAGCCACCCATGGAGGCTGCGGAGGTGCGGTCCCTGGAGATGCAGTGGGGAAGTGACACTCAGGGATCAGGTGGTGGAACACACTTAGGTGTGGATTCTTAGGACCTAACAGGTGTGACATAAGGTATGGGTTGAACTGGTCCTTATGATTTGAAACCCAGGAGACCTGGCCAATTAACTATTAATAGTTAGTGGCATATGAAAGCTTACTGTCGGAAATGGGTAAGCGTGATTATTTAAATGATGTGAAATGGGCTGGGTGCAGTGGCTCACACCTGTAATCCCAGCTCTTTGGGAAGCCGAGGTAGTCGGATCATGAGGTCAAAAGATAGAGACCATCCTGGCCAACATGGTGAAACCCTGTCTCCACCAAAAATACAAAAATTAGCCGGGAGTGGTGGCGGGCACTTGTAGTCCCAGCACTTTGGGAGGCTGAGGTGGGCAGATCACTTGAGGTCAGGAGTTTGAGACCAGCCTGGCTAACATGGTGAAACCCAATTTCTACTAAAAATACAAAAAATTAGCTGGGCGAGGTGGCACGCGCCTGTAGTCCCAGCTACTCGGGAGGCTGAGGTTAGGAGAATTGCTTGAACCCAGGAGGCAGAGGATGCAGTGAACTGAGATTGCACCACTGCACTCCAGCCTGGCGACAGAGTGAGACTTGGTCTCAAATTAAATAAATAAATAAATAAATTAAATTAAATTAAATAAATGATGTAAAATGGACAAAACAAAAACACTTGTGTGGATGGAGAGACTTTAAAAAAGGACTTTGTTCAAATGTCAGGGAGGACAGGTTTTACAATCAGTACATTTCAATCCTTAACAAAAACACATACTCAACAGGGAAACCAAGAGAATAACATTTCCCTAAGAACTTTTCAAGGGGAAACTTCTGACGTTGAAAAAAGAAGCCATACTCAGAAAAACAAATGAGCATAATATTATTACAAGAGTGAATTTCAAAAGAGATGGAACAAAACTACTTAAATATAAGTTTAAAACAATTGAAAATTAAGTCAAAAAAGAAATTCCACAAGACTTCTTTTTCTAATGCTTTTACTGTAAATTATAATAATGTTTTATTAAATAAATATAATTTCACTGATAACAGAGATGTTAATTTTAGAAAAATTACCTCCAGTCTTAGAAATACCCAAACTCCCAAATCTTCAATTATTTTACTAAGTTGGTATTTTCTGTATCTGCAGGAATTCTTGATAGGGGCACATCTGCCTTTGTTGAGTTCTTGAGTTATTTAACTGAGGCAGCTGTATTCTTCCCTCTCTATGACTGCACATTTTGACATCAGTCTCTGTACCCAGTTTCTGGGAGACAATGAAGTCTAATGGTTAAAATTAAAGCTTTGGAATCAGAGGGATCTGGGCTCAAATCTCAGCATGACCTTTTATTCATTCATTCAGTCATATGCATTCAACCAGTATTTACTGAGATAAATTCATGAATAAAGAGAAGTTCCCTGCCCTCCTCTACCCTAGTGGGAACAGTCATACAACAACAAAAAAGGAAATACACCAAATGAGTGAGTTCTACAGTATGTTAGAATGTGATGCAGGCCTTGAAGATGAGAACCAACAGGCCAGGGTGAGGGTCACAGAACTGTGTGTGTTTGTGCTGGGCTTGGTAGGGCAGGGTTGTAATTTGAGAAGAGCTCCTGGGCAAAGCTCTCTGAGCCTTAGGGTTTTCATGCACAAAATGGTGATATGAGTATGTATCTCGAAGGAATAAAATAGATATTGTAGGGAAAGTGCTTCGCTCAGTTCTCAACACACTGTAACCAGAAAACAATGGGAATCATTCAAATGGGAATGGAAAAGAACAAAGGTAATTTTTGAACTCAATGGACATCTTTCTAAGTCAGTACTATACAGGGTTCCCCAAAGCAGCCAACTTTTAAGAATAGAAAGTACCCAAAGTGTGCAGTTCTCTAATTAATAAGCATTATTCCAGTTACTTTCAATGGGCTAAAACATAGCAGCCCCTGAGCTTCTAGAAAGTGAATGAAGCAACCCAATTTTTAACATTAAGATTACAGAGTTGCTCTGAAGATATGAATAATTTAAAGGATTTGTAAGAGATTGTATTTTCCAAAGCTGGCTTCAATAATATTTTCAGCGCCACATGCTCTTCCAGAATCTGGAATCGGGGAGGGTCTCTGTCTCTGCCCCAGTGAATACAATGATTAGAAGATGATGTTGCCTGCTTTCTAGGGCTGGGACAATGACAATACAGCCTCTGCCTGGCCCCCTCCTTCCCTTGGGACACATGTCTAGGTAGCCCTGACTTCCATGTACAGGCCTGTACACCCTGAAGCAGCCATGCTGTGGGCACTGTAGAGAGGCTACGTGGAGGTGAGGGAGAGCCAGAGGACTCCTATCTGCTCCAGCCCTCAGCTGTCTGGTTTCCCATCCCAGACACCAGAGATGTAATTGACTATGACTTCCAGTGATCACTATCTGACTGCAGTGATGAGAGAGGCTCCTTGAGAACTGCTCAGCAGAGCCCAGCGAAATACTAGAACCATGAGAGATATAATAACCTTTTCTTTGGTGTCTTAAGCTACTAAGTTGGAGAGGTTTGTTACATAACAATAGACAAGTCATAAAAACATTGGTACCTGGAAGTGGACTGCTGCTGTACAAACAAAAACAAAAACAAAAAAACCTTAAACTCTTTGAAGTTGCTTTGGGACATGGGAGGAGCTTTGAAGGGACCATCAGGGAAGCGTGGTGGCCTCAAGAAAGCTCTTGATGAGGCCTAAAGAACAGTGAGGAAGATGCTGGAAGCTGAAGGGAACACAACACTTCAGCCACAGTACAAAGTTTAGCAATAGTATCTC
This sequence comes from Homo sapiens, assembly GCF_000001405.40. NCBI lineage: Eukaryota > Metazoa > Chordata > Mammalia > Primates > Hominidae > Homo > Homo sapiens. The sequence continues at coordinate 109,136,645 of NC_000013.11, read as the reverse complement.
ACCTACAGTCATGTGGAAAATAGAAAACAGAAAATGAACAGGGTGACATAGCTAAGGAGATTTCCAGGCAGTGTTAAAGTTGCCTCCTGGATTCTTCTAGCTGCCTAGAGTAAATCATGAGGATACAGAGATAAAGTAAAGAAAGAACTATTCACTATAAAGGAACAAGAACCTTCTGAGTTTAAAAATAAAATGGTCCTCACTGCCAGGCTCTTCAGATGGCAAATAATTTGAATGTTAAGAAATGACTTCCAGGCAGGCACAGTGACTCATGCCTGCAATCCCATCACTTTGGGAGGCCGAGGCGGGCAGATCACAAGGTCAGGAGTTCAAGACCAGCCTTTCAACAATATGTTGAAAACTGTCTCTACTAAAAATACACAAATTAGCCAGGTATGGTGGCACGTGCTTGTGGTCTCAGCTACTTGGGAGGCTGAGGCAGGAGAATCACTTGATCCTGGGAGGTGGAGGTTGCGGAGAACCAAGATTGCGCCACTGCATTCCAGCCTGGGCAACAGAGTGAGACTCCATCTCAAAAACAAAAAAAGGAAGGAAGGAAGGAAGGAAAGAAGGAAGGAAGGAAGGAAGGAGAAAGAAAGAAAAGAAATGACTTCCAAGCAGAAATAAAATTCAGGGAATTTTCAGAAAAACATGATCTAAAGATGAAGTCAAGCACACACTTATGAGACCCTTCATGAAGTACACAGAAAAAATCAAGGAGGGGCTTCATAGGTCTTTTCAAGGAAGCAAAACCACAGGTCTTCTAAGAATATCAAGGGCACTGACCCACGGAAGTACTCAGTGAGCTTCCAGATAGAGAAGAGATTATCTCAGAAAGATTTGTGGGTGTGGCTTTTGACTAATCAGGTGGATTATGAATTGATTCACAAGAAAGTCACAAAGCTTTTAAATGAATGTTATCAGTTTACACTGAAAGGAGCAGCCTGAACACAAAAATGAAGAAACTTTGGTCTCTCAAAATTTTGGCGAGGTGCAATGTGAGCCTGCAGTCCCAATTGCTCCAGAAGCTGAACAAGAGAATCACTTCAGGCTAGGAGCTCAAGGCTGCAGTGCGTTATGCTCATACCTGTGAATAGCCACTGCACTCCAGCTTGGACAACATAGCAAGACCTCACCTCTAAACAACAGCAACAACACAACCCTGATAAGGAAGAAGCAGGCTGAAAAAACTACTAGCCCCAAACATAAGTCACCTCTTGTGGATTGGGAATTATTAGTCAAAAAGTGGGGAACCAAGATTCCAGAACATAGACCTAAGAGCTACGGAAAATTATTTCCAGCCTGGGAACTGGACTAAATCCTCATGAAGGCATAAGCAACATGCATCCAGCTCTTGTTCATCCTCATGAAGGCATAAGCAACATGCATCCAGCTCTTGTTCACAACTGCTACCCACCAATGACCACTGTGTGTCGCCTGATCTCCCTCCTGTGTCTGAGCAGAAGCATGCATCAGTTATTCTCTACCTGTCCCTCTGATGCATTTTGCTTGTGTGGGGGGATCAGGCAACTTGTCTTTTTAGGCCACAAGTCTTCAGTTAGAAGAGGACACACTTGAGGCGCTGTCTCTCTCAGGAATCGTACCGGAGGCACCGGCACATGTGGATCTGGTTTAGACGATGCGATCTGGCCCTTGAACCTGAGCCAGATGAGATGATGAAGGAGGCTTTGGGGAGTCTGGGGTAGGGGTGAGTATAGTTTGTATGACAGAGGGATACAAATTGTTTTGTCCAGAGGGTGGACTGATACAGATGGTACTTTCCAACACCTTGGCCACCACAGTATATCCTTTCCAGAGGTAGAATCTGTTTCTCCTTTCCTAAACCTGGTTTGGTGTTTGGGACTGAGGTGATGGAAGGAACGTGGCAGAAGGGAGTTTGCTCACCTCCCAAAACTGGCTCCCTGAAAGCGATGCTGCATCTACTGCTTTCTCTCTCCCAAAGCACATGCCCCTGAAGCACTGACTCTCCCTGTAAGAAGTTGGATACCCTGAAGCTGTCATGCTGCCCAGGCAATGCAGAGAGACCACACAGACAGAGAGAGACACCCAAGGAGTCACAGTCCTCAGATGGCTGAGGCACCAGACATGCCCGTGACCAGCTTTCAGATGATTCCAGCCACCTTGCTGCATGAAGGACCGAGAGTGACAACTGCTCCAGTGATCTCTGTTGACACCCAGAGCCTGAGAGGGATAGTAAAACAATCACTACTTTATGTAAACCTGTAAGTTCTGGGTGGGTTGTTATGCAAAAACACATAACTGGTACAGTATTCCCTCAAAGTTTGATTCAGATGCGGTGAAGAGCCTTTTTGCATTAAACAATTATAAATAAAAGTAGCATGTTTGTTGGGAGGCTGTTGAGAACCTGACTCAAGGGTCCAAACTTGCCTATGTGACACAGGACAAGTTACACCATTGATCAGTGACTTAATGCCCTTCTCTACATAGGGTCATGATGACAGTCCTACTAGGTAGGGCTATTCTACAGATGAAAGATACTTAGCTTAATGCCTGCACATGATAAACATCACTAAGTATCCATCATGATCGACATTATCACCGCTACACAACCAGAAACTTACTGTGAGAGATAGAACTGTTCCTTAAAGTGTGGTCTGGGGTTCAGTAACATCAGATGACTAGAGTGCATTATCCTGTTCTACTCCATAACAATTAAAATGGAACCTCTGGGGGTCAGAACTGGAAATATTCATTCTTTATAAACTGAAATTAGAAAACCACAGTTAACAAATTAAAGTCTAATTTGGTTTGTGGCTACTTCCGGGTGTGTGTGCATGTGTACACGTGCTAAAAGTTCATTTGCAAATACTGGTTAGAGGGTTATTAAAAATGAATTTACATCAAGAGTTTTCTTATTTTTTTGTTCTAATATTGATGCATAAAATGTTTGCAACTACTTGATAAAGTCAATGAGATGAAGTAGGGAAGACAGTCCATGATCACAGAATACTTTTAGGGCAGGTTCTGGGATCCTAACAGTAGCTTAGGAGTTAGACTACATTCTGAAGCCATCTCATTACATCATAAAGTTGCCTCTTATCTGAACTGCTGCAGAATGATACGGACATGTGTGTCACGTTAGGAGATCAACATTTTCTCCTACAAAGTATTTTCCATTTGGTATTTTTGCTAAGGCATGTCGGTGACTTTTAAGTCATCTTCTGTGCATAAGTTATTTGGTCCCATTCTCACAAGAACAAAATACCTGCATAGTTAATCTATGAGAAAAAGGAGGAATGAGATGCTTGTTCATCCAAAATAAACAGTGTCTGCGTGTGTAACTCTCCTCCATTTTCCAACACTTCTAGTGTGGTTGTGCTAGTTTCAGAGCGAAAGCAAACATAGCACAGAGCACAGGACCTAGGACAAAAAAGATGCTTAATTAAGTGCCTGCTAGCTGACTGCTGAGGCTGCGTACATGAGTGGATGTAGGATAGATTTACAACCAGCTGCAAAATGGACAGAAAGGACTTCTACTGAGCTGTCATATGTCGCAACTTTGTTATAACTTTTCTTTCCTGGTGGGAGGAGCGGTTCAGGCAATACCATTGCCTTCCATGCCCCCATCTTTTACCCTCTTGACTGCACTACTGCACTCGATGCTGTTGGCATGCCCTTCCTGAGCCTTTCGCAGTTTCCACGGAGGGCAAGGCACTCTGTGGCCCAGTGTGCACCCATCACGTCCTCACTGCTGTGGTTGTGCTTCCCCTATAATTTGTTTGACCACTTATCTCTCCTACTGGTCTGTCAGATCCTCGGGGAGAATCCAGGCTCATGGAAGACACTTAATTACTATTTGTTGGATGTACAACTGCGTCATAGGTGGTGAACTGTGCAATTGTGTTCTGTTATTCCCAGTAACACATTTCTCAGAAGAGCAACACAGAAGACCTAATTTCTGTCCATTTAAAATTTTTTTAAAGGGCTTCTGTTAAAAATATGCAGACAAATCTAGCCTTGACACATTTCAAGGGTACTTCTCGAACCTTGCCAAATTGTGCTCCCTCTCATATACCGATAGGAAGCAAATTCTCTTTTAATGAAGAGAGTGTAGAGAAATAGATTTCTGTAACATGTATTCACTTGGTAAGTATTTGATGAGTGCTTACTATGTGACACATGTTGTTCTAGAATGAAGACAGAAACAAGAGAGTAAAGAAAAGACATATTATTTCCAAATTAAGCCACAGAGCTGAGCCATGATTGTGTCTACACATGTAAACTGTGTTTTGTGGAGAATGCAGTTGTACAGCAATTTTGGAAAAAACAATTATGGTTTCATTAAGGTATGATCCCCAAGGAGGGGACAGCTGGAGTCTGAAGGGAGGGTGAGTGTGGAAGCATCAACATAGAACGGTGAACAGTGAGGACTAGAGCTGCCTGAGAAAAGCTTGCTTCTGCAATTTCACCTTGAGCAACCGTCACTCCAAGCCAGGCACAGCACCACTGACATCATGACTTAATTGCAAGTCCCACATCTTAGGATTTAGTATCCATTTCACAGATGAGGAAACTGACTGTCAGAGGCTTCATTAACAACAAAGTTATATGCATGTAACTTTGCTGTGCGCTTGCTACGTCCTGGGCAATGAGGCTTTACAGTCCTTTGCTTCTTAACTCCCCAGAAATAGCCCTTGCCATGTCTCGGCTGTTGCTGCTACTTGACATACATGGGCTTGGAAAGACTGAGTCACTTCTTCAAAGTCACACGCATGAAATGCAGGCTTATATTTAACTTCAGTCAGGAGACAATTCGAGAGAATGTTAACCGTCTTTGGGAGAAAGGCTGCACCCGGTGTGTGAGGAATGAACTCTGCAGAACAGCACTCCAGCTGGGAGGCCCCAGCCAAGAGGAAGTGAAAACGAGGCCCTATCTTTCCTTTCCTAGCCACTATTTGCAAAGAGCAACTGCAGGCTTTTATTCAATGGCAAAAACCACAATTCCTTTTGCACTGACCTAACAAAAACATAGTACTTTTAAAAAGTTGTCTCAGCAACATGGCACATGCATACATATGTAACAAACCTGCACGTTGTGCACATGTACCCTAAAACTTAAAGTATAATAAAAAAAAAAGTTGTCTCTAGCTTGCTGGTAGTTTGCAAAGAAGTGTTAACATTTATTGGCCTGCAAAATTGTTTCACGCTTTTGAGGCACAAAGGAAATGAGAAAAAATTGCTCTCTGTACTGTTTTCCTTCACCACAACCATTTTTATTGGGTGAAGACCTACCAGGAAAGACATATGCTAGTAAGAACAAGAATAAATACAAAGACAACTTTGAAGTGACCGTGGTGCTGGTCACCCTACAATCCTTGGCCCTTGGTCTCCGATCAGATCTCCTTTCACTCTGTAACCATCTGAATTGATTCGCAGCTTTATTTGTAAAGGAAAAGAACTTGAACTTGATTTTTTAACATGCCAAAAAGGATGGCTCAGGTACAAAACCAACTTCAGCCGTAGTCCTTGATCCTGCGAAACCAAGGTTCACCAAACATTTTAGAATAGTGATCAAATGGTCTTCCTATCTTTTGACAGAAAGGAGAATAATTTTGTGACACGTTACTAGATGCAAAAAATTCAGTATCACCGCTTGGTAGACACACAAAGCATTTAGAATCAGGGTTGTCTAAGAGAAGCTTCGGTGATGATGGAAAAATTCTACCCCTGTGGCTACTGAGTACTTGGAAAGTGACTGATGATGGAGGAATGAAATTTAAAATTGTATTTAATTTTATTTACTCTAAACTTAATTGGCTACGTGTGCCTAGTGGCTACTGCATTGAACAACAAAGACTTAGATTATACTCGGATTGTGTTGGACTGAGGGAGATGTCTAACATGCTAGGATCAATTTCATCACTGTCCTAACTCAACCACCTTCAGCTCCTGACATAATGGCACAGAAGGGACCAGAACCCTGTCTGACAGCTGGCTTATCACGTGTGGGTGGAGCTACCTTTGCGATCATGGATTACAAACCCAGACCACTGACAGACTGAGTGGCTAAGCTCCTGCGCTTGCCCTCTCTGACTCCCTAATGCTGTAAAAACTAATCAGCAAGCATGCTCAAGCAGCTTAAGCTGGTTAATTGTCTTATTCTTAAAAATATACAGTATTGAGAGCACATGCCAGAATGCAGAAATACATCTCTAGTTGCAGGAGATCAAAGACTTTCTTTTTGTGGTGGTGGTTGTAAAGTAACCAGCATGAAGAATTATGTACTGTAAGAAAGAACAGATAATGTAGATGGTAAAAAGGAAACAATGCATACACTTGCCCTTTGACAAGCTTCTGAAAGGTCTGCTCACCAGGGTGCGACACAGTGGACCAAACGCATCTCTAAGTACCTTATAGTCACATATGAGACAAAATTAGGATCCAAGAAACTAAATTTTACATAAATATCTTGCATGCCTAATGCTATCACATGATGTATTTTGATAGCATGTAATAAGGAATTTAAGAGTTATGATAGCTGTCTTCTTTATTAATCTTTTTTGGGGTCACTTTGCTTTCATATTATGTGTGTGTATAGATATATACATATGTGTGTGTGTGTGTGTATATATATCTCCTATGGTTCCTAACTTTTATTTTAATTGACTTTTTTTTTTTTTTTGCTGCCCATAGGAGAGAGCTCTCTGAGGTCAGCTTCTTCCTATTTGATCCCCCTTCATAACATGTGACAAAGTGGTCCCCTCATTACTCCAGGGCAGTGGTGTTTTAAGGTGCACACAAACCTTTAGCTTTTTCTAGATGTTACAAGGTATTCTGAAGCCTATTTATGCAACTTTCTAGAGCCTGTTTGCAGGGTTCAAGCTCGGATGGGGCTCCATTCTGTACTTGCTGCAATTTTCAATCACATTTCATTACTGTTTTTTCAATGTCTGGTACTATCTGGAGTCTTAATTTCGTACCCTCTCCATCTTATCGGTCTTAGCATTTTAGATACCATCTTCCTCACGCAAGCTGCCAAAAATCTTTCTTGTTATTCTAATCACACCTTTTTGAGATATGGGCCGCAAATCTAACATGGAGGCCTGAAAGTAGGAACAGTGGCAACGGGACACTCCCCGCTTTCTCAGGGAGGGTGCTGGTGGCTCCCTCAGATCCTGGGCTTCTCCTGGTATATGTGGCACCGGGGGAGAATGCCTCATATCTTTGGAGGTCCTGTTCTAATTTATATCTAAGCCCACGTCAATGTCCACTTTGAAGACTTTCCTATGGACGATCTCATCTAATGTCGTTTTACAGATTTTCTTGTTGTCCTTATCACCAGGACTCTAAAGACAAACATTTGGACTCTCCTCCCCATAGTCTTAGGAATTTCTCCTCTGCTTTGATCTAAGCATTGTTGAAACATGGCTGATATACTAAGACAGTAACTTTTTGTAAGTGAAAAATATCCTAAAGGTCTATTCTTTCTTAATGCCACTAATAAAAAGCACTTTGAAGAGTGTACAGCATGGTGACAATAGTTAATGACAATATATTGTATTCTTAAAAAATGCTAAAAAAAAAAAAAAAAAGGCCTGGCGCAGTGGCTCATGCCTGTAATCTCAGCACTTTGGGAGGCCAAGGCAGGCAGATCACTTGAGGTCAGGAGTTCAAGACCAGCCTGGCCAACATGGTGAGACCCTGTCTCTACTAAAAATACAAAAATTAGCTGGGCGTGGTGGCAGGCACCTGTAGTCCCAGGTACTCCGGAGGCTGAGGCAGGAGAATCACTTGAACCCCAGAGGCGGAGGTTGCAGTGAGCTGAGATTGTGCCATTGCACTCCAGCCTAAGCAACAAGAGTGAAAGTCCGTCTCAAAAAAAAAAAAAAAAAAAACTAAAAAAGTGGACACTAAGTGCTCTCAGCACAGAAATGATAGCTGTGTGAGGCATGGATTTGTTAATTTGCTAGATTTAACCATTCCACAATGTACATATACTTCAAAACAACATGTTGTTCATGACAAAAACATACAATTTTATGTCAATTAAAAATAAATTTGAAAAAAAAAAAGAAGTTGGCTAGGATGGACTTACTGCTTCAGTCCTCTGCCCCATGTCTTCCTATTATCTTCTTGGTGTCAGTCATCCCAACGTTTGAGCTTATGGATTTGCTGTGTTTTTGTATTTGGGGTCATTTATTTACTGAAGGAACTGTGTTTCATCTTATGTTCTCAGATATTATTTTCTAGCGAGTTCTACCCAGCCGTTTCATTTAGAATCTCAACCTCTCTTCCATCCTGTACTACTACCCTGGGTCTATGTATTTCTCTCAGCAGCAACAATCCAGTTCTAAAGTATTTACTGTTGTATTATGTTTACCATCTGTTTTGCCGCACTAGAATGTAAACTCCATGAAGAAAGAGACAGACATGCCTAGAATAGAGCCTGATGCATAGCGGGTGATCAATAGAATCTGTTAAATTCTAAGTGTTCCGCTAAGAAGCACTTCCTTTATTTTTCACCATTCTTAAAATTAATATTTAAACAGTAATTGTCTCATTACTGATCTATGAGATCTGGCTGAGAAGAAACTGCTATGTTCCCTTTTGAGCATCCCTGTTTCTAGACAATGGATGCAGAAACTTTTATAATCTAGTCTCAAAAGTTTTCCTAACAGAAGTTTCCTGCACGATGACTCTCCTATGGGTAAATAATTTCACTTATCATATGATGAAGCAGTCTTAATTTTTTATTAGATTGTGATAACTGGAATGCCTGAAGCAGTTTTTTTTTTTTTTTTTTTACTTTCTCATTGGTGAACCTTTACATGGAATAGCTGCCGACTTTCTGAATTGATTTGATACTGCTCTTTGGAGGCAGGGTGGGGATGGGAGTTAAGGAAATGCCATGTAAGTAGCTTTTCCCTAAGAGGCTTAGAGATTTGAATAAATATTATTTATATTTAATGATTAAGAGCTGCTGGCAAGCCAACAATTGGATTTATTTCTATTAAGAATACATTAGGGCGACAGTACTGCCATGGGCGCCCCAAGGCGAAGTCAGAGCATGCGCGAGCCCGGAACACGAGGCTGGGTCCCTCCCCAGGGCTGACCTTCGTTGGCCGCTTCCCTGGCCGCGGAGAGGCAGGCGCTCACAGCCTCATAGGAAGCACTCAGCCGGGTGTTGGGGTCCCTCTTTGGCTTGGGCGGGGGCTGTTTCCGTGGAGACGGGAGGCTGCTGCTGTCATCCATGCTGAACACCGAGTGCAGCGAAGGAGACCAGATGGACGGGCCAACGAGGCACTGGCCCAGGCCATCCACGGCCGCGCAGACTGACATGGAGCTGGGGTGGAAATGCCTGGGTCCACTCTTGTCATCGGTTCTTAGGGGGAAACAAAACACAAACAGCACCACGCCAGAGAGGCCCAGATGCATTATTCCGGTAACAAGGAACCTGCTCAAGCAGACATAATGACGGCTTTTTGGCAAGCAGCCCTTCCTGCTGTGGCTGGAGGACGTGTGCAGCCCTCTGGTGACCAGTTGGTCCAGAGAAGGCCACCCGTCCTCTGGCTCCGGCTTTGTGATGAAAAGCACATGAGCCCGCGGGATATCCATCATGATTACTTTTTAAACATTCTCACACAAACGCAACACTACTTAAGGGCCTTCGCATTTTCCATCAGGCACTCACTGAATGAATTCTTCACACTCTGATTATTAAGCAAATCAAAAAACCAGAATTTCAATCTGAATGATAATTTCTGGCAAATCCATCTTAATAGAGAGTTACTGATGCATCAAATGCTGGGAGTTCATCACCATTTCCCCTCGCAAGAGGATAGACTCTACTTAAAACTCTCAGAAATTTACATTTCAGTGTTCTCCTTCTCCCCATTACTCTCTTTCTTGCCTCTTAAATTCTACCAGAAATTATTTAATTATGTGCAGAGCTATTATTTCTCCTCCTTGACTCCATATGGTTGTCCAGTGCCAAGTAAACTGCTGGTATTCAGTAAATAAACAGACAAATACTTCTTCACTTAATTTTGTATCAGGAAAATACATACATAATCAAATTGAGAAATTGGGGTGGCCGTTTAGTTCCAGCAGAGAAAATAATAAATATTATTTTGGAAGTCATATAAAATTAATAGTTATCTTGCTTAAAAAAACTTCTTCTGGCTTCGCATGTCAACGTAATCATGTGCTAGCAAGATGCCAATGCATTCATTCTACAAGGAGTTTCCAAGCGTTTGTTTTTATAATTATATCTTTCTGTGGCAGAACACCAACAGGGCTAGAATCTACCACAAGGCAGAGCCAGCCGCCCATGTAGAAAATGAAATAGCTGAAGATGAAAGCATGGCACTCAGTGGATAATTTGTTTTTCCTGTAATGTTTAATTACAGTCTTTTTTTCTGTACAAAGGGGATTTTTTTCAGTATTTAATCACTGAGATATTTGAAGCTAATTAACAAGATACACATTGCCATTTCCACTTTAATAAAAAAAAATTGACATCGGCAGAAATGGGAAAGGAGAGTCATTTTCAGTGAGAAACAACAAGATATTACCAAGTTTCTATAGCAAAACAAACATCTCCCTGACGATGAATTAAGGTCCAAAGGAAGCAGCTCCTTGCCCTCCCTCTTAGGGGTGTTGTGATTCACGGGTGTCTTCATCATTCACAGAGAGAGGAGAGTGATCAAATGGAGAGGGACCAGGTGATCGTCACATTTCTGTTTTAAGCTAAGCCTCTAAAGTGAACTTTTAAATACAAAGCTTTCCCCAAAGCTTGCTTTATTGGTAAAGAGAGACGTGACAGTTTACACAGGGATATATAATACACTTACAATCTATCTATTGAGTTCACTTCTTCCATGTTTTCAGAGTGGTATCTCCATTTTTTGGGTCAGATTTCCAGAAGTTTCTATAAGCCAGCCTTATATCCGTAACGCTTGTGTAAAAATGTCAACAGCCAAGCTATATATTTTTGCTAATACAGAAACAGTAAATGCTTTAGAACTAGAGTGTGCTTGAGGTAGTTAAGTGACACAAGCATGGCAGGAGAGGCAGTCATCATCACATATGAATGAAGGAACACAGAAAGCCTTGAACTCGTGAGAAGACAGCACAGGAAAGCATCTTTTTAGACTGCTGCCATTTCGAATAACAAACCACGCATGCCTGTTCCTGCAACTCCTGTCATATTTGATTGAACTCTGCATTAAGGGCTATTTGAATTTTCATGACTCCACTGAACCAATCACAAAGGTAATTAAAATTGCATGCTCTCTGCCTTTACCTTTTGCTTCCTTCCTCTTGCATGTTCCTGACCTCTAACTTCTCTTTATGGTAGGGAGCGTTCATTTCACTACGGAGCCGGTCATTTTCCCGGGCAATGTCTGAAGCATTCTGAATGACCAGGGCATCGTAGGTTTTCAGCCCCATGTCCTCTGTGTTCTGCAGAAAGCTATTGATAGAAGTCACCTCTTGTTGTCTGATGCTTATTCTCTGAAGCAGGTGCTGGCGTGCTAAAAATCCTCTGATAACTTTTATAGAAGGATCATGGGTTAGTAAATGGAGGAAAAGTGAAAAACTCAGACATGCACAAACAAAAATCATAATATACTTATCTCTGAGCAGTTGTAGAATAAGGTACATTTAACCCAGAATAAGACTTTATCTAAATCAGCAGTGATAACACTAAAGGCAAAGCTCTTTGACTTGAATGAGATCTTGCAGGCAATATATTGATGATAAAGGCCTCCACATTGTTTTTGGTAACACAAGCTGGACTTTGATGGACTGGAGTTAAATCAGTGGGAAAGAACTAGGTCTAAATCCCACAGAATTTTGGGGTGTGCCTCCAACTGCAGCATTTTGGGATGTGCGGATCATCTTTCATTACATCACATTATTACATAAACACCTAAGGCTTATGGGGTTTGTCTTTGGAAATATCATGCATATATTGTTTCTAAGATTATGATTTAATTCTTAGAGAAATTAACACTATATTTAAGACTCTGGAAAAAGATTGTGTATAAATATAGGACATCCATCCTGCTCTCTGGGAAAGGACGGCTAGAAAAATGTGTAAAAGTTGGGGGAAATGAGTGAAAATGCTTTGAAATCAATATGTCAGTAACAAATACAAGAATTAAAAATAAAAGACCACCATTTAAAGGGACCTCTGTAAGACACTCTATTGCGTCATTCAATTCTGAAACTCAATGACAAAATATACCGCTATCTCAATTTCAGACACAATGGCACTTCTCTTAGTAAAACTAAGAAAGTTCCTCCAGGTCAACACAACCAAGGAATAGTAGAGCCCGGGCTCATATGTCCCCAAGCTTAGGAGGTCAAACTACATTTCCTTAGCCTGCAGTTACACAGACATAATCTCTCACTCTCCAGGGGGCAGATCAGCAACCAAGAAAGTCACAGGGAAGCATATTTGCAATCAGTGTTAGAAAGAACTTTCTAACAATTAGCACAGGGTGGAAGTGGATCAGGCTGCCTCATGAAAGAGTTGCTTCCTGGGCCCTGAGTGTGTACAAGGCCAGCACAGTGACGCCTTCTCATGGGTGAAGTGGACAAGTGCAGGTAGAGGAATTCTGATTAGAGTCTTTTCAAACTTTGTGATTCTGTCTCTCCCAATTTTAAAAGTTTCTAGGATTACAAGGAGTTGATTAAGATTATAGAAGAGTTATAATTTCAGGAAAGCCAATGTCTGCAGCAAAGACACTTTATTTTTGCCCTTGGGAAAGGAGGAAGCCTATAAAATATTAAGTGCTTTAAAATAGTTCATGGTTATAAAATAATAAATATGAGGGGTACCTATGATATTAACTTTGATGTGTTTACTTGAGTAGCTGGTAGAAAGCTGAACAGAACGTTCTACTATGATGGCTGAACAGGAAAATAATATGTGGATATCTGAAATGCTGAAAGCGTTTTTTTCAGATGGCACTACTAAAGGTTTAGTTATGTTGGAATGCAGTTGCATTAAGTTAACTGTAAAACAGTCATTCTGAAGTAACCTAAAGGAAAAATGTTAAACAGTATGAGGCACAGTCAGACTTCCAGGAATATAAAATGTGGAGTAAAGTGGAGACGTATGAACCATGTGATGGGCACCTTGAGCGCGAAAAAGGCAGAAGACTTGAAATTGGCCTGTTCACTCGTTCTTTCTTGTTACACTAAAAAAAAAGGGAGACATTGGCTTTCGGAAGGGTGAAAGAGAGAGTATTTTCAAGATGTTTAATCTCTTGGAATAAAGAGAAGATTAATGTGGATGTGCCAGACTTCTCCTGACCTCCCACTACAGCACAGCTATTCACTGGATTCACTTTCACCCGGAGTCTATTGTCCCGCCTCCGGAAGACCTCATTTTCTCACACTTCATCCCAATAGCCTTTTAAAATTCTTTAAAAATGTTACACCAGTTGCTAAATATTGATATCTTCAATAAGGGGCAACTGGTAAAAATAAAATTGCCACTAATGGATGTTGATGTTTGTTGTCTTTCAGACAAATTCAGAAGACTGCTTCTAAGATACCGCCCATGTAAGGTCTTAATTTACAGATATTTTTCATCCAGGATAAAATGAGCATATAGAGTCAGAGAAAAAACTTCTGGTAGGAATAATTTTAAATTAAAATGATTAAATTTAAAACTAAAAGTTACAGCTTTCTTTCCCCTGGACATTTTTAAAGAAAAATATAGAATTCTTAAAACAACAACTGGAAATGGTTCCAGATTATATAAATTTTGAGTAAATTTAATATTAGCAAAAAGCATTGAGGGAACTGTTTTAAGAGCTATGAAAATAAAAATCAATAATTAATGCTTTGCATTTACAAGCCTGTAATTAAAAAATACTCATATCCATTATTTCATTTATGCAATATGAGATTATGGTTTCTATCTTGATGTAATTTTTTAAGACCATTTTTTTTTTTTTTTTTGAGACAGAGTTTCACTCTTGTTGCCAGGCTGGAGTGCAATGGCATGATCTCCACGATCTTGGCTCACCGCAACCTCTGCCTCCTGGGTTCAAGTGGTTCTCCTGCCTTAGCCTCCCGAGTAGCTGGGATTACAGGCATGCGCTACCATGCCCGGCTAATTTTGTATTTTTAGTAGAGACGGGGTTTCACTATGTTGGCCAGGCTGGTCTCAAACTCCTAACCACAGGTGATCCGCCTGCCTCGGCCTCCCAAAGTGCTGAGAATACAGGCGTGAGCCACTGCGCCCGACCTTTTAAGACCATTCTTAATTTTTATCTTTAGAAAAGTGAACAAGTAATTACAGTTCTGTTCATTTTTTCTGTTCCAGGTCAATAGGGTATAGAAATTTAATCTTTGTTAAATAGAACAGAAATTTCTAATGGGGCAAAATTTCTTATCATTATATTTAAGGGAAGTTTTCAGGAGAATTTGTGATACCCTGTTCTGTCTTTAGCGTTAGATTAAATGAGACTCTCCCTGTCCCAGTTTCAGCTAAGGCTGCAGATAAAGCTCTGGATGCCACAGGTCCTGGGTGGGGCCTGAGGCATTGCTGTGCTAGCCAGATCCCTGGCGATGTTGGTGTCGCTGGTGTTCCAGGGACACATGGGTTGGGGCAGGGCCAAACATGCAAATAGGACTTGCAAGGGGATGATCCAAAACAGCCCTGTAGCCCGCCCTCTCCCCTGCACTGATGAAGGTTGAAGTTAAGAAGGCCAGGTCATCACACACTAGAAAGACGATGCCTCCTTTACCAAGAGTTAGCAGCCAGGTCATCACACACTAGAAAGATGATGCCTCCTTTACCAAGAGGTAGCAGTTGGCCCTCTCTTGTCCAAGGCTTCCCCTTGCCTCAGCCTGGTGAAAGTGGTTTCAGGAGGCCACCCAGAGATCTTGGTATGTGGCTCCTGGGGGTTTGGGGCCACTGTGCACTGTGATATCTCTGAGGCCAGGGCTGTGGCAATGGCTCCTGCCAGGCCCCTGCATGGAAACACAGGCTCTGTTAGAGAAAAGCTGCACCTAGGAAGCCATCTAAGAGTTTGTTTCTTGGGCACCAGATGTGGTTTTCACAAAGAATGTGTACTGAGAGAACAATGAGACTCCAACAGAGGGTCTGCAAGGTGCCCAGGGGCTGAGGGGTGAGTTACAAATGACCGGCCAAAGGAGGATGTTGCCAGTTAGAGAAGGAAGTCCCTGAAGTGCTCCTGAATATGTGGAGAGCTGTTGAAGTCTGCCCCAGCTGGAGGAGACCAGCGCCATAGTACACCTGTGTCATCAGAACACCTGCCATAAGCAGGTCTTTTTATCGTTAGAAGACTTTTTACCTTCATCAGAAGACACCTCCTTACCTCTTCCCCTCCTCATTAACCCTGGAAGACCCAGAGGCAACCTGAGTAGGTAGGGATCAGTCCCATGCCCAGTAAGGATGGGACAGGCCTGGAACAGCCAAGAAGGATGTTTTAACTTAGAATGAAGTTCAGAATTTTGATCATTATTTGAGCTGGATGTGTTAAAATCTGAACAGAGACTGTTCAAGGGACTAGCATGTAACAGGGCTTCTTATTTTATTTATTTTTCTAAATTTTGATTTTTTTTCTTTTAGAGGTGGGATCTCGCTCTGGCACCCAGGTTGCTGTGCAGTGGTAGAAACACGGCTCACTGCAGGCTGGAACTCCTGACCTCAAGGAATTCTTCACTTCAGTCTCCTGAGTAGCTGGGACTATTGTTGCGTCCCACCATGCTTGACTAATTAAGACATTTTTTGAGAGATGGGGATCTCACTATGTTGCCCAGGCTGGTCTTGAACTCCTGGCCTCAAGGGATCCTCCTGCCTCAGCCTCCTGAGTAACTGGGATTACAGGTGGACTTTTTATTATCAGAAAATGAAAAGACCCATTAGAGATTCACATAGGGGCATATCCAAATGAGCCCCACAGAAAAAGGATGTCTAATTAAAACATGAACAATGTCTGCAAATGTTGATTTTGAGATGGTTGCATAGCAAACTAAGCCACAATGCTTCCTAAACACCCAAAAACTATTTGCCTGAAGATAGCATCCAGGAATCGAGAGAGTGGTCCACTAGGGTGCAGACCCCATCGACATTTAAACTTGGGGATGCACTAAAAGATTTTGCATTTCACAACTCAAATAAATTCAGAAATGTTGGCATATAAATGTTACCTTTTTGGCAGGTTATAATTTTTCTCTGCAACTGTAGGCACAAATCATTGAGTTGGTCAGCATGCCAGTATTTTAGAAACACTTTTCGGACTCCCATCTAAAATGCAAACAGCAGGGAAACATTTAACAGCATGAAGATACCAAAATGATGATGGAAAAATAATCAGACAAAATATTTTTCCAGCAGAGGATTAGAAGAAACAAACTCAGAAAATTAGAGTACATGTCTCTGATTCTTAAACACTATTACATTTAATCAAAATCCCAAAGGCTTTGTTGTAATAAGTATGTTTACTGCATGTGTCAACATTGTTTTCAAATGGTTACACACTACTGATGTGGGTTGTACCATGTGGTGCAAAAGAGAAACACTGGCCTTGACTATCAGTCAGAAGATAAGAGCATCCCCATGAATGGATTCTCCCATTCTAGAGAGAGAATCTTTCCTTCCTCTTCTCATAGCAGGGAGTTTGAGTTTACAAAAAGAAAAACAAATACTCAAAAGACCAAACGAAACATAAAGCTGATGCATAAAATTGTTTTGCTTCTATAATTTTTCCCACTATGCCACATATTATTATAAATCAAATGTTTGTACAACTGCAATTATAGAACTTCAGAACTAAAGTTTAAAAGTCTCAAGAAAGATGAGAAAGTCATCTTTGAGCAACAATCTTCTGGATGTTTGCACAAACAGTAGTAGGGATGAACATACTTTTCCAGAATTTTTAAAAAGAAATTTTAGCATGACATGAAATCAGTTTATATGACAAGCTCTAGTGGCATGAGAACTTATCCAAACGTACTGATATTGATAAAGACAGCTGCCAAAGAAAATTCTTAACACATAGCTGTAAGCCACATTCATACACTTTTTAAGTAATTCTCTTGTGTGTTGTGCTTATTTGAAGAATTCACAGAACCGAGGTAGGTGTGAGGAATACCCCTCACATAGAAGGCACTCATAGTCTCTTAGGAGAAGCAGACATAAGTAATTGCAGGAGAGCCTGGTGGATCCTAATGTGGTGTGCCAAGGAAGCTCTGAGATGATATTCTGTTAGATAAAGGGAAAGTATTACTTGCAATAAGTTTATAATCAGATTCTTAGCACTTGAGACAAACACCATTAAAGTGAGAAGTCTAACATGTGTGCTCTCAAGCATGAACTGGGGACATTAAAATGATAACACCCCCTAGCCTATGCCATACATCACAGTACCACCAGACGCTGGCACGTGTGTACACATCATCAGGTACGGGAAAGGTTTATAGGTCAGACTTGTCTTCAGAATGGTTGGCCAGAGATGTTTTATGAGCCATTTCATATGAAAATGGAGTTTATTCCAAACACACTTTGTCACTTTGCCCCTTTCCACCTAACTCTTCCCTTACATGATCTGTTGTCTTAATAAAACACAGTTTTGCCAAAGATTTTGACTGAATCATGCATTATGACAGTCAGGCTAATTAGTTAGATCAATGGGGAAAGCTCTTAACTACTGGTCTACTTCAAAGCCTTCTGGTTGACTAGATGTTCTTCTTCATTTAGTTTAGTTTCTTTTAGTTGGTTGAAATTTGAGACAGTAACATGAGTGGGTGGCTACTGAGATTGTTACTTTTTTTTTTCATTGTATTGCCATTTTATCTTCCCAGTTATTTTCCATAATTCATAGTCTTTTTTTTCTCCTTCCCAACTGCTGACTTATTTTGGCAGTCGACAGGAAGAACAGTTGGTCCTGTCTGTGAGCTCTGCAGAACAAATCTGTGAGACAGGCATTGGAAAGGAGGGAACATGTCACCTCTCTGTTCATCATTGATTGTGGGATGTAACTCATTGTGGGAGACTAACTCCCAAAGACAAAATTCATCCAAACCTGGGTTCCAAAACAAAACTCCAAAGGAATGATGGCTGGTGATGCTCCACAATGGATGGGATCAATAATGATCATTAGGGGAATTAACATGGAAGGAGAGCAACATGCCTAAAAGACCTGTGGAAGGGAAACAGGAGAACAGGATTCTAGTTCCCCTCTCTTAATTCAGTGGAGACCCTCAGCAGGAGAGGAGGTGGACAAAATGAGTATGATCTCTTACAGTGGCATTTCTAACAGCCATTCAAAAACCCAAAGGAGGTTTATCTTGAGCATTGTGCTAGATCTGGGGATATGAAGGAGGCCTCTGTCCTCATGGAGCACATAGTGTACTGGGGAAGGTCAGCAGTGAGCAGATTCTGGCAATTGTCCATGCTCAGGACATAGAGTTATGTCCAAGAAACAGCTTTAGAGAAAAAAGAGTGATCAAGGTGTGATCAGGCAGGGTTCAGTAAGAAGCATGTTTTCTAAGCCATTTGGTCTTGAGGGATAAGCAGGAATTTCCCAGGGCATCTTGAGATGATGGGTGTGAGACAGAGAAACTAGCATGTGAAAGGCAAGAACCAGAAGACAGCAAACCATCTGAGGGTACAGTTATGTGGACACAGATGAGGGAAGAGGCTACATCTGTAATTGGTGGCTACATCATGAAGAGTACTATAGGAAAAACATGGAAATTCTCCTGGGAGCAATTTGGATATGCTGGGAAATATAAAGAGGACCAGATCTAAATTTAAAAAAAATATTTCTTGAAATTTGTCTTGAATTCTGAAAACTGTCTAAGAATGGATTATTGAGCTGGTCATTGGCAAGGCAGGGCAAAATACTCCAATTAATCATTTAGGTTTGGAAGATTCTGCAACTGCTGCTTCTCTGTTGACCAACTCCTCTTTATCCTTTACAACTGAAATCAAACCTCATCTCCATTACTAGAGTTTTGATATCCACCTTTCCACTTCCTTTAGGGCTTTGACACCTTCTATTTGTGTTCCCAGAGCACCCTATAAATGATTATTTATCCTATTATAGTGCTTTGTACATATTTACCATTATATATATATGTGTGTGTATATATATATACATACATATATACATATATATTACATATATATACATATACATACATATATACACATACATATATATACATATATATACATATATATACACATATACATATATACACATATATATATACATATATACACACGCATATATTATATATATTTGCATATTATATATATTTGCATCTCCTGAAGAATATGGACATATATTCTTGAAATGCACAAGTGGCAGGGATGTGGGCAGGATGAATTCAGATTAGAAAAAAAGAACAGAAGATAAAGAATTGTGAAGCCCTTGCATAAAGTGAGTCACAGAGACAGATGATAGCTTCTAGGGTGAAAATGAGATAAGATGACAAATGAAAACTTAAGTCAGACCCTAGAGTCATTCAGCAATCCAGAATAAGTCACAGAAGGTGGCAGGTGATAGAATAAGTCATGGAGGAAATAAAAGGAAAAAGAAACATGGGGTGAAACTGGCCTACCAGTTTGTATTGTGACTTCAGATCTCCAACCTCCATCAAGTGAATCTGAAGCCCAGAAGCCCATTGTAACTTATAAAGCCCTTGGTTGTACCTCAGCAGTGCAGATTTGCTTAGGCATCACTACATCAAAAACCCACCAGGGGACTGGAGAACAGGTCCACCCTTCCAACTCCTACCATTGCAAGTGTCTGCCTTCCTCTCATTTGTGCTTCAGTTGCCAACCCTGCTCCTTCCCAGCCATTATCCCCATTATCTCAACCCATGGCTAGGTGCAGCCATAGGCTGGGGAACCAGGAACTAGCTGACCCTGTCATCTCCTCCTCTCAGACAAAGGAAGTAGGGAAAAGGGGAAGCTCAGGATAGAGTATATTCAGGAAATACTTTTGGTTCAGATATGGAGGGTAAATTATAGGAAGAGTAGACACAGAGGTTGAAGTGAACTTTTCTTGGAATGTACTAGATACTTCAGGAAGTTCTTGATGGTCGGTAGTTGAGAAGTGGATTGATGGTTTCACAGGGCAGATCTGCATGTCAGGCCAGGTTTGGAGGTGGAGAAAAGGACTTCTTTCTGGGAGCCACGGATTGGGATAATGGCTGGGAAGGAGCAGCGTTGCAATCGAAGCACAAATGAGAGGAAGGCAGACATGCGCAATGGTAGGAGTTGGAAGGGTGGATCTGTCCTCCAATCCCCTGGTGGGTTTTTCATGTAGCCTATGCAAATCTGCACTGCTGAGGTACAACCAAGGGCTTTGTAAGGTATGAGGGGCTTCTGGGCTTCGGATTCACTCGGTGGAGGTTGGAGATCTGAAGTCACAATACAAGCATCCTATCAAGACATGGCTAAACACTTTGTTGCAATGCCTGGGTATTGTGCTTGCTGCTATTACATTCAGATTATTTTGTAAAAAATTCTTCAATCAACTACTTGGGCATATTTTATGGGTATCCAATGGACCATTTTATTTCATATAGTTTTGTACTATATAATTTATTTGTGGGTTGGCAATATTTGGAGATACTCATTGGATGTTTTAGCATTTGTTTGACTTTGCTGTTTTTTGTTTGTTTGTTTGTTTGTTTTTTTGAGATGCTATACTTGTAGTAAATGTTTGGTCTTTCTGAAAGCAATGAAATTAGCAGTTAAGTAATATTTTGCAGTTCTTCCTCAGAAACCATTCTGAATGCAGTCTTTACAGTTCTCTACTTTCACTGATGCTAGGGATTAATGAAGATACAAATTTAAGAATCCTTCTTTAGCAGGAAACAAAGATAAGATCACATATATTCTGAATTTTCATGGATTTACATTGTCTATTAATGACATTGACCGAAAGAAAATTATTGACCATTTTTGATTTTTTTTTCCTGTGGAATGAATGTTACTGTATAATCAGTCTTACAGTGTTATATCAAATCCAATAAATTAAGATTCATTAAAATTAGACCAAAGGTTCAGATCACCTACGTTTTTCATTTTGGTGGCATTCTCACATCAAAGAATGTTTCTCACTAGCAGAGAAAAGGAGAGGTTAAAATGTTCTCCAACTGAGCCCTCTCCCTGTGCACTGCTAGATGCAGAGTGTTCCTAGCTGAGATTAAAATGTTAATGTCATTCTGACTCCTGTAAAAGTAAACCATCTGTGAATTACAGTCATCGCTATTTTTATTAGAAAACCATTAGGTTTTTTTTCTTGTTAGGTGACAGATTTTAAAAGATTAAACAAAATTGTCATTGATGACTTCCAAAGCTCCAATTACTGTTACAATTTTTAGGTGTTTTTTTTTTTTTTTTTTTTTTTTTTTTGAGAGGTGTAGGCTGTGGAGGTACAGACAAATGCTGGAACGGTGGTTGTGCTAGAGTGTAGGTGGCACGGAAGCTGTGTTAGTAGAGACTTCAAGGGAACCTGTAGAGCACTTCTTTTTTTTTAAAAGACAATTTTTAGGAGTGCTGAGTGTTTCTGGCAGTACTTTTGAAATAGCATTTACAAAGGAAAAATATAGCTATTATCCTTTGATATTTTTCTATGATGCACATTTCTCTCTATATTAATGAAATTGAGAAAAACATCTAATGTAGAACTCTTCTTACATATTGGTAGTTTAGAAAAATAGTGACGCCTCTCATTTTGTTATATCTATGCATTCTTTGGGAGTTGAAGAGGCATATATTATTTGTATTGTATGTGTCACTTAATTTAGTTTACTCATTTACTGCTACTAAAAAATACAATCAGTAATTGTTTCCCATGCAGGTAAAGTAAAGGAGAAAGCTCAGGTCACATGGTTCTGCTTTGACAGAAGAAGGACACGTCAATTAAAACAACATAAAACACTTCAGTTACTTATGGAGACATAGAAAATTGGATAGAATTTATTTCGGAATAATAGTACAATTTCCTCTAAGGAAATGTGCACTTGTGATATCCACAATAGACTACACTAGTAGGATTAATAATCTACAAAGGAGGTGCAAAGAAACAGAGTGCCCATAACCCACACTGTTCTAGTTAGATCTCAGAAATCATCTTGATCAACCTCTTCAGTTTTCAAGAGAAAAAGGTATGTTTTAGAGAGGACGTATGACATTCACACAGTCCACACAGAAAGTTAGTGCCAGAGATAAGATGAATCGGAGCTCTCTAGGCTCCAGACTAAAAGAAGCACACACCCTTGATCCTATAAAGTCTCAAACTGAAAAATGCATATTAATCGCTTGGGATCTTGTCAAAATGTAGATTCTGTTCCAGTGGGTTGGGATGGGGCCAGTGATTCATTCTGCATTTCTAACACATTCCTAAATGATGTCGGTGACGGTGGTCTGTGGACCACATTTTCAGGAGTAAGACCCTGGGTCACTCTCTTTTCTTGAAGCTTAACTTCTTTGACAAGCTCACCTGGTCCCCTGCTCTGTGTGTCTGTCATCTCTGTTCCAATGTTTGTCCAAAGCTGCTATGTTGCTGCTCCCCAGTGAAAAGTTAGCTATCCTCAGAGTTCTTCACTGAATTCTCCTCTTACTTTTCATCATCTTCCTGGTAAGTTCATTATTCCAAAAGCTTTCAATACAGACTGCTCGTGAGAGCTCATCTTATCCCCGAGTCCATACCTATGGAGCCCATCTCCTTGTGCACACATTTATGTCGATGTTTCATAGGCACCCTAGCCTCACTCATATGTTTCCATCTTATCCTGGATTCTCTAGCTCAGTGACCAAAAGGACCATCTACCTGGGTGTTCCCTGAGCACCTCAAGCCCTAAAGATTTCCACAGGTCATTTCTCCCACACTTTCCCATCTCATCCATCCCTACCCACTCTTGCCTTTCTAGGCTAATGGAGTCGTCATCACCTCATCACCCAAGCCAGAACCCCAAGCATCACCTAAGTATGTTTACAGCTTTTCTCCCAGTCCCCATTTAGTCATAAGTTCTATTGAGGTTTCTAGAACCCACTTCCTGTTTACTTCTATGAATAATTTCAGTAGCTCCATAAATTATCATGGGTCTACATGCGTCCATTTTTTAAACTATATTCAGCGTGATCTTTCTAAATATCAATCTCATTATGTTCCTTTCTTGTCTAAAATTATTTAGTGGCCTGTAATGATTTTCAGGATGATGTTCAAATGCCTTTGAAAGGTTTATTAGACTTTTTTATTGTATGGCCCTTTTAGTCTCCTCCCTCCCTTCCTCCCTCTCTTCCTTCCTTCTTTTCCTTCCTTCCTCCCTTCCTTCTTCCTCTCTCCATCCCTCCCTCCCTCACCTTCCCTCTAAAATTTGCGGTAAGAACACTTAGCCTGATATCTAGCCTCTTAATAAAATTTTAAGCATATAATGCAGTGTTGTTAAATAGCAGTGAAATGTTGTATAGTAGGCTTCTAGAACTTATTCAATACATTCAAGCTTACTTACTCTCCAACTATATCATATTGCTTTCTGATCCAAAGTGGGAATTCATTTTTCTCCTGTTTAGTGTGTATCTTATAATAATAAATCAATTACAGTAGTACATCCATGTCACTAGTGTACCTTGTATACATCTCTACAGTAGCACTGAAGTCCTGGTTTTCTTCTTATTTGTGTATCTGTCTGACTATTCAACTTAACTGTGAGATATTTATAAGCTCAGATAATGTTGGAAAAGTATAAAGCTCATAATTCACATGTATTAAGGTGAAGGAAATGAAAGTAAATGGATGTGTACAATGGAGAAGGCAGAATTTTAAAAAATGCTTTGAATAAGCACTTGCTATAACATGACCTCAGATATTTAAAATTTCATTTGTCTACAAAAATTATTTTTTTTTTGGCAGAGTTTCGCCCAGGCTGGAGTGCAATGGCATGATCTCGGCTCACCACAACCTCCTTCTCCCAGGTTCAAGCAATTCTCCTGCTTCAGCCTCCTGAGTAGCTGGGATTACAGGCATGCGCCACCGTGCCTGGCTAATTTTGTATTTTTAGTGGAAACAGGGTTTCTCCATGTTGGTCAGGCTGGTCTCGAACTCCTGACCCCAGGTGAACCACCTGCCTCGGCCTCCCAAAGTGCTAGGATTATAGGCATGAGCCACCATGCCCGGCCATCAAAAATTAAATCTTAAATATTTTCAACTTATTTAAACTATTTGATTTATTTTATTAAAATACATCTAATAGGATTAAAGAAACAAAGATGCTGAGTTTCATATTTCCAGTGCCATCACCTCTGATATAGGATTATTACCGACTAAAATCTAGAATTTAACTCATCATCTCTCCTTTATCTGCTTTTTAACTCACCTTGCACACTGACTTCAATTTATTGGTCTTCTAGAAACTTCAATGATTTTATGTTGCCTATAAAGCCCTCCATAATATGAGCTAACCCTTTTTTATTTCTCTAAAAGAGATGCTATTTACTATTATTTTAGCTTCCCGTATACTCTCCTGAAGCAGAAAACCAATGTGAACCTTCTTTATATATTGTACAGGGCCCATAGCATTCTTATGAATGGAGTTTTCACTGAATAATATCATTACTGTTGTCAGGATTGGGTTAGATGCTATCCCTTTATTTTTAAGTCTACAATCGGCCGGGCATGGAGGCTCATGCCTGTAATCCCAGCACTTTGGGAGGCCGAGGTGGGTGGATCATGAGGTCAGGAGATTGAGACCATCCTGGCTAACATGGTGAAACCCTGTCTCTACTAAAAATACAAAAAATTAGCCGGGCGTGGTGGCACGTGCCTGTAGTCCCAGCTACTTGGGAGGCTGAGGCAGGAGAATTGCTTGAACCTGGGAGGCGGAGGTTGCAGTGAGCTGAGATTGTGCCACTGCACTCCAGCCTGGGCAACAGAGCAAGACTCCGTCTCAAAAAAAAAAAAAAGTCTACAATCATTGGAATATTTTATTAACATAGATTATATTTTAATGAGAAAGGTCTTACTGTGAATGCTAGCTTCTTTTCTGCAATTAAAATGCTTCATTTTCATACAAAATTAATCTTTAAAAATGTTAACCCCTCTTGCTCTAAAAACAGCCCTAGTCTAGTAAATACTTCCAGCTTTTTCAAAGGATATGTACTATCGTAGTTGCATCAAAAGTAGTCACATCTTTCACATATCAGTATTCTGGAAAAATGCCCTAGTATTTTTTAAAGTGCCCAGCAATGTAAATCTGTTCCCAGTTTGTTAAGAATAGCTTTATTGATGGTGATATGAACAACACAATCTTTTCATGTGTTCTGATGTCTGCAGAGTTCTCCCCTCAGATTTGCTTTCCTTCCTGCTGATCTCAGAATGTCATTGTGCTCCTTCACAACCCTGTTCTATTTTTGCTATGTGAAACAGTTTCTGTGCCTACCAGGTCATCTCTTCCAAGGGAAACAAATCTCAAAATCCCAACATTTCTACATGTGTGCCATGAAAAGGCCTTTACCTATAATTCATTCCTGGATCAATATCATTTTCTCATAACACTCAGTTGCATTATATTTATATTTTTCCTGATGTTCCTTTTCTCACATTTGTTCATCCGTCATCCTACCATCTGTCTGCTCTGAACATCCATTCACTCATTAGTTCATTCATTCATTCACCTTCATTCATTCATTCATGTATCCATTCGTAAATCAAATGTTTGCCAAGCACCTTCTTCATACCAGCAGGGCACAGATGCTGGGACCACAAGGATGAGTAGAATATTGTCTATCCTTTCAACAAGCTCAGTAAAGAAACCATTGAACTAAAGGCATCCTCTCCAGGCTGAATTCACATTTCCCCCATTTCATTCGTTAAATTTCTAAGAATGACCATTACTTTTTTGTGTGTGAATATTTTACTATTAATACCTCCACACTCTACATTTTCATGGTTGCTTTGAAAAGCTACTAAATAGAAAAATTCTAATGTTCAGCCTGGCTCTGAATGTCTGAATGTACTTTTAAACGTTCTCAAAGGATACATTTATATGAAAATACATGTTCTCTTTGTTATAAATAGACTATTCCTGAAGTTTAACTTCAACACAGAAAAGATAATTACAGCCACACACATCTAATAGAGCACTGTATCTTCTGGTATTTGAAGAAGGTGGTTTGGCTTGAATTACATATAATTATAGTTTAAGAAAAATTAATTATTCTTACCTAGAACAGTATGACCTGCATAGCAGGCAGTGATGAATAAAAGTTACTATTTTGAGCTTACTAGTGAATGACTCACTATGTAATTCTATACGTTATTTCATTATGGAAATCATATTGATATGGTCAAGAGTGCTTAAAGAAAATCACTTCTCCCAAAGAGACACATTGTGAAAAAGCTTACCAAAGCCACACCCAAACAAAGGTAATTAGCTTCAAAAGCACAGAGGAAAATGTATTTGATAAGTTAATATATTCAGTCAGAGCACACATTTGATCTTTCTTTTTAACAAAATGGCCTACATCATGTCAATAATGGTTTGCCCCATGGGACTGTATGTCATAAATGGCCAAACAGTAACACAAACATGGTCATGGCCTTTGGCACTCCCTGGGGTGTGGGAGCCCTTGTCCTATTGTCATCTGCCAAGTTGATGGCATTTACATATTTTGATGTGTGCTTTTCTTCTAAAAACATGATACCATGGTTTTTTATCCTGCACATCTGATCTTATGTAGTGCATCTTTAGGACTATTTGTAGCTATTCAGAAGTTCTGGCATTGCTTTCCTAATTCTGCATATGTCTGTCCTGTGGTGTGCTCACGTTTGCTTTGAGAATCCCATCTAATTTTGTGAACTGTCTTCTGTTTTCAGCCCTAAAGGGCCGAGTCTTTTCCATCATCTAGAGCTCCAAACATATTTTATGGAGCAAGTTCGTTTTTTAAAAGAGCTTGAGTATATTCCTGATCTACATTAATATTTTGGTTTTAAAAGAGATTCCACCTTCAGGTCAATGTAACTTAACAAGCACCTTCATTGTTGCCACGGTGAGGTCCTCTCCCCTCCCTTCGTGTTCTCGGCTTCCTCCCTTGTCCCATCCACCATGGCTCTCTCTTGCTTGAGCTGCCACATTGGCTTGGGAACTCGTTTCCCAGCTCTGTTCTTGCTCTCTAATACCACTTTTTTACATTTAAAGCATAAATCAGGTCATGTTCTACCCTCTCTAAAACTTATCAGTAGCATGCATTGAACCTAAAATAGAATGCTGCACTTTGACACATAAAGTCCCACTGGTTCCGAACCATTTAGCTCTAAACACACCTTCTCCTTGTGGTGATCCTGTCCAGTGGGTACAACTGGTTCTTGAGAAGAAAAACGTGTTAGTAATTACAAGGCTTCTGGCATATAATACGTGCTCAGTAAATGCTTATCGAATGACTAAATAATCTTGAAGTTGGGGAAATTTATATTGACATAGAAGATATGGAGTTGGATCTCTCAGTAGGAACAGACACAAACACCCCTCTTTCAGTAGTTGTTAGGGGCCTCATATTATCCAGCAGGACTGAGCTTTGAAGGTCAGAAACTGTTGTAATAGCAAAGTTATTTTTGCCTCCCCAGAACTCAATTCTTTATTAATTCTCTCAGTTTTTCTCCTTAGTGGGGCAATAATGAAAACATAAAGGTTGAGAAACATGGCTTTGTAGCATCCCTGTCTCCCGTTCTCATCTGGTTCTGTCCCCAGCCCTCCTACTCTCCTGTCAGTTCTCCCAGGATGTCCTCACCTCGGGGGCTCAGCACACTCGGGCCCCTCACCCTGGGCCCCTTGGTCCTGCCTCAGCACGTCCCCAGCTCCTTCTCACCCTTCAGATCTGGGCCTGCATGTGACCCTCCCAGAAATGCCCTGCATGACAACTGCCCTGTCTAGGTCAGGAACCCTCCAGTTCACTACTGCAGTGTCCCATTTGCTCTCTTTGCACCTGGATCCTAACCTGTGATTATTTATTAGTTTAAAGCTGACTGTTTCTCCCCCAGCAGACTGTGAGCCATCGCAATTGCCTTGCCTAATTTGGGGGAACTCATATGGTGATCAGTAAATGCTTGTTGAATCAGTCAATCAATAAACTTGAAGTAGAGGAAAACAGATGGATTTCTAAGCAATCAAAGTTGGATTAGGCATAGGCCTAGTCAGTTTTAATCAGCAATTAGTAGGTGCCAGATAGTACTCTAAGATATTACTCTTCATGCATAATGAAGCTGAGTGAAAAAATGTAAAATTACTCTAAAGGCAGAAACTATCACACATATCACCCAAACGCACTGCAGATACCTTCATTTGCAAAGGGAAGATGTGGTCATCAGTAGGAGGTTCATTTATTCATTCATTCATTCAACAAACACAAGTTTCATACACACTATGTGCCAGACCCTGTAAGAGATGTCATAGTGAAACACACACATGTGCACACATGTAAAAATACAAAAGAACACGGCGACATGACACCTGTCCTCAGGAAGTTAAGTGTGGAAAGAGAGAAAGACACACTGAGTAAGGATCAAATACATGTAATATCATTTTTAAAAACAAAGTGAATGAATACGCACCAAATATTTTCAGTAGTTATCTTTAGGTAGTTCAATTCTGGTAGATTGTATTTTCTTCCTCAGTTTTTTTCTTTTTCAAATTTCCTATCAAGGATACATACTACTTTTATAACAAAAATGTGTCATATATGTATATGGCGTGTGTGTATGCATGTGTTTGGCACAAAAGAAGAAAGGAAATACACACACACAGACACACACACATATAATATAATATAATATAATATAATATAATATGAATATATATGGTGATTCCAAACAGAATGTACATAGTTTCAAGGTGTACTCTTAGGTTCCTAATGCTTATTATTTTCAACATTTATAATTCCAGAGAAGGAGAAAGGATACAGAAGAAAGAATCATTTTATAGGCTATTTTCTAGCTTGTAATTATAGTTGATTTATGAAGTGTTCCCTGAGTAGTAAAACAAAGGTTATAAACCATTAATTTATCGTACTAATAAGAAGTAAGGGCCCTAATACAATTGTCTCATCATAGAGAATGTAAAAAAAGTGAGAGGTAGTTAAAACTTTAACAGTTCCTTGCTCTTCTATTTTATTTTCTCTACTGTACTACTGCAGATTAATGAAATAATAAAACCTTCATCCAACTGATTTTATGTAATGTTATGGTAAAATGTTAATGTTGCAGTTCTTGGCAATATAAGAGCAAATCCTTCAAAGATCATAACTTAATTTAACTCATTTTCAAACTATGACTTATTTCAAACTATTTGGGTAATAAAATCTAGACTATTCCGTAAACATTACATTAGAAGATTGTGATAAAAACAAAGATTGTGAATTTCTTTGTTCACAAGTAAACACAAATAGGAAAAGTATATCTCATTACAATTTGGAGTATGTTTTTTGTTGAGTACCCTTTGTTATTTCTTTCAGAGCCTCTCTCTCTGTCTCTTTTACATACACGCATGCACACACACTAGAGTAAGTATCGTATCATGCCGGTACTTGGGATGAAGTTGGTGTTCTAATTTTGTTTCTTTCTTCCTGTCTGTATTATAATCTTGAGTAAGCCACCAGAAGGATCTGTGTGTCTGACTCCTCATCCTTAAAATCATAGACGATATGTTATCTCTAAGGTTAAGATCTCAACTTCTCCTTCCACAATTTCCAGAAACAGGTATCACAAGTTCCTGCCTCAAACGGGACACACAGGCCACTCTTCTTTGCCTACCCACAAAACTTCTTTCACCCCGAAGTTCTCGACATCTTCTTGAACTATCAGTGAAAAGTACCACTGGGAAAGCCTTTCTGCACAGAGCCACATCGGTGCAGTGCCCCTCTCGACTCTCCCAGTGCTGTGTGAGTGCCTGTGTTCCGAAGCAGCACCCCTGGTATCACATGGACCGACTCTGACAGATTTGTTTCTTCATTCGTCATCCCTCCAGATGGCTTTAAAATGAATATAGCATTCAAATAACTACACAGAAGAAATCATCCTATAACCAGTTGATGCATATAAAATGTGTGAAAATCAGATTATACCACTTATTTTTCCACTTAGAATTAGCTTCAGAGGTTTTCATTTTACATAAATGATATAACATGAAAAACAAGCATGTTCCACAGGGGCCTAACTGCTGTCCAGTCACTCTTCTGTGGCTTGGAGAAATTCGGGCAAATAGTCTTTGATTAACTATACACAGTTCCAGAGGGATCCTTTCCAAGTTACCTTAAGATAGCACTGAATTTAAAATGCATATGTTCAGATAAGGAAAATACCTGAATAATAACAATAATGAAACAAATAGCAGATGGTTAATAACTACTGGCTTAATTTAACTTGTTTTCAAACCAGGAATTAATTCAAACTATTTGGATATTTTTCCATAGTGAGGTAATCCATGAACTCTTCGTTTCATAAAGAAAACTATATCTGCTGCGACAGAAAACAGCACTAGAAGTTAGTCATGCAGGTCTTACTCAAATCATTTCAAAATACTTCCATTCCTTTTTGCAAACAAGTTACATAAATCCCACTTTGCAAATAAGGACGTGGCTCTGACTAGTCCACCATGTTTTTAAAATATGTCATTTCACTGTAAACATAAGAAGCCACCAACGTGAAAGATTCCCTTCTAGCCACCACTACATCCTGATTTTCCTTTCTTCAAAATCAAACCACATTATGTAAAAGTAGCAATTTTGAGTATGTTAAGGAAACAGCAACATGTATGACTTTGCCAAAACTTATGGTGACCAGTTCAAATTCTATGAAAAAGGGCACAAGATTCCTTTGAGAAGTACAGTCTAGTGGTATAAAAGACACAACAGAAATTATATATTGGAACACAAAAATGTTTTGGTGCAAAATGCAGTGTGACTTACAGCTTTCTCACAAATGTTTAAAATAATTAATTTGACCCTATATAGTATTCTATGCTAAAATT
Organism: Homo sapiens; assembly: GCF_000001405.40. Lineage (NCBI taxonomy): Eukaryota > Metazoa > Chordata > Mammalia > Primates > Hominidae > Homo > Homo sapiens. The sequence continues at coordinate 109,105,634 of NC_000013.11, read as the reverse complement.
ACATTTATGTAGTAGTTTCAAAATTTTAAAATTATTTTTAATTATAGAATTAATGCATTAATACATGTATCTTATACACGTAGATATAAAGCTAAAAATCCATTGGATTCTTATTTCATTTCAAAACAATAAATTTTAAAAAGTTTTTTGTTTGTTTGTTTTGAGATGGAGTTTCACTCTTGTTGTCCAGGCTGGAGTGCAATGGCACAATCTCTGCTCACTACAACGTCCACCTCCCAGGTTCAAGTAATTCTCCTGCCTCAGCCTACCAAGTAGCTGGAATTACAGGCGCCCACGACCATCCCTGGCTATTTTTTTGTATTTTTAGTAGAGACAGGGTTTCACCATGTTGGCCAGACTGGTCTTGAACTCCTGATCCCAGGTGATACACTCGCCTCAGCCTCTCAAAGTGCTGGTATTATAGGCATGAGCCACTGCGCCCAGCCTGTAAAAATTCTTACATGTCTTTGCATCCACATCAAGTGTACTGTATTGTTTGGTAGTTTCTTATTTACAGAAACTCATTTCTTGGCCCAGCATCCAGGCACAGAGTGTCTGTCCTGTGTCTTTCTCTGGCTTCTATGCTGGGGATGCAGCAGTAAGCTGCAGACACAAAGCCCTCGTGATGGAGTTCCCACGCTATGGAGGAAAGGTGGTGAACAGCATGTTAAGGACTGCAATCTGAAGCGTAACAGAAGGTCCCAGGCACCATGGAGGAGAACAAAGCAGAGAAGAGGATGAGAAGATGCAGTACGAAGGTCGAGGATAGTGAGAATTTAAAATCTAGTAGCCAGGGAATGTCTCGCTGAGAATTGGCACGTGAGCAAAACTCGGTATACTGTAAACTGTGTGGATCTGCGGAATAGCCTAATAAACTGTTTTCAAACTGCCTTTGCTCTAGCTGCGAAGGTGCAGCGATGCTCCTTTGACATGCATTTCCACCAGCACCGCCTATGAGTTGCCCCCACCCCTGTCCTTTCCTCTGGATGGCCTGAGTCACATCTAGGTCTTAACCCTCAGAATTAGAATTGACATCAAATGCTTCCTGAGACTCTTCACTTGATTCCAGTTCTTCTCCTTCTCTATCGTCTCCTTTCCTTACTCCTCCTTTTCCTTCTCCTCTTGTTTCCAAGATGTAGTTGGGAATGAGGGTGCAAAGGCATTGTGCTATTTCAGGGTCAGTTTGATTGACAGTTTGGGTTGAAAAGGATTCTGATCAGAGTCACCCTGTAATGGGAAGTAGTCTGCTTGTTTTTCCTTCATTTGCTGGGTGAATTATAAACATAAAAAAGACACTGTACAAGGGGCAGGCTGCTCAGATGAATAAACGGTATAAGTGCCTTTGATCAAAGCTTGTACTGTGATGCATAATCTACCCCTTCCAAGTCCTGTAATATGAGCAAAATGACTTCAGATAGTTATATTAGAAGATACAGATTGAGTTAAATGCAGTGGAAAGAACATGACATAGGAAAAGCTAGACGTTGGTCTCAGCAAAGTGGCACTCCCACTGAAACTGAATATTAACTGCACCTAGTATTTTGATCAGTACACTGATCTCTAATTAAGACAAGGGCTCTCTGTGACGTTCCATTACCTCAAATCTAAAATAAGGTCACTCCTGTACGTGCTGTCTACTTTCCTTTTCTGCATAGAGTTATTAGGCTCAAATAAAATAAAATAAAAACTATGAATAGTTGTAATATACTCTGTAGATGAGAGGAATTATTTTTTATTAAATACTAAAAATTCCAGTACCTCATGTGCGACTACAAACCTGTGACTACCTAAAGCATGAAAAGCAGACACAGGTGCATAGATCGGCATACAAAAGTAATAGTACTGAAGATACCACATCTCTATCCTCATCTGAAACAGAAGGAAATCAAATGTGCACCAAGGCTTACTGAATTGCTACAATGTTGGAGAGTATAAGAATTACAGAGTTACCATCTCATATTGATGATTCAAGGCTTTCCTTCTACAGGGTCTGATTAAAGTTAAAGAGAGAAGAGAAAACCTGCCAGATCTCCAAGACGCATTAGAATGACAACGAAATTACTATTTTCAGTTAAAAGAAATGAATTTCTAGCTAACACTGTATACCACTTAACACAGCAAAATATAATTCTAATCACTTCTGTCCTCCAGCACTGCTTTTAAAAATATGGAAAAGAGTAACCATTCATTTCATGCTAACCACTCAGGACTAAAGGATGAACTGACTGGTTAATGAAAACACACATTATAACTCTTAGCAATTTGGAAATAATGCTACAGATAGAATAACCATCCGATACAACCTTGTTGTCCCTGCAGCCTAACAGCTTCTGATTGAATCCCTGTATTAATTAAAAACAGAATTGACTAGGAGGAATTCTTTCTGTAATTAGCAACACATATCTAAAAAATGCTTTGCTTTTGAAACTGAGGAGTCTAACTTTCCAGGTTAGGAATGAGTGTTTTTTGTTTTATTTATTTATTTTTTAACAAAATCTTTTTTTCCTTTGTCAGACCAATATAAAAGTGAAGTATGAATATGCTTCATTTCTGTGAAGTTGATTATTTGTCTGGTAGTATAAAGTATATCATAGGTTACATCGTGAAGAAGCTGAAGAAATACTGTCTTTTCTGACTAGACAACAGGGAACTCATAAGCAAATATACTCAGTGAATGAGCACATTTATTTCTCTTTCCTTTTAATTTTTTTGTCTTGTGTTTTCAGCTTCTTTTAGGCAGGTGAAAAGTGTGGAGAAAATAGATTAGTGCCATGAAATGGGATCCCTTTCCCATTTAAAATAAATTTTAATGCTCTTGTTGAAAGTCCCAATGTATGTTTCAATTTAATGCTATCCTCAGCTGCAATCCTAGCAAAAGCACCAATATAGAAGAAATGATGGCTGGCAGGGCTTACCAATTTGTCTTCTGGTCTCCTCTCATATTTGACCTGTACTTTACAGTGGTCTATCAGAGGGACCACTGCTCAGATATTGTGGTTACTGCCAATCACTCTCTTAGTGAAATAATTATTACAGATTCCCTTGCTTTCTTCTACAAATAAAAATTCTCCCTCTCTCTCTCCCTCATACACATACATCTATCTCACAGATATATATATATATATACACACACACACACATATACATATATACACATACATATACATATATGTATATCATTATCTGTAAGTAGTCTTTAAAAGCAAAATAATACAATAAGAATATCTTAGTGTTACATCATCCGTGGACTACTACTATATAATTACTTATTCAAAATCTCAGTAATGATTCCATTGAACTGACTTCAGTTACCTATAGACAGAATAAATGCTGATATATGTGAATCCCACCCCTATGTCACTGACTCTGGAGGGGTTGGCAGACATCACTTTTGGTTAGTAATTCCTCCTTCTTCCTCCTTCCCTTTTTATCCAATCTTTTGGCACTGATGTGCATCACTGACAACTTCAGACTGAGTAAGCTTCCTCCTTCAGATTGTTATTTAAAGTTCAAATTTCATTATTAGTTAAAAAAAAAAGAAAAGGAAAAAAGATAACAAAGAAAAAGATTGGGTGGCACAGACAATTAAATCATTACTCATCAATGCCAAAATTCTAGGTTCTTTGTTCTTTGTCATAGACAGATGAGTGTGCGAGTGTCAATCCAGTCTTCCCTCCCTGTTTTACTTAGACTGGGCCACTTTTGGACCTATTCAGCAATTCTGAATCATCAGCTCATGTCATTTCTAAAGCCAAGTCCCCATCCTTTGACTCATCAATTATCATATATTTTTACTCATAGATATTCTCCCTATCACTTTTTAAAGATGCAATTTATGTCTACTTTCCAGTAATCGTCATATTTTTATCAAAGCTTTTAGCTACCATTTGTTTTTGCCACCTATGCACTTTTGGTGGTTTTACAGCAAGAAACTTCCAAATAATTTCTGGTGTCATGGACTGCGTGGTTTCCCATTGTTGCTCTAATCTGCCCTTCTCACTTCAAACCTCTACTTCCTAAAATGAGTCAAGGATGGACTCTGATGTTGTTGAAGGTATTTACAAAATCTGGAACCATCTTCTCCTGTTTCTGGTAAACATTTGCCTGTAATTTTGTCTCAGGTTATTTTCTTTTTCTGCAAGTCTAGCTGTAGCTTTCATTGGCCCCTAGGGTCTACCATTCAAATGGATCACAGACTATAATAAAGTGTTTCCAATTATGAAGCTTTTGCCAACAAATGGGCTTCAAAGGATGGTGACATTTTCACTGTATGGCAGGTGAGAAGCAGGGCAAAGAGAAACAGAAAAAAAGGGGAGCTGACTGAGACGTGAACGAGCTGGGGAAGTCCAGGTTGAACATGCACTTATGAGAGACCAACTCTGCACAAAGAAATCAACCTTAGTTCTTCAATTTTGGCTCCTCTGACTCCTGCTATGGGTAAATATGACAAAATGCTTTACTGACAAGGTATGAATCTGACACACGGGCAAACAGAATGGGGCTCATAAGCTTCTGTCATGTTGTAAAGGGAGCCTGTTAGATTTCCTCTCATGTTGGCTGCAAGATGTTAAAATCGGTAAGTCATAAAGAATGACAAATTTCCAGGGAATACACTTAATGTCACGCCTTGCCAAACACATCAAAGGAATTTGTTTTTGCCAGGAAGATTCTGGTGGCTCCCTGCAATGACTCAGCTCATTTATTTAAAATCCTAAAATGTTATTTTCATAGCTTGTAGGTCACCAACCTGCCAGCCTTGTAATTTACACTGCTGGAGAACAAGTCGACATCGCTCGGCAGCTGACTGTTCCTTCTTCTCACGCAGGAATGTATCAGCCAGTGGCTTATACCTGTGAAAAGCAGCAGAGACAGAAAGCAATGACTGCATTTGCCAAGCACATGATCACATTCAACAGGGCTGTCTTTGTTACATCGTTTCCCAAAAGTTTCCCCGTCTTTCTTTATCCCAGGAACAGCCAAATACCTGTCCATTGTGCATTTACTAGGGAACTGGAAAGAATCCTTATCTTTTATAAGGGAAATGGTTTTTACAACGCGTCAAATATATTTTTCAGTCCTCTAATATATGTTTAGCACTGTCATGAAGCACTTCAAACCATTTAACCAAAGGAAATTTGAAAGGAATGAAAATTAATCCAGTAGCCATTTTTAAACATTTGGCATGCTCTTTAAAAACATACCTCTTAAGAAATTTGAGCATTCTTTATGGCCACTTAAGCGTGAATTCAGATGTAACTAGAGTCCATAATAATGGAATACCAAAACGTCCATTCAGAATACTTATTTGAGAGGTAGAATCGCTTCTTCCCCATATATTATATATCGAATATTTCAAATATTCTGGGACATTTTTATTTTGTAAAGTATCAGTGAGCAATTGACTTTCATTCCCTAGCTGAAATTCATGGCAATATAATAGTTTCCTACAGGTTTTTCAAAAATGACTTTTAAAATTACATCATCCATTTAAAAAAAATCTATGTAAAATTCCCTTTGCACTTACAGTGGTTAACCTGAGATACAGGCAAGGTTGCAATGGAGGAGGAGGAAGAGGAGAAAACCAGAAAGGAAATGAGCAAAGATCTATGCAGTTGCATCCTGTTGCCTTCTGTGTTTATGATTCTCATGTTCGGCTGTTCCGCAAGCCGAAGGAAACGCAATGCCAAAGCTGAAGTCATCAGTTTTCTGTTATTTTCTGTTTAATACCTTAGTGTTTCATCTAAAGTTCACTGCAGTAAATTTGGTATCTTCTAAAATGAGTTTATTCAGTTTCCTTAGTGCAATTAAGGGAGGGAGTGTTTTGCCTACACATCTTTATTTACTTGCTTTCCTCAGAGCAAGTAGTGGGAGTATGGGACATGTCTCATGGACAGCCACATGGGAATCACACGTGTGTCTTATTTTGGCAGGTACTGTGGGTAAACGAGGGCTCACATGTGCGGCAGTACAGTCTGGTGTGTAACATAGGCTGGGAAACACACCTGCCATGGATAGAATGTATCTCAAGGTCCCTACGTTCAAATCCTAACCCCCAATATGATGATATTAAGAGGTGGGGCCTTTGACAGGTGATTAAGTCATGAGGGTGGAGCTTTCATGAATGGGATTAGTGCGCTTAGAGGAGGCTGAAGAGAACAGACTTATTCCTTCCTATTAGGTCAGTGTAAATGTAATTGTGGTTTTCGCATTGTTGAAATTTGCCGTTTGATATTGGAATACATTCTTAAATAAATGTGGTTATGCTATACATCATGTTAGTGTGCATTTCTTGCTTTATGTTTTTTGCGAATGACTTATTACTTGCTGTTTATTTTATATTTATTTTAGCCTATGAGAATAATGTTAGATAAAAAGCAAATTTGAGCGATTTTCTTATTTGGGTTCCAAATGGGTCACAAAAGAGCAGAGGCAACTCACAACACCAACAATGCATTTGGCTCAGGAGCTGCTAATGAACATACAGTGCAGTGGTGGTTCAAGACGTTTTGCTAAAGAGACGAGAGCCTTGAAGATGAGGAGTGCAGTGGCTGACCATTGGAAGTTGACAATGACCAACTGAGAGCAGTCATCGAAGCTGATCGTCTTACAACTACATGAGAAGTTGCCAAAGAACTCAAGGTCGAACATTCTAGGGTCGTTTGACATTTGAAGAAAATTGGAATGGTGAAAAAGCTTGATAAGTGGGTGACTCATGAACTAAGTGAGAATTAAAAAAATGTAGTTTCAAAGTATTATTTTCTCTTATTCTATGCAACAACAATGAACCGTTTCTGGATCAGATTATGATGTATGACAAAAGTGGATTTTATATGACAACCAGTGATGACCAGCTCAGTGGTTGGACCAAGAAGCAGCTCCAAAGCACTTCCTAAAGCCAAATTTGCACCAAAAAAGAGGTCATGTCACTGTTTGATGATCTGCTGCTGGTCTGATCCACTACAGCTTTCTGAATCCCAGCGAAACCATTACATCTGAGAAGTATGCTCAGCAAATCGATGAGATGCACGGAAAACTACAACGCCTGCAGCCGGTATTGGTCAACAGGAAGGGCCCAATTCTTCTCCATGACAACGCCCAACAACACGTCACACAACCAAAGTGGAAAGACTTGGGCTATGAAGTTTTGCCTCATCCACCATATTCACCTGACCCCTTGCCAACCATCTACCACCTCTTTAAGCACCTCGACAACTTTTTGCAGGGAAAATGCTTCTGCAAGTGGCGGGATGCAGAAAATGCTATCCAAGAGTTTGTCGATTCTCAAAGCACAGAATTTTACACTACAGGGATAAACAAAACTTACTTCTCATTGGCAAAAATGTGTTCATTGTAATGGTTCCTATTTTGATTAATAAAGATGTGTTTGATTCTAGTTATAATGATTTAATATTCACGCCTGAACCGCAATTACTTTTGCACTAACCTAACACCATGTGAGAACACAGTTCATAGAGAGAACAAGAAGGTTCTCTCTCCAAACCAGGAGGCGAGCTTCCACTGAATACTGAATTTGCTGACAATTTGATCTCGGACTTTCCACCCTCCAGGACTATGAGAACTTTCTGTTGCTCATGAGCCACACAGTCTATGGTAATTTGGGAAAGCAGATTGAACTGACCAAGACAGTACCCAGTTACCTTCTCAGCTGAAGACATTTCTTATTTCCTTTCTTAAATCCTCAGCATTCTCACTGAAAAGTCAGTGTATGACTTTTCCTGGATTGAGAATCCTCATCATCTTGCTAGCCAAAAACCAGAATGAATTTATCAGTATCAGCAACCACCCTTTCTTCTCATAGATGGATTTTTGCTCATGTTTCAAACTTAGTGTATAGGAAAGCATAAAAATACAAAAAATGGTAAGTAACAGAGACTGAGGCTGAAGTAACTGAGACTGAATTTGCAGTGCCAGAGGCAAGGATATGAAAAAGGTGGCTCATTATTTTACTCACACTAAATGGACTTCAGTGATTTGTTGATGGGTGAAGTATTCAGGAATTGTTTTGCTTTTGATAGGTGACAAGAATGTGATTTCTTACACGCCGTGTACTGAAGTTGGTAGCTGTGTGTTTTATTTTATTTTACTTTATTAATTTTTATTGGGGTTTCTGCAGAAGAAGAAAGGGAATTTCCCCTGTACAACAGAGCAGGGCAAATGGGTATGATGGGGGATATGTAGAGGGTTGGGAACCGGGAGTAAGCTGTGCAAAGGGCAGTGCATGTGGACCACCCAGAAGGTTATGGGCATCCCCTAATGATTCTCTCACATGATATCAGTACCTCAGTGAACAGAGTTTCACTCTTGTTGCCCAGGCTGGAGTGCAATGGTGTGATCTCGGCTGACCGCAACCTCTGCCTCCTGGGTTCAAACAATTTTCCTGCCTCAGCCTCCTGAGTAGATGGGATTAATGGTGCCCGCCACCACGCCCAACTAATTTCTGTATTTTTAGTAGAGACAGGGTTTCACATGTTGGCCAGGCTAGTCTCGAACTGCTGACCTCAGGTGATCCACCCGCCTTGGCCTCCCAAAGTGCTGGGATTACAGGTGTGAGCCACTGTGCCCAGCTGACATCAGTACCTCTTATGAACAAACATGGGTTAGGTTTGATAATGTCTGAGTGGTTAAAAGGTGACAAGTGATATAACTGTACAATGTGTTCAAATGGGAAAGAAACTGAATTGGGAATCTGAAAACTGAGATTTAGGTCCCACTTTGTAACCAGTTTGCTATGATGCCCTTGGCAAGTCACCTAACAAGCAACGCTCTACCCTCCCTCAGAGCTGCCTGTTTGCGTTTCTCCGGACAAGACATAAATTCTATTCTGTGTTACAAACTCTGACCTCTCCTCAAAGTGTGTGAGCTCGCCCAGAGTAAGGGGACATCTTTGTACATTTTATGGTGTCTCCTAGCTTGCCTTCGAATGTAGCAAGTTTAAATAACTGATAGCCAAGAAATGGGGCTGTGGAGCAGGAGATGGTAAGTCGCATTTCTTGAGCCCTGAATGAATGCAAAGGGCTTTTCATATCACCTCACATCCTCCTCACAGACACAGGCCTGGATGACAATCGTCTTTTGATAGTGAGACAGATAATGGTTGTAGACATTCATTCACTTACACAAGTTCACAGGGATGCTGTTATGGGCTGAACTGTGTCCCCCCGCCAAAGATAAGTGAATGTGATGTTTAGGGTCTTTGGAGAGTACTCAAGTTAAGGCGAGATCATTAGGGTAGGGCCTAATCCAATATGACTCATGTCCTGAAAAGAAAAGGGAAACGCCACGGGAGACACAGAGCAGAGGGCCACGTGATGCAGGCAGAGGTGTCAGTGACACAGCTGCAAGCCAAGGAACACTGAGGATCTATGGCTGCCACCAGAGACCAGGAAGAGGCAAGAGCGGATGCCACCCAGAGTTTCAGAGGAAGCCCTGCTGAGACTCAGTGTTGAACTTCTCACTTCCAGAGCTGGGAGAGGAAATGCCTACTGCTTTAAGCCATGGAGTTTGTAGTACTTGGTTACAGCAGCTCTGGGAAGCTGACACAGATGAGGAAAGTGGCTGAGCTGGAATTGAACCCAGGACAATCTAACTCCAGGGCCAAGCTCTTCATCGCCGTTGCTACAGTTTTGATGACAACTAACAAGTCCTAATCCTAGATGGTTCTAGAGTGGAAAAGGATAAGATTTACCCTTAAAAACTGAAAAAGTAAAACTCAACAGTAACCACTATGATATTGGACATGTAGGAATAAGAAGTCTTGGTTTGTTGGCCTTCGGTGCCTGCAGGCTCTTTAACAGTGAACTCATTCATGCCCTCAGGAAAGCCATGTGTTTCTAACATTTAGCCAGAGTAATACACTGAAATGAAATCACTCAAGTTATTTTTTTAATTCTCTCTCATAATTGTCTCATTCTGGAAATTTGTTAATTATAACCAAGAATTTAATTGATATAATTCGAGCATCTGAATATAGTATTAACAAGTCAGAATGAAAAATCATGCACCTGATGCTTTTTTCTCATTTTAAATATTTTTTTGACACTTAAAATGGTATAATTCTGACATTTCAACTAAAGAAAAAGATCACCTCAGACAGGATGACATACTCTATGTTAGTGTTATGTAAAACATCTTGTCTTTTGGAATATGAGTGTTTTCTATAGGTGGTGTCACAGGATAGAAAAACAGGGTCACATTCCATTCCTGAGCTAAAACACGTTCCCCCAGTAACTTTGATCTGAGGCCACACGGTTTGCAAGCCTGGAGCAGGACGTGAGTCCGGAGCACAGGAGCAACTGGAGAGGGACTTATCCACTCTCACTCCCCACACTGTCCCAGCGTCTGTCATCCAAGACACACAGGTCGCCTCAATCCACTGAAGACACCTATATTTAGGCTTCACTTGCTCTGTGTCTGAGGCAAACCAATGGACTGTAAAAAGTAAACATGAGCCTTTCCAGACAGCCTGCTCTTCCTGTCTTATCCTGGTTTGGGATGAGGGGAACAACTGTTATCTACTTTCATATCTAGAATCAGGGTTTGTGGTTCACTTACTCAGGATCAATCAATCAATTCACCAGTATTGACTGAGCACAAAGTCTGTGCTGGGGATGCTCCTAGGTGCTGGGAATGTAGCAGGGAATAGCAGCCAAAGCCCTTTATGGTAGAGAGAGCTAGAATTAAAAAGCAATCTTGGAACCAACCCAAATGCCCATCAGTGATAGTCTGAATAAAGAAAATGTGGCACATATACACCATGGAATACTATGCAGCCGTAACAAAAGCATGAATTCATGTCCTTTGCAGGGACATGGATGAAGCTGGAAACCATCATTCTCAGCAAACTAACAAAGGAACAGAAAACCAAACACCACATGTTCTCACTCATAAGTAGGAGTTGAACAATGAGAACACACTGGGGCCTGTCAAGGGGTTGGGGGCTAGGGGAGGGATAGCATTAGAAGAAATACCTAATGTAGATGACAGGTTGATAGGTGCAACAAACAACCATGGCATGTGTATACCTACGTAACAAACCTGTACGTTTTGTACATGTATCCCAGAGCTTAAAGTATAATAATAATAATTTAAAGAAAAGTAAATAAGGGCTGGGAACAGTGGCTCACGCCTGTTGTCCTAGCAACTTGGGAGGTTAAGGCAGGAGGATGGCTTGAGGCCAAGAGTATGAGACCAATCTGAGGAACACAGCAAGACCCCATCTCTACAAAAATTTTAAAAATTAAGCAGACATGGTGGCACAAACCTATATTGCCAGCCACTCAGGAGGCTGAGGCAGGAGGATGGATTGAGCCCAGGAAGTTGAGGTTGCAGTGAGCTATGATCACACCATTGTACTCCAGCCTGGATGACAGAAACCCCAACTCTTAAAAAAATAAAGTAAATAAGGAAGTGTGTCAAATAAAATGAGAAATGTGGAGAAAGATAAAGCAGGAAAGCTTTCACTGTGAGCAGACACCTGACAATGAGGGAGGAAGCTGTGGCTTCTCTGGGGGAACTGTAGTCCCGGTGGAGTGGGGGTGGTGCATGGCTGCTCTGGGAATATCAAGGAGTCGAGTGTGGCTGGAGAAGAGGAAGGGAGAGGAAAGTTGTAGGAGATGAGTTTCGAAAGGTTAGTGCAATGGGGTAAGGCTCAGAATCCTGTAGGTGACTGTCAGGACCTCAGCTCAGACCCTGATTCCTGGGTGTGAGGTTCCAGCCCAGGAGCTCTGTTCCTTGACTGTGAAGAAAATCATCATCGATACTGTGAGGCTGAGTGCGGCTGGAGAGGGGCAGGAAAGAGTCAGGGCTGCCATCTGGAGGACCTTCCTATAGTCCAGGTGAGAGGCATTGGTCCAAGGCAATGGCGACGGAAGAGGTAAAAACGTGCTGGGCTCTCTACATATTTGGGTAGGCCCAGCCGGATTTTCTGGTGAATGGATCAACGTGGCTACGACAGGAAGAGAGGATGACTTCAAGGTTTTTGACCTAACAAACTGGAGGCTGTGGCTGACGTTTCCCACAGTGTAGTAGACAGGGAAGAGCATTTATTCCCCAGACTAATGCTATTTAACAGGAGGGAAATACTGTGACTGAGAAGCAAAAAGGAGAAATTTGGGTGGAGCTTCGGAAGGAGACATTGACCAAACGTCAGCCAGTCCCCCACACTAGATTTATTACCTTGCTGGTTGCCAATTACTTATCTGTGGCTGGTCTCTTTACTGCCATACACCTCTGTCTGACTGGACAGGGCAGTACTGAGCATTTGGGAAATGGATGCAGCTTCTGTGATGGTGCGGAATGCTCATGCCCTCATGGGGTTCCAACCTCAAGCTGTGTTATGTTAGACGCTCCATTTGCCTCACTTTTCTTGTGATGGGTTTCTGACCACTTTCAACTTCCCCTTCTTCTTGTCAGTCTGCATCCTAAGTTGGCAGTGTATACTAAGTGTGGGGTTTCAAAAAAGTTCTATCATAGTTAAATGAAAATTTATCTAACATGAGTCCCATTCGTCAAGTACATTCTCAACATCAAGGACTCAAGCATAAAAACACGCTTCCATACATTCACGTATTGTGACTATAACACTAAAAAAAACAGAAATCATAGTATCTTACAAAATTATAAGTGAAAGAGCCACATCATAGATAGTCTTCATTTTGGAGTCTGTATTTTTAAAAGAACAGGCTGAAATTGAAGAGGCAGAGAATATCTAACTAGTAAAAGGTGTAAAGAACCCAAGGAAAGTGATGAAATAGTGTTCTCTCTTCAAAAGTGATTGTTCCTTCCAGTATAAAGCAGAACTTTGACATCCTATGTATCATGGACCTAGAGATAAAAACAGCTTATGCAGTCACCACAGGATTCAGATTAAAATGGTGACTTTTTTTAACTTTTATTTTAGATTTGGGGGTACATGTGAAGGTTTGTTACATAGGTAAACATGTGTCAGGGGGTTTGTTGTACCTATTATTTCATCACCCAGCTATTAAGCCCAGTACCCAATAGTTATCTTTTCTGTTCCTCTCCCTCTTCCCACCTTTCTCCCTCAAGTGTCTGTGGTTCCCTTCTCTGTGTTCATGAGTTCTTATCATTTAACTCCCACTTATAAGTGAGAACACGCAGTATTTGGTTTTCTGTTCCTCTGTTGGTTTGCTAAGGATAACGGCTTCCAGCTCCATCCATGTTCCACAAACGACATGACCTCATTCTTTTTTATGGCTGCATAGTATTCCATGGCATATATGTACCACATTTTCTTTATCCAATCTGTCACTGATGGGCATTTAGGTTGATTTTAAAACATAGTGAATTTTAATTGACTACTTAAAAAAAGACTATCAGGAAGTAGGAGAATCATTTTCTTAGAAAATATACTGTATGTTTTTCAAGCTAATGTTTATTAACCTCAGATGCACTTTCTCTGAAAATGTCTTTGTTTGTTAAATATTGGCTTTACCGCTTCATTCTCAAGGAAAATTTTGTTATGAAAGTAAAACTTATGTTGTTTCAGTGTCCTGAAACCCCTTAGAAATTTAATTCTACTTGAGAAGTATTTATTGAACACTTACTAAGAGAAACATAATCTGCCAAGAAATGCCAAGATCACTAAGATGTGTAAAGCAATATTCTAATTTTACCGCACATGGTCAAATATAAAGCAAGACTTTTTTGGACCAAAATTATACCTCAGAAAAGATGCGGTTTTCTTATTTCAAGATATTATACTATTTATCTTATTACGGTTATATTCCAATTACTTCATTGTGAACAACAAAATAATATTTGGGGAGAACCATTAACCTCGTGCTCTTCCAGAAAGACTGAATAATCAATAAAAAGAGAAAAACTAAAGGAGAAAAATGGAATATCGTAGGAGTTACCTATTGGAGGATTGGCAGAGAAAGAGAGTGGTGAAGGGGAGAGGAAAGGAGGACCAGGAAAGAAAGGACTGGATGGGAGCCGTCCAATTTTGGAGCAGCCAAGGGAAGGCAAAGTTGGAAATGCGGTCGCCAGTGCTGAGCACTGCAGAGGAAGAGAAGCAGATGCCCACTGAGGTGGCTGTGGGATTTGGTGACTGTGGCGTCAATGGCAACGTCAGACACGGGAGACACTAGATTACGATGGCATCAAGATGCTAGCAGCTGGTGGTTCTTAACATCAATCAAAGAAAAGACCAATAGCTGGAGGGTGAAATAGAATCAATGAGTGCTTTTTGTTTTTCAGAGGCAAGGGAAAACCGATTAAGCTTGCAGGCAGCAACATTTGTAGAAATACACACAATGTCTACATTCTATTCATATTTATTTTTGTATATTTCCATTTTCCACCAGATCATCTTATTTAGCAATTTTAGCTCTGATAGAATGAGGATGTCCCCTTTCTTCTAGAACCACTCCTGGGCATTTTCCCTGAGGCACTGCATGGTGTCTGTACCTGCCATGCACACCAAAAACGTGGCTGTCTGCCCATGGCTACATATGGATGCATTTCCCCCATTCTATGAACTTATATTCATATTCCAGCTCTCACAGTAAACACAAAGCAGGTGCGGAAGGGTGATTTTCAAGCTATTTGGGGCTAATTTCCAGCATTCAGAAGGCTGCATGGTGGGTTGAACATAACAGCTGCCTAGCAACAAGACTGACATACATCAAGAAAACAGAGAGAAGTATGAAGAAAAAGGAGCACAAGTGGGCTTGAGAGAGATATAAAACCTGCTTCAATGTGGAGAGCCGGGAAGGATAAGAAAGAGAAATGGGACGGGGAGGGGCGGGGATTGCAGAAGTGCTTTTCCCCTAAGGAGGGAGTACTAGTTATTTTTTCTTTTAAGGAAAAGGATATGAAAGCAGAGACAAAGTTGTCAAAAACGTTCTAGTTCACACAGAAATCTATTTTGTTCTCTACACGTGCACATTTTTTCCCTCCTTCCCATGATTCTGACAGGAAATATCCACCCATCATTGCAGTTTAGTTCTGTCTGTCCTGCTGTGGGTCTCCTCTGCTGTCCTGCAGCCTCCGCACGCCCACACTGCAGGGCAGGGCCCCCTTTCACCATGCACTCCTGCCCACCCCTTCTTGCATTCTGCCCCTTCCTGAGGGTCCTCTGCATCAGGACCAGTCACGTCACCTCCCATCTCCCCACAATCCCTGGCACTTGCCGTGCCCTTGAACTGGAGCCTGTCAGCAGACATGTGGACGCACAGCCATAGAGCTCACCAGTCTTCTCCCTCAGTTCCCATGACCCCGCCCTGCGTATTTACAAGAAAGATGGAAAGGGGACTTCAGCTATATCTTGCGATGGCTTTTGCACCTCCTGAGTGCTGAGGCTTCGAATTTGGTCTTGAGTTTATTTTCACATCTACAGGGACCCGTATGAGGCTTCTCAGTTCTCACCATGGTCTGCACATGGCTCTGCTAAGGGAGGAAGAAGTCTTCGCATTATCACTATGACAATTCCAGGGCTACTGCTTCTAGGGCTGGCCAACACGGATTTCCCTTCTACTTCCAAACTAAGGAGAACAGGCTGCTATCGTCTTTTAGGAACACAAATGCACCACTCAAACGAAGACATTGTGACACTTCACATTGCTGCAAACGTCTTTCCCATGCAATTCTTGGCTCAAGAGCCTCCTTGGAACCATAGGGAAGGGCTGCCTCGCAGCCCCAGGAGGTCTCTCTTGCAGTCTGGGGCACTGGTATGGTAAGGGACTTCCCTAAATTCTACATGCAGCTTTCTGCAGTTGAAAATGGAGCGTGAGGGAAAAACAGAAGGGAGGGAGGGACAGGGAAACAGGAAAACAAAGGAAGATTTATAGAGTGCCCATAAATTCCAGGTGTGATATGAGACGATTCCACATCATCACTGACTTCTCACAACAACTCCAGAATGACATTTTAAGGCATTATGTCATAAGACAGTCAGTTTATTGCAAAGCTAGCATCTTAATCTGGACTGTAGGATCTTGAGTCAAATGTAGTTTCTAAATCAATATGGGAGATGGGATGATAGATGTTCCTCCCTATTGTTTTAGTGTTTGAAAAGATAAAGACAACCAACATACAGAATAATGTACAAATGAAGCATATTAGTAATACAGAAAACAGCCAGGTGCGGTGGCTCATGTCTGTAATCCCAGCACTTTGGGAGGCTGAGGCGGGTGGATCACCTTAGGTCAGGAATTCGAGACCAGCTTGGCCCAAAATGGCGAAACCCCGTCTCTACTAAAAATACAAAAATTAGCTGGGCATGGTGGCGGGCACCTGTAATTCCAGCTACTCAGGAGGCTGAGTCAGGAGAATCGCTGGAACCCAGGAGGTGGAGGCTGCAGTGAGTCAAGATCATGCCACTGCACTCCAGCCTGGGGGACAGGGCGAGACTCCATCTCAAATAATAATAATGACAATAATAATAATAATAATAATAATAATGCAGAAAACAAAAAAGGCAAGACTCTATGCTATTCTCTTAAATTCTATGATTGCTTTTGCCTTAAATTCCAAGTCTTCTAAATCAGGGTCATATTCCCCCTCTCCCCCACCCTCTCTCATTGTGGCGGTGGTTGTTTTTGTTACTAGTATTTTAATGTCCTTATGGCCAAATTTATTAGGAATTAATCTCTTAAGATTCTAAGACAGCATCTGAAACGGGACTCAGTTTCTGACTCTCACAACGCCGTTGGCAGAAACCCAGAGGAAGGGAAAGGAGCGGGCCTGGAGGAGTGAGGGGCTGCCCGCCCTCCTGAGCGGTTGCGGGACCACCTGAGGCCCTCGGCGGGGCTGTTCACCATCGTCTGGCCATGGCCAGGCTGCTGTGGCCTCTCCTCCTCTGTGTGCTTCTGTCTAAAGGCGCTGTGTCTTCTTCTCGCGCGATGCGGAAGGGCAGCCTGTGGCGGTGCCGAGCATGAAGGACTGCGGCCCGCTGAGCTCACTTCACCGCAACCGCCGCCTCTCAGGCACCGCATCCGCAGCACCGTCTTAATCCCAGGGATTCATTCATGTACTTTATGTCATTAAGCCAGGGGGTCTCTCCTCCCAGACAATATGGGAGCTGAATAATAAAAAAAAAAGAATGCTGAATTATGCTTCAGCTCCTGGGATTAGGCAATACCAGGAAGCAGATAAAAAATGAATTCAGAGCATCTGCTAAGAATTTACATGACAATACTCTCGAGTTCTCTTACTCAAAGCTGGTCCCACCGTTTCATTTTAGTTGTGCCATATAACAACATTGTATTTATTCAAGAAATGGATGAAAGTGAAACACTAAATTAGAAGTGTCTCAGCATGAAACATACACCAAGCTCCATCTCCTGAGCAGCCTTTCCCACACGTAATGTTTATTTTAGCCAGGTTTGTACTTGCTTCCCATACAGCCCTAGGATATTTTTCAACACAGACTCCGCACCCGTGCATACCTAATACTCAGAACCATCTACCAAAGGGGACATTGAATTTAAAACTGTGCCCTCTTGGAGAACCCAGACTGCGATGGAGCTGAAATAATGGTCGCAGGCAGAGGAACCAACCACACTGTTCTCTGATTTGATCACGCATGCTCAGGAGGACACTGAGCCCAGCCTGTTTTGTACATTCAAATCGATATCTTTATCCTTCATGCATTTTATAATTCACTGGCTGAGCCATGGCTTGTATTTATCAGGTACAAGAACAGCTTGTTTCGTTAAACTGAAAAGAACAGATGTTCATTTGTTGTTTAAGCCTAAATAAAAGACCTGTTTAAGCTCTGAGGTTTAAGTAAAATTATCCCATTCCTAAAGCAATTTGCTCCTTAATCAAATATTCACCAAGGTCAGTCTGACCTCCTATCTTTCAGGAGGGACAGAAAATTAAACAGGTAGATTTAGTTGTTGGAGATATTTGTTATTCCAGTGTTTTTCTCCTCTTACTGAAGAGAGAAGGCTGTTCTTGAAAATGGCTAAAGAGCGTTGTGGAGTTTTTAGTTCGTTTGTTTGAGACAGACCACACTTTTGTCACCCAGGCTGGAGTGCAGTGGCACAATCTCGGCTCACTGCAACCTCCACCTCCTGGGTTCAGGTGATTCTCCTGCCTCAGCTTCCCAAGTAGCTGGGATTACAGGCACCCGCCACTACGCCCAGCTAATTTTTGTATTTTTAGTAGAGACAGGGTTTCATCATGTTGGCCAGGCTGGTCTCAAACTCCTGACCTCAGCTGATCAGCCCACCTCGGCCTTCCAAAGTGCTGGGATTACAGGCGTGAGCCACTGCACCTGGCTGGTGTTGTGAGTTTTGTGGCTAATGCCAATAATTTTAGTATTTAAACAAGTTTATGCCTATTTCAGATATTGAGTTACTCACTACCATATGAATCTACTGTTCAGAATATCATTGCCAGTGCAATTGATTAGCACATCACTGAGAAGTTAAGAATGAAATAACAATGATCTCCAAAGGAGCAGCCTGGTGCTGAGACCACATGGCTGGTTTTACAGCAAGGCACTTTCCTCTGCACACCTCCTTCGGAAAGTGTGGCAAGGGTTGAATTAAGAGCTAGAGTTTGGCATCTGAACTGAATTATGTTTGCTAATTTGGAAAAATATTACTTTAAAAATACAGCCAATCAATATTTATTATAAAGACAAAATAAACATTTGGCCCGTGAGATATTAAACATTAGTAGCAGTGAATTTTAATGTCATTTAACTCTATTATGCCACATTGAGCCATGAAATGCAACAGATATGTACATTTTCAGAACATATCAGAATGATCAATTTAATACAAATAATGGACTTCCTATTTCTTTTCAGTGAGACGCTTTAAATATAGATCTGTTGCCTTTGAGTAATATAACAAAGATGACTGGATAATAGTGAGGGGTAATTAGCAACATTAAGAATCAGAGTCCCAGACACATATTCTGAGGGAAAATAATTTGTGCACCAAATTGTCATATTGTATCTTGATGACTTACTTTCACTATTTGTAAATATTGGATGGATAGGTCCAAATGATAAGAAAAGATGCATGACATTTGAAATGTCATGGAAATTAAGGTATATTATCATTCACTGATAGGCACTAATAATGGTAATGAAGATCAAAATTCAAAAACAGTCATGATTAAAATTGGCATTAGCTAGAACCCTAAAGAAATTAATATTGTATAAGATGGTTCATCTCTTAATATCCACTAATATATCACATGCCTTTGACACAACACATATCTCAAAGGCTGGATCCTATCTAAGCTTTCTACCTGGAAGTTACCTCTTTTGATAACTACCCATTGAGACAAACACAAATACAACATCGTGCTTGGTACTGGGGAAACCACAGTGAAGCAGAGAATACTGTCTGGGAGTATGCTTTGAACAGAATGCTGGGCATTGTCCAGTGGGCCCTCTGGTAATTACCTAATTCTACAGAAGTGTGACCTTCGATTGCTTGTGAGAAGGTTATTTTATAGCTCTGTGGATATAGAAAACTTCTAGCAATGCAAATAATTCCTTTCCAAAGCAGCACAAATGATGTCTATCTTGGGCAGCACAGATAAATTTTGTCAGTAGAGAATACAAATCTCTATAAATCTATTTTTCATTTGAACTTGTTTTAACATATTTTCTCTAGTCTCTGCTGCAAACAGAGACTGGAGTTTTGGGCACCCCACTTTATCAAAGCATCCCATATCAAGACAGCTAACATGTTATAGGTCAAATTTAATAACGATATTTCAAAGTTTCTCTCCGTCACACATTTCTGTTTCCATAGTGTATGGATCTGTTGACTTCTCCCTCATTGAAATCGCCTTATCACTGACTATCATCCACACTTGGTTGTTCCCTGTTACCTGCCTTACACATCGTCAGTGTCCCTTATAGACCCTGGTCTGTCCACACTCCCACTAAGCGTATGTGCTCCTCAGCATCTGCTTCTTGGCTCTCCCAGCATGTCTTTCTTTAGCGATCACAAACACATTCAAGGTTAAAACTATCATTTAGGAATGAATGACTTAAAAATGTTATGTACTCAAATGCAATCCTCCCTTTCTTGACCTTCACACCTATGTATTGAATTTCCTTCTGGATAGCACAGCTTCGATCTCCCAAGGAGACCTCAAGACAAGTTGCTGTCTCCATCCATCCTCTCACATCCCCAGTCATTCGCTCCCATTCCACTGGGTCCGCCCTCTCTCCGCCTCCCTACCTGCAGACCTGGGCTCTGTCAAGACTGGTTCATCAACTTGTGGTCCTTCCACATCCTAAACATCTCGAAAGTTTATGTCGTTTTCTTCAGCTCAATGAAGTTTTCTCTCTACAACTTCAACTAAATCTTCCTCAATTACTCTCATCAATAGTCTCCAAAATACAACTCTCATGCCCTATCTAGTTAATTTGTTGCGTGGTCTTGCTTACTATCCTGCAGTGACTCCTCACCTCCTGCATCCAGTCCTAGCTTTTAGTTTGGCACCAGGACCCTTCATGTGGCAGTCCTTGCTGTGTCTTTCCCTAGTTCAACGTCTCCCTGGCCATCGGGATCTGCTCTCCCCCAGGCTGAACCTGCTGAACTCACATGCTCCCTCAGTGCTGCACTTCTGCACCTGCTTGTGTGTACACCCCTTTCGGGCTCATTTTAAGTGGTCTTAAAGACTCAACTCCATGTCAGCTACTGCAAGATGTCCTATAAAGCTCTACCCATAAACCCACACTGACTGGTCTAGATGCTTCCTTTCTGGGCTCCTTCTACTTTATCACTCCAAATGGTCATTTTTCTGTTTTCTCTGGCTTTGAAGATAGGGGCTTTTTTGTGCATTCCATATTTTTATCCCCAAAGTGTCCCACACTTTGGGACACTTTAGTGTCCAGACATTCACAAACTATTGCTGCATGAATAAAAAAAAAGGAAGGAAGGGAAGGAAGGAGAAATGAGAAGAGGTGGGAGAAAAAATTTTAATAATTACTTAAATATTATTTCTTAACATAATTAATATACAATGTTTACTTATATGTATACTTAATAAAGTGAGTAAACTTAAGTATTATTTAATATGATTCTAATAATGATTCACGGATGTGATGATGCTAGTGACCATCCCCTTAAACAAATACATATACACGAGTGATGTATGGCATACAGCCTGTTTCATTAGCTGTCAAGGTAAAAGTGCAATTTCATAGCCATTCATTTCTTATTTTCATTTCTAATTATATTAAAGGGTATCGACAATGTAACTTTAATTGGCACCTGGTCACCATCTCTGAGGTCAAAGTCATCATCAAGTCATCAACCTGCTCTTTCACACGGAGGAGGCGGCAGTTGTGTTGGTGCCATCAATTCCATGTATAGGGAACAGATGCAGTCATTAGGATGAATTGGCAATGCTATCATTGCTTCTCTAGGCTACTGCACCCTACATGATTGTTATCTAATCGTTCTCTTTTCCTCTTATTCATCTGGATTATTTTAAAAATTTATAAGTACCCAGGTTTTCTTTAGATGTGTCTTCTTCTACACTTTTAGATTGGATGGTATTAAAAGAAGACTATGACAATTTGCTTAACATCAATTTTAAACATCTAAAATACATTTAGAAACAGGAACTGCTGAGTGGATTAACTTCAGTAAAAATGACAAAATGGATCAACTTTAAGCCTGTCTTTATACATAATGCATTATATATGTGTTGCAATAGAAAGATACATACTGCATACGACCACAGATCTATATTACAGAATAGAAATAGATGCAAGCTATGACTTCACAAAAGCTTCATTCCTAGACACTCCATCTCTTTGACAGACTGTTGCAAATATTTGGTATGATGCTGGTGCCCTTGAAAACTCTCTCATGCTGTCCTGATTGCCACCCACCAAGTGCAATTATCTGCACACTTGAGAGATTTACAAGGAACCTGCCCTTATAAACATTGAAACACTGTGTCTTGCTCACCTATAGGATTATTGGAAACGTATCCAGCCAGCATTAAGTATGACTCCCACTTAGAGTAAATGTTAGAGGTCATGGAGCTTTTGATTCTTGGTATTTTACCTTCTTTTTGTCTTTTTCTCATTATGTTTCGTAAGTTCTTGACTATCATTCATGCCTCAATCTATATCATCTTTCTTCTACCCAGCACCCTCAGTACACCTTTCCCTAACTCACAGACCCAATGGACAATTCATAATAACCCTTGCTTTTTGATCGTCTCTACTGCAGAAGCTTTTTTTTTTTTTTTTTTTTTTTTTTTTTTTTTTTTGAGACGGAGTTTCCCTCTTTTTGCCCAGGCTGGAGTACAGTGGTGCAATCTCAGGCTACTGCAAACTCTGCCTCCCAGGTTCAAGTGATTATCCAGCCTCAGCCTCCCGAGTAGCTGGGATTACAGGCGCCCACCACCACGTCCAGCTAATTTTTGTATTTTTAGTAGAGACAGGGTTTCGCCATGTTGGCCAGGCTGGTCTCAAACTCCTGACTTCCAGTGATCCACCTGCCTCAGCCTCCCAAAGGGCTGGGATTACAGGTGTGAGCTACCTCGCCCGATCTGCAGAACCTCTTGATTCTCATTTGCATAAGCTTTATATTCCCTTGCTTAGCCTTTTTAACACTGCAATCTGGTTTTCATTTATTACCCTGGTTTTAAATACTAGCCATATTCTGGTGATATTCAAATATATATCTTCTGCCAGAATTGTCTTATAGATATGTGAATATATATTCTTATATTCATACGCATATAATCTTAGAGCCCCTCTGCCTTAGCATCTCACAGGTACCTTGAACCCGCTTCATCTAAAGCTAAACCCATTATCTTCTGCTTGGTACCTGCTTTTTTTTCTTTTTCTTTTTCTTTTTTGAGATGGAGTTACTGCAACCTCCGCCTCCCAGGTTCAAGTGATTCTCCTGCCTCAGCCTTCCAAGTAGCTGGGATTACAGGCGAGGGCCACCAGGCCCAGCTAATTTTCATATTTTTAGTAGAGACGGGGTTTTGCCATGTTGGCCAGGCTGGTCTCGAACTCCTGGTCTCAAGTGATCCACTCGCCTTAGTCTCCCAAAGTGCTGGGATTAAAGGCATGAGCCACTGCACCTAGCCTGCTTTTTTCCATTATTATTTATCTCAGTGAAGGGCATCATTACTCTTCCTGTAACCTAAGCTAGACCTTCAGAAGTTATCTTCAATTTTCACCTTTGTTAAGCCCCATATTTATAATTGTTATATTTTTAGATTCAAAATATATTTTTTCACAACTAGCCCTTCAGTTCATTAAAATTACCACTGTTTTAACTTCAGCTACCATCGTAAACTAAACTCTACTTAGCTGCTAAAAGTGTTTCTTAAAGAGGAGTGATGTTACCTTCCTCAAGGGCATCTGGCAGTGTCTGGAGAGGTTTTTGTTCTCATGATGGGGAACGGGGTGCTCCTCCTGCATTCAGTGAATAGAGACTAGGTATGCTGATAATATTCTATAAATCACTGGTCAGTCTACGACGATGGTGAATTATCAGGCCACAAATATCAAATGCCAAGTTGAGAAGCTCTGTGCACAGCAATCCAGCTCAGAAGTCAGCATTTTCTCTAAAGAGCCAGATAGCAACTGCTTCAGGCTTTGTGGGCCTACAGTCTGTATTGCAACACTCAACTCTGCTTTGAAAATGATATGAAAACAAATGGGTATGGACGTGTAACAATGAAACTTTATTTAAAAAACAGGCTGCTGAGTGGATTTGGCCCGTCAGCTGAAGTTTGCCAACCCCTGATCTAGCTTAAAGAAAAATACAATCACGTTATTAGCATTGCAGGAAATGTTCAATGCCTATTAGTTACAGCATAAAGTCCAAGTTTTATACCCTAAAATACAAAGGTTCTACCTTTCTCTCATTTTCTCGTCTTTTCCACCTGTTCTTATGCCACTGCAATGGTGGCATCTTTTCCTGTACACCTTAAGATGCTGCTCATGCCCATCCCTTTTTTCATATTAAACTCAACTACCCTTACGCTCAGGTCCAGTTCTAAGTCTGGGAGCTCCTCTTTTGCATTTTTGGATGTGTCCATCTCTCATCGTTGCTCAAGGCCCCTGCGGGAGCACTTAAGTACTCTTTTCTCTGGAGGTATCATGCTATTCTCCTAGGCTCTGCTGACCCCCACCACAGTGCGGGGTGTCTGTCACCCCAACTTTCCCTTGAGATAGTGGGTTTAAGCATGACCTACTCATCTTTGTATCCTCAACATGTAGAATAACATCAGGTAGTTTGTGGGACTCAATATTCACCCTAATGCATAACTTTCATGGAGGTGTCTTTGAGTTTTCAAGCTTTTAGGTCTTCAGAGAACATTTTGGCAATAAATAAATATCTAGAATAAAGGCACCATGCAGTATTTTACTTTGTTAGATTTTATTTGAGATGACTTCTTAATTTTAAATATTTCAATGAATTATGTTGAGAAAGTATATCTGTAGCTTCATATGAAGAATTTATAGTTTTAACCAAGTGAATAAATAACGTATGAGAATTCTGAGGACAGAATGTATAAGACTCACATATATATGTCTATGTATGTGTGTTTATCTATAATATATAAATAAAATATGTGTTTACATATGACTTATAACTTTCAAGTCTGTCAATACGTTTTTGTTTGCTTGAAATAGATAAATATTGTTAGTATGATATTATGTATAATTTCTCTGATCACTGAAATTGAATGGTAAGAGCACATAATAAAGGCCAGAGGCATTTGCTAAAATCCTAATTTTTTAAGCCTCATTCCTGACCTGATAAATGGTCACACAGTACTTACAAGTAATGGTTGCTGCAAAAACTCTTGAGATAATATATGAGAAATGTAAGTGAAAGGTAATTTTTAAAAAGCGTATCCCTCTATGCTCATTATTTATAAATTCTTAAATATCTTAAGAATTTTTTTTCATGTCTCAGAGTTCTCCGGGTTAAAGCACTGGTAGATCATCAATAAAAGAATGGAGGATTTCCTGCTAACTCCTACATTCTATTGTGGACAAAGAAGGTGGCAGTTTGTCCTGAGCCAAAGCATTTTTTTTTTTTTTTGAAGAGGGGCACAGAATGTTCAGAATTCTGTTCAGAACTCTACAGAAACAAATGCATTTTTGACCATGTGGTCATTAAAGCTCCTAACCCAAGATATTCCTAAGAAAAAGAATAAAAGTCATCAGCTTCCTGGACAATTTCTAGTATGCTTAATTTTAACTTAATTAAAATCCATGCACATTCAAACAAATATAGGACTCGCCTCCACTTCCTATCCAAAACTCACGTCTAGCATCATCATTTTATGAAATACCAGCTGCTCTATGTTAATTTTTGTACAGAGATATGTCTGTTTAGGAAAAGGTGGTATACATAATCTAAATAATCAAAGCAGGAAAACAGCTATCCATATAGAAAAATATTATCCACATTATCAAAAATTATCTTAAGAAATACAAGTGTTCAGGCTGGACATGGTGGCTCATGCCTGTAATCCCAGCACTTTGGGAGGCTGAGGTGGGTGGATCACGAGGTCAGGAGTTTTGAGACCAGCCTGACCAACATGGTGAAACCCCATCTCTACTAAAAACACAAAAATTTGCTGGCTGTGGTGGCAGGCACCTGTAATCCTAGCTACTCAGGAGGCTAAGGCAGGAGAATCGCTTGAACCCGGGAGGTGGAGGTTGCAGTGAGCTGAGATCACACCACTGCACTCCAGTCTGGGTGACAGAGTGAGACTCCAACTCAAAAAAAAAAAAAAGAAATAAAGAAATAAAAGTGTTCAAACAAAACCATCATTGCAGAAAGTTCTCCATAATAAGAACTGTAGGTGCTCACAAGACACCCCAGGGGCAATTTATTTTATTCAATTTTACTTTATTTTAACTTTCATTTTAGATACAAGGGTACATGTGCAGGTTTGTGACATGGGTATACTGTGTGATGCTGAGGTTTGGGGTATGGATCCTGTCCCTCAGATAGTGAGCATACTACATGATAGGTAGTTTTTCCACTCATGCCCCGTGTCCCTAGCCTGCGGTGCTTGTTGTTCCCATATTTATGTCCATGTGTGCTCAATGTTTAGCTTCCGCTTATAAGCGGTAACACATGGTATTTGGTTTTCTGTTCCTGCATGAATTCGCTTAGGATAATGACCTCCAGCTGCATCCACGTTGCCACAAAGGACATTATTTCATTCAATTTTATGGCTGCATAGTGTTCCAGGAGCAATTTAATAGTTAAAAAAAAAAAACCCATACAGTAGGTAACTCATATAGAAAATAAATAAATCCCAGATTTCTGCTTGCAGCCATGATGGAGCAATAGTCTCCGATTTGCCCTCCCTCCTGAGACAACTGAAAATGGACAATCAATAGGAGGCAATGGCTCTCAGGTTATCTGACACCAGACAATGAAGTCAGTGACCTCTGAGAGACAGAAAACAAATGAATTAATCCCTAACTCTGCCCCAGCTGACTTCATGGAAGTTTCTGGGCTTTGACACAGAGAGGGGAACCAAAGTGAAATCTGGAGATCTCTCTGAGTGGAAGAGATGAGAGATGAGGGATACCAACCAGTTAAGAGTTTCGGGGCAGAGAATCAAAAAGGAGACAGCTGCACAGATAGGAATTTCTGGAGATTTTCAGAGGCTCCCTCTCAAGTCATAAGCAGAACACAGATCAGTACGTGCATATGAATAGACTACCTAAGTCCCAGAAAAGGACGACCAGAGTGGATTAGAGGGAACCATCCCCAGGGCAGGGACAAAAGGAAGAAGGGCTGTTCCCATCTGCCAGAGTAAAAAACTGTGTAATTCATGGGCACTGCGTACAAAACTCGATTGTTTTGCATCAGTACTAAGATATAATTGGCCCTTGGTTAAATTCTTCTCTGGCTCCAAGTGACAAAGCTGAAAAGCAAAACCCCCAAACAATAAACTGTTTCCAAGGGACTTACTTGTATCCCAAATCAAACTCTAGAATATTAATAGAAGTATAAAAATGTACATCACTGGACAAATTAAAACTCTGGTACTATTCAAAAATTACCAGGCATGCAAAGAAGTGGAAATATACAATCTATAATAAAGACAAAAATTAATCAATTAACACTGACCCAGAAATTACACAGATAATGGAATTAGTATACTAATAGATACTAGAAGAAAAACTAAATATGTTAAAGACATGCAGAATTTTTTTTAAAGAGTTTTGCTCTGTTGCCCAGACCGGAGCACAGTGGCATGAGATCTCAGCTCACTGCAACCTCTACCTCCTGGGTTCAAGCCATACTCCTGCCTCAGCCTCCTGAATAGCTGGTACTACAGGTGTGCGCCACCATGCCTAGTAATTTTTTTTTTTTTTTTTTGTATTTTTAGTAGAGATGGGGTTTTGCCATGCTGCCCAGGCTGGTCTCAAACTCAGCTCAGGCAATTTGCCTGCCCTGACCTTCCAAAATGCTAGGATTACAGGCGTGAGCCACTGCACCTAGCCTAAAGACATGCAGAATTTTAAGGGATCCAAATTAAACTTCTAGAAACAAAAACTACAATAACTTAAACCAAAAAATGCATTGAATTGGATGAACAGAAGATTAAACACTGCAGAAGAAAAGATTAGTGGACCTGAAGAGATAGTAATAGAAACTACTCCCAAATGAACATAGAGAAAAAAGACTAAGAAATATCAACAGAGCATTGTGATATGTGAGAGGACTTCAAATACCTAATACACAGGAAATTATAATTTCTAAAGGAGAAACAATAGAAAAAAGAATAGAAAAAATATTTGAAAAATTTTCCAAATTTTACAAAAGCTGTAAACTCAAAGATCCAAGAAGCCTGATGAAGCTTAAGCACAAGAAGCATGAAGGAACTACACCAAAGTGCTTACTCAAACATAGTAACATACAGAAAATCTTAAAAGCATATGGAAATAAAGACATACTGTGTACGGAAGAACAAAGTTAAGATGGACAGCAGCTTTCTTCTTGGAAAAAGTGCAAGACAGAAGAGTAAAACCTTAAAAATACTAAAAGAAAAATATGTTGACCTAAAATGCCTTTCTCATAAAAATGCCTTCCACAAATGACGTGAGAGTGTACAGCACCAGGAGTAAATGCTCATGCAAACCACAGATTCTGTGTGATAATAATGTGTCAATGCAAATTCGTCAATTATAGTAAACCTAACCCTCTGGTAGGGGATTTTTGAGAGCAGTGGAGGCTGTGAGTTTGAGGGAAAGGGAAGGTCTAGGAGAAATCTCTGTACCTTCAGCTCAGTCCTGTTATGTACCTGCAATTGCTCTAAAAATGTCTATACAGGCTGGGCACAGTGGCTCACACCTGTAATCACAGCATTTTGGGAAGCCAAGGCAGGAAAATCACTTGAGTTCAAGAGTTCAAGACCATCCTGGCCAACATCGCAAAATCCCGTCTCTACTAAAAATACAAAAATTAGCTGGGCATGGTTGTGCATGTCTGTAGTCTCAGCTAGTTGGGAGGCTGAGGCAGGAGAATCATTTGCACCCAGGAGATGGAGGCTGCAGTGAGCCGAGATTGTGCCACCATATTTCAGCCTGGGTGACAAAGCAAGACTACTTCAGCCTGGGCGACAGAGCGAGACTCCATCTCCAAAAAAAAAAAAAAGTGTAAACAAATAAATAAATTGAGCTGAAAAGAATGTAGGTAAAATAATATAAGATCCAGCCACTGCAGCTTGGAGGCAAGCCTATGAGTTTGTTAAAATATATAGAGAGAATCAGTTTCCACAGCGTCTTCTTTTTCCCAGTCTTACTTTTAGATTCTCCTCTTTTCTGCCTTCCAGCCTGAAATCTGGGCTTCATTTTCCATCTCTGCTGTGCACTCATCCAGACTGCATGTACATCTGGCGTCATGCTGCAGGCTCACTGGAAGAGGAAAACAGCCCCAGAGGTCCACCCCACTCTCTTAGGACCATTTCCCTGCTGATGGAAGAGGAAGGTTCTACTCTTGCGGAGTGTTAGGTGTCTCTGGGCCCTCTGCTATGGGATTTCTTGAGATGGAGCATGGAAGAATGTAGAAAATAAGAAATGGTATTCCCATACACTGGGAGCGTCAGGAGTTTCATGTCCTTCCCCTTGAGCCTGAAGTAGAGGCTTCTCCTGGAGCTGTTTCTGTTTGCATTAATGCCCACTTCTGGGTGCAAAGCTGCCTGGACTCCAGGCCATGGTGAACACACCATCAACTCTGTGTTGTTTCAACAAACAGAGGGAAGTTTACATTAAATGTTTATATTAGAAGAAAGATTTCCTATCACTAATCTAAGCTTCTACTTTTAGACTAGGAAAGAAAAGAACTAAATAAACCTAAGAAGAAGAAGAAGGAAGGAAATAAGATAAGAGCTGAAATTAATGAAATCGATTTACTAATTGTTTGAACAGAAAACAACAGAGAAAATACATCAAAAGCTTTTTCTTTCAATAAATAAATAACATAATACAACTCTACCAAGACTGGCAAAGAAAAAAAGACAGAGAACAGAGAAGAGGCTGTCACTGGAGACCCTGCAGACACTGAAAGGATAATAAGGGAGTACTGGTACCCACTCACAGAAATTCACAACTTAAGATGAAATAGACCAATTCCTCAGAAACTACAAACTACAAATAGATAATTAAAGATACTGAGTTCATGTTCACAACCTTCCAGATAAGACATCTTCATACCCAAGTGGCTTCTCTGATAAATTCTATCAAACAGTTAAGAAAAAATTAATACCAATTCTGCACAGTCTTCTTCACAAGGAGAAGACAGGACACTGACTTGGAGAAAACGTTTGCCAATTGAATATCCAATACACATGTGTCTTCAGAATATATAAAGAACTCGAAAAAGCAATCAACATGATACTATTTATGCAACATACCTGAACAGAAAATTCACTAAAGAAGATGTAAGGATGGCAAATAAGCCCATAAAAAGATTTTCAGGCCAGGTGCGGTGGCTCATGCCTGTAATCCTAGCACTTTGGGAGGGTTGGGCAGGCAGATCACGAGGTCAGGAGTTCGAGACCAGCCTGGCCAACATAGTGAAACCCCGTCTCTACTAAAAATACAAAAATTAGCCACACCTGTAGTACCAGCTACTTGGGAGGCTGAGGCGGGAGAATCGCTTGAACCCAGGAGGTGGAGGTTGCAGTGAGCCAAGACCATGCCATTGTACTCCAGCCTGGGTGACAGAGTGAGACTCCATCTCAAAAGAAAAAGAAAAAGAAAAAAAAAGGAAATGCTGGTATAAATTCATTTTAATGCCAGAAATGTAAAAGACTGATCAAACCACGTGTTGGACAGGAGACGGGAAGACAAAAGGGAACAACCAATTTGGAAAACAGTTTGGCAGTTTTTAAAAACCATAACCATACACTAACGCTATGCCTTAGCCATTCTACTCCTATAATTTTCCCACTCCCTCAAAAAGTGAGAACATGTCTATATAAACACTTGTACATCAGTGGTTCATAGAAGCTCTACTTGTAATAACCCAAAACTGAGAAAACCCAAATATCTATCAATGGGTGTGTAAATATACAAAATTAAGACAACTCAGCAATAAAAAAGAACGGACTATAACAATATAGATGAATGTCAAAATTATGATGCTGAGTGAAGGAAACCAGACGCAAGAGTAAACAATTTATGGTGCCATTTATTTAAAAAATAGAAAATGAAATTAATTTATAGGAGGTGACATGGTTTGGCTCTGTGCTCCCACCCAAATCTCATGTTGAATTGTAATCCCTACATGTTGGGGAAGGGACCTGGTTGAAAGTGTTTGGATCATGGGGTGGTTCCCCCGTGCTGTTCTCCTGATGGTGAGTTCTCATGAGATCTGATAGCGTAAGTGTAGCAGTTCCCCCATGCTGTTTTTGTGATAGTGAGTTCTCATGAGATCTGATGGTGTAAGTGTGCTGGTTCCCCCACGCTGTTCTCCTGATGGTGAGTTTTCATGAGATCTGATGGTGTAAGTGTGGATGTTCCCCATGCTGTTCCCCTGATGTTGAGTTCTCACGAGATCTAAGGGTGTAAGTGTGGATGTTCCCCCATGCTGTTCTCGTGATAGAGAGTTCTCACAAGATCTGAGGGCTTAAGTGTGGCACTTCCCCCCTTGCTCTCTGTCTCCTGCCACCACATAAGACATGCCTGCTTCTCCTTTGCCTTCTACCGTGACTGTAAGTTTCCTGAGGCCTCCCAAGCCATGCAGAACTGAGAGTCAATTAAACTTACTTTCTTTACAAATTGTCCATTCTCAGGTAGTTCTTTATAGCAGTGTGAAAACGGACTAATACAGGAGGCAAAAGCATATCAATGCTTGTCTGGGGATGAGAACTTGGTGACAGGTAAGAAAGTGACACTATAAAAGGGCTGGAAGCATTTTTGGGGGGTGATAGATGTTACCATCTTGGGCTCATGGGTGTATGTTTATGTAAAAACACAATTTTTTTCTTTACCAAAAACAAGGTGAAGGTAGGTCAATTACATTTCAATAAAACTGTTAAAATTGTTAAAAATAAATAAATGTCCATTCATGAAAATAATTCAGAGAAACTTAAAAAATCTGTCCTGGATGACTACCATCAAAACCAAAATGGTTTCTCCTTCTGATGTATAGTTTGCACAAAAGTAAACACTGAAGGAGTACCTTCCCGTGGTGCAAAAAGCAAAGAAAATGGACTCAGGTGAACCGAGCTTGAGATCTTGACAGGAATCACAGCGTAGCTCACCAAACTGCTAGGCAGATGAGATTACATAATGCACGCTTTCACAGTGTCTGGCCAACAGCAAAACTACTCATATTAGTCACTTGTATTGGATAAGTGCTACATTCTGGATGTTACAGTTATGAATATATTTAACCGGTGAGGATTAGTCTCACTAGGATATGCTGAAGAGCAGAAGAACATCTGTTATTTGGTCAATGTATATAACATTTTCAGAAAAAATTGATAATACATAGCATAGGCAGTCAGTGGCCTAATAAATTCACACACCAAATCACCCTATTTCTACATCAGCAGGTACTTGTCTATTGGTTAAAAGCATGTATTTCTGTATGTGTTTTAGGCTTAGATACCCCTTATTTCTAAATAATGGGACAAAGATGAAAATGTACACTAAATGAAGGAATTCATTTTTTCTTCATGCTTTTTAATAATTTGAATGCAGATCACCTGTGGAATATAAAGATATTCCACAGGCCGTGTGCAGTGGCTCATGCCTGTAATCACACAACTTCGGGAGGCCAAGGTGGGTGGATCATGAGGTCAGGAGTTCGAGACCAACCTGGCCAACATGGTGAAACTCTGTCTCTACTAAAAAGATACAAAAAAAAAAAAAATTAGCCAGGAGTGGTCTCATGTGCCTGTAATCCTAGCTACTCGGGATGCTGAGGCAGGAGAATCGCTTGAACCCAGGAGGAGGAGGTTCCAGTGAGCTGAGATTGCGCCACTACACTGCAGCCTGGGTGACAGGACGAGACTCCATCTCAAAAAAAAAAAGATATTCCATAATTTCACTCTATACTCAATATTTAACAATAATTAACATAAATCAAATAGAAAATTGAAATGTATCTTATAAAATAATGGATTTGAATATCCTAATGTAGTCTATAAGAACTGCAAGGGCACTCAATTAGCTGTTGTAGTTAAGAATTCCTTGTACGTAGCAGACAATCCATAAATATTTGTTGAAGGAAGAAAGGAAAGAAGATGAGAGTAAAGGATGGAAGGAAACAAAAGACAAAGGAGTGAGGAATGCTTCAAATTCTCAACCAGGAAATGTCACGGCATCCTTAAGACATAATCTTGTTTTTTTAGTCTTTGACATTTGTTGTTTATCTGAAATATTCTATGTCTTATCACAACCTTACCTACTGCACAGGCCCAACTCCGCCATCCATGTTGCAAAATGCCCTGGTATGTCTAGTGAGCAGCCGTGGTTGAGAGGCACTGATTTAAATAATTTGGTCTGAAGAATGCTTGGGTTGTGTGAGAGTGTGTGAGTGTGTGTGTGTGTGTGTGTGTGTGTGTTTAATGCCACAGATTTTATAACCATTAGGAGTAGCAAAAGAAAAAGAGGATTCCCTGGAAAATTTCCAATTATAAGTTGAAATCTGTATTAATTATTTCAAGAGCAAAATGATAATTAATGAGGAAGTAACCTTGTACCAGGCCCAGGGAAAGGTGAGGGGACACAATGTAAAATGGGATGCTTGTAAATATCACTCAGCTTGCATCTAGATAAGATTGTGAGAAGATATTATGGGATAGTGGGAAGAGCAAATCTTTATTCCAAATATTTTCTATTCCAATGACAAAGATCCAGAATGGGAAAAGACATTGCTACCATTGCATCTCCAAGTTACTTTATAACATCGATCGTAAAAATTGAAAGTGAACATGCGCCTTGAGAGATTTACCAAGAGGACCTAACCTGGATTGTGAAGCTGATGAGCGTCTGAAACAAGAAACACAGCTAGAGCACAGAAGCTGTTTTGAGATGAACCTTCAATCAAGGTCTGTATTTTCTCAACACCCAGCACACTGGTGATAACATTTCTTGTTATCAGAATGTGTATGCTTTATTGGCAGCATAACCATAGTACAATAAAGAACTAAAGCCAACTATAAAATATGAAATTCAGTGCTGAAGTTTTTCATTCAAGTGTGGGAAGGTGATTATGGCATTAACATTGGTCTTAGCCAGGCAGTGTGTTGGGCATAGAAAATGGATTACCTGAGTGTATACTTGCCTCAAATGTATCTTTCACTAGGACAAGACCAATAGATATTTTACTAGTTCCTGTGATGATTCCTCTTTAAAGTCTCTTCTTGGTAATTCTAGGAAAGACAATCTTTAAATAATGTGTAGGTCATCGTTAATTAAAAAAAAGTATAGGTATAATTTTCATGTTTTACTCTATTGTTAAATAATCACTGATTTACCAAATCTAATGTATAAATGGTTAACTTATATTTCTTAGCCTTGTAGAGACTTAATAGAAGAAGTTCTTTCAAAACAGAGAACATAATTTTGATGAATGCCACATGTTGTATTCTGATTTGTGAATGGGACTCTGATTTTTAGTGTCATAATGATCAGAGCTGGAAAAAGGTCACATTGCCCCTGTCTCTCATCATTCATCAGTGATTGAGGTGGCTCACATATTTCCTATTAAAGTATTTTCCTCATTCCCTCACTATACGCACTGCTAATTTTCAGGACACTTTGTAATAGCATTCATTCTTCTGCAAATTTCATTGTTTTGAATATATAAAAAGTTTCTTTCTAATATAAAGTTATCCAAGTTTTGACAACTGTAGAGACAGTAGTTGGGAACTTATAAAAAATAGATGTTTTGTCATAAATGCGAAAATATTTATAAGAATACTATTTTAAAGTTGAAAAAATATTGTCATCATCCTTTTCATTCTTTAGCAAATGACGTGTTTTTTAAAAAAATATGGATTTCTAGACAATAAAACAAATTATTTTTATTCCAGAATAGATTCTGATAAAAATGGACATCTTTATGTCATATAATATAAGTATTTAGTACTTAAGTTGCCACAAAACTAAGTTTTCAAGTTCAAGTGCTAGGGTCTCACAATGATGTAGTTGGTAGTAGAGCATGCCATGAGTATTCTGTGGAAATACTGTAAAGTGGGTCAGCTCTAACTGAATTTTTCTCAGTTAAAAATAGCTTCTCACCTAAACATGAGATCACCAATACAGTGTCTACTGTGATTTGATGTTTTTATCCCTAAACATATTTCCGTGTATAAATTGATGCTTCACCTTAGGAATATTACAAAGAATGCTGTCAGTTAACAAAGCATTTCAAAGACCTAAGAAAGAACAATGAAAGGTAACCTTTAAAAGATAAAACAGAAGTACTAATCTATTCCTCATTTCATAGTTACTACATGGGTAGATATTTCAGAAAATGACTCAGGGTGCTTTTTTGGGGAGAAAGACTATTATTAACCCACCCAATGTCAAAACCTGGGATCATTATCTCACTCTAAAGAGTAAATGGCTACCCTAAAATGGAAACATTTACTCATAGTTAAACCAAACTCTTTAAGCTGGTAAGATAATAACAACTGTTTAGGTCTATTGATATGTCTTGTATGGGATATCAATAAACATTACACCTAAGACACAAAATTTAGAGCTCAACTATAAAACTATACAGAAAACTAAAACATTAATCATTTGTGTGTTAGTCCATTCAACAAATACCTGTTGGTCACCCACTAGTGCCAGGCGATGGGCATACAGTGGAAGGCCTTCCTTAATGGAGCTTAGAGTCTATTGGGAATTACAGAATACAGAATCCTGGTGATGAAATCCAATGAGACTTATGGGAAGATGGAGCAGTATAAAGATAGGATGACTGTATGTCCTGCTTTGTCAGGACAGTCCCAGTTTAATACCTATATTCCTGGTAAAATTATTAATTGTTCCTTGTTTTACTATGAAATATGTCTTGGTTTGGTCCATACACTATAAAATCACCATTGTCTTTAGCCACATACAGTATTAGATTCTAGAATAATTCTGCTGGCAATACACTGCTCTGAAGACTAGAGACAGATTTCTAAATTAATTGTGTGTGAGATTAGTGCCCTAATAGTTGTGCCTGCTATTTATTCACTGGACTCTCAATGTAAAGATCATGAGAGACTTGGCACTGAATTAAGACAAGTGAGGCCCTGGATTAGCCACATCTATTGAGATAAGTGTTATGGACTGAATGCTTGTGACCTCTTAAAATTCATATGTTGAAGTCTCCAAATCCCCAATGTAACTGGATTTGGAGATAGATCCCTTGAGAAGTAATTAAGGCTAAATTAGGTCATAAGGGTGGGGCCCTGATTCAATAGGATTAGTGTCCTTATAAGAAGAGACATGAGAAAGCTAGCACTCCCCCGACCTCCTTCTTGACTTCCCATGGCATGTATGTACCAAAGAAAAGCCATGAGGTCATATGAGCACACAGTGTAGAGCCCCTCTACAACTGAGGGGCAAGCACACACTAGATGCCAGCTTGCTTTCTGGTGCCTTAATCTTGGACTTTTAGCCTCCAGACTGTGAAAAAATGAATGTTTTTTAAGCCATCTAGTCTGTTATTTTGATATGGCAGCCCAAGCAGGCTAATACAATGATTGACAGCTCAGACTACAATGCTGAAGTGTCTCAGCTCTACCAAGATGTCTGGAACCTCTTTAGCTAAGACTGAGTAAAATAAGAAAATGCAAAGGATGATTTGGGGACAATAATTTAACTTATGCATACAAAATTTTGGACATTTAACTCAGAAAGGCAAGATAATCAGATTTGGGATTTCAATTCCATTGGAACTGAATATCTCTGGACTTTAATTTACAAAGCATATTGATCTTTGAACTTTCCTTTCTCACTGGGAACTTAATAATGGAAGCAGACTTCCAGTCAAATATGGAGGGATATCGAGGCTATTGGGATTTTATTATTAGAACTGCTCTTTTGTTTTATTTTAACACTTTCATTTATTCTGGTTACAGGATCCCTGATGAACTACATTGGACAATGTGTCAGGGCAAGGTTTGGGATGGGAAATAGAATGAATTCACAGCCTTGAATGTAGAGTGGCCTGGAGATCGATAAAGTAACACATTGTTGACTATTGACCCATTTCAGTTTCTTTGGGTACAAAATTTACATTGCTGGGCTGGGCACGGTGGCTCTCACCTGTAATTCCAGCACTTTGGGAGGCCAAGGTGGGCGGATCACCTGAGGTCAGGAGTTTGAGACCAGCCTGACCAACATGGTGAAACCCCTTCTCTACTAAAAATACAAAATTAGCTGAGCATGGTGGCACATGCCTGTAATCCCGGCTATTCCGGAGGCTGAGGCAGGAGAATAGCTTGAACTCGGGAGGTGGAGGTTGCAGTGAGCCAAGACTGTGCCATTGCACTCCAGCTTGGGCAAGAAAGAGCGAAACTCCACCTCAAAAAAAAAAAAAAAAAATTCATGGCTTATCAGTGGTCCCAGAAGGATACACAATGAAGAAGTGGTGTGCTCATGAAGATGAGAGAAAGAATATTCTTAAAGACTAAATATCACCCCAGGCGTATAGCCATGCCCATTATTATAAGTTTACTGGATGAGACCAGCAGTTCCAGAAAGTAAAACATGGCAGAACGCTACACAGAGAAACTTCTAGTCTGATGCTTCCTTGGAGATGGAGGCAGAGTGACCTGCTGGGCCACTCTCTAACCTTTCCCACTTCCTAAAGGAAGGTGAAGTGGTAGACTAATTTAATCGTTAATCTAGGGAAGAAAACTTGTGAACAAACTGCTTGCAAAGAAACAGTTGTTTCCCTCTGCTTCTTCAAGCTCCAAGATTCAAAATCTGATATTGCATTTTTTAATAAAAATATTCAGAATTCTGGGACTGAATTTTTTTATGGACCTCACAATTGTATTAAAAGTATATTGCAACTCTCAAAA
This sequence comes from Homo sapiens, assembly GCF_000001405.40. NCBI lineage: Eukaryota > Metazoa > Chordata > Mammalia > Primates > Hominidae > Homo > Homo sapiens. The sequence goes on along the minus strand of NC_000013.11, from coordinate 109,068,107 downwards.
TATTGAATTAGGGTTGCAAATAGATCTCTGTTTATTTTCCTGGAATAATCACCTTCGTTTCATTTGTGTGGTATTGAATGTTGGCTCAGTGGAATTATATATTCGTTTTAAATCATTTGGGCTGGTCAGCTTTGCGTATTTGTTTCAGAGGTCGTTAGGTTGTTAGGAAGTTATTAAAGACTTTTTATTTTCATTTTCACATTGTTTTAAGCGAAAATGTACAATCCTTCATTTGTAGACATCGCTTTTCTTATTGTTCTTTGAGCTGATTTTCCAAAGGTTGTGACTGATTCAGCCTCATTTCATACCCAGCTGCCTTACGCCACGAACGAGTCTGTGGGATGGCTGGTGAGAGGTATGGGACTGGCTGCAGTCCAGGAAACTCTACAAAATTAACTGGGTTGTTTTTCAGGAAGCCGACCAAAGGCAATCCAGAGTGTAAGGCCCACAGCTGAATTTTAGAACTCTCCAAGGCCTTCTTTTCACCTGATGTCACAGTGCCGTCCTGATGTGCCTGTGCAATTGAGGGTGGATGCTAATGACAGTCAAGCCTCAGAAACAGCACGCCATTGTGGAAGAATTGGAACCAACAACTACTTTGGAACAGGGCCAATATCAGTACAAATCTCATGTCCTGTAGTGGTTAGAGACACCCTTAGGGATGAGATGTGAGACTTTGAACCTACCTCCTGGGAACTGTTTTCTCAGCTGTAAAATAGGAATGATGGCAATAATCAACTTTACACGAGTGCTATGAGGATTAAATGAGATGATGCTTGTGAAGGGCTTAGCGCAGTGCCCATTGCCTAGTAAATACTGATAAATGTTATTTGGAAAAACATTAAATCAAAGCTATGGCAAATATTAATTACATAATAACAAATGTCTACATAATGAGAGTAGTTACTCTAAATGGTTATTATAAGGAGAAGGATAGTGAGTATACAGTGAAGAGTGTGGAGTCCGACTCCCAGCAGGTACACAGCGGTGACCCATGATGATGACTGTGATGCTGCATTCATGCAGACTCCTAAGTTACACTGACGTTCTGATTTAGTAAACTGCTTGTATGAAATAAGAGTGAGCAAATAAGGAATGAAGAAATGAATGATGAACGAATGAGTGGATGCTGTTATGGGGGATCATACCACTTGGTAGAGTAGAAATTAGGATCCGAGCCAGATTATGAAACGAAACAGCCAAGTTGCCTTTCAAATCGTCCGTTTTTCTAAAAAATCTTCCCCAACTATATTAGAAAGAAGCTGAGTGCGAGTAGATCAAGGTTTAGTTGCCCTTGAGCCAAAACCAGCCACCTCCTGTTTTTGTCGGTTTACTGGAACACCACTTGACCCATTAGTTTAAATACTGTCAACCGCTGCTTTCTGCTGGAGAGGCCCAGTTGAGCAGCTGGATCAGAGACCACATGGCCATAAAGTCTACAATACGTACTATTTGGTCCTTTATACAAAAAGTGTGCAGATCCTTGAAGAATAATATGGGAAATCTTATGATCCATAATGTACTGAGCAGCATAACAAATTCTCAGTAAAGATATACTTTATTACATTTAAGCTAAAGTGACTTCTGGAAGCGTTGTTTAAGCTCCTCTGTCATCTTTTACATTTCATTGAAAAGTTACAGGTCCTCTTTCCTCTCAAACTTCGTTAAACCTTAAACAAGCAGCCAACACTCAAGAACAGTTTCAGCAGAAAGAAAATGGTTAGATTTGGCAAAATTACCTTGGAGAAAGTTTATCGTCTGCTAATTCAAGCTGTTAAGAATATTTAACATCTCCTGACCTTATTAATTCACACTTCTCTAAAGGATGCATTGACAGTAGTTGGCATCTCCAACATGTAACAAGGCAGACTTTTAAAAGACTCCAGCACAGGCTGTTTCTCTAGCGAGGGTCTGCCTCATTGGGTAGCCACTGTCCGTTAGCTTTAATCCAATAGATGGAAGTGTGTCTTCTTTCATCCCTCTCCGAACACCCAATTTAACATCATGGCTGTGTCCTTTCATAGTGAGGCTTTTCAGCAACAACTGTGTCATTTAGGCAAGCTAAATGGTTCGGGCTATTTCTGAGAGGGATTTCATCCAGTAACAATCTAAAAACACAGCTCACGGTCCCTCACCATGCCAAGCATAATAGCCAACCCTCTGGTGCTTTCATTGACAAGTCCTTCTGTCTTTTCCAAATAAGTTCTCCTCATTAAATAGTAAACTTCTCCATTTAGTTACCCTACTCTTCTCTGCCAACCATAAATAATCCTTTAAATGACTGATGGATGTGACCTATGCAAGTTTGCTACCCCGGATCTGGAGTTAAGACTCCGATGTTTGTTCCTCATAAGCCGGGATGAAGATGGAGAGGAGTGACACCTTGAGAGAGAGCCATAGGACCACAATTCTGCCACAGCCCTTCATGACCATTGGAAACAAAGATGTATGGATGAGAATTCCACAAGCATACAGGGTGATAAAGGCAGCTTTGGGAAAGGTGGCTGAGACCATATAAAACATCTCCTGTAGGGACTTTTCAAAGCAGTTTTTTAAATTTTCTTTTTCTTTTTTTTTTTTTCAGCATGGCCTCCTATTACCCTTTCTTTCAATTCTACAATTTTGAAAAAAATAAATGGTTTTATATTATTCAACACATTAAACTAACATATACATATCGGGGAGAGATGAAAATAATAATTAATATGTATAGACATGGCTGTGGAAGGGTTTTTATTCTTTCCCATCACTTGCAAGTCCTGTCTTTTAAAGGATAGTAGCTTGTCTCAAATTGGGGCTATACATGGATGCTCCCCATTGAACATATCTGGGTTGGTTTCAAGTGCTTTGATGAATAGAATACAGCGAGAGTGATGCTGTGCCAAGTCCAGGCCTAGCTTTTAAGAAGGCTGCAAGCTTCTTTCCTTGTCCATGGAAACTTGACCCAGTGGGTAAAAAGTCTGGGCTATTCTGCCAGAGAGAGAGTCACCTGGAGGAACAGAGGCACCAGGCATAGGAGTGAAGGGACCATCGTGTGCATCCCCCAGCCCAGCCAGGCCTTAGCTAACACCCACTTCTTCAGCCATATGGCTGCAACTGGGGAAGAGGCCCCAAGCAAGCATTGCCCACTAATCCCAGTTAGCTCACAGCAGTGAGAGAAAAAAATATATGGCTGTTTTATGCCACTGAGTTTGGGGATGGTCCAATACACAATAACAGATAATTCAGCCAGAAGTTGATGCATTTCCAACCCTTTGTTATGTGTTTTGCAGTACATCCCTATGAGGAGGGCACTTCTCCACCCTATCTATGTTGGTCTTGGCCAAGTGACTGGTTTTAACCAATGGGATACTTGGGAATGACACAGGCCACACTTCAGTAGCCTCTGTAACACTCATTCAGCCTTTTTTTTGTTCCTCCCTATGACTCAGGAAGAGCATATCCTAGATCTGGGCTAGTCTTTAAACCTGAATCCCATTAAAAACAAAAACAATAATAATAACAACAAAGATTGGAGCTGGTTTGAGCTTAGGTATGCTACTTCTAAACCACACTCAAATGCAATGCAAGAGAGAAATAAACATTTGCTGTTGCAAGCCACTGATTTAGGATTTTTTGTTCTACAGAACATATTGGTGGAACTTGGCTTTTACAGTGCCATCAGTAAAAGATCTGATAAACTGAAGAATGAGACCAACATTAGAGAACATTATTGAGATCTACTGAAGAGTAGATCAGACTTTTTCCTTCAGTTGCACAGAGTTTGGATGCAGAGGCAGGAAGGGTGACCAGCCTCTTGCTGGAAGCCAGGCAAACCCCTTTTATGGTCTAAGGCAGAGATAAGCAAACTTTTCCTGTAAAGGGCCAGAGAGTAAATATTTTAGGCTTTGCATGCTAAGAGGCAAAACTGAGGATATTATATAGGTACTTATATAACCGTTTAAATGTAACCATTTAAAAATGTAAAAAAATATTCTTAGCTCTCAGGCCACATGAAAGCAGATGGCAGGCCAGATTTGGCTCAGTGGCTGTCATTTTCTAACCTCTGGTCTGGTGGTTGAAATGAATACATACATGGATATTTCCAGCATGATCTAATAGGCATATGATAATTGTATTATACAACACAGTTTGAACCTTAGAGATACCAACTTATCTGGTATTTTATAAAATGTCTTCCAAAGGAGAGGATGCCTGAGTGAACCTTGAATAGCAGTGAAGGAAACAAGGTAGAAAAGATGATGGGATTGACACATACGATGCCTCAAAATCTTTGAAACCACATGGTATGTTCAGGTAAGCCATATTTCCTTCTATCAGCATAAGTATCAAGTAACATAAACTTAATTCCAAAATTCCAAACACAATATATATAACTTTGCTGCCTATTGACACCAAATGAACACACAAACACGGCTGTTTTAGTTGGGGTGGGCTGCTATAACAACATACTGTAGATTGAGCAGCTTAAAAAACAGAAATCTATTTCTCACAGTTCTGGAGGCTGAGAAGGCCAAGATCAAGGTGCCAGCCACATTCTTGTGCCAGTCACATTCCTATGCCCTCATTCAACTTTAATTACCTTCTTAGAGGTTCCACCTCCAAATGAAGTCACATATGAATTTACAGGAGGACACAGTAAGTCCACAGCTGTAGGCAATCCAATTATGTACCATAATTTGCACATAATTTTCCTGCTGCTTCTTTTATTGTTCCTCCTGTCTCCAAACTAGTGAAGTCTCTTGCCATTGAAGACAGAGTCCTTAAGTCTTTATAATCCCGCTCTGAAGCTGTATTACACAAGTAATAAACAGAAAAAAATATTGACAAGCATACTTTTCTATATTTAATCAAAATAGTATCCTCTCAACTAAAGCGATCCTCCAGTTTCAATTAGAAAGACTCAGAATGATGGACAGTTATTACAGCCAAGATACCATGATGCAAATTTACAACCTCATGTCCACCTACAAAGTCCAACAAATGTCCATTATCCACATTTATTGTCATGTCAGACTTCAGAAACAATAAATCCCATTCAAAGCAGTGGTTGCTTACTTCCCAACGGCAAAACTGGACATTTTGTTGTTGTTGTTCAAGATTTTTGTGGTAATCATATTCTTTCTTGTATACTTAATGAAGTCATTTTGATAGATTTTTATTCTCTGACAGTTAAGACAAGGTGATATAAATACAAAATAAATATTTTGCATAGGGATAATACATTCTTTACCTGAAAATTTGGTAACCAAACAAACAACCAAAAATTTCTATTAAATTACACCTCAAGGCTTTGTTTTTTATAATGATGTTTCCATTGCCTGGAGGCATTTCAAAGACTTGATGAGCTTCTTGAATACTCAAGAAATACTAAAATATGCTATTTCTTGATGTAACAGTATTTTGATTGTATGTTACTTAAATTCTTCAGTTTCTACAGAAACTGATAATCTCTCTATGAATCAATATTTTTTGTAATATTATTTCAGACTGGCATCCTAAATGCCAGAGAGATAGGGGCAGATTTCCTCTAAAATAAATTCATAATTCCATTTCCACTGATATGCCATTACAGATAAAGATAAGAAAGAGAAATCACATCTTACTTCAAATAAAGGAATGCTAAAAGAAATGCAAAGAATTACCTAAAAGTACCATTTCTCATCCTCACTATTCCTTTTTACTCACTGTACTTTTTACAGTATGCCTATGGTCTCTGTTATGCAGAAATATTACTTTAAAATGAACGACCACTTAATCTCCAATGCCAAGTTCATTTTGAAAACATTTGTTAAACACCGACAATGCACAAGCATTGTGAATGAATACGATACGATCCTCATTTAGAAGAAGTTATAGTCTATTGCATACATATAAAAATTATACTCAATTTTTAAGTATTAATTGCATTTACTATTTTAGCAAAAGCGTAATCCTAACAGAGTGTATATAAAACTGACTTGGAAATATACAAAAGCAAAGGTAAAAATAATTTTCTAATTTTATGATATCTCTCTCTCTCTCTTTCTCCCTCCACTCTCTTCTGGGGAAATAGAGCAATTTGGATAACTGTTGGAATAATGGTTAGAAATATTCACGTAGCTAACAAAGGTTACGCTGGACAACCACTAAGGTCCCTTTAATGAAGAGAATCTTTGATGTCACAGATCTAAGGAACTCTAATAACATTAAGGAAACAGAAAAAAAATACACTAAATGCACTTTTCTATTATTGGCTGAGTGAGATAAATCCCATTTCGCATCCTGCACAGGTGCACCTCATTTTGTTGTGGTGTTGCAGACATTGCATTTTTCACAAATTGAAGCATAGTTTTTCCAACACGTTCACACTTCACTTCTCTGCTTTGCATTGGGTAATGCCTGTCATATTTAAAACCTTTTCATTAATATTATATCTGTTATGGTGACCTGTGGTCAGCAATCATTGCTGTGACTATTATAATTGTTTTGGCGTGCCACAAACCACACCGATATAAGAAAACAAACTTCATCAATACGTGTCATGTGTGTTCTCACTGTTCAACCTACCAAGTGTTCCCCCACCTCTCTCTCCCTCTTCTTGGACCTCCCTATTCACTGAAACACAGAATTATTAAAATCAGACTAATTAATAAACTTGCAATGGTCACGAAGTTTTTACATAAAAGGAAGAGATGCACATCTCTCACTTTTAATCAGAAGCTGGAAATGATTAAGCTTAGGAGGGAAAGCATGTCAAAAGTCAAGACGGGCCAAGAGCTAGATCTCTTGCACCAAACAGCCAAGCTGTGAATGCAAAAGAAAAGTTATTGAAGGAAACTCAAAGTGCTATTCTTGTGGGCACACGAATGTAAGAAGGTGAAACTGCCTTATTGCCGATATGGAGAAGGTCTGAGTGGTCTGGACAGAAGATAAGATCAGCCACAATATTCCCTTAAGCCAAAGCCTAATCCAGAGAAAGGCCCTAACTCTTCAATTTTATGAAGGCTGAGAGAGGTGAGGAAACTGCAGGAAAAATGCTGGAAGATAACAGAGGTTGATTCATGAGATTTGAGGAAACAAACTGTCTCCGTAACATGAAGGGGTGAGGAGAAACAGCACATTTGATGTAAAGCTGCAGCAAGTTATCTAGAACAGCTAACTAAAATAATTGATAAAGGTGGCCACAGCAAACAACAGATTTTCTATGTAGGTGAAATAGCCTTTGATTGGAAGAAGATGCCACCTAGGAATTTCACAGCTAGAGATGGGACAATACCTGGCTTCAAAGCTTCGAAGGCCAGGCTGACTCTCTTGTGAGGGGCTAATACAGCTGGTAATTTTAAGTTGAAGCCAATTATCATTTGCAATTCCAAAAATCCTAGGGCCTTCAAGAATTATGCTAAGTCTACCCTCCCTTTGCTATATAAATGGAATAACAAAGCATGGATGACAGCACATCCATTTCTAAAAAACAATTTTACTTCAAGTTCTGGGATACATGTGCAGAATATGCAGGTTTGTTACATAGGTATACATGTGTCATGGTGGTTTGCTGCACCTATCAACCCGTCATCTAGGTTTTAAGCCCCACATGCATTAGGTATTTGCCCTAATGGTCTCCGTCCCCTTGCCCCCCAGCCCCCGACAGGCCCCAGTGTGTGATGCTCCCCTCCCTGTGTCCATGTGATTTCATTGTTCAACTCTCACTTATGAGTGAGAACATGCAGTGTTTGGTTTTCTGCTCCTGTGTCAGTTTGCTGATAATGATGGGTTCCAGCTTCATCCATGTCCCTGCAAAGGACATGAGCTCATTCTTTTTATGGCTGCATAGTATTCCACGGTGTATATGTGTCACAATTTCTTTATCCAGTCTATCATTGATGGGCATTTGGGTTGGTTCCAGTCTTTGCTATTGCAAATAGTGCTGAAATAAACATACATGTGAATGTGTCTTTATAGCAGCATGATTTATAATCCTTTGAGTATATACCCAGTAATGTGATTGCTGGGTCAAATGGTATTTCTGGTTCTAGATCCTTGAGGAATTGCCATATTGTCTTCCACAATGGTTGAACTAATTTACACTGCCACCAACAGTGTAAGAGCATTCCTATTTCTCCACATCCTCTCCAGCATCTGTTGTTTTCCGACTTTTTAATGATCACCATTCTAACTGACATGGTATCTCATTGTGGTTTTGACTCAAGATGGATTAAAGACTTAAACATAAAAGCCAAACCCATAAAAACCCTAGAAGAAAACCTAGGCAATACCACTCAGGACACAGGCATGGGCAAGGACTTCATGACTAAAACACCAAAAGTAATTGCAACAGAAGCCAAAATTGATAGATGGGATCTAAATAAACTAAAGAGCTTCTGCAGAGCAAAAGAAACCATCATCAGAGTGAACAAGCAACCTACAGAGTGGGGCAAAATTTTTGCAATCCATCCGTCTCACAAAGGTCTAACATCCAGAATCTACAAGGAACTTAAACAAATTTACAAGAAAAAAGCAACCCCATCAAAAAGTGGGTGAATCATATGAACAGATACTTCTCAAAAGAAGACATTTATGCGGCCAACAAACATATGAAAAAAAGCACATCAATTTACAGCATGGTTTACTAAATATTTGAAGTTCACTGTTGAGAACTACTGCTCAGAAAAAAATTCTTGCAAAATACTGGTGCTTATTGACAATGCACCTGGTCACCCAAAAACTGCTGAAGGAATTGAATGTTGTTTTCATGCCTGCTAACACAGTATCCATTCAGCAGCCCATGGATCAAGGAGGAATTATGTAAGAATAGATTCTCTAAGGATATAGGTGCCACAGGTAGTGATTTTTCTGATGAATTTGGGCAAAGCAAACTGGAAACCTTCTGGAAAGTATTCACCATTCTAAATGCTCCTAAGAATATTTGTGATTTATGGTAGGTAAAAATATCAACATGAATGGGATTTGGAAGCAATTGATTCCCATCTTCATGAATGACTTTGAGGGGTTCAATACGCCAGTGGAGAAAGCAACTGCAGATGTGGTGGAAACAACAATAGAACCAAAATTAGAAGTGGAGCCTGGAGATGTGACTGAACTGCGGCAACCTCATGATCAAATATTAATGGATGAGGAGTTGCTGCTTATGGATGAACAAAGTGTTTTCTTGAGATGGAATCTACTACTGGTGAAGATGCTGTGAACATTGTTGAAATGACAACAAAGGATTTAGAAATTCCATAAACTCAGTTGATAAAGCAGTGGTAAGAGTTCAGAAGATTGACTCGAATTTTGAAAGACGTTCTACTCTGGGTAAAATGCTGTTGCAGCTTCGCATGCTACAGAGACATTTTTCATGAAAGGGAGTCAATGGATGTAGCAAGCTTGATTGTTTCATTTTAAGAGATTACTACAGCCACCCTAGCCTTCAGCAACCATCAGCCTGATGGGTCAGCAGCCAGCAACATCAAGGCAAAATCCTCCACCAGCAAAAAGATTATGACTTGCCAAAGACTCAGACCATTGTTAGCATTAGTTAGCAAAAAATATTTTAAAATTAAGGTATCATATTGTGTTTTAGATGTAATGCTATTGCACAGAACAGATTATAGGATAGTGCAAATATAACTTTTATATGCAGCGGGAAACCAAAAACTTTATGTGATTTGCTTTATTATGGTATTAGCTTTATTATGGTAGTCCATCACTGAACCTACTACGTCTCCAAGGTCTGCCTGGATAGTGCTTCTGAAACTTCAACTGCATACCAGTCACTGAGGAATTCTGATGAATTTGCAGATTTTGATTGAGTGAACCTGGGGTGAGGCTGGAGATTATACATTCCCCACAAGTTTGCTTTGATCACCAAGGCACCGGCACCCTTTCAACATTTGGCTGGGGGGAAGCAAAACAAAACAAAAACATTGTCCCCAGATGACTAGAGATTCCATGCCAGGGGTTCTCAAAGTGCCGTTCACATGGCAACAATGTTAACATCAGCTGGAAACTTTTTAAAAATGCAAATTCACAGGCCTCCGCTAGACCTACTGAATCTGAACTTGGGGTGGGGAGCCCAGGAATCCATATTTTAAGAAGCCTCCAGGTGATTTTGATGTGCACTCATGTCAGAGAACTGCTGTTTTGGGTAACACTAAAGAGGGAGTTACTACAGTTAAACAAATTGTAACGTCTCAAGGCTCATCACCCTCTGAGGCCCCCGCGGATCACTTCCTGAGACCTCAGCCTTAGGACTGACACTCTCCATTCTATTTCATATTGAATCATCTCTGGAGCTACAAACCAGGGGGAGCCCGGTCCCTACTCCCTGTTGATACTGATTCAGAAAGTTTGGGATAAATTTGGGGAATCTATTGTTTTAAACTTACACAAGAGCATTTTTAAACTCGAACCAAAGGCCATCTACACTTAAGAAGGTGGGAGGGCTGACCTTTAATACACACACTATAAAATGTAAGAAATATCAGCTCTTAACAGGTTCGGCATCTCTGAAGACTATGAAGGGATATCCACCGAGGGACCAGAAAGAGACGAGTCAGGAGCCGTCCTTCCCAAAGCCCTGCAACAGTCAGTGATAGCTACTATGACTCCTGTCCAAAACAACCCCCAGAAGTATTATATCCAGCTTTGATTTATTTCTGTGTAAGCCCAACTTTGTAGTTATTCCTTATAAATTAAGAGACAACATGTCTATTATCTCATTTACAAGCACCTTTTAAATTTTAAACACAAATATCTTGTCTATCTGAAATACATATTCTACAGTTTAAATACATCCATCCCCATGTGGTTCTGCTTATCTTCTATCTTCTAAACATATTCTACTACCCCTTTAAAATGGAAGGCTCAAGCTGAACTCATATGTTGTTTATTTTCTTCTATGTGTCTTTATAAAATTTACCAAAATGCACAATAAGTAAATGCGGCTTATTTCCTCTGGGAAAACAAATGTTATAAAAATTAAACACAGAATTTTAGTCATCGTTTAAATATTATTCCCTTTGTTCTGAATTAAATATTTCAAATGTAGTTATTTAAGTTTGTTGGCTTGCTTATTTTGTTTTTGTTTCACAGCTTCCTCAAAATAGTGGCTCACATTGAACTAGTCAACAAAAGTCTCAAAATCTCTCTTTTTTGGATGAATGGTTTATCAAACAGACTTTTTCATACTGTAGTTGTATAGTTAATTTTTAAACATAAATGCGAGATTTCACACTTGCAATACTTATATTAGTTTACATCAGTATTATTTTAAGATCTCATTTATTTTATATAGAATTACCAAATGTCTTCTGATTTCCTTTTTGCCCACCCCTGTTTTATTGTTTGAATGCTTAAAAACAGATAGTCTCATTATTTTCACCAGGATTGTAATATCTTTCAAATATCTTTGAAAGCTATCTCTGATCCCAAATTACCTTCTTACTATGCTTCTGTAACACTTTGTAATATTCCAACCCATGTAATATTCCAACCCTTTGTAATATTACAAGCACTGAATGGCCATTATTTGCGTATGCATTTACCTGTCTAAACTGGGACATTCATCAAGCTAGAGTGTATAGCACAACAATGTACCTAAAGATGAGGCCTGGAATAGTGCTTAGTAGCATATATCTGTAAATTAAGTTACTACCCATCAACCAATTTACTTAAAATGGATTCATCAGTGAGGATTATAATTTACTTAAAATCAGACTAAAGTTTCTGATCAAATAAAATACAAATGAACAAATATGTAGCCTGAGGGGATGATGTTGCTTTTGGTGAGTTTAGGTGCTTCTTGCAAATGGCTGGGATAAGGCTACCATGGGAGAAGGGCTAATACAGACATGAAGATGAGGACACGTGACAAGAGCTTATCCTAGGAATGAGTGCACTGTCTTGTGCACAGTGTATTTTTCAGCTGAATTTACTGAAAACAGAGGTCAACAAACTTCTGTTCTAAAGGGGCAGATAAGAAACATTTTACAAATATTTTACACCATGGCACACTGTCTATCTCTATTGCAGTGCAAAAGTGGTTACAGACAATATGCAAAGAAATGATTGTGGCCATGTTCCAATAAAACTTTATTTACAAAAACAGGTGGTAGGCTGGATTTGGCTGGCCCATGAGTGTAGTTTGCCAACCACTGATCTAAATAATATTTTGTTCATATATAAAAGGGGAAATAATCACTTACATACATTCTCCTTTTAAATAATAAATAGTAAATATCACATGCAATCATTTTACAAAACTTTAATCCAAGGAAAGCCACACTTTGAAAGGAACATGAGAATGGTTTCCAAGATACTGTCCTCAGTACAGTTTAATTATTTTTTATGTGAGCTTTGTCAGTGTATTTCATTGTTTCCCAGAATATTTTGTTTATTGGAGATAGAAAAAAGTAAACAACAAAAGCAGTGCCAAAAAAGACAACAGAAGACCCTTGCTACAATAGTGTCAGTGTCAGTACACTGCACTGAACAGCAGCGAGAACGACGATTTTAAGAGCAGAAGAATTTACCTTGACAGGAAATCCGAGAAGGAAAGGCGAACAGGGTATCCATATCGGAAGATCTTCACCATCTCCAGGACCCCAATATATTGTAGCTGAGCAGACACGTAAAAATTATCAAAAGTATCTGGCAGCTTTGAGTTATTGGGCCTGATGCAATGAATGAAGTGTGGAGTGCACTTCTGAAGTTTTCCAATAATATCCATTAGTGATTTCTAAGGAGAGAAGTAGAACCCAACTGATTCTCCAAAGGAGACACTAGCTAAAAATATAAAGCAGTTTTTAAATAAAAAGTCTTTACGTCTTTAAATCTCATTATGCATTTACTCTGTGTGTGTGTGTGTGTGTGTGTGTGTGTATGTTTACTTTTTTTGTGAAGATATTTAAGTTGTCAAAAATGGAAAAAAAAGTCTACATAAACCCTCTTTAGTTGCTATAAACATACATTAAGTTTTTGAAATCTGAAAACGTCACTAACCCTGAGTTGTGATGCTATGGTGACTGGATCTCCTCGTTCCAATCTTTGAAGAAATGTAGAAGTTCCTTTCTTTTTTAATAACTGTAATAAAAAGAAAGACAAGAAGGACAGGAGAAAAGAAAGGAAAGGAAAGGAAAGGAAGAAGGAGGAAAAGGAGGGAGGAAGGGGAAGGGAAGGGAGGGAGAAAGGAAAAAAGAGAAAGAAGGAAGGAAGAAGAAAAGAAGGAGGAAGAAAGGAAGGAAAGAAGACAGAATGGAGAAAAAGAAAAAGTGAGCAAATTTATTTTACTAAATTTCAGTTCAGAAGAGCAAAATATTAAGTCTCACATCCATGTACATTCACTTACAGGCAAATGTGGATTTAAAACACAGTTCGTACAAATCAGTGCCAAGTGATTTTTGTAATGGTGTATAAGTTGAGGAAATGGGCAACTATTTGTAAAATAACAACTGTTACTGCCAACCTTTCAAGTACAGGGCTGTTGTGTAAATCAGATCTATCACCATCCTGCACTCATTTTAGTGTGAAAATAAACATAGATCCTCATTTGCTTGGTGGTACAATAAACTCACGATCATATCCTGGTTATGCTACTAACTGTTCATATTTATCATGAAATGTAGTTTACTCTGGGGCAAAATGATGGTGTTTTATGTTACAAAGATTTTATGTGTCAATTATCATTGGTTTGTTCCCTTAAATTTAACTACACTCAGGAGTTGAATGAATGAATGGTCTGATGCTTTCTTACCATGTTTTTCTTCCCTTTCCTCCTCTTCCTCGTTTTATAACTACTAAGAAAAGGTTACTAAATTACCTATCTGTAAAAAATGGTAGTAGACTCTATTTTTTTTCAAATAAGCAAATATGTGCAGCCCTGAAAAGAAAAAGATCATATGTAGAAAAGATTACATGATGATAGAGACATAAAATCAGTGAAAATGAGGCCAAAACGAAATAAAGGGCAGAAATAAAGGGCGGAAGGTAATTAATTAAATTCCACCCAGGGTTAAAAGGAACCTCAGCCACTAACCTACTATTACATTTCACAAAATTATATATTAGACTAATGGACTTATTGATCTAAAATCGTTTTTCTTAAAAAAGGTCTTGATACAAGAAGGAAATCTGAGATAACATTCTTGTGGATTTAGTGCTTTTGCTATTATGACAATAGCTCATTTTCTTCTGTTAAGATGTACTGTCAATCTAAAGTGATTCATTGGTACTGACAAGTGAACGTAAAATGAAGTGATTGGGCCAAGATCAACCCGTTTTCTACAAACACAATACAACGTGTCATGCTCAGTTAAAGAGTAGGGAAAATCCTATTTTCCTGGCCACAGGGGTGGCTGTGCATGGATGAAGGCAGTTTGAAGGGAAGTGAGAAATAGAACATTTAAGGAATAATCATAATAAATAGCTGTCTGTCCCTTGAAATGGAACACTCCAGTTCCCTTTCTGGGTGGAGGAACTACTGTGAGTTACCTCCCTTCTGCAGTCCTTTAGGGAAAAGAGTAATGGCACCTAGGCTTCGTAATGTTTAATAATTGAGGTTAGCAGTGTGTGATGGTTTTTGCTCTTGATTTTTAGGATGATTGAGAAAAGAGGGGCCAGAAGGTTCAGGAAGACCTCCAGTCATAGAGATCTTTCTTATAAGGATAAGCTTGGGTTCTTTTTTTTTAATGTAAAAAATGCCATTTTCTATGTGGCAGAGACTAATTCTCATGATCATTTAGTTCTAAACAACTACATCAAAGGATCTTTTATTCTAGAAGCCACTGGCTGGAGCACACACTCACACTCACTCACACTCATATTACACATTTTGGCCACTCTTCTAAAATAGAATTGAATTTAATTATGCTTTTATTTTAATTGGTAAGTTAAAATGTATTCCAGAAGCTGCAACAATTGCATTTCTAAAATTGATTGTCCTGAACACCTTCCCAAATATATTCCTCATCTTTTATAGTTTTGGTAGACATAAGCAAAACACTCTGGAATACCATCTGGCACTGGATTCTGAAGAAACCTAAAACATTCCATACATGTTTCCTATCAGTTTGAAACAACTCTTCACTGAGTTTTTAGTTCTCTTTTGGCACATAGAATCTTGAGTTTGTGTATACAACCAAACTTTTGCGAGACAAATATACATTACAAATTAGTATAATACAATAAAATTAAACATCTACAAACATGCAGTAAAAACATCCTAGCACCTGAACAACACCCTACGTCTATAAGAGAAACAACAATTTATCATTTAGAGACCTCAGTTATCTGAAGTGATTAATATCAACAGAATAAGATAGCTAAGTTTACTCCCTCTAAGCCTACAGTATCTGAAGTTACCTTCTATTCATCAAAAAGGCAGTCAGAGATGAAACAGAACTGGGATGTTGCACAGACAACCAATAAAATGACTCGGACTATACTTACTATTAAAATTGTCACTCTGCTGCACCTTCCTCTACTCTTCCTTCATTCTGATGGTTATACATCAGATAGGCATTCTTTTCCTTAATACTTTCTATTAGAATATCTATTTCCTTGGTATTTAAAATTGTGCTTTTTTTTAAAAAAAAAGAAGCAAATATACTTATCAAAATTAAAAATAATCCAACAATAATCATAAAAACTCCTACCTTACTAAGTTCTAGATAATTCTTGTTTTCTCCAATAATTGAAGAAGCTGTCATTTTCTTACTGAGCAGGGCAGACTTATGTCCTCGGAATTTAAAGGAAGGATAGGCAGATACGAGGGATCCTGTTTGTGACAATTTCGACTGGAACAAATGATTGATCACGACATTTTCACTAGCTAGGAAATAAATAAATGAATATCGTAAGTGGCACTAAAATTATTACTTAAGCATTGAACTTATTCTTCATACAAGAGCTCTAGCCACTGATACATTCTGGGTGCAAGACGTCATTCGTTCAGCAGATTGAGGAGTCTACCTTTTCCTGTATCCTTATTTTATTTCCTCCACTATTTAATATCATTGACAAATTCTGACATTCACTACCCTTGACCAGGAGTCTTGATCCCAACTGGGCCTTGCTCTCTAACTGAGTAACACTTCTATCCTAGTTTTCAGAACCAAATCTTACCTGCTCAGACCTAAGGGGCTTTTGTGCACTTGTCAAATCATGAAGACTTATGGTCTCTATTAGAAACGCCCCATTCCAGGAAAATAACTACTCAGGAAAATGTTTCCCCAGGACCTAACTCACCTGTCTCAGAGCCGTCTGTAAGTACCTGTGAGAGGACCTGCCTTACTTGGTGCACCAGTTGCTAGGTGAAAGAAGGGAAAAGAAGTGTCCTTTTATTTAAAAAACAAAACAAAACAAAACAAATAACAAAAAACACAGTTAAGCTGAAAAGGTAAAAGCAAAATGATATATTTTCATGTTTAAGTTATAAAAATCAAATAATTCTGAGTCCATGAGTCCATATTCCTTTCTTGACACCTCAGGAAGAAATTAGAGCTCAGTTGAGTGGATTTTGGATTACAAATTTAAAAATCACAGGGAAAACAATGTATGTGGCGGTTAAGGGTCAAAAGGAATGTTTCTTGTGTTACTTATATCTGAATGTAGGTGGTTTTTAAGCCTAAGTGTCCTTTCCTATAAAATAATGATGACAGTACCTACTTTGAGAATCACTGCAAAATTAAAATGTGAAATAATGAACATAAATCACTAGGATCACGCTTAGCCAATCAGACAGTTGGCAACGTTTTGTGGCAAAGTGTTTAGTTTCTGCCTTTGCCATACTCAAATTATTTTGCCTGCCCAGGTGCAAAATGCGGGTGACATAATATATATCTGTAATGCTTTCCATTAAAAAAATCCCTACATTAGGTAATAAACGAACAGGGAAGCAGGAAGAACTGTCAGGAAAAGGAGATACAATTATGCAATGCAAAAGGGGCCCTGTGATGTTGGGATGAAATTAGAGATAGCAAGAGAAATCCATGATTCTTAATACAGAGTTACAGATCTATACACCTATATGTTATCTATACTTACATCTTAAATGTTCAGATTCCAAAAGGTCCTAAAAGCAATCATACACCAGTAGCAATGAGCTCACCCAGCCTCCAGATCTTGGAGTTTCTGAATACCATTCTTTTCTAAGATAAATCAAAGCTTCCTGAACAAATGTCTGATTCTAGATTTGAGGCAAGGTAAATGATTCTGGAACATTTTTGGAAGGCCAGAATGTAAGGCAGTGTTAAAAAAAAAAAAAGTCAAGAGACTATGTCAAAAAGAAATAGGAGCTAGCTTTGAAGGGGTTCTTACTGGTCAAGTCTCAAACAATTTTAGCATCAGTATAATCATAGTAATTAATCATTATTCATTGAATAACATAAGAATCCATGAGTGTACACTCATAAATAAATAATTAATAAAGCAGTGGGAATTATTATAGCAGAATGCCACTGTTTATTGAAAGATGGGGTAAGAAAATCAAAATTTTGCAATCATAAGAAATAACTGATTTAGGCAAGAATCATGAACGCATGTAAAACTAATGGGTAAAAGTTTGATGAGGAACAGAATATTTACATAGTTTCAAAGTACTTTCTCACAAATTACTCATTAATAACAAAGGGAAAACAGCAAGCTTTATGTTAGAAAAAGCTGAAGAGCACCGCCTTATCACAGTGCTCATGGTGAACCTGTTTCAAACCGTGACTGCCTCCGAATGTGATGTGCCGAGAAGGATACCCCACTACCTCTTGGGACTCCTGGCCAAAAATTCATAACCTGCTTCTAAAATAAAGAAATAGCAAATAAACTCAAACAGAGCGATTTCTACGAATTAACTGGCATTAAAAAAAGTCATGAAAGAGAGAGAAAAGCTGAAGAACTGTCTCAGATTTAAAGGAAAAATGATAACTAAATGCAATCAATGATCCTGAATTAGGAGAAAATGACCATAAAAGACTAATATTAGTGGGACAATTGGTAAAACTTTATATGAATTCTGGATTAGATATGAGTAGTACATCCCTGTTGAATATTCTGATAATTTACTGAAGTTATGTAAGATAATGTCCCGTCTCAGGGTGGGCACCAAACTATTTAGACAAGAAGAGGCAAGCAACTTACTTTCAAATGATTCAGAAAGTAAACACACACACACACACACACACACACACACACACACACACACACACACACAGGACAAAGGAAGGAAAGAGGAGAACAAAAGATGGAAAGAGATAGAAAGAAAGATAGCAAGAGGGTAAAAGAAAGGTAATGAAAAAAATGAATCTGGGAAGAGGATACCTGGGAGTACTTTATAATGATTTCGTCACTTTAAGTTTAAAACCACTTCAAAATAAAAAGTTAAATGATAAATACATAATAGTATAGCCAACTTAAATAATTATTTATAGTTATAGCAGGTCTATGTATAAGTGAACCCACAGATAAGCAATGCAACATTTTATTCTTATAATTGAGAAAATGCCTCTAATAAAACTGAAAACATTACTGAGAAGGTGGGTAGTACAAAAAAAAATTTAAAAAGAAAAATAAAAGATTTAAAAAACTGAAAACATGAGACATAAATATGGTCCAAAATATGTAACTGACCCAGTTTTGTATTTTCCCTGAATCATGTGGTCAGGCTGCATGAAGATATAGCAAGATCCATGTCATCCTATGGGCACAGGGAGATGCCATCACGCTTTGGGCCCTAACGGGAGAGCCCTGACCACAGCTGAGCACATGGCAGGAGACAGCAAGTTCCTCCAGGACTTTAAAGAGAACTCTACTATCCATTTGCCTCTTAAAACCGAGCAAAGGAACTCCTGGTGAAGAGGCATATTTCTCTCACTGGGATTACAAGGAGTCACTGACCACAAACCATTTTCTTCATGTCACTCTATATAAATACTGAGAGCGGAAGTGTCCCTCACTGGGATCTACAATCATTGTACAAGGTCTTTCTACCTGTAAAGAGGGATAACCTAACTTATAAGCAAGTGTACAGAGACACACAGCAAAAAAAAAAAAAAAAAGACTCAATAATTATTAACATAATTGACAGTAAATCCTAAATTTTCCTAAATCCTAAAATTTTCTATTCCTGTGAGCAGAATTAAAAGTCTGGAGTTCGGCTTTTTTTTTTTTTTTTTTCTGCCTCCTTTTGAGTGAAGTAGACTTTACTTCTAATCTTAGGCACTAATGAGTGTATTTGCTGTGTGTCTCTATGAGCTGTCTCCAAGCTCCCTGACTGTACCTGGTTAGTGGTCTCAGAGACTCAGCTCTGCTTGTGTACATTCTACAACAGACCTCACCATCTTCCTCAACTGGGAGCTTTTTGATGCTACGAAAATTGAATTAGATACTATAAGCAAAGTACCTGCAAATAAAAATTATTATTTATGAATTACACTTGCTTTTAATAAATATGTACAAGCATCAAAGTATTTCACAGATTCATAAAACATGATGGCAACCACAAATATTTTGCTTTTATGATAGAGTGAGTGAGCAATCATGGCTCCTGAGCCAAACATGGCCCACTGCCTGTTTTTGTAAATAAAATTTTATCAGAATACAGTCACATCCATTTGTATTGTCTACAGCTGTTTTTCACATTATAACAGCAGAGGTGAGTAACTGCAACAAGGATCTTATGGTGCACAAGGTCTAAAATATTTATTCTCTAGCCCTTTACAAAAAAAAAAATCTGACACCTCCTGTATAAATACAAAAGGGTACATTGTAAATTCTGTCCTTTTGCTCAGAAGCACCTTCCTCCTAAAGAATAAAAAAAAAGACTGAATTGTTTTTTCCTGGAACTTTTTTTTGTACAAATTTACATAAAAGAATGATTTTAAAATACAGGGACTCTATTAAGATAAGCAGACTAGCCATCATATTTTCATTCTAAATACACACACACACACACACACACACACACACACACACACACACACACACATATCCTATTAACATGAAATACAAAAGTAAAAAAAGCATTGTGTAAACTTTTAAATACATGCTATATATTAGATCTCCATAAAAGAGAAGTGCATTATAAATAAAAGTGCAAATAATAGCACACTAAAAGGAAGATTTTCCAATGATAATAAATAAGACCAATTCTTTTCCGTCTTCATAATGTTATTCTTTGTTTTTTTTGTTAGTTTTAGCTAAGAGAACTCACAATAAACATAAGTTCTGAGAAGCAAGCAGAATAATCTTCAGTGAAAAACAGTGTATTACAGCTGTGCTGCTGTAATTTGAGGCAAATATGTTTCTCAAACCAGAAGTGATATAGATTTCTTATTTTCAATGCTAGAGCATTCAACTATTTCACGAAAAAGCTATCCTGTGCTTCTTTTAAAGATGAATGACTATTTCATTTATAGCAACTTAAAGCATACAAGATGCAATGTTTTAATTCACTATAAAGGTTATTAGAAAAATGTGAATCACTGCAGAACTGCTGTTAAGAAAATAATTACTAGAGGCAGAATTATGTATATATGTATGAATATACATTTAATTATCACATATATACATTTTGTATACAGTCTTGTATATAGTGTAGAATTATAGTAGATATATGCATATAAAGTATTAATGCTCATTAAGTAGAAGGGTCCTATACATTTAAACTTACTTGTGTATACATATATATACTCCTTCTATTTCTACTCCTCCTACATAGTGAGCATGAATATTTTATAACTGAAAGTACATAAGAATAAAATACCACCCTTAGTTGTGCTCCAGAGTCATCTTAAGTAATGAAATTCTCCCTGTTGTGGCTTAAATAACGTTGGAAGCCATACTCATCTTCATTAGTCTTCACAGAAAAGCTTTTCTATATTCAACCCACTAAAGTAGTAAGGGTATTTTACATTTCTATCTGCTAAAAGCTTAGTTAAATTATGGTTTCCATTGGACTCCAAATTACATTGTAGCCAACATATAGTGCAGCAAGACCCATTTCTCATTAGTCTGGGCATTAGAATGCAAAAGGCATTTCAATTATGCTTTAGCTGGTAGCATATTTTCTAGGAAAATATTCAGAGATAAAGAAATAACGGATGCATGGCATTTTAACCAGTGTAGGGCAGGAAAAAAAATCAACTTACTTTTCATTACAAATAGAAGATTCTGTGAAAGGGAGTCTTTATTTTTTTCAATCGCCCCAACAACATCATACATTACCTAGAATAAAAGAAAGCAGCATAATTACTAATGATTCAACATGACTGTGAAAATAAATTCCTTTAAAGGATAACTTGACCCAGCTGAAGTTTTCAAATATTCATAAAAGAAGTGTCTTCAGGTCTTACAGTTCACGTTACATGCAAGTTCCAAGCTATAATCTGCCTGTTCTCATTCTGTACATTAAACAAGGGAACCCTCTTCTGTTCTATTTTGTGAAGGTCTCCTTTGATTGCCAAGTTTAAGAGCAAATAGTGACGGTTCACATTCATGTAGTTTCCTTTATTCTTAAGGACTCTAACTTGCTCAGAAAACTCACTAAACCAAGTAAACACACTTGCGAAACTTTTGGAATGAAGTGTGATTTCAGTTTGAGAAATTTAATAGTCTCCTAATTTAAAAAGTTCTGCTTGAATACTTAAAGAATTAGTACTCTTAAGTCTTTACAATTAAGAACACATAGGAAACAATTAATTCTGGATTTCTAAAGGGCAATCTTCTTCACCATAGGTGATTTATGAATCAATTAGAAGGATGTTATAATTTTATCAGCCTACTAGTAGAGGCTGAGAAACTTGATCTTTGAAGACTGAAATAGTTTGTTGTCTCTCTTAGTGTCAACTAAGTGTGAAATCTCAGTGGTCATGGGAAGCTGATCAGCCATACATTCTTTAAAAGGCTTACCTTTGAAAATATACCTTGGGGCACAGACCACGGTCAGTGTGTCATAGTCTGTTCTCTGCCCAGTGTGGACCGGTAGTGGATAATGGGAGACACAAAACCAGTGAGGCCTCTTTACTCCTGAGCAAGAGTGAGCAACAACCAAGAAAGGGGGTGAGCATCAGCCATGAGGGAGGGCGAGGATCCGCCATGAGGGAGGGCGAGGATCCGCCATGAGGGAGGGCGAGCATCCGCCGTGAGGGAGAATTTGCCTCCTCGCCTGAGGGAGAGTGTGCCTCGGCCATGCGGGAGTATAAGAGTTATGCCTGTGGACATTTGAGTGTCACCCATGAGGTAGTATGGATGGCTAACCTGAGTTCTTTGGGAATTTTGTCTAGAGAGCCCAGAGAGGACTGGATTCTTTGCAGTGAATGGATATTAGAGACAGCAGAAGAAACTATGAAGAAAGGGCTGTGCAGACTGTGGAAGGACCTGGAAAAGGTGGGTGATCCCTGATGCAACTTCCTTTCTATAGGCTTTTATATTTGCATCTGCCACAATGGGTGCCTGATTATCTCCACCTTTCCCATAAAGGCTGAGTTTTTATTCTTTGCTGTTACAAGGTCCTAAATAAAACAGAAGTAATAAGGCATCCCACACATTCCCAGGTTTTCCAATAAATTTGGGTCAGAAGATCAGTTGAGCTGGGGGACAATGCCAAAATCTTAAACTACTTTCAGGTACAAGTAAACCATTACCTAATTATCCAGTTTGCACTTGTGCCACCACATGGCTTAGTGATACTGAAATGTGAGCTACATATGATGTGACACACCATACGTTGTTAAATGTGAACAATTTATACAACCTAGAGCAATGGTTCTCAATCATAGCCTCCAGGGGACACTTGGTCGTTTCTGGAGACATTTTTCCTGTCACAACTGGGGGTGATAGTTGGGCAGAGATGTTGCTACACATCCGTGTGTGCACAGAGAAGCTCCCACAGCGTGGAGTTATCTGGCTATAAATGTTCATAGTGCTGAGGTCAAGAAACCTCCATCTAGAGGCTTGGCTTCCCTATGCCTTCCTGAGTTAGGAGCAGCAGTGCCCAGCAAAACCATGGAGAAGTCAACACATCTTCAAAGCTATGTGGAATTAGGCAAGTCATTCAATGTTCCAGTGCTGCAGTTTCTTACTTGGTAAAATGAGAGTAAAAATGCATTACCACACTGTTAATATTGTGATGTAATATACATGAAAGTTCTTAGGGCCGAGTGCGGTGGCTCACGCTTGTAATCCCAGCACTTTGGGAGGCCAAGGTGGACAGATCACGAGGTCAGGAGTTTGAGACCAGCCTGACCAATACAGTGAAACCCCATCTCTACTAAAAATACAAAAATTAGCTGGGTGTGGTGACAGACGCCTGTAATCCCAGGTACTTGGGAGGCTGAGGCAGGAGAATTGCTTGAACCTGGGAGGCGGAAGCTGCAGTGAGCTGAGATTCTGCCATTGCTTTGTAGACCAAAAACAAGTTATTTGAAGTATAAGGGGTTACAAATAGTGTGGGTAATCTCTACAAAGTCCTACTGTGTTGTGCTCTTACCCAACCATGCTCACATGACTTTAGTAGTTATTCCAATTCACTTCTAGAAAATTAATGGAAGTTGAGATAATTTCTTCTGGCATACTATATAACAGGTATGATCATCAAATTCTGTGAGTATCAGTGATTCATTTTTCACTTTATTCCTAGCTTCCTCAAATGTCATTTCAGTTACATCAAAAAGGACTATGGATTTACTAAAGATCTCATCCAAATGCCTCCAATCATATCCTTCTCCATGACTTTGAGTATTTCTGGTGCAAATATTTGGAAGTACCCTACCTCCAAGATATTCAAATCCTGACTCTCATCTCTAATAGCCTATTAACGTTATTCTCTTCCACTTTCTAAACATGCTTTTCATTCCCACTGGCATCTCCCCTCCTTCAATTCATCCATAGTTTCTAAAGCAACGGCCTATTTTGACTTCTTTCAGGTCTCAAGAAAACCTGAAACTTAGGGCTTAGCATTTAAGTAGCAAAAGCCACTGATAAGCTGCCACCATTTTTTTTTTCATCATAGTCAGTCATTCCTAATTGTAGTGAATGACATGGTCAATCATTGGATCTGACTGTAATTCGGTATCATTTGCATCTGCCACAAATTCATTCTGACATCTCAGATGGACCCTGTCTGGCTGCTAAGAAGTTCCCCAATTCACCTCTTGATAATGCCACATTACAATCCTCACAGTAACTGTTAGAAATCTTTTTGCCTCTTTTCAAGCTTCCAGCCCCAGCCCAGATTGGCTCATTCTCAGAAGATGGCCATATTTCTTACTTAAAAATTCAATACTCTCTCACTTGAAATCTCTGAATCATTCATTCGTCCTTCTCTCCTTCCTCATGTTCACTGCTGCACGTTATGTAGATTAGAAACCAGGGTGCCATCTGGGATCCCCTCCCCCAGGACGGCTCCCTGTCATCTGCCAATGGCTGCAGCTTTCCCCTCATTTTCCCTTCAATCCCTGCTTTTTTATATTTACTACCTTCACACTAGTAAAAACCATCACTTATTATTTTGACAGACAAATAGTCAAAAAGGCTAAGTACTGGCCTTTTTACATCCTCACTTTAATGCAACACTGCTATTTGATGCATACATTAAACTGAGAATGTCATTTCTCCTGTTCAGAACCTCTGACTCTGTCATATAGAGTCTTCCTCTATATAGCCACAATCTACAATTCTAGCTTAGTCTCTGCATGGAAATCCGATGATTTCAAATGAAACACACACGCACACACATGCACACACACGCACAACTGGACCATCAGAGTTTCATTAAATACATTTCTTGCCTATCTTTGTTCATGCTATGGGCTTGTTTTTTGATAGTGCTTCCAAACTTCCCTGGTAAAACTGCTACCAAGTGTCTTCAGGGCGATGACTACGCATTTCTCAGTTCTGTCTCTGCAGCAGCCAGCACAATGCCTTGTCTATTGGATGCAATCAATAATCATTTAGTGAAATGGATAGCAAGTTTTGGTTATACTGTAACTAAATACAGCATAACATTGTGCTGTCATTTTTATTTAATATAATGCTAACTAATCTTTCATCAGCACAAGATAATGTTCTTTGGAAAGTTCTCATACATGGCACCCGGTTTACGTGGATATCTAGAGAAAATGCTGAAGGTCTTCCATTCAAACTAAAGTAAAAAAACTCCCATTTGGAGACTTCAATTCACTGTTACCTGGGAAAATGCATTTAACATCCACATACAACGACAAACATTTGCTGATGGCAGTTTGATTTTTGTAGGAAGCATAGTGTTTAGTAACTCTTTTTTTATTGCTAAAAGGACATTTGTATGAAGTTAACGAATTGTGAAGCAGGTGAGCTTAATTATTTTTGTGATATCAGACAAGCTCTTTACATTCTTTGAGTCTTTCTTAATGTGTTAAATAATATTACCTAAGGGCCCTCCAACTTTAAAAGCCTTTGACCCTATTCATAAGATATAGATGACCAGTACTGACAGGATTTGAGTTGACAGATGAACACAAGTATTAGAGACTATGCAAATAGCTTATACATTTTTTCATAATAATGCAAACAATTGATAACATGTTACATAAAATTGGCATTCGTGGATTGTTAACACATGGTTGCAAACAGTGTTTTGTTGTTGTTGTTGTTGTTGCTGTCTTTTCCTGGTGCTAAATTTGGAATCAAGTATTCCCTCCGGGACATCTTGCAAATTTTTGTGAAGAGAAATGACATGGAGACCATCTGAACTGTAAGGATTCACAATAGCACATTGTGTGATTGAGTACTGGATCAACCAATGTTTCTAGGTATTTCTAGTGGACACAGCCAAGTAATTTAAATACACAACATAAACATGCACACACAAGCATGCACAAATACTTTTCTTTTCCATTTAAAGATAAAATACTACTCGATTCCAAATTAGGTCTTTTAACCGTGATACTTTCCTTGATCAGTGAAGTTTCACATTGGCCTTGTCAAAGGCAATTTGAGGGCCCAGCCCAGTGGCTCATGCCTGTAATCTCAACACTTTTGGAGGCCGAGGCGGGTGGATCACTTGAGGTCAAGAGTTCGAGATCAGCCTGGTCAACATGGCAAAACCTGTCTCTACTAAAAATACAAAAACTAGCCAGGTGTGGTGGTATACGCCTGCAATCCCAGCTACTCGGGAGGCTGAGGCAGGAGAATCGCTTGAACCCAGGAGGTGGAGATTGCAGTGAGCCGAGATCACGCCACCACTGCACTCCAGCCTGGGCAACAGAGTGACACTCTAGTCTCGGAAAAAAAAAAAAAAAGGCAATTTGAAAATCAAAATAAATGATGTCCATTTATGCCCTTTATTGTGTCTACATGTATCCTGTTTCTATTACCATTAAATATTTTTAAAGTTTTAATTTTGAAATAAGTTTAGATTTGTATACAGTTGTAAGAAATGATACAGATAAATCTTGTGTACTCTTTACTTAATTTCTTTCAATAGTAACATCCTGCAAAACTATCACAACCAGGATATTGACATTAATGCAGTGAAAATATAGAATATTTACATCACCACACGGATCCCGCATGTTGCCAATTTATAAACAATTTCACTTCCCCAAAATCAGTTGAGTCCCTTTGTGTGGTTCTATTTCTGTGTCCTTATTCCGTTCCATTAACCTATGTGTAACATGCTTTAAGGACGTTAAATGGAGAAGGTGAATTCCTCCCACTTCATTCTTCTTTATAAACATTGTTTTAGCTATTCTATCTTCTTTACCTTTCAATGTAAATTTTAGAATGGTATCATCTATACCTTTATATCTATAAAAATTTTACTGTGATTTGGATAGGAATGCATTAGCCTATATGTCAATCTGGGGAGAACTGATTACTATGATGATTACTATTAAATTGACACTATATTGTCTTCAAATCTATAAACATGAAATGTCTTTCTTTTTATCTAGATCTTTAATTTATTTTATCAGAATTTTGTGGTTTTCGCCACACAAGTTCCCTACATATTTTGTTAGATTTACACCTAAGTATTGCATTTTTATGAGCAATTGTAAATGTAATTGTATGGTTCACTTCAATGCCCATTGCTAGTATACAGAAATACAATTGATTTTTTGAATGTTTATCTTGTGTCTTGTGACCTTGCTAAACTCACTTATTAGTTCTTTGAGTCTTTCCTTTCTTTTTTTATGGTAGATTTCTTGGGATTTTACACAAAGGCAATTAAATAAGCACAGGTTTATTTCCTCCTTTCCAATCTGTTTGCCTTTTATGTCCTTTCTTGCTTTATTACACTTGCTAGAACTTCCAGCAGCCTATGTTAAGAGTGGTGAGAGCAGACATCCTTGTCTTGTTTCTGATCACAGAAGTAAAACATCCAGATTTCACCCTTAAATATAATATTGGCTGTAGGATTTTTGTAGAAACTCTTTATCAAGTTCAGGTTATCTTTTCCATTCCTATTTGTCTGGGAGTTGATTTTTATCATGACTGGATGTTAAATTTTATCAAATGCTTTTTCTTCATCCTGTGATATAATCATGTATTTTTTTCTTCTTTGACCTGTTGATGTGATTGATTACCTTGATAGATTTTGAGATATTGAATCAGCTGTGCATCCCCAGAAAAAGAAAACAAAAACCAAAACCGTTCTTTTTATATATTGCTAAGTTCTATCTGCTAATATATTAAACATATTTTTTCACCTATATTCATGAGGGATGTTTTTTGTTTTTAATTTTCTCTCTCTCTCTCTCTCTCTCTCTCTCTCTGTGTGTGTGTGTGTGTGTGTGTGTATGCTACTGTCTGTGTGGTTTTGGTGTTAGGATAATACTTGCTTTATCAAATGAATTAGAGAGTATTCTTTTCTATTTTCTAGAAAAGATTGTGTAAAGTTGGCTTTAATTTTCCTTAAAACATTTGGTAGAATTCTCCAGTGAAACAATCTGGAATAGGAAGCTTTTTTGAGAGACTTTAAATTACAAATTCATTTCTTAAAAGTTATGGTGCTATTCAAATTGTCTATTTCATATTGGGTGAATTGAAGTAGCTTGTGTTTTTTGAGGAATTGATCCATTCATCGAAGTCATAGAATTTATGTGTGAGAGCTGTTTGTAATATTCCCTTTGTATCTTTTTGATGTCTACAGGGCCTATAATGATTTTCCTTGTTTTATTACTGATATTGGCTATTTATGTATTTTCTATTTTCTCTTTGTCACTCATATTATAGGTTTATAATTTTTATTGGTGTTTTCAAAGAACCAGCTCTTTGTTTCATTGATTTTCTCCTTTTTTTCTAATTCCATTGATTTCTGCTTTTTTGTCATCGGTTTCCATTTGCTTACTGTGGTTTATTTTGCTCCTACGTTCCTGAGATGGGAGCTTAGATTATTGGTTTGAGATTTTCCCTATTTTCTAACGTACGCATTTAGTGATATACATTTCTCATTCAATACTATTTTAGCTGTGCCACACAAGTTTGACATGTTGTACTTTCATTTTCATTAGGTTCAGCATATTATTTTTAATTCTGTCACGATTTCCCCTTTTATCCATGGATTATTTGGAAGGGCACTGTTAAGTTTCCAAGTATACAGAGATTTGGCTGTTTTCTTCCCGTTATTGATTTCTGGGTTGATTCCATTGTGGTAGGCAAACCTACTCTGTATAATTTCAATTCTTTTGAGTTTGCTTAGTTTTGCTTTACGGCCGAGCAGAT
The DNA here is from genome assembly GCF_000001405.40 of Homo sapiens. Lineage (NCBI taxonomy): Eukaryota > Metazoa > Chordata > Mammalia > Primates > Hominidae > Homo > Homo sapiens. The sequence goes on along the minus strand of NC_000013.11, from coordinate 109,039,436 downwards.
AGTCCATCTGGACACATGTCCCATGGGTACTCGAAAAGAATATGAGTTCTGCTTTTGCTGGTGGATGTGTTTATAAATATTGACTAGATCCTATTGGTGATGGTGTTGTTCAGTTCTCCTGCACCCTTGCCGATTGCCTATGTCATTGTTTTACCAATTGTTGAGAGGAGGGTGTTGAAGTTTCCAGCATCACTTTCTGTCTAGCTGGCTCCTTCCAGCACTTGGCAAGAGAAGGAAGGCACAGCCTCACTACTGCCTTGTCAGAGTAGATGTCTAGGTCCCTACCCAGCCTCCTCTGATATGCAAGAAGAATGAATCCTCATTATTTCTGGGTGAAGATAAAGGCTCTACCTCTCCACTAAGCCTCCAGTCATTCTTCCCTGGCTGTGGGATGAGCAGTGGAATGGGCTGAAACACTTCTTTACTGCTTCCTACATAGCCTTCATAAATTGGGTAGTGGGGTATTATCTCTGCACAGTGCTGGAAGTCCTAACCCCCTACCAAGCCTCCTTTGATATCATCACAGTGGCAGGGAGCTAGGAGAAAAATATCCATTTAGAATCTTAGCACAGTAATAAGATCCTAAATAAACCTATGCATTGAAAAATTGTGCACACTAAAAGGAAAACTGTAATTTCAATAAATATAACTAAAAAGATTCTTTAAAATTTTGATTTAAAAAATATAACAAATTTGATTCTAAAAAAAAAGTATAATCTGGACTAAGACAGCCCGAATGTTTTCTTTTTGTCTTAAATGAATACAAAAGCTTTGTATTCATCAGGGTTCTCCAAATGAATAGAACCAGTAGTATAGTATAATATATATAGTCTGAGTTATTGGCTCACATAATTATGGGGGCTGAGAAGTCCCACAATCTGCCATCTGCAAGCTGGAGACCCAGGAAAGTCGACAAGGTAGTTCGAAAGCCTGACAGCCAGAGAGCCAATAGTGTAGATTCCAGTCTAAGTCAGAGGGCCCGAAATCCAGGAGTACCAAGGGCAGGAGATTGATATTGTAGCTCAAGCAGTCAAGCAGAGAGATTTCAACCTTCCTCTCTTTTGCACTATTCAGGCCCTCAAGGGATTAGGTGGTGCCCACCCACCCACTTGAAGCTAGCGAGGGCAACAGCTTAATCAGTCTACTGATCAAATGCTAATCTCTTCCCAAAACACCTCGAAGACACCCTCAGAAATGATGTTCAAGCAGCCATCTGGGCATCCCATGGCCCAGTGAAACCGACACATAAGTTAATCATCACAACCTGGGAGTTAATTCTGAAGAAAAGAGGGAAATGGAAAAAAAATATCTAACTTGATGATCGATCATGTTGGATCCCTGATAAATCCTCACTGTCTACAGAAATATGTACATTTTGCCTAATTAAATCCTTCGCTTTACAGCATTTTCCCATTTTCCCCATTGTACTCCCTACTTTCCTCTACCCTACTCACAGATTCCTCCCTTGCCATCACTGCTGCTTTTCCTTTCAATAAACTCCTTTCCAGCTTCTCCAGCAACCAAGGCCAACTCTGCCTTTCTAGGCCCAAGTCTCTGAGAGGCATCAAGCTGTTGTCAAAAGTGCATTGGCCTTGCTCAGTGACATACCTTCTGGAGTCCAGCTTCAACAAGCCCCAGGGCCTGGATAACCAGGGCAAGTTACTGAGTTTCCAAGGCTTCTCATCTACAACACATAGGCAGTAATGCTGACCTCTCTCTCTAGCTCTTTCTTCCTATCTCTCCCATTCTTTCTCTCTCTCTCTCTGTGTGTCTCTCGGTGGCTTTGGAGATAAATAAAAAGGCTTGTTCCTACCTACCTTTGCATAGTTTTTACTATAGTTTTCTCATGAATATCCCTAATTGATGTTTCTAATGCTCACCTGTACCTTCTTCTTTGCCGTTTTCCAGAGTTTTATACATGACTTACTTGAGAAGGACTCATGGCATTACCTAGGTAATCTGTCTTGAGGCTGCTAAATAGGCTGCCTCCCAATAAAAAGCTTCTCATTCTAGACCCATAATTGTCTCAGGTGAAATTCACTGATTGACAACTTATGAAGGAAATGCTTCCTAAGAAAAGAAGTCTCCCTAGAAAGGAGAGCCCATTAAACTCATCAGCATCTATACGCAGCACCTGGACTTCACTGAGGGCCGCCGCCTCCAGCTCCAGGAAGGGGCAATAACTTCGCATAGAGAAGAAACAAAGAAAAGCTGCACAACAGTGCAGACAAGGCCAGTGGCCTCCCGGGCAATTCAAAGGAAAGTGAGCCTCAGAGCCTAGTGAGATGGAAGCATTTCTAGGAAAGAAAAAGCACTAAGGAGAAACTCAGCCTGTATTAGAATTCACCTAGAGCTTTTTGAGTCTGGAGTGTCAGGTCTGCTGACACACAAAGGTCTGCTCTCTGCTGTGCCACTGGGGAGAGCAGGTTGGTGCTGCTGGAGCAGCAGAGAGAAGATTTTAGGTCGAAGGCTCTCCAGGGTCACTCAGGGCAGCTGCTTGGCTCAGGGCCTTGCTCATCTTTTTTGGTTTATTATTTGTGGGATGAAAGGAGAAAAGCATGAAAGTAGCCAAAGATAGAGGCTGGGTTTATGCCTTCCTTTTCCCCACTCTCTTTACATAACTGATCTTCAGGCTTTATGTATTTATTTTTCCTTCTCAAGATTGGAAGACAGGATTCATGCAGTACATGGCAGCGTCTCTCATGCATGTAATAGAGAAATTTATATTCATGCGACTCAATATGGATCTTTAAGGAAATTGTCATGTATTCAAAATTTCCTTTGGAATGATTCTGTTCAATAAAATAACTCAAAAGAAAACTTAGCATTTTGCTTATGCTGCGGCAGTTAGCGATCCTCATTTAAATGCTCCAGTGTGGATGCCAAATGAGGGGTGCAATATAAACTTGAGAGCAGTGACAGTATGCGGCTTTTTTGGAAGTACTTGCTGTAACACTCCAGCACTGCAATAAATACAATTAAAAGATAAATTATGTCATCTATATATGAAAAAAGGGGTATAAAACTTTCACCATGTCTGTGACTCAAAATTCATCAAGACACTGAGTTTCCTGGCTCCACAAAGAGAACAAAAGTTACAAAGTGCCAAACCACATGGATTTTCTTCCTAACTGAAGGGTGTCAGGCTCATGCTTGGCTAATCACCAAGGAAACTGAAATCCAAAGGCAAGAGAACGCCACAGAAATAGCTCTATCCACCAACACTGGATTTTAATTCCCTGAACTGAAAGCAAGAGCAATTGGCTTACTTCACCTTGTTAAAGAAGGTCCAGGGGTTGGCTGGAGCTGGGGAATAGTGAGTTCTTTATGTCTGCAGCCTCCTTTCTCGCTGTGCCTTGTACCGAGTGAGAGAATAATGCAAAACTGTGAAATGTGAGCACCTACTATGTGGCTAATAATTTTAGTGTCTGTCAAAATGTGCTTTCCAGATTCCCTAAAGGAGAATGTCCTCTGGTGTTTAATAAAAATGCAAATGCTTTCAACTTCACCCCAGACCTCTTTAGTCATTATTTATTGGAGAGAAATCCAGGAAGCTGCATTTTAAACTTGCTCCCCAGTTAAGTTGGATGCACGTTACGTATGAGAATCACAGCTCCAGCTACTAGGAGCTTAGGATGCTCTGTTAACTCAGTCCTTCTATGTGGTGCTGGCAGGTGAGAAAGGAGCAAGGGAGCAGGGTTTGCAGGAAGTAACTGTACACAGTGCATTTTATTTTATTTAATTAATTTTTTTGAAGCAGAGTCTCACTTTGTCACCCGCGCTGGAGTGCAGTAGCATGATCTCTGCTCACTGCAACCTCTGCCTCCCAGGTTCAGGCGATTCTCCTGCCTCAGCCTCCTGAGTAGCTGGGATTGCAGGCATACACCACCACGCCCGGCTAATTTTTGTATTTTTAGTAGAAACAGGGTTTTGCCATGTTGGCCAGGCTGAACTTGAACTCCTGACTTCAAGTGATTCATCTGCTTCAGCCTCCCAAAGTGTTGGGATTACAGGAATAAGCCACCATGCCCGGCCTACAGTGCATTTTAAATAAAGAAACACAGTCCTTCTGAGAACAGCCATTAGAGCAGATATTGACGTATTTTTAAATTGCTGATAGGTTTAAGATGAGATTGGACTATAAGTATACTCAGGGCTAAGCTATTTTCTTAGGGGAGTTAGCATTTTTTGAAAAGTTCTTGTAGAGGGAAAAAAAAAACTTTCAAATACTTTCATCTAAGAGGGTGGCAATAAAGTGCAGGATTTTTCAAAAATCCCTGGTTATTGTGGTACGCTATATATGCCATATATGGTGTTGGAATTTTGGAGAAAATGATATAAAAATGAGAGCGTGGTAAAGTAGAAGGAACAATAGACCAAGGGTTAAGAAGAAGGGATTCTCAATCTATTATAGTTTCTGCTTCTCAACCTATAGAAACACTCATGGGCCATGTGCTGGGATAATTAATTGTGGGAACATGATAGTCAGCTTCTCTGAACCACAGTTTCTTATCTATTTAATTGAGTTTTGATCTCTGGCCACTTCACACTGAATTTTAATGATTTTATCGATTAGCATAATCCATCAACAAAACTATTATTTTAGGGGGCTAGGAATGGCTTATATGTAAATTTAGTAAATGGGCATCTATTTAGATTTTCAGATTGCCTTTGATATGGCTAATATCAAAGGTTATTAAAATATCATCCTTGGATTGAGGAGGTTATCAGGGTTAAAAGACTAAATTTTTAATAAGCCAAGGAAAACAGCAGGGACTAACCTTTTAAAAATATTTTGTAAAATATGTTACATGTTGTATTCGTCTGTTTTCACACAGCTGTAAAGAACTATCTGAGACTGAGTAATTTATAAAGGAAAGAGGCTTAATTGCCTCACAGTTCAGCATGGCTAGGGAGGCCTCAGGGAACTTACAATCATGGCGGAAGGCAAACAGGAAGCAAGGTGCCTTCTTCACAAGGCTGCAGGAAGGAGAAGTGCTGAGCGAAGGGGAAAGAGCTCCTTATAAAACCATCAGATCTTGTTAGAACTCACTGTCACAAGACCAGCACAGGGCAAACCACCCCCATGATTCAATCACCTCCACCTGGTCTCTCCTTTGGGGATTATGGAGATTACAATTCAAGATGAGATTTGGGTGGGGACATAAAGCCTAAGCATATCATATACATTTGTAAAATTTGGAATGTACTAAAAGTAACAAAATTAAAAATTATCTCTAATTCCTTTTTCCAAGGGTAGCCAGCCTTAACTTATATGTCTGTATCTATCAACTCTAACTTTGTCTAGGTATGCACTTTCAAGAGACCTGGACTCTGCCACAAATTGTGCTTTGTGATGTCTTTTTTCTTCAAGGTACGCCCATTTGCTCTCGAATGAATCTGTGCCCTTTTCTGCCCTAAGATGCATTGAGGCAGTGGGGTTCTCAGCCTGGCCTTCCAGATAGGGCTACAACCCTAAAAGCACTGCAGAAAATGACAAGGCAGGAGGAGGGTCCAAGTTTTGGTAATTATCTTCCTCTCCTACAAGGGCTGAATTTCCTCCCTGATTCCATTTTTGTCTTGCAGCCCACTTTTCATAGCCCAATTCTTCCAGAGTAGTGGCCTTGTAGAAACATGTGGCTTCCACCTCCTGCCCTCAGCTCCTGGGGTCCAGAGGTAACTTCTCCTCCCATGATCCTTTAACCTTAGGTAATGCAGCTACTTTCTGCTGTGGATAACCTCTAGATCACTTCAGCATCCCTTGTCTGTCTGCTTAACTTTTCCTGGGGAATCTATTCCCTGTAATCATTTTCTGCTCTTTGAAAATTTAGTACAGTTTATTCCTGAGATGGAATCCTGATGGACCTCAATAATTTTCCATTTTCTTGTTTTGTCTACTCTGTCTTGTTGCTGACAGCTGAGAAACTCCTTCCTGCTACGTAGCTCAGGAAAAGACAGGGATAGATGCTGCACAGCACTGTTTAGGACTCCTAAAGAAAGATAATGGAGCTCTTGAAGGTATAAAGGAAAGCAAAGAGAATAATGTGGGACGACGAAGTCTGACAGATCGAGGCAAAGGGATGAGAATCGTCCACTGTAGGAGAACTGTATGTGAAAGGAGAAGCCGTCTGAGCTGCAAAATGAGTATTGTGCACAGAGCCTAATGGGTCTCAGCATGCTTGTCAGTGGTGCACTGCCTCACAGGCTACAGAACAGAGAGACGAGAGGAAACGGAGCCCTGGGCAAAGGGTGAAAACATGGATGTTGCCACTCTTCAACTCCCTGTAGTTCAGTAAGTGCACACACCAATGCCTCTGAATAGCAAAACCATGGTGTTATGTCCCTAGGTGGGCCTTTAGGGGCATTGTGTAGAGATTCACTACTTAGTTCTCTTATAAATACGCCTTAATTTTCCTTCCCTATTACTCTTACCTAGCTAAGATTATCCATAATTTACATGTAAATTAGAGAATTATATGTAATTCTCTGCATTAAAATTAGAGACTTTTCTGAAGCTTGCACAGGCTACCTTGTTAGGTATGCTAAGGTCAAATCAAATGCTAATTACAGTATCTCACATATATCTTCAATATATTTCTGATATTGAAATCTACATTTCCATGTAGTTAAAGTGCTAAAAGTTAAAGTTCCTCTAACAAAGCTACCCTCAGGTTAGACATGTAGGAATATCCAAGACTACAGCATGGCTAATATGCATGTGTGTCTGTCAGTAGTGGTATTTGATTTATGTGTGTGCCTGCCCATCTATCTAGCTCTCTACTGTATTTACTTCATACACCAAAGTCTACATCTATCAATCTATTGATCTTGTGCTCAATTTGAGTACACAATAGCGATTGCTTTATTGCTTTAATAACATCCAAATGTGGACATAAGTGCATTTCCACGGTTTCTTCCTTTGTCCTCTAAGTCAAGAGAAGGGAGGCTTCATGGGAACCTTCTTACACCTTTGCCTTGTCTCACTGGCTAGGAAGATACTGTGCACTGGCCTTTGGCCCTGGGAAGAAGCACAAAGGATGGGGATATGTGCGACGATGTGGGAGGGATAATGGCTTCTGCTGCAGCGGCCTGAGCTGTTCTGAGCCAGCACATGAAAACAAAGACCACACCACAGATGGAGGTTTTGATAGCGAAGGATATGGTGGTAGGGCTTCATCTGGTACACAAGCCAGAGCTGTGTTAAATCCTGCCAAGAGACACATGGGAAGTTGGAAATCATGGAGTCCAGTAGAGAGGGTCTATGTGGAATCAACCCCAAAACCAGGGTCGAGGGGGAGCAGCCAGCCAAAGATGAGCATCACCCACACCTGGGAAAGTCGGTCCCCCTAAGACGCCCAGAAAAGCACCTGAGTGAGTGTTAGCTTTGCACACGTGAAGCACAGTGTGCAGGAAACCACAGTGAAACAATGCACATCAGTAGAGGCAAAGCATGGCATGAAAAGGAAGAAAAAGGCACTTTCTAGGCCACCGTACAATGTCTAGGCAGTATCTGAGGCATGAGGAGACTTCACTTTCCATTAAATCTGTTGTTTTGACGATTACAGTTCTTAGTTACTGAATTGGGTCTGTGAGTGCCAAGTAAAGCAAATAAATGACATTGTATGACTAGACAGAGACCAGAAATATCACTGGAGCTGCCCAAATTTTTATCTGGTTACAAGGAAAAAACTAATCTTGCCGAATATATTTTAAAAAGCAATATAAGCCCAAAATATTAAGGAATCTCAATTACATCTTCTGAATTGTGTCTGTTCTACTACCAGGTAGGTGAAAAACAAAAATGTGAAAATAATTTGGAAGTTCTGGTTCTGAAGAGAGAAAGCAAAATTTATTCTTCAACTATGAGAAATAAGCTTGGGGACAGAAATGTTTAAAAGGTATCATTTATGCCCAACTGGTAAGTAGAGCATCCATCAGTGCCAATAGTTTAGGTCTATTATTAACAAATCAAATCAAAGTAATCACATTTAACTTTGAAGAGAGTTATCAGAGAAACAAAAAAACTAAATGAATTTGAGGCAGTTAATATTCCTTTAAGTAAAAATATTCATTCACTAGCAGTTTGGGAGGCCAAGGCAGGTGGATCACCTGAGATCAGGAGTTTAAGACCAACCTGGCCAATATGGTGAAACCCCATCCCTATTAAAACTACAAAAATCAGCCGGGTGTGGTGGTGGGCGCCTGTGGTTCCAGCTACTCAGGAGGCTGAGGCTGAAGAATCGCTTGAATCTGGGAGGCAGAGGTTTCAGTGAGCCGAGATCGCGCCGTTGCACTCCAGCCTGGGCAACAATGAGACTTCATCTCAAAAATCAAATCAAAACAAAACAAAATTCATTCATTCCTTTATTCTTTAATGATAATTAGTACTCATTCCATCAATTAGTGTTGAGGAACTACTGAAGTAGTCCAGAGAACAAGGAGGGTGATGTGAACCAGGGTACTGAGATAAGAAGTGGAGTATTTGGATTGAGAGTTAAATAAGAAAGACAGTAGCTTGTACTTGGTAATTAATTGGGTGTCTGGTTTTGCCATTAATTGAAAGGGGGGACAAATACAAAAAATCAGCTTTATTTATTTTCTTTTTTACTTTTTTGAGGTGAGTTGAGAGAGAAAGAGTGGGAGTGGGAGATGGGTAGGGAGTTTAGTTGACTTTGCTTCTGTTGAATTTAAGATGCTATACTAATAGAGATATTAAAAAGTCAATATGCAGCCCACAGCAGAAATAGAGTGGAGATCTGGGAATCATCGTGTATGTGCAACTGAATCTTGAGAGTCGATAAGCTCCCTGCTCTGAGAAACATCATCAATATTCACAAAATGAAAGTAAATTCATACATCCATCAAATTTATAATCCCTTTCTCATGTTATTTATATGATGCAAAAGATAATCCTTAGGAAATAAGTGGTTGGAATTAAATTTTTAATTAAACCACTTTTCTGGTGTTGGAAGTGGTGATAATTTAAAATGCAAAGTTTTGAGATAAACCCTTGAATTCAATATATCACAGAATATATGTGAAGATTGGATTTTAGCAAAATAAATAAGTGATCATTTGCAGCAAATATAAATGTGTCCAATTATTTTCCCTGCCTGGTTTCAGCTTTCTATCTGAGGTTTGCTGAAAAGAGTCTCAATTTCTTCTGTAGTGGTAAACTGATGTCTGTATATCATCAATATTTATAAGCAAGAGCTTCTATTCTTTTACTTTCCCATTAAGTGATTCTATCCGCTAGTTTTTTTTTTTTGCTTTCCTTCTGATTCACTTTAAATTGATGAATACTAATTAACAAAGAAGGTTATTAGGAACCTATAGTAATGTTGTTAAGAGTCCCATCTAGATATCTAGAAATCTGTATATGGATAGTCCCTTGAAATTGACACAGCTGAAATTTATGAATGTGCCTCATTGATTCCTTTATGAAAAAATATACCAACTAGCCATAAACTATCAATATTCTGAACAATCTAAAGTTTTATAACTTTCTGTCAGCTCATGAAATAAAAGAATATATTAAATATGTGAAGAAGCAGAAGATTCTCTAAATGAGGTATTACATTTTGTCTTAACAAAACCTAGGTAAGAAAAGGTGGATCATGCCTCCCACACAATACTGCCAAAGGGGAAATTCGTGTCAGCAGTGGAACACCAGGAGCCTAGTAGAGCTACTTTTTATTTTTCAAAACGCCTGCTCAAGAGGTGAACAAATACAGATGTAAATTAACTTCTTTCTGTGCAGGTCAAAATACCTTTGTCAAATAGCTTTTAAGAGTATCAGTTTGGCTTAGACCAGACTGATTTGATTGTTATGTCTGGGGATTCTGCCTGGAGAAAAGGAGAGAAACAAATGAAAACTGCCCTGTTGATTAGTTCATGTTTTTTGTTTTTTAATTTAAAAGTTCAATCTCAGAGTCTTCTTGGGTACAATGTGTCCCCCACAAATCTCCAGGGAGGTAAAGGACACGTTATGAAAGGTGTTCCTGACACAGGTGGAACTGAGAAGCTCAACAGACAGAGATCCCGCAAGCATGTTATATAAAAATGTTTAAGGTGGGAGGCCGAGGAGAGTGGATCACCTGAGGTCAGGAGTTCAAGACCATGGTGAAACCCTGTCTCTACTAAAAATACAAAAAATTAGCTGGGCATGATGGTGGACGCCTATAATCCCAGCTACTTGGGAAGCTGAGGCAGGAGAATCACTTGAACCTGGGAGGCGGAGGTTGCAGTGAGCCGAGATTGTGTCTTTGCACTCCAGCCTGGGCAACAAGAGCAAAACTCCATCTCAAAAAAAAAAAAAAAAAAAGAAAAGAAAAAATGTTTAAAGGCAAAGAGGTTGGCTTTCATCACTAGATCATCTAGAATCGACTGCAGCATTGCAGCATCAATGAGACAAAGATCTCTACTCGGGGACCTGCATAACAGCATAAATCTAAACAATAGGAACATTTCAAACTTAGTTTATTCAAAGATAGAGATACGCTATTTTTAAACAGAAGAAAAAAATCTACGTATTTTACAGACGGGCTACAAATCAGTGACTTCATTCTTTTCCTCACGTCATTCCCATCAGCAACGTTTTAGTGATGTGATTCCCGTAAAGGTCTGTGGAAATCAGTGACATGAACAGTAATGATCAGGGCCTACGTGTCTGAGATTACAATTTTATCTGTAGGGTTGTGGTTTAGAGCTACAACGAAGGAATCCTGACAAATACAATCAAAATCCACCACAGAAAGATGTATTTGCAAGCACACTAGATAAGGTGGCTGTAAGTTTTTATGCCATCATAAAATTACAACTCAAAATATGTATATAAATTGTAGAGAATGTTTTAATTTTATAAGGGGAAATCATATGGAAAGGATCTTTTAAAATGTGCAGTAACATTTCACACAACTGTATGCCTGATTAAAGTATTAGTTATAAAACTAAATGGTAAAGAATATATATTTTTTTTACAAAATTCCCTTCAAAGGGAGCTACTCATCACAAAGCATCCCAAATATTCTGTGAAAAACAAAATGTTACATTAACATAAACTAAAACATTTTGTTTTCTGTTTTCTCTTTTAATATTGTAGTTGAGAAATATCTCAATTTTCTGTATTTAATACTATATTTAGAGAATTTAATGTTATATTATACAATATTTTTATATATTTTTTATATTATATGTTTATATATTTAATTTAATACTATAGTTAGAGAAATATCTCAATTTTCTGCACATACCTTCCACTGAAGTCAAGTGTCATAAGAAGGGCCAGAAAATACTGTAATATAATGGGAGTGGTTGTACCTTTCCTATCATCTACTAAAGTGATACCAGTAACCGCATGTATATAAAAATACACATTCTAACATGACTTTCAAAATATTACTTTATATAATGTGAGCACTTTTATAAGATAAAAGAATTGACTCTGTTTTTTTTAAACAAGTCAAGGACACTTTACCACTTACTTTATTTGAGCAACTCAATGGGGCCACCAATATTCTCCTCTGAATATATGGCAAAAGTTGACTCGATAACTCCTGCAATATTTTCTGGTCTTCAATATCTGTGACTGATGAGTTCAAAATGTTACGAAGTACTGTTGTATTCCTGCACTGAAGACCTTCAGCCATTGTTGGGGAAATAGATGACTCACATACTTGAAAAAATGAGTAAAAATAATTGTATCTGCATTTATTGCTTGTCCTGTACTTAAGCTTCAGGACAAATTTATGAGGCTCATAATTATATTTTCTTTAATGATAAATATCATGGTGTGGCAACTGAGGGTCCTTATCCTCCTCAAAGGCACAGAGTAATGGAGCTGGAAATCAAACCCTGGCCAGCTGGGCCCCAGGCAGGGATCCTGCCCTTTCCACCCTCCTTCCACTATGCCACATGAATTCTATGAGTACAGACAATAAACACATTAGGAATGTCACCCCACGATGTGGTGAAGAGAGAAAAGCACAGTGAACTTGGGGGAAAATAAGACACAGTGTTGTCACTGCTAGCCTGTAGTGGCTTGTATAGTGTACCCTAAAATTCACGTCCACCCAGATCAACAGAATATGACCTTATTTGGCAATAGGGTCTTTGTAGATGAAATCAGCTAAATTAAGATGCGGTCCGGCTGGATTAAATCTTTGTGAGAAGAGGAGAGAACACACAGAGGGACAGGGCCATGTGATGGAGGCACAGATTGGGGTGATAGGTTTGCAAGCCAGGAACTGGGGTCTGTAAGGCAGGAATGCCAATGGCTGGCTACCACCACAAGCTGGGAGAGAGGCTTGGAACAGCCTCTCCCTCAGAGTCTCCAGAAGTAACCAACCCTGCCAACACTTGACTTTGAACTTCTATCCTCCAGCACTGTGAAAAAATAAATCTGTTGTTTTAAGCCACTCAGTCTACGGTACTTGGTTTTGGCAGGCCTAGGAAATTAATATGCTGCTGTACAATCTTTGATGAATCACTGAACTTCACCAAGGCTTATTTACCTGGAAAACGGAAATAGTAATATTTACATCCAAGAATGTGGTGACAATGTCACAGAAGTACTTTGTAAACTGGAAAATGTCATGCAAGCTTCAGGAATCATTATTGAGTAGGGCAAAATGAGATCAAGGAAATTCAGATCAGGCCAAGAACTTGATCTGAGGGAAGATGGATAAGATTTGGAAAGACAAAGAAAAGGGATGTTCCAGGTAAGGAAAACCACGTGCAAAAACCTGGGTTAGAGAAGTGTAGGAATCACTTAAAAACGAATCAAATGTGGCAAGGAAATTCTACAATGTTATCTGATAAAACTACTACTCTTATCATCTGTCAAGATGAACCAATAAATACTTTATGGTTTCCTAGGATGGCTGCAACAAATAACAAGTTAGGTGGCTCAAAACAAGAGAAAAGTGTTCCCTCTCACCACTGGAGGCCAGCACTCTGGAATCTGGCCCACCCACACCAGGCTCAACGGGTGGATCCTTCCTGCCTCTTCCAACTTCTGGGAGTTCCAGGTGTTCCTTGGCTCCTGGCTGCTTCAATACCTCCCCCCGTGGTCACATGGCCTCCTTCTTTTCTCTCAAATCTCTCTCTGCCTAACTTTTAGAGTAGGTTTTGGACGTAGAGACCACCCAGATAAGCCAGAATCATCTCCTCATCTCAAGATCTGTAACTTAATTATATAAATGAAGACCCTTTTTCCAAATAAGATCATATTCACAGTCTCCATGAATAGGGGCCTGAAAATATTTTCGGAGGGCTCCCGTTCAGCCCATTATAATGCATAAGCATTTGTGGGGAGAAGGAGCTGAAACAGGGATGCATCATCTTAGGTGTAAGAACACATCACCAATTTGTTGCCTATAAACCATTCAGGCCAATCACAATGGGATGCTTATCTGAGATCCAAAGAGATTCACTTCATGCTAATATAAATTTTCATAAAAAACAACTTTCAGACAAAGATCCTATGAGCAGACAACAAACAAGGCTCATATAGGTAGGTGTCATATATTGTATAACTATTACTTTTGACCTACATTTTCATTAATGCAATTTTTATTACTTAATGTTGTTTTACTATCTCCTAATCTATTTGCTCATCTCACATCAAAATTTAGGAACTTAAAAATACTATTTCTTACTAGAGTTAGTTTAGAATCATCTTAATGGAAATTTAACTTTCCTAAGAGCCAATGTCTTTCTCCAACCCATAATTCTTTCTTCTTTCAAGATTCTTAATTTTAATAGCCAATAAAATTAGACACATTCTGAATTTAATGCTTATCCATCATGTAAATCATCAGACTTTTAAGAGAAGCCCCTATAAGTGATAATCCCATATATGATTTAATATTTGCTAAAACAAATATCTAGCCAAAAAACCCTACAAGCCTTCTTTAATTCAGATTCATGCTCATTAATGAGACTGTGTTAATATTTCATGTACGGCCTCTTCCCATTTACTTTAAAATATTTCTGTAATGGTGATTGGAAAATATATTGTGCTCCTATGAGTAATGAAAAATTCAAATGTGTTTAGAAAAGATCTTCAGCTATAATTTAAATAATGTTGCTTAAACATTTCTAAAAGCACCTCAGAGCCTCTGTTCCAAACAAGACTCTGAAGCGTGGCCGGTCTTCCTGGTCAGAGCTTTCAGGATAGGCGAGTCCCTCCAGGTGGGGCTGGATGCCAATATCATCCAGGAGTAATAATTATCCTTCCTATGAAATGTAATGAATTTCCAGTAAAAAGACCAGGTAATCCCATCGTGGAGGAGCAAGTGGTGATGAAGGAGATACATTCTACCCCATCGGTCTGGCCAAAACAGTGGCAATAAAGCCAAGAACCCCAGGGCCATTGAGCTCTCGCTTGGGCCCAACTTTACTATCATAGAGCTATTTAGCAATGTTCCTCCTATTGTCCAAACTAGACCTTGCATGTTGATTTCAAATCAGTTAACTTTTTCTACGTGTCTTGATTTATAAAATTCAGAATGTGTTGCTGCTTTTTTTGAAACTGCAGTAGCTCAAAATTTAAGTGTATGTGTCTACATTTGATTATTCAAATGGCATATGGCTTGACATATTGCCACAAATTACATATAATCTACACTGAACATGTGAATGAGTCCTCAGGGAGTCTTTTGGCTAAGACTCATTAGTACATCTCAGTACAATAAAAGATTTTTATAAAACCACAAAACTGACTCCCATGAGAAAAATCTTGCTTAAAAAATTAAGGTGATTTAACAGGAACATTCATGTTTCCACAGGGGTTTAGGCTGTGCACCAACTAATCAATTGGTTTTCTCTGTTTTGCTTTATTTCTATCAGAATTCAGCAAAATAATTACATTGACTTAAACTTAGTTGATTTCCCAAAAATTTTCTAAAAATATTTGAAACTAAAACTGGAAATTTTAAGTGAATGTACAATTTTTTAAACTGAACATAAAATGATTTAAAAACTATTATTCCAAAGCACATTTCCACTGACTTTAATGCAATTAGCATTTATTGAACATCTAGTGCATCTCCAATACACAGTACAAACAGACTCAGAAGGCACATCAAGTACATATCCGCTTACAGTCACTTCCATGAAACCTTAGGAAAAGTAATTTCCTGAAATCATCATACCTCATTGTAAATTGTAAAATACTCCCTATGAATTCAACAAATATTAACTATGAAGAAAATATAGCCTGAAAAATTGAAATACAAGTCTAAGATTGCTGTTTTCCTAAAGAATTTGTAATAGTGAAATCTCTCAAATTCAAAGAACATGAATTATATTTAATTATATTTAAAATGTATACATTTTTATAGTTTATGTATATAAATTTATATTTAAATAAATATATGAGAATTTATATATAAATATAAATATATACATACACATTGTATATATAATATTTCTATATATACATATAGAAATATATACATATAGAAATATATAGTATATATTTATATACATATATTCATATTTTATATTTATGTATTTTATACTTATATATGTATTGATTAAATATATAAGTATTTAATAAAATTTAATAAATTTTATATTTATTGAATATAAATATCTAATAAATGCAAATATAAAATATAAATATATGTATATAAATGTAGAATATGCATATAATATGTATATAAAAACATATTTGTATACATATACGTATATATGTATATATGCATATATACATATATTTGTATATATACATATATACATATATATGTATATATACATATATTTGCATATATACATATATACATATATTTGTATATATATTTGTCTATATATTTGTATATATAAATATGTACATTTATATTTGTATATATAAATATATACATGTATTTGTATATATAATAAATATATACCTATATATTGTATATATAATTATAAATATATATATTTATATCTGTATAATATATAAATATATATTTATATCTGTATAATATATAAATATATATTTATATCTGTATAATATATAAATATATATTTATATCTGTATAATATATAAATATATATTTATATCTGTATAATATATAAATATATATTTATATCTGTATAATATATAAATATATATTTATATCTGTATAATATATAAATATATATATTTATATCTGTATAATATATAAATATATATATTTATATCTGTATAATATATAAATATATATATTTATATCTGTATAATATATAAATATATACATAAATTTATATTCATATATAATATATAAATATATACATAAATTTGTATTTGTATATATAATACATAAACATATACATAAATTTATATATTGTTATATGTATATACAATATATAAACATATTTACATGTGTATATATAATATATAAATATAAACATATACTTACATGTGTGTATTAATATATAAATATATACATACATTTACATGTGTATATATAATATATAAATATATACCTATATTTACGTGTATATATAATATATAAATGTATACATATATTTACATGTGTATATAATATATAAATGTATACATATATTTACATGTGTATATATAATAAATATATACATGTTTATATATTGAGTATAATATATAAATATATACTATGTTTATATATTGAGTATAATATATAAATATATACATATGTTTACATAGTGTATATATAATATATAAATATATACATGTGTTTATATGCATATATATAATATATACATATGTTTATATGCGTATATATAATATATAAATATATACATGTTTATATGTGTATATATAATATATAAATATATACATATGTTTATATGCATATATATAATATATATACATATGTTTATATGCGTATATAGAATATAGAAATATATACATATGTTTATATGTGTATGTAGAATATAGAAATATATACATATGTTTATATTGTATATATAACAAATATATACATATGTTTATATTGTATATATAACATAAATATATACATATGTTTATATTGTATATATAACATAAATATATACATATGTTTATATTTGTATATACAATATATACATATATACATATATGTATATTTGTATATATAATACATACATATATACATATATATTTGTATATAATATATAAATATATATTTGTATATAATATATAAATATATATTTGTATATTATATTTGTATATATAAATATGTATATGTATATATATTTGTATATATAAATATATACATATATATAATATATAAATATAAAAATTATAAATACATTATAAATATATAATATATAAATATATATTTGTATATATAAATTTGTATATATAAATATATATATGTATATATATTTGTATATATAAATATGTTTTATATGTATATATTATACATACATATACATATACATTTTATATACATAAAAATCCTCCATGGATTTCCTTCTGACGTGCCACTCACCACCCCAGCCTTCTGAGGCCTTGCCACTCTAATGCCTCTCAAAGCTCCTGTTTAGCCTAACTACCATATCACCCAGGTACATTTCCTATTGACCCCTTTTCTTCATTTCTCTTGGTTTCTATGATACCAATATCTCCTGTATCAGGCCCTCTGCTTTTTTGTTTTTATTGCTTCATCTTCCTACTTTGTCTAAAAATACTTCGTGAGTTAACAGTGTTAAGAGGACAAAGCCCTTGGTTGTACATGCATATTTACTCATGATTTGGCCCCACCCAATCTTTTTAGACATGTCACCTACCGCCCTTTCTACCCTGCACTGAACTTCTGACACAACTTCCCAAATACTAGGTAGGTGCTGTGTTGGAATGGCATCGCCCATGCATCCTGGTTGCTGCCTGTACCGCCAAGGCTGAAAAGGAGAAGCCTGCCTTCCACATATCCTTGCACTGGGATCCAGTTGCTCTTTAGCTTCCACCAGTCTGTTATGATGGCACAAGACTCAGAAGTAGATGCAGTGAAAACCACACTGCTGCTGCTTCTGCTGTGTTAGCTGGTGAGCCTCCGTGAAGATGATTTTCCCTTGCAGTGGGAATCTCCAGGTCTAGTCCCTCACTCCTTTGATGTTGAGTGCTAGGGTTTGCACACGCTACTTGTGCAGGTGGGAGCAGTAGCAGTAGCTGTAGCAGCAGCTTCTTAATTTGGCTAGAGGCTTCCTGATCTAAGATAAGGCTGTAACTGTCTTAGTAACTCTTTTCTGTGGTGTGCTTTTAATGTCATTCCTGAAAGTTCAATTTAGAGTCTCCCAATGATTATTTTCTCAAACTATATTATTTCCTACTTAAATAGGTAGAATGGATTCTCTCCTATACAACTGAATCCTGAATCAAAATTCTATGTCTTTCCAAGAATGTCCCCCCTTCTCTTTTATAATTAGTGAGCTCTCAATCACCTTTGAAGGTCTGGGTTTGGAAAGCATCTACACATTTTTTAAGCCACGCATTGCTTCCTTCCCTATCGTAATATATACATTTGTTGATATTATTATATCAATGTAATACATTATTCATATTAATATTTGTTCATTTGCCTTTCCCTATTCGAAGCTGAGATATTTGAAGGCAAGGAATAGGCTTCGTTCATCTTTGATTCTCAAATGCTCCTTCTTTGTCATAAGGCAGAGTCTAGAAACACTGGTCGAAATGAACTGAAATACACTGTAAGACAGCGGTGAGAGATTTTACCCTCTAGCACGCCATCTGTACTAAGTGGGGTCAAAGGAGTTAAGAGTAGGAGACAGAGAGCTGTACATGCAAAAGTGGAAGACATTAACTACAGCTGGGATTTGGACTGAGGATAAACAAACATGGATTTAATACTGAAAGTTGGATAAAATTTGATCTTGTTAAGAAGACAAGGAAGATATATCAAGCTTAATGTAATGGAGTTTAAGGGAGGCTGAAAATGCAGAAACACTGAGTGGTTGAGAAAAATAACCTGAACAGAGATCTTGCACAGGGGAGTTCTGGCAGGTTAAGATATGGAAAAAAATTATGATCAGCTTGGAGAAACCTGATATTAGCCTGGACTAAGGAGAATGATCATTTTTATACAAGTAAGAGGAAGTCCTTGAAGGTGTTGAAGTAAGAAGCATGTTTTACAAACCTGGTTAGAGAATTGGGAAAGATATGAGAGAGTGGCTTTCTTTCTTCCTTAAGTTGACATGCTTTAATAAAAAATACTTTAATACTAAAAACTATATTCAAGGCAAGAAAACTCAGATGTCCAATGTTCATCTGTATTATGAATAATATTCCAAAGTTTATAGCAGAGCTCTTTGTATTAAACCCAGGGATCCTTTGCTCATATAAAGTTATAATTCTAGAAACATTATGAGAAGGCCCACACAGTGTGCGTCATCATTCTGAAGATGTTAATTCCTCATCAGGCTAAAAGAAAATCACTTAGAAAAGTACATGTTGTGGGTTGTTCATCCAGCTTCCATTTATCCAAATAACACACCTTAAAATATCAATAACTCTAGAGCTTGTCCCAAGGACCTTTGATCATTAGTGCACATGAAAAATTATGCAGTTCTGGCCACTTACCCTTCCTGCGTAGTGCATGATGGTGAAGGCTGTACCGTGGTCTTTGAGGGCAACATTCCCATTCCCATCCTTCATGGGGGAGTACACCGCATTTGTGTTTGAGGATTCTAGGAGACTTTGTAGTTTTTTTGGAAAATTTGATTCCACTGACCAAATCATTTGACTTTCTTCATCCAATAAGGTGAGAAATCCAGATGGCTTCTGAGAGTTAAGAAGAGATGGGGAGTTGTTTTGTCTATTACTTAGTTTGATATTTTTGTTATTATTCAAGCATGCTTGCTTATATTTTTGTTAGATTCATATAGACACTCAGAAAATGAATCAGTCTTTACCTTAATATATTTCTATTTCTACCCCACCACCTAGCAGGGCTCTGATGTAAAGTAGGTCCCCAATAATATTTATCAAATTAATGAACAAATAAGTAAAAAACGTATTGTAATGTCATTAAAATACTGTAGTTATTTAAAAAGTACATTTTCATCTTAATAAGAAAAATGAAATTCAGACTACAGGAAAATTATCATTTTTCTTGACCTATAATCCATATAAAATATTCCATACCAATGATGAGACAAGAAACTTATCAAAAAATAAAGCTTATCGTGATGTTAAGTCATAAAAATTATGGCAAAGCTGGTTGCAGTGGCTTAGGCCTATAATCCAAGCCCTTTGGGAGGCCAACGCAGCCAGGTCATTGAGCTCAGGAGTTTGAGACCAGCCTGGGAAACATGGTAAGACCTCATCTCTATTTAAAAATAATAATAATACAGAAATTAGCTGGGCATGGTGATGTGTGCCTGTAGTCCCAGTTTCTCAGGACGCTGAGGTGAGAGGATCACTAGACCCCAAGAGGTGGAGGTTGCAGTGAGCCACGATCATGCCACTGCACTCCATCCTGGACAACAGACGCAACCCTGCCTCAAAAAAAAAAAAACAAAAAAAAAAACAGAGTATGTCCAAGATGGCCGAATAGGAACAGCTCTGGCCTGCAGCTCCCAATGTGATTGACACAGAAGACAGGTGATTTCTGCATTTCCAACTGAGGTAGCTGGTTCATCTCACTGGAACTGGTTGGACAGTGGGTGCAGCCCATGGAGGGTGAGCTGAAGCAGAGCGGGGCATCGCATCACCCAGGAAGTGCAAGGGGTCGGGGGATTTCCCTTTCCTAGCCAAGGGAAGCCGTGACAGACTGTACCAGGAAAATCGGGGTACTCCCGCCCAAATATTGTGCTTTTCCAACGGTCTTAGCAAATGGCACACCAGGAGATTATATCCCATGCTTCGCTCAACGGATCCAATGCCTACAGAGCCTTGCTCACTGCTAGTCCGAGATGGAACTGCAAGGCGGCAGAAACTTCTGCAGACTTAAACGTCCCTGTCTGACAGCTCTGAAGAGAGCAGTGGTTCTCCCAGCACGTTGTCTGAGCTCTGAGAATGGACACGCCACCTCCTCAAGTGGGTCCCTGACCCCCATGTAGACTAACTTGGAGACACCTCCCAGTAGGGGCCGACTGACACCTCATACAGCTGGGTACCCCTCTGAGACAAAGCTTCCAGAGGAAGGATCAGGCAGCAATATTTGCTGTTCTGCAATATTTGCTGTTCTGCAGCTGCTGCTGGTGATACCCAGGCAAACAGGGTCTGGAGTGGACCTCCAACAAACTCCAACAGACCTGCAGCTGAGAGACCTGACAGTTAGAAGGAAAACTAACAAACAGAGAGTAACTGTATCAACATCAACAAAAAGGGCATCCACACCAAAACTCCATCTGTAGGTCACCATCATCAAAGACCAAAGGTAGATAAAACCACAAAGATGGGGAGAAACCAGAGCAGAAAAGCTGAAAATTCTAAAAACCAGAGCACCCCTTCTTCTCCAAAGGATCACAGCTCCTCACCAGCAACAGAACAAAGCAGGACGGAGAATGACTTTGATGAGCTGAAAGAAGTAGGCTTCAGAAAGTTGGTGTTAACAAACTTCTCCGGGCTAACAGAGGATGTTCAAACCCATCACAAAGAAGCTAAAAACCTTGAAAAAAGATTAGACGAATGGCTAACTAGAATAACCAGTGTAGAGAAGACCTTAAATGACCTGATGGAGCTGAAAACCATGGCATGAAAACTACGTGACGCATGCACAAGCTTCAACAGCTGATTCAATCAACTGGAAGAAAGGGTGTCAGTGATTGAAGATCAAATTAAGGAAATGAAGTGAGAAGAGAAGTTTAGAGAAAAAAAGAGTAAAAAGAAATGAACAAAGCCTCCAAAAAATATGGGACTATGTGACAAGACCAAATCTACGTTTGATTGGTGTACCTGAAAGTGACAGGGAGAAGGGAACCAAGTTGGAAAACACTCTTCAGGATATCCAGGAGAACTTCCCCAACCGAGCAAGGCAGGCCAACATTCAAATTCAGGAAATACAGAGAACACCATAAAGATACTCCTCAAGAAAAGCAACCCCAAGACACATAATTGTCAGATTCACCAAGGTTGAAATGAAGGAAAAAATTCTAAGGGTAGCCAGAGAGAAAGGTCGGGTTACCCACAAAGGGAAGCCCATCAGACTAACAGTGGATCTCTCGGCAGAAACCGTAAAAGCCAGAAGAGAGTGGGGGTCAATATTCAACATTCTTAAAGAAAAGAATTTTCAACCCAGAATTTCACATCCAGCCAAACTAAGCTTCATAAATGAAGGAGAAATAAAATCCTTTATAGACAAGCAAATGCTGAGAGATTTTGTCATCACCAGGCCTGCCTTACAAGAGCTGATGAAGGAAGCACTAAACATGGAAAGGAAGAACCAGTACCAGCCACTGCTAAAACATGCCAAATTGTAAAGACCATCAATGCTAGGAAGAAACTGCATCAACTAATGGGCAAAATAACCAGCTAACAGCATAATGACAGGATCAAATTCACACATGACAATATTAACCTTAAATGTAAATGGGCTAAATGCCCCAATTAAAAGACACAGACTGGCAAACAGGATAAAGAGTCAAGACCCATCAGTGTGCTGTATTCAGGAGACCCATCTCACATGCAGAGACATATATAGGCTCAAAATAAAGAGATGGAGGAAGATCTACCAAGCAAATGGAAAACAACAACAAAAAAAGCAGCATTTGCAATACTTGTGTCTCATAAAACAGACTTTAAACCAACAAAGATGAAAAGAGACAAAGAAGGCCATTACATAATGGTAAAGAGATCAATTCAACAAGAAGAGCTGACTATCCTAAATATATATGCACCCACTACAAGAGCACCTAGATTCATAAAGCAAGTCCTTAGAGACCTACAAAGAGATTTAGACTCCCACACAATAATAACGGGAGACTTTAACACCCCATTGTCAATATTAGATCAACAAGACAGAAAGTTAACAAGGATATCCAGGACTTGAACTCAGCTCTGCACCAAGCAGAACTAATAGACATCTACAGAACTCTCCACCCCAAATCAACAGAATACACATTCTTCTTAGCACCACATCACACTTATTCCAAAATTGACCACATAATTGGAAGTAAAGCACTCCTCAGCAAATGTAAAAGAACAGTAATCACAACAAACTGTCTCTCAGACCACAGTACAATCAAATTAGAACTCAGGATTAAGAAACTCACTCAAAACCGCTCAACTACATGGAAACTGAACAACCTGCTCCTCAATGACTACTGGGTAAATCACGAAATGAAGGGAGAAATAAAGATGTTCTTTGAAACCAATGAGAACAAAGACACAATATACCAGAATCTCTGGGACATATTTAAATCAGTGTGTAGAGGGAAATTTATAGCAATAAATGCCCACAAGAGAAAGCAGGAAAGATCAAAAATCGACATCCTAACATCATAATGAAAAGAACTAGAGAAGCGAGAGCAAAGAAATTCAAAAGCTATCAGAAGGCAAGAAATAACTAAGATCAGAGCAGAAGTCAAGGAGATACAAACACAAAAAACCCTTCAAAAAAATCAGTGAATCCAGGAGCTGGTTTTCTGAAAAGATCAACAAAATTGATAGACCACTAGCAAGACTAATAAAGAAAAAAAGAGAGAAGAATAGAATAGACACAATAAAAAATGATAAAGGGGATATTACCACTTATCCCACAGAAATACAAACTACCATCAGAGAATACTATAAACAACTCTGTGCAAATAAACTAGAAAATCTAGAAGAAATGGATAAATTCCTGGACACATACACCCTCCCAAGACTAAACCAGGAAGAAGCTGAATCACTGAATAGACCAATAGCAGGCACTGAAATTGAGGCAACAATTAATAGCCTACAAACCAAAAAAGTCCAGGACCAGATGGATTCACAGCCAAATTCTACCAGAGGTACAGAGAGGAGCTGGTACCATTCCTTCTAAAACTATTCCAATCAATAGAAAAAGAGGGAATCCACCATAACTCATTTGATGAGGCCAGCATCATCCTGATACCAAAGCCTGGCAGAGACACAACAAAAAAGGGCAATTTTAGACCAATAGCCCTGATGAACATCGATGCGAAAATCCTCAATAAAATACTGGCAAACCTAATCCAGCAGCACATCAAAGAGCTTATCCACCATGATCAAATGGGCTTCATCCCTGGGATGCAAGACTGGTTCAACATACACAAATCGATAAACGTAATCCATCACATAAACAGAGCCAAAGACAAAAACCACATGATTATCTCAATAGATGCAGAAAATGCCTTCAACAAAATTCAACAGCCCTTCATGCTAAAAACTCTCAATAAACTAGGTATTGATGGAACGTATCTCAAAATAATGAGAGCTATTTATGACAAACCCAAAGCCAGTATCATACTGAATGGGCAATAACTGGAAGCGTTCCCTTTGCAAACTGGCACGAGACAGGGATGCCCTCTGTCATCACTCCTATTCAACATATTGTTGGAAGTTCTGCCAGGGCAATCAGGCAAGGGAAATAAATAAAGGATATTCAATTAGGAAAAGAGGAAGTCAAAGTGTCCCTGTTTGCAGATGACATGATTGTATATTTGAAAACCCCATCATCTCAGCCAAAAATCTCCTTAAGCTGATAAGCAATTTCAGCAAAGCCTCAGGATACAAAATCAATGTGCAAACATCACAAGCATTCTTATACACCAATAACAAACAGAGAGCCAAATCATGAGTGAACTCCCATTCACAATTGCTACAAAGAGAATAAAATACCTAGGAATCCAACTTATAAGGGATGTGAAGGATCTCTTCAAGGAGAACTACAAACCACTGCTCAATGAAATAAAAGAGGACACAAACAAATGGAAGAACATTCCAATGCTCATGGATAGGAAGAATCAATATCGTGAAAATGGCCATACTGCCCAAGGTAATTTATAGATTCAATGCCATCCCCATCAAGCTACCAATGACTTTCTTCACAGAATTGGAAAAAACTACTTTAAAGTTCATATGGAACCAAAAAAGAGCCCGCATTGCCAAGACAACCCTAAGCAAAAAGAACAAAGCTGGAGGCATCATGCTACCTGACTTCAAAGTATACTACAAGGCTACAGTAACCAAAACAGCATGGTACTGGTACCAAAACAGAGAGATAGACCAATGGAACAGAACAGAGGCTCAGAAATAACACCACACATTTACAACCATCTGATCTTTGACAAATGTGGCAAAAACAAGAAATGGGGAAAGGATTCCCTATTTAATAAATGGTGCTGGGAAAACTGGCTAGCCATATGTAGAAAGCTGAAACTGGATCCCTTCCTTACACCTTATACAAAATTTAATTCAAGATGGATTAAAGACTTAAATGATAGACCTAAAACCATAAAAACCCTAGAAGAAAACTTAGGCAATACCATTCAGGACATAGGCATGGGCAAAGACTTTATGAGTAAAACACCAAAAGCAATGGCAACAAAAGCCAAAATAGACAAATGGGATCTAATTAAACTAAAGAGTTTCTGCACAGTAAAAGAAACTACCGTCAGAGTGAACAGATAACCTAGAGAATGGGAGAAAATTTTTGCAATCTACCCATCTGACAAAGGGCTAATATCCGGAATCTACAAAGAACTTAAACAAATTTACAAGAAAAAATCAAACAACCCCATCAAAAAGTGGACAAAGGATATGAACAGACACTTTTCAAAAGAAGATATTTATGCAGCCAAAAGACACATGAAAAAATGCTCATCACCACTGGTCATCAGAGAAATGCAAATCAAAACCACAATGAGATACCATCTCACACCAGTTAGAATGGCAATCATTAAAAAGTCAGGAAACAACAGGTGCTGGAGAGGACGTGGAGAAATAGGAATGCTTTTGCACTGTTGGTGGGAGTGTAAACTAGTTCAACCATTGTGGAAGACAGTGTGGTGATCCCTCAAAGATCTAGAACTAGAAATACCATTTGAACCAGCGATCCCATTACTGGGTATATACCCAAAGGATTATAAACCATGCTAGTATAAAGACACATGCACACGTATGTTTATTGTGGCACTATTCACAATACAAAGACTTGGAACCAACCCAAATGTCCATCAATGATAGACTGGATTAAGAAAATGTGGCACATATACACCATGGAATACTATGCAGCCATAAAAAAGGATGAGTTCATGTCCTTTGTAGTGACATGGATGAATCTGGAAACCATCACTCTGAGCAAACTATCGCAAGGACAGAAAACCAAACACCGCATGTTCTCACTCATAGGTGGGAACTCAACAATGAGAATACTTGGACACAGGAAGGGGAACATCACACACTGGGGCCTGTGGTGGGGTGGGGGGGGGTGGGGGAGGGGTAGCATTAGGAGAAATACCTAATGTAAATGATGAGTTAATGGGTGCAGCAAACCAACACGGCACATGTATACATATGTAACAAACCTGCATGTTGTGCACATGTACCCTAGAACTTAAAGTATAAAAAGCAAAAACAAAAACAAAAAAAAAACAAGGTGGCAAAATCCTACTCAACAGGAAGGAGAAGTGACTGTGATATTCCAATTTTTAGACCTAGAAGAAAGTTTGAAGCTATGACTTATAAAACTTAAATTAGAAGTCTGACAGTTTATAACTACTGAACAATAAAACTAAAATCATATACATATATATATATATATATACACACACACATATAACAACAATTTGAAATAAATCTCATCTGAGAGCAAAGGCTGCTTAAATCACTTCCCAACCTCTAATCTTCCATCCCCCACATATGGAATACCTTCTGACCACATGGTTTAGACTAGAGGGCCCCAACCTTTTTGACAAGAGGGAACGGTTTTGTGGAAGACAATTTTTCCACGGACCAGGGGTGGGGGGGATGGTTTCAGGATGATTCAAGTGCATTACATTTATTGTGCCCTTTATTTCTGTGATTATTACATTGTAATATATAATGAAACAATGATACAGTCACCATAATGTAGAATCAGGCATTCGATTCTCATAAGGAGTGTGCAGCTAGATCCCTCTCATAGGTTCCTGCTCCTATGAGAACCTAATGCTGCCACTGATTTGACAGGAGCTGGAGCTCAGGCGGTGAGATGCCAGTGACGGGGAGTGGCTGTCAATACAGATGAAGCTTTGCTCCCTCACCTGCTGCTCACCCCCTGCTGTGAAGCCTTTTTCCTCACAGGCCGTGGACCAGTACTGGTCTGTGCCCCAGGGGTTGGGGACCCCTGGTTTAGACGACTATTGAATAACTTCTTCCCTAGTGCTGTTTATCTTTTCTTTCTAT
Organism: Homo sapiens; assembly: GCF_000001405.40. Classification (NCBI taxonomy): domain Eukaryota; kingdom Metazoa; phylum Chordata; class Mammalia; order Primates; family Hominidae; genus Homo; species Homo sapiens. Next base: position 109,012,159 of record NC_000013.11, on the reverse strand, counting down.
TATGTCCCCTAGGAAAGTTTAGTTTTTGTTGACATTTCAAATCTACCTTTCACAATAAGGTAATTTATGAAACTTCTTCACATTAATCCCTAATATATCTTAATCGTTCTCACTGTGCTTTTAAATGTGTAGATACTCTGATAATAATTCTTCTCAGGAAGTAAAGAGACATATATTGACCCCTATTGTGAATTCAGTTTGTATTTTGACCTGAGGTTACCAAACCATACCACTACAGGCAACTCAAAATGTTATTTATTTGGCTAATAAAGGCCATTTCTTTGTGTCTTAAATATTTTAATTGTTTTAGGCCTTTCAGAGTCTCCTGCTCCTATTAAAGAAAATCCAGGCCAGGCACGGTGGCTCACACCTGTAATCCCAGCACTTTGGGAGGTGAGGCAGGCGGATTACGAGGTCAGGAGATCCAGACCATCCTGGCCAACATGGTGAAACCCTGTCTCTACTAAAACTACAAAAATTAGCCAGGTGTGGTGGCACACACCTGTAGTTCCAGCTACTCAGGTGGCTGAGGCAGGAGAATCGCTTGAACCCAGGAGGCAGAGGCTGCAGTGAGCCGAGATCGCGCCACTGCATTCCAACCTGGGTGACAGAGCGAGACTCTGTCTCAAACAAACAAACAAATAACAACAAAAAAAAAAAAGAAAGGAAGAAAAAAAAAAAAGCAAAAAGAAAAATAAAATCCAAAGACTGCAATTGCCTGAGAGCTGCAATGGTGAGATCACTCCCTTGCCAGCCAAAGGGAATGAAAGCTAATAATGCCAGCCATGAGACACGCACACCCCTGGTGGGGCTCACACAGCAGAGCGTGCTTCTTGAAGATACTCAGCAATAATGACAGCCACCTTCTTTGAGAAGCCACATAACCTCCCTGGGAAGGAAAGAAAGAGAAGAAGACCTAATGCAGAGGAGAATGCCACTAGGAAGGAAGTAGGAATGCCTGCAAAAGCAAGCTAACCCACCTCAGCAAGTTATCTGAGGTCAGCAATGCCTGGTGAGACTGCTGTTGCCACACAAAAGTGTTTTTAGATAAAGGAATTTGAAGAAGAAAGCCCCTTACTGGGAGTGCTGGCTCAACAGGAAGTTCCATAGAGTACACTGCAAGAAGCTCAGAGTGGCCGGGGGCCCCCATGAGGAGTCCTCTGAAGAGGCTGGAGGTGAAGAAATATATATATATATATATAATATTATATGTAATATATATAATAGAGAGCAGCCCTAGAAGAAAACGGTCTATGTGAGAAGCTTGCCAAGGACTGGTTCCATCTGTGATGTTTTCAAAATCAAACAATTCTTTATTTCAACTAATAGCAAGCTATTTACTGAAGAGTAAGTAAAGTGTTGATATTACAATATTATCCATCATTGCTTCATCTATTGATCTGTGAGCATCAGGTCACCACACTTCTGTAAATGCTGTTACAGGTTCACATACAAACTTACACAAGACACACAGCAGAAGGACAAATGAGCCATTGCAAGGTTGTCTGCAAGTCTGTTTCTGTTTCAAGGGCAGTGACAGACCTCTTCTCTGGGGTGAAAATATTCACTTGTTTGGTAAAGCTGTCAATGGATATTGCAGTAACTCAAAGACAGGGCCCCAAATCAGTATAAAGGAGATAGACATTCAGAGAGCTAACTGATTCTGCTCCAAAAATCAAGATGATATTCTCCATGGATAAGGTGGTTGATTACTAGCAACATTTTTTAAGCATTATTATTTGTATTGTCTTCAAATTAAAAACAAAATCTTGTGTGTTATGTTTTCTGGATGTCTGAAATAAAGCAATAAAAGAATGGGGCAATTAACCTTTTAGACTTTGAAAACTTGTGGAAGTGCCTAAAGACAAAAATAGAACCTAGGGAAATAAGCCATAAGAAAGGGATTAATGACCTCCAATTCCTTTAGTAGTAACGGCTTAGAAGAGATTGCATGGCTCTACTCCATGTGAAAGGTTGTCATAGTTTCACCTTCATCAAATACTACACAGTGCAACAAAATGTACTAGACACTTGGAGTATTTGGTAAAAATCTGGATCAACCCCTCCCCTCAGGGCCAGGGACAAATAGGTAATCCTTGAAATATAAATATGGCCCATGCAAGTTTTTATTCTGATGACCCCTGGTTAGCAGTGGAAGAGAACATGGCAAGCTAGAGAGAAGGTGCTAGATGCCTGAGGCGTCCCGTATACAATTAAGTATACAGTCCTGCCGGTTTGAAGACATTTTTAAACCTTAAATAATTATAGGTTATGTATGTCACTACGAGGGCTTTCTGGAGGAAGAGGGCTGTAATTTTAGAAAAAGAAGAATGCTGACAAGTTAGAAGCAAGAACAAGAATGTGTTAATCAGAAAAATTCATAAAATAAAATAATTTAGAAATCTATCTTTATGGAAAGAGAGTAAAGAATGACATATTCTCCAAATAGCTGAATTGTGTCTGTTTTCAACAATGTCCATGTATCTTGGAGATATTGTGAGTAAATCCATATAATGTTTTCTTATATTAGTACATCGCAATTGCTGTTTATGTGATAGATTTTGGCTTATATGATAGAGACACAGAGTCAAATTGTTTTTCATTGTAAAGTAGAAAAACTAAAACTATAAACACCTGCAGATGCTGTGAGACTCTTAATTTAACCGACATTATATATGTGTTTATATGTTTTTCCTGCCAGTTTTTCCAAATTTAAATCTTAGAAACTTTGAAGATAAATTAACAAAAAAGATTCCATTGAACTTGTTTTATGGTATGATTAATCTTAGGTATTATTTTATAAAAAGTCTGTTTTTTTACAATAGGCACTTATAATTGCCAAAAGGAGAGTTTTAGTGATGTTGAATAAACAGTGTTGAATATTTCTATATCAAAATGATATTTTCTTGTCCTTTTAATGAATTGGTGATCCTTCAAATGTCCTTTCATAAAAAGATAACTTGTGCACCTCAATACATTTTGAAAAATTATTGCAGAATCTCACATATAAAGATATCTCAAAAATAAGGCGTCCTGAAAGAAAATTCTTTGTCTCCAGTATATTTAAACCCATATATCCTGTTAAGTATCTAATTATATTATATGAATACCTGGAAAAAAAAGTCCAAAACTCCATTCTGGTTACCAGGAGAATATGCTGTTTCCATGGTAACTCCCTCTTGTACACATTCCACTTGCTCGTGGAGAAAAAGCACTTCATTGATATAGTGGTGCATCTTCTCATTGGTCATGTTGACACAAAGCTGTTGTGGAGAAAACAAGAAAACATTTCACCAGATAGTACAGTAGTGCATACACAAGATAGATAGTACAGTAGTGCATACACAAGATAGTACAGTAGTGCATACACAAGATAGATAGTACAGTAGTGCATACACAAGATAGTACAGTAGTGCATACACAAGATAGATAGTACAGTAGTGCATACACAAGATAGACAGTACAGTAGTGCATACACAAGATAGTACAGTAGTGCATACACAAGATAGACAGTACAGTAGTGCATACACAAGATAGATAGTACAGTAGTGCATACACAAGATAGTACAGTAGTGCATACACAAGATAGATAGTACAGTAGTGCATACACAAGATAGTACAGTAGTGCATACACAAGATAGTACAGTAGTGCATACACAAGATAGATAGTACAGTAGTGCATACACAAGATAGTACAGTAGTGCATACACAAGATAGTACAGTAGTGCATACACAAGATAGATAGTACAGTAGTGCATACACAAGATAGTACAGTAGTGCATACACAAGATAGATAGTACAGTAGTGCATACACAAGATAGTACAGTAGTGCATACACAAGATATAGTACAGTAGTGCATACACAAGATAGTACAGCAGTGCATATTCAGTTGTTCAATGACACAGTTTCAGATTGGGAAAGTATTGACTCAGGGAGTTTCCAACCAATTAGTCTACCAAAATAAAGCATGACAACGTTGCCTGGGAAGTCAGAGTTTCAACTGAAGTCTAGGAATGGACTTGCACATATTTCACAGATCAAGTATATCTGATACCATATCATCTAACTATTCAAAGTATGCTAAAAACAACGAAAAGTATGATTCCAATATTACAAACGTTGAGTCTCAAATATATTTGAGCATTTAAAATATTTCCAAAAGGAAAATATATTTGAGCTCTCATCAGGAAATGAAGATAAAGCTGGGTTTACCATGAGATCCCAGAGAAAAGAGAAGCATTTCATGAGGGCCTCATTTCTGATTGCGTATTAGTGATGGGCAAGAATGAATGTGGGGGTTCTTTCAGAAATAGTAATCAACAGTCAAATCATTATATTGAAGAAATTATTTTCTTTATCAGAAAATTTTCCACATTCCTCCAACTGTCAATTTTTCTCTTTCCACAAGACATTCCCATCAGGAAACAAATATGTTATTTCTTAATCTTAAAGAAAAACCTTTATTTATCTTAAAGTATTTAAAAAACTATACCATAACTCAAATCTAACCAGCGCAAAATCCGACTTCCCCTCTAGGCTACTCTTCTACTTCTGTGCTTCCTTTCCTATCAACACACACACACACACACACACACACACACACACACACACACACACACGGCTGATTTCTACTTATTATCTCAAATTCTTATCTTTCCATTCCCTCTTGAAACCACTCTAATAAAACTTTTGACACCATGGCGCCATCAAACTTGCTTTTGTAGAAGTCATCAGCAATGTGCACATTTCTTTTTTTTTTTTCTTTTTTTTTGAGACGGAGTCTCGCCCTGTCGCCCAGGCTGGAGTGCAGTGGCGCCATCTCGGCTCACTGCAAGCTCCGCCTCACGGGTTCACACCATTATCCTGCCTCAGCCTCCCGAGTAGCTGGGACTACAGGCGCCCGCCACCTCACCCAGCTAATTTTTTGTATTTTTAGTAGAGATGGGGTTTCACCATGTTAGACAGGTTGGTCTAGATCTCCTGACCTCGTGATCCACCCGCCTTGGCCTCCCAAAGTGCTGGGATTACAGGCATGAGCCACCGCCCCTGGCTAGCAGTGTGCACATTTCTAAATCCAATGTTCAACTCTCACATTTGTTTCTCTTGACCCATCCCCACCCCGGCGTTATTTGACTGAGTCGGTTTCTCTTCTTCCATGGAGCACTTTCTCCCCTCTCCTCCGGGACACCACACTCTCTTGGCTTTCTAGCTCACTGGCTGCTTCCTCCCCATCTCCTTTCCCGACTCTTCGTGGACTCCTGGCCTGCTCATATTGGAGTGTCCAGGGGCTCTGCCTGTGGACCTTGTCTCTTCTCTGCCTATACCCACTTCTTTTGTGAGCTTACTCAGTTTTACAGACCTTTATGTTCCCTCATCTGCACCCTAAACCACTATGTTATACTAGACAAAACTTAAAGCCGGTTAGAAATATTTACTGCTCAGTAACTAAAAATAATTACAGATCAATATTTATATAGCTGGAAACAATTGATAAAACATTTGAAAGAAAATTAGATCTCATCTGCAAGGGGAATAATATCTAAGATAATATTTAATGAGAAATATCCTGTATTAATATAAAGAAATGCGAAAGCTTTTGTTAAAAAATAACAAAATATTAGCCAGGTGCAGTGGCTCACACCTGTAACCCCAGCACTTTGGGAGGCTGAGGTGGGTGGATCACCTGAGGTCAGGAGTTCGAGACCAGTCTGACCAATATGGTGAAATCCCGTCTATACTAAAAATACAAAAATTATCCTGGTGTGGTGGTGGGTGCCTATAGTCCTAGCTACTCAGGAGGCTGAGACAGGAGAATCGCTTGAACCTGGGAGGCGAAGGTTGCAGTTAGCTGAGATCACGCCACTGCATTCCAGCCTGGGTGACAGAGCAAGACTCCGTCTCAAATAAATAAATAAAATAAATAAGAAAGACTGGAAAGAAGAGCCCAGAAAAGAAAGAACTTCCTGGGTTCCTCTTTTCCACATATCCCAAATCTTCTCCAAGTCTGATGTCATCACAACACCTGGGAAGTAGGAGCTCCTTCTAGATGTTCTGGTCCTGCTAATGGGCATTCATGTCCTCCTTCTAGCCCATATAAGGACAGCTTCCAATGAGCAAGACAAATTACCTTCTCAAGTGACCAGCACGAGGTCACTCCATATCCTCCCAAAGGGAGCTCCCACTTACCCTTAAGGGTGTGGCTAGTAATGACTTGAGAATTACATGCACCTAGATGGAAAAGGACATTTTCTCAAAAATCCAGTTACTTGGGAGAATGGAAATTTATGACATTGTAGGGCATGAAGAAGTCTCAGGGGGAAATTTCTTCAGAGAAGAAACAAACATATGAAAGAGCAGAACATTGGTGTGAACACAGAAGGGAGTGTGGCGTGGGACTGGGTGGACTTGCTGTAAAGTTCTAGTCTTCTTGCCAGGGTTAGAATGTTGTGCGTAGGTGTAGCTAGCTCAAACATCTTCAGAAACGGGGTGATTAGAGCATGAGAGGGTGGCAGGCAAGGGGGTCCTTGACTGAAGCAGAGGTAGGAGAGCTCAAAGTGCAGAGGTTCTTACAACCTGATGGAGTTATTTTAATGATGAATGCACATGGTCTTTATTATTATTAATATGACAGGTGGAGAATAACAGTATAGTAGACATATACCAAACAAAATATTAAAGTAATAACCATATTAAAATAAGATCTGAATATCACATATTGACATTCAAATAGTAACAAAAATAATTCTTAGATTCAGGTCAAAAAATGGTGCTCCATGACTACCACCCTTCCCAATGGGTTTTCTTGTCTCTCTGCCTTCATGGTAAAAGATGGTTTCTTAAATTCAGTGATAAATTAATTTCTGTAGATAGAAGAAGTTTCCCTAAAACATTCTATTACAACATGAAATCTAAATTAAAAATTAAAGAAGAACTTGCCATGTTGTGGTTGTCATAGAAGTCATTTTAAACCTAAAGAACTTGAGAGGATTTGTATAAACCAGGAGACTCTCCTGGTATCGTCTTCTTCCCCCAGCATTCCCTCTGTGGTTACTGGATTTTCTTCCTTGTACATTATTTGCACAGTAAGTAACTAGAACTTTTCCTCTCTGTCTTCTGACAACTAGATTTCAAGAGAAATGCACAAAGCTGGAAGTTCTTTACCTTTTAAACCTTTAAGTGTTTCTTAGGTAAACTCACACTGCTGTGATCATCTCTTAATTAAAACAGTTGCTTCGGATGAGAACATACCATATAAAACATTTAATTTTAAAGGCGTTGTTGTTAAGGCAAATACGATTTGAATATGGACACAGACCAACAAATTCTGCACATTATAGCTGGCAGAGGGAGGAGTGGCATTCAGTATCTAAATATCATATGAAAAATATTTTCTTTCTTGTAACTGATACAGTCTAGCACATTTATCCTCTTGAATTATTCCATCAAAACCAAGTGATGCCAGGCAATCCAGATCTTCATGATCAGTTTCTATGTTTATCTTATCCTACAGGGCATAAATCTCCAGTAATGGTTTTGGAAAGAAAAACTACTTTCCATGCAACTATGTAGCATCTGTCCACAATGGCATCCCTACTGTTCAAGCAGTACATCTACTTGTCACTTTCATTTCAATCATAAATAAAAAATAAAAATTGTTAAAAAGAAATAAAAACTGTTTAAACTATTTCACTTTGCTTCAGAAATAATATTTTGATGCATTCCTTTAATAATTTGTTAAACTCCAATAATAAGGTAATTTTGTTATAAAGGAATAATAAATGCTATACAATTATTAAAGTTTGGGGTGAAATATTTACTGAAAATGTACAGAAACTAATGACTTCTCTTATGGAATGAAACCACTGGAAAATATCTTCTTTGACTATATGATATATACAACTGTAACTTCTCAAGTTTTTTATTATTAAAAATACATTGAATCATTTAAAAATTAACACAAATAGGTCATTTACTGCAACAATTTGACTTAAAACTGTTTATGGATAGTGTGGTTAAGTGGAATACATTTTAGGGAACAAATTGCTGAGAAACAATGTTGAATCCATGAAATAAGGTAATGTCTATTACTGTGCGAAATGATAAGAAGTTCGATAAACAGGATTCCAAATTTTAAAAACTCAGTGGCTGATTATTTACAAGACATACCCACATTATATGACATTTTCTTTTCCTCTCCTTTTGAGCTTCTCTAATTGAAAATACTTGGACATTGATGACTCTAACATATCTAATACAATTCTTTTGTTATTTTGCATTCAGAATAGGTTGCAGCTCTGTAGGTACAAAAACTGCTTTCGATCACAATCTGATTGCATCCTCCTGGCCTTGACTGCCTTACAGAACACAACCTCTGTCTTGTTTTGACTGACCTGAGGCTTCTGATAATAGAAAACAGATACTGTAATTGTTTTTTTCGTACTAATATTTTACTGAATTGAATATTGGCTTCACTGAATTGATCCCCTGGTTTAATCAAAGCAGTGAAACCAAGTATGAATGTAGATGAAACCGTGGCAAACACAAGGACGGGAAGAAGCCAGGTCTCAGCTTTCTTCCTTTTTTCCACAAACGTCTAAAGCAATCTACCAAACTTTGGATAACAGAAATGGATGTGGCCTGTGTCTCTGGATAGAGCAACCCAATTTATTCCTCTCTTGGTCAATCAAAATGATTGATAAAACCTACAGCGTCTCTGCTGGACTTCTAGCATTATTAAGCTGCAGCGTCAGTGGCGAGTTCTTTTTGTGGCATAGGGTGATCTTTGCAATACACCTGAACCTTTTATTGAACATCATGTTCTTTGTGTTCTGGGGGAAAAAATTTTAAAGTAAATTATTAAAATCCCGTAGAGAAATTTCCAGCTTCATGTGTAAAACCAAGTAGCCTGTGGACTGATTTCCAATTTGTACCTTTTATTATGAAGGTGCCTTCTGGAACTAAATCTATATTTGTGTTTCCAACAGTGGAGAGTGATGTGGAGTGGTAGTGAGTCACTGGAAACATATGTAGTTTAAAGTAGAATGTTTTTTTTCAAAATAATTTTGGTGTAATGTGTCCATTAAAATGTTTTACTTAAAGTTTGCCTTTATTCTAAACTGTTCAAAGCACTCATTGTTTGAACCAAAGTTAAAATATAGACGTACTGTGGCATGAAATTCAAAACCACTAGAACATGTAGCTAAGGTTAACAATAGGAACATATCATTCAATATCGGATACCTCATTGAAACTTTAAAAAAATGTACCCCACAAACCAAATGGTTTTGCCAAAGTCATGGACAGAACCTTATTCTTGATTTATTTTCACTAAACTCTGTATGTGTATGTGAATGTGCATATGTGGGCGTGTGTTCAACACAATCAGAGAAAGATAGAGTGAAGATTTTTACAGGCAAATTAGTTCGTATACCTAGAAGCATAAATCTGCATCAATCATTGGCATCATTGGCTTCAATGGAAAACAACCATTACTTTTTCAAATCTACCTACTGTAGAGTTGTTTTGGGGTTCAATTAGATCTCCGGGTATTCCTCAGAGTAGACGTGAATGTGGGTGAAAGGTGAGTATTCATAAATGCTCATGAATAATTATCAAGTAGCTGCTTAGATAGTATTTGCTCTTCTCTAATTAAAATACAGCTTTGTACATGAAGTGCCACTGCTAAGTGGTTTACTAATAAAAACTATGCACCCCTGGAACACACTCTTTAGGAACGGAAACTTATTGCTTATCCAGATGGCTCATCATTTGTATTAATGACAAACAATTTCTTGAGTAAATTTCCACCAACTGCTCTCCCTTTACTTTCATTACTCAGTGAAACATATCTGAAACAAAAATATAATAGAGCATGGCATACACATCACAGAATTAAAGTAGGAGATTAATTAAAGCTGACTCCAGCTGAAGGCAGAGCCCTGGGCAGTGACTCTCAAGCCTATCTGCACATTGGAATTAATTGAGGAGTTTTTTAAGAAAGGCTAATGTCTGGGCCTGACCCCAAACCAATTAAATTGGAGTGGGGTGCAGGCATTGAAATATTTAAAAAGCTTTCCAGGTGATTCTAATGGGTAGACATGGTTGAACACACTGAGATAGATCATAGAACTGAGAATGCACTATGCATCAACTAATTTGCTCATTAGTTAATATATATGTGTATATATAAGATATTAATGTGTGTGTGTTCACATGAGACAGACACACAGAGAGAGAGAGAAGGAATAGTGTTAGATTTTAGACACTGAGCATTGCTGAAATATGTTCAGCAGAACACTAATTGTGTGAGACTTTAATAGCTGTTGTCTAAAAACCCTACCTAAGCAGAAGCCCATTGGGGAAATATGGAGTTAAGTTAGGCTTCTCTGCAGGACTTCTTTGGGACTTGAACACTTCAAGCATACTATAAACTTCAACTATTTGAAGATTACCTTGGGGCTCACCAGACTGCTCCAAGTGGTTCTCCGACAAATCAGTTATCCCTGATTTCCATATATTGCCTATGAAACGGCAGGTACAGGAGGTTGGTGAGGGGATAGCATCTCTCTTGTTTACTTCAGTTTTAAAAGTCTAGTTTATTTTGTCTTCTCAGAATCTATAATTGTAGAGGCCTTTCTTTCCTACCATTCTTGTTTGGGAAAGGTCATGTTTACTCTTTTGCTAGCACCATGACTGACTCTTACCTTGATAGAGGATACTACCTCTGCCGATAAGCTAATCTTATTTTAAAAATAGAGGACTTGGGTGCTTGGTAGCCACAGCAGAGAAGGGTTGCTTTCCTTACCAGAGCCCCACATTGGGACCCGCAGTCAGCACCCAGGAAGTGGACTGGGCACACATTCGCTACCACCCACAGCTACCACCTGGCCCAGGCTGCCGTATTTGTTTTTGTTTGTATTTCTTTTTTCACCCTTCTATTTCCCAATCCCCTTCTCTTCCTTTTCTTTTTTTTTTTTTAAATTTTTTATTCTGTTACTATTTCTTAAAGGAATCAATCATCTTTCCTTCTCTGGCTTCCTTAGATATTTTAAAATTAAAGTATATATAACAAATTTTAAGTAAATATAAATTTCAGCTACTTCACATGTATAAAGACATTGTTTTACACAAATGAAAAACACTTTCTCTTTTTACAACTTTTATTTTATTCTGTTACTCAGAACAAAAAAATCTAGTATTTTGATGGGTTTAATTCATGACTATATTCTCCTTTAATGTAAATAATTACTACTTTGGGATTTGAAGAATTGGTCTTCAAAAAGGAGTCTATCGACTACAAACTAACTGGCTAAATTTATTGACAAATCTTATATAATAATATGCTAAGATCAGGATTGAAAAACACATATTAAAAAAATTATTTTTAGTATTTTGTATGATACCTTGTACATAAAATATATTCCTCAATTTAAATAGAAGCCATGCCCAAGAGTTAGAAACATAACCTCTGGTTAAAATGCTCTTATTTTAGAGCTTCAGTCACTCTATCAAATTGTTCAATATTTTTCAAAAAAAAGTTTGTTTTCTTGTTTAGTAATAAACTTCTAATCAATATGCTTTCTTTTTTCATATAAAATTATTCATATAGTCCAAAACCAATGATTAATGTATAATTTCTACCAAAATAATAAGCCTTTTTCAAATAGTTGTAATGATTCAGAATGAAATGCAAAGTTTAGAGGTTCTGACAAACTGACAGCATGGCCTGTGCTGGAGCAGCTCCTGCGGCCTCACACATCTGCCTCTGAATTCCCACTGGGCCTCATAAAACTTGTGGGGACTTTAACTCTTAATTTTCTGAAAAAGCTGTTGTAAGAGTTAAAAATTATATAGAAAAATAATCTGACTAATAGTAGGAGCTCAAGAAATTGTAGCCATTATCAATTATTAGCACAAAACTACATGAAAGCATTTTCCTAGTTTACGTATCTGGGATTGGAGCTTTATAGCTGGACAGCCACAATGATTAACTTAAGCCTTTTCCTGGTCATTAAAATTACTCAATTCACTCTTCTCTAAAGTAATCTGATAGATGGTTTCAAATGCATTAATTCTCCTTACTAAGCTTTGTAACATTTCCTTTTAATCATCCTGGTACTCTACAATGAAAAAGATACACCTCCATTATGAAACTTATTTATATTAAACGGATTTGGTGATAAATTCCACTATGGAAAAAACAATGGCACATAAAATTTACGAAGAGTTTATTGTTTCTAAACATAATAGAATAAATAATATTGAGTCCTAAGAGAAATACAAACAAAAGGGGCATCAAGTGAAGTTTAGAAAATATATACTAATAAAATTTTATGTTTAGCTTTCTAAGAACCTTTGGAACTGAAAATAGCTTGTTATTAAACCTGAATTCAGACCTTGGTTTTGTGTGAACTTCTATGAGCTACTTAAATTATTTAAGCTCAGAGGTGATATTACTTAACTTACAGAGATTTTGAGGGAAAAGTCATTAAATGTATAGTTTATATGCTCAAAATTCTTAATTATGTTGCCACTCCCCATTTTATTTCCCCAAAACAGGTTTTTGAAGACTGTTATTTAAAGAAGACCAATAATCATGCTATCTATAAACACAGAATCCAATATGATTGTAAGAGGTATATTATACTAGCATCTCATTATTTAATGATTCTATTTGTTTTTCTGTAGAAACCTGAATAGCATTATGCTAGAGTTCTGACACGTAGCGAAAATAAATGCATTTCCTTGTTCAAATTTTTAAAAATATCAGATCAACAGCTGGTAAGTCCCTGAAATGATTTTGGAAAGTTCAACATCATTGTGAAAAGGAGATACACAGGGTAGAAGATGCTTTAAGATAGAGGTAGATATTTAACACATGTATGATTTTGAAATCTATGTGTGAAACAACTGAAAATAATATTTTATCATATTTGTGTATCAATTGATCAGCAGACAAATCAATATTGATATCTAATAGCTATCACATGATACAGTGTGAGTGAAATTACATGGATCCTGTCCCATACTTAGACTAATATAGCAACCATTACCCATTTAAACATCCCCAGTCCTTTTCCCATGATGTCCAATTAAAACTGGTCCTTCACCATCAAGAGGTAGACTCAATTTACCCACCTCTCTGAACCTGGGCATGCTTGTGATTGCTCCAACCTACAGAGGAAGTAATACTATGTGACCTCTGAAGCTAGGTTATCAAAAAAAGCATCCAGCTTCCGCATGTGTTTCTCCTTTGGGGAAGCCACTCTAGAAAAATCATCCAACAAACTGCGAGAAAGCCCCAACTAGCATGTACATAGAAGCCATAGGGAGAGACCAACATGGAGAGACCAACGTGGAGAGACTCATGCAAAGAGGAACTGAGGCCCCCAGCCAACAGCCAGTGTCACCCTCTAGATTCGCGATTGATGGAAGCTTCACATGGCATTGGCCTCCGACACTCCAGTTATCTAGCTAAGGCCCCAGATATGATGGACCAGAGACAATCTGTCTCCGTATGCCCTGTTCAAATACTTGACCCAAAGAATTGGTGAGCATAATAAATGTTTATGTGTGTCATTAAGTTTTCAGGTAATTCATTATATAATCATAAATGCTGGAACACTAAAAAATATGTAGGACTGGAAAAGAGAAGAATTGGTGCAGAAGTGGGAACATATTATCTGGCCAGAGAAAATCTAATTTATAAAAAAGGAATTTGCCCTTTTAACATTTGTACCTTACCTGCCATACCATAATGTCTATGTAAACTTTAGTGCCTAGAACAGGGTCTGGAACTTGGGGCATATACAATATATGTTTATTGAATGAATGAATCCTAGATTACTGATGCAACTAAGCCAGAAAAATGAATCCTACTAGGTACTGCTACCATGCACTTACAAAGCACAGAGTATAGCAGTCTCAATTTTCTCATCTGTGAAATGTGATAACGCATGTGAAGAGTATGTGGAAAAGTCCAATTAAGAAAAGTTAATTTACTATTCCATTTTTCTTTCTATCATCTCTAGCATCATGATTTCACAATGAAGGGCATTAAAATATTTCTTGAGGTTGAGACTGCCAAATTATATCATATCATTTCATAAAACTTTAGAAGTCAAAGTATCTCAATTTTTCCAAACTCTGACCACATAGCCCAAGCCCAGGTCATCTGAAGTGTCCAGTAAATTTCAGTTGTTAGAAAACAGTCTGTAAGCAGGGAAATGATTTGAATTCTTGACAAGTCTGATGAAATCAATTTAGATAAAGCCTGGCTTGAAGATAAATTACGTATCACAATTCTTTTTTCTTCTTTTTTGAGATGGACTTTCACTCTTGTTGCCCAGGCTGGAGTACGGTGGTGCGATCTCCGCTCACTGCAACCTCCGCCTTCTGGTTTCAAGCGATTCTCCTGCCTCACCCTCCCGAGTAGCTGGGAATAGAGGCACCCACCACCACGCTGGCTAATTTTTGTATTTTTAGTAGAGATGGGGTTTCACCATGTTGGCCAGGCTGGTCTTGAACTCCTGACTTCAAGTGATCCGACCGCCTTGACCTCCCAATGTGCTGGGATTACAGGTGTGAGCCACTGGGCCCGGCCTATGTATCACAATTCTATCTTCTGCAAAGGGAGCTTTTATTTTGAACAAATGTGTTCTGTCTCCAATTCTTCAATTCTCTAAGTTCTTCCAGCATTTTTCCCTTTCCTTTCCTTTCCTTTCCTTTCCTTTCCTTTCCTTTCCTTTCCTCCCACTCTCCCTCCCTCCCTCTCTCTCTCTCTCTCTCTCTCTCTCTCTCTCTCTCTCTCTCTCTCTCTCTTTCTTTCTTTCTTTCTTTCTTTCTTTCTTTCTTTCTTTCTTTCTTTCTGCATGGTCTTGTTCTGTCACCCAGATGGGAGTGCAGTAGCGCAATCCCATCTCACTGCAGCAGCCTCAACCTCCCAGGTTTAAACGATATTCATGTCTCATTCTCCTGAGTGGCTGGGACTACAGGCATGTGCCACCATGTGTGGGTAATTTTTGTATTTTTAGTGGAGACAGGGTTTCACCATGTTGGCCAGGCTGGTCTCAAACTCCTGGCCTCAAGTGATCCACCTGCCTTGGCTTCCCAAAGTGCTGGGATTACAGACAGGAGCC
The DNA here is from genome assembly GCF_000001405.40 of Homo sapiens. NCBI lineage: Eukaryota > Metazoa > Chordata > Mammalia > Primates > Hominidae > Homo > Homo sapiens. The sequence goes on along the minus strand of NC_000013.11, from coordinate 108,997,021 downwards.
AATGCACCTGTCATTCCAGCATATTGTTAACATGTAATTTTACTAGACATCATGGCTTTAAGAGATTCACTACATGCCTTTGCATGTATGTGTTTAGTGGGAGAATGTAGGGAAATTATTTGTAGGTTAAATGATTTGTTTCCATGACTTTGCTCATTGGTGCAGATCTGCAGAGCTCTATAATAACATGTTTAGAGAGAAAAAATTCTATCATTTATTATAGTAACACTTATATAATCTTAAATTTTTCTCATTGATTAAAAATGGCACATGATGAACTATTTTAAACATATTCAATCATGAAGGGAATAATGTAATAACCTCCATCAGCCACCAACTGACTTCAACAATCATCAGTAAGTACCAACCTATGGCCACTTCTGCTTTTTCCATTTCCTTATTGTCCTCAAAGGTGGACTCATTTGAAGCAATTTGCAGATGGTATGTCCTTAAACAGGTAACTACTTTAGTATAATTCTCTGAGATACAAGAACTTAGAGAAACACATTTTTTAGTATCTTTATCACACATAATCCAATAAATAATAATTTTTAAAAATTTCATCAACTGTCCAGATTGCACATTACTTTAATTATAGCTTTTATACATAATTTAGCACATTAGGGCCCAAGAATGCCCACACATTCAGCTGTTGTACATGTCTTTAGATAGGTTTTAATCTACAGGTGCCCTCCTTTCACAATTTTTCTCTGCATTTTATATGTTGAAGAAGTCAGTTGTTTGTCCTGTACAGTTTTCCACACACTGAAAAGTACCACTGGAAGTACCAAATTACTGCTGAGCTATGTGAACTATATTTTTTACACTAGTATTGTACTTATTATAAGAAATAATTTTGCTATTGTGAATAGTGCCGCAATAAACATACATGTGCATGTGTCTTTATAGCAGCATGATTTATAATCCTTTGGGTATATACCCAGTAATGGGATGGCTGGGTCAAACTGTATTTCTAGTTCAAGATCCCTGAGGAATCGCCACACTGACTTCCACAATGGTTGAACTAGTTTACAGTCCCACCAACAGTGTAAAAGTGTTCCTATTTCTCCACATCCTCTCCAGCACCTGTTGCTTCCTGATTTTTAATGATCGCCATTCTAACTGGTGTGAGATGCACTATTCACAATAGCAAAGACTTGGAACAAACCCAAATGTCCATCAATGATAGACTGGATTAAGAAAATGTGGTACATATACACCATGGAATACTATGCAGCCATAAAAAATGATGAGTTCATGTCCTTTGTAGGGACATGGATGAAGCTGGAAACCATCATTCTCAGCAAACCATCGCAAGGACAAAAAACGAAACACCGCATGTTCTCACTCATAGGTGGGAATTGAACAATGAGAACACATGGGCACAGGAAGGGGAACATCACACACCAGGGCCTGTTGTGGAGTGGGGAGAGGGGGGAGGGATAGCATTTGGAGATATACCTAATGTTAAATGACGAGTTGATGGGGGCAGCACACCAACATGGCACATGTATACCTATGTAACTAACCTGCATGTTGTGCACATGTACCCTAAAACTTAAAGTATAATAATAAAAAAAAGAAATACTTTTGAATAGAAATGATTCGTTAATTCTGCTATGGTCTGAATGTGTTCCTCCACAATTTGCCAAAGTGATGGGATTAGAAGGTGGGGCCTTTGGGAGGCGATTTAGGTCATAATGGCGCCACCATCCCGAGTGAGATTAGTGCCCTTAATAAAGGAAGCCCCAGAGAGCTGCCTTGATCCTCCCTCATGAGTGGATGTGGCAAGAAGGCAGCATCTATGAAGCAGAGAGCCCTCACCAGACACCAAGTCCACTGCCATCTTGATCTTACATTTCCTGGCCTCCAGAACTGTGAGCGATAAATTTCTGCTGTTTGTCAATTACCTCCTCTAAGGTATTTTGTTCTAGCTGCCTGAACTGACTAAGATAAAGTCAGAGAAAATGCGATCAGAATTTCCTATTAGCTGTAGTATCTCATCTTTTAGATGAGAATCCATTTAATCTTTTGGAGCTACTGGAGGAGACTGAGGTTGGAGATGCTGAAGTTTTGGAGTGTTTCTTAACATCTCCTCAAATGTGTCCCTACTCTAAACAATTGTCAAGCTTCCTGTGGAGGAACAATTGTCATTTATTCCTGAACAAGAAGAACCACTATGAAATCCACTATGAAGACTTTTTTCTTAGGAGTTTATTCTTCTTTAAACTTCAATTGAAAACATGTTCGTTGAACTTTTATTATATACAAAGCACAGACACAATTTCAACTCTGCAGGAGTTGACGTTCGAGTGAAGAACTGATGGATGGGTCAATAAGCGCAAAACAGAATAAAAAACATATTATAAAAGCACTAATATTCTTCTAGGTTTGATTCTGAATACAGCATTGATTTGTTAAGCATTTTGTTGCAAGTTTGTAGTGGAATAAAAGACAAAAAGTCCAGCTTCTGTTAGCAACACAGAAATCTAAAATGTATCGCTCAAACCAATGGTCTTAAAAAAAATTACATGCAAATTTGCACTCGTCAAAAGATGAGATTTGTACTTATCATAAGATGAGATTTGCACTCATCACAATGGAAATAATTTTATTCTTCTAAATGACTCCTAGTTGCTTTTGTACACAATAGCAAAGCAAACCTGTTAAAAATTATATATATATATGTGTGTGTGTGTGTGTGTATTTCAAATTTTTTTCAAAATTTAAGTCCCAGAATTGTTCTTGAGATTTTTACCCATAAATGCCTAAAGCTAGCTTTTGGCATTTAATAGAGACTGGCTCTTTAGATGTGAAAAAAATGCCATTACTATTATACAGAAATCTCAGGCTGTAAATGTATTCCAAAATAAATCATAAAAATATTTAGCAAAAGAAGGACTAATAAGGGATTTATATAATTGTAGTAAAATAAATATGTTTCAGTAAGAAAATAACTTAAAAGTTTTGCACGTATTCATCATTAGGACACTCTATTGACAATTATGTCTGGGTGTGGAGTTGCAGCTTGTGAGGCAAGTCCCCTAGCAGACTTTAGAGGACATCATTCCATCTGTAATTTCTACATGTCGCTTACCAGGAGATGGATAAACCAGTGACTCTCATTGCAGACATGAAAGCTTGCCTGTTTTCTAAGATAATAACATAAGGAATCTCTACTGATGCCAGACAGCTTCAAACCCTTGAGCTGAGAGATGCACCTTCTTAAGCACCCTGCAGACCCACATATATTGTCATATATTCTATTGGTCACACTCAACTGCTTTCTTCCTTATGTTCATCATTACTTTTCTCACAGTAAGCAATAAAAATAAACACATGAAGTATCTCCTTTTCTATTAATCCACAGAAAACTATGAAAGGAGAAGAGATCTATTGCCTCTATAGTTCTAGTTCAAACTAGACATTTTGTGAAGTTTTGTAAGGAACGTGGTTCGTGCTGACTCACCCTGGATTAGGTAAGTCAGCGTAATTAACATCTAAACACAGGATGATGCAGAGCTTTTCTAAAAATAAAATTGGCCAATTTTTAAGTTATTAAAGTGCTCCCATTTGCAACAGTAACGGGTAGGTATCCATCATTTCTTAATCATATACAGTATGAGAGTAACTGACACGAGAACCTGTTTAATTATGTTTAATCTCAGAACTCTGTAAGTCTATTAACCTGATTTTACAAACAAGAAAACCAAAGTTCACTATAGAGTCTTCATCTTGGCCAAGAAATCGACGCTACTAAAAGTCACAGACTTGCATCTCAAACACATTCTATTTAATTGTTTATCCTACCACACCACCTTAAGAAAATAAAGCTAAACAAATTACGTAACTATGAAAATTCCTCCCAAATGCTATGGAGTTGTAATTCTTCCCGTACTATAATGTAGCTTGGTTTTCTATTTTTTCATGTTTACCTTCCTACAGGTTGACTTTTCTCCTCTGTTTGATAAGGAGAGTTGTATTTCTACTGTCTTTATTAACACTTAGTTTTTAGGTATACTTAATAAAACTATTCATGCAGTGCTATTAAGATGACTACATAATTTAATACTTTTAAAATGCCCCAAATTATAGATGGATTAAAAACAACCCATGCCTCTCTAATGTATTTTTATGATTTTCCAATAGTCCTATGTATGAATGTCATATGGAGATGAATCTACAAATAACAGCATGTAGCATAACAGAGCATTTTCATTCTGATGTTTAGCCAAGGTTTTTGAAAGCCTTTGCCTTATTTCAAATATTCATGTTCTCCCTTCTCTCTGACCTAGTTGAAATAGCATTTCCATTAGCACAACTCTGGTCTTCATCTTGCATTGTCTTTTAAAACAAGTGATTCTGCTTTCAATGTGTGACTATGCCAGTTGTTTACAAGACCACATAAAATGGTTAATATATTGATAAACCAGAGATATTAATTTTAAAACATTAGAGTACTTATTTTAATTCCATATTTGTAAGTAGTTACACTGTCTTTACAGAATTAAAAAAAGAACTTAGTTTCAAAAGCCATTCAAGTTCACACAATTTTAAAAGAAAGACTACTTACTTGTTCAAATTCATTCTTTTGAAACTCTTCAAAACCAAAAATGTCCAATATTCCAATATCCAATGTCTGCATGCTGAAACAAAACAATACACCAGGATAAATGGGCATCCTTAAAACTCCTTCATGACCCTCTTTTCATTATTCAGGTCAGAAGAATCCAGCCACTTAGCACATTGCTGCCAATTTGGACTAAAAATGTGAAATAATTATTTTAGAGTCTCATTAAAAAAAACTCTGAAAGTTAGCCCCCCCAAAACTGTTATTTTAATGCTTTGATTCAAACACATGCACATTTATAAAAACACATCGTCTTGTAAATCTGTTTTAAGTTCCTTATAGATGCTGGATATTAGACCTTTGTCCAATGCATAGTTTGCAAAAATTTTCTCCCATTCAGTAGGTTGTCTATTTACTCTGTTGATAGTGTCTTTTAATAATCTGTACAACAAACTCCCATGATGCAAGTTTACCTATGTAACAAACCTGTACATGCACCCTTAAACTTAAAAATTTTAAAAAACAAGAATTTGAGGCCAAAAAAACCAAAAACCAAATTGATTTTAAATTAAAAATGTAACACTATGTGGGTGATTTAATATTTGCTTCTCTGAAATAGTTCTCGTGGCTATCTCCTTAGGTTGGACTTCTTTTCCCTTAAGGAACTGAGCCTACATGTCAAGTGGTCCTCACTAGCTATACTTGTGTCTTCTCATGCTATGCAAGCAGTGAGTCAGGTGGTCCTCACTAGCTATACTTGTGTCTTCTCATGCTATGCAAGCAGTGAGTCAGGTGGTCCTCACTAGCTATACTTGTGTCTTCTCATGCTATGCGAGCAGTGAGTCAGGTGGTCCTCACTAGCTATACTTGTGTCTTCTCATGCTATGCAAGCAGTGAGTCAGAACTTTCTCGTCACACCCAAGTGCGATGTAAGGTAAAACACAATTAAGTCACATGCATGTTCTTTGATGGATCAAATTTAGTCACTTTAAAAGTTCTTCCAGAAGTAATTCTTTTAAAAGAAGAATGAAAAAAGCAGAACTTTTGAAGGATAATTTAAAGAAATCAATCTTTTTTTTCAATGTGAACTATCACTCTTGGAAATAGAATTTACTACAGTTACAGATGATAAAAATCTCAAATGTCTGAGCCCACTTGGTAAGCAAGGAAAGATGTAAGACAGGCCCAAGTCAATGACAGCCACTCTAGCAATGGTGATCAGGTGAAGAGGGTTACATGGAAGGCAGGGAAGGGTAGCATGGGGACGTCGGCATGAACTTGCTTCTTGCAAGGAAGCCCAGAGATAATTCTGGAATTTCTGGGAGGGGCACGTACCCCACCTCTTCCACATCATTGACGTATAGTATGAATGGGACAACTGCTGTCGTAATTTTCTGCCAATGGGTACGCTATGGGTACACTGTTCTGTTATTATTATAGTTCTTATAGGATCAATATCCATTATTTGATTGGTCGTTAAATTGTTATTTCCTTGCTTTTTCCAAACGGCAGAACAAAACTGGCAACCACCTCAGTCTTTGCACTGTATTTTGTTTTTCACGTACAGTACATAATTATAATCCATGAGGGTCTATAATACATCACTTCAATGACCATTTTTTCTCTAAAAATGTAGTCATAATTCTGTAATATCCTGTCTGTAATATTTTTTGTTATATATGGTAGAATATAAGCTTCATAAGTAGGAGGGAGAGAATTTTTTAAAAGCCTTCGTACAAATTTCACGGTAAAGAATATAATACAGTGAGAGAAAAAAAGAAATCATTCAATATATTTTCCTAATTGACTTAGTTTATAAGAAGAAAGAATAAAAATAGCTTTATAACTCATAGTGTGTACAAATAAACTCTACATGGATTAAATGTTAGAACAAGAAATTAAAATGGTATAAGAAAACAAATGCAATTTTTTTTTCTGATTTCAGTTTTGGGAAACCTCAAAATAAGTGTTTTAAACTATTGAACACTTTTTCAACTATTAAACTCCTTTGCAGGATAAGTAATATAAATAAAACTGTTTCTGTTATAGGTAAGTGTTATGTAAAAATGTATTGTGTCATTCGTTTTGATCACTATTTTTCAATCTGCTGATATGTCTCTCCAGTTTTCTGTTCACCATCCAGCATCCATGCATCCTCCTCTCCATCCTGCCCTCCTTATGATATGCACAAAGAGATGTCTGGAATGATGTTCATTCAGTGCTAACAATGATGCTGAGGCTTAGCGTGATTTTTTGTTTGTTTTGGTCGTGTGTGTGTGTGTGTGTGTGTGTGTGTGTGTGTGTATTGTCTGTGTGATGAGCTGCATCATTTTTCTTAAAGCAGTTTGGTGATAAAGTTTGTCAGACTTTGGAGATGTTCAGTCTTGGGGTAGGTTTAAATACTTTTGGGTTGGTTAACTTTAGACAAGTTACTTAAATATTTTGAACTGGAGTTTCATCATGTATACAAATAGGAGACCAAGTAAAATTTGTCCAGCTAGATCATTGCTAGAATTAGAGGTGATGCAAAGTTCTAAAACAAATAGCTGTTATATAGTGTTTCCAAAAAGTTGCCTCTTTTTTAAAAAATAAGTTTTTTAAAAGTATCAATCTTATTAAAATTACAAAGAAATACAATCTGAAAAAAATTAGAATGAGAAAGATATTTTCCTATATACTTTTTCTGACAGTTTAAATCGGTAGAGCCTTCCTCAAAAACAATTTAGTTATAAAGCTTTGCAATATTCATATCATTTGAACCAGTACTTCCATATATAGGAACCTATTCCAAGAAGACTATGAGAAATGCTTTTAAAGACTTATCAACAAGGATGTTCATTGTTATCTTAATTACTATAACTACAAAAAGAAACATTTATTTATATCCCACACTAAAAACACAATTAATTAAATAGCATGAACCCTATGATAAATTAAGAAAGCAATATATAAATTCTGTATAAAGAATAACCCCAATTATATATCCAGAAGGCCTGGAAAGAAATAGAGTGAGCCTTGAAAGAGGAAATGGAGATATTGCTTTGTTTACTTCTTTTAACTATTCCCCACTTTCTAAGGTTTCTATATTGAAACATATATTTTTATAACCAGCAAATATTTCATTGATGTGTATATAAAGGTAATATGAAAACATAGGAAATGTTCATGAACAACATTAATCCCAAAACAAAAGCCAGAAACAAAATGTATACCTTTAGTATTCTTAAAGTATAATTTGAACTATGTCAAATAAACCTAAGCCACAGGAAAAATAAAATCTATGTTAACAGTACCTGTAATAAGATGGTAGACCTGGAGGTGATTTCTTAATTTCTTAAATGTTCTATACTAGTATTATAAGAATATTTATCTTTAACCTCATTTAAAAAATATATTTGGGCATTTTCTAATTTTGTAGAGAAAATTGACACCAATAACCTTAAGGGCAGAGAGGGGATACTAGAGCCCCATCGTGGTAGGAGAAAAGTGTCTGGTTTTGCCAGTGGTAAGAGATGCTGCCGATGCAGGGACAACTTCAGGAATAAGGAGAAAAAGCACTGGGTCTCTCCCCTGAAGGCCGGGTGCTGGTCCCGAGCACAGATGCCTCTCTATCCACTGACATCAGGGTCCCTATGTCAGGCTCTCAGGTCCGATTACCCTCCTTGCTTCCCAGTTGACCTTGGCAGAAGAGACCCTATAATCATGGCATATTGTTTTGATAGAATTTAGGGAAAAGAGCAGCAGAGATCAGTGACACCATGTCACTTCATACCTACCTCCCTCCCTTACAAGGATGGCAAATTGCATCAACACACAGAGAAGAGATTATTTGGCCACTGTGGCATGTGTGGGTGGGCAAAATCATTAAAGGATGGGTTCACATTGGGGAAAGTGAATTATTAATTGGTAATTTAGAGTGGCATACATTTGATTGGAAGGGTATTCCTCCTAAATGCTTTTTTTCACATTTTATAGATACTGAATCCAAACATATTTGGTTTTAAAAAAAAAAGAAAATTCCATTGTCAGGAGAAAAACTAAATGCAAGTTTAAAGCATTTTAAGGACGACTTTTGCAATTACTGACAGGCATAACATGATCATTTAAAATAATTTATTTCATCATTTATGACTGAAATATGCGTCTGTTACTGCAATAGCAACATTGGCAGGATAGTAATAAAAACTTTCAGCCAGCAAAACGCCCATACTACGTAGCAGTTGACCTGACTGTCATTCCCCTTATTGATATCTGACTCCTATTCCACAGGCATTTAACTTAACATTCAATTTCTGACAACTGGGAGCAGAGAGGTCATGTGATCCAGCCAAGACTCAATCCTATAGGCAAAATTAACATATGAATTAGATGATCTGTTTCAGTTCAAATTCTGCCTTAGAATTCTCCCGAGAGCTTTCTTGATAGTTAACAAAACTGTCAGCTTGCATTGACATATTAGTAAAATGCAACACCCTTTACATCAGACAAAATATTAAACGCCAAGACATCAGTCTGGTTTTCATTTTACCTTTTATGTAGATAGATATAGAGTGGAGAAAGGACTGAATTAAAGAGAATGCCTATCTTAGAACACGGGTAAACTCACTTCATCTGAGCAGAACAATCTGATGGTGTGTACAAGGCAGCTTTTGTCCTCAATTATCCTCAGGCAAGGAGATTCCCTAGAGAGTTCTCCAAGTAGTCAGTTTAGGAAGTAGCTTAACCCTGCTTGGCACAAAAACCCTTAGACTGAGTTAGACCAGTAGGACCCCAGATGGGGCAAGAATTAAATATAAACACATTCCAGACGTGAGCAATCTTGTCCAGACTTACTGCCCTTGGGATCAGCTGCACGTACATAGAGGCTAGTGCCAGAAAGTCCCTGGAGATGCCGAGCTATGCTATGGCATTCACCAACTGCCCTGTCAATATGCTGATTTATTCATTTACAAAAAGTTTTGCTTTCCTTAATTGGCCTGATGCCTCGCTGTGGAGGTGAACCCTGCTTAAATCTTACCTTATTTCAACCTCTCAGGGTGTTTTTTAGTCTATGAGAGAAACTTGGGGGGAAGAAGTGGGACTCTAGGATTGCATACTTTTGGGGGTTCCTCTCTTTTATTCTTTGAAGAAAGTACTTGAGACTTCTCACTTTCTGCAACCATGCCAGAAATTATGGAAAGCCTTTGCAATTCTGACAGTTGCACTAGAGGCTGGGAGTAACCAGAGAGGCCGTCCGGCCTTCTCTATTCTATATGGTATTGTACAAACTAGCATCTTCCTAGATGCAGTCATTCCCTGCACCTTTCCCCACAGAAATATATGTTAGGAAGTACAGAACTGCGGACCCCTTGCGAGGAACATTGCAGTTAATTAGACTTAGAGAAAATCCAGGATGTAGGTCAACACTGGAGTCCCGTGCACAAAGCACTGTTAGGAGCATTTAAAAATGCCTCTCCTCATTTAATCCTAGGGAATACTGAGATACAGAATGGTGAAGTAAGCTGCCCCCAAACACAGATGAGTATTAGATAGACCAAGCATTTGAACTTGGCCATCTAGCTGTAGGGCCTGTGTCTGTAAGTTCTATGAAGCTCTGCAGAAAACTATTTCCAATTGGTGGTCTTACACCCGAGTCTAATTCTGTTCTCCTCAGAAACCAAAAAGGGCACTGTCTGCATTTGAGATAAGAAAGTGAGCAGTTCATCAATAACTGTAGTAGTGAGAAGAGTATACATAATAACAGATCAATTATATCCTTCATATTAGTGAAAGCCACACTCAGACTTTAAAAGCCTGAATACTATCTTTTTTTTTTTTTTTTTTTTTTTTGAGACGGAGTTTCGCTCTTGTTGCCCAGGCTGGAGTGCAATAGCACCATCTCGGCTCACCACAACCTCCGCCTCCCGGGTTCAAGTGATTTTCCTGCCTCAGCCTCCTGAGTAGCTGGGATTAAAAGCATGTGCCACCACACACAGCTAATTTTGTTTTTTTAGTAGAGACAGAGTTTCTCCATGTTGGCCAGGCTGGTCTCAAACTCCTGACCTCAGGTGATCCATCCACCTCAGCCTCCCTTAAGTGCTGGGATTACAGCCATGAGCCACCATGCCCAGACTACATCTTAGTCTTTATGGAGATTACATGTATAAAAATATACTGAACTTTACACATAACGTGCACTGTAGCTATGTTCTACCTTGATATGGTTTGGCTGTGTTCCCACCCAAATCTCATCTTGAACTGTAGCTCCCATAATCCCCATGTGTCATGGGAAGGACCCCTTGGGAGGTAATCGAATCATGGGGACAGATTTTTCTCACGATAATCTCATGATAGTGAATAAGTCTCACGAGATCTGATGGTTTTATAAAAGGTGGTTCCTTTTGCACACGCTCTCTTGCCTGCTGCCATGTAAGATGTGCCTCTGCTCCTCCTTCGCCTTCTGCCATGATTGTGAGGCCTCCCTAGCCATGTGGAACTGTGAGTCCATTAAACCTCTTTTTCTTAATAAATTACCCAGTCTCGGGTATGTCTTTATCAGCAGCGTGAAAACAGACTAATACATACGTCAATAAAACAGTAGAAAACAAACAAACAAAATGTATGCTCACTTGGATCACAACTATGCACTGTGATAGATTATTAGATAAATATTTGTTAAATGAGAAGCACTTAAATGCAGATTCATTTTGGCAATGCCAAATCAAACACGATGTTAGAATAGTGAAATTATTACGGTTGGCTCTGGCTACTACAAGAAGCTCAAGCATCATCTATCAGTAGAAAGATATCAGCAAGGAAGCAAATTACCAGCAAGATGTTTGAGTGGCCCAGAACTTCAGGAAGAACTGAAAATACATTCTTCATGAAGTTAAATACACTGACCGCCGTATTTTTCCCACTAGTGTTTTCACTGATCGTTAAGAGTTATATCTGGTCTCCTCCCACGTCTGCTGACACGTCAGCTACATGCTACGCTGTCAAAGCGGAGGTCCACTTCTTGGGGGTATCTTCAGTATAATGACTTTACTCCTTCCCACAAAAACGATAAATACTTCCTTGTGTTCAACCAATTATGTGGATGTGAGTCAGCGAGACAAACTAGAGGGAGGCTGCTTGCTGCTGATGTATGTTGTCAAGGAGGGATGGATTTCCTGACCATGCACGTCAATTAAAGAAACACAGCATGAATAAAAGCTTTAAAAAACCCAAACAACAGCAGCACGTGAAGTCAACTCAGCTGTCCACTACGTGTGGTTTGTACTTGCTATCTCAAAGTCAGTGACCAACTCTATTATTCTGCATCCCATACAATAACACAGAGTGGTTATATCTACATTCTTTTAAAAAAATGAGTCTGTATCATTGTATTTGAACAACTTTTGGTAGAAAGGTGAAGTCAAAATGAAAACTTATATGAAGATGCAGGAAATCTGCAGCTTATTTGTCTTTTCAAGGAAATATTAATGTCAGTATTATATCAATAAGAGACTTCTTTCCTTACTGTCTGTCTGTGTCAGTTTGTAGATGACTGTGGGACAAGGTTCAGCATCAGGATTCAGGACTCGGAATCAAGTTAGCCCAGTGATCTTTAAGAGATCTCATGCCACAAAAGGATCCACGCACATTAACATAAGGATAGGCTTGAAAGGAGACTGAGCCGTGAGGTGTATTTGAAGTTTATGTGTTGGTTTTTGACAAACCTGAGGGTCACAGAGAAGATGGTGAGTCAGAGGATATGACCAAGGTCTGTCAAGGAGTGCTCAGGAAAATTGTAAGGAAACTCAAAAAGCACGAAACCCAAGTACATGGGTCTGGTTTAGAGGCCAGCAATTCAGGATGACAGAGACAAAGTTGGGACCCCAGCAGGACTAATCTGGATAGGTGGGGTGGAAGATTTCTGTGATTGTCAAAGAAAAGGTATGATTACCAACCACTGAAAAGAGAGTTTTCCCTATGTCTGAATCCCTTGTGTGAATGAATGAACAAGTTCTAGCAGGCACATGCTACCCTGCAAGAGAAAGCCACGGCAAATGTATGCGGATGGTGACTGCAGGAAAGGCAGGAATCCAGGCTCTCCATGGAGTTCTAGTGCTTCTCTGGGACTTGGGCTTGTTAAGGTCGATGCACTGGGAGAGGCAAGCTAATCCAGGTCATGGGTATGAGGATTTCTAAGAGTGATCTTCTGATTTGCAGGCTTCAAAATTCACCCATTAATAGTGGTCCTACCAGTTCTCCTAAGACCTCAGGACCCATGGAATTGGATGCATTTTTAGCATAATTTGGGTTGAGGAAGGCCAATTCAGAGGTCATTCATTATGGCAGAAAGTAGTGAGAATCCATTTGCAGAAAGAAAGTTTTGTGATAGAGCAGAGTGAAGACTTTGTACAGCTGCTGGCTGAGCCTTAAGGGTGGCTTATTGAGCTCTGTGAATATTTTAGAAGCATTCACAGAATAACTAGTTCTTCTCAGGGATGAAAACCTTTCCAGGCTGATAAATTCTATTTTGCCTTTTCCTGATGTTAGATCAGTATAGTAGGAGTGCTATAGGTAGTTGGGTCAACTTTTACTAATGAGAGGTGAGGGAGGACTCAACATAACTGTTTTGCAAATGGAAGGAGAAGACTGTGGGCACTTCCTCACAATTTCAACCTGTCAATTAGAAAGTCCTGTAAAGCCTCACCATGCCCTTCAGTCTTAACAATTAAGAATGGAAGGCATGGAACCTATTCCTCAGGCAGCGTTTAGTCTATTTGGAGAGCAACAAGCTGGGAGAGGTCATCTTCACTTTTATTAACATTGAATTGCTTGCCTGCTTCCGCTCACAGAAAGCAGCAGTCTCCGAAGGCACATAGCATTTTGGGCTCCAATGTTCCTAAATATTTTTAAATAGGCTATTGAAGAGTTTTTCAAGTGTGTCCTCAGTTCTATGGCCAACCAAACCTGGCTACTCTTTATCTTACGTTCAAAGCTTTTCAGTCCATTGGACTTTGTGCTGTTTCAAGAGAATGTGCAACTCTTTTTTGGACAACAGGCACTCCCTTTCTTGAATTTTAAAATTTGTTTCACGGAAATCTTGGATGAATATCCCACAGAATGTTCTCTGGGAAACACTGTCCTGGGGCTGATCACTTTCTTCCTCCCACGGTTCTCACGTGAGATTCAGATGGAGAAATGCATTGGTAAGAGAGAAGGAGGAAGACAGGAGAGAGAAAGAGGAGAATGGAGAGATGAAATCAATGGTACAGATGGTATTTGTTTCCAGAAATATAATTTTGATTTTACTTTGCATGGTATATTTATTTTGTACTTCAAACCAATTAGAGAATTACAATCTACCTTTCTTGTTTTGATTTAGTCTTTGGCCTTAGAGCTCACACATATTATCAATAAAATGTTCAAATATTACTGGCAGTCGGGAGACGGATATCAATTGAAAAGGTTTTTTTTTCTTAATTAAAAATGAAAGAAAGTGTGGCACTAAATCATTCCAATTTTAGCCATCCCAATCAGAAAACTGACGGTGTCTTGGAGTGCTATAATGTATGGATTGGTCTGATGTATCCAAAATGTATTTTAAGAGCATAGGATATTTGAGTGTTACTGACAATTTCAAACTTATCCTAACTAGGAATTATAGACTCATAGGTCTTAAGATCAAAAACAAGCCAAAGAGATATGTAGGCTAAACCTCCATCTGTAGGCAGATGGGATATGATTATCACAATTTTAGGGATGAAGAAAATTAAGATTCACAAGACATAAATGTTTAACTAAAGATTTCATTAATGTTAAGTAGTAGGCTCAGAATAGGAATCCAGATCTTTTGCTTCCTATTACCCTTTAAAAAATTAAAACCCAATTAAAAGATAAAATTACTGTATATGCATGTAGACAAAATTTGAAAGCTGCATGCCATTTCAACCCAGTAGCTAAGGGCTACAGTAAAAGTGCTGTTTACTTTTTTTTAACTTATTATGCTTTTATTAGTACAGTTCCTTTTCTCCCTTAATTATCTTCCAGCCCAAACGCTCCTTTTTTATTTTTTATTTGGGTTTTTTAAAAAATAAGTTGTATGTTAAAGTAAAAATAAAGTGTATGTTAAAGTAGATAATATGATGCTATGAGATACACATATATAGTAAATGGTTATTAGAGTGAAAGTAATTAACATGTCCATCACCACACATAGTTAGCCACGCCCCTGCCTCATGGCAAGAGCAGGTATAATCTACTCATTGAGCAAAATTCCTGAATACAACACGCTGGTATTAACCATAGTCCTCATGTCCTATATTAGTCCTTTCACTTGTTCATCATACATATTTGCTACTTTGTATCCTTCTATCTCCATCTCCTTATTTCATTTCCTCCAGGGGCTTCTGGCTACTAAGTATTTTACAAAGCACTTCTGGATCTTTCTGCAATCTAGTACAAGTACTAAAAACCAACAGTCTTCATTACCTGAAGGTTTGGGATTTTAATGGCCCAGAAGATGACAGACCAAAGAGTCTGAAAACACTGGGAAGGCAGATAATCTCAGAATCTCCCAAATCACTCATAAAATGGAGAGCTGTCTTTTCAATAATGACCTTCAAATGTACATACAAAAAATGTGTGGTTCCAAGTAACAGCTATGAACATTGAATTAGAGACTTGTAGCAAGTCAATGTTTCTAGATAACCAAGCACCACAAAACTCAGTGACTTAAAACAGTAAGTAGTTATTATTGTTCATAATCGTGTGTGTCACCTTGGGCCGCCTGGCAGACATTAGCAGGTTCAGGATGACCTAACCCAGCGGCCCCGCAATTGGCCAGCTGAAGGCTGGAGCAACACGAGTGTCTGTCTCATCTTCCAGCAGGCCAGCCTGGCCTTATTCACATGGCAGTGACAGGGGTCAGAGGAAGCAGAATCAGGCAAGGCTTCGGAATTGGCACACCATCATTGCAGTTGTATTCTGTTGGCTAAAGCAAGTCACAAGGCCAGCTCGAATTCAAAGGGAAAGGAAAAAGAATTAACCTCTTATAAGAGAAGCATCAAACTTATATTGTACATGGCATGGATGCACAGACTAATAAAAATTGGGATCACTTTTTTGCAGTTTACCACATGACACTTCTCTTGATGATGGCATTTAAGCTAGGCTTTATTTAACTATTGTATGAGTTCATTTATCATTTCAATAAATGCATATTGAGCACCTTGATTGGGAAAGCACTGTGCTGCATGCTGGAGATCCAGAGAGAAAGGAATACAGGATAACCTCGCCTGCGGGGCATGTCCATATTCACATAAATTTAACTTTCAAAACAATTTCATTTGAAATAAAGAAATTACCTATATTTTAAAGGGTTATTTAGAAAACATTTGAGCTTTAAAACTAATCTTTTTTATCACTATTTTGATGGTCATCAACATGGGAGGCATTTTTGCAAAAACTCAGGCTTTTAAGTCTGGCATACTGGGGTTCATATCCCTAGCCCATCATTTTCTGGCTGTGTGATTTGGGCCATGTACTTAATCTCTCTGAGTTCCATTTTCTTTATCTGTAAAAGGGAGACAAGAATGCCAACCTCATAGCTAATGTCAATGTAAACTGTAATAATCAGCAGCTCCAAGACTATCTCATTTACAGGTAATATTCAAAAAATAATAACCACAATAATCGTAGCTTCACAACTTCTCACACCTCCACACATAAAGATGCCAGGCTTGGAAAATGTATTTTCCACTAGACAGTATGTGAAGAGAGAATAGTTCAAAGTTTGAGGCTGACAAAAACTGAAAATGTCCTTTGTTGCAAAGCACATCCTCCTCAATTAGAAAATTACATTCGAAAAAGGCAAACGATATTTAACTAGTGGTACTGACATTTCCTTCCTGGTGTTTTTTTCGGGGACAGACAGGGTCATGGAGAGCCAAAAAGGGACATTCTGCTCTCCTTTCTGTACGGCACTGCAGTGTTATTTATTCTGGCAGAACTGCCACTATGCTCAAATGACAGGCACAGAGAGCATAATAAACAAAGATTCGGCTAACTCTATTGAGCAGGACAGTTAACAGGGGTTGAAAAGAGGCCAAATGCATTTCCCCAGTTAGAAATGAAACAAGAGCAGGAATAGCTAACAGTGCAATGAATTTTTTCCTTTATATAAAATATACAAGCTTTAGCCTCTGCACTCTTGGCTCAAGAAAGAGCTAGCAAAACAAAATGCTAAATGGATTTTTTGGCCTTTTAAATCATTGCATTTCGTATACATTTTATTATTAAAACTATGTGGCTCTCAATATTTGTAATAACATATTAGTCATTAACAGAAAGAAAACACTAATGTTTAATATAAAAAATGACATATTCTCCTAGATCTGATAAATCTATTTTCCTCTCCATCTCCTGAAAACATGTACTTAAGGCAAAATACATAGTTCTTTATTGGGTCAATAAGCTACACTATTGTTGAAGCAATTTATCATAGATATCATGATTAATATTTAAATTTAACCACTATTTTGTCTATAGCATACTTTTTTAAAAATAATGAGTGGCAAAATTTTAACTATTATGTTGTATTTATTATCTGATAATTTAAAGTTATTTTTAAGTATTATAATCTGTATGATACTTTGGTAAAACCCCAATACTTTTTTGTTCCTCTATATTCTTCTTTTTGAAAATAAAAATGGTCTCACAAAGTAATGAAAAAACAAATGCACAATTGCAGAGAAAAGGTTTTTAGCTCTTGAGGAAATCATTATACATATGGGTATTTTGGTAAGGAAATGGAGCAGAAGGGGGATTATTTAGAAAGCAGGTTTGTCTCCGATATTTGCTAAATTGTGTAGTTTGGGTTGTCATGGTAATAAGCAACATGATTTAAATAAGTCTACACAGAAATAGAAGTCACTCATACTATATTCATAAGAATCAAAGAAATCTCATTATTTAATGGTAAAAAAATCCCCAGTTTGGATGAAGAAGGGAAAAACATGGTGTGTCAAATTTATTTTTCTGACAAACTGCTTGTTATTTTATCTCTGAAAGAACATAAAGACAAAATATTTAGAACTAAACAACAAAGGAAGCACTACAGATAAAACTTCTGGAATATACTAAGAGGTATTTAGGAGATGATACTTTATAGACTCAGGAAAAAACATCATTGGAAACTATGAAACAAATATTCAGCTCATGAATTCAGGAAAAAAAAATCACCCAAAAAGTCAAAATTCAAAGAAAGGAAAAAGAAGGATATAATAAAACTACAGAAAATATATTTTTGAAACTTCAGAAATTAATTAAAATAATATAAATGTGAAAGTGACTAAATGAAAATATGATTCTTGAAAATAATTTGCATAGGCAGATTCTTGAGCAATAATTATCAATGATCTTGGGGACAATGCATAAAGAAACAGTATCAGGAATGTAAATGTCAAACTACAGTTGAAATAGAGATTAAAAGATTACTAAACAAAGCTAGCTATGATTTAGCTGGTGAATAAATTAAAAATATCAAAGTGGATGAAATTCCAGAAAATATATGTGAGTCAAAAAAGAAAGAAAATAATCTGAATCTATAATATACATTTTAAAATAATCAGTATCCAAAAGCCAACTCTCCTTTCAAATGCTCAGAAGATTTTAGGGCGATTTCACCAGACATTAAAGGAGTATATGATCTTCATTTAGTACAAACTGTTTTGGAGAGAAAAAACAGAGGAAGAAAAGAGAAAGCTACCCAACCTACTTTTAATGTAAATTTGATAGCAACAGATTGTATAAGACAAAAACAAAAGAATCTCATCTCACTAATGAAAATAAATGCGAACATAAATAAAGACTAGAAAACAGAATCTAGTATATCATGAGCAAACAGGGTTTGCAGTATAAATGAAGAATGATTCAACATCAAAAAATAAACATCAATGCAATGTCTCACAAGAGCAAAGGAAAGAAGGAAATTGCTATGATCTTCCTAATAAAGAAAGAAAACCATTAGAAAATATTTGTATCCATCCATGATTGAAAACACTA